>NC_000009.12:7510000-10010000 GCF_000001405.40 Homo sapiens | reverse complement strand
CTGAAAAGCTAATTCAGGCCATGATGGGAAGGGAGAATTGGATATGCTTCATTATACTCTCCTCCCTTTGGAATTCAGGCACAACTGACCAGCATTACCATTAAAACAGAGGTCTTAAGACTGACAGAACAGACTGTAGCAAAAATATACCAAATTCCAAGCAGACTCTAGTATAGCGTTACACGAGAGCTTTACAGGCCCTGAAAGAAATTAAAATGTTTTATCCCAAAATATACTTTGACATATTTTGAAACGGCCCTGCAAAGCTGTCCTTTGCGGGAGAAACTTTCATTCCGTAAATCCCCTTCCCTTTCCAGATCTTTTTCTGATCTTGAAGAGACTAGCTGACAGTCTAGCACCTTTTAAAGATCTCAACAGGAAATATTTACAGTCTGTTGCCTCTAAGGTAGGCACCTATGAGACTTCATCTACATAATGAGAACCTTGGTCTCCACAACTCCTTATCTTAAACCAGACACTCCTTTCTATTGCTTCTAGGTGTATAGATAATTACTTAACTCTTTCAACCAATTGCTAATGAAAAAATCTGTGAATCCACCTATGACCTGGAAACCCCTGCTTTGAGTTGTCCTGGCTTTCTGGACCGAACCCGTGCACACCCTACAGGTATTGACTGATATCTGTCTGTCTCCCTAAAATGTATAAAATCAAGCTGTAACCCAACCACCTTGGATACTTGTTTTCAGAACCTCTTGAGACTGTACTTTGAGCCTCGGTCACTCAGATTTGGCTCAGAATAAACCTTTTTAAATATATCACAGAGTTTGACTCTTTATTGTTGACAAATGTATAGCATACATCAAGTGCCAGGCGAAAGCTTTAAGACTCTAAAAGATTTTCCTTATTGTCAACAGAATTGCATTAATTTAACTTTCTATGACATTAGGTAATTGATTTTTTCAAAGTAACTTTTCATTAAATAACTTTAAAACCTGTTTCCATGCTTCATTATTAGAGAACAAGTTTGATTTGTCAATAAGCAATCAGAGAAAAAAAGGGAAAAAATAAAATCCAATCATTTGTTATTTTCCATTAACTAATATTGATTATTAATTATTATTTATATTATTGTTAGTCAATTTATTTACTCATTTTTAACCATTTTCTGATTTTTCACCAGAGGCAAGTGTGGTTCTTTATTTTGGTCTTTCTTGAATTTGTTATAGAGAATTACTGATTGACTGGAAATTAACCCTTGTCAATTGAAGTATCATGATCTTTTTAAACTTATAGGGAAAGCTTTATTCCTAATACCAGGTTACAGCCTATAGGCTGTCCATCCTGCAGACTGGGAAGCTTAGCTTCTGGCAAAAACCAGAAGCAGACACTTGAAATAAGGAAGGATGAGACAGGAATTTATGCTGAATGGATTGGCTAAGTATATATATATGCTCACAGGATATGGGAGGAGCTGTGAATATGCATGAAATGGGGCACACATATGCATGCTAAGCAAACATGCATGTTACATATATCCCATGTTCACTTTGGAGTGGAGACTTAACATTTACATGCATTAAAATTAGGCTCTATATGTCAAAATGTGAAACAAAGGCCACACAGGCTTCCTATATTCAGACTCTTAAGTCAGACACAGCTGGTCCACAGTTGGTGGTCTCTCATCAGGAAGGAATGCTGGTTGAATGTGGTTGAAAACACAAAAAGGGAGGGGAATTCAGCAAATCTTTTGAGAGGGCTGGTTTTGGTTCAACTTTTAGGAATGAAAGTCTACTGACAGGGAGGGAGGGGATATAGTGAGGTATGTGTGACCTCCCATCCCATCACAGGTGAGAACTCAGTTTTCAAGGTTTCTCTGAGGTTCCCTGGGCCAACAGGGAATTTGTTAAGCGGGTTGAGGTGCTTAAGATTTTATTGTTATTTCTCACCTTTTATCAAATTGGAAATGCCAGCTCCCCCAGATTTGCAGGTTTGCCTTATGAATATTTCCTCAAATTATAGCTGGTTTATTACTTTATAAACTTACTAAGATTTATAAGTGTTAACTAGAACTAAGAACATAATGGTTCTTAAGTATAGAAATATGATGAGAAAATAAATATACTTTTCTTTAACATGGCATTGATCTTAATAGAATAACCTAAATTTTACTAAAGTAACTATTGGCTGATAAATAAAATTTGATTGTTATGCATCAATTGTAACAGATAATTTATTTCTAACAAGTTCTGATTTTGGACAAGCAGTTAGTATTTTAAATATATATTTTTTTAAATGCTGAAGCTATTCACAATTTTATTTAACATTTTAGCCAAAACATTCCTCATGTGCATGGGGTTGTAGGTGGCTTATGAACAAAATTTTGCCTCTCTCATATTTCTCTCAAAAGAACAATTTTGATGTGGAAGAGATAAACACTGTTGAAATGGAACCATATGACCAGAAGGCATTCGTGAGATCATATGGTTCAGCTCTTTAATGCTTTGCAATTTAGTGCCCAAACCATCCAAACAGATGGCCTTCTGTCTTATTTAACTGGCCCCCAAGGACAAGTAATTCAGAACGCCTCTTCGTATCGTATTCTCACTGTTATAATAAGAAAATTATTTATTCTTCCTTGGTATTGCTTTTGGTCGAATTAAAGCCCTTTACTGTTTATTAGATCATCTTCTATAGAGTTAAATAAAATTGCCATTTTTAATGAATTTTAAAACTCTACTTATGTCCTTTATTTTTCCTCTGATCTATTTTTCCAACATGATAAAGTAAAAGTAATAAAAATGAAGCAAAATGATGTGCTTGACAGTGCACTAAAGGTTTATATAGTTTAGTGCAGAGATAAACACCTACATTTGAATCCTGGACCATATCAATTCTGACTTATGTCCTTAAATAAGTTAAACTCTTTGATCTTTAATGTTTTCTTTTTAAAAACAGAGACAAACACTTCTGCCTTAGAGTGGTGTTGAGGAGCTCAAAGACTATAATGTTATCATCAAGAGAGTTGGTATATCATGGGGATTTGTTACATTAAAATTATTGCTATTATACCAATAGTGATAATACCAGCAATAACATTATTATTATTGGAAAATAATTTTAAAAGAAATTTTGACTATTGAAAGTCAAAATGTAAAATGTCAGAATAGCCTTGTTCCATATTTTCATAAGGTTATTACACCAGTAGATAGAATGGAATGGAAGAAAGTTGTCAATAGAATATATCTAGATTGTAGTAAGTCTTTGACCAGCATTCTTTGGTGTTTCATTGATAGGCTGGAGCAATACTGGATGAATGGTAAGAAACATAGAAGAAATCCTACCTAATCAAGTAAAAATATTGGCTCTGATTATTCGTCCAATGTAAAGGGAACTAAATAATACCTGACATAGGGACACACCCTGCTCAGTTATTTGAAGAAACAATATTAATTATACTCTGATTATATTCATGCATATTCTCTCAACTCTGCAGAAATGCTAATACCCTGAATTCTGTAAAACGGGAATATGATCCAAATATAGCTTATTCTAACATTGGGAGGATATATGGACTAGATCATAAAGAATAAGTAACGGTTTGCCAATATAAAATAATTAGAAAGCTATAAAGGAAAAATAAATTTTAAGTAAGTGGGATCAGCATATAGCATAATTTTCAAAGTGGCTATATATATTAAATCAATGAAAAAATTGTAATAATGGGACTAGAGCTGCACAGACTAGTCACATTGTCAAAGGCTTGTATCAAATGCTAAGTAGTTGAGTTATCCTATAACTAGCAGGGAACTGATGTAAATCATCAATGTATTAAAATGATTAAATTGTATGATTATTTTTCCAGGTTTTACTCTTATTTACATTTTTAGTGCTTCTCTTAAAAACTTTGAAATCTAAAAATGAAAAGCAATAGGAAATCATTAACTGCAATATTTCTTTATTGATTCTCATCTCATTTTTTGTATAATACCATCATATATTTGCATATGTACATATGTGTATATGTTTATAATTGCATGCCCTGCCTTGTTCTTATGTCATAAGCATTTTTGAAATTCAGTTTAGATTTTAGAATTTTAATTTTATTGCCCTGTAATATTTCCTCATTTGACTGATTATTTAATTAAGCATTTACCATAATTTTGTATATTTTAGTACAATTTTGTTCTTTTATATCTAATACTATAATGAAATATCTTTATGAATTTGTGTGCATTTCAGATTGTTAAATGAGGAGAGGGTCTCTCTAAGGGCAATAACTGGGTTAAAGACTATGTATATTTTCATTTTATCAATATATATTACGAGGTACCTTTCCAGAAGGTTTTATAGTGTCATGCCAGAGGGACAAGATAGGTGAGGGAAAAGCTGCATTTGATTAATGAAGGCACATAACCATCTGCTTATGCATTTCTGCCCTAGACATTTCTACTATTTCTTTAGGAAGAATTAAGAAAGGAGATAAAGACACACTCTTAAATTCTCGACTTTCTGATAACCATTTTTGAGCTATCTGAAAAAGAAAGAAAAAACAGAAACAATAATAATTTTGACAATGTTCTGCTACTTGTCCAGGCTTCCTGCCAAGGAGAGAGGGAGCTGCAACTTAGCCAAGCAGCAGTCCGCAGGAACTGAGCACAGTAGAACCTACAACTGCTTTTTGATAATCTTGGTCTTATCTGTTGGCCTCGAAAAGAAATAGCCATCATGATACAGAAATAAAGCCTAGTATCAGAATCATCGAGTGGTAGCATGTTTTAAGGTCTCTTTTACTTTAAAAAGCTGTTGGTTGTGTGCTTTAGAAACACCAAGGTTAGCTTTGTGCCTTATCTGCTGCCCTAGGACAGTAACAGTTATTATAATCGCCCAAAGGTTATACAATGACCTTTAAATGGGCTGAAAAATAAAAGACAAAAAAAAATCTTATAGGAAATAGTGTCCACGTTTTACACTTAGGCATTTATTTTTCATTGCAAAGAAATATGATCAAGCTAAGAAAAGTAAAGTTTTTCCATTAGTATTAAGCATGGCATGAAACTAGCATTTACAGTTGGACTACTTTTGAGTTAGTTAATTTTAAGACCCTCTGCTAGAAAACACCAACTTGGAAAAATTTGCTAGAGCCAGTCCTTCGAGGGAATGAGTGAATAGTAAACCCTGATCTGCTTTTAAACAGAACTAAATCTCAGTGTGACAACTTTCAGTTGTTGAGTTGCATTATTTATTGAATACACTACTGTAAACTTAGTTTGCTTACTGAAAGGTTGTACTTGGGAACCATTGATTTTATAAAGTTTGGTGTTTATAAAATTATGACACTATTTGGTATTTTAAAAATAGAATTATCTAAAAACGTTATGTTTACACTGTGTGTGTGTGTGCGGTGTGTGTGTGTGTTAAAATGTAAAACTTATCAGAGAGCTAAATGGCACCTTAAAATTATTTAATTATTTATTGTATAATATGTGGCTTAAAAATATTTTGTTTTCTGCTTATATACCTATTCTCTTGACCGGTGGGTAATGAATGATTGCATATTTTTATGTGAAAAGAAAAGAAAATGATGTGAATTATCTGCCATACACATATACATTTTGGGGATTGGGGTTCTGCAAATATTATTTAAATATAAAATGTATTAATTTGCTTAATTCCTCAATAAATAGTTTTTTGAAATGACTTTCTCCTTTGTTTCCACATGGCAAATTCCCTCTTATCATTCAAAATGTGGCTTTAATATAGCCTAATGATTGCTTTTATTCTCCAGGTATACTTAACAATTTTATCTTCTGGAAAAACAACACCCAATATATACAACCTAAATTTTTTTTAATGTATTTAGGCACATTTTCTCCATCAAACTTAAAACCTTTCTATGTCAGGGGCTATATATTTCTTTTCTTTTTTGTAGCCACATGCTGAGTATAATATTTGATGAATATTAGTTCCTCCATAAATACCCATTAAATTATTTTTTGAAGACTGTTAGTGTACCAGGGTTAAATAAAATAACCTTTGAAGTTTCTCAATTCCAATCTTTTTTTCCTCTTATTTGTAGAGAGCTTAATCTTGCAAGGCAATATTTATTTCAAAATTAATTTTGAATAATTTGTATTAGGGTCTGTAAGCAAATAAATCGGGTATGTCGGCTTTTTAAAATTTGGCCATTAGGGTATTAAAAAAATTTAGAATTTGAAATTTAATTCAAATTGGGGAAAATAATAGTACCTGTTTAATAAGCCTGTTGTGAGGACCACATGAGTTGTTATAAATAAAGTACTTAAAATAGTATTCACAAATGGCTATATTATCATTAAATTGTTTTATTGTTGTCATATGTTTTATCAGCCTTATTGGGTTATTAATATTAACCCAATATTAATCTTATTGGGTTATTTTAGTATTAACTTTATCTCTTATAAAAAGATTTATCATTGGAATAAGTTGAGATTCTATCTTTTAATAATAGCACTTTCTCTTCTTTAGTTTCACTATCTCTTATACCATCTCGGCCCTTTTTAATCTAATTCAGAACACACAATTGTTCTTATAATTGGATTCATATATATTCAATCTTAATTCATCTCCAACCCATTTTTCTTAATATCCCCCAACTTCAAATTATCTTCTAAAATGTAATTTTGAGTCTATGGTTTTATTGCTTAAAAATTATTCAGTGGTCCTGCATCATCTATTTATGAAATCTAAGTATCTTAGTAGTTTGTCTTCCTTTCTAACCTTTATCTCACTTCCTCATTCCTCATCATCTCCATAGATCCAGTATTCTAGGCATATAACTACATGTAATTCTGTGGATGTGTCATATCCTTTCAATTCCATAATTTGGCTTTATTCTTCCTTCTGCCTGGAACTCATTTCTTATGTCCCTTGACTAACAGAAGACTATCTTTCCTTTAAGACACACTTGATATGTCACCTCTTTCATAGTGCCTTTATTTTATTTCCAAGTAATTATTAATTATTAACTGTTTCTCTTATAATTGATTTGTAATTTTATCTCATTTTAGTTGGTGGTCTTTCATTTAAATTTAAATTTTTAATTATTTTAAATATGTTGAGGCTTACTATAAGATATAATTAATAATGATACATCCTGAAGAATGTTCCATGTGCACTTGAGAAGATTGTGTATTCGGCTAGTGTATGAAATATCTTCTACAGATTTTCATTAGGTCTATTTCGTAGTGTTATTGAAGTCTTTTTTTTTTATCATCTACTTTTTCATTTTATCTATTATTGAAAGTGAAGTATGACAGTACCTACATATTGTTAAATTTTCTATTTCTCTCTTTGTTTCTGTAAGTTTTTTTTTTCAAGTATTTTGAGACTCTGTCATTAGGTACATATGTGTTTACAGTTCTTATGTCTTCCTTAAAGAGTGACCATTTTATTATTACAAAATATTCTTCTTTTGTGCTAGTAAAATTTTGTAGGTTTAAGTCTATTTTGTCTGATAGTAGCTGTAGACACTTTAGTTTTCTTTTGGTAACAGTTTTCATGACATGTATCTTATCATCCTTTTATTTTCAACTGATTTGTGTCTTTGAATTTAGTGTTTCTTTTTTAGACAACATATAGGTAGATTAAGTGTTGATTTTTAAAAACTAATCTATTCTCCCAACCTCAGCATTTAAATTGGAATTCTTTATATAAATATATATATATATATTTATATTTAAAGACAAATTATAAAGTAACATTTATGCATGCCATTTTACTTTTTTTGTATGTCTTGTGTCTTTTTTTTGTTCCTATGTTTCTTTAATATTGCTCTTTTTTGTGATAAACATTTTTAGTATACCAGTTTGGTTCCTATGTTATTTATTCTATTTTTTAAAATCTTATTTTCTTAGTTATTGTGCTTGGGATTACAATTAACTGCTTAATTTAAAACAATCTAGTTCAGATTAATACAACTTAATTTCAATAGTTTACAGAAACATTGCTCCAATGTAGCTCCTTTCTTTAGCTTCCCTTTTGTATTAACATTGCTATAAAAATTACATCTTTATAATTTTAAACCCATTAATAAAATTCATGCAGTTATCTCTTAAGTCAGGTAGGAGTATAAAAGCGTTTTAAACAAAAATATATTTACATTATCTTGTATATTTCCCTATATTGTTTGTTTGTCTGTACTCTTTATTCCTCCATGTGGACTCAAGTTACTGTCTAGAGACTTTTCATTTCAACCTGAAGGACTCTCCAGTTAGTATTTCTCATAGGGCAGCTGTACTAGTGACGAATTCCTTTAGTTTTTCTCTTAATTAGTATGGTGAGTTACATTAATTAATTTTATGTGTTAAACCATTTATTTTATTATTTCTCCTATGTTTTAAAAAATAATTTTGTTAGGTAGAGAATTCTTATGTGATAGTCTTTTTCTTCAGTGCTTTGAATACGTTATTCCATTGCCTCTGGCTTCAGTGATTTCTGAAGAGAAGTCAACTTTTAATCTTATTGACAGTGACAAGTATGTGATAAGTTCCTTATCTTTCTGCTTTTAAGATTATCTTTGTCTACTGATAATTTGACTATGATGTTTCTACTTGTGGATCTCTTTCAGTTTATCCTTATAATTTATTAAGCTTCTTGGATATACAGATTGTCTTCTTACCAAATTTGGGAAACTTTTGACTATTATATCTTCAAATATTCTTTTGGACCCCTTTTTCTCTCCTCTTCAAGGAGTTTCATTTTATATGTGCTGATATACTTTATCCCACAGGTTTTGGGGGCTCGGTTCATTTTTCTTTATTCTTTATCTTTCTGCTCTTCGGAATGGATGATGTCAAATTGATACAGATCCGGTGACTGGAGGAACACCAGGGTCATTGGTCTCACGCCAATTTAGATAAATGACAGAGACACACGTGGAGTGGTTTTAAGGAGTGGAGAATTTAATAGTCAAGAAAGAAGAAAAAAAAGCTCCCCGCTACAGAGATAGAGGGAGCGGGGTTCCCAAGAGAGAAACCCTGTGTGCTGCTGCGAAAAAGTGGTCGGTAATATTGGGAAGCTGGAGAAAGCAGTGTCTGATTTGCATACGGCCCAGTGGATTGGTTTGACCAGGTGTGTATTTCACATAGCCCAGAAAAACCTGACCCTCCCACCCCAGGCTCTTAATATGCAAATGCAGGCCACCAGATGTCCTGCACCCGTGGAGATAGCTAGGGGTGGCCATGATGCCTGGCACACGTGCTGACAAGAAAAGGGTGAGAATCACCAAGCTGGCCATGTTGGTTAGACCTAGTTTCTAATCACCAGCATTAGCATGTTAATACTTGCCAGCCTGGCTTTCCAAACCGCCTTTCTGTTAGAAAAGAAATGTTTCGGGAGCTGTTTTTATTAAAAGAAAAAGTCTTATCAAGAACTTTTACCCTCTATATCTGCCTAGAATTATTTCTTAATAACTCCTGTATTATTCCCCCCTCAAGAGAAGTAAACCTAACTGTTGTTAGTGGGTGTTGGACGACAATTATTTCTGGCTACTTCCTGATGAAAAGGGGCGTCATGTCGGGGAACAGCAGTTGGGTCTTCTCCTGAGGTGGATTTAAGGGTACTTGGAAGAATGGCTTGTCCATGTGGGGCTCTGTTTGCAGCACCATTTTGAGTTTGATCGTTTCTAGGTGAAAAGAGATAAATTTTACAAGAAGGTTAAAAATATAGGGTTGGATTATGAGTATTAAAATTATCACTGTTAGTGGGGGTCCTATAGACTATAACTAACAGTGTAATTTGACTCTTGTTAGTTACACCCATGTATTGCAACACCAGTTTGCCTCCACTAGATGTTTATGTACATTACCAGAAACATTAATATAAAAGCAACATTTTCCTTGAGAAGAGCATACATTTCCCCCTTGACTTGCCATTGGAGAATAACTTTAGGCTTAGGCAATTTTTATAACTTGCAGTATGATTGGGAGAGATACATTATTCGGTGGCTAAATAACTTTGGCATTAATCTTGACAATTCCTTTCCTTTAATTATTAAATTTTTTCATGACTTTCACAGACCCTCTTACAACAGACTTAAACTTTCTGACTTGTCCTAAACATTCTTTCTCTAAACAACCGGTCATTTCCTTTTAGGACAAGAATTTACCAAACAAGATCCTTCCTTATATAAAATCTCTTTCTCTATAACCTTTTCATAGCTTAGAGTGCATCACATTAGCAACCTTCGGTAAAAAGTCCCGTCAAACTTAATGATAGTAAAAACTATTACTCCTGCTGTAAGCAAAACAACCTTGACGAAATCTTTCCTGTAACTACTTATCCTGCTCTAAGTATAATGAGGCAAAATATTACAGCAATTAGAATTTTACAACCAGAATTCCACATCGTGGGTGTCATAGTGTATAGTTCTATTGCAAATAGTAGCGTGACTATAACAATTCCCATGAGAGTGACGTAGTAAATAATTTCCATTTAAAACTTTACTTGCCAAGACAACATTTCTCTTTGGGAAGCTACAAAGTTACAAATGCAATCCCATGTATAATTAAATTCTCCCTGCAAATATGTGTTAAAAAGAAGTTCTAATATTTGGTGGCAAATTTTGAGAGGGAAGGGCAGAAATAATAAAAAGTCTGGTGAGGTAGCAGTGGGACTGAGTAAGATGAGCAGCCCTTCCCCAGTTACTTATCTTTCATGATTTTCAGCCTAAGGTCTTCTATTTCTCCACATTGAGATTCAGGACTTTCCTCTGGGCTTTCAGGGGTTGCTCCCTTAGCTTTTTAGGCTTTGACTTGAGTGTGGTGCATCCAGGAGATGATTCCTGTAACTGTCAAAAGAACAGTGTCGGGCCTTTCCCAGCCCGAGCGTAGGGAAGAAAGCAGAAGTGAGAGTTTTCACTAATACCAGATCTCCTGGGTTAAATAAACGTGGTTTCATTTCCTGGGGTTGGCCATTTGCTAGTTGTGCTAATGCCTTGAGGCTTCCTTGCTGCTGACTTAGCTGCCTGATTAGCTAATCTATTTCCTTTGGCTACCTCATCTGTTTCCTTTCGATGTCCCCTGCAATGCATCCCTGCTATTTCTTATAGAAGGAAAAAAAACTGAGGATAATAACCTGTTAATTTCTTGGTGATATTTCCTGGAGATCCATTGATGGTAAGAAAATGTCTTTTCTTCCAAATGGCAGCATGAGCATGGAGAATCAGGAAAGAGTACTTGGAGTCAGTAAAAATGTTAGCTACCTTTCCCTCGCTTATCTCAAGTGGTCTTGTTAGAGCTATTAGCTCAGCTAATTGAGCACTTGTGCCTGGAGAGAGACGTTATTTAGAGCAACTACTGCTTATCTTGCCTTGTGTACTTCTTGCTTTCCTGGCTATTTGTTAGCTTAGAGCTCCCCTAGAGGACAGTGATCCTGCCACATTATGTTGAGTGTAAACAGCTAAATTACGTCCTAGGGTTAATTTGGAGGGATTTTTTTTTTTTGACTAGTAGAGCTATCATGATAATGTCTGGGAAGTATGTGTCAACTAAGGTTGAGAAAAATATTGGATTAGAGTTTTTCTTGAGATGCCCCTTAAGGTCATGCTATGGGAAGGGGAGAGGCCTGGATTAGAGAGGAGAAAAGAGAGACTGGCTGTAGTGCTTAGAAGGAGGTCTACTTTTTTTCCTTCAATTTCCAGAATCACCTGGGGCTCCTGTGCTATAATGGCAGTTTGAGCTGCTGGACCCACGGTTTGAGCCCCGGGACCCATCAATCCTGCTGGACCATCTGTGAGACTCCACCCAGTGACCTCCACCTCCGAGGGCAGTTCTGTCTCCAGTGGTCTTCACCACAGGCTGGACAGGGTCGAGGTGGCTTCATCTTGCTGCCTGGGCATTCCTTCTTCTTCTTCTTTTATATATATATATATATTTTTTTTTTTTTTTATTATACTTTAAGTTCTAGGGTACATGTGCACAGCGTGCAGGTTTGTGTTCCAAGAAAGAAACTCTGTGTGGGGCAGAAAAGTGGTTGGTAATATTGAGAGGCTGGAGGAGAAGGTGTCTGATTTGCATATGGCCCAGGCGATTGGTATCACCAGGTGTGTCATTCATGTAGCCTGTGAAAAACCTGGCCCTCCCATCCTAGCCTTTTAAATATGCAAATTATAGCTGTCATGTAGTCCTGCACATGTGGAGCTATCTGGGGGTGGCCATGATGCCTGGCATATGTGGTGACAAGGAGAAGAGGGTGGGAATTGCCATGTTGGCCATGTTGGGTGCACCTACTTTCTAATCACCCACATTAGCATATCAATACTTGCCAGCCTGGCTTTTCAAGCTGCCTTTCTGCTAGAAAAAAACGTTTCAGGAGCTGTTTCTATTAAAAGAAAAAGCCTTACCAAGAACTCTTTTTACTCTCTCTATCTGCCTAAAATTATTTCTTAATAATTCCTTTATTAAAATTGCATGTTGGCCAGGCACGGTGGCTCACGCCTGTAATCACAGCACTTTGGGAGGCTGAGGTGGGCAGACCACCTGAGGGTGGGAGTTCAAGACCAGCCTGACCAACTTGGAAAAACCCCATCTCTACTAAAAATACAAAATTAGCTGGGCATCATGGCACATGCCTGTCTGTAATCCCAGCTACTCGGGAGGTTGAGGCAGGAGAATCGCTTGAACCCAGGAGGCAGAGGTTGCGGTGAGCTAAGATTGCATCATTGCACTCCAGACTGGGCAACAAGAGTGAAACTCTGTCTCAAAAAAAAAAAAAAAAATTGCTTATCTTCAAGTTTGCTGATTCTTTCTTCTGCCATTTCAAATGTTAAGTCTCCCTAGTGAATATCTTTTTAATTTCAGTTATTTTGCTTTCAATTTTAGAATAGCTACTTGACTCACTTTTATAATTTCTAACTATTTATTGAGATTCTCTATTTGGCAAGATATTATTCTTAGGTTTTCCTTAATTATTTGGACATTGTTTTCTTTAGGTCTTGGATTATGTTTACAATAGCTAATTTGAAGTGTTTGTCTAGTAAATTCAATGCCTGGGCTTCTTCAAAGATAGTTTCTACTGACTGCTCTTTTTCCTGTATACAGGCCATACTTCCTGGTTTGTTAAATGTTTCCAAATGTATGTTTTTGATAACTGGATATTTAATCTAATATAAATATGCCAACTCTGAAAATCAGCTCTTCTTTCTCTCAGGGTTTGTTGTTGAAGGTTGTCTTGTTGTTCTTCTTAATATTATTTTCTTTAGTAACCTTCCTGGATGAATTCTGTAAAGTCTGTATTCCTTGCCGTATGAAGCCACTGAAATCACTTCTGAGGACCTTATAGTGGTCAGCTAATAATTAGACAATAATTACCTTAAATGCTTTGAATTAATAGGTCTCCCAACCTTTGCAGAAGGCCTCTGTGTTTTAATACAGCACAACTTCAATACTTAGCAAGGCAGTTTACATATTTTCCTCAGCTTCACTTTCTGCTTTCACAAAGGCTCAAGGTCAGCTAGAAGTAAGAGATTAGGGACCCTCAGGTCAGTCCTGGGCATTCACACCACCTTGCCCAGGCATAAGTCTTCCTGATTCCAGGCATGTTTACATTCTCTCAGAGCTCTCTATGGACATCTCATTTGCCAGTGTTTTGTTTTCTTTTATTTTATCAGCCTCTCCCATACTGAGAGCTTATCTTATTTATTTAATATCCTAATTCACTATGGTAATATTGTGTAACAAATTACTATTTTGTCTTCTGAGAGGCTTTTGAATCAATTTAATTAATAATTATTAGATATGAAAACTCTCTTCATTTACTGGAGTAACTCCCAACTTAAGTTATGAACTAACACCATAGTAGGATATCAGACCAATATAAGGATATCAGTCCTTCATTTATTTCTGGGCAATACATTCTATGACATATAATCACAGTAGAAAGATAATATTTTTAAATGATTTAATACATGTGTCATGAATTTCAAATGAAGGAAAGGGAAATATCTGGAAAAAATGAGACTCGAGCTGGAAATGTAGGTAAAAATGAAATGGCAAAATATTATGGTACAGTAGAATAAAAGAAAAAAGAAATTTATACAATTAAGATCTGGTAGAAATAAATGGATTGTTTTGGGAAGGGGAAGTAGTGAGCTCCCAGTCACTGATAATGTTCAAGTGGAATGTAAATTAACAGTAACTGAGTAATAGGGGATTGAATTGTGGGTTTACAGAGCATTTTACCACCTAAAAATATAAGAATATAATCTGGGGGCAGAAAAGTATCAAATAAATAGCAACAATAAACATGTCTGACAGGGTCCCAACAAGAAACACAATACACTGTAATTGGGTAATAGGAAGTAGGTAGAGTAAAAGAGAATCATTCAGACGTGGAAACAGCAGGGAGTTACTTCTAAGGCCTAAGAGCAAAACAGGAGGAAACAGCTCCTTGAACCAGGAGGTTTAGGAAAAGGCAATCTGACTAAAGTGGCCACTGCCAAGCTACTGCCCAGCAATCTCAGGATACAGAGTGGGGTGGAGAAAAGGGAGAATGGATCTGAAGAGGCAAGTAAAAGTAGCACATATGTCCGTGAGGGAGATTTATAAACTTTTATCTCTTAGACCATTTTTAATATCTCCACAGGACATGTACACCTCATGAATTAGCATGACAAAGCTATAAACTTTGTAATTTATAGCTTACCTTTACAACTGTTGGGGGCCTTGTTTTTGTTTGATTGTTCTCTTTTTAGTTTCACCATCTGCAAATATTGGGAAGACAGAATACCTTAGAGAATGCTATAAAAGCCCTATTTTACCTAAAGAAAAGTGAAGTATGCTGCCAAACCAATAGCTCCATGGTCTTTAAATTTTTCTGGAGGCCTTTAGCTTTTGGTATTAGAAAATAGAATGATAGCCTTAGGCAAAAAGTAGCCAGAATAATATTTTTCCCTTTAATTGTATGTTTCTACATAGTAAAGAGATTAGATTAATTCATAAAAATCTAAATTCAGTTTACAAAAATAAGCTTAAACTTAATAAACTCATTTTGCTTATATATGTAAATGTACCTGTTTTTAAGCTTTTAAATTTTAAATGTACTAAAGGAATATTAATTTAAAATACAGTGAATATAGTTTTATTTTAAAAACATGGATGCAGTATCCAATATTAACATTATATATAATATGCTATTTGGAGACTTAACTACTCTCACCTAAAAATATTTTAGACAAAGCAAGAAGTTTTCATCATTAGTAAAACAAAAAGTTATTGTTTGCCTTCTAAAATTAAAATGTAATACAATTGATAAATATTTTAGCTAAACATTTGTTCAATTGTAAATATGTTTTGTGATTGTTTAAGATGCACATGGTCTTTATTGAGTATAAACTCGACATTTCATATATATCCCCACTTTCTCTCTTTTACTTTTGTAATTTTCTGTTTGTTTTTTCTTTTATGCTTTTAGGTTTTGTTCTTTTTGACAAAGGACACTGTTCTTTGTCCTTTAACAGATTGTGTTATAACAGCTGAGTTCAAAACAGTCATTTATTGGGCATCTATGATGTACCAGACAATATCCTAGGGAGGGAGATAAACAAACAGATAAGACGTCAGTTCTGAATTTTAATATACAGTATGGGAGAAGAGATAAACATAAATTATTCTAGAGAGGTAAGTGAAGTTTAAGTAATAAAGTACATTGGTGCTGAATGTTATCTTTTTTAAAGAAACTATCTTACAAATTTAATATCCATAAGATAAAAGTATTTTCAAAAGATGGAACAAATGAGGAAAAAGGAAGGATATAGAAAGGAAGCATCCAAGAGGGTGAGCTCTCAAAATGTGTGTAATAAAATCCCAAATCCCTGCTAGAGCAACAGATTAGGTCCGTGGTTATGGACAAAGACTTTAGAGCCAGACTTCCTGGTTTCAAGCTCTGACTTTACTTACTAGCTATCATCTGAGGCAGTTAAATTAATCTTTCTGTATCTCAGTTTTCTTATTTGTACAATGGGGATAAATTGTCCCCCACTCAAAAAATTGTTGTATTAAATGAGTACACATGATTTAGAATCATGTCTAGTACGTATTATACATATTTACAAGTAGCAGTAGTAGTACTCTAAAAGATGGTTTATACATCTAGCTCTAAGTTTTCTTTGCCATGATCACCATGATCAGTTAACATGATTCACTGTGTCTGTATGATTTTTAAAAATCTCATTGGTGGAGAAAAGCAGATTCTGTTTTATTTCTTAATTCAAGTATAACAGAAAAATTGCAAAAAATCACAGATGTCTAACTCATTAAATATTCACAAAAGTGACCAGACGCATGTAATTAGTATTTCAGTCAAGGAGTAAATATCACTCTTGTTATATTAGCCCCTGATACCTCTGCTAATCACAAACCCCTGCTTCCTCTCCAAAGTTAGTCTTACTTCCAGCGTCACAGAGCAATTTTTTGTTTCTAAATTATATATAAAATGAATCAAGTAAAATGTATTTTTCCTACTTTGGCATCCTCAACTTTATATTAGAGAATTTATCCATATTGTTATACATGGTTGTAGCACATCTATTTTCATTGCTGCTTAATATTTTATTATAAGATCATCTCACCACTACTTATCCCTTTAACTACTAATGAATGTTTGTGTTGTTTCCAGTTTGTGCCTATTACAAAAAAACATACGACCTTGAACATTCTTGTACGCACTTTGATGTACATGTTTATCGTTTGCTCTTTGGAGGGAGAGGATAATATATGTACCTAAGAATGAAATTGCTAGGCCATTGTTTATGCATATGTCCATATTTAGTAGATATAGCCAAATGATGTCTAAAGTAATTAGACCAATTTATACTCCCACCAGGAGAATATGAGAATTCCAGTTACTCCACATCTTTGCCAACTCATACTAGTGATTATACACATGGGAATGTAAAGGCTGGACCAGAAGGAAAGGATTTTCAGCTTTAGTTGATACTTTTAAATTTTCTAAAGTATGTATTTAACCAACAACTATTTATGAAAGTTCACATTGGCATCTAACTGTTTTTTTTTAACTTTGAAATTCTTTTTATTTTATTTTATTTTTTTATTATTATTTTACTTTAAGTTCTAGGGTACATGTGCACAACGTGCAGGTTTGTAACATATGTATACATGTGCCATGTTGGTGTGCTGCACCCGTTAACTCGTCATTTACATTGGGTTTATCTCCTAATGCTATCCCTCCCCCCTCTCCCCATCCCCCAGCAGGCCCCAGTGTGTGATGTTCCCCACCCTGTGTCCATGTGTTCTCATGGTTCAACTCCCACCAATGAGTGAGAACGTGCAGTGTTTGGTTTTCTGTCCTTGCCATAGTTTGCTCGTAATGATGGTTTCCAGCTTCATCCATGTCCCTACAAAGGACATGAACTCATCCTTTTTTATGTCTGCGCAGTATTCCATGGTGTATATGTGCCACATTTTCTTAACCCAGTCTATCATTGATGGACATTTGGGTTGGTTCCAAGTCTTTGCTATTGTGAATAGTGCTGCTATAAACATACATGTGCATGTGTCTTTATAGCAGCATGATTTATAATCCTCTGAGTATATGCCCAGTAATGGGATGGCTGGGTCAAATGGAATTTCTAGTTCTAGATCCTTGAGGAATCGCCACACTGGCTTCCACAATGGTTGAACTAGTTTCCAATGATGACTGATAAGCTAGAATACGTTATTTTTCTTTACCACGAATTTTTATTATTATAACTTTTTATTTTCATTCCATCTAACTTTTAGTAGCTTTATTGAGATATAATTTAAATCACATATAGTTCAATCATTGAAAACACACAATTCAGTGGTTTTCAGTATATTCACAGTCATGCAACCATTGTCACTATCTCATTCCAGAATATCACTCCAAGAAAGAAACTTTTACCCATTAGCAGTCTCGTCCATTCTACCGCCCACAGCCTCCAGGTCTAGACAATCACGAATCTACTTTCTAACTCTCATGGGTTTGCCTATATTGGGCATTTCATATAATGACTGACTCCTTTCATTTAGCGTAATGTTTTTGAGGTTCGTTATGTTGTAGCATTGTGTCAGTACTTCACTCCTTTTTATTGCTGATTATTACTCTACTGAATGTGTATACCACCTTTTCTTTATGTTAATGGCCATTTGGAACTCGTGTGTGTGTGTGTGTGTGTGTGTGTGTGTGTGTGTGGTGCTGTTGAAGTCCCTCGCACATTTGTTATTGGAATTGTCTGGTTTTTGACAATGACTTGTGGAAGTTCTATTCATCTTGTGAATATGAGACCTTTGGTATATACATCATCCCTATCTTTTCTTTCTCTATGACTTGACTGTGCACTGTTTTAAAAGTATATTTTGGGCTGGGCCGGGCACAGTGGCTCATGCCTGTAGTCCCAACACTTCGGGAGGCCAAGGCAGGTGGATCACCTGAGTTCAGGAGTTCGAGACCAGCCTGACCAACATGGAGAAACCCCATCTCTACTAAAAATACAAAATTAGCTAGGTGTGGTGGCTCATGCCTGTAATCCCAGCTACTCGGGAGGCTGAGGCAGGAGAATTGCTTGAACCTGGGAGGCGGTGGTTGCAGTGAGCTGAGATCACAACATTGCACTCCAGCCTGGGCAACAAGAACAAAACTCCATTTCAAAAAAAGAAAAAAAAAAGTATATTTTGATAAAGAGAATCTCTGAATTTTAATGTTTGTTTTTTCACTCTCTGTTTGAGTTAGTGCTATTTGTGTTCTGTATAAGAAATTTTTCCAATCCCCAAGTTTATGAGAATATTTTACTCAGCCGGGCATGGTGGCTCATGCCTGTAATACCAGCACTTTGGGAGGCCGAAGCAGACAGATCACATGAGGTCAGGAGTTCAGGATCAGCCTGACCAACATGGTGAAACCCCGTTTCTACTAAAAGTACAAAATTAGCCGAGTGTGGTGGTGGGTGCCTGTAATCTCAGCTACTCAGGAGGCTGAGGCCGGAGAATTGCTTGAACCTGGGAGGCAGAGGTTGTTGTGAGCCGAGATCACGCCACTGCACTGCAGCCTGGGCAGCAAAGTGAAATTCTGTCTTAAAAAAAAAAAAAAAGACTATTTTACTCATCTTCCCTAGAAGATTTTACATTTTGATTTTACAAAACTATGTTGACACTGAGACAATATATCTCTCTTGAGGACCCTCATAGAGTGGACAGTATCTAATGTGGTGAGCACATCCTCTCTAATGTATTTAGGGTAACATGATAATAAATTTAATGGAGATATTTGTAATAATGCCCAATGTAAGCAAATGCCATTTTGCCAGAGTAAACTTTAAGAAAATCAATGCAACAGGGCTGAGTTGGTGGGCAGCTCACCCCTCACAGTCATCCCAGCCCAGGGCTAAACTACTTTCTATTTTCTAAGAAGAAGCTACATTTCCAGCTGATTGTGTAGGGGCCTGGGCCTCTGAGATTTCCCTAGGACCTGGGCAGTGTGCACAGCTTACTTCCGCTCTGCTTGGCCACTGGGCACAGTCATGCCTGGAATGGGCACACCCAGGTGCTAAAGCCGGGAGGGGAGGTGGTAAGGAGGGGAGCCGCCAAGCCCCCTCACTGACTTGCAGCTGTTGGGGTGAAAATGACACCTCCATAAACAGAAATCACATTGTTCTGAACTGCACATCTGATGGCTGGGCCAAACGTACATTGTACTTAGTTACATTTCAGTAGTTTGCAGCAAAACACTTAACATTATGAAAGAAGAGATAGGAGGCATTTCAAACCATGAGAGAAGAAAGGAAAGATACCATAGGAAAACCTGAGGACCTTGGCCAACACCTTCAGTTGCCCCAGGACCTTGTCCTGGTCCCACGTAATGACTAAACCTCTGTGAAGGGAAACTGAACCAACATTCCTTTCATCCATAGAAAGAGAGAGATGGTTGAATCCTCTCCCCTGTAAGTGGCATAGCTCAGAGGAAAGTCCGAGGACAAGGAGAGACAGATCCCCATGTTACTCACACATCTGATGAATCCTGGGAGAGCCCCCAGTTGAGATGGGATAGTCCCCTTGACCCCTTTGCGGGACTTGTGAAGGGGTGGCTTGCTTTCTCAGCCCACAGTGCTCAAACCCTTTGCGTGGTGGAGGTAGCGGGGAGGGTGCAGGGAGCATGCAGGTGAGCAGGTGCAGGAGCTGGGGCAAGCAACTTTGGGCACCAGCAAGAACGAACCCCGTAGGGGCCCATGGCAGTGCCTAGGCATTGCCCATGACCCCTGGAGCCCCAGCGGGTGTGTGTCACAGTGCACTCTTTTAGCTTTGCCATCCATGGATTGCTTAAATGTTAAACAGTTCAGTGGAGAGTCAATGCGACAGCCTCTTGCACCCACACCTGTGCCCTTTTCCAGTGTCCAGGAGGAATGAGGTCGTGTGAAAAAATTGGAGGGTGGTGAATATGGAAGATTTTAGTGAGCAGAGGAAGTGGCTCTCGGCAAGAAGGGGAGCTAGAAGGGGGATGGAATGGGAAGATAATGGAGTTCGGCTGTCCCAGGCTGAACTCTTCTCCAAAGTCCTGCCATCAAGCCATCCCTCTGAAGTCAGGCTGCTTCTCTCCAACATCCAGCTGCTTCTTCTCTTCTCTTCTTTTCTTCTCTGCCGCTCTGCTCCTCTACCAGTGGAGCTTGGGGTTTTTATGGGTACAGAATGTGGGGGCAGAGAAGGCTAGGGTGGTTTTGGAAAAGGCAACATTCAAGTGGGAAAACAGGAATGCATGCTCTCATTTAAGGCCGTGGGTCCAGACTTGAGGATGGACCCTCGCCAGGGACCCACATCCACTTCTACCCAGTATTTCCCTGATTCCTGTCTGTATCAACACCTTTCTATGTTGATACATGTAAGAAATATGAAAAAAATATAGAATCTACAAATGAACTTCTTAATTTTGGCAGAGGACATAACTCCTCCCCAGAGCAACTCTTTGGGTGCAACTGTGTAAAGTCTGTGGTTTTTTTTTTTTTTTTTTTTTTTTTTTTTGGTCAGTGAAACTAAGGGCTCTTCTGATGTTTGGGAGAGAGAGACATTGACAGTACATATGTTGTACAGTCATTGGTCCAGAAGGTAATTGGTCTCATTTTGGTTTTCTGTTTATTTCTCTAGATTTCAAAGGTCAATTGTTTATTTTTCCTGATGGAAGTAGATTAAAAGATATCCCTTATATAATGTGTGGCCATAAAAAGAAAATAAAAGCCTTCCTTTTAGAACAAAGAAAATAAATGTATGTATCTTAAAAATTACTTAATACACTTTTTAGAGTTTTTATATACTGAGCTCTACTATACCTAGATATGTAACAGCACTTGTTATTAAAAATTACTCTGGGGTTTTTTAATAAAATAAAAAGAACTGACATTATTTGGGCTATTTTACTTTACTAGGCAGAAAAAAAGATTTAAAATTCAGCACTAATGATACATTTATGGTTGACAGATTTAGGTCTGGCACTTTATCTTTGAGACTTATGTTCTGCATGTCCTTAAAATGTAAACCTAAAAATACAGATACCAAATCTAATTTAATAGATAATAACATCTGTTGTCTTCAAGGAAATCAGTTTGAGCTGCATGCTTGGAGGTCAAGGAACTCTTGAACTGATCAATTTAGTAAAGACTGGAAAGTTGGCATTCATAATAAACAGTTTTCAAGTCTGAACTTCTGATAGAGAAAACAAAACACTAAATAACAGACAAGAAGAAATTAAAAATAACTAACATAATTTCATAAAATATGTTTTGAAAACTGATCAATATGTGCAAAAATATTTTTGAAAAGTTTTGCTTTATCATATTGATGTTCAATAAATAATTATGTGTTTTGTAGCAGAATTTAATCATTATGTTTGCATAATCAATACAAGCAATTTACTCTTGAAATAAGAGTTATGATAAATTTAGCTATCAAACACTCCCAAATAAATATTCTTGTATTTTCAGACACCTGTTTAAAAGCAGACAAGTGCATAAATTCTTTGTTATTGATATCTCTTAGAAGAAATGTTTTGACTCGATTATAATGAAACTGCTGTTACGGCAAATATGTCAGCTTAATATTACCCTAAACCTGCCTGATAGTATTTTATTACTTGTAATAGTAAATAACATTCCTTCTGCAAAAATGTAAAAAAACAAAGAGTTTAAATGAACTAGTTGTCTTCATCCAATTTGCAACTAGCATACTGAAAAAGTCATATAAGAAAGAATTTATTCCATACATTACTATGCTGCTAGGTAAACTGAGTATGAACAATTAAATACTATTTTGAGATACATATTAAATCTTTAAGGTAAACCAAAGTTGCATAACTGAAGGAATTACTTTTGGTAATGAATCTTTATTAAGAAGTGATAGGTATAATTACTTTAGCATTAGATATGGTTTGGCTAACATCCCCACCCAAATCTCATCTCGTAGCTCCCATAATTCCCACATGTTGTCGGGGCAGGTCTTTCCCGTGCTGTTCTCGTGATAGTGAATTGGTCTCATGAGATTGGATGGTTTTAGAAACAGGAGTTTCTCTGCATAAGCCTTCTCTTTGCCTGCTGCCTTCCATGTTAGACGTGACTTGCTCCTCCTTGCCTTCTACCATGATTGCAACGCCTCCCCAGCCATGTGGAACTGTAAGTCCATTAAACCTCTTTCTTCTGTAAATTGCCCAGTCTCCGGCATGTCTTATCAGCAGTGTGAAAATGGACAACACAGCATCACAAATTCTAATCTATGAAATTATTATTTGATGTTAATATGTAAGTACTAATCATATATGTAAAAACTGGGTTGGAGATTCACTACCCATGTTTATTATTTCTATTAATAGTCAGCCTACCCAGAGAAAAGGTTGTTGGTTGGAGTTCAAAAAACATAATTCTATTGAGTTACAGTCTAATCTCTGCTTGATTATTGCTATATAACTTCCTCCCCAGTCAAGCTCTCTCGATTTCCCTTTTTTCATCTTCTCTCTTATACACTAGCTACTTTCCTGAATTACTCTCACATCTCTGAGACTGAATTCAGCTAAAAGTTATTCCTGTTCAGGAAATAGGGGCCAGTTTAAATATTCAGAATTCTAGAGAGTATCTTTTAATTACAGTAAAAAAAAAATATGAAATCTACACTATTAACATATTTTAAGTGTACAGTACAGTTAACTATATGCCCATTGTACAGTAGATCTCAGAACTTGTTCATCTTGTATTATTGAAACTCTATATCCATTGTATAGTAACTCTAGAGAGTATTTCAATCACAAAAGTGAATTAATTATTTTCTAAGTGATAAATTTTAAAAAGTAAATGTGTTAACCCAGTTGAATGCCTTCTTCCTTAACATAAATTTGTCTTTTGTTTATTATAAAAGTAACTTATATTCAACCTAAAAATTTAGGTAATATATGCACATATTAAGAAAACAATACAAGCCTCTCATTGCCCCACCTGTGGGAGATAACTATTGTTAATCATTTAGAGATTATGCTTTGAGGCTTTTGGGTTTACACATGCATACATTTTACTTACAGCAGTGATATTACTTTATAATTATAGTTCTTAATCACATGTCATATCACCTAAAAATATTCTACAATATTACTTCAATAAATACATAGTATTCCATTATATCAATAACCTATAATTTATTTAATTTCCTGTTGATAGACACTTAGTCTATCTCACTTCATCACTATTATACTAATACTACAATGCAAAAGTGATGTTTACACCTTTTACTATTGTCCAGTTATTTCCTAGATGTGGAATTTTTGGATCAGAAGAAATACAACATTTTAAAACTTTCGGCATTCTGGAGCGTTCTACAGAACTTTGTACCAATTTTTATATCTCAGCAGTGTAAAAGAAGGCTTGTTCTCCCCAACCAGCTAACAGTTAATAATCATTCTTTGTAAATTTTGCTTAATGAATACAGTTTTAATTAGTGAAAAGTGTAGAAGAGAGATTTTTGAATTACAAAATTCCTGGGTGCCTGTAGCTGTCCTCCTTATTCCCCAAACCAAATTAAGTAGTCTTCCAATGAGTAAAATGAATTTTCTTTAGTTATTTTCAGAGTTTTCAACTCTACCTATACATTAGTTTTCATGGTTAGAAACAATTATTTCCTTGTTCTGACCCAGTGTTTAGGAGAGGGAGAATAAAGTTTGAATTGTACAATAGTGTTCTTTCAAATATGATAACTCATTAATAATATAAAATATTATTTATAAATGTTTTTCATAATCAAAAAACTGTTATTATAAATGATAATATCTTATCAATTTTTCTAATATCACTTATATTTATGCCATGTGGACATAATATTTTAAAAATATAATTGTTTCATAAAATAATGAAAGGTGGTGTATCTATAGAATCTCCAATACAATAAGTATTTAAAGTTCCTTTTATTATAAATCAGTTGTTTGGATTATGAATAAGTCTTTAAATGTAGATATCATTTTGACCATCATCTGTATCACTAGCACATCATTTGTTTCAATATTTGACTACTTTCTGTAAAAGAATCTTTCCCAAAGATTATATGGCATGGCCCCAGCATGTTGTAAATAAAATAATTTAAAACAGCATATCTGGCAGAGTAGTAATGGCTACAGTTCAAAGAATGGAGAGGTCTAAAAAAAACTTAACTGTATTGTGTATTGTTAATTATTAAGGATTGCAAATACAAAAATTATAAAATCATGAAAAAAGAGTGATTATAGAATATAAGAAAACTTTTCTATCTCTGGTACTCTAGGACTGGGGAAAAGTACGCACAAGAGGACAAATTTGGAAAGAGACTCCCTTCTCAAGGCTGGGGTTCAGACCTTATTGGAGAAGACGTAGTTGTAACCCACTGGTTGTAACCCACAGAATTGAAGTAGAGAAAGCATAAGTGTTATTTCATGATATTTAACTTTTCAGTTTGTATTTGCATGTGGGTATATGTCTTGGTTGCCATGTGAAACATATTTAAACCCTTAATATATGCTGTGTGATAATGAAATTCCTTTAAGCATCTCTCCTTTATAGTGAGCATGATGTTAATCTTCCTCAGTATCCAGCTGTAGGGCACATTGCAGGAAGAAGGCACTCCCCTTTGGTTTTTGGGTGTGCATGGTTGGTCAGGAGTGTGAGAGTGAGGACACTGATGATGCTTGCCCAGCCATGCTCCCAGAATGCACTGTCCTCCTGACATGGACACTGGGTATTCCAGGCCTCCGAGAGACAGCAGCAGCAGCACCCTAATTCTCTCTGCTGCCCCAGGTTTGTGTCCCAAGGTCTTCAGGACACTGTGGTCCTCCCAGCAGGGATATTGTATCAATTCACCTGCTGTGCCTGTTCCCCTACTCCCATTAAGTGTAAATGCCCATGTGCACCTCCACTAGCTATAGCTTGCCTGACATCACTTGTATTCCAGAAGGTAGCCACGGGGCCCAAAGTCACTCTGTGTACCCATACACCCACCTACCAGTTGTGGCTCACCTGCGTCCAATCTGCACTCTGAATGTTGCTTACTACTTGCCTCATGACTACAGACCATGTCCAGTCTGGCACACCGATAAATTTCTCTGTCATCCTGTGGGTTACAACTACATCTTCTCCAATAAGGTCTGAACCCCAGCCTTGAGAAGGGAGTCTCTTTCCAAATTTGTCCTTCTGTGGCTACTTTTTCCCAGTCCTAGAGTACCAGAGATAGAAAAGTTTTCTTATATTCTATAATCTTTTTTCATGATTTAATAATTTTTGTATTAAATGTCCCCTAACAAAATCACTGTGTGGTTTCTTTCTCATGATCAGACTCAGACTACTCCATGTAATAATCTTTAGTTTGCAGTTTAATTATTAATGAATGCTATTTTATTATTTTTATTCACTTATATTTAAAATTTTTTGTAATAATCATGATTTTTTAAAATGAGAAAAAACAGTATGAATAAAACAATTAAAAAGTCATTTTTCCAATCACTGCTACTGCTTCTCAATTTTTTTGTTTTACTTCGATATCTGATCTTCAATTACAGGTTGACAAAGGAATAGGCATACTAAATCAAGCCTTAGTTATGTCTCTAAGAGGGCACTAGAGAGTAATTGCTGGGAAGAGAATGATACTATAAATTAATGAATAAATCGGTGAACTGCTACCTGTGTCATTACCCTCCAAAGATTAGAGTTGTTACTCCAATATCCTAGTTTTCAGTAATGCTCAATTAGGCATCAATTAAGAAATTGAAATTATGCGTGGACATTCTATGACAGTATTTTTCAAATTGTTGATCACATTAGTTGTGAAATCACGTAAGTATGTTGCAGTTATTTATTTTTTAACTTAAACAGAATTGAAGTAGAGAGAGTGTAAGTGTCATTTCATGATATTCAATTTGTATTTGTATGTGAGTGTACGTTTTGGTTCCCATGTGAAACATATTTAAAGAAATAGCTGCCTAATGGCTCTATACATAGGGCTTACGGTGTAGCTGGTACTAAGTGCTTTGCCTGTATTTTATTGTTGGTTGTAATAAAGGACTTTACAAAATACTTGCCAGCTTTTGGTGTTTGACTTTGCATACTTTTACATACAGAGTGTTTGTTCTGTTTTTCCCATCTTTTGGAATGACATTTTACTATAGTGTATTTATTCCATAGTTTAGAGATTCTTTGGAAAGGCAGCAGTGTTGACTCTGCACTAAGATTCCAAGAACTCTGGCAGAAATGCTGTGGAACTATTCTAAGTCCCCTTAGCAAGGAGGCTGCTACTGCCACCATGAACTCTGCCCAGAATGGGGCTACCTCTGCTGCTACCAGCACTAGCAAAATCAAGGTCCTCTTTCCCAGTGTAATCCATTCTGAATCAAAGTCTAGCATCGGTACATTTGATTTGCATCCAAATCACCTAT
The DNA here is from genome assembly GCF_000001405.40 of Homo sapiens. Classification (NCBI taxonomy): domain Eukaryota; kingdom Metazoa; phylum Chordata; class Mammalia; order Primates; family Hominidae; genus Homo; species Homo sapiens. The sequence goes on along the minus strand of NC_000009.12, from coordinate 9,983,111 downwards.
CTGTACCCTAGCGACAAATGAGTCCCAGTAATAAAGTTTTTTTTTTTTTTTGGTATAACATATTTAAGTATTTGATTTACACTAAAGGGAATCTATTAAAATATAGAATATTCCATTGATTTTAGGCAGGCATGTATTCCAGATTTCCGCCACATCACCTTGTTTTTCCATACAGAAAACTTTAGAACTATACAGAAATCATCTTCGTCAGAACAGTGTTTAGCACATGAATCATTATCAGGCTTGATTTGTGAGGAAGCTGAATGTAAAACAGAAAAGCATTATAAATAGAAAGCTATAATCAAGAAGTGAAATATTGTCCTCCTTGCTTCATTAAGCTTTTATTTTATTTTATTTTTTTAATTTTTAGGACCTTTTGCTCTGAGACCTTAACAGATAGCATCAAATACAAAACAAAAACTAATCATAGGAAAGCCTTGATCTGACTTCTGGATTCTTGCATAACCTCTAATAATACACAATGCAACTGGAAGTGTTGATTCTTATCCTGAGGGAAGAAAGAAACTTACCTCAGGAGGGAAGAAAAGTCACTTTTCTGTGATCATAAATAAGAGAATTGCAATTAGTTTATGCCAACACACACACACACACACACACACACACACACACACACACCACCACCACCACAACAACAATATATGTATCTATGTACCCACATTTGAATATATAAGAGATTTTTGATGACTTACTGACAAATAATTTGTATAGCATCCATAACTAGCACATAAATAATTGTGCCCTAAAAATGCTATTTTAGCTTAAAGACAATGTGTTGCAATATTACATCCATATGGAAAATATGGGTGTTGTTTGGTCCTTGTGGATCTGTTCAGTGACAAAGATGAATATAAAGACGACTGGCTAAGTGCCTCAAAAAGGCTTGTCAAGGTTAGGAAGCCAGAGGTTTCTTGGCACAGATCTGTATTTTGGCAACCCTTTCGGAATTACAGGAAGCATAGAAGCCGTGCTTCACCATATGTTCGGCTCAAGAAGCTGTCCACCAAGGAGAGGCATACTGTTTCCACTGAGCCAACCTAGGGGAAGCAATCTGGTAAAGCAAATTATGGTAAATTATCATTGCTCATTTACTGATAATTAATCAAGTAATTTTTATCACCTAATAATGTGTCATGCCCTGTGGTAATGTAAAATATATTTGTGTTTGAGACACCTTGAACAACAACAGAAAAGCCCTGTCTTTATGTGTCTTACATTCTAAAAGAAAGAGACAGATATTAAATAATAAGCAAGTAAAATAAATATGATTTTAGATGATAGTTGTTATGGAAATGAAGAAAATAGAGTATGATACGAGTCAAAAAGCGCCTTTAAAATTTTATCTCCACATTCCTGATCATTACTTCTATTTCTTTTTCCCCATTGGAACCCAATTTAATGCGCTTGCACTCATATTAAGAATGTAGAATCGTTGGCCAGACGCAGTGGCTCACGCCTGTAATCCCAGCACTTTGGGAGGCCGAGGCAGGCAGATCACAAGGTCAGGAGATCGAGACCATCCTGGCTAACACGGTGGAACTCCGTCTCTAGTAAAAAAAATACAAAAAAAAATTAGCCAGGCATGGTGGCGGGCACCTGTAGTCCCAGCTACTCGGGAGGCTCAGGCAGGAGAATGGCTTGAACCCTGGAGGTGGAGCTTGCACTGAGCCGAGATCGTGCCACTGCACTCCAGCCTGGGCGACAGAGTGAGACTCTGTCTTAAAAAAAAAAAAAAAAAATTGTTTAATGTGAGTATATGTTTTAAATTTACCTACATGTTATTGGCCATACATGTTGTTCAGCATCTTACAATTTTAAAGTTAAAACTGCGTTTGAAACTCATCCATCTGACTGTGTATGTTCACTTCATTTACTTGCTTCTACCTGCTGCCGATTTTTCCATAGTATACATCCACTGCATTTTATTTATGCCAATAAGTAAAATTGTATTAGATGTTTAGTTTGCTACGAATTCCTCCACTAAAAAATAATAACGTGATGTAGACTTTGTGGAGGTGCATTCATCAACTTTTGGAGAACTTTGTTAGGAAATAGATCTTGGAATGGAAATCCTGGACCTAAACATATTCAGGTTAAATGAATAGTGTGAGACTTTTCTGCAGAATGACTATACAGATGGATATTCTTACCAGAGTATAATGAATTCCCTTTTCTCTCAATAGCTTGCCTTTCTAATGAATGTAACATGGTTAAATTAGCATTTTTTATTGCAAACAAGCTTGAACATTTAAACTCCTTTTCTGTGAACTACCTATAAATACGCTTTGCCTAATTATCTATTAATTTTCTGGCTTTTTTGCGACCTTGTTGATTTATGAGAATTCTTTGTATGTTCTGTAATCCAGTGTTAATTTTTTTTTCTGTATCACCCTTTCTGTGAAGCTTTCAGAGACTTTTTTTTCCTAAGAATTTTGATCCATAAAGGGTTTTTTTTTTTGTTTTTTTTTTTTTTTTGTTTTTTTTTGACAAGGTGTCTCACTCTGTTACCCAAGCTGGAGTGCAGTGGCGTGAACTCTGCTCACTGCAACCTTTGCCCCCCCGGGTTCAAGCGATTCTCCGACCTCAGCCTCCGAAGTAGCTGGGACTACAGGCATGTACCACTATGCCCGGCTAATTTTTGTATTTTTAGTAGAGACGGAGTTTCACCAAGTTGGCCAGGATGGTCTTGAACTCCTGACCTCAGGTGATCCGCCCACCTCGGCCTCCCAATTCCTGGGATTATAGGCGTGACCCACCATAACCGGCCCATCCACGAAGTTTTAATACCACAGATATGTGTTATATGTTTATATATTACAAGTATATATATGATTTATATATTAAAAATCACTCATTGGTTTTAATATTTTAAAATAACTTTCTACTACGGTAATCTGTTAATTTTTGTTTATCAAAATAGCTAGTATTTTCATATCTGTTAAATTTTGTTGAAAAGAATGCTTAATTTTGAAATATTGATTTTTTCCAATCTTATGAGTTATCTCTTTTAGTTCTTGTTTAATAAATATTTTCTCAATTGTGGTTTACAAAGTATTTTCCTATTTGCCCTTTTATTCAATTTATAATTCTCCTCTCACATGTGGATTATTAATACAACAAGAGTCTATGATCAGGATCGAATTTTACTTTTCTCAGTGTCATAACTGGATTTTTTCAAGACAATTTATCAAGCATCCCGTATTTTGCCCGTTGCTGTGCCCAATCTCTGATATGTATCTAATTTTCATCTATATAAAGACCTATGTCTGAGTTAGCTGGGTTTCTCCCTCACTCATCATTCTATACTCTTTAATACTGTGCGTTTGCAGTATGTCTTAAAATCTGTTTGGTAAATTCCCACTCGTTGCAATCTTTAGTCAGAATTTACTTAATTATTCACAATCTATAAATTATTCTTTGTTAATATTCTATAGTTTGTTGAGTTCTTCATAATATTTCAGGTAAAATTCTTATGGTGATTGCTTTGAATCTTCCAATTGAGATCATTGTTCTACTTATATGTTACAATTCCATCTTTAAATTGTATATATCACTGTATTTAATTTTTTAATTGTGTTGATTTTTTATTTTAATATCTAAAAATTCAAAAAATAAGAGTATATTTATTGAAATGTCTCCCTCTCATTCTCCCCCTCCTTACAGATAACTACCACTATTCAATTTTTGTATATTTTTCCAGAAGATACACACTTAACTGTTAAATTTTAAAAACCTTACTGAAATTATTATTGGGTTTAAGAAAATTATTCATCTGGAAAAGCAAAATACCTGAAATTTTATTTTAAAATATTGCCATAATCATTCATAATTTTTAGAATGATGAAAAATAATTTTAAAAGGCTTTTATATTTATACTCATTTTTACCATTTTTGACACTCTTTCTTTGTATAAATCTAAGTTTATGTCCCATATCATATTCCTTCTGCCTGAAGGACATCCTCTGACATTTCTCATAGTACAAGTGTGCTAGCAATAAATCAGCTTTAGTTTTGTCTGAAAACTATTTTATCCTTATTTAAAAAAATAATATTTTCTCTGAGAATAGAATTACTGGTGTATAGTTTTTGCTTTCTTTTAGTACTTGAAAGATGTGACTGAATATTCTGGCTTGTATGATTTCTGATAAGAATTTTGCTGTAATTCTTTTGTTGTTGTTGTTTTCATTCCTGTATAATGTGTCGACTTTTCTTTTTTCTCTGGCTACCTGAAGGATTTTCTCTTTTGGTTTTCATCAGTGTGACTGAGATGTATCTCAGTGTGTACCTGTACTCTTCGATCTGTGTTTATTTTGTGTTTATTTTGTTATTTATTCTGCTTATTGGTTTTTCGAGCTTCTTGGATCTATAGTGTGCTTTCTTTCCTTAATTTTCTAAAATTCTCAGTCATTATATCTATCTGTGCATATATTATATACATCTATACATGCATGCGTGCATTTGTTCTGTTCTCCATCAGTTCTTTCTGCGGGACTGAAGGACATTCATAATAGTCATTTGATGGTGTCCCATGCCTCTTAATGCTCTGCTTTTTTATTTATTTTTTAAATTTTACCTTCATTTATTTCCGTGTTTCAGTTTCAGTCATTTTTACAAGCATACATTTTATTTTTTTCCTTAGCTAGATGAAGTCCGAGTACTTATGTATCCATTGACGGAATTCTTCAATTCTTGCATTATGTTTTCACTTTTAGCGTTTCCATTTTAATTTTTCTTATAGATTTTATCTCTCTGCTAAAGTTCCCCATCTTTTAATCTATGTTCTCCACCTTTTTTACTAGATTGTCAACAGGTTTCACATAGTTATTTTAAAGCAGTTACCCAGTAAATCTAACACTCAGGTGATCTATGAGTCCAGTTCTATTGATTATCTTATCTCTTTTCACTCTTTTTTGTTGGTTTTCTGATTTTGACTGAATCACTCTTACACATTTATATGTTACCAATCACTTTCTCCCACGTGTGTGTGTGTGTGTTTTAATTTTGGCTAAGTGGTTGCTCTACAATATCAGCTATCTGATGGACTTGAGAAAAGTTATACTTTGATAGTTCTCTTTGACTTTTTTTCATTGTTTGATTGGAAGCAACAGGTTTTCCCACTTTCCATGTGCTAGATGAAAGCAAAAGCACATAACTTTTTTTTTTCTGGAAAGGTATGTTAAATATATTTTTTCAAATGCCATATTATGTCAGAAGAAATATTAATTCATTTCAAATTTAAATAGACCTTTAAATGTCTTATTTTTCCATTGCCTCTTCAAACCGGCTTTGGTTGAATTATAACCACAATCAAATAAACCCTAAATTCCCTTCTTTCTTACTTTTCTCTTTAAATAACTCAAAGCAAAATAACAATGAATTCTATTCCTGCTGGATAATTATTAAACATAATAAGAATCATCAAACGCGAATTGATATGTCCTCGTCAGTCGTACTCATGGCAATTTTTATTGCGTTCACTTATCATTTTTAAGCCAAGTTGTTATATCTTAGTATTTTTGAACAAAGGCTTGGAAACCCCTTAAAAATCACTTACCTCCTTGTTTCATAGTGTTAATGTCTAATTACATGCTACTTATGATAATATGTTTATGAATTTATTTTTTCAACATTAAAAACTTAAACATAGATCTGAGAGTACAAAACTCTATGCTTCATGCATGCATCTAGGCTCTCCTCCTTCAGAAATATGTTTGAAATCTCACATTATATTTATAAATGTATTAGGGTGCCAATAGGGCCTTGAGGTTAAAGATATGTGCCAAAAACTGTTTTACTTTCTCTTTTTATTAAGCCAAGGATGCACTTTTGAGCTTCAAATTGGTAAGTTCTACTTTAGACCTCCCAGTGTGTTATAGTACGTCACAAATAGTAGCAGAGCTGGGAATCCACCTATCAAGGTCCTGAGCTGACATCACCAAAGTGCAATCTGCAAGCTTCAGAGATTTTGTAAAACTTAACATAATGCTCTTAAATTTTTAGGTTGACATCTGAATTTTATATATTGTTTGTTTAGTAGTCATAAATATTCTATTTTGCCAGTGCTATATATTTTCATGTGGTTAAAATATATCTGCAAAAACTTTGTATCTTCAGTATTAGCTATTCAATTTATGGAAAAATATCCTAATTCAACAGCAAAGTTAATCCTTATTGCCAAACCAATCGCCAAATCAAATTTGTTGTGAGTAAAGAGTTATTTCATTTTTTTAAAAATTTAACTTGTTATTATTTATCACTCCTACAGACAACTCAGGAGTGAACTGTCTAAGAAGACAGATAGCTAGCTAGAGAATAAGAACACAGACTTGCCATTAATAGTCAGCTAGTGGTGACTAACTATTTAGACATAAAAAAAGTAAATTTTTTTTTTTTTTTTTTTTTTTGGTGGCAGGGTGTAGTGGCTCACACCTGTAATCTCAGCATTTTGGGAGGTCAAGGCGGGGGATCACCTGAGGTTAGGACTTTGAGACCAGCCTGGCTAACATGGTGAAACCCCATCTCTACTAAAAATACAAAAAATTAGCCAGGTGTGGTGGCACATACCTGTAATCCCAGCTACTTGGGAGGCTAAGGTGTAAGAATCTCTTGAACTCAGGAGGCAAAGGTTGCAGTGAGCCGAGATCATGCCACTGCAATCCTGCCTGGGTGACAGAGCAAGACTCTGTCTCAAAAAAAATAAAAATAAATATAGTTAATCACCTGGATGATGCATAAAAAGTGTATTTGTGGTGACAAAGTATATTTTTTGTTTTTGTTTTTTGTTTTTTCATTCAGAGAATATACTAGACTAAAATTTAAAATGGCTGGGAGTTAAGTTTCTATTTTGTAAACTGGGAGGGGGACCTTTGTGAAAGACAAGTTGGAAAAGAAAGACAAAGCTCACACACTACTGCAGGCATATCAAATTTTAATTTCAGATAAATTACAAATGGATGTATATGGATGTGGGGGATCTGAAAATGTTCCACTTAAAATGAATGGTTCCTATGTTTCATCTGGAATGTCTTCATTGACCTTTCGGAATATGTGGGCCTCATTTGAAGACTGGTGTTCTAGTTTACTCCAGCTATCCAAAGCTGATAATGACCTGAAGGGAATGCCTTCTACTGCTTTTCAGGTCTAGTTCACTTAACGTTAGTAGCACTAACTTTACTGAGGGATACTGTATGCCAAATAATGCTGTACACCTCACAGAAATCTTACGGATTTGGTCATTTATCAGTATCCCCACTTTAATGCAGTAAACTGAAGTTTAGGCCTAACAAGTAATGCAATCAAGGTAACAGAACTAATAAGTGTTAGAATCCAGGTAGATTGACTCCAGAACCTGTGTATCTACGGGCTCTATTGCCTCCTCCAGGAGCCTTTCTTATTATCTTAACAGAGATCTCCTTGTTGGTGGTGGTGTGTATTTTAGTAGGTTGATATAATGTAGAGCATTGCATCACAAACTTTAATGCATGTGGGAGTTACATAGAGAATTTTGTTAAAATACGTACTCTGTTTCACGAAGTCTTTGGAAAAGTCTGAGACGCTGAATGCCTAATAAGTTCCAGGTGATGTAGTGCTGCTAGTCCTAGGTCCTCACTCAGAGTGGCTCAACAGTTCTCAATCCTGGAAACACAGCAAAATCGCTTAACGCATTGTCCACTACTGAAATTTGAAGAGAGGTTAAAAGCAACTAAATTTTGAAAAGCTCTCACATGTTATTCAGGATAATAGTGAAAGCAAAGAACCACAGTTAAGTATTTATGTCTGAAACTATACGAAGGGTTGGTTCAAAGAGAGGAGCTAGAGGATTTGTCTTAAAGCTTATCTGGGGATCTAGATAAAGAAAAATAAAGGAGTCCATGGATATGGTAAGACTGAAGTCCATCATGTCAAACCACAGTCTTACTGTGTCTACTGGGCACAGCTGTCAACATAATAATGTGCCCTCTGTAAATGGGAGCGCACATTTACAGAAAGACAGTGCTAACGGGAGAGTGGGTTAGAAAGAAATCCTCAGTTGATTGTGATACGACCTTCTCCTGTGTTTAGAAAATCTCAAATTTTGAGCATTTATTGTCCTTGCTTTTTAATTGTATGTAGTATTTTCAGATTCTTCGCCAGTTTTCCTTCTCTCTACCCCTTAATATACTATAAATATCTCAGAAATAAGGCTTATGACATTTTCTCCCCTTTTCCCACTGAATGAAAGAACTCAGCAAGTTCTCACTCACTGCATGCTACATTTATTAATTTATTAATTCAACGAATATTTACTGTGTCAACAAATATTTCCTATGTCAACCAATAGGTAAGAAGTTAAAGGTGTAAGACCCAGTCCCCATCCTCAAAGAGCTCACAGTCTAGGTAGGGTAGAAGAAGGAATAAAATATGCTTGCCATAACTGTGTATGGAAGTGTTTTAAGGAGGTTTTCAAAAGATGTCGGAAGCTTCAGAGAGAAACACTCAGCCTAGGAAATTTATCCGGAAATTAGTGGGGTAATTAGGTCTAGATTCAAAGATTAAGTGGAGGTTTATTTAAATGTTATTTTCAAATAGAGAAAAATATAAAATATCCTTATGCCAGGTGACCTTATTGGCCAGAGTTGTTGATCTGAAGTCAAAGAACTGTTGTGGAAAGGGGGACAAAATACGATATTTTACTGTTAAATGAATTTTATTCTCTGTCCACATGAACCCATGGGCAGTTTCCTTAATAGCAAAGGAGAAAGGCTTGGTGCAGACATTTTGGCATCATTTGGTATTAGCCAGCTGTGCATACTTGTATAGAAAAATAAATGTATTTACCTGGTGGTTTTATAATTTAAACATCTGGAGAGTTAAGCAGTTTAAAATCAAACACTGAGGCTATGTAATCGTTACATATGTGTCATAGATCACATACAACAAAACAAATCTCTGATACATAGAATAGAAATTGAGGATGGCTTCTCCATTTATTCTGCAAGTTAAAGATGTTGAGCAAGCCTAATTCTAGCTGCCTGAAATAAAAGCTGTTTCCATAATATAATTGGAAGCAAATTGTCTCAGGAGTCACAATTTCTAAATTCCTATGATGGGAACAAATCTATTTACAGAACCATCAGAATATGTTTTCTCCCTCTTTTAAAAATATCAAATCAATGTCAGTGGTATAGAAAGCTTGTGATCACCTCTCAATTTTTCATTAGTTCACATAAGTGTCTATTAGAGCACATTTGCACTTACTGGCTAATTAGAAAATTTCTAAAAATAAGATGATTAAAAATACAAATAAAATACAAATAAAAATATAAATGAAAAAAAAAGACTCCTTACTCTGTGCCAAGTAACATGTTTTCACACCAATATATCCTTTCTTAGCTCAAAGTACTTGCTCCTAAGCTCTAAAATTCCCACAGAAGACACCTTACTTTAGACTCGTCTATCTGTGAGTGCCCCATGTACTTGGTCTTTACAGATATAAAGAGAATGCAGCTTCTTCCTTTCCTAGCGAAGAAAGTTAGTTTTAGAATGCTAAAGTGAGTGAGGAATTAAGGCAATTTTCTGAATAAGTTAGACCAAGTCAATCTCTACTTGTCATGAAAACATCTACTTTTAATTTTTTTTTTTTGAGACAAGGTCTCACTCTGTCACCCAGGGTGCAAGGCAATGGCATGATTTCAGCTCACTGAAAACTCTTGTCTCCTGGGTTAAGTAACCCTCCGGCTTCAGCCTTCCAAGTAGCTGGGACGACAGACGCAAGCGACCACACCTGGGTAATTTTTTTTTTTTTTTTTTTTTGAAAGACAAGGTCTCACCACTATGTTGCTTAGGCTAGTCTCAAATTCCTGAGCTCAAGCAATCCTCCCGCTTTGGCCTTTCAAAGTGCTGGGATTACAGGCATGAGCCACTGCGCCCAGCCACATCTGCTAATTTTTAACTTAGTTACTGTTCAAAAAGTTAACCCTGTTGGAGAGAGAGAGAGAGAAATGACTATTCCCTTCTGGTAGGAGTAACTAAATTCTAGACTTATTGGAATTTTCTAATTTACTTTCCAATATCAGTTTTTAATGTGTTCCCTCCTTCTCTTTTGGCTAGCTTGCATCATGTCCTGCAAAAGATGTCTATGCCTTAATTTAAGAACCTGTGAATATGCTACCTTACAAAGGCAAAAGGGGCTCTGCAGATGTAATTAATTAAGGATCTTACAATGGGAAAGTACTCAGGTGGGCAAAATGTAATCAGAAGGCTCCTTATAAGAAAGAGGCAGAGGCTCAGAGTTAGTAGTAGGAGATATGAGAAAGGAAGCAAAAGCTAGTAATGATGCCCGTAAGCCACAAGACAAGGCATGCAGGCAGCCTCTAGAAGCTGAAAAAGGTAAGGAAATGGACTGTCCCCTCAGGACCTCCAGAAAGAACCAGCTTTGCTGACACCTTGACTTTAGCATAGTGAGGTTGATATTGGATTTCCAACCTCCAAAACTGTACAATAACAAATTTGTGTTCTTTCAAGCTACTATATTTGTAATGTGTATATAATGTATTATGGTAGCAATAAGAAACAAATTCACCTGGACTTTGTACAAATAGGCACTCAAGTAATTTCTATAATATGAAGGGAGTGAATGAAATTAAATTCAGATTGCTAACCCAAAAGAGTAATGTGGGAATAGCAGTAAGTTTCGCCATAGCCTTACTGTCACTATCATGACAGTTACCGAAACAGAAAAGTCCAAGGGTGTTCTCTAAGTCTACTAATAATTTTTAAATTGATTCCTCTTGAGAAGAGCAAAAATAGGGGCAAGTTTTCACTCTGGAACAGAGGTAAGGAGGAAATGTGCATGTTAAACACTGTATGTTTGCTATTTAATGTGGCAAAAGAAAGAACACTACTAGAAATGTTAAGATGCGCTTGATAATTTTCTCTGTGGGCTATAACATAATTCAAAGTCATGTTTCTGACTGTCAATTTCTACGTAACCAGATAAATAGGAATATAGTATAATTTTTGCATATTGTCAAATGCTGCAACTGTGGCTTGTATTACTGGGAAAAGTGCAATTCATTCAGATGAAGAAAAACTTTTTAAAGTGAAGAACTTAATATATATTTTTAAAAATTCAGTTATTTTATTAATTGATCAATTTTGTCACTAAAGCTGAAGTTCTAATATGTTACCAGCAATGTTTCCAAAGAGAGTTTTATTCATGAAATACTATTTACAAATTGTGAATTTGTGACCCATCCCAAATATGCCCCGAGAGCATTAAGTAGTTATACAGTTTAAAATTTAAGTACACAAAGAGATTATGGGATAAAGTTACATTTTTTGAAATTATTATATTGTTACATGAGTCATAGATTACTTCTCTCTAAATAAATCATGACAGCAGCTTGGTGGTGCTATTTGCACAGCCACCACCAAACCAGTGCAAAGATCCTTGTCAAAGCATGCTGAATGCTTTTCCTATACAAATACTAAAAAGTAAATTCTCGAATTTTCTTCAGAATCCAACATAAATTAATTGAATCCTATGCCATAATCTAACTCATTAGTTTCTAAGCCTGAATTCCTCAGAGTTGAGAAGTTTTGTTGCTTTTTATAAAAACTTCTTTCTGGAAAATTCAAAATACAAAAGTAGAGTTATACTGCTTTCAAGCTAATTTTAATATAAAATTAAAATAATCTTCTACCTTCAAAATGAACAACTATCAACTCAGGGACATCTAAGTTGCTTCATCTATTATTCTTCCTCCAAATATAGCCATACCGCTCAACACCTGGTTTCTACTCCAGACCTAGTGAATTTAAATCCATCTGTATTTATTTCAACCTGTTCAGCTGCTTTTGATAACCACTCAGACTGAAGAATTACTACTTAAAAGGAACTTAAATCTTACCTGATGTTTTTATTTTTTTAATTAGCTTATTGTTAATCACATGATTGTTTTACCTTTTTATTTAATATTTCTCCTTTTGAATACTGAATTTATAAAAGTTCTTTAGGCAGGGTGACAAATAGAACCAATTAAAAATTTTCTATCTTTGTAGGTTGTTACTTAAGAATTTCAGATATTCTAAATAAAAGCAACTGAGATTCTTGAATAACATTTTGTATTTAAAAGGATATTTCATTAAAAATAGCAACAAAGCTGAAAATTTAAATTTAAAATTTAGAACAATAAACAGTCTGTATTTAACTACCAGTTCCTTGGAAAATAAGCAGATTGTCTAAATTAGCGCCATGTTCCAGTGTGACATTCCAGGTTTATTTTTCTCTAAGCCATGGTTTTCTGTGGGCCAGAGCAATGTAGAAACAGTGATACTGATACTCCAGAAGCTCTGCCTTCCCATTCAGCTAAGCCTAGCTATTGAATCTGACCAGGACTCTATTCGGTCAACCAGCGGGACGACTCCTGGTGAATGCCCTTTCTTCATGTTCTCTGTAACTACCTAAACAAAAGACCGTTTGACAGATCCATACAAATCTTTTGCTAAGATTTTTAGCTTGTCTGCCCTGTGTGGGGGGAGGAGGACAATTTTTTTTCCTACTAGGTACATACCTGCTGCACTAAGAGCCATGTCTGACTGTCCACCCAACCAGATGAGGTAATTCAACCACAAAAGTAATTTTTTTTTTCTTTTTCTTTTTCTTTTTCTTTTTTTTTTTTTTGAGAAGGAGTCTCGCTGTCGCCCAGGCTCTCGGCTCACTGCAAGCTCCGCCTCCCGGGTTCACGCCATTCTCCTGCCTCAGCCTCCCGAGTAGCTGGGACTACAGGTGCCTGCCACCACGCCCGGCTAATGTTTTGTACTTTTAGTAGAGATGGGGTTTCACCGTGTTAGCCAGGATGGTCTCGATCTCCTGACCTCGTGATCCGCCCACCTCGGCCTCCCAAAGTAAAGTAATTCTTTTAAAATGCAAACATGTCTGTGACACCTCATGACTAAAACCATTTGCTGGTTTGCTGGTTCCTCATTATCCTTAATAATAAAACCTATAATCCTTAATATGGCCTTATAAATACAAACGGTCTCCTTTTCACCTTAAGGCCCATACAGGTGCCACTGTCCCCATGTACCCATTTTTCTCTAATGTCTACTGAATGACAGTTCTCCAGATGCATCTTGAATCATAAAGGAGTGGACAGAGATAAGAAAGCACAGTGCAGTTAGCAAGCTGGGGAGGCTTAGAAATGCCAGAGGCCAGGAGAAAAATGTATACAAGTTCCTGCTTCCCCACTACAGCTTTCTGCAAGCAGTAAAACTGGGCTTGGGTGGGAAGACATGTTAATTTTTTAAAAGTTTGAAATCTTTTGCTATTGCAAAGTTGATATTTAATTACAGATTTGATGGGCATTGCCACTTAAAATGACTGTAGGAATTATTTCTATTCAAGGTTGATCAGAGAAGTCATCCAGGGGCAGTAGAAGCGGCAGCCCCAAGGAGCAGATTTAATGAGCCACAAAAGTAAAATGTAAACTTGTTCTTTGATCTCATTCTGTGCTCTGTGTTTACAATATAATGTTCACACTGAATTAGACTGAGAAGTCCTGAAAGTGACTCCTTAAATCTTTTTGCTTCCAAGACTTGAAACTCCATTAAAAGCAGAGGTTGAGTAAGTTGCATTTCTGCATACCTGAGATTTTTAATATGAAATCAATTCCTGTCACATTTGACTACAGTACCCTCTATCTCCTTGATTAAAACCTTTCAAGGGTACCCTATTGGTGGGAGTAGGAAGAAGAGGAAGTTGAGGAGGAAAGAGAGAGTTTAATGAGGCCACAAGATCTTAAAGGACTTGGTCCTTGCTAGTGTTCAGCTTCATCTCCCACTAGACTATCCCTGAGACTGTGCTGCAGCCACCCTAGCCTTTTTCTCTTTCTTCAGATGTGTAATTCTTTGATCGCTAAATCCTATCCTCAGCTCTCATCCTTTCACCTAATTTCTATGTAACCTCAGGTCATAGCTTTGTTATTTCCTCAGTGAGACTTTTATGGACGTGTCACATGCTTTCGTAGGACCAAAGACTGTGGCACAATGGTTTTAATTTTACAAGTATTTAAGTAATTATTTGACTATGGACTCTCTCCTACTAAACTAACTGCAGTATCTATGAGGCCAAGATCACATCTCATGAATTTACCAGCTTATCGTGGGGGCCTTGAATAGTTACTGGTCAGTAGTAGTTGCTCAATGAAGAATTCTTAATAACTTATTCAGTTATTAAGTTATCACATCCTTAGTTCTGTGTCTTTGGTTCTTTTTCATTAAGTTTTCTTTCCTTTCTCGTTCTCTAATGCCAAACTGAATTAAGGTTGAGATTAACGGCGTTGTGCTAATTTTTTGTTTGTTTGGTTTTTGTTGTTGTTGTTGTTTCTGTGACCTAGCTTTTTTGTAGGAGTGGAAGAGGAATTTTTCTTTTTGGGAATCCTCAGAATTCATAAAGAAAGGAACTGACAACTTGATCAGGAAGCCTACCCTTCCCTTCCATTCTCAAAACACACCACATTAGGCAAAGACCCTCTTTTTGGTGCTCTCTGCTTCTCTCCCAAAGTACAGCATTCTCTGGACCACTATGTCAAGATTATTGACTAGTTGCTCTTTACTTTTGCATTTAATTCTTTATAGCTAATTTGAATGGTTATAATTAGATATGCAAATATATTTTCTTGATTATTTTACAGGTGTATGTTTTAATATCTTGCTGTTACATTTACTCAAAGCGTATCTTAAAATATGTTTCTTAATAAGACAGTGCAAAATGACGTTTTAGGGGTTGTACTACTGAATGAATCTACTAGAAATGTCATTATCACTTTTAGTCAAATCAGCTCTGTTCCTCTCCAGCTTCACTGGAAGTTGAAAAATCTGTGGCCTTCAAATGTCCTAGTGTAGCACACTGCATGTGGTTATTACTCAAAATTGTGGCTTCATGGTTTCATTGAAGAATAATAGGTTCCCTTTAAAATGTGATAAATTTTTAATATTCTAAAATAGGATTCTTTTACCTAGTCCAAAATCTTTAAAGTAATGGACCTGTGTACATTTAGTCATTATGATATGCGTGAGAGAACATTTTTATCACTGTCTTCTGATCTGAATAGTTTATACAAAAGCTTCTCTAATGTGGATATCAAATTCTAAAATTTTGTGACAAATTTTTCTTAATATGTTTATGTATCATAATATCAGTATATATTGAAAACAAAGCTTCTATCAAGTATACTTGTAAAACCTATTAATTTTTGCTATTTCTCAGGTATGGTATGCTTAAAAGGATTTTGAGTTAACAATTCTCTTTGATTTACCTTTCAACTTTTTACGCATGTTCAATGTCTATATCAATAGTTCTTAAAGATTTTGAAATAAAAAAGCGAAAGCACATTGCAAACCAAAACTGCCAACCCCATGGGATGCTTAAACTTCTCATTTTCTGTTTTAATCCTAATACAACTTTTAATTCTCTATGACTTCAGGAAAGTCTCTTAAACCCTATGAACCTCATGTTCCTCATCTGAAAAGTGAGATAATATTCATCTTTTATGGTCACTGTAAGGATTGAATGATGTAACATGTAAAATTACCTAGCATACCTTCTAATACATAATTGTTTCTCAATAAATGTTTTCTTCCTTCCCTCTCTCAACCAATGATTCTGCACTATCCTTAATAGACAGAACTTAAAACAGGATGGGAAGAGGCTTACTGTGACGACCCTTCTCTATTTTCCTCTGTTAATGACAACTTGGCATAAATTCTAGTTGTTAAGGGCCTTTATTTCTACAAATTTGTCACTTTATTGCTAATAATGATAATGACAAGAATTGCTAACATTCAGTGTAGTGCATGTAATTCTCACAACTCTGAGGGAGGCACTATTTTTATATCTACAATTTGCTGATGATAAAACTGAGGCAAAGAGTGGCTGAGGCATTTGTCTAAGAATGTGCAGATAATAAGGCATGGGTCCCAGGCAGACTGACTACAGAACTTGACTGAAACATTATACTACAGGGACTTACCCTGGTGAAGTTCTCAGCCATTGGAGACATGCTGCCTAAGGTCAGATCCTGTCATTGCTATCTCCTATCTGTGATCTGTAGTCCCTAAACTCTCCATTATTCAGATTGCTGCTACTTCTGTCAAATGGGACTAGCATTTGTAAGAATTCACAGAGGCAGTATTTAAAGGGGTTTATTCAATGCCTGCTACAATGGAAATGAGTAAAAGTGAGCTGTTTCTGTTAATGGCTAGAAACAGCCAGTTTTCTTTCTTCTCTTCCTCGATGCTCTGTCTAAAGCATCTGTAAGTTTTTGTATTTTTAAGTTAATCTTCCTCCTGTCTCCTTGATTCCTCAGGAGCAGTTAACACTGACCGAAGGAGTGTACAACTGAAATCTGCCATCATTCATATGATGGACTTTCCCCCAAATCCACTTCTCCCCATTCATGACTTTTTTCCTAAAACAGTTTGCACAGCTCAATGTGACTACAACATATTTAAGTGAATTCAGATAATAAGCAGGGCATATCTTTTTAAAATGATTTGTAATCTTTTTGTGGAGATCCTTATTTTAATAGCTCAGCCTTTTATGGAGAATAATTTGTTATTCACATTGAAACCCCTTAGCTCTACAATGGAAGCAAGAGCTTTTACTGATAAGGTACCTCCTTGCTGCCATAGCACACGCCTACCTTAGAAACAGTTTTAGTAAAATTTACTTTGAAAGAACATATGATGTGTCAAAAAGAAAAATAATCACGAGGTCTATGAACCTAGAAAGTCTGAAGATTTTAGTAAATGTGACTGATGATATGAACTTAGGTGATTGCATAGAATATATATTTTATTGATAAATTAGAAGTTGAGAATAAATCTTTCCTTGTGTTGCGAAAAATAGCCTTAGGTCTTTAGTTTCTGTCCAGGTGTGCAAATAGAATTGCCAATTTAGGATGGTCTCCTTTTATCTATCCTTTATTAAAAAACCGAAAGCCAGTAGAGTCGAGGGCATAGTTTCTCTATGTGTAAATACCAAAGTGGAAAACAGCATGCTTCTATGCAGTCCCAAGCCTCTCTCAAATAAGTAATATAAAAACCTGACTTTTTGTGCTTGCTTTTAGCAATATACTCAAAAGCAAACAAAAGAGAGCATGCATACATGCAATTATCTGTTGATATGTTAAATCATACAACATGCTCACTAAGGAAAGAGACATGCTAATATGCATAAACAAATAGTGTTCATTGTACACCTACTGTATGTCATGCTGTCCTAGATGATTTTCAAGAGCTCTAAGTTTTAATGTTGACAATGTAGCATAAGTACTGTTACTATTTCATTTAACAATTGTGATATCTGAAGAGTGGAGGGGCTTACAACACTTACCCAACACTTACAGCCAAAATTTAAAAGCCGATGTTTCAACTCACATCTGTGTGGCTCCAGATAATTCTTAGGAAACAAGTATTAGGTCAGAGGAGAAAAGAAGGAGTAGGTAATAGAACAGAAAAATATTGCCTTTCCTTAATAAATACTATTAGAGCCACAATTAACTCTGAATCTCCTTAGCATGGCATGAGGTCCTTTTGAACTGACCTGCTGTCTACATATTCAATCTCATTGTCTAACATTATCTCCTGTCCCCGACAAGTGCTCTAAGCCCATCCTGAGATGTTCCCTTTTCTGCTAATCCGTGACTATTTATCATGTCTTTATACCTGCCTCACCAGTCTCCTCCGTTTTGAAAGCCTTCTCCTCTCATTAACACCCAACTCACATATTGTTTCTTCTTAGAAGCCTTGCCTGTTGCTCCTCTTAAATCTACCTGCTGCATCCACTCCAAAGTAAAATTAACAACCACCCCAACCTGAGGTTCCACAGCAGTTTATTTTTCATGATTCTATGGTTCTAGCATTCCCAGAACTAATATTCTTGCAATTTTTAAGGGCAGTTTGAATCTATCCACGTTATGAAAAATTTGCTAATTTGGACTCTGTGTGTCGTTGTGTGTGTTTGTGCATCCTCATTTGAAGGTCTGTTGTAATGAACAGACTTAATTTATTACACATTGTTGAAATAAGAGTCCTAATACCAAAATAAAATTATGAATTTTTGTTAGCATCCTATTTTTGCATGAACATATTTTACTTGCAAGTAAGAGAAGAAAAATTAGGACAAAAATAAGTTTATTTCCCTATATTTCAAATGAAAAATTAGTTTAGTTAGATCTTGGAGTACATATTATACTTCCTGGTTGAAACAGAAAGCATACAAATTCCGTATTTATCCTCACAAACTAAGCCTTAGTTTATTACATTGTTAAAATGTTTTCACTTTTGAACACTAAGTTATAAGCAATGGAGATAAAAATGAATGTATTTTTTTCCTAAAGAAATGTAAATATCATTTAGCCTGCTAACCACAGTTTGAATAGGCTTATAAACTAAACATTTTTTAAAAACTTTATAAACTAAAAAGAAAATCAAACCTGTTGTAAGGTTCTAATGGAAAAGTAGATTTGCCCCACTCCTAACCCACGTCAAGAGGATTTCCTCCCGTTTCCACTGAGTCATAATTAAGGTAAAATTTTCTGCTTTTTTCCTGCGAAGGAAACTATTGTCCTATCCTGCTAAGCTTCTTTAGATTTTACTCTGCATCCTTAAAAGTATGTGGAATTATACGGAAAGAAAACATTCTCATTCTCTCAAAACTTTTCTAAGAAATTATGAGCAACATATTTACACCATGACCTGCACCTGTCTTCAAAATACATCATGCATTTTAAAGTAGAGAACGTATTTCTAACAAGCCTGCTATTACATTCTTTCTTGTCCTAGTAGCGGTTAAATATTTGATAGATGATTCCCTCACTCCCAAACTAAATTCAGTATTGACTTGATGATTCTTTTTTCCCCCAATTTGAGAAACCTTCAAATTGAAATAGATATCTTTCTGGTTATATTTCAAAAGCCCATACAGGCATCTGTCTCTCTCTGTCTCTGTCTTTGTCTGTCTCTGCCTCCGTCTCTGCCTCCGTCTCTGCCTGCCTCTGCCTCTGTCTGGCTCTGTCTGTGTCTCTCTGACTCATACACATTTTAAATCTCTGATGTGCCATTCATATATATTAATGCATGAAAGAAATGCTCATAAAAATGGAAATGAGGCATAATTTTCCATGGAGCAAGTAGAATCATTTGTAAATAAGAACTTCACTTGGACTTAAAACGTTTGTGAATCCAAGTGTTTAGTTTCCAATGTTGATGAATCCTTTGACAGCTTTCTAATTATCATTGAGTTAGTGCATGGTACCCTTCAGGAACTAAATTGAAGCCATAAGTTCATCTCTTCATATATCACCTCTAAAGCTTTTAGTTGATAATCGCTTTGTCCTTCTTGGTCTGAACTTGGGGTTTTTATTACCAAAAAGGAAAGGCTCTGTTACATGATTAAACATCAACTGTCTCTACCTACCCAAATTTTGTTGTTTGACTGCATATTTTATGCTGCCTTTTTTATGACAATAAACTCTATACTTGTGTAAAGTGACGTTGCCACTGTATTTCCTTGATTTATTCGATGATGCTTCCATCTGGTTTCCATTACAATCCAGTCATTTTCATTTAAGTAATTAAAACATCCAACATAGAAAATTGGGTAGAAAGCAGAGGTTAATTATAAAGTTATAAAGGAGAAACTATTTACACTTAGAGGCATTTCTCTTTTCTCTCTGCCCATAGAATTCCCATTGCTGTTAATGGGACTTACAGGGATCTATTGAGTGCCAAATAGACTTAAAGTGTTAGATGTTAGTAATGGAAAATGAAATTTAGGTACATACAATTGTGTTTAATGGAGTCAAGTAAGTTTTTTTCTTTTTTAAATTTGCCTGAATTTGACAAGGATTTTTTAAATCTCAGTATTGTATTATGGATTTATAAAAACATTTTTTAAAATGGAAGAAGACATTAAATCCACCTGATTTACTTTTCTACTAAACTTGTTACTAAAGTCAAATTATCTGGCTGAAATAATAAATCTCTTATACATCCCTAGGCTTGTCAGATAACCTTTAAATACTACTTTTACTTTATATAGTGTAACTATATAAAGTACTACTATAATGGTACTACTATACTATTACTTTATGGCCACAGCAGACTCCCATTATATTTCTAGTGTTTGACGTAAGTTTATTCATTCTCATTCAGTTGTTTTATTCAAGTTATGGTGCATTACAACTTGAAAATTGTGCTACTATATTTTCTTTTGGGAACAGTCTTTATTGAACTCTTATATTTCTGCTAAGATTCTAAGTCAGATGTATAAATATGAAACTTATTGAATGTGTAGTTTCAGCCAGTAAGAGACATTCAGCTTCATATGAGGTGATAAGATGTAGATACATACAACAATTAGACCATACGAAAAGAAGTATAAAAGGTGGATGGATGGACATAGTATTTATGTCTACCGTTAATCGTAACTTTTAGACAACTGAAATAATGTTGGCAGTTGTAGAAAAAAAGGGCAACGGAGTTTACAGAGGCAATTTTCTAAATATTGACTGTGGCTTAATGGCTTAATGGCTTAATGTTTGGGTGAATTGTGCTTTAAATGTTCTCACACAAGTGAGAACATTTATATAAGGTTCAATATGTTCAACAGATATTCTAATTTTCTTTATAAAGGATTTGTTTAGCTGGATAGATAGGAAATCAAATTGTTTGTTGGTAATTCTTTAATTAACTACTGCCTTTAGCTTCCTTTATTGTGTTTCTCTATAACTTAATTATTGTTTTCTGTTATCACTTTCTCAATTTGGTTGTCTTAAAATGAACCTCAAACTTAGCATGCTTTTCTTTCTCCTAGGATAACTTGACCAGTCATAAATTCCTGACGTATTTTGATATGTTCAGCCTTCATTGCTTGGTTTGTGATTTTAGAAAGCTTAACAGTATTCTTTTAATCATTAACTTTTTAAAAATTTGGTTCTGCTGTCAGAAGCAAGACCCAGGATGTTCTGCAACTTAGGTGAACTAAAATTTGCTTATACTTGTTTCTATGGGATTATTTTCTTCTACCTGATTCTAAGTTATTTTCTATGAAATTCTTTTTTTCCTTATTTTTAAATTGGTACATAATAATTGTATATGTTGATGGGTCAAATTAGGGTAATTAGCATATTCATCATCTTAAACCTCTATGAAATTGTTTTTAAAAGCACTAGTGGAAATAATACCATGACTAATAAGAGACATATGTGACAATAACTATGTTTTGCATTTTAATGGACTGTGACTTCTAGATTTTATTGTAGTTACATTTTTATAATTGATCATCATGTTTGCCAAGCACCGTATTACAGTGCTGTATTTCATCATCTTATCTGATTGTCAGAGTAAGTGAAGGCATGGAATTGCACTCAGTGTTGCCAGCATCCTGCTTCCCACACTCTGTCATAACATTTCCCACACTCTGCTGGCAGTCAAGTAATCACTGTAAGGGCAAAAATAATACTTTATTCAGTATTTAACCTCCAAAATGAAGCACACCAATTGCTATATAGCCAGCTCCATTTAACGGTCCTTGAATGAATTTTTACTAATGCTCCTGGGAACTTTCAACCTTGTGGGCAAATGAGCCGACTTTATCATATTAAATTAATGTTCAAAACAAAAGGTCCATAGGAAATCATTCTTCTTGTTTGTTCTCAATTTCACTTATTTATTAAAAACCACTGTTTCAGCAAATACATTGCCTATTGTTTCTCAAACAAGGAACAGATGACAAAGGCATGTTGTTTGTGCCTCAAGTTCCTTGGTTTTGAAAATTCCAATTCCAGGTTTTGATAGGGAGTGCAAGATACATATAGTAATCCTTATTCTTGAAAGGAAAGAGTATGTATCTGCTTGTGAGCTATATTTATATATACAAATTTTAAATATATGCATATATATGTATATACAAGTGATATCAGTAATTCATTTAACCTAGTTGTAATTCATATTTGAAAGGAGATATGGTGTCCAGTGATGATGAGCATTTTTTCATGTGTCTGTTGGCTGCATAAATGTCTTCTTTTGAGAAGTGTCTGTTCATATCTTTCACCCACTTGTTGATGGGGTTGTTTGTTTTTTTCTTGTAAATTTGTTTGAGTTCATTGTAGATTCTGGATATTAGCCCTTTGTCAGATGAGTAGATTGCAAAAATTTTCTCCCATTCTGTAGGTTGCCTGTTCACTCTGATGGTAGTTTCTTTTGCTGTGCAGAAGTCCATATTTTATTTCTATTTTCTTTGTTTTTAATAAATGTTCATGGATATTACATTATATTTAGTTATCATGTGTCTTTAGGGTCCTCTTGGTTGTGACAGTTTCTGACTTTCCTTATTGTTGATGAGTATTGCTCAACTATTTTGCAGGATGCCCCTCTGTTAGAATTTGTCTCCTGTTTTTCTCTACGTAAGATTAAGATAATTGGTTGTTGGGAGGAAATACCACAGAGGTCAAGTACCATTTTCATCTCATCCCATCAAAAGTACATGCTATCATGCTATCATATTGATACTGGCCTTGATCACCTCGCTGAGGTAGTATATGTCAGGTTTCTCCACTGCTAAGTTAGTCTCCTCCTGTCCCCCCTTTCCATACTGTACTCTTGGAAGCAAGTCCCTACATAGAGGCCACAGCGCAGGAGTGGAAAGTTACGCTCCACTTTCTTGAGATAGAGTAGCTACATACATTATTTAGAATTATTCTACGTGGGTTGTTTTCCTCATCACCTCTTATTTATTTTGTTATTCAAGCTGTCATAGCTTTGGCCATTGGGAGCTATCCCAGTTGCTCCTGGGCTCCTTTGACACACTATTTTTTTTTTTTTTTCAAATTTTCATACTCCTTTTTTCATACTCCTTTTTTCATTTTTAAAATTTTTTGAATATGTCCTTGCATTCTGCCACTACTGGTTGTTCCAAGTTGTTGCATATTTCCTGCCTCAGACCTAGAGTCAGTCGTTTATTTAAGGAGCCCTAATTTCTTTTTATTAGAGAATGTTATTAGAAACCAGTATCAGGGTGCTAGGCATGTTTGTTGCTACTGTCTGCCATTTCTTCTAGGCCCTCTAGGCAGACAGAGCAAAAAATATATGTGCTTAATCATAACCCATGTATAGACATATCTCTCTAAAATATCTCTATATGTAAACATCTATATATTATGCTAAATATGAGTTCATACCAATGTCTACAACTCTAATCCATCACAACATAAGTCATTCTAGCTTCCTCTCCTTGCTTATCTGAAAAAGCTCACTGCTGGTTCTATCTGCTGTCCATTTATTCAGTTCCATTCCAATACATTCATGTAGCAGTATCAGAATTGTTAACCTGTACCCTGTGGAAAACAACTTTATCAACTCAAGTACACTGTTTTTGTGCACCTCCTTTTGCCTCTAGCATTATAGACTTGACTTATTTTCAAAGTTATTTAGGTCAGCACCTTTCTACCTCATTCTCTTCAGTGAGGTTTTTCATATATTTGTCGTAGGAAGATAGATTCTCTTGCCATAGGAAGTTTTTCTAGGATCATCCAATCTGCTAAATTTTTTAAATGTCTATACATTAAGTTTTACTCTGTGCTGTAAAATTCCATGGGTTTTGACAAATATGTACTGTCATGTGTCCACCATTACAATATCAGTAAAACTTGGAATAATTTTGCTGTTCTAAAAGTCCTCTGTGCTTTACCTATTTACCCCTCTTCCTTCCTCTCGAGGCTCTGGAAACAACTGATCATTTTACTATTTCTACAAGTTTTGCCTTTTCTAGAATAATATATAATTGTAATCACAAATATGTCAGCTCTCAATACTGGTTTATTTCACTTAGCCATCAAAGGTGCATTTAAGATTACTGTGGCTTGATAGGCAATTTCTTTTTATTGCTGAATAATATTTTATTATATAGATATACTACAATTTGTTTATTCATTCATCTGTTGAACATCTTGGTTGCTTCCAGTTTTGGGAAATTATGAATAAAGCTGCTGTAAACTTTTGCAGGAAGGTTTTGGTGTGAACATAACTTTTAGAAACAACAGGGTTTATACCTAGGAGCAAGATTGTTTGATTTTATGGTAAGACTATGTGTAGTTTTAAAAGCCCACCAAACCTTTTTCTAAAATGGCTGTACCATTTTGTATTCCCACCTATTGCCCTACATTCTCACTAGCATTTGGTATTGTCAGTATTTTTAGTTTTCACCCTTCTAATAGGTATAGTAGTGTCTAATAGGTGTGAGGTTTTATGATATTGAGCATCATTTAATATTTTTGCCATCTGCATATTTTCTTTGAAGTATCTGTCCAGATACCTTATGCATTTTAAATTGGGTCACTTGTTTCCTTATTGCTGAGTTTTAAAAGTCCTTTGTATATTTTGGATAAAAGTTTTTTGGCAGATATGTGTTTTGTAAATAAATTACCCAACTATTTCTTGTCTGATTATCTTAACAGTTTGTTTTACACAGCATAAGTCTTTTGTTTTTGTTTGTTTTGTTGCTGTTGTTGTTGTTTTTGAGATGGAGTTTTGCTCTTGTCACCCAGGCTGGAGTGCAATGGCATGATCTTGGCTCACTGCAACCTCTGCCTCCTGGGTTCAAGCAATTCTCCTGCCTCAGTCTCCCTAGTAGCTGGTATTACAGGTGCGTGCCACCACGCCCAGCTAATTTTTTGTATGTTTAGTAGAGATGGGGTTTCACCATGTTGGTCAGGCTGGCCTTGAACTCCTGACCTCAGGTGATCCACCCACCTCAGCCTCCCAAAGTGCTGGGATTACAGGCGTGAGCCACTGCACCCAGCCACAGCATAAGTTTTTAATAAAGTCCAATGTATCCTTCTTTGTTTCATAGATTGTTTTTGGTACTGTATCTGAAAACTTCTTGCCAAACTCAACATCACTTATATTTTCTCCTGTGTATCTTCTAGAATTTTTTGAGTTGATTTAATATTTAGGTGTTTGATCTATTTTAAGTTATGCTTTATGAAAGGTGTAAGCTCTATGTCTAGATTCTCTCTCTTACACATACACAAATGAACTTCCAGTCATTCCAAGATTTGCTGAAAGATACCTTTTCCCCATTGAATTGCCCTTGCTTTTTTGTCAAAGATCAGTTGACTGTATTGATGTGGGTCTGATTCTGGGCTCTTCTAATTTTTTTTTTTTTCTCACCCTGTCTTATAGTGCTAATCTTCTATTCTGTTGATCGGTGTATCTTTTGTTTCACCAACACCAGGCTGTCTGGATTACTGTAGATTTTTAGTAAGTCTTGAAGTCAGGTTGTGACAGTCTTCCAACTTTATTCTTTAGTATTGTGTTAGCTATTCTGGGTCTTTTGCCTCTTCATATAAATTTTAGGATTCATTTGTCAGTATCACTAATATTGTGTTAAGGTTTTTTGCTTTTTGTTTATGAGAGATATTTCCCTACAGGTTTTTGTTGTTGTTTTGTTTTTGCTATGGTGGTGATGGCATTAGAAAAATAGCCTCATAGAATGAGATAGAAAGTATTCTTTCTGCTTTCCTTTGAATTTTAATTTCAATTATTTTTAAATCATCGGATATTTAATTGTATAATTTTTTGTAAATATGCTTGCTCTCTTGTAACATTTTACCTTGTTTATCTGTTTTTTCCTTTGAAACATTAATAATTTTAAGTATTATCTTATTGTCTGCATGTGTACAAGTCCTTTCTTGTTAAGCTTTGTATCAATATGTCTTTTGTAATTTTAGGTTGTACATTAATGTTTCACAGGATTTTATTTTTCAGAATTCCATATGATTTGGATTTATGAGATATCTTAAAAAGAGGAGTATTCTTTGCCTCTGTTAATGTTCCCATGGATGTTAGTAGCTCTGGATCACTTTTTGTGTCTGTTTATATATACATACATATAAATGGGATTTATTTTTTGTGGAGTCAAAATGAATACAGTGGGCATGCTTTTTCTCAAACAATTTATTTTTAAATTAGTTGTATGTTCTCCATGAGCTTCAGCTATACATGGAGTTCTCAACTCCAAATTTCAACTTAACTTGAGCCCAATAGTTTCTCTTGTTAGGTTCTGACCCTTAGCTAGTTACGGGCACTGATTTTTTTTGCTACCACCTATGGGCAGTTATAACATAAACATCATCTTTTCTTTTCATCTAATATGTGTTTAAAGTTGATATTGATTACAATTTATTCATACATTTTATGTGCTTTCTATTTTATGTGGAGAAGATTCAGTTATTTAGATTCTTCAGTGCTAGAAAACAAAATCTCATTGCTCTCTAACTTGTGATTTATTAATGCTAATACATTGATCTGTCTCTATTACTAGGTAACTAGCTCCTATGGGCCATTCCCTTGTCTCATTCATGTATGGGCCATTCCCTTGTCTCATTCACATATGTCCTACCTTAATTATCTGAAATAGCTATTTGTGAAGAATAAGTATTTAATACTAGATTAAATGTGTGACAAAATGATAAACCACATAACAAAACATATGTATCTTCTGTATTAATTTTGAATATTTTTAATATTATGGGTTTCTCTCCACTTGAAACATAATCCACTTATTTTGCAAACCCACAGGCACATATTAAAAACAATGAACTGGATTTCTGAAATCAAGTAGTGCTTATTTATAACTATTTTAATCTTTCAGGTTCGTGCAGAAATAAAAAATTTCTGATCATCTGACTCTCAGCCTCAATTAAATCACTACACTACTTTTGTCTCATAACACTCACCAATTTGGTAGAGTTTTTTTTTTTTTTTTTAAGTTTGACTTTAATCAGGGCTGAGGTAAACCTCACCTTAATCTCTTTTACATTATTTCCTTTCCCCATAAAGAACAAAAAGTAACATAATTTGATGGGAAGAAAAATACCTCTCCAAAGGAAAATGTATTATATTTATGATGAAATGAAGACCATATATTAGATTGGACATTTCTAAAATATGAGCAAAATCTATATATTTTTTTAAAAGCTTGCATTTAACACGTGATCAACAGTTAGTGGGTTGGTACATTTGCAAATAAATGTGGCCTGCCTCAAATAATTATTGTGTAAGATTTTAGATCCCCCCCACCACTCCTGTTATAATTTAAAAATGGCTTGATAACTCTTTATTGAGTAGTCCTTCTGATACTGTTTCAGGAACATGTAGTTACATTAAGTTTTGGAAAATCTTTGTTATTTGAAAGCAGTATGATTATTTTCTTAAGAACCCAAATAGGCCGGGCGTGGTGGCTCACGCCTGTAATCCCAGCACTTTGGGAGGCCGAGGCGGGCTATCACGAGGTCAGGAGATCGAGACCATCCTGGCTAACACGGTGAAACCCTGTCTCTACTAAAAATACAAAAAATTAGTCGGGCATGGTGGCGGGCACCTGTAGTCCCAGCTACTTGGGAGGCTGAGGCAGGAGAATGGCGTGAACCTGGGAGGCGGAGCTTGCAGTTAGCCAAGATCGTGCCACTATACTCAAGCCTGGGCGACAGAGCGAGACTCTGTCTCAAAAAAAAAAAAAAACAAAACAAAACAAAACAAAAAAAACGAAAACCCAAATATCCAGAGTTCAATGTTGTGGCCAATGTAAAGTTGGGTACCAAATTGATATATAACAAACGGTAAGAAGACAAGGTTTTATTTTAAGATTCATAAAATGATAAAGAATCACAAAAAGGAAGTAAAAATTTATTTAAGAATATAGCTTAAATACGTACATATCCTTTACTGCTTTATGTTCTTGTGGTTCCTTTCAGGATGATAAAGTCATTTTACACTTTCACCGTTTAGTACTCGTTCACTCATTCATGCATTATTCATTTGTTCTTTATCAATTTCATGCTCCCTTTCCAGTGTTATACTGGAGATAAGTTCCTTTGTTTGCTGACAGTGCTTACTTAAGAGGACCTGACTACATTGCTGTTAGGCTTTCTATGCCTACTATATGATGGGAGTAGATTGCCTATCTTCTTCATTCTTTACTTCACTAAAATGCAAGCTCTTTAGCATTTAGTTTGACCTGTACTCTTTATTTTTTAGTGGGAGGCCTTTAACATTTCTTGCACAATTATTTATAAAGTGAGCTGAAATGGTATCTTTATCTTAATAGAGGTTTAATATTAAAACTGAGTTTTGTTTGTTCGTGAATCTCGTTTTGAATAAGATGCAAATTGATCTCATTCCTTTGTAATATTTGTCTAGCTAATCAATATAGCCATTTGAAGGAAAATTCTACTTATATTGTATATATAGTTACTTGTATCTATTACTGTATTAATCTATGTTTCTATACACAAATAACATTGCTGGGATATACACAGAAATTGATATAAAAAATAGGAACTGTTTCAGATGGGAGGGAGGATTACTATTTTATATGTATAAGGATGTTTGTTATGTACCTATTATAGTATTCTAAAAGAAAACTAGTTAATATTCATGGATTTTATATTAATTGTGCTCTCATAAATGACAGATTTTCTATTTCTGCATTATTTTATATTCTTGTTTTAAACTATGAAAAATTTATTGTCTGATTATGTATTTTATAAGTAATGTTCTTATTAATAGTTCTCTTACAAGAAGTATTTTCATAATGTTAAAACAACATGTTTAAAGTTAGTGCTTTTTAGAATAAGTATACTTAATAGAAAAAAAGATGATACAATTACATTACTCCCTAAATAGATGAGTTTATTAGTAATACTGTTTATAGGACAATGATCTTTTTTTTTTTTTTTTTTTTTTTTTTTGTTTTGAGACAGAGTCTCAATCTGTCACCGAGGCTGGAATGCAGTGGCACAGTCTTGGCTCACTGTAGCCTCCTCCCAGGTTCAAGCGATTCTCATCCCTCAGCCTCCCAAGTAGCTGGGATTACAGGTGCACACCACCACACCCAGCTAATTTTTGTATTTTTTGTAGAGACAGGGTTTCATCATGTTGGCCCCACTGGTCTCAAACTTCTGACCTCAGTGATCCACCTGCCTCCGCCTCCCAAAGTGCTGGGATTACCAGCATGAGCCACCGCAACCAGCCTGCTCTTTCAATCAAGTGCCCTATATACCTAGAGTCCTTCAAGGTAGCAAATGGATGGAAAAATATAATTTTAAAAAACACAGCAAAGAAATCCTCCCTTTACACAAAAAGCAACTGCAAAGGCTAGTTGCAACATTGAGTGTGTGTATGCCAAACAATTTCTTCTGGGCATCATGTAGCATATGTCGATAAAACCCTATGGCGGGAAGAGTGAGCTATGTAGCATGAGCATGACATAAAGCATTGCCAGATGGTACCTGCAAAAACTAGTTAAAATATGTTTAAAACCGGTTGCTTCAGCAGTGGTTACAATAAACATGGGACTGAGGGGATCTCAGTGAGCATAAGTCAGATAAACCAATATCACAGACTGTTAATTTGCTCCAGTACAAATACCAGATCCTACATGACGTGTTGTTTAATGTTATGGTAGCTTATCATTGTGTTAGAATTCTCCAGAGAAACAAAACCAAAAGTGAGTGTGTATGTATGTGTGTGTGTGTGTGTGTGTGTGTGTGTGTCCACAATTCCCTCTATTTTAATTTAATTTTTTTTATTTCAGTAGCTTTTGGGGCATAAGTAGTTTTTGATTACATGGTTGAATTCTATAGTGTTGAATTCTGAGATTTTAGTACACCTGTTACTGAATGGTGTACACTGTACCCAGTATGTAGTCTTTTTATCCCTTTTGCTCAGGTGAGGTCAGTCTTTTGTTCTGTTCATGCCTATAACTGATTCGATGAGGCCTGTCCACATCGTGGAGGGCAGTCTGCGTGCACAAATTTTACTGATTACTGCTGCAGAAATATCCAGGATAATGTTAACCACATATCTGCACACCATGACCCAGGAAAGTTGACACACAGAATTAACCATCCATTTTGGTTCTGTATGAACAAAATGGATAAATCTAATAGACATATGATGTGGGTCACCACCTTTTGCATTTTTCAAGTCTTTGATGTTGATACTAATTTCTGCAGTTCATCCTAAAATTCATTCTTGCATAGGATTTTTTCTGGCTTCCACAATGTTCCTTACCCCACAGGTTTGAGAAGCAGTATGAGGGCTCTTCTACTTGCCAATTATATCATTCTTATATAGGTATTTAAGAAATATTTACATTTTTAAGGGAAATAGCAGCCAGATAAGTGAACAGATCAGAAACACTGTGCAGTGGATTTGGAATAAATTTATCTCCTGGTCTCCATAGCCCTCACTCTAACTGGAGGTTCATGACAGTATTACAGGTACTCTATCTTCAGTGTTTAAACCCTAGTTCTAACCATCTTTTAAATTTCTGGGCATTCACCTTTCCCCAGTGAATAGTTATCCTGGCAAAATGGTGCAAGGACTCTTTAGGGAAGGGAGAATAGTTATTATATATATAGTTAATAGCGCTGGTCTTCCTCAGTAAAACCAGCCTTCCATTCAATCATTGTACTCTGGATTCTGTGAACTAATTTGATTGTCAGAACGAGTGAGAAACAATCTTCCATTGCAATGAACGATGTTGGCCTTCTGCTTACCATCATTCTATTTTCCACCAGTTTTGTAATTGAACAACATCCTTGTTTGTTATACCTACATCTTGCCCCAGGAACACCATTTCCCGGTTGTTGCCAAAAATGCCTGTGGTCAAGGCACCACGTGTTGCTGAGCATTACACATTTTACATCTTTTATATACACCTTCTGTTTAAGTACCATCACCTGGCTTCTTACATTCTAGAATTCCACTACAGAGCCCAATAATGTCCCACCTTTAACCAGGACAAAAGAACATAGCCACGTTTGAGCTCTTCAAAGTTACCATTTCTCCTTTCACCAATGTACTTTTTCACTGTGTTAGGATTGTGTCCTCTAGACTCTCCTAGGCACATAACTTTCAGGTGGTGAGTTCTCAGATCTTGTCTGGTAAATCCATTCTAATTTTACTACCATCCTCAGCCTCTGTCCCTCCTCAATACTTTGCCAAAAATATTCCAGCATCTTTATTTCATTTCCTGTAGGCCATAATTGTGTGCAGACTTCAAGGGGGTGATTCCAACATATATATTTGGGCCAGGGCCAGGTGTTCTTACCCAAGTACTCAATTAAGATCATGAGTAAATGATGGGTATCAATAAATTCTCTTCATATTAGTCTTTACATTGCTCCGCCACCTTAGTCCCATAAACTGAATTGACTGCTACATATGTAATCTTGTTTCCTGCTATAAATACTGGCTAGGCACTACCTTTCCTGTGATGTATAATCTGTTTCCTCCTGATGCAGAATTATACTTCCCCGTTCAAAGTATACTGAAACCTCACCCTGGTTATTTGCCTGAAGGCATAGAGGGGCTGTAGGAAGGAATGTTGAGGAGAACGACATTAACTTGTAAGAAATTCATCTCAGATAATATCCATGTATGCCCTCCAGGCAAGGGGAGGGGAAACTTTACTCAGAAACATTGGGGGGTGCTGTTTTTAACAGCCAGGAGGATTCAGAAGAATTTAGGGGTTCAAAATTCTTAATGCTTATCCGCTCAAGTGTCCCTCCCTAGGACATAGTTTCTCATGAATTTTGTTTCATTTTTTCAATAAGAGCCATAGCTTTGTCATAAATATATTAAGGCTAGATGGTGTTTACAGGCCTACCACTTTCATAATTAAAACCTAGGTCTAATTTTTAACACAGTCGGCCTTTTAATTTTAGGAGATAAGAATATCTTCAAACACTGCCATTGAGGCCCTTAGGCTTTTATAGCTTGCCTTAGATTGGAGATGGATGCCCCAAGACTTATCACTTTTTTTTCCCTCAAAGCTTCTAATTCAGTTAATAGAAGCTAGACCTCATAGTTCCATTGTCCCTGAAACATTAAAGGGCTACATATACATATTTCACCCTCCTCCTACATCTTATTCTAATTAACCTGAGGTGAAAATTCCTGGTACTTATGACGCATTTACATGCCATGGATTATCATCACCTCAGCTACTACCAGAAATAGAATCTCTTGTTACTTTCATACCAGTGAGTAATCCAGCCCCCAAATTCTATTCTTAGAGTCAGCTTTCTGCTGCTATGCCTGATTTCAAATGCTTTAACCTAGTTTTCCCAGAAATTAGAACAGAAATTATGTGCTGCTACTGTTATTTGAGACCATACTCCCATGTAATAGGAATGAGGGAAGGAAAAATGAGGAAAATAATAAAAAGATGCATTATTGATTCAGGGGTATAAAAGATAGTTTGATCTTCCACTTTCTTCTTTTTTTTTTTTTTTTTTTTTTTTTTTTTTTTTTTTTTGAGACGGAGTCTCGCTGTCGCCCAGGCTGGAGTGCAGTGGCGCGATCTCGGCTCACTGCAGGCTCCGCCCCCTGGGGTTCACGCCATTCTCCTGCCTCAGCCTCCCAAGTAGCTGGGACTACAGGCGTCCACCACCTCGCCCGGCTAATTTTTTGTATTTTTAGTAGAGACGGGGTTTCACCGTGTTAGCCAGGATGGTCTCGATCTCCTGACCTCGTGATCCGCCCGCCTCGGCCTCCCAAAGTGCTGGGATTACAGGCGTGAGCCACCGCGCCCGGCCTCCACTTTCTTCTTAAAAGCCAAATAAACTAGGTCTTAAGACAGTTGGTCCAAATAAAGAAAAGTGAGAAATTTCTCCACCAGCTTCCCTAGCTCATTTGTCAAAGTTGTGCCTCTTGGGAAATGAACTCCCCACACTTCTACATTGCACATAATTGCTGTCTAAACAAGAATTCACAGCATCCCCATCTGGATGTCACATGGAAGTCCCAGAGAGAAGACGAGAGGTGTGTTGCACAGGTTTAAGACAAATCATTATCAGGTTAGGTCAGCATAAAGTCAGCCACAGTTCACACAAAGGTCGTTGTCACAGTGACAGCTGGGACAAAAAACAAGGCCAGGGAAACCTGACGTGATACAGGAAATGTGTCTGATATCTATGGGCTGGACTATGATGGTACGTTAAGAATAACTAAGAGACTTTATGTTAAGAATCAAACTTAAGGAAATAGCTTGGTTGCAGAAACAAAAATCAATTTCACACTGACTTACAGAAAAATGGAAATTTATTGACCCTACAAACAAATTTTTTGATAATACTGGCTTCAGAAGAGCCATGATTCAATAACTCAATGCGGTCATCAAAGATTCAATTTCCTTTATTTTGATCTCTACTTGCTCTTCAGAGTGTTGGCTTCAGTCTAAAGTTGATGTCACATCTGATCTGAAGATAACACATGACCTGAGTCTACATACTTGCTCCCCATTCGTCAAGAATGAGAAAGCATTTTTTTTGTTGTTGTTGTTAGTTTGTTTGTTTGTTTCTTTGCCAGAGTTTCCAATGAAAGTGTAGAGATTCAGAAAATGCCTACTCCGTAGTAGGACTAGGAGCCTGGATGTAGTGATTGGCTTAACCTAGGTCGTATGATTTTTCCCTTTGGTATGTGAGTAGCATTATCCCTGGGAAAATAAATCATTAACTCCCTACGAGGGCTGTTGCAAAGAAGAAGTATCCACATGAAGATGGAGGAAGGAAAACAAGAGTGATTATCCCAATCAGTAAGTTGTTGCTTATTGGTAAAAATCAACTAAATTTAAAAATAAAAAACATCATAGAATGTGGATTTCATCAAATAATTAAGAAGGTGTTAATGGGAGATAATTTTTAAGTCTTATAATGTTTTAAAGGTTAGGAAGCCTTGGTGTGTAAGATGCACTGCTTTGGTCTCAATTTTTAAAATCTCTAAAAAGTGTTTAGAAAATGGCTACCATTTTGTGGAAAATATAAAAAATGAGAAACTCATAAACATTAATGAAACACTTTTTAAGGAATATTTTCTACAGATCATGGAGGAGGTAATTAAACATAAAATAATTGCTTCCATCTCTTCCCCTTATGTTTGAACTTTCTCTGATTTTGAGACATATGAACAATTCTTATAATTTTTGCTCTACATCTTGTTTTCTCGTATTCTTCACCCTTTATCCCACCACAGAAATCTTAGGCCCCCCCATGCTGACATTGCATCAGATATAGTGTTTCTCATTGCACTGTAATATTAATTTATTTAGATAATGCTACTGCTTTATTTATATTTCAAATAGCTCAAAATTTGACTGCCATATCTTGTTCTTTGCAATTATCTTTTTATTGTCATAAAATTTGTCTCTACTCAATCTTTTTTGCCCTTATACCTACTGTTGAGATCAGATCTAATATAATACTACCTATTTATTGGGTTAGGCTAATAAATCTCCTTTCTCTTATCTTTTTAACAATGCCCCTAGAATTACTGCCATTGGATTACAGAAATTAAGTGAATACACTTCTTACAATTTTGGCTAAGTATTGCATACTTACCCTTAAAATTTAACCTTTGGGGAAAAAAGGTTTTGCAGAATATTGTGTCATCAGATACATAAGCCAATCACTAAAGAGTTGAGGCTAAAAGTGCAGCTATTGGACTTTTAATTTATCTCTACATTTTACTTTTATTATCCTTTATGTCTCACATTTTTTAAAATGTTCATCACCTGCCATTTATTTGCCAAAGATTCAGTAAGACTTATTCTTTTTCAGGCATGTTGTTTGATATTGGGAATGGAGTACGGTGAGGCCAAATTTTGGGAGAAGAGTGGCAGCAATAAGGAATACACATCCCTTCCTAGAATATCCCAATCTATTGAGGGAAGATAGTCACATTTTTTAAAAATTGAGATACAGTGAAAGTCGTGTTGATAGAGAATGGCAGTGCAGTTCATAAGTATAGTAATAGAACAAAAACTGTGCTTTAGGAGGATAGCCTCATGTTCACAAGGAAGGTGACTTTGAATAGGGCCCTGAATGATGAGCAGACCCCATAAGGCAAATAAATAGTAACACATTTTATAATCAACAATAAAAATCTTGACTACTCTTCATGTTCTGAGCTTTCTCCTTTTTCCTCTGTCTTCATTTTTACCTTTCTTCATCTATCTCCCTTCTTCATAAAGTCAAGAAGAAAAAAATCTTGCTACCAGGATATTCCTGCAACAAGGAAACTCGTAGATAACTTCTAGACAAATGAAGTTCCCTACTGATCTGCTCCCTATAAGGCTGTCTTTCTTGATTCATTCTATCTAAAAATAGATATATTCACTGTCAGGGATGGCTGATTTAACAAAATAAGCTTAGTAGGCACCATTACTTGAATCTCTTTATGGATTTTTTTTAGGTTCATACATGTTATAGGAAAAGTCTCTTGGAAGATGAACTTCTCACAACAGTGCTAACTTCAAGTATTTTAGTCCTTAGAACCAAAAATCAGAACGAAAATCTAACTTGACCTTTTACTACCTACATGCCATGGTGTATATATATATATATAAAATATATATTTAAAATATATATATATAAAATATATATATTATATATATAATATATATATAATATATATATAAAATATATATATAATATATATATTATATATAAAATATATATAATATATATATTATATATATAAAATATATATAATATATATAAAATATATATAATATATAGTATATATAAAAATATATAAAATATATAATATATATATAATATATATATAAAATATATATTATATATAATATGTATATAAAATATATATAATATATATATAATATATATAATATATATTATATATATAATACATATATAATATATATAATATATATATAAAATATATATATAATCTCCAGAGCACATGTTAAGTATAACTAGAAAAGAATTTGGATATCTAAAATGTACCATTATATTCCAAAGTACCTTACTGAAAACTAAATGAGAGAGTATCTGTATAGCTGAACTACTCATTGTACTGAATATGCCTCTTGTACATATAGGAATACATGATAAAGGGACGTGTCAACTTTTCAGTTCTTCCAAGTTATTTTTTATAAAAAGATCATTTCTTTTGTGGTATTTTGGGGCTCTTGGGATAAAAACTTCATTTTTCTAAGGCATTTTCTGATCTTCACAAGCAAATAGAACTCTATGCATGGCTTCCAAAATCAGGATTTTAATATATATAATCGTTATTCATTCTGTCATTTGCATTGTAAAAATGATAATGTGTCAGCAAATATTCATAGTTCTGCTTCACATAATATTGCACTTCAATTAAAGCATATTTTAAGTTTCAGTGGAACTACTTGAGTTTTGCTTTAATTCTATCGTTAAAATCCCTTGATATTTTAGGCATGAGTTGAAGTAAAACAACATTTGTGCTTTTAGAGCTTAGATGTCTGTTACTACATTAGAGGGTCTCTGTATTGTGCGAGATAGTTCCCAGTTTTTCCTCTGATCAAGCTGTTCTCCCAGAAGCCAGTGTCGATGCAGGAGGGTTGGGGGAGCAGTGGTCTGGAGACCTGCAGTAAGGAAAGAATATGTTTCCCTTTGCAAAAAGAGTGTGCCTCGGTAAGATCCAGGCAAAAAGTCACAGCCAGAATCAGAAGTGGATCCCTACTGGGGACTAATAATCAGCTATTGAACCCTGCACTCTTTCTGTAAGTTTATTTTGCAGCTACTTTGAAGAGGGAGTTTATTTTTTAATTAATTTGACACAATTTAACGTATAACCTCTTACATGCCACTCACTAAGCTAGATGTTTTCAGCCATATGTAGTGCTTTGTGCATCTCTCAGTTATACTTATTGTAACATGATTAATTGTCCACACATTTTTACCCATTCATTAAATAAGCAAGTATTGAGTACCACCTATTTTCTAGGTATTTTGCCAAGTGCTGAGAATGAGCAAGATGTATAATTGCTTGTGTTTAAGCTGCTTGCAATCTAGTGAAGAAGAAAACCACAAAGCCTTATTATCTTAGAAGGTACAAGGTAATGATTTAGTATGCATGGCAGATTTAAGTACTCCTCTGTAAACAGTGTCCAGCTTGGGAAAGTGAAGGATGACTTTCCCAACTGGGAAAGGATCCAAAAGGCTTCCTCAAGTTCTAACATATAGTAGTTTTTATATCATTTAATTTGTATCATTTTAAATTTTATATCATTTAATTTGTATCATTTTAAATTTTACAATAATAGTTCTTTGGTTATTTACAAATGTCAGTAACCATCTTTTAAAAAATATTTCAGGTACGTATAGATTTGTGTGTGTGCTCTTTGTTTCTGATTTTTAACTTATTTTGATTATGGTCAGAGAACATGGTCTATTGGATTTCAATTTTTGGAACTGTATTAAGGTTTGCTTTTCAGCATAAATCTGGTTGACTTTCAGAAGTGTTCTATTTATGTGTGAAAATAATATATGTAGGTACTCTAATTTCTCCCCTCTTAAATTATCTTGATTACAATCCAGCATCCTCCTCCAATTTTACTAGAGCACATCTTGTCATGGTCACCCATGAGCTCTGTGTTGCATGTGCAATGTGCAATTCTTCAACTTGCATTACTTAACTGCCACCTTGGACACAGGAGAACACTTCTTTTTGAATCACTGTTTTTGGTTGGCTTCTGGGACCCCACTCTCTGACTTCCTGCATATTTCATTAACAGCTCCATTTTACTTCTTCTTGATTTTTATCTTCATATCACCAGTATCTAAAAGTTGGACTACCCAAGGCTTTAGTCTTCTTTTCTTTTAAATCTCTTTTCCTTTCATCACCCTTTGGTGACCTCATGTGATCTCTATGTTTATAATACCACCTATATCCTAATAACTTCCAAATTTATGCTTCCAGGCATATTTTCTCCGTAATCTCAGGTTTATTTACCTCCCTATTAGTTTTATTCAAATGCCTAACGGGCATCTTACAACTGACACTTCCACGTGGATCTCCTAATAATCCCATCCAAGCCACTATCTTGGTAATCAACTTTAACTGAAAAATGGTAACCTCTTACATAGATCTAAAACTATACAGTTATACTTTATCAATTTCTTTTAACATACCACATCAAATCTGCTCACAAATTCTTTTTACCTTCAGACAAATCCATATTCTAGCTACCTCTCAACACCTCTCCACTACTTGTCTGGTCATATTCATCTCTTTTCTAGACTTTTACAGTAGGCCTTTTTGTTGTTTTTCTGCTTCTCATTTTAACTTCCTTCAGTCTCATCTCTACATCTGGCCAAACTGGACCTTCTCTGCTTTCTACTCAAAAAATACCCCACTGGCTTTCCATTTCATTTGAAGTAAAAGCTAATGTCTCCAGTTTTTAAAATAACTTACTCAAATTTAGATTATGTGTCTCCTCATTACCCTGACCTACTCTCCTCATGTCTTTCCCTCATTCAATCCACTGGAAAAAAAAAAGCTGGATTTCTTGCTGTTTTTAAGCAATCTATGTATGCTCTCTTCTTAGACTTTGCTCTTCATGTGGCCTATTCTTGGAATACTCTTCACCCAGTTATACACATGCCTGACTCCCTTTTTTCCTTCAGGTCTTCACTCAAATGTTGCCTTAGTAAGAATTTACCTCATTCCCATATTAAAAAAATCTTTTTATTAATCTTTTTATTAATCTTATTTAATTTTTGTACTCTCTACTATAATTAAAGCTTCATATGGAGAAAGAAATGTGTGTGCATTTTATTTGTACTCCTGTATTTTAAGTGCCAGCCTTAGTGCTAGCACATAGTAGATACTCAAAAAATGTTTATGGAAATAATGAATAAATGTTGTATCGAGTTGTCAGCTGCACACTGGATACCTTACTACTCCTCAAATAGGTGGACTGAGACAGATTGTTATAAGTAGATATCTACTATAGGTTGTTAAGGAGTTTTGTAGTGATTGACATCTGTGAAAGAGAAGGGAACAAAGCAAGAATGGGCAAACAGGAAAGATGAGCTGCAATGCAATCTCAACAAAGGCTTCAGCCAACGTCACTGGAAGGTTTTCTGTCTTGTGACTAACAGGCTAAGCCTTTCTCCTCTGTATTTACCAGTCGTTGGGCTCATTTAAAAGAAAAGAAGACTAAAGCCTTGAGTTTTCCAACTTTTAGATACTCTGACATGAAGATAAAAATCAAGAAAAAGTAAAATGGAGCTGTTAATGAAATATGTAGGAAGATATATTTAGTGAGACATTGGTGAAGGAGCATGGACAGCTTAGGGCAATTTGCAGATTGGGATGAGAGCTGGGGCTAGCAGTCCAGCAGCACTCCCAGCAGCTTGGAAAAAAAGAATCCTTTAATCCTGAAAAAGGATTTTTCAGTTGTCTACTGTACTTACCAAGCATGCTATGGGTTTAAGGCTGTTTCTACTTCCTAGAAGGCTCTTCCTCTAGAGAACTGCACAATTAGCTTCTGTACCTCCTTCAAATTCTTATTCAGATGTTGCTTTCTTGAAATGACTACACTTTTATTTTAAACTAAAATATCGCCATCTAACAGCCACAAACCCACAGCTTCTAATATCTTCTAATATAGCATATTATTTGCTTAATTACATGTTCGCTATTCATTGTCTCCTCCAACTAGAAGATATGTTCCATGAAGACAGTAATTTTTGTTGATTTGTTCAATAACATAATTGACAAATACTTAGAACACTACACATAGTATTTCAAATATTTTGGGAATGAATGAATGAATGAATTTCAAACTTCTTACTGACCTGACGTTGTGATACATTGAATACTAAAAATTCCAGAGAGTGATGATAGCCCTTTTAATCTGACTACTGTACAGGGGAAAATGAAGCAGAGCCTGACTGCCTAGAATAAACCTCCACTGCAGCCCTCTGACAAAATATTCCAAGGCCATCTTTTGTAACAACTAGGAAGGAGATGAATCCTGCCTATTAGGATATCTAACAAGTTCCAGGTACTAATCTGGTTCTTTAAGGGTTAAAACAGATCTAATATGTCTTCATTTTGAGTTTGATTGTACTACGATATTGTCTCAGGACCAAGGAGACTTGGGTAGGCTAACAGCCTATGTAAGACTGACATCCAGCTATATCCACTATCAGCTTTTGCCCCGAGTTAGTGCAGGGAAGATGCAATGGAGCAGAATGCCACCAGAGGGCACTGTGGCACCGCTTTGTGATTTTCAGTTTTCATATATGGGATTGCAAGAAAAGCTTGGGACAAAAGCTTTAAAAAAAAAAAAAAACAACTCAGAGCAATGTTTTGCTGACGTAGTTAATGGCTTTCATTCATTTTGAAAATGTATAGGATGATAAAGAATGTTATAAATTGCAACTTGGATAAAAAATGGCAAAGCTATTAACAAATTTCACAGAAAAATACACACAAATGTCTTTAAATATTATGAAAACATGCTCAAACTACCTTATAATTTTTTAAATGCTAATTAAAATAGCATTGATATAAAACTTTTCACCTGTAAGATTTGCAAAATTGTAGAAGTCGGCCCACCCAAGCAATCTTGTAGATTGTCGGTAGAAGCACAAATTAGTTTGATTCTCAAGGAAGGAAATTGGGCACTATATCTGATAGTTACAGATTCATTTGCCCCTTGACCTTCCTACACATACTTATAGAAATCTATTCTACAGATGTACATCTTATATACAAATTGATGCATAAATAGTAATTTATTATAAACTCTTTAATAGGTAAAGGGGTTTTTTAAATCGTTTTGGGGAGAGTGCTGGTTAAATTATGGTATATCAGTAAAATAGAAAAACATAAAGCTGAAAATAATGAAGATGATGAAGATGCTTTTTATTTACTGATATAATGCCCACCTAACTTTAA
This sequence comes from Homo sapiens, assembly GCF_000001405.40. Lineage (NCBI taxonomy): Eukaryota > Metazoa > Chordata > Mammalia > Primates > Hominidae > Homo > Homo sapiens. Next base: position 9,942,287 of record NC_000009.12, on the reverse strand, counting down.
GTGAAAAATGTAAGACCCATAATATTGGTAAATCATTGAATTTTTTTAAAGGAGGTGGAGAATAAGAATATATGTATGGTTGTATTCGTTTGTATTTCCAGAAGGAAATTTTGCAAAGACACACAGATGCCAATCAATGTGGTTTTGGTGAGGGTGGGAAATGGGAAGCATGGAGGCAAGTGTGAGAGTAATATTTTGTCCTGTGTACTATTTCCTGTGGCTTAGATTCATGATTCACAGGAATTCATTACCTAGTCACAAAATGGAATAAATGTTTTAACAATTGTGGGGTAGAACTTTTGGCTGGGCTTTCAGAAAATGTTGGAGATTCAACTCTTTATTTTAAATCATTCAAATACATTAGATATACACAGAAGTATTTGTTGTCATAGTTAGCTAATAACTACTGATTTTTCTTCTGGAAATCAATCAATTGTAGTGCTTTTGGCAACCTTGGAATGAATGACATGAATTTTCCAGCAAGGCTTCCCAGAGAAAAGTTACAAAAGTGACTGGAGTTTCCTTTGGGACCTCTTCTTCAGAGTTGTTCTACTCTCCACCATGCACCAGTTGTCACAGGCCGATCTGTCCTTTGGGAAAAGAGGATTGAAGTTACTGAACCCTTTCCTTACATTGTGACAAATTTATTATAGATATACACATTTGGCTGGGCTCAGTGGCTCACGCCAGTAATCCTAGCACTTTGGGAGGCTGAGGCCGGTGGATCACTTGATGTCAGGAGTTCAAGAACAGCCTGGCCAATACGGCGAAACTCCATCTCTACTAAAAATACAAAAATTACCCAGGCGTGGTGCTGGGTTCCTGTAATCCCAGCTACTTGGGAGGCTTAGGCAGGAGAATCACTTGAACCCAAGAGGCAGAAATTGCAGCGAGCTGAGATCATGCCACTGCCCTTCAGCCTGGGCATCAGAGTGAGACTGTCTAAAATAAGATACACATATTTCTTCATTCACTTAATGTTTATTGAATATTAAGAACCTGGCTGTGAACCACCTTTTGAGCATACAAATCTGTCAGACATAGCTTTTCCCTTCCCTCATAGTCATATAGGAAGCCAGGCATGATCTAAATCAAGCTTGTCCATCCTGTAGCCCACAGGCAGCATGCGGCCCAGGACGGCTTTGAATGTAGCCCAACACAAATTCACAAATTTTCTTAAAACATGAGAAAACATGAGATTTTTTTGGAATTTTCTTTTTCTCATCAGCTGTCATTAGTGTTAGTGTATCTTATGTGTAGCCCAAGACAACTCTTTTTTTTTCTGGTGTGGCCCAGGGAAGCCAAAAGCTTGCCCACCCCCAGGTCTAAGTGATTTGTGGAGAGCTGTGTGCCATGGAAGAACAAGAAGGGAATGGTCACCTTTTCTTGATTAAAAAGCTGGAGAAAGCCTTCAGATCATATCTCATAGATTGTAAAATATGAGCAAGAGTTTTCTAGGCAAATCAGGGTTGAAATGTAGGAAGAGAAATCATTCTTAAGCGGAGGGAACAACCCTTACGAAAGTGCAGAAGTTTGAAAATACATGATCAATTAGAACAAGTGGTGAAGAGCTCAGCATGACTGGAGCATATATGTGTTTGTTGATTTATTTTTGTATTTCAACAGGAGAGCTGTTGACACTTTTGTTAATATTATAGCCTCCAGGTATGCTATGCGATTTAATTTAACAAAACTCAGAAGAATGTATTATCTCTGTTGTACAGATAATGATATCAAGATTTATAAAAGTTATCGGTCTAGAATTATACATCTAGGTAGAGATAGGACTCAAATCTAATTTCAAACCCCATTAAGTATGCATAAGAGTGTTAGCTGGATCTCTTCCGTTTTTCCTTTAGACTCACTCTTTCTTTCCTATCCTATTCCCCTGGCAACTAGCCTGATGGAGTTCATTGACAGGCTCCAAAGCACTCAGGCTTCCAGTGAGGTTTGTCCCATAGGTAGTCTAGTCAAGAAACCAGAGGTAAGGGAGAAGATGAGCGGGGTTTATCCTTTATCCTCAGACTTCCATCTGTGCTGCCATCTTACGCTACCTGTGACTCCCAAACCAAGATCATTGCTCCTCTCCAAGAGGCCCACTATATATCTGACTCTTAGATGTCAGTAACTGCTCACTCCCCTCATCCCTGCAAGTCTAGAGATGGTATCAACTCCATCATACCTTCCTTGTGGTTTCCCCACATACAGCCCACACTTTTATAAATGAGTTCTTTATTAAGCTCTACTCAAGTTACCCTAATTTGAAAGTGCCATCTGTTTTCACCTGGCACAAGATCCATATTCAGGAAGTTATTATCTAAGTGAGAACTGATGAAAGTTTATTGTGGCAGTAGCAGAAGAAATGAAGGTGATAAAGTGGATTCCAGAATGATCTGAGATTAAAAAGGGCTACAAGGAGAGAATGATATTTGCTCTTAAGGTTTGATTTACATTAAGCAATTCTGGTGGGACTTTCTTGAGCCCTTCACATCGTACTGCATAGAAAAAACTCTTAAGCTAAATGAGTATTAGCAAGATGAGACAAAATAAGTGGTTCCAAGCTTGACACCAGAAGACAGATTTCACTGCATTTACCAAAATACAGGGAGCCACATGATTCATTCACAGAGGGTGTTACCAGGCATCAGGTGATGATCCAAGCAAGCAATTAATACCAAGTAGGTACAACAAGAGGTAAATGGGTACTCTGGCAGTTAGATCAAGAAATAGGTTTTATTGACCTGGTCAATCCTGGTTTTGAAGATTCAGATAAGCAGTGAGCATCAAAAAGGAGGTCACCAAATTGCAGGATCTTCATCATGAATTCAGTTCAGCAACAAACTCCAAATCTTGGGGAGGCAGACATAGACAAATCAAAGACTGCACAAGCCACAAGAAGACTGCTACAGTGCTGCATCTCTTGCATTTTTAGAGTTCCTTACAACCACCCAGTTGTCTACCAAACTGGAGCAAGGCTAAAATACTAAAGGTCAGTAGCTCTATTTGTGTGCAGTACAAGACCCTACCTGGCACATTCCATTCATACAGGAGCCCTGCTCTATGGTTTTCGTCAAGCCTATAATTTTTATCATGAGGTCAAGCGGTCTATTTCCATAGTAGCAACACTCTGGTGCGTTTGAGAAAACATCAGTGTTCTTTATCAGTGTCTCTCAAGTTGAGAAATACAAAAGAGCATAGGCATAAAACTAATGCAATTGCATTATCACATTCTGTTTCCTACTGAGATTCCTTTTCATGGTTAAAAAAAAAAAAAGGAATTCAGAAAATGAATTATTTTCAACATCAGCTTCTCTCTGGAGTTTAAAAATGTATTTTGATTTACTGTTTCCAAGGACACTATATGGAAAATGGCTTCTTAAATTAACGCATCAATTACTTATACCAAATGGATAGGAATGATTGTGCTCAAGTAATAAATAACCTTTTATAAGGAAGATTTTATAGGAGATAAAATATAGATGGTCCCTTTGACTTATACAGGTGCTATATTAATCCCTCAGATGTAAATTATAGAGGTGAAGAGTTTATACTTCTTTCCTTTGTGTTGAGCATTCTGATAAATGAGTGTCTAATGTGACAGGAAAAGATAACATAATGAATATCTTATTGTGCTTCAAGGAACATGAAGAAATGACTGACACTATGTTTTGTTCCAGGTGGAAAATAAAAGGCAAGCAGTTCCTGGCCCGTGATATTCCAGTTAGAGGTGTCTGACTGACAGCATGTTGGCACCGAGGGAAGCGATGGGCTTCGGCTCCAGGTGAGTTCAGTATGACTGGGTATGCTAGTTTCCCATGACACAAGATGTGTATTTTTTGGACTTCTATCTACAGAATTAATGATGTAACTCCATCAACCCTTTTACGCTTTCAAAATACGAAAACACTGCATTTCTTTAAAATAGTATAATTTTAAAATTCGATAGTGTCTTTAGGTCAATGCATATACTTTTTAATCCACCTAATTTCAAGTTGTAGAACAGGTAACTATGAATGGATTTCTTTCTGAACTGAGGATCAAAATATCTGAGCTAGAAGTAGAGTAAATGCTAGAACCTCATAAGACTGAAAGCTGTTTGTAGTAGTGATCCAGAGTGGGAAACCAGAGTTATCATTAAGCATTTCAACTGACACATTGTTCAGTGCCACCTTACTGGTAATCACCTGAGGGCCGAGTAACCCTTCAGGACCTCAGGTTTTGTCATTTCCAGAGTTAGGCAATAAGGGCAAGCAGATAATCCAATAACTCAAAAGACTCCTCGATTACCAGTCTTAAAATTACAAGAGGTAAGATCTCTGCCTCCAATTCCAGTTATGATCCACTCTGAGTCTGTACCTTCAGAAATCCATAGCCAGAATATATTAATCACATCATGTAGAAACATTAATATGAAACTTTGGTAAACTGAATAGAATAACAGTTTAGGGAATGAAATATATGTATTATACAGCTTATTTTTTTAAATGATTTTCATACACTGTAAGAACTACATGGTGGGCCTACACATAACTTATGGGTAATTCACATGCAATCTGTCTTCCACAGTTTCAAAGAATAGTAAAGAAGATAAACTCATCAACAGTACTAGGACAAATGCTATAAAATAGATACAAGAAACATGTAATAAGTATTTGGTCTATTTATGAAATACCTCAACAATCCCTCCTCCATAGCAATTCTGTATCTTGTGATTTAATGTGAGTAAATAATTAGGAATATCTGAAAATATTTAAACAGAATTATGTTTTTATAGTCATAAATAGCCCAAATATATACTTGTATAAAATTTATAAAATATTTTTTCTAATAGTAAAATTCTATGGAACTATTTTTTTTTTTTATTTATCTATGGAACTATTAAAACACATGCTTGAGAAAAAATACTTCTGACATGAAAGAAGGAGCAGGCATATATTTAAATTTTAGAAATTGGATTAAAATGTCTTTATAAGATAACTTTTATGTGTATATAGAGAAAAAAGATAAAAGAGACCAATATAGTAATTTATTTTTTATTTTTTATTTTTTATTTTTTTTTATTATTTTACTTTAAGTTTTAGGGTACATGTGCACATTGTGCAGGTTAGTTACATATGTATACATGTGCCATGCTGGTGCGCTGCACCCATTAACTCATCATCTAGCATTAGGTATATCTCCCAGTGCTATCCCTCCCCCTTCCCCCAACCCAACAACAGTCCCCAGAGTGTGATGTTCCCCTTCCTGTGTCCATGTGATCTCATTGTTCAATTCCCACCTATGAGTGAGAATATGTGGGGTTTGGTTTTTTGTTCTTGTGATAGTTTACTGAGAATGATGATTTCCAATTACATCCATGTCCCTACAAAGGACATGAACTCATCATTTTTTATGGCTGCATAGTATTCCATGGTGTATATGTGCCACATTTTCTTAATCCAGTCTATCATTGTTGGACATTTGGGTTGGTTCCAAGTCTTTGCTATTGTGAATAATGCCGCAATAAACATACGGGTGCATGTGTCTTTATAGCAGCATGATTTATAGTCCTTTGGGTATATACCCAGTAATGGGATGGCTGGGTCAAATGGTATTTCTAGTTCTAGATCCCTGAGGAATCGCCACACTGACTTCCACAATGGTTGAACTAGTTTACAGTCCCACCAACAGTGTAAAAGTGTTCCTATTTCTCCACATCCTCTCCAGCACCTGTTGTTTACTGACTTTTTAATGATCGCCATTCTAACTGGTGTGAGATTGTATCTCATTGTGGTTTTGATTTGCATTTCTCTGATGGCCAGTGATGGTGAGCATTTTTTCATGTGTTTTTTGGCTGCATAAATGTCTTCTTTTGAGAAGTGTCTGTTCATGTCCTTCGCCCACTTTTTAATTGGGTTGTTTTTTTCTTGTAAATTTGTTTGAGTTCATTGTAGATTCTGGATATTAGCCCTTTGTCAGATGAGTAGGTTGTGAAAATTTTCTCCCATTTTTTAGGTTGCCTGTTCACTCTGATGGTAGTTTCTTTTGCTGTGCAGAAGCTCTTTAGTTTAATTAGATCCCATTTGTCAATTTTGGCTTTTGTTGCCATTGCTTTTGGTGTTTTAGACATGAAGTCCTTGCCCATGCCTATGTCCTGAATGGTAATGCCTAGGTTTTCTTCTAGGGCTTTTATGGTTTTAGGTCGAACGTTTAAGTCTTTAATCCATCTTGAATTGATTTTTGTATAAGGTGTAAGGAAGGGATCCAGTTTCAGCTTTCTACATATGGCTAGCCAGTTTTCCCAGCACCATTTATTAAATAGGGAATCCTTTCCCCATTGCTTGTTTTGGTCAGGTTTGTCAAAGATCAGATAGTTGTAGATATGCAGCATTATTTCTGAGGGCTCTGTTCTGTTCCATTGATCTATATCTCTGTTTTGGTACCAGTACCATGCTGTTTTGGTTACTGTAGCCTTGTAGTATAGTTTGAAGTCAGGTAGTGTGATGCCTCCAGCTTTGTTCTTTTGGCTTAGGATTGACTTGGCAATGCGGGCTTTTTTTTTGGTTCCATATGAACTTTAAAGTAGTTTTTTCCAATTCTGTGAAGAAAGTCATTGGTAGCTTGATGGGGATGGCATTGAATCTGTAAATTACCTTGGGCAGTATGGCCATTTTCACGATATTGATTGTTCCTACCCATGAGCATGGAATGTTCTTCCATTTGTTTGTATCCTCTTTTATTTCCTTGAGCATTGGTTTGTAGTTCTCCTTGGAGAGGTCCTTCACATCCCTTGTAAGTTGAATTCCTAGGTATTTTATTCTCTTTGAAGCAATTGTGAATGGGAGTTCACTCATGATTTGGCTCTCTGTTTGTCTGTTGTTGGTGTATAAGAATGCTTGTGATTTTTGTACATTGATTTTGTATCCTGAGACTGCTGAAGTCGCTTATCAGCTTAAGGAGATTTTGGGCTGAGACGATGATGGGGTTTTCTAGATATACAATCATGTCTTCTGCAAACAGGGACAATTTGACTTCCTCTTTTCCTAATTGAATACCCTTTATTTCCTTCTCCTGCCTGATTGCCCTGGCCAGAACTTCCAACACTATGTTGAATAGGAGTGGTGAGAGAGGGCATCCCTGTCTTGTGCCAGTTTTCAAAGGGAATGCTTCCAGTTTTTGCCCATTCAGTATGATATTGGCTGTGGGTTTGTCATAGAGAGCTCTTATTATTTTGAAATACATCCCATCAATACCTAATTTATTGAGTTTTTAGCATGAATGGTTGTTGAATTTTGTCAAAGGCCTTTTCTGTATCTATTGAGATAATCATGTGGTTTTTGTCTTTGGCTCTGTTTATATGCTGGATTATATTTATTGATTTGCATATATTGAACCAGCCTTGCATCCCAGGGATGAAGCCCTCTTGATCATGGTTGATAAGCTTTTTGATGTGCTGCTGGATTCGTTTTGCCAGTATTTTATTGAGGATTTTTGCATCAATATTCATCAAGGATATTGGTCTAAAATTCTCTTTTTTGGTTGTGTCTCTGCCCGGCTTTGGTATTAAAATGATGCTGGCCTCATAAAATGAGTTAGGGAGGATTCCCTCTTTTTCTGTTGATTGGAATAGTTTCAGAAGGAATGGTACCAGTTCCTCCTTGTACCTCTGCGAGAATTCAGCTGTGAATCCATCTGGTCCTGGACTCTTTTTGGTTGGTAAGCTATTGATTATTGCCATAATTTCAGATCCTGTTATTGGTCTATTCAGAGATTCAACTTCTTCCTGGTTTAGTCTTGGGAGAGTGTATGTGTCGAGGAATTTATCCATTTCTTCTAGATTTTCTAGTTTATTTGCATAGAGGCGTTTGTAGTATTCTCTGATGGTAGTTTGTCTTTCTGTGGGATCGGTGGCGATATCCCCTTTATCATTTTTTATTGCATCTATTTGATTCTTCTCTCTTTTCTTCTTTATTAGTCTTGCTAGCAGTCTATTTTGTTGATCTTTTCAAAAAACCAGCTCCTGGATTCATTGATTTTTTTGAAGGGTTTTTTGTGTCTCTATTTCCTTCAGTTCTGCTCTGATCTTACTTATTTCTTGCCTTCTGCTAGCTTTTGAATGTGTTTGCTCTTGCTTTTCTAGTTCTTTTAATTGTGATGTTAGGGTGTCAATTTTGGATCTTACCTGCTTTCTCTTGTGGGCGTTTAGTGCTATAAATTTCCCTCTACACACTGCTTTGAATGTGTCCCAGAGATTCTGGTATGTTGTGTCTTTGTTCTCGTTGGTTTCAAAGAACATCTTTATTTCTGCCTTCATTTCATTATGTACCCAGTAGTCATTCAGGAGCAGGTTGTTCAGTTTCCATGTAGTTGAGCAGCTTTGAGTGAGATTCTTAATCCTGAGTTCTAGTTTGATTGCACTGTGGTCTGAGAGATAGTTTGTTATAATTTCTGTTCTTTTACATTTTCTGAGGAGACCTTTACTTCCAAGTATGTGGTCAATTTTGGAATAGGTGTGGTGTGGTGCTGAAAAAAATGTATATTCTGTTGATTTGGGGTGGAGAGTTCTGTAGATGTCTATTAGGTCCGCTTGGTGCAGAGCTGAGTTCAATTCCTGGGTATCCTTGTTGACTTTCTGTCTGGTTGATCTGTCTAATGTTGACAGTGGGGTGTTAAAGTCTCCCATTATTAATGTGTGGGAGTCTAAGTCTCCTTGTAGGTCACTCAGGACTTGCTTTATGAATCTGGGTGCTCCTGTGTTGGGTGTATATATATTTAGGATAGTTAGCTCTTCTTGTTGAATTGATCCCTTTACCACTATGTAATGGCCTTCTTTGTCTCTTTTGATCTTTGTTGGTTTAAAGTCTGTTTTATCAGAAACTAGGATTGCAACCCCTGCCTTTTTTTGTTTTCCATTTGCTTGGTAGATCTTCCTCCATCCTTTTATTTTGAGCCTGTGTGTGTCTCTGCATGTGAGATGGGTTTCCTGAATACAGCACACTGATGGGTCTTGACTCTTTATCCAATTTGCCAGTCTGTGTCTTTTAATTGGAGCATGTACTCCATTTACATTTAAAGTTAATATTGTTATGTGTGAATTTGATCCTGTCATTATGATGTTAGCTGGTTATTTTGCACGTTAGTTGATGCAGTTACTTCCTAGTCTCGATGGTCTTTACATTTTGGCATGATTTTGCAGCGGCTGGTACCAGTTGTTCCTTTCCATGTTTAGCGCTTCCTTCAGGAGCTGTTTTAGGGCAGGCCTGGTGGTGACAAAATCTCTCAACATTTGCTTGTCTGTAAAGGATTTTATTTCTCCTTCACTTATGAAGCTTAGTTTGGCTGGATATGAAATTCTGGGTTGAAAATTCTTTTCTTTAAGAATGTTGAATATTGGCCCCCACTCTTTTCTGGCTGGTAGGGTTTCTGCCGAGAGATCTGCTGTTAGTCTGATGGGCTTCCCTTTGAGGGTAACCCGACCTTTCTCTCTGGCTGCCCTTAACATTTTTTCCTTCATTTCAACTTTGGTGAATCTGACAATTATGTGTCTTGGAGTTGCTCTTCTCGAGGAGTATCTTTGTGGCGTTCTCTGTATTTCCTGAATCTGAACGTTGGCCTGCCTTGCTAGATTGGGGAAGTTCTCCTGGATAATATCCTGCAGAGTGTTTTCCAACTTGGTTCCATTCTCCCCATCACTTTCAGGTACACCAATCAGATGTAGATTTGGTCTTTTCACATAGTCCCATATTTCTTGGAGGCTTTGCTCATTTCTTTTTATTCTTTTTTCTCTAAACTTCCCTTCTCGCTTCATTTCATTCATTTCATCTTCCATTGCTGATACCCTTTCTTCCAGTTGATTGCATCGGCTCCTGAGGCTTCTGCATTCTTCACGTAGTTCTGGAGCCTTGGTTTTCAGCTCCATCAGCTCCTTTAAGCACTTCTCTGTATTGGTTATTCTAGTTATACATTCTTCTAAATTTTTTTCAAAGTTTTCAACTTCTTTGCCTTTGGTTTGAATGTCCTCCCGTAGCTCAGAGTAATTTGATCGTCTGAAGCCTTCTTCTCTCAGCTCGTCAAAGTTATTCTCCATCCAGCTTTGTTCTTTTGCTGGTGAGGAACTGCGTTCCTTTGGAGGAGGAGAGGCACTCTGCATTTTAGAGTTTCCAGTTTTTCTGTTCTGTTTTTTCCCCATCTTTGTGGTTTTATCTACTTTTGGTCTTTGATGATGGTGATGTACAGATGGGTTTTTGGTGTGGATGTCCTTTCTGTTTGTTAGTTTTCCTTCTAACAGACAGGACCCTCAGCTGCAGGTCTGTTGGAGTACTCTGCTGTGTGAGGTGTCAGTGTGCCCCTGCTGGGGGGTGCCTCCCAGTTAGGCTGCTCGGGGGTCAGGGGTCAGGGACCCACTTGAGGAGGCAGTCTGCCCGTTCTCAGATCTCCAGCTGCGTGCTGGGAGAACCACTGCTCTCTTCAAAGCTGTCAGACAGGGACATTTAAGTCTGCAGAGGTTACTGCTGTCTTTTTGTTTGTCTGTGCCCTGCCCCCAGAGGTGGAGCCTACAGAGGTAGGCAGGCCTCCTTGAGCTGTGGTGGACTCCACCCAGTTCGAGCTTCCCAGCTGCTTTGTTTACCTAAGCACGCCTGGGCAATGGTGGGCGCCCCTCCCCCAGCCTCGTTGCCGTCTTGCAGTTTGATCTCAGACTGCTGTGCTAGCAATCAGCGAGACTCCGTGGGCATAGGACCCTCCGAGCCACGTGCGGGATATAATCTCCTGGTGCACTGTTTTTTAAGCCCGTCGGAAAAGCGCAGTATTCGGGTGGGAGCGACCCGATTTTCCAGGTGCCATCTGTCACCCCTTTCTTTGACTAGGAAAGGGAACTCCCTGACACCTTGCACTTCTGGAGTGAGGCAATGCCTCGCCCTGCTTCGGCTCACGCACGGTGCACGCACCCACTGACCTGCGCCCACTGTCTGGCACTCCCTAGTGAGATGAACCCTGTACCTCAGATGGAAATGCAGAAATCACCTGTCTTCTGCGTCGCTCACGCTGGGAGCTGTAGACCGGAGCTGTTCCTATTCGGCCATCTTGGCTCCTCCCCAGTAATTTTTAATTCTTTTTTTTATTTTTAACTTGTTGTTACAATCAATTTTTTTCTATAGGAAAAAAGTAACTTCTAATTTTGAAAATTGTCAATTAAATTGTTTCATAAAAATAGGATAGAAGAATAATGAGGTTGTGAAAAAATAGTCACCATATTTTCTAGAGGGATTAAAATCAAGTTATAATACAGAATTGGAGTAAAATTCTATTTGTGTTAAAAGCATATTTAAATATATTTTTATTTTATACTAAGGAAAATTATGAATTCGGGAGAGTCATGGTAGTAATTCCTATCTAGTAAATGCGTAAAGTCCTTTAAAAGGAAAGAAATTTGAGTAGGGACTTCAAGGGTAACCATACAGAAATGTGCTTTTAATAGTGTTTATAATAATCAAAATTGACCTATTTACATGGATAAACATACATATTATGCTCACTTATATTGTTCTGCTTCATTTTGTGGAAAAGTATAAATAATACATATTTCATAAATTTAAATATTATATTTGTGTCAAGTGTAAGCAGAATAGCCATACTGATATACTCAATGCTATCTTTCATCATATACTTAAACTTTAAAATACTGCATTTTTAATAAAAATTACATTATATAATCACAATAAGATTTTTCTTTATCAAATATTCAAAGTTACTTCTGTTTCAATGCTTTTTCTGCAGTTCTTTATCCAGTTTGAGTGACACATGAATGAGTTGTACATTTGTTTACATTTGAAAACTCAAACATACAAGAAATTGTTTTTATGTGAAAATGTCATTTTAAAAATAAACTCTGTAGAAATATTGTTAACAGTCTCTTTCTCAGACTTCTCTGTTCTTGTCTTCCCCATAGACTGTGGTTTCCAGGTCCATTCTTGCCCTTTTTATTCTCTGTGTGTGTTCTATTTGAATGATCTCACTTATGTCCATGGCTTCGATATTCCCAATTCTGTGACTCTAACCAAAGGCACACTCTAATTGTGTACTAGATCAACATACCAAATGAACTGCAGGTCTCCTAAACTGTTTCCAGTGCTGATGTCTGGTTTTTCCTTCCTCCCTTGAGCGCTCATTTGTGTAACTTCTTCAGGTAGATACTCCTGGAGCTCCCAGCCCTAAGTAGTGTATTCCTATAGCTCTGCTTTATCTCATAGTACTTCTTATGCTCTGGTGTTTTGTTTTGTTTTGTTTCCTACAGACTGAGTATCTGACTCCTGAACTAGGTGGTAAATGAGTATAACCTTGAGTATGAGTACTGTCCATTATCTCTGGTGTCCTCATTATATTGTGACCCATGTCATCCAAAATCAGAGCAGTACTATGGCAAAAGAAAACAGACCAGCTGTAATTTCAAAATAACTCATATTCTCTTTGTAGAACATGATGTAGTACAAGTAGACCACATTCATCACATAGCTCTATGTAACTTTTTAAATTTAAACTTCCTAGGGACATCCTCCATTATTAAATCAACCTTATCCAGGCCCTGTCTCTTTCAGAAACCTCTTTAAAAGTGTTTTCTTGGCCAGGCGCTGTGGCTTGAGCCTGTAATCTCAGCACTTTGTGAGGCTGAGGTGGGCAGATCACGAGGTCAAGAGATTGAGACTATCCTGGCCAACATGGTGAAACCCTGTCTCTACTAAAAATATAAAAGTTAGCTGGGCATGGTGGCACATGCCTGTAGTCCCAGCTGCATGGGAGGCTGAGGCAGAAGAATCGTTTGAACCCAGGAGGCAGAGGTTGCAGTGAGACAAGATCACGCCACTGCACTTCAGCCTGGTGACAGAGTAGTGAGACTCTGTCTCAAAAAACAAGTGTTTTCTCTTCTGGCCCTCCCCATTATCAAGTTTCAAAAAGCAAAATACTCCTTGATAGCAAGGGGTATAGAGGAAGGGCTGCCCAGGTTGACTGAGTAGACTCAAGTTAACTTTACTGGTCCAAAGGGGCAAGTTTGTGAATATAAGCATTTTAATTGTTAATTTACTCTTGATAATCCTTCATCATTCTTTCTTGTGTTCTTCTCCCCCAGTATGCACATCCTAAATGTGGGAGCTAACAAACACTAAGTGGAGACTAGAAGGATCACAGAGTTAGTGACATAGTAAAATAGGTATAGCGGACAGATATGGTATCTATTGCTTAGGCTCAATTATCTACTCTGCCATGTATGAGTTATACAGACCAGAGCATATAAGTCTCTTCGAACCTCTGAGACTTAAATCATTTATTTGTTCTAAATAGTCTCTATTTTATAAATCAACTACTGTATTTGTGAAAGCCTTTTACAAATATTTTATAAATGTTTAAGTACTTTATAAGTGTGAAAACTAATTGATATTACCAAGTGAAATAATAGCTTACCAAAGCATCAAGTTTAAAGAAAATAACTGGCTTCAAAAAATTAAGTTTTCTTCCAAAATGCAAATTGTGTGTGTGTGTGTGTGTGTGTGTGTGTGTATAGAGAGAGAGATGACTGCTACTGTATTAGGTGTGAAATTAAGTTTGTTCTTTATTTTCTTTCACCAAATACAAGGTCAGGTATCACTAGTCGAGTTTACAAATAAAATATTCAGATTAGTTAATATTCTAATAACAGTAGTAATGGATTTTTCCATGTTAATCATTTTTTCCACTTTATGGCATTGTGAGTCTGTCTTTGTTGTTGTTCCCATAGTGAAATATCTCTTTACTTTGTGTAAGTGATCTTTACATATTTGCAAAGAAAATTCCCTCCTTTTAAGTTTAATGTAAATTGCCTGCCCATCAAATCAGCATTGTTCAATAGTTTTTAAGGTGCTCTCTCTGTCCTTTGATAACAAAGGGAATTCAGTTCTGGACAAAAACTCAAGATAATGAGCTTGGCAACATAAAGCATCTTCCTTTTATGAAATCCACTCACAAAATAATGTGGTATGAAATTTAAAGGCAAAGAATATTAAGATAGCATTGATTCATTGATCTGGAAATTAATTCTAACCATGTAATATTAATAACACTTCATGATCTGAAATTTAAGCTGCAGCTAACATCATGCAGCAACAAAAGTTATTTAATATTGCCAACAACTGTAGTAAAGTTGAATTTTAACGGTTGACATTATATTTTCTGGAGCACTACAATACTTTTCAAAGTGTAATAAAATATTGAAAATGATCAGAAGATGAAACGTTGTTCACATGAAGCAGAGTTCATTAGTCATTTAAGAATATATGCCTATAATACATAAAAACAAGTTTTATGTTAGTTGTACCCAAACAACTTAGGCTTCCAAACAATATGTAGTAAAATCTGAGTGAATTAGCTTTCTACTCGCCAACCTCTCAACTGCATTTTCTTCCCGTGTCCTTTATTCACATATCTCAAGAAAATGCAAATGACATGAAAATAAGCTAGGGCTAGAAGAATGAAATTGACTCTGAAAAAGATGGCTCTCAATGACTAAAGAAAGAGGCAATATTTCAAACAATATTAAGAATCTATGAACATTGCACTGCATTAGATGTATGGGAAAAATAGATAGATATTAATAATATACTTGTAATTTATCCATCATAGGAGATGCACGGTGTATTTAGATACTAAATAGTATGTTATTATGTACACACACGCATTCCTTTACATAACTATACTATTAGTGTTAGGTGCTAAAAGATAAGGAGAGATCAGACACCAATTGTTTTCCAGAAGACAGACCAGTAATTTTTGTTAAAGCAACTGAGAAGGCTTCTTGAGGAAAGCTGAATTTGATATAAATCCAATAGGGCAGATGTGTGGGCTGGGAATGGCATTGCAGATGTAGGGAATAGTACATACAGAAATGGTGAATTTGAATGTAGAGGGCACTTAGGAAAGGACAGCTAGCAATGCTTTCATAATAAAGGGTAGTAATAATGGAAGGTAATACTGAAAAGAAAACACAGAGATTGATTTAGGTGGGTTTTAAGTGTTCGCCCGAAGAGTTCTTTATTTCATGCTCCTCCTCCAGCAGTGGGTATAGTTTACATTGTGTTGTACCCCCAGTGAAATCACAAGTAGAAATGCTTTTAAATATTCTAATATAGAAATACTCAATATTTTATACTGGTTAAGTATATAATGGTTATTACAAAATCTGTGATGTTTATAGCGGTGCTTAAATATCACAAAACTAATAAGCAAAATTAATCTCCTAAGGCATATAAAATATAAACTTCAATGAACACTTTTTCCTGCAATACCTAATTATATTTAATTTTCCACAACACTAATAGTCTTAAGGTTACAAATCAACAATTCTTGAACCTATTAAAACTAATCTTGGTGTGCTACAGGAAAGCTTTTTCCATTTGTAATAAATACAATTCCAATTTATGATATAACACTGAAAATGTACAGCTTAAAATACAAATTTTATTTCAGTGACTTTTATCTCTCTAAACAAATGCTCATGGGTAAACTATACCTTTGATTTCTCAAAACACTTGCATAAGTAGTTCTTTATTAAATTTTCTCTTGAAATCTTCACATTAACCCTAGTTAGAAATTTTGGCTTTAGCTTTCAACTATCATTTTTGTCAACAATAAGTCATATATATTTGAAGCTTATGATTTTTATTTCTACCCTTTCTCAGTTATTTTAATGATACAATTATCTTCACATTCAGTGAAATTTTAAATCATAGAGTTTGGTTTTTTCTTTCTCTTTTCTGCTCTTTTTCTCTGTTGTATGCATTCATCATGTATTTACTGAAAAAAATACATCGTTCCAAGATCTGAGTCCTCTTTCATAGCCTCCTTGATATCTTCCTTTTTTCTTTCCATATTCCCTGGCTTTATCCCCTTCAACACAATTTGGGCAAATACAACTAAAAATTTGTATGATGATGATCCCTTTCTGTCTTAATATCCACTATTTTTCCTGTTTTATTGTACTGTTTCCCAGCAATTCTTCTGAGATGATTAACACTACCATACAGTTATTCTCAAAAAATATTAATGTTTCTTTTGCTCATACTGAGTTTTCAAGGGCTTGACTTAGGAAAATATTAGGTAAGTATAAGATAGGTAGAATTTAGAAGTACAAGCCTGGAACGTATAAGAGAAGTTGGCCAGGTGCAGTGGCTGATGCCTGTAATCCCAGCACTTTAGGAGGATGAAGCAGGAGGATCGCTTGAGCCTGGGAGTCTAGACCAGCCTGGGCAACATAGAAAGACCCCATTTCTACAAAAACTTAAAAAAAATTTTCTAGGCATGGTGCTGTACATCTGTACTCCCAGCTACTTAGGAGGCTGAGGTGGGAGGATCTCTTTAGCCCAGGAGTTCAAAGCTACAGTAAGCCATGACCATGACACTGTACTCTAGCCTGGGTGATAAAGCCAGACCCTAACTCAAAACAAACAAACAAACAAAGGGAGATTAGTATATAGATTTGAGATTCTTTCTCACAAGTCATCATCTATCTAGCATTACAATGAAACAAAGATAAAAGGAAAAAAGGTGCATAGAAGAAAATTTTTTGAGACACGACATTAGAAGTTAGCATAATGAGTGAGAGAAGGAATAATCTCAGTTTAGTTATGCAGGTAGGTAAGGTAGAAGAGTTTTTTTTAAAAAATTTTGTCATCTGAATGCTGAAAAAAATGAGAAGTACTGAAAAAAGACCACTATATTTAATATTACTGTTATAATAATAAAAACATGCTTTAAAAAAACTAATGTGAAGTGAAGCACATATTCTTTTAGTTATCCAAAACCATAAATCACTCTTCAAAGATTATTTATATAATATAGAACCTCCTTCAAGGTCCTGTATGTAAGACCTTAAATACCAAACATTCAGCAGTCACCCTCCTGTTAGAGATGACATATTACCTTAAAAACTCAACTTTGACTATATTAAATATACACATTTTTGTTTTTCTGGAGAGGGAAATATGTGAATTTCTGTTTAGTAAGGCAACAATTTTATCCTACCCTGTAATAAGAACTTTCTCACATTTTAGGCAGCACATGGGCAACTACTGCCTCTCTACAGTAGTATAAGTGATCATTGCCACTAAAAATTTGTGAGCAAATTGTAGATTTGTGATAATTTAATTTTGTACTGCTACAACCTACTATAATAGTTGAATAACACTATCTGTAATATATACTAGTTATAATATAAACACTGTAATATAGACAATTATATACCAGCTGCTAAAGTCAAAGGTATTGCTACTCGGTATTGACTATTTAGAAATTATAGTAAACATATTTTATTTGTGGAAATTTACAAATTCTATTACTAACACAAGAGATGATTAGTATTTCATGCACTCTAGCTAGGAGTTGAAAGCAAGGACAGAAGGTGCTTCATTCAAACATATTCTAACATTACTAGCAACAAATTTCATAAAAAGTAGAGATATGTGGTATGCCTATCCTTGTACTGAATCCCACAAAACTTTAGCTTTCAAGTATCTGTCAAAGGGAATAAGCTAATTTTTAAAGCAATTATTTTTAGAGATACGAAGGACAATAAGAACATCTAGGCTCTTTTAAAAACTCCTTGTGATAGGAGATGGTTTTTATTTCAAAAGCATGTTACATGTAACACAGGACCATGTTTCTTTTAAAAAGTTTCTAAACAAGGAAAGGAAAGTGAAAGCGTACTGGAAAGGCAAGGAAAGTGTTTCGGGCAAGGAAAGTGTCATCAGTGTGCTGTATTGTTGAAATGACTTTAGGGCTTTTGTAGCAACATGAGTTGTTATAACTTTAAAATTTGCTTTTATTTTTATAAATAGGAGCTCATGATCTAGTAATCAAATAGTATTATATTAAGAGGCTTATAATAACAGCAACAGAATAATGGCAGCTTGTTTGACACTTCTCTATGCTATAGTCCTGTTCAATAGAGAAAGCAATGTTTAGCTCGTGTATCTGGTCCTTTTGGTAACTACCTTAATTGTTTTTAATTTAATATGCTTGTATTATTATCTTGATTTATCAACTTTAAACATTACCTAATAACTTCTATTATGATGCCTACATAGGAATTAGGACAGGTGCACCAATTACAGGACTCTTTTCCCACTATTCTCTCAATGTGTTGTTTCTGGTGAAATCATTATTTCCTATTTACATGATTATGACTACATAAATATTATTCTCTAGGTTTACATTTTTAGCACAATATATTTATTTTTCCTGAAGTTTATAAAGTTGTTAGTGATGATTTCAAATTTCAAATATACAAAATAATGAAAATATTTTAATTCCATCCTTCATATGTTTAGATTTCACTCCTCTAGCCTTTCATCCTTCTGCTCCCCTCTCACTGGTTGCTCTCTAAGACTCCCTGTCTTTGTTTTTCTCTGTTGGACTTCTTGTTCCTAGATCGCACTTCATTCTCCTTGATTTCAATACCTCATATTTGCAGAAGTACAACTTCTAGTATCTTTCTAAAAAATACGGCCCATGAGAAGTATACATTTTAGATGTGTACTTCTCTTCAATGAGCTTACCTCCTCCACCCTTCCATCTGATTGAGCATTTTCTTGAGATTTTAAGTTGAAGATTATTCTTGCTCACAATTATGAAAAGATCACTTTGATGCCAGCCTGATTCCCTTTTTGTTTGTAGATGACTTGTTTTACTTTTTAAATTGTTTTGTTGTATGCTTTTTCTTTGTAGGAAACGTTTAAGCATTTCTGAAATTCTTGATATACCTTTGTGTGGAACTGATTTCGTTTGGAGATCGATTTTTTTGTGTGTGCTCAGAAATTTTCTTCTATAGTTTAATTGATAATTTAGTCTTATCAACTGCAACTGTCACAAATATTTTTTTAATGATTAATCAGCCATTGGACCTTCTGCATTGCTCTCCTCTTCCTGTCTTTTGTCGTTTTCCATCTCTTTGTGTCTTTCTTTTAACTTTTGATAGATTTTCTTGATTTTTATCTTCCACTCTTCTATTCATTACAATATTTTATTTGAAAAAAAAAACTAACAGAAAGGGTGTAAAAATATACAACACCTCACTATCTTTTACCCAGATTATCTGTAGAGTTAACATTTGTCTTATTTGCTTCCTTTTTCTGTACATACACACACACACACACACACACACACCCCCCACACACACAGTCCTTTTTTTTTCCTTAGTCATTTTACGTTACATGGTCTTTCACCAGTAAATATTTCAATGTGTGTTTTCTAAGATAAAGATAGTCTTACTTACCTACAGTATGGTAGTAAGATTCAGTAAATGTGACATTGATAAAATACTTTGATAGAATTAGAATACTAGCAGTATATTACATCAATTGAGCCAATTCTTTATAGCATGATTTTCCTCCAGCATGGAGTCCAACCTAGAATCATGTATTGCAATTAGTTGTCATATCTCTTCAGTCCCCTTCAATCTGGAAAACCTCTCCAGCTTTTCTTGCCTTTCACGACAATACCATTTTTTAAAGATAAAATTCCCCCTGTTTTTAATAGAATGTTCTTGTTTTTGGTTTGTCTTATGTTCTACTGGTTTTTTAAATTTTATTTTTCATACTTTTCCAATAACTTTTTTGTTATTTTTTATAGCATTCATTTTTTGATTTAGTACAACACATACTGTTTTCTCACTCCAACATTGGTTATGTGTAATATTTCCCTGTTCTTTGATTATAGACATTATCTCTATTTCAGTCCTTTTTAGTTGTTACTGTAGGTCTCAACTACTCATGCTGAAATTTTGCTTCCATTGCTGATGATCTGTGGCTCTTCATTCATATTTCACAAGGGAATTTTAGAATGGGGGCTTGGGTAATATAATTGGTGTTCTAGAAACCAAAAAGGGAAAGAAGGTTACAGGTCCCTTGATTATGTGAACTTCCAATAATAGCTCTGATCAAAATCTAACATTTAACAGGTTTAATTTATTCACAGAATAGTATACTTCGGATTCAAGGGATTGAGAGAAAGGGAGGTGATGGGAATGAAGAGGTAATTGCCCACTGTAGAGGAAGAGAGAGCAACCACCTTAGAACTTGATGAATTTTTCTCTGTTCAGAACTGCAGTTCATTCGTGCCTTCTAAAGCACTCAGTTTTTCCAAGTGGTGAGTTGCTCACAGCTTCTCTGAGTGATTTGCTAACTTCTTGTGGGGGCTCCACACTGTGGGCATATAGGCAGTACTTTCTCAGCCCTGCTATATGAATCATTTCTCCACCTGCTTCCCATCCTCCACAATTTATTGAATTATGGCACAGGGATTAAGTGTATGACTTTACAACGACACTGCTTGGACTTGAATACTAGCTTTGCCACTTACTGAATATGTGATAATCAGCAAATTGCTTAATGATTCACCATTTCCTCATTTATAAAATGGAGGTAATGATAGGAATGTTATGGTTGCTAAATGAATTAGAACAGTGTGGGACACATAATATCAGCTGCTCTCAATTACACTATTGTCTTTTCTACTATCTTTAGTTTTTTTTTTTTTACTTCTATAAATTGGCTTTTTAAAAATTATTTTCCCATAATTTGTCTGAAGCTTGGAGAAGGAAAAGAGATTGATACCTACTGTTAATTCATCAGTCTTTGTTTAAAAAAAAAAAAATCAGGGCTTTTAATTTTATCCTCTGCCATTTTTTTCCCCTGAGCAGTAAAACTATTATGTAATTTGTAAGTTCTCTTGAATATACTCTATTTCATCTTAAGACCAGAAAGAATCAGGACTTTCTTAATCTATATATTAAAAAAATCATTCTAAGATATTTTACTAGAATTAATTATATGTGTGAGTGTCATAGCTCTTAAATCATTATTATTTTGAGATACTGCTATTCATGTGAGAATTTATGTTAGGAATGAATTAAGGACACATTCTTAATTAATATTATATAACCTTACAAAAAGAGATTTCTATTTTACTATGTATTAAACAGGCAAACAGAAACCCTATCTTATGTGCACAGACATTTATGTTATAGAAATTCACAATTATTTAAATATTTATAAAATGAGAGTTGAAAGCAGCACTTTTGAAAAGCAGTTAATAATGAACAGACATCAAGGGAGCTATCATTATAACAG
Source organism: Homo sapiens (assembly GCF_000001405.40). Lineage (NCBI taxonomy): Eukaryota > Metazoa > Chordata > Mammalia > Primates > Hominidae > Homo > Homo sapiens. Next base: position 9,921,159 of record NC_000009.12, on the reverse strand, counting down.
CAAAGTGCTTTGCAACTCCAATAACTTCAGTGGTGCAGAAGCAGGCCATCAAATTTAATTAAAAGCAGTCAAAAATAAACTGAGAAATTGAACTGTAAAAGGCTGTCCTTTGCCAGGAGCTAAAGGCAAAAAGAAAGCAAGGTAGAGCCTTGAAAGTAGTAATGAATTGATAAGCCTTAGTGCCTGCAACTTGTAATTCGCTCTGTCAGATTTTAGTATCAGTTAAACTAGATTAATAGAGCAATCACTGATCTTCTATCTTAAATCCTTCTTCGTTCATCCTGCGTTATAGGCTCCCATGATAGATGGAAGCCGGAGTGGGTCAAAATTTCTATTCACTTCTCTACTCAGTTTTTAAATAATGCTGGCATCTACATTTTCTGGACATCAGAATTCTGATATGTTAAAAGCAGGAATAAATTTAGTTATCGACAGGCTATAGCCCTCCTTTCTAAAGAGGCTTAACTCCTTCTTATTCAACTGAGGAAGAAATCCCCTGGAACCTGAGCAGTGAGCAATTGGCATCTCCTTCTACCACTAGGGGCTACCATGGTGAAGTGAATGATAAAGAGGACGTAACAAATTTATTGTTGCTTTAAACGTTCAGATTAATGTGGATCTGCAGAAACAGTACCACAAGGACAAAAACAATTTGCCCTCCATCATTTTATTTTTATAATAATGTTCTTTAATGAAGCTAAAGCCTCCCTGCTGTGACCTTATTATGTTTTTCAACATCAGTGAGAAATAGATTCCTTCGAATTGTTAGAGAGCTCATGAAACAGCAGGGATATTGAAGTAGAGGATCAATTACCTTTTAGCAGTAATTTTGAACTTTAAATGGCTATAGCACAGCCTATGTAAACAAGAAGACAAATCAGCTTATTGAAAAGCAGTGTGCAAATTATCCAGACCACAAAAAGCTGAGGTAAACAAACTGTTCTGTTTTCTAATATCCTTCAACGTTTGCACAGTGTCTCATCAAAGAGCAAGTGCCTGAGACACTGTTTTGGAAGACACAAACCAAAACTGACAACAATTTTGTCACTGATTTAAATGTAAAACTTAAAACATGTCTAAGAAATTTGAAAATTGCTAACATTGCTGCTTATGGGTTAAATCCCGTTTATTGTAACCTCAAGAAAAGATCTTTGATTATGATGAAAAAAAACTTCAAGGTGTATATGAAGATAGAAACAGAAAAGCGTATAGGTGTTACAAATGTAACAGATTATTACTGCATTTATGAAATACTGTAATTCCTGAAGTCCTATTATATCCACATGTCACTCAATCCTGGCAGCAGCTTAGTAAGACATGAATTCAAACAGGCATTGATATCTTACAAATGCTGCAGTAACGAAGACTGAGGCTCACTCAGGCAGGTTAAATAGTTAGCACCAGGTCATACAAGCACCTGAAACTACCTAATATAGCCCGTTGTTCTTTCTCTTTAGTATTTATGAGAACTCCCAACTTTTAAAATGCAAATCATTAAGCTGCAATATAGTCTGCCTTACCAAAGTCTGTAATTTCCATTTCCATCTGCTGCATTCAGGCAGGAACTTCTCATTTGTGCTGATAGGGGAGTTACATGAATCATTGGGCCTTTAGACAATGCAAGCTCTTAAGTGTACTTCATTTGAATAATTATCCGAATGCGGCACATGCAGGACTCCACAGCCATCTAAAGGGTGGGAAACTGAGTTCACTGGTAAGGGAGGTGTCTGAAAAGCTTCTGCAAAAATGGCACATGAGTTGAAAGATACATTCCTTCCTGTGGGGGGACTTTGATTCCTGCCCAAAGAGAGACTGGGTTGAGGTGAAGTTTGGGCCAAGCCACCAATTCACCCAGCTCAATGGAATTGACTCAGAGAGATGACTGGAGGTCAAGGTAATAGGGTCCTGAAACTAGTTAGAAGGAAGAGAGGGTATGTTTTTAAGAGGTGCTAAATCAGTATGAAAAGTAGAGTAACAAAAAATTAGGAGCAAAAACACCCTAAAATTTAAATAATATGACTTATTCATTTTATATAAATCAAATATTGTCATTCATTTGGATATTTTAACTTTTTTAAAGCTATTTTTAGTTGTTTAACATTAGCAAATAAAAGGCTGCCAGATGTTATTCTATCTCCTCAACATCAAGATTAGTATGATTAATTAAAATTAGAATAAAAAACAATAATGGCATTCATTGATCTGTAACTATATGCCATTTTTCTGAGGACTGTACTGTATATTTAGGTATTGATTAATTTTGAATTGATGTTTGTATAGGGTTGGAGGCAGGGGTCTAATTCTTCTGCAGGTGGCTATCCAGTTCTCCTAGCACCATTTATTAAAGATACTACCTTTTCAACAGTGAATATTCTCGATACCCATGCCAAAAATCAGATGGCTATAGATACGTGGATTAATTTCTGCATTCTCTATTGGTTCTATTGGTCTCTTTCTGTTTTTATGCCAGTGTTATGCTGTTTTACAGTTACTACAGCTTTGTAGTGTATTTTGAAGTCTGGTAGCGTCACGCCTTCAGTTTTGCTGTTTTGTCTCAGGATGGCTTTGGCTACTTGAAGTATTTTGTGCTTCCATTTACATCTTATGATTTTTTTTCTATTTATTTGAAGAATATCCTTGACATTTTGATAGAGATTTAATCGAATCAGATTGCTTTGGATAGTTTTGTGATTCTAACAATATTCTTCTAATCCATGAGCATGGGGTGTCTTTTTATTTGTATCTTCTTCAATTATTTTTATCAATGTTTTGTAGTTTTCATTGTGGAGTTTTTTTTTTTTTTTTTTTACCTCTTTGGTTAAATTTATTCCTAGGTATTTTATAAGTTTCTTGTAGCTATTGTAAATGAGATAGTTTTCTTGATTACTTTTTCAGCTAGTTCATTTTTCCTGTATTGAAATGTGACTTAATTTTCATATTGATTTTTATATTCTGCAACCTTGCTGAATTTATTTATCAAGTCTGAGATTTTTGGTAGACTCTCTAGATTTTTCTATGTACAAAATCATGTCATCTAGGTACAGATAATTTGACTTCTTTCTTTCCAATTTGTATTCCTTTTCTTTCTCTTGCCTAATTGTTCTGGGTAGGACTTCGAATACTATGTGTAATAAGACAGGTGAGAGTTGTCTTTTCTCGTTCTTAGGGAAAAAGATACCAGCTTTTCACTGATCAGTAAGATGTTTTGGGTTTGTCATATATGACCTCCATTATGCTGAGATATGTTCCTTTTATACCTAATTAATTTAGAGTTTAAATCATTAAAGGATGTTAGTGTCAAATGTATGTATTGATAAATGGCTTTTGTCCTTCATTCTACAAATGTGATGTATCACATTTATTGATTTGCATGTTAATCCATCCTTGCATTTCTGAGATAACTCCCATTTAATCATGGTGTGTTATCTTTTTGATGTGTTGTTGGATTTGGTTTGTTAGTATTTTGTTTAAGACTTTTGTGTCTCTGTTCATCAGGCTATTGGCTTGCAGTTTTCTGTTTAGCTATTTTTATATCCTTGTCTGCTTTTCATATTATGGTTATGCTGACCTCAACAAATAATTTGGGAGGAATACCTTCTGCTTCATTTTTTTGGAATAGCTTGAAAAGAATTGGTGTTAACTCTAAAGATATGGTAGAATTCAGTGGTAAAGACATCTGGTCCTGGATTTTTTTTTTTTTTTTTTTTAGGAAATTTTCTGGATTTTAAAATGTATTGGAGTGTAGTTGTTCATGGTGGTCTCTAATAATGTTTTGTATTCCTGTGATCTCCATTGTGACTTTGATTTTATTTCTGATTTTATTTAGGTCTACTCTCTTTTTTTTTTTTTTTTTTTTTCAGTCTAGCTAATGGCTTGTCAATTTCATCTTCTCAGAAACCCAACTTTTTGTTTTGTGGATTTTTAAAAATTTTTTTAGTATCAATTTTGTTTACTTCTGCTTGATCTTTATTCTTCCTTGCTACTAATTTTGGATTTAGTTTGTTCTTTTCTAGACATTCATTGTTAGATTGTTTATTTACAATTTTTCTAGTTTTTTTTGATGTAGACATTTATTGATATATACTTGCCTCTTAATACTACTTTTGCTGCATTCCATAGGTTTTGGTACATTGTGTTTCCATTTTCATTTGTTTCAAGAGATTTTTAAATTTCATTCTTAACTTTTTCCTACACCCATTATTAGAGAACATGTTGTTTAATTTCCATTAATTTGTATTATTTCAAATGTTCCTCTTGTTATCATTTTATTCTATTGTGATCAATGGGATACTTGATATGATTTTGATTAAAAAATATTTAAACTTGTTTGGTGTCCTAACATGTCAATCCTGGAGAATGTTCCATGTGCTGATGTGCAGAATGTGTATTCTCCAACTGTTGAATGAAATGTTTTGTAAATTAGATCCATTTGTTCTATGGTGAAGTTTAAATCTGATGTTTCTTTGTTTTTCTGTTTTGTCTGATCTAACTATAACTACTGTTAGCTTTTGGTTTCTGTTTGCACAGAACATCTTTTTTTATAACTTTCACCCTATATGTGTCTTTAAAGGTGAGATGAGGTTCTTGTAGGCAACATATATGTATATATGTATACATACATGTATATATATATATAGAGAGAGGATTTTAAAAATCTATTCAACCAATTTATATCTTTTAAATGGGGATTTAGTTTATTTACATTCATAGTTATTATTGATAGGTGAGGACGTACACCTATCATTTGATTGATTTCTTGTTGTTTTATATACCCTTTGTTCCTTTTTTCTTTTATTATTTGTGGTTGGTTGGTTTTCTATAGTGATATGGTTTTATTCTTTTCTCTTTCTCCTGTGTGTATCAGTGAATTTGAGTTTTGTATGTTTCCATGATGGTATTTACCACCTTTTTACTTCTAGAGCTACAATTCTCTTGAACATTTCTTGTAAGACTGGCTAGTAGTAATGAGTTCCCTTAGTTTTGCTTGTCTGAGAAACATTTCATTCGTCCTCCATTTTTGAAAGATGGTTTTGCTGAATATAGTATTTGTAGCTGACAGTTTTTTGTTTTTTTTTTTTTAATTTTAGTACTTTGGATATATCGCCTCATTCTCTCCTTGCCTCTAAGGTTTCTGCTGAAAACTATGCTGTTAATCTAGTGGAAATTCCCTTATATGTTACTTAATGTTTTTCTTTTCCAGCTTTTAGAATTATTTGTCCTTGATTTTCTTCAACTTGACTATAATGCGCCTTGGAGTAGACCTGTTTGGGCTGAATCAATCTGAAGTTCTTTGACCTTCCTGGATCTGGATGTCCATCCCTCTAACAAAACAAGATGTTTTCTGCTATCATTTCATTAAATATGATTTTCTCACCTTTTTTCTTGAATGCTTATAATAACATATTTGTTCACTTAATGATCTCCCATAAATCCTGTAGGCTTTCTTCATCATTCTTTTTTATTTATTTTTTTTTCCTGGTTCATTTAAAAAGATCTGTTTTCAAGGTCAGAAATTTGTTTCTTCTGCTTGGTGGTCTAGCCTGTTGTTAAAGTTCTCAATAGTATTTTTTTAAATTAATTGAATTATTCAGCTTTAGTACTTCTGTTTGGTTCTTTTTTTAATGATATCTATCTCTTTATTTAATTTCTCATTCAAATCATGAGTTGTCTTCCTGATGTTCTTGAATTGTTTATCTGTATTCTCTTATATCTCACAGTTTCCTTAAGATTTATTATTTTGAATTCTTTTTCTGGCATTTCATATATTTCCTTATGATTGGTATCTGTTTACTAGATAATCAGTTTTTTTTGGAGATGTCATGTTTCCTTTGTTTTTTATGTTTGATGTGTTCCTACATTAATTTCCATGCATTTGGTAGAAAAGTAATCTAGTTTAATTTTATGGTGTTAGTTTCATATGGAAAGATATGTTCATACGAATGGGTCTTGGGCTGTCAGTTTGGTAGGGTGTGTGGGCCTTCATTCTAGGTAGACACATTTGTGTTGTCTCCATGTCGTTTCTACAGCTCTAACCCATGCTAAAGGCATTTGCAAGTTGCTCAGTAGCCTATGCTAAGAGAGTTTGTGGTGATAATGGCGAGGCTTTGCTGAAAGTTGGCTCACCGGGCTATTTTTCAGGTCAGGGGCATATGTGTGCACACAGTGAGTCCAACAACTTGGTGTCTGGCTCACTGGGTTTGGGGCTACAGGGATGTTACTCTGGCTAGGAGCATGGGCATGCAGTTTTTCTGCCAGCCTGGAAGCATGTCTTCCAAGGGCAGCCTGTGGGTCTGTTTTGCAGGCCCATGACATAGAAGCAGTTTCCTAGCTAGTTTGGGGGCATATTTGCCCAAGTGACCCACAGGGCTACTTCTCAGGCCTGAGATATGAGCACAAGCAGGCTCAGCTGGCCCGGGAGTGTGTCTGCTGGTAGTCAGCTTATGTATGGGGATGTTTTTCAAGCTCAGAATACAATCACATGCTCTCTTGGCTGGTCTGGGTGCATGTTTGCTGTGGGTTGCCTACAGTGCCAGAACACAGGCGCGGTAAACACGTACTCGGAACGCAGGCCCTCAGCTGTTCAGCCAGCCTGGCTGTGTGTCTTCTAAGGGCAATCTGCAAGGCTGTAAGTCAGGCCTAGAATGTGAGAGAAAGGCTGTTTGGCTGGCCTCTGATTGTGTCTGCTAAGTGCAGGCACAGGGTTATTTCTTAGGCCCCTGACGTGGCTACACGGCTACTCAGCATGTCCACTAGGGGTGGACACCTGAAGCTCAAGGCCCAAGACATATACTCTTTGCTGTTTTCCTGGCCCATGGGTGTGCCCACTAGGGGAAGCCTTTGGGACTGTTTCTCAAACGCTGACTGCAGGCACAGGGCTGTTAAGCAAGCCAGAGACATGTCTGGAGTAGCAGGGGTTGCTGTGGGGCTGTTTCTCAGACCCTGAATGCAGGAACATAGCTGCTCCACTAGTCTGGGGGTGTATTAGCTGCTCAGAACCTCGGAGTTCTCTCCTGCATTGGGAAAGGAGTGCAGCATTTGGCTAGTTCAAGGGTGGGTTTGCCCAAGGCAGGACTGTAAGATTATTTATCTGGCTAGAAGTGTGGTACCAAATACTGGTTTCTGTACTGTACAGGACCAGAATCACAGCTGATCCTAGGCCCAGAGTCCACATAGCTGGGGTTGTAGCATTCAGTCACTATTGTCGGCTTGTCATAATGAAGATGGTGCCCTGTGTTGGCCCCCAGAACAATGCATATTCCAGAGGTGGCTCTGATCTTGAGATGGCAACATGCTGTGGCAGCTTGGCTAATGGCAGGGAATGGGAGGTGGGAGGTGGAGGGAGAGAGTACACACCTTGTGCTCCTAATCCAGGGTAATGAATTCCCAGCAATTCTCTAAACTGGTTTCAGGGTTTGTGTGGACTGTGAAGTTCTCCTGTTGTATGAGACTGTAGATGTTTACATAGGCAATGGGGCTTGTGGGGTTCTTCTGCTTACCTTTTCCTGGCAATAGGAAGTCCCTCCTGACTCAGCAAATTAGATCAGGGTTGGGGAGATGGGTCTGCAGATTCTGGGTGCCTCTGTGCTGCCCTCCTGAATTTCCAGTCACTACTGGTGCATCTCCACTCCCCTTTCCCTTCGACACTCCAGTCCAATCTTAGCTGTTTATTCATTAACTTGGTCCTTTCTTCTGGGAGAGATGAATGCTAGGCATCTGTAGTCAGCCATCTTGATGAGATCACTCTGTTTTGTTTTTTTTTCCCTATTTGATCTTAAAGCACTTTTATGCCTCCTGCAATTTATATAGCATGTATTTATCACTATTCTTTTACTTTGGGAAATACTGATGCTGAATAGATTCATTATCACTGTTGACTAATATCAAGACTCCTTATCAAAGATTAAGGAAATTTATATTCAGTGTTGCTCTGTAGCTAACCACATTAACAGTGAAATACTATGCATAACATACTTTTCTTTTTTCATAAAAATGAATTTATATAGCAATTAGAATGTAATTTGGAATTATTTTTTATTGGAGCTATATTGTCACACTTTCTGTTGATATCCCAGGAAATTTATGATCGATCACATATTTGTATGATCTTATAAAATGAAATAAGCAGACTTAAAAAAACTTATAAGAATGTTTACAGAAAATCTGATTGTTATTTAATGTGCTTGTCTTTATTTGCATTCATAAAGAAAGAGAGAAGGAAGAGCAAAAAAGTATCAGTTTTTAGGAAATTGTAAGATGCATTGATTATACTCTATTTTTATGTTCTTTCCTATGAGGAAGTTAGAACATTAGCAAAATATAAAAACTCTTGCAATATTCTCAGTGCTATTGAATCACATTTGTTTACAAAAAGAAAAAAAATCTTTACATCTGGATAGTCTAGGGAATATCATTCTCAACTTGGGTTATTGGCTTCTGACATCATTTTATTAGTGCAGTTGTAATTGTAATTATGGATTATAATACCTACTGGCTATTCATTTCTCTCTGCCACCAGAGGGAGATGCAAACTCACGTGTCAGGCTTCAGCACTGATTGCCAACGATACCATTTAATATTATTCAGCTTTCTCTCAGGGGAGCTTCATTACCAAATTATTTCTAGGTAGTGATGAGGCAAAACATGTGCTATTGAGGAGTGTCAGTGCAATCTCAACCTTAATTCATATGGCAAAAAGAACATTATTTTATGCTGAGGAGTCCAAGATAACCCCAGAGAAATAGTGGAATTTACAGCATAATCAAAGTTGGCATTTGACAAGGGAGACTGCTACCTCATGATAAATGAGTTGACTCTAAATTTTGGACAAATGTTTTAGTTTGTATGCTGTAGTTTGTATATTCCAACTCAGAACAAATGACAGTCCTTTGTTTTTTCAACTGAAGTGGCAGGTTTTCCAGAGGGGCTGACCTGCTCCTTTATCTTTTATTTTGATTTTAAATTAAACGATTAAAAAAGTGTATTTATTTGCTTTCACTTTTACTTCTAAATATACTTGACAGAAATTTACTGAATTTCCATCAAGGTTTTATTTTATAGTATTTTTCCCCCACTTACAATATATATTGCAGATATATCAGCAAGGCTGTAGATTATTGACTTTATTTTTTCTTATTCTTGATTGACATTCTCAAATTAATAAATAAACATTATTAAGATCTTACTTTTAAGTCTAATGAATTATGGTAGTATAAGCTGGTTCCATAACAGTGACAAGAAAAAACAGATGATCTCTTTGTATTTTAAGTAAAAATGACCTGGCCACTTTTGAAGATTTAGTTTTCCAAATGTGGTTTTATTAAACAACATCACCACAGGAAAATTTTTAAAATGAATTATTTTATTAACATTTTCTCTTATTTATGATCCTGAAAATTTTACTTAAAAGTAGAAATAAAAAGTTATATTAATTTTGCTTCCTATATCCTACTGTTATTTAGCCCAGTTACTTGGCATTTTGAATGTTATGAAAGTTTATATCTAAAGGGAAATATAAAAGCAACATTTTTTTGAAGTCTGATAAAATGCAAATTATTATGAAAATGAAATAATTGTTTTCCAGAATGTTAACTTTATTAAAATGATTATAAATTTTACACTGCATTTTATTTTAGCAGTATAACTCTGTGTATGGTAATTTAGTTGGGGTAACAAACCCCAAACCATAACAAATGGTAAGGGAGTCAACTCTGACATGAGGTTCGTGTGTATTTGCGTTTCTAAATGCCTTCTTTATGGTGTGGCTAATGTTCATTTTCATGCACATTTGCATTCAAACAAGTTTGGAAGTGTTCTTTTTAATTAGATAGAATCACACACAGAGACTCTAAGTAAGAGTTCTTGCATTTAGCTATAAGAAGTGTCACAATGCAGTATGGGACGAGAGCAATATTTTATCCAGCCTTGGAATTTGTTTCCTGACAAGGATAATAGTTGTTGTCATAGCTGTCTACCTTCCCAAACAAACTAAAGCTAGAAATGTGAAAGCCTTGTTAAAGGAGAGGATGGGGCTGATGTATATTATCCACACAATAAACCAAAGAACAGGAGCAATACCAGGATTACAAGCCAAGCAGACTGGAAATGGAAGAACAAACTATCAACTGTAAGGAGTTAGCCAAAAGACAAATCCAGATATGAAACAATGAATTGGAAACTAGACACCAAACCAAAGCAAGTAGTTTCTAAAGAAAATGATTCCCACTGGAATGAGAACTACGCTACTCGAGCCCATAATGTAATGATTGTTGGGTTTTGACAAAGATTGAAATCACTTTAGAGTGATTAAACTCAGAACTTCTCAGTTTTCCAAGTATTATTCAGTCCATTAGGAGTCTCATGACTTCACACTAGAACTTGGAAAACAGTTACCTGCTTAATAATTTCATCCGATATTTTAAGAAACTCAAGTTTTGTATCAAATGATCTCATGGTAATTAATAAGAAAATGACAAATACATCTATATATAATGCATAAAAGACAAAATTAAATAACAAAAAACAATGCCTAATTCCACAAGCAATTAAATATAAATTGAAGCAACACACTTATAATTTAGTAACTAGAAAAAGAAGAGAGTTAATGGCAATACTTTGTACTAGAAAAGCTGAACAGAAATTTTCAGACCCCTACACTGTCAAGAGGAGTACGTATGTTTTCAAACATCCTTCAAGAATACATTTCTTTCAGCTCAGTATATTTTCTTCTAGAAAATCGTGGGATTATTTGAACAGAACTGCATACTCGTATACAGATGTTGACTGAAAATTGCTATACAGATATTTTTAAAAGATTGCACACATGTATCATGAGAGATGAAAAAATTCACATTACATCAAGCAGCAAAAATGTTCATAAACTATGTCTATTTTATGTAAAAATTCAGGGGTTTGCATGAAACTCTACAATAATACAATTTTCATCAGCTTAACATTTATTCTATGCCAGGAGCTCTAATGAGTACTTTGTATGTAACTTATTTAATCCTGGTAACTGAGATACTGTTGTCCTCTGCCTTCACAGATATGAAAGCTGAGGTACAAACTTGACCAAGATGTCAAGAAAGTAGTAAGCAGTTGAGCCAGCATTTGAACCTGAGGTTATGGCTCCAGAGACCATATATTTACCATAAAATAGTAACACCAAGGAATTAGAACTTTTCTCTAACTGATAGGATGATTTTGTCATTTGTATGCATGCCTTATCTACTATCTATAGGTATTACAAAGAATATGTATTACTTTACTATAAAGAAAAAAATATACAGCTAGCTGCATGTTAGGGAAAAAATAATTGAACTTATAGGCAAAAACAGATGTTGAATCAGGTCTAGTGAATAGTGCATGCTCATGACAAAAAAAAACATTCAATCCACAAATGATGTCCCAAAGGCTCACATGTCTGTATGTTGAAGTCAACTTAGTCAATTTCTTAATTAGTTCATTGAAATATAAATGCACTATAAAGAAAAGTCTGACAATATTAAATTGAGAAATTAAAAAAGTAATTTTACATTTTGACATATTTACACCAATTAAACTGCCCCATATTTTATACATTTTACAGTGATGTCTAAGATAGTGCCTAATAATAAATTCATATAAATATATCAACCAATAATGCATTTAGAATGGAGGGGTTAAGGCCTATGTTTAACTCAATACTACACTGCTTTTTTTCAACTGTCATTTTTAATAAATTTGCATTTATACAGATATGTAAATATTTTAAAGTCTTTCCAATATTACTTCCTAGCAGCTGCCCCTGCCCCCAGCAATCTTGTTAGTTAAATTAATAGGAAAAGCCGTAAAAAAAAAAAAAAAACTTTCAGATTAAAAACTCAACCTAAAATCCCATTCATCAGCATGCTATTCATCCATAGCAATATTATATGAGAGAAGAAAAATACACTCTAAGCACACAGCTGACAGATATGCCATTTCAGGTAGAAATGTGCTGCTTCATTTAATTTTTGATGAACAAAATATGTATATCAGCAATCAAAAATCATTACATCTACTCCCTCCATAATAAAAAGGAAATTCTGAGCTCAGTAGTTTGGAGTTGCTTTTTCAATCCTGGAAAATATGTGAAAAAAATCCTTTATTTACCTCAGTGATATTGATAGAATATGATGTTAATATATGATCATGTCAATTTTAAACCACTTGCTATATAATAGTTTCAGATAAATTGAGGAATATAGCCTATATCTTCTCTCTGTATAATATTTTGGTTTAACTGACCATTAAACTCCAAAGAAGTGTTACCGACCTAGATACCAAAGACAATAATATTTTTATTCTTAGACCTAGCATTTGTATGAGTGCCTATTTTCAAAAACTTCCCAAAGATAAGTTTCATAGATAAATATGTTATATTTTGTTTGTTCATCACTCCTGAAATACTTGATATATTAAGCAACCAGCACAGAAAAAATATAAGCAAGATAAAGAACAGAAAACTCACATATTAAATAGCAAATGGATAGAAAGTATATATTTTAAAGACTGCATAGACAACTAAATCTTTAAAACCCATTTCCCTCATCCAGAACGTTTAATACTTCATTTTATCTGTGGACTATCATTTGAGAAATAATATACATTAACAACCCTGTGGATGGCACATACTCCCAGCAGAAAGGATGCTCAACAAGTACAATTCTGTTTCCTTTGAGTCCTACAGTGAAAATGTCCTTAACAAGGTGTGGATCCAGTACTTTCAAAGGACTAGTCCTCAGACAGGCTGGAGAGACCCCTTCCCACCTGTTCACATGTTCCAGTTGAAATGCCCTCTGTTCCCTTCCTTGACACTCCCCCTTTATACCAGCTATTGATACTATTAGTGTGGAAGAACTCTCAGATGATACAGCAATCACTGCCAGCATAGGCACATTGAGCAGGAATGTTCTATATGTGTAAATTCCAGAGAGGTATTTAATTTTTATTCCAGAATTTACCATCTTCTTTCAATCTCCATGGACTTTTCCTTTGCCCAACTAGATACTTTTTTTTCTGTTAATTTTATTTTCTCATTTCTATTCTAAGATTTTTTTTTTTGTCTTAATGTTCTCTTTATCCTAATCTTGGTGTATATGTTCTCATATTATAATCTCACTGTATACTATATAGTCCTCAAAGTATAAGATGCTATAGGTCAGGTACATGATACATTAATACATTAAATTCAATTATAATTTGCAAAAATTGTGAGTTGTTACACCTGTTTTCCATTAAGCTTCATAGTAATTTATAATTCTATAATACATGTTACTGGTATGAGTGATGAAAATGACAACTGTTAAGTGATTCACTATTTTCATTACAAGAATCAGTAGGGTTCTGATTTTAAAGAGTGCTTATGGTTAGGAGAATTGTATGATTAATTGTGTAAATGGTGGCTATGTTAGGAATGACAGTATTTTCTGAAATTGGTTAGTGTTCACTTTTATGGGACTGAATTGTGTCTCCCTGAAATTCATATGTTGAAGCCCTAATCCCCAATGTGACTTTATTCGGAGATAGAGCTTTAAAAGAAATAAGGTTAAATGAGGTTAGAAGAATAGGACTCTGATCCTACATGACTGATATCCTTAGAAGAAGAAGAATAGACATCAGTGATATGTGTACATTGAGTAAATGTCATGTGAGGACATAGTAAGAAGACAACCATGGTCAAGCCGTGGAGAAAGGGAGGCCTCATGAGAAACCAGACCTACCAACAACTTGATCTTGAATTTCTGTCCTCTTAAAACTGTGAGAAAATAAATTTCTATTGCTTCAGCCACCCAGTCTGTGGTATTTTATTATGACGGCCCTAGCAGACTAATATAATAATAATAGGATGTTTTGTGCAATGATGCTTATATAAGAACCCAAGTGAAATAACAGACTCCAAAACTCCTGATAATCATCATGTATATGACAATTGCACATGACCTAATTAGACTGTGTTTGCCACCGCAAAACAAAAACCTGGAGTTTGGGGAATAGGCAAAAAAGGACACAGAACTCTTGCTTGGAAGATGCTAGCTGAACTCCTCTCATCATTAGGAACTGACCATATAAGGATTTGGTGTGTGTTGGGGAGAGTATGGGGGGTGAGATTTAAAATAAGAAAACTTAGGTAATTTTTCCTAAAGTCTGCTGTGTTCATCTTAATTTTGGCAGTGGTGCTTTTTCACTTTTGTCAGTATGGCTGAAATCTTGGAGGCCACAAACGCAGTGAATTAAGAATAAGTTCTATGAGCCAGATCTCATATTAATCTATCAAGATTTTTTATTCAGAAGGAATTTATTAGATTTCTTGAAAGAGAATAATCTTATGAATGTGCTTTTGAAAACTAACAGTGGTCTGTAACAAAAAACTCCATGTACATACACTTTTGAAAAGTGGGTTTCAATTTAATTAAAAATACTGAGTTTTTCCTTTCCTATGAATTGTCTACATATAATACATTCTAAGCCTTGAGAAATGCTGATTATATGATAGGTGAGTTAAAACATCATAAATGAATTCTCTTTGGAATTATTTAAGTGTAGTATGACTTAAATAAATGTGTCATAGGAATGTCTGTCTTCAACTAACTTCTTTATTAAGCATTTATTTTGGATGACCAATGTAACTATCATCATGTAACAGAAAATAAACGAAAAGCTTCAACCAGTTGCCTACTGATTACGTAGGCACCAATACAGGTTAACCAGTAAAAGATAAGATAAAAGCAATGATTATCTGTATAGTGTAGTCTATATAAAATAAAGACAACGATAACAATTGAGTATAGAGTGAAGTTGGAATTACTGGAGGGACCTAGAGCTGTATCACATACGTACAAAAAAGCACACTTCTCACATCCAAGATGAAAAATTTTGAATTAACTCTTTTTTTCTTTCCTTAATATTTTATAACAAATATGTCATGAAACTGGTTGTACTTTAAAAGATTCTCCTCTTTTCTTTTCCTTACTAGAGCCTGACACTCTCTTCTTCCCCCATGACTAGATTACTTGAATAACTTGTATGCCTGCACAAAACTCCAGGAGTTTGCCTCGCAGGCATCCTGTATTTTTTCTATTCTGTGTCCTCCTAAAGCTTTACAACATGCTTCTCAGCTGTACTTCAAGTTACAAAGACTTCTATTGCCTAGAGCATCTGGCTTAAAATTTTATCTCTGACAACTAAAACCACCGTATTCTGGTCCCACCTTATCTTAATAGTCTGTTAATTCTCCACACACATGCTTCTCCAGTCAAGGCAGGTTCCTCATGAGTTTGCACTTATACCTTAGGCCCCTATGTTCTGTTTAGTTCTCTCTTTTGTCCTTGTTTGTATACTTTTTCCTGACTATAGTAATGTCTATATTCTTTGTCTGTTTATCTACTCGTCCAGTTTTGGTTTAATTTTCCTCTTAGTGTCTTGAATTCTTCTGTATTAGTAGTGCAAATATAGTTACGCAGTAGGAAATTTAATTACATGATATCTTGGGTTTTGTGCTGAGTTTTATAGCATGTCATTTGTAAAAATTTCTGAGAATAGGGACCAGTATATTATTTTTATGAACACATGTGTATAGTTATTTTATAAAATTTCCTTTATTGAACAACTTTTTAAGATAAGTATCTGACTGGCTTGATAACTAGTATATAGGTATGTAGAGCCAAGTTTTTGTATGTAGCCATAAACCTTGTTGTCGTATATGAGGATGACATATGTGACAATATAGTTGTTTGCAGACTTAGATTTAGAATGTATTTTATATGCTCTTTAGTGTTCATTTACTAGTCAATAACAACAATTGAGCTAATTATTTAAAACTCTACCTGAAATATAATTCTGATTAAAAAAAGAACCCTGACTTTCAATAATCAAACTGAATTTAGGGTGACTATATGTTTGCAAAGTAAATGAGGAGCTACAGAAGATATGTAGATACAAACATACATACGTATGTGTAATGGTCTAGAAAGAACTTTGAAAAAAAATGTCGTGTTCAAGTACGAACTAAATTGGCTAAGTTCAGGCATGGGAAGGTGAGTTACTTAGATGGTATGCTCTCATTAGAAAGGAAAACTACTGAGTAGATCACAATGAATATTAAACAGAACACTGATAATATATGCCTCACTGATTTGCATATTTAGGAAGATGATTTAAGCACACAAAAAAATCCATGTTTATGCATGTTGTTCTTTAATGAACTGAATAACAATATGGGACAGATTAAAGGCACTTTCAGTATGAGAAATTAAATCCCCACTTCGTTATTTCACCAAGGCATATCATTGCCCACCTACGATTTCTCTGAGTTTGATCTTGGTTGAACAAAACTTCGGTGAATGTCTTTTATGTCATCTATTTTCCAAATAAATTTGCATGTGTCATTACATTTTCTCAAATTAAAAAGATGTTTAAGCTTTATTCTCTGTCTTTTTAACCTTATATTTTGCCTTATGTTTATCTAATGGTTCACCTTTTTTGGAGCATTTTTTTAAATGCATTATTGCATTTAATCCTTTTGAGACAGGATATTTTTCTGCTTATTTTGTAGGTGTGGAAGGAAGCTAAGGCTAAAAAAATTACTGTGGCCATTTTTAGTGATACAGTTGAGAGCATAACCTTTGGTTTGTGATCTTACCCTTTGAGATAATTACAGTCTAATTGAGGATTCAGAATAACAAAAAGTGAATACACTTTAAAATATTAAAATAACAGTACAAAGATTTCAATTTGAAAACAACTGTAGAAGAGGTAGTCCTTTTCCCCAATCTTCTAATCACAAGCGTTTTTTTGTTCCCTTTCCTGAAATAATTGTCATATTTTGGTAGTCAGTGTAAGATAATTTTACAGAAGTGACCTATCTTAGCGAACATCTGACTTCCTGATTCTCATTTCTTGTAGTTCATCAAACGTTTGGCTGAAAACATATTTGAGATTTAGAAAAGAAAAACATTTCCAGCTTTAGACCCAGACACACTGTACCACCCATCTTTGTCTGACACAGAGAGATTCTTTGTGAGAAGAGAGAGAAGTGAGATGATGAAAAGGAACAAGCTGTGCTTTGGGAAACTGTCTTTTCACTATCATCAGTGCACCTGGAGGACTGAACTTTGCCAGGGGTAACTGGTTTGCTGATGATCCCAAAAGTGAAGCAGGGGCTTTGACCCAAGATAGAGGTTAATGTTACTATTACTGTCTGTAGGTTGTGAGTCAATGACCCTATTAGTTGATTGACACATTTTGAAAACCGAGTTTATTGTTATGGTCAAATGTAACTTAGAAGACAGTTGTTCTGAAACACATTGAATAAGATGCATAGTCATGATGGTGCTTCATGTTAATTAGATAAAGCTAGAGAGTTAAGATGATCCAGTGAAAAACTTCAAGTACTTTAGAATTTCCTGGCATCCCTGATCCTAGGGTAAGACAGAAAGAAGAAAGAGGGAATGGTTTTAAACTGTGGACGTCCACAGAGATCAATCATATTGATTTGTTTAATTATATCTTATTTTTCTTGTATTATTTAATGCTATTCTTTCAGTAAATATTAACAGAGCTGCTTCTCAGTCTCAGGCACTGTGTACTATGCTGGAAATGTAAAGTAAGTGATACAGAACTAATCTGTTTCATGAGAAATACCCATTATTTATTGGGTACCTGATCTGTGTGTAATGGAATTCTAAGTGCTTTATCAATATTTTCTCACCAACTTGTGAAACTGTTTCTATGATTATCTCAGTTTTACTAATGTGGCAACAGGCACAGAGATCTTTATAAAGACAATGACAATTTTTGTTAGAGTGCTAATGGTCTTTAAGCATCTAAAGTAATAGCTTAAAATACTACTCGAGTTCTTCATCACATACAATATTAGAAAATAAAAAATTAAAACTATTAGGGAAGAAAATATAAAGTGAAGCAAATGCATTCATTCATATGCATGCAATCTTTCTGCTATGCAAGATATATAATCATTGGAAGAAAATTATTTGATTCAACAAATTAGCTGTTTCTTTCACATTTGATTACTTATTTCATGCTACAGGTGGTTAAGAATATATGTCTTTAGCTCAAATACACATATACATATGTAAAATCCTTGATTTTTACTGGAATTTTCGATGTTTTTCACTCAGGTAAAACTCCCTTAATTAAAATATAGGATATTTTGGCAGAATTAGAGTGAGCTACAGTTTTATTTTCACTGTTAGCCAACGTCACACTTTTGATATTACACAAACAAAAAAATGTAGAAAATGTTGCTGTGTGTTGAAAATTTGCTATCACCTAAATGTCCAAACGCAATTCATACTACAGTGTGCTTGGAAAAAGTTTGTGAATGAAAGATGAGCTCTAGCTCACCTTTACATCTCCAAGTTCACCTGAGTTTTATCTATGTATCTAAGGTATCTATCATCCTACCTACTGATCTGTATCTGAACTCATCATCACCCCATGATTTTGAATGTGTTATCAATAATACCTTCACAAGCCAGCAACTAAATAAACAGATACATGGTGCTAGTCAGGTGAGCAAAGTTGAAGTGTGCATTTCTAAATGTGCTAGTTTCTTTTTTATTTAAATATAAAATTGAGGTTTTAAATACTGTGGTTATCTTGAGACCAAATTTCTACACTGTTATGTAATCAACATACATGACTTCAGATGTATGACTCTTGCATTTTAGTGATTGGTATATGATTATTTATTCAAAAGTAGAGCACCGGCAGAAAAAGAAACTAAAGAATCATACTCAGGAAATGAAAACAATACATTAATGGTATGGGAAACTAAAATTCTTCATTTCTTTGGTTTACACGATGTTGCAAAAATTATTTAAGTATTCACAAAGATACATAAATTAGAACACAGTGAGATAACTGTAAATTAAAAATAGATAAGAAAGAAATAGAGAGCACAGACATTCATGCATGGGCGCTGATGCACGTACACACAAGCTTAGAATTATAAAATAGAATCAACAATAAGGCTGATGGAAAACACATATCAATTATATGAAAACAGTAAACCTTTGGAGAAGGGAAAAAGTTGGTAAGAGTAGAAGCAGCCAATAGGTATTTACCAGACCTATTAGCTAAATTTTAGGAAGTCTGATTTCAAAGAGTTCATATGATACTAACTGTGAAATAGAAGATGTAATATGAAAATTACAGATCATACAATCCTAACGACTATCTAAATAAAAATATTTGCTGTTTTCATGATGGTGAGCGAGTTCTCGCAAGATCTAGTCTTTTGAGAGTGTGTAGCACTTCCCCCTGCTCTTGCTCTCTGGCTCTGACATGTAAAGATGTGCTTGCTTGCCATTTGCCTTCTGCCATGATTGTAAGTTTCCTGGGGCCTCCCCAGCCATGCCTCCCATACAGCCTCCAGAACTGTGAGTCAGTTAAACCTCTTTTCTTTGTAAACTACCCAATCTCAAGTAGTTATTTATAGTAATATGAGAACTAACTAATATAATCAACTCACCACTAGCTTCGGAGAAAGAAAGAAGTCAGATTTCTCTGGTCTTTTTTATTAAGAATTTATTTATTTTAATAATTTATTAAAATATTCTGACATATTTTAAACTTTGGTTATATATTTCCCCAGCAACTGTTAATTCTTAGATATTTAATATATTTTATTTATCAGAAATTACTGTGTTAATGTAGCATCATCCTTTTGTAAAAGCATAATGAAAGAGGATTATCTTTGCAATGCATTTTTTAAGATTTGATCTCATCCATAGTTATGACAACTTATCCCACATGTTGCCTCTAGGTTTTAAGCACTATTTCAGGAGGTTGAACATCGAAGGTCTAATAGTTTTAAAGAAAACATTAATGAACTCTGAAAATTGTTTTATAATTATAATGACATATTAGAACTTTAAAAATATTGTATGCTAAGCTTCTCTAAAACAGTGGCTGCTAAAGGCTAGTCCGAGACATATAATTGGGATGGTTATATCAGAAAATCCACTCTTGCTTCCAGTCTCGCCGTGTTATACACAGGCACCTGCTTTGCTCTCCACTATGACTGTAAGCTTTCTGAAGACTTTCCAGAAGCTAGGTGGATGCTGGTGCCATTGTTGTACAGCCTGCAGAACTGTCAGACAAATAAACCTCTTTTCTTTATAAAGTAACTCAGCCTCAGATATTTCCTTGTAACAATGCAAAATGGACTAATACATAAAATTGGCACCAAGGAGTGGGGCATTGCTATAAAGATACCTGAAAATTGGGAGGTCAATGTGGGCGGATCATGAGGTCAAGAGATAGAGACCATCCTAGCCAACATGGTGAAACCTCATCTTTACTAAAAATACCAAAGTTAGCTGGGTGTGGTGGCACGTGCCTGTAGTTCCAGCTACTCGGGAGGCTGAGGCAGGAGAATCACTTGAAGCTGGGAGGCAGAGGTTGCAGTGAGCCAAGATCGTGCCACTGCATTCCAGCCTGGCAACAGAGCAAGACTCCATCTCAAAAAAAAAAAAAACCTGAAAATGTGGAAGCACCTTTGGAACTGGGTAACAGGCCGACTTTGGAAGAGTTTGGAGGGCTCTCAAGAAGACAGGATGACGAAAGAAAGTTTAGAACTTCTTAGAGACTTGCGCTTGTGACCAAAATGCTGATAGAAATATGGACAGTGAAGGTAAGGCTGATGAAGACTCAGATAAAAATGAGAAAGTTATTGGGAACTGAAACAAAGGTCACTTGTGTTTTGCCTTAGCAAAGAACTTGGCTAAATTGGGTCCATGCCCTAGCAATTTGTGAAAGTTTGAACTTAAGGGTGATTATTTAGCATATCTGATAGAAGAAGAAATATCTAAGCTGCAAAGCATGCAGTATGTGGCCTGGCTTCTTCTAAAAATTTTTGATCAAATATGGGAGTACAAAATGATTTAAAGTTGGAACTTTTATTTAAAATGGAAGCAGAGCATAAAAATTTGGAAAATTCTGCAGCCTGGGCATGTGGTAGGGAAGGAAGGAGTGTTTTCAGGGAAGAACTTAATGCAGCTGTGGAACAACCACTTGCTAGAGAGATTTGCATGATATTAAGTGTTTCACTCCATGAACACAGAATATTTCTTCAATATTTCATTTTTTTCTTGTTTTCCCCCCAGCCTCTGGTAACTATTATTCTACTTTCTGCTTCTATTACTTCTACTTTTTTCAGGTTTGTCATGTGTCTTTGTGTGCTTGGCTTATTTCACCTAACATAGTATCTTCTAGGTTTTTCTATGTTGTCACAAGTGACTGGATTTTTTTCTTTCTTAAGACTAGTGTTCCATCTGCATGTATAATAAATCTTCTTTATCTGTTTCTTGATGGACACTTAAGTTGATTCTATATCTTTGTTATTGTAAATAGTGCTGTAACCAAAATGGAAGTGCAGATATCTCTTCCACATACTGATTTTTTTTTCCTTTGGAGGTATATCTAGTAGTGGGATTGCTGGCTTATATGGTGGTTCTATTTTTAATTTTTTGAGGAACCTCCATACTGTTTTCCATAATAGCTGTACTAACTTAAATTACACCAAGAGTATATGAGCTCTCATTTCTTCACATCCATACCAACACTGGTTATCTTTCATCTTTTTGATAATAACCATTCTAACAGCAGTGTGAGGTGATATCTCACAGTGGCTTTAATTTGCATTTCCCTGATGAATTGTGTTATTGAACTTTTTTTATATACTTAGCCATTTGTATGTCTTCCTTACAGAAATATCGATTCACATTCTTTGCCCATTGTTAAATAAATTATTATTATTTTGCTATTGAGTTGTTTTAGTTCCTTATTTATTGGATATTAATCCCTTATTAGATGCACGGTTCAGAAGTACAGTACTTTTTTCCCATTTCATAGTCTCTCTTCACACTCTCCATTATTTAGATCTATGAGTTCTTTCATCTGTTTTGTGGTTCTCTACCTACAGATTCTCTACATATTTTGTTAGATTTGTTCCTAAGTACTTCTTCTTGGGGTATACTATAGTAAAAGTTATTTATTAAACTTACAATTCTAATTGTTCATTGCTGGCATATGAGAAAGTAATTGACTTTTGTGTATTGACCTTGTGTCCTGTGACTTTGCAAAACTCACTTATTAGTTACAGAAAATTTTTGTTTGGTAGTTTTTTGGGGATTTGTTATGTAGATAATCATGAATCCATGAATAAAGACAGCTTTGTTTTTCCTTTCAAAAGAAAACAAGAAAATCCTGGAGAATATGGGATATGCGTAAACTCATAGTCACTATGCACAGAGATTTTAATCCTGTGGGTTTAGTATACAGACTAACATACGTCTTTTTAAAAATTCACTAAGAGATGCTAATAAAGGAGGTCAGAGGACCAAAGTTAGAACATTAGTCAAGTGGAATATATTACAGCATATGGTTTCTTAAACTAGACTTAAGACCATAGCATTTCTATGCCAAATATCTCAATCCATTCCTGAAGTTCATATAAAGCATATGTGACATTATACAACCACAACACTTCAGTGCAGCAACCACACAAAAGAATCTTTTTGTGACTTCTGTCTCTAACCTCTAAGGATTCCTTAAATTGAAATAGCATGCGCATCTAGAGCGTAATCTAGAGCTTCATATGAAATCACATGAAGTAATCCTTGATGCGGTATCTTTCTCTGTTAAATAAAATGTCAATAAAACATGAAGTATCTGAAAAAAACTCATTTCAGTGGAAATGAACAGGTGTGAGTCCTGCTTTTATTGATAATCAAGTAATATCAAGGCATCATTACCATGTATGTAAACAGCTAATTAAAATCTATCTCCTTCATTAAATAGGCTAGCATACCATTGAATAAGGAATTCACTACCTCCAGTCCCAAAATGAAATGGTTACTTTTTTCATTTACTGAAATTTTAATTGACGCATTGATATAGACCTCTATATTTCTGTGTTAATCTCTTAATATTAATGACCTAGTTTATCCCTAAAACATATTTAAAACTGTAGAAGTTTCATACATTATGAATAAATTAAAAACAGGAGAAAACAGGCATTCCTTAGTTTCTCTATGTTGTTGAAGATATTCTTACTATTACATAATTTAGATGAGAATTAAGCAAACTACAGCTTGTGCACCAAAGCCACCTGTTTTTATAAGTAAAGATTTATTTAAACATAGCCATGCTTACTTGATTACCTGTTTTCTGTGGCCTTTTTACACTGCCGTCAAAGGTGAACAGTTGCAACAGAGACCGTCTGACCTGTGAAGCCTAAAATGTATACTATTAGGCTCTTACAGAGGAAAGCTTACCAATGCTGAATTTAGCTAAGAGTCAGAAAAACAGTTAAGTGTACATTGTCTACTTTAAAAAATATCAAGTTTAAAATAAAATGCTCATAAGTAGTTTAAAATACTGTTTCTAAAAATAATATATTGTATGTAAAATTATTATGTTTGAGTAAAATCCTAATCAATAGGTGAATCAACAGCTATAATTTAAATTGTCCATATTACATAGTTTGTAATACTGTATATATTCTCAGTCAGAAAGCTTATTTTACAATAAAGTACAAGGATACTCCTATGGGGGTATTTTAAAATAAGTTACAGATATTTTAACATAGATATAGTCCTATTGAAGAAAAAAATAGATGAAAAATATTAACTATATTGCGAATAAACTTTTTTTGGTTTCCTAAAGATTTACTGTAGAGTTCAACTTTCCCTCAAATATGTATTTTTTACTTACAAAAATCCTAATAAATATTTTTCTTTTAAAAACTCTTGGTGGAAGTGTGTAGGTTCATAATACTGTCTTTATATATTCTTTGGTTTAAAGTATATAGATTTCATATAGCAAATTAGTAAGTCAGAGTCAACTGTGGACTGTTTGCTTGAAAACTCATACCTCTGCCTCTAGATTTAAGCAACAATTCTGAAGTAGGCATTAGGCATTACCTTTACCAACCCCCAGGGGGTGTTTAGCAGCGGTGTGTGTGTGTGTGTGTGTGTGTGTGTGTAAGTGTAAGAGATGTTTTTGTTTTAATGACAGGGAAGTGTTTACTTCCCAGGAAGGAGGAATGTCAAAATTCTTGTGATATATGGCAAATCCCAAAGGGAAACATTGTTCTCCTGAAAATACCATCATTGCCTCCATTGAGGAACTCTGCAAGTCCAGAGATTATTTGAGAAACTACAGAAAGCTTTGAGATTGCAAATATAAATCTGCTCACGTTCACTCATCAATTTTTATTATTGTCACTTAGTGGATGGATCTCCAGTTAATGATTTTTCTAATATGTTATTTAAAGTATTTCTCATTATAATTCAAATAAATGGCAACTGAGGTCATTTTTACATTATATTTATATTTGAAAATGTACTCAATTATGATAATTGCTAATATTTCAATTGATGCCCAAAGCAACTGTATTTTCTGATATGTTCTTTAAAGTATTCTTTTGTAATCCATGAGTCAGTTAGCTTCTTAGACTGATCCTCTTAAATATGAATTCCTCGGATCTAATTCGTTGGAGGATATTCTTTTGTAAAAAAATATAAATGTTCTGATGATTTTTATGTTGTTCTTTTGCCAATCATTGTAGATTTTTTCCTTTCTTTTAAAAAATGTGTTTAGCTATCCAAATGCACTAGACTATTTCCCAGAAGTTATGCTAATAAAATTCAAAGCACTATCTAAGAGTAAACAGAAGAGGCCTGTTCCAGTTTCAGCTGCTTGAAACCTTGCACTAGTGAAGATGTATTCATGTGAAAAAATGATTTGAAGCTGAAAAAAATAATTTTGAAAGGTCTGACATTCTAGCTGAATCTTAATCTTTGTCCATGACTCTTTTCTTACCTTGTCTTTAAAACTTTCCGAAGTCTTTCATTTGCTCCAGCAAAATAGAGACCCTGATATCATGGAAATAGTCATATTTTATGTATGTGCTTTTAATAAGACTTTCACATTTTCATATGCTGTGTATGTGTGTATGGTTGTGTGTGTTTAGAGAAGACTTCAGCTCCCTTCATTTGTAAACTAAGCTCCCAAAGAGAAAATAAAAGCTGAAAAAAATTAATCTGTCTCTGTAAACAAATGGATGGGCCCTAAGCTTTGTAGTCATCTCGTTTGCAGTAGACGAACTGTGACAAACGGACCCTTTAGCTACCCATCATTCATGCTCTGAGTAAGTTTAGCTTCTACCTACGTGCCATATAACCTCAAGAAAGACTTTCCATTATAAATGAAAAATGACTTTATTCATCACCTTCGTGATAGACTCGATTTTTAAGTTATTTATCATAACTATAAAAAACCAAGTGTATAAATCAATGAGGTTTTAAGGAACTGCATGCCATGAGCACTAAACTGAAATTTAGCTGCTACTAGTCCTTCATTTTACAATTTGAAGAAACAAAAATAATTGCTCATTCTTACCATTTTTCAAGAATATATTGTTGACTATAGTTGCCATGTAGTATAATAGATCTCTTAAACATATTCCTCCTGTGTAACTGTAAATATATTTGACCATCATTTTCCAAACCCTCCCTCTCCTGTAACCATCGTGGATTCTGGTTATCACCATTGTAGTCCCTACTTCTATGAGATAAACTTTTCATCATGGTGCACATGACAGTTGATATGTCAATTTGAAAAATTACTTAAAAATTTAAATAATCATTATAACAGCAAAAATTTTAAAAAGAAAAGAAAAATTTATCAAACATTCTATTGAACTATTCAGATACATATAAGGTCTCAGGCTCTGGTATATACATGGCTTATCTCCATCTCTTTCCTCCCAATTTAAAAGTCCTTGGTAGAATTCTTCCCCCTTCCCACTGTTACCACCTAAGGTGTATTTTATATTTTATTTTCTGTTCCTTTTTTCTCTTACTGGTAACAAACAGAATTCCTGGTTTTATTGGTATGTATATTTCTTCTTGAACTTTAACCCAAATGCATCTTTTGAGTCAGGAACAAGTACTTGTAAGGAAAGAAGACAATTTTCATTTTTATAGTCTTACAACCAGCCAAAGCCTCAAATTGCTTTGTAACTCATATCCCTCATCTGGAAGAAATTTAGAAATATGTAGGCATTGTTTACACATTATTTCAACCCATTGTGTACCCGGAGACTGTACTTTGCTTTTTTCTAGAAAGATTTTTTCTAGAAATATTTTAAAGAAAACAAGAATTTTTGGCTCTTTTGTTCTTAGAGTTAAAATCAAAAGCCATTTCTGGCTCTTTTGTTCTTACAGTTAAAATCAGAGAAACATCTCAAAAAGAAACAAAAGTGTCAGAAAAAAAACAGACATTTTATTCAAAAACACTTATTACCGTGTATGTAACAGGTACTGTGCTGGCACTAGGGTTACAATACTGAGAACAAATTAAATCTCCGAATGCATAGAATATATAGTATAATAAAAAAGAGAGATATTATTTAGCTCATCCCCCAAATATATGTGAAATGGTAACTGTTATGAAAGTTCTTAGGAAGAAAAGCATGCAGTGTGATGTGGGAGTACAGAGGGAATTTAAGGAACTCAGTGAAAAAGTTGTGAAAAAATGATGGTGCTGAACTGCAATGCAAAAATGAGTGAAAGTTGATTAGACAAATATGAAAAGAAAATAGGTGTATCAGGAAAAGGAAAACTGGCAGGATGAAACATTAAATACAAGTTAAAAATTGAATTTAAAAAATCTGATTAAAGCACAATGAGCTAAAGGCAAATTGTAGAGACAATGAGCCTTGAGAGAGGTAGTAGAAAGATCACACAGGGCCTTCAGGATCCTTTAAAGAATGTTGTTCTTAATGCACAGGTGAAAAGGTTTTAAGTATGAGGAGATACTATAATCTGAATTGCTTTCCAGAAGAAATCTGGGGCTGAGTGGGGAAAAGATTTGAGAGACCCATAACAGAGGCAGAGAGACCAGCCAGGAGGCTGTTGAAGGAGTTTAGGGGAGAAATGATAGATATTATCTTGGAGATATAGAGGTGTTCATGTGACATATTAAAATAAAAGGGTTGGGAGTGGTGACTCATGCTGGCAATTCCACAGCGTTAGGAGGCCAAGGAAAGGCAGGAAGTACATTTGAACCCAGAAGTTTGATATCAGCCTGAGCAACATTGTGAAACCCCTTCTCTACCAAATACCAACAACAAACACAGGGTGTGGTGGTGTGCACTTGTGGTCTTAGCTACTCAAAAGGTTGAGACAGGAGGATTGTTTGAGTTTAAGGTTACAGTGAGCTATGATCATGTCACTGCATTCCAGTCTGGGCAATAGGGAAAGATCTTGTCTCTAAAAAAAACTCAAAACATAAAAGGAACAGGCTAAAAGAAGACAAGGTGGTAGCTAGAGGAGGTAACCAAGCTTAAATAACCAAGCTTCTGTTGTTTTTAACATGATAAGTGATTATGTTTAAAAGTCATTGGGAAGGATCTTAATGGTATTTCAAACTCCCTTTCTCTCTTAACTGGGTCCTTTCCAATAACTTTTAAGCATGTTCAATTCTCCAATGTCAAAACAACAAAAGAAGCTTGGTTATTCAATACTAGCTATTCAGTTACTATTAACCATTACATGAATTATATATAAACTTTTATATTTCCTACATATAGTTTTTATAGGAGTTTGACATATTTCATTATTAAAAGCAGAAATCTATTAGAAATATTTTTTGTTGTTTTCTATTTGCTTGGTAAATGTTCCTCCATCTCATTATTTTGAGTCTATGTGTGTCATTGCATGTGAGATGAGTCTCTTGAAGACAGCATACCAATGGCTCTTGGTTCCTTATCTAGCTTGCCACTCTGTGTCTTTTAATTGGGAGCATTTAGCCCAATTTACATTTATGTTTAGTATTGCTATGTGTAGATTTGATCTTGTCCTCATGATACTAGCTGCTTATTTTGCAGACTTGTTTATGTGGTTGCTTTGTAGTGTCACTAGTCTGTGTACTTTAGTGTGTGCAGCCATAAAAAAGAACAAGATCATAGCTCTGATTATATTCTATATAGTGATATTCTCCAAATGTATATCTCAGGCCTGAAGCACTCTCCTGAACTTCATACTCTTACTTCCCACTGCCTACTCAGCATATCTAAGTGAGTGTCTGATGTCCAAATTTATCTTGTCTAAAACCAAATTTATGATCTAACACCACTGTCCTATTTTACTCCTACAAATTTTCCCAACATACGCCATAATGAATCTCTCCTTTTATTTTTTCAGACTGAAACCTTTGAGTCATCCTTGACTCTTTTTATCTCTTATGTACTATAACCAGTACCTCTTTAAGTCTTTTTAACATTACCTTAAACTTGTATTCAAATATTATACCACTCAAGCTTTCCATTGCTATTTCCCTGAACAAGACACAATTTTTTTTTTTTTACCTCGTTATTATAATGGGCTCCTAACCAGTGTACCTTCTCTCTTGGTCACCCTCATGCATCACCAAAGTCTGTCTTTGACCAGCAGATTTTAGGATCCTTTAAAATACATAGTGAGATCATTTCCCAACAGTTTGGCCCAAAATGTTCCAATGCTTTTTCATCTTACTAGTTCCAATGTTTTTCCATCTTACTAGTAAGCCAACATCATTACAAGTGTCCACAATGATCTGAATCATTTGGTTTCTGTGCTATATCTTCAAATTTCTCTACTTTTACTTTCCGTCTGGCTCACTGTGCCCTAGATCTACTTTCTGTTCTCTGAGCAGAGCAAGTGTGCACACACTCTCAGGGTTTTTGCATTTTTGTCAATCAACACTTCCTCCCCGCCAGGCATGGATTGCTCTTCTTCTGAAAGCCAGCGGGGACTGTTCCTTCACCTCCTTTTTGTATCTGTTCAAAGGTAATCTCTATAAGGCCTTATCTGGCTATTTTATTTAAATATCCATTCCTTTCCTCCTTTATTACTTTTCTTCCTACATTTTCCTTTTGCTGATTCATTTTTCTTCATAGAACTTATCAGCACCTGCCCTAAAATAAATTGTACTTTTTTACTTGTCTATTTACTAGGCCTGGAACCTGGTAGGCATTCAATAAATACTCATTTTATGAATGAATGTGTACATAGAAGAAATTAAAAGTAAATTTTAGTTTAGTGACTTCTCAACTTATTTTATCTGATAAAATGAAGAAAACAGGGCCATTTCTGTTTTCTAGCTTAGCCTTGGAACATGGTGATAAATAGTAAAATATGTGGGATGTCTTTTAGTTTTTAAATTAAATTTATAGCTCATTAAATCCTGTTTAATCAAAAAGCTGAAATTATGTATAAAATACTTTGATAAAATCTAAATCTTATGACTTAAAAGCTTGAACTGAACTCTTCCAGTCATATGTAGTCGATATTTAGTAAGTTTTATGTGCCTATGTACATAAAGTCCAGTCATACTATTCTTAAAACATCTCAATATTTCTCAACTTATAAATAGGAAATAGTGTATATTTGACCAGTGATCTGTGTTTAGAGGTCTGAAAAAAAATCCTGTTACTCTCAATAACCATCAAACTCTAATTGATGAAGTGGAATAGACCTGTATCAGCATTCAAAAATAGTTAAATCTGAAAGTACTGTCAAAAAAATAAGCTCATATGTGTTGTTAAGAGTGTAAATATGCAGAGAAATATACATAGCATTTATGTGACAGAAGAAATAATGGTCTATATGTTAGTAATGGCTTTCTCTACATGCTAAATGACAAATTGCTCACAGCTTTCGCAGAATGATACTTCTGTGCTAAAAAAAAAAAAAAAGTGTATGTTTTCCTGATGCCATTTATTACTTTCAAACTTAATATCTCTTTGGTATTCTTTAATTATTTGGAACAAAAAGTCTAAAATAATTGGGAGTTTATTGCATATTTCTTTGAAAGTCCATCTCATCCCCATCCCCATACCACTGGGAAAGTTAAATCTGAGTTGGATGGGAGAAGAGAACAGGAGATGTATACATAACTGTGCATATACCGTTGGTTGGCTGACTACAATCCCGTCTACATTTCCCTTTTTCCTAGCCATATTCCAATAGTTGCCAAGACATGACCATATGACCAAGCTTCAGTCAATGAAAGATAATCTTAGCTTCCATGAAGGTTTTTATAGACGGGAAAAAATCAACTTGCATTTCCATTTTGCATGTTTTTCTTTTCTATGTCTTACTGCCAGCGATGTAGATATGGTGAACTCAAATTCAATGTAATTTAGATTCAGCTACTCTGATGGTCTTATGCAAAATCAATTTTGGAATTAAATAGGATAAGAGAGAAGAGATTCAGGAGTGTCTGAAGGATATAGTGTTTAAGAGGCATCATTGGAGACATAGTATATTTGAGAATAGGCGCCTGCTTTCCCCTTCCAATTGGTGGAAATTACACCCCTTCCGATTGATGGTGTGTTTCTGGAAATGGCACCAGTAACTTCCTGCTTCCCTACCTTTTGCACAGAGTCTCTGTGGGTCAGTTCTGCAACATTGTTTTGGGGGTCATTCATTGAGTCCCATCCCAGAACCTGCTCTTTATGCTTCTGATGATACTGTAAAATAATTCTGGCATATTATGTAAATGAGGAGCCAATCAAAAGGCAGAAACCACACAGCAATTTTAATAGTAAAAGTTTAATATGAAGAATTACTGGCTGGTCATGTGGCTCATACCTGTAATCCAAGCATTTTGGGAGGCCAAGGCAGGCAGATTGCTTGAGTCTAGGAGTTCAAGACCAGCCTGGGCAACATAGGAAGACCCTCATCTCTATAAAAAATTCAAAAAAAATAGCCAGGCGTGGAGGGAACACTTGTAGTTACAGGTATTGGGGAGGCTGTGGTGGGATGATTGCTTAGGCCAGGAAGTGGAGGCTACAGTGAGCCAGGATCGTATCACTGCACTCTACCCTGGGCCACAGAGTAAGACCCTGTCTCAAAAAAATAAAAATGTTAATAGGATATTTAGTAACCTTAATTTACTAGTGAGGAGTAAAGAGATATTTTAAAAAATCAGAAATGTCATATAAAGGGAATCATTACTACTTTTAAGGCTAACATAGAGCACCCAAGAAACAGACCAATTTAAGAGAGAAGCTCCTTTCTTAGATCTGAAATCCATGCCTCTTTGGGAGGGTGGATTCATGGCTTACTGGATGAAGGAGAAGTTTGCTGAACTGCCCTCTGCTAGCCAGATTGCTGATAATTCACCCTCTGCCGTTCTTCAGGAAAGTGCCTACAGGGAAGTACCATGTACTGCTGGCAGTGGCCACTGGAGAACCCGTGCACCCTTCAGAAACCTGCCCCTGCAGAGACCACACACAGACACACACACACACATACACACACACACACACACACACACTCAGCAGGAACTTGCTGAGACAAGCACAACAGAATCAGGAAGAGAGGACCTCTATCCTGCTGTGACCCTCCAGGGCCCTCTATGGACATAGCTCGCTTAATATAGTGCCAGACAGCAAAGGAGAAATATTTAGAGTCCAGCTACTTTGTCACAGAACAGGCAATGTATTGTGGAATTGGGGCTGAGAGGCAGTAAATCAATTACTAACACATATATGCAATAAAATCCTGACTAAAGCACCAACTTAGAGGCTTGGTGTTCTCTGGGCTCATAATAGTCTTCATCCGAATCTATAAGTCCTCCTTTTGCACTCCTTGTATCTCAGTGTAGGAGTTGCCTCCTCAGTGAGGACTTCTATATTTATTTAAATACTTTTAAATTTGTATTTTTTAATTGAAAAATAAAATTGTATATATTATGTATGCCATGATGTTTTGAAGCATATATACATTGTGGAATGACTAAATCTAGCTAGTTAACACATTCATTACCTCACAGAGTTACCATTTTTGTGGTGAGGATGCTTGACGTCCACTGTCAGCATTTTTCAAGAATACAATATATTGCTAACTATTATATATCAGTACATTGTACAATAAATAATTCTCCTCCTGTCTAAAATTTCGTATCCTCTCACCTACATCTCCCCAACTTCCTCCACCACCCCCAACCATCCCAGCACCTGGCAACCATCATTCTACTCTCTACTTATATAAGATCAACTCTTTTAGATTCCACATATGAGTGAGATCATGCAGTGTTTGTCTTTCTGTACCTAGCTTATTTCACTTAATATAATGTCCTAGAACTTCTGTATTTTTCAGCATACTTTTGGGTGCTAATACCATAAATTTTTCTAAACAGTTAGGGTTTGCCTTTCTCATAAAAAGAGGTACTGCAATAGGTGATCTAACATTTGGTGCTGGCTCAATGAAATCAGGGTGTTGGGTCAGTTTCTCTACAATACTCTTTGTCTTCCCTATCTGTCTTAGTCCATTTGTGTTGCTATAAAGGAACACTTGAGGCTGGGCAATTTACAAAGAAAAGAGGCCTATTTGGCTCATGGTTCAGCCATATGAGAAGCATGGCACAAGAATCTGTATCTGCTGAGGGCTTCAGGAAGCTTTCGCTCATGGCAGAAGGTAAAGGAGAGCAGGCATCACATTGTGACAGGAAGGAAGAAAGAAAAAGGGGAAGGAATTGCCAGCCTATTTTTAACAATTGGCTCTCCCAGGAGCTCGTTCATAGAGCTAGATCTCACTCATTACTTTGAGGACAGCACCAAGCCATTCACAAGGGAACCCTCTCCCCATGACCCAAACACCACCTATTAGGCCCCCACCTCCAACACTGAAGATGAGATTTTCACATGAGATCTGTAAGGGACAAATATCCAAACTGTATACTCATCGCCTCACAATATGATGGCAGTAGTCCTCTATATCTTGTCTTCACAAGGCAATGTCCAAAGTAGATAATGACTTGGGGACTATCCTCAGGAGAGTCTCGCTCTTCATCTGACAGGAACACCTTTCTTGGGA
Source organism: Homo sapiens (assembly GCF_000001405.40). Classification (NCBI taxonomy): domain Eukaryota; kingdom Metazoa; phylum Chordata; class Mammalia; order Primates; family Hominidae; genus Homo; species Homo sapiens. The sequence goes on along the minus strand of NC_000009.12, from coordinate 9,888,247 downwards.
ATATCCATATTCTACTTTCACTTCACTGACAGATTCCTCCATAACATCTCAGAATTGTGTTTCACACTTTCCACCATTTGCTATGTGGGAAGATGGGAAAGTGAAGAACTGGTGAGAGATTTGATCTTCCCTTAGGACTGAAGGGAGAGGAATGGCTGCTGGGTAGGCAGACAACAACGTGTGCTACACCTTCTCTAACCATCCTTGCTAACGGGCCAGTTTCCCCAGGTCATTGTCTTGCCCTTCGTCAGGTGTCATTTTCTGTTTCGGCATTTACCATTTTCTGAATTTATTTTGTTATTTTTCATGTGAGTGTATTATCTCCCTCCATTAGACTTAAGCCCCCATGTTTACTGGGACACATTTGTCTTATTTGTTTTTCAGGTAATGGAATAGATATTCCATAAATACGTGTCAGCTGAATCAGTGTACGAAAGAGTATTTTAAAAATATTGCCCCCTCCACATTTTCCTACTAGTAAAACTTTCTACTCCTGAAAAGTATATTTAGCTTTCTCTAATTTTTCCACCTCCCATTAAATACTTTTAAGGAAGTGCAAGTTAGGTCTTTCACTAGAAACTGTTTTTCTACTACGCCTCATGCAACCAGTTGACTCTCCAGGTTTGTCTGAGTACATGGTACACTGATGTTCTCACTAAAGAGTCCTGCATTCATCCCACAGGGAAGTTTAACATCTAATGTTGTTCTGCCCCTTGATGATGGGCTTTACCATAAGATCAGCTGCTTCATGCTCCTTCCAAATGTGTGGTCCTACACAAGTATTATGCATCATGTTTTTTTATATGTATTGCAGCCTCTTAAGCCACACATGACTATATGTATCCTTTGCATTTTCACTGCAGGAGACAAAACTTGCAGGAGAAGAGAATAGCTCTTTCTCTTGAGGATTCATATCTCAGTGACAAAAACATAGAGGTATAGAAATAACAATATCCAATACAGTGAACAATGTCAAGGAAAATTTTCATGGTTTATTGGTGGTAAATAAGGTAAATACGGTGAAGTGAACAAACAATTCTGCTATGATATTGACAGAAGGCTTTCTAATTGAGAAAAAATATGAAAGTTGAAGTGAAAGTATGAGAAGAAATGACTTGCCACCAATGTGTAAGTCACTGTGTTTCCAAGGTATGGGAGAAGGGACTTATTCCATTATGTATTGTTGCAAAACAAATTTCCTTATAACTTAGTGGCGGAAAAAAACAAGTTTATGGCCTCTCATGGTTTGTTGTGGATCAGGAATTTGGGAGGTGTTTGGGGACAGTGGTGTGGATGCAAGTCAGACAAGAACTGGAGCATCTGGGTGCTCCATCTGGCCTGCTCCATCTGGGACAGACCTTCTATGTCCATGTAGTCTAAAGGCTTTCCCATGTGGTCTCTCCACGTGGGTTAATTTGAACTTCATCAAAGCATGGCAGCAGTAAGGCAACTGAACAAAATGTATGGTAACTTAGTGTACTGGCAAGTGTTCCAGCAAACAAGATGGAGGCTGCATTGTCTTTCCTAACTGAACCACAAAAGTCATGTAGTGTTACTTCTTCTTCATTCTTGTAGTACAATGAAGTCCCATTCCTGCCCAGATTCAAGGAGCAGAGATTATAGACACCTCTTTTCAATGACAGAACTGTCAAGATCACATTGTAGAATTTCTTCTGAGATAGAAGATATTGGTACAGTCATTTTGGAAAATACACTGTGGAACGGTCTGACCTCTGGCCACAATTTACATCCCTCCCATGGGAAAAATACACAGCCTCCTTTCTTCAGGACTCTCCTTTTAAACCTCCCTTTTTTATGGCAATAGTTTCGGGCTCAAGGTCTAATATCCTTTATATTATGTCCACATGTGAAGAAAGCTATTTGCAGTTCATTACATATTACTCTTGTTTATGTAAATGCCCGTGAATTAAAGAAATATGAGATAACCAGTAGAGAGATTCCAATTCAAACATATAAAACAGGAGACCCAGAGCAGTGACGGGCATATAGCAATTCTGATATGCAGCCAGACATGTATTGATAATTCTTTGGTTAGGGCCTAATCTTGCTCTCTGGAGTTGTCCTCTGATGTCTCTTGGCTATATCCCTTGGGCATCATTCTTTTTCCGGAAGTGGCTGGTGTGTATAAATGAGAAACATTCTCATTCTGTTTTCTATCCATAGCAGTTCAGGAGTCCAAAGGTTTCTTTTCATTTGGCACTGTTTATCCTTTTCATTTTAACTTTGAATCTTTTTTTTTTTTAATATGTGGGGTTTTGTAAGGTATCAAATGCTAATCCACTACATTAGACAAAATCTACACTCACAGATCTCTTTCAGATAGGCAGATAGGCCCTTCTCTTCTTTTTGGCCATGGTTTTTTTTTTAACCTGTTGTGGCTGTAACAAATTACCACAAATTTACAGGCACAAAGCATACAAAATTACTATCTTACAGTTCTGGAGATCAGAAGTCTAAAAAGGGTCAGCAGACTATTTTCCTTCTAGAAGATCTGGGGGATAACCTATTTTGTTGCCTTTTCTGGAGGTTGCCCACATTCTTTGACTTGTGGCCCCATAGCATGCCAACCTCTTTCCATGGCCACATTTCATTCTCTAAAACTACCCTCCCTTCTCCTTCCCTTATAAGGACTCTTGGGTCTATCTAGACAATTCAGACTAGTCCCCCCATCTCAAAATCCTTAACATATTCAAATCTGCAAAGTCCGTTTGCCATGTAAGTAATATATCCATCTGTAGGACCCCTGTGAAGCTGCTGAGGGAAACTCCTCAGATCCTTAGAAGCCTTATCATATAATGAAGGGGATCTGAGATGCAAGTCCTTGAAATTCTCAGTGGAACTTTTGTGTAGGTTAAAGATTCTATGAGGCATCATCTTAAATCTTTCTTACATCTTAACAAAGGAATTTATCTCACGTTGGCCTTATCTTACTTTGAGAAACTTTTGCTTGTTGAAAGGACTCTTCTGGGCCCTTCCTTCTCAATTTAGTAATTTCTAATTTTTATTCAATATATTAATACTTCTTTAATTTCTTTTTTTCTTTTTATATCATAAGTAGCTAGAGGAAACCATGCAGTACCTTAAGCTCTCTGCCTGGTAATCTACTTAGCTCTATCATTGAATTTTTAAGGAATATTTTATTTTTTGTGTTACTACAGGCACCAGTTTTACTAGCCTTTCTGCCACTATAAATGTCTCCTTTCCTCTAGATGCCAATAACGTTTTCTTTGCTTTTCTGAAAGCCACCTTGTATTAGTCCGTTCTCACACTGCTAATAAAGACATACATGAGACTGGGTAACTTATAAAGGAAAGAGGTTTAATTGACTCGTAGTTCCATTGGGCTGGGGTGGCCTCAGGAAACTTACAATCGTGGCAGAATGGGAAACAAACACGTCCTTCTTCACATGGCAGCGGCAAGGAGAAGTGCCAAGCAAGTGGGGAAAAGCCCCTTATAAAACCATCAGATCTCATGAAAACTTACTCACTATCATGAAAACAGCATGTAGGTAACCATCCCCATGATTCAATTACCTTTCACCAGGTCCCTCCCATGACACATGAGGATTATGGAAACTATAACTCAAAATGAGATTTGGTTGGGGACACAGCCAAACCATATCACTCCTCTAGGCTCATCAGACTTCTACAAATAGTGTCTTCAAGGCCTTTCCAGCTTCTACCTGCCATCTATTCCCAGAGCTTTTGCTGTGTGTTTTAGGAGACATATGCCACATGCTTTAGTTTGGTGGTGGTAAATGTTTGTAAACAATGAGCTCTGCTATAATATTGAGGAAGGGCTTTCTTACAGAGATAGAATCTGAGAAGAGGTATCTTCCTGACTTACATGTACACTGAAGGTGAAAGAATAGATGTTGTTGCTTTCTTGCTTTTAGGGTAGGAAGAAAATCATAAATAAAAACAAAATTCTGAACAACATAAAGGTATGAAGTTGGAAAGACTGAACTCTGTGTCTTATCCCTCATTCCATTCTTCACAATGTCAAATGTTGGTGCCCTGAACACAGTCCATAGTCAATGTTTGAAGGATGATGGGGAGGCTTAGAGGGACCAAAATAAACTTCACTGCTACATAGTTTGGAACACAATCAGCCATATTCTCAGCTGTGTTTACTGCGTATCCTTTAGTTCATTGTCTAGGTAAATATTTGGGAATAAGTCTTAGATAATGTATATCTTCCAAATAAATATGTACTAAGGGATAAAACAAAGAATGGAAGTTCCAGGACTTTAAAAAAAAGGAAGAAATGTCAAATACTCACTGAAAGCATAGAGTATTCAGCTTGACTTTCCAGGAGCTACTAACAGAATAATTTCATTGAACATTATTTCTGCTGCATGACATTGGAAATGCACTTTGGTACAGTTCTACTTCAGTTGTTTTCCCTTGGGTATTGAAAAGTTTGCCCTGGAAAATGAGAAAACCAAGTGATGGAAAAATTTCACAGTATACGGCTAAATGATAAATATGTCTATTTTAATACTGGTAATAAAAGCTGGCTAAGAGGTTAGATAGAGTACATGTGAGGCAGTGGTTGTATGTCACCAAAATATTTTTAGAATTGTTGGTGATTGCTTTACTTTTGAAAGAGCAGATATATGATTGCCTGACTTTGGTAAAAGATGATCTATTCTTCTTAAAATTCATAATTGATTAAGAGACCATGTAACACTGAGAGTGAAAACCGGGAAGTACCTGAAACATCTTTGCACATTTAGTATCCCCTGATTGCCAGACATCATTTATACTTTCCTGTTCTCCTAGTTGACCTCCTCTTCACACCTTATTCTCTATTCTTTTGAATGTTGGTTTCTAGATGTTTTTGTTTTTCTTTTCCCTACAGCCTGTTCTACTTATAAATAAATTTCTAGCGTTTCTCTCAGAATAAAGAAATGACAGTGACTATCAATGAAGAGGAAGTAATAAATTTGTGTTGAGATGTTTGCAGCAACAAGAGAAGATTGAAAAAATAAACTTATCTGGGGCCTATCTTTCTTGTGTATTATCTTTTAAAAGTATAAGCACCTTCAAGGATGGGAGTTCGCCTCTTGGGGGGTTTGTTCATTTTGCGTTGCTGTAAAGGAATACCTAAGACTGGGTAATTTATAACTAAAAGAGGCTTATATGGCTCATAGTTCTGAAGGCTGTACAAGCATCATGACAACATCTTCTTGGCTTCAAATGAGACCTCATGTAGCTTACAATCATGGCAGAATGCAAAGGGATAGCCAGACCATCACATGGCCAGTGAGGGAGAAAGAGAGAAGGGAGGTTTCAGACTCTTTTCAACAACCAAAACTCATGTGACCTCATTACCACAGGGAGGGCACTAAGCCATTCACAGGGGATTCACCCCAGTGGCCGAAACACTTCCCATTAGGCCCCCACTTCCAACATTGGGAATTACATTTCAACATGAGATTTGGAGGGGACAAATATCCAAATCACATCAGGGTGGGTCTGGGGGTGTATAGGGGGGTTGGGGAGGGTCATGTGGACAAGACTTCCTCCTTAACAGGAACATAAAGACATTTAATGCACAACCTAAATGGAGAATTCAACAGTTGCTATCCACCTTACAGTGGGCTTATAGATAATTCTCAGAGTCTGAAATAACACCAAGAAAAACCTCATTCTTTCCTTCAGAAAGGTTATTTAATTTAGGTTGGATATAAATTATATGCCTAGAACTTCTAAAGTAGAGCCCTTTTATAAAATAAAAATATATCAGTACCCTTCATCCTCAAGCCTAGAATGGTGGGACTACTTATTTCTCAGCAGAAGAAACCAACTTCACCATTTGGATCATGATATTGACCAAGCGTTGGCCAAATATAAATGGTATATGAAACAGATACAAGCAAAAATGATGGGAAAACCTTTCAAAGATTTTGCTCAGTTTCAACTCAGTGCTTAGTGAACCTCTAGAAAATATTCTAATTTCGATCCTTCTGCTTACAATCAAAAAAATGAGAGACATGATAATGAGGAGAGAGGTTAAAAAAATTCAGGTGGTGAAGGGCATGTTGGAGGAGAGAAACTATGTATTTGATATATGTGTTATACCAATAAATATTAAAGTTGTGTGAGTATGTAATATTAAATACAGGTCATTGGAAATCTTAATATATATTAGTCTGTCTACATTCTTTTTTCAACTATATAGATATTGAAGAACTTGCAAAGTGTTACACTATACAATCCATGGTGGAAATTGAGAAAAGCAATGGAAGTTGGATGGGGTTTTACAGGCCCAGGGTGTTGCCTGGGTGACTTGACTCTGCCCCTATGGTCTTTCACATTTCTCCAGCAAGCTAGCCCAGGCATGTTCTTGTGGTAAATGTAGAGGTATAAGAGGATGCAAACCTAGTCATTCTGGCATATGTCAAGTTTCTCCTTTTTATTTTTACTGATATCCCATTGGCTAAAGCAAATGATATGGTTACTCTGAAAATCCAGCTGCAGAACCCTGGAAGGTCACAGAGTGAGATGTGGGGGTGTGAGACGGTTGCGGTAAAGTGGCACCTTAATACAACCAATCTATCATACCAGGGTTCATAAATCCCTCCAGCTCTTTGCTATGCCCCCAAAGCTAACTGAAGTTCCAAAGCTAACTGAAAGTTCCATGTATAATTGGGAGTTCTTTACATAATCATCCCAGTTTATTTTCACAACAGCCTTGTAGGATGATATTTTCTGTTTATAAAAGATGAAGATGCGGTGGAGGAGAAATAATGTAACCTGCCCTGGTAAACTTAGACTCAAACCCAAGTCAGACTACGAAGCTCTTGATCTTGTTACAAGAGCAGAGAACTGGGGAAGTAGGAATTACTCATAGTTTGAGATAGGCAAAATAGTAATCATAGAAACATCAATGGTGAGAGAAATAAATTGATGGTAGAGTCTGATATTAAATAGCTGATAGTCAAGTTGTAGATATGTATCCAAAAGATGATTGAATGTCCCAAAGTAGCTGTTTACTCTTATTTTTCTTTGAATGTCCAAATTCTGCAGTGTTAGCCAATTAAAAAAAACTACTAATTTTGTCTAATATAGAATTTATTTTTTTAAAAAAATTATTGAGTGAAGTTTCACTTCACTGCCCAAGGATTTCCAGAATATACCCTTCCAAAATGGCTAATGAGACTTTTCCAGACATTCTCGTACTTTAACTAGAAATGTTTTTCAATGCAGGGTTTCCAAATGTGCCTATGCAAAATACTTTTTGACTACACATAGGTACTGGTAAAAGGAAAGATTTTTGTTCACTTAAACTATTTCGAACACATACAAATATGTAATTATTTTCCAAAATAAAACAACCAAAAGTCAGTTTCAGACAGTAGGAAAAAAAAATAAATGACCAGCAAAGGTCAAAGCAGCATCAGTCTAAGGAACTTTCTGAGGCTAACAGATCAATAGAAATACATGCTTGGCTGAATTTAATAGTCTCACCACTAAATAGCATCTGCTTAAAAAGATCTTTTACTATAGTTACAAAAAATGAATTGTAATAATAATTACTGCTCAGTGTGTATAAAACACTGCTTATCACACACAAGCACACAACACACACAGAGTCCCAAAGAAACAAATTAAATTCTCCTCTAGTGCATTGAAGCCAAGGTAAAGTAAACTAGGGACTCATACCTGATACAAAAATAAAAGTAAATATCTGAAGATTATATATGATAATTTTAATTTGTATATAAATTCTATACTGTTTAGAATTATACACAGTGATAATGGTGATATCTGATTTTTGAAATTCTAAAAAAGTAAATAACATCTGAGGAGTACATTAACATTTTCACTTAAATGCTAGCCATTAACCACGTAGTTATCTTTTAGGCATCTTGTTTTAGTCCATTCTCACACTGCTATAAAAATACTACCTGAGACTGGGTGATTTATAAAGAAAAGAGGTTTAATTGACTCACAGTTCCACATGGCTGAGGAGGCCTCAGGAAACTTAAAATCATGGCGGAAGGGGAAGCAGGCATGTCTTACATGGCAGCAAGCAATAGAGAAAGAGTGCACAAAGTGAGAACACTTAACCAGATCTTGTGAGTTCACTCACTATCACAAGAACACCATCAGGGAACTGCCCCCATGATCCAATCACCTCCCTCCCTGGACACTTGGGGATATAGGTCCCCCCCTCGACATGTGGGGATTAGAGTTAGAGATGAGATTTGGGTGGGGACACAGAGGCAAGCCATATCACACCTGTAGAAAGAAATTCAGACATGTTTTTACTTCAGGCATAAAGTTTATAGACAGCTTCAAACTTCCAATATAATTTTCTTGGCAATACTGACCCAACTGGCAGTGATTATTCTTATCTCCAGGCTCTCTGAAGCAAGACGAACTGGAAATTCAAGCTGTTCTTCAATATTAAGCTGATCAGAAAAACCAAGAAGCAAGAAATGTTCCACCCTTTCAAGCTTCTTATCTCTGGGGATGATCTGATCTTATCTCAGAGACATCTCACCTCTTGATCTTGAGGCTTCTGTTCTCTAAATCAAAAAACCTAAACTTTCACTTAGGATCTCTGTCAATTTTAGTCAGTATATTCCTGGTCTGACAGATGTGAGTGGAGAGTTGGTTGTGTTGGAAAAAAATATATAATTGTTGCAGTGTCAAATACTTGCAAGCTTCAATTTTACCTTTTTCTTCAATCCTCAGAATTTACCCTCTATTTAATTTTCCAAATAAGATAAATCAATCACTTCCTCTATGATACAAGCTATTTTGAATGGAATGTTGTTTATAGTATAGTTCTGTTTCTCACTGGGGGAGGGAGGTTGCCCTTAGGCAGATTCAATTCTACCTAGAGGCATTTTTTTCTCATCACAAGTGGGAGTGAAGTAATACAGACATTTCATGGATAGAGGCCAGGGATGCTACTAAACAACCTACACACAAGATAGCCCCTCATGACACAGAATTATCTGTCTCAAATGTTAATACTAAGGAGGTTGAAAAACCTTTAGAATAAACAAAAGAAAAAAGGGCAAATACTACTGATTACAATTTCTCTAGTCCTTCATACTCTGTCTCTATGGAGAATGGAGCCTAAGGCTAAATTATAGATTCACATTCAGAAAGAAGACTTGATAGTCAACATAGAATTATAAAACACCATAGAAAATACTGAATGAAAAATTTTGAGGGTTGATAAAATAATCTATTTTGAGGGCACATAGAGTAACAAATCTCCTCCCATTTATTCATTCATCCATTCATTCAAAACCTATAATGTGACTGGAGCCTATAATAAAGTCCAGACTGATAAGGACATCAATAGCTGATGTTTGATTGTGGAGGGAAGGAGGAAGGTAAAGGAAAAATGGTTCTTCCTCTTCATCTTTTTTAGTTGTGGAAATTCTAATAATACATGTGATAAAAGCCATGTATTATTAGAAGAAGAATGTAGATAGAGGAAAGTTAAGGCAGGAAGTATCTAACAATTATGAGAAATCCACCTATGCTCTATTTGGTGGGTTATGCTTAAAGACAGTTCATTCTAACAATGCTATTTGAAAATGAAGAAACAATCCAAGAGTTCTATCATTCATCCAGCAATGTACGCAGGACTTAGGTTGACAGACCTTACTCTTATAGGTCTAAACATTTTCTCTATTTTCTAACTTACCAAGTCTCTTACATTCAGGTTAATTTGTCTGCTATTACATTTATTTGCCCCTCCTGGATAATGCCTATTCATCCTTTAAGTCTTCACTTAGATGACTCTCCTTAGTCTTCTCTGCAAGTTTGCAGGTGTCCCCTCAGTATGCTGTCCCTATAATTCTCCCACGATAGCTAGCATTCCCAGTGATTGTGATGGCCTAGGTCCACTCACACTTCCACTACAATGTAAGCTCTTGGAACTCTCTCAAATAGCATAGCATATAATATCTAGCATGATGTAATAACTAGTACATGACATATATATTCCTATGTGACTAAATGAATGTCTTTCTGCGTGATACTTTCTCAGGTATTTTGTGTAGTATTTAAGTATATTTCAATAAAATTAAGCATACTAAAGCCACTATTGTTCTCTAGCTGGATGTCCTGAGAAGAGGTTGAATTCTTTAATCTCTACCACAGTTGGCAGGGTCCTTTATCTGATCAAACAATCAGTGAGATTATACTTGAATTTTAGAGGGGCAACCGATGGATATAGTGAGAAGGGCAAACATGCATTTTTTTTTTTTTTTTTTTTTTGAGATGGAGTTTTGCTATTGTTGCCCAGGTTGGAGTGCAATGGCGTGATCTCAGCTCACCGCAACCTCCACCTCCCGGGGTAAAGCAATTCTCCTGCCTCAGCCTCCCAAGTAGCCAGGATTACAGGCATGGGCCACCGTGCCTGGCTAATTTTGTATTTTCAGTAGAGACAGGTTTCTCCTCGTTAGTCAGGATGTTCTAGAACTCCCTACCTCAGGTGATCTGCCTGCCTCGTCCTCCCAAAGTGCTGGGATTACAGGCGTGAGCCACTGTGCCTGGCCCAGCATTTCTTCAAGAGTTTGTACACTTAATCAAAACCTGTTTTCCTATCTTGGTGATCTAGAATGTACCCAACACAATAATTAAGAATTCTTTTTACCTTCAACTATGAAGTCTTGGAGCAGAAAACATTCTCCTTCCTCCTTTCACCTAAGATTCACTCTCACTTTGATCATAGGAGTCATGAAAAAGAAAAGAATCTCCACCTCATACAGTGGTTCTAACATATCATTCAAGAATCCCTGATTTGTTACTGATCCATATCACAAATTAAAGTTTCTCCTCTTGGACTAAAGAGTGGAGGAAAAGTGGCTTGAAGTCTTTGCCTCAAATCTTCCTCCCTTATCCTCCCCATGACATTGGACTGTGGAGGAAAAGAGTATATTTATGAAGCTAATATTTATTTATTTTGTCCCAAGACAGTTGTTCTTGGGTCACTATCTGTTTTATAAGAAAAATATAGAATTACCTGCATTACCAGTTACTCAGGAGATGCATGACTCACTAGTTAACCAAGTCCATACTGAAGTGCTACCACTATATCCCAAGAATTACTATGATAAATTTCAAATGACAGCTGAAATATATCTCTGTAATTAGATCTTTTTGGTGCCTGGATGCTTGAATTCTGTAGCATTCAGGCATCAAAAAGCTTAAATAAGTGGCTTGAGCAATGTAACTGAACCCAAAACTTCAGCAAGGATAAATAATTCAGCCTATTTATACAGGCAACTTATGTTTTCTTGTTTCTTAAAATAAAATTAGTCTATTTAAATAATGTATTTGATGTGACACGAATGAGTAAAAATCCTGTAATTTGTCTTTTAAGATGACAGTTTGTCATAAAAACATGACTTAAAGTCATCCTTAATGCATGGCATGCCGTCATTATTTTGAATTTCTTGAGTATGTTTGTGTCACCACAATAACATAACATAGTGTTATTTTATGATGTTGCATGATTCTGACATAGAATTTGTATAAAGCAAATTTGAGAAAGAGCTCCCAAAATGACAAATATGTGTAAAAAGGAGATGCTGCCAAGGGCAAATGCTTTCCAAAAATAGTGCCACTGCACTAATTCTCATATAATGAGCATTAAGAAATGTAATGATCTCATATTTGTCTTATTGTTAAAACTGCAGAGGTGGTTTAACAAGTGTTTTCACATCATGTGTGCTTTGTTAGTTGTTAAAACAGTTTTTTTTTCGAGGTGATATAATTAAAATAGAATTGTAGGTGCCCTGAAGAGACATTCACAGCTCCGTTTAAATATAAGTGAAATTTCACAGATGTTAGCCAAAATTTCTAAATGCATGCTTGCTACTGAAGCCCTACTTTAAAAAGAGTCTTTCAAAGTATTTTTCCTAAGACCTTTTCAGTGATTGTTTCATTTAGTAGGATTCTTTATTAGAAAGAAATCATATATTCATTTTGATAAACAAGAAAAATCTGATTGTGTACAACTAAGTTTCCTAAATTTTTATAGCAAATGTGAAATCTAACTCTATCCCTTCCCTGACTCACCATTGGAACTCAGGTACCCATAATCATAGTAATCATAATCCTTGGTTCAAAACACAATCTCTTACTGGCCTATGCATGGCCCATCTTCCTCCCTTCCTTCCAACTATCCTTTATTCCTTCCTTCTTTGCTTCCTTTTCTTACAATAATGAATTAAGCACCTGCAAACTCACCAGGCAAAACAAAGTCAGGATCTCCAGATGATCCTGCAGTAGTCATATGTCTCTCTCATCCCATCTTTCTGCTTCCATTCACTAGAGAAAACCATTATCTTGGACCCTGTATTCACCAATCTCTGCATTTCCTTTTTTATAGTATTTTAACTTTTATCAGTTAACATAAATTAATATTTATCACATTTTACTAAGATTAACTGGTGTTGTGGATTGTTATTTTGTCTTAAACCTGGATGTTTTTTATTTATAAAGGGTTAATATTCCAAATACTCTGCTTTTAGTTCAGCTGTCTAGAGCATGGATCCACAGAAACTACGTTATTACTAAGTACTAGGTTTCAGACTGTGTTTCCAAACTGATAAGACATTGTTAACCTACAATAATTCTATTAGTTAGATATTAGATAATTTAATAATTCTAATAGTTAACCTACAATAATTCTGGTAGTTATCTAAGTTGGTGGTCCTGAGAGTAAAGCATATGCAAAGTAAAATAAGAAGGCAGTGTAGATTGGTCAGATACTCTTTGGTTTGCATCCTACTTAGGTTATTAACAGATATTCAATGTTCTTGAAATTATCCAGCCTTTGTATTTTTAAAGTTTATTTTTTATTTTTGTTTTTGAGCCAGAGTCTCACTCTATCATCCAGGCTAGGGTACTGTACAATAAAACTTATTTTTCCTCAGTAATTTAGCAATATCAGTACCTAACTGCATTATTAGTGATGTGTAATTTTGCTTCTCTGTAAAATAAACATAAAGGATCTCAAAAGATATATAATTTTAAGAAATTATCTAGGGCCCCAAGTTGATACTGTTCTAGGCAAAGGTATAGAGAACATTGGGGTAAACTGACTAGAGAATGCAGGATCTCAGTAAGAACTAAATATTTAAGAATTACAATAAAAAGCCTTATTGATGTATAGGTTAAAACTTATCCATTGTGTTCACTTGAGTTATCTAATCATTCTCAGAATCCTTTGTAGCAGGAAACAAGTGATTGTGCTCTTTATTCAAATGATTGGACAAAAGCTCAGAAATTTTAAGGTAATCTATCTATTATAAACCTTGGAATCATAAGATTTTATCCTGGAAAGTATTTTATATTTCTAGCCTACAGACTGCACCACAGGATAATGTATCACTAATCTCAAATTCCCTGGACACAAAATATTAAGGTTTAGATCTATCCTACATACGTTTCCAAATGTACAGGAATTTCACAAGTACATGTGAATAAGCATTAATTCACGTGATTTAGGGAGACCGTCTTGTGCTGAGTAATAAATAAATCATTTAATGTTTGACTGGAGGACTGTGAACATATTGCTTGATAGAAAGCAAAAACATATTTCAAAGTTTATTATTTGAGATAAAAGAGAACGAGGAATTAGAATGATGTAAGTTGAGTTCATTTTCTTTCCTTTCTAATTCAAATACATTTTGCTAAATCTAGCACCTGTTTTAGGTCTCTGGATTGGTGAAAGGCACGCTTACATTTAAGTCCTGCTTACATTTAACTTCCTGTTTCCACCAGTTCTGCGTTGCATATGTTGTGACTGTTCCTTTCTTTCTGACCCAAATGTATATAATATTGATATCCTGTATAACATCACTCATGTAATGTAGTTGATTGTTTTTAAGAGACTTTTAGTTAAGATTTGGAGGTTATGGCTAGGGATTATATAATCAAAAATTAGATCATTTAAAAATGAATAATAGCCAGCTTTACTAGTAGAGCTCCCCTGTATACATAGCCCTCTCTCTCGTCTTCGGCCTCCTGTCTCACTCCACAGCCCACTGGCATGTCCCCTTGACAGGCTTCTGTTCATTTATTATACATAGTAATTTACCCTTCTTTTTGTTTTACTCTTACTCATCCAGACCACTCTCTATTCTACAAGGGCAAGGTCCTTTAAAATGTTTTTGTCCTAAAAACATTTCATCTGTTGTGAGGTCCTAAAAATATCTTAAAATCCTAAAATCTGCTTTAAGAAGAAATTGGTCTCTTGGTCATATTTGTTTCTTTCTTTTATATATAATAATATACACTATTACTACTTCAATACACGTCAGCTATTGTTTTACTTTAGTAAGTATAAAACCCATTAAAATGATTTACCAAGTTCAAGCATGTCTTCATTTCTTTTTTCATAACACTAATTCCCAATAGGTCTTGAGATATGCTTCTGTAACTTATGCTGCTATGGGGATACTCAGAAATATGAGCCTCAGGATGGAGAAAGAATATTTTAATTAAAAGAATTAAGAATGCTCATTTATTATCTCAGTTTGGAGCATTTACATAATTCGTGTTATTTAAATAGCAAACTACATTCTAATTTGCTGTTATATTTTAGATGTTTAGATAACTATAGGCATGGCATTAATGGAGATGTAGAATGCAGGAAGGGAGCAGTATTTCCTTTAACAAATTCTGTGCCCTCCTCCTTGGACTCTGTGGTAAATTACCCAGAGAGTCATTGTTACTTTACCTCTTATTAACTGCCCTTATAGAAAAAAAAAAGTAAGTAAGATCCAGGTTTTAGTTAGAGCTTATGAGTTTCTGGATAATTATTTTTTTTTGTAAATGGATGGGAAATATATTGACCATGCTTTGTGCTTTAAGGATTATTTCATTCTTAATTATTCCTTTGATAAAATAGGAAGGAGAGGTGCAGGTTAGCCACCCAAGGCTAATGTTTCCACCACTGAAAGCAGAGAGCTCAAAAGAAAACCTTTATTTACATGAAAGGTTAGAACAGTTTATCTTTCCATGTTAAGTAGACAGTGCTGAATGTTCCCAATACATTGGTGATGAGTCTTTCTTTGATAATATTTCTTCGTCGGATCTTCCTTCACTATGGTAGGAGATTCAGTGAAATGTGCTGACTTCATGGAATAATCATTAAACACTCCACATTTCATATCTTAATCCTATTATATAGATTATTTCTTATTTTAAAAAGGATTATCAAAATAGTATTGATCTTCTAACTCTTCTCAATTGTAAAGTGCTTAGACATTGATTGTTGAGTTATTTGGCCAATGTTTATCAAGCCCATACTTAATAAATATTAATCAGGCCCTCTGCTTGCGGATATGATTGAATATAGGCTGTCTTCTACTTAGCTGATTAATATTGCTGCTTTCAGTTTCTGCCTCTCCTCCATCTTCTCTTGAAGGTTTTTCATTTGGGAACATACTCAATTACTTTTTTAAAAACTACTTGAAGTTACTTCACTAAGTAATGTACCATCATGATGATATCTAGCATTTAATGTATACATTCAAGGTACCAGGCACTGTGCTATGTCCTTTAAGTGTATCTATCTCATGTAATTCTATCTCCTTGTAAAGCTGTGTTATCTCCATTTTATTGGTGGTGGTGGTGGTGGTTGTTTTGACACAGGGCCTTGCTCTGTTGCCCAGGCTGGAGTACAGTGACTCACTATAGCCTCGATATCCTCGGCTCAAGCAATCCTCCCACCTCAGACTCCAGAGTAGCTGGGACTACAGATATGTGCCCCCATGCCCAGCTAATTAAAATTTTCTTTTGTAGAGACAGGGTCTCACTATGTTGCTTAGGCTTGTCTCAAACTCCTATGCTCAAGCAATTCTCCTGCCTCGGCCTCCCAAAGTATTGGAATTACAGCCATGAGTCTCCATTTAATTGTGGAGGAAATTGAGGGACTGTGAGGGCAAATCACTTGCCCAGGGTGACATGGATCCTATATATTCTGGCTGGAATTCAATTTGCAAGCTGGCTGCCTTCAGAGCCTACACTTTTAATCATTATGCTAAGTTAGACACAGGAAATGATACCTTTCGTTTATGGGAACATGGTGATTGCCAACTTTGATGGATAAGTGCAAGATGAAACTGATGAGTGATTATAGTGTGAACAATTATAGAGGGGAGCCATCATGACCCCACCACAGACAATAGTCTGTGGTACTATTGTCAAGTCAGGAGGATACTAATGCTTACTCTTGAATTTGTGGTGAGGATTAAATGAAGTTATACATGTAGAGTGTTTAGTTGTTTGTCTGGCAATTGTAAAATAGGCAATAAACCTTAGTTTTTGTTATTATGATTTATTTAGAATAGTTAGACTTATGCATTCCTATTGTTAAAGGAAAAGATCAAGCCAACCCCTCCCCCCAGGCCCCTTTCCAGAAGATAATCTTAGGGCCTAAGGAGGTTAGGTTGCTTACCCTCTGCCCATGAGCTTCTCCTCCCAGGCCCCTTTCCGGAAGATAATCTTAGGGTCCAAAGAGGTTAGGTTGCATACCCTCTGCCCCTGCACTTCTTCTCCCAGGCCCCTTTCCAGAAGGTAATCTTAGGGCCCAAGGAGGTTAGGTTGCTTACCCTCTGCCCCTGCACTTCTCCTCCCAGGCCCCTTTCCAGAAGATAATCTTAGGGCCCAAGGAGGTTAGGTTGCTTACACTCTGCCCCTGAGCTTCCTTGAAGAGCTAGAGTTAGAAATACAGCGGCTCCCCTGAATCCAATCTCTCTTGGTTTTCACCCATCCTTTCGTATACTAAACCAGAGAGGATATTGCAGTAAAATATCAGAAAATATTCAAAATGGAGAATAGACAAGGCTCCATCAAGGATACAAGACTACATGAAATTAAACTTCTCAGAAGGATTTTGTGTCAATGGATTTCTCTTGTGCAATTGTCATTACCTACCCTTTTGGTCTTACTGTTATTTTTGCTATTTCATGAAGCTAAAATTGTATCCATACTTACTCTCTTGTTTGACTTGTAATTGGTTTATTCTATTTTATATTGTAATTTCTTAATGTAAGGACTAAATTATTTTATTTTCTTTCTAATTTTTGTAGGCTTCAAGTTTTCATATAACACCTTTTGTTGAACCCATTAGTATCTGTACAAAATGTTTTAGACTAGAGAGAATGTAAATTCATATTTTTATCCTTTCTGATTCAAGGGATCAAATGAATACATCTCTTAATTTTTATGGAGTAGTAATTTGTTAATTGAACAGTTTAGTATTAATATGTCTTAATTTTATTTCTCTCTCCAACTCTTTGCCACACAAACTTCACATGTACAGAAAGTTGAATGTATGTTGTTATAACACGTATATATCCCTTATCCCTTCATCCAGGCTCAACAATTGTTAAGATATTTCAACACTAAGTGTCTATCCTACCTTCTCTTTCCCTTTATCTGCAATTTCCCCTGGAGTGTGTGTATAAATTTTTTTGGCTAAATTATTTAATATTAGATTGCGAACATCAGTACACTTCATCCTCAAATCTTTCAGAAGACATGTCTTAAGAACAAAGTCATTCTCATACATGACCAAAATAGCATTATCAAAACCAAGAAATTTAACATCAGTGAAATAGAAATAATATAAATAATAAGTAATTCTTATAGAAATTACTATAATTATCTCAACAATATTTTGTAAGTGTAATTTTTATTTCAAATGAAATACATTATAATCAAAAAAGGTTGCTGTAAAATCTCAACTTTATGAGCATATTAAAGGGTATGGGCAACTTATTTATTTTACATTTTCTGTGGATATATGAAAATCTATATGCAAGTAACAAAGTTGTCTATAGTAAATATAGATTGTAGGCTGCCCTATTTAACTTCATTATTTTATTTCTTCTTTGTCTAATGTATCCATTGAGATTTTGAAGAAGAATGATATATTGAAATCTATCATTATAATTGTTTTTATATCAAGATTCTTTGAATTTTAAAAATCTTTTTATTCGGGAATTTTCAAACATACTTCAAAATAGAAATTATTGTATAAGTAGTCTCCATGAACCCATCCACCCATCTTCAATGATTTTACCTTTTTACCAATCTTAGAGATTACCTTTTCCATTTGTTGTATAATATTTTGAAACAAATCTAAGATATCATGTTAAGATATATGTATCAAGTACCTGTAGATACTTCAATAGGACCTACCCTAACAGATAATATTGATGTAAGCTAACAAATATTTTATGTTTGTATACATATATACACATGCTACAGTGCTATGGACAAACTTTACAAAATTAGCAACCATTGCTTAATGTCATCTAGTGGCTGTTCTCTAATTGTTTTCCCACTTGTCTCAATCTCTGCTGTATTTTTACAGTTGGTTTGTTCACATAGTCTCCAAACAGTTCTCCATGTTGCATGTCTCCTTTCTTTTCCTCTGTATTTTTTTTAATGCAGTTTACTTGTTGAAAACTGTTTTTGTTACTAATTTATAGAATGTTCCACATTCTAGATTTTCCTGCAGGCTTGCTCTTGATGACATTTAAACCATCCTCATTCACCCAGGTTTTATGTTTGATCATTACATCTAGATTTTTGGTTAGATTTAGGTATTGTCTTTTACTTTTTCAAAGAATACTTCATTGGTGGCATTATATGCTTGCTATTATATCCCGTCAGGAAACATACAATGTCAGATACAATCTGAATGTGGGACAAATCCAGCATGTGGAACGTTCTACAATAAAAGAGAAGCTATAGGTGAGTCCAGGTAGTGTCCACAGAGAAGATATAGGTGAATTCAGCTGGTGTCAACCTAATCCATTCTTAATAAAGTGTCCCAACAACTTTCACCTGATGATTTTGGAATCCATTAATAATCATGGTCTAACCACATTGTTTTATTAGTGGTTTTAAAATGGTGATTTTCTAAATGCAACATTTCTTCTGCATTTGTTAGCAAGACTTCCATAAAGAAGACTTTCCTTTGTCAGCCATTTGATCACATGAATATTTGCAGCCTATTTGGTTTGTTCAGAAAAGTCAAGATAATGCTTGATTGATTCCCTTTATCAATTTATAAAAAAGTAAGTATCTGTCCTCATTTTACCTCCAATGGTGAATTTCATACATTTTTCATAGTTTTGGTTTTATGTAAGTAGTTGATGTATTGGTTGCTGCATGCAGGCTTTTAATTATACCATATTCTCAAATTATGCCTCTTAATTAGATGCATTTGTTCAGGTGAATGATATAGTCCCTGAATCCTTGTATATTTGCAAATATTCTTTTTTTTCCTTGTCAATGGTTGAAGGATATCTTTCTTACATAAAGGAATTTTGATTTCAGACTTTTTCTCTTAGGAGTTTGTAGAAGTTTCTCTATCAACTTTTAGAATCTGGTGTTGTAGATGAGAGATTTAATAAC
This sequence comes from Homo sapiens, assembly GCF_000001405.40. Classification (NCBI taxonomy): domain Eukaryota; kingdom Metazoa; phylum Chordata; class Mammalia; order Primates; family Hominidae; genus Homo; species Homo sapiens. The sequence continues at coordinate 9,868,805 of NC_000009.12, read as the reverse complement.
AGCCAAATTCTTTATTGTTTATAAGTCATTTGTGCTTTCTGTTTGAAAGTTTTTAAGATTTCATTTTTCTTTGTTCCAGGAGTTTAAGTATATTATTAGGATATTCCTAGGTGTGTATCTTTCCTCATAATACCCTGCTTGAAACTAGCCAAACCCTGTTACACTGCACGTTAGGGTATTCTCCCGCTCAGGGATTTTTTTTTTTAATAATTTATCTCATTGTCACCTTTCTATCCCTACTTTTTATTCACATAGAAAGCTTTTATTCTCAAGCTATATTTCCTGAATCTACCTCCAAATCTCTTATCTTTCTCTCTTGACTACAATGTCTTTAAATTCTACTTTGATCTTTGACTTGCTCTTTCACACCAATAACTAGAGTTATGACAGGAACTGTGTTCTTCTTCAGTGTATATAGCAAAATTTTAGTTAAAAAATTCTTATTCCAGAAAAGCATTTTGGACTGTATTTAATTTACTCTACTTGTATTATTGCTGTAATTATTATTATATTAATTATAACTTCAAGTTCTTTTCTGTCATCTTCGATATCTCACATTAGAGGTTTGTTTTGATGATTATCTTTGATCTTTCTCTTTCAAGCTAATGAACATTTTACAGTGCTAAAACTATTTTTGTTCTACTCACTAGGACTCAGCTGCTTGGAATCCTGAAGCAGCGGTATAGACTGCCAAAAGCATAGTGGTCTATCTGCACCTGTGGGCTGTAGGCACACCATCAATCAGGTTGGTCCAGGAGAAGGCCGTTTTTCCTACCAAGTCCCTTTATACTCCCCTGACCTTGTGAGGGGAAAGGAATTAGTCTAGCTATTCAGCTCATGTGCAGCTCTTTGTGGAGTGAGAAAAACAGTCTTACTCATGTTTGGCTCCTTCCAGATTTCTTTCTGGGGATCAGAAGACTTGCCTCCCCTACCCTGGGGCCAAGGTCTCCTCAGTTTCTGTCCCATTTTGAATCTTCTTCACTGGTTGCCATGCTTTTATACCATGGAGGAGGAAGTTCCTTTTTAATGTTTGAGCTTAAACCTACTTGCCTGCCAACTCCATAATTTCTTGACCTAAGAGAAAACAATAGGTTTGAGTTGAGAATTAAAGGGACTCCGGATACTTTTCTCCACCTAGATTTGGGGAGATTATATCTTTCTTGAAGTATCAGTTAGCTTCATTTTTCATGTGAGCCAAGAGCTTTTTATTTTTTATTCTCCTTTGAAATAGCAACTGGTCACATTTATGAGGAAATTATTTTGAATCTCAGTTCCTCTGAGATTCTTCCTTTATTAATATTATTTATAGAAGCAATATGTTGAGGAAAATATGTTTATTATGTACCATATTTAATCATGCAGAATATCTTGAATCTGTTTGGAAGATAGGTATCATAAATCAATAAAGGAATTTTTAATCCCACCCAACAAGAGGCATAATTTGAGAATATGGTATAATTAAATAGGAAGATAATTTGAGACTGGGTATAATGATTTCATTATTCATAGCTGCCTAAGAACTCCCATTTAAAAAGCAGAATGAATCGTATCTTTGAGTAAGCCAACTATGTGATCAGGAAAATAAACAAGTAATTCAACTTATCAGGAGACTTGGGTTCTAATCCTTAATCCTTACCAGTTAAGCTTTAGGGAAAAATATACAATAATATTGACTCCTTTTCCGTTAATTGGAACAGTAGCATAGGTGAACCTCTATGATTTTGTAAAGAAACCCTTTTGTTTGTAAACTTTGAGTCTATATAGAGAAAACTTCCAGTCTAAGTACTAAGTTTGAATACTATAAAGCCAAAAGAAATAACATGACTATACTCAAACAAAATATGAAAGAACAAATTAGTATAAGCTGTACTTACACCCCACCAAAAAGCAAAAACTGTTGCGGTTTAATAGGAACTTTGTTGTTCTAGATACATTTGAAACACTATTTTCCAGTTATGTTGAGTAGCATTACTGAAGTTGTGTTTAGGCATTAAACTTAGAAGCTACTTAAAGACTTAACATATTTTATAAATATAACATATTTTGATATAAATACAGTCATAAAATATAAAAGATGTTTTCCACAAGGGCGTATTCACAATTATCTAAGAAATGTTGAAATCAACCCAGAAATCTCAATAGAAGCTTATGCTAATTTCAAGAAGAAAATTTAAAACATATTCTCCTTCTACTTTTCACTTTGTTTTATTTTCACTATTATTCCCCTCTTTAAATTTTTGAGCGGATAGTTATGTATATAACTAATCTTATTACCTGTTTCTTTTTGATATAAATGGCACCAAAAGAGCCTCTAAAATTCTAAGAATACGAGCTTTATCTAGAACCTTTGCTTAAGAGACAAAAATTTCTGGTCATACTGTATAAAAACATATTTATGGCCACCACATTACATGTCTTGGGAATTTGTGGCTGCTTACTTAACATTTTTTAAAGCTATCAAATTATTCCTAAAGCTATAACACTGTAATAAGTGTTATGAAATACTTTTCTATGTAATTCACTTTCATGAAAATAATGTTAACAAAACTACAACTGATTAAGGCTATGACATATATAGCAGATTCTAAAGTGTGTAGTACAAATTACTAACATTAAAAACAGTCTAGGGAATAAAAATCAACTTAGACATATTTTAGAAAATGGATATAACCTTAACTAGATATTAAATGTAGATAAATTTTAAATGAAAAAGAAGTAGGTTTCAGAGGCACATAACCGTGTTTATAAGTGCATATGTACAGAGGAAGGCAAGTGTACGAGAATGGCATGAGAAGGGAACAAAGAAGATTAGAAGGGAGCAGTGTCTGGGACTCTTCCTTGAATTGTTCAGATGGGAGGAACACACTGAGGGACGCTGTCTTCAGTCTGTGGACAATTGGAAGCCATTACAGATTCTTACAGATAAAAACGACATGAGGAAATTGGTGTTATGAGACTTGCTTTGAAAAGAGCTAAATTATCTTTAATCGGCTAAAATGGAATGTTACTTTTGTTATCACATGTTATAATAAATACCCAAGATAGCTTATATTTCTTAGTAAGGGAACTATTCTTTTAGCAGAAAATTACAGAGTATTGACCAGAGAACCAACTGATGATCTTGATGGTAATTACAGAGAACTTTCTTATTTCTCCCATTATTGTCTTAGTCCATTTTCTGTTGTTTATAACAGAATATCTGAAACTGGGTGACTTATAAAGAAAAGGAATTTCTTACAGTTATGGAGGCTGGGAAATTTAAGGTTGAGAGGGCACACTGATGAGAATCTTCTTGCTTGTGGGGACACTGTGGTGTCCCTAGGTGACACAGAGTGTCACATGGCAAAGGGGCTGAGCACGCTTATATGTTAGCAAAGGCTTCTGTCTGTCCTTATAAAGTCACCAGTCCCTCTCCCATGATAATGCATTAATCCATTAATCTGGGAATAGATTAATCCATCCATGATGGCAGAGCTCTCAGTATTTAATCATTTCTTAAAGCCTCCGCCTCTCAATACTGCCACATTGGGAACTAAGTTTCAACGTGACTTTTGGAAGGGACGTTTAAACAATAGCAGTAACCTGATTTTCAAATGTAAATAGATTTATTGCTTGTGACACACAGCCCTGAAATAGGAATATGTTTTTGTCATTCATCCCAATGCATACATAAACTTTTACAAATATCATTGTCTATGATCTTTTAGAAACAGTAGATTTGCAATTTGTAGAGGAAAAATTAGAACACAATAAAATACATCACACTTCAAATAAGAATATAGAGGTATTTTTGTTTATGTTTTAATATAGAGATAATCTATTTAATAGAATCTATAATATACACCATAATATCAGAAATACATTAAAAATCATTATTTTATAATTTATCCTAAAATATAATTTTTAAAGATGAAATCTTCTAGAAAGTATAAAATGTGTAATAAATTTTAATGTGAATAATGCACCCTTTACTACGAAGTGCACAGAAGCTGGGTTGGGGCTGGTGGTTCATGTCTGCAATCCTAGTGCTCTGGGAGGCAAAGGTGGGAGAATTGCTTGAGCCCAGCAGTTCAAGCCTAGGCAACAAAGTGACACCCTGTCTCTACAGAAAATTAAAAAATTAGCTGGGCTTGGTGGTGTGCGCCTGTGGTCCCAGCTACATAAGATGCTAAGGCAGGAGGATCACTTGAGCCCAAGAGATCGAGGCTGCAGTGAGCCATGTTCATGCCACTGCACTCCAGTCAGGGTAACAGAGTGAGACCGTGCCTCAAAAAACAAACAAACAAAAAGTAAAAACAAACAACAAAATCCGAAACAGAAACTGTATATTAGTGTTTTCTGTATTTCTGATCATACTTTGCAGACCACGGAATCTATGTCACACACCCCATGTATTTCCTTCAGTTCTAGACCTCTATTCCCAACTTCTTACTTCATAGCTATATCTGTATATCCCACAAAACTTTTTTTTTTTTTAATCTTTCTCTTTTTCTTTTTCTTAAGACTGAGTCTCACTCTGTTACCCAGGCTGGAGTGCAGAGGCGCGATCTCGGCTCACTGCAACCTCCGCCTCCCGGGTTCAAGCGATTCTTCTGCCTCAGCTTCCCAAGTAGCTGGGACTGCGGGCACCCGCCACCACACCCAGCTAATTTTTGTATTTTTTAGTAGAGGTGGGGTTTCACCATGTTGGCCAGGCTGGTCTCAAACTCCTGACCTCAAATGTTCCACCCACTTCGGCCTCCTAAAGTGCTGGGATTATAGGCATGAGCCACCGCGCCCGGCCAAACCTTTCAAACTTACTAGGCCTCATATGGAACAATCTTTTGGATATTTCTAGCAAGTAATAAATGAGAAATCAACCAACTCAAAATAACTCACATAACTGCAAAATTCAGAGACTGGACAGGGATCAGGTATAGTTCAATCAAATCTTTGGGTCCATTTCTTTGTACTGCTTTTTTTTTTTTTTCCGTCCTGCATGTAGGTTGGCTGCTGGAATAGCAATTCTTGCTACCTTGTTCACAGACAAAAGAGAGTGTCTTTCTGAAGTTTGTTTATAGTAGCTAGGACAATTCTGTCTTATGTCTCTTTTCATCTCCAATAGCCCTCTCACAAATATTTCAGTGACGTAAGAGGGTCACATGTCCATTCTTAATAAATCTCTGGGGAAAAGGAAAAGAATGCCTTGCTCAATGGGCTCAAGTTTGCCTCCTCTGAAGCCATTACTTTGGCAAGGAGGATGTCATAATCTTGATTAGCTTAGATTAATCAAGTTTGTCTCTGGACATGAGATCAATTCCCCCAAATTGTTTAGTTGCTACACAATGGGAGAAAGATGAGGTGGAAACTGATCAGACACATTCAACGTTCACTATACCCTCCTTGCCCCCAAACATGCTCACTCTTACATTCTTGATTTTACATTTAAAAATATGACTGTCGGGTGTCGAGCTAGAAAACTTAGATTCATTCTTGACTCTTTCCTTTATCAATTATCAAATTTTTTAGAATGTATCTCAAATAGTTATTAATCCAACTCCCCTGCACCACTTCCATTCTGTCTTTGTCTTAGTCCGTGAACCTTTAATCTGCTTTAGAATTTGCAGTGGACTTCTCTCTCATCTTTTCTGTGGACTGTTGTCAGCTTTTCAAGTGAAGAGATTTGTCAAATTTATCTTCATATTTCCTAATTCAGCATTTTCTAGACTCAAATACTTCAGGCACTCAAATATTTTTGTTGAATGAGTAAAATTTAAAAAATCTCAAAAAAGAGCTACAAAGTGCTTTTTTTCCTATTGTCATTTGTTCTTAAGTCTCCTATATTATTGAAGAAATAATGGTTGAAAAAGTTTACAAACTATTTTATGAAATAAGGTGAATTTCAATGCCCCAAATATTTTGTTGTGTTTTTTCTACTAAAACATAACAGAAAAGGCACAAGAAAACCTGAAATAGAATGTATACAGAAAGACTTAAATAGAAGCATCTTAGAAAATTGTAGATACTTTTCTTAAAAATCCAATACATACTTTGGTTAAGTGTTAGGGTTGGTGTTTGAGGGACTACTCCCCCCCCCGCCCCCCACCAATAGCATGTGCAGTAAACTTTCTTCAGAGACAGGCAGAACTTGGGGAGCTCAGCTCAACACACCACAACAAGTATTTCTACATACAAATCATTTCTCCTCTGAGTAGTATTTCTTATCTCACTTTCAATCAGATGCAGGTGTTTTTGATTCTCGCAGTTTCTGAAGCCTTTGCCATGTCAGAAAATTAAAACAGGGATGAGAAAATATGGGAAAAAGCTTTGAGAAACCTCTCCCTAAGCCCAAGGAAGATGGCTTTTTGTTTTGTTTTGTTTTCACTTCATATCTTGAAGAACTACTGACACTTACCAGGCAGGTTTGGATATACGGCAGTTAGTTACAGCAGTTAGTTCCTGTGTCTGCATAGATGGGGCAGATCTTTCATTAACCTAATTTGTGTTTCCTTTCTTTTTGCAGAATGCAATATAACTTTTAAATGGATTTATAGCAATTTGTTTTGTCTAAATGTGTCTTTGCTTTTCAAAATGGTAAACACTTTTTTTTTTTTTCCAATGATGGCACTCAATACAAACAAGTTTGGCAAGAGGTGTCTTTAATACTGCTTGTGGGAATAAGTTGGTGAGAAAAAAGCTTTTGAAGCAAACCATCTTGTAATATATAGGGAGAGTTTACAAATGTATGTAGCATTTAGCACATAATCTTATCTTTTCAAATCTATTCTTAAGAATCAGTGAATTTCTTTAACATATATGCAGACAGTGATGGCCATCACATTGTTACTCATAATAAAAAATGGAAATAACCAAATATTTTTGAGTTTCACATGGCAAATTCTTTAACCAGAGCATATGCTGCTATTATAATCAAAACAGGTAAGGTAAATATGATGCAGGGGGAGAGTAATAAACATACCTCTACATATAAACATAGATGTAATTATTTGTGAAAATTCTGACTTGTTTTTCTTGTCATTACCAACTTAGTCTTTTGAAAATAATTTTATGAATTTATTTACTTTTTTAAACTAGTGCTTCTATATATAAGCTCAATATATTTCTGATTTTTCTGCAAAGATATGAATCATATCACTACAAACAAAATATTATACTGTATATCAATAGTTAACATCTAAATATTCTTTCCATGAGTTTTGATAAAAAATAACTATTTCGGCCATGTGCGGTGGCTCACGCCAGTAATCCAGCACTTTGAGAGGCCGAGGTGGGCGGATCACGAGGTCATGAGATTGAGACCATCCTGGCCATCATGGTGAAACCCCATCTCTACTAAAAATACAAAAATTAGCCTGGGCATGGTGGTGCATGCCTGTAGTCCCAGCTACTCGGGAGGCTGAGGCAGGAGAATCGCTTGAACCTGGGAGGCGGAGGTTGCAGTGAGCCGAGATGGCGCCAATGCACTCCAGCCTGGGAGACAGAGCAAGACTCTGTCTCAAAAACAAAAAGCAAAAAACAAAAAAATAAAATAAAATAACTATTTCAATCTTAATTACTTTCATACCATGTGAGTCTCACTGCAGTAACTGTATCTCAGTGGGGTAATAGAATATTTACTTCTCCCAATACACTCATGTGATAGAAATGTGGTCAAAATGTGGTTAGGAAGTAACAATAATTTATTATAGATGCTAGTGTAGAATAGCAAAAGCCAACTGGGATTCATTTTACTGTTGAAAGAAATAATGATTTCTCTTTTTTAAAAAATAATTGCCTAATTCAAAAAGCTTCCAACTATAATGTCTATTTTTCCAACAGTTCTGTTATTTTTTAATAATCCAATACACAATTTTAGCTTTTTCCCAAAACTGCATTTTTCTTAAGAGTTGCCAGTTTTCAGATTCACATGCTGAGTATAGCAATTTTGTGATGCTAGTTAAAGAAAACAACAAAACCAACATCTCTGTTTTGTGCTTTGGTGATAAAAGCCACAAAGAAATCTTTGACCAAGGGATACCACTAGACACAAGACCCCTGTGGTGTGGATCAGTAATGAACTACAATTGTTTAGTGGTCCTAGGAAAGCTTCATGTATATATTTATAAAATGGGATAGTCTAAGTGACATTGACATATTCTGCTTCACCATTCAATCTAGCTTTTGCCTGTTTTCCTTCAGAGTGTGAAATGTATTTGTCATCATCAGAGACTGGTATTCTTGCAAGCTAGGCATAAGGCAATCAAATGTAGTACCAGCAGAGAACGAATGGGCAACAACAACTATCCAGAAAGATCAGTAAAATATTGCTCAATATCTTTATCTTCTTGTAAACACATGTGAACAATAAACAAGAAACCATGAAAAGTGATGTTTTGTTTCTCCTTACCCACATAAGGCAAATGTACCTACTTTATATGCAGACAACCAAACATTTCTTCAAGAAAGAAACAGAATTCCTCCAAACATAGTTCAATTGTCCTTTAGTTAAGTTTTCACATACAAGTTGTTAACAATGATGATTTTTGTAGCTGAATTTGTAATTCTTTTCCATCATTTGTGTTGTCTTTAGTGACTCCACAGTAAAAAATAATTGGCACTCTTCAAAAGCAGATCTTGTGAAATACCATGTACCATCTGACTCTAGAATAAGAAATAGTTTTACCTTACCAATTATTTGGCTTTTGTTTTATAGTAGATATTGTTCATGGCCATGTGAATTTTACTTTATTCATTGTGTGCATATATGTTACTAAACAGTTATTTTTAAATAATGCAGGAGAATCAAATATTATTTGAATTGTACCAGAGGAGTTTGTTGTTGTTGTTAGAGATCTTGTGATAAACACTTTTTAAAATGTGAAATATTCTGTTTTCTAAGTTGCAATTTTTCTATACTGTTGACTATAAATAGGTACAAATATACTGGTAGAAAGTTTGAAGAAAACGGTACATGGCACAAGAAGAAACAGAGCCATGTTATAAGGAGAAAGTCAGCTGGCTTCCCCCAAAACAAATTACTTTGGTAAGGATACCGTATTCCAGAGTCTGACCTTGAAACTTGAAGACTCAGAAATTTAAATTTGTCAGCAGTATGAGACTAGATCTCAGGAGCATTAACTAAGTTCACAGAATTGTTGTATTAAATCAGAATACCAGCTTATTTATAGCTATTGACAAATATTACTTTCCTATGAGCTAGAATATTTATACAAATATGACAAGAGCATTCTCTCCTTGAAGGTGGGGGGAGTTATGTGGGAATCTAAATCATTATTATAAACTTATTTTGGTGCAATTTGGCTCAGGATAAGGATGTTAAATAATGCATAACATATAGCATGTTTTCTTCTGCCCGTCCTTACCCACAAACAAAGCTAAGACAAATTATTGGTTGACCAAGGCATTATTTTCCATTAGGCTCAGACTCAACTTTAGAATCTTCCTCAACACCAATAGTCCAGGAAGCTGTTGCAATTGATTGTGATTGGTATGGGTATTAGTCTGTTTTCACACTACTATAAAGATACTTACCTGAGACTGGGTAATTTATAAGCAAAAGAAGTTTCATTAACTTCTAGTTCTACATGGCTGGGGAAGCATCAGGAAACTTACAATCACGGCAGAAGGCAAAGGGGAAGCAGGTACCTTCTTCACAAGGCAGTAGAAGAGAGAGAGTGTGCGTGTGAGCATGGGGGAGTGCTGCACTTTAAAATCATCAGCCCTTTTTTGAGAACTCACTGTCACGAGAACAGCATGAGGAAAACTGCCCTCATCATCCAATCACCTCCCAATAGGTCCCTCCCTAGACAGGTGGGGATTCCTATTCGAGATGAGATTTGGGTGGGGGCACAGAGCCAAACCGTATCAGTATGAGAGGTGATGCCTGTTCTTGGGCAAAGTTTTCTGCTCTGAGTTCCAGTTTCCATATCTGTGAAATGGATGGGTTGGATTAATTTTTTCCCCAGGGACCTTTTCTGAACTACAAATAACTGTTGATTTGGGTCTAAAAGTAACTGTTGATTTGGGTAAATCACTTACCTGTTTTGGCTTTATTTTCTCTATCTGTAAAATAAGATTATACTAACTAGATTTTTAGAATACATTTTTCATTATATCATTCTTAATTTTATATACAACCCTGTAAGCCAGAAGTTTGTTTACCTATACTAATAATTAAGAAACTGAGACACGGACCAATGGCTAACTGCTGCTTCATGTTCTGAGTCATCTGCGTGCAATTATTGGCTTGGTGGAAAAGGTGCCATAATGAATTAGTTGTGTCTCTTCTGAGAGTAGAATGTGAGAATGTTGGCACATTTGCCAGGTGTTTGTCATTCTTCATCGATAGATTAAATGCTATCCCAAATATTTGTTTAACTAGAACAGTCATTATGCACCAAATTTGAGAGCAGAGAAGGTTGAAGCAGGTTTGAAGTCACAGGCACTATTTTCTGGAAAGGTGTTTGTGTCTCTAAAATCAGATATGTTTCCATTATGCTGGCTAAATACAAAGCAAAAATATTTGGTGCCATCATATTTATTGTCCACATTTGTCTGCTACTAGCAATTGTCTTTTAGTTATAGGGCTTCCAGAGCATCATGAAATAATCCGTATTTTAATGATGAAAAAGATTTATCATTACTAAAATGTATTTTTATAATTCAGGGCCTGTGGCTCTCTATTCACTAAAACAATTGCACAGACTATATAGCACAGTTCCTGAATGTCTGGTTAAAGGAAAAGAGTATCAAGTTCTGATTGGTGTTAAGGAGTGAATCTTTTGACATAGATAATGGTTCATTATAGCATGATAATGCATTCTTCATATCTTCACTTTTCACTCACTTAAAATTATTTCTTTCCATTTGAATTTTTTTCATTTACTTTATGAAAAAAGTAGAGTATTAATCAACTATGCTCATTTAAAAGATATTAATGTTCTCTTTCTTCAACCAGACTTATACTCTTTCAGAAGACAAATACTAAATGTGATTAGAATGAGCACAGCCATATTAGCTTCTTAATAAATATCTGTGTGGTCCGTGAGGAGTGTTTGCCCTGAAACAGACATTTAAGACATCTCTGCTCAAAAAGTAGCCAACTTCTGTCTGCTGCCTGACTTAACTACCATTTACATTTTGTATAATATGGGCAGAAAGCATTTTAATTTAATATATAAATGTAAAACTTCAGCTTCCACTAGCTGTAATATGGACTCCATGATTTTATTTATTTATTTATTATCAGCAGAGCCAGCATCCTGTGAGCTTCTGTGATAGAAATGCACCGTGTGCAGAGAGTGACTCTATTAGGCTATAGGAGAGGATGAAAATGGTTTGAGATAAATAAAAAAGCAATTACCTAGGCCTGGGAAAGAGATACTGCACATTTATTCAGGAAGCATTTAACTTACTCAGGGCTCCATTCCAATGAATTGTTGTTCTCTTCTCCATCCTCCCTAATATATGCCAAGTCAAATTGGAAGTAGCAGAATGATGCTTCACACCCTGGTAACAAGAACTCAGAGAATTTTGAGAACTTGAGAAAGCTACCATTAGGGGAAAGACAAAAACATGAAAATGGCCTTCATTCCATTTCGAATGCCAGACATTGAGGGCAAAGCATTTGAAATTGTGACATAAACAATCATAGTAACAACTAGGCAAATGGATTGAAACTAAGTACAGTTTCCACAAAGTTGAGGATTAATGTCTTTATGCTGCCCCGGGGCCCGCACAAAGCTATGGCTTTGAGGGCTGTAACCAAAGTGCCTACTTCCAAGGCTCACAGCTGATCTTGAGAGGTCAAAAAGAGGAAAAATAATACATTGGTCCATTAAGAATAACCACTGCTTTCATTTCCCATTTTTAAGTGACCTAATTCACATTTTATTCTAGCTTATTTTTCTAAATTTCTATTTTACATTTTATCCTTGTACATTCCTTTCTCCTTCTCAGCTCACTTATCAATAGAGGTCTTCCAGTCCCATCAAGCAACACCATTTTCCATGGGGGCATCCATTCAAGAAAGAAGGGGGAATACAGAGAGTTAAGTTCAGCTGAGAAAAGTATCCCGCTGCTGCAGGGTCCATCAGAAAATTGGGACAGCTTTAACAGATTCTATAACAAATTCCCACCAAAGGTTTTCACAATAATTTTTTTTTTTTGGTAAATTTTCTTCTTTTTTTTTAACAATTCATTTCCTCTCTGATTGCTGGGAATTGTCACTCATCCCATTTCATACCTTGAGATCCTGTCTTTTGGCTTTACTCCTCTTGCCATTCTTGTTAATCTTGAGGAATGAAGATTCCATTACTTTGCTTCATACACTGGATGCATTTCTTTTTGTTACTGTACTTTTGATAGAGACAGGAGGAAGAGAAATTCTAGGCAGAAAAGGATGGGTCCCTGGTGAAGCCCTACCCTCAAGCCAAAAACCCTGAGACCGTGGCTCAAAGTGAGAACTTCTATCCCGTTTCCCCACTCAAATGTTGCCTTTTCGTAAACCACCCATGGCCCAGCCCTGCACCATCCTGTGCCTATAAAGACCCTAAGCTCATCTGGCAGAGAGGAAGAGTGGCTGGATGTCAGGGACTACAGCTGGATGTCAGAAGCGGCTTGACTTCAGAGGGACAGCTTGACGGTGCAACTTCAGAGAATAATCCTGCCGCAGATGGCCGGACTTCAGGTGAAGATTACCTACCCACCTTATCCCTTTCTCAGCTCCCCTTCCCACTGAGGGCCACTTTCATCAGCAATAAAATCCCCTGCATTTACCATTCTTCCACTCATTCTTGCGATCTCATTTTTCCTGGATGCTGGACAAGAGTTCTGGAGCCACAAGTGAGGATACAGGATGCTGTCACACTGGCCCCTTTACCCTCACCGGTAGAGAGCAGCTGCCTCACATGAAAAGGCAGATGACCCACTGAGCTGCTAGCGCTTAAAGCCGTCCATGGACTGCAGAGCTAAAAAGCCCTAACATGCCCTCTGGGGCTTCAGGAGTTGAAGGCATCCCTCCTGGACTTGCCATGGGGCCCGCACAAAGTTTGCTCCTCCCAGCTCCCAAAAGTGTTCGCCCTGGCTCCTGCACCCACTCTCCTGCGTGTTGCCTCCTGGAGGGGTGGAGTTCACTCCTGCAGGTGCGGAAGCGGCTGGCTGGTTCCAGTGCTTCTGCACTCCAGTTCCCGCTTTGTTTACTTGTGCGCTCCCTCCGTCAAATTGTTGAGAGCGGCAGGTTGAGGAAATGAGGCACCCTCACAATTCCCACGAAAAGGATCAGGAAAATATCCTGCTTTACTTTTAAAGTAGGTTTTAATTTCCTAGTACTTCAAGTAGTATTCTCTTTATTCAATTCTAGCCTCTCCTTTTTGTTTCTTATGATCAGCTATGATGTGGCAAAGTAGAGAGAGCCTCTGCTATTTTAGAAGGAGCTCCTCCCCTTTGTTTTACTCAGCGTTCCTGTGAAGTTCAGCTGGGGAGAAGTTTGTTACCATATATTGAATACTTCAAAGCTTTGTATAAATGAAAGTCATAGATCCTTTGGCTTTTCCTTTTTTAAATTTCCTTCCTGTAATGTTTCATTTTAGCTGCTGTAAGTTAAAAAGTAAAACATTATATACCCTTTGCTCTTGTAAAAGAAGAAAGGCTACCTTGACTTGGACTTAAAGCCAACACTGAATGATGACAGTAGGTTGATCAGGACAACTCCAATGTTGAATCACTTAGATGTCTGCAAAGCCACCATCGGCTATGGGGAAAGCTTGAAAATATGTTGTTGTTATAGGATTTGTTGATTTTGCTTCATTTTATGGCCATTTGACAAAATAATGTATCATGTTTCTTCCATTAATTTTAAAGCTTAGTATAAAAGTATCCCAAATTCCTCAATTTGTTGGTCCAGTTGTGGGAATAAACTAAAGTTAGTGCTACTGGTGTCTCCTGGAAGTTTTTGAGTATTATCCATAGTTATAGCAAAAGGTACAATTACACCCAGAAACACTGTCAAAATTAGCAAAAGGTCAGATATTCTGTTTTTGTTTTTGCTGGTTTTCTGGGGGTACTGGCTTTGCTGAAAAGATGAAGTTGAAAGGGATTTAAAAAAAACTGGATTATAATTCAAATAACAATTTAGATAAGTAATCAAAAACAAGTAAAAATATGGTGGGCATCATTTCTTGAAAGAATAAGAGAAGTACAAAAAATGATAATAAATTTATCTGTGGTAGTTAAATTTATATATACCAGTAGAAATCTTCTGAGAAAAGATTAGATATCTTTTTTTTTCTGAGAAAAAAATTAGATATCTTTTTTTTCTGAGAAAAGATTCTTGGGAATCTTGTAAGTTACTCCTTGACAAACTTTATATGATTCATAGGATAAATATTTCCCAACCCTCACTCTGTCAAATGCAGAAGAAATTCCCAATGCTTTTTTCCTTGATTCCAGGACCTATGATTAAATTCTAATTATGGCAAATACAAGTTAGTTTTAAAGATAAGCTCTGTCTTGTTCCCTATATGACCATGGGTTGCTTAACTTGTGCCATATAGGTATAATTAATTGTATCATCTCAAAGCTGCATAGTACCTTAAAAAGATTGCACAAAATAGTAAATTAAAGCTTAACATTTAATGTAAATAGCAGGTTAGAGTAATAGAGGATTTTATGAGATCTGTCAATGGTTACAAGACTACAATTAGATAGGAGGAGTAAGTGGTGATGTTCTGTTGCATGGTGTGATGAATAGAGTTAATGATAATGTATATTTTTAACTAGCTAGAAGAGAGGTTTTTGAATGTTCTCATCACAAAGAAATGATAAATGTTTAAGGTGATGAATCTGCTAAATACCTTGATTTGATTATTACACAGTGTATACACAGATGGAAACATCACATTGTGCCCCATTAAATATGTACAATTATGTGTTATTCATTTTAAAAATAACTGGGCTGGCGTGGTGGCTCACGCCTATAATCTCAGCACTTTGGGAGGCTGAGGCGGGCGGATCATGAGGTCAAGAAATTGAGACCATTGAGACCATCCTGGCCAACATGGTGAAACCCCGTCTCTACTAAAAATACAAACATTAGCTGGGTGTAGTGCTGTGCACCTGTAGTCCCAACTACTCAGGAGGCTGAGGCAGGAGAATTGCTTGAACCTGGGAGGGAGAGGTTGCAGCGACCTGAGATAGTACCACCGCACTCCAGCCTGGCAACAGAGTGACACTCCATCTAAAAAAAAACCAAAAAACAACAAAAAAAACCCTTAAAAATATTAATACACAATAATACACAGTTGCATAAGCCACTACCACTAAGAACCGAATCACTGTAGAGCTAGGCATTAGCAAACTATATATTGTCTGTGAGTCAAATCAGGTCCATTGCCTGTTTTCATATGGTCCTGAAACAAGAATGTTGTTCTACATTTGTAAATGGCTGAGAAAAAACCAAGAAGAATGTTTTATGACATAAGAATTATATGAAACTTGAATTTTAGTATCTATAAATAAAACTATACTGTAACACACCCATGTTCAGTTGTTTCCATGTTGTCTATAGCTCCTATGCTGCTTATAACCATAGAGTTGAGTACTTGCAATAAAGCCTGTTTGTCCTGAAAAGGCTAAGATATTTACTATCTGCCCCTTTACAGAAAATATTTAGCACTCCTTCTGCCGAGACTAGAGGTCTTCTATGTCATAGGGTACATTTAAATAATATGTGACTTAAATAATGTATGGTACCTCTATGGAGAGCATAGAATTAGACCATGTGAAGTGTTGTACATGATGCTATAAGGGTGATCCTATTTAGTGTGCTCACTGCTGGGAACCAAAACCTTGTTTGTGGAACACCATTAGATATCCAGCTGATTCACTCAGGTATAGTGCACAGATCAAGAGCCCCTACTTGATCTGCTATTGTGTAGATTTATGCATATCTTATGTGATTAGAGAAACCACTAAACTTCCCTGGAGTTTTGTAATATTATTTGAAGAATAGAAAAACAATTGTATCTATCTCATAGTATAATTTAGAATAAATGAAATCTTGCCTCTGCTAGCATCATGTCTGATACACAATAAATGTTGAATAAAATTTGGTAATTGTTACTTTAAAAGTTTAAAAGAAAAAAGGAATAATCTTTATCTTATTTATAAAGACAATATAAAGGATTATATGAAAATTATCAAATCTATATGAGGGAGTGATAATTATATCTAGTTTTTATATAATTAACCTGAGCATATTTCTATATAACTCTAGACACTATAGCAGGTTTCTCACTTTACCTTTTAATTATTTTCATTAAATATATGTTAAAATAGGAAAAATGACTTTTATTCTTTTTTTTCTTAATCTCCATATCTAATAGTTTTTGTCTGCTACTAGCATTTATCCTAGTTCCACATTCTTTTATGTCTGGGTAGCTTTCGTATTGATGGGAATAATAGCTAACAAAAAAATTGTTTTTCAATGTCTTGGCCTACAGAATTTTTTATTCAAAATTCTGATTTTAGATCAACTGCTCTCATCATCTCTTCCCTAAGGAAGATTCTTCTACTTTCTTCTGTAAATTTTATTTTTGCAAAAATCCTTTTCATTCCATATTTCATTTCAAAAACAAATTTTTTTTTTAATTAGATTCAGTTGGCCATATAATTTTTCTTATCTCTTTCCGAGAACATTTTAATGCATCGATCTTCCCTTGTTTTATATGTCTGGTCTCTGTTCAATGCTCTGCAGATGAGAAGAGTTATATACTATATTCTGTACTTCAGGAAGAGAAATTTCCATGTTAAATCTGAAATCGGGGACTTCACAGAACTTAATTTGCAAGTCTGTTAACATTTTCAGTGAATATAAATAGCTCATAGACTTTGTGATTTCTTTTATGACAATGATGTTGTCAATGTTAACAGTAAGGGATCATGGTTCTTATTATGACAATGATTTGTAAGAAGCAACAAACACATATGTGCCCAGTGAAATTATACTTAGTTGTTGTTGTTTTTAATTGAGACAGGGTCTCGCTGTGTTGTCCAGGTTGGAATGCAGTGGTGCAAACATGGCTAACTGTAGCCTTTACCTCCTGCGTTCAAGTGATCCTTCTGCCTCAGCTTCCCACATAATGGGGACTATAGGTGTGCACCACAACGCCCAGCTAACCCAGTGAAATTATAAATGAATACATATTATAGATACATCCTACAAAAGTACCTGCACTAACTTTATATTTACACCTTTTGTAAATAATGTAATTCAATATTATCATGCAGATAGTTGCTTGAAGAATGTGAATCTTTAGGCCCTGCAGTACTTGTTGTAACTTCACTTGAACCAAAACAAAAAGAGGCAATATTTAAATCTTTATAATGTACATTCTAGAAGATATAATTGATCCTCCATTGACTCAATGGAACAGATATAACAGTTATTTCTGTGTAGAAGCTGCCATGCCAAGGCTGGCCTGACGAGAGCAGTTCACCTTAAACTTTGAATCTCGCAGTCAGCAATACGATACTGCATTAACCCTCAGGAGACAAGTTTCACTCAGAGACACTTTTGATAATGCCTGTAATACTAATTCTACTTTTGCTTATATTATTTCTATTAAAATAGTAGAGAAGAATATAGAACAACATAGAAAGTTTATTGTATGCTAAGCACTGTACTTTAACTTCACAATTTCATTTCATCCTTAAATAAGCTTATAACTTTTAGGTATTGTGATCCCCAATTTGCAGATAAAGAATCTGAAGTTAGGTTAAATAATTTTGTCTAAAATCACATAGCTAGCAGGTGGCAACTAAGGTCTTTCTGGTTCCAAAGATAATCATTGTAGCTTTGTTTAACATTTTCCAAAGCCTTTTGCTTAAGATTAAATCTCTCCTTAGTCAAGAAAAGGTCAAATTCATAGAAGCAGAGAGTAAAATGGTGATTATCAGTGGAGAGTGGTGGTGGTAGGTGGAGGAGGTTAGCAGAGTTGGTCAAAGGATATAATATTTTGGTTAGAAGGTATAAATTCAAAAATATGTAGGACAACATAGTGACTACAGTTAATAACAATGTGTTTTATACTTGAAAATTGCTTAGAGAGTAGATTTTAAGTGTTCTCACAATAAAAAACAAATATGTGATACAATACATAATTTACTTAGCTTGATTTCATCATTCCATAGTATTCTATATATTTTACATCATCATTTACACTATATATACAATTTTAATTTGTCTATTTAAAAATATAAAAATGAAATATTAAATATTCTCTTCCCCTTCCATTTAATTTTTGTTTTAGTTATGAATTATCTGAAATTCATCACATGACTCCAGAAAATGTTGCTTAAGCTCATGTATATGTGGTGTTTCAGTCATCTATCCAATCAGTTAACTAAGTAGAAAACCAGGACAATAGCAATACTACTAATAATAACAAGAACAAACATTTACATGTTAACTCCACTTCTTTACTATATGATGAGCCAGAATTCTTTCCTGTCTCCAGCATGACTTCTGATCTCCCAAGCCTCAAGTTTAGAATGCGTCTGAAACCCACAAAGCATCACAGGAAAGATTAGCGTTTCAGTATTCAAAAAGAAAGGCTAAAATTCAGCTTTTTACATCCTTGAAGAAATAAATACCTTTCAGTGGTAACTTTTTGGTCTAAAGTTAAATCTAAGTGATTTGGGTGGTGGATCTGGGGTGTGACGGGCTGGTGTTTGTTGATTTGGAATATCTGGGTAACTACTCTGTTCGTGAGTTCACTACGCAAGCATGATCCGGCTCTGGTGTTTATCAATGCCATCTCTCTATGCATTTATTTTCACATTATCTTGATGACTGCTCTGAACTAGGAGCTGAGTTAACAGATCTTATTCCGCTGTAGGACCATGCTCTTCCTTGACTTTTACTATGTTAATCCCTAAAGTGTACCTAACTACTACAGTTTCAATGTTTTCCTGTGTTCAGGAAAAGCATTTGAAGATTTTGATTTGATTCTTAGAGGCTTTCTGGTTTGGAGTGGGGCATCAGCTGGATGCAAAAGTCCACTCAAATTAGCACACAGCTAGTATTTCCTTAGCACTGATTCAGTGGGGACTGACATCTGAAGATCATGAACTAAGATATTAAAATGCCAGTCAAGAGCTTAGCAATCACACCTTACATAAATGTGCTTCTACTTGAAATCTAGAATGATTCACAACAGTTCATTATGTTAATCCTGGAAATTCTTTCCTTTTCCTGGCTCATCATCATTCTTTTCAAAACTTGGAATGGACAATAGCATCACCATCAGACTTCTATATATAAATTTAAGAATATAGTAATATCTTGACTTTCTGTTCTCATTTAGCCAAACTAGCACAGGTAAAGTTAATCAGTAGCTTTTGTGTAAAAACTGAAAGAGAGCATTGATAATCAGAATCTTCTCAATTTTTTTTTATTTGATGCCTGGGTTAATTGCTTTATTTTTCTTTTACTACCTGTCTTCTAGAATAAATTCAGACATGTGTTTCCTTCCTAAAGCTCTCCTTATACAGCTTGTACATTCTCTCTCTACAGCGTGATCCTTTGGGATCTGCTGGAATTCATTGTGAGTAGCCCAGGGAACCAATTTCCCCAATAACTGTTTCCTTTACTGCAACTTTGAACGGAAAGTAAATCAACAACTTTATTTTTTAAGTGACCACCCTGTGTCTATGTATTTAAAAACATAGGGTAAAACAGGGTGTGTCTATGTATTTAAGTGACCATCCAAATACATAGACACACCCTGTTTTTCGGGTAACTGGACGTGCTCAGACATTTCTCTGTGTCTGTTTAGGAAGTATGTTGGATTATTCAATAAATATGTTATTAATTAGAAATTACCAAAGTGCTCATTTTTTATTAATTGATTTTTAAAGAAATTTAAAGTATGTTATTGAGGCAATTGATTTACATTTAATACTTAGGCATCTTGAAGATCAAATAGCTATTAGTTTTTTTCTTACAAGAAAGGGAAATGAGGCTGTAATGGGTTCTGTCTACATGAGCACACTTTTGAAAATTGTTTTTGTATTAAAATGATGAAGATGTAAGGATATATTTGATATTTATCTATTTTGTGTGATATATTTTCTTCTAAATCTCTTTAACATGTGTTACTGAATACATAGAAAATATAGATTGAAGGCACAGCTTTCTGGGGTAGAAAGCTTGAGTTTCAAGCTTGGATCTACCACTTAAAGGCTGTCATATTGGACAAGGTCTTCAATTCTTAAAGTCTCAGTCTTCTCATCACTTTCCTTTTGAGTTATGAGAATTAAACGAAATAAGCCATGTAAATGCTTATTAATGGATAAATGTCATTATCCCTATTTGTTCTTTTCTATACACATCTAAGCATTTACCATCATTTTACGTGATTTTGATTCTACTTTTGAAATGCATTTCTGGCCCTCAGGAAGCATATGGTCTAGTGGCCATGTTTCTTTATTTACAACCCCCAAGCTAAGATATAGCATTAAGGGGACATGTGTTGATATAAATGAACATAACAGAAGCAGTACTGGGGAATCTGTGGCTTTACAGCTAGTGCCTCTGAAAATTACAATGTAAAATCTATGGGTTAATTCATGAGGTCAGTATAAAGATCAGACAGAAAATAGAAAACTCTGAAGCGTGTTACAGCTGTTTAGAGGCCCTTTTAAAGATTTCCCCCTTTCCAGTGCTCTCAATTTGGCATCTCAGCTCATCTGACTTATTCACAAGTCTTTTCTTATGAGAAAAGTCTTCAATGCTGCTTGTGAATCACATGGACTGCCACTGCCTTTGTGTGATTTTCGTTTTCTGGCACTTCTTGCTGGGGGCTGTTCTAGCAGGATGTAGCTTCATCACGTGGATCTGCCTTTTTTAAAAAGTGTGATGTACATCACCTACAGGCAGGTATCTCAGCTGGATCAGTGGAAAGGCAAAGCACTTTCATTTCCCAGCCTGAGGGCTCAGCTCCACCGACAGCCCTACCAGCTCCTCTTTTAATGCTCCGAAATAACTTCACAGGCACCAGATAGTTCTGGTAAGTCTGGGATAATTAGGTTTCCTGGTCAAGAGCAACAGCATGACAAGAAGACTTGGCCCTGCCTGGAAAGCTACCACAGAAACAGAAGGAATGGAATAATGGGTTGAGAGTACTTAGCTAACTAGTAAGGTTTGTTTTGTTTTCCTGTAAAGTGGCAAGAATATGACAAACCTAGGGGGCATTGGTGAAAAAGTGGGGTGACTGTGCATATTAGGTCCAGAGAACAGGGACGTTATTTTCAAAAGTTAGTGCAAATTAAACTGGGTAGATATTTCATAATCAGTCATTTAAGTCATTTCTCGGAAAAATATAGCATCAATTGTATAAAATTTCCTGAAGTATCAAAATATTTGACATGCTTGAAATCCTGCAGATGGTACTCATGAGTAAAAATACATTGTATTTATTTTCAAAATACCATAGAACACATCAGTAATTTCTTATGGATGATAGTATGTGTCCCATTGAAGTGAAAATAACAAAGTAATCACTTTTGGGGTATAGAGCCAAATGTGATTTGGTTGTTTATTTTTAATCATGTACAGGGACAAAGAAAAACAGGGCTTAATTTTAACCACTCTGAAAGGACATTTAGAACTACATTTAGTTATTCGTTCTACTTAAGAGTATTTAAGTTAAAGAAAAATTTTACTTGGCAATTTAATATTTTAAAACTAAAACTATTCAGAAGAAAAACCTAATTACTTGAATGTCTGGATGCTTTATTTTTTTCTGGCATACTCAAAAAAATATATATTTTATGGCATGATATTCTCCCTGCTAGTTTTACACATCACAGTACAGTCACTCCAGTTCTGTTCAAGATAAAACCTTTATCATAATCCCCTACTCTCTTTAATTCTCCTGTGGGCTTAAACATAACTTCCTTCAAAGTTGATTTTGGCAGTTTTTAGTCAATCAAAAGGAAATCCTCCTTCCTCCAGCTCTCAATGTTTCATTTATGCTGTCCAAGCAGTGTCAGCACTAATACCTTTCAGTTTCATTTTTCTTTCATTTGGTTTAGTTGGTGTTTGGCAGAATAACAAGCTGGGTAGCTTTCTTAAAAATAAGTTTCCATGCTCTGTCTTCACAATACAAAACCAGAACTCCTTGACATAGTCCACCTAGCTGCAAACTCGTCTGGTAACTCTTTATGTACACCATGTTTTGATACCCATGATTGCTATATGTTGAAAGAATTTCACTCTCATGAGCTAAGTTACCTGAAAAGAATTTATTTTATAATAACTTGATTTACATATTTAGAAACAATTATTTATAGTAGTTTTAAGGGCTTAATTTCTCTAAAGATAAAGTCTCGAGAGTGTAGCTATGTATCTTCATATGAAAGTTGCTTACTTGTCACAAGTCTGATTTCTTACCTAGACTTTGGATAAATTTTGTGAAAACTGAGCATAGCATTGGAGATGACAAGTAATTTTGATTGGGAATGCTGTAGGGTACTGAGTTTGTGAAATATCCCTTGCTGCAGTGCTTTATGCACAGGTGTAAAGATCTACAATCTAGGGGTGATTTGGGTAAGAACAATACAATGTTAAATGGAGAAATAAAATATCTTGCTTGGGGAGGGAGGAAGCATATTACCTATTTAACGTTTAGATAACTGATAAATAGCTAATATTAAAAATAGAAAGTTACTTTCCATGCCTAGCTACATAATTTGTATAACACTAGGAATTACTCTTTCTCAAGACAAAAGTAGATTAATATCCTGCCCGCCTTAGTTCCTCCCAGTTGTTGGTAATGAAGAGCATCAAACTGTTGCTTTTTCTTTGAGTTACTCTGCTCCTTCTCTGCTCCAGGTGTATGTCATTAACTTCCTCTGGACATGGAGCTGGGAATAGCTCCATAACTGACAACCAGTTAGCTATTTAATTGCAGCCTTCTGCTAGCTATTGCCAGGTTTGCATACTGAGTCCATAAAATTAACATTATGATTTACTTTGTCTTGTCTGTGCTTAGCATTTTAGATTTTCTCTCATATGATTGATTTCACGTCCTCTTGCTGAGGACTTTTTTCGAGTATGGGTAGATTCTTTCTACCTCAAGTTTATTGTTTAGACCTGCCTCAATCCAACATATCTTAGAGAATAGGACATGATTTTGAATATCACCACTAACTGAAGGACCCTATGATTTGGAGTCTCTAGCCATATCAGAAGTCCTTAGGTATTGAAAACAGCTCAAATTTAACATGAATTGATGCCCCCCACCTCACCCTCAAACACACACACGTATATGCTCATGAGCTTCTATAATTCACTTAAGGGGTGTCCTCTGTAGATCACTAGGTCTAATCTATGCCCTGGTGGTCCTTGCCTTCAAATGTGTGCCTTATGGACACTGCCAAAGTCTTTTGTGGACAAGATCATTCAAGTTATGTCAGATAAGCATTTTTGACTTTGTAATATATCCCTTTCTCTCTTTTCTCTTTGAAAATACTGAAATAGGTTTCTAAATAGAATTGTTAAGATCACTATTGCTATATATATATATATATAGCAGTATATATATAGCTATATATATAGAGCAATATATATATATATATTGCTCTATATATAGAGCAATATATATATATATTGCTCTATATATAGAGCAATATATATAGCAGTATATATATAGCTATATATATAGAGCAATATATATATATATATTGCTCTATATATAGCTATATATATATAGCAGTATATATATACATACAGTATTTCAGTGGTTTATTAAAAAACATATTTAAAGTTGGTAACTTGCATATAGACTTAAAATAGACCGTCCAAGTTATAACACAATGTCTGTGTTACAAGTTTTCTGTGCTAACAAGCCTGGGAATTTCTTTTATTTATTTGTTTTTCAGTTTATAAAATAAAATGCCACAAATTCTGACACTTTTTAAATTTTGAACATTCCAGATGCTCACCTCAATAACAAGTTTTAAGTATTCTAAAACTCCTGGATTTTTCTGCTAGGAACTTGTGTCCTAAACAAATTCTAGTTAATGAGATTTATTTATACAATATAATACTGATCACTAAAAGATAAATAATAAATAAAGCTAATAACTGTTAATTGGTGTAATTTGTCGTAGTTATGAGGGACTATTTTGTCCTTTCTCCCCTATTTTTCTAATTAATATGTCATATCAATTCCTTTTATTTTTTGTTTATGCTATAAATATTTACTTGGAATTTAATATTTTCTAGGCACCCAGGCAGATATTAGGATTATAAAGATAAAAATCAATTGTTCCCTTTGATCAAGATCTCATTTACCCCACACCTCAGCCCGGGCAGCCATCATCCTACTCTGTTTCTTTGAGTTTGACTTTTTAAAGTTTCCTATATAAATTAGATCATGTAGTATTAGTCTTTCTGTTTCTGGCTTATTTCACTTAGCATGATGTCTAGTGGCATTATGATCTAATGTACAGCATGGGTGATGATGGATGTGTTTGTGATAATTATTACAGAAAGTGTGTGTATAAAAATCACATTAAACTTGAATATATTCAGTCTTTGTCAATTAAAATTTTAATTCAAGAAAGTGAAAGCTAGACAAAAAACAATAAAATTAAGGCAGTAAACAATGAAAAAAATCAATTGCTACTTTCATTAAGAATATAGGATTTTATTAACAAAATCCAAAGTCATTAAAGTACCCAAAGAACATGGTTGAAATGAAGCCTATGGCACTGGAACTACAGCACTAGAACACCTGTATTTGAAGACATATACATAGGTATATGTTTCTAATTAAAACCATTAAATGTAGTGAAGCTCTTCCCCAATGAATCTTAAGCCCACAAACTGAGCCATGTTGTCATGGTCTATTCGATAAGATAACTGGCTAAAATCCTAGCTAAATTCCATCAATCAGTTAACAACCATTGAAGATCAGCCACAGTTTTCCTGTACCTCTATTTAAATTTCGGTTTTCATTTTAATATTATTTAATCAGCAATTTATATCTTGTTTTTATACATATTTTTGCTTATGTTGATTTTCTAGATATACAATTTATATAAACAAAGTTTAATATATGTGTTTTCAAAGATCGAGAAATATTCATCTATTGCTGTTACTTTTATTAAAGTCAAACCTACATGAGATATATCCTGTCAAAATGTGTGGGTGGAGAGGCATTTATCATTTACTGAGGGCTCATTTTGCAAATTTGGGACACATGCAGGTATTATAATTCTTATAAAACCTTATAAGATATTATTTATTTTAATTTTCTTATATAGGTAAACTAAGGTTTAGAGTATATAAGTAACTTGGCCAAGGTCATTAACCTTTAGCAATAAAGAAAAGGCCTAATTTGAGAAACAGACAGAAAGTGTGCTTAGCATTTATGGCTAAAAAAAAATGTGATACATTTGCACCTTTTTTTGTTAGCTGAGAAAATTTCAAGGTGTAACAACTATTTATAAAGCCCGGAACCAAGTCCCTAAGCGATATTATGATTTCCGCCTTGTCTACAAACAACTTTGACCTGAATTCTTGTCTCTTTAGAACAGTGAGTAGCAGACTTTTTCTGTAAATGCCTAGGGAATAAATATTTGAAGGTCTAGAAGCCATAAGGTTTCTGTTGTAACAACTTAACTCTGACATTATAGCCCAAAATCCTTTATGGAAAATATTCAAACATAGCTGTGTTCCAATAAAACCTTATTTATGAACACAAGTGTTAGATGTTGAATTGGTCCAAGGGCCATAGTTTGCTAACTCCTGCCTTACAGTGTAGACTAGTGATCTCTAAACAACTTATATATACAACCGTATAGAAAGTTTTACATGAGTACCCTGATACATTATTTTACTTATAGAATATCACAAGTACTACTGTTCTAATTATGTTCAGTATGAAACATGCAAAAAAAAATCCACTGAAGATCAAATAAAATACGTAAAAAGACATTCCCTTTTCTTCCACATCATGTGGACTGTGTGGGCCACCACCTGGTGTATGAAGCACAACACTGATGAATCCTGTCCAAGGTAAAGCCAATGAAGCAATGATCTGGGGGGAAAAGAAAAAAAAAAAAAACAACTTTTTTAGATAGTTGATTAGTTTTTAACTGGTATGTTACTTAAAGGACAGTTTTCTTCATAATCAGAATATCAGGTTTTAACAACGATACTAGTTTTATAATTAATACTGACATCTAGTCTCTCTTTTTTGTTCCCAAATATTTCTTTTTTCTTCCCTCCCACACTCTCTTTCTTCCTTCTTATTTATTTCTTAAAGCCCACTTGAATTAATAGCTTTGGTTAATAGCTATCAATATTATCATGGATTTAATCCCACTTTTCACTTAGGAAAGATGAAATGGAAAAATCCTACAGTGTTACTACACAGCACCATACTAGAGTTTTCCTTCTTGGTGTCCATGACAAAAAAAAAAAAAAAAAAAAAAAATGCTCTCCTTCAGTAGACTTTGAGTTTTTTGTGTTTTGAATCATTGCCCTTCATAATTAATCTAAAAAGACAACCATAAGTGTGTTGGTTCCAAAGAAGCAGACTTGAAAAGCCTTGTAAAAGAAAAAATTTAAGCATAAATTCTCAATATTCTTCTTAGTTTTCACTCATGATTTAAAATATAGATGAGTGTATAAATATGTATATATACATCCAAAAATATCCTCCTTTAGCTATTTCAGCAGAAAAAATAAGCAATTTTTCCCAATATTAAACATGTATAGTTGTTCATAGACATATTAAATATTTATCCTACTTCCTTGTCCTAGCAAAGATAAAAAAAAATGTTTTTAACATGAGTACTTATGTGTACTTTCCAACATATTTAAGGAACTAACAATTCTAAGAAGAAAAATCCAACAGATATTTCTTAAGATTTTACAAATGCAGTGTAAATATTTATGCTAGTATTTAACCTAAGGTACATGAATGTCCTTATGGCATGTGTGTATGGGTTATGCATTTGTACAGAAATCTGAGAAGCCAAGAGATACCAGATAGAGAAAAATACAAGGTAAGATTCAGGAAAGTCAGATTCTATTTTTAGTTTTACCACTAAAAATATGTGAACCTTAAGTAACTACTTGCTATCTCCAGTGCTAACAACTTCATCTTTAATGGTGCAAAGGAAATGAAACAAATGCTTTCTAAGGGCCGTTCTATCGCTAGGTCCATGTTCTAGCGTATATATTCTAATAACAGAAATATGTAAAAATAATACTAACTAAAATTTATTGTACTCCTACTTTTTGTCATGAACTGGCATACATTTTCTTCATGGATTATCTCATGTACTACTTATCCCAAATCAAAGAGTAACATAGTTATTTTGCTTATTTTAACATCAGGAACAGAAGACTTAGAAAAAAAAGTAACTTGCACAAGTTATATAGCTAGTAAGAGAAATTATGAATAAACGCAAGACTCAGTGATTCATCAGCCCATTACACTTCAACTTTTTTGTGTGTGTATTATACTTATGTATACCAATATGTACATTACGTACCCTTATTATTTCTGTTAACCCCACTACCACTACTCCTATCCCCCAGTATGATTCCGACGATGCAAAATAATTTAGATATTTTTACTGGTAAATATTTTAGGCAACCTTTAAAATATATTCAGCTCAAATTTAACAAGAAAAATAGACAAAAACACTTTGTTGTACAAAGATAATTTTCTCTAAATCCAGTGCAGCTTCAGCTCCCCTCACAACAACTTCCTGCTAAAGCATGGTGTTTGGATCTAGCTCAGTGGTCCTTTATTCACCATCACTCACAGTTTATTGTCCATCTCTATTTAAGAACAGTACAGATCCCAGGATCTGCTGAATATAAAAATTGAACTCCTTATATTTATCACCAAACCAAATTGGAAGAAATATAAATAAATACATACATAGATTGCATTCCAGTGTATTTCCCTTCCCCTTTCTGTTTTTTTTTTTTTTTTTTTTTTTTTTTTTTTTTTTTTTGAAACGGAGTCTTGCTCTGTCGCCAGGCTGGAGTGCAGTGGTGCCATCTTGGCTCAATGCAAGCTCTGCCTCCCGTGTTCAAGCGATTCTCCTGCCTCAGCCTCCTGAGTAGCTGGGACTACAGGCACGC
The DNA here is from genome assembly GCF_000001405.40 of Homo sapiens. Taxonomy (NCBI): domain Eukaryota; kingdom Metazoa; phylum Chordata; class Mammalia; order Primates; family Hominidae; genus Homo; species Homo sapiens. The sequence goes on along the minus strand of NC_000009.12, from coordinate 9,840,631 downwards.
GCCACCACGCCCAGCTAATTCCCTTCCCATTTCTTTCCGATTCACTATTTTGTTTTTCTAATACAATTTTATAATTTTATTTTACTTTTGGCTCCTTACTCCAATGAAATGACCAAACATAATGTAAGAATAAACTCAGGCATGCCATTATTAGGCAAATCACATTTACGTATTTACTTTGTTTTATACCCTCTGAAAAAGTTTAACTTGAAGACTGAAGGATAATGTTTCAACAACTGGAAAAAAACAAAGTCTATTTTTCAAATCTGATTAAATTTGTGTTTTCCTTAACTAAATTTAAAAGTAATATACTAGAAAAAATAAGAAAATACAGGCCAGCCATAGTGGCTCATGCAGCACTTTAGGAGGTGGGAGGATCGCTTGAGGCCAGGAGTTTAAAACCCCATCTCTACAAAAAATGCAAAAATTAGCTGGGCGTGGTGGTGAGTGCCTGTAATGCCAGGTACTTGGAAGGCTGCGACAGGAGAATCACTTGAACCCGGGAGGTGGAAGTTGCAGTGAGCTGAGATCACACCACTGCACTTCAGCCTGGGTGACAGAGCGAGACTCTGTCTCAGAAAAATAATAAATAATAATAATAAAAACCAACCATAAAATTGAATCACTCTAACTACTGTTAGTATTTGGATGTATGACTTTTCGTTATTTTTAGTACTATTTATATATACAAATTTTCAACTTGTGTGTGTGTGTGTTTAAAAATGCATATCAATATATGTTTAAATAAATATTAGATTTATTGATTACCAGCAACAGAAAGAAGGATATTGGGGAGATTAGAGATCGAGGCTTCTTAAAAAAATGCAGCAAGTTTGAAATCAGGTAGCGTGATGCCTCCAGCTTTGTTCTTTTAGCTTAGGACTGACTTGGCGATGCGGGCTCTTTTTTGGTTCCATACGAACTTTAAAGTCGTTTTTTCCAATTCTGTGAAGAAAGTCATTGGTAGCTTGATGGGGATGGCATTGAATCTGTAAATTACCTTGGGCAGTATGGCCATTTTCACGATATTGATTCTTCCTACCCATGAACATGGAATGTTCTTCCATTTGTTTGTATCCTCTTTTATTTCATTGAGCAGTGGTTTGTAGTTCTCCTTGAAGAGGTCCTTCATGTCCCTTGTAAGTTGGATTCCTAGGTATTTTATTCTCTTTGAAGCAATTGTGAATGGGAGTTCCCTCATGATTTCCCTCTCTGTTTGTCTGTTATTGGTGTGTAAGAATGCTTGTGATTTTTGTACATTGATTTTGTATCCTGAGACTTTGCTGAATTTGCTTATCAGCTTAAGGAGATTTTGGGCTGAGACAATGGGGTTTTCTAGATATACAATCATGTCATCTGCAAACAGGGACAATTTGACTTCCTCTTTTCCTAATTGAATACCCTGTATTTCCTTCTCCTGCCTAATTGTCCTGGCCAGAACTTCCAACACTATACTACAAGGCTACAGTAACCAAAACAGCATGGTACTGGTACCAAAACAGAGATATAGATCAATGGAACAGCACAGAGCCCTCAAAAATAACGCCGCATATCTACAACTATCTGATCTTTGACAAACCTGACAAAAACAAGCAATGGGGAAAGGATTCCCTATTTAATAAATGGTGCTGGGAAAACTGGCTAGCCATATGTAGAAAGCTGAAACTGGATCCCTTCCTTACACCTTATACAAAAATTAATTCAAGATGGATTAAAGACTTAAACATTAGACCTAAAACCATAAAAATCCTAGAAGAAAACCTAGGCATTACCATTCAGGACATAGGCATGGGCAAGGACTTCATGTCTAAAACACCAAAAGCAATGGCAACAAAAGCCAAAATTGATAAATGGGATCTAATTAAACTAAAGAGTTTCTGCACAGCAAAAGAAACTACCATCAGAGTGAACAGGCAACCTAAAAAAATGGGAGAAAATTTTCACAACCTACTCATCTGACAAAGGGCTAATATCCAGAATCTACAATGAACTCAAACAAATTTACAAGAAAAAAGCAACCCAATTAAAAAGTGGGTGAAGGACATGAACAGACACTTCTCAAAAGAAGACATTTATGCAGCCAAAAAACACATGAAAAAATGCTCACCATCACTGGCCATCAGAGAAATGCAAATCAAAACCACAATGAGATACAATCTCACACCAGTTAGAATGGCAATCATTAAAAAGTCAGGAAACAACAGGTGCTGGAGAGGATGTGGAGAAATAGGAACACTTTTACACTGTTGGTGGGACTGTAAACTAGTTCAACCATTGTGGAAGTCAGTGTGGCGATTCCTCAGGGATCTAGAACTAGAAATACCATTTGACCCAGCCATCCCATTACTGGGTATATACCCAAAGGACTACAAATCATGCTGCTATAAAGACACATGCACACCTATGTTTATTGCAGCACTATTCACAATAGCAAAGACTTGGAACCAACCCAAATGTCCAACAATGATAGACTGGATTAAGAAAATGTGGCACAAATACACCATGGAATACTAGGCGGCCATAAAAAATGATGAGTTCATGTCCTTTGTAGGGACATGGATGAAACTGGAAATCATCATTCTCAGTAAACTATCGCAAGGACACAAAACCAAACACCGTGTGTTCTCACTCATTGGTGGGAATTGAGCAATGAGAACACATGGACACAGGAAGGGGAACATCATACTCTGGGGACTGTTGTGGGGTTGGGGGAGTGGGGAGGGATAACATTAGGAGATATACCTAATGCTAAATGACGAGTTAATGGGTGCAGCGCACCAACATGGCACATGTATACATATGTAACTAACCTGCACATTGTGCACATGTACCCTAAAACTTAAAGTATAATAATAATAAAATAAAAGAATAAAAAAATGCAGCAAGGACAGAGAACAGAAAACACAGCCAAAGTCATACCAGTCTGGTTAGGATGCTACCACTGTTATTACAGCCACTCCCCTCATGTCACTGACACTGCAGGGCCTTTGACATTTTCATATGTGCCTAGATTAATTTCCCCAAGAAACTAGGTCTTTGCTTTACCCCATCAAAAGTCAAAAGCAAATCAAAGACTGGTTGCTTAAACCTAAAACATACCCCTCTATCTTCAGCTATATGGCCCTTTTGACTTTTATATGCGACACTGGACCTACTTCCCATCAAGATTAATACAATGGGGAAGGCTTCCAAAAGGAAAAGAGAACCTAAAATTTGGTTATTGACTAAAATGCAATTGGTTCTAGAACATTAGCCATGCAATAGCTACATCCATCTTTCTTATCACTGCTCCTGTGTTAGATATTGTAACTATCTCTCATTAAACCATCCTCTCAAAAGAATAGTCCCATATTTTCATCACTCACCTAGTGTCAGCTACGGTATTCCTGGATGATGCCCATTTCTTTTCTCATTTATTATGATCCATCTCATTATCTTGCAAACTGGGAGCTACATTGAAAATTTACCACCACACACATACTTAATACACAAAAATTGGCTAAACATTGGGGAAAGTGAAGTGAATATTTACTCTAATACACATAACATAGGGAAAAGAATGTATGTAGAGCTACTATAGACCTCATTTCTGCACCTATAAGGATATAATTAGTTTTCATGCATTCACTTATGTTTATCTTCAATTAATACCACACATAGGTGAGGCTTTTTACCAACTGGTGTGCCCCACACATTCAATCTTGAAAGAGGTATAACAGTCATGTTATAATCTATTAATTTATCTACCTCTTGATATGGTAGTTTTCTATTTATTGAACCATTACATGGTATTTGCTATATATCTGTCACTGCTCTAAGTGTTTTACATATAGTAAGTCATTTAACAACCCTGAGACATAGGTAAGTTTTCTTCCTTATTTTATAGAGTTTATATAACTTGCTCAAATTCACACAGGTAGTAAGTAGTGGAACCAGGATGTTTACCCACGTAGTCTATGCTGTGTGAAAGAATGCTCCATAGAAGCACACAGTTTTTCTCTATGTTACTCTCTGCATCCTTTGAAGAGGATTGATATTACTTTCAGGTTCAACCACCCAATAAACTACAATTTTAAGTTCAGTCACCCCATAAACTAGAATGCTGATATCTATTATTGGCAAATTTGGCATTTATCAGTGGTAGTAGTCAGGCGAGATTTGGTAAGAGAAAGTTCAAATTTTTGAGGGTTTGCATTAATCTCTGTTACTGCTACTATGACCACGTGGGTAATGAGCCCATTCAGCAGTCCCATCAGAGATTAGAGAATGAGAGCTTCTGAGATCCACTGAGCAGATCGTCTTGTTTACCTGATATTGTCTACATGATATTAAAAGTTTCCTCCATTCTGGAAGTATTCAAATAAGCCTTAAGTTAACTTGTACATGGAGCACTCATATGCTCACATTCTGGGGCTACTCTAGGATGTCCTTCCATATGTTTCTTCCACGAGCTGCCTTGTTACTAATCCTGGACTCTTGATATTCCCATTTCCTTAAACATTTGTCCAAACCATTGGGCTCTGCCCATGATTTAGTGTAGATTTTTGCTTTAGGCCATCATCTCTTCCAGAAAGATGTGAGCAGTAACATACACTTTTAAAAGTTCCTTGTACTAGAAGAATTAGCCTCTTTTTATAGTCTTTCAAAGAAAACTGATAGTGTAATTCTATAAGAGTAATTTCCATCTAGTGGTAGAATATCATTCATCACTTATTGTAAAACTGGCACCAGCATTTTCTTCTCACTGAATGATGATTGACTACTCTCCATAAGATTATTATAGAAGGGATTACAATATGGCAGGAGGGTGGCACTAAGATTGAGAATGTGTGCCATCTGCTTATCTCATTCCTTCAGTTGATTCCACTCCTGTGTTATGATGGAGTCCTGTGCTGGTCACTCTGACCTTCAGAATGAAGTAGATCAGGAAATACTTACTTTGGTATGGTCACAATGTCATCTTCTGTCCTGTCATTAGGTATTTTCATACTCAGACTCTGTCAAATTCCAGTGCAGGCCAAGAGCTATTTGTCAAAAGAAGATGAGCTGCTTGCTAAAGAAGGCATGAATTTGTTTCAAACCCCATTTGTCTCCAGTTTAATTCTCATTTGGGAGTTTCTTTCTTTCCGCATACTCTATTCCAGTGTGCCAACAATACAATGTACATCACTGTATCTTCTTAATAACAGAGATTCTTGCACTGCCACCTTTACAAGTTAGAAAGCCTTCTTTTGCTCTGAGCCTTCTTCAAAAGTGGCATCCTTTCAGGTAACTGATTAATGGATCATATCTATATAACTAAATGTACTGTTTATTGAATCCAAAATGTAAAAAAAAGTCTCAGGGGTTGTATGGTTATCTCATGGCAGAGGCACAAGTGGCCTTCATTTTGGAATGTATTATCCTGCTGGAGCCAAGATTAGTGGATCCGCAGAAATATAACTGAAATTGCAGATACTTGTATTTTGTACTAACACTATGTATTAAATTTAGATATCTAGGATATAATCCTTGCTGCTTTGGTACTAGCAATATGATGCCATCAAATAGTAGAAAAGTTTATGCCCTTTTGGATGATTATGTAACTAAGTACCCTATCTACTATATAACAATAAAGGAAGGTGGTAGAAGTACTCTCTTGCTACCAGATAAAACAAAGTGAATCTGCTCTTATCTGGGATGGAACAAAAAAAAAACAAAAGTACCTGTTAGGTTAATATTTATTTACTTTGACCAGAGGACACAGTTTTTGCTCCAGGAAAGAAACCACATCTGGAACTCTAACTGTTATCACCAATCAATTAAATATATGCTAATCTAGTGTCCCTCTTTAGCAGCTATCTTCACTAACCCAAATGGACAATTAAATGAGGATGCAATAGGAATCACCATCCTAGGTTTTTAAAATCTTAGGTGGCTGTACTAATGTTTTACCCTTCCTAGAGATATGCAATTAATTTTTATTAACTGTTTGAATAAGAAATGACCCCAGAGGCTTTGGGTTGCTCCTTCCTGCCAAACTAGTACTTATTTCAGAAACTGATGGACCAGTAAAATAATCCTGCTGGTGGCTGTTATCTTTTCCAAATGCATACTTAGGAACTGGTAGAATAAACACAGGGTGAATTGGAGATCTCACTGGGCTGATTATGAGGCAAATTTGGGGGCAAAACTTCACCTGACCACTATAAACTTTCACCCTGATTGGTGAATTTGTGGAGTTCAGGGTTCTCAACAGTTAATGCTAATGTCAATCAGAGCCACTATGCAATAATCCATGGTAGATCTGGGCTTTTTTCTTTTTTCATAGCATGGAGATTATGATAAATTTCCACACTACATACAGTGAATGACTGTTACATAGTCCAATAGTAGTACCTGTGATTTAGAACCCTGTTGTGGGAAGTCAGGGACCCCAAACAGAGGGACCGGCTGAAGCCATGGCAGAAGAACGTGGATTGTGAAGATTTTATGGACATATATTAGTTCCCCAAATTAATACTTTTGTAATTTCTTATGCCTGTCTTTACTGCAATCTCTAAACATAAATTGTAAAGATTTCATGGACACTTATCACTTCCCCAGTCAATAACCTTGTGATTTCCTATGCCTGTCTTTACTTCAATCTCTTAATCCTGTCAGTTGAGGAGGATGTATATCGTTCCAGGACCCTGTAATAATTGCGTTAACTACAAAAATTATACAGCATGTGTGTTTGAGCAATATGAAATGTGGACATCCTGAAAAAAGAACAGGATAACAGCAGTTGTTCAGGGAATAAGAGACATAACCTTAAGCTCTGACCACCGGTGAGCCGGGCAGAACAGAGCCATATTTCTCTTCTTTCAAAAGCAAATGGGAGAAATATTGCTGAATTCTTTTTCTCAGCATGGAACGTCCCTGAGAAAGAGAATGTGCACCTAGGGGTAGGTCTCTGAACTGCCCCCCTCTCCGGAGCGTACCTGTCTCTTATGGTTGAGACTGCAGAGGTGAAATAAACTCCAGTCTCCCATAGCACTCCCACGCTTATTAGGAAGAGGAAATTCCCGCCTAATAAATTTTGGTCAGACCGGTTGATCTCAAAACCCTGTCTCCTGATAAGATGTTATCAATGACAATGGTGCCCGAAACTTCATTAGCAATTTTAATTTCGCCTCGGTCCTGTGGTCCTGTGATCTCGCCCTGCCTCCACTTGCCTTGTGATATTCTATTACCCTGTTAAGTACTTGATGTCTGTCACCCACACCTATTCGTATACTCCCTCCCCTTTTGAAACTCCCTAATAAAAACTTGCTGGTTTTTGTGGCTTGTGGGGCATCACGGATCCTACCAATGTATGATGTTTCCCCCGGATGCCCAGCTTTAAAATTTATCTCTTTTGTACTCTGTCCTTTTATTTCTCAAGCCAGTCGACGCTTTGGAAAATAGAAAACCTATGTGATTATCGGGGCAGGTCCCCTGATAGAACCCTTAACAGATTGTCTAGTTATTTTGTTCCTTAGAAATATATCTGTATTGCTATTACCTGGCCTTGCCCCTTCTCTTCATTACAGAGGTTCTATGTTTGTCAGGTATTATTAGAGGAACCATGAATTTCTACCATTTTGGCTCCAGTAAAGCATCTTTCTTCCAGCAAAACAGGCCTGGAATTATTTTCCCACAAGTATAAAATAATATTACTTAAAATTTCTAAAACAATAAGGACTTTTTTTCCTCTCTCATATGGGAAAAAAAAAAACATAGAAAAAAAGCTTCCCATTCTTTAATTGAATTCCTACAAAAACTCATTGAGGAGTCTTTGTATATTTTTGCTCTGCTACAGTCAGCATGTAATCCTGGTCCATTGGCTAGTTGCCTCATCATCACTGGATGGCTGCTGCAGTTCTAGGCATCATCCAGAGAGGTTATGTTCCACTGATAGGAAAGTGTCTATGTCTTCCTTGCATTTATTTTAAAAACTCTTTTTAAAAGCTTCCTTTCCAGGAAGTCCTGGAAGTTCTCTCTTATGTTTCATAATTTTATCACAGACCCCCAAACCTAAATTACCCTAGAAGTATGAATGAGGTAACCAAAGTCACTTAGATATCCACATTTTTGTCGGATGAGGGAGGACACATAAATTAATTTTTAGGCATGCTATGTACCTGAAAATAATTAGAGTTCTGTTAACATGGAACAGTAAATGACTATGACTGTTACATAGTCCATCAGTAATATCTGCTATATAGAACTTTAATGAATTATCTATTATTTTGGTCCTGAAAAATACACAGTTACATATCTTCAGATATCCATCCCTATAGATAGGGGTATTTTCTTAGCAGGCTGTGTTGCCTGCTATGCATTGTCTACTTTGCTTCTGGTACTTCATTGTAGATACTCTTTCGTCTGCTACTCCAAGATCTACTTCCCATTAAAATAAATGGTTTGTTTTCAACTACGGTGTTTTTCACTAGCTTGATAGTCTTCAAAATAGCACATGTCACAACACCAGCTTGGCTCACTTATGCATTTTTCAAGATTATAGGCAAGTTATTACCCTTATATACTGGAGAGGTGTTTTTAGGGAGAGAATGGTAGGTTAAAGACATAAAATGTCATCTCCAACATTTCCATTTACTCAACATTTTGGATTCCTTATTCTATGGCATACCCAGTAATGTCTGACATTGAAATGCCACTTAATGAGATTCGCGGTTGGGTCCACATTTTTGCCAACCAGCCAAGAAATCTATTGCATCATCCAGAGATTCAAATTAGCATAAAGAATATAGAAACTCTGGCAAATGTATCCATATTAATAAATTGAACCTGATCTAAAAATACATCCCTCCACCTTGGTGAAATAACATTAGAAGCCAAAGATTTACTGATTTTCAAAATTCCTTATTGATGATATAAATTAGGGAAATTACGCAGTTTGTCTATAGATAAAATGCTTCAGCCTGTAATCAGCTCTTCAGGTTATGCTGGAATCTGATAATACAGGTAAAGAACATTGAGAGGTAGTTGGTTAGCAAGCATGTGGATTACTGACTTTCTGTTGCAAGTCAACTCCTACAGGAAAAAGAATATCATCATCTTCAATCTTACGATGAGCAACCCTATCAGACAAGTTATAAAAGGGTACTTGTCAGTTAAGGGAGAGCAGAAACTTTAGATGATTGGGGTATTCCCATTTCAATTTCAGGGTATAACTCTTTCCAAACTCATACTCTCTCATCTAAAAAATGTAGTAACCTTGTGAATTCAGCTGACATTAAAAATCATAAGTAATAGGATTTAATTTTGCTTTTGTATTTTGGTTACCTCAGCCTGAGGCTAAAAGAGATAGGAGATGCTTTAAGCAATGTCAAAAAATGTCTCTAGGTTTCAGTCTGTTCCTTTAGCAGAGAATTTAGAAGTGTGTGTCGTTCACTGTATTTATGCTATCCAGTGCATTTTAACATACCTACTCAACCATGCTGTCATTAAATTCCTCTTAACCTTCATAGTGCTTAATGACGACATCAGTGCTACACCCTGAAGCTTTGCTTCTACTGGGTGACCATAGGCTATAATAAATAAGGCATTTCACCTTCCATGCTAAAATGCATGCAATTTAGGATTCCTTTCTTAAATTGTTAATGAAAATTCCCTGTCTCCAATCCTAATGCAGTCAGCTAACAAATCCAGAGTTCTTGCATATTCTTGAGGGTCTGATACCTACAATACATTTTACGTTGGACAATTTTGATTCTAAGAAACAGTAAAAAAAAATAATTAAGTAGAAAAGGAATATATTGGATAGATTTTGAAAACAAGGCTAGAAATAGAAGAGTTTGTAATGGGGTCACAGCTAAGGACCTGCCTTGAAAGTCTGCTTAAGACTACTCTGTTGATACCACATCAGTGGACTTCACACCATTTCACTGCCAGTCTTTCAATATTATATTGTCCTGATTTATTTGTGCCAGTCTGTCAATATGCAAAGATTATGAATGATCTTGGCTAACACACTCAGGTGCTAGCTGCAGTACATGAGAAGAGGAAGCTCTGTTCCCTTTGTTGACTTCCATAGTTGGAAGTGAACTCTACTTCTCATTTGATTAATAAAATTAACAAGTTTTTAAATCATAAAGATGTTACAATGCTAGGAGTCATGAAAACAAGGTAAATGTACATATGATTATCTATCAAAAATAGGATCATACTTTATGTAATCTTTTATAAGCTGCTTCCCTTCACCCCATTTAACAAATATCAGGTATATTTTCTATGTTGACAAATAGTGATCTGAACAATCATTTTAAAATGAAATGAAAACAAATAAAAAGGCAAATAAAAAATGGGATGTGGCCATGAAGATAAATTTATAAGTGAAAAATATATTTCAAATAGACATTTGAAAGATACTCTATCAGTAGTAATAAAACTTTTTAAAAATATTTGATTAATTTTACTTTTTTACTTTGGATTCACAAAAGCCACACAAATATTATTAAAGTTTTAAGTAAAAAGATATATATGAATTTTTAAAATAAAATTATAAAACAATATTATTTTTACTTAATAATGCCAAGAAATAGAGATGAATGTTTAGGAAAACTTGCTGAGGCTTTTAGTTGATACCACATGGAACTATTAACCTTCTGCTATACTTTAACAGATAAGCATGCAAAAGAAAGTCTACTCTATTGTAAGCACTCAGTAAAAATTTGTTAAATGAATATGAGTTCTATGATTATTTGTAGGGGCTCAAAAATTTTATAAACATAATAGAAATAGTAGCAAATGCTTGATGACAGAATATTCTTTCAAAACAATGGATCTCTTAAAAGTAATAATAATGATAATGTAGGTTTCTATAGTTGAAAGTAATTTCCAAGTCTATTGTCTGCCAGATTTCCTTTCTGAGCTAAAAATAAAGAAAAAATAAAGAATTGTAATCTGCAGCTGAAACATTCAGTGTCTAAAATTGAGCCTCATTTAATGTAGTGGTTTTGGTTAATGTTATCCTGTATATGGAAAAACATGTCACATTGATTTTGTGGCTAACTGCGTATCAAAATAATAGGTAACATACTGCCAAATAGCCATCCATATATTTAAAATCTTTCTGTAACAAAGATTACAAATATTATTTTAGGAATTTTTCTCTAGGATCATCATTTGACCACATTAAAGCCAGAGGAATTGGGATATTAAAATCAGAACAAAATGAATTCCACAACACCTGTGCTTGTATACATTTATTACAGATTTCACTATAAAAGCTTAATACCCATGAATAAATATGGACTTGTTTTATTTGATATATTTATCACAGATCAGTTCTTATAGATTAGTAGAAATCAAAAGATAGGTATTTTTAGATTATCTGTAAACATTCAGAAGACGAACATCACTGTAGGTATTCTTATGTTATACATGCTACCAGTTTATAGAAATATGTCAACACCAATTTGAATTCATCTTTCCTAACTTTTAATACAATGTTCTACGTAATATTCTTTAGTATGCCTTATAAATATAAATAGCAAAGTCATAGATAAATGTAAAATATGTTTAAATTTTTTATTCCCCGCTATACCTCATTCATTTAAACATCAGGATGCATCAGTAGTAAAATAATAATTTGTATCAACTCATTTCAGATGTATTAGGCAGGATAAATCTGCAAGATAATGTTTCCTTACAATTTTAAATTTATGTAAGTCTACATTTACAGCAAAAATTTCAATTGAAACAGCATATATAAAGATAGAGTTAAATGGAAGTGAGCACCATCTAATACATTTTGTGGTTATCTTCTTTCTAGCATGAAATGCTTTTAATTACCAATAACTAGATGATGGTATAAACACTACTTCAAGTAGTTATATTGATTGTTGGAAGGTAAAGTAACTAACTACAAGCAAAGTAAAAAAAAAAAAAATCCTGCTTAGGTTCTTACCTTTAGATTTTCATTAGGAAGTAAATTAGCAAAAGATCTTTTATTATTATACTTTAAGTTTTATGGTACACGTGCACAACGTGTAGGTTTGTTACATATGTATACATGTGCCCTGTTGGTGTGCTTCACCCATTAAGTTGTCATTTAACATTAAGTATATCTCCTAATGCTATCCCTCCCCTCTCCCCACACCTCACAACAGACCCCGGTGTGTGATGTTCCCCTTCCTGTGTCCATGTGTTCTCATTGTTCAATTCCCACCTATGAGTGAGAACATGCAGTGTTTGGTTTTTTGTCCTTGTGATAGTTTACTGAGAATGATTTCCAGTTTCATCCATGTCCTTACAAAGGACTTGAACTCATCCTTTTTTATGGCTGCATAGTATTCCATGATGTATATGTGCCACATTTTCTTAATCCAGTCTATCATTGTTGGACATTTGGGTTGGTTCCAAGTCTTTGCTATTGTGAATAGTGCCACAATAAACATGCGTGTGTATGTGTCTTTATAGCAGCATGATTTATAATCCTTTGGGTATATACTCAGTAATGGGATGGCTGGGTCAAATGTTATTTCTAGTTCTAGATCCCTGAGGAATCGCCACACTGACTTCCACAAGGGTTGAGCTAGTTTACAGTCCCACCAACAGTGTAAAAGTGTTCCTATTTCTCCACATCCTCTCCAGCACCTGTTGTTTCCTGACTTTTTAACGATCGCCATTCTAACTGGTGTGAGATTGTATCTCATTGTGGTTTTGATTTGCATTTCTCTGATGGCCAGTGATGATGAGCATTTTTTCATGTGTCTTTTGGCTGCATAATTGTCTTCTGTTGACAAGTGTCTGTTCATATCCTTCACCCACTTGTTGATGGGGTTGTTTTTTTCTTGTAAATTTGTTTGAGTTCTTTGTAGATTCTAGATATTAGCCCTTTGTCAGATGAGTAGATTGCAAACATTTTCTCCCATTCTGTAGGTTTTCTGTTCATTCTGATGATAGTTTCTTTTGCTGTGCAGAAGCTCTTTAGTTTAATTAGATCCCGTTTATCAGTTTTGGCTTTTGTTGCCATTGTTTTTGGTGTTTTAGACATGAAGTCCTTGCCCATGCCTGTGTCCTGAATGGTATTGCCTAGGTTTTCTTCTAGGGTTTTTACGGTTTTAGGTCTAACATTTAAGTCTTTAATCCATCTTGAATTAATTTTTGTATAAAGTGTAAGGAAGGGATCCAGTTTCAGCTTTCTACATATGGCTAGCCAGTTTTCCCAGCACCATTTATTAAATAGGGAATCCTTTCCCCATTGCTTGTTTTTGTCAGGTTTGTCAAAGATCAGATAGCTGTAGATATGCGGCATTATTTCTGAGGGCTCTGTTCTGTTCCATTGGTCTATATCTCTGTTTTGGTACCAGTACCATGCTGTTTTGGTGACTGCAGCCTTGTAGGATAGTTTGAGGTCAGGTAGTGTGATGCCTCCAGCTTTGTTCTTTTGGCTTAGGATTGACTTGGCAATGTGGGCTCTTTTTTGGTTCCATATGAACTTTAAAGTAGTTTTTTCCAATTCTGTGAAGAAAGTCATTGGTAGCTTGATGGGGAGGATGGCATTGAGTCTGTCAATTACCTTGGGCAGTATGGCCATTTTCACGATATTGATTCTTCTTATCCATGAGCATGGAATGTTCTTCCATTTGTTTGTATCCTCATTTATTTCATTGAGCAGTGATTTGTAGTTCTCCTTGAAGAGGTCCTTCACATCCCTTGTAAGTTGGATTCCTAGATATTTTATTTTCTTTGAAGTAATTGTGAATGTGAGTTCACTCATGATTTGGCTGTTTGTCTGTTATTGGTGTATAAGAATGCTTGCAATTTTTGCACATTGATTTTGTATCCTGAGACTTTGCTGAAGTTGCTTATTAGCTTAAGGAGATTTTGGGCTGAGACAATGGGGTTTTCTAGATACATAATCATGAAGAAGTCAAATTGTCCCTCTTTGCAAAAGATCTTTTTAAAAAAGTGTTTGAAAATTACACATCTTGCTTAAAGTTTTATAAGAGAATATCACTACTAAGGACACTAAGTATACTATGAGTACCAAATAGCAGAATATGTATACATCTACTTTTCCATCATTTTATAATCAATAATGGCTATTTGAGGAACTGAAAGTCTCTATTTTTTGATAAATTACTTTATAATGGTACTGTCTCTGGATTAGCTAATTTCATACTCAAAATAACCATATGACTGAAAATAAAATCTAGCCAGTAAAGTCTGCCTTCAAAATACTTCAAAATTGTATTTTTTTTAAATAATTGAAAGGCAACCAGTAAAAGTAAACAATAATGAGCAACATTAATCAGTATTAGAAAATCTCAGAAAGGAGCTGATGGAGCTCAGGAAAGAAATATAGATAAAAGAAAATCATTTCAGAAATGAAGACTGAACTAGAAAGAAGATAAGAGCAAACAAATATACCTGATGGATGAAGCACTAAGAAAAAGTTAAAGGAAGTCATATTTTAGAAAGTAAAAAGAAAAGTGTAGAAAGACGTAAAAACTATTAAAGACAAATTAATAAATATTAAAGATACACAAGGAAGACCAACATACAAGCAGGAGTCCCTGAAGAAGAAAAACAAATAAAAGAGAGCAGAACAGATAACTCAAAATTATGATCATGAATAATTTCCTGCTGATATTGGAAGCTATGTATTGAAAGATAATCTAATTTCATGTACTTAAGGATATCAACCTGGAATTATTAGTACCAAGAAATATTATAATAAAATAATAGATCTTAAAGAAAAAAGAATAAATGTGTCATTTGGACACCTATGGAAAAGAATAAATTGACTAATAAAAGGAAGAAAAATTATAATTTTAAAAATATAAACCCAATTTTTGAAGAAAATGTGGTAACATAATGGAGATACATGAAGAAAGAAAATGAGAGTTACGTGAACCAAAAAGGTTATATTCAGAAAAAGGAACTTTGAGTTGTTAAGGGCACAGAAAACCTGTTATCATTGTACTCCATCGTTTCTTTAAGTTTTCCCTGAGAATACCCCGTAGAATAAGCTTCAGACAACTAGTTAATGGTGAACATTTAAAATGTGATTACTCACAGAAATAAAGCTAAGTAATGGTTAAAAGTCAGAGACTACAGTATGCAGTGTCTATATGCACTGACTGCCTACCTGTCTGTTTCTGTCTGTCTTTCTCTCTGTCTCTCGGTCTCTTTCTTTCTCTCTTTCTCTTTCTTTCTTCCTCCTTTCTCCCTTTTTCTTTCTCTCTCTCTTTCTCTCTCTGTCTCTCTCTCTCTGTCTCTCTGTGTCTCTCTCTGTGTCTCTTTGTCTCTTTCTTTGTCTCTTTCTCTCTCTCTTTCTTTCTCTTTCTTCCTACCTGCCAATGTATATTTAAATATATTTCAGAGGTTGAGAAGCTCTTAAATCTTTATTTTGAAAACTAGTAAATAAAATTAAAATCAAGCATTTATTCTGTCTTTCCTATATGAACTCTACCACTGAGAAGAAACAAAATGGCAGATAGGGGAATTGTCTCATTATATAAAAGTATTTCATCAAATAAATAACATAAAAACTGCAGTATCAGATGATCACATTTGAAACTAGACATTAATTAATGGATTTAGGAACTGAGCATAAATGGCTACTAACAAATAAGAAACTGACACTCAGATGGATTAGTTCAATTGTGCAAGATTTCACAGCTAGTAAGTACCAGTGAGGATTCAAAACCAGATCATCTGGTACCAGAGCCCACTTTATATGCTTTGTCTTAATTCACAGTTTTATCTGGGCCTTTCATTTTTGTGCCTGGACATGAATACTGGTATAGAGCAGTTTGTATTTTGTGATGAGCTTTGTCTTACCAGGCAAGATTTTAAATGATCATTAATACAACTTGTATTGAAGACTCACAAAATCATCTCAGTAAATTTAAATCACATATTGAGAAAGTTATTACCTGTTTAATTTTTCAGTTTTTCTGATTCCTAACAATAAAAACATGTTTTGATACTAGAATATCTTTTACAACTGAAATATGTTCCAGTTGTTTTCTTTGTAAGAAAGACTAGGTCTCATACTCACAAAGTGATCTAACCATAATTTATTATTAATATGCTTGGGTTTTTGCTGTATTAATTTTTACAGTTAATTCATAACAGTAAAACTTTATATATTTTATTACAGAAGTAATATAAAGCTGTATTCATGTAATAAAGCACACAAAGCATTAAGCAAATTGTAGTATGAATGGTAGGTATGACAAAAATTATTTAGTTCTCAAGTAAACAGCATGTGAAAAATACTGTGCTATGTCAAATTCTATTCAGAAATTATGTAGTTTAATATAAAATAAATTTCAGTCATAAGTAATGAAGAAAGTAGAAATAGTACATTTGGGAAAAGACTAAGGATAAATAAAGATGCAGGTTGAGTATTTCTAATCCAAAATTCCTGGCTTGAGAAATGTTTTGGATTTCTGAATTTTTTTTTTGATAACTTGCAAATACATAATGAGATACCTTTGCTAAGGGTCCAGGTCTAAACAAAAAATTCATTTATCATTCTTATATGCTTTATAGACTGAAGATAATTTTATATAATATTTTTAATAATTTTGTGCATGAAACTAAGAGTTGACTGCATTTCTTTTCATTTTTACATTTTTATGAATGCATAATAGTTGTACATATTTATGGGGTACATGTGATATTTTGATACAAACATAAAATGTGTAATGATCAAATCAACATAATTGAGATATTCATTATCTCAAACATTTATTGTTTCTTTGTGTTGGGAACATTTCAGATTTGCTCCTCTAATTATTTTGAAATATACAATACATTATGGTCATTATAGCTGTCCTATTGTGCTACTGAACACTAGATTTTATTTCTTCTATCTGACTGTATTTTTGGACCCATCCCTCTTTATCACCCACTATAATTCCTAGCCTCTGGTAGTCATTATTCTACTCTCTACCTCCATGACATCAAATTTTTTAACTCACACATATGAGTGAGAACATGTGATATTTGTCTTTCTGTAACTGGATTATTTCATTTAACATAATTTTCTCTAGTTCCATTCATGTTGTTTCAAATGATAGGATCTTATTCTTTTTTATGGCTGAATAATATCATATAGTATATTGGTATAGTTTGGATATTTGTCCCTAGCCAAATCTCATGTTCAATTGTAATCCCCAATGCTGGAGATGGGGCCTAGTGGGAGGTGTTTGGGTCATGGGGACAGATCCCTCCAGGCTTGTGCTGTCTTTGCAATAGTAAGTTCTCACGAGATCTGGTCATTTAAAAGTACGTGTCATCTCCGCCCTCACTCTTTCTCTCTTGCTCCTATTTTCACCATGTGATGTGCCTGCTCCCCCTTTGCCTTCCATCATGATTGTAAGCTTCCTGAGGCCTTCCCAGAAGCCAGGCAGATGGAGGCACTGTGCTTCCTATAAAGCCTGCAGAACTATGAACTGATTACCTCTTTTCTTTATAAATTACCCAGTCTCAGGTATTTCTTTATAGCAATGCAAGAATGGCCGAATGTATGTATATGTACCACATTTTCTTTATCTGTCCATCCATTGATGGACACATATTTTGATTCCATATATTGGCTATTGTGAATAGTGCTGCAATAAATTGGAGAGTGTAGAAACCTCTTCAGTATACTGATTTTCTTTCTTTTGGATAAGAATGCAATGGTGGGATTGCTGGAATAAATGGTAGTACTATTTTTAACTTTTCTGTGGACGTACCATTCTGTTTTTCATAGTGACTGCGTTGACTTACATTCCCACCAACAGTGTATGAGCATTCCCTTTTCTCCACATCCTCACCAGCATCTATTATTATTTCGCTGAGAATCGTCACATGAGGTCATGTCAGCACTCAAAAAATTGCATATTTTGGAGCATTTTAGCTTTCAGAATTTTGGATTAGTGATTCTCAATCTGTAGT
The DNA here is from genome assembly GCF_000001405.40 of Homo sapiens. Classification (NCBI taxonomy): domain Eukaryota; kingdom Metazoa; phylum Chordata; class Mammalia; order Primates; family Hominidae; genus Homo; species Homo sapiens. Next base: position 9,822,703 of record NC_000009.12, on the reverse strand, counting down.
ACGTGTAGGTTGTGATTATTTTCTGTTATGAAGATATGTTTTGACTGTAAGTTTAAAAATATTTAATAAGCCAGAATATCTTTAAAAAATAACATTACAAATAATTTAACAAGAAGAAAGGAAAAAAATAAATGGATGATATGATACTATTTGTAGTTGGTTATTTTAACTATATATAATATATTATGTATATATTACATATATATTATATGTTCTGTATATATTATGTATATATTACATATATATTGTATATTATGTATATATTATATATTATGTATATATTATATATTTTTTGAGATGGAGTCCTGCTCTGTCACCAGGCTGGAATGCAGTGGTGTGATCTTGGCTCACTGCAACTTACGCCTCCCAGGTTCAAGTGATTCTCCTGCCTCAGCCTCCATAGTAGCTGGAACTACAGGCATGCACCACCATGCCCAGCTAACTTTTGTACTTTTAGTAGAGAAGGGGTTTCACCATGTTGGCCAGGATGGTCTTGATCTCTTGACCTCATGATCCACCCACCTCAGCCTCCCAAAGTGCGAAAAATACAGGAGTGAGCCACCACATCCAGCCTATTCTATCTATATTTATAAGGCCAATTTTCAAGTGAGTTTATGTGATAAATTTACAGTTATAATGATTTTTGGACATGATGCCTTTGGCAAATGTACAGATAAGGTGATATTTACTACCACAGAGCTGAATAAGACTTCAGTCACAGATTTGAATTATCTTATCCTACAAAATTTAATATATATAAATATATATAAATATTATAAATATATATGTCATAAATCAAGGAAAGTATTCAGTCATGCACACATACATATACAGGCATGCACATGCATGTCCTTTATTTTTGGAAGTTTTAAGTGAAAAGTTGTAAGCATATTTAAATTCAAATCCTTGCTTTACTGCTTATTATCTATGTGGTATTGGCCAATGTAGTTATCTCTCAAAGTCTTCAGTAAAATTTGAATAATAATAGTAACCTATTTCAGAGGGCTATTGATAATGCTACATTTAATAATAGATACAAATGCTTAAAAATACGTGTGGCAACAATATCAGTATTTTTATGCATAGGAAGAAAACACATTACAAGAAGAGAGAATAGCCTATGCAATAATCATTATGATATTTATCTATATCTTATATATTTTCTCTTCAGCCTCTCTGATTCTCTATACAAAACATGACAGTCTTTATATAACTACATATCTAGGGAATATTCAGGTAAGTTTTGAAAGCTTTCCAAACATAATGGATGTATTGGTCCAGGTAGGCTAAAAGTTGACTAGAGGGAAAGCCACACACAAATGTGTGTACAATCCCTTCCACCCTACCACATACCCCAAGAAGCCATAAAATTCAATTACATTTGACATTTCAGTGGTTAAATGTCTCAAAATACTGACTTCAGTAAAGTTTCAGGGTACAAAATCAATGTTACAAAAATTGGTAGCATTTTTACACACTAATAACCTTCAAGTTGAGAGCCAAATCAAGAATGCAACACCATTTATAGTAGCCACGTATACACACAAAAATACTTAACAGAAAACATAGATGACACAAATGGGAAAAAATTTATGCTCATGGATTGAAATAATCAATGTCATTAAAATGGACATACTGCCCGAAGCAATATACAGATTCAGTGCTATTCCTATCAAACTACCAACATGTTTCATGGAACTAGAAAAAAGAAAACTATTCTAAAATTCATATGGAACCAAAAAATAGCCAAAGCAATCCTGAACAAAAAGAACAAGGACAGAGGCATTACATTACCCAGTTTCAAACTATGCTGCAAGTCCATAGTAGCCAAAACAGCATGGTACTGGTACAAAAACAGACACATAAATCAATGGAACAGAATAGAGAACCCAGAAATAAAGCCACACACCTACAGGCCATCTGATATACAATGAAGCTGACAAAAATAAGCAATGGGGAAGGGACTGCCTATTTAATAAATAGTACTGGGATACTGGTTAGCCACATGTAGAAGAATGAAACTGGACTCCTACCTTTTGCCATATGTAAAATTAACTCAAGATGGATTAAAGATTTAAATGTAAGACCTCAAACCACAAGAATCCTAGAAGAAAACCTAGGAAATGCCATTCTGTACAGGGGCCTTGGGAAAGAATTTATGACTAAGCCCTCAAAAGCAATTGCAACAACAACAAAAATTGACAAGTGGAACCTAATTAAACTAAAGAGCTTCTGCATAACAAATGTACTAGCAACAGAGTAAACAGACAACATACAAAATGAGAGAAAATGTTTACAACCCATGCATCCAACAAAGGCCTAATATTCACAATCTACAAGGAACTGAAACAATTGAACAACCAAAAACAGCCCCATTTTAAAAATGGGCAAAATATAAGAACAGACACTTTTTAAAAGAAGACATATGAGCGGTAAACAAACATCTGAAAAAAATGCTCAACCTTACTGATCATCAGAGAACTGCAAATGAAAACCATAATGAGATACCGTATGCACCAATCAGAATGGTTATTACTAAGAAGTCAAAAAACAACAAATGGTAGCAAGGTGTGGTTTCAAGGGAATGCTTATACACTGTTGGTAAGAATATAAATTACTTCAGCCACTGCGGAAAGCAATTTGGAGACTTCTCAAAGAACATAGAACAGGACTATCATACAACCCAGCAATCCTGTTACTTGGTATATATCCAAAGCAAACTGTTCTACCAAAAAGACACGTACTCGCATTTTCATTGCAGTGCTATTCACAATAGCAAAGATATGGAATCAATCTATGTGTCCATCAACAATGGACTGAACAAAGAAAATGTGGTACATATATACCATGAATACTGCATAGCCATAAAAGAAAAAAAAATTGTGTCCTTTGCAGCAACATGGCTGTGCTGGAGGCCATTATCCTAAGCAAATTGGTGCAGGAACATGTTCTCACTCATAAGTGGGAGCTAAGTGTCGGATGCTCATGGACATGAAAATGGCAACAATAGAATCTGGGGACTACTAGAAGAGGGAAAGAGGGAGGGGGACAAGGGATGAAAAACTAACCGTTGGGGACTATGCTCAGTACCTGGGTGATAGGATCATTCGTACCCCAATCCTCAGCATCACACAACGTACACAGGTAACAAACCTGCACATGTACCCTATGAAGCTAAAATAAAAGCTGAAAAAAGTTATTTCAATAAAAACTTCACAGAAGTAAGTTATGTATTACAGCAATATATGCAGTAGAAATTAATTATCATTAGGCTTATGTCCTTAAACCAAAGGTGAATCATATCAAATCTGCAAAGTGCAATTCTTATTAAACCTCCGCCAAAGTTCATTTGGGGCTTCATCTCATTCTGGAGGAATTTATACTGTAAAAGCCTTTAAAAATAAATAGTTATAGAGACCTGTAATAAATCGTTATAGAGACCTGTAATTTCTGCCGATACTCCAGCCAAACTCAACATCAATGAAGACACTTCCTCACATTGGAGAGAAGTTATGAGGGGCAGGGAGAGGCTGAAGTCAGTGTTCCTTACCAATCTCTGCCTCCAGCCTTCCAAAGCCCCAGCAAGCTCAGTAGATCATGATGTGGGACTGCATTATTCAAATATATGCTACCTATCAGGGAACATTTCGACAGTATCTCAGGATCAAGTAAAACATGTTGGTGAAGTGCTTTACATTTAAATGAGAAAATGATAAATCTTTGTCAGCTATTACAATAAAATAATTGAAAGACATACATACGAACTTTTTTTTTTTTTTTTTTTTTTTGAGACAGTGTCTTGCTCTGTTGCCCAGGCTGGAGTGCAGTGCCACAATCTTGGCTCACTGAAACCTCTACCTCCCAGTTTCAAGCAATTTTCCAGCCTCAGCCTCCCGAGTAGCTGGGATTACAGGCGCACACCACTACACCCAGCTACTTTTTGTATTTTTAGTAGAGACTGGATTTCACCATGTCAGCCAGGGTGACTTCGAACTCCTGACCTCGTGGTCCACCCATCTCGGCCTCCCAAAGTGCTGGGATTACAGGCATGAGCCACCACGCCCGACCCATTTTCTTTACTGGAATAATAATGTTTGTTAGTATTGGTCTAATGGCAATCACAATCACAATGTAGTTTTCCTAAATCGTCTGCCTCTTTCTATCTCTCTCTGTCCTTCCCTACCTACATTTCTACTTATATATTATTTCTCCTAGTAACATCAACATTACTCATAAACTAAATAATGTTTCTGGAACCTCTGTAATTAAGAGGAAACATAGCATCTAGGAGTTGTATTCCCTTACTTGTCACACCAGCTTGGTTAATGAGCAGAAGAAACACAAGGCTGAAATGCTCAGCTGATAAAAAGGCTTACCTCCCTCACCAGGCTTTAAAAAGTTTGATTTTACACATTGGCAGCTATGTAATATTGTCTAGGGGATATAGAACAGCGTACATTACTGCAATTTTGGAGATTTCACCATTTAAAGACCGATTTCTTTAGGTCTGACACTTCTTGTTGGTGTGGGTCCCATTAAAAATACATATTATTTCTAAATCCTTGTCATTCTCCATGTCAGTGATACTCAGAGGGCATTTAGATGGATTATCAGCTAAATAAGTATCATATCCAAACATAAGCCACTGTGAGAGAACCAAAGTTACATACAACATATTAACTTCTTTCCCCAAGATCAGCCCTTGGAATTGGATTGAAGAAAGTCCCTCAGGAGATCAACATTTTGACTCTATACCTAAAATGCCTCATAGGAGTCCTTAAAATGGTGGAGTATCCTGTACATTGATCTTGCTAACTAGCTCCACAATGGCAGGCACAGCTCTTCTGGTTTCCGTGAGACACAAGGGGCTAATTTTAAATTTCTTTAACACTTTTAAAAGCCTGTGACTTTTTGACACTGCTAAAGCATCTGATGTGCTTTCAAGGCACCCTTGTATCAGGACAGTTATCCTCTTTGTTTTTCTCTCTGTAATCATCACAGAAGACCCCTAACCCCTTAGCCCGTTTGTTTTATTCCCTGTGGACAATGGGTGGACAAAAATAATGTAAATAAGATGAAAGAAACAAAATTAACTGTCATCAGTATTTTACATTCAGTTTTTTATGGACCTATCTGTGTAAATACAGGACAAAAGTAAACTTGACAGGATGAGAAGAAATATATTTCTTTTAGATTTGGCCTCTAAAGACATATTTGAAGCAATTTTTGAGTAGTTAGTCAAAGTGGAAATAAATAGTTAACTTGTAGTTTATTAAATATCTATAAATAACCAACTTACTTCCACTTTTCGTGTTGAAAGTCATCCCTTACTCTGACCTACAGGAATGACATGTATACTATCTAAGTTAATATTATATAAGTATGTTAATCTAAAAACAAATCAGAGTTCATTGAGGCATATTTAGTCTGGTTTACAGTAGTCCCTAATCGTTGTAGTTAGTTGTTAAAAGATTTAGCAATGAGTTTTAAGATTTATTTTTCAAGTTAGTCTACACAGTCATGATTAATTTAAAATTTGTTTTATTTATATGACTTGTCTCCCTCATGATTCATTTTTGAGCCAGCCTTCAGGCAAAAGCAATCTTAGCTTGCCTAGGGGAAGCTCATTTAATTTGATAGTGATAATTTTTTTGACAGCTGGTAATTTACTTATTTACAGCTTCCTGATTATGTTTTCTAATGCTGTAGTTACGTATATAAAATAATAATCTTCAGTTAAAGAATCCTTATTTTCTATTAATTGTTCCACTAAGAAAAAACAAACTTTTTTTTCTTTATTATTATTAGTATCTTGTGATTTTTGTTCTCACCTTAGTGTAATGGTGATTAACATTTCATGCATAGGATAAGAGAGATCCAGCTCTTACTATTGAAGGATTTTTTTTCCAGTTCACTATCTATTACTAAAGGAATGCACCTTATGCATGACTTTTATTGATGATAGTGGTTTAGCCACAGTGATATTTTGGGGTAAGGCATCCCAGAAAAGTTTAAGCTACGTGTTTATAGGCTTCAGAATACGCAAAAGGTCTTCCCTTTTTCCATCTTTTTTAAGCTCATAAGGCATTTGAGGGGAAAATATTACTTTAAATATGTTAACAGGAAAGTATTATATTGTTCAATATATTATTCAAATATATTGTTCAAATATATATTCAACTATATTATTCAAATATTCAAATATATTATTCAAATTATATTGTTCAAATAGTGAGATTTATGTAAATGTACCAAAGCACTTTAGCAATTATGATGCATTAGATAGCTTATTTGTGTGGAACATAAGGCTATTTATTAAATCGATAATGTGGTTGATCTTTCCAATAAAAGATGATTTTTGTTTGTTTTAATGTGGCAATATACATTATAGGTCTTTATTATAAGTAGTTTTCTAGGTTTGAATATATTGATTTATATTTCTTTAACGGAAAAAATTTGTTTAGCATAAAACATGTTAGAACTTTAAACATGAAAATTGTCTGCTTCTTTCAGACTAGCCAAGAAAACAAATATTTTGTTTTCCAGCTTTATTGAAGAATAAATTAAATAAAAATTACATATAATTTAAGGTGTAGTATATGGTGATATGATAGGTGAATATATTGTAAAATGATGACCACAACCATGCTTATTGAAACATTCCTTGCAGTGACTCTTGAGTACACCTGCATGTCCCTTTCTTCAGTGTGTACTTTCGCTTTGCAATAAATCTCCACACTTTCACTTAAAAAAGTTCACCTCACATAGCTACCATTTGTGTATGTGTGGTGAGAACACTTAGTATCTTGGACTTAGCATCTTTCTTAGAAAATCTTAAGTAAAAAATACAGTGTTACTAACTACAGTCACCATGTCATACATTAAATCCCCAGAACTTATTCGTCTTATAAGTCTGGACTCTTTGACCAACATACTCTCATGCCCCATCCCCTACCTCCTTCCATCCGCTAAAATCAACCATTCTACTCTCTGCTTTTCAGAGTTCGACTTTTTAGATTCCACATATAAGTGATATCATACATCACTATATGTATCTTGCTGTATCTGGCTTATTTCACTTAGCATAATGGAAGCATATAAGGATTGCATTTTCCCAGTCTGTAGGATTTCTTTACATTTTGTTTATTGTTTCCTTTGCTGTGTAGAAGATTTTTACTTTGATATAGACCACTGGTTTATTTTTGCTTTTGTTGACTTTGCTTTCGGTGTCATCTAAAAAAATCATTTCCCAGATCAATTTCAAGGAGACTTTTCTCTACGTTTCCTTTTAGTTTTATAGCTTTAGTTCTCATATTTAAGTATTTAATCTATTTTGATTTAATGTTTGTGTACTATGTAAGTTAAGTGTCCAGTTTCATTCCTTTGTCTGTGAATATCCAGTTTTCCAGGCACCATTTATTGAAGATACTGTCCTTTCTCCATTGTGAATCCTTGGCACTCTCATCAAAGATTAGCCGACCTTATATGTGGACAATGTATGTACGCATGAGTATGGGCTCTCTATTCTGATCCATTAGTCTATGTGTCTGTTTTTATGCCAATATCATATTTTTTATTACTATAGCTTTGTAATATAGTTTGAATTCAGGAAATGTAGTGCATCAAGCTTTGTTGTTTTTACTCAAAATTACTTGTAGTTTGGGAGGCTTTACGAACACTTTGGGAGGCTGAGGTGGGTGAAGCACTTGAGCCCAGGAGTTTGAGACCATATAAAAATTAGTCAGGTGTGGTGGCGTGCACCTGTAGTCCCAGCTACTCAAGAGGCTGAGGTGAAAGGATCGCTTGAGCCCAGGAGGTTGAGGCTGCAGTGAACCGTGATCGTGCCACTGTACTCCAGCCCATGTGACAGAGTGAAATTCTGTATCGAAAAAAAAAAAAAAAAAAAAAGTCACTTTGGTATTTGGAGCGTTCATGGTTTCATATACATTTTAGAATTGTATTTTTTATTTCTGTGAAAAATGCTATTGGAATTTGGTAGGGATTGCGTGGAACCTGTAGATTGTTTGAGGTAGTATGGACATTTGAACATTTTATTTACTTGTGTCTTCTTCAATTTATTTCACCACTGTTTGACAGTTTTCATTGTACAGATCTTCTACCTCCTTGGTTAAATTTATTCATAAGTATTTTATCCTTTCTGAAGTTATTGCAAATGGGATTGTTTTCTTAATTTTGTTCTCAGATAGTTAATTGTTAGTGTATAAAAATGCAACACGATTTTTTATGTTGATTTTGTATCACAAAACTTTACTGAAATCATTTATTCTAACGGTTTTATAGTGGGGGGTTGAGGGTTTTATCTATATAAAATGAAGTCATTTTCAAACAAATACTTTGGCTTCCTCCTTTCTGATTTGGATGCTTTTTTTTTTTTCTTTCTTACCTAATTGCTCAGGTTAGGACGTTATTACATCGAATAGAAGTGGTAAGAGAGACACATTTGTCTTGGTCCCGATCTTAAAAGAAAACCTTTCAACTTTTCATCATTGAGTCTAATGTTTACTTTTGGCTTGTCACATGTGGCTTTTATTATGTTGATTTACATGTCTTCTACACCTAAATTCTTCAGAGTTTTATCATGGAAAGATAATAAATTTTATCAAATTCATTTTCTGCATCTATTGAGATCATGTGATATTTATCCTTCATTCTGTTAGTGTAGTGTACAAAACTTATTGACTTGCATATGTTGAACCATCTTTCAGCCCAGAGATAAATCCCACTTGATTATGGTGAATGACCCATTTGCAAGGGATAAATCCCAATTGATCATTGTGAATGATCCTTTTAAAGTGATGATGAATTAAATTTGCTAATATTTTGTTGAGGATTTTTACATCTATGTGCATCAGAAATGTTGGTCTATAATTTTCTTTTCGCATCTTTATCTGGGTTTGGTATGAGGGTAATTCTGACCTTTTAAAATGAGTTTAGAAGTATTCCCTTTTCAAATTTTTAGAAAAGTTTGAAAAGGACTGCTTTTAATCACTTAAATATTTGGTTGAATTCATTCGTGAGGACGTTTTGCCCCAGACTTTTCTTTTTGGGAGATTTTCATAAGTGCTTCAAACCTTTGCATGATCATTATTAGTCTATTTATATTTTCTATTTCTTCATTACTCAGTTCTAGTAGGCTATATGCTACTTGGAATTTATTAATTTCTTCTAGGCTATCCAATTTATTGGTGTATTGTTAATAACCTGCTATAATCTTTTGTATTACTATGGCATAAGTTCTTAGATCTTCTCTTTCATTTCTAATTTATTGAGCTCTGTCTTTTGTTCTATTTTTGCTAAAGGTTTATCAATTTTGTTTTTCTTTAGAAACTCTCAGTTTTGTTGATCATTTTAATTGTCTTTCTAGTATCCATTTCATTTATGCTCTAATCTTCATTATTTTCTTTCTGCTAATTCTGGGTTTATTTAGTTTGTTCTTTTTCTAGTTTCTTCAGATGTAAAATTAGGTTGCTTATTTGAGATCTTTATTATTAATAAATGTAAGCATTTGTCACTATGAACTTCCCTCTTAGGACTTCTTGTACTGCGTCTTATACATTTTTGCATGTTGTCTTTTTCTTTTTCATTTGTCTCCTTATACTTTTTGATTTCTTCTTTGGCCCATTGATTGCATTAAGAGTGTGTTGTTTACTTTCCACATATTTGTGAATTTTCCTATTTTCTCCTCTTATAGACTTCTAGTTTCTTACCACTGGATTGATACCAATCTTACCAAATATGATAACAAGTATCTTTTAAGATATTTGATATAATTTCAGTCCTCTTAAATTTGCTCAGATTTACAGTCTAACACAATATACCCTGGAGAATATTCTGCGTACACTTGAGAAGAATGTGTCTTCTGCTTTTCTTAAATGGCATTTTCTGCATATGTCTCCAAGGTCCATTTGATATAGTGTTAGTCAAGTCTGCTGTTTCCTTATTGATTTTCTGTCTGGATGATATATCCATTATTGAAATCCCTTACTATTTTTCCTTTCAGTCCTGTTTATATTTTCTTTACATATTTAGGTGCTCCAATATAGAGTACATGTATATTTACAATTGTTACATCCTTTTGATGAATTGATTCCTTTATCATTATATAGTGACTTTTTTTGTGACAGATTTTGACTGAAAGTCTATTTTGTCTCATATAAGTACTACTGCTTCCTTTTGGTTACCATTTCCATGGAATATCTTTTTCTGTCCCTTCGCTTTTAGCCTATGTGTGACCTTAAAGCTAAAGTTAGTCTCTCACAGGGAGCATATTGCTGCAACTTTTTTTTTTTCAAATCCACTAAGTCACTTTGTATTTCTTGATTGGATAATTTCATCTGTTTACAATTAAAGCAATTATTGATTGGCAAGGACTTATTACAGGCATACCTTTGAGGTATTACAGGTTCAGTTCCAGTATATCACCATAAAGCAAACATCACTATGAAGTGAGTGATACAAAATTTTTGGTTTCCCATAAATATAAAAGTTACGTTTATACTATACTGTGGTCTATGAAGTGTGAAATAGCATATGTCTAAAAAAAAATGCATATACCTTCATTAAAAATTAACTTGTTGCTAAAAACTGCTAACAATTATATGAGCCTTCAGTGAGTTGTAATCTTTTTGCTTATGAAGCGTCTTGCCTCAATGTTGATGGCTGCTAACTGATCAGGGTGGTAATTGCTGAAGGTGGAAGTAGCTGGTGCATTTTTTTAAGATAACAGTAAAGTTTGCCACGTTGATTGACTCTTCCTGTCCTGAAAGATTTCTATGTAGCATACAATGTTGTTTGATAGAATTTTATCCACAATAGGACTTCTTTCACAATTAGAGTCAATCCCCTCAAACTCTATCACTGCTTTATTAACTAGGTTTATGTAATGTTCTAATATTTTGTTGTCATTTCAACAATATCCACAGCATCTTCATCAGGAGTAGGTTCCACTGCAATAAACCATTTTTTGTTTTGTTTTTGAGATGGAGTCTCGCTCTGTCACCCAGGCTGGAGTGCAGTGGCCTGGTCTCAGCTCACTGCAAACTCCACCTCCTGTGTTCACACCGTTCTTCTGCCTCAGCCTTCTGAGTAGCTGGGACTACAGGCGCCTGCCACCACACCTGGCTAATTTTTTATATTTTTAGTAGAGATGGGGCTTCACCGTGTCAGCCAGGATGGTCTCGATCTCCTGACCTCATGATCCGCCCACCTCGGCCTCCCAAAGTGCTGGGATTACAGGCCTGAGCCACCGCGCCTGGCCCACTTTCTTTGCTCATCCTTAAGAAGCAACTTCTCATTTGTTAAAGTTTCATCATGAGATTTTGGCAATGCTGTCCCATCTTCAGGCTCCACTTGTAGTTCTAGTTCTCTTGCATTTCTACCACATCTGTAGTTTCTTCTTTCACTGCGTTCCTGAACCCTTCAAAGCCATCCATGAAGGTTAGACTCAATCTCTTGCTAACTGCTTTTATTGATTTATTTTGAGACAGAGTTCATTCTTGTTGCGCAGGCTGAGGTACTATGTCACAATCTCGGCTCTCTTGCCTCAGCCTCCTGAGTAGCTGGAATTATAGGTGTGCACCACCATGCCCAGCTAATTTTTGTATTTTTAGTACAGATGGAGTTTCACCATGTTGTTCAAGCTGGTCTCAAACTCCTGACCTCAAGTGATTCTCCCGTCTAGGCCTCCCAAAGTGTTGGGATTACAGACGTGAGCGAGTGCACCTGGCCGCGAACTGCTTTTAATGTTGCTATTTTGACTTCCTCCCATGAATCACAAATGTTCTTACTGGCATCTAGAATGCTGAATCCTTTCCAGATGGTGTTTGATTTACTTTGCCCAGATCCATCAGAAGAGTCACTATCTATGGCAGCTACAGCTTTAAAAGATGTATTTGTTTAACAATAAGACCTGAGAGTCAAAATTACTACTTGATTCATGGGTTGCAGTATGGATATTGTGTTAGCAGGCATAAAAACATTGATATCCTTTATACCTTCATCAGAGAGCTCTTTAGGTTACTATGTGCATTGTCAATGAGCAATAGTATTTTAAACGAAATCTTTTTTTTTTTTTCTTCTGAGCAATAGGTTTCAACAAGTAACTTAAAATATTCCATCAACCATGTGGTAAAGTTTTGCTGTCATCCAGTCTTTGTTGTTTTATTTCTAGAGCACCGACAGAGTAGATTTAACATAATTATTAAGGGCCCTAGGATTTTCAGTATGGTAAATCAGCATTGGATTCAACCTATGGTCACCAGCTGCATTAGCCCTTAACAAGAGAGTAAACCAGTCCTTTGAAGCTTTGAAGCCAGGTATTGACGTCTCCTTTTTTGCCATCAGAGTGCTAGATGGCATCCTTTTTCAATAGAAGGCTATTTTGTCTACATTGACTGAAAGCCTTATCAATAACACAAGCAGTTGATTAACACATATTTTGTATAGTCTATGTAGTATATATTCTTACAATAAAGTAACCTAAACAAAATAAAATGCTTCTTAAAACTATCGTGTGGAAGAAAAAATATATTTGCTTTTTTTTTTTTTTTTAACCTGGAAGTAGATCATGATAGGGTTCTTCATCTTCATCTTTACACTGAGTAGCCTGAAGAGGAGGTGCAGGAGGAAGGGGAGGTGGAAGGGTAGGCAGGAGAGGCAGGCACACTTGGTATAACTTTTATTGGAAAAAATCCACATATATGTGAACTCACACAGTTCAAACCCATGTGGGCCAAGTGTACTTCAACTCTGTTATTGAATTTACATAAATGCTTCTATTGTTAACTGCCACTTGATATGTATTTGATAATTTCCAACCTCCTGAATGTTTTGCTCCAACCTCAAATTTATATCCAGTATCAAAGTCACCATTTTCCCTTCTGATTTCCTGTCCCTGATCATGGAATGTCACCTGTCTTGGTCAGACACATTCTGAATGTCAGTGTTAGCTTCATATTTCCCTTTTCCTTCTCTTCTAGTGTTTAGCCAATTATTTGAAAAATTCAACTGATGTTACATTCTCACTCCTAATTCCATTACCCCTCTCATGAACAACTGACAAGATTCATTCAAACTTTTATTTATTTACTCTGCATAAATCATTGTAAAATCACTTGATCCTGCTGGGAGCAGTGGCTCACGCCTGTAATCCCAGCACTTTGGGAGGCCGAGGCAGGCGGATAACGAGGTCAGGAGATAGAGACCATCCTGTGAATGGTGAAACCCCGTCTCTACTAAAAATACAAAAAATTAGCCAGGCGTGGTGGTGGGCACCTGTAGTCCCAGCTACTTGGGAGGCTGAGGTGGGAGAATGGTGTGAACCCAAGAGGTGGAACTTGCAGTGAGCCGAGATCAGGCCACTGCACTCCAGTTTGGGAGACAGAGTGAGACTGCGTCTGAAAAAAAAAAAAAAAAAAAAATCTCTTGTGGCTAAGGCCCTTTATCTGCTGAAGGTTCACTGCTGAAATGAACTGACAATAGACAGAATAGACAGAAAAAAAGGCCTACAAACCTATTAACATGCACATTGACATGGGAGACCCACAAATATGAGACCCAAAAGAAGGGCCACATAGTTGGGGATTAAATGCCCTCTTCAGGCTAGGCACGGAGGCTTCTGCCTGTAATCCTAGGTCTCTGTGAGACTAAGGTGGGAGGGCCAGTTGAGGCTAAAAATTTGAGACTAGCCTGGGCAACATAGTGAGATCTTGTTTCTACAAAAAAAAAAAAAAAATACAAAATAAAAATTAGCCAGGCATTGTGGCATGTACCATTAGGCTTAGATGCTCAGGAGGTAAGGTGGGAAGATAGCTTGAGCCCAGGAGTTTGAGGTTTCAGTGAGCTATGATTGAGCCACTGCGTTCTAGCCTGTAAAACAAAGCAAGACCCAGTATCTAAATTAATTAAGTAAAAATTAAACTAATACCCCAGTCATAAGGGAGATGAAAGTTGGGTCTCTAGGCAATTTTAGAGTGGATAGTAAATAATTTTTAGAGGAAATAAATGGAACCAGGAGGCAGACATTATCTTTTAAACGATTTTATTTAAAAAACTGAATGGGATAAGCAAGTTAAAGGAAAATGAGGGGCAAAACTGCACTGTAAACAACGATGGTCTTATTATATAGATAAAGTCTCCCAGGCAGTCTCTCTCTGTGCTGCCCTCAGAAAAATAGATACAAAGCCTATCCGGGTACGGTGGTGATATTTTGTCTTTTCTTTTCTCTAGTGGTTAATCTTTTCTGGTCAATTGATTAGGTTCCTAGAAAGGGGGTTTTAAGACAATTTCATTTCTATGGAAAGGAGTTTCCTGGTCAGATAAGGAAATTCCAAAGTTCCTTTCAGGGCTTCAGGTGGAGGTGGGCAAGAAGAACAAGAGATTAAAAAGTTCTTGTATCTGAGGAAGATGTAGGGACTTCCAATTTAATTTAATTCGAAATGCTCATCAGACCAAAGCTCTATACTTTGGAGAATCGTTCTCTGTGCCCCAATAACCTATAAAACATAATAGTTATGAAGTATGCAACAGTTACACACAATTTCAAACATAAGGATTAGAGAACCTGATTAAGTGTGGCTTAAACAAGGATTCATAATCTCATATATTCATATATTCTCAAGCTGGATAGTTGCCTATTTTGGTTTCACTCCTTTCTCATTTAGAAAAACAAAAGGGGACAGCTCACCATCAGCACTCATTTAATTTTTACATAAACATTCTTTGAGGTAGAAGCAAATCTGACTTTCAATATGAAAATACAATATAAAAACTGCTCTTAGGGTTATTTCTAATCAGAACAAACATCAGAATTATATGAGTCATCAGAATCATCTGTTTTGGAAAAATCGGATTCTTCCAATGAATCTTCAGCCAATAGCAGTTCCCTAATGATGTTAGCATCATGAGTAGAAATCCTATGTTTTCCAGGATTTGAAATTTTCAGCGATCAAGAATCACTATATTTTTGTAAATGAAAATACCACTAGTAGAAATAGAATGCTGTAAATAGAATGATGTCTTTTGTTTCCGAAGTGAATATGCTAGAGCAATGTGTAAATAATAATAAAAGCAAGATATTTTCACAAAGTTATCTCAGGGTAAATGCTGTAGCTGCAAGCATCAGTGGAGAGTATTCTTGGGGCATATGGGAAAATGCTTAACAAGGGGAGAAGTCAGAGCAGAGGGAATCTATCTCTTCACACTACTATTGCCTTTTCTCTGAAATCTTCCCACAAGCTTCCTAGCCAACATCGCATCTTGTTTGATAACCATAACTGAACTCATGCCCACCTGTTTCGTGAAATCAGGATTTTCAATACTTATCTTCACATAAGTATGTGAAGTGTGCTTGCATGTGTTAACAAGAAGAGGACAGGGAATAGAAAATGTGTATTTGGTAATTAAGCACATTTGTAGGGTATCTTCCACCACACCACTCAGATTGTTACCTGCTTGCTCAAAATCTTTAGTAACTCCTGTAGCAACTCAATTCTTGCCTCCTCAATGGAAATAATTCTGCTGAGGGGCATAAGATAGAGACTGAGGCAAGTTTTGCAGCGGGAGTGAAAGTTTATTAAAAGATTTTAGAGCAGAAACAAAAAGAAATATACTTGGAAGAGGGCCAAGTAGGTGACTTGAGAGATCCGAGTATTCCATCTGACTCTTGTCTTGGGGTTTTTACATATTGTCTTTGTTCTGAGGTTTGCATTTCTTTTCCCCAGGTTCTTCCTTTGGAGTGGGCTGTTCACATACTCAGTGGCCTGCCAGCACTTGGGAGGGGCCACAAGTGCAGTGTGTTTACTGAAGTTACATGCATGCTCACAAGAGCTGTTTTTCTCTTACCTGTTCAGTGTTCCTAGAGGTAGGTCAGATACCAGTCAAACCCCGCCATTTTGCCTCTTAGTGTGCATGCTTGAGCCCACTCGCTCAACTCCTGAGATCTTTTTGGGAAGCTGCTGATCACTGTTAGGCATGTCTGTATAAGAGACCGCCTGAGCAGGCTTAGTGTGAGCAGCAAGGCTCTTTATTCACTTGGGCGCAAGTGGGCTGAGTCTGAGAAAGGAGTCAGTAAAGGGTGGTGGGATTATCATTGGTTCTTACAGGTTTGGCATAGGCGGTGGAGTCAGGAGCAATTTTTTGCGGGCAGGGGATGGATGTTACAAAGTACATTCTCAAGGGCTGGGAGAATGTTACAAAGTACATTCACAAGGGCGGGGAGGGTGTATTGTCACAAGAGCGGGGAGGAATGTTACAAAATACATTCACAAGGATGGGAATATCACAAAGTACATTATCAGAAAGGCGGGGGAATGTCATAATGGCTTGACGATGGTGCGGCCAGCTCAGAGGACCTTAAAATCACCACCAGCTTCACGTGTTTTCTATGTATCGGGAGACTGCCTTTTTTTTTGGCACTGTCTACAACCAACTATTATTTTAGAGAGACAGTGTGATAACGGCCTGACCATCTTCTGATGGTTGCCTGACATTCCTGGGGGTGAATTGGAGCTCTCTTGCCTTGCTCATGGCTGCCTACCTACTCTAACACCAGCAACCTTTAAATAAGACCCGTGCATCTTATAATTCTTATGCCTCTGTAAATTTACTTCATCTCCTGTTACTATTTTCTTTAGTAATCCTTTATATGTAATGGCTTTTGCATGGTAAACCACTTGAGGGTTAGGATCACCATTCCCTCTAAAAGCTACCTCTGTGTAAGCTATTTGTTGAGTGAATATATTAATTTGGTTCACTTTATGTTTTTTTGTACTTCTTTTCTACTTTGTGCCTTTTCTTCTTTCTGTTCTTCTTACAGAAGTCTGTTAATGTTGTTTCTAAGCTCTATTTCTCACTCAATAGGAGTATTTTTCTGAGTTCAAGAGGAACATTAATGTTCTTAAGCAAGACGCTGATAAACAAACGTTTGAAAGGTCATTCTTCCTTTGAGAATAGAGTAATTAGGTACCATTTCAACCAAATTGCTTTTTAAGCTGAAAAAGTTAGGATCTAGCTTTCACTGAAGAATAGCTTTTCTAGCACCAATAATAAAGGCATAAAAGTGTACTTTAAGAAATCTCAGTATGTATAAACCCTGAGTTATAATAAAAGAAAAGCTTTAAATATTCAAATTTACTTTTTTATTTTGTAAAACTAATCTGAAAGGGTTCCTTCAGATAGCAAATATTTACATTGGATCTGTTTTCCACTTAACTGAGCTGGTACAGAGTTGATCTAGGAATAAACCTGTGAAGTCAAATCACCTTGCGTTTGAACTCTTCCTCTTTTCTAATACTGTTGCTTCCTAACCGGTCACTTAATTGACAGCCCAATCTCTCATTAATAACAATATCACTATAAAGACTGATGCTAATAATGAAATCATTATTGTACATTTACCAAACAAAGGGCACTAGGCAAAGCACTTTATATATTACTTCTTCTCATACTACTAGGTCATTGTGAGGTTGTTAACATCATTCATTTGGGGGTTATTGAGACATTTGCTTGAGGCCACACAGTAAATGGCAGAATTTGGGTAAGCCTGGCCCCAAAACCCAAAGCCTGGCCCCAGAATCCAAGCTACTATGGTATTTATTTTTTCTAATTAAAAGAGAGTGTTTACACTTAACTTCAAAGTCCCTATGAGGATCAATTTAGATATTACATAATTGCACTATATAATCTGTACAATATTTTACAAATGTAAGGTGTTACTATCAGTAAATTTTAAATATATTTTATGCATGATCACATTTTCACCTTTAGAACAATCATATAAAATTATAATACTTAACAAGGAATTTCTTCTATCAAGTAAATATTTCAATTGCTTATGTAAAATGTGGATGAAATTTAACATAATATTATAAAAATTATATTTTGAATCATCTGATTATAATCAAACATTTTATATATAAAAAGCACACCTCATATCTCTACCAAGTGCATGGTATGCTAAAGAAGTAAGCTTTTTATTAGCTCAAAGTCTTGTTTAGATTAAATGCCTTTATGTTCATGAGTTTCATAATATGCTTTCTCCCCACAAATAATTTAAAATTTTATGTATGAATTCAGTAAAAATTTATTCAACACCTACTAGGTGCCAAGAACTGGTTGAAATAAAATCTGAGAGTCTTCCTCAAAAGAGTTAAGGAAAGATAAAAAGTTCCTTTCTGGTTGAAAATTTATAATGTTGTTAAAAGCCATATAAAATTTTTTGTTCATAGAAATTTTAGAACACATTCATAAATTCACAATTTTAGTAGACATTCAATTTACCCATTTAAACTTTTTTTATTAGTTTCCTGTGTGCTGATACATTAATGTGTGATTCAGTGGCTGGATCCATATTTCCAGCCATTTCCAAGCGGGCTTTAGGGATGGGAAATTCAGTGCAGTGTACTGCTATTTTATGAAATATTGCATGATTATATAATTATCTTGTCTTACTTCAGAATCAAAGCTTCTTTCAGCTAAAAGAGCCCTATGTGACTGAAGGAAATGTAGAGGGATGAGACTGGGTATACATAGCAGTAGTTGATTCCAGTGAAAAATAGTTTTTCTTGAGGTTAGAAGCTGATCAAAAACAGCCATCAGATAATCTTTGTGTATTAAAAGAAAAAAAATAACTCACACACTACATTTCTGATAATGTAGATTTTAACATTGGAATGAAGCAATGTGGGCATAATTCTTGTTCCATTGCTCCAGTAAGAGAACTCAGTTAAGATAGGCACCCATAAACTTCTAGTGAGATAGTGAAACACTAAACAAAATCTAGATCTCTTGTATGCTCTTGTGTATTGTAAAACTACTATGTCAGGATCTTTCTGATATTTCATTACACTACTCCAAGCTCATTAACATATGAGCTTCTCTTTAAATGATTAATCCTTTTTTATTTGATTTGTTATGTTTTTACCTTTAATAATCACATGTATTAGTTTTACAGGAAAACCAGTTTCTTTCCTGAAAGAAAAGAGAAAAAAATGCATTTATAAATTAAAAATTTTGTTTTCTCCTCACAGACATCATTGGTATACCAGGCAGAGATCCTAGACATCAAGAAGGCACCAGTTACAATTATATTTATTTGTCAGATGCCTTATTAAAACAGTACTAACTCTGCTGGCCATGAAGTTTTATCTATTTGGGATGCTCATCATGATAAGTTGAAATATCACTGATGTATTTAAAATGAGAAAATGCAGAAAAACTATTGTTGGAGGTGATATCCCATTAATTTAAGAAAATAAATAATTATTTCTGAATTGTAGATACTGAAGCAATCTAATGAAAAAATAGTTTCTTCAATTCTGCAGCTATATTGAGAGTGACTTAAAAATTTTGTGTTTCTCATAAGAGTTTGACATTTTTTACTACCAATGAGGATTATCACTGAGCGGTTTACTGACTTGCTTTTTTTTTTTTTCTTTTTTATCAAAACGTCCAGTTCAGTGAAGGTGAAAGTAACATTAGTATTTTCCCCAGATTACTCCAATATTAGACCACCACAATTTTCAGTGATTTAGCGTATCTTTTTCTATTTGCGTAATGCTTACATGTCTGGCAATATATTTACCTAATTATAGATTTTTAAATTTACAATAAACCGATATGCATATGCTGCAAAATATGTCTTAGGTTTTGCTGGATCAGATTAAAATATTTTGTGGAACTAGGTTTTCCAAGTAAATTCCTTGTAGTTCAGTAATAGTAAATTTACCATGCTTAAAATTAATATAATTAGTATAGTATTTGGTACTCTTAAAATAGCTCAAATTATATGCATTATTAGTGTAATGCAAAAGAAAATGTGTGTGAGAAAGAGAGAATGAATAAACAATTGTAAGTTTGTTTCATTAGAATTTTTTTCTGAGGGAGGGGGAGGTTGCCAGCATGTGTTAGAAGTCCTCAGATAATATATGGAGAAAAAACTGATAGGTGTATTCATTCAACAAGCATTTATTGAGCTCCAACTATAAGCTAGGTCCTATTCTGGATACTGGGTATGGAGAGTTGAATTTTTTTTAAAAAAAAACGTTCCTAGCATCCTGGGCTTTGTGTGATATGAGTTACTATATGGCTAAGCTTTCCCACAAAAAGTTTCCAAACATACATTTATAAGAGTTCCCTAGTCTATAGAGCCAGAGATGTATAAAGTGGAGATTATCCAAATGTTAGAACAACAAGATATTTCATATTTTGAACCTGGAGTTTAAGTTTGAGTTCTGTGGCTAATTTAGGAGCAAATTATGGCCTAATATAAGGTAGTGCATTAACTTCAAATTCTAAGGAGGCAGGGAGCAAGCTATAATTATGTGCCCTTTTGACCTAAGGACATCTTAGTTTATACAATTGCTAAGAATACAAAATATGGACATATTTGGATGAAAAACGAGGGAAACAACAGGATTCCTATCAACCCATAGGAATCTTGATCTCAAACACTTCCATTACATTTGCATTTCAGGAGTAAAGTAAAAGCAATTTTAAACTGAGTTTAAATTATCATATTGGACCTCACACCTGGACCAGACTGTGTCTGCACCAATTCAAGGAGATGAAACACAATATTCTAATAAACCTTAAGCAACTTGAGTCGCAATTAAGCAATTGGTGCTAAACACATTCAATTTGAAATGCATAAGATGAAACAGACTATTTTTTTCTCAATACTCACCAACTTGCCATATATCCTTGAATTTTGAAAATTATCCAAGCTGACTCCATTCTTGTATAAACAGAACAATAACCTTTATTTGTTATCATTATAGTATTCTGATTGTAAGCACTGCTTGCCTGAGTTTTGTGCCAACATGTATCCTGATGGAAATGCCTTAAAGGGCATCCTTCTGATTTATAGACAACGGATAAAAGAACTTGCAGTGGCCTTGTCAATTTCTTAAGAGGCAGTTAATTAGTATCCTCCTGTTTGGTGAATTTAACCTTTAATAGTTAGCTGAAATGTGTCCTCCAATAATTTCCAACAGTGAAATTATTACCCTATAAACTCAAAACAATTATTGACCAATCAGTTAATAAAATGAATTTTCAGAATTGCAGGTAAAACTACTTTTCTTAGTCCAACAAAAGTTTTGTTCACTTACTCTCCAGTGGCCACAGAAATATGCTCCCTTTATATACCTTGGTAAACTTGCCTTTGTACAGATTATTTAAAATTAACAACTAAAGAGGTGTAATAAGAGCCTCAGTGAGATTTGTTTGCTTTATAAACTCAGAACAGGTTATAGAAGGGCAGCCTTTGACAAAAGGAAAATCCCATTGGAGTTTAGGTGCAGAGCATTTCCATTCCTGTTTTATACTGAAAGTTACTTTTTTTTTTTTAATCCTCTTTAGCTTGCTTATACCTGATACAGCATAGAGAAAAGTGGGTCAGCTTAAAGCTAGTAGCTTTACTTTGTCAAGAGAGGACTTATATGCATGAAAGCATTTTCCTTTCTATGAATGTATACCGGGTACTAATGATTTAAAAATTGCTTTTATATTTGTCACTAAAAAGACCTCTAAAATCAAAGTTGTTACATGATGGAAGTGCCTAATATTTACTTTTGATATAAGATGACTTTTAAATAAGTGTCTGATTCTTTTTTCCTTCTCAAATGCAAATAAATAAATAATAAATAACAGTTGAGTAGCTATTTATAATATCTTTCTTATTTAAATACATTCTAAACTCTTAGTATAGAACAAGGAGATTAGTGCTTGGACAGTTGTCAAAAAGCTCAACTAATCGTGTATCTCCTTCAGAGATGTAAATGCTTCTGTTGCATATCCCTTAAGAAATGTTTATTAAATTTTGAGTGGCTGTTGTTTTACAAGCTTTAAATTGCTTATTATAGGTACTGCTATCAGCTAGAGATGTGGATGAGCTCCTTTATTGACCCTTGAACACCTTTCAACATTGGATAAATTGGGCAAATATAATTAAATACCTAATATTAATGACATATCATTCAATCAGTCAAAATACATTTATCAGGTACTTACCATGTGCTGACAGAGCTACAAAGTATCAAACAAGTGGTTTCTGTCTTCCAAGACCTCATGGTCTATAGACAATGATCCTTCCTTTGTTCATCTATTAAATTTCAAATAATCCGTTCTCTCTTTACAGACCTATAATTCATTAGTTATAAATCATTAAAGGATCTTTTAAAATCATTTAATCAATTGGCCGTTTGCTTTTACCCTTTTTCTCCAGGGATCCTGTGATTCAGGATCACACTAGTCCCTTTTCTTTCCAAATGGCTGAGTTCATATACATTTATGAAATATTAAATACAGATTTTTGCAAAACTGGGGAATATCTTAAATATTTTATTTTTTTAGAGACAAGATCTTGCTCTGTCCCCAGGATGGAGCACAGTGACTCAATCATAGCTCACTGTAGGCTGGAATTCCTTGACTCAAGCCATCCTTCCGCCTCAGTCTCTGGAGTAGCTGGTACTGCAAGTGCACCACCCCGCCTGGCTAATCAAACATTTTATAAAACAAATGGGCATTAAGATAATCCCAAAAGAGTGTGGTATGCAGGACTTCCAAAATGTATTTCACTTTGGAAACTTTATTTTACTTATTTTGACAGAAATCTCTTCGGGAATTCAATATTTTATTATTATTTTTTCTTTTGACAAGAATGTCAAGTGGCTCATCCACCTGTAGGAATAGTTGAGAATGAAAATTTGGAGACTGAAAGGAATTTCTTTTTGTACTTTGAAGCAGGTTTAATCCTTGTCCTTTTTCTCTGTGTTTCTAAGTCTTTTTCTTTTGTCTTCGTGATTAATCAGAGTTCAAAAAGAAAGCTCTCCACCTAGTCTCTCTCAGTCTAGATTCCCTTTAGATGACTATTTTATCTTCCTTGCTTTGTCCTTTTGTTAAGGCCTCAAACTCTTTTGTTACTTTTAACCCTTTATTTATATTCATTGGGACATCATTTTATTTCCAACTTTTATTGAAGCCTAACCTTCCTCTAATGCTTACCCCCCTTTTTATTGTTTGTAAAGAGACAGTTCGGTCTCTTGTGAATTTTAGCATTAGCAAATGTATGCTTTACCTTGGTTCTCATTAGTGTTTATGGAATATTGAACTGACAACACTTAGGTTATGACTCTTCCTTATCTGCCCCCAAGGAAACACAGTGTATCATTCTTTCAAAAGCAAGGCTTACTGATTTGCAAGTGGTTACTTTCATTTTTAGAAGTATTTGGCCTGGCCTTTAGAGTCCCTTTCTACCCTTAGGGCTTCAAAACATTGTGGATAACTTTAGTATCCTCTGAATGTTCCATTCTGAACTCTGAAGACTTTCAAATTCCAGTGGTCTTTGATTCTATTCTATTGATTAACTCATTTAAAGAGCTACATTCTATAATTGCTCTCTCTGTAAGATCTTTAATTTTTAAGTTTAACTCTCCTTCCAAAACATATTATCTCAACCTAATCTATTAGCATTTAATGTGCTCTTCAACCTGACTACAAACCTATCTCATTTATTTGCTATATGGAAGTTAATTGCATTTATTTTTAAAATATATAAATTGGAGGGAACCTTCTGGTCAAATGAATTTTAAAATGTGTAGATAAGATATATAAGTTTTGATTCTGCAGTCATTCCCGTAATAATAACAGGAATAATGTTCTGATGTTACGTTAATAAGTAAGATGGGGATCTAATGTGAAAAATGTCCCAACTTTCAAAATATTTTTGAGAACAAAGCATTTTTAAAAACATTAAAAGAAAAACCAAAACATTTTACCTCCATTATGTCTCAGGATTAGAGATTCACACCCACTATGCTTTGGTAATTTGGGTGATATTTTCTAATCTCTGATTATATCTCCATATCTAAGACCTCTACCTGATTTTGCTTCCAATTTGCTGTGTCTGCTTCATAAATCAGTCATTTTACCTGCGCTCTCAGCAACTACTTTATTTCCTTCTTGTTCTCTTCTCTACATATGGCTTATTCCAAACCATTTCTTACTGCATTTCTACTTCTAGGCTGCTGCATGCTGATGGAATTCAGAACATGATACCCCAAAATATGGCATCTTAACATTTGAGAAAAATAGCAGAAGCAGAAAGGTCATTCTCTGACCTTCTCCCATGAAATGGGTCATAAGATTCTTGTCTGAGAAGTCCCTTCCCTATCCTTGGAAGAAAGGAACGTCCTTATGTCTGAAGACACAAGGACACAGAGGAAACTGAACAAACAACCCTTGATAAATTCCCCCCAATTTATTCCCATTAGATCTTATCCTTTTTGTCCAATCATACTTCACAACTATTTACTTCATCAAATGTAGCGTAAAAATACACAGGTTTCTCTATTTCTTTGAGTCTTCATTTCTGAAGGTGTCTGTGTCAGGTAAAACTCATATTAAATAAATATGATTTTCCCTTGTTGACCTCTTTTATTACATATGTCTCAGCCATAAATCTAGTGAGGAATGAATAAAGGTTTCCTCCCCTACAATGTTATCGAAGAAAATAACATAGTATTTATTAATTTATTAAAATTTATGATTATCAGACACTGCTTGGGCCCCCAATATCACTTGGTAAATTCTTTTGTTTTATTTCCCTTCCTTGTCCTCTCTCCCTGGTGGCTATTCTGTGAGGTTCCAATCGTCTTTTGACTTTTTCAAATTTTGCTGAAATATGTATCTCTAATATGATCAAGAACATTCGTGTATTCAGACATTAACTCTTTAACTTACTTTTATTTCACCTCAAATCCATCATTTTCTAACTTTATTACTACTTCCTTCCCAATTTTATGACAGAGGATGATTTTTTTTATTTTTTATTTTTTTGAGATTAAGTCTCGCTGTTGTCCGCCAGGCTGGTGTGCGATGGCGCGATCTCAGCTTACTACAACCTCCACAGCCTGGGGTCAAGTGAATCTCCTGCCTCAGCCCCCCCCGAGTAGCTGGGATTACAGGTGCCTGCCACAAGTCCTGGCTAGTTTTTGTATTTTTAGTAGAGACAGGGTTTCACCATATTGGTCAGGCTGGACTTGAACTCCTGACCTCAGGCGATCCACACGCCTCAGCCTCCCAAAGTGCTGGGATTACAGGCATGAGCCACCATGCACGACCTGACAGAAGACGATCCTTTTCGTCAAGTATAGCCTCATCAGTTTTGGATTATTCACTCTATTCTTTCTCATTTTTCTAGATTTTTGGTCCATCTATTATCTTTGATGTTTTCCTTATTTTCCAGAACCTTCTAATCTTAACTACTACTTTCTTAAACAATAATTACCTTCTTAAATTTTATAAATTTGCTTTGCACATTTTAAATATGTAATTTATAGTATTTTCTTATAAAATAATTTAATTTTTTTAAAAATTTGAAATACATGCAAAAAAACCCAAACAACTAAACTGCCTGTTTAAAAAAAAAAAAAAAAAAAAAACTGCCTGAAATTCTGCTACCTAGGGTATTACTATTTTGGTATAAATCTAGATATTTTATGCATATGTTGTATTTTTTTAAATTAAGCTAATTCTGTACCAAATACTTTGTAACACTCTCTTCTAAAATGTGTTTTTTATTCCTTCCCCATGTATTTCTTTAAAGTACAGTGTGTGACCACTGTCTTTGCTCTCAGATATCCCATCTACTATTCAGAAAACTATGTTCAATCTTCCATCTCTATTAGTTGATAAAAACTTCTTACACTGAGTTTACCACCATCCTTTTAAATATTACTATTCAGATGATGAATAAGTTTATGGCCTTGATTGTGGCAATGACGTAATGGTGTATACTTCTCTCCAAACTCATCAAGTTGTATATGTTGAATTTATGTAGCTTTGTATATGCCAAATCATACCTCAATAAAGTGGTTTAAAGGAACCCCAAAACACTAGCATCCTTTTCTCAGTCCTCATGGCCCTTTCATTCCTGAAGACTTTGCTATTTTTAGGTTTTTCATGAAGTCCTTTCCGACTTTACCTTCCAAATTCAGCTTTCTACTAGTTCTTGCCTACCTTTTTGAATGCAATTTTTGCTTGTTTTTTCTTCTTTTATGTGCTTTGGTTCCTCATTTTACTCCACACATTTATCAGGCTACAGGTTTTGTACCTCTCTTCATTTCTTCCAACTGAAAAGTCCCTCCCTGAGAATTCTCATCTACTTTCTTAGCTTTAGCTGTCAGCAAATGCTTAGTTTCTTCAAATTTACATGACTATTTTTCAATTTTCTCCTGAACATCAGAGCCATCATTTCAACCTCCTCCCGGATATTTCTTCCCGTAATTTCATTGATTCCTCAGACAGCACATATCTAAAATTGAGCTGTCTTCTATGCAAACCTTGAATCCTTTTCAGTACTCTATCCATGATAGGCACCATGGAATTTTATCTTACTCTCCCTGCAACTGGATTAAGAAGTATTAGCAAGTTTATCTTCAAAACGTTTCTCAGATATCCCAGCCTCCTTTTCTTCTTCTTCTTTCAACTGAGGAAAGGATTTGTGTTTCAGAAACAAAACTTAGTATCCATTTGGGGATCCTCTTTAAAAATACAGCCTCTGTTTGGAAGTGAATATTTGATTAGAATGAACAAAGAAATCACAATAAATTGCATATTAAAAAAACTGAAAAATACCTTAAAATTTAGAAGAATCTTTTTCTTAATATAATTCTGTAATTCTATATATTTTCTTTTTTCTTGTGACGGTGGTGCATAGTCATTGATATATTCTTCACATAGAAACAATCCTGTGATAGTTTCTGTAGAGAGACTAGAAATGTACTTTTTATTTTTTCTAGTATATTTGGATCATTTTGTTATGTCAGTGGCAATTTTACCTACTGTTTAGTCTGGAACTCCCAGACATTGTCAGAAGAAGATGTGTCAGATGTGGTAAGACATGATCTGATACAATAGGATACAATAGGAAACATAAACCATGCAACTTCATACACAGGTGTATTTGCAGTTTGAAGTACTGCTGGAGGTTTTTGTCCTACCACAAAGAAATACTAATCAAATCTATTTTATTTTATTTCCATCAAAAATAAGAAAAAGGTTAATGACATGTTTATAATTGTATATGCTTCATTATCTAGCATGTATACTCCCTTTTGACGTCCCTTTTTGACTAAGTATCAATGATAACACAATACTATGCTTATACTTTATTTGTTTCATGAATACGAATTTTCCTCAGACTTGTTTTTGGTTCCTTAAATACAAACCTTGTTTTTTTCCACTATCCAAATGCTTCCTTGGCTGGGTGGCAATGGCCCTCAATATTGTGATCAGATCTCTAGCCCTATAACAGTATTTCAAAGCTGGGTGAGTTAATATCTGGTGATAGTATTCCTAAAAACTTTCCCTACAATGGGATAGTTAGGTCCCACTATTCTAAAACTCAATATACCCCACTATTTCCAAATTAAATATATTCTCAAATATTTCTCTATCCAGATCTCCAAATACATGTGGCCTTTCCAACACCATAGGACAGGAGCAAAAGTGTGACAGATTGGAAGACAAAGTAGAAAGAGACAGGAGCCTTAACTATACATAGTTAAAGTATTCTCACGTTTTAAACCATATATGATCATGTGAAGCCCACGCAAGGGCTCCTCCCAGGGGCTTGGGAGTGGCCTGTGCCAGTGAGCACATTGAAGCTCAAGCTGTTGGTTTTAAGGTGAAGCTACCTCTGCTCTTTCCACTCCCTCATTCATTTAGACCTGTGATATTTCTGGTTTAGATGATTGCAGCATCTTCTAAACTGTTATCTTCCCCTTTTAGGTTCTCTTCCCTTCAATTTATTCTAATTTAGCACTGCCAGTAAAGTTATCTTTTAAAACACCATTCTAGTCAGGTTGGCAGTTTAGCAGAAGAGATAAGACCTTTAGAGAGATACTCAGTTTGAGTTACTTACTACAGGTTTGATTCCAGACAGAATATTTATCTTCTCTAAGCCATGGTTTTATTATCTGTAAAATTGAGAACATAGTAATTCTTATATTTCAGGGCTCTTTTGAAGATCAGATTAAATCTCACATGTGAAATAGTCGACAAACAATGTTAGTCATGATTATCATCAAGACTCATCTCTTTAAAGAGTCTAAATTCTCCTTGTTTGATTAGCTTATCGTTCAGTATCCCTCACTTACCTCTCTATTTTTGTCATCTACATATACCCCCCATGCCTTCTCTGCTCTAGCCACATTGATACACTCACTTTTGCCTCTGCCACCAGTACCCCAAATACCATAAATCGTTAAGTCTCCATACCTTTCACTATATTACTCATGTTTTTTCAAATACCCACTCATTTGCCTTGCAAAAATCTAAGCATCCTTTAAGGCCTAGTCCTTATGTCATTTCTTGGTAACACCTTCCATGGTCAACATGGGCATAATTAATGGGACTGTAATTTGTACTTTTTGGAACACCATATATATATATGTATATGTACGTGTATATATATATATATACACACACACACATATGTATATATACATGTATATATATATATACATGTACATATATACATTCATTGTATTGTTTTAATAGATGTTTATCTGTCTAACTCTCTTGATGAGCTCTGAACACCTGAGGGAAGGACAAGTGCCAAACACGTATTTTTTAACCTAGCTTAATGCCTCGCGTAGGACAAAAGATCAATACATGTTGGTGGAATCAGATTAAGTCTTTTTATTTCTTACTCCTTTTGATTATTCTTCAGCTCTTTGATACTCTTATATTTTAGGAAGTAGTGGGTTGAATTTCATAAACTATTTCCAGTACCATACAACTAAAAGTCCCATTTTATCCTCAAAACTTTTTAATTTTAATATTGTTACTATTTTATACTTTTTGTCCATTTATTAAAGTTAACTGGAATTTGGGATTTAATCTAATGGAAACCAAGTAGGAACTACACAGAAGGAAGAACAAATAAGATACTTTTTACCATTACATTTTTTTTTCTAAAATAATATATTCTGAGCTGAATTTGAAACCTTTGAAAATACTGAATAAAAAATTTTTCCCGCTTGATTCACGTTTAGGATATATATAATAGGAGTAAATTTCTGAATAAATAATTTATGCTTTTTACTAACAGAGATAATCTTTCTTAACAGCATAAAATAAATTTAGGAAACACATGTTGACAGACGTACATATCTATCTGTCCGTCCATCCATCCATTTGTCTATCTACTTATATTGATAACATATACATATGTGTGGGCATTTTAATACATTTACTTCTACTTTGCTGCTGATAATAGAAGATCATGAGTTTGACCAAGTAGGAGTTTTACTTTTGTTTCTGGATATGAAAAAAGATTATGTCTTCGTAATTGGAAGAAAACAAAACAACTCAGAGAAATGGATCAAATGGCACGTTTTATAGATACATCCATTTTATTCATAGTAAAGCTATGGGATGATAAAATTTCCATTCAATTGGCATCTATCAACTTATGATAATAGCAATTTTTGTGAATATAGGAGACTAAAAATAATTTTGTCATGGCAAAATAATGGAATTTCAGGTCCTGTATTTTAGTAAACAAATAGTAATCAACCATCTAGGTATGGTACAATTCACATCCATATCCATTCACACACAGTATCCAGAAGTTACAAGGTCATTTTTGTGCCTACAATAAATGGGCCAATTTTGCCATTTAAATTTGGTATATGCTCTCAGAGGTGTTGATTATTCAAAATACCTGTTTGCCCAAGTCTATTAAGCTTAAAAACTCCATTTTAATACCCCTTAAATTTAGACCATGTTTATATGACAAATGTTTCAGAGTTACTTATAAACACCATTAAATTTCATCACTAATTACAAATAACAGGATTGAAATTAACACCTGTCCCAGCTGCTTTAGATTTTGGATTGCTCTTAATAAACAGTTGAGAAAATCCTCTGTTGCTAAACATTTACTGGGGCCATTTGCATTCTGATTTTCAATGAGCTATTATGATTTATACTCTCATATAGTCATCTGAAAATAGCACAGAGCTTGAAGCCACTGAGTGTACTTCCTCATTTGAATTTGAAGCAATGTATGTAATATCTTACATTTTAAAATCAGTTTTCAGTGTGAGACATAAATTTATCTCCTAAAATTGTTCTATTTTTTCCTCCAGGGCTACTAGGAGAAGAATGCCAGTGGGGTAAATGGGAATTTTCACACATACAAAAATTGAACATCATTAGGTTACACTAATGTACAAAAAAAGAGTGCTATAAGTCTTAATGATCACTTAAAATGAAAAAGCTCTTAAAGATAGATGAAACTCTCGCTTCCTTCTACCCTTCCTTTGTGGCCCTTGGCCTGCACTATAGGTGCTGGCAGAGTTTTCAAATGAAATAAGACAGTTAAATTGGCAAGTGGTTCAGTGCTACCTGAAACAGCATTAAATAACATGCAGTACTAATATTAACAGGAACTGTGGATTTGGAAAAGTTTCACACTCACTGAGGGAAGGGTGGTCATCTTGCTGCCACACTGAAAAGCTGTGAAAAAAATAAAGAGTAATGTGATTTTTTTAAAAAGTGTCAGAAAATCT
Organism: Homo sapiens; assembly: GCF_000001405.40. Classification (NCBI taxonomy): domain Eukaryota; kingdom Metazoa; phylum Chordata; class Mammalia; order Primates; family Hominidae; genus Homo; species Homo sapiens. The sequence goes on along the minus strand of NC_000009.12, from coordinate 9,792,104 downwards.
CACTGGCCTCCAAATCATGGGATAAAACATTTTTTTTAATCCTTGGAGTCCCATTCGATTATAATATTTAAAATGATAAGACTTAAGTTTTTATTTGCTTTAGGACTTCAGGACAACAGAACTCTAGATGCAGTGCTCTAATTATTCAAATATGTGTCCTTAGTAGACATAAAAAAAAATTCAAGGTACATCAAGATGCATTTTAAAATAAAGCTTCTAAGCATAAGAAAATTCTTACAAGATAACCAGAAGATGGCAGCATGGCTGCTATTTAGAAATTGGATAGCTTATAACTTCCCATAAGCAAAAAATGATTTCTCGATTTTTGTAAATAGTATACTATTTCCAATCAAAAAAAGTCTCAATATAGGAAACATAATTAAAAGGAAAGACTGTTGGTAAGATCTAAATGATAGCTTGACCAAAACAAAATTACAAAGAAACAAAAATGGATTCTTCCTCCCTGCAAATAATGTAAAAGAAAGATGAAAGGAAGAAAGACAGAGAATGCCAAGGCTCTTAAAAATGTGCTTTCAGAACATGTTAAATAAGCTTGATAGAGAAACTTATCATCAGGGGTGATAGAACCCATTATAAGAAAGAGACTCTTTTATGATTCCACACAAGATGAGCCCTGATATTGAAATAACCAATTAATTCCATCTAGGCCATTAGAAAAGAATTAAAGGTCGTTATTATAATTGCACAGGTTCAAAACAAACTTCTTACATTTACCATCTTTTAAAGTCTATTTCAGCTTAAAAAAAACATGATTCTATGATCTTATGAATTTCTTAAAGAACAAACGTGTGCAGTTAACAAATAATTCCAGAACACCTTTTTCATTTTTAAAGGTATAATCCGATTTTAGCTAACACAATTAACTGAGGATATAACTAAACTAAAATCTTTTAAAACCAGCTGAGAATCCCCTTAATGATGGCTATATGCAGCATAACAAAAAGACAGTGGGAAAAAATATTTTATAGTTCCTAAAAAAAATCTGTAACAAAATTTTACTAGAGTAGAAATTTTAAGGAAAATCCTTTAATGCATTCTACTATAAGCTGTTAAAACACAGTGCATTTATCTATTACGTTTTCTGGTTCATTATATATATTTATGATATGTACTGAACCATCTGTCTTCCAAGATGCCATAGGACCTGTTCAAACTGAACTAGTTACCATACTTGTTATAAGGCTAGTTTGGGTTTTTACATGTACTTGTATATTAGTGTAGATCCATTCATTTATTCAAAATATATTTATTGCCTATTGTCATACTTGGTCCCATTCTAGGCAACTACTGAAACACATTACAAGTTTTGAAGAGATTCATTAGACAATTTTAATATGAAAATAGCCAAAAATATAAGAACTGAATTTGACAGACAAACATTTGTGTGAATGTCTAATTTCAAGCTAACATAATTATTGATATACATTAAGTCCTTGTTATTTTTCTTTGTTATGGATTTAATAATTGATCAAAACTTATATTTATACCTATTAAACTAGTATTGAGTTCATAGGAAGAAAATATCTATAAATGAGATTGTTTAATTAGCAACAGAATAACTTACAAAACATTTGAGATAAAGCCACTGAAATCAGGCAGAAGGGAATTGATTTATTCTCCTCTCCACCTGCAGTGGGCAGCAAAGCCTTAGTTAGGTTTTAAGATTTCATAGAGAAAACAATAAGCAGGGAAGCAAACCAACTGGTGACACAGTGGACAGGTGTCATTCTCAAGCCCCTGGGGAAGGTGGCTTTCAGCGGCAGGAAACAAATTAGATGATGAGGAGGATAAACATTTTATAAAATTCTTTGCCATATTTTTTCTCATTTAAGAAAAATTGTCCAATGTCCAAGACAATACATCAAGAAAACAAAACAAACATTCACTTTTTAAGGCTATGAAACTCGAGACTTGGGTACATTAAATCTGAGGATGGAGAGCTAACGAATAGTACAGTCTAGATTCCCAGCCAGATATTCCCACCTCTACATTAAAATTAGAGGAAATTGGGACCAGATTAGAAAGAGGTTCTGGCCTGCTAAGATCATCTTTGATCCCATGAAGTTAAGAAATTATGTGTGTTCTTTTAGTTGTTTCACAAAGATAAATAAAATATTTGCTCAAATGATTAACCTCTGTTTTTGAAGACCTGAATATAATTGAAGTTCATCCAGAGAATTTATGAGAGATTTCAGTAGCTACAATGTTTACCTTAAGTTTGATTTGCACTTGTCCTGATAAATTACGACTCGATTTAATTTTTTTTTTTTTTTTTTTTTTTTTTTTTGAGACAGAGTTTGGCTCTGTTGCCCAGGCTGGAGTGCAGTGGCGCAATCTCGGCTCACTGCAAGCTCTGCCTCCCAGGTTCACGCCATTCTCCTTCCTCAGCCTCCTGTGTAGCTGGGACTACAGGCGCCCACCACCACGCCCAGCTAAGTTTTTGTATTTTTAGTAGGGACGGGGTTTCATCGTGTTAGCCAGGATAGTCTTGATCTCCTGATCTCCTGATCCGCCCGCCTCGGCCTCCCAAAGTGCTGGGATTACAGGCGTGAGCCACCGCACCTGGCCGATTTAAAAGTTTTAATCACCTAGGGAATATGTCGATTATCTCCCCCTCAGTAGAGTGTCTTGGCCTGTGAACAGGGAAAAATAGTGCAGAATAAAATATTTTGGAGCAAGTAATTTATTGTTTGAGTTTATTTATATTCTGTGAACTTCTTATGTGACATCCAGTGCACTTCCCAAGCTTGAATAGTTACGCACTGAAAATCTCATACGCTACGGGAACTTGCCTATAGGCCAAGGCATTCCGCTTGATGATGCTTACCTTGGATGTATATTAATGCTTTCTCCACCAAAGTTAGAGCCTGGTTTCTGAAACGTTTTAACATGTAATTCCTATTTAGAAAAATATATAGGCATACAAATATAAATATCAACTCAAAGTAGACTACAATAAATACTATGTATGGAAAGGCAAAAAATGTTATAAGATCCCTCCAGATGTCCATGTAGCCAGCCAGAAAATATTTAAACATGTATAATGTGTCAGGTAGGCTGATAGGTGATGAAATATAGACATAAACTTAATGAAGGACTTTGAATCAATTTTTGAAAGTGTTAGAGAGGCACCGGAAACTTGTGAGTAAAGCGATAACTAAAGCAGAGGGTTCTTTTAGTTGTTTCCACTTTAGATCTAATTTTGACCCTAGATGAAGACCATGAAAGAAGAGTTAGATAGTTGTTTAAACACTTCACTGATTATTGCATGTCAACTTCATGCAGAAAAAAAAAATATTCTTTAAAATATGGCCAGATTTGGTTATCACATTTCCTAAAATGTTATAACCACCTGGAGCTCACCTGGTGGCTATTTGGGCTTTTCTTTTTACTTCTCCCCCTTTAAACATTTTTTTCTTTTGTATCAGATTAATATTATATACTGTGTCTACGGGATTTAAATAAAATCCATTACCACCCCTTAGAAAGCTGTTTTAGTTTTCTTTTTTTTTTCTTTCTTTTTTTTTTTTTTGAGACGGAGCTTCTCACTGTTGCCCAGGCTGGAGTGCCGTGGCCCGATCTCGGCTCACTGCAAGCTCTGCCTCCCGGGTTCATGCCATTCTCCTGCCTCAGCCTCCCCAGCAGCTGGGACTACAGGCGCCTGCCACCATGCCCGGGTAATTTTTTTGTATTTTTAGTAGGGACGGGGTTTCACCGTGTTAGTCAGGATGGTCTCGATCTCCTGACTTCGTGATCCACCCACCTCGGCCTCCCAAAGTGCTGGGATTACAGGTGTGAGTCACCGCGCCCGGCCAGAGAGCTATTTTTATATCTTTTTTCATGGCATCCTTTTGTGAAAGAAAATTTGACTAGGAGCTTGTCCTCTGTACATTCATATGTGTATAAAACAATAAAAGGAAAGAAACATTTTTAGAAAAATTATAACTTCATGATTTATTTGTATTTCCCAAGTGTCTACTGATTGTAAAAGTGGTATACAGGCTGGGCGCGATGGCTCACGCCTGTAATCCCAGCACTTTGGGAGGCCGAGGTGGGGTGGATCACCTTAAGTCGGGAGTTTGAGGCCAGCCTGGTCAAAATGGCAAAATCCTGTCTTTACTAAAAACACAAAAAATTAGCCAGGCATGGTGGCAGGCGCCTGTAGTCCCAGCTACTTAGGAGGCTAAGGCAGGAGAATCTCTTGAACCTGGGAGGTGGAGGTTGCAGTGAGCCGAGATCACGCCATTGCACTCCAGCCTGGGAGACAGAGCAAGACACTGTCTCAAATAATAATAATAATAATAATAATAAATAAAAAATTGATATACGTTGTTCAGATTCAAATTTTTCTACTGTTTGTCATTTCTTTTGTGTCTTTAATCTTTCTCAGGTCTCTGACCTTTTGTAGTAGCATTATTTTATCCTCTTTTCCTTTATCCACCTTATTGGGTGTCCCAAATCCCTTTTACCTGGTATGTTTTTCTCCATTCCTCAATCTTCTTTTTCTTTTTCTGAAATCTTATTTTACCCTTCCTTTGCTTTATGAAATGATGTATTTAGGAGAGTATATTAGTTAAACTGTGACAAAAGAAAATTGACAGAAAAAAAGTAACATTAATTAAATTTTGGACTGTAAAGGATTTGGCCTTTTTTTTTTTTTTTTACATAGTTGACATAAACACTTCCTGAATCTTGATACATATTTGTCAATGCGTTATATGTCATCATATATCATAAACCAATTGGACCTTTACCTGGAAGCTGACAAAGATTTTGAGCTTGGTGAGGTAGCACTCTCTACCACCCAACTATTTTACTACTGAGAGTGTCACTGTTGTGTAGTACTGTTTGTTCTTTTTTTTTTAATGAAATATTTTATAAAATCTAGTTAAATGAGAAATAAAATTGATTTTTAAACATTTTTATGTATTTTTTTTTTATTAAATTGAGATGGAATTTCACTCTGTCGCCCAGGCTGGAGTGTAGTGGTGCGATCTCAGATCACTGCAACCTCCGCTGCCCGGGTTCAAGCAATTATCATGCTTCAGACTTCCAAGTAGTTGGGACTTCAGGCGCACACCACCACACAAGCTAATTTTTTTGAATCTTTAGTAGAGATGGGGTTTCGCCCTTTTGGCCAGGCTGGTCTCAAAACTCCTGATCCACCTGCCTCGGCCTCCCAAAGTGCTGGGAAGACAGATGTAAGCCACTGTGCCCAGCCAATTTTATAAGTAAAAATATGAAGTTAATAAAAATTAGTATTAAGATGGGAATCTCTAGAGTGCAACTTACCTGCAAGTGATTTTTTTTTATTATACTTTAAGTTCTAGGGTACATGTGCACAACATGCAGGTTTGTTACGTATGTGTACATGTGCCATGTTGGTGTGCTGCACCCATTAACTGATCATTTACATTAGTGTGGCGATTCCTCAAGGATCGAGATCTAGAAATACCATTTGACCCAGCCACCTGCAAGTGATTTTAAAGTACTCCTCGTCTTGCTTCTACCAGCAAGGGAATGTCCACTGTGATTTACTTCTGTGCCTATAACATTCTGTTGTGTTTCTCACATGCTGTTTTCAGTATTAGCATTTATGGTACAAAATGCTGATTATGTGGTAATTTATTTTACTCTTATGCTTATATGACCTCATACCATTATATACAAATCTATTACAGTAAAATTCTTCAGGTTCTTGATACTCTCTCGATGCTAATAAAGTTTTCCACCATGAATATAACCATGAAATGCATGCAAATGTATCAATAATTCTCAAAATAGTTTTAACTTATAATGGGTTAGAGTAGGCATAGAAGATGTAAATTTTTCTAGTTTTCATTAGTTTATGCAGGTAAATGTAATCATCTTACAGCTGCTTCAGTGCATGGCAAATAATGGCAATCAATAAATGCTTGTCTTGAATTTGATGAAATACTCTAATAGACATGAAAAATTTTTAGGTTAGGTAAATATAATAATAGAAAACAGGCTTAGGCCATTGGTTTGTATTATTGATAATGAAATATGGAGAAGTAATATATTCTCATCATTGTATTTGGAGAAAAAACCAGGATAGTGAATAATTATAACATTAGCAAAGTGGTAATAAATAACTTAGTGGTTACAAAGAAAATGTTGGAGCATGTTGCCTTCATTTCATCATGACCTACTTGAAGCATTGGCTTTGAATTTTTTTTGAATAATTATTGACTAGCAGGAATTGTGCAAAAATGGTACCTTTTGTATGTACCCCATATCCAGCTTCCCCTAATGTTAACAACTGACATAGCCATTGTAAAATTTATTTGTACAATTGTATAATTAACACTGGTACTATAATATTAATTAATATGAGACATTATTGGAATTTTACTAGTTTTTCAACAAATATTCTTTTTCTGTTCCAGCACCCAAATTACTATGTCGAATTGCATTTAAATGCTCCATTTCCTTAGTTTCTGCTGATCTGTGACCATTGCTAAATCTCTCTTTATCTTTCATTATCTTGAAACATTTTATGAGTACCATTTAGTTGTTTTGCGGAATGCCTCTCACTTTGGTTTATGTAATATTTATGAATGATTAGACTAAGGTTCTGAATTTTGGGCATAAAGACTACAGAAACTATGTTGTGTCCTTTTCAGTACATCATATCAAGGTACATGATAATGATATATACTTTGTCTATGAGAAAGTAGCATGTACTAGGTTTTTCCACCATAAATTTAGTGTTTTTCCCTTCATAGCTAATAAATATACTGTAGGAGATACTGTGAGATTATGCAAATATCCTGCTTCACCCAGTAATTTTGGTATCCCTTGCGAATCTTGCCTGCAATAATTACTACTGTAGTGTTTCCTGAATGGCAATTTTGTATTTTTCTGATCCTTTCTATATTTATTATACAATAAGATTTTTGTTACTTAAAATAGTATTTGCCATCAATATTGAGCAGAAACAAAAATATACAATTTCATATTTTTGTTCCTACTTATTTTATAAAACTTTTCTTTCATTCTTTCTAAAGACTCTAGCTAGGTTGGACTAGAGTTTTTTTTTTCCAAAACATGTTTTTAGCTAAACCGTGTTGGTGAAAGCAGTTATATTCACCCAAACCCTGTACATAGCAAACCCTGCTCAAACCATATACAATTTGTTGATAAAATGTAGGAGAGATTATATGTGTGTATAGGTGTGTGCGTGTGTGTGTGTATATATATAATATATAATACATTATTAAGACATCATACATATATCTAATATATGTTTTATGATATAGATATAAACATATATATATCTATATATACACACACACATAAAATTTTAAATGCTGGTAATAAACATGGACAATATATTTTGACACTGGACTTCACTTCAGATTTTAAGCTAGCACAGTTCCACTAATGAACAAATACTTTGTAATTGCTTTGAGTGAGTCAGTATGGTCTGCTAGGTTATTGATCTGCTAATTTAAAAAATCTTGAAATAAGATGTACCTTGATGGCTTAATGGATTTGACTTTAGAGCTCCCTTATGGAAGTTTACCATGGCTTTGGAAGGAAATTTGTGAAACAGGAAAAAGAAAGTAGTAAAATAAGTTGTAGTTCTAGAATGTGAGATTAGAATGACTTAAAATAATATCTTTTTCCTTCAGTATAATTGTGGATGCTGTGGTTGAAAGCTTATTTATTGTAAATAAGCCATAAAAAGCTTGCAAGGTTAAATAAAAATTACGTCACTAGATTTTTTTCTTAATATTCACTTTAAAATTTTCCATAGTAAATTCCAAGTATTTCTCTGATTTATGAATGCTTTGCAGTTGGGAAGAATATCTTTTAGATATGTTAGCTTTATCCTTTGTACAGCTCTTCCTAAACTATGACCCTTAAAACTATGCATTATATGTCAAAGAATAATTTAAAAAATACTTTTATAAACATTAACAGCAAATATGGCTTTGCTTATCTTATAGGAAATCTTTCGCACTTGTGTTAGCTTTCTGTAAATCTGTCTGACGACATATTGATGCAAATTACATTTTCATGTTTTGTGACTTCTGCAGTTATTGTTCAGCTTTATCATGACTCACCAAGAATTTTTTCCCCACTATTTAAAATCACTAATGGATTTGCAGCTAACCTATGGCTTTAGTCTCTGGCAGTTGCCTTCAGTATCACTTGCGTATGCACTGAGCTGATAAGTACTGTGGTTCATTTTACTCTTGAGCAAACCAAGTTTAATTAAAAAAAAAAAAAAAAAACGAAGCAGGAGAGAAAAACAGATGAATAATTACCTTAGCCTGGGATAAAGGTGGTGAAAAATCACTTGATTGCTTTCTAATCTTTGGCAAGATATATTAAAATAAGGCTTGGGAGGGGAGGAACTGGCAAAAGAAGGTAGAGGAGACAACAAGGGGTACAAAGTAGCGTTCTTGTGCTCTTTATTATGACTTCCTTGGATTTCTCCAACTGTATTTTATTCTGTATTATCAGTTTGATAAAATTATAATTAAAATGTACATCTTGGTTTAATTATAGATCTCTTCCCACATCAGTGGCTATTCCTCAGTATTCCCAGTGCCATCGTTTCACATTACATTTTAATTTGTAAGTTCATCAGGAAGAACAGTGTACCCCAGCATATAAAGGATTACTTGTCATGATTCAGTAGGCTAACAAAGCTTTTGTTGAAAAGAGAAGTCTAATGAAAAGAAAGATTCTACTTCTCCTAGTCCAATTATTAGCTCAGATATTTCATGCAAGAAAGAAATTGGAAATTTTCCTCACTGCACTGTATAATACGCTCACTTTAAAACCTTGGTAAAAAAATATACAAATGCACATCTCCTATAATGGGGAAAATCATTTGAGGATAGCAAATATGCACAGAATCAAAAACAAACAGCTTTACTTTTCTAAATAAACTTTAAGAATTACTGTTGCGTGGGAGAAAAGTTTCAACATTAGTCTTTTTTTAATTGTCAAGGAATGAAAATCACTGATAATCTTGGAAGAATTTAAACAAGATAATTAAACATACATATAAAGGCAGAATAATAAATTCCATGATGATTTGGTTACTTTCATGTATTTAGATTATATGACTTCATAATTTGGGCTTATCTATCCAGATATCTTAAAATACAAAATAAGTCAGTCAACATGTATTTATAAAGTACTGGAAGAATAGCATTAGACAAATTCCAAGGAAGCAGATGTATCCAATCACAAAACAGTAAGATGAACTTTCGTTTTGTGGGTTTCCTGAGTATTCAGAATACCATGCTGATTTCAAATTTCGATAACTTGTTATACACTGGAGTTTTATTATAATAACTGTGAGGACTTGAGAGAATGTTATAATTAAGAAGGTCCCACATAACCTTTTGTTTCCTTCTTTTGTCTTCCACATAAATAACTCAGAGCTATCTATACTCATTGCAATAATTTTTCCCCAGGAACAGCATGGTTAAGTCAAAGGATTACTGGGCAGGGAGTTCAAAGTTGAGGGAGTCCAGTTTTATGTTTCTTAATTTATCACAACCTAGGGTTTCCTCATCTGTTAAATGTTTAGAAAATATTCTTTCCTCAGTTAATCAGTTGGTAACATACCTCAATTAGTCTATGATTCTCAATAATCATTTAAAGATGCAAATGTGTTCCTCCAATTGACAGACTGTCAATCAATGAACAATCATAGCAATAGACATTGTGATTAGTAACTTTAAGGGGTTAGGAATTCTTAGAAAATCTTAATCTCATCGGCATTTTAAATTATAATTTAAATTAGGACTTAGAGGTACCTGTAAGACAGTATATCTTATGACATCCAGGGAGTGTTTACTGAGATACTGACCATGTTCATGCATACATATACACACTGTGTTGAGATGACTGTAGGATATTATGAAAATTTCTGGAAAAAGAAACCAAGCAACCACCGGGAGTCAAAGAATACTTCTGGAGAAAGGTATCAAAATTGAGTCCAAAGGCCGGGTGCGGTGGCTCACGCCTGTAATCCCAGCACTTTGGGAGGCTGAGACGGCAGATCATAAGGTCAGGAGATCGAGACCATCCTGGTTAACACGGTGAAACCCCACCTCTACTAAAAATACATAAAATTAGCCGGGCGTGGTAGTGGGCGCCTGTAGTCCCAGCTACTTGGGAGGCTGAGGCAGGAGAATGGCGTGAACTCGGGAGGCGGAGCTTGCAGCGAGCCGAGATTGCGCCACTGCACTCCAGCCTGGGCGACAGAGCGAGACTCCGTCTAAAAAAAAAAAAAATATGAGTCCAGACAAAAAATGTTAGTCAAAAGATAATAGAGGGAGATGGGACTTAGCAAATCGGATTGTGTAAAAACCTACTGGATAGAGAGAGAATAGTCTTTTCGAGAAAGTTGTAAAGTTCATTAAGGCTAAACTCCAAAAGTTTCAGCATAATTCAGGGAAAGGAAACACTTGTTGAGCACCTACTGTATTTCAGTGTGCTTGGTGCTTCAGACTTCCTGTGTTACATGCCTTCACATGTCTTCAAATAGCCACACCTGATACTTCAATTAGGCAACTGTATATTATTGGTCAATTAGATCTTACTGATTTGATTAAATTTGACTAGATTTCCTTCTTCCAATGTCACCGTTGTCTTTCTTTTTTTCCCATTACATAGCATTTAACTTGAGCATTTTTGCGTATTTTTATCGAATGTTTATAAAATCATATATACTATTAAATTATTTTAAATTACTTGTGTATTTTTAGAACAGTGTTAGATGTACAAAATATTGAGTTTATAACAAGGAATTCCCTCTTCCCACTGTCAGTTAAACCCATTATTGACATCTTTACTTTGATATATTTGTTACCCCTGATGAACCACTGTTGCTGCATTATTATTAACTGAATTCCATAGCTTACATCTGGGCTCACTGTTGTTCTTGTACATTCTATGGGTTTTGACTAATACCTAATGTCCACCATGAAAGCATCAAGCAGAATAGTTTCACTGCCCTGAAAACCCCCTGTGCTCCTCCTATTTGTTCCTCGGTCTCCACCCTCCCTGCCAACCCCTGGCCATCACTGATCTTTATGTTGTATAGCTTTGCTTATTACAGAAAGTCATACACTTGGAATATACAGTGCACAGATTTTCTAGACTGGCCTCTTTCACTCAGTCATTTGTTATTCAGGTTCCTCCATGCTTTGTCTTGGCTTGATAGTTGATATCATTTTATCAATGAATAGTATTCCACTATGTGGATGTATCAGAGTTTGTTTATAAACTACTGTTTTCATGGATATTTTAGTTGCTTCCAGTTTGTGAGAATTATGAATAAGGCTGCTCTAAATATTAATGCACAGGTTCTTGTCAGGACTTAAATTTTCTAATCATTCTGATAAATACCTAGGTGTGTGATGGTTAAATCATATCATTTAGCTTTGTAAGAAATCACCAAACTGTCTTCCAAAGTGCCTGTGCCATTTTTGCATTATTATACCAGCAATTAATAAGAGTCCTTGTTATTCTGTGTTTGCTAACATTTGGTGGTAACTCTTTGTTACCAATGATATATGATCAGCATCTTTTCATATGCATATTTGTTATCTATATATCTTCTTTGGTGAGATGTCTGTTCAGATGCTTTGCCCATTTGAAAATTGGGTATTGTTTTAATTGCTTTTATTTTTTTAATTTTAAAATTTCAACTTTTATTTTAAATACAGGGGTACATATGCAGATTTGTTACATGGGTATATTGCACTCAGGTAGTAAGCACAGCACCCAGTGGTAGTTTTTCAAATCATGCTCCCCTCCCTCACTGACCCCTCTTGGAATCTGCAGTGTCTATTGTTCTCATGTTTATGTTGATGTGTGTTCAATGTTTAGCTCCCACTTATAAGTGAGAATACGCAATATTTGGCTTTCTTGTTCTGTGTTAACTCAGGATTATGGTCTCCAGCTCCATCCATACTGCTCCAAAGAATGTGATTTCCTACCTTTTAATGGCTGCATATTATTCCATGGTGTATATGTATCTCTTTAAAAAAAGAAATCCAATCCACTGATGGACACCTAGGCTGATTCCATGTCGTCTTCGCTATGATGAATGACACAATGATGAACATATGAGCGTATGTGTCTTTTTGGCATAATGACCTATTTTCTTTGGGGTATATACCCAGTAATGGGATTGCTGGGTTGAATGGTAGCTCTATTTTAAGTTTTTTGAGAAACCTCCAAACTGCTTTCCCCAAGTGGCTGAACTAATTTACATACTAATTTACATAGCTGGTAAGACTGTGGAGAAAAGGGAACACTTAAACCTTGTTGGTAGGAATATAAGTTGGTGCTCCCTTTTCTCCATAGCCTTACCAGCTGTTGTTTATTGACTTTTTAATAATAGCCATTCTGACTAGTGTAAAATGGTATCTCACTGTGGTTTTGATTGGCATTTTTCTGATGATTAATGATGTTGAGCATTTTTTATATATGTTTCTTGGCTGCCTGTTTGTCTTTTGTGAAGTGTCTGTTCACATATTTTGTCCATTTTTTTAAATAAAGTTATTTGGTTTTTGCTTGTTGCATTTGTTTAAGTTTCTTATACATTCCGGATATTAGACCTTTGTTGGATGCATAGGTTGTGAATATTTCCTCCCATTCTGCATGTTGTCTGTTTATTCTGTTGATAGTTTCTTTCGCTGTGCAGAAGCTGTTTAGTTTATCCCATGCCACTTATCAGTTTTTGTTTTTGTTGTAATTGCTTTCAGAACTTAGCCAAATTTTTTTTGTCAAAGCCAATGTCTGGAAGTGTATTTTCTAGGTTTTCTTCTAGGATTTTTATAATTTGAAGTCTTACATTTAAATCATTAATACATCTCAAGTTAATTTTTGTATATGGTGAAAGGTGAGACCCTAATTTCATTCTTTTCCATGTGGCTAGCAGTATCATTTATTGAATAGGGAGTCCTTTCCCCATTGCTTTTTTTTTTTTTTTTTTTTTTTTTTGTCAGTCTTATGAAAGATCACATGGCTGTAGGTGTGAGGCTTTGAGTTTTCTATTCTGTTTCACTGGTCTGTGTCTCTGTTTTTGTACCAGTATCATGCTATTTTGGTTGCTATAGCTTTATAGTTTGAAGTTGGGTAGTGTGATGCCCTGGCTTTGTTCTTTTTACTTAGGATTGCTTTTACTATTGGGGTTCTTTATGGTTCCATATAAATTTTAGAAATTTTTTTCTAATTTTGTGAACAATGACTTTGGTTGTTTTGTAGGAATAACTCTGTACTCCCATACTTTGTGCCATAGCCTGGAGGCACCAGAACATGGCCTAGGTCAGGTTCCAGCTGTATTTGGGGATCTGATGTAATTCTCGGTCACCAGGAGTGTATGAACGTAGAGCATTCAGGCTGGGCTGCTAAGGCTACACTGTGTACCTGTTCCTGCAGAGTGGCTATGCGTGGCCCCTAGGAGGGGGCAGACAGGGAGCATGGGAGGGGCAGACAGACAGCAGGACTTACAAAACAGACATGCCTTAGTCATGGGGAAGCCAGTCTTGCCCTCTCCTGACTCGGAGGTCAGCTGAGAACAATGCCTCCGGGAATCGGGGAGTTCCCGGGGATGGGCGTCTATGGCTACTTTTTGCTGGAGCTGCCCAGCACACAAACATTTCTGTGCTACACACCACCTGAAGGCCTGTCTCTGCCTTTTCCCCAGGGAAATCCCCCTGCCAGATCACATATTCATGGAGGACACAGCTTACCCTGTAGCTAGGATCCTAGAGGTCCACAGAGAGAGTGAGTTATCCCTTAGTTCCTGCACTCACCCCTCTCCCAGGAGCCATTCGGGGCTGGGAACTAGCCCTAGCATTCCCTTATGCTGTGCAGGGTTCCTAACTTCCTTCCTCTTCAGCCTTGCCTTCAATGTCACCTCTCCATCCACCACAGCTTTTTGTTTCCAAACATCTGCCCATATTATGGTAGTTTAGTCAATAACTGGATCTCTCTCAATGGGAGTGTCACTTCCTAGCTGCGTCTCTTCAGCCATCTTGTCTCCCCTCTCTATCACTGCCTTTCTTGAGGAATCACAGCTAGTGCTAGTCCTATTCTTGGAATATCCTCTTTGTCCATGCTTTTCTAGCATTTTCTTTCTGCTATTCAGATGGCATTATAGACAATGACTCATGTATAAACCCATTTGGGGTAATTGTGTTGAAGGGTATGATGTTTTCACCTGATGGTACTCTAATTCTCTTTATAGAAATTTACAATTTATGCATTTTACTGATTATAATGCATTTTACAAAAAAAACCATTAAAACCTTCTTTAATATTAGTATACAATATCAACATGTTTCCAGAGTTATTTATTTAACTTTTTTGTTTTTGTTGTTGAGATAGAGGCTCACTCTGTTGCGCACACTACAGTGCAGTGATGTGATGATGGCTCACTGGAAACTTGACCTCCTGGCTCAAGCAATTCTCCCACCTCCGGCTCTTGAGTAGCTGGGACAACAGGCATGTGCCACCATAACTGGCTAAATTTTGTGTTTTCTTCTTTAAAGGCAGGGTTTTTTCATGTTCTCTAGGCTGGTCTCAAACTCTTGGGCTCAAGTGATCCACCTACCTCGGCCTCCCAAATGGCTGGGATTACAAGCATTAGCCACCACACCTAGCTGGAATTATATATTTATCTTAAATAGTTGAATTTATTTTTGACACGTAAACATTTAGGGGTGTGTGTGTGTGTGTGTGTGTGTGTGTGCATGTATGTGCATATTTTTATTTGTGTTGGGGATGCTTCAGAGGAAAGTGGTACCAGATATTTATGAAAGATTTTTCTCCTCCAAAATAAGTATCCTGGACTTAGAATGTTTTTAAAAATGTATTTTGATCACTTCATTTTATTGAGGAACATCTGAGGACCAGAGGTAAGAGTGTTTCTAATTTTTTACTTTCCAGTGTTCTTACTATATTACATGTTAGCCATAACAACTAGCATATCTGTTTCAAAATGTAAAGTTGTACATGACAAGCTATGTGTTTATAAAACAACTCTTCAGTGGTACCCAGACTGTCCTCACATGGATGTTCAATTTAAAAGGTATTTTTAGTAAATGACTAGAAAATTGATCCCCTGAATTTATGCCTTTCAACCCAGAGGACAGGAGAAAGTATGTACTGACTGGAAAATGTGTGTGTAAAATTAGCTGGTTATTATCTAGTTAACGAATGGGCTTTGCTGTCTGGTGTGCTATGAAGTGGAAGTGAGCAGTTGTTGGAAAGAGAATATAAATAGTGCTTTATGAGACTATATTGATCTTCCTTTTGTTTTCAATTTAAGGTTTTGAAAAAAAGTAATTTTAAAGTAAAGGAAAAGTTTAGTAAAAGTCACTATCTTCATTTTAACATGTAATGGCTGATTAGGTTGTTAAACTAGCATGTTCTTTTTTTTCTTGTTAGCTAGAAGGGAGTAGATCGTATTTTGGATTCAACACATGCAAAAAGAGCAACAAATAATAAATTACACTATGAATCATATTGTTTATTTTTTCACATATCCATTCAACAGATGTTTTCTCAGTGTCTGTTGTGTGCCAGGCATTATGCTAGATGCTAGATGAGAAAAATCAAAAAGCAAAGTTTATTAGGGCTGGAAGCTCATAAGTATAATGGAAGATACAGATCAGTAAAGCAACAATTGCAGGAAAGGGTTATGGCACACGAGTTCAAGAGATATAAGAGGAATTAGGAACATACAACTAAGACTAGGATAAAGATGGAAAGGGGGATGGTATGAACTTAGTACTGAAAGAATTAGCCTCAGTAGAGTTTTAGATAGGAGGATAAACAGGAAAAGGGTATTCCAAGAACAAGGAATAGAATCTAAACATTCAAAAATGAAAGAGAACATACATATTCAGTGGACAGCAAGTGGTTTAGTTTTCCTCCAGCAGAACGTGGGCATGGCTAAATGTGGGCATGTAAGACTGCTGAGCAAGGCAGGAGTCACTCACTTGATGAAATCTTTTACTAGAAAGTGCTTATATTAACCTAGGTGATGAGAAGCTCTTTAAGAACTTTAGTGGGAGTGACATAAAAAGGATTTGCTTTTTTTTTTTTTTTTTTTTTTTTTGAGACAGAGTCTTGCTCTGTTGCCCAGGCTGGAGGCAGTGGCCCGATCTTGGCTCACTGCAAGCTCCGCCTCCCTGGTTCACACCATTCTCCTGCCTCAGCCTCCCAAGTAGCTGGGACTGCAGGCGTCCGCCACCATGCCCGGCTATTTTTTTGTTTGTTTGTTTTCTATTTTCAGTAGAGACTGGGTTTCACCGTGTTAGCCAGGATGGTCTCAGTCTCCTGACCTCGTGATCCACCCGCCTTGGCCTCCCAAAGTGCTGGGATTACAGGCGTGAGCCACCGCAACCAGCCAAGAATTCGCTTTTTAGTAATCTCCCTATAATAGAATGAAAGGGAGATTGGATGAAGATAAAATTGAAGGTGGGGAGATCAATTAGGAATTCTAGCCTCTGAATGCTGCATGAATCTTTTATCTACTACTCTTCTCTCCAGAAGAAAGTTTAGGTGTAAAATCCTAGAAATACAGAGGTGAATTAATTATTTGATTGTAATTCTAATTATTTTATTCTATGATGAGGGAAATGAGGTCAAACAGGTTAAATAACTTGCCCAAAGATGGAGAGATTCTGACTAAACAAGAATTTAGGACCCTGATCTCCTCCTTCTTAAAACCCGTAGATTAAAATTCACAAGGAACCAGCCCTTCAGCTTCAGAGAAATATTTTAACTCAAGTATTAATGGTGATATGTCTGTGTTAGCAGTACAATAAAACAAGTGACCTTCATGGATAAAATTCTCTGTGGTTAAAATTAAAAAGACACAGGAAAATGGGATTCGATTATTAATGCAATTAGTTGATGAACTTGTGGGGTGACAGATACGTAAATGCCTGTTACAGACTGATGATAATGGAGCATTCGACTCTCCAAACTGGTGCTCAAGTTTAGCTCTCAGAAAT
The DNA here is from genome assembly GCF_000001405.40 of Homo sapiens. Classification (NCBI taxonomy): domain Eukaryota; kingdom Metazoa; phylum Chordata; class Mammalia; order Primates; family Hominidae; genus Homo; species Homo sapiens. The sequence continues at coordinate 9,775,053 of NC_000009.12, read as the reverse complement.
AATGAGGGACTTACTTCCTTCATCTTGTCTCCTTTTCAGGTACTAATGCTACATTTCGATAATGATGTACAACCCAGCATAATGTCAGAGCTGCCATTACTCCACATTAATTCCATTATTACTTTGTTTTCTGTTGCTGTAGCTTATGATTGTTTTGAAGATCAGGCATTTATGAGGTACTATCATGCATAAAACAGCAAAAGAATATAACGATTAACCCTCCTGGAGACTGCCAGGTTTACAATATGTTAACAAAACGGAGACAAAAGAAATATGTTAAGGCTATGACACACTGTAATGATTAGCATTTACTTAGAATCTTTTTTAAAAAAATAACTCCCTCAAGGCTTCTATATGAATGCCTACATCACATTTAAAAGTATAATGGATCCTTCAAACTAAAGAGCTCAATGCCTGATGAATAGAACTAGTAGCTCATATATAGAAAGAATGTTTTATAGGTACAGATATTTATTTAGGCTGGTGGCCTTAGCTGGCTGTTGAAGTTGATGGTATTCACTATGAGATTAATCAGACAACTACAATTCCTAGTAAGGACAAGTGATTTCTTAAAGAACATAGGTTAATAAATGATGGAACCTCGTGCTTGAACCCTTGGACCCTGAGCCCAAATCATCACCCTATCCACTGTGTTAAAAGGATTTTGCACTTTCACCAGTGCACTGTTGTTTAGATAGTAAAATACATCTTAAAATGTGAATGTATGTAAATATGTATCAATATTCTCTTAGCCCCCAAAATTCTAAATTTAGGAAATTTGAATTTTAGATAAAAAGTCCTCTAGGATGATACAAATTAAAATCAAACTCCATGTGTTTTAATGATCTTGAAGAGCCAAGTAGCACCTGAAGATTCATCATTTCTAGCTGCGGGGCACACTGTGACCTGGAACTCTTGATTCCGATATCCTTAGCATTGTCAGTATAACTCATTTTGAGCACTATGACTTGAACAAGGCAGACCTTAGTGCAAAGGCAGAGTAGATGTCCACTTACCTGCATGAGTCCAGCCTATTTTTCATGTTTGTAGAATAGGAGATTAACACTTCACTCCTCTGGAATAAAACATTGACATTGCCTGTACAGGCAATATAATATTATGGTGGAAAAATAATTTAAAGATGCAGAATAAAGAAAATCACAACTCAGAGATAACCACTAAGAACAGTGCTTATCTTTTTTTTTCCCCAAGATTTCTGTGGGTAGAGTATACCAAAAGGGCCTTGCACCTGTCTTCACAGTTTATAAAAGAATTGGATGTTGGAATGTTCCAGGCAACCTGGTATCAGTCTTGCTTCAGCAGCATAAATTGGCATTCATGACCAGGTGCCTTTTACAATGCTTTCTTTATTTGTAAAAATATGAATTTGCTAAACTCTCACTTGGAGATCATGGTACAACAAGGCTTAGACTGTTTCATTCTAATATAGCAGTGTATGTACCTTATAATGAGGGAATGGAGCAGAGGATGGAATACTCTTTATTCTTTATGTCTTATGTCATGAGATATTCTATAATACCTCTCTTAGAGAATTAAGGAAGATTACCTTTTGATCCTCCAAATGAGAAAGGGGAAGTTTTAATTGGATGTCATCACTGTCAATCATCATGTATATATTAGAGAGAAGCAGGAGACTTCAAGAGTGAAGCAGTTACCACATTGTATTCATATATTATAACTGTGGGAAGAAACATTCTTCTCCCTGGGCTTCCTAAGAGGATGGAGAACTGTGCTGAAAAACCCTTGTAAGGCATATATCCTTCTTTATTCTGAGTGTTTTACTCTGATTTATAAAAAGAAACTATTCATTTGGGGGGATGAGGAGGGAAAGGAGGTTTACATTAAAGGGAATTCTTGATTTTCTTGTATTAATATAGTTTAACCCAATGAGATCTTTTTATACACTTATCTCTTCATCTAAAACCATAAAATTCACTTGATATTCATATGACAGTAAGTTATCTTTGAAAACATGGTTTACAAATAAAAGCACAATATTTCCTATGTGCTATGGGAATACTACAGTTTGTTTATTCTATGATAAGGCATTTAGCTTATTTCCTTTTTTAGAAAGAAGGGGACTAGCATAAATAGTACTGAAATGGATGATCAGAATACATCAATGTTTGTCAGCATACGTGAATGTGTCGTTTTGAGAGATTCCTAGAAGTGAAATAACTGAGTAAAAGGGAGCAAATATTTTTTAAGACTTTGATGCAAGCTTGTAAATTGCTTTTCAATTTATAGTGCCACCAGCAATGAGTGAAGATGGCAATTTTATCACACCTGCTCATTACTATCAAAACAATGTGAAAGACTTGCTATATGAAAAAAGATAATATTTACTTTATATAGACAGATATCATCAGAGACAGATATATACTAAGCTATTCTCAGTAACTAAAGTGTTTGTGATAGACAATCTTCAGGTCAATAGATTGCTTTAGAAGGCATTTGCAGAGCAGGAAAGAGAAGCTTGTGTCCACTGATGGACAACCCTTTGAAACCTAGGAATATCAAGAGAGCTTCTATTATATGAGCCCGTGAGAGATAAATGTTAAATGTAAAATGCAAGAACACTAAGGATAAAATTTACCCGTCGCATATTTGTGTAAAGCTACACTCTAACTGGAAATTATCAGTTGTATTAGTTTACTAGAACTGCCATAGAAAAGTACCACACCCTGGGTAGCTTAAACCACAGAAATGTATGTTTTCATGATTTTGTAGGCTAAAAGTTCAAGACCAAGCTATCAGCAAGGTTAATTTCTTCTGAGAGTCTTTCTCCTTGTCTCGTAGATGGCCGTCTTCTCTGTGTCTTCATGTGGTCTGTCTTCTGTGTATCTCTCGCTGTGTTCTAGCATCCTCCTCTTTAAGGACACCAGTCACATTGGATTAGGGCTCAAACTAATGGCATTATTTTAACTTAATGACCCTTTAAAATATCCTATCTCTAAATACACTTATACTCTGAGGTACTGGGGGTTAGGACTTCAACACAGGAATTTTATGGGACACAATTCAGCGCATAACACCAATATGTTGAAATTTCTAGTTTCTTCTTAAAATGTAATACAAATAAACAATGATGCTTATCTGTTTATTCACTAATTATTATGGCATCATTACTGTCTTTTATGAGAGTAAAATATGTTGCACACTTATTGTTCTGGATTTATTTTGAAGTCATTCTGTTTACAACACATCTGGTTTAAGCAGATACAAAGACATTGGATTTAATAATAATTTTATTTGATTTCTTAAATTCGGTTTACACACTGTATAGAGCATCTTTCTTTGGAATACAGAATGTCATTGAAACGTCACACATCAGTAGGGATGTATGCTCTTGAAATTGGGTTGTATGTCAGTAGGGAATTTAAAATGAAGTTAAAAGTTCCTCCAAGATAGGTTGAAAAAAGTAAGTTATTTTAAAGGCTTAACATTTAAATAAGGTGATGTGGAGTAACTCTGCTGCCTATCCTTATGATCTTCTGACAGCTTTGACAGGGAAACAATGATACAACTGAGAGAAAGGCTTCCACGATAAGCTCAACTTCTTATGGTTATAAACTTGTCATGTGTGACATGGTTGGTTCCATTACAGTAACAAGATGGATACATCGAATTTTGACCACAAATGACATAAAATAATTATGTACTTCAGAATATGAATTAGGTTTGGAAATATGTTTTTTAAATGCAGCTTATATATACACACACTTATGAATGTGTTAACTATCAGATACCTTAAAAGAAATAGACAGTGATGAGAAATGATATAAAACATTGACTCTATGTGTATCTCTGGAAATTATATAGATATATTATGTAGTCAAATTTATTAGATACTAATAGTTAATAAAGGTGGGAAAAAGAACATAATCTTGAGCAACTTTACAACATTCAGATTGGGCATAAGGTGCATAAATCATTGTGATGATCATTTAATTTGTTTTGGAGTAAAATAGTGATTCTGCTCTGGTGAAGTAATAATTGTTGACTTCCATCTGCTTTTGTAAGAATACCTCTTATTGTAGTCAAAACACAGGAAAGATTTGTAGTTCTAATGATACTGCATTACTGTGCATATTTGACCATTTCCAAGTAGGCTCTAAATATAGACCTCTCTTTTAAAGCACAGTAACTGTAAAATAACAGCAACAAAAACAAAATTCCCCTCACCTCCTACCCTTCCTCTTCTCATTTCATCAATATACTTCTTTGGCTCTAGAAATCCATCTGTAATTAATGAACTGTTTTATGGAATTATTTTTTTCTCCAGATTTTCAACCTGTGCAGTGAATATACTTGGAAGCAATCAACAAACAAACATGGCCTGTTTTTTATGTTGTCAGCATCACTAAATCAATATTAAGAAAACATTCATATTTTACAGGTTAAGTACTCTGAGTATTATGATAGGAATGAGACATTTGAAAACAAGCAGAATGAGAATAGTGGAAAATTTCACTTTAGATTACATTAAATGGTGACAAAAAATAATACTGTGTTCAAGGATTAGTTTTATTTCAAGGCACTGAACATATTGCATCTTTATATAACTAATACCAATACAAATGTATCTTAGTTTTGCTTATGGAAGTTCAGTTGTTATTTTGGTGTAAATTTTAAAAAAAGTAAGATTAAACCACCGTATTTTTCTTAAAAGTGACTTTGGTTGTTACTTGTTAAATTGTGATGTAATATAAAATTTCTCTCACGCTGTAAGAATGGCAATCATTAAAAAGTCAGGAAACTACAGATTCTGGAAAGTATGTGGAGAAATAGGAACGCTTTTACACTTTTGGTGTGAGTGTAAATTAGTTCAACCATTGTGGAAGACAGTGTGGCGATTCCTCAAGGATCTAGAACTAGAAGTACCATTTGACCCAGCAATCTCATTACTGGATATATACTCCAAGGATTATAAATTATTCTACTATAAAGTCACATGCACATGAATGTTTATTGCAGCACTGTTCACAATAGCAAAGACTTGGGACCAACCCAAATGCCCATCAGTGATAGACTGGATAAAGAAAATGTGGCACATATACACCATGGAATACTATGCAGCCATAAAAAGAATGAGTTCATGTCCTTTGCAGGGACATGGATGAAGCTGGAAACCGTCATTCTCAGAAAACTAATACAGGAACAGAAAACCAGACACCACATGTTCTCACTTGTAAGTGGGAGTTGAACAATGAGAACACATGGACACAGGGAGGGGAACATCACACACCGGGGCCTGTTGGTGGGTGGGGGGCTAGGGGAGGGATAGCATTAGGAGAAATACCTAATGTAGATGATGGGTTGATGGGTGCAGCAAACCACCATGGCACATATATACCTGTGTAACAAACCTGCAAGTTCTGCACATGTGTATAAAAGGGCTTCTGGTGGCCGGGCACGGTGGCTCAAGCCTGTAATCCCAGCACTTTGGGAGGCCAAGGCAAGCGGATCACGAGGTCAGGAGATCGAGCCCATCCTGGCTAACACGGTGAAACCTCGTCTCTACTAAAAAATACAAAAAATTAGCCGGGTGTGGTGGCGGGCACCTGTAGTCCCAGCTGCTCGGGAGGCTGAGGCAGGAGAATGGTGTGAACCCGGGAGGCGGAGCTTGCAGTGAGCGGAGATTGCACCACTGCACTCCAGCCTAGGTGACACAGTGAGACTCCATCTCAAAAAAAAAAAAAAAAAAAAAAAAAAGGGCTTCTGGTTAAAACATAGTTTACAAAATATCTTGTCCACCCTGTAAGCTTGACACCACCAGTGTATAAAAGGGCTTCTGGTTAAAATGTAGTTTACAAAATATATCGTCCACCCTGTAAGCTTGACTTTCAGAACTTTTCTTATTAAGCTCATAGTCGTTTTATTTTTCTTCTTTCCTTGTTGTTATTTTGTTCATTTTTTCTTTTTGTCTTCTGAAGTCTTATTTCCTCCTAATATTAGCCTATATTAAAGTTAAATTAAACCAATCTTAAATAGTAAATATGCCTCCTCCTTTCCTTCGTTCTATAACTTATTCCCATCCTAGGGTGTATGTGCCTATCAGAAAAATCAGAACAAGTAACCTTAATCCGATTATAATGCCGAAGCTATTCCTAATGGCTAGAGAGATGTGCATGTTACAAACTGAAGTTTGTCTGTTTACTCTTTAAGCTCAACCCTGATTACGTTCGTACCACGTTTCTCTGTGATAAATTCATCATAGCCTGGCAGTAATGCTGACTATTCAGAGGTTTAAGCAATCCCTTTACCCCATACTTTTGTTTTCATGGCTATTAGACAATTGGATTCTTATGTGACCTGTGGAAAACTTTGTTTCCTTGTCATTTAAGGAGGTTTTCTGTTTCTCTAGTCATGCCAGACTGCATGTAAGCATAGAACATAAAATTATAGCTATTAGGAAGAATTTAAAATGCCTCATTTCGTCCCTGCCAAAAAAAAAGTACTGCCATTTTTACTTTGATTTCTCTGATGTAAAATTCATGAATAAAGTTTATCATCCATACTTGTGTTTCTCAATTAATTTGAACATAATAAGAGAAGAAATGAAACATAAGCTAAGGTTTTTACACTGACGGGTGGTAGAGTAGAAATATCATTTATGAATAAGACATAAGTATATTTAAAATATCAAAATTATTTAATATTTTACTTTTCAAATGTTAATAGTTTTAATAGCTAACATTTATTAGTCACTATGTCCCAAAAACTGTTCTAAGCAATTTATTTGTAATGACTCATTTAATCTTTACAACTGCTTCATTGTACATGAAAATTCAAGTCTCAGAGAGGGTATGTAAGTAGTCTACAGCGTTGGCTGATTAGCTATCCAAGGAACCAAGATTCAAATAAAATCTAGAAGGTGTGAAAAAGACTAGTTTTGGCCATCAAATAAAGAAGTTGGCCTAGGGGATTTTATATATGTATAAAACCACAAGCATAAATGTATTTTAAGCAACAACATCCTGTTGCTAATTATTATATGATCTAAGTGATGGTGTATGTATGGATGCACTTGTATTTTGTGCTGTTTCGATGATAGCTTACGGAGCATTCTAGAACACACAGTAACCTGATTTCCTTCCATCACCCAGTAGCTCCATAGACATCTTCATATAACAATAACAACCAATCCCTTAAATCATAAGTCTGAATCCAGTTTACTGGATGGTCCAGTTAGGTTTCTTCTAGAACTGAAATTCTTTGAGTTTGAGAATATTAAATATGGAAGAAAATTGCTTATACTTCTATTTTTTTAGGGTGTTATTTTTCATTCATAGCAAAAAATTTTACTCCAAAATAGTGGTAGAGATCACAAGATAAATAGATTTTTTCTGGAAATTTTAGGCAGATAGAATGCCAGAACATATGAACAAAGTGATTTTTTCCTTCTACATTTAATTGAAATTCTTATAATTAGATTTATCACATTTGCAATGTGAGTTCTCAGATTTAGATAATCTGTGCCTTTAGGTAGATGAGTTTCTGAACATATTTAGAAATGTGACACTGCATCTGATAGAATAATAAGCTAGAAATAATAGAAATTTGGTGCTTCAACTCAGCAATTCTATTTTCTCTTTTGATGTTTAAAGTACTCAAGTTCATTAGAACATATTTAAATCTATTATCTGTGCCTTCATTCTAGATGCACTGCCTGAAAGTTTTTGAAACATTATTACTATAAAAGTCTATCTCTGTTAACTTTAATGAGTGCTTCACTGCCACTTTTTGATGAACAAACATTATAATGCTTTTATTATAAAATCTATTTAACCTGCTTCATCTTTCTGATTTAAATCTAATAATTCATGTAGCATTTTTGAAAAGCGATGTTTGATTTTTTGCATAAAATTGATATCTGTATATGTTCTTTCTTTCTATAATTTTTTCCTGGAAAGTTTATTTTAAGACATAAAGGAACAGAAGTCCTTTGGGTTCAAATTATGAAGTATTACAGAGTATTTGCATTCTGTCTTTTTTGTCTTAATGTGCTTTAATTAAAAAAAAAAGATAAGACATCTTTTTGAAATTAATGGGAAGATACACAATATGAGCAATGATGGAGTTTTAAAATTTGTTCTTATTTTAGTTTTATATATTGGTATTTCTCAATCTATGCATTTACTAAGTATATTAATAGAAATATTCTTTCTTTTATATTAGGTTTCTGTCCTGAGACCACAGCAGAATGTGCCTTGGACAAAGGTGAGTATATTTAAAATATATTTTAAAATTTCTCCATAAATGAAGTATAAAAATATTATGACAATAATTATATTACTGTTGCATGCTTGGAAATACGGTATCATGGGACATGCACTTTTTGTCTGGTAATATGTAATAGTGAGAAAACATCAGAATTAGAATTCTGGCTATCAAATATATACCATTGCCTGGGTACAGAAAGCCTTAATCCATAAAATCTATATTAAAAGAACTGTTAACACTAATGCTCTTGCAAGTTAAATAATGGAACTATTCAAAGGTTGATGAAAGATGTTTAACATGTCTTTAATGACTCTGAAGATGAAATTATTGAAATAGGACATATGTAAATTAAATTATCAGGCAAGAACTACCTAAAAGTATCTAGGTTTTGGGGGAACAAATAGAGAAATACATTTAGAATTAAAACCAATTTAAAAAGAGGAAGGAATTAGGAAAATAAACACATTAACAGCTCAGTAAACAGTATATAAACGTACTACATGAAAGATAGGGGGGATAGTTCAAGGTTAATACACAATGCCTGTTATTTCAAACTGGAATGCTATCATGAAAAAAGATGTTATTAAAGATTATTGAAAAGATCATGAGCTATAACTGAGTTATAAAAGAGAGTTGAAAAGAAAATGTATAAGATGAATAAACGTTACATAGAGGAAAACCTGTGAGTACTGAGTAAGGGAACTAAGATTCCTGAGGACAGTCGTGAAGGAGGATGACAACTGACAAAATAAATATCACATACAGGAGCTATTAATTATCACGGCTTCTCTAAAGAGAAATTAACAAGAGAAAAATTGCTTGAACTAACATATAAAGAATTTACGGGCTGGGCGCGGTGGCTCACGCCTGTAATCCCAGCACTTTGGGAGGCTGAGGCGGGCGGATCACGAGGTCAGGAGATCGAGACCATCCTGGCTAACACGGTGAAACCCCGTCTCTACTAAAAATAAAAAAAAAATTAGCCAGGGGTGGTGGTGGGTGCCTGTAGTCCCAGCTACTCAGGAGGCAGTGGCAGGAGAATGGCGTGAACCCAGGAGGTGAAGCTTGCAGTGAGCCGAGATCATGCCACTGCACTCCAGCCTGGGCGACAGAGCGAGACTCCGTCTCAAAAATAAATAAACGAATAAAAGAATTTACGTAAGCTTCAGGATTAGGTAGTGGGAGAAGGTTAGTTATCATTTTTGTAGATATATTTAAATATTGAATAGATTCACAATGTCTGACAAGGGTTTCTCTAAAACTTCTCTACATCAGCTATCCTATTCAAGGTTCTTCCAGCCCCACACATGACTTGATGAGTCACTGTTCTTTATTTTTCCCTGTATTAGAGTAATTTTACATTGAAATAAAAGTTGGGCATCCTTGGTTTGAGGTTATCAGAAAAATGTAGGCATATATACTATCATTAGTAATTGATGCCTGTTCTATCTCATGCAAACGTAATGCTTGGGGAAATACGGTTATATGTACATACTCATATTTTTTATTTGGCCCAAAACATACTCTATGTTTTCTGCAGTGTTACTCATATGGAAGAAGAAAGCCTCCTATAAATGCGTATGTTAATAATTTTCTGAGATAATAAAATTGAAAACTCTCCCAGATATTTTTTTTGCCACTCTTTTTCATATAATTTTTTGGTCATTTTCCATATCTGTAAAGAGACTAATGTGACTTTAGAATATCCAAAGAAAATAAGCCAGCTGACGTGCACTGCCAGACAGGGAATGAATGGCTCCAGGCACAAATCTCTGTTGTGTCAAGGCTTTGGCATGACATTTGGCAGGGACTTAATCAAACATAGCACAATGCAAATAATCTCAGTTTCCCATGGATGTGCAGCTTCAACCTCGAGCCTGCTGTTAGTCATTACCACTCTTTTCTCCTGATATTCCAGAAAATGATATTTCTGGTAATGAACTGAAAACTAGAACATTTCCTAGGTGTTATTACACTGTGAGGCAGTTGGGGGGATCGTGACTTTGAAATTGGACCTTCCTGGGTTTGAAGTATGAGTCTGTCACTTGCTATCCGTGGAATCCTGGAGAAGCTACCTAAGATATAAAATGAATTTATTAACAATAATCACAGGGGTTGTGGAGGCATTAAAATGATACAATTAGCCTAAAGTGTTTCTTATATCTGTTATGTAATAAACATATAATAAATATGATTTTACTTTTTTCCATTTCTGTAATCAGCTGGATTTTGTTTTAAACTTCTTAATAATAATCTCAATCATCCTATTAATAGAAGAGGAATGATTCTAATATACACTTGTAAGTTTTGAGTTATGTAAGCACATGTGATAATATTTGTCTTTATCTTTTTAGGTGGGCACTCTTTTCTTTGAAGTGGGGGCAACGGTTTTTGCGAACTTCTTTTCAAAATTTCATTTATTTTTTAAAGATTTGTGTGTCATACATAAGGGGTCTTCATGTTGCACAAGCATATTTTGAATGCATTTGATTTAATTTTAGGTTTTGTTAGTATGATCAAAGATGGAACACCGCATTATAAAATGTAGATAGATTAGAAAAAATTATACCTCCATAGCATGCCCATAATATTTTAGTTCAAATGTTTGTTTCAACTCTCATTAATAAATAATTATGTGTCATATGGCATTAGGTGCTAAGGGTACAAAGAAGAAACAGATACATTATTTGCCTTCATAAGAGTTATAATCTTAGATGGGAAGAGACATGTAAATACATTAATTTTAACACAATATGCTACAATGGAGAGGTGCTCAAGGAATGGGGGTCGTGCAAATATAAAATAAATTTTAATCAATCTGGCTTCTTGGAGGGGTTGACACCTCATATATTTTAAAAAATGAGGAATTGGCCAAATATCAGTCATATATAGAGGCATGAGGGTGAGAGGTCGTCAAGAATGCATAATATTTCAATGTGATTGTGTCTATTTAAAAATATATAATTTTCAATTCTTTCTGTGACATGACAAAAGGAATTAAAGTACTTAGGGGTTAATAAACTTTTTAATGCAAATTATCAAAAAAGAAGAAGGACAGTGAAATAAAGAATGTGTTGTCTGAAGTCAAACAATGATAGTAGCAGTAAGTGTACAGATTGGAAAGTGGGGAGCTGAACCCTTTTACTTTGTTCTTGAAGGTAGATGTAGATTATAGTTAGGTTATTTTTACAGAGCTAAGATTTATGAATGATGTGTTTATCATATTGTTATTTGTAACATGATAATGGGAAACAAAATAATAAGGAACCTTTTATAAATTTTGATAAAATGTGGGATATTTTACTGTTACTAAAATTATAATTTTGAAGATTTTTTAAAGAAGACTGTTCTTAAAAACAGGACAAATTGTGAAATAATATTATAATACCATACCCCTTTAATACATATATATTATGTATGTAAAACAGATACATATGGATGGGTACTCAGTCATGTATTTGATGTGCTTTTGTTAGGGGACAGGGTTCAGGAAAATGCTTAGAAAAAGACTGAAAAGAAACACACCCATCATTATTAACAGTGATTATCTCTATGTCATGGGTATGCATATGTGTGATTTCTATTTTTTCTTGAAACTTTGATGTGTTTTACATTTTGTAGGATGAATCCATTGAATAACTTCTAACACAGCTGCTATAAAGACAGGGTTTTGAAGAGGTAATTAAGGTTAAGTGAGGTCATAAAGGTGGGATCCTAATTTGATAGAATTGGAGGCTGTATAAGAAGAGGAAGAGATCGCTCTCTCTTTCCCTCTCTGCTTACACACAAAGGAGAGATCATGTGAACACACAGCAAGATGGCAACCACCAACAAGCCAAGAGAAGAGCTTCAGAATAAAATCTACCTTGTTGTCACCTTGGTATTGAACTTCCCAGCCTCCAGAAATGTGAGAAAGAAATTTCATTTGTTTAAGCCACTTGGTCTATGGTATCTTGCTATGGCAACCCAGCTGATTAAGACAAACTTTGACATCAAGAAATAGGGTGCTGCTATGAATAATACCTAAAAAATCTGGAAGTGTCTTCACATCTTGATAATAAAGGCTAGAAGAGTTCTGAGTTGCATGAAAGAAATATATGCGGTTCTGATGAAGTCTTATGTAGAAATGAGGATCATGTCAGTGTAAACTGGAAGAGAATCAATCCTTTTTATAAGGCAGCAAAGAACTTGGCTGAATAGTGTTCTAGTGTTTTGTGGAACTTATGAGCAATAAAATTAGATGTTTAGCTGAGGAGGTTTCTGAGCAAAGTGTTGAAAGGGTGGCTTAGTCCCTCTTGATTGCTATGGTAAAATGTCAGAGGAGAGAGAGGAATTGAAGAACAAACTGTTAAACAAAAATAAAAGGAACCAAACCTAAAGATTTGGAAAATTTTCAGTCTGTTTATATTGCAAAAAAAGCAAGCGTACTCTGAAGAGAACACCAAGAGTGTAGCTAGACTGTCACTTCAAGAAGAGCTTTTGGGATTATACCAGCTGAAATCCTGCCAGTTTTTACTGAAGGGACAAAGATGGGACAAAGTGAAGAAAGACTGTTGGACTTCTTGGACTTGACAGGACAATAGGGCTTTTTGGCTGCAAACATTCACTATTCTTCCAAGAGGGAAGTTATCAGGGCTACTGCCACAGTTTCAACAGGTCAGACAACCTCTGTTCAGAGCCTTGAGGGCAGGACTGTCCTGGAGTGATGTAAGGGTGGGGTTTCCTATAGCCTTGGGATTCGGACACTGGCCTACAGTTATGGAGGTGGTGCTGCCACACTTGATCTTGGACTTTCTCTCCTCCAGAATTAGAAAATAAATTTATGTTTAAGTCATTCAGTCTTTGGTATTTTGTTAAGCCAGCCCAAGCAGACCAATATCCCAAAGCAATGAATATTAAAATATTATATTTTGCAAACATGATCAAAATAAAGAGGAAAGAGGTGGAGCATGGAATAATTCGCAGATTTTGATGTAGGCAATTGGGACTAATTCTGTTCAGTTTATGTAGAAATACAGAGTGGGGGGAAGGGGAGACAATTTGATGGAATGATAATGAATAGTTTTTTTTTAATTTCATCGAAATTTTTATTGAGATAATTTTACATTCATATGCAGCTATAAAACATAAGAGAGTCTGTACACATTGCCAAGTTTTCCCTAATGGCAACATTTTGGAAAACTATAGTATAATATCACAACCAGCATATTGAAATTGAGATAAACCCCCAATATTGTTCAGATTTACCCCATGCCCATTGTAATCATGTTTGTCTTCATTATGTTCTATAAAATGCTATCACCTTGTAAGTTTAAGTATCCTACCCCACAGTCAAGACATTGAATAGTTCCAACACTACGAGCATTTGACAGGTTGCCTTTTTATAACTACACTCACCTCCCTCCATTTTTCCACCCCAACCCTCTTCCTAAACAATACTTCCTGGCAACACTACTCTGTCTTCCATTTCTAAAATGTTGTCATTTTAAACATGATATATAAATGGAATCATACCTTTTGGGATTGGGTTTTTGCTTAGCCTAATTTTTGGAGATTCACCCAAGTTGTTGCATGTATCAATAGTTTGTTCATTTTTATTTTTGATCAGCATTCCATTGTATGTATGTGCTACAGTTTAACTTTTTATCTGTTGAAAGACACCTGGGCTGATTCCAGTTTTTGTCTGTTACACTAATGTATAAGCATTTGTATACGTGTTTTTATATGAATATGTCTTCCTTTATCTGGAATAAATGCCCAAGACTACAGTTGCTAGATTGTATGGCAGTTACATGTTTAGTCTTATAAGAAACTGCCCAACTGTTTTTCAGTGTAGCTGTACCATTTTATATTCCTAGCAGTGATGTATGAGTTAGCTCATTTCTCTGTATCCCTGCCAGCATTTGGTGGTGTTGATCGTTCTTATTTTAGCCATTCTGATAGGTATATACTGATATCTCATTGAATTAATATTTTTAATTTGCATTTCTCTAATGGCTATTGATGTTGAACGTCTTTTCATGTGGTTACTCACCATCTGTCTATCTTCTTCAGTGAAATCTTCATGTAGTTTGCCTATTTCCTCATCAGATTATTTGTAAACTGCTGAGTTTTGAGTACACGTATGAACAGTGCTGGAATATATATATATATGTGTGTGTGTGTGTGTGTGTGTGTGTGTGTGTGTGTGTGTGTGTGTGTGTGTGTATGATAGCTGAGTAAAGATGATGGGGAAGAAGAGATCTCTCAAAGTCCAGACAGACAATCAGGAGGCTGTACATATAAGTCCGAAGTCCTGAGAAGCAATAAAGGATAGAAATAAAGGTTATGAACATGTGACAGTTAAGAAGGTATTGGAGCAGGTCTTGGAGGGCAAAAATATCAAGCCCTTGTGTCTCCTTGAAATTCAGAATAATGTTTTACCCTCAAAAATTTTACTGTATGTAAATAAATACTCTTCTATTTCCTGGACTTTGTCTTACATAAAACACTAAGGTTTTCTCACTTATCATACACCTTAAATACTACCAGCATTTGAGTGGTTTCAGTAAGATGTATGAATGTTTTCAGTAACAAAAAAAAAGTAGATGTATTTTTGATATGTGGCATAGACCCGGGGAGACAGGAAAAGCTTGCTGAGGCTACAATCTAGAACTCAGATTACACACAGAAATAGGGTAGCGATATCCACTTTGTAACGAGATCCTTCTCAAGACACTATGAGAAACTTCAGAGGGAAAATCCATTATCTTGAATGTCTAGTGATAGACAATCTTGGCAATCTAGTTAAGCAGGCAATACTGGAAGTTTAACATGAGCAAAATGTACAACACCAGGTTAGAGGAGAAGGAAAGAAAGATATATTTGAAATTATAGAAAGAATAGAGCATATTTGTTTACAGAGGAGATCCAGTGGCAAAGGAAACAATTTATCATTTCAGACAGACCTTGGCCGGGCACAGTGGCCCATGCCTGTAATCTCAGCACTTTGGGAGCCCGAGGCAGGGGAATCACAAGGTGAGGAGTTTGAGACCAGCCTGGCCAACATGGTGAAACCCCGTCTCTACTAAAAATAAAAAAAGTTAGTTGGGCGTATTGGTGGGCACCTGTAATCTCAGCTACTTGGGAGGCTGAGGCAAGAGAATTGCTTGAACCTGGGAGGTAGAGGTTGCAGTGAGCTGAGATCGCGTCACTACACTTCAGCCTGGGTGACAGAGTGAGACTCCATCTCAAAAAAAAAAAAAAAAAAAAGACAGACCTTGACTATTTGAAGATGTTTGCATCATTTTCTGAATTCTACATTACAGACTGAGTTTATACTCAAAATTTAAAACTAATAAGGTACTGGTGCTAACCAAACAGAACTCCACTCAGTAGAGCAGGGACTGGGAGGCTCCTCAGCTGTACTAGCATTAACACTTTAATTACTGGGTTGTGGGGACTTCTTGAGGAGCGACCAAGACTACCAGAGCACTAGGGGCTGGGGTTTGCGGCAGTCAGTGCCAGTTTACCAATGGTACATAGTAGTTTAATATTTTAATAACCAATGTAATCATTACCAGTACAGACTGACTGAACACAGGCTAGACCATATGTGTATTACTATAGGATCTCAGGGGCATCAGGCTAGGAATAGATTTACTGTGAAAAAGGAGCTAGGGACCTGCTTGCTCAAAGATAGAAATTAAGGAATAAGTTATTTTTGAAAATTATTTTACTACGGAAATCATCAAAATTGGTTTGATAAAAAGTCTGAAATCTTGAGGGTATAAAATGATACAACTTTTTTTCTTTAAACACCACCTTCCATTCTCTGACAGCATTCCTTTCTTGCTGGGTAACATACTTGCTACCTTAATCACATTTGACAATTCTATAGCTTTTCAGTCACTTTTTGTTATTAAAGTGTCTTATTTTTATTATTAAGAATTAGTTTTGATTATTTTAAATCTTCAACCTCATATTTGATTCAGAGATCTTCCCCTTGCCTGTACACAAGAGAGACTTGATGTTCCAGTTGCTCTGAATATATGGGGGGTGGGAGTAGTGGGATGGGGGTTGGGGGTGGGTGGCGATGAGGGAATGGTAAGAGGTTCTGGAGCGTCCTTGCTTTCTCATGTCTTTTTCTGCTTCCCTGCTGTCTGTCTTGGTTGGGGCAAGGGAGGAAGGAGGGACACAGTCCTTCCATATGTAACTCTCCTTGGCAAGTGCTGTCTCTCCTTTGTTGGTTGTAGCCACTGTTCTATCTTTGGCTTTATGTACTTTCTGAGAACCTGGAACTCACACGCTGCCTCTCTCACAATCATTTGGTGATTCTTCAGATTACTTCTTGAGGGCACTTCTATAGTGTTGCCTAATGTGGCAGAGCTGGCTGAGGTTTGACCTTCTCCTACCCATCCCTACCCCTCATCAGCCACCATCACAGGTGGGCATATAGCAGTCTTCACATATGAGAAGGTACATGGGTTTGTGTTGCTTTCATAAAATAAAAACTGCCTTAAAAGTAAACATCAATAAAAATATACAAAAGCCAAGCGAATGGAAGTAAGAGAGCTACATTGAATAATGTCTGTTTTTTTATAAGGAAATAAGTGATGTTTTTATTCAGGAATAAAAAAAAAAGTCTGCTAAGGGAGAATACAATTTTTTTTTTTTTTTGCCATTTTTACTCTTGAGATGTGAACTGAGCAGTTCAAATACAGCCCGCAGGTGTTAGGATGTGTTTGCAATACACCCAATCAGTATTATTTGGGGACTTTTCCCCAGCAACACGAGAGGCTCACCGGCAGATATGGCAGTGGAACTATCCAAATGTAAGCACTGATAAGTTGGTAATAATTATGACTTAGATCAGAGATTCGGGGGTTCTAGGAACCCCCCAGGAAATGGCTTCACTTGGGCTCCACAATGTGCAAAGAAGGAAGTGAAGTCAATAATGGCAGGCTGGTAAAAATTAGCAGAGTCAAAATTCTTAGTTATGATGAGTAAGATGGTTAAAAGTATATACATATTTTTGGAAGGATGGCTTATGAATTCATGATGAAGATTTTATAAGATAGGCATATCCTTTCTTATATTTATATGAGAAACTGAATAATAGAATGCATAATATGTGACAGGCAAACTGAGTTTTAGCTAATCCCAAACCCCACATCCTTTCTATGAAATTCTAGTGGCTAATATATTAAAAAGAGAATAGGAAGATTGGGTTATAAGTTATTTTGATCAAATAAGAGATAATTATGTTATAATAAATTATTGCTCTGAATTTCCAAGTGTTTTAACTTTTTCTGAAATCGTTGTCTTCCCTATTGAGAAAATAACTGAACAAAAATGATACTGAAAATTTACATTAAACATCCATTTGTTTTTTCAAATTCATAAAATTAGTGTTTTCAGTTGCTTATGAAAGACTTATTTAAGCCCAGAAGCTGCTGTGTTAAAAATTGCAGATGCCAATGTATACTTCCTTACATCTTTTGTCTTTTATCATGATATTTAAATAGATTTATGTGCATGTAGCAGAGCTACTATTTGCATGAAACTTAACCGAAGAGTAAATATTAAATGTTTTCAAGCAGAGAATAAAAGATAAAATTGATTAGTATCCTTTGCACTTTTACTCTTTATATTATGAACAACTGCTAAGGAATGGTCATAAAGGGAATCTCGGTAAACTGCCCAATCTTTGTTATAGGGCCTGAATTCCTGTGAACTTTTGCTGTCATACTAAGTAGACCATCTAAGATAAAATAATTCTGTAATAAACATTCTTTTCATTGGTTTGAAGAAAACAGTGATTCTATAAAAGTATTTTATGAAACACATTCTTGTGGAAACTTTCCAGGTAAAATGAGCTTCACAGAAAAAGTAATTTGAAAACGACTAGCATGTTTTTCAGCACAACAAAGACATTGAAAACTTCTGCAGTAGAAAGTCACTAATGTTCAGTCTAGAAAAATGTGGAGCTAGCTTAACCACATGGGAGGCAGTATTTTGTAATCTTTAAGACTGTGGTCTCTGGAATCTGACAGGGTTTAATTGCTTGCTCTACTAATTTTTTTATTGAGGTAAAATTCATATACCATAAAAATAACCATGTTAAAGTGAACAATGCAGTGGCAGTTAGTACATTCACAATGTATTCACAAACTCTATCCAGTTCCAAAACATTTTCATTACCCCAAAGGAAAACTCTGTATCCACTAAACAGTTGTTCCCCATTCCTCCAACCCCCACCCCCTATCTGCTCCACTTGAATAAGTTGTGTGGACCTTCTGCTTACCCTCTTTGAGGCTCAGTTTCCCACTTATTCCTATATAGATAGAAATGGCTTTTACCTTATATGGTGGTTGTAAGAATTCAATAAAGTAACCAATACAATGAACGTAAACCATTGTTAAAACTGAATAAATGTTACAATGTTAAACTTGTGTAGCTCTCTTTTGAATCCAAAGGAACTAGTGTTCTAGCAAGCACTCTCCAGGAAGTGTGGATCAAAGTCATCACAAGAGGCAAATACTGAGAGAGAAACCATAGACTTTGTCTTATTTAGAAGCTAATGAATCTCACATAACCCTCTGGTGCTCCAGAAGACTCAGAGTTAGAATTTATGTTCATCTCTGTCGTTCGTCAGAATATTTTTTTCTAAAGTGGCTTGAGGTCGATATTAGAACAGAGAGGTGTTGAAAGAAGGAGGGAGTTTTCCAGATATCCTCAATCTAAAAATAAGAGGAATATAAAGGTTTATGAGAGGGAATGCATTTCTTCAATATAAGAATTGAAGGAGATAAAACAGCTGACAGCAGCTCTAACCTCGGTCTAATTATTTTCTACTTGATAAGAACGGTATTCATGATTATATAATTATTAAAAGCATCATTGACATGGAAAAGCAAACCATAAAATGTTTTAAAATATAAAATTATATGTTTTATGTTTATATATGTAAAATATGTAAATGTAATTACAGGTATAATTTTATATAAATTGAATAATATTTGACAATGAGTAAGTAAGTCTAAATGAATTTTTACCAAAATGAGAGCAGTAATTCCTATGCTGTATCAGAACCTCAGGTGTTTTTCGTTTGCCTTTGTATTCTTTTATACAATTGCTTAAATTTCCACGTGTGTAAATGCTACCTTACTAATAGAAACAAAGCAACCAAGCTGTATCAAGTAACAGTAGCGAAGGATTATAATAACTGTACTATATTTGTTATTTTACCCAATTTTTCTTCATAGTTGCTGGAAGCACAAACCTTTAGAAAAATATAAAACTGATTGTGAACCTTAAGCAGATCAGCTTGCCTCCAAAGGCCTGAGGAAGAAAGAATGAGGAAGAGTTTGAGGAGCTCTGCCTTATTCTTCCAAAAATACAATCTACCCTTAAACCGTGGTAACAGACAACAAACTGAAGCTGTCAATTCCTTTTTCCTGTCTTTTTAGTACAATTTTTTCCCAATTTTTACCCTTAAAACAATTTCTAATTCCTTCTCAAATTCTACAAAAGGTAGCATACTCAGTGATTTTAAAGGGAGATGATCATTTATCACCCCTTGGTACACTGGGAAGTTCAATTTCCTTCTCCTGATCTTCTGCAGTCTGTACTCTTTTCATTTGCCTCCTGAACCAAAAGATGCAAGATCTCACTGGGGTTCTCAAACCTGAGTGATTATAGGAATCATCTGGAGATCTTGTTTAATATGCAGATTCTTGTATATCTCCCCAAAATTTCTTATTCCTTAAATCCAGAATGGGGTCTGTGGCTCTGCAGTACAATATTCCAGGTTACATCAAAGCAGCTGATTCGCAAATTATCCTTTGATAAACACTGGAAGCTTTCAAGTCCTTAAAGTCTAACCTGCTTTGCAAACCTGTGATTAAAAAAAATAATTTCCTCCATCATTTTCTTCTAAAAGCATTGGTAATTCTCCTTAGCACCTTTTATTGAAGATGTGTTTGGTGATTCAGGTAGAACGTGACAGCTTATTCAGCATACCAATCACATAGGCTGTCCTCACATGCTAAATGCAGAAACAATTGAACAATCTACTTTACATAAACTTTCTTTTTAGAATATAGTCCAACTGCCTGTAACAAGTAGAAGAAACAAACCTTCCAATTATACTTTGTGATTAGGTTAATGTAATTTCAACAATATAGTGCCCTTAAAAATAAATTATTTAGTACATAGCATGTAATATCAGTATAATATTGTGTAATATATATAGTTTGTTTGTTAATAAAATGTCTCAAAGATGCTAATGCATTTTTTGCCAAATATTCTTGTGAAGCCGTCAAGAACTGCTATTATTTATCACCATTTGCAGAGAGATGGAATCACTGAGCTGTTAAGTAACTTGAAGAGGGTCACCGAGTCAGTGACTAAGTCAGAATAAACATTTCATCTCCTTGCTCCTTGAACAGTAGTTTTCTCAACAAATCCCATTGCATTTATTTCTTCCAGTAAAAGTTTACAAGTCATCCAGTTTCCTGGGAGGTTCTTCATTACGGGGCGTGTAAGAATTTGTACCCTCTGGAAGATTGAAAACTAGAACCAGGAAGTCATATTAAAGATAGTCCCTGTTTTTCAAAGACTCTTTCATTCCTCCAGTTCCCTTGTCATTAATTCTGTTTCACAGAACACATTTCCATTCATCCCTCCATCCTTTCATTCAAGCAATCAGTTTTTACTGAGCATATTTAATATTTAATATGTCTAGCATTCTGCTAATAAGTAGTTCTTTTCCTCAGATCATCCAGCCTGGTGAAGAAAAAGACACACAGACAAATGGTATAATATAATAATTGCTATATTGGATCTAGGGGATCTAAGTAAGCTTATGGGAAGAACATCTGAGTCTATTTGAGGAAATCCGAGTTTTCTTAGAAAATAGGAAATTTGAGCTAGGTTCTTAAGGGAAGAATTTGCATGGATTCAATGTAAGGATAGGGGCATGAAAAAGGGAAGACAAAGCTAAACCCTAAACATAATGCAGTCATATTCCATCCAAGATATAAATGGTGACCTCTGAATTTAAAATTTAGAGGCCCAATAATTACACCTGTAATTTTCAGAGAGCATCTGCGACACATTGGACCTTCCTTTTTGAGGCTTTGATAACCTCCAGGATGCACAATGTGGATCACACCAACTCTTGTGAACTTTCATACCCTAAGCTCACCCCATTAAAACCACCATCACTCTGGCAGACTGTTGATTTATAAAACCAAAATTTCTTTATTTTAAAATGTATAACAAGCAAACACACAAGAGAGCTAGTGTTTTTAAATGGTAAAAAATAAACAAAGGGAACAGTCACTCCCCACATTAGCCTTGCGTGCTTTAGCCTGAAGGGTATTTTTGCAACCAAGAACAAAGCCCTCAAAGTATAATGGAAACACTGACAGACACTTAACTATACCAGCTCTGGCGGGTCCAGCTATAATTCACTTCATAACACAAATTGATATGTTGTCCAGAGGGGTCCCTGTATTGGTGTTATTGAGTGTTTTTTGAAACGTTTTGGTTCTGGGCTATGAAGCTACAAAATGAAACTGAATGATTCTTTCTGGAATAGATTCTGTACTGGGCCCCTCAATTACAGTAGTGATGTCCTTGGGGAAAGACCACATGGAAATGTCCTATAAAAACTGAAAATATAAAATAATAAACCAAAGTGAAAAAACTAATGCAATGAAACAAAGTTTGTTGTATTAAAAGTCTAACATTTCTTCTCACAATGCATACTTAAAAGCAGAGCACACCAGAGGTGAAAAGGGGGCAGCTTGTTTTAATTTAAGTGGGGTTAGTTGTTAAGTAGAGAACAAGTACACTCTGTATTTGCAAAATCATGCAAGGGGCCAAAGTTCAGCCATTCCAGTGAACTTGCCAAGCAAAGTATGCTGTGTGTTTTATTATATAATGCAAATGACCTCAATCTGAGGTAGCAGCATTTCCAAATACCATTTAGGGCTTTAATGACTTGTCCTAGAAAGGTCGTGCCAGGCCATATTTAATGGATCTTCTAAACAATGTAAAACGATTTTTCTAAAATTGTATACAGCTGATAATTTTAGTGTAAAAATACTTGCCCTCCGTCCCCACTGCATCTCCTTCCCCAAATGAAACTTTTGAGGTTTCTTTACTGAAAATGTTAATGTCATTTTCTTCTCCCTGGATCTGAGTTCCCTCAACCTCGATCTTAAAGTTCCATGTGCAGAATTTGGAGTTCTGATAATTTAAAAAGCTCCACGGGATTCTAAAAATCAAACTCACAGAATTTTGAAAGGCACACTCCATTTTTACAAGAAACTAGTACACAAGGATTCCAGTGTCAGCTTTTCCACTGTAAACTGTTATAATAAACCTTGAGTTCATTATAACCTCTATGGGTCTCAATTTGTTCATCTCTAAAATGAAGGTCACAGACTATCTCTTACGTACTTTAATGTTGTTCCATGATACCATTTAAGCCTGCTAATGAATTACTTAAATATCGAAGTCCACATTAAGCCTTATGGAAAAGCATAACTGGCAAGATTTTCCTCTCAATTACTTGTGCTAATAGGGGCCAAAATGGCATAGATACTTTAAATTCACAGATAATCCCCAAACTTCAATTTAGCTAAGTGTTCCAACCTCCTCTCGTGCCAAACCATTTACAGGGGATTGAAACAATTAGCACACACTGACTGGTAAGAAATTTATCTCCTTTATAATTCCTTCATTGTCTCCTGACTTACCACTGGAATATTTTCTTATTTAAATTCCTAAAAATAGAAATGAAGAATAAATCGAATATAGTTGTTGTATAATCTACCAAATGGTTATGTTTCAAAATATCCCACCACTGTTACTATTTTTAATATTAATTTATTAAGAGCTTATCCTGTGTGACATGCTTTATATATCACTTTATTTAAACCTCACAATCACCTTTTTGAGTAGTGTGTCAGTTTTCTGAGCCTGCTATTGCAAAGTAGTACAAACTGAGCAGCTTAAACAACAGACATTGATTATTTCATAGCTCTGGAGATGAGACACGCCCCCTCCTAGCTCTGATGGTGTGCTGGCAATCTTTGGCACTCCTTGACTAGTAGATATATCATTCCAATCTCTGTCTTCATCTTCACATGATGTTTGTACCGTGTGTCTCTTCTTCACGTTATTCTTTTTAAAAGGACGCTAGTTATGTTGGATAAGTGGTCCATCCCACTTCAACATGACCTCATTTTAATTTGATTTCCTCTGTTAAAGTTTCTCTTTCCAAAGAAAGTCACATTCTGAGGTACTGGTGGTTAGGACTTCAGACACACCTTTTTTGAGGGTGACATAATTCAATTTATAAAAGGTAGTCATTATTCTCATTATTATTCCCATTGTAGAGATGAGTTAACTCAGGTTCTAATGTTGCATTAATTTTTCTGGAGTTCAAAACCCAGTCAGTGGTGAAGTTGGACTTCATATCCACTTGTTGGAGTTAATTCTTAGTGTCTCCAAGCTTTGAGCAGTGATTTAAAAATAAATGAATAAATAAGCCTGGAACTAAAGTCATCTTGCAGGGGACTTATAGTAATCCTAGGAAGTCTAATAATGGGATACTCTTGTAAAAATATTTTTTTTAAGTTCAATACTTAGTGGAGATTTAAAAATAGCACCTAGGAGCAATTTTCTGTTTGTTTTATTGTGTGGATAAGAGTGTGCATGTTTAGAATCTTCATTCAAGAACCTGTCTGCTGTGGCAGGAGAGGCCACGAACATTCTGAAGTCGTGTAAGTTGCATTGGAAAATCAAAATTAGGCACTGTATTTGATTTCTTTCTCCAGTGATGATTTAATGCACTTTAATGATTGCGACATGTGAAGCCAACTGGCTGCTCATTAATCTTGTTCTGCCCTGAGCACCTCCATTTCATGTCCTACACAGAAATGGAATAGGGCAGAACCTTGGGCCTTTGGAGGAAGCATATAGACTTCAGGAATTAGGGGAGGGGAAATAAAATTTAGAGATTAAATAGAAAAGTTCCCATTAAGCCCTGAGTCCCTGGAGTTCATAGTTGTCCTTCCTCAAGATATCTTGTTAGTGATTGAAAATGTTTCACTTATTTAAGATTTCTTATGTTTTGTTAAAGGGTAAGCTGCAGAAGAAACTATGCACACACACACATACCCACACCCCTAGTGCAAACCTCTGTAGGAAGTTAGAGTTTCACATTACAATTTAATGTGAATCTGTTGGGCTCACCCTTTGCTTTAAAGAACTCTTACTGAGATTGGTTATGGTGAGGTAAGTAGAAGTCTTGGTGCAGAACTGGGTTAAACAAAGGGAGGAGAAGTTTTGGATCATGTTTTCTCATCAAAGAGAATGTGGGGTAGAGGCATCATGGTTTGTATATAAGCTGAGGGAGTCTATAATTTCTCTGTAATGGTGCTATAGATTAGATGTTTAATCTCTATTTCCAGCTCTTTTTTTTTGGATGGCTTGATAACTAAAGCAAAGACAGTTTTTAAAATCTGTGATTGCCATTCACATTATTTTATTTTTGAGCATTTCAATAATAGTTACATAAAGTATATAATTGCTAGAATAAATTTAAAACATCTAATCATCACCTTTGATTGCATTTAGGATATGCGCTAGAGAGAGGAATAAAGGATTTAGCATATTGGCAAAACTTTTACAATTTGTATTAGTAATTGTGTAATGTTAAGTAAAACTGCTTTACATTAATCATATAAAAGTTTATTTTTCGTAGTTGTTTTCAATTAAAATACCCATCTTCAAAACCCCAGAGCTCTTTGTTATGAAGGCTGTGCAAGTAGTTCCACACACATCAGTCAACATATGAGCATCTTCTATTATTTTATATAGGCAGTGAAAAAATACTGCTGGTTATTTCAAGTGACCTTAGCTAAATCCAACTTCAACTTATGAAACTTATTTTCTTTCTTCCTCCTCTTTTTAATGGATGAGGGGAGGAAAGAGACAGGAAGCGTGACTAACCTGAGAGTTGTTCTAATAACTATACTCCTAACTTTTGCCTTATGAGGTTTCCAAATGAACTGTCAGACTCTTAATATAAATCTCTTCCTGAGGCCTTCCTTCCTTGAAAATATTGGAACACACAAAAAATGATTTATTATTAAAAAGGCATTCCTCTTTTACTGACCCTGTGGTGTGTACATTCTGTGGATTGTCTATAGAATATTGTCTTGTTATGGAGTCATGAAAGGAATTAAGACTGTTAAACAATGATTGATCTGATAATAATAAATATCTGATAATGTCATCCAGTGTTTTATTATAATCACTGCTCTTAGGGTTTAGGGGATCAATAAATAATTCCCTGTTCTTCCCCTCCTGAGCCTGGAATCAATTCAGAATTAAGACTCAGGAGACAGACAAATGGAGGTCAAATAGTTTTATTATAGAGATGATTGGAAAACGTGGTTATAAAGGCATGGGCAAAAAGGCTTAATACCCTACCACTGAGT
Organism: Homo sapiens; assembly: GCF_000001405.40. NCBI lineage: Eukaryota > Metazoa > Chordata > Mammalia > Primates > Hominidae > Homo > Homo sapiens. The sequence continues at coordinate 9,749,305 of NC_000009.12, read as the reverse complement.
TAAGCCAACTTACCAACCTGATAATTGGTGCAGCTGAACAACCAAATGCCTCCCAAACAGGGCAGAGTTGGCCCTCCCTGATCATCACATGACAGCATAGAAATTGACTGAGATTTGAAACTGAGAGGCATGGAGAGAGGCAGGAGTCAAGAGGGGGCTGAAGTGGATGTGCTCAGGGTCTTCTGCCAAACTTTAGAATCAGAGGAGTAAAGAGAAGATCAGGTGGATTGTTCTAATGGAGACACTCACAAAAACCAGAGGAAAGAAGAAGAAGGGAGATTATACTCCACATCCTGCAGGTATTGGTTCTGTTAGCCTATTGGGTTTTGCCACACTATTGATTTTTCCCACCTCAAATTATCACCAGCCATGTTGTCAAATGTAGATTACAGTAGTACACAATAAATGAATATCAGTATGCAGACAATAATATAATGTCACTGATACTGAAAGAACCAAATGTGGACACTATAACTCTTCCATTATTACATTTCCAGAGGTTGACATAAATCTCCAAATGAAATCACTTTGCTGTGTAAAAATCCAGTCAAATCAAAGGCCAAAATTCGTAAGTTAAAGGCCAAAGAAACGAAAGCCTGAAATAATTTTTTTATTTGCTCAGCCAGACAGCTAACTGCTCTGATTCCCAAGTAGTGTGGGTGACTTCAGCAGCTATCAGTCATTGAAATTGGTTGTAGTTCCTTCAGTACCTCAGCAGTACTCCTCCTCATTGAGGTAAACACCATCCTGCTTTTCTGTCGTTATAATTATTTAAGTATGTATCCCTTACGATGTGTTGTTTATTTTTCTGTTTTCAAAATAAGTTGAATCACAATTGACAGATCTTTTTTCGTCTTTATTTTGATCTTGGTTTCTGAACTGTCCATGTTAATGCACGTAGCAATAGCTCATTGATAGAATATGGCACAATTTATTAAACACTTCTATGGATCATTGTCCCTTCTTATTTTTGTTATTAAGAACAATTCTGGTGTGAACATTCATGCAAATATGCAAAGATTTTAGTGTAGGATCCCACTGTTTAAAAAGTACAGAGGACATAGAAGTAATAAAAAGTAAATAAAAGTAATAAGACATAGAAGATTATTACCATACTATCTTTATATGCACCAAGTTCAGAAAACACAGCAACCCACTATTTTACAGCAGTGAACCAGTGATTCACTGATGAATGATGGAAAGAATATATCCCAGGAAAATCTTGCTTGGACCACCCTTGCTGAGATGCCATTCAGTTCATGCCATTTTTCTGGATTCCAAGAGCTGTGATCTCCACGTGATCTAATTCTTCTGTCATAAGCTTAATCACAACATTGCATGGACAGTGACTCAGAGGAAATCCACCTGTTTATACATTCCTTTCTCAAAGAGTGTTTTTGAAACATTCCGGCCATACTGCTAAGTTTAGAAATTTGTAAAAATGGTAGACTCAGGCCAGGTGCAGTGGCTCACGTCTCTAATCCCAGCACTTTGGGAGGCCGAGGCAGGTAGATCACCTGAGGTCAGTAGTTTGAGACCAGCCCGGCCAAAATGGTGAAACCCTGTCTCTACTAAAAATACACACAAAAAAATTAGCCAGGTGTGGTGGTGGGTACCTGTAATCCCAGCTACTCAGGAGGCTGAGGCAGGAGAATTGTGTGAACCTGCGAGACGAAGGTTGCAGTGAGCTGAGATGGTGCCATTGAACTCCAGCCTGGGCGAAAAGAGTGAAACTCCATCTCAGGGAGAAAAAAAAAAAAAAAAAACAAAAAAGATTCAGTCACCAGGTATAATCTGAGGCACCATTTTTCCCCAAATAGTATATTCAAAGCAATTTAATTTTCAGCCCCAGTTTTGTAACGAATGTGGATTCTGTCTTGTAGCATGGCTCACACACTCTATTGTGAGCAGATATATAAAGTTCTGTGCTGCACGAGTTGCTGCCATGAACTCTAGAAATGGAGATGCTGAAACCTGTGCAACATGTTTTCTTGGGAGGGTTCCTCTTTTAGCCCCATATTTATTTCATATCGGAAATCATGAGCCTGAACAGAAGCTGTTGATAGTCCTGAAATGTGCATCCCCAGGTGGTCTGCTAAGCCCAATACCTCTGTCAGTGGCTCCTGCTCAGAGTGCTTCTTCCCTCTTTTCCAGGCTTTGAAAAACTTGTATTCTTTTAGGGACATCAGAAACTTCTTTATTTCTACAATACATTTCTCTCCAGCAGTGGAGCATGACCCCAGTATTCTATTTCCTGCTATTGTTTCCTTCCACATTTCTAGGAGGCTCAGGTGAATTTTTAACTGTTTAACATGTTAAACGTTTCCTAACACCTACAGGGCTACTACTGTTTGCAGATTCAGAATGTACTGTTTCCTTTTTATTCAACTTTGCTTTGCAGTCCAGGAATTCATATACTTGTCTATATTTTGTCTTATGACAGTTAAAAAATAAATGAGTACTGCATCTGCCAAAAAAAAAAAAAAAAAACTTTTCAAGCACATCTTGTCTATCTTCACACCCTGAAGTAAAAAACTGTGACCCAAGATGGACATTCCTACAGAGCGTGTGAGCTAGCTCTGGATTCAGTATATTATTGCCTGCTGGGTTCTTGTTTACTGTGTTTCATCTTTTCTATGCCTTATTTCACTTCTCATCCAACTTCTCAGAATCCCTAATGGCTAAGCAACACTCATATCCCAATTTGTTATAAATTATGCCAATTTAGTGAATATCGACTCACAATATTTACGTGAAACAATTTTAAGAATTCTATATTGATCTTTTTGGCAATTTTCCTCTCAATTACAGAAGTTCAGATGCCATGTGGTCTGATTATCTAAGTACTGAAGAGGTGGTTCCTCATTGTGCTAATTACTCTATCTGCAGATTTGTTCCCCTGATAGATTTTTAGATATGTTTTCTCCAAAAGAGTTGAGTCTCTGAGACTGTCTCCTTTCTTTGGTTATATTTATTGGGCACAAGTAACTTTCCAATCTAGTAATGATTAAAACCTCTTCTCTTTTTTTCTGAAACCCTTCTAAAAAGTTTGACCTGAGCATGTCGTCTCTTTTATTTTATATGTGCTTAGCTTACCCTTTAAGATCACAACATACCTCTTAAGAATAATCTTTTTCTTCTTCTAGATCAAGCTGTCTTTATTTGTTCTTTCATAATTTCATTCTCTTGGGCAAACTGAAGTAAACTTTTTTAAGCATTGCAGATTTTCTCTTGGGTTTCCTGAGGAAACTTGGTTTCTCATACTAGAGTACTCATATAAAATCTTATTTCATTTGCAAAGTTAATTGAGTTCTTTTTTTCCCCATCCCAAGCAATGAAGATGACATTGTTTTAAATAAGAAGGGCTACCATTTTATTTAATGTGTTTATTATTAAAGCCTATTATACTGTGATTTCAGTTGTTCTCTTGTTCTAGAGACAACAACTGGGAGAGCTATTCTAGCATTTAGCTACCTTACTATATACTATATGAAAAGCACTGTGATGGGGTCAGGGAACACACTTTAGAAACTGAAATATGTCCTGTGTAGCTAGAGTACAGTGAGGAAAACAAAATTGAGGCCAGAAAGGTAGGCAAAGGGCTAGAGTCTACAAGATTATCTAGACTGTGACAAGGATCATGAGCAATAAGGCACTTTCTGCTCTTGAGTTCAGAATCTTCAGAAAGTTTGTACAAGGGAATGAAATAGTTAAATTTTTTTTTGAGGAATTGCAATATGTAAATGGATAAAAATCATGGGAACACAGCTGAAGGGAACATTCATTTGCCCTGCCACGATGGTGATAAAGAGAGGGAAATTTAATAGGGTGATGTTTTCCAAATTTTAATTTCATAGTCTGAGTCATTTTGCTGGAAGAAAGAGAAAGGAAAACTTCTTTGTGCTACTTGCCTCTCTGGTGGGACCGAAGCCTTCATTTCACTTCTAGGAAGCAGCTTAACAAAAAAAGTAGTCAGAATTACTGAATTTTTCCTTGAAAATAAGTTCATATTTAGCATAGTCCACAGCATTTAAGGCTATTTTGTTTCCCCATTGCATTGAAACAACAGCCACACAATCTATTTCATGTTATAAAAATTGCACAAGAAAAAGTAGAGACATGATAAACTATAGTGCTTTAAAAATATCTGAATTTTGAGTTTTTTCTTCTGGTTAACTATTTTTATAATTATAATTTTTAATAATTAAGTTACTTTTCATGTTTAAAGTATTTTATCAGTCCACTTTTTTGAAGACATTAAAAATGTTTCAATCGAAATCACTTATTTGCTCTACATGGATTTGAATTAGCTTGTTGATTATGGAAATGAGATTCAAGAAAATGCTTTCTATTGATTTCTGATGTGTAGATAATATTCCAGGGCAGCATTAGAACTACATGCAAATGATATACTCAAGCACATATTTTTAGTTGTAAAATTGTTGGTATTATTAAAATTGCTGGAGGGCTCACATAAAAGCTGTGTGATGAATTAGATTATGATGTGGATTATATTAATAGTATTTATCTAGCACTTACTAATTATCAAGCATACCAGGCTAGGAGATTTATATTCTTTTTCTGTTCTTCATTAATTTGTTTACTCTTTTACTCTTTTATTCAACATACATATACTTGAAGATATATTTATGTATATGTATATTTCACAAAGTATTTGTGACAGTAGCATTTTTCTTCCAAGCAGAATTTAGGTAGTGTTCACTTATGTCATTAGAGAAGACATTGCTACAATAGCAAAGGTTATGGGTATTGAAATAGAAACCTTATGCAAATATAAATTAGAGATATTTGAACTAAATTGAGGTAAGTTCTGTAAGCTCACTGTGGAAAATGTATCACTGGTCATTAAATTCTCAAACTCAGTCTTGCAGAGTAAAATAACTAACAAAATTGGTAACAATATATGCAGTCCTCAACATCTACATGCAAGGTTTATAAAACCCATTTGTTTTTACTTAAATTGTTTGCCTCAATTGCAGCCACTCTACTCTAAAACGACTCATTTCCCTCCAAAGGAAAGGTAAAATGTGTATTTCCAATTAGAAGACTTGTAGATAATTGCACGAATCTCCTTGACGATATATCGTTGATTATGACTTGTTTGGGAAGTGTGATCATTTGGAAGGTTGAATTAAATCTCCTCAAGTGAGTTAAAATTCCTATCGAAAATGGTGGTAATAAGTATTCATGCAAGAAAATTCCTAGGCTTAAAGAAACGCTGTTAAGTTGAAGAAGTATATGTAAAAGTCTTACAAATAGAATGACGTCATCAAGATGCTGCCCACTCAGATGCATTATGTAGAACATATACAAGTTAGGATATAGGAGGTGTAGGTTATTTAATGTCACTGTTTCTATAAGGAGTAGAGAGGCTACAATGTATAGATTTATCGGATCAATTAGCCTGCATATTTTCTTCTTGGATAAAAATTCAAGACCTTATAGAGAGTCAAATAGAAATCATCGAACCCACCTTTAATTTTTTGGAGGGAAATTTATACAGTCAGTATAAATTGTGTGTGTGTGTGTGTGTGTGTGTGTGTGTGTGTGTGTATAGACTGAGTTTTTGCTATGAAGAAGTAAGATTTGGACTATGGGGTGCCAAAGGAGTGTTTTCATTTCTTCTTCTGTCTTAACATGACAGTTAAAGGTCATGCCTTTGGAAAAGGAAGAGGGTGTGGATTGTGAACAGGTAGTGTCAAGAACTAGGTCATGATTTATGGTACCAGAGAAATGGGCCCTTAGGGAGGTCAGATGGCCCATGAAGTCCAGGATTATCTAATATTAAGCCCTCACTTGAGTACAAGCGCTGACCTAGGTGCCTTCATAGGAACAACTTATTTAATCCTTATAACATTCCTGAGCTAGGTAATTAGATCTAGGCATTAAGATCTTCTGTTTATATATAAGAAAACTGAAGGTTAGGCAAATTATCCAAATGAATACATCTAAAAAGCAGTAAAGTCAGAACACAGACTCTTGACATTTTGGTTCCAGCCCTCTTGGACTCATAACATGGCTACCTCCCTCCAAAGGATCTGAAATATGCATTTGGCATGTGACTTTACATTTATATAAAATTGTTTTATTTATGAATGCATTTTTATCATTCATACATATTTTATAAACACTGTCTGAGAGCCTATGGCTCATGAGCCATTGCAGGGGGATGTAGAGAGAAGGTAAGGCTATGTGGGAACAGAGTATCCCAAAAAGCATAACTGAAAGGACAAGATAAATTATATAAATAAGAATGTAAAAATACACATCATTTGGAGTAATTGGTATGACATAGAAGTACAGTTATGCCTATTAATTATTAGAAAGGAAGACACTAAAGAAGGATAGTAACAGTATAATTGATTTTAGGTCTCTCTATGCCAGTATAATGAGTATGCATAACAACAATAAAAAAGCAAAACCTTGAGATTTTAGCAATAGTAGTTGAATTTAATCCCACAGATATGTCATTTGAATTACATATCTTGGTCAAAAGAAGCTAGTAGAGGAAGGAAAGAGTTGATATTTATAACAGGTGTGTCTAAGTGGAAACACTAAGGTCTAGGTATAAAAGTCTTGTGTTACATATTTGAGATGAAGGAAGGAACATACCATGTTTTTTGTAAATCTGCCAGGTTTTTTTTTAAGGTTGATAAAGAATATGGCTCAGGCTCTCTGATGACCTCAAAGTTTTAGCATAACATGTTCCTAAACAAGAGCTACCTTTCCTTAACCCATATCCTCATTCTCAAAAGGTATGAATAGTACCCTTTTCTTCCTTTCTTTATCAAAATTACAAAAAAGAAAATCATACATTCAATTACAATTATATTTCTATAAATTACCATTTATTACTGAATACATGATGCTTCTAATTTGAGTATTCTGCATACATTTCTCTACGAAAGGTGAAAGTGAAGGTCACATTTCTTTTTACATGCTCTTGGAATGCGCTGAAGAACATTCCATCTTGCTGACAATCTTGTTCTTGGTCCCCATCATACATGCTCCTTCCTTGCACGTCTCTTCCTTAAGTTTCTCAGCCAATTTTACTAATTTAATTTGAACAGACACTTCTCAAAAGAAGACATTTATGCAGCCAACAAATGTATGGAAAAAGCTCATCATCACTGGTCATTAGAGAAATGCAAATCAAAACCACAATGAGATACCATTTCACACTAGTTAGAATGGCGAATATTAAAAACACTGTTGGTGGGAGTCTAAATTAGTTCAACCATTGTTGAAGACAGTGTGGCTATTCCTCAAAGATCTAGAACCGGAAATACCATTTGACCCAACAATTGCATTACTAGGTATATACCCAAAGGATTATAAATCATTCTACTATAAAGACACATGCTCATGTATGTTTATTGCAGCACTGTTCACGATAGCAAAGACTTGGAACCAACCCAAATGCCCATCAATGATAGACTGGATAAAGAAAATGTGGTACATATACACCATGGAATACTATGCAGCCATAAAAAAGAATGAGTTCATGTCATTTGCAGGGACATGGATGAAGCTGGAAATCATCATTCTCAGCAAACTAACACAGGAAAAGAAAACCAAACACTGCATATTCTCACTCATAGGTGGGAACTGAACAATGAGAATACACCAACGCAGGGAGGCGAACATCACACACTGGGGCCTGTCAGGGTTTGGGGGACTATGGGAGGGATAGCATTAGGAGAAATACCTAATGTAGATGATGGGTTGATGGGTGCAGCAAACCACCATGGCACATGTATACCTATGTAACAAACCTGCCAGTTCTGCACATGTATCCCAGAACTTATAAGTATAATCATAATTTAAAAAAAAAAGCCAACTCAAACGTTTCTGGATTTTTGTTGTTGTTAACTTGTAAAGTTCATAAAAATAAAAGTTAAACATACTACTCCTTGTAAAAAAAATTCTATTTTTGAAATTTCATTGATTGCCTGTGTATCTATTATTGGTTATTAATTCTGTGTCCTTCTTTTCTCCCATGTTTCTTCTATCACTAAAGTACTAATAAATTCCAAATGTGTACCTCTAATTTGTAAAATTCTCCTGAGCCACAGATTTACATGTACAGATTTCAGAACTATGTACCCAGAAAAAGCTATAGCGTTTTCAAACTCAATACATTTACATTTTACTTTATATTCCTCTACTACTTCCTCATATTGGTTTGTTTTAGTGAAGGATATCATCACCCGGTTGCCCAAAATCTTCTTTGCCTTATCTTCAAATTGCCAGTTACCGAAGTCTTTCCATTATCAAGTCTCTCAAATCGCGTCTGAAATTCTAGTTTCCAATGTTGGGTTATATCTATTTCCACAATGAACCTCAGACTTCAGCCACATAGAATATACTACCATCTATGTTGTTGAATATGGTATTTTCTCTGTTTAGAATATGTATTCACTCCAGTCAAAGCATTCGTTGACTTTCCTTGGAAGAGCTGGTAGCTTCCACTAGTGAGTTTACAGCCCGAGAATTTACTTTAACATGTAATACTTTCCACTAAAATTATTTGTTATTGTATTGAGAAAAAACAATGAAAATACTGGTATGGTTCTATTAATTTCAAACAAAACCTACTTAGAAAGAAAAGTGGTCTTAGAGGCCAGGTGCGGTGGCTCAGGCCTGTAATCCCAGCACTTTGAAAGGGAGCCAAGGCAGACAGATCACGAGGGCAGGAGATCCAGACCATCCTGGCTAACACGGTGAAACCCCGTCTCTACTAAAAATACACAAAAAAAATTAGCCGGGCGTGGTGGCGGGCGCCTATAGTCCCAGCTACTCGGGAGGCTAAAGCAGGAGAATGGCGTGAACCCGGGAGGCGGAGCTTGCAGTGAGCCCAGATTACGCCACTGCACTCCAGCCTGGGCGACAGAGCGAGACTCCATCTCCAAAAAAAAAAAAATAGTAGTTTTAGAGATAAAATGGAACAACTTCATAATAGTATCTGTTGAACAAAAGACTATGAATATTTCAAATGTTTATATATTAATGGCTAATATGCATAACAAGGAAAAATGATGTAGCTTATAGGGAAAGAAAGATGAATCCCAAATCATGGTGGGATATGACAACATGCATCTTCTAATATTTGAATAAACCACAAGATCAACACATTTAAGGTAATTTATGTATATAATTTTACAATATAATTTTAAGTACATATAGAGCATTCATAAAAAATGACCAGATGCTGAATCATAAGGCAAGTTTCAATACATTCAGAGGATTGAGATTACATAGAGTAAGTGCTTTGTGTACAAATTAATATGAGGTAGAAAATCTTCAGATATTAGGACATTTAAAACATAGATATTTATATTTTTGGAATTTCTTAAAACACAACTTGAAAATATTTAGAAATGAATACAAATTAAAATGCTGTTTGAAAATGAAAGCCAGTATTACAAGTGAAACCTGTAATTTACACACATATATATATATATGTAGAGAAAAAGGCAGAAAAATAATATAAGTATCTATCTCAACAAGTTAGGAAGGACCCAGCACATATATCTCAAATACAAAAGAAGAGAAATAATAAATATCAGAAGGTAATATAATGGAAAATATTATATCATATATTGTACTGCATACAACAGAGGGGATCAACAAAACCACAACTGGCTTTTTTTTTTAAATAAACTGATGAAAGTGACAGTGATGCAACTTGCCAAGTAAAAAAAATAGAGGATTCAAGGAAAGCTAATGTCAGTTAAATCACTATAAACCCTGATGATACTAAAAGGATGTTGAGAGGATGTTAGAAATTACTTTTCTAAAAACATAGAATTTTGAATAAAATTTCTAGAAAAATACAACTTAGCAAAGATGAGAAGCGCAAGAAAAAGACACTCTAAGTAATTATGTAACTATTTAAGTAATGGACAACAAAAAAACCCTTTATTATAAACATTCTTATAGAAGTGTGCTTTCTTATTATGATATAAAAATATCTAGCAAACGCTTACAACTAATATCACACTTAGTAGCAGTGGTTCCTTTTGAGATAAAGACAAGGATGCCCAGTATCACCACTTGTATTCAGTGTTGTATTTGTGGTCTTGGTAAATGCGTGAATGCAAAATGTATACGTGCATATACACGTGAATTCATGCATACACACATGCATGCCTTTTTAGTAAAGTTAAAGGATTTGAATAGACTAGATAAAACTATTATTGTGTAAGTGTGGATAGTAAATTGAAAGGAATGTACCAGATTATTAATTTTAATATATGATTTTTTATTGAGGTTCCTCACTAAGAAATCAAATGCATTTCTATATACAAGTAATATAAAAATACCATGTCTGGTAACATAAAAATATCAAATCAGAATGCATCTACTGAAAGATGTAAAGCTATATGTAGAAAATTCTACATTATTGGGATAAAATAATACCATAGAGTGAAAGACAACACAAAATGGGAGGAAATATTTGCAAATCACATATCTAATAAAATATTGAGATCACTTAGAACTCAACAATAAAAAGACAACCCAATTAAAAAGTGAGCAAAGAGGTCAGGTGTGGTGGTTCACGCCTGTAATCCCAGCACTTTGGGAGGCCGAGGCAGGCAGATCACTTGAGGTCAGGAGTTCGAGACCAGCCTGGCCAACATGGTGAAACCCCATCTCTACTAAAAATACAAAAATTAGTCAGGCGTGATGGTGGCACGTGCCTGTAATCACAGAAGGAGGCTGGGTCAGGAGAATCACTTGAACCCAGGAGGCAGAGGTTGTAGTGAGCCAAGATCGCACTGATGGTCTCTAACCTGGGTGACAGAGCAAGACTCCATCTCAAAAAAAAAAAAAAAAAAAAAAGTGAGTGAGTGAAGAATTTTAATACATATTTCTCCAAAGAAGATTAAAAAATGGGCAATAACCATATGAAAAAAATGTTCAACATTATTAGTCATTAGGGAGACAAACATTAAAACTACAGTGAGATCCATCACATTCCACCATATAGCTATGATTTTTTGTTGTTGTTGTTTGAATTTTTGTTTTTATCATACTTTAAGTTTTAGGGTACATGTGCACAACGTGCAGGTTTGTTACATATGTATACATGTGCCACGTTGGTGTGCCTCACCCGTTAACTCGTCATTTAACATTAGGTATATCTCCTAATGCTATCCCTCCCCCATCCCCCCACCTCACAACAGGCCCCGGTGTGTGATGTTCCCCTTCCTGTGTCCACGTGTTCTCGTTGTTCAATTCCCAACTATGAGTGAGAACATGCGGTGTTTGATTTTTTTAATAAAATAGAAAATAAGTGTTGGCAAGGATATGGAGAAATTGTAAACCTTATGCCTTGCTAGTGGAAATGTGAAATGATGCAGTTGCTGTGGAAGACAGTTTGGCAGTTCATCAAACACATAGAATTACCAGATGACCCTGAAATTCCTAAGTATATACCCAGGAGGACTGTAAACAAATGTTCACACAAGAAAACACATATAGGAATGTTCATAGCATTGTTATTCATAATAGCAAAAAAATGAAAACCTAAATGTCCTTCGGCTAGTGAATAAACAATATGTGGTATATCCATTCGATGAAATATTTTTTAGCAACATAAGGAATAAAGTACTATTATATTGCAACAGTATAAATGGACTTTAAAAATATTTTAAATTAAGGCAGACACAAAAGGTCACATGTTGTGTGATTCCATTTATATGAAGTGTACAGAATAGGCAAATCCAGAGAGACAATAGATTAGGAGTTATCAGGGGAAGAAGATACAAGAGAATCAGATATTGGCTGCTAATAGGTACTATATAGGGTTTTCTTTTAAGGTGTTAGAAACATTCTGGAATTAGTAGTTATCTTTGCACAAACTGAACATACTGAAAAAACAATTGTAGAATTTTAAATAGTAAACATTATGTAAATTATATCAATATAGTAAAAAGTCAACACACTCATATTGAAAGAAAGGGTAGAAAAATCTCTACCAGCTATCAAAGCATATTATTAGGCATATTGTGTAAGACAGTACAATATAGACAAATTGTTCAGTGGAACACACAAATGTCTAGAAACAGAGCCAAGCACCCATGGGTACTGAATTCATGACTAATATTGTAGAGCAGTTTGAAAATGTCATATTTTCAATAAATTTTGCTGGACCAATTTGGAAAAATAATGAAATTTTACCCCAACTCAAAATGTAAATTTCAGGTAGATTTTTGGATTAGACGTGAAAGGCAAAGTAATCATAACATAAAAAGATTTTTAGAAGCAAATACAGATGTGTATATATGATTATTTTATGTAATAAACAGGACACATAAGTAAAGATGATTCAATAGGACTGCATTAAAATTAACAATAGGTGTTCAACGTAAGAAACAGTAAGTGAGTAAAAAAGGAAGCCATGGAGTAGGGAACAGATTTTCACAATATATAACCAACAAAGGACTCGCATCTAGAATACATAAAGCACTTCTGTGAATCGATAAGGAAAGACTACCCATATAAAATGCATAAAAATAACTTAAAAAAACCTTCTCAGATGAATACACATGTGTATGACTAATAAACATATGAAAATGCACTAAAATTTGTTATGAAGATAATGTAAATGAAAAGTACAGAAATATTCCACTAAATAGTAAACTGATAGCTAAAATTAAGCAGAAAAGAAATATTTTCTGGAAAAGTGCAACAATGGCAATTCTCGTAACACTATTTAAATTATTTGCTAAAGTAGAACATAGGCATATTTTCTGACCCAGTAATGTCACTCTTAACAAAGGATGCTTATGGTAGGGTAATTCTTAATAACCCCAAAGTGGAAACAATCCACATATCTGCCAATAGTGGATTGAATATGTAAATTGTGGAATATTTATCCAATGGAATACTATAGGAGTAATGAAAACTAACTGCAGTTATGAGCAACAAGATGAATGAATCTCATAAATAAGATTTTAAAGGAAAGGAAGTACACAGAGAGAGAGATGTAGTACATGATTCCAAGTAGATAAAGTTTAAAACTTAAGTTAGAACCATAGGCTGGACAAAAAATCCAGATACTTTGACAAATACAGATAATTAATAGTTTACTGAGATTACAGTGTACAATATATTCAATGACATCCTATGATATGTTCAAGGTGTTGTCCCTCCCTGGTAACACACAGTCAAATGACTTGAAATATTGTGATGAACATGAGACATTAATGCAGCATGATTACAAATCTCTGCACATGTATCTTTGTATATACATATACACTTACCCAGTGTGACAGAACAAGCCACAGGCTTCTATGTACTGGTTAACTTCAAGGTGTTTATCTGTGTAATAATTACATGAGCATTGACTTTGTGATAATTTATTGAGCTGTATACATTTCTATTTTTGCAAATCTTTTGTGGTTTATAACGCACCGCAAAGAAATAACTTAAAATATGACAATAAAAGAATGTATCAGATTATTTTCTTAGGTCGTTAATAGAACTAAGATCCATGGACAAAGGTTTCTAAGAGATAGATCATCCGTTTTACATCTTTGAAGCCAGGCTAGAGAATTCAGTAAGGTCTCTAATAATATGACAAGATCCATTACTTACTCTTCAAAAGTGAAGCATTGATCTTCTCAAATGATTTTAGACACTAGAGAAGGAATATTAATAGCTTCCTTCGGGATGATTTGTTACCAATTAGTGGTCCAGCATTATGGAGATTATTCTGGCCCAACAGAAATAACCTAATTTAAATTTTCTGACAGTAAGATGCAGACACATATTCATATGCACATATAAAACCTTACACAATAGTGTCAACTCCTTTCACACTTACCGTGTTCTCCATTCTCTTTCAAAGAAAGACATGTGTTTTTCAAATGTGTAGTTTCAAACTCGATTCCCAAGACAAAAGGAAAAGGCTACCATCAAATGTTTAAAGAATAATCTCCTTTATTTTATAATAATAATGGTTAGAAGTTCAATATTTCTGCTCAAACACAGAAGCAGGCAGGCATATTTGCAAAAGGCCTCACAATGTTTGCCATTTTCTTTACACAAGACAACATTTATAAAACCTTTGCATCCCATGGCAGGTGCTGGGTCTCCTCTTGGGAATTTGTGCTGTTCAGATATTGCCTTTCATTTGAACTTCAAACACCTTTAAAAAATAGAGGCTGCATTTTAGTATCATTTAAAAATTAAAAGCCTTTTATCTTTGTCATTATAATATCTTTCATGGTTTTACTTTTCAAAAATAAATCAAAGCCAGAACTAATTATTGTCATAGCCAGCAAAAACCTGAAAAATGGGAAAAGTCTTTTAAAATGAAACTTTGGTCTGCTTCTCCCATAAAAACATTAAATTTATGTACTAATTATTAGAGAATTTCAAGTGCATTTAATAATAATCTCCCTTCTTTGAGAACTTAAAGAATTAACCAAATAATTATCGTCACCTAAATAATTGGAAAAAATATTTTCTAGAGCTAGAACATTTCCTTTTTTCCTTTGTTTTAATGGCACAATGTAAGTTAAACACTTCAGTTTAAGTTAAAGACACATTTTCATCTACAGAAATTATGTCTTAAAGTGTTTATTCAGCCAGCAGTACTTGTAAATAGAATAATATTGTAGAATTATAGCATTTTATTGTCTATTTTTTCTGAAACAAAAACTCTTATTTTCTGTCTTTCCTCTGTTTTGCTTTTTATCAGGCTTGGACTCCTTGATCTTCTGGTAACTTCAAAAATCTGGTGAGATATTTTTTTCTTTGGGACTCTCAGTCTTCTGATATTTTTATTTTGTTTGTCACTATTCCTTGGAGTATGTTTTTATTTCTGTGTCAGGCTTAATCCTTAAAAAAAAATCTCCCCTCATTTCCATCTTCTGAGTTTGAATCTCATAAGTCCAGTTACATCTTAACCAATATTAGACAATATGATAAGTCCAGATACTTCTTGGAGATTCAACTTCATGGGTTAGAAGAACATTCCAAACAGAGGGAGCATTTGTTTCTTAAGGAAATTAAATCCCCACTGAAAGAGTTCGTGATAGGACAGAGGATTATGCGGTAAAATGTGGAAAATTTTTCTTTAAAAATAGATCAAATGCAGAAGCAAGATAAAAACCAAAGATGAGCTGACACAAAAATTGGGTGTTTAAAAGTTTTTCAGTAGTACAATGCTGAGAGTATAATTTACATGTTGTAAAGCTAGAAACACACTGAACACACTGATCTTTTCCACATGGAAACTCTTAAAATCCTTGCAACATTTTCCTGGGACATGCATTACAGGGATGATAAAGCTGTACTGGTTGAGATAGGAGGTTTTCTGTGAAGTTGTGTATTTTTCCAAACAGCAGCTTTGTATTCATGTTTGAATCCACCCAGTCTTTTTTCTTCAAATATTATTGAAATATTGCTCACTATCACATTCATACATTGGGATCCTACTATGTTCTGAGTGTATACAAGATTATCAAACATTTTATCTCATTTAATACTATGAAGAAATCTCTAGCTTAGATACGTGTGTAGACTGGATGTCCCAACTCATCTGACGCAGTGACCCTTTCCATAATACTGAACCAAGAATGAGATTCTAACTTGATGGACTGCAGAAATACAATCTTGTACTCCATTATTTAGTAATAACTGGGTATTGCTGGATGGGAGTGGGAGAGCAGTGAAGGTCCAGTATCTCCTTGCTGTTGTTCATTATCTTCCTAAAACCAAATGCTTTCAGGATTTCTCAATATGTTATAATCATTTCATTTCCATGTGGGTTTCATCCTTCAAGTTCACACTTCCCACCAAACAGTACCACATTTGATAGTAAACTGTCATGTTGAACAAACGTTACTGAAGACTTGAGGTTAAACAGAATTATTGCACACAAACAGAAAACTTAAAGTTGTATATCAGATCTCATCACTAAGAAAGCCACTGAATGATGCCTTTCCCATAGAGATGTATGCTTTGTCTCTCTCCATCATCAGTGCACCATGAACCACTGGGGTCTGCATCCCTCCCAGAAGAATACACTTTGACATATTTCTCTCTGTCTTATTCCTTATATTTGAGTCCTGCAAGATACGTGAAGAATAAGTTGACATTAAAATGTTCTGTCATAACTTTAACCAGCCCACAGTGAAGGCAAGCTTCTGTTTATTGCGAGACTAGTTTAGCCTTTCATTGTGCAGGCTTTTACTAGGCCTGAGTAGAATTTTGCATTACCTTTGGAGAGTGGTAAATAGAAATTTCTACCAAACAAATACCTATTCACAATGATGAATTCAGTCCTACATATTTAACCATAAATATGAACAAAAGGAACTTGAAATTATATTTTTTCTTAGTAATTTTTTTTTTTGGAAACAAGGTTTCACTGTGTTGCCCATGCTGGCCTCCTGGGTTCAAGAAATCCTCCTACCTCAGCCTCCAGAATCGCTGAGACGACAGAGCCACACCACGGTCCCTGGCTGCCTTAATGATTTTTAAAAGTATTCATCAAAGTATTAGTCAATATTTAGCCGCAAAATGAGAATGAGGGTTAGCCTTCCATCTCCCTCAGCACTTTCTGCAAATGGAAAGCTTTGCTTAAGCATTTCTTGAGGAACTGGGGTATTTTAGGTAGCACAAATTTTGCCTCCCCATTTCCATCATAACAAATCCTAGAGGTCCTCTATACTTTTTCCATCCTAAAGCTGTCCTTAGTTGCAAAAGTTGGATCTGGACCCTCCTCCTGTAATTGTCCTTTTGCCTAAATTCCATCATTTTTCATTTAAATTGTCAGTATGAATTTCCAATTCTGGATGGCCAAAATGATCTTTTGGGTGGTCTTCTATCTTCTAATATATCTTATTTCAAATCCATTCTTAATATACTACCAGGTGATGGATTCTAAAACACTTATTCTCCTGCTTGTTTGTTTGTTTGTTTTTTAATGTGACCAGTGTGGGAAAATGTATGAGTTTTTTTTCCCTAGTTTGATATACAAGTTATACAATTAAGTATTGCCACAGTTATCCAAAAGCAATCTTTCTTCAGTACATACCAGAAATCTCAAAGCTAATAAGGTTGTTCAGTTTTCTCCCTTTACAAGCCCCACCATCACTATTTCTGCTTCTGTGACCAGCATGATCAGTGTGTCTGCTCGTATCCCCATTTCCTATTCATTCCTCAAGGCCAAATTCAAGTCCCACTTTCTCCTGGAAGTCTTCATTGTTTTCAATATTGTAGTTTGATTCCCCCTGTCCTTGAACTCTTTGTTTTTAAGATGACAAAGCATAGCACTTTACCTTACACTGTCATATGTTCTAAGGTTCTTGTGTTGTGTGCATGTTTTCTACTCAGCAATTCTGCAAGTTTGCTAAATGAGGAAACAATGTCATCTTGTTCTCTTTACTGCAGCATACCTAACACATTGCTCTATGTTTAGTAGTTCCTCAATATTTTCAATTAACTAACTTATTTAGGATTTCACCTTTACTTAAAAAATAACCTTACTGTGTCCAAGTGTTCTCATTGTTCAATTCCCACCCATGAGTGAGAACATGCGGTGTTCGGTTTTTTGTCCTTGTGATAGTTTGCTGAGATGTTTTCCAGCTTCATCCATGTCCCTACAAAGGACATGAACTCATCCTTTTTTATGGCTGCATTGTGGGGTGTAGGGAGGGGGGAAGGATAGCATTAGGAGATATACCTAATGTAAATGACGAGTTAATGGGTGCAGCATACCAACATGGCACATGTATACATCCATAACAAACCTGCACATTGTGCACATGTACCCTAGAACTTAAAGTATAATTAAAAAAAAACCTTAAATTTCCATTTCTAGAATTGCTTGCTTCTAGTTATCATTTTGAAAGAAAACAATGCTGTGAATGTGAAGGATGGTTAATAGTATTTGAAAAACATTCTGAATTATCATGATACACTCTACAAAACTGAGTGCCATTTGAGAGAAATGAAAATAAATGTAAAATTAAAACCAGAGTACTATTGAAATACAAATGATAATATGCAAACTTAGATTCCAAATTAAATACATTAAAAATACTCCATTAAATTATGATATAATTCTCAAGTAAAAAAAATATTTACTCTGGAACTAAATACCAGCAGTAAAAATTTACTTCAAAGTAAAGAACTGACACTTCCTACATAGCAGGTAAAATATTTACAGAAAATCTTATTGCAGCATTTTTTCACTTAAATAAGGTAATGTGTTTAATGTTTACGAATCACTGAATTTTGTATCTGTGTGTGTAGTTCTGGCAATTTGTTCCAATTCATGTATTTTATTTTCTGCACCTGGATTTTGGACCTTTTAAGAGGTCAAAATAATAACATATGCACAATGATGTACACTCAAAGAGAATTTGAATTTTCAAGCTTTCACCGTTTGTCAGGTGCAATGCTAGGTGCTTTATCTGTGTATTCTCATTTCATGCTTCCAGTCTCACTTTGTAAAGGGCATTTTAATATCACTTTAGAGATGAGACTAATGGTCAGAGAGCTTAATTAGTTCATCTACAGTCTCATACTTAATGAATCAAGATGCTGAGATTTCAGTCTATCCTTTGGACTCTAAAGACTATATATACTGAGATACTATTATCCTAGTAAGTTTTTAATAAAACCCAATTCTACATATATTTGAGTAGTAACCCTGATCTGGAGCTCTTAGGAAAGTTTATACATAGATAGTTAAAACAAGATTTTATCTTTTGTACTTATATAGTTATTGAGAAAAATTCAGAGATAGTTACTTTAAATCCAAGGGGAAATAAATTGCCACAGCCTACGCCCCAATTTTGGATCTGTGTATACATATCTTTTATACCTGTAAAACCATGTCATTAATAAGTGAAGCAAAATCTATAGAAACCCACTTAACCCTTCTGCAGTCACGCAATGATGATTAATGGCTGTTTCATTTCCTCATTAGTGTTCTCAGTTTTCTAATGCAAATTTTATGCAAGTTTGGCCGTCCTGAATTTTTTTTAACAGTATTATAGGTAACTTGCAAATTAAATTCATGTGCTTAGCATTAGTCATACAATATCTTTCAAATAATACAAATTAATTCAAATGTAGTATTGTATTTTCCAAGAATTGAATGCTATTTCCATCTAGAGAGTTTAAAAAGTGTATTTCTTTTATATGTACCAAAAATATTCTGATGTTTTATCTACAAGATACTCTCCCCTCAAAAATTAAATGTTTTGTGTTAAAATGATGTTACTGTTTTCAAGGTTGTTATGTTATGTATTTAAATTGTAGAGAACAAACCAAACATATATACCAATCTCACAGTTTTGACTTTTTAAGCATATAGTATATGATAATGCTTTGCACATTTTAACATTATACACAGTTATTAAAGTTGTTATTACTGCTAGTATGCTATCCTGATGTAAATTTATGTCATGATATGAACATAAATCATGTGTTCCCTGACCAAAGGAAGGAATCATACTCTCATGAATTTACTAATATGTTCGTTCTCTCACAATTTTTTTTTTTGTTGCAAACCATTTGATAGGGATTGGGTAATATAAAAAGGATATGACATGACCCCAACTTCAAGGACCTTAATTTTATGTTTCCTGTATAATTAGGTGCTTTTATTTATCATTTTTAAAAAAGTTATTTAAAATTATGAGCATTTGCTTTAAGCCTTTTATTCCCTTTAGCTTGCTGGGATAGCAGGTTATTAGAAATCATAAGGATGGTGAGAGTGATACTATTGGTGTGCATTAATATCTGGGTTTCTTTCTTTATTGACCATATAGAAAATCATATTTTCCTTCCACCTTGCAGTTAGGTGTGGTCATAGGATTACTTTTGGCCAAGGGAAAATGGAAGTAAAGTATATCACTTCTGTGCAGAGGAGATAAAAATCCTCTATGTGCATTTTCAGTCTTTCTCTTCCTCTGCAAAGGAGATTGTAGAGGAGGCATGCATTTGAGACAGTAGAGCCACAAGACTGAATCTTCCTAATCCCTGAGTCACCTGATGGAGGACAGCTGCAGTGAAGATACTCCCAGTTTCACAGCTAACTTATCTGAACAACAGATGAATTCTGTTTTCTTAAGCAACTGAGTTGCATTTTATTTTTGTTTTGTTTGTTACAGCAGCATAAAGCCCGCCCAAACTACTCAAACGGAAATGGGAGCTATTATGTTTGGGTATTTCTGAAATCTAGAGCCACGTTTCCAAAGACATATTTTGACAATTTTATTTTAGACTTTGAAATAATTCTCTCCTGACTTTTACCAAATAACCTGCAGTACCATTTACTTGTGTGGTAAAGCAGGCAACTTAGGCCTCCAAAATAGAAGACTTGGGATAAATAGTACTACAAATTTTAATAAAAATCAACTATGAATCACTTAACAAATGTCACTAGATAAACTAAAAAAACATGAAATAGGAAAAAATCTACAAGATACATATCTACACTCAAAATGGTCTACTTTCTAATAGGAAAATGGACAGCATTCTTTTAATAATAGTTGAAGTTCTTTAATCTTAACTGTCATTAAGCAACAATCCATATTAAAGACCATCTAACAACAATTTCTAAATTAAAGGAGCCACTGTATCTTAGATAATTTTATTTTGATGTGGTGCCCAAAGTTTACTATGTTCAACTCTTGCCTTAGTTTCTGGAATGACCTGAATCACCACCTGCTTCCTATGTCTTTGGCTCTTTTTACCTTTTAGAGTGGAAGTCTCCCTCTGCTATTTCATTTTTACTTTTTAGGATCCATAGTAATTTAAATGCCACCAACATGCCAACTAGCATCATTCATTTCTACAACAGCTAATTAGTTAAACTTCTTTTCTTCACACATAGGACTAGAGATCAAAAATAATTGTATACAATTACCTGGAATTAAAAGGATTTCAATTTATCACTAAGGAAGGAGGCACAACAAATTATGACTCATAAAGTATTTTGTGTCAATCACTAATAGCCTCTAAAATATTCATGGGACATGTATTAGTTTGTTTTCACTCTGCAGATAAAGACATACCAGAGACTGGGTAATTTATAACGAAAAAGAGGTTTAATGGGCTCACAGTTCCAGGTGGCTGGGGGAGTCTCACAATCATGGCAGAAGGTGAAAGGCACATCTTACATGGTGGTAGGCAAGAGATAATGGGAGCCAAGCAAAAAGAGGAAACCCCTTATAAAGCCGTCAGATCGCATGAGACTTATTCACTACCACAAGAACTGTATGGGGGAAACTGCCCCCATGATTCAATTGCCTCCCCATGGGTCCCTCTCACAACACATGGGAATTATGGGAGCTACAATTCAAGATGGGATTTGACTGAGAACACAGCCAAATCATATCAGGACATTAAAATCTACCTCTATAAAGTTTATTCAATGTGTAAGAATCAGAATTCCTACATGTGGAGTTCAACCCAACTTGAGAGGTTACATACCTACGATAGCTTTCATTCACTGAGTATCAGCTTGCTTTTCACCTAATTTCACCATCAGGATAGCATTCATTAAACATTCACAAGACGGCAAGTTTCATTTCAGAAGGACTACCAGTGTTTAAACATGTTTCTTTGGCATTAAGCAAAAATTACATTATATTCATAATTGCCCCTCAGGGTAGCATAGGACTTATGCATTTGTTAACACTCCAAGGAATTGACACTAAGAGTGTTAATAATTGGACTACATGGAAGAGTGATCACTTAGTGGGAAGTTAAACTATCTACTTTTTTATTTTAGCCTCTCATCTGACATAAAATATTTATGAATGCTTTTATGAAGATATTTTCATTTAATTTAATTTTCAGACAGGGTCTCACTCTGGTTATCCAGGCTAGAGTGCAGTGGTGCGATCTTGGCTCATTGCACCCTTGACATCCTAGGCTCAGGTGATCCTCCTGCCTCAACTTCTGAGTAGCTGGGATTATAGGCTTGTGCCATCACGCCTGGCTAACTTTTTGTATTTTTAGTAGAAATGGGGTTTCAGTATGTTGCCCAAGCTGGTCTTGAATTCCTGGACAATTCACCTGCCTCAGCCACCCAGAATGCCAGAATTATAGGTGTGAGCCACCACGCCCGGCCAAGAATAATTTATATAGTGATTCTAATAAGTCTGACATTATCTATCATATTGCTAATACATTGAAAGAACGTTTTGTGGTTAATTAAGCACACATTTGCTGTATGATTTCTTGCCTCCTGTCCTAAATCAAGCAGCTCTTCTCCAGGTGTTCACCAAAATATAAATACTATCCTATAGTTCTTCCCTAATTTCAAAAGCTCTCTGCTTATTATTCTCTGTTTGTTATTGTACATACTTTTTAACAAAACCTTGGGTACTCAGAACACTGTACTTATTATTTAACAAGTATTATGTGTTCTTGATACAGAACATTCTACAATTTTCAGCTGACACTCCTATCCATTTTTCATTCTCCTCCCTTATTTGTAATAAGAGAATATTTCCACTTTGCCTGAGCCTGTGTATCATTCTTGCTATACAAACTCTAATGTCAAAGAAAGATGTAAGCCTTGAAAAGTTATCCACAAACATGTTGAGACATATGAAAATGTCTTTTCACATATTATTTCTATTTTCTAGTTGATGCTGAATTGGCTTACCATTTTTGCAAATGAGAAATAGTGGAAGATGATTGAGATTCCTGAAATGAAATATTACACAATAAGTTTAACTGTTTAACATTTAAACTAAAATGGTTTAAAAAATCATGCTTAAAGAATAACATAGCATCTTCCTAAAGCACTGAACAATGGTAAGTGGTAGGGCTGTTAGGCAGGCTTTAAGGGAATGAGGTTATGCTAATATGGAGTATAGACAAATAATTTTACACTGTCCTGCTTATGGCCACCTACCTCTGAATGGGAATCCCACTTTATCTTCATTTCTTACTTCTGAGATACCCCTTACAGCCTGGGAAGGTGTATGATTTGGACATGTGGAAGACAGTTAAATGCTTGGAATGTGTGCATGCCAATGTCAGTGTTATGCGGATATCCGATAGTGAAGTTTTTTTGGTGTAGGATGGAATGGAGTTAACCGAGGAGGTTCTGAGACAGATCCTAATAGAAGATTAATTATGGGATAACATTTTCTTGGTATTATAGCAATGTCAATGTTCTGTTTAATAGATGTACAAGTTGTCCTTAAAAAACAATGAGAAATTTCTTATTTTTCTACTTAAATTCTAACAAATCAAATTAATACTGTTTCAAACATTCATAGCCATGTAGTTACTGTATTACCCCTAACGCTGGCTTGGTTGGGATTTGTCTTGTCTTTTACATGACTGTCCTGAAGTCATCTGCTTCCCTAAACAATGCGTACTGCTGGGAAAGACAGAGAGAGAATGAAACATCCAACGATTAGAGACATAGCCAAGTTTTGTTGTGAGGGCTATCTTGAAAGAAGAATTCTCTTGTAAAGAAAAAATGTCCTACAGTTCCCCAAAGTATAATAATTTGTCACTAATTTTCACAAAAATATTTGTCACCACAGAAAACTTCTCAAATGTTTATTCTTCTTGAAGAAAAATAAACATACACATTTGTTTCTTTCTACAAACATGTAGTTGAATAATTACAAATAATGTCAATCTGGAAATGAAATTCAAGAAACCAGAATATGAGACAAAAATGGAATGGAGATAAGGAGAACCAACTTATTAAGCAAGCCCTGAATGTAGACAGAGGAAGTGCTCAGATAAAGTGCTTATGTGGTTAGAGCTTCAGTGCCTTTTCTCTTAGCCTTTCTTAGTCCATTTTCACACTCTTGATAACGACATAAGCTGAGAATAGGAAGAAAAAGACGTTTAATGGACTTATGGTTCCACGTAGCTGGGGAGGCCTTACAATAATGGTGGAAGGCAAGGAGGAGTGAGTTATGTCTTTTACATGGATGGCAGCAGGCAAAAAAAAAAAAAGCTTGTGCAGGGAAACTCCCATTTTTAATACCGTCAGATCTCATGAGACTTATTCACTATCATGGGAACAGCATGGGAAAGACTTGCCCCCATGATTCAGTTATCTCTTACCAGATCCTTCCCAGAACACGAGGGAATTTTAGGAGCTACAAGATGAGATTTGATTGGGGACACAGAACCAAACCATATCACCTTTGAAGCAAAAGAGGATGTGTTAAGGACACTCTGACTAACCTACCCCAGATATTTTACCAGCTCTCCCCACTTATGCAGTCTGAAATCTTCCTGTTTCCCTCTTGATAATGTGGGTGACAAAGTAGGGAATGCAGGAAGGGACACCAAATAAACTCTGCGAGTCTCCCAAAGCCAGGTAGTGTTCTGACCACTCCTCTGCCATTGATCTTCATTGTACTGTAGCTTAGTAATCAGAGGACAGTTTGGAAGTTAGTTTGCCTAGGCTCAAATCCCAGCTATATCACTTGTTACCTGCATGAACTTGGGTGAGTTATTTAATGTCTGTGTACCTCCATTTCCTCCACTGTAAATGGGGATACCTTAAAGAGCAGTTGTAAAGATATTACATGCAACTTTTGTAGTGCTTACAACAATATCAGGCAAGAAGTGTTGTCTATCATTTTTATCACCTTCATCCTTCACATTTTGATCTAATGCTTTCTTCAACTGGATCAGAAATACTTTCCAAGCATTCTGTGACCTTCTTTCATCCACTTAAGGATCTGTTAATATTGAGTAAAGACCTCACAGTTGAATATAGTTGGCTGCTCTATACAGGATTTAATTATGGGAGTAAGGCTATCCAAGCCTTACTACCTCAATATATATTCATATGTACATCAGGTTATTTCCATTCTGGGAAAGAAAGTACAAGTGACGTAACTCTGGCAAAGGCCTATTAAGCACACAACTTGAACACTATGTTTATTGAGTTGAGCTTTGAGAGATGATAAACACCCTCAAAAGCATTTAATCTGTAACTGTGATGTTTCCTTGAATGACTATTTCAAATATTGACCTAAGATAAAAGATATATCTCAAACTTTGGATGCAACCTTTAAAAAAGAACAGGTACATTGAAACAGAGACAACTTTAAAGGTGATCCCCAAAAATGTACAATTCACATTTTCTAAAGACTGTACTGAAACTAGAAGTCAATCACATGAATTTAGCTACAACAATAACAAAAAACATCTTAATGTTTTTATTAAAAGAAGACATAAATAATTTTGGCCAGGAGTGATAAGTGGTGGCCACTTCTATTCAACGTTGTACTGGAGGTTCTAGCCAGGGCAATTGAGAAAGAAAAAGAAATAAAAAGGATCCACATTGGAAAGAATCTCTATCTCTAGATTACATAATTGTATATGTAGAAAATCCTAAGGAATCTACTTAAATATATATCAGAACTAATGAGTTCAGCAAGGTTTCAGGATACAAGATTAATACTTTACAAACCAATGATATTTCTATACATTCGTAATGAACAGCCCAAATATGAAAATAGGAAAACACTTCTATTCAAAACAGTATCAAGTAAAATACTTAAGAATAAACTTAACAAAAGAGGTGTAAAACTGATATTCAGAAAACTTCAATTAATGGGGAAAACCAAAGATCTACATGAATGGAAAAAATATATTCATGGATTGGAAGACTTAACATTGTTAAGATGGCAGTATTCCCCAAATTGATCTGCAACCTCAATGTAATCTCAATCGGAATCCCAGCTCACTTCTTTGTAGAAACTAACAAGCTGATTCTAAAATTCACATGGCATTGTCAAGGACCCAGAATAGCCAAATCTTTAAAAAAGAACAAAGTAGGAGGACTCATAGTTTCTGATTTCAAAATTTACTATAAAACCATGAGAATCAATGAAGTATGGCATTGTTACAAGCATAGACAAAATTGGCCTAACGAATAAATCAATGGAATAGAATTGAATGTCCAGAAATAAAGCCATAAGTTTATGGCTAACTGATCTTTGACAAAGGTGCCAAGATAACCCAATGGAGAAAGTAATATTTTATTCCCAGCAAATGGTGCTGAGACAACTGGATAGTCTTATGTAAAAGAATGAAGTCAGATCCCTATCTCAAACCACATATAACTCAAAATAGATCACAGGCCTAAATATAAAAGGCAAAACTATAAAATTCTTAGAAGAAAACATAGGAGTAAATCTTTGTGACCTTGTGTTACACAGTGGTTCTTAACTACAACATCAAAGAAAAATAGATAAATTGAATTTCATTGAACTTAAAGTCTTCTGTGCTTTAAATAATGCCATCAAAAATGTGAAAACATAATTCAAAGAATGGGAGAAAGTGTTGTGAAATCATATATCCAATAAGACATTAGCATCTAAAATATATAAAGAGCTCAACTCAAACATAAAAAGACAACCCAATTTAAAAAATGCAAATGACTTGCATAGAAATCTCTCCAAAGGTATAGAAATGGTCAAAAGCATATGAAAATCACTAGTTAACAAAGAAAGGCAAATCAAAACCACAAGGTACTGCTTCTCACCCACTAGGATGCCTAGAATCAAAAAGTCAGATATTAAGTGTTGTCAAGGATGTGGAGGAATTGGAATTGTTATCAATTGCTGGTGGGAATGCAAAATGATGCAGACACTTCAGATGTAGTTTAGCAGTTCTTCAAATGATTAAACACAGCATTACTACGTGACTTGGAAATTCTACTCTTAGGTATGTACACAAGAAAAATGAAAATATATGTCTATATAAAAACTTGCCCCCAAATTCCGAGGAACATTATTCATAACAGCTAAAAAATAGAAACAATCACAATGTCCATCAATTGATGAATAAATTTTTTAAATATGGTATAGATTTTACAATGCTATTTTTCCAAAAGTAAAAGAAATGAAGTACTGTTACGTGCTGTAATATGAATGAATCTGGAAAACATTATTCTATTTGAAAGAAGCCAGTTACAATAGACCACATATTTTATTATTATGTTTACCTGAATTATCCAGAATAGGGAAATCCATAGATTTGGTTGCCAAGAGCTGAGGAAGAAGAAGAGGCTGTCTGCTGATAAGTATAGGATTTCTTTTGGGGATTTAAAAAATGTTCTAAAATTAAGTAGTTGTGATGGTTACACAACTTTGTGAGTTAACAAAAAAACTGCTGAATTGTATACTTTAAAAGGGAGAGTTTTATGGTGTGTAAAATATATCTTAATAAAGTGATTCCTTAAAAAGGGAGAAAAAAAAGAAACTGGGATAAATATGATATATTAAAACTTAAGGAGATAAGACTCTCTAACACTCACACATACCTTAATCTAGGCATAAACCAAAATATTTAAAAAATCATATGTACAAAAGCCTTGCCTGGTATTCACAACTCAAATTCTTATGTAAGAACTCAGATTTTATTGTTTTCCTACTCTTTGATTATTACTGTTCATTCCACATTTCAATGCACTAAAATGATTCAGTGCTGTTAATTTTTATTACTAATGTGATTAATTCACCTTCCAACAAACATAGAAATGACCTGAATGACAAACAAGTGAGATATGGGTAAGAATTTATGTGACCTCAGGGTCTATCTCTTTAATAATTTTATCAGGGAGAGTTTAAACACATGACATCATAAATCCAGAATACTAAAGTCAGATTGACCAAGACTTTAGTAAAGTTGTTCATTTAACTCCCGTAGCATCATGACTGTATCTTAGCAAAATGCGGGCTTTTCCTATCAACTTGTCATGTCTAAGGAATTAAAGTAAAAAATCCTGTTCTCATAGTGGAAAATAGGTCAAATATCTTGTTTTGAACCTGTGCCCCCTATAGAATAGAGGCACATACTTCAGGCTTTATTGTGGCATATTCTTATAAATTATTTCTACAAAGGAGCAAGACTATTTTCTCTCTCTCATTAAAAATAGTATAGTCCTTATACTCTTTTGTCCCCTTGTCAAATTTAGAAGAGAAAAGTTTAGGGGATCTATTTTATTATTTTGCAATATATTTGGTGGGAATGAACATACATTTTATAATTTTTAAATTTAATGATAAAATCTGAGATGTCTTGAAGATATTCCATGATCCTCTATTGCAACTTTCTATACTCTTTTTAAAAGATGTTTATCCACACTTTAGTATTTTATTTAATTTTTACTTTAGTTTCAGGGGTACATATGCAGGTTTGTTATATAGATAAACTCATGTCACAGAGGTTTGTTGTACAGATTATTTTATCACCTAGGTACTAAGCCTCGTACCCAACAGTTATTTTTTTTTGTACCCTTCTTGCTCCTCCCACCCTACACCCTCAAATAGTCTCCAGTGTGTTGTTCCCCTCTTTGCTTCCATGAGTTCTTAACATTTACCTCCCACTTTGAAGTGAGAACATGGGGTATATGTCCGTGCATTAGTTTGCTAAGGATAACATCCTCCACTCCATCCATGTTCCAACAAAAGACATGATATCATTCTTTTTTTTGGTTGCATAGTATTCCATGGTGTATATATATCGCATTTTATTTATCCAACCTGTCATTGATGGGCATTTAGGTTGATTCCATATCTTTGCTATTGTGAATAGTACTGCAATTTAAACTCCTGTGTATGTATGTTTATGAACACTCTTATTTTTTGCACTGTCTCAATGCAGCAAATGAAGCCAGATTTTCTCAGTAGTAGTCACCTGCATGGGATTTAGATTCACGTATGGAGGTGGCAGGTTATTCCCATCACTTCTAACTCAAAGCAACACACAGTCATTCTATATATGTTTACTACCCTGCCAGTATTTTCTAAGTCTGTCCTAACTTCTGACTTTCGGCTTCATGTCCTTAAGTAAATAAGAATGTAAAACGCCTAGTGACATATTCTTGGTTGGAACATATATAGCTATGGAAATGATATTTTTCTCCAGTAAACTCTTTATGTTCCTTGAGATTCAGTTGTAGGGCTCTTTTAATACTGACTTCTTCTGTGACTGTTGACAATTTGCAATCTCTGTATCTGAGATTTCTCATCTATAAAGTGAGAGTATAAGTGTAAATTATTTCCAATTATGAAGATCTACTTTGGATGAAAATGCTCACTGCTACCCCTTTTTTATACCTAGTAAACGATTATAAGATGTTGATGCAGGATGTCACTTTGCCAGCTGGAAACATCTGGGGTCAACAGCACCTCTGCTTGAGTTTTGCTCATGCCTGCTGGGCTAGTTTCACCCACTCAGCCTTGCAGTCTTTGATTGGCTCGTGCTACCAACACAGATCCCATGCCTGCCAAGGGTGAGCCAGGTGTGGAGTGGCAAGGGTGTGTAAACAATCAAGCGTGGGGTCCTGCCAGTGCACACAGTTAGTCATGTTGGCTACTTGAGCAGCGCTGGCAGCTCCACGCACTAGCACAGGTGGCAGCACCATGAGAGACTGAGACTGGACCAGGTGTACTGCAAGAGGCTTCTACTGTAGGACCAATGTCCGGATGAGGGGAATGCAGTGCGCCTGAAAGCGTAGAGATGCCAGAAACCGCAGAACCCCAAAGAGGGTGTTACCGAATGACACAGCCCTGACATGGGGAGCCCTGAGGTCGGGGATCCCAGAAGGTTTACAGCCCTTCTCCCCTCACCGCCGCAGCATAGCGAGCTGTGAGGGGGATGTTGCAGAGCAGGTGTGTTTCAGACCGTTTGTGTTACAACTCTTTCAGTCCTGCCACCTTGTTCTGGCCTGCAAATCCTGGGCTGGCTTGCCTCGCTGCTGCTTCCTGTTTGGGGAAGCTGCCTGGTACCAGCAGAGGGCAGGAGGGCTATGACGTTAAAGCAGCTCTGGCTTGGGGAATCCAGAGGTCTGAGCCCCCAGAAGGTTCACCACTCTTCAATCCTGTGGTCCAGGAGCATGTCACTGCCCATGACTTAGCAAGCTGGCCAGAAATATATTATGGCTTTTTTCACTCCCACTGTTTGGTGGATCTTGAGTTCTTGTCCCATGTCCAAGAAGAATGAGGTTATGTGGACAACTGGAGGTTGAACATGGTGGAGAGGAGCTTTATTAAGTGACAGCACAGCTCTCAGCAGAGAGGTTACCTGAAGTGGGTAGCTCCTATCTGCAGGCAGGTCATCCTCACAAGTCTCTGGATCTGGCTGAGTCTGGAGATGTTATGGGCTCAGAATGGCAGAAGTGCATGCTGTTTTGTCAGTGAGTGGCCATGGACAGGCCTGGAAAAAGCACCATTCAACTGGCCATAAGACATCAAGGAAGTTCTGACTCCAGGTCACTGACTCCACCCAAAACTGGCATCCTGGCCCCCAGGCTTCAGGTCATCCCTGGCTTGAAGGTGGGTTTCACCAGGGACCCACAGCTTCCCACTTAGGAACCTGTCTGCCTCCGGCTGCCATTAATGTGCCCTCCATGGTGTCCAGGCTGTCTTTGCCGAGGGTCAACACCAGGCACGTGCCAAGCCAATCTCAGACACCCAGCCTCCCTCCTGTGCTTGTTGGCACCCAAAGTTTTAGCCTCAGAAGCAGTTTCCAGAGGGGGCCAAGACAGCAGGGGACCAGCATGTCAGTGCTGCCCCCAAGTACAGGCACACCTGACCAGGTCACAACAGCACCTGGGCTTAGCTATTGGGACATGTCCACAACTTTGCTCCACCACAGAGCAGGTGCTTGGAGCAGGGAGAGGCCAGGGAGTGGGTGCAGAGGCACTTCTGAGCCTGCAGGGGAAGGGGGCTTCCTGGGTCTCTGAGAGCACAGGGATGCCTGGGTCTGGAGCCGTGGCTGGGCAGCTGCAGCTGTGCCTGGGAGCAGGAGCTCCCACCTCACTATTTAGTTGGGCGCAGGGCTCCCACTGGGATCACCTGTTCCCCTCCCCCATCAGTTCCATGGAGCACACAGCCCCAGCTGCACCTCCCCTGCTGCAGCTGGCATCCTCACAGCGGCCACTCTAGATGGGCTTCTGCAGCCGTCAGTGTTTATTTTTTACTTCAATGCATACAATTTCATATAGAGATGAACATGAAACTCCTGCTAGCATGATAGAATTTTTCTTTAATGTTGCTATTTTCATACTCATGTTTTCAATGCCATCTCCTCTTATAAAAGAAAATATTTTCATGTACTTTCTTTAAAGAAAGCCAATGTATAACTCAAGTATTTGTTGTATTTGTGTCTATTTCTTGATAAACTAAAGAAGGATATTTGTAAAATATATACTATTTTCTGAAAAGAGCAGAATTCGTTTAGTTAGCATCGTTTAACAGCAATGCCTATTTCACCCCAGTAGGTAAGGAAATTTTGTGAGGGTATTTTTTGGAAAGCTGAGGATGATTTGAATTTATACTTAGATTTACAAAGACAAAATGGATTTTTTTATTTCAAGTCTTTCCAATGCTAATTTTATTTTTAATTTTTTGATTCCTATAATAATATATATTTTTTGCCCTAAGTGTTTTACAGATAAAAGTATCAAGTGGTTTGTATGTTCCCATATTATTTTTATAAATGGAGGGTCTGAGAAATCAAAAACAAGGGTTTACCTTGCTAAGATTAATTCCTTCCATCCACTGCACAGAAATCTGGCTTGGTATTCCCATTATTCCCTAAATTGTCAAAGACTTGTGGAGCTAAGTTCATGGGTTAAGTGTTCCATATTTGTAATAAAATATTCCCCTGAAATCATAAGACATCTTTGTTTTGAATCATTCCTTCCATGTCTGCTGTTTTCAAAACTAACTTGTTAAACACTGGTTGAAATGACCACAAAAGTAATGTAAACAAAATGAGTGAGTTTTATATATGCTTACATTGAAAGATGACTTCATTAAAAAGCTTCTTAGCTCAATATCATGAAAATGGCCATACTGCCCAAGGTAATTTATAGATTCAATACCATCCCCATCAAGCTACCAATGACTTTCTTCACAGAATTGGAAAAAACTACTTTAAAGTTCATATGGAACCAAAAAAGAGCCCGCATTACCAAGTCAATCCTAAGTGAAAAGAACAAAGCTGGAGGCATCACGCTACCTGACTTCAAACTATACTACAAGGCTATAGTAAGCAAAACAGCATGGTACTGGTACCAAAACAGAGATATAGATCAATGGAACAGAACAGAGCCCTCAGAAATAACGCCGCATATCTACAACTATCTGATCTTTGACAAACCTGACAAAAACAAGCAATGGGGAAAGGATTCCCTATTTAATAAATGGTGCTGGGAAAACTGGCTAGCCATATGGAGAAAGCTGAAACTGGTTCCCTTCCTTACACCTTATACAAAAATCAATTCAAGATGGATTAAAGACTTCAACATTAGATCTAAAACCATAAAAATCCTAGAAGACATCCTAGGCATTACCATTCAGGACATAGGCATGGGCAAGGACTTCATGTCTAAAACACCAAAAGCAATGGCAACAAAAGCCAAAATTGACAAATGGGATCTCATTAAACTAAAGAGCTTCTGCACAGCAAAAGAAACTACCATCAAAGTGAACAGGCAACCTACAAAATGGGAGAAAATTTTTGCAACCTACTCATCTGACAAAGGGCTAATATCCAGAATCTACAAGGAACTCAAACAAATTTACAAGAAAAAAACAACCCCATCAAAAAGTGGGCAAAGGACATGAACAGACACTTCTCTAAAGAAGACATTTATGCAGCCAAAAAACACATGAAAAAATGCTCACCATCACTGGCCATCAGAGAAATGCAAATCAAAACCACAATGAGATACAATCTCACACCAGTTAGAACGGCAATCATTAAAAAGTCAGGAAACAACAGGTGCTGGAGAGGATGTGGAGAAATAGGAACACTTTTACACTGTTGGTGGGACTGTAAACTAGTTCAACCCTTGTGGAAGTCAGTGTGGCGATTCCTCAGGGATCTAGAACTAGAAATACCATTTGACCCAGCCATCCCATTACTGGGTATATACCCAAAGGACTATAAATCATGCTGCTATAAAGACACATGCACACGTATGTTTATTACAGCACTATTCACAATAGCAAAGACTTGAAACCAACCCAAATGTCCAACAATGATAGACTGAATTAAAAAAATGTGGCACATATACACCATGGAATACTATGCAGCCATAAAAAATGATGAGTTCATGTCCTTTGTAGGGACTTGGAGGAAATTGGAAATAATCATTCTCAGTAAACTATCGCAAGAACAAAAAACCAAACACCGCATATTCTCACTCATAGGTGGGAACTGAACAATGAGATCACATGGACACAGGAAGGGGGACATCACACTCTGGGGACTGTTGTGGGGTGGGGGGAGAGGGGAGGGATAGCTTTAGGACATATACCTAATGCTAGATGATGAGTTAATGGGTGCAGCGCACCAGCATGGCACATGTATACATACGTAACTAACCTGCACATTGTGCACATGTACCCTAAAACTTAAAGTATAATAATAATAATAATAACAAAAGAAGCTTCTTAGCAACAGTTTGATTATTAAAGGGGTCCGTGTTAGAATTATATATTCTGTGAAAATCGCAATACACAATAGTCTTCAGCTTTGATTAACCTCTCTTTGAAATAGGATTTTAATATTGAAGTGAAAGAGCTCATTGTTAGGAACAAATACATTCTCTTAATACTGCGATGTATTATTTTCTCCATCCAGATGAAGTATCTCTATCTAGATTCTATTTGAAGTTGAGGGTTTCCACAGATTTAGTTAATGTATATTTTGTCTTTTCAGTTTTACTGGAACAGGTGTTTGTTCTCTGATTTCAGAAATCAAGTAAAACTGTCCATCTTAATTTTTTTTGTTGTAGAAAATATATTTTTTATTTTTTTATTTCTTGGCTCCCACCAAGGCACTAATACGGCTTTCTATCACTAATGTTATGAAATGATAGAGAGGTTATTTATAACACGTCATTTCTGCAAGGACTTGGAAGTAAGATAATCAACATAAGTCAATTCAACAAACATTTACAGAGCATTAACTGTATGCCAACCAGTGTCAAGCCTTGAGAATTTAGAGTTGAAAAATGTATTGTCTTCCTTCAAATTGCCCGCAATATAGTAGGAACAGAAAGTCATAAATTGCAGTACCATAATTGTACGCATACCAGTGGAAGAATGTAATCAAAACATCTTGCTTTACATACAGAAAATGTGAAGTCCAGTGACATAAAGTAATTTGCCCAAAGTCACAAAGTTATTTGGACGAGGATCCAGCATAAACCCAGGTCTTCTAATTTCTTCTCTACGAAACCACAGCTAAATTCTGTAAGAAATGAATTATTGCTGGTACTTTCTTCTTCCCCTAAAAGCTGAAAAAAGAAACACAATAGTCATGAACATAAGCCAACAATAAAAAACATAATATACTAAATATTTTAATTCTTCCTCCATGCCCAATTTACCCCCCTATTTACCACAACATCTCCATTTTTCATATCAGGATAAAGGAAGGAAAGGAATATTGAGCATCTACCCTGCTAAATGATATTTCTCAAACTCAGAAGGAACATTGCTGCCTTGAACTTTTAGATCTTTCACCTCCATGGGCTCTGCCACCCACCTCCCACCATCAGCAGAGAACTCACAGCTATCAGTATGATCAGCTCCACCACTCTTCAGTACTCACTGTATTTTCTCTTTTCATTGTTAGAATGTTTTTTATTTATTTGTTTCCTTTAGATGAATCTGAATTTTCTGCAAGATATGCTAAAGAAATACAGGGTTACTTTACTTTTGGCAAAACCTAGCTAATAGTCTGAATTACATTACTGAGTAATCAATATTCTTACTGATTTAAACTAACAAGGTGGTATTCTTATTGTCATTATAATGTTCATTTTGTATATGTGTATGCCAAAATATGTTCCATGCCAATAATAAAAACTTTTAAAATGGTTTCACATTTGCCAAGAATGATATGGCTATGGACAGAAGCCAAGTCAATCCTTGCAGATTTCAGTTTGTCTTTGTCTTAATTTTTAGTGATTTAGCAGAGCAGTCATTCCTGTTGCTGTACAAAAATATATCAACCTAATGACCCTTCTCTGAAAAACAGTTACAAGACAACATGTGCTATAGCCCCATGGTAAAAGTAGCATATAAATCAATTAAGAGTAAAAAGTGCAACTTCATTTCAGCTTTAAATACAGGAAGCTTTAGTGAAGGAAATCAGTGTCCCTTGTATTCAAATTTTTTTTTTTTTTTTTTTTTGCGCAAGTGAACAACATCTTGTAAAAGATGTACTGGGGTCATTGTGCCATTTATATATCTGCATAAGCTACACTGGGTCCAAGACATTCTACTTTGGAGATAAAAACCAGCTTGCTGGTGTCTACAAGTAAGGAGGGTAACCTACCTTCCTGGAAGTTCTTTTGAGAGCATCTCACACTTACACTGTAGAAACATAAGTTTGGAGAAAGACATCCCATGATTAATGAGGAAGCCTATAAAATAAGACTCTCCAAAGCCCTGAATTGTAACATTGGAGACAAGTGGCCATAATTTTATTGAGATCTGCCAACATCATGCTGAAGATTAGTTCTACCAATATTCTGTTCTCTTTCCTCCCACTGTCCCTGTAATAAAAGCATGAATGGAATAGTTTATATAATGTCCTCATCTCTTGAAACGGTGATTTATGAAGCTCTGCATTTATTTTTCTAAATCGACCCATCCTTTCAAGGACCAGCTCAATTTTGCTTCTTGCATAATGTCTCAAAATGTCAAAAATCTCTCATAGTCTTGGATAATATTCATTTATGCTTTGAACCCTATAGTTTGCACTTGGCATAATCTGTTGTTATAATATTTTTCTAAATATTTATAATTCCTTTCTTCTCCATTAATTGTAATCAAGGACAAAATTATGGCTCACATTTCTTGCTGTCCTCCATAATGCATAGCATAGAGTCTAGATATCTAAGAGGACGAGTGACATTTTTGATGCATCTTACTTAATCATTCCTAACTCATTAGAAATATTCCCTTTCCCCATTCTAATTTTCTTGGTCTATGATTCTGTTTTATTTCAACAATATAGAAGGAGAATTTGTGTCTTTAAGCTTATTCTTAGGCAGACATAGAGTATTGTATTAATACACATTTTCTGTCTGAAGTTTTCTGGCAGAAATAAGCTGCAAGACTGTGATTATTTCATTTCTAAAAAACCAAAGGTGGATATCAGTGCAATAGGCCATTTGCCAAGTAGAATAATCTTGCCCATATACAATTATTTTATTTAAAAGTTTGTGCATGACTTGATGAGTGATGAATATTAGGATTGTTTGTCAGGGATTACAGAAAGTTAAACTGGACAAGATTAGCGACTGATTTAGCAAATGAGTTTTTTCATTAATGTTTTGTGTATTTCTTATACAAGGATACATACAGTAGGTCTTTTCAGTTCTTTCTGTCACTATAGCAATAACATAACCTATTAAAAACAAATACCATAAAATAGTTTTTTCTCTTTTTGAAAGCTATGCTAGATAATAAACTACTTTTAAGGCATTTCTTAGGTAGGTCTGGCATATTATTGAGTTTTAAGTGCTCAGATGAAGCAAGAAAATCTGCATTATTCTGAGACCAATGGATAAACTAAGAGAACTTTTGTCAGCCTAATTTGTATTATAATCCATTGTAGTTTCTGAAGGATACATGTACGTTCAAGAATGGCAGTGTATCATAGAATAGATGTGTTATATAGCAAGATCTGCCGTCTGCCATTGTTTGAGTTTGGAATGACTTTCTTGACAAGCTGAGGAAGGAACCTTTACTCGTGGGGTAGTATTTCTTCCCTGCGGGTTCAATGTGTTTTTGACTGAAAGAGAGCATCATGCTTTTGGCAAGTGCATGAATTAAAAATATTAATGAACTGGAGTAAAAAGTAAAATAATTTTTTTTAATTAAATTACAATCAAAGTTTATGTTCCTATTCAGATTTGTCAGCCTATCACTGTGTCCCTAGGCTGAAGCAATAGGAGAAAAAAATCTGATGAATTTTATTTCTTTGTGCTTATGGTTATTACCGAATTCTTTTAAAAATGAGAAATGTTATTATTTTCTTTCTCAGTCCAGATGGCTACTTTTTAATGTTCATTGATAAAGTAAATCAGAAGTAAGAGACAAAAAAAATTTAATGGATACTCTTATTGTTATAATTTTATATTTGGTTTCAAATGCCATAGAAACTCAAAATTAAATTCCGCAGGTTAAAATCAACGAAAAACTTGTTTAAATTTTTGAGTTTTGCTAAGTCGGTGCGAGATCTCACAATGCTAATGCTGAATTGAATGCTAAAGGAAAAATTATGTACATTCATGCATCAGAATGACAGTATTTGTGCCCAGGGAGATGCTGTTGGCTTATTTTCCCAGTGAACAACCCTTCATATAGTTAGATGTAGTGGTTTAGCTAGGAAATCATGCCATGACTCTGAATCAGGCATGTCTAATTATTGAGGCTGTGTGAATCCAGCTCAAAATAAGAGAGCTGTTTGAAAGGCAGAGTTTTTCGGTCTCTGCACTATTGACATTTAAGGTCATGCTATATATATTACAGAACGCTTAGCAGTGTCTCTAGTTTCTCCCCGCTACATGTAGTAGTAACTAGCCAGTTCTGATCATCAAAAGTGTCTGTTGACCTTGAGAATGTCACCATTTGGAGAGTAAGTTTACCCTTTGTTGAGAACCACTGGAATAAAGTGGACATAGCTCCAATAGAAATAGTATACTCTCAGTATATGTCCCATCTCTGAGAATTTATCATTAAAACAAGATATTAAGTAGTCTAATTATAATTATTATTATTAGGCATATAATTTTATTTTAGCCTGTTTTTGTTATTGTTGCCAGAGTTATATGTTTTTCTAATAATAGATACAAAGTAAATAGGAACAAAGTGCATATATTACCAACGAAGTACAGTAATACCTCATTTATCATCGTTGGTAGATTCTTGGAAACTGCCGTCTTAAGTGAAACAACATATTAGGAAACCAATTTTACCAAAGGTTAATTGATATAAACAAGAATACAGTTCCTATGGCATATTTCTGCTCACAAACACATCACTGCATTTTTTAAAGATTCAAGCACTTAAATCACTTCTAATATTAAACATTAAAATAAATATGAGCTATACATATGTTTTAGAATGATTAGTAAAAACAATAATTTACCTGCTTATTACAGTTTAGGGTCTCGCATGGCCTGATCCTATCCAGGTAGCTCGGCACAAGGTGGGAACCAACTCTGGACAGGATGCCATTCCATCGTAGGGCACATTCACACGTTGTCGTGTGCATACACACACACACACACACACGCTCTCTCTCGCTCGCTCGCTCTCAGACTAGGACCATTTAGATGTGCCAGTTCACCTGGAGAGAACATGCAAATTCCATACAAATCACGGCCCTGGCTGGAAATCATGTCTTCTTCTCATCAATATTTTTAGCAAACGGTATTGAATGAAATAACATTATTCTAGAAACTGCTGTGTGTGTGTGTGTGTCCAACAGGTTGGTGTCAATAATGTTAATGTGGATAGACAACTTTCTGGATCAACTCAGAAATTATTAGTATAGTACTTCATACCTTAAAGAGGAAATTTGAAGATGAAAATGGAATTTAGTTAATTTTTTAGGAAGTAAAATTTTCTAATTATCTTATGAATCTCCTAAATTAAAAAAAAAACAGAATAGATGATATTAAATCTTTGCATGGAGTCAGAATGACCTGAATTAAGAAGCAATCCTTCAAATCCACCATGAGTTGCTTTCCAATTCATAAGTGAGAATCAAGTATTTGAAATAAAACCATTAAAATTTCTGTTTTTACATATTTACCATGAATTGAATTTTGTTACTGCAGGCCTAAATCTTATAATGGGAAAGGTGATTAAGTAAGTTTCTTAATCACCTTTCCCATTGTAAGTACAAGTACCTCTTGATATGTGGAAAGAAGTTAAGACTAAATTTTAGAGTTCTGGGCTTTGCCTTCTTTTTGCTATGGATTAGCTATGTAAATTAGCCAAATAACCTAGTCTTATTTGAGCTTTAGTTTCTATAAAGAAAAAAAGGAAAATGGAGTAAATTCCCTCTCTTACCTTCATTATAATTTTGTAACAAATGATACTAAGTACTAAAATGTATTTGCTACACAGATAAATTCAGATTGCTCTGATAATCTTTTTGCTTAGCAAAATGGCATTCATGGTAAGAATGGCAGAGACCTATTCTATTTTTTTTTTTAAAGAAACAAAATCTGCTTTTAAAAAGCTCATTGGATGTAATCAGCATGATGCTATTCACTGAACTATAGCGCCTTCAGACTAGAAGATAATTTTGTATATATTTACATAAATGCGTGTACAATGCAGAAAAAGGATATTCTATTAATGGGATTTAATTAAACAGGTTTCCTCAGGAAGCATATTCATACATACGTATACATAGAGAAATCAATCTGTAATGGAATATCTCTAAATTTACAAAATATGATTTAATGACGTCTACTATATCAATGGTGATTACAGTACTTAGGTCAATAATACAGAGCAAATAGTACTATAAAAATTTGCCCCTTTAAGATTTGCTTAAATTTTTCCTTCTGATAAACAGAAATGATCTGCTCCATCACCCAAATACTATCTTTCTCTTTTAGAATGGCTGAATGTGAAATGTACTACTTAATAAAGCAGATGCAAGGTTTGTAGTATGTATTAAGATAGATTGCTTATGTGAAATGGAAATGAATACCATAAATCAAAGTAGCTCATTATTTGTTTCTTGTTTTATACTAATTTATCAGTTTTATTTTTAGTTTTTTATTGTTCAGGTCTATAGTTTACTACCTGAGTGTTGGCCTACCTGTAAAATTTGATAACATGTATGTCTTTACCACAGCAAAAGAGTGCACATGTGGTATCTTGCCATTTCAGTTTTAAGAGATTATTGAGAAAGTTATAGAAAGTCATATTAGTTGATGATATCTTAACATTTATTAAAATTAATTTTGGGCATTTTATAATAACAATACTTCAAAATACACAATCCAAAAGAGAAATAAAAATATAGGGGTATAGAAAGTTGTAAGAAAATACTAAGCATTCATGACTAAGCATATTTTAAAAATATTCAGTTTGTTTTGGTATTTGAATCTTGCAAAACCACAAGTTCTTACCTTATAACTTATATGCCAATTTATTCAGAGTAAGAAAATGTTTTATAAGATCTTAAACTATTGACATTCATTCACTCATGAAATTAAGACTGCAGACTTGAAAAGATATAATTATTGTCCTCAAGAAGCTCATGGTATAATTGATGCTATATAATGTAATCTGGAGAGTCTCTAAGAAAGATCTTCTGTGATTAACAAAATGGAAGGGAAAATATTCTAGTTTGCAGAATTATAATTTTAAAAATTGTGTTTTTTAAATTTACAATGAGGTGTAACTAAACAAAAATATAGAAAACACACCACGTTTTTCTTGCAATGGCATTCTGAATTATATTTTTGAAACTCCAGGTATTATGCAAGTTTCTACCAATTTTAAGTGAATTTTCATCAATCAAGAGTTATCTGACGGGTATAGACTTATCTCTCTTTTTAAAATTTAATATAGTTTTTTTAATGTCTGTAAAAGTAAAACAGTTTTGTTGTCTCTACACTAGGAAAACCGTGAAATACTCTTGAGGACTTTGAAATCGGGTTGTCCTCTGAGAGTTATGTTAGTAAAATTCACACTCAATGACAGTGATTAGCTCACTAGTATAGGAATAATGACAATTCAAAAACAATAATGGCAGTAATAATGCAAATAATTGACTATGTAATGTGAATCCAGTCAGAAGTCCTCCCAAGGAGACATGGCTGAAATTTAAATATATTTTAGTAAGAATAAATGAAATATAGTCTGTCTCATTTGGGTTTCTTCTCTTATCTTTCACCCTGGATGATCTCTCCAGCAAAAGTATGAGGGAAGAGAATTGCCATTCTGAAGAGAAACTCCAGGTAGAGAGAAAGAGTAAACACATAGCTGAATGCATCACTGATGGAATGTCCTAAAATTAATGAAATTGGGCCCAGCAACTGCAGAACTTTCTGTAAACATATTATTTCTAGAAATATGTTTTGTCAATTTGACTAACGTAGGCAGAACTATAGAACTAAATCAACGTAGTAATCTGTACCATTATTGGTGCCAGTTCTTACGGAGACATCTCTTTGTCATTGAAAGTCTCTTTGTTCTTGGCTTACAGCAAGTCTTTATAAGCTTGATCCTATGTTTTTATCTCGTATTTCTAAATGAAAGAAGTACATTAAAGGGTGATCAGATTTCTTACTGCTAGGTATATGTCTATGAGAAGTAAAAAGTTACAATGAAAGAGAGAAAATAATGAGTACTCTAACAGGACTAAGGAATTTCAAAACATAGCAGGTGGAGTCATTGATTGTGTGGACAAATAACTACAGGTTTCAATAGTCCTTTATATAGCAGAATGCAGGCCAATAGAATAGTGGCACTGCTAACTCTATCATCAAAAATAAGATAAACGTACATGATGTGACTATAAGAAAGGGTTTAAGTATTTTATACATTTTAGAAAA
Source organism: Homo sapiens (assembly GCF_000001405.40). Lineage (NCBI taxonomy): Eukaryota > Metazoa > Chordata > Mammalia > Primates > Hominidae > Homo > Homo sapiens. Next base: position 9,707,685 of record NC_000009.12, on the reverse strand, counting down.
AAGTTGTATTTTAAAGGAAAAAGCTTAATTTATTGGATAATTCATAGGCAAAACTATTTTTTGCTAATAACTTCAGAAAAATGTAGGCTATTGCATTATTTTAGAGATGGTATCCTAGATAATGTAAAATTAAACAATAATCACGCTGTTATTCCAGTGAGTATGCCAGCATTGTTTAGGAATGAATTATTTGTACCGGTTCTATTGTACATCAAATGCCATTTTCAATCAAAACAAGCAACGTCCTCTACTTTGTTATAAGTTCTATTAGAGAGGGATTACAAATGAAATATATCTCATCTCTGACATAATAATTTGTATCTTGTGTAAATCGAATAGTGACTTGAAGGGATTTATTCACAACTGTGATCTCTAAGGCCCCAAAATAGATAGGCTGCCCAAAAATATTCTTATTTTGTTTTAACAGCACACTGGTTTTAATTAACAATACCCATAATTATAATTTTCAGAATATACCTTACATGTACATAAATACCATTTTTAAAGGCATTGGAAAAATATTACCGATATACAAAAGAATCCCTTTATGGCATTTCAAACATGTCAGTCAGACGTACATATGCCATTGTTAGCAACTTGGAATTTTAATAAAAAGGACATCTGTTCATTTTCTTATCTGTAATCTCAGATAATATTTTCTTGAGTGGTATTTTTCACTTCTATACTTTTAACTTATTCTATTTTATCTTTGCTGATAACAAATTATTTTAGTGGGGCCAAATGGTCCTTTGGATGCAAGATTTTTCAGACTTTTCAATTGCTTTTTGCCTTTTTGTTTCATTTTATTTAATACATGTCCTCCAGCAGCACTACCTACCTCGCCCCATTCCCACCCCAAACAGGCTTTTGTTCTTTTGCATCTTATATATATGTTTCCGGTGGACAAATTATTTGGATACTCAATGGAGTTTTTTAAGAGTTAGTAGGCCAGGCATGGTGGCTCATGCCTGCAATGCTAGCACTTTGGGAGGCTGAGGCAGACGGATCACCTGAGGTCAAGAATTCGAGACCAGGTTGGCCAACATAATGAAACCCTGTCTCTACTAAAAATACAAAAAATAGCTGGGTGTGGTGGCACACAACTGTAGTCCCATCTACTCGGGAGGCTGAAGCAGGAGAATTGCTTGAACCCAGGAGGTGGAGGTTGCAGTGAGCCAAGATTGTGTCATTGCACTCCAGCCTGTGAGACCAGAGTGAAACTCCATCTCAAAAAAAAAAAAGAGTTAGCAAAAGTACGGTGATGTGCAATGACATATTGTAAATAACAATAGTACAATAGTACTCTTATTTTGGTGTCTGATAATACATTGGAAGGAAACTTCATGAGAAATAAATCAATGTACGTATGAAACTTGATCATATATGTAAAATATTTTAGAATAATTGTTTAGGAGAATTTTTTAATGTAAAATACATAATACTTGATAAAATATGAAATCTAAAACAGATTGGGGTTTTCTTTTGTAACAACTGTATATTTCCCTAGATTAGGGAGTAATTCAAAACAAACTGTGGTAATTAGTTTTAAGAGAAGTACTATTATTCATAATAATAGCTGTTATTTATTCAGTATTGTGCCAGGAACTGTTATGCGTGTTACTTAGATTATTTAACTTCATCCTCATGATTAATTTGCAAGAAGATATTATCATGTCCATTTTAAAGATGAGGGAAACATTGCCCAAAGCCATTAATTGGCCCAGGAGCTATGTAGACCATCGTCTATTGCACTTTGATGCCTAATACATACTTTCCACTAAGCCATACTACCTCTCTTTGAGGTCACTGCCAGAAAACACAATAAATTTCAAAGTGATTGAGTAAATATTAATGTCATAGATTACAATTAGACTTCAAGAATGGTATAAGTTGATAAAGATATTTAATTTAAAAATCATTCTGCACAGATAAAAAACTTTTTTGATTTTTTTGTACATTAGTATGACAAAACTGGTTAAGGTAGTTAAATTAACTTTTGATACTTAGAAGTAGGTATATTTATTTTAAAATATATTTTAAGATAAAATATTTTCATTAGCTGAGAAATGTTGAGAATTACTCATACACTATTACTATCTTTATTATATGCTTCTAAGATCATGGAGAGCAAAGACCTCAAGTGCTTGAGAGTACAGTTTCTATTTTAGATAGTAGAAGTGATCTCATTCTTGGTAAATGTAAAATAAAATAGAAAAGCCCTTTGTGTGTTATATTAAGGCCACTTCAGAGTGTTTTAATATAAAAAGGGAAAATTGAATTTTTGATTTCAACATAATCATATTTCAAAATATTAGGTTTCAGCCTTTGCATTCTTCCTTGGCTTAATTCTCCATCTAATTAAGATAATCATAATGGAAAAATGTATAATTCTACATTTCAAAATGCTGCTAAAATCCTAATTCATTTATAGTAATTCAGCACCACAAAACCACTGGCATGAGAATAAGGGAACCATTATGAAATATTATCTGTCATATGCAATTCTATGAATATATACTGAATTGTATTTGAGCAAAGATTCAGCCAAGTATGTAGGATGAATTTCTAGCTTCACGTGAAGTGCTCTGTGTAGTGCTAGAAAATGCTCACATTGCTTCCATTAAACAAAAGAAAAGAAAAGGAGGGGATGGCATATAAAAAACATGTAACTTCATTAATCTGTTGCTAATTAACAAACTACCCCAAAATTTAGTGGCTTAAAACAGTCATTTTACTTTTTCTTATAAATTTTGGGGTCAAGAATTTTGGACAGGCCTCAGTTGAGTGATTATTTTGTTTCATGTGGCATCAACAGATATCTCTTGATGGTTTTCAACTGGAAAATGACTCGTTTGGAATCTATAAGATGGTTTCACTTATGTCTGTCACTTTGGTGGGTATGGCTAGTAGCCTAGGCACAGCAGGGACTGTCAACAAGAGCACTTCATGTGCACACTTTATCACAGTGGTCTCAGGTAGTCAGATTTTTTTCCTGATGGATCAGGGATCCCAAAGAAAATATTCTAAGAGTCCTGGGCAAAAGCTGTAATAATTATTGTGAAATATTCTTGGAAGTTCCAGAACGTTACTTTGGCTGCATTTTTGTTGTTGTTGTTCACATAAGTCTTTAAGGCTAGTCCAAATACAAGGTAAGGGGAATTGGACCCAATCTTTGAATTGGGGAGTTATCAAAGAACTTGTGGCTATCTTTCAACCACCATACATGGGGAATGACAAACCAGATTCTCACCCAACGTTCTCTTTTTCTCTTCTGATTTGCCTTAGCTAGAGATGCTGAGCATATTAATGATTCAAAATAATATGTCGAGTGGATATAATTTTACTAACTATGATTAAACAGACGTAAAGGGCTACAATTTTTTTTTTAGTGAGCTGCAATAAAGTAGAATGCTGGTGACAAAAAAAAAGAAAAAAGAAGAATGCGATTTGATGGCAATATCACAGACAATAGTTCGTTAAAATGTATGTAGATGTGCTGTACTTGAGTTTGAAGGAGACCCACGGAAAGCCACTTTGCATTATGAGATTCAGAAAATTAACATATAAATTTTAAAAAGGCTATTATCTGGTTTCAGGGTCTTACAGAAATTTCATTTTTAAAATAAAAACTAAAATTAGGCCAGGTGCAGTGGCTCATGCCAGTAGTCCCAGCTACTTGGGAGGCTGAGGTGGAAATTGTTTGAGCCTGGGAGATCAGGGCTGCAGTGAGTGGTGGTTATGCCACTGCACTCCAGCCTGAGTAACAGAGTGAGACCCTATCTCAAAGAAAGTAAAATTAATCAAGTAATTATTTTTTCTACTGGATAAAGTTTATTGCATTCTATATGTTCTCAACATGGTTTTAAAATACTGTATACATTTTTATTCTAACTAACTTCAACTCTTTAGGGTTATTTTATTAATCTCCCTGATTTCTAAGAGCAAATTAAATTTGTATTCTTGGCAAAAAAATAAAATCACTTATTAACAAATAGATTTTCTCTCAGGGAGGTAAACTGTACAGAACAAATCAACAGATAGCAAAATTACTAGCCACATAAATGTATATAATAATATTATTTAAATTAATATGCTATGCATCAATGTTTCTCAAAATGTAATGTGTACATTAATCACCTGCCAATCTTTTCAAAATTCAGATGACGATTCCATAAGTCTGGGGTGAAACCTAAGTTTCTGCGTTTGGTAACAAGCTTCCTGGTGAATGTAATGTTTCTGCCATGTAAACCCCACTTTGATTACTGGAGGTTTAATGTTAAAAGAATATCAGATAAATTTAGAGTATCATAAAAGTTTGAGTTTTGATAATTGTATTAGTCCATTTTCACACTGCTATAAAGAAATACCTGAGATTGGGTAATTTATAATGGAAAGAGTTTAATTGACTCACAGTTCAGCATGGCTAGGAAGGCCTCTGGAAACTTAAAATCATGGCAGAAGGTGAAAGGGAAGCAGGCACAAGACGGCAAGAGAGAGCAAGAGTGTGTGAGGGAGGGACTGTTAAATGTATAAAACCATCAGATTTCATGAGAAGTCACCATCGCGAGAACAGCATAGGGGAACTGCCCCCACCATCCAATCACCTCTTATCAGTTCTTCCCTCAACACCTGAGGATTATGAGGATTACAATTCGAGATGAGATTTGGGTGGGGACACAGAGCCAAGCATATCAGTAGTACATTCTGTTTAAAAAGAGAATAGTATTAGATTGGCTTTCTGGATCTAGACTCATATATAGATCCATGTATGGATTGGCTTTACGGATTTTTCACCCTATACAAATAGAGTCAGAAATGTTAAGATCTTGTTATTCTTTACTCTCCTGATCACATTCACTTTCTTGTTTTAGATCTTACCATAAGCTAGCCATTAAGTGTATTAATTGATAACCATTATCTTTACTGCTCTTTTTATGCATTTCCACTTCTATAAACACATAATTAGTTACTACCATTTCTATGTCAGCTACTTTCTCCACTTTTCCTCCATAAGCAGTCTACTTCAAGAAACACGTTTTTCTGAAATATCTTTTCTGTTTTCTCCTCACTACCAGTTTTCTCAAAAAGTGGCTTGAAAGTACTGTTTTTCTCTTGTCTGTGCTTCATTAACTATCCACCTGAAATCTATTTCCCAATAACCACTTCAGCATATATAATAACACAATTACTCTCTTGGAAGATCACTGGTACCTCCAGCCATCAAACGCAAGGATTTTCTGAGTCTATTTGTCATCTTTAGAACATCTGACCCAGAAAAAGCCCACTGTGAAACTATGCTTCTTTGGGTTCCATGATATTATACTGTTGTGATCTCACACTATTGCCCCATTCTCTGCATTAATTCCTCTCTTGTTACCAATTCTCTAATTGTAAACACAACCAAAGTTCTCTTTAGATTACACTGTTTTATGCACCCTCTCCCTAAGTGACTTCAACTATGTCTTCGTTCATATGACTCCCATAAATGTTCTTAGCCCTTTTCTTTCTCGTCATCATGATACTTTAGTTTCCTCTCTTTCTTTCTCTCTCTCTCTCTCTTTCTTTTGAGACGGAGTCTTGCTCTGTTGCCCAGGCTGGAGTGCAGTGGCACAATCTCGGCTCACTGCAACCTCTGCCTCCCATGTTCAAGCAATCCCCCTGCCTCAGCTACCCCTAGTAGTGGGGAATACAGGCATGCACCACCATGCCTGGCTAATTTTTGTATTTTTAGTAGAGACGGAGTTTCACCATGTTGGCCAGGCTTGTCTTGAACTCCTGACCTCAGGTGGTCCACCCGCCTCGGCCTCCCAAAATGCTGGGATTACAGGAGTGAGCCACCACACCTGGCCAATACTTTAGTTTTCAAATAGCTTATCAGTTTATATAGAAAGCTTCATTTCTTCCCTCTGAAACTCTCGTGTAGACTCCCAAATTGTATTAATAGCATATTCATCCTTCTCATTTGAAAAGGAATTTTTTGGTTGAATTCAACTTTAATATTCTATTTCACATCTAATGAATTTCTAAGTACTGTCTATTTTCCTCTGCAAGGTCTTTCATATGTATCTCCCATTTGCCATCCCCACCTCTACCATTCAGAAGACTTTGTGGCTTGCTAAATGCAAAATGGTCATCAATGCCTTCCCAAATACAAAATACAACAAGTATTATGGTTTGTTGCTAATTTGACTGTGAAATTTAAAACCTTTGAGTACTAACTCTTTAGTACAACTGGGAGTTACCTACAATCTCTAGGTTGTTCCCCTATGTTTCTATCTGGACCCCTGTCTCCAGTTTCTCTGCTTCCAGTTCACACCATGTAATTATTAGCATAACTTTTTTTTATAATGCAAACCTGCTTTTGTCCTTAATTAGTTTGAAGTTTTTAAATGGCTCCTTATTGTATATGAGATATAACTACCATCATGTTTAAAACATTCTTAGTTATTTGCTCTAAGTTTTCAGTGTTACCTCCCAAAATGGCTTCCTTGTATATTTAGGCAACACTATGCCAAATTCCTAAGCTCATCCAAGAATGGGTTATACACATCTCTCAATGCCTGTGTATGAGCTGCTCTCCATTCTTTAATATCTTCCCAACATATTCCAACAGGGGGAATACCTATTCAATTTTTTTTTTTTTTTTAATCTCAGGATGAAGTGTTTAGAAAGCTTTTCTGACTTCTAGGGGAATGAAGTACTCGTTTCTCTGAGTTCCTACAACTCTTTGCACACATTTCTACTTTGCTGTTAACACCTAGTATTGTAATGGTTTGTTTACATCTGTAACTTTCTGTTAGATTGTCAGTTATTTGATGGCAGAAGCCACATTTTTTCATTTGTCTTTATATTCCAAAATCTTAGGATCTGCCTGAAATCTACTAGAAATTTTTATGGAGATGAAAATAGGAGATAAGTCTTAAACTTAGTTAGGGTCAGAAAACAAGACCATTTTATAATAATGATAATGGTTATATAAGCAATAAGGAATTACATATTATATTGTATACACAATGAGGAATTATTGTATATGACTGTAATTCATCATCATACATTGAATTATTGAAATTTCTGATCTTTCATTTGCTTTATCATTTCTGTAACAATTGTTACCACTTTCAGCTTTTGTTTTTGTTGTTTGTCTAATTATCTCATTTCTCTACAAACATATAATGTTTTAAAAACAAGTCAGATTTTAGAATAGTATGGTTCCAAAACCATGTAGAGTGCCTTACACATCTCAACTCTAGAAATACTGTGTAATAAAATTACCATATTACAGAAGGAAACAGCATTAGTATATAAATATTGTCTTGTATATTGCTGTTGTTCATTGTGTGTGCACTCAAAATACTTATTTCTCTAATACTGCCAGAATGTCTAAGAAAATAAAAACAGATTTCAAGTAATGATTTAGAGGAATATTAAAATTTCATTTATTATAAAATAATTCCACTTTTATGTAGAAGTTTAATGTATTTCCGAAGGGCAGTACTACAACAAAATGATGATATTCACATAATATATATTTCTCAAGCAATAGCAATCAGAAAGAAAAATATATAGTTCAGTACCTTTGCCGATGTAAATATTTATGCTAGGTGAAAATGCAACATCATATTTAAGGAATTTCACATTCTGAATGTCATTTATTTTCTTATTCAAATCCAAGCATTTCTGTAAAAGTAACATCAGCGTACCAACACTTTCTTGAATTCATAAATAATTCTGAGGAATGCATACTTGTCAAATCCAAGCTCCTGCTGTACAGGGTTATCTCACAAAAAGGGAAAAACATTGCAACCCTAGATTAAATGAGCAGCTGGTATGCTGACTCTGATTTGATCATGTTGCTTTTCTAGACAGACTAATTGTTCTGATTTATAGTTATCACCTGTACTTCATGGCTTCTTGCTTCCAGTTCTAATTAGTGGATAATTTTCAACTACTAAAACTTTAACGGTCCCTCTTCTTTCAATAAGTGCAAGAAACAGCTCTGTTAGCAAATAGAAGCCCTGCTGTTGTGACCAAGGCACTTAGTTGGTCAAAAGAAAACACATATTCTTCTAAGTGAGCATTTTCCGAAATGGGATATTTTAAGTAGCTGTATTGGGGGGGTAAAAACTGTTCTAATAGATAAGATTCATTTTAGAGTTCTAATTTGATTTAACTGTTATTTAAACTATCAGACACATACACCCCTGTGCTCTGAGAATGTGGCACCAAAGACCCTAATATTACAATTCAGGCATTTCATTCCTAAGGGGGACAAAAAAGAACAAAAAGGAATTTTAGCTTAAGTATAAATCCACAAGTTTTAAAAATATTTTATTAAAAGATAATGGTGGTTAGTAATTTTGACATAATATGAAAAGGAAATTATTTAGATCTTGATTATTGCCATTGTGCTTGAAAAAACACCTAGGTCTCACATAACTCAGTATAAGGTATGCATGTAGAAGAAAAATGTATTTCAGAGAAACAGCTTGACTGAAATGTAAGTACCAGAACTATGTTATTGTTACCATGATAACCACAACGAAAATAGCCAATTATCAGTTCTTTTTTTAGAAAATTGGATTATTCTTAATTGAAGAAATACAGCCATTTTCACAGTCAATAAACATGAGTAGAAGAAGGATATATTAAAACATTTTATAGTAGCAGAGAGAAAGTCATGCCAAAGACAATCGTTTTATTAAAAAGTTAGACACAAGGAACAGTGAATTACCGAACTTCTAGCAATATATCACCATTTATATGTGAGGATGAGACAGCATCTGAGGCTACAGAGAAGTAAAAACTCCATGCTAGGAGTTAGGCTATGTTGTTAGGCTAATCAGACTTTTATATCTGTGATGCCCTTTCTCAAATCTTCCAGGCACCAAGTAGGTGGAAAATTTCTCCGAGACTTATGGATACTCCATTACAAGAGTGAGATCAAATTGAACAGCCAGCTTTTCAACCTCTTGGGTGCACTGGCAGGAGACCTGTTCCTGCCTCAACCCATAGGAAGCATTGGGAGGGCGTGAAGGCAGAAATATCCCTGAAGACAGCCAGAGACTGGAGTGGGGAGGGTGGCAGGACTACCATTACCAGACCAGAAAACTTTGTTCTATCCCAGCCAAAGGAGATGCCAAATTAGAGTAGCCATCCAGCAGGACCATACTGTTGTTGGCATGTCCCATGGGTTTCCTGGGAATAAACCCCTACCCAGTCTTCTCATACTGTTGGCATTTGCCCTTTGGGATCTCCCCTATCTGGGACAGGCAACACACTGAATTTCACTAAAGCCAAGACAAACCCGGGCTTAAGGCACTCTTTAGTGCTAAAAAGGAGAAAGTAACTTAGCAGAAAAGATACTCAGTAACTATATTGCAAAGAAACCTCTAAGGAAACATATCCAGTAAAAACACCAACCCAGAAAGAGAAGACTGAAATAAAAGACTAGTCCTTTGATGGGAAGACGGAGGTGTACCTCCACAAGAAAAAACAGTAAAGAGGGAACTATGACCTTCCGAAGTGTACAAAGTAAGGAGCCAGTGAAAGACCCTAATAAGATGGTGATAGAAGAGCTCTCTGATAAAAATCCAAAATAGTAATCTGAAGGAAACTCATTAATTTCCAAAATAACACAGAATAAAAGTCAAAAATTTATCAGGGAAATTTAACAGAGAAATAATTAAAAATTGAAACAGAATTCCTGGAGCTGAGAAATATGTTTGCTGAACTGAAAAAGTCATTAAAGTCTCTCAATAGCAGAATGGATCAAGTAGAGGAAAGAATCAGTGAGCTCAAAGACAGGCTATTTGCAAAATACACAAAGAGGAAAAATAATGAATAAAGAATTCCTACAAGATATGTAAAATTATCTCAAAAGAGGAAATCTAAGAATTATTTGTGTTCGAGGAAGTTGAGCAAGACCAAGGGGTAGAAAGTTTATTAAAAGAAATGACAGCTTTCAAAAACACTATATAAATATGCAGGTCAGAGATTACCAAACAGATTTCACCCAGATAAAACTACCCCAAGGCATATAATAATTAAACTCTCAAAGGTCAAACACAAAAGGAGAATTCTAAAAGCAACAAGAGAAAAGAAGCAAAAAACATATGAGAGACTTCCAATTTTTTTGGCAACAGACTTCTTATTAGAAAATATATAGGCCAGTAGAAGTGGGAAAACATGCAAAAATGTTGAAATTTAAAAAAATGAAAACTCTGAAACAAAAATTATGTACCCAACAAAGCTATTCTTCAAACATGAAGGAGAAATAGTCTTTCCCAGAGAAACAAAAGATGGGGAACTTATAACCATCAGACCCATCTTACAAGAAATTCTGTAGGGAGTTTTTCAATCTGAAAGAAAAAATAACACTAATATGCAAAGAGAAAACATTTGAAGTTATTAAGTTCACTTGTAAAAGTAAGGACACAGACAAACTCACAATATTCTAACACTGTAATTGTGATTTGCAATCCACTTATAACTCTAGTGTGAAGACTAAAAAGCAATCTATCAAAAAAATAGCTACAACAACTTAAGAGACAGGCACTATAAAAATATGTAAATTGAGGCAAGAAAAATCTAAATGGATATGAAGTTAAAGTGTACAATTTGTTTTAACTATTCCTTTGTTTCTAATTTTTTCTTTGTGATCAGATAAGTTGTCTATTTAAAATAAAATTTTTATATGTTTTTGTAAGCCTCACAGAAGAAACACATGTAATGAATACACTAAATATGAAAAGCAACAAACCAAAATATACAATCAGAGAAAATCACTTAACCACAAAGGAAGAAAGTGAGAGAGAATTTGTAAAACAACCAGAAAGCAAGTAACAAAATTGCAATAGTAAATCTTTACCTATCAATAATAACATTGTGTTTAAATAGACTAAATTATTCCATTAAATGGCAAAGAGTGTCTGAACGAATAAAGAAACAAGGCACAACTATATGCTGCCTACAAGAAACCCATTTCACCTATAAAGACACACATAGACTATAAGTTGAAGAAAGGGAATAAGATAGTTTATGCAAATGGAAACAAAAAAGCAAGAGTAGCTATATTTAAATCAGATAACATAGACTTTTAAGTCAAATACTACAAAAATAGGCAAAGGAGGACACTACATAATGATAAAAGGATGAGTCCCATGAAAGGATATAACAATTACAAATATCTATGCACACAAAACAGGAGCACCCAATTATAAAAAGCAAACATTAATAGATCTAAAAGGAGAGCTAGACTGCAATACAATAATAGCATGGGACTTCAACACCTCTCTCGCAGTAATGAACAGGTTATCCAGGCAGAAGGTCAATGAAGAAACATCAGAGATAAATTAAACACTAGACCAAATGGGCCTAACTAATATTTGTAGAACATTTCATCCAATTGCTGCAGAATACACATTTTTCTTATAAACGTATGAAACATTCTCAAGAATAGACTATAGTTAGGCTACAAAATTATTCTTAACAAATTCAAAAAGTCAAAATTAGATCAAGTACCTTTTATGACCATAATGGAATATATTCATGGGCACATATAACTTACTAAAGGATGAATCTTGAAGAAATAGAAAACTGGAGCAAACCAATAAAAACTAACAAGGTCGAAGCTGTAATAAAAAGTCTCCCATCAAAAAAGAGCCCAGGACCTAATGACTTCACTGCTGAATTCTCCCAATATTTACGAACTAACACCAATTGTATTCAAACTAAAAAAAAATTGAAAAGGAGGAAATACTTCCAAAATTATTTTATAAGAACTGCATTACCCTGATACCAAACCCAGACAAGGATGCTATATAAAAGAAAACTACAGGTCAATATTCCTGATAAACACAGATGTAAACATCCTCAACAAAATATTAGCAAACCTAATTCAACAACACATTAAAATGATCTATCACCATGATCATATAGGATTCAATCCAGGGATACAAGAATGGTTAAACATATGCAAAACAGTGAACATGATGCATCACATTAACAAAACCGAGAACAAACACATTTGATCATTTCATAGATGCTGAAAAGCATTAGATAAAAATTAACACCAACTTGTAATAAAAACTCTCAATAAACTGGGTATAAAAGGAACATACCTCGAAATAATAAATGCCATATATGATTAGGACACAAGGACTGCAATTCCTATTCAATTCCTAGTGCTAGGCTGAGCTTAGAGCCAGTGAACTAAGGTCACATATGACCTAGGGAGACACCATGGGCACAGCTAAGAGAGGGTTTGCACAATCCTTCCCCCAACTTCAGGCAACCCAGCTCATAGCAATGAGAGTGATTCTCTCCTTCTGCTTAAAAAGAGGAGAGTGAAGAGAACTTTGTCTTATGTCATGGATACCAGCTCAGTCACAGTAGGATAGGGCACTGGGCAGAGTTGTGAGGACATAGCTCCCAGACAACATTTCTTGACACACTCTGGGCCAAAATGGAACCCAGTGCCTTGGAGGGAAGGACCCAGTCCTGGCAAGATTCATCGACTTCTGACTAAAGAGCCCTTGAGCCCTGAATAACCACCAGCGATACCCAGAGAGTATGCCATGGGCTTTGGGCTCTGAAATGTGTTGAATGTGGAGGAGACCCAGCATACTCTCAGCTACGGTGGCTACAGTGAATGATTCCTTCTGTTTGAGTAAAGCAGAGGGAAAAGTAAAGGAGACTTTGTCTTGCACACTAGGTACCAGCTTGGCCACAGTAGGGTAGAGCAACAAGCAGGCTCTTGGGAGTCCGAGTCCAGGCTTAGGCTCTTGGACGGCATTTCTGGACCTGACCAAGGTCAAAGGGCACCCCAGGGCCTGAAGAGTGAGTCCTAGGCCTGGTAGCGTTCACCACAAGCCAATAGAAGAGTGCTTTGTCTTTAAGCGAACATTGGTGGTGGCATGGCAGATGAACCAGTGGTGGTGGCAGCCACAGGGAGAGGCTCCTCTTCCTTTGGTAAGTGAAGGGAAGAGTGGGAAGGACTTGGTGTGGTAGTTTGAGTGCCAGTTTAGCCACAGTAGAATGGAACATCAGGTCAGCAACATCAGTTGCTAAGGTTTTTTTACTTTAATCCCTGGCTTCCGGACAGCATCTCTGGACATTCCTGGAACTCGCAATCCTGAAGGGTAGAGCCTTTGACAAGGCCCAGTACTCTGCTGGCTTCAGATCTGACCCAGCACAGTCCTGGTGGTGGTGGCCACAAAGGAGCTTGCATCAACACACCTGCCCATTCCAGGTGGCTCACTACAGAGAGAGAGACTCCATATGTTTGGGAAAATGTAAGGGAAAAGAACAAAAGTCTCTGCCTAGCAATGTAGAGAATTCATCCAGATCTTATCCAAGACCACCAAGAGAGTACCACTACAAGTCTGCAAGAACCACAGGATTATGCTTGGGGTTCAAGACCCTTTGCATACCTGGAAAACCTTCCCAAGAAGGACAGGCAGAAACAAGCCCAGATGGTGAAGAATACAATAAATACCTAACTCTTCAATGCCCAGGCACAAACAAACATCTGTAAAAATCAACACGCCAGGAAAACATGACCTCACCAGATGAACTGAATAAGGCACCAAGGTCCAATCCAGGAGAAACAGAGCTATATAACCTTTGAGGCAAAATATTCAAAATTGCTGTTTTGAGGAAACTCAAAGAAATTCAAGATTATGCAGAGAAGGAATTCACAATTCTGTCGGATAAATTTAACAGAGATTGAGATATTTAAAAAGAATCAAGCAGAAATTATAGAGTGAAAATATGCAATTGACATGATGAAGAATGCAACAGAGTCTCTTAATAGCAGAATTGATCAAGCAATTGATAAAAAAGGAGTGAGCCTGAAGGCAGTTTATTTGAAAATACAGTCAGAGGAGACAAAAGCAAAGAGAATATTAAAAAATGAAGCACATCTACAAGATCTAGAAAATATCCTCAAAAGGGTAAGTCTAAGAGTGGCCTTAATTAAAGAGGAGGTAGAGAAAGACATAGAAGTAGAAAGTTTATTCGAAGGGATAATAGCAGAAAACTTCCCAAACCTAGAGAAATATATTAACATTCATGTACAAGAAGATTATAGAACAGCAAGCATACTTAACCTAAATAAGACTACCTCTTAGATCTTGTATTAGTCCATTTTCACACGGCTATAAAGAACAGACCATGACTGAGTAAGTCATAAAGAAAAGACATTTAAATGACTCATAGTTGCACATGGCGGGGGGAGGAAACTTACAATTATGGTGGAAGAAGAAGCTGGCATGTCTTACATGGCAGCAGGTGAGAGAGTGTCTGTGAGAGTACAGGAAAAACTATAAAACCATCAGATCTCATGATAATCCACTCACAAACATGAGAACATTATGCGGGAAACCATTCCCCTAACCCAGTCACTTCTCACCAGATTCCTCCCTAAACACAGGGGATTACAATTCAAGATGAGATTTAGTGCGAACACAAAGCTAAACCATACCAGATCTGGAACAAGACAAGGATGCCCACTTTTACTACTGTTATTCAACATATTACTGAAGTCTTAGCTAGACCAAACAGACAAGAGAAAGAAATAAAGGGCATCCAAATTGGAAAGGAAGAAGTCATATTATCATTGTTTGTAGATTATATGATCTTATATTTTGAGAATCCTAAAGACTCTACCAAAAACATATTAGAACTGATAAATTCAGCAAACTCTCAGGTTACAAAATCAACATACAGTAATCAGTATCATTTCTATATGCCAACAGTGAACAATATGAAAAAGAAATAAAAATTAATCTCATTTACAATAGCCACAAATAAAATTAAATACCTAGGAATTAACCAAAGAGGTAAAACATCTCTACAGTGAAAACTATAAAACACTGATGAAAGAAATTTAAGAGGCCACTAAAAAAAATGGAAACAATTTTCATGTTCATGGATTGGAAGAATCAGTATTGTTGAATTGTCTGTACTACAGAAAGCAATCTGCAGATTCAATGCAATTCTTATCACAATACCAATGACAGTCTTCACAGAAATAGAAAAAAAAAAAACTTAAAATTTATATAGAATCACAAAATATCCAGACTAGCCAAGCTATGCTGAGCAAAAAGAACAAAACTGAAGAAATCACATTACTTGCTTTCAAATTGTACTACAGAGTTATAGCAACCAAAACAGCATAGTACTGGCATAAAAACAGACACATAAACTAATGGAATAGAATAGACAACCCAGAAACAAATCCACACACCTACAGTGGGCTCATTTTTGACAAAGGTGCCAAGAACGTATGCTAGGGAAAAGACAGTCTCTTCAATAAATGGTGCTGGGAATACTGGATATCCATATGCAGAAGAATGAAACTTTATCCCTACCTCTTGCTTTATACACCAATCAAATTAAAAAGTGGATTACAGACATAAATCTAAGACCTCAAACTATGATACTACTACAAGAATAGATTGAGGAAACTCTCCAGCACATTGTTCTGGGCAAATGTTTCTTCATGAATATCCCACAAGCATAGGCAACCAAAGCAAAAATGGACAAATGGAATCACATCAAGTTTAAAATCTTCTTCACATCAAAGGAAACAATCAATAAAGCGAAGAGACAACACACAGAATGGGAGAAAATATTTCCAAACTACTCACTTGACAGGAGATTAATAACCAGAGTATATATGGAGTTCAAACAATCCCAAAGGAAAAGATCTCATAATCTGATTGAAAAATGGGCAAAATATTTCAATAGACAGTTCCCAGAAGAAGGCATACAAATGGCAAACAGGTATATAAAAAATGTTTAACATCATTGATCATCAGAGAAATGCAAATCAAAACTACAATGAGATATCCATTCACCTCAGCTAAAATGGGTTTTGTCCAAAGACAGGCAATAACAAACGCTGGCGAGAATGTGGAGAAAAGGGAAGCCTTGTATACTATTGGTGGGAATGTAAATTAGTACAACTACTATGGAGAACAGTTTGTAGGTTCCTCAAAAAACTAAAAATATAGCTGTCATACAATCCAACAACCCCAAAGCTGAGTATAAACCCAAAAGAAAGGAAATCAGTATATTGAATCTGCACTGTCATGTTTGTTGCAGCACTGTTCACAGTAGCCAAAATGTAAAAGCAACTTAAGTTTCCATCAACAGATGAATAAAGAACACATAGCACTTCCACACAATGGAGTACTATTCAGCCATAAAAAGAATGAGATTCTGTCATTTGCAACAACATGGATAGAACTGGAGGTCATCATGTTAAGTGAAATAAGCCAGGCACAGAAAAACAAACATTGCATGTTCTCATTTATTTATGAGTTTAAAAAATAAAACAATTGAACTCATGGAAACAGAATATAAGGATGGTTTCAAAAGGCTAGGAAGGGTAGTGGGAGTGTGGGAGGGAGGTAGGGATGGCTAGTGCATACAAAATAGAACAAATAAGATCTGGTATTTTTTCACAAAACGGGGACTATTGTTAATAATAATCTAATTGTATATTTAACAATCACTGAAAGAGTAAAAATTGTTTAAAACACAAAGGATAATGCTTGAATGGATTTATACCCATTTTTCCATGATGTTATTATTATGCATTGCATGCCTGTACCAAAATATCTCGTGTACACCATAAGTATATACACCTATTATGTACCCACAAAAATTAAAAAGAATGACACTCTTTAAATATATAGAAAAATATCCTAAAATGTATATGAAACCATAAAACACCCTGAATTGCTAAAGCAATCCTGAGCAACAAGAACAAACTAAAGTCATCACATGACTTAACTTCAAAATATACTACAAAGCCATAGTAACCAAAACAGCATGGCACTAGCATAAAAGAAGACACATACACCAATGAAACAGAATAGAGACCAGAAATAAGTCCACACATTTACAGCCAACTCATTTTCAACAAAGGTGTTGAAAGTGTACATTGGCAAAATAACAGGCTCTTCAATCAAATGTGCTGGGAAAACTGAATAACCTATATGGAAAAATCCTAGACCCCTATCTCTCAACATATAAAACAAATCAAAATGGAATAAGGCTTAAATCTAAGACTTAAAACTATGAAATTACTAGAAGCTAACTTTGGGGAAATGCTATAGGATATTGCTCTGGGCAATGATTTGAGGGGATAAGACCTCAAAAGCACAGACAACAAAAACAAATGGGATTATATCAAGCTAAACATCTTCTGCACAGTAAAGGTAACAATCAACAAAGTGAAGAGATGACCCACAGGATGGGTGAAAATATCTTCAATCTGTCCATCTGACAAGGAACTAATAATCAGAATATAAGGACTTCAGACAACTCGATAGGAAGGAAAACATCTGTTTTAAAAATGGGCAAAAGATCTGAATAGACAGTTCTCAGAAGAAGACACACAAATGGCCAACAGGTATATAAAAAGGTGATCAACATCATTGATCATCAGAGAAATACAAATCAAAACTACAGTCAGATATTTCACTCCACTTAAAATGGCTTATATCCAAAGACAGGCAATAACGAATGCTGGAGAGAATGTAGAGAAAGGAGAACCCCCATACAATGTGGGAAGGAGTATAAATTAGTACAGCTACTAGGGAAAATAGTATGGAGGGTCCTCAAATATCTACAAATAGAACTGCTATATAACCCAGTATATGGAGCCGATAACTGGATATACATCCAAAAGAAAGGAAATCAATACATAAGAGAGAGATCTGCACTCCCATGTTTATTGCAGCACTATTCACAGTAGTTAAATATAGAAGCAACCTAATTAAGTGCCTAGTAATGGATGAATGGATAACGAAAATGTGTACATACATAATGAAATGGTATTCAGCCATTAAAAAATGAAATCCTGTCATTTGCAGCAACGTCTACGGAACTGGAGGTCATTATGTTCAGTGAAATAAGCCAAACACAAAAAGACAAATATTGTACTCTTCCTCATATATGGGAACTTATAAAGTGAATCTCAAGAAGCTAGAGAGTATATTGCTGGTTAGCAGAGGCCATGAAGAGTAGAGGGGAGGAGTGGATAAACAGAGGTTCCTTAATAGTAAAACAAAAAATACACTTAGAAAAAATAAGTCCTAGTATCGATAAATCAGTGGAGTGACTATAGTCAAAATAACAATAATCTATAGTACATTTCAAAATAGTAGAGAATAAGTCACATATTCACAACATAAATAAAAGATAAATATTTAAGATCATAGATATATTACATGTTATATAAATGCATCAAAAGTTACATAAACCCTGAAACATGTGCATCTCTTATATATCAATAAAAAGTAAAATGCATATATATTTAATTGACATTAATTCCATATTTTATTCTAGACTGTTATTTCTGGAATGATTAACATAACACAGAACTTTTGAAGATGTTACCATATTTCACTCAGTCTACAGAGACCTTATGTGGAATTATTTTACTGATTTTACAAATGAGGAAAGTAAAGCAGAAAAGCTAAATAAGTAGTCTCTGGTCGTGAAATTGGAATCTAAAACCATAATTTTTATCGTTATACAATTGATAAGAAACTCAAACAGAAAAGGATAAAAACACTCACATTCTTTAAATTATATAAGAATTTAGTTGAGTTTCACTTTACTCATTGATAAGTTTGTGTACATTTAATTTAACATTAATTGCAATTTTGTTGTTTTTGTATGCTGGAGTCTGTTTATATGTATGTATGTATACATCTATGTATCTATATCTACTGTTTACCTAGCTAGCCATTCACATATCCATCTATTAGTATTCAGGATATATCATCAGTCATTTAAAAAAAAACAAGTACCCCCTTAGCTTTGTTTTTTTTAAATGCCTGGGTAAAATATCTCTGGAACTTGGAAGATTTAAAATGTGTGAAAAACCTGCAGAAGAAGGTGTATTACTGGTAGAGTAGTCTATCTAAGGAAATTAGAGAAATATCACCACTCCAGAAGAAATAGAATATTAAGAGATTAGAGTATACAAGATAATGGACTAGTGGCCTCACTGGCCTGTTGACCAGCAGTTCATATGCATTCATTGTCTTCATTTCCTCATCACTCACGCAAACTTTGTCGTACTCATATTTTCTTTATCTGTATGCAGGGTTCTACTATTTATGACTGTTGTATACCTGTTACCCCATAGTTAGCCTTTGATCTTAATCATAGGCTCATTTACCCAGACAAAACAGCAGCAACAACAAAACATTGAGGGGAAGGAACCAAATACATATTGGGGCCTAATCCTGCAAGGTCCAAAGGAAATTCTATTCTTGTCTTCCTAGGTACATTGGCATAAACACCAAACAAACAAATAAATGAAAAGCTAGAGCTCAGTTCACGTTTTGTATGGTTTCTTAAATTGAAGTGCCTTATTTAGTTGGATTAGTTTTTGTAAATATTTCTAGGATTTTGGTTTTAAAAGGCCAGCTTATATATATTGTTATTAGTCCGTTTATACACTGCTATAAAGATACTGCCCAAGAGTGGAATTTATAAAGAAAAGAGGTTTAATTGACTCACAATTCCACATGGTTGAGGAAGCCTCAGGAAACTTACAGTCGTGGCAGAAGTTGAGGGAGAAGCAGGCAACTTCTTCACAAGGCAGCAGGAGAAAGAAAGGAAAGAGAGTGCAGGGGAAACTGCCACGTTTGAAATCATCAGATCCCATGAGAATTCCCTCACTATTATGAAAACAGCGTGAGTGAAACTGCCCCCATGATCCAATCACCTCCCACCAGGTTCTTCCCTTAACTTATTGGGATTACAATTCGAGATAAGAGTTGGGTGGGGACATAGAGCCAAACAATATCACACACACCCATAATAATGTATCTGTGTGTGCATACATGTATATAATTATCTCATAAGTAGACCTGAAGGAGGTCTACTTATTGTTATCAACATTTTGTTTTTGACCAATTGAGACCAATAAAATGAAAATAGAATCTTGATTTCATGATTTCAGAGAAGGCATAGAGAAGGCATTTTAATATCATGTTAAAGATTGCATAATCTTTTTTTTTTCTTTTTTTATTATTATACTTTAAGTTTTAGGGTACATGTGCACAATGTGCAGGTTAGTAACATATGTAAAAAGTTATTTTAGGTAAGTACATTTAACAATATGAAATTGCCCTATGCTCTCCCTATATTTTTCAGTTTCCTGAGGACTAGAGAAAACATAACTGGTGTCTGACATTTGGGAATCAGTTTCCCATAGGCAGTCCAAGGCTGTTTACCCATCAGGAAACCCTGAGAAACAGCTCAAGAGGATAAAACCTCCCTTATGAAGGCTTCCACAAAGGGAGCTCCACTTATCTTGTCATCTAAGCAAGATATTTCTCCCACCTGTGTAAGGTTTATTTTAGTAGATCCTGTTTCTTCATTTTAGCAAGGTCTGTATTTTTCTAACATTGGGTAGACAAATGTCTCAAGGTTTTAAACATAGCTTCTCCCTGTTTCCTAGGAACTCACGAGTGTGCCTTTATGGTTAATGATGTGCTGTGTAGATCTATATGTTTTGTTTATGCATTTGGCTCACTCTCCTCACCTTCTACTGAGTTAATTTATTATATACTTACTGAATACCTTTTTTGAACACTACACTGTTAGGTGCTGGGATAGAGAAATTAATAATGCACAACTTGTATTAAATGAGCTCACAACGTAATAATAAGGTAGAAGTCTTTGGCAAGGCAGGGACAATGTCTTATACATTTTTGTTTCCTGTAGCACCAAGCAACAGGCCAGACATATTGGAAGAAGTTAGCATATGTCTGTTGACTAAGAATCATTGCTCTCAAAGTTCAAATTTTGGTCTCAATGTAGTTAAGTATGATAACTTCTAAGAGTATCTCTCTTTGCTTATAGTTATATTTATGCATAGTCACTGTATATATGTACACAATGTATTACCTGTTATATGTAAGTATATGTTATATGCATATAACTTGTAAATATTCATTGATGTATTACATAAAGTACACAAATGTTAAGGGTAGAATTTGATAAATTGTTACCAAATCAACACCAATTTCTAGATAAAATTTATGTAGAAATGTAAAAAGTCTCTCTCCTGCTGCCTTCCTATTAGCCACCACAAAGGTGACCACTGTTTGGACTTCTGTCAGCATAGATTATTATCTGTGAATAGATAATATCTACATAGAATAATGATCTATAAATTATTAATATTATATAATGTATTATCTATTCTAGATAATCACTGTAGGTCTGTCTATAGAATAAGAATGACTTGGAAAATATATATCAGATCAGCAAATATTTGTTGAAGTGCGTAATTGAAATGATATACAGAATACACAGTAAAAAAATGAGTTTAAATATAGAATTTTTAGAAAAAATAATTCATACATACATCTCAAATATGAGAGGATTAATTTTCAAGGTAGGAGTAAAATTGGTAGAATACAGTATTACAACATCTGAATGAATGAAAATTTAAGAAGGACAAAATTATATACGTAACATTTGAAAATTAAAAAAAATTATTTCAACAACAGCAACAACAAAAATCCAACAGATATAGAGCATCTAGTTCTCCAAATAAACTTCCCAAAATATAACTTAATATATATTTCTGCCTTAAATTTTCTTATGCTCTCCTGAAAACACCAAAATGTCTTCTAAGAATTCCAGATTGTCAGGAAGATTTTTTCAGTTACCAATACTTCCAAAAAATTGGATATTTATTTAAAATTAAGAGATAATATTTTTATCATTTCAGCTAAGACAATATAAACTATAGTAATTCCTTTTTGAGAAAGAAGAATGAATCAAAGTTACTGGTATATAATAATGAAGAGTTGTAGAGCTTTAAGTACTAAAAAAGAAATAGAATATTTGGCAAATAGTATTAAATGTCATCCTGAAACTGCCTATAAAATTTTACTGCTAAAATATTCTGGTTTACTTTTCAAAGTTTTTTTTTTTCTGGGTAATGGTGACTTATTACTTAAGAGCAGCCAATTCTAATCTGTAGCTTAGCTAACTACTAGTAGACAAGCAACATACTTTTCCTTGTTTCTTTAATTCAATGAGGGTGTCTGAATATTTTGATTTGGTTGTTAAGATTTATTTTTCTTTATGTTTTAAAATATTGCCAGAAAAAATTAAGTTCAAATATATATCTAAAGGAACACAAAAGTTAGACACTTGAAAGCATTTAAATCATGAAATGTAAAAGTAATAGTTTATTCCAAATAAAATATTTTTACTCTCAATTGAAAATGTAATAAACTTTTACTGAACTTGCATTTGGGAGCCTACTCTTGTTTTTAATAAGTACATGTTTAAGTGTATATGTGCATATATGTGGATTCCATTTGCATTCTTACGTAAAATCTATAAACTATGGATACATATATATATATAATAAGCATATATAATATATATGCTATACAAAAATAACCACACATTTAATGATTGTATGTACTCATGAGCCAGAAACTTTTATTTTTCACATTTTATCTTCTAAGTTGAAGGGATGGTAATCAACTTTCTTAAAAATAAAAATGTGGATGAAATTACACACCTAAATTTATACTTTCATATTTTCTTCAAAAATTCACCTGTAAAAGTTTAAAGTTTTATGCTGAAAAATAGATAATAATTCTTAAGTGCTGACTGTGTTCTAAGGACATGGGCTTCAGGCTATCAACCGAAATAAGATTCTTAACACAACTGTGATGTATAATCTATTCTTATTTTAGATAGGAAAAAATTAATACAACACAGAGCTTAAGTAACATGCTGTGGATCAATAATAAATGACAGATAAAATATTGGAATCTAAGTAGTGTGACTTTAAATTCCTTGACTGTAATCATTCATTTGCACTGCTCTAAAGACCGCAAACTTCTGGAATGCCTGAATTAGAGCGAATAATCCCATCTAAGAAAAAGAGTAAGAAAACCACACACACACACATACACACACACACACACAAATGCTGTATTTCAATGCTTATAAAAATAATTTGTAACAAATTTGTCTATTGCTAACAAAAAAGGCCTTTTATGTATTTAGTGAATATTTAAGAAGGAAGTTCCTGCCTACCCACTCAGTCTCCTCCCAAGTATTAATATTATTACTCAATTACCAGCTAAAATAATAAGCAACTATCTTAGGTAGAGTCTTTCTTTGAATTGCATTGAGTTGACAAAGACCATCTAAATGAGGCCATAGAGAATGTAAGGTGTTAGATGTTTTTAGAGTCGAACTAATCTGGAAAATTAACATCTGTTGTTCAAAATGCCTCAGTAAAATATTAATGAAAATGCACCCAACATTGATAGGATCTGGATGCTAGAAAAGAATAACATCTCACATATTAGAGTGTCATGGTGACTAGTCCAGAAAGGTATGTTGAATAAGGTTAGATTACTTAAAGGCTTAGTTTTAAATTATTCTTGGCTATTTGAAATAAAACATGATTCCTTGAGTGACATAAAATGTTAAAAGGTCTTTTTTTTTAACCAAGCATGTCTAATATGATCTTATGTGTTCAGGCTGCCTTTTTGTTGAACAAGGTGTAAGTGGCCACTTCAAAATGATTCGAGTATCTGGCCTTCACTGCTTTTAAAATTGTGAAAACAGTTCCCTAGAGGTCTACATAATCCTCTTTAGGCTACAAAGAAGCCCTCACTGTCATTTTCAGAGCGTGTTTTGGCAGTCAAGGACATGAATGTTGATCATATTTACTTCTACCAGCTTGGGTTGCTGGAGTCATATAATTACTATAAAATTAGAATAGTTGGTATGTTAGAACCCGAACTAACTTAAAGTCTTAAAAAAGATGCCACTCTGATTATAAATATCAATTCGTTAAAATGATTTTTTATGTATAAAATTATACATTACATAATTATATCTCACAATGCTATTTTAATAACACTAGGTGAATTCTTACCTTTTTATGTGCTTTTTCAGTTTTCATTGTGGATTCCTATTATAATGTGATTATTAAAATCTAATACTAAAATGCAGCATGCCAATAAATCTTATTACTTCAGAGTTGACATTCTGTGTTTTTCTTTGAAATTCTTATTAGTCCCCTTTTTCCTTTCCAAAAGCAAACTAGGGATGTTATGCTTTATATGCATTGTCGCTTCTTGAATTGTTTTTATAGGAAGGAAAAAAGTACATATTTTATTGCTTTGCTTTTGATTTTTGATGTTTATTTTTCCTGGATTATTATATCTCCTCACTAGTCTGTTTTACCAGGTGCTGGTATCTGTCTCCAAATCTCACCCTTGTGCCACAAACCATACTGTTCAGCTGACAAAGTTCTGTGATGCCAGTAGACTCCCTATGTAGGCTTCCAAAGAAAATCAATTTACCCCTGAGTGCCTGGTAATATTCCCACACCCTCCTTTAATTGGGAACCACTAATACTTCATGTTCAGCTTCTTAATTAACAACAGGTCACTTAACTCATTGAATATAACTGTCATAATTTCAGGGACTGCCTAACTTATTCGTCCAAATGGTTCCACCAATTTGTTGAAAAAGAATAGTCATCAAAAGAGAATCTAGAACCTTAGCCTAATGACCTTGCCATAAGCATTATATTTAAGTCCCCTATCTTTCAAAATATCTGTGATTTTATACTATAACCCCCAATATGTCTATCTAGCTTATATTACAAAAGGTAAAGAGGCTATCACTAATGACTGTACATATCTTGTTCATCAGTTAAAGCTCTTTCCAGTGGCATTCCCCATCACCACCTTATTAGAGACCCAGAAAACTCTCTTTTTCCCTGTAAATATGAGGTCCTGGAGTATTTGTGGAACTGAGAAAAATGCTGTAGTACTGATAGGCAGTATTTGGACTGAACAGTCACGTGGCTATGTGCTGGTAGCAGACTTTCTTAAAGGATTTTGCATGCTGGAGAGGAAAGTTCTTGCTGGAAAGAAGAATAGTTGGCCTCCAGACAATTTCCTTATCTGCTGAGCATGTCCTGGTGTACTCTACCAACACCTGGACAGAGACTGGACAGTCTGTCTCCCTAAGCACTTCCAAGGCTTAGCTCCCAAGCTGGTAACTCCCTTCCCTACCTTCTTTTCTTTCCCCAACATTCCTCCATAAGGACCCACACTTGCATTGATCTACCCTATCACTTGCATTGATCTACCCTACCATAAATAAAACAATGGCAACAACAAATTTTCTTCTTGTTCTTTGGAAATAAACCTTGAAAGTCTCTGAAACCCAGAGCCAGAATCACCTCCTGACTTTGACAGAAAATGTGAGCATTCTCAGTAGGAGATGGCAAAAATGGGAATAGTCATTAGAAAATAAAAAATATAGTGTATCTTTGGTAGAATGGGAAAGAGGATCCAATATAACTATAGGACTAGAGAAAACCAGGTAAGAAAAACCTTAAAAGATCACCTATTCCTGTCCCTGTCTTCTTTGCAGTGTTGCTTCAAGCTAGTGCAGACTTCGAGGAGGGGGATATGCTAGCAATCTGGCTTATAAAATAAAATTTTCATTAAGATTAGTGCCAGGTTTGTGTTAAACAATCACTTTGCTGTTTTCCAGGGGCTGGCAAGTTAGAGCCTCTGCAAATTATGTAGTTGGCAGTTTAACGAGATTGTCAGGCTCATCAATTGTCAGAGAAAGAGAGTGGGTAATGATGAGAAAGTTCAAGGTGATGTCTTTCCTAATCTCTAGAATGCTAATAACTGGAAATAGACATAAATATAACATCTTCTATATAAATGTAAATGATTTTCCTGCATTATTACTTTCTTCTTGTCAACAGATTCTATGTTCTGAGTAGAGTCCCTCTGCTGGGTTTATGTGCCAATTATTTTCTGTTTGTAAGTCAACAACCAGCTAGGAAATCAATTCTCTAGTGACCACCTTTTAATTAAAGTAACTGCTAGTCTCAACATTCAATTTTCTGTTATTAAAATGACCTGTTTGCTGCACAGGGATAACATGGAACAGATTAATTTCTCTCAAGGAGATAAAAGATGTAAGGAGAAGGGACGCAATCTGGTGTTTGCTTCTTTTAAGATGGCCTGATTAAAAGAGATATCAAAGTGAGAAAAGGTCACATGGGGAGGGGATGGGGCCTGATAGGTGGGGTCATACTGGGTTTAGACGGGATTACTTTCAGTAGGGCTTATGTGTCAAGATCATATCTTTATATAACATTTGTTTTGATGCTACTCAAATATTGCTTGGGGCCAATATTTACTCAGAGTGTTAGGAGACTCAATAGTAGAGGAGATAATGAAAGAGGAAAAATAAGGGAGAATGATATCCATTCAGATATTTTTAATGTCTTAAACTTCAAGATAATAGTTGAGTCCATATTTTATCACAGAGTTGATGAGACAAACAATCTGTCCACCAAGGAAACAGGGCTCCGCACCCTACACTTACACTTCAGGAAGAACATTATGTTTCAGTGTAAGATACTTTGAAAATATAAATGTTTTCATTACATTATTTATAAGAAGGTATCCCAGATTCAAGTGAATGGAAATTGGCTTTGAGTATTTCCATTTTTTAGAAATATTTATTTGACTCTAACATATGCTTATTTTGAAATCTCTATTACAAATTTGAAAAGTGCAATAAAATAACAATTTCCAACTGCTGCTCTGTGTGAAAAATTTTACCAAGTCCCATATTAAAGAACTAAATGAGAAAAATATAGTGATATATTCGTGAAGATTGATTCTTGTGGGCCTTTAAGGCAGCAAGAAACAAGAGAGGGTACCACAATATTAATGCTCATAACAGTAAGAAAAGATATGTGCTCCTTCAGCTCACCCACAAGAGGAGGGAGGATGGTCTGCATAGCTGGCAGGCAGTTAATCAGCTCAAGCAGCAATTTTTTTTTTCTTTTCTCCTCTTCCTCTGTTAGTTACTCCCCAAATAGTTATGAAGTTGCATCCCTTCCTCCTCTCAATCCTAGGAGGAGATGGTGGGAGGGAGTCAAGGTACTTAGGCAATCACACCTCCAAGCTATATTTTAGTAGTAGGTGGTGTCCAGTTAGCTATTCTCAATAGTTCTTTCCAATTCATATTACCTTAGCCTTTCTTTAAGTTTCAACAATTTTGTGATAAACCTCTGTTAAGTATATCACTTTTGGGACAATATAAAACTATTTCTCATTAATAGTGGCTCATCAAATTATGATAAAAGAATTTGTGTTATGAACTTTTAAACCTAGAAGTACCAGAAAGAATTCTAGCAATTTTTGAAAATGTTTTCTTATAATTTCTGGGCTTGATCCACAAATGATGCCGAAATAAGCTTTTCTTTTTATTTTCTAATTTTCCAAAGCAATATATTTAAATATGAATTAGATTCACTGGAGTCCCAGCTTTGAAACATCCTCTTCTTGCAAATCAGAAAATGTACTTATCTTCTTGTAGATTACCAAAGATAAAGGCTTTTTTATCATTTTAAGTGGAGAAATAGTTGTGATGAAAAATTACCTTGACAGGATTGCTGGAAATAAAGTATCTCTGTAAGGTTGAGAAGCTATTAGGAGACATATAACTGTCAAGAGTAAGTGAAACTTAGCAGTATTCATTGTTTCCCTGATACCATATTTATCTTGAGAAAATTTCAAAGAGAAATATTATTTTTAAAATATTGTTCTCTACAGGAATAAACAAATTATATTCAAAAGCAAGAGAAGTATTCAAATACACTTATGGCAGTTTTGCATATCTTATTTTAATTTTGCTATTTGTATAAGCACACTATTTTACTCCAATGTGCTGTTATTTATTCTGAAAATTATTGACAGACTCCAGATTTCTAGGAAGATTGGCAGATTTTCTACACCTTCAATTTGTTTTTAATCAAAACATCTTTGAGTCACTGAAATGCAATTGCATTGGCAAATCAGGCCTTCATGATTTTGGTTATTTTCCTTTCTTACATCTTTTAGTTTTTAAAATTTGACTCTGTTAATCGCTAACAAGTTGGAGAATCTAGGGCACCCAGCTACTTTGACCTGGTCTATATTTGTTTAATGACTACTTCATAAAAGTTCCCACAGTTGATATTTGCAGTTGTCATTCTGTGATGCTGTTTAAAGCATTCCTCGGTAAATTATTATTTAAACACAGAGGACTGATCCATTTAATTATGATTTTTCAGCAAGATTAATTCACAGGGGGATCCGTCATTCTATCAGGTGCCACATGGTCTCTAATTTATTTTTAAAGTTCAGGTTTTTGACAGTTTGTTTCTTCTATAGGTAATTACTTTATATTTATGGATTGATTGACTATATATTCAACAATGTTACTGATCTCATATGTATTAATTTATTTGTAGTTTAAGACATTTCTAGATCAATGGTGCCATCTTTTGTGTGTAGCAAAGCGCTTGTGTGTGAAGGGAGTGGGGGAAGGAGGGAGAGAGAAAGAGAGAGAGAGAGGAAGAGTAAAAGAAGATAAGGCACGTTTGTGCTATCTTTAGATTGTTCTGGTTGTTTGTCTTTTAGGAATTCATTTTCTTCTAGGTTTTTTTTTTTTTCCCCCTTTTTCAACCTAATTACCAAAGGGTATCTCTCTCCTCTTTTGAAATTTTGACTCCCTAATAAGCTTTAAAGACAATTTCTATATATTGTATGCATTTAACCCTCTTTTCTAGCATTATTACTCTGATGTACCAAAATTCATTTTCTAAATTTAATTTTTTAAAATATTTTCCCACAAGGTGGACTTCATTTTCTGGCATGAGTTTTAGAGTGATTTTTGAACTGCCACTTTGATCCTGTCTTCCCTTTGCCTGTAGTGTTTCTCTGACTACCCTTGATCATCACAAAATTTATGACAGGAATGTGAGAGATCATTCACTGGAATGTGGTAGTTTTTCTTCTTTTTATACATACAGTTGTCTTAAAGTTTAGACTGACTCCTTGTTATGCTGAGAGCTATTTTTTTTTAGAGTTTTGTTTTTTTCTTCTAATTGTTCTATAAGGTCTTTTTACTTTTGGAGCATGGCGAGACAGAACCCTGAATAGTCACCAAAGTTGCCAAATGATGCTTGTAATAGTTCACTATTAATAATGATGTTCACTATAATTTTTATTAAATATCTTTGAGGTATCTAATAAAAATACGAAGGATTTTTTATTGTGTAAGTTTTCTAGGAGCTCTTAAAAATTACATAAACTGGGAATCGTTTCCCCATTTCTTGTTTTTGTCAGGTTTGTCAAAGATCAGATGGTTGTAGATATGCGGCATTATTTCTGAGGGCTTTGTTCTGTTCCATTGGTCTATATCTCTGTTTTGGTACCAGTACCATGTTGTTTTGGTTACTGTAGCCTTGTAGTATAGTTTGAAGTCAGGTAGCATGATGCCTCCAGCTTTCTTCTTTTGGCTTAAGATTGTCTTGGCAATGTGGACTCTTTTTTGGTTCCATATGAACTTTAAAGTAGTTGTTTCCAATTCTGTGAAGAAAGTCATTGGTAGCTTGATGGGGATGGCATTGAATCTATAAATTACCTTGGGCAGTATGGCCATTTTCACGATATTGATTCTTCCTACCCATGAGCATGGAATGTTCTTCCATTTGTTTGTATCCTCTTTTATTTTTTGAGCAGTGATTTGTAGTTCTCCTTGAAGAGGTCCTTCACATCCCTTGTAAGTTGAATTCCTAGGTATTTTATTCTCTTTGAAGCAATTGTGAATGGGAGTTCCCTCATGATTTGGCTCTCTGTTTGTCTGTTATTGGTGTGTAAGAACGCTTGTGATTTTTGCACATTGATTTTGTATCCTGAGACTTTGCTGAACTTGCCTATCAACTTAAGGAGATTTTGGGCTGAGATGATAGGGTTTTCTAGATATACAATCATGTCATCTGCAAACAGGGACGATTTGACTTCCTCTTTTCCTAATTGAATGCCCTTTATTTCCTTCTCCTGCCTGATAGCCCTGGCCAGAACTTCCAACACTATGTTGAATAGGAGTGGTGAGAGAGGGCATCCCTGTCTTGTGCCAGTTTTCAAAGGGAATGCTTCCAGTTTTTGTCCATTCAGTATGATACTGGCTGTGGGTTTGTCATAGATAGCTCTTATTATTTTGAGATACGTCCCATCAATACCTAATTTATTGAGAGTTTTTAGCATGAAGTGTTGTTGAATTTTGTCAAAGGCCTTTTCTGCATCTATTGAGATAATCATAAGGCTTTTGTCATTGGTTCTGTTTATATGCTGGAAAACGTTTATTGATTTGTATATGTTGAACCAGCCTTGCATCCCAGGGATGAAGCCCACTTGATCATGGTGCTGGGAAAACTGGCTAGCCATATGTAGAAAGCTGAAACTGGATCCCTTCCTTACACCTTATACAAAAATTAACTCAAGATGGATTAAAGACTTAAATGTTAGACCTAAAACCATAAAAACCCTGGAAGACAACCTAGGCAATACCATTCAGGACATAGGCATGGGCAAGGACTTCATGTCTAAAACACCAAAAAGCAATGGCAACAAAAGCCAAAATTGACAAATGGGATCTAATTAAACTAAAGAGCTTCTGCACATCAAAAGAAACTACCATCAGAGTGAACAGGCAACCTACAAAATGGGAGAAAATTTTTGCAACCTACTCTTCTGACAAAGGGCTAATATCCAGAATCTACAAGGAACTCAAACAAATTTACAAGAAAAAAAACAAACAACCCCATCAACAAGTGGGCGAAGGATATGAACAGACACTTCTCAAAAGAAGACATTCATGCAGCCAAAAAACACATGAAAAAATGCTCATCATCACTGGCCATCAGAGAAATGCAAATCAAAACCACAATGAGATACCATCTCACACCAGTTAAAATGGCGATCATT
The DNA here is from genome assembly GCF_000001405.40 of Homo sapiens. Lineage (NCBI taxonomy): Eukaryota > Metazoa > Chordata > Mammalia > Primates > Hominidae > Homo > Homo sapiens. Next base: position 9,676,804 of record NC_000009.12, on the reverse strand, counting down.
AAAAAGTCAGGAAACAACAGGTGCTGGAGAGGATGTGGAGAAATAGGAACACTTTTACACGTTGGTGGGACTGTAAACTAGTTCAACCATTGTGGAAGTCAGTGTGGCGATTCCTCAGGGATCTAGAACTAGAAATACCATTTGATCCAGCCATCCCATTACTGGGTATATACCCAAAGGATTATAAATCATGATGCTATAAAGACACATGCACATGTATGTTTATTGCAGCACTATTCACAATAACAAAGACTTGGAACCAAGCCAAATGTCCATCAATGGTAGACTGGATTAAGAAAATGTGGCACATATACACCATGGAATACTATGCAGCCATAAAAAATGATGAGTTCATGTCCTTTGTAGGGACATGGATGAAGCTGGAAACCATCATTCTCAGCAAACTATCACAAGGACAAAAAACCAAACACCGCATGTTCTCCCTCATAGGTGGGAATTGAACAATGAGAACACATGGACACAGGAAGGGGAACATCACACACTGGGGCCTGTTGTGGGGTGGGGGGAGGGTGGAGGGATAGCATTAGGAGATACACCTAACGTTAAATGACGAGTTACTGGGTGCGGCACACCAACATGGCACATGTATACATACGTAACTAACCTGCACGTTGTGCACATGTACCCTAAAACTTAAAGTATAATAAAAAACCAACATTAAAAAAACTTACAAAAACTGGATTACACAAAATTCTTTTAGAATATATTTTGAGATAATTATGTACATTTTATTACTTAATCTGTTCATGTGATAAATGATATTTGTATTTTTTTAGTGCTACAGAACCCTTGCAATATGTGGTAAATCAAACTCAGTCTTAGCATTTTTGAAACATTGTTGGGTATAGTTGGTTAATATTTTGATTGGAATTTTTACATCAATGATGCTGACAGAGATTGGGTATAACTTTTTCCTCTCATACTATTTTTGCCTGTTTTTATATTAAGATTAGGTCGATGTTTTTATATTAAAGTTAGATTGATTTTACTGAATGAATTGGGACGCTTTTAAAATACCCAGAAGAATCTTTGTATTGTGATAGAACTCACCAATACAAGCATTTTGGTGGACCTATTTTCTTTACAGTGCATTTCAGATTTTTCTGTTTCCTCTGGTGCTAATTTCATAGAATTTTATTACTTTATTTTTTCATCTGTTTTCAAATTATTGGATTAAATTTTTATATTGCTTTAAAATGTTATTTTAATCTACTTTGAATGTATATGACTGTCCTATAAAAATGCAGTACTAAGTATTTGTAGTCTCTTTTAAAATCTGACCTTTTTATTTTTTATAATTTCTTGTATTTATCATATTTTTAAACAATTTGCTTTTAATTTTGTTGATCTTCTCTGTATTATTGTTTTCTATTTATTTCTTTAGAATTGTTCTAATGTTTATTCTCCAAATTCCTGGATGAGATATTAGTTGATTAATTTTTAGGCATTCTTCATATTTTTATTATGAGCATTTAAGAATATATATTACTCTGAAAGTCCTTTTACTGCATCTACAGATTTTGATACAAACAAAAACTTTAAATCATTAAGTTCAAAATGTTTTTAAAATGGTTTCTCTAAGGACACATGAGATACTTTGGAGTATTTAAACGTATACAGATTGTTTGTTTCTCTTTCATAATTGACTTTGAATGTAATTGCCATCAGATTGTGTTTGTCAAAAATCTCTTAAATATGTTAGACTTGTTCCATGTGCTAGAGGTTTTATAAATTTTGAATATGATCTTGACATGAGAAGAATTCATTCTTTAGTTGTTATCTAGAATTCTATGTATCCTATCTGTCCAATAATCAGGCTTGTTATTTCTAACCTTCTATACTTAAACTACTTTTTTTTGTCTTTTTGTTCACCATTTGAGGGAGTCATGTTCATATTTCTCACTATTGTGATTAACTTCACAATCCTCTTCCTTGCTCAACACCAGCTACCAGTGACATAAAGAATGCTTTTACTTTATATGTATCAAAATCTTTTTATTTGAAATATATGTTGAGAATTGTACATCTTCCCAGTAAATCAAATATTTTATCATAATGTAGTGACATTTTATTACCCTAACGATCTTTTTATCAAAATGCTGATTTTGCCTAAGATTAATATAATTCGCTTAGTTAGCATTTCAAGGTATGTATTTGGCTTGTTTATTTTTTGCTGTCCTGTAGTTTTAATCTTTCTCTTTTCTTATAGTATATGAACGTGTCTTACATAGCATATTTAATTTTTAAAAATCAACTAAACACTTCTTGTCTTTCAGCTGGTTTATTAACATATGTTGGGATTATTAATATATGACTACATTTTAATTTTTCAAATATTCTATATGTTTTTTCTCTTCCATTTTTTCTTTTTTTCTTTCAATTTAATGTTGTTGTTCCCATCTTTCATTGTTGCACTTTATCACGGAGAAGGTAATAGTCCTGTAACCTACTTTGATTCTTTGATGGTGGTTGTATGTACTTGTGGAAATATACATTGCAAAGTTTAAAGTTAATATTATAAGCCATCCTTGTAAACAGTATCAATACCTAAAATACCTGAACAATGCCTATCAGCTCCATTACCATTTATTTACTACTTTTGTTTATATTTTAGTTTTTACTTTTGTTCATTTTTAACTCCCCAAATCAAATATACTATTTTACACAGACAGTATTTATCTACATATTTATGAATTTTGCTTATTTGTAGTTCAGACTATCTTTCTTGTATTATTTTCTCTCTTCCTCCTGTAGCTGTTACTCCAACAAGATCTGGGAGACTAAACTTTCCCACTGTTTGCTTATCTGTAAATGTCATTATTTCATCATTTTTCTTGAAAGATAGTTTTGGAAAGTATAGTGTTCTATATTGGGAGTTACTTCTATCGAGTACTTTAAGTATGATATATTATTGTCTTTGGGGTTTAATTGTTACATCTTTTGGTATGCTGTCAGCCCACTCATTTTTCCTTATATGTAATCTGTCTTTCCTGATCTTTTTGGGGTTTCTGTATTTCTACCATTGAAGTTTTATTACAGTGTATCCAGGTATGCTTTTTTTTTTCTAAATTGTCTTCTCAATATAGGTTTTGATTCCTGTATCTATAGATTTTTAATTTTCATTGATACAGAAATATTTTTAGTTATCTTATCAAATATTATTTTTCATTCATCTATTCTCAATATATCAAGAGTCCTTAATGCTTAAACTCAATTTGTAGTGTTCATCTTTTCTTTTTGGGTAATTTCTTCAGAAATATTTCCCAGTTTGCTATTTTTCTTTCTTTTACTGTGTCTACAGTGGGATTAATCTAACCATTCATTGAAATTTTTATTTCAAGAGTTACATTTCTTACTATGGGAAGTTTATCCTTTTTTTCCAGAGTTCTATCTAATAATTTGAGCATAATTATTCATTAACAAATATATTTGAGTAGTTTCTCTGAGTTAACAGTATAGGCTACAAGTATATCATGGTGAATGAAACAGACATGGTCTTTTTCTTCCTGTAGCTGATAGTTCAATGGTGGAATAATGAAAATTAATAGGGAAAGAAATCAACACATAAACAATTGGGCTATTAGGAGTTTTAAAAATTCTTAAAGATTATTAACAGGATTTTGAAAATGTGTGATAAAAAGGGTAATATTGCACAATTCCCTAGAATTAACTTCAAAATTTGTACCTGTTTGTCAGCCTAGTGAAGTGTCCCTTGAATCACTATTAACAGACTTCTGCAGCATTGGTAATTTGTCTGTATTTTTATATTTTAATTTGTATACGTTATAATCAAGGTCTATGTGTCTGTCTCTTAGTTAACAGGGATTTTATAACAGATTTACGCTAGAGTCAAATACCAATGTCAGGAAATGAATACAAATGCATTAATGCATGCATTTTACCATCTACATATACTTCTTTAGCACTTTTATACTGTTTTTATTTCCATTTTCAGGCATTAGAAATATGCAGATTTAGGTCGTATGTCTAGATTACTTTTACTAGCTATACAGTCATACATCACTAATTTTTTTTTGTAGCTTTTGTTTTCTCAGTAGTGAAACTGGGTGGATAATAACTCCCTGTCAGGATTTCTGTAGAGAATAAATTGATGATAAATAGATGGATCAGTAGATAGAGCTCAAAAATTTACTTCAAATCTCATTCTCTATGTGAAGTAGCTAAGTACAAATGTTCAGATCATGAGCTTTAAGGTTAAATTGGTTGGGAATTCCATCTCTACCATGTATTAGCTCTGTGATATTTGGCAAGCTACTAACTTTGCTGGGCTTCTGTGCTTCATAGGTAAAATAAGTAATCATGTATTTTTATAGGATTGTTTTGATTATTACATTAGTTGATATCAAATAAGATACTCAAAACAGCAGCAGGCACATAATAACCAATACCTAAATGTAGATAATAATATCATTATAGCCATTCTGCTATATAGGTAATTTATTTTTATTTTTTGCCCATCATAAACCATACATCAATATTTTCCAATTTATTAAAAATAGTCTTTAGATGATAGAATTTGCTAAAAATTTACTGTTTTCAGAAAATTATATTGTGGTTTTAATATGGAATCATATAGAATTATACCTGTTTTCTTTACATAGTGAAAAAATAATATTCTTCTTGCTTTATGCTGCAGACTCCTTAATAAATGCATTGCCCCTACTATAGTGATTAGTTCAATGTGATTCATTTCTCACAGCAGATACAGTGACTATAAAGGTTGCCTCATTCTCTCAAATGCATCCCTGACAAGTTGTGATGTTTTAATGTACAGTAGCAATTTTTATTCTTCTCATCACATCTCATAACAACCCCCTAATGATAGTCTTCTTTGGTTTGGATGTTTATACAGGAATGTTTGTGGCAAATGTAAGTCTTCCCCTGTATTAGTCCATTTTCATGCTGCTGATAAAGACATACCTGAGACTGGGAAGAAAAAGAGTTTTAATTAGACTTACAGTTCTACATGGCTGGGAGGCCTTAGAATCATGGCGGGAGGTGAAAGGCACTTCTGACATGGCGGTGGTGGCAACAGAAAATGAGGAAGATGCAAAAGTGCAAACCCCTTATGAAACCATCAGATCTTGTGAGATTTATTCACTACCATGAGAACAGTATGGGGGAAACTGCCCTCACGATTCAAATTATCTCCCACTGGGTCCCTCCCACAAGATGTGGAAATTATAGGAGTACAATTCAAGAAGAGATTTTGTGGGGGACACAGCCAAACCATGTCATTCTGCCCCTGGCCCCTCCAAATCTCAGTCCTCACATTTCAAAACCAATTATGCCTCCCCAACAGTCCCCCAAAGACTTAACTCATTTCAGCATTAACCTAAAAGTCCACAGTCCGTAGTCTCATTTGAGACAAGACAAATCCCTTCTGCCTATGAGCCTGTAAAATCCAAAGCAAGCTAGTTACTTCCCAGATACAATGGGAATACAGGTATTGGGTAACTATAGCCATTCCAAGTGGGAGACATTGGCCAAAACAAAGGGGTTACAGGGCCCATGCAAGTCTGAAATCCAGCAGAGCAGTCAAATTTTAAAGCTCCAAAATGATCTCCTTTGACTCCTGGTCTTACATCCAGGTCACTGTATGCAAGAGGTGGCTTCCCATGGTCTTGGGCAGCTCCACTCCTGTGGCTTTGTAGGGTACAGTTTCCCTCCCAGCTGCTTTCATGAGCTGGCATTGAGTGTCTGTGGTTTTTCCAGGTGAATGGTGCAAGCTGTTGGTGGATCTGGAGTATGGTGGCCCTCTTCTTACAGCTCCACTAGGGAATAGAGACTCTTCTTACTCTTCTTACTACTCCACTACGAGTAGAGACTCTGTGGGGATCTCCAACCCCACATTTCCTTTCCTCACAGCCCTAACAGAGTTCTCCATGAGTGCACTGCCCCTGCAACAAACTTCTGCCTGGGCATCCAGGCATTTCCATATATCTTCTGAAATCTAGGTGGATGTTCCCAAACCCCAGTTCTTGACTTCTGTGCACCCGCAGGCTCAACACCATGTGGAAGCTGTCAAGGCTTGAGGCCTGCAACCTCTGAAGCCACAGCCTGAGCTCTATGTTGGCCACTTTCAGCCATGGCAGGCACAGCTGGGACGCAGGGCACCAAGTCTCTAAGCTGCACACAGCACCAGGACACTGGGCCAGGCCCACAGAACCATTTTCTCCTAAGCATCTAGGCCTGTGATGGGAGGGGCTGCCATGAAGACCTCTAATATTCCCTAGAGACATTTTCCGTTTTCCCTTATTGTCTTGGGGATTAACATTTGGTTCCTTGTTACTTGTGTGAATTTCTGAAGCCAGCTTGAATTTCTCCTCAGAAAATGGGTGTTTCTTTTCTATCACTTTGCCAGGCTGGAAATTTTCTTAACTTTTATGCTCTGCTCCCCTTACAAAACTAAAAGCCTTTAATGGCACCCAAGTCACCTCTTGAATGCTTTGCTGCTTGGAAATTACTTCTGCCAGATACCATAAATCATCTCTCTCAAGTTCAAAGATGAGATTTGGGTGGGGACACAGCCAAACCATATCATTCCCCTCAGCTTCCCTGGTCTTGTTGCTTCTACATTAAACACAATTTTTATGGTGTCTTATATTTACTCTTTGTTCAACAGAAATTACAAATTACTAATTACTAATTGCTAATTTTACAAATTTTACAAATTACTAATTATCTGCCAAATATTACTCCAATTTACTGTTAGCTGATTAAAGTTTTAAGATCTCTCCCTCTTTCTCATTGTATCTGATAAAATGCTAAAAAAGGAAGCTAAAAGATATTGAGGGGCAATTAGAACATTTGTAAAGGGATATGGTAAATGAATTAATAACTTTACAGTCGTTGATGTCATTGGGTGCTAAGCATATCTTTATGGACACATGGCTATAATCATTGACATTTGTATAGTCACTATCTAAATTTGCTGATAATTTTAATATGTATATACATGATCCTCAATATTCTCATAAAGGTTTATATTTAAACATTTTTATATGGGGACTTTTGAATTATAAAAATGATGTTGAAGAACAATGAAGTTATTCAAACTGGCCAGATTATATGAAAATTTAGTTTCTGACTCATAAATGTATTCATTAAAGACAAATATATAGATTTTTAACTGTTATAATTTATTTGGAATAGTACAATAAATCTGATATTTTTAACAAGTTTAAAAACATCATTTTTCAATACTTCAAACACTCACACATAAGAAGTATCAATTTTCAAAATGTGTTTAATGTGGTACTTTAAAAATGGTCTTTATTCCTTCTAAAGCACTCACAAATTGTTTTTAGAACTCTACTTGATGCACCACTTTGATCTTTTGGTCTCCTTCTTTCAATAATATCAATTTCCTAGTGATAGAAATTAGATTACCTACGTTTGGTCCAGAACTAATTCCATACCAATCAGGAACAAGATGCTACTATCAGTCATACTAATAGAATCTCTATCTGTTGTGTTCCTTGTGTATCTCGCCAACTGTAGAGGTTAAAATTACCCTTTGTTCCAAGTCTTTGCTCTTGTGAATAGTGCTGCAATAAACATAGTTGTGCATGTGTCTTTATAGCAGCATGATTTATAATCCTTTGGGTATATACCCAGTAATGGGATGCACATGTACCCTAAAACTTAAAGTATAATGATAATAATAAAAAAAGTAGAACTAGAAAATCTTTTTTAGAATAAAGAGATTATTTAAGCCAAAAAAAATTACCCTTTGTTGCCATTGTAGAAACAATCTGCTATTAATTTACTGTTTCACTTTTTTTTCCCACTACAGTAGCTAATCAAGAGCTGAGTTAAAGAAACATATGAATCAAAATTTCATTCAACACTAAAGTTCAGGATTGGTCAATAGGAGACCACTCTGCCTCACGGAGTGCAGTTTTTCCCAAAATACTGTGGTGTGAGATGCAGGAGAAAATTAAGACAGTTTTATAAGAATGATTATGAACACCAGTGTCCTGAATTTTTAAAATGATATCAATTAAAGATGAAACGAAAATCAGTTAGCTGAACTAATTAAGAGTACGCAAAGTAATAATAAAAATAAATAGGTAAAAGTAGCTTTAGAATGTTAACAAATGCCAGGGGCAAGTTTATGGCTTAAGTGATTAATACAACTGAATTTCTCTTTATGCTGAATGAACAAATCTATTATGAGCAAAGAAGTTAAGAGTTAGTTTATAATTTCAGTGGGAAAAAAAATGGCCAATCAAAACTTAATTGGATCTGTTTAGAAGAAAAAATCAACAATGTACTAAAAAGGCAGTAGTAATTAAGGCATTTAAGGATTAATACAATATATTCTAATGTTGTATGTCTCAGGGTAACCAAATCAGGCCTAATTTAGACTTTGAAGACTGCAGTTAGCAAAAATTTCCCCAAATAAGCAAAATCCTTTGAAATTTTTTATTTCTGGAGAGGAAATGCGAAGACTTGCTGAAGACCATTCAGGAAATAAATTGTCGGGTCCAGATGGTTATTCAATAGTGTTGCATAAGGGGGAAAATTGACAGTAGAATGATTTCGTTTTATCGGTTGTGCTTATAATCAGTTATTGTTATAAGAGTTTCTTCCACTTTTCATGAGTGAGACCTGGTGGCTTCTTATTCAGATGATACGTGGAGATCATTTTGTTTTAACTTTAACAAACCATCAGTTGAGTTTGGGTGGGATGAGGGCAATCTATGATTTTAGCTCTGATTTTGAATTTGAAAATGGATGATAATCTGTCCATTTTCACAAGAATTTTATTTTACTGCAGGTTGTTCCAATAATCTTTGCAGCTCATAAGTCTTTATTTAGAAATATCTGTAATTGTTCCATTGCTAAGAGAATGTTTTACAAAGTGGGAGCTCTCCACCCCAGACCATTTGTGGCAAGGTCACCAAGGATGCTTGACAAAATGCAGATTACTGCTTCCCTGTCCTACCCTACAGACCTCTGAATAAATGTTTCTGGACATCAATCTGAAAACCTGCCTTCTGCCAAGCACCACAAATGATTCAGAGGTACGCTAATGCTTGGTGACCAGTTCTCTAAACATTCAGCAGTATGTTGCAGCTAATCCAAACTGGATGATTGTCTAGTTTCTAGATGAGTTGGCCATCACTGTCAGCACTCAGATCACCTCTAGAAATCCCTGTGTGCTTAAATGAATTCACTTTTAGGGTTAGAGCCAGCTTCTAAGGGGTAGAAAATGCTACTACACATAATTTAAATAATACTTCCTTACCGTTTTTACTGCTGTATAATTTGTAAAATGAATGAACATAAACTATTTTATGACTTTCGGGCAAACCAGTGACTGATGGAGAGACAGTTTTGCTGGCTGTGATCACAATACGCATAGGCCTATTCAGTAGTTGAGCACTATAAGAAAATTAAAACATCTAGTTGGAAAGTGAGGATGAGAGGGGTAAATGATGAATGGGAAGATCTCATAAGGCTTGGGGAAATAATAGAATTTGAGCAAGGTATGGTAATATTTGGAGCTTTGATAGAGGTGGAAATGATTGCACTGCTGTAAGAAGTATCAGCCTAAGAAAACAGGATGAAAGTTGGTTGGGTTGGGGGTCACAGCCATGAGTAATCAGTAATAAACAAAGCACGTGGTAGAAAAGAGAGTAAAGAAGATATAAAGCTATACAGGAATCAGATTGTGAAGCCACCTTAAAGACTGGCTAACAAATTTGTATCCTTTTATGTTTGCACTTTGAGGGTAACCAAGTAATATATTTAAAGAGAAACGATGACTTTAGTCTATTTTTAATAATGTTACAAAAAACACTCATCAGTAGTTCCTATAACCCAAACTCAAGGCTTTTGCATTAAATACAACAATGTATCCATAAAAAGCGAGGTAAAGCATTAAGGGAAAAAAGGAGTAGAAGAAAAATGTGATATTTACCCTAAAATTATCCTTAGAGTTGATAGATTATTATGACATTAAACACATTTTTGGTTTTAGATTTCAGTTTTAGAATGTGTGGAACTCATTGAAGGGGAATGAGAAACTAGATGCAACAATAAAGGAACTACTGCCACAAGACAGTTGAAAGTAAAGACCTTAGGTAGAACAGTAGAAGCCAAAAATAAGACATAGAGATTGAATCGATACAATTTGCCAACTTATTAAATATGAGGTCAATGACTTCAAAGACACATGCCATGATGATGATTATTGTTTTATTATTGTTTGTAAGTTTTGTCATTGTTTTGGTAAAATTGAGCTGTGTGTAACTTTTAAACACAAAGGAGAAAGTAAAAGCCACACAAACTCCCACCAGAGAGAGGTGAGATCTTAGAAGTTGAACATTCTCCTCTACGAAAGATAGACAAATTTTGCAAGTTATACAAATAAGATCATAATTTTTTTACTGTTTATTTTTGATACTACTTTTTAAAATAAACAATATATCATAGACATCTTTACATGTCAATAAAATATAGTCCTACTCATCCTTTTGAATTACTGTACAGGATACCAGTGTATAAATGTTTAATGTTTTAATTAACCAATCCCTCACCAATAGGCATTAATCATTTCCTGTTTTAGTGCTATAAATAAAGTTTCAGTTGCTTTAATACATATATACTTCATCTGTATTAAGGCCTAGGTAGAATTTTGGGGGTTTATGGGTATACAACTTGATATGTGGATAGTTACCGAATAACTCCAGAAAACTTACATCAACTTATTGATGACAACATTTTATTTTTGTATGCAGAACACTTATTTCAAACTGGAAAGATAAAGGACTTTCATATCTTTATAATTTATTCCTTTCCTCTTTCTGGACTTTATATACATTCTTTGGTTATTCAAACCAGTAAAAAATAAACATTTGAAATATGGTATGTCACTTCAATCAAATTACCAATTAAATTCTCAGAAATGTGCTCCCTGGAATTTTGCCAAACAAATTTCTTAGTTTACCTCAGTACTGTGAAGGGAGTGTTACGTTAAAACATCAATCTCATTTTGAAGACTTCACTTTTACATTAATATCATTAATGTGGGCTAGGAAAAAAGGATATAAATAAATTCAAATAGAACTATTCTGAGTATCTTACATGTGGAAGGTGGAGACACAGCTGAGAGAGAATGAACCTCGAAATTCCACAGACCTAAATTTGAATCCTCGTCCCATTCTGTAACTGGGGGACTCTGAGTAAGATATTTACTAGATAGAACCTCAGTTTTCTTAACTGAATAATTAGGATCTCACATATGTCAGAAGGTCAGAAAGCCAGAACATAGTTAAGTATCTAATAAATTTTAGTTTTCTTTCTTCTATATTCTATCACAGTGAGCATTTATAAGTTTTGATATTAAATAAAAAACATCTATTTTGTCCTTTAAAAATACTCTGATGCAATCTTTTTAAGCCACTTTTCTAAGTGTATACAGCTCAAACGAGATTAAATGAAAATACTAATAAATGCTTTGTATTTATGCCGTGTTTCTATTTACATCAATTATTTGTGGTTTTTAAATGGACCATTCTAAGGTTTTATTCGTTACAAGAAAGTTGGCTCTTTGCCGTTCTGAGTCAGAAGACTATTTTCTATAGCTAGTACTTTCTGAGTAATTATTCCTCACCCCTCTCTCTCTCCCCACATACACACATAGATGCACACATAAAATACTCTTTCTTATGTATCATTCTCCTTAATACAAACAAATATACACATATGAAGAGTGACATGATTTCATTATTTGTTGACATATAATAATATGAGTATGAAGGCTGGTAATCAAATATAAAAAGTTTTCATTCAATGAAATAAATTATATTTTAAAATACAAGTTTCTGTTCTAGGAACTGGTGATTAGAACTTTTGTGCTTGCATAGCTCTAATATGCTCTAGTTTCAGGAAGCTAAAGGTTACCAGCTTCCAGAAAAGCTTTCTGGGATAGAGGCTTTCTCATTAACATACAACAAAGGTAGAAAGTACTCATTCACTGATTTTTAATCAGTTTATGACATGGACTGCAAGACTCCTTCAAAAGGAGATTCTGCTTAAGTAATAATACTTTAACAGTAATCCAGTGATCTGTCCATGCATTAAGGATACAATTTATTCTTCTACTGATCAGTTCTTTTCCTAGTAAAATGAATTGTCTAACTTTTGATGGAACTGTCTAACAAAAGAGCTTTGTGGATGAAACTGACAGACCTTAGAGGTTTCCATTTAGTTTGAATGCTTAAATTAGAAACTCTTGTATTAGGATTAAAATGGAAAAAGAGCTGATCTAATTGCATGTCCGGGCAGATATGTCAGATCTGGTTTCTTACGACCATTGAATTCTAGCATAGTTCATAAATGTAGTTAATGTATGAGAAGAGAAGTGATTCTTAACAAAGGCTGAAGCAGTATTAGAAGTTGATCTTTTTTGCCCTATGCGTTAGAAAAGCTTTCTTCTTTTTAAATATATTTTATCAAGTTATTCACTAATAGCAGTTATTAAGTTCATAGATGGTTATCACTATCAATAATCACTATATAAATAGTCAGAACCCATACCTGGTTTTTATTTATTTTTTTAATTTTAATTTTAAAGCCAGGCTGTGTAAGGGACTCTTTACGTGTAACTCATAGCTCTTCTTCTCCCTAGAGTCATAACTTCTTTTTTTTTTTTTTTTTTTACACAGGAGTGTAAATGTTTGTATATGTAGATATTGATACAGTCTATTTAAAACCTAATGTATCAGTGAACATAATCCAAAGTAACTTAAAACATAAGTTCTCCTTCATTGTAATATGTTATATAGGATGAATTTCTATGTGAAAGAGTTTCTAAAACTTTATCTTAAAAACTATTCAAATCCAGCTACCACACTAGTACACTAGTAATAAGATTAATTTTTCACATACAACTTTGCTTTTGACATTCCAAAGTGTAAAATTAATCAACTGTTACAGCTGTTAAAACTATCAGAATAACATGCCATATATTATATACATATATTTAGGTATATATCACTTAATACAGCTGTGTGAAGTTCTATGTAATTTTGCCAATAAATAAGTGAAAGTTTAAATAAAGATCAAATTCAGGTGTTAGTGATCATTTGGATATGAAGCGGAAGGAGAGAGAGTTGTCAGTGATGACGCTCAAGTTTTTAAATTGAGCAACAAGTTAGATGGTGACATTGTTCACTATTATGGGAGTTTGATAGGGATGGAATTTGTTAGGGATGGAATTCTGCTTAGCTTATGATTGAGCTACCAATGAGAAGACAGACAAAAAAGTGAAGTGGATAATTTTTTTCTACCAATCTGGGTTGAATTCTGTGTTAAAACCATCTTATGAAGATACTGTAGTCACTTTTTAAAAATTATATTGAATTATATATTTCTTTAGTATTTCTTTGAAATTAAGTTTATTGATATAACTAGTGATTTCATATAAATATAGATATTTACAATGGTTATTTTTTACTTCTATATATTAATCAGTACAATTATATAATCCTATTTAAAAATAAGTTGTATTTTCTTTCCATGACTACTGAGTAATGTGGAGATTAAAAGACCTATGAGATAAACCTATTCTGACATTTAATTTTAATTCTGAGTTTTTGATTATCAAAAAATTGCTAACTATAATATCTACATGCATATAAACACACACATAACAGCTTGTGATTTTTTCACATCAAATGAAATTTTGCTATTTATGTATCTCAAAATTAGATAGGAATCATAATGTCAGTTTATGTTCAAAATATTATTTAAATAAACTTATGCATAAAGAAAAATAGTGAGCCCAACTGATGCCTCCATTAAACTGTATCAGATTCATAAATTGTTAAGAACTGCAGTGAAAACAAACTTTATTCTCAAATACTGTACAATCTATCAGGGAATCAAACTAGTACACAGCAATAAAACAAGGCAGAATAACATGAGCATCATGTGAAAGACACTAAGATACATGTGGTTTTAATGCCTTATAGCAATCCCATTTCTGGATTAATTTATGTAATTCTAAAAACGGACAAGCCTTCAGTAGATATGTGTTGTCTAGTTATTTTTAGAAATATTACTTTGTCTTTTAGGAATCTTACTTTGTACTGAGCACATTTCCCCTACATATAGAATCTATCGAAGTATTAATAGAAAATGTTTTCTTAGCCTTTTCATGTTGATACTATTCAGATTTCTTAACAGAAGGAAAAAACTCTATTGCTTCAAATGTCATAAAATAATAAGGAATGCCATAGCAAAACTCAGCTTTCATATCCTTGCTGATGGTTTTCTCTATACATTATTGCTTATTTATGGCACAAATGTGTTCTCTTAAGAAAAAGCGTCTTGCTGTTATAGCAGTTATGTGGCACAAATGAAATGATCATGATTACATTCCTTCAGGAAATGCAAGTGCAGTTTTCCAAGTTAACTACCTAAGGTATACATTTGAACAATTTTCTTTTTCTACTACATATAGAGTTGAATGTCACTCCCAGAACAATTAGGTAATGGTTTTGTTATGATACTTTATAGTAGCAGGTTCTGTAATACTGTAGGTAAATACTGGAACTGAGACTGCCTTCCAAGCTCTCAAGATATTTTGTAACTGTATGGAGTGTTAAGAATTACACAGTTCTTTACTCTCAATGAGAAGAATGCTATCTTGTAATTTCTCATATAGTATTTGAATACTTTTATAAAACTTGGCATTGATATACTTTAAATTGTATCAGGAATCATATATATCATACATGTGTTTGGTGCATATGTACCTATATTGCAAATTAAGGTTAAGAAGTATAAAATCTGGAAAGAACTTCAGAGTTCAGATGATTAAATTCACTGTTCCACCAGAGTAGCACTTGCTTCAAAATAACTTAACTGTTTAATATCTGGGCTGAAACAAGCACTCAAATCTCCTTATTTACACAAGGTCTTTTTCTCTTCCAGCCCTCCTCCTCTTCAAGTTATCTCCCTTTTTCCTTCTCTTTCTTCCTTTATTTTCTTAGATGACTAAAATGTAAACATCTTACATCACCATCTTCTTCGAATCATGTTGTATGTCAAACCTAGTGCTATTTGCAAGACCCTAGTTGAATAGTGGCAAACAAATTAGACATACTTTTTTGTTTGTTTGTTTTTATGAAGCTTGCAGTGATGGAAAGACAAATATAAACAGCATATATGAAAATTCTGTATAGGTAGAGTAAGTCATAAGTATTCTATATTGTCTAATGATACCATAGTTTAGCATAATTGTTAAATGGTAGCAATTATTGTCCAACGATACCATAGTTTAATATAATGTTAAATGGCAGCAACATGAAGATGCTTCTAGGTTGAAACATTCAAAAGATATGATTTGAAAACATTTAAGAAAGAGATGAACTGAATCTAGTTTAGCAATTTAAAAAAATATACAGTTAGTTTAATTCATCTGAAGCACTGATTGTTAAGATATTACTTTTGGGGTAGTGGCCAGTATTTTCATATAATTAGTTTTTATTTATTGAAAATCGAGTCTTAATTAGAAAATGGAATGTAGAGAAATGAGGAAGGGACAGGTCCACCTTGAATATTTATAGAAAATTTGCATAGCCTCTCATTGGAAATATATGGCACAGGTTTCATATTTAATTTAGACCCCCACATAGAGAAAAATTAATAGAATAGTGTTTTTCTGAAGTAGGAAGTTTCATTTCTTTATGGAAAGTTACGTGGTGGTTTATTAGTAACAAAAAATGGACATTTAGATCATTACCTGAATAAAGCGTTATTTCCATATGAAGCTGCCTAACATCTTCACAACTTCTGGTTATTGAAAGTCACTGCTGAAACGTGACACAATGACAAAGTCATGAATCCTGGCATTGGTGGCAGCGTAGCTTTCCAGTGATTCAGGCTCTGAGTTTATAATAATGAGAAGGAGCTAAATAACTTATGAGGTTATTTGAGTTGTTGCAAGATTAATTTTCTATGCATAATCTGTGTATATGTTGGAATAAAGGCAAAGGAAATCACTAGAAATCACTTTGTTTATGTTATATATGCATATCTGAACTACAAGAACTGTGAGTTTCTTCAAAATCCTGAGAAAGTGATCATCATTGGTGAGACAAATCAAGAAATTAAAATTTCAAAAATGCCTACTTAATAATCATATTAGGGCAACTCTCAGTTTCTGAACACAAATAACTTGTGATAGAGTTACATATTTACTTTGACTCCTCTTTTCTACATCCTATATCCCAAGTATAACCCACATCTATGTCTTGAAAAATATTATCTATTAAACTATATTCAAGATCCCATCACTCAAAGCATCTCTACTACTCACTGACCCAGGGCCACCAACATCTCATACTTGGCTGTAGCTAAAATAAGGTAGCTGAAATAACTCTTTAACCTGTCCTCTTGCTTGCCCCCTTACCTCCCTATAGTCTATTCTTCACAGAGGAGATGTTCTGTTAATGTGTAAATCAAGCCATGTCAGTCCTCCACTCTCAACCTCCAAAGGCTTCCGATGTCACCTAAAATAATATCCAAAATCTTATATGCCCAGGTGTTTCTTTATCTGCTCTCATTTATCTTTTGACCACGGGGGAATTACATGAAATTTTTGAAGTGCAAAAATACTGTTAGCATATAAAAATTAGGCCAATAGCTTTACAAACAAAAAAGGCATATACCAGTCTATGTTAATTTAAATAAAGTATGTTAAAAATAAATATATTGTGTTTTAAGTGGTATTTGTGACTATGTATTATACAAGGGAAATTCATTTACAGCCCAGAAGAGAGTAATATATGTAATCATGAGCACTGTATATTTATGAAAAGGACTATAAAGTTGCTTCCTCACCTTGAAAACTTATTTTAGGTATCCTCATCTCCAAAGTAGAATAGGTTATTCCTGTTCTGTTTATCTTCTGCTTTTAGTTTATTGGGAACGTCCCAATTTTCAATGGTTGTGAGTACAACTACAAAATATTTGTTTGCTTGTGATGAGATTGAATCACCTTTTAGGAATGCAAATAGCAATGACTGGTAGTAATAATTTTCCCTTTTAGTGACTTTTTATTGTACTATTTATTTTTTCATTGACAGCTGAAGCTCTAGCTGTTACTGCTAGGGAAAAGCTTTTTTTCAGGGTATTTTGTATATCATTAACTATTCCAAATGGTTCTGTAACAGTAATTCTCAACTTTGGAATGCCCAGGGGTTTAAAAAAAATACTAACACCTGAGTCCTATGTCCAGAGATTCTGACTTAATTGATTTGATGTATAGCCCTGGCGTTAAGGTTTCCAAAAGCCCCCAGTATAATAAGCAACAAAGGTTAATAGCCACTATATTATAATTTCACCTGGCAACATAATTTTACTTTGAAAACATTGAAACATTTATTTGTTGAAATTTTTTCTCTCTCAAATATTCAGATAAAGAATTGGAGGCCATATAAAACAACTGCCTGTGGAAATAATTCTTGTACAATGATTTGAATCTTTAAGCTACACATATGTAAAATTTTTAGGGAAAATTTGAAACATATTAAATAAAAACATAGGAAGCATGAAGTGATATTCCACCTCACTTGTAACTAATGAATTGCAAGTTGAATACTAATATATAGTTTAGTGATCAATTTAATAAAAAAGCAACTGTTTTTATGTATCCTGTAATTATATCTTCACCTCTTTTCTTTCATTCTCATCTTTCCAAAGTCCTGCCTGGCTTTTAGATAAAAAATAATTATAATCACATTCACATAGTAGAATGTTTTGATAGTTTGTGTTCTACTTCTTTGAAATGTGATTGCTTTCTAACTCTTGAATCAAACTGCCAGATTTAAATCTAGGCTCTAACTCTTATTACCTCAGTAAGCCTGGGCTTCAATGTTCAATATAAGCAATAATAACAAGCACCAAGAATTGTTGTGACAATTAAATAAGATAATGCTTATAAAGCACAGTACCTAACACGGAATAAGATCTCAATAAAGATTTCCCAGCAGTGCCGGCCGTATTAAGAGTACTAGTGATAATGACCAGGATAAAATATCTTAAGCTACTTAATGACTCTTGAATGGTGGCATTTTTCAGAAAGAAGTGACCAGAATTTTCATAGCATATAACCTTCTCTGCCAATAAAAGAACCAGATCTGTCTGAACAATGAAGGGATCTCACAAGTGATCTTCTTGGAGAGATCGAGGCTGCTTCCCAAGTATGAACTCTAGCTTTACAAACAGTTATCAAACTCCTACTACATGTCATTCATTGTACTAGATGTTCGGAAAAACAGTAAAGAAGGAAATCTTTCCTTTTAGGAAATTTCTAGTCAAGTTTGAGAGAAAATGAAGAGTCAATTTTAATACATTATAAGTACTAAATGTGAAGTCCTTTTAGGGTAAAGAAACAGCCAACCCAGTTCGGGAGATAAATGGGTAGGATATAAGGCGAAATGATGTTTAAATTTTCACCAAAAACAACCTAGTATATCCTCTTTGTTCTTCCAGAGCAATTGGATAATGAATGATTTTACCATCAGAGTTTTAGTTTCCTGGTACATCTGACTTTTGATTATATCAATGATGAAAACCATCATACTCAATTCTCCATTTAGATAATGCTGACATTACTCTCATTAAATAAAAAAAATAAAACAGCACCTGTAATACATAGAAGAATCATTGTGACTTTGCAAAAGATACCGCTGGAAGACATATGGAGGCAAATATTTTAGCGAAATTCACAAAAAGAAACTAAACATAAAACTCAAAATTAAGCATAAAAGTCAAATGAGTTCCACTTGGCTGAATTAAATATGTAAGGGCCATTGGGACCCATCCTCTCTTTAGGTCGGGGGGAAAATCTCACTGTTTTATATTGCACTCCTCAACTAGGTACTTATGGAGGTTTTGTCCATTTGTGTTACTCTAAAGCATATGGCATAGACCACCATCAAAGGAAGGACGATGTACAATTGGTTTGCCCCCATGTGGCAAGCCTTGTGGGTCCTATGTCAAAGAATGCTTTATATTTCTTCAATCTTGTATTCTTTTAAAAAAATTCTGCCAATAATAAAAACAAAGATTCGGTCATAAACAACATTTAGCCATGATTATTTTCTTTTTCTTTTTTACTTATTTATTTTTCACTATTATTATATTTCAAGTTCTGGGGTACATATGCACAACGTGCATGTTTGTTACATAGGTATACCTGTGCCATGTTGGTTTGCTGCACTCATCAACTCGTCATTTACATTAGGTATTTCTCCTAATGCTATCCCACCCCACCTCCCAACCCTCGACAGGCCCCCGGTGTGTGATGTTCTCCTCCCTGTGTCCATGCGTTCTCACTGTTCAACTCCCACTTATGAGTGAGAATATGTGGTGTTTGTTTTTTTCTTCTTGTGTAACTTTGCTGAGAATGGTGGTTTCCAGTTTCATCCATGTCCCTGCAAAGGACATGACCTTTTTTTTTATGGCTGCATAGTATTTCACGGTGTATCTTGAAACCATAGATAATTTGTCTCAATTTTTTACTATAAAATTTATAAACTTTATTTCATTTTATTATGTTTCTTTTGACATGACACAGGTGGAGGATCCAATGTTTTATTCATTCACTTAGTAAAAATATTTTCCAAGTACATATTGTGTGTGAGACTCTCTGCTAGGTGTTTGGGATTTAACATTATTAACTATTCAAGTGGTTGTTATTTATTGAGTGCATACTACACATCAAACATGATGCTAAACTCTTGCATACTTTTGTCTTCTCATTTAGTTTTTTTGTAAATATGTAGACTTTACATTTTTAGAGCAGTTGTAGGTTCACAGAGAAATCAAGAGGAAATTACAGTGTTCCTATGTATATATATATATATATCTTTTCCTATTCACCTACAACCTTTCCCACTATCAACATCCCCCACCAGAGAAGTACATTTGTTACAATTGATGAACCTATGTCAACACATTATTATCACTCAGAGTTCATAGTTCACATTAGGATTCACTCTTGCTGCATCTTCTATAGGTTTGAGCAAATTTTAATGATGTATCCACCATTATAGTATCATACAGACTGTTTCATCACCCTAAAAATCCTCCATGTTCTACCTATTCCTCTGCACTGCTCCCTAACCTGGCAATCATGGATCTTTTAAATATATCAATAGTATTGCCTTTATTTATTTATTATTTTTTAGAATTTCATGTAATTGGAATCATGCAGTATGTAGCCCTTTAAGATCAGCTTCTTTCTCTTAGTGATATGTATTTAATTTTCCTACATTTCTTTCATGGCTTAGGAGATCATTTCTTTTTAGCACTGAATAATATTCTATTGTCTGGATGTATCAGTGTATTTGTACATTTACCTACTGAAGGACATCTTGGAGTTTCCAAGTTTTGACAATTGTCAATAAAGCTCCCCTAAGCATCTGTGTAGGATTTTATGTGGACATAAGTTTTCAACGCATTTTGGTAAATACTAAAGAATGTGAACGTATGGTAGGTGTATGTTTAATTTTATAAGAAACTGTCAAACTATCTTCCAAAATGGCTGTATCATTTTGGATTCCCACTGGAAATAAATGATAATTTCTGTTGTTCCACATCCTTACCATAATTTAATGTTGTCAGTGTTTTGGATTTTCCCCATGGGAATAGATCGTAGTGGTACCGCATTGTTTTAATTTTCACTTTCTTAATGTCATATGATGTTGAGCAACTTTTCATATGCTTATCTTCCATTATTTATTCATTTTATTTTTTTGAGATGGAGTCTCACTGTGTTGCCCCCGCTGGAGAGCGATGGTGCAATCTCGGTTCACTGCAACCTCCGTCTCCTGGGTTTAAGCAATTCTCCTACCTCAGTCTCCTGAGTATCTCGGATTACAGGCACCTCCCACCACGCCCAGCTAATTTTTGCATTTTTAGTAGACATGGGGTTTCACCATACTGGCCAGGTTGGTCTCAAACTCCTGACCTCAGGTGATCTGCCCGCCTCTGCCTCCCAAAGTGCGGGGATTACAGTTGTGAGCCACCGCACCCAGCTCTTTTCATTTATTTTATGGTGAGATGTGTGTTCAGATCTTTTAAGGTGTTTTTCCGGTTTGGTTTGGTTTGGTTTGGCTTGGTTTGGTTTGGTTTGGTTTGGTTTGGTTTGGTTTGGTTTTCCCTTTGAGATGGAGTCTCATTTTATCACCCAGGCTGGAGTGCAGTGATGCAATTTCGGCTCACTGCAACCTCTGCCTCCTGGGTTCAAGCAATTCTCCTGTCTTAGCCTCCTGTGTAGCTGGGACCACAAACACATGCCACCACGCCCAGCTAATTTTTGTATTTTAGTACAGACGGGGTTTCACCATATTGGTCAGAATAGTCTTGAACTCCTGACCTCAGGTGATCTGCCCACCTTGACCTCCCGAAGTGTTGGGATTACAGGCATGAGCCATGGCACCCAGCCTTGAGCATTTTTTAATCAGATTGTTTTCTTATTGTTGAGTTTGAAGAGTTCTTTGCATATTTTGGATAACAGTTTTTTATCAGCTATATCTTGTGCAAATGTTTCTTCCACCCTGTGGCTTGTCTTATTCTCTTAATCATATAGTTTTTATAACAAGGTGTGTGTTATGATACCAATTTAATTATTAAAAAAATAGGTTTAGAATAAATATATTCTCTTTCTCAAGGCCTAAAGTAAACATTTCAGATAGGTAGACTATATCTATATCTATATATCTATATCTATATATATATATGCTTCAGTTTAAAAAATATTTGTGTAAATGTGTTATTCTTCAGTATAGCATACACATATTTTACTTTCAAAAGCTAATTGTATAAAATCATTGAAGGATTTCATATATCATTGCTATGACCAATTTTATCTTGGGCTTTTAATATAGGGATGCCTTCAGTATCAGTTAAAGAGAGAAAGTCATTTGTTATACACTTAATAAACAAACCTGATGTGTGTATAAATGTGCTACATATTTGCATGTATGCAGATATCAATTGACAATGTCTTGCTTTTGACACTGTTACTCCTTCTAGCTAAACTCAGAATCAGAATATTTTAACCTGAGGACAGAAAAATTAGATAACCAAACATGGGAATGTAGAATGTTCCTACAAATAATATTCACAATCTTAAATGAAAGTGTTTTACGTAATTGATTTGTAATGTTCAGGTGCTGTTTTGTTTATTTCCACATTCTCAGTAGTCTTTATAACACCTAAGTGATTGCCAGTTAAATGTGGCATTATTATGAATGGTTGTGTGCTCTGGGTAATGTGTGTGTATACATGTGCACACACACACATATATATGTATATATGTATGATATATTTGCAAACATACTTAGACATGTGTATAAATATAATTTACATAATGCTCATATTGAAATCATTACTTATCTTAAGCATTAAACTTTTTATAAGAAGAGTATGTTACTATCCCTCTTAAAATTATACATCACATATTTTACTATTTTTATAGCTTCTCACTCTTACTAAAGATATTAAGATTAGGAGACAATAAGGTTATTAAAAAGTCTTTCAGTGCTATTACCTGCCTAGTTACATTATACGGCAAAGAAACATTATAATGTAGCCTGGGTTGGATAAAAGTGTACTCCTTTGTAAGAATGAATTATCAGAACCCAGCCCATTATTTTCAGCTGAAGTCTTTGATCTAAGACAGTGGTCTTGTGAGGTTTCAATTTTGTAACCCTAACCTTCCTTTCATCATATTCTAAGTGAAGTCTGTAATATCTTAGCTACATCAAAGCAAAAATAAAAAAGTTTATATATAATAAAAACCACCAGAAACATCATTTAAATAAGCCTTCCATTGAAAATAATAATAGATTTCAAGACTTTCATAAGGGAGCAAGAAAATAAATCTAATTTGTCTTTATCACTTCAGATACCATGTGTCCTTAGTTAATAGTCCATCAAAGCCAAATCCCTTTAGAGGAAGGAGCTTTATAAGTGTATCAAGGAGTAAAATGTTGGCAATATCCAAAACACTAATTTTTACCATTGGTCTGGATTTCTATAAGCAAACAATTTCAAAGCTTATATTGGAATGCTTTTTTCTTCAACCACATTATAATACAGGACCTCATGCTGTTCAGTAATGTTTCTAACCACAAAAACAGGTAAGCAGCCTATTACAAAGTTCATTTACAATGGAAGCTGGAGGCTGTTGACTGCTTTTGTTTAACTGATGCTTCTGGACAAGTTTAGGTGCAGTTTTTTCTTTTGCATTTTGAAAAAAATATATTCATTTTTAAGTTTACCAAAGGACCTATATTTGCTAACCATTATATTTTCTTTAGGCGTAAAATGAGAATGAGGCACTTTTTTTTTTTTTTTTTTTTTTTTTTTTTTTTTTTTTTGAGACGGAGTCTCGCTCTGTCGCCCAGGCCGGACTGCGGACTGCAGTGGCGCAATCTCGGCTCACTGCAAGCTCCGCTTCCCGGGTTCACGCCATTCTCCTGCCTCAGCCTCCCGAGTAGCTGGGACTACAGGCGCCCGCCACCGCGCCCGGCTAATTTTTTGTATTTTTAGTAGAGACGGGGTTTCACCTTGTTAGCCAGGATGGTCTCGATCTCCTGACCTCATGATCCACCCGCCTCGGCCTCCCAAAGTGCTGGGATTACAGGCGTGAGCCACCGCGCCCGGCCATGAGGCACTTTTTAAAGGGCATTATTTGAAGGAAAAATAGGGGCTTTGATTAAGTCCATATTGAACATTTCCCATAAAGAATAAATTGTGACTAGGAATGAAACTAAGCAAGAAAATATTTAGCACTTTAAAAGTGGTATATTATTGGCTGGGCATAGTGGCACATGCCTATAATCCCAGCACTTTCAAAGGCTGAGGCAGGTGGATCACCTGAGGTCAGGAGTTTGAGAGCAGCCTGTCTAATATGGTGAAGCCCCATCACTACTAGATACAAAAAATTAGCAGGGAATGGTGGTACATACCTGTAATCCCAGCTACTTGGGAGGCTGAGGTAGGAGAATTGCTTGAACCTGGGAGGTGGAGATTGCAGTGAGCCGAGATCGTGCCATTGCACTCCAGCCTGGGCAAAAAGAGTGAAACTACATCTCAAAAAAAAAAAAAAGTGGTATATTATTTTATAATTTAGAGAGATAAAAAGACAAGTAAAAGACCTTGAATTTGTCCTGAAGGATTTCACAATCTGACCCTTTCAGATAGGCAATAAAGGTATTATAGGGAGCCTATTGAAATTATAGTAGTCAACTGCAACCATGTTGGTGATATCAAGAACTCTAAATACCTTCCCCAACTACAAGTTCCTACGTTTCATTATGTAGGAGATAAGGTTATAAAAACTAAAAGGACACATAATTACATATATTAATGCCAATGATAAGTTTCAGAAACTTTGTCTCAGATTATTGCCTGGGAAATTCATGTGAGAATGGGCAAGGTAGAAGAACCCAGGAACCTGAAGTGTAGAGAGAGAGAACAAAAGGCATCAGCCAAGCCAGCAGATAGTAAGACAAGGATACACTGGTAATAGAGCAGAAAGGCTTTGAGGCATGACTTTGAGAAAGTACAATTAAAGCTTGAATAGGCCAGGCATGGTGGCTCATGCCTGTAAATCCCAGCGCTTTGGGAGGCCAAGGCAGGCGGATCACGAGGTCAGTAGATTGAGCCCATCCTGGCTAACATGGTGAAACCCTGTCTCTACTAAAAATACAAAAAAACAAAAATTAGCCAGGCCTGGTGGCAGGCGCCTGTGGTCCCAGCTACTTGGGAGGCTGAGGTGGGAGAATGGTGTGAACCCAGGAGACGGAACTTGCAGTGAGCCAAGATCGCTCCACTGCACTCCAGCCTGGGTGACAGAGCGAGACTCCATTAAAAAAAAAAAAAAAAAAAAAAAAAAAACAAACCTTGAATAAATACAAAGGCAGTGTGGTATTCCCTAATATCATTTGACCCAGCAATCCCATTAATGGATATATACCCAATGAATATAAATCATTCTATTATAAAGACACAAGTACACATATGTTCATTGCAGCACCATTCACAATAGCAAAGACATGGAATCAAGCTAAATGCCCATGAATGATAGACTGTATAAAGAAAATGTGGTACATATATACCATGGAATACTATGCAGCCATAATAAAGAACACAATCATGTCCTTTGCAGGACATGGATGGAGCTGGAGGTCATTATCCTTAGCAAACTAACACAGGAACAGAAAACCAAATACCACATGTTCTCGCTTGCAAGTGGGAGCCAAATGATGAGAACAAATGGACACATAGAGGGGAACAACACTCCCTAAGGTTTTTTGGAAGTTGGAAGGTGGGAGGAGGAAGAGGTTCAGGAAAAATAACTAATGGTCACTAGACTTAATAACTGGGTAGTGAAATAATCTATAAAACAAACCCTCAATGATACAAGTTTGCCTATGTAACAAATCTGCACTTGTATCCTTGAACTTAAAAGTTTAAAAAAAAGATGTTATTGGTGTTATAAATAAGGTTAAATGCACACAGCCAAAATAATTTTCTAGGTTTATTCATAGAAATGATAAAATGTATTTTACACAAGAACCAATGATTTGGTGATGGAAAAGCATAAGACTGAGATATCCCAGTTATTAGAAGAGTAACCATGGGTATATTATTTATCCTTTCTTAGTACAAGTTTCCTTATTATACAATAAGGGTAATCCTAATTAATAGTCTTTTTGCGAAGATAAATTATTTGTATAATTTAATATAAATGTCCTCATAAATATATGTTTTATACACTCTAGAATTGCTATTTGTAGATAATATACTTAATTTATAAATGTAACATTTATTTATATTTTAGCTAATTATTTATATATATTCCATAAATTTAGTCTGATAAATAGGTGTACAAATTTATATTACTGTATTTTGAAATATGACATACTGAAGATTTTTTTTTCACTTTCAAGTTCAGAGGTACATGTGCAGCTTTGTTACATAGATAAACTTGTGTCATGGGGATTTGTTGTACAGATTATTTAATCACCCAGGTATTAAGCCTAGTACTCGTTAGTTATTTTTCCTGATACTATCTCTCCTCTCACCCTTCATTCTCTGAGAGGCCCTAGTATATGTTGTTCCCCTCTAGGTGTCCATATGTTCATATAATGAGGCCAGCATCATCCTGATACCAAAACCTGCCAAAGATACAACAAAAAAAGAAAATTTCAGGGCATTATCCTTGTTGAACATTGATGCAAAAATCCTCTACAAAGTATCAGCAAACCAAATTTAGTACCACATCTAAAAGCTTATCCACCATAATCAAGTAGGGAAACAAGGTTGGTTCAACATAAGCAAATCAGTAAATGTGATTCATCACTGCATTAGTCCATTTTCACAATGCTATAAAGAACTACCTGAGACTGGGTAATTTATAAAGAAAATAAGTTTAATTGTCTCACGGTTCTGCATGGCTGGGGAGGCCTCAGGAAGCTTATAATTATGGCAGAAGGCAATGGGGAAGCAAGGCACATCTTACATGGTGACAGGAGAGTGGTTGGGGGAAAACCACTGCACACTTTTAAACCCTTTTAAACCTTCAGATCTCATTGTTGTGAGAACAGCATGGGGGAAACTGCCCCATGATCCAGTCACCTCCCACCAGGTTCCTCCCTTGACACATGGGAATTACAATTTGAGATGAGATTTTGGTGGGGACACAGAACCAAACCATATCATTCTACCCCTGGCATGCTTTCATTTTCAATTCTCCCTCCGTTTCATTTTTTCTATCGCTAGCACAGTATACTATCACATTTCTAAAACTTGATTGCTCCAAATATATTTATTTCACTTTCTGAGAAATGAGGAAAAATGAAAAGATGCATAAATTATAAAATAAAATTCAAAATATTTTATTAAATGTTAAAGCTTAAGTTTTGTCTTAAATTTAAAATGACAGTAGCACTGAGAGAATAATCAGGTAAATATATCTGTAATTGTATGTTAACATGTTAAATGAAATACATTATCCCACTCCAAGGTGGAACCACATTAATGAGTGCAAAATGAGTGACTCTAGTTATGAGAATTTCAGATATGATCGTTGATGTGAGAAATATTTTAGTGCTCTAAGGCAGTGATATTTAGTCTCACTCAAAGTAGGGTAGATATACATTTTGCCTTTTATTTCTTTTTATAATATAGACTAATCTATCATTTTTGTTTTTCTGTTTAGAAGACTCTTTCTCATTTTAAGATCATGCAGTTAATTTCCCAGTGTTTCTTTCCATATATTTATGATTAAATGAATGCCATTAAACTTAAGCAGTTTATAATCACTGCTGCCATTCAAATTTTTCTCTGATTTTGCCATTTTACAGATAGAGTGTACACATTATTTGACTCTAAAATGTAATATGTAGTATGAGAAGGGATTTCTGTGCCTTTGTTGAGTTCTAGAGGCAGTTTTGGCAATACAGTGGGAATACACCATCTTGGAATTTTCAGTTTATTCTGCTAATATGTACACAGGGTCAGAATGTATGAAATGAGGAGCCTCCTAGAAAATTACTGATATATGGCTACATGATATATGGTCGCTATCTCATTAGTCACAGACCCTGAATAACACTGCGTCTTGGTTTGTTTACTACCTCCCAAACTCTCGCCCAATTCCCCTGGCTCATCCTTGAGACTTGGGAAACTGAGGCCTCAACACAAAGGCCCCTCTGCTTGGTTTCCCAGAAATGCAGACACTCCTATGATATTTTCTTCCTTGGTGAGCCGGTTTTTCTGCTGCTGGCCTTCACTGTTGTTATCTATACTTTGCTTACTTGATCATTATCTTAGCTAATACTTCCCTGAGGGATTTCATTTTTCTGTTTCCCATCTACAGCTTATTTGAGAGTGTGGGCCATTAAACTTTTGGAATGAAAAGTTTACAAATTTAGAAAAGTACACAATACAATATAAGAACATTACGTTTATATCTTAGACTTGCACCTCACTAATAAATTCAAGCAATTTCCCTGCAATTCATGGCTAATTAGTTTTCAATAAATATAGACAAAATATGGTTTTGTGCTACAACTCCTTAGTGTAGTCTCTCATGTTTACTGTTTGCTAAATATATCACCACCCACATGAGATTATGATTATTCAGCTTTGTCTGTAGTGATCATCAAATATCTAATTGAAATTTCTCCTCTCCAGCATCAATGTCTGAGATTTGTGAAAATTACCATCAGGTCAGAAACATCAAATCTTTATTTTAAGCTCACTTCCTCATTAGATAAAATGAATTTTGTTTAGAAGACAGAACGTTATGACCATACTTTAAAAATAAACCTTGTTTTGGTAGGAAGAACACTGTATCAGATTACCCTAGAGTTGGATTCTGGTCCCACCTGACACCTTGTAATATTAGGAAAGTCCCTGCACCTTCCAAAGGTTAGGTCTAGGTGCTCTCTAAATGTTTTTTTGGCTCTAAATATACACTTTAGTGTTTTTTTTTTAATAGGCTATATAAGATTTATACATAGATTCAAATAAGTGAAAATAAAATGATTTCTGAGTATAAGTACATATTTGTAATATGCATTAAAATAAATATATGACAAAAATTATTCTTTCAGAATATAGTGATGAGGGGAGAAGTCCAATTGTCGTAACTTGGTAGGTGCAGGGGAGTTAGCAGAAAAATGGCAAAGACATAAAAGATCACTATGTTTAAGGAATAGTTTTTAAAAAATTATTGTAAAGTAGATTTTGTGCTTCAACAAAAGAAAGAGTATGCAGAAGCCACACACAATTAAAGTATGAGATCTGGGGACTTAAGTGTTTCTCAGAGCAACATTTTGATCTTAGGGTTTTGAGAACTTTTAATTTGAACTTCTATTTTAAATTTCTCTCAGGGAGTGGGAGAGACAGGATTTAAAATTTTGGGCATACCCAAGGTGTGAAGACTAATAGGAAGTGCCCTACATAAAGCCAAGACAAAAAGGTCTGCTGTCACAATAAGGCTGAACAAGAAATTAGAACATTGCTCAGAGAGTTTGCAATGTCTTGCATGTCTTGACCTTGGCACTGAGTCAAAGGGAAAACAGGCTTCCCCTGAGAATTTATGACCATAAACAAAATTTGATTTTTGGCCCACATTCATAGTATACTGTAGGGAAAAGATAAATGTAAGGTGGTCTCTTATAGGTAATACATATATAAGACTGGCAAAAGTAAGCACACATATTCTTGGGAGAAATGCATATTTAACCCAGGCTTAAAATAACACCTAAAGATAACATTCTGAAGAGTATTATTCACCCGTAACCAAAAGTTCCAGAAGAATACAAGGCATAAAAAAACAAATTATCCTGGGAGAAAGCCAGTAGAAACAAGGAAACAGAATCAGATACAAAATTATTTAGATTTTGCAATTAGCAGTCATCAAATAAATTGTCTTTAATTTTTTAAAGTTTGAGAATATAAGCAATAAATAAGAGGCTACAAAAACAACTGGCACATTTGAGAAGGAAATGAATGGAATGACTAGAAAGAGGGGGGGGAAAGATGCAATAATTAGATTTAAAACCTCAATGGTGAATCAGATAGTAGATTAGCCTAGACATCAACAACAGACCCGAAAAATTTATTCAGACCTGAAGAAGTTATTTAGAATTAAGCACAGATGGGCAAAGAGATGGAAATTATGAGAGGGTAAAAAATGTAGGCCAGTGTATAAATGTCCACAACAGTATATACTCTATATGAGCCCCCTGCACCTCCCCAGCTTATCCACAGTTTTGCTTTCCATAGTTTCAGCCAACCTGTGGTATAGTACAACAAGGTGTTCTGAGAGAGAGAAAGACCACATTATTGTACTACAATATACTTTTATAATTGTTCTATTCTTAGTTATTGTTGTTCATCTTTTCCTGTGCCTAATTTATAAACTAATTTTAAACTTTATTATAGATATGCATGTATAGGAAAAAACACAGTGTACGTAGGGTTCAGTACTATCTGCAGTTTCAGGCATCCACTGAGGGTCTTAGAATGTACGCCCTGTGGATAAGAGAGGGACTACTATTTTTTATAGGATAGTATAAAGAGGAGGAAGAAGGCATATTCAACTAGATGATAGCTGGCTGATACCTTTGAAAATTGTTGAAAAACACATTGATTCTCAGTATAAACAGATAATAATACCTACATTCTGATACATCATAGCGAGCCAGCAGAAAAATAAACAGAAAACTTAATAGTAGACAGAGGAAACAGGCAGATTTCCTTCAAAGGACTGGTACTTACTCTGCTAAATGGTTTTTCAACAATGGAATTAGAAAACAGCAGAATAACATACCTGTGCTGGGCAAATACACACACACACACACACCCACACACACACACACACACACACACCCACACACACACACACCCCTCCCAAAATGGTCACCCTACAATTCTATAGACTAACAACATCCAAGAAAACTTTCCATCAAGAGCAGAGGCAAGATAACAAATCTACAGACAAACAAATATTAAGTTTACCACCAACAGACCCTCAAAAAACAAACTTCTAAATATGTAATTTAGGCAGAGGGAATACTATCACAAATGGACTGTCTTAGATGGAAAGCATCTTGCTAAGTAAAAATAATTGTAAATGTGTATTAAATACAAATAAACATGAATTGTATTCTAAAGCAACACAAAACAGCATCAACAACACTGTCTCATTTATGGAGCAGGAAACAGTATAGAAGAAAATGTTGTGCATTAAAATATCATATGTACCCCCAAAATATGTACAACTAGTATGTATCCACAACAATTAATAATAAATTTAAAACAATTTTGAAATGCTTTAGGAAATTTGCTTGTACATTTGATGAAAAGTATTTAGCATTAAAATATACTCACTGTAATATCTTTAAATTATTCAGGAGAAAGATAAAGATATGAATGTTAAAATGGTGGATATTAAAGCTAAAAGGTTATACAGGAGTATAATTTTCAAGGAAACAGTGGGAAGAAGTGAAATAAGAAAAATGAAAGAAAATATCAATCAGAGGAAAGCAAGAAAGGGGAAAAAATCCAAATGAGTTGCATTTAAAGTTTATGTTTTTGTTTTGTAGCAGCCATTGAAGACATCAGAAATTCTGGGATAGATTACAGCTTAAAATCTCAAGCTAGAATGCTGAGAAGTTATTAAAAAATGTTTTGTTCACTTGATATTTCAAATAGAAGCAAATAGAAAATATATATATATATATATATATACATATATGTAGGGAAACCTGATAATTATAATGAAAAAAACAAAGCAAATCAACACTTATATTAGTCTTCCCAAACAAACAAAAAAATTGGGAGTTTAATATGAATGAGCTCTCCTCAAAATACTGTATCATTTTGTCTCTAGAGCAACTCTGAGAAATAGGCATTATTGTCTCCATTTTACAGGTGACAAAACTGAAACTCAGTGACTTAAGTAACTCACCCAAGGGCCCACAAGGCTCCCTTGACCCGCTCTGGGAACTTGCAATGGGGATGTGGCTCAAGCCCTTTCCTGGAGGGCAAGCACGCAGGTGAGCAGGTGCAGGAGCCAGGGAGAGCGCTTTTGGGCTCTGGCCCCATGGCAGTGTTTAGGGGTGTTTTACAATTAATGCTCTTTTAGCAGTTGCTGTCTGCAGATGGCTAAGTGTTAACCATCTCAATGGAGAGTCAAGGTGACAGCCTTTTACACCCTGCCCTCTTGGTAACCAGGTTCTTGTGTGGCATCCAGGAAGAATCAGGTTACACAGACTTGAAAGATGCAGAGATTTTATTGAATGATGGAGGTGGCACTCAGTGGGATGGGAAGCTGGAAAGGGGGTGAAGTGGGAAAAGAATCTTCTCCTCTTGACGTTGAGATGCTTCTTCTCTTCTCTCCTTCTCTGCCAAGCCACTCTGCTCCTCTGCCAGTGGGGTTTGTGGTTTTTATGGGTACAGGATGTGGGGATTGGTGGGCCAGTGTGGTTTTGGAAAAAGCAACATTTTGGCTGGAAAATGGGGATAACTGTTCTCATTTAGGGGCCATAGTTTCCAGCCTTAAGGCCAGGGCCTTTGCTGGGGAACCTCCCTCTTCTACCCAGCATTTGTCTGCTTCCTATTTGTATCAATGTCAAGATTCAAATTCAGGTTTTCTCAAAGAAAGCTGTATTTGTTATTTTCATTGCTTCATAGCTGAAATGGGAGATATAGAGGATCATTTTTTAACTGGCATGGAAATCTTTATTCAGACCAAATAATTTGAAAATAATGATTCTGAGAATAAAGCAATCTAAGCATGGAGACAGTTCATATGATTGTCATGATTGATGATACTGGTTATCTGATTTCTGCTGCATTAAATCAACTGAGAAGCCCAGAAAACCACAAAAGCCTTGCTGTTCTGATTCCTTCCTCTTCCCCTCCCAGTTCCAGCCTGCCCTCACCACTTGAAACCTCCCCATTTCCTGCACAAGGGAAAAGCAAAATGTCAAGAGGGTTGGATAAGGCTACGACAATGCATACTTGCTGCTACTGTCACAAAGAAATCTATATAAACATTTTTATGAATAAATGTAATTACCAAAAACACTTTTGATTGTCTTGAATAAAATACAATACTTATAGTTGTACAGAAAAAAAACTTTGAGGGACCAGCATTTTAAAAAGCATATCTTTGCAATGTATAAATCTTTCTGTTAAAATTAATGATGTTGGCAGCATTACTAAGCAGACAGTAGAATTTGTACAATGGTAATAGTTGTACAACATTGAAATGCCTATGAGTATAACTGACATAATTCTTTAGCGGGCAGTGGTTAAAATTAAGGCAAAATCAGTTCCAAAATAAAAGATATTTTTAGAAAACTAGGATTTATTATGTTTGGAAACTCATGGTATGAGTTTTGGGAAAAGTAGCTTTATATTTTGCAGAAGGAACTATTATCTAAGAACAATCATTCATATAGCTTCTGATTTGGCAGTGATCCAGCGATATCATTATGACAGACAAAGGAAGCAGGGCTTTTTCAAGCTTTTTAATTTAGAAAAATAGATTTTGTTCGTTTGATTCTCTTTTCCATTTTCTATAATATGTTTAAAAGTGAGGATCTATTAATTTTATAAGGTGAGGATGCTAAGAAAGGATCTGCTATCACATCCATCAACCACAGTTGCCTAGAGCACTATTTGTTTCCTTCATGAAGAAAAATACTTTCTTGGATTCACTCTGCTCATTCTAGAATCATCTCCACCATAACAGGTGCAGATGAAAAAGCTGTTTTTCTAACAGTCCTGGAGTTACAAATCCAATTTGAGTTTAGTGATTGAGGCCCTATGTTCTTTTTTTAATGTAACTTTAAAAAGCCTAGGGCTTTCTATGCAACTGGTTCTGATTAAGTATAAGTCTGTCTTTTTACATGTTGCAGTTTGTCATCAAGATTCTATTAGAAGCCTCATTGTATGATGTCCCTGTATAAAAATCTCCAGACTTCTGTCATACAGGATTTTGCAAAGGACATTCTAAACTGTGTGGTCTGAGGAATACCTGCCTCAAGATTCCCTGAGGAAGTAGTTAAATTGCAAATTTCTTAGCTGCATTCATAATCTACCA
Source organism: Homo sapiens (assembly GCF_000001405.40). Taxonomy (NCBI): domain Eukaryota; kingdom Metazoa; phylum Chordata; class Mammalia; order Primates; family Hominidae; genus Homo; species Homo sapiens. Next base: position 9,643,095 of record NC_000009.12, on the reverse strand, counting down.
ACTCAAATCTCTCTCTCCCTCTCTGTCATACACATGTATGTGCTCATGGAAACTCATATTTTAGCAAGCTTTTCTATAATTCTTGTATGTAGAGAAATTTTAGAACCAGCTTTCTAAAAGTTTAAAGACAGTTGAAGGTATTCTGTTTAAAGAACTTTGAAGTTTGACACTTAGATTTTGCACTAGGTACAAATCACAGCTCTGTTTTTGCAACATACTAGCTGTGGGACCCTAAATATGTTCTCAATTTCTATGAGCCCCAATTGTCTTGTATGAAAAATGGAAATAATAATACCTGTTTTGCAAGATTGTGTCTAAGATTTAGGGAGCAAATATATTTATAGTTCCTTGAGTTGCTTAAAATATGATCCTTACTATTTACCTCTGTGTGTGTTTTCTTTAGAACCAACACATATCTGAGTAGCAGTACTAACCTATTGTTTCTGGACCAAAGTGTGGGTCCGGCTGCTATTTCTCGTGGCCCAATAACAAAATCAAGATGAATTGGGGAGGGAGAGAGCTTTCATATCTGCAAACAGTTACAGAGAGAAGGCCTGGAAATTATCACCAGACCAACTCAAAATTACAAAGTTTTCCAGAGCTTATATACCTTCTAAGCTATATGTCTAGGTGAAAGTATGCATTCATCTAAAGACATAAGTGATTAACTTATTTTTTTTATTATACTTTAAGTTTTAGGGTACATGTGCACATTGTGCAGGTTAGTTACATATGTATACATGTGCCATGCTGGTGCGCTGCACCCACTAACTCGTCATCTAGCCTTAGGTATATCTCCCAATGCTATCCCTCCCCCCTCCCCCCACCCCACCACAGTCCCCAGAGTGTGGTATTCCCCTTCATGTGTCCATGTGATCTCATTGTTCAATTCCCACCTATGAGTGAGAATATACGGTGTTTGGTTTTTTGTTCTTGCGATAGTTTACTGAGAATGATGATTTCCAATTTCATCCATGTCCCTACAAAGGATATGAACTCATCATTTTTTATGGCTGCATAGTATTCCATGGTGTATATGTGCCACATTTTCTTAATCCAGTCTATCATTGTTGGACATTTGGGTTGGTTCCAAGTCTTTGCTATTGTGAATAATGCCGCAATAAACATACGTGTGCATGTGTCTTTATAGCAGCATGATTAACTTATTTTAATCTATAGCTAAGGTCTGAGTCCTGAGGCCTTCCTCTGGAGTCTCAGTAAACTTACTTAATCTAAATGGGTCCAGGTGCTAGGGTGATTACCCTCATCTTGTCTCCTGCTAAATCACGGTGGTTTGGGGAGTTCCTTCAGCCCCGCTGGCAAACACGTTTGTGGAGGCCTGGGGAGTTTCTTCAGACCCACAGTTAGACTTGTTTAATCCTAAATGGATCCTGTTAAAAATTCCTTTGTTATTTTTGTCATGCTTTAAGGTCCAGAAAAGGCCTAGGCAAAACTGTTGGTGGGCTTTTCTTACATCCCAGCTTTTGTATAAGGGCACTGGCTTTTAATATTTAACTTAACCACTCAGTCAGTACAGAAACAGTTGTTATGGAGGTCTGTGTCAGTGAGATCTGGCCTGACACACTATGGTACTTTCCTATAGCCTCTTATCATTTCTAGCGGGGAGTGTGCTCAGTTCATGGGGTTAAAAATGAATCCCTTACTTATCTTTGCCTGCTCATCATCTTATTTGAAGAAAGGGATGTGGAAACCTAATGGTCTTTTTGCAAAATACTAGCAAAGATTTGAGCCTATCCTGTCACTTAGACAACTAATTACACCATTACATGCTGCATTTACAATTAAAGATTTTCAGCTGATGAAAGGCATGTTCACCACTTTATCATTACCTGATATTTCCTTGCCAACACTCAAGAGTATCATGATTTTGATGAAATGAAAACAACTCAAGGAGCTACATTTGCTAAGCAGCATCAACAGAACAGTTCAGAAAGCCCATTGCAATTCCCTTCTGCCCCATTGAATTTTTCCATTGAGCTATTTAAAGCTATAGCTTTCATTATTACCTCATGGAGCTTGTTGGCTGCCAAAATCATTAGTAATTTCTGCTGATCCAGCATTGCCAATATGAGGTATCACTACCTGTTAGGCACATAGAACTATTTTGGCAGTAAGCCAGTTGGATTTGATCTTACGTTGACTCTGACCAGATCATTCAATTTAAATCACTTAGTGTCTGCAGTGCTTGGCATATAATGTACTTGCTTTAAGTATCCGTTATTTACAATGACCTCTTAGCAATAACAGGATTGGATAGATGGCCTAGGGCCAAAGGATACCCTCTTAAGATTCTCTTCTCCCTTCTTTTTGATTTATTGCTTCCTGGGGTCACCCCTCTACTTCCCAGCCTCATAAATGTGATCAAGACCAATCACTATTCTGATGATTGGTCCATTTTAAATATTTATTTCAAGTAATTGTCTAACTCCTCCATAAAAATTCTTCTAATGATTAGAATCTTCATACTTACAGGCTTACCTTCTATGTGAACATATATTTAAAAGTTCTTCCACATTTTATCAGTTATGATTCTGTTCCACGTGACAGAAAACCTGATCTAACCTGTCTTGAATGAAATAGTGATTTATTGCCTCAACTAAATGAAAAGTGCAGAGGCTTCTGGCAGGGCAGAATATAGAGATAAGAAAACAATGTCAACAGGCCCTTGTTCCTCTCTCAGTTCTGCTTCATTGCTTTCACACAGGGTCTCTCCCTAAATGCATAAAATGACTACACCAGACTTAGGATCTTACATTGGCTCAGCTTCAAAAACTGTTCCTCGGAAAGAGTGCCAGTCACTGTTTAAGCATTCCAAGCAAAAATCACATTGCACCTCATTGGCCATATTTAGATCACATGCATGCCACTGAGATCATCACTTCTGGTGAGAAGAATGGGGTACTCTGATTTATTTTGCCCAACACCACATATCTGCTCTTGAATCAAGGTTTGATCAAGGTCTACTCATCCCACATGGGCTGAAAGTTTCGGTATGGGTCTCTAAGATGAAATCAAGGTTCAGTTACCAAGGAAAGAGGAAACAAATTATTGGAATATCTTTGTCCTTACAGTCTAACAAAGTTTACCTTCTTAGGTGTTTCTATCATCAAGTAATAATTAATTCCTCATACTCTACAGAACAAAGCCTGTATTTTCTTTTCCTATAATCTCTTCATTTTGAAGAAATAATGTTCTTTCTCTAAGCTATAATAAATTTAGCTTAGAGATAATAAGATCACCAAAGAGTTAATACAAACCTAAGCAAAGTCAACAGAGATTTAGTATATGGAACAATGGATATAATACTTGAAAACACATGAGAATTACCTGATAGGGCACCAAAATGTAAATATGCCTGTGTATCAACGATACCAGATCTATCACCCATAATTTTGGAGGACCTCAAAGGTATTTATGTTTTTAAAAAGCTTCAGAATAAGTCTCATATACAATTTTATTTATAAAATCATTGATCTTTATAGAATGAGAGAAACAATATAACTGTTATCTACCTGGCAAGAGAATAGCTGAACAATTTTGCCTAGTACTAAATGTCGTATTTTGGAGGTATTGAGATAAACATAGCCTGCTAATAGGAAAATGGCCAGAGTGAAACTATGCCTTTTGAGAAACAGAAGCAACTGGCCACATGGATAATAAGAATAATCCAAAGCTAAAAGGGAAACAATGAATATCCCAAGGAGTTTTTCAGAAAATGTTTGGTATTCATCTGTCCGTTCACTCAGTAAATATTTAATAAACACAAACTATAAAATGTAGGCACTAAACTAGATGCTAGCACTAAAATGATGAGTAGAAACAATCCTAGAGTCTACTTTCATGGAGCTTAGGATCTAAGACTGAGATAAATAATATTAACACAATAAGTTAGGCTGCTGTTGCTTGCAGACCCCAAATCAAAGTGATTTAATAATTATTAACTCATAAAACTGTAAATACAGATGTTGGAAAGGATTCGAGATTTGCTATGGTTTGAATTAGTCCTCCAAAATGTATGTGTTGGAAATTTAATTCCGAATGCAACAGTATTGGGAGGTGGGGCCTTTTGGGAGGTGTTTTGGTGATGAGGGCAGAGTGGCATGGGTTTGTGCCATTATGAAAGAGTTTGAAGGAGAGAGTTTTGTTCTTTCTACTCCTTCACCTTCTGCTCTGTGAAGACATAGCATTACTCCCCTTTGGAGGATGCAGCATTCATAGCAACATCTCGGAAGCCAGGACCAGACCCTCACCAGACACCAAATCTGCCAGCCTCTAGAACTGTGAGGACTGTCTATTGGTTATAAGTTAGTTTGCGGTAATCTGTTATAGTAGCACAAACACACTAAGACAGAAGTTGATACCAGAGAAGTGGCCTGTTGCCTTAACAAATACCTAAATATATAGAAGTGGTTTCGGCACTAGGTAATGGATAGAGGCTGGAAGAGTTTTGATATGAATACTGGAAGAAGTCTACTTTGCTATGAATGGAGCATTAGGGTGATTCAGGTGAGGGCTCAGAAGAAAAGAAGGGGTATAGGAAAACCCTCAGTCTTCTTAGACATTACTTAATTGATCATGTCAGTGAAGACTTTTCTGATGAGGTTTTACACAGAAACGAGGAACAAGGATATTTAAAACTGGATAAATGGTCATTCTAGTTATAAAGTGGCAAAGAACTTTGATGAATTATATCCATGCCCTAGGACTTTGTGGAAGGCAGAACTTAAGAGTGATGAACCAGGATATTTGGCAGAAGAAGTCTCTAGCAGCAGCGTTCAGAATGCTGTGTGGCTTCTTTGGACTGCTTGTAGTAAAATGTGAAAAGAGAGAAATGATTTCAAGATGCAATTCATAATTAAAAGAGAAGCAAAATATGAAGATTTGGGAAATTTTCAGCCTGGCCAAGTAAAGAATAAAGCAGTATTTTGAGAGGAAAAAATCACAGGTTTGATATGGATATTAGTATGGATAGAAGGCAGCCTGATATTATTTATCAAGACAATGGGATAATGACCCCAAAGACATTTTGAAGAACTTTGAGGTATTCCCTCCTATACAGGCCCAGAATGCCAGGGCCTTTGGGGTGAGGGCCAGGGACCTAAGGCATGAGCTGTAACCTTGGTGATGTTCACATGATGCTAAGTCTGTAGGCTCACAGAGTATAGATCTGTGAAGGCATGGCTTCCTTCCACTAGATTTTAGAAGATGCCTCAGAGAGTCTCAGTGCCAGGTCGAGACCTACTGCAGGGGTGGAACTGCCACACAGTGCCCCACTAGGGCAATGCCGAGCAGAACTGTGGGATCTGGGCTACCACAGAGAGTTCTCAATAGGGCAATGCCTAAGGAGCCATGGGAGCAGGGCCATTCCAAAGACCCCAGAACTATAGAGCCACCAGCATGCAGTAGCAGCCTGGAAAGGCCTCAGGCATGCATTTCAATGTATGAGAGCTAAAGCATGGTCTGCACCCAGAAAAGCCATATGCGGGGAGCTGCCCAAGGCATTAGGGGAACCACATCCACCCCAGTGTACCAGGAAGGTGTGTAAATGAGTAAAGGAAGATTAAGTTCAAGTTTGAAGAATGCTATTTATGCTGCTGAGTTTTGGAATTACATGTGACCCATTACTCCTTCCTTCTTTTCTATTGCTCCCTTTTGGAATTGGAATGTATATTCTATGCTTGTTTTACCATCATATTTTGGAAGTACATAACTTGTTTGATTTCACAGCCTCACAGCTGGAGAGCAAGTTGCCCCGATACGAATCTCACCCATATTTGATATTTAAATGAAACTCTGGACTTCAGACTATTGAGTTTATGCTAGAGTGAATTAAGACTTTGGGGGCTATCAGGGTGAAATGAAGGTATTTTGTGTGTGAAAATGACATAAATTTGGGGGTTCTGGGGTGGAGTGCTATGATCTCAATGTCCCCCACAATTCATGTGTTGGAAACTTAATCCATACTGTAATAGTTTTGGGAGGTGGGGCCCTTTGGGAGATATTTACATCATGAGAGTGTTATCTTTGTGAATGAATGAATTCCATTAAAAAGGGTTTAATGTAGGGAGTTCGATTATTTTTTCACTTCTGCTTCTACCATGTGAGGACACACCATTCCCCAACTCTGGAGGATACAAGCTTCAAGGTGCACCTTGGAAGCAGAGACTCGCCCCCCTTACCAGATGCTGAAATTGTTGGCACATTGATCTTAGGCTTCCCAGCCTCCAAGACTATGAGAAACAAATTTATGTTTATAATTTACCTCATATTTGATATTCTGTTATAGCAGGATAAAGAGACTGACACAATGTTAAATAATTAAATGGCTCAGTGACATAACTAAATATATTGAAATCTTTCTCTCTATTCTGCCACTTTTGTTGTTGGGTCATCCACAAGCTGGTGACAATCTGTCTTCTATACTTTCAGAGACTATACCCAAACACAAAATATCCAGAGGAAAAAGAAGACTGTTTCTCCTTTAGTGTCTATCATAGATGTGGTGATAAGATTCTCAGAATTCCCTCATCAGATTTCTTCTTATATCTCATTGACCAAGTTGAGGCTCTGTGTATGTGTATATCTATATCAATATCTATATAACTGTATCTACATCTATATCTATATGTTTGAATCTGTCATTGGAGAAAGGTGAAGGAATTCCTATGTTTGATCTAAAGTAATTATCTAATATTATGTGGATGTTGAAAATCAACCAAAATGTCTACTACAGTCATTACTCAATAAATCAAAGAAACAAATGTAAAATTACAAATGCAAACTATGCAAAAAGTCCTAGACATTGTTTAAAAGTCTGTACCATGGAAATACAGTGTCGGGAAAGACTTTCCTGAGGAGGCTTAAGGAGAAATGAAAGTTAATAAGTAGGGTTTGAATGAGTGAGGAGTGGGCAAAAAAGTGTTTCAGGTCAGGAGAAGAACACGTGAAAAATATCCTGTAAGCTGGAGAAAATTGAGCAAATGAAGAACCTGAAAAAGTGTGGTGGGGCTTTGACTGAGAGTGCAAAGATGGGTCTTTGCATTTAGATGAAGCTGGAGAAAGCCTTACATATATCAGTGAAGAGTTTTGTATCTTTTTCCTAAGAACAATGGAGAGTCATTGCAATATCATTTTTTTCTGCTGTGAATGGGACTTAAAATGAACACTGGGAGAGAATAATTTTTCCAGGTGAAGGATGGTGATACTTTGACTTAGGTGTTGGTAGTGAAAATGTAGAGAAGTAGATTGATATGACATTTATTTAGAAGGAAAACTTGACAAGATTTGAGATGGTTTGCATGAGTGTTTTAGGAAGCAAGGAAGTAGGTGGTGTTGACAATGACTTCTGGGTTTCAGGCTCGCTGAAGTAACTGGTAGTCCAGGGAAATGAACCATGTTGAGACTCTACAATAAGAAGTAACAGAGTATCTGAAAAGAATGACAACAAGGCTGACAGGTTACAGGAGTACTGCATTTGAGTTCCTTAAATCTGTCAATGGTTCCAAAATCTGAGCAATGGCTTTCTTCAGCTGTAAAAGCATAACCCACACAGCTCATCACAGTCCCCAGAATTGAATGAAACTGAGTGACCAATCACTCTTGGTCCATGTGAAATCATTGAGTGTCCAGCCAGAAGCTGTTTCTATAGGAAGCACTAGACCTTACAATAAAGTTCGGGAGCCACTTGGTGCGAGAGGAATATGCTACCTACCCTGAACCAAAAAGCTTCTAAGTTGGACATACGGGATTTAATCATTTAGCAGACTCTTCCACTAGCAAATTGCTGGAAGGCCAAAAAGTAACACACAGTATGCTCTCAATGTACTTTGAAAGCATACATCCCTCAGACATAAGGGGGTTTCTTTATTTTCTGTTGATGATCTTATATCTTAAAAAGGAAAGAAAAAGAAGCTTTATAGGCTTATTCCAGTTTGTGTGGCTACAGATGTCCTTCTTAGCCATAGATGGACACTGTATCTCTAATGGTCTAATCCATTAAAAAATAGTAAGGATATGTCCTATTGCTCAAACTTTAAATACCATTCACTCAATATATTGTTGAACATCTAATCCATCCTTTCATTTGTGTTTCACATATCCTTATTTTATCTTAAATCTTTTCTTTGCCTCCTACAGCTTTACACATATGACTTACCTCTCTGGCTGGTTATTCTACAATGTAGCTAACATTCAAAATAGCACAAGTACTCAACATAAAAGTAACTTGTAATCCCTGCTCTGTGGGAATTGGTACTTAGAGTTCCCATTAACACAGTGGGATGTTATATTATACACTTAACTCTATACACATTCAAATTAAAATATATACGTAGTATGCACAGAAATCTACTCAAATAAGATATCATGATTTTTGAGCTTTAAGAATTGACTGCTTCTTGGATTTATCTTTTGACAAGATAGAACCTGCTGAGAAAGATATTTTATTTTGTGTTCATATTTTGGTGGTTGTATTAGAGAACAAGAATTTTACCTGGTAAAGATATGATCAAGCATTTATTTCCTTCCTCTTATGGTAGAAACAATTATGTGAATTTTAAATAATCAGCAAATTTATTGTTGAATTACCAATAGCAGAAACAAACACACAGTCTCATGGATTGTATAAATTATATTTGCCATTGCTCTCATTTATTGCTTCAGTCTTCTAGTTGCACTGATATTTCTAGCATTGCAATTAATATTAACAATGACCACTTCTTCCCCATATCATTTCTTGTGAGAAATCAGGAAAACAAATAAAATTAACATTTATTGATGAGCTATTATTTACCAGACTCCACATTAGGTGTTTTTAGGTACTTTAATGTTTATAGTAATTTCAGTATATCCACCAACGTTTTTGATACACCCATATTTGAACAGAGTTTTGGCATATGTTAATTTGGTAAGGAGCATCATCCCTTTATGATGATGTAGAATTTTTGACCACACAATTGAAGCTGCTTTTGTCAAGATGAACATATTACTCTCTGGTATTATATACCATTTTTAAGTAAAAAATAAAAAGAATTAAGATCTGATATGTGCTGTCTATATCATAAAGATTTATATTCAGATAACATGTTTTTCTCCCACCCTTGACAGCAGTATCATAAAGGGGAAAAGTTAATCACATAGACTTCTAATTTGAACTTGGTGATTTACATACAGGTGGTTTTTTGGGCAAGATATACTGCATGAATATACAATCTATTTATGTTAATGATTTGCACTGGAAAAGACAACACATTATTTTGAAATAGTCTTCAAAAACTTTCTAAATTTTAAGCAGATGATTTTACCTTAAAAAATATGTTTGCGATTAGTGTAGCTTTCCTCCTGTTCTACCTTCATTGAGCCTTACCCTATAACTATAAATATATGGGATAACCTACAACCTTTAGAAAATATTTTTAATTATTACTTTCCTTCGAACATGAATAATAAGATTAACCAGACTGAGCTGAGGGAGTGAGCTAGAAATATCTCTCACTGAGAGAGAATCAGACTCCTTGCTTATGATAGCTATAAAGAAATAATATCTGCTTATAATCACTTTTAACCTTACATCTAAATTCTATATGCAGTGGCAATGCAAGGAATTAATATATGTGTTATTTTGAAAACATGCCTAGATTTTGGAAGTCGTTTGAATTCTTTGATATTTGGTGACTCCCTACAATCTATAAAATACACTTCAAATTCCTCAGCAAGTGTTATCTTGAATTTCCCTACCCACTGACCATAACTTTTCTTTCTTTTTTTTTTTCCCTGAGATGGAGTCTCACTCTCTCTCCCAGGCTGGAGTGTGGAATGCAGTGGTGTGATCTAGGCTTACTTCAACCTCCGCCTCCCAGGTTCAAGTGATTCTCTTGCTTCAGCCTCCTGAGTAGCTGGAATTACAGGCGCCCACCCTCACACATGTTTAATTTTTGTATTTTTAGTAGAGACAGGATTTCACCATGTTGGCCAGGATGGTCTCGAACTCCTGACCTCAAGTGATCCACCTGCCTCCACCTCCCAAAGTGCTGGGATTATAGGCGTGAACCACCATGCCTAGCCAGCTACTCTTTCTAATTTCATCTTTTTGTCTCATACCTTCCCATTTGGCTATAATGTTTCCCAAGGGCACTCTGTTTCTTAGATCTTACTATTCCTTCTCCATGAAATCTCTCTCTTCATTCAAACCTAACAATTCTTCCTTGTTCATTAACACTTGCTCAAAATCACATCCTCTGGGAAGTCTTCCAAACCATTCTTAGTTCCCATAGTGCCACATTTTTATCTTTATCTATATTTATACCTATGTAACTGTCCCATTTATTTTATAGTTTGTCAGGCATCCTGTTGAACCACCTGGTAAAATTCTTGAGGTCAGGGTTTATGTTCTACATAAAAGGTGTGTAGAAGCAGAAAAATGAAGCAAACCAACATTTGAACTATCTCTCCTTTTTTTTTTTAACTTTCTCTCTTTTGTTTTACTTTAAAAAGTATGATTTGTTTAGAAAAAATTCACATACCAAGTGCACCATTTGCAAGTGAACAATATAGTTGTTTTTAATATATTTACAAGATTGTACAATCATCACCACTACCTAACTTGGAAACATTTTTAATACTCCTTCCCTACAAAAACAACCATCAAAAGTCACTTTCCATTCTCTCCTCCCCAACTCTGGCTATCAATAGTCTTCTTTCTACTTTAAAGATTTGCCTATTCTGGACATTTCATGTAAATGGAAACATTTACATGAATCATTTATATACAGCCTATTGTCTGATTTTGTTTCCTTAGTGTAATGTTTTCAAGGTTTATCCATGTTGTAACATGGACTGTATTCATACTTTATCACTTTTGATGGTTGTGTAATAGTCCATCATACAGATAGTCAACAGTTTATCCATTCAGCAGTTCATGGACACTTGGATTGTTTCCACTTTGTGGCTATTGTGAATAACGCTGCTATGAATGTACACATACAAGTTTTCATGTGGACATATTAACTCTTTTCTGTCATGCTATTTTGTTCCTAGTATCTTTTGCATTGGAATGATTTGCCATGATTTGAGAAATTCACTTTATTGTTAAACCCTTTTTCCATTATAAACCTTACTTTTTATATCACCTGGTGAGCTTCTTAGAGAGAATTAGTATCAGCACTAATTCTTTATTGACATGTAATGATTTATCTTTTCCAATTACTTATATTTTCTAATAATTAAAATAACTGCCCGGCAAGTGGCTGAATTGGGTTATTTGTTCTTGTGGTGTAAATGAGGCTCTGATTATTTTTCCATCGTAGGATAACGCTCCCTACTAATTTTAGGTGGTTGTTTTTATGCTTTGCTGTGTCCAATATCATCAACACTGACAGGAGAAGATGCACTTAGAATATAGAGAGGGCAACTTGCTCCTTTCCCTATGTTACCTGACATTGCTTGTGTCTGCGCTGGGTGAGGGATTAGGCTGAACCTACTTGACTTGTATTTTCTCTTGTAATACAACTCTGAAACCTGCTGAATCTTACAGACTATGTTTAGAAAACAAGAAAAAAAGGCCCTATACTTTGAATAAAGAGTGCTGCTTCAAAAACTCAGTGAACCAAGAAAACTTGCAGCTTGCTTTTACCCAAATGAGTCAAATTTAACATTTGAAAGAATAACTTGTGGCTGAATGTGCATGCCAAAAGAAACTATTGATGTAGATTATAAGGACTATGATGTAATCGTTCCTTCAGCTGTATCTTGCTGCATATTTTCACAATTTGTAGAATTTTATACCTAGGAGTAACATTAGAGTCTATACTCCACCCAGAGCTCACTCTTTCTTTTTTTTTTTTCTTTTTCTTTTTATTTATTTATTTATTTATTTATTTATTTATGAATGAGATACTTGTCTAAGGAGTACCACAGCTGCTTGTCTAAGGACCACACAGCTAAGGAGTAGCAGAACTGAGGATTAAATCCTTGTCTATGTGATTACAAATGCTCTGCTCTTCATATTTTATACAGTCTTTATTGTTTTTAAATGACAGAGTCATGCCTACCTCTTTATAGTTGACTGCCCCTTTCATTAAAGGCATTGAAAATGAAAGGGATTTATATACTTCGCATCCATTATTCCTGTATTTTATCCTTTTTGTTTTCTAATGTACTACAATTTAATTCCTTATGTTTTAATTGACAAATATTTATTGAACATCTTTTACATATAAGTACATTCTACGTCCTGGGAAATATTGCTTACTATCTAATTCCTGACCCAAAGAAGTTTACAATCTTATTTGTGGCACCAGACATTTATGTAAATAAATGTAATAAAATTTAATATGTGAATATTATAAAATCAATTTATTGAAAAGTGTCCACTATTTGGAATATAAGAGGGGAATACATTTATCTTCCAGTCACTATTTTCCTCCCGGATTTTGCATACTGACTCTCCTCTTTTTCATCAGCTCTTTTAAATGGCATTTTACTCAAATTTCATAAATTGTCACCAATTTTGGTTAATAAACATTTCTTATTCAAGTATTTAAGCCTAATTCTAGTTCAGTTTACAATTTCAAGGTCAATTGTTATCTCCTTTCCTCCCCTTCCGTCACTTCAGGCTAGTGCTGTACCTTCAGGGACTCGAAGTAGAAGGTGTAGGAAAAGTGGGACATTGGTTGGATCTTAGAAACCATCCTCTCCCTGCCTTCTCCTTTAGGTTAATGAGAGGGGAAATCAGGAAAAGAGCAGGTCTCTTCTTAGGTAACTGGAAAAGATCAATTCTTTTTCTTTGCTATATAAAACCAACACCTGGTATGTTGTCTATGACCTAAATGAAAATGGTGGCAACCTCCAACCTATCCCCATTAAGAAGAGCTTATCTTCACTCAGCAAGCTTCAGCATTTGTAAGTCCTGTAAAAGACCTGGCCAGTACTTCTGGCTGAACTTGTGCTGGCACATCTCCCCTAATGCATGTGTTTCCATATAATCCTTTTTCTTGTGGTGGTCCCAGAAAACCTGTGTCCTCCTCCTAGAGTAACTCTCAGATCCAGGGATACACAGGGCACCAATCTTCCTTACTTTCCAAAAGCTGGAAAAAAAAGGGAGGCTGCTGTCTTAACCTTTTCCTTCCTGGAAGTTTTTCACTTTGTCTAATCTCACCTACTCTCATTTCCCCTACTCTCTTGCTACATAACAAGCCAAGATCACTGCTTAAGCAGACATCCACTGGTGAGATACAGTGCTGGTTTTTCCTTCTTGTAAGCTGTCAGTGTAGTTTTGGGTAATTCTTTTTAATCACCTGTCTCTAGCGGTTTGAATTCAGAAGGGAAAGAGCCTATTCCTTTCCCCAAAAGACATTTTCCTCTCTCCTTACCCTCTTCCATCCACGGGCATAGGGATAGAGACAGCAACAGGTAGTTTGTTGTTGGTATCTGTTAGATCAAGTTATCTGATCTGTCACTCCTCAGTAATTCTGGTGCAGAATAGGCTGTCCCTCAGGGCTGGTGGGTCTTGGAATTTTAAAGTGAAGTATTTTGTGCATTTAATTTCTCAGCTATAGGTCTTAGCCACAAGTCTAAAAATATCCCCAAATTACAATCAGCATCCTGTTACATATGCAGTAATAAAGATTCAAAGACAGTTTTCTGGCCTATGGAAGAAGACACACTTGCTATTAAAAGAATGAAGAAAACAGTCCTGAAATAAAGGAAGTGGCATTTTAGGTGGTTTATCATAGTGATATATAATTAAAGTTAAGTAACTAAATAAATACCTAAAATATAATATATATATACACATATATACATACATACATAAAGTGTTCATATATATATATATATATACACACACACACATATATATCTCCCCAGAATTTTCATTTTTTAATTTTTATTTATTTATTTATTTTTTCACAGAGTCTCGCTCTGTCACCCAGGCTGGAGTGCAATGGCGTGATCTTGGCTCACTGCAACCTCCGCCTCCCGGGTTCAAGTGATTCTCCTGCCTCAGCCTCCTGAGTAGCTGGGATTACAGGTGCACACCACCATGCCTGGCTAATTTTTTTGTATTTTTGGTAGAGATGGGGTTTCACCATGTTGGTCAGGCTGGTCTCAAACTCATGACCTCATGATCTGCCCGCCTCGGCCTCCCAAAGTGCTGGGATTACAGGTGTGGGCCACTGCACCTGGCCACTATGTATATTTTATAGAAATAAAATCATTATATATAAATATGTATTATGATATATTTGATGTACATCAAATCAGTATATATAATGATTTTATTCCTATAAAAATGTATAGAAATTTCATAGAGTATTGAGATTACATAATCATGGAAAAACCTGAGAAGATAGTTAATAAATAGTCATTAGCACTTGCCTCTTAAGATTACTAAGAAGGAGGTTGGAATTGGGAATGTCTGTTTCTTTCAATATTTCTAAAGAAAATAGTATTTTTTAGTTACTTTCTGTCATTAAGAGTTTTTTAATCTGAAATATCTTTGGAATAATAAAGCTTTTGCCAAGGGGAGTGAAAGGATTTGAGCTGTTCTAGGAACTCTGTGTAGCAGCTGTGTGCAGATCCTGGATACCAATGGCAAGCTAAGAAGTGAAAGAGATGTAGCAATTGAGAAATCATCAGAATGGATTCTGAAAGATGTATGGGGAGATATCAAAGATGCCAGCAGAAAGGGGGAACAAAAAAGGGAACCTGGCAATTGATTGTGTTTTTGGATATGCTGATTTTGAGCTGCTGGTAGGATATGGAATAAGCCCCTGTAAGAGCAAAACTAGAGCATGAAAGATTCCTCAGAGTGGGCCATGGACGCAGGAGTTATCACACATGTGTTATGGGTGAAGTGACTGGAGAGACCAAACTGGGGCCACAGGAAGGAGAAAAATTAAGAAATAGTGTCAGCTAAAGCCTACATTTATACAGTATCATAATGAGAGTTGACTAATGATTAAAATTTTAGAAGGCAAATCTGTGAGAAACAATATAAGTGGGAAAACTAACCAAAGGAAATCCCATGTTAAATGCAAATATACAAATATTAGTTTCTTATATTTTTGAAGCAGTTGTTGAAGAGTATCCAACTTTCTTGAATACATTGATGTGCCACTTAAAAAAAACATATGTTGTAAAATATAGGTTTTGGTTACTCCCCTCTCTCTAACATACACTTTTTCTCTAACTTCTCTAACCTCTGTTATACCCTGCTGTTTCTCAGCACCTAGCATAGTACCTAACAAGTCATAGAATTTAATGAATTTGTAATAAAGGAAAGTCAGTCACATACATGCAAATTCATACTTCAGAACTATTGGGGAAGAACTGATCTCAAATGGCTTCACATATTGAAACCATTCTAACCTTTCTTGGAAAGCTCTCTCTCTCTACCACTGTCTCCTATTAGTCTTTATTAGAAAAAATAGGAAGAATTCAGCTATTCAACAATTGTGCAAAGCAATTTAAGTGTTATTTGTTAAAATACAGTTTGTGTTACACTTTATCGTTACCTCACCCTCCAGCCCCACCTTACAGAGAAGAAGAGAAAACACTGTGAAGTTCTACTGCTATAGAAATGTAGTTACTTTTTAGAGAAAAATCCCATCAAGTAGTTCAAATTGATTCATTGATCTCTAGCTCTCTCATCAGAGCAAAGTAACAAATTATTAACATAGATGACAAACGAATACACACAAATTAAGCAGGAGAATTGACTAAGCATCTACAGTGGACTTTGTTATTGCTTCTGCAAAATAGAATTTTTTTGAGACAGAGTCTCACTCTGTCGCCCATGTTGTAGTGAAGTGGCCCAATCTCGGCTCAGTGCAACCTCTGCTTCTCAGATTCAAGCGATTCTCCTGCTTCAGCCTCCCAAGTAGCTGGGACTACAGATGTACACCTGGCTAATTTTTGTATTTTTTGGTAGAGATGGGGTTTCACCATGTTGGCCAGGCTGGTCTCGAACTCCTGACCTCAAGTGATCTGACAGCCTTGGCCTCCCAAAGTGTGGGAATTACAGGCACGAGCCACCACACCCAGCCTGCAAACGAGAATTTAATTTTCCTTGAAATCTGGAAAGCTCCCTGTCTGTCTTATACTATTCCTAAATTATCTTGAAATTCATATTAAATTAATACTTCATGTTGACAGTTTGTATCCTTCAACTTGCTTCTCCCATTTTTCCTTCATCTCCTTTCACTTAACATTCATATAGGTCTGTTATGTTGGTGAGAAAAACAGATTTGGAGGAAGAATGTCTAAATTTGTGTTTGTATGGATTGTTAATTTGGGGCGAGCCATTTCATTTTACCTCTGAAAATGTATTCTTATCTCTACAATGGGTAACCCTAACCCTACCTCAGAGAGATTTGCTTCAGTTTCAGATTAAATATTATATGTACAGTACTTGTGTCATAAATACTCAGTTCTCATCAATGAATTAAAACATACCTGACTCTGTGAAACTTTTAAGAAAAATCACCTTTCTTTCTCCCTCCTTTTCTCCGTCCCTTCCTTCCTTCCTCTTCTTTTTCCATTTTTAATCAAATCATTCAACTAAAAGTGCCAACACAGGTTTCAATATTTGAAGCCATTTGAGATCGATTTTCCCCCAGTAGTTCTGAGGTAAGAATTTGCATGTACATGAATGGCCTTTCTTTACTACAAATTTATTAAATCCTGTGACTTGTTAGGCACTATGCTGGCTGCTGAAGAACAGCAGGGTATAAAATCAGACAGAGCCTTAGCTTTTAGTCCACTTTGCAAGCGTCATTATAAAAGTAGTCATTACTAGCACCCTACTCACACTAAAGCACTGCACTACCACCGGCAGATATATTCTGAGTTACGTGAAAGGAAATAAAAATCAGGCATCTGCTCTGTCTAGTGGAGAGTGGGGCTGGAAGCAAGAAAACTTCCTGGATATTTTCTCATTTTGAACTTTTTAATTCTAGACCACACGTTGATAAACTGTGGCTCGTAGACCTAATTCAGTTCTTTGCCTGTTTTTGCAAGTAAAGTCCAGTTGTAACTCAACCATGCTCTTTCGCTTACCTATTGTTGATTGCTGTTTTTTTGTGCTACAAAGGCAGAACTCAGTAGTTGCAGCAAAAGTTTATGGCCCACAAGGACAAAAACATTTATCATCTAGCCTTTTACAGATAAAGTCTGCTGACTCCTGCTCTAGAGAAAAACCTCTACCAATGTCTACCAGAGAGCTGGTTCCCTAAACAAGACAGAGACATGTTATAATTGCCTCCATTCTTTCTACAATTAACTGTTCTTTGCTTTGCTGGCCGTTCGGATAAAATGTCCCTACTTGTTGCATGTGAAGAAACTTCCCATAATGGCCTCATAATTCCCTTGCTGCGACCCATACCATCTGCAATAACCTAAGAGATTTCCCGTAGTTATACAAAATGGTGACTATCTCAGACTTTGAGCCCTTATGTTTTTCCATTTGGTTTGGTTTTTATTTTGAGTCCCATCCTCCCCTCACTCAAAACAAAAAAAAAAAAAATAGAGGAACAATATTTGGTCAGGAAATCACCTCACAGTAATTCAGAGAAGCTGTTGGGGTGGTACGGTCCAATCAGGATGCTGGAGCTGCCTATGGTTAAGAACTGACAGAAGCTCCCAGACGCTGGTGCTATTAATACAGTGCGAAGACGTACTCCTAGCCACTCTAACAGCATGCGCCAGGTTATAAGCAGCTTACAGGTATTCACACTTGAGCAGCACATCAGACACCAGCCAATAGGCTTTCTTGTTTTACCTGGGATCTGTGCACTCCAGCATGTGCTTCTGCTCCCTTGCCCATGTCCACACTCTTCTGGCCTTGTGTGTACTGTCCATATCCCCACTGTGACATACCTCCAACTTTAGAAGGAGATGTCATAGAATGGAAACAATCCTGGATAAGGACTGAATAAAGGCAGGTCCAAGAACTACTGTGGACTTTAATGGCTTGGTGACTTCGAATAATTTGATTTCCCTGTCTAGGCTTTCAAGTCATCACTATGGATTTAAGAGTCATTTAACAACAGTGGTTATTTTTGGCCCTGTAAATCAGTAGGCACAAGGCAAGTATTTATTTTTCTTCCTTGCAATAATTCTTTAATATTGTGTTGACCAAATGTTAAAGAAAAGCACACTTAATAAGTAACCCAAGGCCACACTGCTGGTAACCAACAGATTAATCGCAGCTACATTTGACTCTAAAACCCCCACTTTTTTTTTTTTTCAATGCATCTATTCAGTTTATTTGTAACAACTTAACCTAAAGAAACATGGCCAGAACTCTGAGAACTGAGACTGCTGGAAACTCCCCAGATCTGCATCTGTTTGATAATATTAAATCGATCCCACTGAGATGTTTGAGAAAGTAAGCAAACTGGGCTTTTTAACTTTGTGGTGGGTTTCAGTAAGCTGGGCTTTGACAGTTACAAAATAGTTATGGTGGTTAAAACAACAGCTACCAAAATACGGCCAGGTACAGTGGCTCATACCTGTAATCCTAGCACCTTGGGAGGCCAAGGCAGGCAGATCACCTGAGGTTGGGGGTTTGAGACCAGCCTGGCCAACATGGCAAAAACCTGTCTCTACTAAAAATACAAAAAAAAAATTAGCCAGACATGGTGGCATATGCCTGTAATCCCAGCAACTCAGGAGGCTGAGGCAGGAGAATCACTTGAACCCAAGAGGCTGAGGTTGCAGTGAGCTGAGATCATGCCACTGTACTCCAGCCTGGGTGACAGAGTGAGACTCTGTCAAAAACAAACAAACAAACAAACAAAAAAAAAACTAGCTACTGAAATACAAAGTAATAGAAATAGTCAACCAGCAGAAGACAGGAAAGTAGCAGAGTTAATAGTGCAATTAAAAAAAATAATACAATGTAAGATGATGGCAATTAAGACTTGCTTTATCCACTACTCGGAATAAGTATTTTCATTTTCCACATAACCATAGTTACATAAGGACATTTGATTATGACGATCATGTCATTGGTTGATCTGTGTCTGATTTGCTCTAATCATTAGTGCTTTTTATGAGCTCATATTCCCAGAAATGCTTTTGTTTTTGAGTTTCCAGACCCACAAAACTAGCTCGCTCTTTTCCTCAGTTTTGAACTTTCACTGACATGTCTTTATTTTGCCACTTCCTCAAAATTTTAGTTTTGGGCAATCTAAGAGAGATTGCACGGGAAAAATATTGTAGAATAGTTGTAAGAAGCACTGTTTCTTGAAAGTGATATTTTTAAATCCACTGACTTGTTTTCACAAGTTGACTGTCAATGTATTGTGGAATGCTTTTCAAGCTTTAGTATATATGAGATTCTAATTCAGCAAATCTGGGATGGAACCCAGGAATTTGGATTTGTAGCAAGCATCCAGATGGCAGCAGGCTGGCCATTGTACCACACAGGAGTAACCATGTAATTGATTGTTGTATCATTTATTTCCCACGGTGTGACACTGTGCTGGGTCTTTAGTAAGAAATGAATCAATAATCAAAGGTGTTACTAGAAAGGGGGTAATATGAGGTACTCATTCATTCATCCAGTGATTCAATGGTTCAGCCGTCAGTGAGTGCCTGTCAAGTACTGGAGAATATTGCCTATACTGGAAAAAGACACATTGTTATACTGCATGCTTCTGAATAGCACGGCATCTAATGAGGGGTTTTTAAAAGTGAAAACATCATTTTGAGATAATATGTAGATGTTAGTAAAGTGATAATTGATAGGAGTTAAAGAAGTGATGAACTCCTACTGCTAAAACATCCTCATTGTGCAAAACTGAAAGAACCACCCAGTTTCTTTTAAGTCTCTGTTTCTTGATTCATACAAAGGAGATGCTAGTAAGAAAAATACAAAAACAATATCTTGTCTCAATATAATTATTATATGAAATGAGTTACGTGAAAGTAAGTTGGTAAATTGTGAAAGGCAACATATATGCAAGTAATAAAGGATTTATAAATCTCTTCTTTATAGATTTAGCTATGTCTCCCCAGCCCAATTTGGTATGGTTGATTGAATGCCTAAGCTAACATTTTCTATTACCACACAAGGTAGCAAACTGTATATCTCTATCTGATTGCTCATTGAAGGAGGCATAGGTAACCTATCTCAATGATGTGAAATCTCTAGAACTTGAGGCTGTATACTCATGGCATTCTACCTGAGATTTTAGAATCTTTTCCCTTAAAGCTGCAATGGCAAATAACTGGTAGAGCTGCTAGATGTAATAAAGACCCCTGTTGTGAGATTCCTGAGCAGTGTTTATCCCTTTACCAAGTATGCAAAATGTATGCCATTGTTGGGTGATCTTTAAAAATGCTCCTTGCCTTAATATATCTATGTTATTTTAACATTATAAATATATTTTACCAATACTTTGAGTTGACTTTATGAACTTTTTTTCGGTGATCCCAGCAATGATCAGAACTTACATGATGGTGGGCTTCAGTAATTCTCACTGAACTTGTACTAAGCTTCATGGGAAATGCAGCGTATCAGAAATTCAGTGATAAGTTAGTATGAGATTTTGTGGACAAACATTTTAGTAAATCTTTTTTCTTCTGAGATGCAATAACATTTTATTTGTACAATACGTAAATGATAAAAATAATAAGAAAAAGAAACTTTCATCTCCTGTATATTAATCAAGGGCTTAGCTAGGCTGTACTAGTGGAGATATATTCAGCATGACATTTTCCACATAATGTGTCTAGTTCTGAAATTACTACTTGATTGCGTGGTATATGTGTCTTCCTGTGAGAAAATAGGAAAAGCAGAAAATAACCCTATTTATCTTGACAGTCAGCACCCTGAATTTTGTGTTTAATGAGTGTTAAACAGGTAGAATCAGAGTTGAACATAGCAGGTCTAATGGTCTAATTTGAAGAACATTAGTGCCTTTTTATTGCCTATCTGATAAACAATCACATCAAATTATTCTTGTTCCCTAATACTTTCTATGTAGAGTCTGTGTTTTGAGAAAGTTAGTAAATTGTGAAAGGCAACATATATCCAAATAATAATACTTGTAAACCTCTTCTTACTTTGTAGAGATGACCAGGTCTCCTCGCCTCCGTTCAGTATGGGTGACTGGATGCCTAAGCTTATTTGCCTTACTTTATAGGCAGGGGATTTTAGAAGCCTTCAAGAGGAATATGTTGTAAAAATAAAACAAACCTAAATAAAGTAAATAAGGCCCTGTCCAGAACACCACAGGCAGCACACTCCGTGTTTCCATCACACCATCACTATCCACACAGAGCTGCCGGCTGAGCATGCTGCTGCATCTAAAAATCACCCCAGCCCAGGCGTGCTCCACTTCACACTTTAACTAAATGTATTAAAGAATAGAATGCCCCTAAAACCAGATTGCACCTTATAGTCTTCTTTTTCAAAGGGTTTAAAAATGTCTTAAGGAAGGGTAATGCCTATTTGGGATTTATGATTATGACTCATGGGCTTTATTGTTCATCCTGCTTTCACACTGAGCATCCACATCACATCCACAGGAGAGCATCCAAAGGCAGCCTCATCGCTTAAAGTTGTTTTGGTAATAATTTATTCCAGAGTCTGACTCCATTGTTCTGCATGTATTACACAGAACTTCTATGGAACATCAAACATATTTATTGATAGGAGAAAATTGTGTCTTTATGAGCGTTTCTATAATAAAATAGGATGAGGGATGTGGAAAGTCATTGGCAGTTTCAGTTCAAGCAGCACCCTTCAGGAAGAGAAAAATGGGAATGTTTTTATGAACATGAAATAAAACTCTAAAAATAGATGAGATGTTCTAATATCCACTGTTAGATAATATATAGGCATATTGTCCTTTGTGAATGAAGAGGGCACTGCAGATTCTTTCTTGTTGCCAAGTATTCACAGTTAGGAGAAATATTATGCACATCCTCCTTGGTATTCTTACAGCCTGGTCAGTGAGTACTTCCACAGGAATTAATTAAGAATACTGGTTTAGTGAGGGGTTTATTTACCTCCCACTGCAGACTAACCCCTGCCCAGAGACACCAACACAAGGGGAATTGGGTCTTACATCAAACACTATTGGTATGATAATTCTCCATCTGTGGAGCACTGACTGGCTTGCAATAAAGGCTATTACCTCGTTGGCCAAGTACCATATCATTTCCTTGCCTACTAATGCTTTGCTCTTTTTTTTTTTTTTCTCCTCTCTTTCAATTTGCATTTAGAAGAGCTAGCAACCTCACTTGGCAAAGCTAACTGCTGATGTAGCTGACGATAAAGTTCTATGTCATCACTTGAATCTCAAAAACTCTAAGGAAATGAAGAGCTAACATATATTATGTTGATTTTTTTTTCTGAAGCCAGAACCTGTTTTAATTGTGTCAAAATAGTGAAAAAGAGTTATCTCAATGTGGGCCTAGGTCATAACCTTCAAATTGATGTTGAAAGGTCAAACTTGAAAACTACAGGAGGTAGAAAGGAGCTAATTGAAATAAAAGAAATAATGTAAAAATTGATGAGAAATACAGTGAAACTTGAAATACTCTGTTGTAAGAAAGGGCTTAATATTTTATTTGGTATGGTTTAATATTGGAAGGAATCAGTTCAGATGATACAGCTCTTACATAAAGAATGTTATGGAATACAATCCTCCCAAGATACCAGCTGAGGATAAATATGGTTATCAGACTATCTTATTTACCGGCCTAGCATTGAAAAGTAGGTTAATTAATAGATTAAAGAACAATTTGGCATAGTTCTTACCTTCATGGGACTTACAGTCTAGATAAATGTAGGTATCGGTATCCTTTTATGCTCTGAAATGTGTGCACTTTTCTTTCTCTGCAATTTCAACATTAGGGCTGTGCTCTTCTGAATATTCATCATCTTCTGTTATGTGGAGGACCTGGAGAACATTAAGTAGGAAATTAGAAATTCCAAAACATGGGTTTATGAATCCCAGGCAATTGGAAAATTCATCAGAAGGACTTCAATGCCAAGGAAAACCATACAAGGTTAACAATGCCCATTCTACATACTGAAAACAAACTCTCTCCACCTCTCTCTCTTTCTCTCTTTCTCTCTCTCTTTCTCCATATATATGTGGAGATATTTCTATCTATATGTAGAAATATCTATCTATATTACATATATACTTCTATACTGAAATATCTGTATATAAAAACATCTATATTATATATAGATGTTTCTATATAGAAATAAAAAGCTAACATATATAAAGATTAAATATATTTATATAAATGTATTTCTATATAGATAGATATTTGTATATACTTATATAGATTATATATAAATATTACATCTATAGAAAATTAAATACACGATTATATATAAATACATATATTTCTATATAGAAATATTTGAATATATATTATAGAAATATTAAAATATTTCTATACAATATAAATATTAACATATAGATTATTATATATAGATATTTGTATATTATCTCTCTAACATATATGATATATTAATCTAGACATATTAGATAATATATGGAATTTCTATATAAATATAGTCATTTATATATTATATTTATATAATATAATATATATAGATTATATAGAATATGTGAATATATACCCACACATAGACATGCTTATATAGATATATATTAAATTGTTTTTCATAATTTAGGTTGGATCAGTGTCAAAGTTTAGCCACCTTCTGTGATATTTGAAGCCTCCTCTTCATACTTTCTCCCTTCTTGAGAGTTTTGTCATTTATTTCCTTTCTCCTGTATCTTAATCGTCTAGTCTCAAAATGATACTGCAACTTCATTTCAACATCTGCAAGTCTATAATCTTAAACAACCATAAAACCCTCCTTGACTATAGCTGTCACCTTTCTTTTCATAGTCAAGTGTCTTGAAAGAGTTGTTTTCTCTAAGTGCATACCTCCTCACAACTCATGCGTTTGCCTTAGTATAATATGAAATTTGTACCACCAGTCCACTATTCTAGTCAATGATCTCTACATTGCTAAAGCAAAAGCACATATTTTTTTATTCTTTTTCTTGTTTTCTCTGTGGCATCTCGTTTCAGAAACATTCTTCTTGCTTTGCTTCCAGGACTCTACTCTCTTCTGCTTTTTCCTATGTCTTGGGACATTTATTCTCAACTACCTTCAGAGGTTTTTTTTCCTTTGTTTGCGACTTAAGTGGCAGTATTTTCCAGGGCCTTCCCTAACCTCCTGCCTTTCTTTCTATACATTATCCTTGGGTGATCCTATTTAAATTCAAGACTTCAAGTATCACCTTGAATATTATGACTTCCAAATCTGTATCTCCCACTTAAAATTCTTTCCTGAAATTCAGAAGTATATATTTAATACCTACTTGATATTTGTATTTGAATATCTGATACCTATCTTACATTAAACACATCCCAAAGATAATGTATTATCTTACTACTTTCACTTTTTTTCCTTCTGTTTCCTCTCTTTAACAGTACAGTTTCCAAAGATTAAGATCCTTCTTTCTTCCCACCCTTTCCACATCAAGATCAGTTACTCACCTTCCTAATATCACTTCCATCTGTCCTCTCCTCTGCAGTGTCACTGCCATAGCTCATGTTCTCAACTCTTCTCATCTAGGGTATTTGGCAAAGCCAATTGCTGATGTAGCTAAAAATAAAGCACTATATTATTGTTTTTTTTTTCTTAATCCATAGGTATGGAGGAAAAAAGAGGTTAAAGTGTAGTCTCTAATGACTTGAGTAATCCTCTAATTTTGCTAAATCTCAACTTAAAATTGTGATAATACTACTGTCTTCCCGGAAGGGTTAGTATAATGATGAAGAGTGAGAATACATATTAAAATCTAAGGATGGTGTCTAACACAGATTAGATATGTGACATTAGCTTTTCCTTTTATGTATTAAGGAATACCCCACCTCCAATCTTGCCTTTTTCCAATCTATTCTCCAACCAGAAGACAAAATCTTTTTTTTTTTTTTTTTTTTTTTTTTTTTTTTTGAGATGGAGTCTCGCTCTGTCGCCCAGGCTGGAGTGCAGTGGCGCGATCTGGGCTCACTGCAAGCTCCGCCTCCCGGGTTCACGCCATTCTCCTGCCTCAGGCTCCCGAGTAGCAGGGACCGCAGGCGCCCGCCACCATGCCCGGCTAATTTTTTGTATTTTTAGTAGAGACAGGGTTTCACCATGTTAGCCAGAATGGTCTCGATCTCCTGACCTCGTGATCTGCCCGCCTCTGCCTCCCAAAGTGCTGGGATTACAGACATGAGCCACCGCGCCGGGCCCAAAATCATATTTCTTAAAAAAAGTCAAGATAAAAACATCTAAACATCCTTCCAAGGCTTAGAGGACACCCTCACCATCCTAATCTCTTACACTGGCCCTACTTCACCCCACCCTTCAAATACTATGCTCTGGTTTTATAGAAATCCTTAGTGTATTCCCAAAGAGACTTCTTTTTTCATGCACATTTACCTTTGCAGAAGCTTCTCAGTTTACCTAGAACTCTCTTTTTTCATTCAACGAAATACCTGCTCAGCCATCAGGACTCACACACATTTGTCAACCTTTCCATACACTTCCATTATTCAATCTGTGTCCAGGATTATCCTACTTATTTCCGTAAAAGATTGTGCATAGTTCATTCATGACACTTTATATACTTTACTCTAATTGTCTATATTATATTATATCCTACCCAGTAGTACAATCAGCTCTTCTGTTGGTACATTATCTTTTCATAACTCTACCTCCAATAACATGCTTTTAATTAATGCAGAGGACCTGAATTAGTTTTTAATTAGACTGGCTACGAGGAGTCTAATTCTCCTTTCCACTCAGCAGTTTATCCATTCTGGTTCCTCTTTCTCTGTAGATATATATTTCTAAGATTTCCCTTCTATTAATAAGTTGGAAAAATAAAAATATAAAACTCCCAGAATAAGCATTCTATTCTTTACAATTAAGCTCAGCATCACATAACAAGAATAACAATATTAACAGTGGCTCTTTTCACAGGGTGAAACTCCAAATTGGGGTTCATTCTGGGAGGTCACTTGAGTTCTTGGCTTTATACAGGAAGGAATTTTAAGAGTTAGCCCACAGAGTAAAGGGAAAACAAGTTTATTTTAAAATTGACCATAATTGGAAGTAAAACACTCCTCAGCAAATGCAAAAGAATGGAAATCATAACAAACAGTCTCTCAGACCATAGTGCAATCAAATTAGAACTCAGGTTTATTATGAAATTTTAAAAAAATTATAGTGGCTACTCCATAGGCAGAGCAGCCCTGAGAGCTGTTGGTTGGCTACTTTTATGGTTATTTCCTGATCATATGCTAAACAAGGGGTGGATAATTCGTGAGTTTTCTAGAAAAGGTCCAGTTTCTATCTGTTTTCTTATGTGATCATGAACTTTTTCATATAGCCGTGTTTTAGCCCCAACGAGTTTTGGGGTCTCTTAAAACTCTTAGCAGCCCTCACGAATAAGATCAGAAGTCATGATATAATAATAAAACTAGGTCTACTAGGAATTTATTTCAATCTTAAAATTTATTTCGTGTCTATGAGAAAACTTAGAATAAACCTTATGTATTTGAACTTGAACAACTTTATGTATTTGGAAAGTGGGGTCGTATCCTAGATGCATTGTCTTATTTTGAGCTTACTTTTGTTGCGATAAGATTCACAGAAACTTACAGGAACAGTAACAGGCAAAGGAGAAACTTCTCTTGTAGGCTTGCCAGATTTAGCAAATAAAAACACAGGGCATGGAGTTAAATTCGAATTTTAGGTAAACAAAAAATAATTTTGGGGGGTGTCACTGTATTACTTGGGATATACTTATAAAAAAGAAAATCATCATTTCATTTGAAATTTAAATGTAACGAGACCTCTGTATGTTATCGGACAATATACTCTTCTGAAGCGTGTCTTTCTTTCTTATGAGCCTGTATATTACCGTATCAATTTGGCAGAACCAGGAAAGCTCAGAAGGTAAAGACCATGTCCTATATAAGCACTACAGGCTAATGCATTCTAGAAACGTTTTGATTTCTATTTGGATAATAAACCTTTAAAAATATTACGTTCATTAGTCATTATAGAAATAAAATGGAGTTTTCTTGGACAGTTAAGTTTTGGGATGGTTACAAAATAGAGAGTAGTTATACACACAGCCATCCTATTGAGAGAGGACTTGTTTTGAAGCCCAACTCTATCACTTGGCTCTGAGTACATTTTCTAAGTTTAAGGCTTAGTTACTTCATCTGTAAAATGTGGATTATAATACTCACTTTATAAGATTTTTTGTCAGGATTAAATTAGATAATGTTTGTAAAGAGCCTGGCACAAAGGTAATTCACACTAAGTAGTAGCCCTTATGATAGCAAAATGATCTCCAGAACAATTTTCACTTCTAATTATAGAAAGCCAATCTAGCAGTCTGGATCCAACTAGGAGATAGAAACCATACAGTAGGTTAAAGAGGGAGTACTTTAATGAACAAACAAACAAACAAACTATGGTAAATGTAGCTATAAGATAGAAGGAAATTTTATATGGCAACCTAAGCAGACAACCCTTGATCCAAGGAAGGACAAATAGGGAAGACTTCCCTTGGAGAAGACATGGTTTGGTAATGGAGAGCAGAGATGTTTACTGGTTTGGCCGGGCTGGAGCTGTCTGGTGCTGCTTCACAAACACGCCACCCTTTATAGTGCAGTGCCAGCAGGTGAGGAGCAACAGATCAGCGCCTGGTGGCCGGTGTGAAGTGCAAGGTAGTCCAGGTGCTGGTGGAGGTGGAAGGTTTTCAGAGCCTGCACCTGGCAGGAGGAGCAACTACTTGGTGTTGTGAGCCTCTGGGACGCAGGTGGTTGAGTGCAGGCCAGCTAGGCAGGGCTTGCCCAGGGAGTCCAAGGTGTCTGTGGAAATATTGCCAGGTCAAGGCAACAAGGTCACAAAAGGACAAGTATTGAGCCAGTGGCTGCTGGGACATTATCTATTAGATATTCTTACACCCACGTTGCTGACCCTTCTGGCCTGGGCTGGAAATTGCAGGAAGCCCCTTCCTCCTGCAATTTCTCCCCAGTGCCTTCTACTGAGAAAGCTTAACATCACCTTCACTTTAAGGAGAAATGCTTAAACAAATTCTGTTGATTATTATATTGAAGGGTGCATTGGGAGCTGAGGCAATAAATTGGTAAGTGACACAGCAGATATGCCTAACGAATGCAGAGATAATCTAGAAATCACCCCACCACAAAAATGTGTTCAAATACTGTGTTCTGCTCTACAGCTTTTTCAGTTCTGTGTTTTTTGATATGAAAAATTGGCATATATAGGTATAAGGTTACTTTAGTTCATAATTTAAATATGAATATCTATCAGCATCATGATAGCTATGCATATACTGCAAAATAATTTGAAGAATTACAAAATAGCACATCAAAGAGATGCTACGGTCTATTGAATCAAAACTCCAGTTTTTGAAAGCTGCCTAAACATAATTTACCTTTCTGGTGTCAGTTTAAAATTTGCACAATAGACCATGATAACTTCTGAAGATCTCATGTAAATAATGATCCATTTAATATGTTTTGCAAAGAAATATATTTTAAACAGTCTTTTACATTGCATTGATATATTGTGAGAGGGCTTATTTTTTCCTCATTTAAAAAAATGTTTCTCAGAGAAAATAATAAAAGAAAAATTACTATGCTGATCATGATGCCAGGGAAAAAGTAAGAATCTTTGCAAATATGAAGTTAGTTGAACTGCTGAGAATTGCTTTATTATAGCAAAGTGACATGGTATTTGAATGTATCACACTGGTAATCAGGTCAGCATTGATCCACAAAGATCTAAAATTAACCACTTTGTAATCTCTGGCAATCATAAACTTTCCTTCCTCTAATTTCTTTATCTATAATTATAAATATATGTATATTATATATTTATACACACATACGTATATACATGTTTTTAGCAACAATTGATTATTTATTATATGCCAGACACTGTACTGAGTACATTGTATTTTCATCACACTTCTATTATGACAACATGTGAAGAAGGTATTATTGATGAGGACCGTGAGGAGACTGTAACAGAGCATCATTTCAAAAGCTGAACAGCTGGGATTTGAAGAGTTATCTGTCTGTCTCCAAAACTCCCATTGATTTTAGGCATGTTTCTAAATCTAGGTTAAAGTAGAGATTTATATTTTATTATTAGAAGTGTTATCCAGAGCACTGCTTCTCAAATTTTCACGTGCCCACAAGTCACCCGAGGATCTCTATAAAATACAGGCTCCTAGTAGACTAGGGGGTGGGCCTGAGATTCTAACAAGCTGTCACTTGGTGCCCATGCTACTAGTCCATGAACCATACTTACTGTAGAAATGAGTAAGAGAAAAATGTGATTGGAAAAGACCGATATATTAGTGAGATCCAAATAAACTTAAGATTTCAGCTGTTCAACTTAATAGAAAAACTAAAGAGATCAATGAAGGATATGCTTTGTAACTTCTTGGCTCTAAAAGAAGAAGGGAGAATTTGGGAGATCCTTCTGTAAACATCATGAAGAAACTCACAACAAGGGCAAGAATGTATCAAAAGTAGATGGCAAAAAGAACAGAATGCTTATCTATCTATCACACCCAGGGACAATGATCGTGAAGGCAATTATCATTAGAACTCAAGCCAATGTCTTTCTCAAGATAGCTGAATGCTTAAAACACTAATGTGATAATTTAATAACTGATTGAATGACGTTTTTTAGATTTATCATTAATTATGTTCATTATCAATGTAATCGAAAAGTTTTAATATTTAAATTGTTTATATTTGTTAAATGATTTCACAGTTTTCAAAATTATTCCACATGCTTCATATGATGCAATCATATATATATATATATATATATATATATATATATATATGTATGTATGTATACTGCAGCCTAGCTATTATATGTATGGTCCCTGAACCAGCAGCATCAGCATCATGAGACTTTGTTCAGAAGGCGAAGCTTAGGCCCCAGCCCTACCCTAAATCTATATTTTAACAATATCAGCAGTGGCTTCATATGTACAATAAAGTTTGAGAACCACCGGTCTACAGAAGTGTGATTTTAAAACTAGAACTGGCCATGTAAATACCCTAGAAAATATCTCAGTATTGTTTTTCAAAACTATATTTAAACAAAATATGTTCTTAAAAATAGATGAAGTTCTGAATATGTAATCACACACTAGCAATATTTCCCTTGACAGCAAAGTGTTTCTTATATCAACATGAATCAAAATAGTCCAAGCAGAGGCTGCTCTTGAAGAATTATGTATCTCCTTTTTTTTTCTTTTGGCTCTCAAATTTGTTTTTCTTATATTCCTTTTTTTTCAAAGATTGTAGTGAAAAATTACAATAATTACTATCTTAGGATAATTGGCTGATGCTGACCACAGGTTATGATTCCATCAGCATCTCAATTTTTGAAGTGGAAGGAAAGAAAGAAAACAGGAACGCAGATCATGAGAGAGGAAAAACCACTTCCTTAATTTTGCTGTCTACTTGCCCTTTGAGTTTTTATATGCACACCTGCACTCTGGCCTCAGCAAAACAACAGGTGCAAACTGCAGATGGAGCCTATCACAGTTGCAGACAGACACATCTGCTGCTAGTTACATGATTCTGAATTTGAAATATGCCCAGCAGCAACCAGATTTGTGTCGTGGGGTGGCAGGGCAGAGGGCTTCTGTGAACAGTAAGCATACTCACAAGCTGTACTATTCGCATCTGAGAACTCAGTCAAGACCACCTTTCTAACTTCATTTCAGAAGCTTCAGTACTGTTTTTTTTATTCCCCCTACAGATAGGTATAATGAAACATCTTTCCACAAATAAAAAAAGAAAAAAGGAACTTAATGTAAATATGTACTCAATTTTATTACACAATTTTCTATATTCATTTACATATATTTTCATTATATATAGATAAAATTTATCAAAATAGCAGATAAATTATGTCTCTCAAAGCTGAAAATTTAAAATATATTGATAGTCATGTTAAATTATTTTTTCTAATTTTACACTAAAAAATATCTGATATATTTAAATTCTTGTGAAAGTATATAAAGTGTCTGTCAAGTCTTATGTATATGAAATTACTACAGGAGATTTTGTTCATGCCAGTTCAAAGTGCGTATGAGAGAGAGAATGAGCATAGCTTTATTATTTGAAACATAATTACATTTTTATGTGTAACATAAACCAGGAATTAATATTCCATACTTTAACCATATCAACACTAATATTTTTACTGTTAAATACTTCTACATCAGTCAATAAATATACATGTGTCATCAGACTATATATAAATATATATACATACATATGTCAATGATTGTACAATGGATACACACGTGGGTGTGTGTGTGTGTTCTGAAACTATGGATGACCAATATAATATGAATAACATTATTTAGCATGAAAATATATATGACTATGTTTATAGTCATATACAGATTAGATACATCCAAATGTTTTATACATCAGATTCTATGTTAAATTTTTAGAATAACAGTATTTCCAATTAAAGATGATGTTATTGACATATACAAAAATATTCAGCACTATCAGTAATTAAATAATTACGAATCAAAACAATTATATACTATTTATTTTTCTTGCAAAATTTGAAAAAAAATTTATAATGGTCAGCATCAATGCTCTTCATTCACTGCTGGTGGAGATATGTGTATGGCATATAGCAAAAACATATTAAATCATTTGCGTATTTTGATCTAGATTTTCCAATTCTGTTATTTATATGTCATCATTAAATAATCAGATGCTACTGGCTTTATGTGCAGAGATGTTCACTGAAGCATTTTGATGACAGTGATAATTTGAAGACAACCTAAATATTCAACAGAAGGAATTATGGTACATCATGTAGCCATATTAAAAGGTATTGTATTTGTACATTAAATGATAGAGGACGATGTTTACAATATGATGTTAAAAGAGAGAATTACACACAAAATTAAGGGTACAATAGAAGACTAATTTTGAAATTACATATTCAATCAATGTGTTGAGTGCCTAATTGCTTGTTTTTGCCAATCACTGTTCTAGGTGCTTGGACATACTGGTCAGTGAAATGGTAGCCCCTGGTCTTCATGTGGGTTGTTTTAGCAGAAATAAAACTGGAAACGAAAGTTCAAAACTTTTACTAATAAATATTGTTGATAAAATTACAGATGATTTTTGTTTTCTTATTTTTACCTTTGTCTATCCTCCAATCACCTACAATGAGAATGAATTACTTTTATGATTAAAAAAAGGTAATCAGAACAATAATTATACTAGTTAAAATGCTGCTTAACCAATACTGTCTTCATAAATCTCAGATAATTGTCATCTTTCATCCTTCTCAAGTTTTCAAACATCCCCTGTAGACCTTAAAGTTTAGACAATATTTGTAAAATAATATTTCACTTTCCCCCATCTATTCCAAGGTAGCATACTGGTCTCACTAATTTGTCCTAAAAAAATTCAATGAAAATATAATTAATTGCAATTAATGTGTAAATATGAATCCTTGCTCCTAGAATTGGTTACCCTAGCATGATTTAGCACATTTCTAAGTGATTATCAATCCGTTGATATTATTGCTTTGCTAGTGCAAATGTAGTCTTAATTCTCTTTATAATATAACTCAATACTAATTTACCTACAACTGTGTGATCTAATTTTGTTATTTAACTAAATCTTGTTTATATTTTCATACGGCATTTTTTTGAAAATATGTTTAATGGCTGCATAATGTTGTAGTTGTTCAAGGACTGAGTGGGTAATTATCCTCATTTTCATCGTGGCTCTTATTACGTTGAAATACGCTACATTATAAAAGCCTTTCGAAAGATTCCTAACGTATTTCTACTGGTTTATAGCTGATTGTCAGAGCTTGGCACATCTTTATTTCTATGTCAGTAGTCCCCCAAGCCAAAATGTCTACGGAATCCAGACTACTAACATAAATGAGAGGAGAAGGCTGGAAAGAAGGGACCCACCAGGCATTTGGTAAATATATGCCATGAGTAGAAGGGGCCGCCGATATTCATCTTCACATAATTTTGCCAATCAGGAGTATTAGCCTAAATGTTCTTATTTTTTTATAAATTAGTTATCTACTTTTTAAATGTACATTTTCACAGTGTTTTTTACACGCTGAATTGACAAAACACAACCCACCAGCCTAACAGGATTTGGTTTTCCCACAGGGAGAGTTCAAGCTTATGAAAGTTCACATTGTGCCAGGTGCGGTGTCTCACACCTGTGATCCCAGCGCTTTGGGAGGACAAGGCGGGTGGATCACTTAAGGTTGGGAGATCCAGACCAGCCTGGCCAACATGGGGAAACCCCATCTCTACTAAAAATACAAAAATTAGCCAGGTGTGGTGGCGTACATCTGTAATCCCAGCTACTCGGGAGGCTGAGGCACGAGAATTGCTTGAACCTGGGAGGCAGAGGTTGCAGTGAACCAAGATTGCACCACTGCACTCTACCCTGGGCTACAGAGCGAGACTCTGTCCCAAAAACAAACAACGACAACAAAAAACACCTTCACATTGTTACTTGATATACATCTCTTCTTCCCAAAGTTTCTTTTGTCTGTGCTTCTGTTTTTTTGTTTTGTTTTTGTTTTTTTAAGGTAGCATGGGAAATGTTTAAAGAAAGATTCCAAATTTCTAGGTATGTATATAGAAACAACCTCAGACTGAATTGTTGTCGGGTTTATTGATGATCAATCAGATGATTCTATTTTAGGTTCATCATTTTAAGTACATGCTGAGTTTTTAAATATTGGGCTTTTAAAATTTTCACTTAATAAATCAATGTAGATTCATAAATGTCAGGGATAATCACTACGAGAATATAGAAAAATTAAGTATATGTGCACAAATTGTAAGTCCAATTTCTTCACTTCTTAAGCAATATAGACTCACAGATCTATATTTCATTTTTTAAAGAAAATTCAATACATAATACATTTTGAATTTGAGAAATTGGGTATAATCACAATACTCTAGCAGTTTGCAAGTAGACAGGAAAAATAAAGAATCAGAACAAAGGGAAGTAGTATTTTTCCCTCCGAATAAAGAATAAACAATAAATGAAGTGTTGGAGACTGCATATGAAAGGCAATGAGTCAGGAAAGAAGGTAATTCTTAGAAGTAATGTACAGAATAATCGACCAAGGAATCAAGCAAACCCTGCTAAATCTAACTCTTAATAAAGAGCTGGTCAAGAAATCATGAAGCAAGTTAAGTGCCTTTAGCTTGTGTGCCACAGCTGTCACTTGAGGACTGGGTAGAAATTCTGAGTAGGTGCAGAGACAAAAAACATAAATTGTAAGGATTCTATGCCAGAATGAAGCAGTGTTTGATCATCTCCACAACCTCAAGGATGACATTTTGTTCTTCTACATGTCTACCTTCTATTCACTAAATAGTTGGTTAGAGGTGGGGCCAATTAGTCTTCTGGAAAATATGCCCCTGGCATAAAGGACCATTGGTTACTTTATGCGGGAGAAAAGTATTTAGAGAAATAATGTTTTACCTGAGGAGTCACTCAGCTTTTTAAGAATAGAAATTTTCCCTTACTGGACAGCCTAGATTTAAAAACTTTTAGTACAGTATTAAAAGGTTTAACAAAGACGATGTATCAATAAGGTTAAATAACCATGCACCAGAGGCTTTAAAATTGTATATATTACTTTAGTACATCAAAAATGATACTAATGTAATGCAATTATAATAATAACAGCAATAACAGTAGTAGTAACTGACTCTTGAAAGCACCATGTCAGGAATTATATTGTGTACCTCATATGAGGTGATTCACTTAATTCTTATGTCAATCAATGAGGTAGCTACTACTATTACCTCTATTTTTCAAATATAGAAAACAAAGCAGCTGAACTGATTTTGGAGCCAGTGATCTTAACCTCTTTGAGTTTCATGATTAGATGTTTTGCCTAGTAAGCAGTGGAGTCTGATTCTAATCAGAATTTAACCCATCGATTGCTCTCCCAAATCCAGACTGTTTCCTCACTGCCAAGCTGCCCTTTATCCGAATGCAGGATCTGCTGGGTGTATTTGACTGAGGACAGCTCAAGTGCGTTTTCTAAATTTTTTTTTTGTCAGTCACTACCCACCTGACAGCTTTTTCTTGGTTACCCTTGAAGCTCTTTTGGGGCAAGCCTTCGGAATCTATCAGGAGATACATCCCTCAAAACGTCTGCCAATGAATTTTTTTTTTTTTTTTTACTAACAGTCTATTCTTTGTATTATAATAACATCAGCAATAACAATAGTGGTAACTGACTCTTGAAAGCACAATGTCAGGAATGATAAGGGTTTGCAGGATGCTCTGAGGTTAAACCTTCTCCTCTCAGGCGTTTCAAATTCACATTGTTCCTGATATTTCTGGATAGACTGAGGATGGATAAAGAAGACATATAAACTTTGCATCTTTTGGTTTCTTAAAGAAAGTGGTTAGACTCAAATAATCAAATCCCACCTCACCATAGCTATTTGGTTTTCAGCTAGTTTCCTTATTTGTAGAACACAGGTATTAATAATTTCTCTTTCTTCAGCTTGTTGTGAGAATTAATTTGTTAGATTCGTGGAGCATATAGTGTCCAGTGCATAGTATGAACTAAAACATTTAAACTGTTATGATTTTTCTCTAAAAAGCGTTTATTATTTGGATAAAAGACCCATTAGTAAAAACAGAAATGGCCAGTAATCCCCATAGACTCCAGTGTGATTGGGTTACTACTTGTGATTCTTTCAACTTATGCTCTAAGTCATCAAAATTATGTTGCTACTCTTCTAATCCTCACCCTCAGAGGGCTTTGATGTGCATAAATAAATAACTCATTGCATTCAGTCTGTGTAAACCTAAATATAAAGAGTGTTACAGGCCACGTGCTTTGTGTTGGGGAGTTTCCATTTAAGGGTGAATTCCTCTGAATTATGCTGGTCGGTGACATGGCAGAAACACTTTTTTTTTTTTTTTTTTTTTTTTTTTTTTTTTTTTTTTTAGCAGTGCTGAGTAATCAGATACTGCACCAAAATTAGCTTTCCAGATAGCCCTGTCTGCCTTAATTGTTAGGCGAACCTATTCTCGAAAGTATAGCTTGCAGGCTGTGCTTGGAGGATAGTCAGACACAATCTGTGTGTGCTTGATGATCATTTATTGTCTTAGGTGCTAAGAAATGTATTTGTCCACCTCTATCTACCCATTTAGTAAGAACTTCTGTTGTTTTCTTGAAGTTAGTCGACCTTGTTTTTAGAGTATTCTATTACCCCCTGGTGGTTGGTAGTATAAATACATAATAAAGGGTCTGTCCTTTCTACAGGCTAAAATTCAGGAATATTAAGGCTGCTTTTCCACAGAATTTATATGATTAAAGACTCCTTAATTTAACATATAGAGCACAGCTTTCTGCCAAGATTGCCAGATATTGTAATATAACTTCCCAAATATTGGGAGATCGCCATACAAGCCATGTGACACAATTTAATAATGGAAAGAGTATAGAGATGGACGGGGATAAAGAGAGTAAATACCTGAAAGCTAATTATAGTTAACAAAAAAACACCAGATTTTATTCTAACACACACTATGTTTTAAAGAAATTGCTGTTGTTTTAAGACCAAGCTAATTATAATGAGATAGAACCAGAAAATGATAATATGCTTTGATTTTAGAGTGAAATTCAGGAAATAGCTCCAGGGTCTGTTGTTAATGACATCTCCATCGATAAAGGATGTAAAATTGTCTAAGTCTATTAGGCATTTAATAGTAAGTTTGACCGAGTGTAATGACACCTACATTTTCTTATTAAAGTGCTTATGGTTATCTACAAGCAAATAGCAAATTGGAGATTTATATGCCATTTAAATTAGGTTACATCTAGGAAAATTCATTCTAGTCTTCAAGGCCACTCTTAAAAGAAACTGTGGAACAGTTTTGAAGCATTTTGTGTAGTATCAAGAGATGTTAATATAATAACAGATTCCTTTTTAGCATGAGTTATTTAAATGACAGCCGAACCATTGTAGTGCAAAATAGTCAAGCAGCAGCTTAGTTTTGCACTTTGGCCTTTACTTATAACATAAAAGAGCCTCATTATGACAAGTTCCGTTATCGTTGGAAATTCGTGTAATGCAAATCATTCTTACAACTAATCCAAGAAAGTTTAATTACCAGAAGCATTAATCTCAATAATAATAACAAGCATTTGTAACAACTGAAAATTTTAAAGGAGTTTCAAATCTAGTTGTTGCCCTTGTATTATTGGCCTCACTTCCTAATTGTTCTCCCTGACTCCAGTCTCAACTTCTAGTTCATCCTCTATATTGATGACCTAAAACACAAATTTTGTTATATAATTTGCATAATGATACATCTACAGTGGCTCCTCATTGCCTACAAGTTAAAGTCTAAATCATTAGCAAACCATATAGTCTAGAAAACTTTTGTTGTGGGGAACCATGTTTTTTATAACACATGCAAACATATAAAGAAACCAAAAATTTAT
The DNA here is from genome assembly GCF_000001405.40 of Homo sapiens. Classification (NCBI taxonomy): domain Eukaryota; kingdom Metazoa; phylum Chordata; class Mammalia; order Primates; family Hominidae; genus Homo; species Homo sapiens. The sequence goes on along the minus strand of NC_000009.12, from coordinate 9,605,462 downwards.
TAAAGATATAGTGACAATATACGTAGAAGCAGGTGTTCCACTTCTTTGCATGACTTTTCCCTACTTATTTCTTCATTTAAGGAGTTCATAGCTTCCAATGACATAGACACTATAGGTCAGGGACTGCACATATCTGAGGAAATTTTAAAAGTGGACCACATATACTAAACATGTTTCAATCATAGCAGAGTGCTTTATACATATTAGGTACACTGAATCGTTTTCTAAATTTTACTTTATTTCACTGTGAAAAGTATTGTATTATTGAATATTGTCTAATGCAGAATTGCCATGTAGACCCAGGGAATAATGGTAATGTTCCAGTGTATACGTTATGTGAATCTACTGGGTAAATGGGAAGGGAAATGTTTTGCTAGATGAAAATAGATGCTTTGTAAGTTCCATTCAAATAGATTAAAAAGAAATAAAAAGGCAACAATCTGAGTTTATGAGCATATATTTCACAGTTGAGAATAAGCTCTGGCCCATTAGATTTTACACAAATAATATCAGGGACCACCTCCTGTTAAAATAATATTGTAAAGTTTTTAAGAAAGTGGTCATAATATACCTCTCTTTTTTTTTTGTTCTTTAATAATAGTTTTCTTTTTTTGATATTCTAGGCTATGTTCCTATGGTAGTACACTGAAGAATGGCAAAACATGTGATTTAAAAACAAAAATGTAAACTTTTAGCCATAGAAATGGATGATGTTTGACTTTGTCAAACAAATACCCTTTTAAATTTGCCACCCATACATATAGATATGGTTTAAAAATGTAATCATAACGAGCTATGTAAAACTCAATATTTTTGACAAAATAAAATGTAGTAGTAATGGTAGTTTTGGACTGGACCACAGCAAAATTTCAAGTTCAAAGAACACTTTGTAGAACAAAATGAATATTTAAAGTTTTCCAAAAAGAGTTTATATGATTTCTTACACTAAAAGTTAGAACACCTTTATTTAACAGAAAGCATACATTCTAAAACATACAAATAATTTGTTATAATCAGAACTAAAATTCCACTGATCTCTCTTATTTTATGTATAAATTATTTAGATTACAAAGGCCAAATATTTCCCTCACAAAATATGCTTATACCCTTGCTTAAGTTGAATATTAATTGACTTTGATAAATAAAATTTTATTTTCAAGGTTGTGCCTGTCATATTTTAATGAATTAAAAGAAATACATTTAAATGTGTGAACAGATTAATTCTGCATTTCTACAGGATGTGTTTTCAATGAAATAGTATTGAATTGCCCAGATGCATTTAGACAGTTTAATCAGTGGCTTATGTTCTAATATCTGAAAAACTAGGGATCAACTCTCCAAAACTTAGCTGTTATTTTTCCCAGAAAAAAAAGAAATTTTAGTAATAAAAGCAAAATTATATTAATCAAACTAATGCCACAAAATTTTTAGTTAAAAGTAGTATATTTCACAGCAAAAATAAAATTTAAAAAAAATTTTAATGAGTTGTATTTCTTGCTTTGTGTCAGTTGAAATTTATGTTAAAGAAATTATCTGTACACCAAAAGTGACACACAGTTGACCTCTGTAAAAAACCTGCACCTGTACCCCTGAAACTAAAATAAAAGTTAAAAAAAAAAATGTATTTCACAGATTTTTACTCTTACTAAAAGTTCTAGGATTTCTATATACTTTATAGCAGTGATCCCCAAACTTTTGGCCACCAGGGACTTGATTCATGGAAGGCAACTTTTCCACACATGGTGGGGATAGTTTCTGGATGAAACTATTCCACCTCAAATCATCAGGCATTAGATTCTCATAAGGAGCTCCAAACTCAGATCCCTCACACATGCACTGTTCACAATAGGGTTTGAGCTCCTATACAGACTTTAATGTCACTGCTGATGGCACAGGAGGTGGAGCTCAGGTGGTAATGCTTGCTTGCCTGCTGCTCACTTCCGGGTATGCCGCCTGGTTCCTGACAGGCCAAGGACTGGTTCAAGTCTGTGTCCTTAGGGTTGGGGACCTCTGGTTTATAGCCTAATATGGCTTATATAACCTTTATTTGCTATTTCTAATTACATTGAAATTAGGGTACCATAGCTGATTCTCAAAGCTGGTACTTAAACATCTCACAGCTATTGAATTTGTTTAGTCTGTTATACTTTTTTTGACCATGTGTCTGACTCATGCCTATGCAAGGGGTGTAGGAGCTCATACTATTGCCCCATTCCTGTCTAGTATGGACAACATAAAGCTATTCCGACAGCAACTGACCACATATGTTCAGTCTTAATGTTTACCCTTTCAGAAGAACCCTATCTATGCAATTTATCTCACTTATGCATTGCCCATTCTTATTTCCTTCTAGCCATATATTAGCAGCATTTTATCCTAATCATTACGTTCACAGATTAATTTCAATCAAGAATTCTTTTTAAGGGAACTAGTCTTTTTTTTTCTTACTCTTTTACTAGTGTATTTTGTAACACAACCTAATCTTTCAAAATATAGCAGCCAATTTGCTTATCTTAAAAAAATAATTTTATCCAGGATCATAAGTTGTTTCTTATTCAAATTATTTAGAATTTTATAATATGTGGTTGCTGAATCATTCACATAGACATAGCTTGAGGGAATAGATAATAAACCAGTTATGACTGGCATCGTAGGCCTCATTATAAAGAAGAAGACCAGGAGGAAAGCAGTTTCATCTCCATGAAAGAACATTTCAAGATCTTTTATCCAGACGGGAATAAGATAGAGTAACACTAGAGAAACAACATGTGAAATATGACTCCATCACAACAAAAGAATGCTTGTATATCTATTTTTTGTAATAATGAAAAAAAGATAGGTACGTATTATTTAAAAATAAAAAGGAATATAATGAGCGATGAGGGTACTCAGGTACTACCTCATTTAACTCCTGTAACAATCTTTTGAGACAGGAATTACTCTTATTCTTTTAGATATAAATAACTGAAGTTATATAATCTTATATGGAATAAAATTACAAATGTTTAGAAGGAATTGATGGTTATTGTTTCACCACGTACTTAACACATTGTAGAAAATGTTGTTTTAAATGACCATTGCTTTAAAAATATAAATTAAATATATTAGAGGGATCTGTAGTTGTTATTATATTAAATATTTCCAAGTTCATTTTCATTTCAAATTGAAAAGGCCTAAAATGCCTAAATCATTTGTATAATGCATTTTATCATGTATATTTTTTCAGACTGAAAGTAAATATTAACATGTTTAATGATAACATAGTTTTCTTCAAAAAGTCTGGTTTTCACAATTATTGAAAAGCAAAGGTAATAGGAATGAAGTGAACAATGTTGTCTGCTTTTATGAAAAAATATTGGAATTTTCAATCATTTTAATTTTAGAACATGATTCCATCAAGAGTCTGATGAAACCAGTAGATCATCTGCCTACAAAAATATTCACATATGCATACACACAAATCTGCCAATCTTCAATTAAAACTACTTTTATGTATGTAGTGGTAGAAAATATAGAATTCACAGATATATGGTGACCCAAGAGTCTATAATGATTTATTCTCTACATGCTCACCCCAAAGACTTTAAATCCTCTTTAGCCCTATTTGTTTTTCATAGACTTCTCACCATCTAGTGTACTACATAATTTACTTTTGTATTATATTTAGTGTTTATGGTCTGCTCCACCTGCTGTAATGTAGTTTCCACCAGAACAATGATCTTAACCTTTTCTATTCAAAAGCACATCTAGAACAGTTCTTATACACAGTAGTCCCTTATTATTTACTGAATCAAGGATCATATTTATGATGACTGCATATATCTTGTATTAAGAATAAGAGTGTTAATTTTGAGCAAAAAACTGAGAATGTAAATTTGAGCATTGAATTGCTGATCTAAATATCTCTAACTCCATTCTTCCAAAAATAATAGATTGTTCATGGTTTTATCATTTTAGGATGCAGCAGTGACTCTATCTATGATCTGGCTCTAATCATGTATTGTTTATATGTTTATATATGGTGAAACAATAACCATCAATTCCTTCTAAACATTTGTAATTTTCCCTGTAACAGTTCCCTGATTTAGCTACAGAGTACAGATGTGAAGGTCACTGTTCCTGGAAAATTAGCAACTATCAGTGTCAATTTTCAGCTTGAACTGCAAGTTTAAAATCTCACAAAGCTTCATCTTTGACCATGCAAAAAGAAAATTTTTATCAAAAGTAATTATAACTCAAATATTATAGCAAGTTAATTACTGAATTCCAAATCTCTTTCTTTCTCTCTCTCTCCCCACTCTCCCCCCCCCATACACACACACACACACACACACACACACACACACACACATATATTAATCTCTTTTCCCAGTGTATTTATCCTGTGTGATACCAATGAGTTTTCTTTGTTTCGTCAATTAGTTTGTCAGCATTGTGTTCTTCCTGTCATATTTTTGAGCCATTTCTCAAATAAAATATCCAGGTCTCATTACCAATGGCCAGGTGGTTTTAGATACATCACAAACCAAAAACAAGAAAGCCACCTTAAAAACCAAACATATCATGAAATATACAAGTAGAAAAAATATAGTTTGTGTTATTAGTTGACACATCCTTATCACAGCAACTATTTAGAAGCCAGACCAGTAACATTTTAGTACAAAAGGATTTTAAATATATGTGTAAAGTTAGCATCCAGTGAATAAAATCGGAAGGATGGACGGTTCTGTTATAATTGTTATTCAATACTACCCATAGCTTGTGAGATTCATAGAATAATCAGAGAAGAAAGAACAGTTAAAGGGAACTCACAAAACAGTTGATGCCAGCTCCATGTAGGGGAGGGCCTCTTGGTTGTCAGATAGGGCTGACAGACAGATACCCAAACTATGTTTATGCCTCCTTCCTCTTGAACACCACACACCTCGTAAGACACTTTTTAAACCAAAATAAATGGCTGTCTTCACATGCCAGTGTGCCAGACTAGAATGTTGATTCTCGATGATGTACCTAAACCTTAAAACGGGGGCTAATACAATGAATGAATGAAGAAATGAATGAATGCATAATGATCCATGAGTAGTATCCTCAGAGGAAAATAATTTATTACAGTTGTATCTTTTCATTGTGAGCTTGTGCAAAAAAGAAACATACTGGTGTGTACATTTTTTACTTAAACCTGTTAATTGTACTTCCTCTCCTGCCATTATTAAGTTCCAACTGCAAAGTTCACTATTATCCTGGCAAATAATTTGTGTCACAAAGACCTTGCTAGAAAGTCTTTCTTGTTTCTATGCTTTCTTGTACCTCTATCGTGTCATTTTCCCCCAAATTATTAGTCGGTGTATACCGCACACATAAACAACATAAGATCAGTCCTCAGATAACAACTGCAATGTTTCAAAAATTTATTGTAACTCATCTGCTTGGATTTAGAATGCATTTTACCTATTATAGAAACAAGCCCATAGAGCAAGGGGAATACTCTGGGGACAATTGAGATGGTAACAATATTAAATAATTCTGTCAGTTGACATATTTCTTCACCTATTGATCTTTAATATCCTTAAATTGAGTTTTACAATTTGCTTCATAAAGTCTTTAAATATTCTTTATTTGACTAATAACTAGATATTTAATAGCATTTGTTTATATTGTTAATGGCAGCCTATGTTCTATTTTATTTTTAAGCTTGTGTTTGCTAATAGAGATGTGCCAGTGTTTTTAAATTACAGGAATTCTAGAAATACTGATTATAGCAATTAGAATTTTAGAAATATGAATTAAGACATGGATAAAACCAAAGAGAAAAAATGGTATAGTAGAAGATAAATTTGTGGAAATTACTCAGAATGAAACACATAAAGATAAAGATAAATATATGAAAACAAAGAAATTAAGATACCTGAAGAATAGAATGAGTAACACCAGCCAAGGTAAAAAGTTCCAGAAGCTGAGACTGTAGATATTGGAGGAAGGGCTGTATCCACACCCAGCCCAGGAAGCCCAACACTGTTATGGTGAACATCGGGTAAGGGCTTGAGTGCTTGAGGCTTCCTGGTTAAGGGCATGGATTTAGTGGTTGCCTTGGTATCAGATAAAATCCCAACTCAGACATTTACTAAAAGAGCCAGTGGGCATCTGTAAATTGTGTGTCCTTTCTAAGGCTGAGTCTCCCTATATTCCTAACGAGCATCGGAAGAGTTACTAATTTATGACATTATCATGGGACTCAGATAATAGAAGGGTATTACTTTAGCATTGTGCCTAGCATGTAAAGCACTCATATAATGTCACCTTTTATTGGATTCTAGAAATGTAGTAATAATTATATTCATTTACTGTATAGAGTCATGGGTACTAAATAATATTCTAAGATCTTATTATGATGTGGTTAGATAATCTCTGGGCAAAAACATTTATCATCCATTGTATCATCCATTTTTCTAGCAGTGTAAAAATATTATTCTCATGTATTAGTTCGAAAGAGTACAATATGAGGGGCTTAGGAACCAAGAACTGTGATGATGAGCTAAAATGTCAGACAGGGGGCACTCTGGATCATAAAATTCTGAAGCTTCAGAAGGAAATCTTTGGCCAAAATGGCACAGCTGAGAATTAGTAAAGCCAGAATTCAAACTCAAGTCCACCTCTTACAAATCACTTTCTTATAAGCCACTGTGATAGAGATTGATTAATTAAATATGGGACAAGTGAGGGAAAGGCATTAAAAGTTATGCTTACCAATAATGGGACAGAAATAAACATTTAATACTGTGAAAAAATAGGATATAAATTTTGTAAATAACTTATAACAAAAAAATTGTAAGACTTCTTTAAATAGAAGTTTTAAAAGGTCTATAAAATAGTTAATCAAAAGGTCTATAGTAGGTCTATAGTAGTTGCTTCTTCAAAAACTGTATTCTGTATAACTTCATAATTTTCTACCATGAACATTTTTTATTATTTTTAAATTATTTTATTAAAAGTAACTGTTTTTTTAACAAAGTGGAGTTGGGATTCTGAAGTAGGGCAATGGTTTCCAAGAATAATGAGCTCAGGATAGAGAGAATAGTAAAGGCAGGATTTCCTCTCCTTTTTCTTCTCTCTGCCCTCTCCTACTCGACATCCCCATTTTCTATTTTGTTTCTTCTACCATATACAGTAGTTAAGGCATCTTGTCCAAGGGGGTGAAGAAAGGCATAACTCAGCCCTGATGTGGGACTGTGTCCACCTTGAGGAAGGAGGGCTATTTTCTCATTGGCAACCCCTTTACTCTTATTCTTGTACCTCTGTGCCATGGTGGAATTGAGGCCTCTAGTCGTGAGTCTCTTGGTTTTGAAGGAGTGTTGGGGATAGTAGTAGTACAAATGTACTAACTGTGTGCAGTTTGCCCAAGCCAGACAGCAACTTAAGTCCTGTACAAGTGGCAGGACAGTTTGCAGGAAAAAGGTCTTTAATCAGGATACATGGTTTTTGCATTTAATCTTAATGTAGTGATGATGAAAAAATATAATAAACAAAAACATTAGTTTGGATATCACAGAAAATTAGGGAAAGATTTTATTCTTTTATCAACACTGCTTATTTAGGATTTCGCATACTCCATTTTATTTAACATCTTATTATTTTTCTACTTTGCTGCCAAATTTCTCAAATGAATATGTATATTCCAATATATACATGTATCTGTTACCTTTATTTCTTGTTCACCTGTCTCTTCGCACTACTGAGCTGAAACTATTTTCTCCACTTTTTCTCCATCAATTACATATCTTTTTTCCACAAATCAGTGACCTTTTTAATGTCCCATTTCTTGACTTCTTTCTCTACTATATGTGATACTGTTGACTTCCCCCAGCTTTGTAAAATTCTCTCCTGCTTTCGTTTTTGCAGTTCTACGGTACTTTTCCTCTTGAATATTCCTATAACAGACATTCTTTATAATAATCATGTTGAACAATCAGTTTTCAAGGGATATTTTCTAAAAGTAACTTCATTATGTTTTTATTTTTCCTTTAGCTTAATGACTTATCTGTGGAACCGGTCCTTTATTCCTCGATGGAATTTAAGCCAGTTCCCATGACTTGCTAGTCATTTAAAAGTATAAGTTGTCTTCCATTCAGTGTAATTTTGTGCCAACATCAATATAGCTATGAACATTGTTAACTTTGTTTAAATGTATGTCTTTTTCCCTTTCCCACTTTGATGGGATGATATCCTGCGGTGGGGGAGGTTATATCTGTTGGCCTTTTCTCTTTATCCACTTTCTGTTTTAAGGATGATTTTTATTCCCCCCACCCTCAGCCTGCTTCCACAGTGTTGGAGAGCAGGAAGATGTTTAAGGCCTATTCTGTCTCACTGATTACTTTCATTCGTTTTTCAATGACTACTGGGAACTTCTTACCTGCAGCTTTTTTGGCATAAGTCTATTCATCTCCACTCATGCCAATTACTTACTTGTCAGTCTGGAGGCATTCTCTTTCTCTGATCCCTTCAGTTTCTTTGGGGCAGAATAATCCTTTCTAAACAATAGATTTCAGTTTCACCAACAATAAATTTTGTATACTGATTTGTGTGATCTGTGAATGATATCATATATTTTAATTTGTAATTCTAAAAGTTATTTTAAGTTGAGGGCAGATTGTGTTTTATATTTCTATATTTGCAAATGTTTAGAATTAACTTAAGCTAACATTATTTCAATTCATTGCCTCCTTCATATACACAAGCCTATTAGGTACTTTAGATACCAACCAGAAGGATATGGACTGATTTACACAATCAAGTCTTTAATACTGAACCATACCCTAGACTATATGAATTCAGCTTTTTATTTGTCACTGTATCATTTGAAAGGAGACTAGCAATAAATCATTTCTTGTAGATTTTGCTAGTCTTAGAAAAACATTGCTAAAATCACAAATGATATATCAGATGATAGTGATGGATTAAAAATATTTCTGTGTATTAGCAATAACAACCTTTGTAAATAAAAAGGCAAGATTTTCTACAAAGTGAACAGTAGAAAATAATTCAGTATAATATCGTCCCTATAAGACTCTTAAGGAAATGTAAAGGGTACCTCTGGATATTTTACCGAATATGTAAAGGTATTTCTATATAATATATGTGTAACATGTTTAATACACATAAAGAATTACTATTCTTCAGGAATATTCTATTGATATGCTATTTTATCTGATATATATCACAAAATATTCATTAAAGATGTCTTTAATATAACCTATTTAAGTTTGGCATTTTGACACATGGGACTAAATACAATGTATAAATTATTTGTTTAACTTAAGCATAATGATAAATAGTGTATCCATGGGTATTCCTTTGCACACATATGGGTACTATGGTTATATCTAAGTGAATATATTTTGATTAAACACAAACTCTTGCATAAGGACATATGTAACCATGAGATCACACAAACTTCAAAGAGCAAAATCCCTTGTGATGGATACTAATAGGAATATTTAATTTATTTTTTATTTTTTTTTTATTTCCATAGGTTATTCGGGAAGAAGTGGTGTTTGATTACATGAGCAAGTTCTTTAGCAGTTGATTTGTGAAATTTTGGTGTACCTATCATTGAGCAGTATACACTACACCCAGCTTGTAGTCTTTTATCCTTCTCCCCCTTCCCACCCTTTCCCCCTGAGTCCTCAAAGTCCATTGTATCATTCTTATGTCTTTGCATCATCATAGCTTAGCTTCCACTTATGAGTGAGAACATGCGATGTTTGGTTTTCCATTCCTGTGTTACTTCACTTAGAATAGTAGCCTGCAATCTCATTGAGGTTGCGGCAAAGGCCATTAATTCATTCCTTTTAATGGCTGAATTGTATTCCATCATATATATATGTATATACACACACACACACACACACACACACAAACACACATACATATGCATACGTGTGTATATATGTATGCATATGTGTACATGTGTACATATGCATACATGTGTATGCATGTGTACATATGCGTACATGTGTATGCATGTGTACACGTGTGTATATGTGTACATTTGTATATATATGTATATATGTATATGGTGGAATATATATATCACAGTTTATCCATCATATATATGATGAATATACAATATATATTATATATATAAAATATATATAATATATATATATATATATATATAATATATATATAATCCTTTTCATATAAAGACTTATTTCCCTCTGGGTAGATACCCCAGTAGTGGGATTGCTGGATCAAATGGTAGTTCTACTTTTAGTTATTTAAGGAATCTCCACACTGTTTTCCATAGCGGTTGCACTGGTTTACATTCCCATCAGCAGCGTAGAAGCGTTCCCTGTTCACCGCATCTACGCCAACATCTATTATTTTTTGAATTGTTAATGATGACCATTCTTGCTGGAGTAAGGTAGTATTGCATTGTGGTTTTGATTTGCATTCCCCTAATCATTAGTGATGTTGAGCATTTTTCCATATGTTTGTTGACCATTTGTAGATCTTCTTTTGAGAATTGTCTATTCATGTCCTTAGCCCACTTTTTGAAGGGATTGTTTGTTTGTTTTTTCTTGCTGATTTGTTTGAGTTCTTTGTAGATTCTGTATTTTAGTCCTTTGTCAGATGTACAGATTGTGAAGATTTTCTCCCACTCTGTGGGTTGTCTGTTTACTCTGCTGACTATTCCTTTTGCTGTGCAAAAAGCCGACATAGCCAAAGCTAGACTAAGCAAAAAGAATAAATCTAGAGGCATCACATTACCTGATTTCAAACTATACTATAAGGCCATAGTCACCAAAACAGCATGGTACTGTTAAAATAGGCACACAGACCAATGGGACAGAATACAGAACCCAGAAATAAACCCAAATACTTACAGCCAACTGATCTTTGACAAAGCAAACAAAAACATAAATTGGGAAAGGACACCCTATTCAACAAATGGTGCTGGGATAATTGGCAAGCCACATGTAGGAGAATGAAACTGGATCCTCATCTCTCACCTTATGCAAAAATCAACTCAAGATTCATCAAGGACTTAAATCTAAGACCTAAAACTATAAAAATTCTACAAGCTAACATTGGAAAAACCCTTCTAAGCGTTGGCTTAGGCAAGGATTTCATGACCAAGAACCCAAAAGCAAATGCCATAAGAACAAAGATAAATAGTAATAGGAATATTTTAAATTAACTCCATTATATAGCCCATCTATAGAATTGGCATGTGTATCTTAGGAAAGATATACTCTCTCACATGTGTGTCCTGGGAAATGTGTAGCTCAGTTATCTTATAATGCTTATTTTTTAAATAACTTCTAGATTAGTAAGTGATCTTCTTTCATATTCTAAAATGATTCATACTGAACTGATATTTTCAATGCAACAGGAATACTATAGAATTTTAATCACTGCCTCATTAACTATCGTCCATTGTCCACATACAAGTACCACTGTACTATCCTATATTGTCATACCAATAGATAGCCAGGGCTCCAATCCCCTTTTCTCAGGTTACAGATATCTGAGATCTTCTGAAATTAGAGTATCTTCTTTGGCTAACAAAAGTTACTGAAGTAAGTCATGAGGGGTGTCACTCCTTCTGCACAATTAGTTGGTGGGGTGCTGTGTTGAAGAAGGGATGATTTCTTCAGATTACAAGTGAATGGAAATTCTTACTCCAATTGTGGCTAATAATCAGGTGAAAAATGACTGCATTTCCTCAGTGACCTTCATTGTGTTCCTCAGTGACCTTTACTTTGGTTCTCCCCTAGTTCTAACTTTTAGGACAGAGGGTTCTCTTTTTTCTTGGGCAAATTCACTAAGCTCTCATGGTGCTCTGTGGGGCTGCCTCCACATTCCTTCACTTGACATTTGTTCTCCAACTTTTTAGTAATCTGGGGTGACTCCCTCCATATTAACATTTTTTATCAGGAGTTTTCTCATGCCTCAAAATCCATATTCTCTCAAATATGTCTTCTATAGGCTATAAAATCCGAGCAACAACAACAAAACCATGTTTACTTTTCTTTAAAACATTTAAATTGCTCAATACTCAAGCCTTGGAGATATAAATATAGCATATACATACACATGTACATACAAATATTTGTATTTCTTACTCCTTCTGCAATAAAGAAAAGCAAGCAAAAAAAAAAAAAGTTAAGTTTCCATAAAAAATAGTGTGGACAATCCTACCTATCCACAGTACAAGAAATCCCCCTTTTCTTTGAGGGGGGGGAAAAACAAAAACAAAAAAAAAACAAAACTGGTAAAAACTCAATAAATTCATTTTTCTTTTTTCTTTTCTTTTCTTTCCCTTTCCTTTCCTTTCCTTTCCTTCCTTCCTTTCTCTCTCTCTGTCTTTCTTCCTCTCTCTCTTTCTTTTTTTCTTTCTCTCTTTCTCTTTCTCTTTTTGACAGAGTCTTGCTCTCTCACCCAGGCTGGAATGCAGTGGCACAATCTTGGCTCACTGCAGCCTCCACCTCCCAGGTTCAAGTGATTCTCATGTCTCAGCCTCCCAGGTAGCTGGGACTACAGGTGTGTACCACCACATCTGGCTAATTTTTGTATTTTTAGTAGAGACAAGGTTTCACCATGTCGGCCAGACTGATCTCGAACTCCTGACCTCAGGTTATCCACCCACCTCAACCTCCCAAAGTGCTGGGATTACAGGTGTGAGCCACCATGCCCTACAGCCATATAATCCTGTTGCTATTGATATTACATTGGTTTTAGCAATCTTCACCTACATGAATTGTTCATCTGTTTGCTTGTAGGCTATGGGGAAAAAATCCACTGTAGATACCAGGAAATTGGCACTTCCTTGTAGGAGTAGGGAATGACGAAAGGAGTATCAACTTAACAGAGTTGGCTAGAGGAGAAATTTCAGATTGATTTGCTCGATGCTCAAATCCTCTCCCAAATTAAATAATTTCCTGTTTTTATTACCTTCTCCTACTGTTAAATAATGTTTTCCTCAATGTCAACCTCCACCCACACTGGACAGACTGGGAGTTTGCTCTTCAATTATTTTTCATATTGTATATGAACATATAAGCATACATGGAGGAAGAAACACAACGACAGTGTGTTCTATATTTTGTTTTGTTTGATTTTGTTTTGCATTATTTTTGTTTTGTTTGAATTTGTTTCGCAATAGATTTTATCTAGGCCTCATTCACACAAACTCATCTACAGCATGGAAATGGAACAAGATATAATTTAGGCAAAAGGCCATAAATTTACCTAAGATTTTATATGCTTTATTGGTGTATTTTAAATTAGTGAAGAAAATGATTCTCCAGTTATTTCATAGCAAGTGTTATGACAATGGCTAAATAATTTTGAGAACAAATATTTTTAAGTCCATATTGAAAAAAGCCTTAAGAAAAAAACTAAACTTCAAATATTTAAAGTTATCAGACATAAAAAATCAAAACAAGTTGATCTCCTAGAAGTAGAGAGTAGAATGGAGGTTGCCAGAGGCTGTGTGGGGAGAATGGAGAGAGACCGGTGATTGGGTACAAAATTACAATTAGATAGCAGGAATAAGTTCTGGTGTTCCACTACACAGTAGAGTGCCTATAGTTGACAATGTATTGTATATTTCAAAATGGCTATAAAATAAAATTTGGAATGCCCTCACCACAAAGAAATGATAAGTATTTGAGGTGATGAATATGCTAATGACCCTGATTTGATCATTACATAATGTAACTCATATGGAAACATCCCACTGTACCACACAAATATACACACTTATGTGTCAATTAAAACTGAAAGAACACATATTAAGAAGTGCCAGAAAAATACATAGCTAAATATGTATTCACTGAATTTATTGAAGGCTTATTTGTGTTTTCTTAAGTTGCCGCCATTATACTTTGTGACAGACCTAGTGCTTTGAAACAACACTCGTTTACTATGTCATAGTTCTGTAGGTTAGGATTCCAGATGCAGTGCAGCTCAACTGGGTCCTCTGCTTAAATTCTCACAAGGCCAACATCAAGATGTTGGCAGTGTTGTGTTCCTCCCTGGAGGCTGTAAGAATGAATCCGCTTCTAAGCTCACACAGTTTGCTGGCCTTAATCACTTCCTTTTGGAGGTAGGACACAGATCCATTTTCTTCATTTCCTTGCTGGCTGTCATCTGGTATGGTCTTTGGTCCCCGAGGCTGCCTGCATTCCCTTTCATGCCTTCCATATGTCCTCCCACCGCAGGAATGGCAGGTTCCTCCCTCTCACGCTTTCAATCTCTCTGACTTCCGCCACATCCATCTAACCACAGCCAGAGAATTCTCTTCGTTTTAAGGATTCGTGTGATTAGAATGGGCCTACCCAGACAATCCTCCTATTTTAAGGTCCATAGTCTTCATTGCTTCTGCAAAGTCCCTTTTGCAATGGAAGGTAACACAGGTTCCAGGGATTAAGGCACGGACACCTTTAGGGGGTCGTGCTGCTTACCACAGAAGGCATTCTAATTAAGATACCAAAATGGAGCCCATTTTGTGTTTCATTACATAAAGCTTTGCATCTTCTGTTCCTCCAAAACACGATAATACCCAAAGCAAATGACTTTCTGTGAAAATCCATGTGCCACATACGTGAGAAAGAGTTAATATCATTAACCTCTAAGGGACTTTCATTAAGCAAACAAAGATAAACAGTATTTCAAATGGAGGCAAGGGAGAAACTTTTCATTTCTAGATTTATTTGAGAATGTAATATGCCTAAGATTCAGATTTTGGGTAAGAATGGTTCAAGCTCATGCTCTTTTTATGTAAATGATTATCATTTTATTATGAAAAAGACAAGTGTTATCTTGAATGTCTTATAAAATAAAAAATAAATATATGAAGCCATTTCTATTTTAAAAATTACATGTTTAATATTTCTGAATTGTTAAGGAATTGATGTTCATTATAGAAAATAAGACATAAAATACATTAGAAATAAGAATACAGATAATAAGAAGAAGTAGTCTTTTTATAATGTTCATACAAAAACACTTAAAATTGGGGATCATAGTGTAAGCAGTGTTTCTAACCTTCATTTTCAAGGTTGAACACTGTCATAGGTACAGAGTTTTATAAACATTTATTAAGTACCCACTATGTGTTAAGCTCTCTTTTAAGCACTTTGGATATATTAGTAAAGGGAGCAAAGATTGCTGCCTGTGAGGAGCTCACATTCTGTCATAATACAGAAAAAAATTCTTGTGATATATTGCCCTGTGGAAAAAAAAATAGATCATAGAACAGTATTTGCTGTATGATCCTAATATGTAAATGTGTTTAAAAAATAGAAACAGTCACCATACAGTAAGTGATGGGCATAATGTGTTTAGCCAACTGGCTTGTATTTTTATTGACATTATATGTTTTATTATAAATGTTTGTACTCTTTCTTTTAAGTAAAAGAAGTTACATTCTTATACAAAAGAGTAAGAGTTGCTTACTCTTTTGAATAAGAGGAATCATAATGAGAATCACAATGTATGAATAGTTTGAGCGCTTTGGATAGATATTGCCGAGATGACCTGTAGAAATAATGACCCAGCATCTTCTCCCACAAGCCCCGTGTACGTGTGCTTATTTCCCTTGCTCATAAACACTACTCCAAACATCTACTAATGACAACAATCACTACTATGTGTGTTTACCACATGTTGTTGTTCAAATTTCAACATCTCTGAAATTAGGATGCATACCCAATGGAATAATTTAACTTTTTTTTCTTTTGTAAAGCTCTATGAAATAATGGGTTGTCTTATAATCCATGGCATTTTAGATTTTTAAAAATCCAGTAACACATAAATCCTATTGCTATATTTGTGAATATTAATTGTAATTACTGCAAAAGTTATCTAATGCTGTTAAACATTTTGAAATATCACTGGAACACAGTGTACTGATTGTTGCCATAGATTGCTGATTAACTTCCTAAGAAAAATCCTATTTTCCATGGTCTTACTGAGGAATCAGAAACACCAGCAACCTGTCTTAATTGCTACAAATCAGTATTACTTGTTCTATATTTTAAAGAAATATGTAAGAGAAAGAGAGAACATGCCACAAGAGTTAACAAGAACCTTTTAAAAGGGAAAGACATTTTATTAAATAAATGAAAAAAAAAATAGCTGCAACCAAGAACATCTAAATTTTCTATGTAGGAAATGTATAAAATCCTTAAGAGGATTTTACTGATTTTGTCTGCTGTATGCTACTATGTGCTATGTTTTACTATCAAATATTTAAAAATACACACCAAATAAACTACTGTTGTATTGGTTTTCACTAATACACAGTTTTCACAATTTCATACATTTAGAAACAAATATTTCTCCAGTTAGTTGCCTAGAACTAAGAAAGTTGAAATGGCATGAATTGCTTCAAATTATTAATAAGCATACGGAAGTGGTCAACTTGCTTGTAAATAAATACATAAAAATTAAAATTGAACAAAAATTTTGCCACAAAACTAAAAATGCTGTATTTGAATATAATATTACAAGTTCTAATATTAAAATGTTCTAAGTCACAGTTTCTCCAAATGGAGATACAAAGAGTTTGAACCCAACTATAAGAATAACTCATAAAATGCTTTCAAAATGCATAGAAAAGCTCTGGCTCTTAATAATTCCTCATTATACTCAGCTAAAATGATGACATTGATGAGTAAAATATTTAGAAAACATATTGATGCAGTTCCCGTAACATTTCATTTGTCTTTTCACTTTTTTCTCTAATTAACAATTCAAGGACTGGTAGTGGAAGTAATATAATTGCCAACCTTCATAAACATGGATATTAAAAAATATTAGTTTCAGAGTTATTCCTAATTATTTCTGTGCAACTTTAAGAAATATATTCCTGGGTTTTCTATCTTTCACTAATAAGATAAACTTGATCATCAAAGTCTGAGTAATCAAAAACTACCATATTATAGAAAATCCCCTCCCAAAGTATAAAATTTGGATTGGCACATGAAGTGGCTATGACTTTCATTACCCCCTTGCCTAAGTTGATTGGCTGTTCTCCCAGAGACATGTCTTCAATTTTTCCTCTGAGCAGTTTGAATGACCAATCTAAATGTGCATACTGTCAAAATAGAAAATGTAACTCAGTAGAAGCAAACATTGCCATGAATAAAGGAACTGAATGAACTGAAATCAGCAGGTCATTTATGAAGACGCTTTATTTTTTCTCCCTTCTGTCTTCCAATTCTGCTGAGCGATAAGGACTAAGGTTAGTCCTTATCGCTGCCTATGGTTAAAATCCTTGCAGGTCCCATAGCTTCACTGGGTCTATTTTTTTCTGTTATTAATACATGATAGTTTATATATTTAGGGGTACAGATGAATGTTTGTTACATGTTTGGAATGTGTTATGATCAAGTCAGGATATTTGAGATATCCATGATCTTGTGTATTATTTCTATGTGTTGGTATAATTTCAAGTCCTCTTTTCTATTACTTTGAAGTATACAAAATACTGTTGCTAGATATAGTCACTTTAGTCGGCTAACCAACATTAAAACTTATTTCTTCTAACTATGTGTTTATACCTATTAATCAACCTCTCTTTATCCTCCAATTCCAACCACCAACCCATCCCAGTCCCTACTATTTACCATTCTATTCTCTATGAGATCAATTTGTTTAGCTCCCACATATGAGTAAGAACATGCAGTATTTGTCTTTCTGTGACTAGATTATTTCAACTTAATGACCTCCAGCTCCATCCAGATCCCCAGAACAGCAGCATCAACATCACCTGGGAACTTGGTTTAGAAATGCTAATTTTGGATCCCATTCCCCAGTGAGGGAATTAGTGAGACCCCCAGCCTTTATGATGTACTCTGAAGTTTGAGAAGCACTGTAGTATCTCATACTTAGAAGGAAGCAAACTGGTCTTTTTTGGGCTGCCATTGGGAATCAGTTACCATAGTGGGCACTTCAATTAAATTACCTATTAATAGTTCTAACAGCATATAAATCTGTGTCATTAGCAAGCCCCTCTCCTATCTAGATCTATGCCCATGGGCAAGTAGTTTCATTGTTCTGTGCCTAAGTTAATTTGTCTATAAAATAAATATAATAGAAGCGCCTACCACTTAGAGTTGTTAGGAGGATTTCATAGATTAGTGTATTAAAAACCCTAAAACACATGTAATGTGCACATGTGTTTGCTTATATCATTACTATTATCTCTTATATATTAGTATTAACAATTATAATTATTATTTAGGCCTCCTTAAGTTAAGTAACTTGCTGGATGTAATACAACTAAAATAGTAGAAGCCTGAAGTTGATTCCAGCTTTATTTTCCTCTAAAATAATTTTTTTGTCTCCCCTCTTTACAACAATTATATTCACATAACACATTTTGTTACCTATATACACATACATTTCCTCCTCTCATATTTTTCAACATTGCTATGATAGACTGGCTTCCTTAATTCAACATCACAGGAGAGAGTGATGACTTATGCTCTCCAGTATCTGAAATGACACTTAGGAACATAGATGTTCAATAAATGCTTGCTAATTGATGAAGAAGAATAAGATCATTACCAATTACTTCTTCAAACACTGATAAAATGGAATAAATGTGATATACTAATAAAATCAGAGATTGTAGAAATCATGTCAAAGTGATATATCTCTTTTTTCCCCTCTGTTTTTAACAGTCATACCTCAGAGTGGCCTAGGTCTGTACACAGGACTAAAAATTTAGATGTTCTCTGACTATATCTCTTTCCATTTATCAATGTCCAACCTATTTAGCATAAATGGTAGCGAAAAGTGAGTATTTATGGGTTTTTCTATTTTAAAAATGGTATTTAATTTATTCAACTAAAGATGTTTCACCTCATAGAATTGTAGGAAATAATGTTGTGCCTTGAGATTAACTAAATTAACCTGAATATAGTTTGTATAGGTTTCATATTGAACAACTGACAGAAGAAGCAATAATGTTCAATGAGAATATTTTTATTACTAAAAAATGCCTGGTACATAAAACTCAACTCAAGAATTATAATCTTACTGCGTACTTATGACTACATAATCATTTCCATTATGCCAATTATACTAGATTTGTTTGTATTAGTAAGTATTCATTAAACCAATATACTGTCAAACATTATACTCTTCTTTGGTTGTAGAAGGATGAGACAATCTGATCTCAAGAACCAAATAATGAGGTCTACAGCAAAACTACTGGCTGTGTTGAGGGATGGCCCTGTAATTGGAAGGGGAAAAAGAAATATGAGAGATGAGAGACTGAATATACAAATGGTTAACAGCCAGAACATATGTGACAAAACTCTGACCTACCACCTCCACCGCAACTAGCCCAGGAAACCAAACCACAACCTCTGCAATTGGTTCAGAATGGCCAGGATGTTGGGGACATTTTCAGGTCACTGACTACCAACTTCCTTAATTTTTATCCACTGCTTCCAACTCGGAACTAACCAGAGGAAGCCAAATATATCTCCCAAAGCAAACACATAGGTTGCTCTACTTCTGGTTAGCCTGCTTCCAGTTTCTCCATGTTAATTTATCTCCAATCAGAACACACCTCAAGCCTTCCCTTTTTATTCATTGTTAGATTTTCCTGCTCCCCTACCTACCTTTGAGTCTCTGGCAAATGCAAATGATGCATGGCTGAATCCCTTGCTATAGCCAACTGCAAATAAATAGTACCTACGTATTCACATCTGGATGGTCTTTCTTCATTTTCATGAAGACAACAGAGGTAGAATTGTTGGGCTTGAAAAATGATTGGATGAAGGGCTGAAAAGAAAGGGAAGAATCAGTAATGACTAGCCTTTTAGGTTTGTGTGAATGACAAGTTAGAAGTGTCACTAATAGAAAGAAAAATCCAAGGAGCAAAGTGGGTTTTAGCAGGAAGAGGATAAATTTTGTTTGGACATTTTCAATTCAAAGTAATTGTGCAATATATAGTTAGAAATATCTACCAAGAAGTTTGGAAAGTAGCACCTAGGCCAGAAATACATTCAGGTCTAGAAATACTAATTTGGAAAGTTAAGATGTGAATTGAAGATGAAACTTGTAAAGATGAAGATTTCAACCAAGTGTCTAAGTACAAGTTCACATAGGAATAAGTAGAAAAAGGACAGGATCCGAAAATATATTCATACCTTGATTGTTGCATTCACTCAAACATCCCTGAGCACAGCTTTGCCCCTAGGCATTATGTCTGCTACTGAGATAAACATGCTGTAAAACTGGGAAGTTTTACATTCAAAGTACTGGGAAGAAGAGAAAATAAAGGCAAAAACAATAAGATGTAATCATGAGAACATAAAAACATAATGAAACAAAAATGATAATAATCCAAAACTAGAAGGCAGCTTGTAATTCCTGGAAAAAGAGAATTTTATGAAAGAAGAAGTGGTTAACTTCTGTGTGCTGTAAATTTTCCAGGGTGATGATGACTTTAAAAGGAACATGGTATTTGATGTCTTGGCATCCTTGTGGTTGTGCAATAAAGGGCATCATTAGAATTTTTTGGGTGAAAAAAAATGTTGCAAATCATAAGACGTGTAAAGCATCCACACAAGAAGAAAATAAAGCTTGAAGACTCAGGATGGTCAAGGGCAAAGTTCTCCAGAGAGATAAGCCTTGACATTACAGGTTGAAAATAAAGATAAAGGGGAGAATGAGAAATTTGTTGTCATTAGAAAAAGCATAAAGGGTGCATGGTAATTCAGGACTGAAAAGGGGGGATGAAAGCAAAACTGCGAGGAGGAGAGAGATCCTTTCTTGGAAATAAAGTAATAGAAGAGGAATGGATGAAGATGCACATGGATTTTTAAAGTGTAGAATAACGAAGTTGAAGTTGTTCTCATGGATAACGTTCATACACTTAATATGTGAACAAGTCATGTCATAGCAGGAGAGAGAAGCAGGTACAAAATGGGAGGGAGTTGGAGATATTTTACTTTAGTGGCTACAGCATTAGGAATATAATGGTTAGGTAACTGTAGAGAAAGAATAGTGATGGTGAAACATGAGCAACATAGAGGTCTTTTGTGGTAGCATAGCAAATAATAATAATAATAATAATGGTGATGAAATAAAATGTTTTAATGTAGTAGCTTTCTTTTCCAAAAATTAAAAGGTTGGTAGGGTTTATGAAGCATCATCTAAATGAGATTGGGTAGATTTGAGTGAGGGGAGATTAAGGGGAGACAGAGGTTGCAGGGCACTTCATATATATAAACTATTTCTGAGATAAACAAACCGTGGCTTAGGAAGCTTTACATAGCTTGCTAGTATTACTAAAATGAAGCTTCTGATGCATGTTTTTGGGATGGGGTCTGAGATTCTGTATTTCTAACAAGGCAGAACTATCAGAATCTGTATTTCAACAAAAATCCAGGTGATTTTTATGTGCATTTGAGTTTGAGAGTTACCACTGTATACTTAGCTTCTGCCTCTGAATTGCCAATTGGCAAAAAAGTATGGTAAGGATGAAGGAAGAAGAGAATACAGGATAGTTTCACGGCTTGATTAAAGTAGCCAACCATGGCGAGTAAGATAGAAAGGGACAAGTGGCACCCAAATGCTGCTGTATATTTTCAGAATAGGGAGTGATAAGGACCCGCTAGTCATAATGGCAACTATAAGACTGAGTCTCCAAGCTTATCTGAGCTTTAGTGCAGCAGCTGAAGTAAAATGAAAATGAATGTTGCCATAGTTACCATGAATTTACATAAAGGCTATACCAATCTTGTGAACTTTCACATGGACTTACAGATTTTTCAATATTACTATCTCCAGAAATGAAAGGATCAGTATATTATGCTGGGAGTTACAATTTATAATTTTAATTTCTTCTTAAATGCGTAGTTATCTATAACAAGGCAACTTTATGATGAGCATTATTATTTCTTTAGGTTTTACCAATTAGTTTGGCTCATTGTCAACTAAGGAAAATTATGACAATGTCATTCATGAAAAAGGGTTCAGAGGACGTTTTTGGAATGCACCCATTTATAGATTGAGGTTATTGTTGTCAATCTTTTCAATACAGCATCAAACATTTTAATAAGATTTTAGTGTTTTGAATAATTTAGAGCGGCATTTTTCTGAGTAGTAATGCCTAAGAGTCAAAATATTAAACATAAGGATGTATAAATTTTCAGTTAAGAGACATAAATTCCCACTTGCTAAATGAGTTGTTTGATGTTATTTTATATATCATTGATACCCAAAATATTTGTAATCACTTTCATTGTATACTTTTTGAAGGAGTATGAAAGTTTATTTAGAGATTTTGACATTTTGGATTTTGTGAGAATAATTTAGGAACAGATATTCATTCAGTGAGGAAGATATCAAAGGCACTACAACCAACAGGCTAAAATACAAATTCCAGCCTATACTATTTATTGGCAACATTTTCTGTAGATATTTTTAATCACATATTTTGTTATGTGGTAACAAGTAAACTTTCAAATGACTTTCAATTGTATAATGAAATTCCAACAAATGCTCTGGGAGGTTAATGGTTTTTCTTGGTGTTAATTCATGAATAGACTTTATCTTCTTTCCAGTAGGTTTTAGACAATGGAAGACAAAGATTATAGTTTTTTCTTATTTTATTCATCCTAATATATACTAACACGTTAATACATTATAGCAGGTTCAGAAATTCAGACAAATTTGAGCCTCCAGAAGAATATACCACACAAATATCTTTGTAAAATATAAAATGCATTTAAATTATTTAAGAGATAAACTAATAGAGTAATGTAAGGAACTTTTAAAAATAACAGCTTTATTGAGATATAATTTCATCATCGCAAAAGTAATTCTTTACCCATTAGCAGTTATTCCCCATTCCTCCCACGTTTTATTCTCTGATAAACTTTAATCTGCTTTCTTTTTCCATATAATTTATTTATCTCTCAGATTCAAGAAATAATTCATCCAAGTCTGAGATAACATGCCACACTGTCATTTGATCTGGATTCCTCCTATTTTAATTGCTCTACTTGGGAGTCTGATAAACAAAGAGGTTGGGGTGGCCTCTTATGATATATGACTGCTGGAGCTCCAGGCATTAATTCTGCATTCTAACCAGAAATTTTACTTAGGGACGGAGGGACAAAGAGGAACATGCCTCTTAACATTCACTGACACTGTTTAGACTTTGCTTACCCAACGTCTACATGTGTCCTTTTGCCAGAACTTAATCTTATGGCATTGAGACTAAGGATGGTTGTCTTATTCCAAGTGGTCATGAACCTAGCAAAAAATAAGTAAAGTAAGATGGATGTTGAGGGATAACTAGAAGTTTCTGCCATAGTGTTAAACCCACTCAAACTTATATAAAACTTCTCAAGCTAGATTTTGGAATACCAAAAGAAAAATCCCGGAAGAGATTATAGAATGCAATTGTACAATGTCTAGTAGCTTTTGAAGTGGCAATAAAATATACAGTTATTAAACATTAGTAACCAGAATATCAAATCTATTATGGTTTTTGTCTTATTTGTGACTTTAACCTCACATTATAGTATAGTAGTGGCTGGTAAATAATTGTTTAGTAAATATTTGTGGAATAAATGTATAAATTACTTAACAAGCATTATATACCATTGTATTCAATAGATTTACATACATTATTCATAGGATAGTTTGCTAGTCTCACCACTTGCCAGTCATTCCAACTTTCCCAAGATTTAAGATCTTTTTTGTAAGAAATAAGTTAGGCATTGATTAAGACGTTGAGAAGATTTTGATAAGGTAAACTCTAACACCTAAACACGGGGTATTTTTTTTCCCAAGGGTCTATCCAGTTATTATTTCTTTATTGCATCACTTAGATGGTCATTGATTATTTATCGAGAGTTTATAATGTGCAAGGTTTTACTGAAACAGTCTACATT
The DNA here is from genome assembly GCF_000001405.40 of Homo sapiens. Classification (NCBI taxonomy): domain Eukaryota; kingdom Metazoa; phylum Chordata; class Mammalia; order Primates; family Hominidae; genus Homo; species Homo sapiens. The sequence goes on along the minus strand of NC_000009.12, from coordinate 9,581,529 downwards.
TTTTCCCAAATATGTTGCCTACAATTATAATAGGAATTGTGTTTCTGAGATGATAAGCTTCACAGTCTTGAAAGATAAGAGTTCAAAGTTGTTATTTTTTAAAGCATTTATTTGCATTTTTCTAAATGGATAGAAGGTTATCTGGTTTTGCAAGAAAGTGTTTCTGATAACCTATGCCAAAATCATTCTTATATTACCTACAATTTACATATTTTGTAACAATATTATGTATTCTAAAATTTATTGGCAGAAAACTCTAGAATTTGACATGTCTGATAAATAATGCATAAGTTCAATTTAGCATTTAATGAGCTAGGTACTGTGGGGCTGTCACTATCTAAAATTAATTATAATTTATTAGAGTTGTAAGACTAGAAGCTTTCTAATCTATTTACTATTCTTACAGATCTATAAAAAACTGAGAATATAGTTATGTATCTGCTTTATGAAGATACAATTTTGGGTTTCTTTCTAAATTGACTAAAATGCAAGCCCCCTATTTCTTTCACATGTCCTCCCCTTTAAAAGAATCTGATCAACACAGGGAACACACAACCCACAGAATGGAAGATAATATTTGACAACAACACAACTGACAGGGACTGTTTATCCAGAATTTACAATGAACTCAAACAACTTAACAACAACAACAAAACAAATCCCATTAAAAAGTAGGCTAAGGGCTGGGCACGGTGGCTCATGCCTGTAATCCCAGCACTTTGGGAGGCTGAGGTGGGTGGATCACAAGAGGTCAGGAGTTTGAGACCACCCTGGCCAACGTGCTGAAAGCCCATCTCTACTAAAAATACAAAAATTAGGCAGGCATGGTGGTAGGCTCCTGTAATCCCAGCTATTCAGGAGGCTGAGGCAGGAGAATTGCTTGAATCATGGAGGCAGAGGTTGCAGTGAGCAGAGATCACACCACTGCACTTCTGTCTGGGTGACAGAGCAAGACTCTGTCTCAAAAAAAAAAAAAAAAAAAGAAAATAAAGTAAGCTAAGGACATGAATAGACACCATTCAAAAGAAAACATACAAATGGCCAACAAGCGCATCAAAAATGCTCATCATTACTAATCATCAGAAAATGATTAAAGTTAAAATTACAATGTCATATCATCTTACATCAATCAGAATGGCTATTAACAAAAAGACAAAAAAGTGTTGGCAAGAACACAAAGAAAAGGGAAGACTTATACACTGTTGGTGGGAATGTAAATTAGTACAACCTCTATGGAAAACAGTATGGAGATTTCTCAAAGAACTAAGAATAGAACCACCCTTTGATCCAGCAATCCCACTACTTGATATATACCCGAAGGAAAAGAAATCATTGTACCAAAAAGATACCTGTACTCATATGTTTATTGCAGTTCTATTCACAATAGCAAAGTTATGAAATAACCTGTCTATCAACAAATGATTGAATAAAGAAAATGTAATACACGCAGACATACACACACAATAGTATGGAACACTATTCGGCCATAAAAAAGATGAAACATGTCTTTGCAGCAATATGGATGGAACTGGAGGTCATCATCTTAAGTGAAACAACCCAGACACAGAAGGAAAAATACTGCATATTCTCTCTTATAAGTGGGAGCTAAATAATATGTTCATATGGACTTAGAGCTTGGGTTGATTGACAATGGAAACTCAGAGGGTAAGGGAGTGGGAGGGAGATGAATGATGACAAATTACTTAATGGGTACAATGGATATTATTCTGGTAAAGGACATACTAAAAGCCCTGACTTCACCACTATGTGATATATGCATATAACCAAATTATACTTATACCCCTCAAATTTACACAAACAATCTGTATCTCTAAGCTACATCTAACTGAAGGGTAGGAGAGTTTGTGCTTAAAACTCAACTGTAGCTGAACATACAGGGAGGGGAACAACACTTACTAGGGCCTGTTAGAGGAGGTGTGGAGGTGGCAGGGGAGGATTAGGGAAAAAAGATCATGCATGCTGGGCTTAATACCTAGGTGATGATTTGATAGGTGCAGTAAACCACCATGGCACACGTTTACCTATGTAACAAGCCTACACATCCTGTATGTGTACCCCAGATCTTAAAAATTAAAATAATTATTTTAAAAACTCAACTATATTACTTACTAGCTCTCTGTCCTTGGATATATTTGTTTACCTCTCTAGTCAGTGTTCTTACTTATACAACATAGATGCTCATAATACCTGATAGGATTGCTATGGAGATTAAATGAGATGAACTTAAAGACTTTGACACACTTCTTGGCACTTAGTATGTGTTCAGTAAATGTTAACTGTAGTTATTAATGAGGACCAGCCCACTAAGATGATATTAGACTCATAATAAATATATAATTACTTGACTCCTAAAACTGAAAAGAATAAATGAATATATGTGCATTGAAATAGCACTTGTAAGAATGCCGTACAATGATTAACTATCATATAGAGATGTAATGACTAAGAGCATAGGCTCTGAAGCAAGACTCCTTGGATTAAAAATGTGTATGATAAAGAACAATATACTTATAGCTCAGTTTTATCTATAAAGTAAAAATATAATTATCAGAATTAAATGAATTAATACATAAAAATACTGAGACCAGGATCTTACATACATTATATGTTTGGTAAATGGTGTCTACTAATATTATCCTATCCTGGTATGTGACTTAACTGGGATTCTGAATTTAGTTAACTTCAGGTTCAATTTTAACTTTACAACATATTGATAGTAAGATTTTTTTGTAGTTTATTCAGGCAATTGTTGGCTTTCAGTCTCTTCTGTGAAAATGTGGAAAATAATCTCTAATATATGAAACTTTTCTGAGCATCAACTGAGGATACATGAGATACAATGTAGAAATCCTATTACAGTACTATTTATTGCTGATTAAATATTATTTTCCTAAACCCAACAAACTGTCTTTAAAATTATTCCCAATCATTTTGAAGTATTTATAATTATTTAAAATTATTATTGAAAATGATTTTCCAATTTTTAGGTTTCCAAATAATTTTTATTCAATTTCCTCTCCCTCCCCCAAATTTTTGGACTCCTTGCAAAATTAAGTCAAGAGGAAGTAATGCACTCTAATTCTTTTTAATGAGGAAGAAATCACCATCTAAGATGCCAATTTCATGAATTTCTCCAAACACTACATCATAGATCCAATAAATCCATTCATTAAAGGCATTTATCTACAGAAATACTAAAATAATACTAAAAAATTAAACTTGAATGTATAACTTTTCAAGATTTCTGTAGTAATTTGAAAATCATTCAAACACAACTCTGAAGAATGTCTTATTCAGCATGGTAAGTTTAGGATACCAGAATTATAAAATTATCAATAATTTCTTTTGTGGTTTGCCTGCTTGGCTTAACATCAGTGCTTTCTGAATGGTTGTTCCTCAAATAAGTAGTACAAATGAGAGAAGTATATCTGATCCTCTTTTTTTTTTTTTTTTTTTTTTTTTTGAGACAGAGTCTTACTCTGTCACCAAGGCTGGAGTGCAGTAGTACAATCTCGGCTCACTGCAACCTCTGCCTCCTGGGTTCAAGCTATTCTCTGGCCTCAGTCTCCCAAGTACCTGGGACTACAGGTGTGCACTACCATACCCAGCTAATTTTTGTATGTTTAGAAGAGAAGGGGTTTCACCATGTTGGACAGGCTGGTCTTGAACTCCCAACCTCAGGTGATCCACCCGCCTCAGCCTTCCAAAGTGCTGGGATTACAGGCGTGAGCCACCGTGCCCGGACTGATCCAATTTATTTGGCTAGAATTTTATGTGAAATAAAATTTCTTAAAATTTATCAAGGATAAAACTCTAACCTAGTGTCAAAGTCTCTGACAGTTTAATAACTGGTCATTCATCATAAATCTCTCCTCTGAAAATAGTTATTTATGCACATCGTGTTAAAATAAACTCCTTTTTATTTATTTTTATTTATTTATTTTTTGAGACAAGGTCTTACTTTGTCCCCCAGGCTGGATGCAGTGGCACAATCTCGGCTCACTGCAGCCTCAATTTCCAGGGTTCAAGCGATCCTTCTTTCTAAGCCCCCAAGTGGCTGGGAGTACAAGCACACACCACCACCCCTGGCTAATTTTTGTATTTTTTTGTAGAGATGGGATTTCTCCATGTTGCCGAGGCTGGTCTCAAACTCTTAGGCTCAAGCAATCTGCTTGCCTCAGCCTCCCAAAGTGCTGAGGTTACAGACATTAGCCACCATGCCCAGCCAATGCTTTCCTTTTTAAATGTATATTTGCCTGAGTCAAGCTCCACAAATCATTGAAAATGGTAAATTAAAGTTGGAATAAACTGTATTTCTGCTTTGACCTTCTTGTATGCCTAAAATTACCTATCTGATTTGGATTTGTCCTTGGAAGACCAACTAGTCAAATACTTTGAATATCATTTCTGGAATCCCTGAACTTAAGTATGAGCCATGACTTACAATCTACATACCCAACATATCTGATCAGTGTAACAACGTCAGTAATACAAACAAGGATGTCTTTTGGATTTATTGTTAATATCAAAATATTCAGTTTCAAATATAGATAAACATTCTAGATAGAACAAAAGGACATAAATCTCTTTATGTGATTTTTATGTTGAAATTCCATCATTCTTTTAAAAGTGTCAATTTGATATTGCAAATATGCAACACAGTGCCTGCAGGAGTAATCTAGCATCTGATCGTGCTAAAATAAATTATTGTTTCTGCGCTATAATGTTAAAACCTTAAAGCTTGACTTTAAACTTTTAGTAATAAAATAGTAATAACAATTAAAACTTCTAATTTGTGTATCCAAGAAGTTTATTCTACAATGGTAATATTTAGCTTCAGCCAAATGTTAATTCTAATACTCAACCTTTTAACATTTAACCAAAATTTAATTTGCTGCACCTCTAGATAAAAAGGGAGGGCAAGAAAGAAGGTCACTCTAATTCATTGATTGACTTTTTAAAGTACGAGCATCTCAAATCACACTAGATTTTTTTGAGAGGATTCTCCTTTCACAAATGTCAATAAGGAATAGATCTCCTGAAATCATCTCTATCCTTGCTCCTGGAGGGTTAATGAAAGCAGAAAGTGATACTGTACAAATGAGCCCGGGAGGTCTACTGGAAGAATTGTAATGTACTCCTTTACACCTCCGTGATAGTGATATTTTGTTTTCCTCTAACATTTCATCAAAAAGAGAAACATTTTATATCACCTCTCAAGTGGTTCATTTTACTGTCAGATTCACTTTCACATATGATCATCCTTCCTAAGAATGAAGTATTATTCCTTCATGAAATAAATGAAGTTATATAAACTATTTTCTTCAATTATGGTAGAAACTAGTTGAAACAGTTTAATGCATAAACTGAGAAAAACACAGTCTCCCAAAACAGTACCAACAATTAAAGAATTGACATAAAAGACTCAATCTATTATAACTTTTCTATTTTAAATTATATAGCAATTAGCTAGAGGTTACACAGTAGAGCACCTACTTGTAGACCTACCAGTCATTTATGAATTTTCTAAAGAGTTTGCAAGTACTACTAATTTCTTCTTTGAGGGCAGAGGTTAAATATTTAGTTTTCTTTTCTTGTTCATATAAAATAGTATCTATCAAGCATTAAACAAACTTGATGGCGAGTAATGTGTGTTGATAAAGTTACCACTGCACCAAAATGAGAAAACTTTTACAAAGGGCTCAGTAACTATTTTTTTTTTTCTTTTTCTTTCTTTTTCTTTTTTTCTTTTTCTTTCTTTCTTTTTTTTTTTTTTTTTTTTTTTTTTTTTGAGACAGTCTTGCTCTGTCACCCAGGCTGGAGTGCAGTGGCATGATCTTGGCTCACTGCAACCTCCACCTCCCGGGTTCCAGTGATTCTCCTGCCTCAGCCTCCTGAGTAGCTGGGACTACAGGCATGCACCACCACAGGTGGCTAATATTTCTATTTTTTAGTAGAGACAGGGTTTCACCATATTGGCCAGGCTTGTCTTGAACTCCTGACCTTGTGATCTACCCACCTCGGCCTCCCAAAGTGCTGGGATTACAGGCATGAGCCACCGCACCTGGCCTCAGTAACTATTATATAAAGTCACACACAATGGTAACTAACTGGCGTATTTTAAAGACAATTTAAAGACAATAATAATAACTAGCATAATTATTAAATCAAATATCTTAAATAATTTAGGATGTACAGTGAACGATGGAGTACTGTACAGCCTTTAAAATTATTACATACTTTATAGAATATATCACGGATAGTTATTTATTAGTGATTAAAATGGATAAAGCTAAGATAAAAAGTACGATTATGGTATGATAGCCACAGCTGTGTGTGTACATGTTTGCACATGTATATATCGGGATGTATGTTATATCTGACATTGTTAAATTAATGTAACAGAGAAGGTTATCTAGCAAAATACATTAAGCTTGCAAATGTTATCCATCAGCTATAGTCTTACAAGAAGCAAGTGGACAATAATTGCCTGCTTGTTTGTCATCACTGCATTAAAGAGCCCAAATCACAATACTTTGATGTAAGATGAGTAACTGGTAATGCTATTTCAGACAAATACTGTAGTCAAAAATGTTTGTCAAGTGATATGTACACTAATTACTCATATAATAACATTTCTCATATTGAATTACTAACCTCTTAAGGTTCTTTAATTTAAATTGAACACTAGTACTAATAAAGAATGTTTTGTGTTATACTTTTCTAGGTCTCAGGGTGGTGAACTTTTTCTTCGAATTCCTAACCTGTGAGCTTACGGTAAGATTATAATTAATTTACCTAATTTTAGAGTTATTTTCATTACCGCTTTTTGATCATGTCCAGTTTTTTTTAAGTAAAGGAAATTCAAATAAGTCATTTGATATTTAACCATAAATGTTGAAGAAATTATGTGATATTTTCTATCAAAATGTTTATGTTCTTGGATAGATTATAGTAATACAGTTATTTGATATAGTCTTTGATAGATTTCTATGTAAATTTTAAGGCATGTCCCGCAAAGGTAAAGATTGATACCACTGAAAACTGTTCTTTGAACATGAATAACAATTTTATCCATTAAATTTTTCATAATGAAGTCTATTTGATGGCAATGAGTTATTGAAAGTAAAACTTATTTTATCACCTGTCAAGATGTATCAAAATTGGGTCTCCCCATGAAGCATGATGTTAGAGCTCCAGGAAGTTGAGAGTAAAGTATGTAACTATGGAAATAAGATGGTAATAAATAACAAGTGACTTCTAAGGCAATTTTTAAGGCTTTAATTATTCATTAACTTCTGTGGTTATATGTATTCAATAAGGTTTGTCAAAAATGTGAATCTGGATTATATTAATAATTGACTACAGAATATACATAAATATGAGTTTATTTGTGTTTTGAAACTGATGAAATTAATTTTCACTAAGCCAACTTTCAGAGTTTATCTGTTGCTTATTAGTAAACATAATAAAGATTTACTTTATAATAAATATATAAAATCCAGATAATGTGGGCATTTGTATCATACATTCTATACTTGGGGGAAATGACATCCTTGGAAGCACAAAGGCAGTTGATTAAAACTCCTATTTGGGCATATAGCATTATTGCAATGTATCTTGAAAAAGATGTTTTAAAATGATCGTAGATAACAGCCATCTCTAAGAACTATAAGGTATACTTTTTCATTACTTTTTAAAGAAACACTCAACATAACATAGGATTGTTTAAAACAAGTGTCATATAGGAGGAAAGTGAAATTCCTCTGCTCTACCAGGAGGACTTTGCTGATAATGGGAGAAATTTGGAGAAATTATTTAGATACACTTTGAGTAATAATTTTATCCCCAAGTACTTATTTTTAAGTTTTAAATTATATTTCACAAATATACCTGAATGAACTTTTTAAATAAATTATTTCAATTTATAATAAGAAACAAAAGTATTCTAAAAATTACTATTATCTCCAGTGTTTTAATTATCTTATATACATAGAGAAAATTACTTATATCTTAAGTGCGCAGTTTTAGTGAATTGTTACAAAATGAATTACACCCATATAACCAATACTGACATAAGTTTTTTTTTTTTAAAAAAAGAACATTAGAGTACTTTGAGTCCTGTTATACTCTTTCTAGTCACTAAACCTATAGAGCATAAGCAATATCTTCAGTTCTAGAAGTATACAGAACATAAGAAGTATCTTTGCTTCTAGAATATAGAAAAAGGAGGCTCCTTTTTCTGTATTCTATAAATGAAATCATACAGTAGGTATTGCTTTGTTTCTTTTGCTCAACATTATGTTTGTAAAATTGTGTGCAGTGGTAAATTGCTCATTTTCATTGCTGTGTAGTATTCAACTCTGTGAATAGACCAAATTATTAACCCTTTCTAATATTGATAGTAACTTAAGTAGCTTCCAGACTTTGGCTTTATCAATAGTGTTGATTTGGATATCAGGAACATGTGTTTTTGGAGAACACATGTATGTATTTTGTTGTGTACATAGGATATGCTCATGTTCTGCTTCAGTACATATTGACAATTCACCAAGTGTTTATCAGTTTTAGGAGCAGGATATAAGAGTTCAGTTGCTCCCTATAGTCACTGACACCGGGGTTTTTCATCCTAACTTCAGCAGTTTGGGTATGTGAATAGGGGTATTATAATTGGAATATATTGAATATTAATGCTATCAAACATTTGTTTTTGCTCTTATTTCTCATGTGGTTACACTATTCGTTGAAATGTCCTAAAACTTTTGCCTTTTTTTTCTTACTAGATTATTTGTCCTTTATTATTAGGTTATGTTTATACATACATATGTTTATACATACATAATATACATATCGGGTTATGTTTATACATAAATACATATATATACATATATGTATGATATATATATACACATATACATATATATACACATATATATATATATATATACATATATATATGCCATTGTATATATCCAATAGAGGATTTAAAACTACCAATTAATAAATCAGCATTATTTCTTTCTTAAAATTCAGAATCAATTCTGCAAATGTGTACTTGCCACAGATTACATTGTCCTTTTATGTATGGTTTTTGAATTGCATGTGTTTTTCCTCATGAAGTAATAATCCTGATTCAAATATATTCTTCGACTAACATTCTTACATTCTTAAATACTTTCTCAAAACTAACCATAGCCAATTATGGAAGTGTCAATTATGGGTTTGAAAATCAGTCATGATAGAAGTATTTTCACAACATAGTTTGAGAAACACCAAAAATAATGGCTTTATTTTTCCTTCTGGAGAGCTAGTTGTGAAATATTTACCAGAGCACCACTGAATATTTGCACTTTATATTCAACTCTTTGGTGGATTTTCTCATTACTCTCTGGATGATATATTTTGATGAACAGAAGTTCTTAATTTTGATTTATTTCTGTTTATTAGGGTTTTTTCATTTTCCTTCTATGATCAAAGTTTTTTATGTCCTATTTAAGATATTTTTGCCTTATCTGTTGTTACTAAGATATTATGGTTTCTCTAAACCATAATATCGTTTAAACTTTTACAGTTAATGGACTCCAGGTGTTACATTGTTCTATGTTTATTACCTTGTGCATTTAAGATAAATAGATTTGCATTAGAATTGTAATTGCTCTGTATATGTTTTAATGTTTTATTATAAAATTCATACATAAATATTAATACATTGATATGTAGTTATTTAATAATTTAATGTATCTATTAAAATAAGCAATATGTAGTATTTTGTTAAATCAATATATATATATTTATGAATTGCCCATTATAAGTTTCATGCAACAATTAGTTATGTGGCCACAATTTTGAAATGAAAATTCAGCACTATAACAAAATTATTTTACTTTAAGCCTAAATGAATTATGATAATTTATTTCCATATGATATTATTAAGGGAACCAAAAGTATGCAATATGAATGTTCTACAGCATCATTAAAATATCAGAATATTAGGCTAACCTTTAAGCATTTAAATGTAATCATTGTTAAAATATATTTATTGCTTCTAAAATATTATGTCTAATAAGTTATATAAGCATATAACAGCCATAATATAAATACAGCCTTAAGTATTAACTACAGAATACTGTTATATGCGCTTCATTAAGATTTTATTTAATACTTGTCTTGTGAGATATATATAGAGAGAGAAGAGAGAGAGAGACATACATATCTTTTTTTGTTTGTTTTAAAATTTTCACCAAAAACACAACTTATTTTGTGTCTGATAGAAAGGATGGTATAAAAATCAGGATTGTTTATTTTTAAAAATTTTGTATCAGTTATGCAAACATACATGTGTTTGCCACAGGTTGCAGTATACACCTTTTTAGAATTGCATGTGTTTTTCCTCATGAAGTAACAATCTTCATTTAAATACGTTCTTAGAATGTTTGTTTTTCATCTCTGGGTCCTTAGTCTAAGCCATGTCATGATTTAAGAGTAACTCATAATGTAACACAATGGAAGTAGAACAGCAAAGTAGATAGTATCTTATTTTAGTAGTTAGCTAACGTGTTTCAGTTCTTCATAATATTGAAACAATGTAATAAAGAAATGTTGGGGTTTATAAATTAAAATCCTTGAAACTAAAGATGGAATTTTATTAATCCATATACTTGGATATTTGAAGAGCTTGGGATTTGTTTCAGAAGATTTTGGTTGCCTGTTTTTTTCTTTCTGCTTTCTTGCCTGTTTTAGGTAGCCAAACATGATGAAATATTGAGCGCAATAATCAAGAGCTAATTAGATGTTTTTCACTTTTTCTAAATTATCGATCTCTGTGTCATAATGAAAGCAGGGAGAACAAAGGTAAAACACAAATAGCTGTCTTGAAGATTGGTTCTAAGACTTTAAGTAGCACTAATACTTCTTATCCTCCACCAGCCATTCCAAAAAGATAAATAATGAGCTTATCTGAGAAATAGAGCATAAGTTATAGAAATAAATATTTCAGGATTTATTTCATGTGTCCCTGAATGTAAGTGATAGTTAAAGGGAAAAATCCAGTTAAGAAACACAAACCACATATAGAGGTAATTGATGCCAGTTAAATTAGCTTAGTTTATTTTCACAGTGGTGACAGGGCTTGGGGAAAAATGAAGTTAAACGACATACAAGTAACATCCTGCATGAAGGAAAATAGTGGAAACTGAAGAATTACTGTGCATTATTTGGACCCAAAATTTAAATACTGAATTATGCAATAGAAGTCTAATCTGAAGTCACAAACACCGTTTGAAGTCCAAATAATAATAATAATGATGATAATACAGTTAGAAAGACGTGGGTAAAAAGTTTTGGTAACATAAATGAAGTTTGAATTTGAGATCACTGCATGCACAAATACTTTCTGGAAATTTTTGCTTCCTATTCAATAATGAATTGATTACACAGAATTGTTAAAGTGCAGTTCTGTGGGGTTATTTTTTTTCCCTAAAAAATATATGGGAAAAATGGAGTTCTAGTTCTGATGAGCACTTTCAACTGATATTTCTGAAAAACTAGTTCAGTGATATTTACTTGTTACAAAATGCCTCACCTAAATCCTTTAGTCTGAATACATATGGATTATCACCTCTTCACACCTTTGGACAGATTATTCCTATCTGGCTAGCTCACACATAATTCTGATTAAATAAATTATCCATCTGTGAATCCCCTAGGCTTAACTTTTAATACTTACTCTATATGATTTACACACTATATCTAGCCTTCCCCCGTTCCCGACATGTCAGGAACAAGTAATTTAGTTTCTAAGACTTTCCTATTTGTCTAAAGGCAAACTTTATCAACCTCTATAAAAATGTGTATGTTATCTTGCTCCCTCTTTGATATACTATGGATATCTGGGAAAATCGAGATTAGACTTTTGTCGATTTGACTTGTTGATAACGAAGTGTTAGGGAAAAAAAAAGAGCTTTAGAACATATTTAAGCTTACTAAAGCCTTTCAATGGCATATATTTAATTCTGGTAGCAATAAAATGGATGGGATTTTATTGTAAAGCTGAGCAGAATTCAGCTTCTAATATGTCAGCTTTACATGACAGATTATTAATAAACTGCCACTGTTATCACATGATACAAATCTTTGGTGACTGACTTTTTAAACTTGAAACTCAAATGTATATTTTAAAGTAAGCTTTACTTTGTGGCTCAGTTCTTCCCTTTAAATACCTTTTTTTTTTCCCCTCTGCTCTGTAGAAATTATTGTGCCATTTAATCAATGGTTTTAATTTCATTACACTTATAACATTCGCAAATGACTAGCGTATCATCTGTGTTGATACATGTGCAGATAGTTAGAGGATTATTACTATTATTACTCGCTGCAGATGATGACAATGACAGAGTAAGAATTAAGAAAATGAATTGACTTTAAACTCTGTATAATGGCCATTACCTAGCAAAATGAGAAAGTGGGCATAGTGCATTTTCTCAACTGACTTTCCCCAGTGTCTTTGCCTTTTTCTCTCTTTTATTCACAACTCCTTATTGTAGATACCCATTATTTTATTCAACAAAACCCACTAAGCATCTGTATGTACTAAGCATTGGGCTAGTATTGGGAAACAGTCAGCTAACAGGGACCCATAGGAAATTTATAGTCCTGGAGAGCTTGTAGGGTCTACAGTCATCCTCCAGCTACAAAAAGGTCTTCATCTGTGAAGTCCTCTATACTATGTGTATATCCTTATCACCCCATCAAAACTTTAGTTACCCATCAGTGGAAAATTAAGAGCTACCTCCCATTAAGTTATAATTAGTAGATGAAGGGACATAGCATCTGATTATCGTTTAAAAAAATGTGTAAACGTCATAGAGGAAAGCATGTAGGAAAACCTATAAATCCATACATGTATGACTCAGTGAGTTGTAAGTAGCATATATTTTCTCACTGTCATAATTGGATGGTTAATATCAAAACTGTTCACTAGTTGGGCAAAGCTGGAAATAAGAGTCCATATTTTCAGTCAGGTATTATTCAGTATTTATTACATGTCACATACTCTTCTGGATGGTTTTATTTGTATAATGATCTTCTAAGAAATCTGAAATGTATTAAAGATGAGAAGGCAGAATATTTGTGGAACTTAGGAAGCCTGATTCTGCTTATAATTAATCGTTTGACCTCCCACCTCAGTCATTTATTTTCTCAAGTCTTCCATGTGTTCTACTACAAAACAAGAAGGATGTGCACTATGAATTTTGAATCCTTTCAAGCTTTAAATTTAATTATTCTAATTATGTCAGTTGATATGCTTTGAGCCACAAATAACAGGAAACTAACTTGCTTAGGCTTTAAGAAAGGCTTCTTATTATACAAATAAGAAGTTAAGAAGTTGTAGAATTTCATGGATGACTCAATGACATAATCAGGGACCTATGTTCTTTTCATCTTTGTGCCCAATGTCCTATCTTAGGTTTGTCCTTGGCCAGAATCCCTCAATATTGAAAGATGTCTGCCGTAATTATAGGTTACATATCTAGGCACGAGATACCCAGTAGAAAAAAAAAGGGGATTTTGCCTTCTTTTTATGCCATAAAAGATTAAGATTTTATGACAATCCCCACTCTTCTGCCTATTGCCAGCAAATACCTTTTCACATCTCTTCTATCAAATGTGTCATATGCCCCAGCCTATAAGGATCATTTACTATTGGCTTAGACCAGTTGTGTTTACCCTCTGCATTTAAAAATGTGTTCTGCTTCCATGGAAGCTCAAGGCTGCATAGAGAAGCATGGAGGGGGATAAAAAATTCAAGTTCCCTTAAGAAGCAGAAAAGGAGAAATGGTTCTTTGCTAGGCAACCAGTGGTATCTGTTATAGTTATTATGCTTTGTTGGTGTACTACATCCTTCTTGAATTAATACTTTTATTTTCCCTGAGGCAATAATAGATAAAATGTGAGTTTACTTTAGAATGAAGTCCCCAGGGATAATCACATCAAATTAAACAGGTGATTGCTTAGGAAGTAGGCAATTGTTATTGTTTACATCCACATCTCTTCTCAAAATTCTTTAGTGACTTTTCATCTTCAAGAGAATAATTTCTGTATAAAAATGTACAGAATGGGGTTTCTCCCTCAGTTTTGCTGCTCTGTTACCATCCATGAGACCGGCATACCTATGTTCTTTGCTCTCAATCTGGTGCCTTCACCCATCCTGTTCTCTCAATAACACAACAATCCCACCCCTAGCAGAACCTCCCACCCACAATCAATCATCTCTGCATTTTTCCTTTGACCAAGACCCACTCACACACCTTTGACTGACAGAAAAGGTACTGCTATTCCTTCATTCCTTCAAATTTCAGCTCAAATGCCACACTCCTTATGCAGTATTTCATGAATCTTCAGGTGACCTATGTGCGCTTTCATTTTCCCATTGACCTTCAACATATTTCCATTAGACTGATTATTTTATATTTTTTATATCTACTTGACCTCTCTCGGCAATGGACTTTCCACACTTTGAGGGTAAAATTGGTGCCCTTGCTGCCTTAGTATTTGACTCTGTAATCACTGTCATAAGGTAAGGTTTACTCTGTGTTTGCTAGAGTATGTGCCTGGGCAACAAAATAGTGTTAGTGTCAGTGTACATAAGCAGAGCGAATGTTCGGAGCATTTCTTTCATTTTTCCATGAGAAGAAAGTAAGATAGGCCGAAGAAACGCTTTTCAATATTTTCCACAAATGTCCAAAGGTTTTACTGCCCCAAAACTTTACTGACAAAGGATGATCTATGAAATATAATTAGTTATGACCCCACTACGAGTGTAAGCTTTTCTTAAAAGCTGGTGTTTAATCTTTGTAAATTGTGCTAATTTTATATTTTATAGTGTTTAGCCTTTTTAAATTATGTTAAATACATAGTCTATGTAATAAAACATCCAGGTTTTATTTAGCATATAAGAATGTTTAGGTATTATTGTGTAAAACTGATTCTCCAGCAAGAATTACATTGTTTTTCCTGATATCCTAGGCAAACCATTATAAGCTCTCGCACAAGTTTAATCGAAAAGCACGTACAGAGAGAAATAATCTGAGTTTAAATTTTTGACCACAACACCATTGCTTATTGCTGTGCTCTTGAGTAATTAATTTAAGCTCATTGTACATTAAACAAATAAAATTCTTATAGTTGTGTATTATAATTTACCTTCATATATATCACAGTTTTTGACAGATCAACATGTGCAAATTATTTTTATCTTATCGAGTTCAAAGATCCATATAAGTAGATAATAACAGTCTTCAAAATATGACAATAGTTTGATTTGTGTTGTCCACGTATAAATGTAATTAGTGAGAATTTTAATAAGTACTGGAAAAGAAAAAAATATATATACACCAAGATGAAATTGCTGGAGAAGAAAAAATGTGCAGGAATAAAAAAGCAAGCCCTAACAGCATAGAATTCAAGTTGTCACAAATGAGGAGGCAGCCAATAAATGATTCATCTTGTGTCCTTCATAGCATATTTATAAATCCATCTGACACTTCTGGCCTGTTAGAGAGTAAAAAAATGAAATTATAGATTCCCTACTATAGAAGACACCATCAACAAAGGGGTTTAAGTAGGGTTACTTGGTCATTTTCATTTATCTCATTTCTCTGTATTCCATCCTTGACAGCTCTAACATATAAATTCTTCAAAATCCTAGGAAACGGGGCCAAAGTTTAATGTTCTGTTTCCTTTTTTACAAGGACATTTGTCTGGTTTCCTAAATGCACAAAAAATGAATAATAATGTAACAGTTTCTGGGAATATGTTAAGGTACAAAAAAATGTAAAAATGATTTAAAAAATAAAGGTACCTGTAGTTTATTTCTGAACGTGTGGCTATTTGTAGCATTTTCTTTATATTTCTTATATGTTAAAAATATTAAAAGCATTTTTATACATTAATAAAGTCTTGCAATATAAATAACAAAAAGAAAGGAAAAATTATTCTTCAGAAATCCATCATCATTCTGCATTCAGATTGTGAGGTATCAAAATAAAAAGGATTTTTATACCTTCCTTTCCAATCCTTATTTAGATTTGCATTTAGATTACATCATTCAATACATGCAATTTTTTGCAATTTTAAATTTAATAAACATTTCACTCATCAGAAGTGTATCTCCATTTCTACATAGTCTATAAATGTTAATTTTAAAAACCGCATATTTTTTCAGATCAGAAAATTCCTAATCAAAACAGATGAAGCAAGAGTTTAGTGAGCTTAAAAAGGTTTGTTTAGAGTTGCAAAAAGTGAGGTAAATTAATAAAATATATTGTTAGTTTACAATTACTCATTCAGATAATCCTTTCCACTTTACAAAACCTTTTACACATATTAGTAAGTTTTAATAAAATATTTGAATATAACTTTTCACTTTATTAAGCTTCTTTTTATGGGATTATGTAAGATTAAGTTAGTTATCAGGACATTGGAGACCTTGAGATAATTTTGAAACTAGGTAAATTTGAAAACTGCATGTCATTCATTTAAATCTTTATGAAGCAAATAGTACATAGCCCATAACAGGTTAGCCTTAGGTGCACTGCAAAAAAAAAAAAAAAAAAAAAAAAAAAAACAGAAGATTCAAGTCTCTCTTTTGTTCAGCTTACATTTCTGGAGGCAGAACAAGAAATATCTTCAGAAGTAAAATCTAAGTGTGATATATTTTTTCTAAGTGCTAATAAATCCAAAGACAGTCACTGAACTAGAGTTAGGAAAAACAATTCAGAGATGGGTTTTCTTGAGTTACATATTAATACAGGAGTTCCTAAATATAATGACCTTTAAAAATCTTCTTGGAAAGCTTTTAAGACATATGTACCCCAGGATTCGAAGATTTTGGTTCAGTAAGTTTGAAAATTGTTTAAAAAAAGAAAGCTCCAACCCAAAGGTTCTCACAATTTGGTGTGCAAGAGAATCATCTAGTAAATCTGATAAAAGTGTGAATTCACGAACCTCAGCCTAAGAAATTCGAATTTAGTTGATCTAATGTGGAGTCAGAAATTTTTAAAATATAAATTTAAATTGACAAGGCCCCCTGCATTCCTCATGCCAACTCTGTTATGCCAGGGAGATTCTGAGTTAACTTGTTTCTAAAGGGTAACAGGAGAAGCATTCCTCACAACTGATGAAAATTTGGAGAAAGAGTACTTCAAGAACTTGGGCATAGCTCCTTCATTTGGAAAGCTCATCAGAATCACTCATGGAGATTTTCTTTTGCACATCTGTGAGCTCCTCCTCAGGTTAAATGAATAAGGATCTACAAAGTTAATACACAGGTACTTAAACTTTAAAAAGCTCAGCTGGTGTTTCTAATAGCCTCTTTGGCTGACATACTCATTAAATACACTCTTGGGAGGCCAGATGAGCATGCTATTCTAATGATCCACAAGCACTGGTAGCTATTAGAATGAGCTGGAAAACTTGGTAAATATAAAACAACCCAAGCTCTCACCTACTCAGTTGAACCTAGGCCAACATGTCTTTTACTTCCTCTTTAAGTGACTCATATGCCCATTTGGTTTGAGAGCCATTGGGCTAAGTCATGTGGAGAAGAAAGCCAGGATATCAATGGATAAGGTTAACTGAAGTCAAGATTTAAATGCTCAGGTAAAGCATGTTGGTTGTCAATATGAGTCAATTCTAGTTCTATAGTATGAGAATGCAAGATAAGAGTATTACTTGGGCATACCAATGTATTAATGATCTCTTTCAAACATCATATATTGGATGCATGGGATATTACTTAATGGAAGCTTTATGGTTTTGTTTATATGGTTGCAGAATGATTTTCATATAACATAATGTTTAATCCTTGGCATAAAAGCCAAGGATAAAAGCATCAACAGCTGTCCTGATCCTCTGAATGTGGTTTCCTTATTTTTCTTACTATGCTCCAGCTCTGTAGGCTGTCCCTGAGTTCTGGAATTGGTCTATTCTTCAGCAATCACAGTATTTCCAGAATCTACCACCATATTTCTTTCTTGTCCATGCAGAATAAAATAAGGAGAGAGTGATCCATGGTTTGGGTACAGATAGAAGAAAAATAACCAAAGCTACTTTGATGATCATGACAATAAGGTAATTAAAAAGATACTGGAGTTATCATATTGTCAAAGCATTCTGATCCCACCTTATAATAGTCTATCCATAAGGTAGTTCCCAAATGAAGTAACCCAGCAAATTTGCACAGCGCACCTAAGCCATGGATTCTTCTCACATTTCAAACTTATCGGGATAGACTTGCTCCTTACAACTTTTATTACTATATCTTGACCACCCCTTGCCCCTTTTATTTTTAATCTCTTTCTGCTCCTACCAAAGAGAAGGGTCAGACTGAAACACATTATATATTTCTTATAATAAAGTGGGTACAATTATAACCATACAATTAGCTAAAATTTTATATTCAGTTGAAAAAGGTGATTTATTAAAAATGTTCTAATAGTCATTCATCTAGCAATAAATATTTGGTGAGCAGCTACTGTGTTCTAGACCATTGTCTTTCTGCTTGAGTTACACCGTAAATACAAGCGGCAAAGATGTCTGCCCACATGGAGCTTGGATTCCAGTGTGGAGAGATGGTGATAGAATAATCTAGCATATTTAAAGGTTATGTATTTTACAGAAAATAACAAAAAGTAGAACAGGTTGAAAGGAAATAGGAGATTTGGGGATAAGGAGATGTGGGGTGGGTAGAAATATAATTGTAAATAGGATGCTTAGAGTTGAATTATCCAAAACAACAGATTTGGGCAAATTTGCTCAGGAACTAAAGGTGTTAGCCATATAGATACCATGAAGGAGAGGGGTCTAATTGTAAAGGCAAAGGCTGAAAGGAGGCTTGAAAAATAGCAAAGAGGACAGTGCAATAGGAGCAGAGGAAGGCAGAGTTCTAGGACCTGAGGTCAGAATAGTAACAGAGGTGGGGTTGAAGGCAGGTCAGGTAGAGCTTTGGCTTTAACACTAAGAGCAGTGAGAAGCCATTGAAGGATTTTAAGCAGAAGGATGATACTAAGGTAATTATCTCTGTTGACAATGGCAAATAGGGTATGGTCTTAAAGCCAGAAGCCATTTTTAAAGGCTACCGTAATGCAGATAAGAAATAATAGGGGCTTCATCCAGAATAGTGGCAGAGGAGGCAATGAAAAGAATTTAGATAAATTTTCTAGGTAAATTTTGAAGGATTTGTTGGCAGAATTTCCAACCAATTGCCTGAGGGACATAAGAGAAAGAGGAATCAAGGATGGCTTGGGGATTTGAGAGCTAAGAACTTAACTGTGGAGCTGCCTTTTACCAAAAAATAAAAATAAGAAAAAATAAAGAATATGAGTGTGAGGAAAACAGATATGGGGGACACAGAAAATCAGATCAATTTTGGACATGTTGAATTTCAGATGTCTTTTAGACTCCGAAGTTGGGTATCAAGTAGTCATATGGATATATGAGGCTTCATTTTGGAAGAAATGTCAGTCCAGAAGATTAAAAAAGTGAATGTTGGTGGCACAGAGATGACATTTAAAGCCATAAAATGAGAGAAAAATCCTTAAAGCAGCATGTATACATAGAGAGAAAATGTCTAAGTCTGAGCCATGGGCCATTCCAACAATAAGAGCTTGGAAGGAGAAGGAACCAACAAATGAGAGAAGGTACAACCAGTAGATAGAAAGAGAAAGAAAAGTATGTGATGTCTTTCAATCTAAGAGAAAAGATCTCATCACCTCTGAAGAGAAACAGATTTTTACCAACACGGATGTTTTATAAATTAGTACCCTTCTTTTGTTTGGAAAGTAAGAGTGTTTTTTTCAGTTAAGGCTTAAACCTAAATGCCTTTTTCCCTGCACATTTCTAACTGTAGTTCTGAAAATAGAGAGAGGCTATTCTTTTTATACTTGTCCATTTGCTTGTTCTTTGTGAAAATCTAATTTTACCCCAAATGGTTTGATGATAAATCAGTGGCCATTTACTTAGTAGTGTTGATGAAAAAGAGTCAAATTATGTAAAATATTTGAATGGATTTATTCTGCGTCAAATATGCGTGACCAATACGTGAGGCACAGTTGCAAGAAGTCCTGAGAACATGTGCCCACACTGTTTAGGTTACAGCTTGATTTTTTATACATTTTAGGGGGACAGAAGTCACAGGCAGACATCAATCAATACATGCAAGGTATCCATGGGTTTGATCTGGAAACGTGGTGTAAGGAACATGGCTGTGCTTTAGTCAGGGGTAGGCCAAGGTATGATGTTTACATCCTGAGTGACTCAGTGAGTTTAGAGCGCAGGCGTATAACTCCGCTTGTTATCACAACCATGTAGCCATAACATAGGAAGGCCATCATTGGCTCTACAACACTATTGTCTGTGAAACGTATAACTGCCCTGCTAATGCTGTACAGGCTTGCTTGGCTCTTGGGGCTCAGCTCGGCTCAACATGGCTTGACATGGCAGGCACATGGCACCCAGAGAAAGAGAGAGAGTGAAGGCTACCTGTCTTGCAGATAGACAGGAGGGAGCCAGGACACAGCTCGGCTTGCTCGTGCCCAGAAAGAGAAAGAGTTAAGCTACTGACCATGAAGGCAAGGGAGAACCTGCTGCACAGCTGTGCATGGGGGCAGCTGGCTCAAGCAGCCAAGACAGGGCGGACAGTGTGAAAGTAAGCTGCTAATGAGAAAGCTACTTTAAGCTGTGTAAGAGAGCTGCTGCTGAATAAAGCCATATTCACCTGCCCACGGCCCCAGAGTGTACTTTCTGCCCATCCACCCACTCCCCTTGGACTTCAGCATGGGCTGGAACCGGACCCTAGGACCTGACAACTGGCAATAAGGGTGGGATGAAGTGAGTGGGTCTTCAGCCCCTGAGGCTTGCCCGGTCAGCCATGTGGCTGCAGCATGGGCTGTGGTACCCGGTGGCAGTGGTGCTGCTTGGATGAGCCTCAATGGAAACATGGGAGGCAGTGGACAGATTCCCTGTGAGTGTGGAGGAGGCGCTGAAGCACCTGAGGTGCACAACACCAAGGAGGAACATATCTTTGCCAGCAAAGTCGGATAGGCATTTGTAACTGTGCTGCGGGAAATACATGCCTAGTCCCTGCAAGATGCAACATTTCTAGAATCTACCACCATATGTTCTTGCAGGCTCGCCCTGTATTCCACCAGAAAATAGAGCATGAGAAGCTATTAGGTCCAGGGGTGGTCCCAGAGACCACCTACTGTGGTGGAGTGTACTTCCTCTAGTGCCTGTGTCCTGGCTGAGTTGTGGGAGTTAAGTAAGTAAGGTCCACAGTCATGTACAGACTTAGTGCAAGACGTCTGAGAGAAGAACATTGCTGTGCAACCCAGTCCTGCCCTAGCATTCCAGTTCAAAGAGTACCTGCTGTGGTTGGTGGAAGTGTAGTTTTTTTCTGTTTGGTAAGAGAACTGGCCGAGAAGCCCGACTTGAGGGGGCACCGGACAACCGGAGCCACATGTGGACTTGGCAATCCACTGGTCTCTGAACCCAGATAAGTTTCCAGGCAGAACTGCATTTATTGGCAGCTGTGGAAGCTGGTCAGTGGAAGTGAAACCTCTGTCTGCACCTTGGCATTGGCAGCTTGGCTCTCCACTTATGCACCGCTTATGTCTCTCCCATGCCTGAGGATATTCTGAGGGTGGATGTTTTTCATGGGTTGGCAGCTGTACGGTCTGTCACAGACTTGCTGGACCACTTGACAACAGAACTGGAACTTCTTGTCCAGAGAGCCAGGAACAGTTTACCTTCATGGGAGGGCAACAGTGGACTTTCGCAGTGTTGCTGGAGGGCTATGTGCATAGCTCCACTATATGTCATAGTCTTATTGATGATGTTATGCTAACCTCTCATTCTCTTGCAGAGTTAGAAACAGCAATGCCCCTCTTACCTGGGATTGGATGATGAGGCTGAGACAGCCAAGCAGCCTATTCAGTAGGCACAAGCCCTACATGTAGTTAACCAGGGGTGCCTATTAAAACTGAATGTGCATGTGACCACAGATAGTTTTGGCTAGGGCCTAAACAATGCTGGAGCAGTTGGAAGTGCCAGTAGGCTTTTAGTCCCAGCTGCGGGAGGGAGCTAAGTGCCAGTGTTCATTAATAGAGAAGCAGTTAGTAATAGCGGGATGGGTGTGTTCATGGGTAACCAACTCCCAGACTGGGAAGCAGTTAGTAACTGCATATGCTGCCCTTCATGCTCAGAGTGTGGTAGGACAGTCTACAGTCATCCTGTAGACAACTTACCCTATAGCGGGATGGGTGTGTTGATGGGTAACCACGCCCCAGACTGGGAAGCAGTTAGTAACTGCATATGCTGCCCTCTAGGCTCATAAGAGTGTGGCAGGACAGGCTACAGTCATCATTCAGATGACTTACCCAATAACGGGATGGGTGCACTCATGGATAGCTACCCCCCCGGACTGGAACGTGCGGACATCCACTTTAGTGATGTGGGGCGCCTACTTAGAGCATTGAAGTACACTGAGTACAAGTCCCTTAGTAGCAGAGTTACAAAAAGGCTTAGGACCTGTAGTCCTAATGCAACATAAGGCCTTGGGGCCTAAGGTCATGGGGCCTGAGACACCCCTAGATCCTGAACCTTCACTGTTAGGAAGGGTGTCCCCGAATTCGTAATAGGGCATTATATACAGATAGGTCTACCTGGGGTGCTCCTTCTGCCTGGACTTTTGTCTCAGTCCAGCCTAGTACTGATAACATATGGTTTAAAACCAGGTGTAAACGGAGTAGCTAATAAGCTAAACTCAGGGCAGTGTGAATGGTAATCACCAAGGAGGTGACATCTGTGGTAATCTGTGCCAATAGATGGGCAGTTTATCAACGCTTATGTATGTAACAGGCCTGCGTGCTCAGTTGCTTGTGTATGTATCGGACCTGCATTCCCAGTTGTATGTCAGGCTTATGGGTCAAGCCTGTCTATGTATCAGGTGTGTGTACCCAAAGTTTGTATGGCAGGCCTGTGTGACAAAACCTGTGTATCAAACCTGTGTGTCCAAGCCCTATGTCTCCCTCGGCCAAAGGGGTGGAGTGTAAGGAATATGGCTGTGCCTTAGTCAAGGATAGGCCAAGTTAGGATGTTTACATTCTGCATGACTCAGTGAGTTTAGAGCACAGATGTATAACTCCACTTGTTATCACAACCATGTAGCCATAACATGGAAAGGCCATTACTTGGCTCTGTGCCACTATTGTCTGTAAAAGGTACAACTGCCCTGCTAACACTGTACAGGCTTGCTTGGCTCTTGAGGTTCAGCTCGGCTCAACATGGCTTGACATGGTGGGCGCGCTGGCACCCAGAGAAAGACAGAGAGAGCCAAAGCTGTCCATCTTGCAGATGGACAGGAGGGAGCCAGGTCACAGCTCAGCTTACTCGTGCTCAGAGAAAGAAAGAGTTAAGCTGCTGACCCTGAAGGCAAGTAAAAGCTGGCTGTGTGCTGTGCATGCAGGCTGCTGGCTCAAGCAGCCAAGATAGGGTGGACAGTGTGAAAGTAAGCTGCTAATGAGAAAGCTAGTTTAAGTAAGCTGTGTAAGAGAGCTGCCGCTGAATAAAACCATATTCACCTGCCTATAGCCCCTGAGTGTTCTTTCTGCCCATCCACCCACTCCCCTCAGACTTCAGCATGGGCTGGACCAGGACTCCAGGACCTGACACATGGGACAACTTGAAGGGGGCTTCCAGATCATAGGTGGATTCAAAGCTTTTCTAACTGGCAATTATCAAAAAATCTGGAATCAATAGAAAGGAATGTTTTGGTTAAGATAAGGGGGTGTGGAGACCAAGGTTCTTATGCAGATGAAGTCTCTAGGTAGCAGTCTTCAGAAAGAATGGATGGTATTAGTCTCTTTTCAGATCTAAAAAGGTACCAGTTTCTTAATTAATATCTGTTGGATTAGGAAAAGCTCTGGAAAGGGAAGGGGTTTCTCTATAGCATGTAGATTTTTTTCTCCCGAGAGAGAGCTTTGCAGTGCATTTCAAAATATGTCAAAAAATTTTATTTTGGGATAAAATACTTCAATTTCTTCCAGGGCTTGCTATCTGCTATGCAATGCTATGTTAGAGTTAGGTTGGAGTTCGGTATCTTATTGGTACAAAGAGTCTGCTTTGTCATTCTTAAGATCTCTGTTTTAATGTTAATGCTGATCAATTGTGCCTGAATTCCAAAGGTAGGAGGCTACATTTAGGTATGTCTGGACACCCTTCCCCCCTTCCATCATGGCCTGAACTAGTTTTTCAAGTTTAATTTGGAATGCCTTGGCTGAGAGGAGGGTACATACAAGTCAATTGCGGGAGCTATAATTTTGTTTTTGGTTTACAATGGCAATGAAACCCAGACAATTTGCTGAAAGGATACTACTTTTCTTCCATTGATGGACGTTATCTCTCACACTCAAAATAATGAATCAGCATTCTGTGGATAAAGCACTGAGTCTCAGGGGGATAAGTTCCCTAAAGTGATAGAGTAACAAACAGAACCACCATGTCCATCTCAGTTGAAATCTTTACTCTTTTCTACAGTAGAATTGAAGATACTGTCTGAGATTAGAATACAGGTTTCTAATCCTTTGTTCTTTTCTGATAACGAAAGGACCCTGCAAGGCACTGAGAAATCTTTGAGGCTTCACTCCATCATCATCAAGATTTTGAACCACAGAGCTCTCAATTTCTTGCCAGGAATTATATTTTGAAGTTTGGATGTAACTTGATCATCTGACCATCTAAATTTGAAGGATTTGGGTTGTGTTAGCTCTCAGAGATACAAAGACAAAGTTATATACTTTAAACAATTCATTTATCTTAGATGGGGCCCTAGCAACAATAACTTACTGAAAATTATTAACTGAGGATCTACAATGTGGGAAGGCACCAGGCAAGAAAATTGGGGGCAAGTTAGATTCAAAGTGTGAAACACAATTGATAGACTTCTAGGAATTTACAATCTATTTATGACTGTTATGAATAATAAATAGAGTTGAACCCTTGAACAATAAAGATTTGGACTGGCAGGTCCACTTATATGTAAATTTTTTCAATAAATGTTACACCAAACGTGCCTCCTTCCCCTTCTACCTCCTCCACCTCTTTTTCCTCTGCTTTCCTGAGACAGCAAGACCAACCCCTCCTCTTCCTCCTTTCTTCAACTTACTCAGTGTGAAGACAATGAGGATGAAGACCTTTATGATGATCCACTTTCACTTAACAGTAAATATATTTTCGCTTTCTAATGATTTTCTTAATTACATTTTCTTTTCTCTGGCTTACTTTATTTTAATAATACAATATATAATACATATAACATACAAAATATGTATTAATTGACTATGTTATCAGTAAGGTTTCTGGTCAATAATAGGTTATTCATAGTTAAGTTCATGGGGAATCAAAAGTTACACAAAGATTTTTGGCTACCTGTGGGGTCCCCCACATTGTTCAAGGGTCAACTGTACAATCTAAGGCCATAAAAGGAGTAATTTAAGACACAAAAAATAAATTTAAAAGGAAGCAAAGGTTCTATTTTAGTTTTAATATGCATAATTTCTAGAGGAGGACAATCTTTTGAACTTTCAGGTGTATTCGTTAGTTTTGCATTTATTAAATGTTAATATTTGCATTAAAAAATTTAATCTCTTATAAGGCATTTAGATATAATTTTCTCATATAATATAATGGGAAAGGTACTTATAGCTAATGTTTTTTGTAGTTTTATCTGTATATTCAGAAACATAAGAAATCAGGACATATTTTGTGACCTACTTAAATGCCAAACGTGGTTTCTTCTTGTACTAGATTTACAACATATTGAACTTAGCCTATTTCTAAAATAGAAAGCAAACAGGAAAGAAATCAGTTAAGATGCTTTCCATCCTACAATAATGCTGAATTTTAGTGGCACAATATATGAAGTGTCATGTAATTATGTGCATGTGTATATGTTTATGTGTGTGTGTTTCCAGAGTTGATGAAACTATAATACGATAAATAAAGACAGGTTTAGGGAATCACTCTACAGGGTTATTTATACTTGTCTAACTCTATAAACACCAGCTTTCTCCCTTTTTCTGGTGAACTCAGTCAATAATGTGTGATGTTGCTCAACAGGTGACTGGTCAATAATTATGGGGGGAACATTCAGGTTTATATAGGTAAACAATGAAAAGACTGTGGCCATATATCTGCCCTAATAAGATATTTTATTATATTAGAAAGTCTTCTAGAAGCATAAGAAATAATATCATACGTCAAATATTATGTAAAAAAATGAACATATTCATAATACATACATGTTGGCAGTATTACAAACACAGTCTTCTAAAGTCCATGCTCAAAACTCTGAAATGTTTCACATTATGCACTTATGCCTTTAAACAAACCACTTTTAGAACTGAGTCTAAATTTTCTAATATAGAATTATTTTCCTCTTTGCACAAATGATAAAAATTCTAACCCATTAGACAAAATCATAGATATAAAATAGCTTGTATAATATAGAATATGTAGACGTATAAGCAAGCAAATTAAAATCCACATTTTGCAGATAGACTTTATTTCATTGAATAATTGAATATGCAGTTTTTCCTGGCTTGGAATGTAATCACTTTATTGACCTATGATTATACCTTGACATTATGTACATTATGGGGCAAATTCCATTAAGTCTAAGTTTCCTGCGTAGTTAAGAAGTGTTGACGTTTCCTCTGCAATTCTTTTTATCTCTATTTCTCAGTATCCGTGTAGAGATTCTTATTCATTTGAAGACACTGGAGTTGAATTCTAATGAGTCAAGCCTCAAGTGTTCATTTCATGGGTAATTTCTTCAGGTGCCAAACAACGACCAATATCTTCAGGTGCCAGAGGAGTGTGATTGTTCATTTTCTCTTGGATGGTGCCAGAATATATTTCTTTCAAGATATTTAACCCTACAGTATTTGCTTGACATGGACCCCCACTCCCCCGAACCATGTCAACATTTTTTCTAAATAGCTCCCAGTGTAACCTAAAAACAAGAGTAGGATCAAAGAAAAAAAAAAATAAAACAGGACCATTTGTCACAGTGTGCACTAGTAAGTAAATACTGCAGTCTTTATAATATTGAGGCAGAAGAATATATTAGTCTCTATCCATTAGTCAGACATTCACCCATAAAATGCTCAAATCTCATTTGAATGGACATTCTCTGGTGTGCAGTGTGTGAGAGGCCACATCCTTATTGGCACAACATTGAAGATAAATTACTTGATAGTGTTTTCCATATTTCATACACCCACATGAACCAGTGGTTGAGTTTGCAATTAATATTTTTGGATTCTTGCCCACATATCCCATGAAATACTGTCATATGAAAGCGTAAAAGGTGAAGTTTCAATCTAACTTTTCTAGCCCATCCATAATAAAATGTTCATAAATGGCATCAATTCTCAGATGTCATGTTCCCATCATTGTCCAACTCATTGCTTTTAAAATACCCAGAATCTGTAGCAAGCAATGCTCACATATGTAAGCTTTGTTGTCAGAGGGTATATGCCTGCAGCTGTCAACTTTCCTCCTTCACTCCAGTAGGGCCCAATAATCAGCAATTAAGTAACTGATACGTGAGAATGTGTAAGCATTATTTTCTTAGTCTAAATGTAATTATTGAACTTTGAAACACATTAAATTCCTTTGCTTCATTTGTCTAACAATTTCCAAGTATAAAACTTAATATTTTCTTCCTACCTGAATAGCTTGCTAGGAAGTCCCTTATTGTCAACAATATAGTCAAGCATATTTGTATTTACTTTTCAGTAAAGAAAAATTGTATGCTTTCTTTACTAACCTTATTAATTCAGTAAGTAAGGGGTATCCATACTGTCATTTAGAAACACCAAAACACTGTAGAAAGAGCATGATCTTTGGAATACCAATGTGGAAAAAAAAAATCCGAGTTTTTCTACCTTCTACTTATAGAGTTTGGGCAGTTGTCTTAATTATTTGAGTTTCAGTATCCTCATCTGTTAAATGGGAATTATGTCATTTGTTATTACCTTGAAGGGTATTTCTGGAGATTAAGTGATTAGGTTTGTACAATGTTGGCAGAAATGCTGCTTAGTAAGTGTTGGCAATGAATATTATTAATAAGAAATTAGAAAAAAATAAACTGAATTCATTCATTCAATAAATATTAAATGTTTTCTTTGTATAAATCCGTATAACAATTTCTCAGAAACATATTTATAGGGATGAAATTTTAGTTCATTTTCTGTCAATCAATTGCTTTCACAATATCAAAGGAAATCTTAATAGGAGCAGGCGACTGCAGTAAGCTACATTACAAACTATCTTCCCAGACATTAGATGTATTGGCATGCTTTGCTGCCTTTGCCTCCATATTTAATAAAAAAGAAATTGAATAAATTATTATACTATCACAATGTAAATATGGTCCCAGTGTCCATAATTGCTTTCATTTTTTGAAATGGAAGAAGACAGTCCACTTAAATTAGCTTTTGAAATCTGACCAAATGCTCCAGATGTTCTAGCACTGTCAGTAGAGCTTGTCTGTGATCCATGTCAGAATAGCAGCTGTCAACACGAAAGCACACCTGCCACTGGTTTACTGTCAGCAAATGACTTTTCAATTGTATTAGGAAATGAAGCAAAGTGCTGAATGAAGCATTCATCTTTGAAAAGCAGCCATGTCACAATGTGATTTTGCTCCACAAAAATGCAGAAATCTCTAAAGTCTTCCCAGTCACTAACCTTGAACCGAGGAATCTAGTCTTCTTGAGCACTAACCTTGAACCCAAGAAGCAATGTCTGCAAAACACT
This sequence comes from Homo sapiens, assembly GCF_000001405.40. NCBI lineage: Eukaryota > Metazoa > Chordata > Mammalia > Primates > Hominidae > Homo > Homo sapiens. Next base: position 9,552,630 of record NC_000009.12, on the reverse strand, counting down.
AGATAAATCTCAGAGCATTCTTAGGTCATTAGACAGAAGAAGTTTGCTATAGGCTTACTACAGAGAAGCAAGTATTTGCATATAAAAGAAGTCCCACTAAAAATTGGCACAATTCATTTCATAAGCTGAAGTAAGTTATAAAGAACTACATTTAGGAAGTTAAAATTATTTAATAGTCAATACTTTTCAAGATTTGATTGAAAAGCTCATCGTTTGGAGTAACAAAATTTTAGAGGTTTGAAAGTTTTACTAATGTCTCAAAATATGACTAAATATAGAAAATGGCAATTGACTGCGAAATTATCCAACAAAAGCAAAAACAATGACTGACTTGAAATTAAAATCACTTCCTTCTTCAATACTCTTTATGTACTGCTTTCCTTCTGTTTTGTTAAGAGATGGCGTGGAATAATGGAAATGGCATGGATTTTTGAATCAGACTGGGTAAATCAATTTACCTCTCTGAGCCTTTGTTTCTTTATTGGTAAAAGTGAGATACTAATACCTGTCTTAACTGAGGAGTAAATGAATATTGACTATTATGAAAGTGAGAGGAGAGTCTGACACCTAGAAAGCCCTTCAGGTGATGGTGATAAAGAGTTGGGCTTATGTGTCTTTATACTTTTGCTTATGGATTGCTTCTTTTGCCTCATGGCTTCAGTTTACTTCCTCATTTTTTTTTTCTCACTTCTATGTCAGCCAACTCTGATTTCTTTCTGCATGTCTTTAATTCAAACTCACTGAGAGATGATCCCATTGTTCCACATTTTCCTTTTGGGGAGCAACTTACAGTATCCTAAATTACAGTCCACTAGCAGATACATAAGTTGGTTTGGGGCAGTGTCCCTTACTCTGGTACAATCTGGTGGGGCTTAGTTTGTGGGGTTCTAAGATCAGCTTTTTATCCCAGGCTATATGCAGTAGGACTGGCATGTACTAATTCACCATTAAAATGGAAAGTCCAATGGAATTAAAGAAGGCTTGATGAAAGAAGAACAAAGGATGTACTGAGAACCATATAGGAGCCAAACATTAATGTAATATCTTCAGCCTGTACTCTGGAAGATCAAATCCAGCTTTATGCGAACCTGTGTCAGAACTCCAGTAGGTAGATACAGAGTGAATTTTCATATATATATATTCTATTACCATTTCACTAATGTGTTATGTATAGAATAAAAGACTTGTATTGATGTAAAATTAAATATAATCAATGTTGCCTAGTACTACCACTGGAAAGCTAGAATATTCGAATAGATAACTGGAATTATTCACCTTTAGGGAATAATTAGAGACCCTTAATTTAAATACTGAATTTCTAAAGCTTGTAAGGTTTTGACCTCCGTTTGTCAGCTTTATAAGATTTTTCAGTTAAGCATTTACTGATCCTTCTCAGGTAAAATTTATGCAGTTTATTTAGCGCCAGGTTGATTATCACTATAAATGAGCCCCTCCATACTACCCCAGCTCCTTGAAACATTCATATGCAGGTTTAGGGTGAACATAAGTTCTTATTTTTCAAGAATATACATTAAATTATAAATTGAGTGTAACTATGGGGTCATGTAGTATTTACATGATTAAATTTGCATGATAAATTTTCAGACCATTTTTCAGATAACTCTAGGAACTTATATTCCTACTAGCAATTCATGAGTGATACAGTTTCTCTACTTGCCAACATTTGGTGATATCATTAATTTTTATTTTAGCCATTTTTAGTTAATGTGTAGTGATATGTTCTTGTGATTTTAATTTACATTGATGGCTAATGATATTGAACATATTTTCATGTACTTATATACTCTCTATATCCTCTTTAGTAAAATGTCTGTTCATGTCTTTTGCTCCTTTGCTATTTTTTTATTGTTGAATTTTGAGAGTTCTTTATTTTTTATACTAGCCCTTTGCCAGATAAGTGATTTGCAACTAGTTTATCCCAGGAAGTAACTTATCTTTACATTCTTTTCATGCGGGGTTTTACAGAGCAAAAGTTCTTGTTTTTATGAACTTTGTATTATGGCTTTCCAGAGCAACAGAACCAATAGGATAAATTGGGATATATATTAACATTATATAATATATATATGCTATACTATACATAATACTATACATAATATATTGTCCTACATATCATACCATATATATAGTATATAGTGCATAATATACTACGTATAATACTATACATAATATACATTAATATATAATTTTATATATAAAATTATACATTTCATATATATAGAGAGAGAACTATATGTATATGAGAAATATATATACTTCTTTCCATAGAGAGAGGGAGAGAGATTATAAGAAATTGGTTTATGTGATTGCAGGAGCTGGCAAGTCTGAAATCTGTAGGGAAAGCTGGCAGGATGGAGATTCAGGTAAGAGTTGATATTGCAGCCTAAAGTCTGAAACTTAGGCAGAATTTCTATGCTACAGTAGAGGCAGAATTTCTTCTTTGGTAAACCTAAGTCTTTTCTCTTAAGGCCTTCAACTGATAAGATGAATTCCATTCATGTTATGGGGGGTAATCTGCTTTATTCAAGGTATCATTTAAATGTTAATCACATTTTAAAAATATATTCACAGCAACATTTAATTTGGGGTTTGACCAAACAACTGGTCACTACAGTCTAACCAATTTGGCACTAAAAATTAGTCCAATTATCTATTGGGCAGAAAGCCCAATTTATTTATTTTTACTTTTATCCATCATTCTTTTGATGTCATGTCTAAGAAATCTTTGCATAGCCCTAGATCCCAAGATATTCTGTGTGTTTTGTATACATTCCTAAAAGTTTTGTATTTTGTGTTTTGTATTTAAGACTATTCTTCATTTTGAGAGTTTTTATGTAAGGTATGAGGTTTAAGTTGAGGCTCATTGTTTGGTCTATGTATGTTCAATTGTTCCACCATCATTTGTTGAATCATTTTTCCATTGAATTGCTTTTATCTCCTTGTCAAAAATCAGTGAAGCATGTGTATGAGACAATTTTGTATAAGTGTTTTTATGACATGTTTTTACTTTTCTTAGGTAAATAACGAGGCATGGAATTGCTGGACCATAGCGACTGTTTAAGTTTAATACATCTTCACCAGCAGTTAATGAGATCAGTCTTGTTGACTATCTATTTTGGTAGAGATGTGGCGGCATCTTATGATGGTTTCAGTTTGCATCTTCCTGATAACTAATGCTGTTGAACACTTTTCTATGAGTTTATTGGCTATTTGGATGGTTTCATTTTAAAATGTCTTTTCAGATATTTCACCCATTTAAAAATTGGATTGTCTTTTGATTAGTTATAAGAGTTCTTTATATATTCTGGAAACAAGTCCTTTGTCGTGTGTGTCTGTGTGTGTAATATATACATTATACACATATATATGTATAATTTTCTCCTAACCTGTGGCTGCTTATTTTTTACAATGTCTTTTGATAAGGTGAATTTTAAAAAATGATTAAGCCCGAGTTTTAAGCTTTTTTTCTTTTATAAGTTTGTGCTTTCTATTTCTTATCTAAAAAATATTGCCTACTTCAAGATTGCAAAGATAGTTGCCTATGCTTTCCTCTTGAAAAGAGATATATTCTGAAGTTGTTTGATATAGTGTCCTAAAAGTATCAGTTACATTGTTTGAGAAGGTTGGTCAAATCTTTTATAACTAAATTGATTTTCCTGTCAATTACTGAGAGCAAGAGTGAAAAATAACTGAATATAATGGTAAAAATGTTCTATTTCTTCCTTTCGTATTGTCAATCTTTGCTTCATTTATTTTTGAAGTTTTCTTTTAAGGGATATACATTTAGTATTGCTATGTCTACTTGCCGAATTGACCATTTCATCATTATAAAATATGCTCTTTTATCTCTGGTAATATTCGTTATCTTAAAGTCAACTTTGTCTAATACGGCACTCCATCTTTCTTATGATCAGTGCTTATAATACATCGTTTTTTATCATACTTTTGCTTTTAACTCTTTTGTGTCTTTACTTTAAAAGTGTATCTCTTTGAGACCAGCCTGGCCAGCATGGTGAAACCCCATCTCTACTAAAAATACAAAAATTAGCCAGGCATGGTGGCAGACGCCTGTAGCCCAGGAGGCTGAAGCAGGAGAATCACTTGAACCCAGGAAGCGGAGGTTACAGTGAACCAAGATCATGTCACTGCCCTCCAGCCTGGATGACAAAGCGAGACTCCGTCTTAAAAAAAAAAAAAAAAAAAAGAAAAAAAGTCACATATACGTAGCAAGTAATTGAATCAAGCTCTGTCATACACTCTGGCAATCTTTGCCCTTTAATTGAATGATTAGCTTACATTTTTAGTCTCTTTTCTTTAATGCAATTGTGAATAAATTTGGGTTTAGGTCTGTATTCTTGCTATTTATCTTCTATTAGTCACTTTTATTATTGATCATTTCCAGCTTTCTTCTTCCTTCACTTGGAATGAATTTTCTATCTAGTATCATTTTCATTTAACTTGAAGAATTTTCTTTATCATTCTTTGAAGTGCATATCTGCTGATGACAAATTGTATTACATTGCTCAGCAAATATCTTTATTTCAACTTCATTTTAGCTGGATAAAAAATATTGGACAGCAGTGTTTTTCTTTACACTTTCAACTCTTGAAAGATTTTGTTTCATTGTCCTTTGTCTTGCATTTTTTGTGAGAAAAGTCAGAAAAAATTCCTATCATTGTTCTCTTTGATATAATAAGCCTTTTTTTCTTGAGCTTCTTTCACATTTTTCTCATTATGTTTCATTTTTAGCAATTTGCTTATTATATGCCTTGGACTTTTTCCTGATGTGTGTGTGTGTGTGTGTGTGTGTGTGAATTTGTGTTTATTTGAGCTTTCTTAGATTTTTGGTTTTATAGCTCTTATCAAATTGGGAAAACAATTGGAAAAGTTTGGAAAATAGCCTTCAAATACTTTTTCTTTTGGATTGTCAGAAGGGCTAAATATCCTGATGTACAAAATATCCTTGTCATACAGATATCCTATGGCATGTCATCACAAGACTAAAGCAACTATGACCTATTCAGCCTTTACTATGAGTGTCAGTCACTGAATCACACACTCTACATGCATTTAGTCCTCAAACAGTTGAAAGTAGACCCTATTATTATCGATGTTTTACAAGTGAGCATTCTGAGATTTCAACAGGCTAGGCAGCTTGATTCCTAATTAAGTCCTGGCTCTGAGAACCAAACAAAAATTTCACTGAATCTATATTTTGAATGGCAACCTAAATAAAAAGGGAGAGAGGATTTCCAAAAGAAAAAGATGTTTATTTGGAAGTAGAGCATTTCAAATGGAATATGCACACTGTAGTAAGCTCTGCACATTCAGGGAGGTAAAGGAACACAAAGGTTTGTAAGGAATGATGAGGATGACTGCGTACTTTTTCTGAAATAATTGTTATTGGCTACAAAATCGATAGCAAGAGTGACATCAGTCCAATTTAGACAGGGTTTCCTTGTAGAAGTATTTTTGTGTAAGTTTGGTATGGCATTTGTGCAATTTTATGGTTTTTGTAGAGTCTTTGTGATAGCTGTTGTTACCAAGCATACAAGCATGAGAACCCTCTCTTCATAGTCTTCCCCTGCTCTATTAGGTTTTATTTTTTATTTTTTGTCTTTTTATTTTTATTTTTTTTTTTAACATTAGTGACTCCATTTTGATTTGGAGAACTTTAACACAAGTCTTTAACTCACTACCCATGTAATAGGGTTCCATTATTTACCTGGTGGTTTTAATGCTCTTTTAGTGAGGAACACTGTTTGGTAATTACTCCACTATATTAAGATCATAAATTATATGACTCTCAAGATTTAAAATTTTTCATTATAGATTAAATAACATAATGCATATAAAGCACAGCACAATATTTAGTACTTAGTGGAACATATTATAAACATTCAATAAGTTAGTAATTATTATTACTATAAACACAGAATCTACTGGTATAAGAGGAACACTTTTAAATTTGTGCATTACTGCCAGAATTTTACATATAAAAGGGATAATTTATATAGCATAAAGGTAGTAGTAATTGTCGGTGGAATATGGTCACTACTAGAGAGGTAAACAAAACTGAAAATTAAGATAAATACATAGAAAAGAACAAAGATTCTATGCAAAATCACCTAAGGAGGGCAAATAATGGCATTAATTAGAAAAACTGAACATGAATAAAGAAGATAAAATAGAAATACATGAGAATGTGCAGAAAAGAAACATCTGGTATTTAATTTTGCTATAAAAATTGCATAAGTTCTAGCTTATGCAATAAGACAAGAAAAGGAAATAAAAGGTATATAGATTGAGAAGAAAGCAACACACTATTTTTTTTTCTCAGATGACATGATCTTCTATGTAAAAATTCCAAAAATTCCACAACAACTTTTGGAACTAATAATGGATTATAGCAGAGCTTCAGGATCTAAGATTAATGCACAAAACTCAAAACAAAACAAAATTTCACTGAAACTATATATTTAGTGAAAAAAACTGCTATATATTTCTATATACCAGAAATAAACAAGTGGAAATTGAGATTAAAAACACAATACCATGTATATTGGCTACCAAAAGAATGAAGTACTTAGGTGTAAGTCTAACAAAATATGGACAAGATCTATGTGAGAAACTGAAAAACCCTGATAGAATAAAAAAAATTAAAAAGTGGGAAGATATTCCATACTTATAAATAGGAAGACTCAATATATTCAAGTTGTTTTTTCTAAAATTCGTCTATAGACTCAATGCAATCTCAGTCAAAATCTCAGCAAGTTATTTTGTAGATATCAATAAACTAATTCTAAAGTTTATATGAACAGTAAAAGACCCAGAATAGCCAATAATGAACAAAGTTGGAGGACTGACATCAGCGAACTTCAAGATATACAATACACCTACAGTAATCAAGACAGTGTGATACTGATGAAAGAACAGATGTACAGATCAGTGTAACAGAATAAAGAAATCAGGAATAGACCAAGAGTAGTTACCTAAAAGAGTTAAAAATTTTGGTCCATGCAAAAACTCTGTACACAGATATTTAAAATAGCTTTATTCATAATTGTTCACATTTGAAAGAAATTAAGATGTTCTTTAATAGGTGAATGGATAAAGTGTGGCACATCTAAACAATAGAATTTTAAAAACATGGAGGAATCTTAAATGCATATTACTATGTGAAAAGAGCCAATCTGAAAAGGCTACATATTGTATGATTCAAACTATATGACATTCTAGAAAAGACGAAACTGTGGAGACATTAAAAATATCAGTAGTTGTCAGGGGTTAGAGAAAGGGAGGGATGAATAGGCACAGCACAGAGGATTTTTAGCACAGTGGAACTATGTTGTATGATGCTACAGTGGCAAGTGTGTGTCGTTATACATTTGTCTAAACCCATAGAATGAGTTTGAACTCATGCATAGAGTGAACCCTAAGGTAAACAAAGGAATCTGGGTGTTAATGATGTTAACATAGGTTCAGCAATTTTAACAAGTGTACTATTTTGGTGGGGGATGTTGGTAATGGGGGCAACCTTATCCATATGTGGGACAAGAAGTATATTTGAAATCTCTATACTTTCCTCTCAATTTTGCTGTGAATGTAAAACTCCTCTAAAAAATAAAAATAATCAAGAACAACAAGATGAGATTTAGATTAGCTTAAACCTCCACACATATTCAGGTATAGTCAGAAACCCATCCCAACTAGAAATGTGGGCTATCGGCTAGAATTTGCTCAGATTTCCTACTTTTTAATTCACTATTATAGTTGAACTATAATAAAATTCTAAAGCAGAATACCAAATCTAAAACAAAAGTATAAAATAAAATTATTATAATAAAATACATAAAGCTTAGACCTATTAGTGTTTTCTCAAAATATCTATCTTTTTATGATCCAAGGAAAATTTTGTGAGCCTAGAAAAATGGCTGTATGACTTTAATTTGTATGAAAGCAAAAAGTGCATGTAGATATTAAAATATTTTTGGTTAAAATGTTTTTATAAGGTCAGGTGACTGATGTTCTTTGTGGTTCAGAATACATTTGAAGACACAGTCGAGAGATGTTCTCAAACTGCTTTTAGCATCATTGCATTAAGTATATAGGCCCTCAAGTGAGATTATTTTGAAATAAATATATCTTAATTAAATCTAAACCTTAAAAAGGTTAAGAAATGTGTGTCATATGTACCTAAAAAATCAAAATGAAGTCGGACTTAAAATATTTATACAAAGTAATTATTTTGGGAACCTTCATTGATTAAATGATATTTTCTGATAAGGAAACCTAAAAATAAGCTTTTAATTCAATTAATTAAAATGTCGCAGAAATTAATATTACAAATGGTTAATACTTGCTTTTCACATTTGGTTCTTATAGTACAATTTTTAGGGAGAAATGGTAAAATCCACGGATATAAATAAAAGTACTGTTTTATAGAAAATAGTTTGGTATTAAACAGGCTTCCTAATGCTCACCATTTATCCTTAAGTTTAATTCAAACCAAGGTTATTTTGAAGTGTATCACAGAGATATGGGCAATAGCTTAGATGCATTTTCTACAAGAGAAGAGATTAAGTCAGGTTTTATGAAATTTGGAATAGCTTACAAAATTGAAGGTGGAGGGATTCTAATCTGACAGTTACCTGATAAAATTTGGACTCAAAGCAAAATTTGTATTAAAAGTTCTGGAAAATGGTAGCTTCTAATATACGTTTAATAAACACAAATTGTTTTAACAATAGTTAAGCACGTATTGTTTTGATTTCCCAAAAGCAGTTATTTTCATGTTTTAATAACCTTTTAGAAAAATCAAGTGTGCAACACTATAGTATAGACTAGATTATAAAGAAGTAGCCTAGAACGAAAATTCATTTGTTCTTTGATTTGTTTTTGTTTTTGTTGTTTGTTTTCAGTAACAATCAAGGTTGATGGCCTTGATCCTAGGCTTATCTGTGACATAAAATGGGCTCTGAGATTTGCATAATTCTCAGCAAGTTATTTGTACCTGCATTATCCATCACCAAAAAATCTATCATTAAATCTACCCTACCTTGGAAAACTTAGTAAATCTTAAGTCAATTAAAATTTTGAAATTTACCTAATCTTTATTATGATATAATTTACATAAAATAAAAACAATTATATTAAGTGATACATGATATTGATATAATGTGAAGCCCAGAGAATTTAGCAATTGTTTATACCTTATACCTTTGGAATTACAAATGAAGCAAATTATAGAACATTTGCATCCCTCTGGAAAGTAGCCTTGTGCAAATTTCTAATCAATTCTACAACTCTAACATCCACCAGTGGCAACATTTTCTGAATAGCATCCCCATAATTTGTTATGTCTATTCTTAAAATTCATGTAAATGGAATCTTAAAATATGCATTCTTTCATGTATGTTTTATTTTGCTCAACAAAATGTTTTTGAGTCTCATTAATGTTGTTTTATTAGTAGTCCCATTCCTTTTTATGGCTAAGCGGTATTTCGTTGTATGAATATACCACAATTTGTTTATTTCCATGTATATGAGCACTTGCATTGTTTTCAATTGGTATGATTATTCTCACACAAGATTTTTGTGGACATACGTTTTCATGTATCTCAGGTAAATATCTGTTAGAGAATTACTGGAATTGCTAGAAAACGCTGAGTAGGGTTATGTTTAGCTTTATAACGAAGTGGCAAGCAGTTCTCTAAAATAATTATTAAATTTCATGCTCCTGCAGCACAAAACCCTTAGAATTTTGTAAGAGTTCCAGTTGCTCCTCATGGTTGTTAACACTAGGAATTGTATTGTTGATTTTAAGCATTTTAGTAAACTGAAATGTCATCTCATTGTGGTTTAATTTGCATCTCTGTAATGACTAATGATGTTGAGTACCGTTTTCACTTGATTGGTGACCATTCATATATCTCTTTTAGGATGTGCCTATTCTTTTTCTCTCAGATTTAATTGGGTCATTTGTGTTTATATTATTGATTTGTCAAGTTCTTTATATATTTTGTATATAAGACCTATGTTAGATATAAATACTGCTGATATTTTTTTCCAGTCTGTAGCTTGACTTGCTTATTCATCTTTTTAATGATATCTTTTGATGATTTGGCATTGTTAATTTTGATGAAATTCAATATAACTTTTTTATTGTTAGTGTTTTTTATTTAAAGGTAAGAGCTTTTGTGTCCTGTATAAGAAATATTGGACTCCTTCAAAGCTTGAAGATATTCTCCTATATATTCTTAATTTTTCGTACAGGTCCATGATCTTTTTTGGCATTAAGTGAGACAGGAATCAATGTTTATTTTTTAAGATACCTGTTTGTCACCTAAATTACCCAATTTATTGGCATAAAGTTGCTCAAGATATTCTCTAATTGTTCTTATACTGTCTCCAGGGTTTGTTGCGATAATCTTTCTTCCCTGATAGCAGTAGATTGTGTTCTTCTCTTTTTTCGTTTTTTTCTGTAAGTATCTCCTTTTTCTTGATTAGAGTAACTCAGGGTTTGTCATTTTTCTTGATCTTTTCAAAGAACCAATTTTTCACTTTAGTTTTCTCTACTGTGTTGTCTCTTTTCTATTTTGTTGACCTCTCCTCTTATCTTGAATATTGCCTTATTCTGGGTTTACTTTACTCTTATTCTGCTAACTTCTTTCTCTAGAATCTTGAGTCATTATCTTAGACTTTTCTTCTTTTAGATACCTCTCTTCCCCACCCAACATTCAATAGTTACTCAGTGAAAGTCCAAAATACACCATAGTTATTACCTCACCATTCCTGCCCTGCTGCCACTCTTCAGCCAGACCACTGACTTACTCTGGAAATATTCTCTGCGTGCCTCAGTGGAAACATTCTTAGCTCTTCTATTCTGTCCTAGCCATCAGCATACCACTTTATGCACTTGGTAAATGCCTTTGGGGAAATGTTTGTGGCTGGATTCATGCTTGTTCTATAGCTAAGCCTCCTTGTGATTCTAATTCATCATGCATGTCATATGTATAATTAAAACGTTGTTAAAGGTTAAACTGATATACCAGATCAGATATCTATGAAACCAGTGGCTTAAACATTTGCATTCCTCAGATTCTGGTTGTTCAGGCATTTCTGCTCTACATGATATTTGTTGAGGTTTCTCACATGGTTGTAGCTGGGTTGGGCTGGAAGTTCCAAGATGGCGTCTCTCCTATTTCTGGGGCCTTCATATTCTTCTCCATGTGACTGCTATATTCACATGGTGTTTCATCTTCCAGAGCGCCTCCATATGACCTCTCAGTCTAGTAGTATAACCTCAATTTCCTTATATCATGGCAACTGAAGTCCTGTAGGGAGTGTTCCAAAAAGATAAGCCCTAATTTAAAAGTGCTTTTCAAGGCTCCACTTATATAACACTTCTAACTTTGCCTGGACCAAAGTTCAAGGAACTTCCTAGCCTAGGAAAGTTGGTTCATAGTGAGCCACCATAGTAATTTTTTCGTTATTTCTTGAGGTCTACCGTGTATTTCTCCTCTTCCTGTCACTCAGCAAGGTATGAAAGTAACTACAGATATAGTTGCTCCTAGAACGAGGTATTTGTTTTCTATTTAGTCCTTTTTAGTTGTTTTTTTAATATCTTCAGCTATCTGATAAGTTAAAAATAAAAAAGAAATCTACAGTCTTTTAGCTTATCTATTGTTCTTAGTATTAGGATAGGAACAAAAATTTATGGCAACGTTTTGCATCCCAGCGGTAAGTGGAACCAATGTCACTACTTATATTTCATACTTTCTCACCTATACTTAATACTTCAGGGCCCATAACTTTTCCCTTTAAGTAGATGATTTCATTTACTGGTGGCACAGAGGAAGTAGAAACCAAAAGAGGAGATTTTATCTCAACTTCCTGTCACCAAATCGACAAATGCAGTAATATAACCTAATATTAATAAACTAATAAAACATATTTTTTACCACAGGATTTTAAAAAATAATCCATCTGGAAGTCTCCTCTTTCAAGTCCCACTTTATATGTGTTATTGCCACTTCTTTTCTCAACTTCTGTCTAAATGTCCCTTGTTCTGGATAGTCTCTGGCTGTTTCAACCTGTGCTAGGTAGCATTTTTGGTACTCCTATTTCACTCAGTGCTTTCTCCATCATAGACTTCATTACTGTACATTGTACATCACTGTAATCTGTCTGTAAAGATGGCTGCTGTCTGTAACCATCTCACCTTATATCTGGCATACACACACATACTACACCATGATCTCCAGGAGGTAGAAATCATGTCTCTTTACCTCAGTTCTATCCCTAGCACAAAGAATAGTACCCTATACTCAGTGTTTACGTAGTAAAATGTGTTAAATGAATGACTGTGTGAGTAACATATCTCATCTGATCCTGTCACACCAGCATATTGCAAAGCCCTGGGTGGCAGATATTAGCCAAGTGATGGAGTACTAAGATGCCAAAGTTATGAATGCAAAGCTACATATGCAGTAGTAGGTAAGAAGGCATTTAGTAACTTAGTGGATTTCTTTGTATAATTAATAACTTTAAAAGAATAACTCTAGGGGAAGAGTGAAAGGGGGAGTATACTTCCCTAGGAAGAATTTCATCTCAAAATGGGATAAAATTATTCAAATATCCGTGTAGGGTAATTTCTATTCCCCCATTAAGGAATATTACTAATGGAAATGGATGTGAGAATGGTATCACATTTGGAAAAGGGCTGAAAACCATTGATTTAAAAAATGGATTCCTAAATGTTTATTGCTTTTATATATTCACCTTTATGTGCTTAGAGTTTAGCTAACTGGAAATGCTTTTCCTATATGCTGAACCAAAGCAGCAATTTAGTGAGTAGCATTCTAACATCCTAAAAGAGTTTAATGCAGTTTCCACAAATGGACAACACTCCCAGTTAATGGCAGTGAGCACTTTGGGAGAACTTATTTTACTTGTATATTTTATCCATCACTTTTAAAATGCAGTACATTGCTAATACAGTTAACTGGATGAACACTTTTAGTTAAAGACAGCGTGTTTCTAAAGGCCACACATAGTTAATGTGAAGGAATAATCAAAGCCTAACTAGGACTCTAAGAAGAATTATTTTATCAGAATATTTTAGAGTTGGACCCCCAAAGATCAGCTCATGACTTATGAGAAATGTAAGGTCCAGGTAAGTTAAGTCTTGCTTGTCCAAGAGACAAAAGTCATTTTCAACAGAAGCCTCCCATATTATCACGATGTCTTTCCTTTTTTCAACTCCCACCTACCCCCTTTCATTCCCTATGCTCAAGTGACAGAAGCTTTCCTACTGATTCAACATTCTAAGTTTATTCCCACTTAAGGGCCTAGGTACCTGCCACTGATTCTTCAGTGTGCATCCCATCTGCATATCTTATAATTGACTCCTTTTCATTTAGGTCTCAAAAAATATGTCCCCAGTGAGCACCCTGTTTTAAGTAACTCCTTCTTTACCCATTGCTATTATTTTATTACATCACCCTGTACTGTTTTCTTCATAGTACTTATGTGAAATTATCTTGTGCAGAACTCTCTTTTTTAATTTTTGTCTGGCATACTTGAACCTAAGCTCCATAACAGGAACATGGCTGTCTTACTTACTGCTCTATCATCAGAGCCTAGAAAAGTGTCTGGCACTAGGAAGTACTCAGAAAATAATTTACTAAATGATTGAATTACATATCCATATGATATCTCTTATGCCAGTGTTATTATATTCCAAAAGAAAAAATTAAACCAAAACAAAAGTATGAATTTGAATGTAGGTTCAGTTCTACTTGACTCCTTTTTTGAACCAAAGCCTTTTTCATAGTCTTTCATTAGAGCATTTGTTGGGAAGTAAAAATAATTTGGTAACTATTCATTGACGTATATGTATCAATATCGATTTAAAAATGCATCAATATTTTTATTCCTGTCTGCCTGCATTAATTCATACATCACTATGCATTCTGCTTCTTGGCATTTGCTGATTCCAGATTCTGCAGTATGCAGCATAGCATTACTGAGTTGGGTGCCATATGGCTGCCCTTCTTTGGTCCAAGTTTTGATCAATCAAAGGATGGCAGACTGACTCATGCCATTTTAAAGACGACAGAGATTTGATGTAGAGCCAATCCACTAAAATACTTTTTGAAGAAAAATGTGTTCTAAGGGAGGAACATAAGCTCTACTAAATATATACATATATATGTAAAACACTTTTTATGCTTAATGGTTGTCTCGGAGACAAATTGCCAGAAACTTGTTTTTATCCCTAAAGGGAAATACTCCTTTGAAAATTTTAACTGGTGCTGTGCTTGTGTGTGTGACTAAAATTATTTTTTATCAACAGTAGTGAGGGTTTTTATCCCCTGAAGTAAGAAAGTCTATTCTTTCACTGCTAGCAATCTAAAGAAAAACACAATGTTTCAGTTTAGTGATTTGAAACACCACTGCGAAATATGAGGAAATACTTTGAAAGATGCTCTGATTTGATCTAGTGGTATAGAAAGTGTACCAAGAAGTCTGGCCTACACCCTTTGTCTGACTCCAGTCCAGATTCTGTTTAGTTTGTTACTAATAGTTTATCCCACTCCCAAAAGTAGTAGGGGAGATTGTAAAAATATGCATAGTAACACAGAACGAATGAGGATAAGGATACAAAGGTACAGAGAAAGAAAAATATTAAAACCAATCTAAGTATAAATTTAAATATGAAAAAAATTAATAAGCTCATTAAAATGTAAATGAATTTGGCCCTGAGATTATTAGTGACTGAACACAAAGGGTAAAAGCTTAGTTATATAATGGGTGGTATCTGTGAGATACAAAGTTTTTAATATCAGTTACTTTTAAGCTGCAGAATTATTTTTAACAGTGAGGTTTGTGAGAAACATCTGTCTTAGGGCTTCATAAAGCTATTAGGTGATATCTAAACAACACCCTTAGCCATATCTTTACAGTAAATTCACTGGGAATTCTATTGAACTATGCCTTAGTCTAAGAACAGGCACCCAAATAAAGTTCTCAAAAACAGATTCTAAGATGTGTGATAGATTTGTATTTGAAATTTGTTTTGCTGAATTGTCCTGAACTGGTTTTAAGAGCAAAATTAGACTATGGACTAAGTCTTTTTCAGGAACTCCACGATAAGAAAATGTGCTGTTGAATGTGCCATAACATTTAAAAAGAAAAGTATGATGATGTCACTGTGTTGATGTTACCCATAATTCTCCACTTTAAAATTATAGCAACTGGACTAACGACATGGATGCACATTCATATTCCAACTCCACTACTTAAAAGATGTATGACTGTACAGAAGTTCGTTAAAACTTCGTTTTTTTCTATAAAAATAAAAAAAATGAAAAGAATCTTATTTATATCATACACCTTGGTAGGAATTTCATGAAATAGCACAGGTAAGAACCCTCCACCTTCTTACTCATAGTAGCTGGCACATAGCAGGTACTCAGTTATTGATGCATCATGTCCCCTTTACTGCCTTATATGCTGTGTGTGAGTAGCATTCCTGGAAAAGCAGTGGTATTGAGAGGAAGGACTTTCAGCAACATGAGTCATTAGGTAAAACTTTTGTTGAACCATAGGTACTGCAATTAGTAGATGAAAAAGGCTGATACGTACTTAGCTGTTCCTGGACCATCTATACTCTACACTACACTACCCTTTCCACTCACTTCCATAACTGTCGTTGAAAAGGATATGCCAAACTTTTCTCTTGCGACAAGAAAGTTTTAATTGAAAACGAGTGCTGGGCTGAATACAGCTTCAGCAGATTCCCAGTTAAATGAGAAGGGGCTTTTCGTTTAAGTCTTAGTGTTGATATGTCACTGTGCTCTGTCACTTTGAAAAGCGATAGTGCTTTGTTATCAGCACTGAGCCCTGGCAGGCTTCTGATGTAGGCTTAGACTAAAATAGAATGCCAAAATGATGACGGCGCTGCTTACCTTCAAAAGCTTTCAGGCTGTGGACGTGGGCAAAGGTGCTGACATATTGCTCTGTCCAGCCCAGTGAGTTTGATAATCTACCAATCATTTTCACATTTCAGATCGTAATTTGAAATCTTAAACGGGTTGATTGGTTTTCAACAGATGCATGGATATTACTGATTCCATTAGATTCATGCCATCCAAATGCTGTTTCTTAGGCAAATAATTAATAATTAATTCCTGTCCTTTAATATGCAAATTCTATTTTAAATGTTTTTAAAGAAAGAATCTTACAACTTGAAGAGTCATAGAGGAGCCTGACCTGCCAGTAAGCATACCCATTTTTGAGTCCACATTGTTTGTGTGCTAATCTTTAGCCAAGCACTGAGGTACGGGCCGGGAATGGAAACACAAATAAGATTCCCTGTCCTTAAGCAGAGAGATACATACAAAAATATGTAGTTATAAAATAATGCAGCAAGTGAAATAGTATGCATAGAATCTTACTGAAGCACAAAAAGCAATTATCTTGATATGTCTTAGGAAGACAGTAACAGAAATAGTAACAGTAACAGATACTGTTATATCTAACCAGTATCCTTGTCCCTGATTACCAGATCAGCAAATTCTATGTATGGCTGAATATTTATGTTGATATGACATTACCTTTCTTGGTTAGGAACAAGATTTCTCTTAGGAGTAGTTAAACAAGCATATTCAAATAGCGAATCTTATAGCAAAAGTGAAAATGTTTTTGAGGAATTGGCATTACCATTTCTCCTAACCTGTACCTCCTTCTCCTGTGTGTACACACACACCCCTCCCCCACACACAATTTAACTCTTTATACACTGAAGTGGTCCAGCCTTTCTGTTCTTAATGACATAGAAAGGAAATCCCTTCTGAAAATGTTTTTCTGTAACACTTCCAGGCCCTTTAACGTGAGCTCACATTTCTGCTCAGCTTGTTTCTCCACATTAAACTCTAATGGATGTAATAAGTATATGGGTAAATAGAGTTTAAAACTATATACATTGTGAAAGAAAAAAAATATTTTCACCACATTGGCTGCTTTTAAAAAAATAAATCTGTTTTTAATGTATGTGTACATTGTTTTCAAAGCTCCCTCCCCTCTGGGATAGAGTTTTGGTGACACAGCAGTGCTGTTCTGAGCTTAAGTCACTGGACATTTGTTTTTTCACACTATCAAACACCAAACTAACATTCAAATTGAAGATGGTAATAGGTTCACAACCTTTCAATGAAGTTCATGTGTTATGCTGTCTTTTCAGAGCACTTGATCAAGTTTAACACTTTTGGATCGTTTAAAACTTGATTTTCTCTAATCTGTAGCCTCTGAAATATTAAACTTCTACCTAAAAGCAAATAAAGCTAGAATCGTTTACATCTTCAGTCAAAGTTTTCAAAAATGAATCAGTATGTGTTTGAGTCTCGTCTCTCTGGGGGAACAAATCCACAGAGTAAATTACTCCTGAGACGGGCAGAAGTTCACGAGGCAGAGTGTGTCAGTCCAGAGGCTGCAGGTGTGCAAATTAGCCACTCAAAGGAAAAGAAAAGCAAATCTACTTTTCCATATTTAAAGATGCTGCCACTTATATCTTGCATTTTATTTGGACATTTCGCTGTCTACATTTAGTCTGTAAAATTCATAACGGTGGGAACTTGTTCCTCATCTTTACAGTTGTATTGCAGTCCCGGGACTGCACAGTAAGCACACAGCAGATACGCACTGAATAAATAAATAGCTGTCTTTAGCAGCTGTGAGTAAAATGGAAGCTAGAGTTGTAGTCACACTTTAAAGACAATTACATGGTATATGATAGAGGCAAAAGTAAAAATAAGAAGGACATAGATAACTAAAAGTGGTCCTGCATGACTATGTACAATGATTCCAGGGAGGTTTCCACTTTTCTCTACCCTATTTATGAACTGGCATTAGGCTAGTAATAGATATTACATTTTTTCCCTTTACTCAGTGAACTTTAAAAAGCGTTATTCCTGGGCAAAGCTTAGTTAGTAAATAAAACGTGGTGTCTTACAATGTTATTTAGAACCTGAAGTTAAAATGGAGCACTTGTTTCTAACTGGTGTATAATTTTAAAAAATTTATGTATTATGTCAGTATTAACCATTGTATAAAACTGTCATCCCCTTTGTCAATAAATATCACCTCATGTCTCTTAGCATCCTATTTCCCAATTGTGCTTTTAGGCACTTGAATGTAAGGGCGTGAGAGATTTTACCTCTCTAAACAAAGCCAAATGAGAAATGCTGCCATGGAGGTAATTGAGGATGACTAATTTTGAAGAATAAAGAACATGTGACTACTGTGTCCTCATTCTTTCAATATTGTATAAATAATACTCTTAAAATGTCAAACAGATCATAAGAATATCTATAATATTTCTCATCATATTTTATAGAGAAACATTAACAAGTTATAGCTGTCAGAATGATCTTCCTTACTAGACAAAACAACGAATATAGCAACACGATGTATGAGAGGATGAGCAACTTATAAGAGCACTCTCTTTTGCCCCTATTTTTAAATATCCTGCTGGCTTAAGCTATGGTTTTATTGCTAGTGTGTGTGAGTATGTTTGTGTGTCTTTGTGTGCCTATGCCACTGTTTATTTAGCAATTTTAACATATTTTTTAAATGAGCTTGACACATCATATAATTATTATGAATTGAATTACATCTTAAGTAAGGATACAGTAAAAAGGAGATAAATATGGAAAAGTATATTTTAAATTTTTTCAACATACAGTAAGAAAAATACTCTGAATTTGTTTGCCTTCTTCCTTCTATTCCACTCTCTTGTCCCACAGAAAAACATGCACGTATACATCATTATTAAGACAAATATCCTTTGCTCAATGGTCTTCATGAATTTATATTATTAGTGACTGAGAGATCATCATTAATATTAAGGTGGATTTATAAGAACAAATAAGTGAAAATTAGATACAACAAATTATTATATGAAATTAAGTGTTATTTGAAGCATACCATTTTTGTAAAATCTGAAGGTCATTTCAAATATTGTTTTTATTCAAGGGAAACACAGCTCTGAATAATGCATTTGAAAAATAGAAAAATTACAGAAAAAATTTAAAACAGCCTGAAAAGAAAATACCCAAAAGAAAACAAAAATAAAACCCAGAGCATCAAAATTAAACAGATAATGCCATGGTGCAATAAGAGGTAATCAAATCATTTCTTTGATCTTTCTGAGCAAAAGCTAATATCAATGTGGCAGTAATGAATGCATTTTGGCCGGCATATTGTTTGACAATGAAAAGAAAAATTCAGCTAGAGACCTACCTGAAAGTCATCACTGGAACCATTAAGAAATCTATACATTGTATGCTCATTCACTCACCAATAATCATTTATAAATTGCCAGCAGGTTTGATATCTATGGACTGTTTGGGCTAAAGAAATGAAGAAAACATATGCCCTCCTTAAGGAGCCCTCACACTATCAAGAGAAAGAAATATATAAACAAGTAATAGCACTGCTATCTATATGCAAAATGCTATAAGCTGCTCACTTATTATATACACATGCCAGAGTTTGTATCCATAAAAAAGCCAAGGATGTTGAGCATCTCTGTAAACTTCTTCTGCACTGTCTTCACTGAATTCTTCACTATTATTTGATGGCTATTAAACAACTGAAGGAATGAATGTGGTAAAACCAAAATTTTTAAATAGTCCACAATGGCCATTTTAAGAGAGGTTTCAGTAGTTCATAAGCAACCAGTCATATAAACTGTGCCATGTTATTATGAAGATAATTTGACAGTTGTAAGTACTTTTTTCAATGATTGCTCCAAGGGTGCTAATGTGTACTTCTGGGATGGAAGACTGGGATGCAAGATTGAAATGGAAGCCTTCCTGAAATAAATCACTAATCATCCATCTGTTATGGGTTTCAAACTCTTAGCCTGCAAAATGATCTGAATCACAAAATCCATTCTCTCCCATGTCATGGGAAGCAGCAGCACAGACTCAAAGATGCAATGAATTGGAAAGCCTTTTCATGTAGCTTTCCTGAATTCTCAAAGAAATCTGATGTGTCAGTCTCAGAAGAATCTTTTGACCACTGTTACATCTGTGCTTCCAGCTGGGTGGGGACCTAACCAAAGCTTGATTCCATGTTGAAAGCCAGCCTGCAGAAAGTCCAGTTCCAAATTTCAGAGAGGATTGGGCAGGACGCCAGTTTGGGTCTTGGTTTGGTAAGGTCAGATTGCTAGAATTTACTTCTAGGCTCTGAAACAATCCAGCTTTCATTTGTCCCAGACTTTATGTTTTTGTTAATTTGGTAACTGAATGTTTTAAGTGTACAGTTTCTACCCTCATATAAATCTCTGCAGATTTTATCCACCACACAGACCTTCTCTCTCAAGTCCATACAAATAAGAGTTCTTTACCCATCCTCACTCTGAGTCACATTCACCTTGTGTTTCTTCCTAGCTCTCCTGCATATGGTTTATATTCATTTAGATTTTAATTTTTTTAAGGTCGAGAACCATATATGAGACTTGTCCTTATTTATGCTCATATTTTTACCATTTAATATGGAATCTGTCATATGGTGGTTGCTTATTAGCACTAATAATATTGGTAAAACATTTTAATGTTAACAAGTTTTTTCTAAATATATATATAATATATGTGTGTATATATCAGTAATAGATTTATATCAAGGCATTAATATCTACA
Source organism: Homo sapiens (assembly GCF_000001405.40). Classification (NCBI taxonomy): domain Eukaryota; kingdom Metazoa; phylum Chordata; class Mammalia; order Primates; family Hominidae; genus Homo; species Homo sapiens. The sequence continues at coordinate 9,531,901 of NC_000009.12, read as the reverse complement.
TGTATCTATACTTACAATCTTCTGTAACCTCATCAGCCATACTATCAATACAACAAAGAACACATCTTATTTAAAAAGAACTGTTCTCAGTAAGTTAAATATAGAATTATATCACCCAGCAATCCTGCTCCCAAGAGAATTAAAAATAGGTGTTCAAACAAAACCTTGAGCACAAATATTCATTGCAGCACTATTTTCAATACCCCAAAGCTAGAAACAACCCAAATGCCTATCACCCACTGAATTGATAAACAAAATATAACATAATCTGTGCGAGGAGTACTATTCAGCCATAAAAACAATGAGATACCGATACATGCTAGAACACGGATGCACCATGTAATCATTACAATAATTCTGTAAGATTTTTGCCACCCCAACAAAATTCTTTCAAACATTGCCCCAACAAAATTCTTTCGAACATTGCAAGAAAATCACACTGAATCATATCATGAGCTGCCAGTATCTTGTGTCTCACATTCAAACAAAATCACTTATACACAAGAGTAATAATCACTTATCCAATTACTAATAGGTACTTATTATATGCCACATATTCTCTCAGCCCTCAATTTCCTTGTCCATGTCATTTCTGAGAGCTGAAATGACACTATCTTTGTAACTCATCCATGTTGTCATATGAACCCGTAAGTAAGGCAGTCCTTTTTAGTGCTGAGTAGCATTCTACAGAATGGATATATCATATTTCTCATTTAGTTAAAATTGATATGTAATTTACATATTTACACATTTTGGGGGTACATATGAGGATTTGTTGCAGCATAGAATGCATAAGGATGAAGTCAAGGCATTTGGGGTGTACATCACTTTGAACATTTATCATTTCTGTGTGTTGGGAACAGTTCAAATTCTAGTTATTTTGAAATATACAAAATATCATTGCTTAGTATAGTTAGCTTACTCTACTATCAGACATTAAAACTTACAAATTCTATCTAACTGTATGTTTGTACTCATTCACCAACCCCTCCTCATCATCCACCTCCCACCCATATTCTTCCCTGGCCTCTGGTATCCATCATTGCATGTTCTCTACCTCCCTGAGATCAGCATTTTTAGCCCTGACATATGAGTGAAAATATGCAGTATCTGTGTTTCTGTGCCTGGATTATTTCACTTAATATCACCTCTGTTCCATCCATGTTGCTGCAAATGACATTATTTCATTCATTTTTTACATCATAATAGTATTTCATTGTGTGTCATTGTGTGTGACACACAACATTTTCTTTATCCATTCATCCATTGATGGACATTTAGTCAATTCTGTATCTTTGCTATTGTGAATAGTGCTGCAATAAACATGGGATGCAGAGTCTCTGAAAGTTAAGTCAATTCAGCAGTGAAGCAATGTGGTCCTGGGCTTTTCTTTGTTTGGAGACTTCTTATTACTGATTCAATGTCATTACTTGTTATTGGTCTGTTCTGGTTTTCTATTTCTTCCTGATTCAATCTTGGTAGGTTGTATGTGTCCAGGAATTTATCCATTTCCTCTATGTGTTCCAATTTCTTAGTGTATAGTTGCTCATAAAAGTCTTTGATATTCTTTTGTATTTCTGCAATATCATTGTAATGTCTCCTTTTTCATTTCTGATTTTGTTTATTTGGGTCTTCACTCTTCTGTCTGGAAAGTGTTTCATTGATTTTATTGTTTTCAGAGACCAACTTTGTGTTTCATTGATCCTTTGTATTATTTTTTAGTCACTATTTCATTTAGCTCTGCTATGATCTTTATCATTTCTTTCCTTCTGCCAATTTTGAGTTTGGTTTGTTCTTGCATTTCTAGTTTCTTGAAATGCATCATTAGATTATTTGAAATCTGTATATTTGTTTGATGTAGGTACTTACTGCTATAAACTCTCCTCTTAGCACTGCTTTTGCTATTTCCCATAGGTCTTGGTATGTTGTGTTTTAATTTTCATTTGTCAAACTTTATGTCCAGATGTTGCTATTATTTATACAGCTGCATAAATACTCAAATATTTTGTGTAAATGTATTTATATAGAGTGTAAATATATTTAAATATATATATATAGTGTGTGTAAATATATTTATGTATTGTTTGCATGTAAATATATTTATATATATATTCATTGGGTAAATACCTAGAGAGGAATTGTTGGATTATATGACAGTGCATGTTTAACTTTAAAATAATCTAATTGGTTTTCAAAGTGACTGGCATTTTTTTTCCTTTCCACCAGCAATGAGTGAGAGTTGCTGTTTATCTTCAGTAAAATCTGGTACTATAACAGAAGTTAATTTTAGCTGTTTTAATGAGTATGTAGTCCTATCTTACTGTGATTTTCTGTGGTTTTGTTTTGCATTTCTCCAATGACTAATGATGTTGATCATCTTTTCATGTGTTTATTTTCCATTCATATAACTTCATTAGTGAAATTAATGACTTTAAAAACATGTTTAGTTAAGTTTCTTGGGTTTACATTGAGTTATAAGATCCTGTATACTAGTGCTATGTCCTTTATTACATACATGTATTACAAATATTTCACCCAGCCTTAGTTTGGCTTGCCTTTTATTTTGTTACTAGTCTTTCAAAGACTGACTTTTTTTTTTTAATGAATCCATTTATTATTTTTTTTTTTTGTTTGGAGTTTTTAGATTTCAATCTAAGAAACTGGTAAATTCGGTGGGCGTGGTGGCTCACGCCTGTAATTCCAGCACTTTGGGAGGCCAAGGCGGGCGGATCACGAGGTCAGGAGTTCGAGACCAGTCTGGCTAACATGGTGAAACCCCATCTCTATCAAAGATACAAAAAATTAGCTAGGCGTGGTGGCATGCACCTGTAATCCCAGATACTCTGGAGGCTGAGGCTGAGCTTGAACCCAGGAGGCAGAGGTTGCAGTGAACCAAGATCACACCATTGCACTCCAGCCTGGGCAACAGGGTGAGACTCTGCCTCAAAAAAAAAAAAAAAAAAGAAACAAACAAAGAAAGAAACTGGTAAATTCAAGGACACATATTTTTCTCCTATATTTTATTGTATAAATTTTATATTTTCAATGGGAAAAAATTCTTGAATGATGGATTTTTTTTTTCCCACAGTACTATAAAGATGTCTTTCCATTGTCTTCTGGTTTGAATAGTTTCTGGTGAGAAGCCTCCTTTCTTTCTTTTTATCTGCATGCAATATTTCCTTTTTCTTCATCTACCTCAATATTTTCTCTTTGTCACTGACCTTCAGTAGTTCCATTACAATACTTCTTGGAGTGATTTCTTTATTTTTATTTTCTCGTGGTTCTTTTTATCCTTTGTTCTGTAGGTTTATAGTTTTCAGCAACTTGGGAAAATTCTCGCAATATGTCTTCAAGTATTTTGTTCTCTACTTTTGCCATCCCTTTCCTGGGAACTCAATGACATAAATTGATGTTATTTACATTGTTATCAATCTTTTTTTTTAAAGCTTTCTCAGTTCCTGACAATCCTTTAGACCAAGCTAATTTAGCTTCCAAACTAAAGAAATATTCTTCTGAAGGTGCTAGATGATGTCGGTCCTATGTATTATGGGGCCTTTCTACTGTCACAGGTAGAAACATGAATTATTCCCAGCCCTCTGACAGTTCCAGGAATATTTTTACTTGCTTCTTTCTTTTGGTTGTTTCCCTGATCTCTGGTAGTTTTCTCTCATGAATACACAGACAATTGCTCAGTGAAAGGCTTGGTAGAGTCCCTTGAAGATCTACAGAATTATCTCTCTCTGCAGCTTACTCCTCTCTCTTACTCTGCCCTGTAAAATCTAGTTTCCTTCACTCTCCACAGTTTGATTTCTGTTTCCTCAATTTCACAAGATGGCTGGATTGTCTCCCTTTGCTTGCCTAGAAATGCCCTATAGGCAATTATTTGGTATAATTGAATGGCTCTTTTGTTTTAATTCTTTTTGGGATCATAGTCCTACACTACTTGTTATCCAATGCCTGAAAAGCGTTATTTCATATCTGGACTATGTTGCTTAAGGCAGAAGAGTCTTTGTTATTACATTCTAGCCAGAAGTTTTCTGATCTAACATGCTGAGTTTACGGAGTTGGTAGAATATCTAGCAACAAGTCTAAAAGGACAAACACAGTACTCAAAGAGAGACATATTTTATATAAAATTTCCCAATTACTTCTGTAACTATAGTAATTGAAGGTAGATAAATAAACTCCTTATTGGGAAAGAGAACATATAAAAAAGAAATAAAAATGACTAAGGATAGATGCTTGAAGAGTTATTATACATAAGAGAAGCAAGATTTTAAATAGTAGAGAATCATGCTGGACAAAAACTGAAACAATTCTAAGAAATTTGGAGTCATCCTGATAATTGATTAGAAAATAATGCAAGAAGTTTGTCCTGATTTTCCCCTAAAAAATCTAGCAAATTTTTGATTACAATTTTTTAAAACATATATTATTTTCTGATGAAGAGACAGTTAGTACCAAACATTTGTTCTTACTGACAAGATAGTGACATGGTGCCACAACAAGTGCCCACGCTTCACATGGTGTCTAGGCAGGAGGGAGCATTTTAAACTTCTTATTTCTGACTGTCATTAAGTTCTGAATAACAAAATACACCTTGCTTTAGGCACAGTAATTTGACATAGGTTTCACAACAGACACTTATAGGTGATACTACCATAGTGTAGTGTAAGAGTCAATTGATTTAAGATTAGAAAACATTCAAGATAGTAATCTATATTCCTTTCATAAAAGTAAACTCAAAACTTTGAATAGTAATTTCATTTGTTCAATACAGACACTCACATCCATATATAAAATGATTGAATTTGATACAAATTAAATCAGCTCTCAAGCCATAAAGAGTTTTAACAGACTCATTAAATATTATATTTTACTTGGCAAGGTAAAAATAATAAGGAGATGTTAAACTGAAGACCTTTGACCTTATACATCTTGAAATACCTCCTTGACTCCAACTTTTATTGACAGTTCACTGGGTTAAAATAAGCAATTTTATAATAAAAATAAAATGAACATCTGAATTATAGTGAAAACTACAGGTATATAAAGCATTATAAGTTAAACTGCCAAGCTTTAGGTGACCAGAAATCAGAACTCATCATGTTAATTATTCTGATAATATTGACTATTTAAACTCATTTGGAAATTCCACAAAGATTGTGAAATGCTCTAAATAATTAATTATATCTTTCTTAGAAGCATATTTCAGATAAAAGTACATTCCAAAGATATAAGGATCCCATCATCAGATCTTTACTAATTTAATGTGGCATTAAAGTTATGTCCAATTACAGGACAAATTTGCTTACACATTTCTGATAACTTTCTATCATTCCTCAAGATTAGATGGACTATAGTAAAGCATCTGCATAAAAACTCTAGTCTGTATTTTTAAATATCTTACATAGACTCGTAGTAATTTTATTTATGAAGCGAATATAAAATATTTATTTTTAAAATTACATAATGCCATGGTGCAACCCCTTTGGAAAGCACTTTGGCCTTAATATACGTAACATGTGGGTAGGCATACCCTATGACCTAGCCTAGATAAGTGCCCTAGAGAAAATCATGTCCATGCCCACCCAAGTACGTGTATGTAAATAGTCATAAAAGCACCATTAATAGTTTGAAAAGCTCAAATGCTCATCATCAGTAGGCTGCATACATTAATTGTGGTTTTTGCCATTACAATATCAGAGTATAGAACAATAAAAATAGTTTATGACACACTCAACATAACTGTAGTTTACAAATGTAAGTTGGGCTAAAGAAGCAAGGCTTAAAAATATGTATAATGTATTTTTTTTTAAGGTTCAAAACCAGGCAAATCTAAACTTCATCCTTTGGTATGCGTATCTACCTGAAGAGGAAAAGTGAATTATTACTATACTACTTAAGATGCTATTCTCACAGGGTGAAGAGAAACAATGATGGTTTGAAAGGAACATATGAGGATTTCTAGAGTGAGGCAATGTTTTTTATGTTGACTTAGGTGATGCTTACATGGATGAATACCTATTTGTAAAGCAGTCAAGTTGTGTTTGACACATGTGTCCCTGTTTGTACAAAAAAAAAAAAGTTTACAAAGGTATAAAATTTAAGAAATATGAATACCTACTAATATTAGGTATATAAAAGGTTTTCAAACTCTTTTATACATATTTCTAGATATTTGACTTTCTCTGCCTTATTTTTATTATTTACTATAGAAATATAAAGTATTTCTTTTTAGATTCCTGAACAGATTAACCTATGATTTAATCACTTGTATTTGAAAAAAAAAATTATTTAACAAACACAGCTCCATTAACTTCCCCATAAGTTGCTTTCATCTCTTAGTATTATTAATAATTTATTCCTCTCAATAGAGAAAAACACAAATTTTTCTTTATGGGGCATTCCATTTAATTTGTGAAACATCCCTCTAACTCATGGAAGCTGTATTTTTTTAATTTACTTTTTTTAAAAGTTTTACTTTATGTAAAAGGAACATCGATTGCAGTATACTGAAGATTAGCAATATACAATAAGCGTTAATCATCCTTGGTTGAAATATAATGGTCTGGGATGGGATTCTTGTATGTTTTGTGATTAGTGGCAAGAATATAGTCTACAGAGAGAAAAAGGGCAGAAATCCAGGACTATGAAATGTCAAAGAGGACCAGATACCCAGATCTTCCAAAAGACAACATGATGTTTGTGCATGATATTCAGTTTCTATAAAAACTCCTGTTACCCGACCGGGCGGTGGCTCACGCCTGTAATCCCAGCACTTTGGGATGCTGAGGCGGGTGGATCATGAGGTCAAGAGATCGAGACCATCCTGGCTAACATGGTGAAACGGTGTCTCTACTAAAAATACAAAAAATTAGCCGGGCGTGGTGGCGGGCGCCTGTAGTCCCCGCTACTCGGGAGGCTGAGGCAGGAGAATGGCGTGAACCTGGAAGGCGGAGCTTGCAGTGAGCCGAGATTGCGCCACTGTACTCCAGCCTGGGCAACAGAGCGAGACTCCGTCTCAACAAACAAACAAACAAACAAACAAGCAAGCAAACAAAACTCCTATCACCCAAAATCAATCCAAAATTAGTAAATTATTCGGAGATTTCAAGTTCTATGCACAGCCTGCATAAAATTTAGTCAATGTAAAATCGAAAAGCATTAAAATCTCTGGAAAATATCAAAGATAATACAGTCAGGATCAATAAAGACAAAATGACTATACGTTAAGGATAGAATAATTGTTCTCATAGATCTGAGACCAATATGGTGTTTGGTTTCTAGGAATCTTGAGGAACAATATGAAATAATAAAGAAAATCTGGCAAAAGGAAAGTAAGCTTTCTTGTTGAGCTCAGATCATTTCTAACAAATGTTGAGTACCCTATGGGACTTTTCTACAGTTTAAATGATAGAGTACACGAACGTACGGATTAGAAAATTTGCATTATTAGTATTAAGCAATAAATCTTTAGGAATTAAGGAGAATATTTAAATAAGCAAAATAGAATTTGAGAACTAAATGGTGAAAGGTAGAACCTAGACATATTTGTTAGAGTGTTGTGATTTTTGAGACTGAAGCAAAAGAAAGAGAGAGACTGGAGAGGGAGGAAGGAAGGGAAAGAGGAAAGGAGGAAAGAAACAAACTGTTGGTAAGCAGAAGCCCTAATACAGCTTTCAGACACAGCTGTACCCAAGGGCTCCCATACTCACCTCCAGAAATTGTCTCTCTCTGTCTCTCAGGGGTACTTTCCCTTTGCTGGCTCTGTTTTCAAGCTGGGTCTTTCCTCTTGGTAACATACAGTACACCTTCCCCAGCCTAGAAACCCACAGTTCAAAATATAACTTGATTCTGTTTTGCATTCACTGCCCTGGGCGAATTTGTCCATCCATGAATGATTGATGGCTGTGGCTGAGGGAATTCAATGCTGTGGTGGGCCCATCTTAGGTCACCTGCTCGCTCCTGAAGTCAGCCCGTCGGAAGCACATGGACTGAGGGTTGGGGAGGAGTATTACAAAAGAAAGGACACGGGGTAATGGGCCGGCAAAAGTAGCTAATGCCAATTCCTTCTGAGAAATATGAAGATTTGAGGAATAAGCTGAGAAGTAAAATAGAGAGAAAAGCAGAGTAGGAGTCAGAGAGATGTAAACCAGGACCACATGCTGTCTCAGAGGTTGAAGATAGTTTTAAGGAAGGAGCGGTCAAGAGTGTCAAGTGCCTCAAGTAAATGAGTCGAACTGAAAACAGCCCTTCATAGTTTGCTTTGGAAAGTCAAGGACTTTAACAAGGGCAGTTTCAGTGAAAGCAGAAGCCAGACTTCTGTGAGGAAGGGAAGACATCTTAGGAATTATAGATAAGCAAAGAGATAGATAGAACAGGAGTTAGATAAATATGTTGTGTCAAGGGAAGATTAAACACACTATAATCCAATATTTATTTATTTATTTATTACTAAAATGCCCTCAGCAAATTTCATTCAGTTTATGAAATGAATCTTTTTGAATAAATTAAACCCAATATCTCCCCTCCAATATACAGGAGACCTACATATTTAGCAAATGTGATTTTTCATATGTAGTGGTAACTGCTTTTTCCAATAGTGTACAGGAAGATATCAGTCAAGGGATAGTAAAGAAAATTTACCAGTAATTAAATATAATCTTTGCCTAAAGTACCAATTATCCACAAATTTATTGTTCTATGACAATATATTGTTCTCCAAGAAATAAAAAAGCATTTTTTTAAAAATTATAAAACTTAAAATTCATTATGTTTCTGGACTTTGCCTATTTTATTTTTTCAGTTGTAGGAAAGCATTTGTATGTTTTTAACAACATAAATAAATTATGATTAAGTTAGGTCACTTTTTAAAAATAGTGAATATTAGTGTTGTTTTCTGCTATATACATGGCCTCCTCCATAGATAGATGGTCGGACCCTTAGGCTTTTCCACCTTCCCTGTCAAATCTTCTGTGCAAAGCAGCTGTGTTTTCAGGTTGTAAATGTCAGGCAACTTGCTACTTAGCCAGAGGGAGGTGGCACAGCTGGAGAAATCCCTCAATTCATAATTCCTTTTATGCTGCTCACTCTAGTTGTTTCCAAAATCTAAAGAGCCTTAAGTTTCAGAATTCAAAACTCTCAACTGATTACCTCTTTATTTTGATTTTAAGTAATTTACTCTCCAGTAAAAGCCTTTTTAAAAATTTATTTTTTCTTTTTTATTATGATTAGAGAAAAGAGTGCAGGAAATTACACCAACAGAGAGCATGGTTTTTCCCTTGGCTTTTTTCTTTCTTGTTTCTCAGGTACTGGGATAGAATCCAGATTCTTTTGTTTTTCTAAGACCTACTCTGCAGAATCTATTATTATTGAAAGGTAATTTAAAGCTTTTTGGGGGTTGTCTGTCAACACATCAGTAGTGTCCTTTCAAGTTTTTACTATAGCTGAACTTACTTGTTTTCGTTCTATCTGGTTAAATGGGTTATGTTTTCATTATGTCCAGATAGTTCCCTTTAGAAATCTTTCAGAGTTCCCTCTACAACATATGTGCCCTTCCATCTACTATGGGCTTTAGCTAGAAATGAAACTTTACCTTTAGGTAATTTGTATACTAGTCAAACAGCAAACTAATAAATACATGAAATGAAATAACAAGGATCTAAATTAAAGGTTGTCAACTTTATTCTGAATATGCAAAATTATAGACTGATTTAAGCTTTTTTTTTTTTTTTTTTTTTTGAGATGGAGATTTGCTCTTGTTGCTCAGGCTGGAGTGCAATGGCACAATCTCAGCTCACCACAACCTCCGCCTCCCAGTTTCAAGCGATTCTCCTGCCTCAGCCTCCCGAGTAGCTGGCATTACAGGCGTATGCCACCACACCAGGCTAATTTTGTATTTTTAGTAAACACAGGGTTTCTCCACGTTGGTCAGGCTCGTCTCAAACTCCTGACTTCAGGTGATCCACCTGCCTCTGCCTCCCAAAGTGCCAGGATTACAGGCGTGAGCCACTGCACCTGGCCAGAACAGACCATTTTTTTTCTGTAGTATTTATAAGCCCCCAAAGAACACTAAACAGGTCCATTATAGTTGCAGTGCAATTAGTACCACAGAATAGCAATGTCTCAGCATCCTTAGAAATGATCATAATATATATTTACTTTGTTAACCTTTTCCTTTTTTAGTAGAACTTCATTTTTCTGACCATACATGTGTATGTCATTTACGAGGCATAGGGCTTTAATTTCCTAAAGGAAATCTCTTTTTCATTTGCCACTTAGAGCGCCTCCCCTGTTCAGGAAAACAGTGATTTCATGTATGCAGAGTTACTTGCTTTTAGAGAAAGTGCATTCCTAGGAAGCACTACTTCCCAATGCATTCTTGGAAAGAACAGTAAGGTTTCTTCCAGTTTCAAGATGCAGATGATATACCTGGGAAATGCTGAAGTAATAATCTGCCAGGTTTTTTTCCCTTTGTCTTTTTAGAGTCCTTATGATTGGGAGTTGACTAGCAAGTAGCTGAATGTGGGTGACAAATGGATTGTAAGTGTTTACTAAGTAGCAGAGGTGGAATGTCAAGTAAGAAGTAGGGACTGAAACATCCTGGAATGCAGACCACGAAATTGAGAGCTAAGAGGAAAAAGTATCACGCAGACCTAGTCATCCATTTCTGCTGTAGCGACTTTGTTCAGTACACACATGGGGTCAGGGGTGAGGGATCAAACACCACCTGAATCAGTAACACCTCTCAAGCAGCCAGAGAACAGGTTTGGGCTCTTTAGTTCTTAAATAGTTATGGAGAGGTTCTAAATCTCCCAAACAAAAGATTAGGGGCTTTGATTACATTTTAATTAAAGATTCTTTAAATTTAGTGTGCATAAAAATCATCTGTGATTTCAGTACCCCATCTGATGCAGGTGTGAGCTACAAATCTACAATTTTTACAAGCCTCCCAGATGATTCTGGTGCAGTTGGTCTGGAACTAAGAAAAACTGGCTGAAGGATTTAAAGATTTGCTTCTTCAGGTCATAGACTGCTTGCTGCCTGCTGAGATTTGTTTAAATAGTGCTAAACCCTTGATTCTACGACTCGTAGACTGCTTTAATGAAATCCCACAGTTCTGTAACCCATGCTGACATTGAAAATTTTATTGGCATTCAATTAAAATGAGAGAAGTTGAGAAGTTGTTTGCTTATAAAAGGTTTCTCCAGCTGCCAATTACTTTCAAGATAGACCATGCCAAAAATGGAAAATAATTTATATCTCGATAACTGTTTGTTGACCATATTCCTTCAAAATTAGTCTGCGCCTTTGAAAGTTATTGTGAAGCAAGCAAACGAGCATAAAATGTTAAACAGCTGAGTAGAAAAAAGACACTGTATTTCTTCCAGTTATGAGAACACACAAATGCATGGGAATGTGTAAATTAAATGCTCCGTCTCCCTCAGTTTAATGGAGATGTATTTTCCATATGTTATTAACTGTTCATGTACTATACTTGAGCAGGTTTGAATACAAAGATAATTCTGTCATAGTATTCATGCATGTTCTAAAATTCATTCCCAGATATTATTAATTTTCTTATATATATATAACTTAATATATATATATAACTTAATATATATATATATATAACTTTTAGGAGTCTATTTTTACATTTAAATACAAAAAAATTATGTGCTCTGGGGCAGAGAACATTATATTAAAAATAAATGTAAAGCATTACATTTCAACAGAAACCCTGTCATAAAATAGATTGAGGTGAGAACACTTTTACTTCATTGTCATCTCTTGTACGAGTAGGTACAAAAACTAAACACTTGAAAAAAGTTCCAATATTTGAACTACCAATGTTTTGAAGTACCAACTTTATTCTAAAGAAAGTCTACATACATAGGCCTATTTTCAGGCTCTGTACTTTTCCATTATTTTATTTGTCTATCATTGCACCAATACCACACTGTCTTCATGACAGTAACTTTATAAGATGTGATCATCAGTGGAGCAAGGCTTTTCCAGCCCTTTCTGTTTCCTCATAAATTATGGGATCAACTTGTTCGGTTTTATATGATAACTTTTCAGGATTTTTATGGATTTTGTTGAATGTATAGAACAATTTGAGATGAATCAACATTTTGATAATATTGAGTCTTTCAATTGATGAACCATCTTGTATATCTCCATTTATTATATGTTCTTTCATTCCTGTCAATATGTGTTTTATAGTTATATTTGTAGTTATTTTGCATACCTTTTGTTATGCTTATTCTTTAGTTTGGTATTTTGGTTTGTGTTCTAGGAGTTGATTTATTTCATCCAACTTTTTGAATACAGTTGTTCATACGATCCTTTTGTATTCTTTTTAATGTCTGTAGTCTCAAAAGCTATGTTCTTCTTTTATTCCTGGTATCAATTATATATGCCTTTATTCTTTTCCTTTTCTTTGATTAGGCTTTCAGGATTTTCTTAGTTGTATTAGTCATTTCTAAGAATCAACCTGTAACTGTTGATTCTTTCTCTCTCTGGTTTTTTTTGTTTCATTTATTTCTGTTCTTATTTTCATTGTCTTTCTTCTACTTTGTATAGTTTATTACACTGATTTTTTTTTCCTGTTTTTATATGGCCACTGAGGCCATTGATTTTCAGCCTTTGTTTTTTCCTAGGTATGCATTAAAGTCTCAAAATAGCCAATGAACATAATTTAACTGTATTTCACTATTTAGATGGGTAATGTTTCAGTATCATATATTTCAAAATATTTATACATTTTCATTGTGATTTATTCTTTAAGTTATGGGTTATATAGAAGTATTTTAATTTGCAAACACATGGAGATTAATTGTTTTTGGTCTATTTATATCTAGATTAACATACTGTAATTATATTTTATTTCAATTCTTTAAAATTTTTTGAGAAATAACTAATGGTCCACATACAGAAAGAACAATGCCCTCATTATAGAAGAATACATATTCATATTAAGTATGGAGAAGAGAGAGCAAATTAATCAAGGGAGGGACATATATTATAAAAATCTTTTAGCCGTCATATAAAAGCAGAGAGATGTGATAGGAAGCTACCTGCCTCCTAGGTGAATCTTTCTTACTTGTTTTTCTTATGCTTTTCTTCTGTCTTAGAATTCTACTGTGCTGCCTTGTCCATTCTGTTAAACTGGCATGCATTACATTAAAACTCTTTCACACAATTCTGTCATATTTAATTTAAAGTGGAGAACTATGTCTTTCCTGAGGAAAATATTTAATGCCCTTTCGGGTCCCAGGTTTTTGCTATTCCTCCATGTTAGAGGCAGGAGAATCAGTGCTGCAATATTTTCTACATTTAACTACATTGCCAGAATATCAATTTCTGCATTGACCTACCCTATTATGCCTTCCTTCTTAGATTTGTATTAAAGTTGCTTTGTGATTTCATTATGCATTTTGTTATATGACTGAAATTTTAAAGCACCTATCTCCTACACATCTACATCTATACATTATATCCACCTAACAAATTTTGACAATGCTACTATATTTTCACTAGTGTGAGTAGAATCTTCCCGTAGCCTAAAAAAGAATTTTCTATATTAGGAAGAAACACTTCACTCATCATGTTAAGGATAAAGTTTATGCTTGTTAACATTACATAAGAAGACTCATGGTCTGCTTTGTCTCTAACTTATACTTTATGATTCAACATCACAGAAAGTTGATCCTGAATTTACCACCTAATTTGCTTCTAAAAGTTAAAAATCCCAAATTAAGTGTTTTAGGGAGAACTTTAACATTTTATGAGCAGAGTCATTACTTGAAGTTTCCTTCCTACTTCACAACTATAAAAGTATCAATGTTTATCAAAAATTAGAAAGTAAATATAGAGAAATATAGTTATTAATGCATTGAGTATAAAAGTAATACTTTACAGAAACCCAAAAATTAATAATTTTAACTTTTAAAGTATATTTCTGCATATACAACACAGGTTAAGATTATTACAATTGTTTCAAGGAATTTGAATTAGAAGTTTCTTTTCTAAGTAAATCTTTCTATAACTTGTGTAAGCATTGTCTATTCACCCCAGGTGGTTTGAATTATTTTCAAAATTAGGGTCATATGTGTTAAAATTTGTAATTACCAATTAATATGCACCATTTTTTTCTGGAAATTTTTACATAATAAATTCCAAGAGAAAAAGAAATAATGATGTTTTTCAATGACCCCTTGCTTTTTAATTTCAATATGACCTCATTTGTTATACTTTGTAAATTGGATTCTAATGTTTCACTGGGAATCTCAAGCCACATGCCAGTGTTTCTAATACTCTAAGTGGTTTTTTTCACTGCTGTTGGTGTAGGAAGAAACATTAACTGTTTATTTATTAGTGCAGAGGATAAGAAAGCTGGAGGTGTGAAAGTGAACAGTTGTGTTATAGGGGCCATCTTTAATTAACTCTAGCTTTTCCTCGTCTCAGTGTTTTTGCCTAGGCTCTTTGTTCTGCTTAGTATATCTATGTCACATTACCTCATCTTTACAGAAACAAAGTCTATCCCCTTACTAAAATTTCAAATTAGTCATCACTATTTCCAGGGCGTCTCCCTACCCCATACAAACTGAATTATATGCTAATCATATTTTATTGTCTCTTGTTTCTAACTATGCAGTGAGTTGGGTAGTGGATACACAGAGAGTCTCCTTAGGAACATTTTCCCTTCACCTGGCACAGTGCCTCACAAGTTATGAGAATAAATAAATGAATGTTTAAATGTTGCATAATTTAGCATAAATTAATGTTTTTAAAATTAGTGTTAATATCTCTAATTATTGAACTAACATTTAGTTTCTGTCTCCTCATTTGATATGGTTTCATTTCACTGCAACTAATTTCAAGTTACAGCATTTATTATGTTTATATCATTTGTTTTCTTATTCATTTTTGGGCCATCACCTAAATTTATAGTGATTGGGTAGCTTGTTGCTTCTTGATTTTGTTTGAGTCCATAAATATGTTTAATTTTTAGTGTAGATAAAATGGACTGAAGTAATTTAACTTCCAGAAGCCTAAAATAAGATATTGTGGTGGCTCACACCTGTAATCCCAGCACTTTGGGAGGCTGAGGAGGGCAGATCATGAGGTCAAGAGATTGAGACCACCTTGGCCAACATAGCGAAGCCCCGTCTTTACTAAAAATACAAAAATTAACTGGGTGTGGTGGCCCACGCCTGTAGTCCCAGCTACTGAGGAGTCTGAGGCAGGAAAATCGCTTGCACCCTGGAGGTGGAGGTTGCAGTTAGCTTAGTTAGTGCCATTGCACTCCAGCCTGGCAACAGAGCAAGAATCCATCTCAAATAAATAAATAAATAAAATAAAATAAAATAAAATAAATATATATGTATATATATTTTATTTTTTGAAACAAGTTTATGGTTTTATAAATGATATTCCTCATGAAGTTGGCTTCCATTAGAGAATTTAAGAATCTTTTATGTAAGGTGTTCATCTTTTCTCGATCAAGTTCACACAACGTAGAGGCTGTCATAACTGTCTGTCTTTTTAGAGTTATGGATAATTTTCTCACAAGACAACAAAAGCTGAATGGTGTCACTGCTCCCATTACAATATGTTCTTTTAGCTTAAGTAAATATGGATGGGAGTTAAAATAGATTTAGATGGACTGTAGAATTAACTTTCCTTTTGTTTATATTTTGGTACTCTTTTTTCCTTTGGTATAAACAAAATAAGATCCAGTGGTACAAGAAGACAGAGAGGAAAAATCAATTTTAATTTTCAAAGATTAGAGTTAGAGTATACTCAAAATTATCCCAAGAACTTGAAGGTTAAGCAAAAAGCTTGAATGTTGAGCAACAGTTGAATGCTTGCATATGGGTACAAATAAATTAGTTCCAATTGCAGCATTCACATAATAATCTGAAATTTGGTCTTCCAAATGTGAAATCTAATCTCATAAATATTCTCATGTCAGTTAGCTGGGGGCAATATTCAATTTCCTTATAATACAATTCTCTTTAAAGTAATTCTTTTTTATTGCTTAATTACCATACAAAGAACATTATAACAAAAATAAAGAATCTACAGAAAGGAAAAAAGTCACCTTTATCTCACCATACTTAAGAACATCAAACTTTTTTTCATGTTTTCTAGCAGTCTTTATTAAATATTTGCAAATCTGTGTAATAATTATTAACATATAGATATAATTTTATTTAATATATGGTTTTCAAAATTTATAATTACCTTACATATTTCTTCATGTTTTTCCATATCTTGTAATCATAATTGTTGAGAATACATAATTTAATTCATTTTGCAACCACCTCGAGAAAAGAACAATTTTTCCATCTCCACCATTCTCTCTTATATGTAGTGATACATAGAAAAACTTTCTGTATACAGATTATCTTTTCTTCCTCATAATTCATTTTAAAGTAGTTGATGGATAGAAATGAATCTGGAAATGTAAATTAGTTATCCTCATTCTCTGCATTGGGAATAGTGCCCCCTTAAGATTAAAATCAAATTGAGGTTTAGATATATAGCCAGGTGTTTTTAAAATCTCATAGATATTCAAACTTGGAGACTCCAAACAAATAAAAAAACATGATATTATACAAAAACAGAGTAGGCAAGCAATGATTATATGGTATGTGCGGAGGCAGACACTCATACAAGCTACAGGCATAGATTGAAGTGTTTACAAAAGACTTCTATACCAGCACCTCCACCACGGTCAATAACAATAACCCACCAAGCTTATTAATTGAGACTTACTGGAAAATCAAGGATTTTAGCTCCCTGAATGATTGAGAGAAACCAGGTTGGACTTTTGCTACCCAACATATAAATGTAGTATTAAAGCAGAAGTCAAGAAATGATAAAATGGTTCATGACCTCTTGCATTGATGAAGGTTTGGCATTTTTAAAAAAAGTCCTCAAATCAGCCCCTGATTAGACACTTTACAAATAAGTATTTGTTTAGGTATGACACAGAGCAATTTAATGAGAGACCACCAAAGGGAGAGAACTAGGCACTTTGGAGCTATTTCCAGAGTAGGCTTATTTTTTACGGTGCTGCAAAGGCAGTTGAAGCCTCAGAGTGTACAGCTTCCATCGGTCAGGAGGAACAGTCCTCAGAAAAGGAAGTCCTCAAGGAAACTTACCAGTAAGGCACTGAGGAGGACCTTCATTTTTAAACTTAGGATGTCAGTTGAAAAATGGAAATCGAAGTAACTGTTTATATCTCAATTCTCCTTAAGAATATGATGTGACAATTTCTTCTAAAAATGGAGTATAAGGAAGTTAATGGGACTTAGCAATTTTAACTTGGACATTAATCACCCAAGAACTCCTCGGAAGGCAGGAATTTCTCTCCTGTGATAAAATTTAGTCCTCTCTGTCTACTTCCTAAGGAACAATGTAATTACAGTGTGTGGAATTCCAAGTACTTGTCTTTTGCTCTAGCTTCATCTTTCTGTTTAGTGTTTTACACACACAGCTCCAAACTGACAGTTGCCAGGACCACTATAACTATCCAGATCCCTGTGTATTCAGGTATTCCTGTATGCCATCAAAAAAACTCAGTTATGATTCTCATTATTCTTCAACCTGATAGATCCTGTTAAAGCCACTCATGCTGGAGGATTCATGAAGCTGATGCAGAGCCCTAACCAGGAGGGAAATTTTATTCCAGGGGAGAAAAAATTCCTTCCTAATTTAAAAATTGCATGTCTGTTTCTGTCATCCACCAAAAGGCCAAAATAAATTTGGGGGCAACAACATTTTCACAATGTTCAAAGCACAAAAACAAGGGACTTTTTGCTTTGGGGTACTTAGCACAGATTCGGACTTGATAGAATTAAGGCTCTCCAGGAAAGCAATTTGTTTAGGCAACGTAGATGGCCACAGCCTTTCTGGCCTGAAACTGGTACCAGCTTGGCTCCCATCTTAACAGCCTTATTCACAAGACATTTTTACTCTCTTCTGCCATCAACATTTATCCACGCTCCCTTTTTATTTGAGGAAGAAAATGCTAATAAAAACCAGCAGGTGATATTTGATTCCTAATAAACAAGAGTTTTGCCCTTTCAATGACTATCATTGAGGTCCCATTATTCTTTAACTTCATTGTAGATAATATTCTTTTATGGAATTTTGGTGCTATCTATTGGCTAAACCTGTTTGTTTACTTCAGTTCTTCATGTCTGTGTTTCATGAAAGGTTTGGGGAAGGAGAAGAATATTCAGGAAAGTGTGAATATTGCACAAATGAGACTGAGATTTTTTATTTGTTTTTTTTTTGTTATATATCTTTATCAGGTTATTACTGAGTACATGGAGATGAAATAAAATGTATATAAATAATTTTTGGATCTTTAAGAAAAAGCAAAATGTTAATATATAAAAACTACATTATATATAGTAAGCATTTTAAAAAATGAAATTGTCTATTGTTAAATACACATGAGTAAAAACATCCCCTTTCTCTTTGAAATAGTTTGAGTATAGTCAAGTCATAACACATAGGAAAGTAATCAATTTAGCAACACATGGAATAAAAAGAAGGGCAAAGATATTAGCATGAACTGTGAACATTTTTATCACACTGTGTGAGACATTTTAGCACTTACATAGTTTTATCTGTAAAAGTCATCACTTTGTTTTATAGTTGTTTGAAATCCTAGTTGGGTTTTATGTAGAGTTATATCCCTTGAAAAGACTGTGGCCATTTACTGATACTGTTTAATAGGAAATAAATCAGACATATACTATCTTGTTATTTTAGTGGGTTAGAAGATGAGTCCCTCTGCCAGAATTTATGAGATCACTAATTACAGGCCAGTAGTAGATGTGTTAACCAGTAACACATCTAGATCCCAAAAGAAAGATTTTTATTTGCTAAAAGGAAGAAATGAATTTATTTCCTAAATTGTTATTATCATTGAAAGAATGCATGAAAATCTGTTATATTTCTCATTAGTAATGATTACTCGTGATTATTATTGTGTTTTTTTTTTTCATCACCATAGAAGGCAAAAGATCTGGTCTTGCACTCTAAAGAGAACAGCATAGCAGCCCAGAAACCCAAGTTTAAGATTTGCCATAGACATATGGGTACTATGGAGCCAGTCAAATTATCCCTGTGGCCACAGATATGTTGATAGTTGTGTATAGTCCCCAGGGTTAGAGGAACAAAAGAAACTCATGTATCTCCTAATATTTAAAATTTTAAGAAAGAATCTCCTGTGAATACAAGATGCCATGATTTTTATTGTCATTGTATACATTTTCCAAAAAGAGGCTCACGAAATGAGAAAAGATAGTTATTAACGTTTTTGATTGGAAAGCGAAATTGCATTTTTATCACTGAAATGCCTTACATATTCTCTGTAAGCTAAAACAAATAGTGTCAGCTTATTAAAAAGTAACTGTCTTGAGTAAAAGACTGTTACTTTATGTGAAGATAACCCTTCTACCTTTTCAAGGGCATACTTTATCTCTTTAAAAAGATTATATTTTTCTTGCTTAGAAGCCTTTTAAAAATAACCTTTTACCCCCTTACTCATATACCCAGAAAAATAGAAATAATCACCTGCTCAATCATCTTTGATTTCTGCATTTATTCTGTCAGAAGAAAGCTTGCATACTAATTGAAGCAATGGCTTTTGTGTTTTCAATCGCTAATCATGTAATTACGTCTTTGCTAGACACTGTTGGGTCTCTTTGAATAAGAGAGATCATGAGTTCAACAAGTCCTTAGCTGTTTCTCTTATTAAACTTATAGTGAGATGCAATGAGAGGAAAAACATATCTCTGGCTCCATAGAAACTGGATTGAAGTTACTTCCAAAATATGTCATAATCTGTTCTTCTAGATGGGATTTTTTTCTGTAAGTCGCATTTATGACCTATTTCCTAGATTATGTACCATGTGTCTAGTAGAGAAGGATAAATAGGAAGAATGCAAATAGCAGTTTTAGGTCTTCTATGAAAAATTTGCTCATCCTTAGGGGAAAACCTAAAGTTGTTTGGAAATAGTTTAACTTTGGCTTTTTGCAAAATGTCTCTGAGCATTTGACCTACATTACAGAAATGTCTCAAATAATAAAAGAGATCTTTGGTATTGAATACAATTATCTAAAGTATAAACTATGGCAATTTTGAAAGTATTAATATATGTTTAAAGAATTAATAAACATTTGAGAAAGAATAAAAATATAATTCCATATTTTTATGAGAACTCAAGTCATACTGAATTAAAGCAATGCAAGAGATATGATGTTGATGTTGCTGTATTTATTTTAATTTAACGTTTGACACTTGTAAATTTTCATAAAAATCCTTCCTTTTGCTTGATCTTCAAAGAATGATACCAAGATTTTTGTTTTTTCAGTTAGGCAAACAATATGTATTATAAATTTCTATCAGCCTAGATATTTATTACATGGATAACAAATGATTTTGCCATTTGACAGCTGAAAATATGGCCTACAGATATTCACCTAGCATCAGCTATGTGCTTAAAGACAACAGCTGTATTGAATCTCAGCTACCAGATTCTTCTTTCATACCAAAAGCTTTGCATTGCATGTTACCAATTTGTCAATACCTGTTTAGTGATCAGTACGTGTACTCTTTACCATAGAGGATGAGGGTATTTATAAAATGTCTCCATTTACTACATAGTCATAAATATTTTTCAGAATATACAGTGTGATATTTTTAATTGAATACAACAAAGTCCAACCTTAGGAAAAAAATAAACAAAAAGCTATCTGCAAATCACACACATTTCTTTTGAAAAGCATTTGCCATGGCCTTTGTTCATAGATTCTATTGTACAAGAGCTTTGTTTGGAGTGGATATTTTGCTCGACTTCATTAATTTTGGCAGAAATGTTGCTATCTGTAGTGTCTCCCAGAGGTCCCACTACTTTCAGCCTCCATCTTTAATTAGAAAAATTAAATGGAGAAAATTAAAACCAAGTAGTGATTAAACTTTCCTTTCTTGCTCTGGGATATTTTTGTCAATTATGTAAAATGAGTAAAAATTTTAAGGCATTTAAGGTTGTTTTCCAAATTGAAAAAATATGTTTTGCCACTATTTTATTTTATTATATAATGAGGTGGTAAATCAAGGATGCATGATTATGCCTGAAGAGATCATGGTGAGGCCGCCCAAATAGGTGGGCAGAGCCAATGGAAAGAAAGGAATGGCAAATGTTTTTTTCTAGAAAAAAAAAAAAGTAATTTTGCCTTTTCTTAATGGCTGGTAGTAAGATATTTAAAAGTAAAGGACCAAACTTTTTTTAAAGCAGAAGCATTCTTTTTGAGACTGAATATTTTGAAATGAAAATGAAGTACCTTAAGTGACAGATATTACCAGTATAGTTTCAAGTATTAAAGCAACTAACTATCCCTCTTAATTTAAATATTTCCTTATTAAGAAATCTATGTTTCGTAAATCACAATTTAATTCAACATGCATTTAATGATTGCCTAATATATGCTGGGAAGTTTGCTCATTGCTGATAAAAACTAAAAGAATAAGACATCCTGTTTTTAAAAGTTTATAGTGTGTCTTACAGAATGCAGTTAAAAAAAAGAGATACTATTCTAAGTAGTTCCAAAAAAGAAAAAAAAATGACTTTAATGTAGGATCATGTTTAAAATACAAAAGCTGGGAAGCCAAATAAGTGTTGATGAGGCCACCTTGATTTGTGAAAAACAGAAAGCTACTCCACCCATATGGAACCAATGTGAAGAAGTTCCCAGTAGGAAGTAGGGCCATACACAGGTAAAGGTGATCCTGTGGGAAACAGACATGGATGAGATGTAGCAATTTTGAGGCTCCTTGTCACTGAGCAGGAAAGACAAGGAGAAGTGTTCTGATTTCTCACTCTTCTTGCTTTGTGGCCTCTTGTTAGGGACTATCAGGCAGCCAGTTGGAAATGGAAACTGGGGAATGCAGTTACATTAGATACAAGGCACACAGTAAGGACAGAGAATAGAGCTAAGGCCAAATAGGCAAATGATCTGGAAAGTAATTGTATAGGACAGCAAAATATTTTTTAATGTTTTTTTTTTAAATAAAAAGGTAGTTTCAATAAACTGTGGTAAATGCAACTGTTACTGAAAGCCAGGAGTTTGGTGTAACCCCTGCTACTCACTGCACAGAAAGCCAATCACTGCCACAATGAAGATAGCCAAGGAATACGGCTTTATTCTCATGCTGTATCTGAGAAGAAGGGAGATCAGTCTCAAATCTATCTCCTTGATGGTCTAAAATTTAGGGTTTGTTATATAGCAAGAAAGAAATGGAATCATATGTGGGAAAACAGGAATTAGGGAGGGCTAAGGAAGAAGAGTTGGTCAACAGAAAGCAGGTGATCAATTAGGCAGTCACCACAAGTGAGGGGTCTGGTGTGTCATTGTCCAGTTGTGATGATCTAGTAAGTTTCAGTTCCTTGACACTATCTAGGAGGCTTGCTGGCTGGTTTCCTGAGAAAGGAATTCAGATTAGACAATTTTAACTTTCTCAAGTTTTAATAGTAGGAGGGTCAATTTCTATATTTATATTTATTCAAAAGAAACCATAAACATCAGTTTCCGTTACCAAAAATGACCTTTAGTGTGCAGAAATTACATGGGTTTTTTTCCCATAATTAAATTAAATTAGATATATGTGTATTTTACAGGAAAAAAATACAACCCAGCAACTTAGAATGGCTTTTCCTCCATGTATTGCTCCCCATAATCTACTTTCTGAGCTTGCTAATGTTTAAACTTAATCATGGCATTCCTCTTACATTTCATTTATGTAGTATTTTAATAATTTATAAGATTTTTTTTTCTTGGAAAGGTTTTACAACCATATTTAGTAAATGCAATAACAGTTGGACAATTGGAACGGTTTCACAACCATATTTAGCGAACGCAGTAACATGTAATTAATATATATATGGTAAATGCAAGGGTGATATACAGACTCTTTGAGCATACATAAGAGGGCCACCACATAATGCCTTGTTAATAATGGATCATTCAAGGAAGATTTCACAAAAGTGGTTAAATCCTGCTGCGTCCTGAAGAATAGGAGACAGCCAGGGAAAAGGAAGGAGATAAGAGCAGGGAAAGTTGCTGAAGGATGAATGTTCTTCCAGGTAGATTGATCCATAAGTACAATGAATTGAAAATGAGAACATATAATACCTTTTGAGGCTCAAAGAAGACTGAAAATGTAGTGGAGAAAGAAGCAAACTTAAGTGATAGTTTATAAAATGTGGGCTTTAGTTGGAAAGCAAGGGAAACTCATCAAAAATGTAAGAGGAGAAATGTCATTATTAAGTTTAAACATTAGCAAGCTCGGAAAGTAGATTATGGGGAGAAATATATGGAGAAAAAGCTATTCTAAGTTGTTGGGTTGTATTGTTTTTCTGTAAAATATACATAAATCTAATTGTCTTTACTTTCATTATGGAAAAAATAGCCATGTAATTTCTACTCACGAAAGGTCATTTTTGGGGAATGGAAAGTAGAAGAAACAACGCGTTGAAAGAATTGTGTTACCTCCTGGCTTTCCCTTTTGTGCCTGTGTATTGCTCATTAGTGGTAGGGGCC
Organism: Homo sapiens; assembly: GCF_000001405.40. NCBI lineage: Eukaryota > Metazoa > Chordata > Mammalia > Primates > Hominidae > Homo > Homo sapiens. Next base: position 9,508,270 of record NC_000009.12, on the reverse strand, counting down.
ACTGGAGCGCTTCTTGTATAAGGAAAATAGATACAGTGTTCCAAACCACAAATTTAAAAATTATCTTTACAAAAACATCCCATTTATAAGTTTGGAAATATGATTGTATGTGTACTTTACTTGTGTGTCTGAAGAAGAGCAAGAGACCAACAAAACATAACAGTAAAATACTGAAGTATGAACTTGCTGACATTTCTTATAAATTATTAAAATATCACATAAATTATGTGTAATCAATTAAATATTGAGAATTTTATGTGTGATAGTATAGAAGCATTAGGCTATTGATACAATAATAAAGAATATAGATTTTTAAGAGCTCATTTTCCCCTTCTGAAATGAGTTTTAAGTTTTCTCTGAATACAGAGCTACCCAAGACACGAATGACAAAAATCAAATAGACTTTGGTTTATGAAGGCACAGTCGAGATTTTAATTACCATAGCAACCTGAACAATGAGTCTATATCTTAAATCATCTTTATAAACAGATTTTTATCTGCATCTGGATCATTAAGTGTTACATACACTAAGATTAGAGTTATTTACATTATAACAACACTACAATCATTGTTACAGCAGAAATGACCTAATTGTCTTTACTAATGATAATTATTTTTAGTTCACAATTCAATAGAATCACAAGACTGATTGCAATAAATTCCTGTAAAATATAAAACATTCATAATTTTTCTTCCTTAATCATCATACTAGCTTTACTTTCTGTTCTCCCTTTCCATGGGTAGAAAATCTAATTCTTTTATAATTCATTTTATCTTGTCTTCTTTTCCAGGTTATTTTCAGCTGAGTATTTTTATTTTTCTCTAAGAAAACCATTATATTTTGTTCTTAGTACAAAGCCTTACATTTTTATTGTATACAATTCAGACAATCCAAGAAAGTATATAGAAGCCAATAAAAAGCACTATTTATCCTATTACCCAGGTAGCATTCTTAATATATAACAAATTTAATCCCAGTTTCTGCAATTTTGTGTGTTTGTGAATATAGATAGATAAATTAATATATATTGTATATCCTTGCTTCTTTTCAGACAAAATTGACATTATAATGCTTACTATCCTGCTTTTTAATCAGTTAATTTTATATTAGAATCATTCTCTTGATGCCATTCAAATTCTTTTTAAAATTTCATCTTTTATTATTTCCTAGAATTCAAACTTCTGGCAGGAACATAATTTGTTCATCCATTTACTGTTGTTTCATATATGTATTGTTTGAATGTCTTTGGACTATGACATATGGAACTAAGACAAGTATACTTGTATATAATCTTTGAGTACATCCTTTAACTTCTAGAAATAGAATTACTGGGTTACTTAATTTTCTATAATCTTAAAACATAATCATTATTGCTTTCCAAATTTTGCTGTTTGTTAACCAGCCTTGTTAACAAGACTGGTAGGTCCTGTGACTTTTCTGGCCTTTTCATTCAGAGGACTCAACTAAGAAATACCTTTAAACACCACTGGTAGAAGATGTCTCAGTCAGAGCCTTGTAACTTGCATTACTCCAGATAACTTCTTAATGTGCTTTTCCACTAAAATATATGGATTTCCTCAACTTCTATCTAGGTTAGTCTAAGCCATCTCAAATTGAGTATTCCAAAGGTAATTTTTAAAAAAAGGAATATGCTGAGAAATGATATCTAGAGACAATCTGATACATTCATCTCTAGGCCATTTCTGTTATCTTCTAGACATTATTTAAACAAAACTTTCCCATTTCTTTCACATCAAGAAACCCATATAAGAAGCATGATCTTAGAATCATAAATCTGGAAGGACAAAAAGGCAGGATTCTAAAGATTGATTGGACCCATCTCACTGGAACTAATCTCCAAGAAGTAAGATATTGTGATTCTTAGGAAAGTCTTTTTTTTAGCTATATAATCAGCTCTTCTTCCCTGAAGCTCTCCCTTTAAGATAAAGGTCCTCTACTGCTTCTACAAATTTTAAGTACAATATTTCCTTTTGTCCTCAGTATGAATGGGGAAATTTCGAATCATGTTGCATAAAGCAATGTATAATAAACATGGAGACAGTTATATAGGTTGCTGCGTGAATTTAAAAATCTTTATAGGTGAAATACTATAGACTATTTGAAATGTATTCAAACCAGCTTTGAAAATTTAACAAGAATATTTTTAGCCTGGTTTTCCATCACTTAAAGACATTTGAATGTTGAGTTTATTTTTATTTTTATTTATCATTTAAGCCCCTATGTCTTGAATCTGAAAAATCAGACCTGTGTCCTTAGATTATGAGATTATCTACTCTCAAATTATTTTTTTTCTGCCTACTTAGGGATGAGAGAGTATTTCCGATTTAAGAGTTGGATGTTTATTGGTGATTGTCCCGTCACTGTAGTCCATTGTTGTGTTGTAATGTCCCATGTTAGAAAGAAAAACGAAGTAGTTAAGCATATCCTAAAAATTGATTGTTCCTTGGGATCATAAATAAATTTAAAAGGTTTATCACTGTTATAAATATATTAAACATTTTTAAGTAGATGAGAACAACATCAACAACAAAAAGTACCCAATTATTTTCCCTGGTATAATTATTTCATCTTTATTGATTCCCTGTGTGAGCATGCCTAGATGAAACCTTGCCACCTATCATAGAATGCAGTATGGCCATTGACTTGACAAGGAATATATCCTTTGCTTCTTGAGCCATATCTTTAAAGAAGTTTATTAAAATATTTGAGTACCTCAAATAATAATGACAGCTACACGTTTCTCTGATACTAAATCTGGCATCAAATTTATTCCAGGGTTCAGAATTCAGTCAGGCTAAAAGTCTTTCTAATCTGTGGATTCTAAATATTTACATCCTATATTGAGCAATGAATCTGGGCCACTTTTGCAAGAGGAAAGTAAAATTCTGATGGCAAAGTAGACCAACACGATTGAAAAATGACGTGACGATATGAAATGATCTATAAAGAAGAGAAGGATTTAAAAAAATGGATCTACTGCTGATTAATTATTTAATCTAAGAGAGTCGGCTGCTCTAGTCCTAAATGAAACCATTGTGGTAGACCAAGTCCTCCAAGAAGAGATCAAGAGAGGATTAAACATGCAAATGATTTATTAGGGGAAATACCTATATCAAAGGAAATAGAAAGTCAGAAAAGTCCAGAAGGGCAATCAAACTGTGATGCAAGCTTGACCCTGAGTGAGGGAGCAAGGTTTAGAAAGTTAGGAGGAAGTGTCCTTGACTACTAGTTCCAGCTAGTCTAAGTAGTTGTTGAGCTAGTCTGTCAACAAAGACATTCTGGATTGCCCAAGAATGATGCCTTCTTAGCCTCTCTACTGCAATCATTATTAAGTATTCTATTTCTTTTTGTTGCTACTGTGAATAGAATTGTTTTTTAATTTACTTTTTGAACAGTTTGTAAAGAAATATAACTGATTTTTGCATATTGATTTTCAATCTTGTAATTTTACTGAAATCATTTATTAGTTTTAATAGGTTTTTGTTACACCTTTAGGGTTTTCTGTATACATTATCATGTCATCTCACAAATAGAGATAGGTTTGTTTCTCCCTTTCAGACTTGGATGCGTTTTATTTCTTTTTCTTGTCTAATTACTCTGGCTAAGACTTTTAGTACTATGTTGAAAGAAATGGTGAGCGTAGGCATCTTTGCCTTGTATCTCATCTTAGAGGGAATGCTTTCAGTTTTTTCCTTTTGATGGTGATGTTAGCTGCAGGCTTTTCACATGGTAGGTATTGTGCTGAAGTGAGTTTCTTTAACACCTGTTTTTTGAAACCATAGTAAATGTGTGTTGGGGATATGGCTTAAGATACATTTGGAATGGAGACAAGGGTTGTATAATTTGCGGCCTTGTAGGTCATCATAAGCCATAAGAATTATCTACTAAGAACAATGGGACTATGAAATCTCTATATCTGGAATATTTTGTGGTCATATTTGAGCAATATATATTGGGTAAAGACATATAAAACAGATGTCAAATAAGTAGAAATATAGAGCAAAAACTTAGAAAGTACTACAAAATCCAAAGCTTGTCCATTTAAGAATGTCTTTATAAATTTTAGAAAAAGCCTTAGACTACAATCTCTCTAGTTTTCAACTGTCAACCCAAATAATAGAGAGAGACTCTGTAAAGGAAAATGATATTTACTTTGGAATAGGGTATTGCAATGAGAATACCCTTGCCATGGTAACTATGTGGTGCATTTGGGGAGGTAAAGGAAGACAAAGATTTTTAAAGGAATAATGAGAAGGATTACATAATTGTTTTGAGATTATTGTCTTTGGATAAAATAATGGATAACAAAAGTGGCACCATTCCAAGGTTGGACATGTAGTTGCTGAGCAGATGTCCTCTCAGAAGTATTTTTTTTTATGTAAGGTGGCAATGGCCTTTATGTAAAGTTATGGTTTTTGCAGTCTTCTGTGATAGGCATACATGCCCAAGAATGCTTCAGAGAGCCTTTGTAAAATCATAGGCATGTGTGTGTGAGGGCCCTCCCTTCTCAGCCTCCTGGCTTTATATATTTACTTTTTGTTAGAGTTTGACACAAGTGACTCTACTTTGATTCTGAGAACTTACACACTTCTACCATAGTCTTGCTACAAGATTCGGAGGTTTGATCTGTTATAACCACCATTGATTCCTATGCAATATTTACTGTAGTTGACTAAACCATATGATCATTGTGGCAGAAATGGTAGTACTCAGCAAACATTCCATGGCCTCCTCTACATTTTTTCATCTGGTCTTACAGTTATGAGCCCAGATACTTGAGCGCCCATTTGAACCTAAGCCCCCTATTGACATGTGTGGCATGTGTAGTGTGAGAAACAGATCTTATTTCATAAAGACACTAAAAAATGTGAGTCACTTTGTTATCAGAGCATAACCCACACATCTCATCTAAATGATGTGCTGTGATTCAAGACCTATAACAAGAAGAAAAATAAAAAAAAAAAACTTTTTTTGGTATAGGTACCAGAACTGAAAATAGCCTATTAAAAATCCAATGGTAACATTACTGAGCTATAACTAAAATAAGAATAACTCTCAAAAAGGAGTATCTGAGAGAAAATTACAATTTTGACAAGATACATTTAAAACAACTACCAACCAAGTCCCTTCTTTGACCTTATTTATTTACTTATTTGCTTGTCTATTTTAATCAAGGCAAAAAATTTCAGTGAAATACACAGACCTTGACACAATTTGATGAATTTTAACAAACATATTAACCTGTGTAGTCTGCCCACCAATCAAGACACAAGATATTTCCATCACTGAGAAAGATTACTTTAACTCCTTTGCAGTCAATCTAATCCCACTGTGAAGGCAAGCTTGTTCTAATTTCTGTCACCATAGAATAGTTACGTCTGTTGGAGAATGTCACATAAATAGAATCTCATTTTGCATATTCTTTTGCATGTAGCTTCTTTGCTTCAACATAATGTTTTTAGGATGTATACATGTTGTTATATATCATCAATTTGCTCCTTTTTTATAAACAATACATGAATATTTCACAAATTGTTTAATCATCATTCTGCAGTTGAAAATCTGGGTTGTTTACAGTTTGGGGCTATTATGAATAAAGCTGCTATAAACAATCTTGCTTGATTCTTTTCATAAACAAATGTTTTTATTTCTCTTGGTTAAAGACTTAGTGGTGGAATCACTGAATTATACTCAGTGAATGTGTAAGGTCATAAGAAAGTATTAGTCCAAAGAGTTATATCATTTTACACTCAAAACAGAAATACATATACGTATGGTAAAATGTTATTCAGCCTTAAAACAGAAGGAAATCCTGCCACTTGCAACATGGATAAACCTGGATGACATGCTAAGTGAATAAACCAGATACAGAAAGATAATCACTACAAGATCCCACTTATATGAAGAATCTAAAACAATCAACATCACAGCAGCAGAGCGTATAATGGTGGTTGCCAAGGGCTCAGCAGAGGGAGAAAGGGGGAGATATTAGTCAAAGGGTAAAAAGTTTCAGTTATGCCAGATGAATAAGTCCTAGAGATCTAACGTACAGCATGGTGTCTATAGTTAATAATAATGTATTGTATAAAAATATGCTAAAAGGATAGCTCTTAAGTGTTCATATAACAAAAAATGATGATAAATGAGAGCAAGCGGAACCTTTAGGAGGTGATGAATATGTTTATGACATCGATTGTGGTAGTGGTTTCATGGGTGTGTATGTATCTCCAACTCATCAAGTTGTAGACTATGTGTATGTCAATCATACCTCAATAAAGAGGGTTTAAAAACAAAAAAAGATTTCCTAAAGTTCCCTCCAAAGTATTGCTTCAGAGGCATCCCACCAAGTTTTCTCTGTGTTGTTTTTGTGTTATTTTTAATAATATTTTTCCGTTTACTATATTTTCTAAAGTTCTTTGTGATATCTTCTTTGACTCACTGGTAGTCTAAAATTTTGCCATTTCATTTCTAAATATTTTGGTCCTGTCTGAATCTTATTTTTAGTTATTTATAATTTAGATATGTTGTATCCAGAAAATACACCTTATAAATTCAATCTTTTGTAAGGTGTATAGTTTTATGGTATTGCCCAGTCTGTAGTCTATTTTAGTAAATATTTCATACGCACTTGGAAAGAAAATCTATTCTCCAGTCTTTGGGCATAGTTGATATACATTAACTAGAACAAGATTGTTGATTGTGTTATTTTGATCATTTATATATTTACTGATTTTTTGAGGGGCTAGTTGTCTATTTCACACTTTTCTGGCCATTTTTATAGATATTTAAACTCTGTTATTAGGTGCATACACATATATGATTGTTATGTCTTTATGTGAATTGAACTGTTTATAATTAATAAATATTTCTCTTTTACCTCTGGTTATATTGTTTAGAAGCCTACTTTTTCTGACTCTGCTTACTATTTGCATGACAAATATTTTTATATTCTTTTACTTCCAATCTGTGTTTTAAAATTTAAGGTGTAACTTGTTAAGGCACACTTCATTTTAGTGACTCTTATTTGTCCAATTTGACAATCTTTGGCTTTTAATAGGAATATTTAATCCATTCACATTTCAAGTAATTATTCATATTATTATATTTAAGTTTTTACCTTGCTTTTTATTGTTTTTTTGGCCCATTAATTATTTATTGCCTTGTTTTTCCTCTCCTGAATTGTGTTTTGTTAATTGAATATCTTTTAGTAATACATTTTATTTCCTAAGTAGCTTTTTAGCCATAGCAGTGTGTATTTTGTTAATGGTTGCTCTAGGGATTATAATATTTATCCTTAACTTATCAGTGTGTACTTGCAATTAATATTGAACAATTTCACATAAAATAGAGTAGTATAAAAACAGTAATAAGTCCATTTAGAATCATCCGTTGTGCTTTGATCAAATGTTTCAATTCTACATCTATTGTAACACCCTCCCAAAACAACTTTATTATTTTTGCTTTAAACATTCATCTGTCTTTTAAGAAACTAAGAGAATAGAAAAAAAAGTCTTCTATATCTACCTGCATATTTATTATCTCCAGTCTTCTTTATTTCTTCTTATGGATCCAAATCTTCATCTGTAATACTTTTTATTCTGCTTAATGAACTTCCTTTAATATTTCTTTAGTACAAGTCTGTTTATATACAGCCCAGTGTTCCACAGGGAACCCACTCTCAAGCCTCCGTGGTGCCATCTGCAGAGCTCTCTCCTACCTGATACCCTATCCAACCAAATCCAGTCAACTTAGCAGCACCAAACCTCAATATCTATAGTCTCAACTCAGTGGCACTGCTGTGTTCTTTAGCTGTACCTTCCTGTACTGCTATCAGGAAAATTCTGCTGGGAAGAAATCCAAGGAAATGTAGAACCTAATTCATTTTGTTATCCTTCAAAAATCATTACCCTGGAATGCATATCGTCCAGTGCCTGAAATACTCGCTTCATATGTTGTGTGCTACTTTATTGTTGTTTACATCGAGAGGCCAAGCCTGGTGTGACTTTCTCTATCATGGCTGGGAGGAGAGATTACACTTTAACTTTAGATGGTTGAATTTAATGTTTTATTACTTTTCATAAAATAGCTCCTGAATGAAAAGTAGCTTTTCAAAAAGTACTAGGAATGGAAAAGCAACTGAGAAATGGAGGAAAAGTAAGTTTTTGGCAGTTTTTTACAGCCCATTCAAAGAATACTTCTGCAAATTACTCCTAAACAATGCTGTGTTCATAAGAATTAATATTCAAGGGGCAGCCCAAGAATTGTTATTAATTTACAGTTCTCTTCCAAATGTTTATTGCTGCAGTATCACTTCTGCTTGGTATGGATCAGTTTTCATTGCAGTTTATTGGCAATCAGCAGTTATTATTTGGCTCTAGTGTTTACAAACTATAATTCATTAGTCTCTTATCTTTTATTTATGAGACAGTGTCAAATGAAGGAAAGAAATCAGGCACTGTTTTTGGTTGGGAGAGTTCTGTACACTAGAGGGCATTAACACTATCCATGCTTGTGTTTTGTTTTAAGTATTCATTCAGCATTATTGAATAAAGTAGGTCCTAACTGTGAGAAGAAACAGGCTGTTTTGCTGAGTTCCTGCTGTGTACAGAATGTTTGCCCATATACCAGTCTGATTCACTGATAAATAATACTGATAGGAATACTATGTCAAATTAGCCAACTTTACCAGCAAAAATAATGTCTTAATTTTAAATGTTTGAAGATAAATGAGTTTTTGTATATATACCAAAATAACTCACAAATATGATAGCTGAAGTAAAGTTTATAATAACAATAGATTTCCATTTGATGAACTATAGTTCGGCAATATATTTTTAAATGTCTAGAAACAGTAAATATAAGAAAATACAGAGTGGTGAGTGGTACAGTGAAAAGCACACAGAAGGAGAAGTCAGAATTCATGATCTTTCCCTGCCATGAATGCACATATATTTTAGCAGTCTTTTCAATTTTTCAGAAGTTGTTTCTTCATCCATTAAAAAGGGGATAACATCATACGTCTTGATAACATCACAATGTTTTTATCAACATGATGAAAAATATATATTCTACTATCTGAATGTCGTGATTATCTTTGAAGAGAAACAATAGGATTTTTCTTCCAATCTATGCTCATTGTTGATTTACTGTGTTGCCTTGAGAAACAATTTAGTGCTATTTTCCAAATTCTTAAATAATGGCTACAATGTCTACTCTTTTGAGCTGACAGAGAAACAATTGATAAAGAGAGGGAGAGCAAGAGTGAGACAGCAAGAGCAAGTGAGAGAGGGAGAGAGAGAGACAGAGAGAGAAAAAATAAGCCTAAACTCTTTAAAGAAAAGTATTTATGGATCTGATTTAATTGTGATTGTGAATTTTTTAATGAAGGACACTTTTGAATTAAGAACACAGATATGTTCTAATTGGGTAATTTTTGTGTATTTATCACAGATCATTTCCTGTCTTACAATTATTCACTAGATTTTAGTGTGCCTATGTTCATTGTTCTATTTGTACAGCATTTTATTTCTCAAGTCAGTGGCAAAATATTCCTGAATGATCATTCTAATGAGGTATTTAAATTTACCCCAATAAATATTTATATGGAATTCTACTACCTCAAAATATTTCTCCTTACACTGTATAAAATTTTTCTTTTCTCAACCCCAGTAAATCTGCCTGCCACTAAAGGCCAAACAAGGAGAATTTCATATCTACTTCTTAAATACTGTTTACTGAAATGTCAATGAAGTGAGAATGAAAGGCTCTGGAGAAAGTTCCCTGAGCTGAGATATGATAATTTATCAAATCTAAATGAAACCCCAGGTGAAGTCCAAGTTTATAACCTGGATTTAAATTACAGCATGGATTTACTTTTTATCTTTCCGGATCTTTAGAAGTTACAGCTCTATCTGTGAAGCCTGTACTTGTGCAATACATCATTTATGTCAACATTCATACTTGGCTTACAAGACTGCGTAATACAAGAGGGAACTTAAGCAATAAAATCACTTCTCTTGCAGAATGCCACTCAAAGAGCATAATTTTATTTTTAATTCAAAATCCTACAACTGTGCCGCTAAAACAATGTTGAACAGAGGCAGGCACTACTGTAAAGCAGGAGCTAGGAGAGGAAACTTCTCTTGGTAAGTAAACTGCTTCCTGGCTCCTTCATGGATTCCAATTAAAACACTTAAAGATCCCTTTGAATGTGCAAAACTGGGAACTGTTATCTCAGGCAAGCAAAATACATTACTCATCTTATAGAAATTCAAAATGTTAATGTTGAAAGGCACTGTGAATCATTTAAATTGACCTGCACAGTTTATAGATGAGAAAACTGAGGCCCTGATATGTGAAGATTCTGGCTGAAGATCGAAGTCAATATTTGACAAAGTCAATACAGTGACCATTCCAGAGTTTCATTCCATAACAGTGCTACTTTTGGATAAACTTTACTGCTATTATGATATTATATCTTAAATATATTGAGCTGGCTATGTGACTTGTACTGTGCTACACATTTGAGTGGTGGAGGCATAAAGGTGGTAATTATATCTCTATAAATGAGATAATGTTCCTATTTCTCCTCTTTTTGAGATAACTTCTAACAGTCATCTACAGATGGTGATCGTTGACATGGACAAATGTTCTTACCAAAACCAGTCCAAATAAAAATATTTGTTCGTAAACACCCTTATTTTAATTGTGAAATAATTTTGTTTATAAACTTAGTTTGAGTGAATGCGTGTCAATATTGTGCATGTTGGAGGGGGATGATAATGAGCTGCTCTATCAAAGTGAGTCATTTAAAAACAGCAATAACTAAAAGACTCTTGAATGCCAAATCTATTTCCAAAATGGACTCTTCTATGCACCAAAATATAGACTAGAGAAGAAATTTGATAGATTGGACTGTAGTGACCAGATAGTTAAGTCAGTTCCCACTACTATCTCATTTACTTTATTTTTTAAATTGAGGTAAAATACACGTGACATAAAAGTTACTATCCTAACCATTTTTAAGTGTACAGCTCAGTGGCACTAAATATATTCATATTGTTGTGCAGCTATCACCACCATCCACCTCCATGACGCTTCTCATCTTATAAAACTAAAACTCCATACACATTGAACAAGGATTCCCCATTCTCTGCCTCCCCAAACACCCCTCAACAATAAGCATGCTTTGTCTCAGTGATGTTGACTCTTTAACTACCTCATATAAGTGGAATCATATAGTATTTGTCTTTTTTTATGACTGGCTTGTTTCATTTAGGATAATGTCCTCAAAATCCATGTTGTAGCATATGTCAGAATTTCCTTCCTTTTTAAGGCTGAATGATATTCTATTTTATGTATAAACCACGTTTTACTTGCTCATTCGTCAATGGACACTTGAGTTGCTGCCACATTTTAGCTACTGTGAATAATGCCACTAAACATGGGTGTATAAATGTCTCTTCAAGACCCTGCTTTCAATGTATTTTTGATATATTTCCAGCAGTAGAATTACTATATCATATGGTAATTCTATTTTTAATTTTTTTAAGAATAACCATAACACTGTCCACAGCAGCTATATCATTTTACATTCCCACCAACATTGCAGAAGGGTTTCGGTTTCTCCACATCATCACCAACACTTGTTATTCTCTTTTTTGTTTGTTTGTTTTTGTTTTTTGTTTGTTTTTAAATAGTAGCCATCCTTATGGGTGTGTTACCATATCTCATTGTAGTTTGGGTTTGCCTTTTTCTAATGATTAGTCATGTCAAACATCTTTGCATGTGCTTATTGGACATTTGTGTATCCTAGTTGGAGAAATGTCTATTTCAGTTCTTTGGCCATTTTTGACTTGGGTTTTGTTGTTGAGTTTTAGGAGTTCTCTATAGATTCTGGATATCTGATTTTCTCTTATCAAATATTTGACTTTAATATATTTTCTCTCATTATCTGGTTTGTCTTTTTACTCTGTTGCCTTTTTACTCCTTTTTTCTATTTTGCTGTACAATTTTAAAGAATTCTCCTAAAGTCAAAATTGTCTATTTTTTTAATTTTGTTGCCTAAGTTTTTGGTGTCATATCCAAGAAAACACTGTCAAATCAAAAGTTGTGACACATTGAGACAGGATTTTTCTCGGCCCCTTTGCCAGACTCACAGCAAGGGCACCCTGTTTACTTGGCCTGCTGTGCTCAACCTTGAAGGAGGGAGCATGTGAGTGAGCAAGTGTAGGATCCAGCCAGCTGCTACGGGAGCTGACACAGGAGCAAGCTTCATGCGGGGCCTGAGGTGGCACCCAAGTTGGGGTGCCTGCTACCCCAAAGCCCCACAAGGGGTGTTACAGTGTTCTGTTGGTTTCATTGTCTGCAGATGGAGGCATCTTAGCAGCTCAGTTGGCCCATTGCCTCATCACGTGGGGTGGCTGCCCTCTGCCAGTGAGGGCAAAGGGTCAGTGTGACAACAGTTTTGGGTACCTGCACTCAATGGGTCCTGAGCTCTTGTCCAGCATCCAAGAAGAATGAGGTCACATGGACAATTGAAGGATAGTGAAAGCAGAGAATTTTATTGAGTGATGAAAACAGCTCTCAGCAGAGAGGGGAGTCGGGGCGGGGATGGGAAGGGCAGATCATCTTCCCCTAAGTCAGGTCGTCTCTTCCCCGAGGTCTAGTCACTCCCTCAAGGTCCAGCCATCTCCCTGAGGTCCAGCTGTCTCTCCCTCTACCGACTGAGTCTGGGGTCTTTATAGGCACAGGATAGGGGCAGGGCGGGCTGTAGGGTTTTTGGAAAAGGCAACATTTGATTGGTAAAAAGGCATTATTCAGAAAGAACCAATTGGGAGAGAGTGGGAAAACAGGAATAGAAGTTCTCACTTTGGGCTGCAGGTTTCAAACTGTTGGGTTTTTGTTGTTGTTGTTGTTGTTGCTTTTTTTTTTTTTTTGGCTTGAAGGTGGGATTTTACTGGGTACCCATCCCTGTCTGCCTAGAATTTCTCTGCTGCCTGTTTCTATCATCATCAGACTTACTAATTTCAGTTTTCTTCTCTGAGTTGTATAGATTTAGGTCTGACATTTAGACCCATTTTGAGGTAAGTTATGTGTATAATGAATGAAGTGGGGTCTAAGTTCATTGTTTCGCATGTGGCTATCTAGTCTTCCCAGTACCATTTATTGAAAAGACTATAGTTTCCCCCATTGAATGCTCTTGGTGCTCTTGTCAAAAATCATTTTACCAAATATGTGAGTGTTTATTTCTGAGCTCTCTTTTCTATCCATTGGTCTAAGCATCTTGTTTTTATACTAGTACCACACTGTTTTGATTACTATAGCTTTGCAGTATGTTTTTAAATCAGGCAGTGTGAATCTTACAGTTTTCTTCTTTCTTTTCAAGATTGTTTTGGTAATCCAGGGTCCCTTGAAATCCCATATGAATTTTAAGGTTGGGTTTCCTATTTCTGCAAAGAAACTTATTTGGGATATTGATTAAACTTGTGTTGAATCTATAGATCACTTTGGGTCATATCGACATTTTAACATGAAGTTTTCCAATCCATTAACATGAGGCATATTTCTATTTCTTTCTGAAAACTTCTCTCAACAATATTTCATAGTTTACTTTTTACAAATTTTCCACCTCCTTGATTCCCAAGTATTTTATTTTTTATTTCAAATTGCTCATTGTTAGTGTATAAAAGTACAACTGAATTTTATGTGCTGACTTTGCAAATCTTAATCATTTTGCCGGTGGAGGCTCTTGCCTTGATCTTGATGGCTGCTGACTGATCAGCTTGGTGGTTACTCGAGGTTGGGGTGGTTGTGGCAATTTCTTTAGAACAACAATGAATGTTTGCCTCCTTAATTGACTCTTCCTTTCACAAAAGTTTTGTTCTATGCAATGCTGTTTGATATCATTTTACCCAGAGTATAACTTCTTTCAAAATTGGAGTCAGTTTTCTCAAATCATGTCACTGCTTTATCAATATGTTTATGTAATATTCTAAACCATTTGTTGCCATGTCAAAAATATTCACAGCTTGTTCCAAGAATAGATTTCATCTCATGAAAACACATTCTTTTGCTCACTTATAAGAAGCAACTCCTCATGTATTCAAGTTTTATCATGAGGTTGTAGCAGTTCAGTTACATCTTCCAGCTCCAGTTCTATTTCTCTTGCTATTTCTACCACATTGGAAGTTCCTTACTCCACTGAAGTCTTCATCCCCTCATAGCCATTCATGAGGATTGGAATAATCTTCCAAACTCTGTTACGGTTGATATTTTGGCCTTCTCTCATGAATTACAAATGTTCTTAATAGCATTTGGAATAAAATCTAAATTTTTTCTGCAAGGTTTTCAGTTTAGGTTTTATCCAGGTCAATCAGAGAAATTACTATCTATGATAGATATAACCTTACAAAATGTATTTCTTTTCTTTTCTTTTCTTTTTTTTTTTTTTTTTTTTTTTGAGACGGAGTCTTGCTCTGTCACCCAGGCTGGAGTGCAGTGGCATGATCTCGGCTCACTGCAAGCTCTGCCTCCTGGGTTCACGCCATTCTCCTGCCTCAGCCTCCTGAGTAGCTGGGACTACAGGCTACCGCCACCACACCCGGCTAATTTTTTGTATGTTTAGTAGAGACAGGGTTTCACCGTGTTAGCCAGAATGGTCTCGATCTCCTGACCTTGTGATCTGCCTGCCTCGGCCTCCCAAAGTGCTAGGATTACAGGCATGAGCCACCCTACCCGGACACAAAATGTATTTCTTAAATAATAAAACTGGAAAGTCAAAGTTACTCTTTGATCCATGAGCTGCAGAATGGTTATTGTGGTACCAGCCATGAAAACAACATTCATATATTTGTACATCTTCATCAGAGCTCTTAGTAGACTCTGTTCCTGGTGAATTAACAGAATATTTGGAAAGAAATCTTTTTATCTGAGCAGAAGTTCTCCACAATGGGCTTTAAAAATTTGGTACTACAGTGTAACAAATGTGTTGTCATACAGGCTTTGTTTTTCCATTTCTAGAGCACAGGCAGAGTACCTTAAGCATTATTCTTAAGGGCCTTAGGATTTTCAGAATGGTAAATGAAATTGGCTTCTATAGCTCTTTATTTACAGTGAGAGATGTAAAATTATTCTGATACATGAACACTTAGAGGCCTTTTAGGGTTATTGATTGGCCTAATTTCAATATTGTTTTATTTCAGGGACTAGGGAAGCCTGAGGAGAGGGAGAGTGATGGGAGAATGGCCAATTAGTGGAGCAGTCAGACCACATACATTTATCTAGTATGTTTGTCGTCTTATATGGGTTGGGTTCATGGTGCCCCAGAACAATTACAATAGTAATATCAACAATCACAGGACATGGACCAACATAACAAATATAAATAATAATAAAGTTTAAATTATTGCAAAAATTACCGAAATATGATGCAGAAACAAAAAGTGAGCACGTGCTTTTGGAAAAATGGCATTTATAGACTTGCTTGACTCAGGGTTGTCATAAACCTCCAATCTGGAAAAAAAAAAATCTGTGAAGTGCAATAAAGTGAACCATAATAAAACAAGGTATGCCTGTACGTGACTTTTATTATGTTGGAATACTTTCCTTCTAGTTCTAACTTGTTGAATGTTTTTATTATGAAAAGATGATGAATTTTGTCAGTTGCTTTTTCTACATCAATTAGTTTGATCATGTTGTTTTATATTTTGTTAAGGTGGTATATTACATTAATCAGCTGTCATATGTTGTACCATTTTGGCATTCCAGGAATAAACATCATTGGTTTTTGGTCGTGGTACATAATCCTGTTAACATGCTGCTGGATTTGGTGCTGGCTTCATTGAATGAATTAAGAAGTGTTTTTTCCTCTTCATTTTTAGGGAAAAGTTGGAGAATTTATGTTAGTTTTTTTTTTTTTTTTATGTTTAGTAAATTCACTAGTGAGTCCATCAGGTCCAGGGTTTTTATATATAGAAGATATATGTCAGGTTTTTTTTTTATTATTGATACAATCTTTTTGCTAGTTATAGGTCTATTCATATGTTCCTGTTCTACATGATTTAGTCTTGGGAGGTTCTGTGTTTATAGGAATTTGTTCATTTCATCTAGGTTATCCAAATTGTTGGCATACAGTTGCTCATAGTATTCTCTTATAATCCTTTTTATTTCTGTATAATTGGTGATAATGCCCCCACTTTCATTTCTCATTTTAGTAATTTATGTATACTCTCTCTTTTTCTTAGTCTATCAGGCTAAAGATTTGTCAGTTTAAAAAATCCTTTTAAAGAATCACCTTTTGGTTTCATTGATTTACTCTACTGTTTTTCTATTATCTATTTCATTGATCTCTGCTCTTTACTGTTTCCATCCTTCTGCTAGCTTTGGGTGTAGCTTGTTCTTCTTTTTCTAATTAGTTGTAAAGATAGATTGTTGAGTTGATTTTTTTCTCATTTTTAAGGTGTTCATAAATTTTTCTGCATCACATGAGTTTTGATATGTTGTGGTTTTATTTTATTCATCTCTAAATATTTTAAATTTTCTCTCTGATTTCTCCTTTGGCCCATTAGTTAAGAGTGTGTTATTTTCCAAAAATAAGTGGCTTTTCCAGTTTTACTTGTGTTTTTAACTTCTAAATTTATCCTGTTGTGGTTTGAAGATACACTTGGTGTGATGTCTATTTTCTAACCTATTGAGACTTAATTAGCAACCTAACATATGGCTTGTCCTTAAAAATGTCTCATATGCTCTTGAGAAGAAAGTTTATGCTGTTGTTTTTGGGAAGAGTATTCTGTACATTTCCGTTAGATCTAGTTGGTAAATTATATTAAGTTCTTTATTTCCTTACACATCTTCTGTCTAGTAATTCTACCCATTTTTCAGAGTTGACTATTAAAGTCCCCAACTATTATCGTAGAACTATTTCTTCCTTTAATTCCATCAGTTTTTGTTTCATATGTCTCTATGGTCTGTTATTAGGTGCAAAAGTGTTTCATTGCTATATATTAGTGCTGTATTGAAATTTTTAATATACAATGTATTTTTCTTTGACTCTTGTAAATGTTTGATTTAAAATCTGTTTTAAAATCTTATATTTGTGCAGCCACCCCCTGCTCTCTTTTGCTTACTATTTGCATGAAATGTTTTTTTCCATCCTTTAACTTTCAACTTGTTTGTGTCTTTGAATCTAAAGAGAGTCTCTTATATACAGTGTATAATTAGATCATTAATTTTTATTCATTCTGCCATTGTCTAACTTTTAGACAATGTTCATTTATATTTATATTAGTTCATTATAGTTCATTTAGACAGTACATTTATATTCATATTAATTAGTTCAACAAACAATTCGTTCATTTATATTTATATTAATTACTAATAAGGAATAACTTACCTCTGTCTTTTTGCTATTTTTTTCTATAAGTGTCATAGTTTTTCTTGTCCCTCATTTCCTGCATCACTGTCTTCCTTTGTGTTAATTTTTTGTAGTGAAATGTTTAAGTTCTTTTCTCATTTACTTTTATTTATATTTTATAGCTGCTTTCTTTGTGATTACCATGGTAATTATATCCTGAATTTATAACACTCTAATTTAACTTAATACCAGCTTAACTTCATGACATAGAAAAGTTCTGCTCCTTTAAAAGCTATGTCCCCACTGTTTTTGGTTGTTGATATAACAAAATTTCATTTTTATACATTGTGTACCCAAAATCATAAACAAATAATTCTTTGAAATGCCTCTTAAATTATATAGTAAACAAAATGTGGAGTTACAAACCAAAGTTACAATACTAGCTTTTAGAGTAATATATGTTTTAATGTGTTAGTTCATTAAATTGTGTGGAAAGCGACAAATACAATTAAAAACTGTCATTACAATAATACTAGCTTTTATAATTGCCTATATATTTATCTATATTGAGATCTTTATTTCTTCACATAGCTTCTAGCTATTGTGTTGCATCTTTTCTTTTCACCCTCCAGGATTCCCTTGAGCTTTTTTTGCAGGGTAGGTTTAGTGGTAACAAACTCCAGCAACTTTGTTTATCTGTGAATGTCTTAATTTCTTCCTGAGTTTTGAAGGATGGTTTTGCCAACTATAGCATTCTTGTTTGGCAATTGCTTTCTTTTAGCACTCTGAATATATTAACCCACTAGCTTCTGGCATCTATAGTTTTTGATAAGAAATTTGCACATAATCTTATGGAGGATCTCTTATATGTGGCAAGTTGCTTTTCTCTTGCTCCTTTTAAGATTTTCTCTTTGTTTCTGGCTTTTGAAATTTTGTTGACAACCTGTCTTGATGCGAGTTTCTTTGTTCAACTTACTTAAAGTTCATTGAACTTATTTGATGTTTATATTCATGTCTTTTACCAAATTTGGAAACATTTTAGACTCTATTTCATTAAATATTTTTTCATCTTTTTTCTTCCTTCTTCTTTTATTCTACAGTGTGTATATTGGTCCACTTCATGGTGCTCCACAGATACATTAGGTTCTGTTCACTTCAGTCTTTTCCCTTTCTAATTTAAAGACTCAGTGATATTTTTTGTCCTATTTCAAGTTTGCTGATTCTTCTACCTAATCAAATCTTCCCTTGAAGCCCTCTATATCCTTTTTTTAAAATTTTCATTATTATAGTTTTCAGCTCCAGAATTTCTTTTAGGTTTCGTTTTAGGTTTTCTAGCTCTAAATCAATATCACCACTTTGCTCCTATATTGTTTTCTTGACTTTCTCCCCATCTTCTTTTACTTCTCTGAGTATGTTTAAGACTTTGTTATAAAGTCTGTTTAGTAGATGTGTCATCAAGCTTTGTCAGGGACAGTTTATTTTTTTCTTTTGAATGGTCCCTTTGTTCCTCTCTCTTTGTATGTCTTGTGGGTTATTTGTTGAAAGCTTTGCAATTGAATCTAATAATGTAGTAACTATGGAACTCAGATTCTCTTTTCCACAGCGTCTGCTATTTTTTGGAATGTTCGTGTTTTATTTCATTTGATTGTTATAGGCTGTGTCAGTTCCAAGGATCAGTTGCAGGTGTAAGCTTAAAGTTTTCCAGATTTTTTCTGCGCCTATGTCATTTCCTGGGCATACAGTTACTTCCTACTGTTTCTCATATATGCAATTATTTATGAATGCCCTAATCTTTTCATAAGGCTTTTAAAAGAGAAAAATGGAGTAAAAAGAGTGCTGGCCCTTTATGTCTCCTGGAAATCACTTAGGCCAAGAGTGAGGGCCTTATAACAATAGTGAGTAGTGCAACAATAATGGCCTCCTGCCTCTTTGTACTGCTATGTTCAGAAGCAGCAATCAGCAATCCAAGCAAAGATCCCATATATTTGGAGAATGGGGTTCTTTTTGCCCATCCTGACTCTTGCAATCTGGGTGCAAGCTGCTTCAGGAACATGTCCACAGCTGCTTGCAGTGTGGCTAGGGGTGGAGAATGAGTGTCTGCTACTGTGCTGAGCATTGAAATTCATCAGAAATTAACTGCAATTCCCAGTCTGAGCCTTTACCTGGAAGTTGCAAGCCTTAAATAGACAGCAGAGTTCCAAAATGTTTACATCAGATATACTCTGCAAGTGCATTCTCCTAAGTGGGGAGACAAATTCCTTGTGTTTTCCACTTCCTAGAATCCTCTTCCCCAGTTACTTTTAACTTTAAAAATAATAGCCTTATTTTTATTTAGTTAAAAATCTAATGGGACGGTGGAAATTCATCCAGATTTGAGGACTTCATTGCCCTCTGAACTCAGGAAGCTGAGTGAAAGAACCTGAGAGCAGAAACACTATTCTCCAGTTGCTTTCCAGGTACAACTGAGTGGGAGAGCCAAGGTAGAGGCAGCAGGTCTTGGCGTATACTGGAAAGTATGGCATCAAAATGAAGGGTCTAATTAGGCCTCTTGATGAAAAGCAGCAAAAGAAATTGTAGACCACTAATACATTAAACTGTGGAATTACACCAAAGAATTACTGTAGCAGTAACTATATTCCAGAGAGTGATGGAGTGATGAACATTGTCTCATAGTATGCTTGTGAAGCAATGTGTAGGTGAATAGTGTAAGGAAATACATATTCATCTTGACACTGGGAGAAAAATATTCCGCATTATTTACATCAGACAGATACTACATTATCTTTCTGTCTCCATTTCTTCTGCTGCAAAATAAAGGTTACAATAATAGTGGATCAACATATATAACAATCCAGGAAAGTCTACCTCATAGGTTTATGGCACACAAATAGTATAAAAATAAAATACCTCATGGGAAAAATACTCAGAATTTATTTAATTTCAAGCTATTATTTTGACAAGAACTCATTATCTTTCAATTCATGAAGTACATGTGCATTTTCCACATCACTTCTGTCAGATTCTGTGTATCAAATACTGGGAATTATTAGGGATACTTTCTGATATTACTTAGTTTTGACCCTCAAAACTGAAGCAGAAAGTCCTTCTGTCACTGGAAATCTAAGTGTATATATTGTAAAGAATCAAAGTCTATATCAAGAGCAGTTGAGGAACATATGCTTACTTAGATGGGTTGTTTTTAATATTATTTTAATTATCATGTTTCTACAATAAATAATTATGATTGAAAATAATGGGCTTGTTAATTGATTTGGAAGTCATTTCCTAAAGCAAATCTGAGAGTGCAAATGAAAAACTAAGATTTTTTTGAATTAAGAAAATGAATCATGCTGCTATAAAGACACATGCACATGTATGTTTATTGCGGCACTATTCACAATAGCAAAGACTTGGAACCGACCCAAATATCCAACAATGATAGACTGGATTAAGAAAATGTGGCACATATACACCATGGAATACTATGCAGCCATAAAAAAGGATGAGTTCGTGTCCTTTGTGGGGACATGGATGAAGCTGGAAACCATCATTCTCAGCAAACTATCGCAAGGACAAAAAACTAAACACCACATGTTCTCACTCATAGGTGGGAATTGAACAATGAGAACACTTGGACACAGGAAGGGGAACATCACACACCGGGGACTGTTGTTGGGTGGGGGGAAGGGGGAGGGATAGCATTAGGAGATATACCTAATGCTAAATGACAAGTTAATGGGTGCAGCACACCAACATGGCACATGTATACATATGTAACCAACCTGCACATTGTGCAAATGTACCCTAAAACTTAAAGTATCATAATAATAATAAAAAAGAAAATGAGTAATGACTGGTTTGCTCTATTTTATTATTAAAACTATAATTTATTTAAAATAATATGGTACTGGCACCAGAAAAGACAAATATCTCTTCACAGTTTGAGAACTTGCCATTTGCAAGGCACGGTGATAAGAGCGGGTGAAGTGTCTGGTAAAAGAAAGCAGGCATGACCCATACTTTTATAGAGGTGGAGAGTAAAATTTTGAATACAGACAAAAGAACAAGTAATTATAATGTATGATGTTAAGTGTTGTAATAGGGGAAATACTACATTTCAAGAGAGCTTTTGGAGGGTGTGTATCCTAGATTCAATGAACGTCTTTGGGAAGAAGCAAAATTTAATCTGAGATCTGAAGATTGTACGTTATTTAAGAGAAGGTGGATTCCAGTGCCAACATAGCCTGTTTGTAGACGGAATATGGTTTGAAGACTATGAGAGGGATGCAAACAATAAAGAATTGAACATTTGAGAAGGAAGGGGCAAGAACAAAAAAGAAAAGAAAAACTAAGAAGGCAGCGATAGAGATGAGGGAGGAAAAAAAAAGCATAAGAGTGTATGTGTCTAAAACTAAGGGAAAATATTTCAAGAAGGGAATTTTCCATAGCATCAAATAATGCTGGAAATCTGAAAGACATGAAGTTTTGTTTTTTTGTTAAAGTCCATTGGAAGCAATAAGAATACTGTTGCCTTGGGAATAGTATTTGCAGGGAAGTGATGGGGTGGAAAAGAGACTGAAACAGCAGCCTAACAATCCATCCTTGTTTGAAGACGCAAAGGTAAGGGATGTTGACTACTTATTCAAGGTTCTCTGTGAAAGGAAAACAAATGCATAGGAGGGAGCTCACATAGTGACTTCAAGGGAAGGCTTTTTTTTTTTTTTTTTTTTTTTTTTTTTTTTTTTGAGAGAGAGTCTTGCTCTGTTGCCCAGACTGGAGTGCAGTGGCGTGATCTCGACTCACCACAACATCCACCTCCTGGATTCAAGCTATTCTCCTGCCTCAGCCTCCCAAGTAGCTGGGACTACAGGCGTAAGCCACCACGCCCTGCTATTTTTTGTATTTTTAGTAGAAAAGAGGTTTCACTATGTTGGCTAGGCTGGTCTCAAACTCCTGACTTCATGATCCACCTGCCTTGGCCTCCCAAAGTGCTGGGATTACAGGCGTGAGCCACCCCACCCGGCCCAAGGGAAGGCAGTAGAGATTTGGGCAGACATAGACACTGATGGGAAGGGTCTAGTGGAGAAAGTGATATCCCTAGAATGGCTAACAGAATAATCCACTGAATGAGAGGGACAGTTAGGGATCAGATAGGTTCAGTGTAAATTTGGAGAAATAAGTCTTGTACCAGAATCGCAATACTTTAGAAGAGGAAAGAAGAAAATAATAGAAGAAGATGCAGAGAATTTTGTGGAATTATGGCATAAAATTGAGCAGATCTTATTTGATCACGTAATTTCTTTGTTAAGTAAGAGACTAGATTATCTACTAAGCAACTAAGGAAGTTGAAGGATTGGAAAAAATGCAGTGAATATTATATAAACATACACTAAAAACTGGAACTTCAGAGAAGAAAGATTGAAAATGAGCTATGCACTAAGCAAAGTGATCAAAATTTAAGATTGATACAGATAAGTAGAGGTGCTATATTCATAATGATTTAACCAGCTGCATTTATGAATATTATTTTTTATTCCAAAACGTTTCTTCTAAATGTTACTAAATTTAGTACTCTAAAGCCTAAAACCTATTTCTATTTAGAGATATAATGACATGTTTTACTACTTTACAAATCATGCTTAGATATTAAGTCTAGAATTAGTGGATTATGCTTCAATTTTTTTACCCATAATAGTTGTTTTCAAAACATGTATCAGTTTTCTGAAAATGTATTATAGATTATTTTTACAGTGGAGAGAGAAGTCCTGAAACGACAGCTGTTTGACACATTTGAACATCCATTGATCTTTCAAAAACTGCAAGAGGCAAATGGCTTATCTTGAATGCACTTTGGGGAACAATGTGACATTTACAGTTAAAAGCATTACACATCCATATGCATAATTCATAAACTGGAAATTATTTAAATCCCAGAAACCCACTTTGATAGTTTTTGCTTTCAATTTCCAATGCATTGATGCTTCTAATAACTCATTTTCTCTGTAGAAGCCTATTGTTTACTGTTACATGAAGCTTCTCTACAAAATAAAAACCGGGTATATAGAGACCTAATAGGAAGAAGCAGTATTGCTTGGTGGTCAAGACTGTAGGCTCCAGAACCAGACACTTTGAGTTCTGATCTTCATTCTGCAATGTAATACCTATATGACCTCGTAAAATTTTGTTTCTTCCTTGTACCTCAGTTTTCATCTAAAAATGGGCCCAATAACAGTGTCTTTCTCATAGAGTTGTTGCAAGGATTAAATGAAATAATGTATATGGGCACTGAATGAATGTAAACCAATAACAACCATAAACAAATGTTGTTTGTTCTGCTTTTTATTAAAGTATGATTTACATTCAGCAACAAACATGAATCTTGAATGCAATTTGACTGTTTGCATACGTAGACATCCATGTAGCCACCTCCAGATCAAGATATAGTAGTACATTTTCATATGCCCAGGAAGTTATGTTGTCTTCTTTTCCTAAAAAATACCCCATTCCCTTTTCCTGAACTAACTACTATGCTGATTCTATTACCATGTCTATTCTTGGAGTTCATATAACTGGAATCCTAAAATATGTATACCTTAATGCCTGGCATCTCTCATTCAAAATGACATTTTTTGAATTCATCAGACTGACTTACATGACCAGAAGGTTTCATTTGTTATTTTTTTTTTGCTGTATAGTATTCTATTATATACAATAGAACTTTTAAATGTTTAAAATTTTTATTTTCCTATTAATTATAATTAGTTTAAATCAATCTCTTATTAACCCATTACTTTTTCCAATTCTTAAAGATTTTTCTTTACTTAAATATAAAATGCAGCTGGTCATTAGTTTATAAAAAGGATACAAAGATGAGTCACCTATAGAAGATAGTAAAATACTATTATATGGTGTGGATTTTTTTTAGCACAGAAAACCTGTAGGTAGGGACTTCTAGAAAAGCATTTATAATATAACATAAACGTGATAGGATACAAAGGGATTTTATTGCTGTTTTGTTGATTTTCAAAATTTTAACTTCAGAGAAGTAGGCAGGTCCAAACAGAGAACGAATTTTCACAGAGAGGATTATAGCATGACTTAAAAAAAAAAAAAAAGAAAGAAGACATTACTTTCTTTGTTTTCTGTAACACCATGAGCCCAGGAAATGAGTTACTTATTCCTTGGGCTCAGAGCATCCAGAGCCTCCTCTATGTTCATGGTATTATCACTCACTGCAAGTGCTACCTAGTGAGGATTCTATAAGCCCTCTAGCAATGAGACAAAGACCAAAATGTGATGTTTTTCTCTCCATCTCCCAACCAATACCCACAAGTTGCTTCCTTTGCCTAATTTGTCTTTAGACTCTAGTAAGCTTAGCAGTAGTCACTCAACTGTTGAAAACTTCCGTATTTTTATTACTTTATGCATGCTTTTCCTCACCTCTAGGTTGCAAAAATGATTGGCATCTAATTTCCTAAATCCATTGACTCCCTTGTTTACATCCTGACAAATGGTGAAGCCACATGTCAATCTTCACGCATCCTAAATGACTCTAAATTGTATTCTGTAATGTCATAAGGGCAACGTACTTGCTGTATGAAATTACTAGTGACAGCTGATGGGGAAAGCAATGTGGTGAGATAATTAAAAATGCACCTGTGATCATCATATTAT
Source organism: Homo sapiens (assembly GCF_000001405.40). Taxonomy (NCBI): domain Eukaryota; kingdom Metazoa; phylum Chordata; class Mammalia; order Primates; family Hominidae; genus Homo; species Homo sapiens. Next base: position 9,483,221 of record NC_000009.12, on the reverse strand, counting down.
CAGTAAAAATTAAAGTGGTCTGTCTCCACTGAGTCTTTCTGCTGTCATGTTCTATGCATGATTTCTAAGACAAAGAAGCATTTATTGTACCACAATGCTTTTAAAGGATAGATCTTATTCTTAGATATCAATATATTAGAAAGCATTTAGTCATACTCTGAATGCAGATTTTTTTCCTTATCACAGAACTGCAGAATTTAAAATGATTTCATTAAGATGGAGAAGAAAAATCAACTTTTAAATATGCAGTTTGCCAATAATTTTACTGGCTTTACTTAAGAAACTATTTAAAGAGAGTAGCGTCTACATGTTAGAAGCATTTGAGTTAAACTTCCTTGCAAACTAGAACTTTAGCAATTACTTATTTGCATAATTGTGATATTGCTATTTAAATCCTTCAGTAAAATATAGAACAAAACAAAATGCTGCCCTAAGGAGGAGCCTTAATTGTCTCTTCATAGCCTCAATTATCTTCTGTGAATATTTGTAATTTCTGTTTATAAACAAGCTTATTTTAAGCATAAATGTGCTATTTAAGTTGTGCTTAGAACCACTGCCATCTACGGATAATAGCTGATGTCCTCAGAAGAGAATGGCAGTAAATACCTGAACTATGATTCTATCTGTAGTGCTGGTACAAGATAATGTGTGCTTACTTGTGATGCTTCTTTGGCTTTTCTCATCCTTGTGCCAGACTCCCCTCTTCTCAAGTATCTGGACAATGAAAGAAAAGAACAATTCTTCAAATGGTGCATGTGTGGGTACAAAGATTATATAGACACTTCAACGTTCTACCCCATTTTGCTGTGAACCTAAAACTGCTTTAAAAAATAAAGCTCATTAATTTTTTAAACAAGACTAGATATTGTTGAATCAAAGTATGCTTAGAATACCATGACTCTAGAATTCTAGGTTAAAACAAGTGTTATACTTTAAGTCATTTCACTGAACTGGTTTACTTACTTTTTTCTCAAATATCTAGGAATGTCCAGGTATATGATAAAGAGGAGATCTTATTAAAATTTTGTGTCTATTAAAATTTCCAGCACCCCACCTCTCCCCAAAAGATCTTACTCTCCCAACCTCGCCCACCTGTCTGTACCTCTTGATCACTTCCTTACCTGTCTTCTCGGGGAACTGCTAGGGCCAGATACAGATGCTGAATGGGATTCATGTGGCAGAGTAGCTCCCCAGAGACTGTTAAGAACATGTTGACTGGGAGAGTTCTCTTATGATGAAAGTGAAACATTGAAATATACCTGTGATAATTCAAGCAGATTTGATTTTATTAATTTTTATCTATTAAGATTCTTTGGGTTAGATAAAATGCAATAAAAACTGACTAAAATGATCAAAAGTATTTCTTTAGATAACTGCAAGGACAGGGGCTACCAGGTTTCAGGTATGGAGCAGAGCTCAAACTCTGTTTCTGTGATTCTCTTGGCCTAGCCCTCTTCTATTGACTAGGTGTCAAATGGGGCAAGAATAGAACTGAACGCCAGCACTGCAATATGACATTTGCGAGCTCTAGGCATTTTCGCCTTCATGGACCTCTTTCTTCATTAAAAAAAATACTACCAAGTATGTTTTACAATTGCGTTGTTTTAAAAAAGAATATAATCCAGCTTGAATTAACTATTATATATTTATTTTTATATTCATTTTTCTTCTGATTTTAAATAAATTAAAATTAAAACATTTTGTAGACCTCTAAATGTACTATGGGCACTAGACACTAGTCCTACCTACTGTGTCTGATGGGTAAATCAGCCCTGCTGAGCACAACAGAAAATTATGCTATTTTGACATATTATCTTCAAAATTTCCCTGTAATGTTGATGTTCCTGTCACTGTGTTACATGTTGAGAAAACTAAGGATCAGCAAGGCTAATCAAATTGATTGAAAACACAGTGATGATTGTGAGTCAAGAATTGAATCTGCCTCTGTTGGACTTTGATACCCTCCAGCTTCTACCTCACCAAGTCTGATTTTTTTACTAGGTAATAAATACTAAAAATATCTCATTATTTTCCTTAGTGTCTACTGCCTAGTCTGCCCTCATCCTCGCTACACTCCACCCTTTACCACTTAACTGTCATCATCATCATCATTATCACCATCATCATCATCATGGAAGTGTATACTGAGTGCACATTCTAATTTATTCCAATTTATTTGCCTTTAAAATTAAATCCATCATATAGGCATTATTACATGTCTTCAACAGATAACGTAGGGCCCAGAGAAACAGAATAACTTATCCAAGTTGACCCAGGTAGTGGGTAGCATGTGGCATATGAAGGAAGCCTGTAGACAGCATGATTAATCCTTTGACAGTTCCATCTCTTAGCAGTCCTTTCTTCTTTCAAATATGATATCAGAGACAGTCCACGTACCACATGTTTTAGCATTTAGTTGTATGCTTTTTATTTTTCTCTAATTATTGATGGATGTTAATGTTGTATTTTTATCAAGACTATTGCATCCTAAATAAAAGGAAATTTTCTGTGGCCACAGCACTTAATATACTAAAAAATATATGGTATATATTTTTACGTACTACATATCATGTATTTGAAAAAATATACATTACTAAACCTGGAGCAATAGCAGGAAATTACTAAAAGAAAAAGAGACACTATAAACATCAATACAAACTTTGAAATCTAACATTTTTTTTAAATATTGCTTTTTAAAATGTTTCACCATTTTCTTGGTATTGTTTTAGCTCAGTTTTATTGCCTTGCATATAACTTCTTGAATGTATAAGCTTTCATTGTGTTTTGAGATCTGGAAGAAAATTCTTTTATATTTGAAAAGGAACTTATATTTCAAATATGCTTTCAGCTTTAACTGAATATATGTTTTCTTTTATGGGAACAATTCTGCCTTTTCTCCCTTGTGAGCAATGTCTCAAGCCGAACTTAACTTAGAAGAGAAAATGTATTTCTTTTAATGTCAGCATATGATTTAAGAAAACTGTGAATACCACCAATCACCATCTCCTTCACCTCAGTGGAATTATTCACATTTTATCCATGCACCCTTGGACTGATGGATTTAATACCTGAAGCATATGAATGCCCTTATTCTTTCAATGTGCCCAGGAACAAATTTTGTGGGCAGTATTTTCATGGCATTTTTGATAGCAACATTCTGTGATAGGACAATTGATCCCAGATATTTTGCCATCAAACTTTACCATTATTCTTGCTCATGAAAAGAGAAGAAATTAAGTATGTAGCAGTCCATGGCATGACAGTCTTTCTGAGTAGCCTGTCAGATTTGCTTTTATTATATAGTTTATATACCAAATAACCATTCAGTATTGTCAGTTTCTATAAGCCTGCAGCCATCTTCATTAGAAAATTGACATTATACTTACTTGATGTTTAAAACTCCAGTGCTTTCCAAATAATTTGTATCTTCCTGAGAGGACAAATAGGGGAATTTAAGAGTTTTTTGTTTTGTTTTGTTTTGTTTTGTTTTTGTTTTTGCTGCTGACTAAATTACTTAAGGTTTTCAATCTATAAAACAATAGTGATTGCCATCATTTATTATCAATCAAATAATTTCTGTTATTTGGAAGAATGGTATCTAATAATACTTAAAAGTGTTGGTGCAAGTTTGAATTCTATATAGAAAAAGCAAGTTAATTAAATCCAATGACTTGTTTTTAGTACTTGTAAAATTGGCATAGAAATACTGCCTACCTTGTAATGATGTCAGGGACTTAATTGATACAAGGTTTGAAAAGAATCAAGTCCTCAACAACTGGTAACTGTTATTATTGGGAAATAATTCTGAGTTAGTTTTCAAGAAATATACAAAAACAGCAATGAGTGTATGTGTGTGTGTGTGTGTGTGTGTGTGCATCAGTTTTCACATTTTCTCGAAGGCATGAGATGTTTTTATTTGCTTTCCTGAAAATGGAGATGAAACACACTAGAAATGTTTTATAATTCCAAATGCTAGAGGTGGGTGTGTGTGTGGGGGGGGGGGGGGCGTGTGTGTGTATGTATGTATGTGTGACTTATTTATCTCCTCATATAAGAACTATTTTTGGACAATAAAAATGACCATCTAGTTCTTCTTAGATGCAAAATGGTCTAAAGGCAATGAGTAAAGTACACATTATGAAAGAAAAAAAACATAAGGAAAAACAGACTTTATGAACCATTGTGTGATTATTTTCTCTGAATCCAGAAAGCCACATCTAATTAGCCTGTGTATTATGTGTTATGATGTAATTATTCATATTTTAGGCCATGTTTACTATGACAAACCAAGAGTTGCCAAAAAATTTCTCCCGGTATGTGAAAGCAGCTCATATATCAGCTGCGTAAGCAAACATGAGATGGAACTCACTTGCACCCTTGAACTACCTCCAACAGAGCAGAATTCTGAGGATTAAACTCGAGCAGCATCTTTAACAAAGAAGAGGCACTTGAAATATTTGGGGTTTTAAAATTTTTTTTCAACATTTTGAGCATCAAATTTTTAAAAAGATTAATTAATTTTCAACTTTAATATTATTCAATACTCTATGAACCTTTGTTGGCATTAACACTTACAAAAGGCTAACTCTTTGGGATAGAGAGAGAGGGGGATGCAGGACAGTAGGAAATAAATGGTTAGATCTAAATGTGTGGCAAGATCTGTTTACTTACTGCGTGACCTTGGACAATTTACATAACCACTTTCATCCTCACTATTTTTCATTTTCAGAATGAAGTTTGTTGTTAGAATTAGAGATAATGTATGCAAAGTACTTAGCACTATGCCTCACATTTAATGGGCTCAATAAGTGATAAATGACATTGTTTTTATTTTTACTATTGTTATTCAGCTATTAACCTCTCAGAATGTCAGAATCCAAGACCTTAAAGGCATTTCAGAACTAAGAAGATGCTGTCATTTTACTTCTTTCCTTACTTGCCTGAAGTCAGTCATTGGTGCCTTGTTTGATACCCATGCAGTTAATCTGTAGCATAAATCTCACAAGTATTAGAAAGACCCGGGCACAAATGTCTTAAATGTTCAAGTTATTAACAGGGCAGTTTACTTATTGCTAAAACTGTAACAAGGCCAAAGAAGGTTTACGCATAATCTAAAAAAACCTAAATTATTTGAGACAATCAAAACAAATAACCTCATAGACCACAAATTTTTCAGAACGGTCCATGTGTAGTACAAATGTAAATGTAATATTTTCATTACTGTTATTAAATTTTTGAGACCAGTGGTTATCAATCCTGGGTGGCTTTTAGAAGATACACAAATCAATCTCCAGCCTGAGTTTTTGAGAACTATTTATTACAGATGTTATAAAATTCAATTTGAGAATCAACAAAGATTAAGCAATATTATTCTTCCTTAACATTGGCTGTGTTGTTTTTTTTGAAACACGTTTGTCAAGAAAATGTACAGTTCTAATAGCATCCTTTGCATAGATCTCATTATCATTATTACATTCTTGCACCATATAATGTAATAAGTGACCAAACCAATTTTATTATTATTAGGTACTGGGAAATACGTTTCAGAGTCCAGTAGTAGTTCCTTGCACGGATATCAGTTCTTTTACTTAATAATCATTGTCATACTTGTTTTGGGTCTTACCCTTTCAACTTGGAAATTAAGATAAAAAACACCAGCCTCATATCAGTGATATGGATAGTAAAATAAATAATGTGTGGAAATGAATAATCAGAACTTTAAAAAGCATTTTCTTTGAGTGGGGTGACTACACCTCCTCTTATGCCTCAGATAGTTTTGATTTAATATTATTGTCCCAGTTTAATTACTAATAATGCCTCAATTTACCTTCAAATGGTCCCAGTTTGTAAGAAAAGGAATCCCACTTATGAGAAACATGAGCATCCTCATGCTGTTAATCTCAATGGGTGATATCATCATAGAGCAGAACCTACCTTTACGGTTAGAGGCAAGTACACATCAGAACTGAAGGTAGTGAGATGACTACAGTTGAATAGTAGTAAACTGATAAATAATTTGGTTTATGGGATAAAAATATTGTGGAGTCAGACAGTCCTGGGTATAAATACTGTCTTTTCCAATGGCCTACATTCTTGGACCATTTGCTGAATCACTCACTTAATGACTGCAGGTAAATAGTACCTTTTTTGCATTGCTATTGTATGGTTTAGAAATAATGGTATGAAGGGCCAGGTGTGGTGGCTCACACCTGTAATCCCAGCACTTTGGGAGGCTGAGGCAGGCGGATCACCTGAAGTTGGGAGTTCGAGACTACCCTGACTAACACAGAGAAACCCCGTCCCTACTGAAAATACAAAATTAGTCAGGCATGGTGGCACATGCCTGCAATCTCAGCTACTCGGGAGTCTGAGGCAGGAGAATCACTTGAACCCAGGAGGTGGAGGTTGCGGTGAGCCAAGATGGTGCCATCGCCCTCCAGCCTGGGCAACAAGAGAAAAATCCATCGCAAAAAAATAAAAAATAAAAAATAAAAATCAGTGCTTTGTTTATTAGGTTTCTTATGTAAAATTTCAGATTTCTATCTGTATACTCATTAGTATGAGCAGAGGAGTTATACATAGGTAAAATTCAACATTTATAAACATAAGTTATATTATAGAGGCCACATGCTAGCAGTGAAGGAACCAAACATAAAGATGTTCTGGTCCTTGACATCAATGAGTTTTCTGTCAAGCTAAGAAGACAAATGTGTAAACTGACATGAAAGCTACTTAAGTATTTCCTACCCTTGATTATCCCCGTAACACATCACTATTCATTGTCCTTACAAAATCTGTTATAATCCTCAATTATCCTGTTTGTTTATATATTCCTTATATATTGTTTCTCTTCTGAGAATAGGCCCCTGGCTAGATTTGTTCACACCATGTAATTCACAATTTAAAAAGAAAATGGGCAGAGTGAATAGAAATATTTGCTTGCTAATCATCTATTTCCTCAAAATCCAGTAAAAAATATATATGGCAGGAGTTTATACATCAAGAAGAGATAGACACACTAGGAGTCAGCCGGCTGAACTGAGGGATTCTGTTCTGATACCTAGCTCACTATGCAACATTGAGGCAGACATATCACTACGCCTGTTTTCTCACCAAAAGATGAAAGATTATGAATTTTTGGATTCTCAACTTCAATTCTCATATTCATAAATGGCCCTTTTAATATATCAGTAGATATAATGTACAGTCTATGAGACTTTTCTTTTCTCTTTTTAATGTAGTGGAGTTCTACCTAAGATTTTAATTTAAGAAGTGATGATAATCCCTACAATGTGTGAAACTACCACTGCGGAGGTAGCAGTTTATATATAACATAGGCCAAAGCCTATTTCTAGAGCTGTGTGATCTTAGTCCATCTGCATCAGAAGAACCTGGAATATGTGCTGAAACTTCAGATTGCCAAGTCACACACAAGACTTAGTGACCTCAAATCTCTGTGGAATGTTAGAATGGGCATTTTCAATAAACATGCAGATAGTCTAATGAAAATCAACATTCAGGAATTATTTAACTGGAAGCTATCTAGTCAGGGACATCTGTAGTGAAAATGAGGTGACATGATCCCTACCATTTCGTAAGACACTGTCTGAGCATGAATCCAACACAGAGAAGAGCAAGGGTGACAGAAAAAAGAGAGTTTTGAGTCCTGATGACATTGATTGATCCATGGATCAGTGACATAAGAAACTAGCACAATCATGGATTTATGAGCTGATAAAATCTATCTTTGCTTCATCTTTTTTAGGTTCGATTTCTCCTGATGGAAAATGTCACAGCTAATGCAATGTTTTACTCAAAATCTTCCATAACAGCTGTTAGTGCCATAGGGTTATATGTAAAAAGAGTGAGGCTATACAGGTTGTTTATGGTTATCCCTTTTATTGGTTAATGACATTCTAGTATTGGTTTTGGATGGTTGCTGTACATGTCATATGCTTGTTAAATATTCTGAGAGTCAACCCTACATAATTGCAGATTTCGTAATATATTAGCTATTGCTATTTGCTGTGGATGTTGAGAAAGTAAAATAGTAAACATAAGTAGTATTGTATAATAGAAATATTTAGAAACTATGTTAAGAGAACCATTGCCTGACTTCAGTTGGTAGTATGTATCACCCCTGGCTATAGTTAGAGTGATCGTGCACTCTTCTAGCAGGATTCTTTATTTTTAAAAGCCTGTACTTCATCTACATTGGCTGGTCTGTTTTCCTCCTTAAAAAAGTAAAAACTTGAGAAAACAGAGGTTCCAGCTAGAGAAGTTAGGCCAGAGAAAGAAAGAAAGGGTATCCACATTGGAAAAAAGGAATCCAATTGCCTCTCTTTGCAAACCACATAATCTTACATATGTAAAAATCTATAAAAACTCCAACAAAAAGTCCTAGAATTGATAAATTAATTCAGTAAAGTTGCAAGATACAAAATTAACATAAAATTAGTAGAAATTCTATACACCAATAACAAACTATTTGAAAAAGAAATCAAGATAGTAATCTCATTTATAATAGCTACAAAAAAAACCCTAGGAATAGATTTAACTAATGAAGCAAAATATGTCTACAATGAAAATCACAGGACACTGATGAAATAAATTGAAGAGAACACAAACAAATGAAATGATATCCTGTACTGATGGGCTAGAAGAATTAATATTTTTAAAATTACCGTAACGACCAAAGCAATCTATAGATTTAATACAATCCCTATCAAAACACCAATGGAATTCTTCACTGAAATTTTTTAAAAATTCTAAAATATATATGGGACCACAAAGGTCCTTGAATAGCCAAAGCAATACTGTGTAAAAAGAATAAAGCTGGACCCGACTTCAAAATGTACTATAAAGCTATCATAATCAATACGGCATGATATTGGTATAAAAACAGAAAAATAGACCAATGGAAAAGAATACAGAAATCAGAAATTAATTTACCTATTGCAGCCACCTGATTTTCTATAGAGGTACCAAGAAGATACGTTAGGGAAAGGACAATCTTCAATAAATGGTGCTGGAAAACTGGATATCCATATGCAGCAGAATGAAATTAAACCCCTATCTCTCACCATCTACAAAAATCAACTGAAAATGCATAAAGACTTAAACTAAGACCCAAGTCTATAAAACCACTAGAAGTAAATATAGGGGAAACACTTCAGGACGTTCATCTAATAGATTTTATAGATAAGACTTCAAAATCACAGGCAAAGAAAACAAAAATAGACAAATGGACTATATCAAACAAAAAAGCTTCCGTAAAGCAAAACAATGTAGTAAAGAGAAAACCTGTAGGTTAAGAGAAAATATTGCAAACTACCCATCTGACAAAGGACTAAATATCCAGAATATATAAGAAATTTAAAAACTTAACAGCAAAAAAAAAAAAAAGATTTTAAAACGGACAAAAAGTCTGAATATCCATTTTTCAAATAAACCCATACACATGACCAACAGATATTTGAAAAAATGCTCAATCTCATTAATCATCAAATGAAAATAAAAACCACAGTGATGAAGTATGTCACCCCTGTTGGAATGGCCATCATCAAGAGAATGAAGTGCTAACAAATGCTGACAAAGTTGTGAAGGAAAGGGAACTCTTACACACTGTTAGTGGGAATGTAAATTAGTACAGCAGTTGTGAAAAACAGGATGGGGGTTTCTTAGATAACTAAAAATAGAACTATTATACCATGCACTCCAGCAATCTCACTCCTGGGTATTTTTCCAAAGAAAGAAAATCAATATATCAAAGAGATACCTGCACCTCCACGTTTATTGCAGTTTTATTCGCAATAGACAAGATATGGAATCAACCTAAATGTTCATCAACAGATGCCTAGAAGTATGTGTTATATATGCACAATGGAATACCATTTAGACATAAAAAAGAATAAAATCCTGTCACTCAATACAACATGCGTAAACCTGGAGGACATTATGTTAAGTGAAATAAGTCAGGCACAGAAAGGCATATTGCATGTTTTCATTCATGTGTTCTCAGTTATATGTGAGAACTAAAAATCATCTCTCAGAAGTAGAGAGTAGAATTGTGGATATTAGAAGGTGGGAAGTGTAGGGAGAGGGGAAGATAAGGATACATTGGTTAACAGGTATAAAGTTACAACTAGATTGGAGGAATAAATTTTAATGTTCTGTAGTAATGTAGAGTTCATTAACAATAATTTCATATATATTTTCAAAAATCTAGAAAAGGATTTTAAGTGTTAACAACACAAAGAAATAATAAATATATGAGGTGTGGATATGCTAATTATCCTGATTTGATTATTACACCTTGTATACATGTAATAATATATCACTGCATCCCTTAAATCTGTGCAATTAATATGTCAACTAAAAATAAGAGAATAAAAGTAAGAAAATGGATAAGATGAGTTGAAATGTTTTATTTCAGTTTTAAATTGTTAGGATTTTATGCCGATTAAGGGAACTTAAAAAGCAAAACTCTAATAGATTAAAATTGAGTTGTTTTTCAGGAGTGTGTAAAATGATGTTTTACACACCTGCTTTATAGTGATAACTGGTCACAGCAAGCATTATTCAACTTTGTGAATCATTATTTTAGCCTATTTTTTTCCCTCAAATGCTGTAGAAACTTGAGGTTGGCTGCAAACTGAACAGCTTACGTTGGTTCCCTCAAGTATGTGAGATTGCAAGTGCCTAAAGATTGGAGTAGGGGGCCGGGCGTGGTGGCTCACGCCTGTAATCCCAGCACTTTGGGAGGCCGAGGCGGGTGGATCATGAGGTCAGGAGATCGAGACCATCCTGGCTAACAAGGTGAAACCCCGTCTCTACTAAAAATACAAAAAATTAGCCGGGCGCGGTGGCGGGCGCCTGTAGTCCCAGCTACTCGGGAGGCTGAGGCAGGAGAATGGCGTGAACCCGGGAAGCGGAGCTTGCAGTGAGCCGAGATTGCGCCACTGCGGTCCGCAGTCCGGCCTGGGCGACAGAGCAAGACTCCGTCTCAAAAAAAGAAAAAAAAAAAAAAAAAGATTGGAGTAGGGGTAGATTATCATGCTCATGTATTATTTAACTTGTAAATGAGACACGTCCTTTTGTAATTAAAATGATAAGGTAGAATAGAAAATTTAAAATATTGGCATAGATCACCATCTTATATCTGTCAATATACCACTTAGACACTTAAAATATTTGATACATAAGTAGGTAATGGTCTATATTTTATAAATGGAATTTTCTGGTAATTGCAATGTGTTTTTCATTTATAGGAAACAGGATTTGAGGAGTAAACTGTAGTTAAAAAAATCATTAAAATGTAATCCTCAAGATATACTTATCCCTTCAAAACATGAAATGTGACCATTTAAATGTATAAAAATAGAAGTATGAATGCTGCAATGCTGCCTATATAAATTGCATTTTTGCATGAAATATAATGGGGGTGAATGCCTAAAGTGCATTCTAATTAGCCTAAAAGTTTGTGTAAAGAAAAATAAAGTAACTGAAATGCATTGAATTGTTCAAAATAAGTACATGAGAGCAATACATCTCCTATAATGAAATTTAAAAATCAAAATATAGTAAGATTAGAAAACTTGATCAGGAATACAAAAACATAATAAATAGGAATAATTTTAAAATATAGCAATTTTGACATTTCTATTTTATAGTGACTCACTTCTATTTAAGCAATAAATTCTTTAATGTTCATTCAGGGAGCATTTTTTTATTTGAAATGAGAAGAGTATTGATTTTGGTAAAATGTCAACAATTTGATTTATTATTTATAATTGAAGGATTGTGATTCTTATTAAGTCACCAATGAAATATGATCGCTTTGTAGGTTGTTCCATGAGAAATTCTCCTATTGCTATTGTCACTGTTGACAGTATAATAAGTTCAGCTAGAAGAAATATCCAGTTGTTTCCTTTGGCCTTCATTCATAGAAATATCAAATGTGTGTCCATATATATGTATATGTTGGTATTTATAGATAGATACATATAGATGCACACAAATGTAGTCAAATTGTGAATTAAAATATGTCTGGGAAAATGATACATTATTTTGCAACTATAGGACCAAGGAAGGATACAAAATGCAGAGACACTGAAGAACAAAGTACTTAATGCTTTACATTTTACAGATTTATCAGTTCTGTTAGACCCCAAGACCTGCATGTTACAACCTGATATTTCCCATGGAAATTGATAGATGGCTGCACCCATTGGAATTCTGGTCTATAAAACATTTGTGAGGAAAAGATCCAGATACTACAGTCTAAGTTTCCATCCCACCAATCATTTATGATTGAAGAATAAGCCTATTCATGTTAAATCTGTAGTTTTATCTTGCCTGATTTTAAACCTCCCCATATGAACTTAATAAGTTAGCATTTGAGACAGCATGGCAGCTTCACATTGATTCGTGTCCCTCCAGACAAATGATGAAGGAGGCTCTTGTTACACTGATTTCCAATTCCTATCCCCTGAATACCAAAACAATCCATATGGCAATTTATTAAGGTAGTAGAGAATGTAGATTTCTTCACTTGAATTGGAAGTTTGGTACCATATACTTCAGTCCAATCAAAATGGAGCCATGCCATTGGAAAAGAGGACAGCTGCCTTTATTTCAAAATGTTTATTCCCCCTTTTACTAAGTGTATACTGTTAGAAAACCCTTCTATTCCAACTCTATCAGTTGACTAAAATTCTATTTTTCCAATTCTAATTAATAAAATACTTTGTATTTAAGGCATTTAAAGAATTCAAAGTTTCTGCTAAATAACAATATTATTTATTCTTTAATGTGATATTGACTTTTGAAACTGTACAAAATATAACATCTTGGAAATCAATGAAACTTCTTCCAATAGGTGGTATCTTGCTGTTTCCAGTACTTCAAGATGAAGATGGTAGGTTTCAGAAACAGCCAAATGTGAATATGAGAAACATCTACAAAAATGCTGCAAATATAAAGAGAGAAAATCCTAGAAGTGACCATACAAATATAAATCTAATATCCCATGCAGTTAAAAAGCCTCATCATATTACACATCCACTATTAACACCACTAGTTCATTCAACCCACTGTGACCTGACAGCCTGGCCACCACTGGCACTTTATTACAGCTTCTGCAAAGGTATGCACTTGAGATAAAAGCCTCCTCTTTATTCTCTACCATTTCTGTCCTCTGGGAGTTCATCCACCCCAGTATTCATTTTCTTTTACTAGAAGTAACAATCAGGCAAAGCAAAAACCTCCTTTCTTCTGCCTACATCCAAATAATGTTCCCCATAGCCTGAGAATGATTCCTGATTGAATGGTTTTATGAACTTACGGTATTCTGACCCCTCATTGGACATATGCCATGACTGCATTTGATTTTTCATTATATACAAAATAAGCAAGTCAATTTGCATATAATATATAAGCATAATAAGAACAGACACTTCCCTTAGGAAGCCCAGGCAGAGATTCAGGCATTTTAAAAACTTCAAGAAGAAACATACCCACCTTGAACTGTTAGAAAGCACCAACTTTGTATTTTTCTCTACTGCACATCCACCGTAATATATATTGTAGAATGTATATGCTCAAATTAGTTGCCAGCACTCAATAGGCCTTTTCATCTGTCATCAGTTAATCATGTGGTCTTTTTTATTGCACATTATTATTTGAAATAGGAAGTATTGTTACTATAAACCAACTCTAAGTAGAAAGCCTCTGTCTCAAGCTCAGTAGATGGGTTTTTAACCACAGAGGCTTTCTGGAACCCAAGTACATCGGTCATGTGAGACCCAGTGAGCCCTTTTGATTTAAGGCTGTTCTCTGGGGAACATTGCCAGCTTTATCCTTAAAATCATTGCTCCTAGAAGACAACAGTTTCAGATTATTTCTAAATGAGAACTATCCAAAGATAATGCAAGTCACATACATAATTTAAATTTTCTAATAGCTGCATTTACAAAAGTAAAAAGCACATGAATTTAATAATATATAATATTTATTTAACATATATCCATTAGCATTTCAACTTATACATAATATTTTAGGATGTTAATGAGATATTTCATATATTCTTTTCATACTAAGTCTTCAAAATCTGTTATATATTGTATGTGATAAGCATATCCCAATTTGGGCCAAACATTTCAAGTGCTTTATGACCACAAATGTAGCTCTTAGTCATCTAAAGCTATGATGCTAAAGTCACATATAAATATTTGATGAAGGATTGAATGGTACAGTTTCCCTGTGAGATTTTGATGTAACCCCTTTATGGAGATATTTTACTCTACATACACATGAGAATTTGCCCTGATCAAAATGATTAAAAATCATAGGTTTAAATAGACACACTAAGCCTTGAGAATAAACCTGTCAGTGTGCCTGGCATTACGTAAATGACTTTCTCTGATAAAAATAAAATTATAATTTAATTTCAGAAATATAACCAAACCATTTTTCAATATATGTGAAAATTACAATATGCATTTCTAACTATATATATGCATTTTTAGAATTAAAATTTTAAAATATCACTTATTTTGAACTAACAAAAAAAGTACTGGGTTTATAAGCTGAAACAATTAGAGAAACATATATAGACTGAAATGCATGTTTATGAAATAAAGACATTGAATATTAATAACTGATATGTCCTAATCAAGAAGTTAGAAAAAGAATAGTAGCTAAGCCTGAAGAGTGCTGAAAGTGAAAAATATCAAAAGATATTTGGAAGACTAGGATAAAGACAGGAAACAACACACACACATAAGTATACTTGTGTATGTGTTTACAGATATAACTAAATGCACATATCTATACAAAGATAACTACATAGATATCTTAGTAAAGATTATTTTTTGAAATGTATGTATTTCATATAGATTATTTTTTGAAATCCAAAGACAATATTATAAACTTTTACCAACATTTTTGAAATATTATAGGAAATGAAGTTTCTAAATATATATAAATTACTGAAAGTGATTCCAGAAAAAATAAAAACCGATAAAAAAACTGAATCAATAGTTAAATACTACCTACACAGAAAGAAGGAAAGAGAGAAAGAAAGAGAAAAGGAAAGAGGAAACTAACAGTAGGTCTAGTAGGAGTAAGTTCTACAAATCCTAAGAAGTAAATTTCCACATTCAAATGCAAAACTGCTCCACAAAATAAGCATGGTATAAAGTTCCTAAATCACTATTCAAGGATAGTGATGTTTAATAGTAAAGTTGGACAATTACAGGAAAAAAATGTGTAGGCTAACCTGTCTTATGAACATGTGTGCAAAATCTTAAGTTAAAAATTGACATACCAAATACCTCAATGTATTTTAAAATGAATAGTTACCAATTAGATTTACAGAAAATTAAGTGGTTTGATATTTGTGTAATTAACCACGTAAACTGATTAAAGGAAAAATATACTATGTGATTTCCTAAATACATGCAGAAAAGTCAATACCTACTTAAAACTTTTTAAAAGATAAACTATAGAAGTACAAAATAAGAGAGAAATTTAACACAAGAATATCTACTGAAATCGATAGTAAACATGCTATTTATGAAAGATAAGAGATGCGGTCATTTCTGCTCAACTTTTTTTTTTTTTTTTTTTTTTGGGAGATGGAGTCCCGCTCTGTCGCCCAGGCTGGAGTGCAGTGGCACAATCTCGGCTCACTGCAGCCTCCGCTTCCTGGGTTCAAGCAATTCTACTGCCTCAGCCTCTCGAGTAGCTGGGACTACAGGTGCCTGCCACCCCGCCTTGCTATTTTTTGAATTTTTAGTAGAGACAGATTTCACTATGTTGACCAGGGTGGTCTTGAACTCCTGACCTCAGACGATCCATCAGCCTTGGCCTCCCAAAGGTCTGGGATTACAGGTGTGAGCCACCATGCCTAGCCTGTTCAACTTCTAGGATAGATTTTGGCCAAAGAGAAGACCAAAAAAAAAAACTGGGAAGCATTAGGTTAAAAAAAAAAAAAAAAAAAAAAAAGATAAATGAACCATCATCTCTATATGATGTGATTATTCCTATACAAAATCTAGGAAAGGATGGTGAGGACACAATAAATGTGTCCTCTTCTATCTTAGTAACAACTGTTTGGAAATGTAATGAAAAAATAGGTATTGAGAAATACATTACCAAAATTCTATGATATCATCATGTAAAAAATAAATTTCATCTTATACATGAGTGGAAAGACTTAGGAAAGTTTAAATTCAGCTATTCGGCTAAATCAAAAAATTCAAGAAAATCCTCTCAAAATTATAACATGGTATATTTTCTCAGTACTTGACAAGCTAACTCAAACTTACATGCAAGAACAAAAAGTATAGATTAGAAAGACTATTTGGAAGACAAAAAAAGACTGAGGAGAAGAAGACAACACATCACAAATTGTAGCAATTAAAATTAGTAAGGCATTTTGCACAGATTAACTGATAGAAAATCAAAAAGTCCAGGAAAAAATAGATATGGAAACTTGCTTTAAGAAAAAATATATTTTAAATATTTGGAGAAAGGATGAACTATCAAATAAGTTGTCTATCCATACAGAATATCCCTAAGTCTTACTAAACACATTCAAGGAGAAATGGGGAAGGCTTGGTCATTCATGTGAAAAGTAAGTATGAAACACAGATTTGTGTTTTGAATACACTCCCTTAATTAAATGAAAATAATTCATCAGCGAGTTCCTTTGCTTCAATTAAATTATGTAAACTTTCTAATGCACTTCAGAATTATTTTTTTCTACAGTGATTTGTACTCTGCAGTTTCACTACAGATGAATATTTTTGAATTGTATAGTATATGATTCATAATAGCAACTTCATCTAGAACACTGATCTGGGAAGAAGATAAGCTAGATTTTATTTTATTATTTACTTACTTATTTAGAGACAGGGTGTCACTCTGTTGCCCAGTCTGAAGTAGAGTGACACAATCACAGCTCACTGCAGCCTCAACCTCCTAGGCCCAAGCAATCCTCCCACCTCAGCCTCTTAAGTAGATGGGACTATGGGCACCTGCCACCATGCCTAGCTAATTTTTGTATTTTTTTATATAGAGGAGGTTTTGCCATGTTGGCCAGGCTGGTCAGGAACTCCTGGGATCAAGAGATCCATTCATCTCAGCTTCCAAAGTGCTGGTATTATAGGTGTGAACCATCACACCTGGCTACTAGATTTTATATTGTAGTGTGATTCATACAATGCTATGGAATTAAATATTTTTGTGAAATCTCTGGCAAAAAATAAGCACAATTTGTGGTCACTGTGGCTGATATGTATTGCAATGGTTGTGGCCGATTGGGTGTATTAGGAGAAACCCACCAAGATCCAGCACATGGCTAATACCCACCTCCTTACCAATAGCATTCTGTCTTGATTTCCATGGAAGCAAATCGCCACTTCCCCCACCCCTGACATAGATGTAACAATACTGTCACCAGCAAGAAATGACAGCTTAAATGGTCTTTCATTAAGCAAAATCTCACATTAAATGTTTGGTGCCTTTTCTAGATCCAGAACGCATTGGGTTTGGGGCATAGAAAAAGGCAAAAAGATGGAAGAGAGGATCGTTCTCAAAAATCAGGAATTTGGAAATCAACTCTAAACTGTCCTGTAGAGACAGAAAAAGTCTTTGTCTTTCGGGTATTTGTTTTCCAGTATGAATTCTGATATAGCTACTTAAATTTATATTGCTCTCACCCATTTATGTATTAGTGATAAATGTTATATTCTTACACTTGAGTAATGGACTCCTCTGACTCAAACAATCAGTTTGCATATTGGTTTTTGGCTCTTAGCCTTATAAAATACCATCTTGTTTATGCCTAGGAGGGATTCAAGCAAATTCATTATACATTTTCCATATCTTAAGGATAAAGTATTTGTTATTTGTTTTATTGCAAAGTTTTAAGAGTTGCATCTTTTCTTTGGCTTTTGTTTTATTGGAAGAGTGATGGTATTCTCTCATACTAGAAAAGTTTCAGCTGTTATATTGATGATTACCTGGTACATTTCTACAGCTTATTAAACTATATTGCTGTATTTTAAGATCAAAACTATACAGATCATGAGGAAAACCACAAAAGGGAATACAAGAACCAGAGCTTAGCCATTGGGGCAGGAGATCTCTGTAGCCAGTAATATTTGTAAATATGGAAAATACCTTTAAGAATAACCAGAATTCAATTGTCTCACAAGAAACTTCAATTATTCTGTACTTTACAACCCTACCCTAAAATATGCAAAATGAGCACATGAGGTTTCATGCACAATGCTCTAGACGCCTGCATTGGACATGCTTAATTAACATCCCATAAGGTTAAGCCTAGGGAATTGAGGAGCATAAGTCACTTTTTGCTGTACCTTTAAGACCTGGGTAAGAAAGGACACAAAACACTGGAGGAATAATCATGGTTAAGGAAGAAAATAAATAAATAAAAAGGTACTCATTGCTAAAAACTCATGTTTACTGCAGATGGATTTTATATTTGACTGGATAATGTGATTCCCGGGGTGGAAATCAACTAACAGATGGAATTTGATAGACTCTCCAATGTTAAGGTGATCAGACTTAAGAACTAAACCAAGCAGGAATAACAGAAACTTTCATAAATTCAAGCAATAAAACATACCACTAAATGTGTCTCATGCTGTGTTAGACTTCAGGCGACTCATAGAAAGGCCTTAATTTTAAACACAGAGCAATATATAGTCACAGGAGATGAAAATTAGGCAAGAGTTAATGATAATTTTGTTTCTATAATTAAACAGCTTAAAATGCAATGATAGTAACTATACAAATCTAAATAAAAATAAGTAGTAAGAGAATTAATCAAACTCACTATTTATACTTTTACTACATTTTGGAAACAATAAGCTGTGGGGATTCCAAAAGCAGGGAGGGTGAGAGGGAGAAAAGGTTGAAAGATTACCTATTGGATACGATGTTCACTATTTGGGTGATGGGTATGTTACCAAAATGCCAGAGTTCAGTCTAGGTCCCATTGCTCACTGGAGAGAAAGCAAATCATCTAGACAATGAGTGTTTCCTGGAATGGAGGCTTTATTAAAGTGCTGCAGCCGAGAAGTGAGATCAGACTCAAATCCATCTCTTCAACGAACTAAAATTAAGGGTTAATATAGTTGGGAATAAATGTAACCATGTTTGAGAAAACAGGAATTAGGGAGTGGAAAGAAAGAGGAGTTAGTTAACAAGAAGCAGGTAGCTGGTTATGCAGTCATGATGAGTGAGGGGTCTGGTGTCTCACTGTCCAAATGTGGTGATCTGGTAAGCTTCAGTTCCTTGATACTATTTGGGAGGCCTGATGGTTGATTTCCTAAGAAAGGAACTCAGATAAGACAAATCCAAGTTTCTCAAGTTTTAAGACTTAGGATAGTAAACTTCTGTGTTTATTCAAAAGAAACGAAAAGTATCAGCTCTATCAGAAAATTGGGCCAGTTTCAAGTACACTAGAAGCCCAATGCCCACTATTTCACAACATACCCATGTAAAAAAACATGCATATGTACCCTCTGAATGTAAAATTTAAAAAAAATAAAAATAAAAATAGAAGGTTTTAAAAAATTGTATGTTTTCTTTGGATTGTATTTTTTCAGTCTTAGAAATTAAAGGAAGTAGGTGATAGGAAAGTGACTCTAAACTTCTAATTACATACTCTGGTTATATTTTGGTCTCCTTTGCCTGCCTCCTCCACCTCCAGCTTGCTCATATGTGCTTGCTTGCTCACTTGCTCTCTTGCACTCTCTCTCTCTCTGGAGCTCTCTCCAAATCTCCCTCTTCCTGCCCCTCCCTCCCTCTTCCAACCCACTCTCTCATCCAGAAGTAGTGAAGGAGTCTAGATTTGGTTAATGTAGCCTGTCCTTGCTGTTTTGTTGTTGTGACAATTATTCCTGTTTATCTTTCCAAATTTAAACTTCAAGGATTCAATGATCCCTAGCTGCCTGATTCTTAAAGCAAATTTCCAAAGGAATGTTGCTGTAATCCTTCATCCAAATGACCTCACAACTGGGAGAGCCAAGGTAGAAAGTTGAATTAATACCAGGACCTGTGGTTCAGTCTGAAGAGGCCACAAAGGCTTTTGTTCCTATTTAGTCTCTTCGAAACTAGGTGCCACAAAGGCTTTTGTTCCTATTTAGTCTCTTGGAAACTAGATGCCACAAACAATCTTTTTTACTTTTGGTAGTCAGTTCAGTAAAACATAGTGTCTGAAAATGTTTAAATTCCTTAAACTATACAATCGGTGACAAAGAAAACTGATGTGATGATTCTTTCATTTTTTGTGGGTCACAGCAGACAAGAACTTTTGGTAAAGACTAAGGGGGTAGAAGAGGGATAAAGTGTCTAGGAGGAGAATTTATAGATCCCACCAAAATTTCCATCTCTATTGATCATCTGCCATGTCACCTGCTATACTCCGAAGTGTGAGCACTGTCATTTTTCCCTGTTAGGTGATTTGGGTCACAAACTGGAAAAGTACAGCATTTAGGGAGATCGAAAAGGAAAAGTTAAAGAAGGGGCTTGAACATAAGGGAGAAGGATCTGCAAAACAACGAGGCAACTAGAACAGGCCACCCTGGAGGAGTCATGTGCATGGTTTTTATTGTTGGATTGTTATTTGTTTCTACTCTTATTAAATTATCTGTTTTAAAAATCTGATTTAACTTATCTGTATATATTAAATCTAAAATAATTTTAAGTGCATATTCAATATGTTAAACATATAATTTTATGACAATGACTTCTGGTGAATCATTTATTGCCTTTCTGCAAAATCTTTTAGTTACAAATACATGAATATGAATACCCAAGACTATGACAAATGAGAACTATTATTTCACATTTCAAATGAATGTCAGTTCCATTCTTGGCTGCATAGTTCACTGCCAGAAATTACTATTAACTCTAGCCCTCTAGTTCTAAACTCCCTTTTCTCTCAAAAATCCTAAAAGGTGGCTGAAGGTAGAATTATATAATACTTTGAAGTCCTTTAGATTCCCGATATTGAAAGTCTACTCACTCATACTTTTTAATTCAACAGATATTTATTGTGAGTCGACTATTTGCAGATCAATATATCACATATTGGAGACATAATAACAAACAAGACATAGATATTATAGATCAGGAAGACAAAAATAGAGAAGCAAACATTAATAAGTTATGGCAACTACTATAATAGATTACAACAAAGTAATTTGGTTTAATACTATAATACAAGGAAGGAGGAATAAGGTAGAAGTCCCAATTTAAATATAATGGTTAAAGAAGCTGAGGAGATAGTATTTAAATTGAGACCTGAAGGATCAGAAGTCATCCGTGAGGAGAACGAGGAGAGAAGCCTACAGAAAGGCTCATAGATTCTATTCTCTGCACAGTTCATTTACTGTTTAACATCCAAATGCCTTCACTCTAGGTCTGGATTATTGCTGCCTCAATCTGGCCCATAAATTCCTAACATAGAGGTTATGAACAATTTTTGTGAGGCTGTACAATTCTCTAGGAATAATGCAGACTTACAATTTTGTAGACCTTTTGAGGGTATGAGTATATGGGCATTTTCCTGAATAGACCCCTAGCTCTTGCCACATTTTCAGATGGTTCAAATACCCTCAAATGGTTAAGAACCCTTTTCATATTAACTTTCTTCCATTCTGTTTGTATATCGTGTGTTTGTTTTTCCATGTTCTCTCATTTCTTTATCTACTCTAATTCCATTAAATCTTCTCCCTGGGCTACTTGACTTGAGAGAGGCTGATTTGGGGACATTAATTTAAAAGTCATATTTTGGTAATAAAAAATACAGACAACTTCTCTATGTAAAATTAGACAATGATATGATTTTATTTAAAATTCCGATTCAGGAAGTACCTGTGCAGGTATGTTACATGGGTATATTGTGTAATGCTGGGGTTTGGGCTTCTAGTGAACATATCACCTAAATAGTGAACATAGTACCAAATAGGTAGTTTTTTTTTAACCTCAACCCTACTTCCATTCTCCTACATTTTAGATCCCCCAGTGTCTATTACTTCTGTCTTTATGTTCATGTATACCCATTGTTTAGCTCCCACTTATAAGTGAGAATATATAGTGTTTAATTTTCTGTTTGAGTTATTCCTGTAGGATAATGGCCCGCAGTTCCATCCATGTTGCTACCAAGGACATAATTTTATTCTTTTTAATGACTTCATAGTATTCCATGGTGTATTTATACCACATTTTCTTTATCCAGTCAACCACTGACGGACACTTAGGTTGCTTACATGACTTTGCTATTGTGAATAGTGCAGCAATAAACGTAAGAGTGCAGGTATCATTTTGATAAAATCATTTATTTTCCTTTGGGTAGATACCCAATAGTGAGGTTGCTAGGATGAATAGTAGTTTTATCTTTATTTGTTTTAGAATCATCCATATTGTTTTCCATAGGGGGTTGAACTAATTTCCATTCCCACCAACAGTGTATAAGTGTTTCCTTTTCTCCACATCTTTGCCAACATGCTATTTTTTACTTTTTAATAATAGTTATTCTATTTGGTATAAGATGGTATCTTATTGTGGTTTTAATTTGCATCGCTTCGATGATTATTGTTAAGCATTTTTTATATGTTTGCTGCCATTTTTATGTCCTTTTGAGAAGTGTCTGTTCATGTCCTTTGCCCACTTTTTAATGGATTTGTTTTTTTCTAATGTTGATTCGTTTAGATTATTTGTAGATTCTGGATGTTAGTTCTTTTTTGGATGGTTAGTTTGCAAAAGTTTTCTCTCATTCTGCAGGCTGCCCATTTACTCTGTTGATTGTTTCTCTTGCGGAACAGAAGCTCTTTTGTATAATTTGTCTATTTTTATTGTTGTTGCATTTGCTTTTGAGGTCTTAGTCATAAATTCTTTACCTGGGTCAATGTCCAGAAGAGTTTTTCCTAAGTTTTATTCTAGGATTTTTAATGGTTCAGGTCTTACATTGAAGTCTTTAATCCATCTTGAGCTAGTTTTTATATCGTGAGAAATAGGGGTCATTTCACTTTTCTTCATATAGCTAGCCAGGTGTTTTTAGCACCATTTATTGAATAAGATGTCCTTTCCCCATTGTTCATTTTTGTCAGCTTTGTCAAAGACCAGATGGTTGTAGGTATGTGGCTGTATTTCTGGGTTCTGTCTTCCGTTCTGTTGATCGATGTGTCTATTTTTGTACCAGTTCCATGGTGTTTTGGTTACTATAGCCTTGAAGTATAGTTTGAAGTCAGGTAATGTGATGCCTCTGTCTTTGTTGTTTTTGCTTAGGTTTGGTTTGGCTACTTGGGCTCTTTTTGGGTTCCATATGAATTTTTGAATTGCTCTTGCTAAATCTGTGAAAAATGGCATTGGTTATTTGATAGGGATCATATTTAATCTGTAAATTGCTTAAGAAAGTAGGGTCATTTTAATGATATTGATTATTCCTATTCATGAGCATGGGATGTTTTCTATATGTTTGTGACATCTGTGATTTCTTTCCTCAGTGTTTTATACTTCTTGTTGTAGAGGTCTTTCACCTTTTTGGTTAAAAGTATTTCTAGGTATTTTTGTGGCTGTTTTAAATGCGATTGAGTTATTGGTTTCGTTCTCAGCTCGAAAATGGTGGATGTACAGAAATGGAATTGATTTTTGTGTATTAATTTTGTATCTTGAAAATTTATTGAAATCATTTATCAGATCTAGGAGTCTTTTGGAAGAATCTTCAGAGTTTTCTAGATATAAGATCATTTTGTCAGAAAACGGAGATAATTTGACTTTCTCTCTTCCAATTTAGATGCCTTTTATTTCTTTCTCTAGCCAGATTACTCTGGCCAGTATTTCCACTACTATTTTAAATAGGAGTGGTAAAAGTGTACATTCTTATCTTGTTTCTGTTCTTAGTGGGAATGCTTTCAGCTTTTCCCCATTCAGTATGATGTATGGGTTCCTTGGTTGTTGATAGCTTTTGTGTGGTGGCTTTCTCAAATACTGCTTTGCTGTAGTGATATACTGGACATATGAGCCAACACACTATCTCCTGTGGGGCCATTCCATGGGGCTTTGAGTTTCTCAGGCATCCACCTCTGCAGACTTTCTGGTTTCCTTTTCCACACCCCAGCTTCTTCACGTGGGCTCTCTGATAGGTCCTGGCTCAGTTTTCCATTTAAAGCATGACCATTCACCTGCAACTCTGATTTATTTTCTTTTGTGTATGTGTATGTGTTTGTTTGTTTTCATTTTTAGACAGGGTCTTGCTCTGTTGCCCAGCCTGGATTGCGGTGGTGCAATCTTACATCACTGCAGCTTCTCCCTCCCAAGCTCAAGCAATCCTTCCACTTCAACCTCCCAAGTAGCTGGGACTGCAGGCATACACCACCACACTCAGCTAATTTTTGTACATTTGTACAGATGGGGCTTCTACATGCTGCCCAGGCAGGTCTAGGATTCCTGGACTGAAGCAATCCACCTACCTTGACCTCCCAAAGTGCTGGGATTAAGGAGTGAGCCACTCTACTTGGTCATTTTTGTCTTTCTGAGATAGCTGGCATCCACTGTCCCAAGTTAGCCATCTTGGGGAAACAACAGCAACAACAACAAACAACTCATGATTTTTTTTAAGCTTTTATAATTCTGTCTCCTGACACAATATTTTTCACTTTTCATACATTTCATACACTTCATACATTTTGAAGTAAAGACATGCACACTCATTATACAAAGTTAGCCTAAAAGAATAAAATCTTAAATCAACCTATCAAAACCATTTACAATTTTTTTTTGTTAAAACCATACAATGTTAGTAAAAAATAAACGTTTTATACTAAAAAAATAGTGGTACAATGTTGGATTTCTTCTTGACAGATACAGAAACATTTTTATTTTCTTTATAATAATGAACATATGAAGTGAAATATATTTTCCATTGTACACTTGAATTGTTTACTCATTTATTAAAGTCTCATGTTATTACATGGTACTTTACCACTAATCGTACCTAGATTATATCTAGAGTGTAATTTAAAGGAACTTCTATGCTCTGAAAACATTGTATGGATTATGTATTTTCTAATCCATATTTTCTTAACATTCTAAAGAAAATCTAACTAAATCAGTAACTGCTTTCAAAGCATAATTGTCTCACCAAATTTTATAGATTAATGATCACATTTAAACATAATGTGAAACCACTTATTATTTATGAAATACTTTTTCTACTTCAAAATTGCATTTTAAATAATTTTTAGACATGACAATGTTAGACGGGAAACACCACCAATGATGGTAGTAGGGATATAATTTATAGTGTTAGTGGACTGCTCTATGCCCTTTGGGGAAAAAATGCCCTGGGGTAAAGTTATGAGAGGGGAACATACATAATTTGTCCCAGTAAAACTTATCTTCCCCCTGTATTTGGGGGAAAACATTTAAAAATATAGATACTTGGAAAATGACTGAATGTATGGAAAAAACCTAATGGTTGCATATTAGAGTTAAATATATGTAACATGTTGTACAAAAGAAACTGTATATTGGAACATGTCTCTAAAACTCACATCACAGTGAAATCTTTCCCATAAAGGAAGAAAAGAACAAATGGAGCCCCATAAAATCTTCCCCAGAATAAAGTATAATACATCATGCCCTAAATTTTTGCATAGCCTCCTTGGATGTTCTGATATTCAGAGTGTTTAATTTTATGTTCTTTAACCCCAATCACTGAAATATAGAACACAGAATTATATTTTTCAGCCATTATTAAACTTTCAGTTCAATTAATTCTTATACTTAGTCAAATAGGAATTATAACAGTGCCCAAGAGAGGACTTTGATAAATCTGGTTTTGGATCTTAGAACTGAGTTTAGAGAGACCGATTATCATAAAGGACTATATTGAATTTATAGGGTTTTTTGGGGTTTATTTGTCTAGGCAAATATTAATCTATTTTTATCATCAGAATGGAACTTCATGTTAATAAGCAAGGAGGGTAACAGAGTAAATAAGTACCAATTGTACTGTTTCCTCTTTTGTCTTCCTTTGCTCCCTTGTACTTCACCTAGTACTTCACTTACTCACTACCCTATTGCTGTCCTGTTGGAATGATTTTCTTACTGATCCTAGGAGACAACTCATTGTCCTTACAGAGAGAGTTGCCCTATGACTGGGCATGCCATTTGGACCTACTTTTCCAAACTTGTCATGCCTGTTACAGTAGTTCTGTGATATTGTGGTGTCTTATTTATCACTACTCTTTACTTTGTTTTTTCCTATCCTCTTCCTTCCTCTCTTCTTTTGAAAATATCACATTTTAGTAAAGAGCTCAAGGTCTCAATTCTGGAATAAAACTTCAGGAGTTAAAATTATAACCCCCACATTTACCAGTTGGGTGACTTTTAAGAAGTTATTTAACCTCTTTATTTCTCAGTCTCCCCATCTATAAAATGACCCTATTAATTTTATTTACTATGTAGCAGTTTAAGATTAGTAAATGAAAAAATACAGATATGTATGAAATGTATAGCTCATAATAAGCACTCCATAAACATTAGTTATTACTTATTAAAGTTTAGAGGTGATAGTTAGAGGCTAATAGTGACCTGAGAGAGACCTTGAGGCATATAAGTAATACATTTTTAACTCTATATTCTTTCTGCCATCTGGTTTGGTTTGGGTTTTTAAATGAAAATATGTAAGAACAGGGAAGCCATGAATAAAAGCGGAGAAAATAAGACTGACATTCTTTCTCTCTGTCATTTACCAACTTATTGGGAGGAATTGAATGGTTTTGTATTTAATCTTTATCTAAAGCAATCTGTACGGTTTATCTGATCTATATTTTTTTATTCCTAATCAATACCTGGAAGCATTTAGACATCAGCAGACATTGGGGTTTGTGTTTGTAGTTTTCAATAATCAGATCAGTCCACTCTAACTCCTTTAGTTTATTGTTTCATTGAACTACAGAGATGATTAAAACTGAGTTATGTTCTTAACAATGTGACTAAACATGCCTCAGTTGTTATAATTAAATTTCCATTATATTCTATGTGTTGGATTTGGAAATAAACGTATTCTACCTGTAACAGTTTATTGGAAAAAGTGTTATATTTCAGGCTTGGATTAGTATTTTCTTTAATGTTTGGTTGTTGCCAATTTAACTTTGGCAACATTTATCAATAAATATGGCAAGTAGTAATATTAATGGGTTAAATATTGATTGTTCAAGGTTGGCCTTTCTTTTAATCAATTAAGGAGCAGTTATTGAACAACCTTCAGCTTAATCAATGCCTTGCTCACTGCCTTCATGTGGTCCCTCTTTCCCTGCTCTAGTAGCATCCATTTGTGTTTGCTTATTCTGTTTGAACTTTATGAAAAACTATTTCACAGTAGCTTATTGTTTTTATAATATTTAGTATATTGAAGTCAAAAAGAGTTTTTTTTCTACAACCTATTCCATGCTTTTGCCCCTTTATATTGAACAATCTAGAAACTCCAGGATTATTTTCTTTGCTTCTTTGGGAAAGCTCCAAATTTCTGATTCAGTTACTTGGATCTCCATTTAGGCTTAAATGATTCACCAGCTAATTAACACAGCTGAGTAATGATAATATTAATCTTGAAAGGCCTTTTGGGGGCCTTGTAAAAGTAAACTCCAGACTTTTAGAGTAGCTGTACTGAGATAAGATTACAGATCTCTTATTTAACCTGTGTTGGAATGATTGTTAATGTTCTGCACTGTTGGTATTGTTATGATGTTATATTTTACATAAATATATAATATTGTATATAAAAATCAAAATGAAACTAGAGAGACATAATTATCACTGTATGTGTGCATAATTTTCATTCTCTGCATATCTGTATCATGTACATTAATATTTTTAAAAATTAATATTTTAAAAAATGAGGCAAGGTGCCTAATTACTTCATTTTCCCATCTACATCTCTCAATGTCATCTAATATATCTGTTAAACAAAAAAAGAGGGTTACTTAGAATATCAACTGCAGAATAACCATCTATGCTACCACCAGATGTTACCACATTTATGAAAGTAAAACTTTTAAGGAAAACAAAACATTTTTAATGTTTACTTCTTTTATATTTCAACATTGTCCATTAAAATTCTTATCAGGAAATGGGGATAGATAAAACGCAATACTTGGGTTGTTTTTTCTTTTTGGAAATAGAATAAATCTGTGCCCTTAGGCACTCTTCTTCAAGTTTCTCACTTGGGCCATGATTATACAGATTCTATTTAAACAATGAAATGCTT
Source organism: Homo sapiens (assembly GCF_000001405.40). Taxonomy (NCBI): domain Eukaryota; kingdom Metazoa; phylum Chordata; class Mammalia; order Primates; family Hominidae; genus Homo; species Homo sapiens. The sequence continues at coordinate 9,454,906 of NC_000009.12, read as the reverse complement.
GTATTACATACATTTAATAACCAGTAATCATGCATAATATGTATATATATATATGTGTATATATATATGTATATATGAGACATGATTTACATCTGATTCACCTGTCTTTTGCCAACATCTAGTATTGAGACTAACACATAGTCGGTGCTAAATGTTTGTAGAATGTTGTTAACTTTTACAGTATGTGTAATGCAAAATAGCTATACAAATATACACAGTTAAGAATAAACTATATGTAATTTACAGTTACAGTTGTGTAAAGTATGCTGTTCTTGGTTTTGGCATGTGAGAAATTTCTTTTGGCTATTCAAAACCTTTTGCAATTCTAAAATGCTTATCTTGAAAATTCTTACTGAACTAATGGGAACACTTGAATTTCTGATCAGTAGTGGGGAATTCAGTGTAATTGTACTAGAGTTTAATTGTGAAGTGTTCTTCAAACCATAATTGTTTTATATTACTGTAGTGCCTGGGAATAATCAGAACCATAGCCATTTTATAACAAAATACTGCAGTGATATGCTAGAGCCAACTCATACTGGATTGCAAGAATGGGTGGCTGGTATGTCTTCCCAATTCCATGTCCATAGATTTCACATTGGTGGCTTCAAAAGAGCCAAACCGGGAGTATTTCCTCAAGAAAATGGGTAAAAGCTACAAATCAGGGCTTTTTTTGTTCCCCAGAAAGCCAGCTTTTAAACCTTTGTTAGCTCATCACTGGAAATATCTAACAACTCAAAGATGCTCAATTTGTTTAGGCTTTTAAAAATGGATATTTTCATTTTTCTCATTTTACATAGTAAACATTGTCTTACACTTTTTTTTCTGTAAGAATCTGTCGTGAAATTCTTTCAGGAAATATAAATAAGGAAAATATAAAAAGGGAACATAACTGAAATTTTAAAGAAAAGAGGATGACATGGAAATATGACAGATATAGAGAAATGAAGTACTGGAAAGACATTTTTTAGAAGTGGATCTCATGTAGAGTAATATACTAACACATGTAGCAGTGATGGATTGAAGAGTAATGTGGCACTCATGAAATTATCCTTCTGAGTTTCTCTTTGAAAGCTCTTTAGGCCCTTATATCTCCTTATGGGCTTCACTAAAGAAATGCTTTAAACAAATATTTGAAACCTCCTTTTCCCTTAAATCCAAAAATGTCAGATTAATTTAAAGCAATTTACCTTTTAGTTTATGTTACTTATATCTGTTAAGATATATCCATATTTTTGTAAGCTATTGAAGAGAACAGTAAACAAACATATACACCTCATATTCCTGCACTTGACTGAAATATAAATGGAATTGTTCTTTTCATGTTGGTAATTACCAAGAGTTACCTTTAGTAATAAGAATCCCCTTAGACTGTAATTTAATAAGGCAACCTTGAATCTTCTGAATATTTCTTTGAATGGTTATTCTATGAATATTTCCCCGACACAGATGTGCTTTCAACAATAAAATGGTGATAATGATGTGGTAAAAAATATTTTATAAAATATTATGATATTATGTTGCCTTTTGGACTTCAGAAATTATTTGGAAATCTAAATAATTCTGTTTTACTTTTAATATTTGCTTATTAATATAAATGTGGCAGCCTCTGAATATGCAACCGCATGGAATGATTATAAAATGAGGTTAAGCATGTAACTACATGATATAGATGGCTTGTAAAGATGTTTAATTACCCATACTAACAAATATGTCCGGCATAACATTATTTAAGTTTGCAGGCAATGCATTGTGTGGGGGGGCGTTGAAAGTCTTGTTTTAACAGCAATATTAATTTCCATTCCATTTGGATAATTAATATGTATCAGTGGTCACATCTTATGGATATTAAATTTCCAGTATGTATATGGAGCAAAAAAAAAAAATAAAATAGGCTTCAGTTAAATGTCACACAAAATTTAAGTATACAGAAAAATCATATGAAGTCCAGATTCAAAAGAGGGAGTTTTAATGTTAAAACTGTATTTTAATTTTGAAAGAATGTGCTTGTTTTGTGATTTATCTCAAGAGCTTGAGCAAATAAAATTTTGGATATTATTGAATTAGAAATAGCTTAGTGTTCTTTAATAAATTGCATTTCCCATTGTAAATATTAAGCAAATTATTATTTTACATTTTCCTTTAGGGATATGTGAACTTCATATTATAATTATGTGATATATCTGATAATTGACTTTAACTTTTACTAAATTTACACAAAGAATCTTTAAGTCTGTGAATCCTTAGCAAATCCTTTCTATTTAATGCTCAAAGTAATTTAAGAGTGATAATTGTATAAAGATGAGTAAGTTAGCTATGGGAAGTTTTTTTCTCTCTTTCTCATAAGTTAAGCCAACTTCTGTGGTTTTTCTTTACTTCTTATTTATTTTACCCCAAATCTTATCATATTCATTTTTGATGTATACTTCCATATTTACTTAGATATACCCATACATTCACCAGTATTTTTTCCCATTATTCATTCTTGAATTTTACACATTCAGTCTGGAAAGATTTATTTTGATTTAAATTTATTGTAGTGAGAAATGATTGGTAGTAAACTCTACTACTTTGTTCTCAGTTTTAAAAGATATTTTTAATGAGTATAGAATTCCAGGTTGAGAATTGTCATCAATCAACACACTGAAAATATTATTCTATTGTCAATTGGTTTCCATTTTTGCTGACAAAATGATAGTTATTGGTTTAAATGACACATCTTAAGTTGATTTATCCTTTCTATTTTGTTACTTGTGATATCTCTTTGTTTTTGGCATTCAGCTTTTTTATTATAAACTGCTAGGTATAGATTGTTATATATTTGTTTCTCCTGCTAGAGACATTTTGGGCTTTCTGGGTGTGAGGTATTATATCTTCCAACAATTCTAGAAATATTTTTTATACTGTACGTATGATAATTCTATTCTTTTTGCTATCTCTTTCTAGAAATTCAAAGAGACATAACTTTTAATTTTCTCTTCATATTATTTTATTTCAAACTATTCATCTCCTCTTCTCTCTGTAATGAATTTTTTCTCATTCATCTTCTAATTTATTCAGTTGTATCTATAGCGCAAATTCAACCCATTCTTCTAACTTTCTAAAATTAATTTTTGTATTTTTTATTTCTAAAAAAACTATTTGGTTGCTTTTCAAGTGTACTTTATTAATTTAATGCTTTCTAACTCCTTGCTCATATTTTAAGGGTTTTTTTGAAACATAACCTTTTGTTTGGTTGTTAATTTTTATATAAAAAGTCTATGTGAGTTTGATTTTTCTTCTATTTCTACTTTCTCTCATTCATACCAACTTGCTGCCTTATTTATTTTGTAATTTTTCACTGCAGGGACATGTTTCTAGGAAACATTTTACTGGGTAAACCATTTGAGGCTATATTGAAGTTGCATTTTGTCCAGTGAAAATTCGCCATTGATTTAATTCTTCTCATGGTGCTTTTATGCTCAATAGGTAACACAAAAATGGAAACAAACTGCAAAATTGCATGAATTCTTGTTATTAAAATTTTGTGGTTTCATTTTTTGTTTTAATTTTGAATTATTTAATATTTCTATTTAATGCTAAAATCAAGACAGATGAAGTGTTTTCCTATAGCCTTGTGTTTATTTCTCTTTAAACCTTATACTGAGTTGCTGTTCCTTAGGTTCTCAGATTTACATGATGTCTTCTAGTGTTCTCCATACATGGGGTAAAACTTGGGCTTTTCCTTCTGTGTATTGCACCTTATATAAACAGATGCTCAAGGATATCAAGATTTCATTTAGAGAGGGTAATGCTGACTTTGGCATTTACTGAACAACTTCTACAATTTTTGCTTTTTTATTCTTTGACCTCTGTGGACTTTTTTGTCTTGCTAGCTCAGTGATGTATTTTAAAGGATACAGTTATTTGACTGTGTGTCTGTGTGTGTGTGTGTGTGTGTGTGTGTGTGTGTGTGTATGTATGTATGTATTTACTTAGATGTACTCAAATATTCACCAGTATTTTTGCCCATCATTTTTTCTTGGATTTTAGACATTCAATTTGGAAAGATTTATTTTGATTTATATTTATTTTAGTGAAAAATGGTTGGTAGTAAACTCTATTACTTTGTTCTCTTTTTTAAAAGATAATTTTACAGGGACACACACACCCCCCCCCATAATATGTACAATTAATACATATTTAATTTTTCTTCATACAGTTTTTTGAATTGTGTCAATCAAGTTACGAAAACAAAATTCTAGGAAACATTTTCATTATGTAAATGCTTAGGTCTCAGGCATGCTATATTTACTGAATCAGAATATTCATATCTATGATAAGAATTTACATATGTCTTTCTTATAACAAACTCCAAAAGTAATTCTGGTATATATTCCTGATTAAGAAAAATAGCTATGGGAAATGCAAATCAAAATCACAGTGAGATACCACCTTACTCCTGCAAGAATGGCCTTAATTAAAAAGTCAAAAAATAATAGATGTTGGCATGGATGTGGTGAAAAGGGAACACTTTTATACTGCTGGTGGGAATGTTGCTAGTACAACCACTGTGGAAAACAGTGTGGAAATTCCCTAAAGAAATAAAAGTAGAACTACCATTTGATCCAGCAATCTCACTACTGGGTATCTGCCCAGAGGAAAAGAAGTCATTATACAAAAAAGATATTTGCACATGCAGGTTTATAGCAGCAAAATTAGCAATTGCAAAAATATGGAACCAGCCCAAATGCCCATCAATCAGAGTGGATAAAGAAACTGTAATACACACACACACACACACACAGACACACACACACACACACACACACCATGGAATACTACTCAGCCATAAAACAGAACAAAATAATGGCCTTTGCAGCGCTTTGGTTGGAGCTGGAAGCCATTGTTCTAAGTAAAGTAACTCAGGAATGGAAAACCAAATATCGTTCATTCTCACTTATAAGTGGGAGCTAAGATATGTGGACACAAAGGCATAAGAATGATATGACGGACTTTGGGGACTTGGGAGGAAGGGTGGGTTGGAGTGAGGGATAAAAGACCACACATTGTATATAGTGTACACTGCTCAGATGGCAAGTGCACCAATATCTCAGAAATCACCACTAAAGAGCTTATCCATGTAATCAGAAACCACTTGTACCCCCAAAACTATTGAAATTTAAAAAAAAAGAATGACTGCTATAAGATATAATTGAGGTTATGTCTGAATACACATCCAAAAATCATTTAGCCATAAGTTTCTAGACAATGTGAATGAGCAAATGTGGAATCCCCCTGCTTACACACTATATGTTTGCAAGGACGAGGTTCTAGACAAAGGGTCTGCTGGAGGACTCAAATGAACTAGTTACTTTTTCCTTCACAGAGGCTGTACTCCATCAGGGCAGGTTCCTTATATTCTCTCAGTTTTCCAGACCATTATGACCTGCTGTTAAACAGGTGACATCCAATCAGCAATTACAATTCACTACTGGTAGCTTAAAAATATATATATAGCAATTTGAATTTCTCACTGATTTATTGGGTTTGGAGGAATGTACAAGATGGAGAATTGCCTTATTCATTAGGCAATCTGTTAATAATGTTTGAGATAATCTTACATTAATAAAAAAAGATTGAATTGCTGAGAAGTAGTACACATCAGCACAACTCAAAATACAATATCTATAATTCCAAAATGGTAAGTTATTTTTCTCCCTGTGGTTGTTGTTCTGTTTTGTTTTTATTGTTTTGCTTTTAATCTCGTGAAGAAAGAATTCACTGTTCTGGAATTCTGGAGAAGAGACAGTTATTGCCAGCGGCAGTATAGAAGTAAAGATAATTTCAGACAACAGTAGGCTTTCTTGCACATTCTTTTCCATTTCATTAATAACATGGTCCATAAAGGGACATGCTTTGCGAAGCTGAAAGTGGAGATAGGAATTCCTCAGAGAGAGCAGACATCTGTGCAAATAACTAACATTTTTTAGATACAACATTCTCTTTTTTCACTGGCTTCTTAGTGAGTTGCTGATGGAAGACGAGGCAATGATTAGCAACCTCATCCATTAGCCACCCTGCTTTTTAATCACAACCTATACCACAGTGTGTGTGCATGTGTGTGTTTAATCCCCCTGCTGAAAACAGTAAATTTCCTGGATCTCTTTGAACTACACCAAGAATGTAGGCTGACCTGGTCTTAAAGGACTCCATTAAATATCATGCCCATGTAAGTAAGAGCTGACCTGTTTTCTTCCCTATTATGTGTGTAACTCTTAGAGCAGGGCATCCAGTGAATGCTTATCAGTCTGTTTTCACACTGCTGTAAAGAAATACAAAGACTGGGTTATTTATGAAGGAAAGAAGTTTAATTGGCTCACAGTTCCACATGGCTGGGGAGGACTCAGGAAACTTACAATCATAGCAGCATTGGAAGCAGGCATCTTCTTCACAAGGCAGCAGGAGAGAGAGAGAATGAACTGCAAAGGAAGAACTTGCAAACACTTAGGAAACCATCAGATCTCATGAGAACTCACTATCTTGAAAACAGCATGGGGGAAACTGACACCATGATCCAATCACCTCTCACCCTCGACACGTGAGGATTACAGGTCCCTCCCTCCTCGTGTGGGGACTACAATTAGAGATGAGATTTGGGTGGGGACACATAGCCAAACCGTATCAGAGTGTTCATTAAGTGCTTTTTGACTAAGTGTATAAATGTGATTTGATCATTTTTATTTTTGAAAATTTTACAACTTCTTACTGCCTCCATTGTTACTACCCTGATTTAAATGCATGGGGCTCCTACCTGGTCTTCATACCCTTCCTTTCTTCTCCAAAACCTGTTTCTATCACAGCAGCAGAATGAACCCCTTCAAACACAAGTCAGTTCGTGCTACTCCTCTTTTCAGAACCGTTCAATAGTAGCCCATTTCACCAAAAATGAAAGCTAGTGCAGTCTGTAAGACTATGTGGCCTGGCTTCTGAGCATCTCCTTGATCTTTCATCACTCAGTCATTTCTTTAATCTGGCCCAACGGCACTGACCTCTTTTGCTGCTTTTTGAACATGCCAGACACATTTCTACGTCAGTGTCTTCAGACTCATCTTTCCCTTCCCTAGAACAGCGTTCTTCCATATTCTGCCTATTTCACATACTGAGGTACCCTAGCACCCCATAGCAATTGTAATCAAATGACACATGTTTTATTAAGGGAACATGTAGAAGTCCCTTGAGAACTAAATTTTTTTTCTTTTAATTTCAGGGGTACATGTGCAGGTTTCTCATACAGGTAAACATTTGCCATTGGGGCTTGTTGCATAGATTATTTCATCAGCCAGGTATTAAACCCAGTACCCATTAGTTATTTTTCCTGATCCTCTCCTTCCTCCCTCTTACTTCCTACCCTCCAATAGGTCCCAGTGTCTGTTGTTCCCCTCTTTGTGTCCATGTGTTCTTATCATTTAACTTCTACATATAAGTGAGAACATACGGTATTTAGTTTTCTTTTACTGTGTTAGTTTGCTAAGGATAATGGCCTCCAGCTCCATCCATGAGCCTGCAAAGGACATGATCTCATTTTTTATGGCTGTCTAATATTCCATGGGGTACATATATAGCACATTTACTTATCCAGTCTATCATTGCTGGACATTTAGGTTGATTCCATGTCTTTGCCGTTGTGAATAGTGATGCAGTGAACATACATGTGCATGTGTCATTATGATAGAATGATTAATATTCCTTTGGGTATATACTCAGTAATCGGATTGCTGGGTTAAATAGTAATTCCGATTTTTGGTCTTTGAGGAATCTCCACACTATTCTCCACAAATGGTTGAACTAAATTACACTTCCACCACCAGTGTATAGCGTTCCTTTGTCTCCACAGCCTTGCCAGCACTTGTTATATTATTGACATTTTATAATAGCCATTCTGACTGGTGTGAGATGTTACCTCATTGTGGTTTTGATTTGCATTTCTCTAATGATCAGTGATATTGAGCTTTTTTTCATATGCTTCTTGGCCACATGTATGTCTTCTTTTGAAAAGTGTCTGTTCATGTCCTTTGCCCAATTTTTAATGTGGTTCTTTTCCTTTTTATTGTAAATGTGTTTAAGTTCCTTATAGATGTGGGATACTAGACCCTTGTCAAATGCATAGTTTGTGAACATTCACTTCTATTATGTAGGTAAGATGTCTGTAGATTGACCATTCCTTTTGCTGTACAGAAGCTCTTTAGTTTAATTAGATCCCATTTGGAGGTCAGGGATTTTTAATCTATTGTGTTCCCTTCTGTGGCACCATTGACAATAACATTGACTGGGTGCTCAATAATGTGCCCTCAATAAATATCAATTGAAGAGACAGTGAATTGAATAAAGAAATAGAGTTCCAGTTGTGTGGAATGATTTGCCAAAGGCCACATTGATTCCTAATGTTAAAACCTCACGAAAGTCTCAGGAGGTGTGAAGCAGTTTGGATACAAGACTGAGCTTAGTCAGCATTCTTACAGTGGGATTTTCTTCCCTCACAGGTATATTAAGTAGATGGGTCACAATGGAACATAAGGTATCCTCTCTTCCTTGTTTTATCTGTGAAGAGACCTATCTTTAGGCCACTATTAAATCCTCAACACTTGGGAGGACAGATGTATAAGTTCTTTAGGAATTTGTGTTAACCTTAATATGATTGTAACTCTCAGGGAATTTCTTAAGTGTAGTCTTTCTTGAACTTTGACTTTCTTGTCATCATGTTCTGTTTTGTTTTGTTTGAAGGATCATCTTGGAGGTGCCACGTGCAAATATCAAACAAAATATTATGTCATTTCTTACCACATGGCTTTCATAAAATAATCTTTATCCAAAACAAATGAATTAAAAAATAGAACATAATTTAAAGTGGAGTTCTTTAAATTCAGTTGAATTAACTTTATGGAAAAGCTTGCCTAAATTGTTTCTCACTTCCTTTTGTCTAAACAATGTTCTGCACAACTGTGCTAAGGAACCATTTCTTACACATTTGAACTTGCATAAGCACAAGAGTTCCTGACACCCAAAGTAATATTACCACTATACTTTTCTGCTGTCTATAAAGACCTCAAGTAATCTATATGAAGCTGATATGGTTTGGCTGTGTCCCCACCCAAATCTCATCCTGAATTATAGTTCCCATAATTCCCACGTGTCAGGAGAGGGAATCATGGGAGGTAACTGAATCATGGGGGCATTTACCCCATGCCGCTGTTCTCGTGATAGTGATTGAATTCTCATGAGATCTGATGATTTGATAAGAGGATTTTCCCCCTTTGCTTGGCACTTCTCCTTCCTGCTGCCATGTGAAGAAGGACGTGTTTGCTTCCCCTTCCGCCATGATTGTAAGTTTCCTGAGGTCTTCCCAGCCATGCAGAACTATGAGTCAATTAAACCTCTTTCATTTATGAATTATCCAGTCCCGAGCAGTTCTTTATAGCAGCATGAGAATGGACTAATACAGGTGCCAAGTGAAAATTGTTCTCTAAGGATTAACCAACCATGAGAAAGAAATGTAAAAAGGAAGAACCACTTTTTCCAGATCTCAAGGAAACAGATCCATCAATGGCATGCATAACTGACTAGCTTTAATTTGTATTGTCCATTTGCAGGGATAAACGTGGGACAGATAAGTATGGTAGGTAAGAGGCATGATTGCTTGGTTCTAGGATTCTCATAGAGACAGATGTGAATGGGCTACAGTTTGACCTACCCATTTATTATCCAGAATAATCTCTAGTTTAAAACTGATACCAATGAGGATCCATCAACTAAACTTGTGAAATATTACCAAGTGCAAAAATCTTACAAATTGTCATATCACATGCCAATTCATTTATTTGTGTGTTTGTTGCTCACTCATTTTTTTAAAATTTGATCAAGAAATAATTTAAAACACTATTTGAAGATACACATAATAGAGCAAGAAAATTAGGTTAAAACTGGTCAAATGGAACAAATGAAGGATAGAGAAAATAGGTCAGAAAGTAGGGTCAATTTACATTTAACTTGCAAGTAGGCATGTATTCTTTAAATGATAAATCTAATAGTTGTAGAGATCAAGTATTTGCTTACATGGGGCATAATTTGCAGCTATCAAAAATTAAAATATAAAAGTTACTAGAATTTGCTGCACCATTTCTAAAAGCATATATTTAAAGAGCTTCTTAGAGTAGTATGAAGAAAGGGAAAAGGTTGTTCTTTTTATTACCTGTAACTCCTACCCCAGTCTAACTTGGGGTCAGAAAGTCTCCTTGGAAATAATAGAAAAGGGCCAAGAATATTGACTATCTCCTATACCTTAATTCTAAAATGTTATCATATCCATAAAAACATCTGTGTTTATTAGAGCACTGGCAATCATTTGAATCAAGTTAATTCATTCTACCAATTTATGGAGCATCTGCAAACTCTAAAATGCCATGCTAGGCACAATATCACAGAACATAGTTCTAGTCCTTTGGGTCTGAGAATTAAAGATGGGATCACATAGGAGAGATTATTGTTTGAAGGATTTACATAACTCAGATGAAAGACTCACAAAAAATAGATATCAAATCTTTTCATATTTATCGGACTCATTTTATCATTTTAATCTCTAATGAGGTCTCTGTCTTCTTTAAAATAAAAAACTAGAAGTCAAAAAAGTAAAGCATATTATAGAACTCTCCTATCAAATTAGTTGTTCAGAAAAAAAAGTAGATGCACGAAATCCAAAGAACATGTTAAGTGGTATGGTACACAGTATAAATCAACAGCAAAACTTTCTAAAAATTTAATAAATTCAAGTTGATTATACAGTGTTTGGCCAAACAGGATGACTTACTCAAGAAATAGTCCAATCCTGTTTTTTCTTGACTGAGCTGTAATGAAGATAAAGTCCATATGATTTTATTTTGCCACTGTAGTTAGAAAAATTGTCATTATGTATAGTAGACAAAAAAGTCCCTATGCATTCAAAAACATGAATGAATATAAGTGCATGTTTCAGTCTTGCTTTCAAGCTTGTTCCAGTTATCCACTGCTGTGTAACAATACACTGTAAACTTAGCAGCTTAAAGCATCATCTTTTTTACTGATACTGAGGACCAGGACCTCCAGAGGGTCAGCTTGGCACTTCTATTCCATGGGTGCCAACTAGATCAGTTGGGAACTGGAGTGGACTAGAAGATACAGAATAGCTTCAGCGATGTGTCTGGTACCTTGGTGAGAACAGCTAGAGGGCTGGGTCAGCTGAGCTACCCCCTTCTCTATGTGTTCTCATGGCTTCTCCAAGCGATCTTTCTGACAAGTAGTCAGACTTCTTACGTAACAACCCAGGGCTTGAAGAGGCCAGCCAAAGTTGCCAGTTTTCTCACACACAGGCTTGGCCTTGATCTGGCAAAGTCAAACTTCTGTTACATTCTGTTGGCCTAAACCATTACAGGCCACTCTGGATTCAAAGCGACCAAAAACAGACTTTATATTTCCCTGCAAGTAATATCAAAGAACTGTGACCATCCTTAATCCTCTACAAAAGAGTAGTTTCTGTTTAGTTTCTGAAGTGGTTTAATAATAGTATACATGTCACAATGCTAACTAGAAGTAGAGAACAGATTAGTTGACCCTTGGGATCCTGTCCATGCTGTTATTTATTTATTTATTTATGCCATATGATTTTTCCAGGTATAATTAGCTCACATAATACTTCCATTATGTTTTAGTAACAGTTGAAGATTTTTTTTAAAGAGGAATGGATATTAAGAACATAGAATGGCCCTATTTTTGAAATTCATTTTATATTGGGTTCAATTTTCTTCTGTGATGCAGATTTTGTTGCATAATTCTACTTGTGGCACATTTTGGGGATTTATGTTTAAAGCCAATTTAAGAAAGAATACTTATCACTAAGAAAAGCAAATACACACACACACATATATATGTACGTGCATACATATGGATAAACATATGTAAACATACATGTTACATGTATGGATAAAAATGTACAGATGCACACCACAATGGCTCAAATAATCCTTTAGGAAATAATTATACCAAAAAGATTCCCTTTATTTCTTTATAGTCATGTTTAGGGTAAAACACTAAACAGAAACATTAAAACCACCGCCAAAAGAAGACATTCCCAGTATGGCCAGAGATCTGGTTTTTTGATCAATGGCAACATTCTCTGTTTCTTCAGCTTTTGATTTACAGCTTCAGAAAGACTTTGAAAATATAATAGAACATCTTTAATTAAATCCCCCAAACTCACATGCACAGATAAATAACAATCCATCAGCTATTTTGTTCTCTAACTGTACCCCAGAGAACTTGACAGTCATTTATACCTTCATTTGGGCTTTATTTCAGTCAAGCCATTTAGTGGAGTTTATCTAAATTACAGTATCTGTTTTCTTATCACAAATTCAGAGCTGTAACACAGAAACTAATTTCAGGTGCAAAATAGAATATCTCAGAGGCCCAGACATCAGTACTACAGGCGCATTAGAATGAAAAGTTACCTGTCACTAATGGATATTTGTCTCTGTAATGAGCTCAGGCGAAAGGAACTGTGGCTATAAGAAAATTAGGGGACACCAGTAGCATTACAGACTTCTACTGATCAGCACGGGAGTTTTGACCTGCTCCGTTTCCGACCTGGGCCGGTTCACCCCTCCTTAGGCAACCTGGTGGTCCCCCGCTCCCGGGAGGTCACCATATTGATGCCGAACTTAGTGCGGACACCCGATCGGCATAGCGCACTACAGCCCAGAACTCCTGGACTCAAGCGATCCTCCAGCCTCAGCCTCCCGAGTAGCTGGGACCACAGGCACGCGCCACCGCGCCCGGCGCATTACAGACTTCTGACTCTGAGAGAACATACAGATTTTTGTTTTCAAGCTCTGGAAGTGAGAACATTTTGAATAAGATATATCTTGAAATATGTTCCATTACTTATTTTGGGAATAGTAAGGAGAATCCCAAGCAAAGGAGAACACCCCTGCTATTGCTCAAATACCATATCACATAGGCGATGTTTCAGCAGAAGCAATTTTATCACTTATAACAATTGTCCTTAGCATGACACCATTCTGCAAAGCTTGAGTGGTAATCAAATAGCACTGTACATAATGATATCATTTTAGCATAAATATTCAAAAGGGACATTAATGCCAAATTCATTCATTTTGGAAAAGTGGATTTTTTTTTCGGTTTTAACTCTAAATTATTCTAAAGTGGCCTCATTGATTCAGAATTTAGTGTAACATGTTATATTGATAGCCTGGCAGATATGTCTCCATGGAAAGGGCAGCATGATAATTCCTGAAATGAGTATCTCATTCATAAACAGCAGAGAACAGATCATTTAGTTCATCACCTAGTTTCTCCCTCCATCATCACCTTTTGCCTTTTGAAGCCTCAGCACTCTATGCTCCAGCTGAACTCAAATACTTTCCACCACTTCCATAGACAGCATTATCTTTCCAATAGAGAATTTCAGACATACTTTTTCTTTTGTCTAGCAGTTTATTTCTACCTTTTTACCTGTCTTCTTCCTATTCATCTTTCTAGTTCAAACTTAATTTACTCTAAGAAGCCCTTCTTCCCTAACTCATACCCTCCTGCACCTCACTGCCTTAGAAACTGGTGTGATGGACATAGTTATGCCTCCCACACCGCTTCGAGGATAGGCTTGTTGCTCAGCTGCCTGGAGTCTTGTCGTCAGGTAGTGCTCAGTTGATAGCATCTTTGGTATCACTTAAGCTGTAGAGAGACACCTCATTCAAGGTCACACTCTTTCCAAGGTAAGATGAACCATATTAAATTATTGGTTGAGATAATGATATAAAGACCCAGCCATTTTGGCCCAATGAGGGGAAGTCTCACAGGACATTTCAGCTCTGGAACTTTCTGTAGATTGACTAGGCTAACAGCAGGCCTGAAGATCAGCTTGACTTCACGCTCTGCCCATCATACTTCCTTCGTCCCCTTCAAATGCTGATCCTAGGGTAGCCCCTGATAAATATTCCGCATTCTAAACTCCAACTCAGAAAAGCCCATGTGCTAAACATAATCATGAATCATTATACCTTGGTCTTGCCATGCCATATTATTGCGATTGAAACAATTTTGTGATCATCATTTTATCTCTGTTTAACACAAGAAGATAAGTAGATACTCAATAAATATGGAATAATTAATGGCTGGATTAATGAACAAATAGATTTCTTGAAGACAGAATTTTGGGATAATATTGTTTTAAGGAAGAATGTCTACCATCGGTAAATAGATACTGCTGAATCCAGTATCATTCCTTGGAGACTTTTAAAGATTCCATCTGAAGTTATCGGTGACAACTGTTATGGACCACACTTTCTGCCTAAGAGATATGTATTGAATAATGGCTTTGCTTTTTTGCAAATTCTATTGACTCTCCTAGACACCCTCTTTGTACTGTTGTCTCTTTTTTCCCACCATGCAAATTAATTGCCCCTTTCTACCTTTTCACTTTTGCATTTAACAATTTGATAGATGAAAATAAGCCTGAATTATGAAGAAGAAAACAAGTACAAACCACGACAAAGCAAATGGACAAACCAAAGGAAAAATAATTTAAAAATAAAATACAGTAAATTTCTTGTGCGTACACAAATTTGATAAACATTCCAAGCTGAATATTTACAAGTTAAAAGCTGAAGTTGGTAATAATTTTAGGAATTTATGCAATAACATTACTTCTATCCTCCATGAGATTGGACTTCTGATTCTTATCTAATGCTTATATATAATGATATTTTCATTGAACTGTATTAAAATGCAGAATTCAATCAGATTAAGTTGAAGGAATTTTTATGGTTTCTAGACTGCATGACAACCTAACCTTTTGCTTTCATGAAGCTGGAGGTATAGACTTTGACTTGTAGTGACTTTACTATGTCATGATGATGGTCATAAATAGGCTGGGTTTTGACATCAAGTTTGAATCCTGCTCTGCCACTTCCCAGCTGCAAGACACTGGAAAAATTATTTACTCACTATAGGACTTAGTTTCCTCATCTACAAAATGGGATAAAAATTGTACCAACTTCCTAGAATTACTGGATTGATAAAATGAAATTATACAAATAAAGTGTCAGTATCTATGATTACCATTAATGCTCTTCGTCTTCACAGTGATAGTCTTTAGGTAGTGAAGGTAAGAATCTTCACTGTTTTGCCAAATAGCCCTTTGCCAAACTTGATTTTATCTGACACCAAAGTAAGGGATCTGAAGAACAGTTCACTTTTCTTGGCTTTTAATGGAATGCACCTCTAATCTGGGGGCTGAAAGGGCTGATGAAGCAGTTTCCTATTGTGTTTACTCACATGCTGTTGCTGAGCTTGTTGAAAATGATCTGTTTCCGGTAGTCTCCTTGCAGCAGGTTGTTCAGAGTAAAATGAAAACAGAATCTGATACCCAATAGTTTATCACATTATTCCACCTTATCAGTTGTCCTACCTGATAAATTGTTAGATAAGACCTAAGACTCCTGATCCTCAGTTTCTTTGGGATGTCTGGTAGCCTTGGAAATCAAAGTATCTTCATCAGAGTATGTTATGCATGAATGAATTTTCTAATAAGTGGGGTGCTGTACCCTAAGAAATGATTATATTTGTGGGAGAGTACTCACTAATTTCTTTCTTATGCTTCAAACTTCTATTGATTAAAAAAAAATCTAATGTATTAACAGATCTTGTTTATTTTTAAACTGTTTTCTGCTCTGGAGTCATATAAGCCATATATATTTTAATGCTACTTTATACTACTTTATGAATTCTTATCTTTGAAAGGAAGAAGAGAATGAGATGAGGTTTATAAAATGATTATGGAACATTGCACAGAAATATTACTTGGCATTTTATTTGAGTGTATTATTTCATATAGGATATTGACTTAGTTCCATATTAACACCACAGACTGATAATGATAAAGTTGAATTTAAATGCTGTCCTAGAGCGTTCCCATTTTATATTTGATACATAGAAAAGTTTATATAAACTTACATTTATACAAATGATACATTTATGTTCAATTTAGAATATTGCATTTATACTTTGAAAGAAATTAGTACTCACATACATTAATTATTTAACACTAGAATGTTGATGCTAATATTAGTACATAATTTTCTTCTCAAATTGCAATTTTGGAAGAACTGTAAAGATAATGTTTAACTTTTTAAATACTAATTCATAATATCCAGTAGTAGTCATAGTGAATAATTAGCAATCATTTTGATAAAGCTCGGCATCATAGTCCAGAGACTTAGAGGGATAGATGCTTTGGTTGGCCCAGTACACAACTAACTGATTTATACAATTTGCTAACACATTTAGATTCCTTTGTGAACTGCCTGTACATATATAAATTATTTTCATAGCAGTAAAGTGGAGTCTATTATGACTTTCACACAATGCATATTTAGAAAGAAGTCAGAAGGAACTTTATTCCAATTAATATTCTATAATAACAGTATGAGATTATTTATTTCTCAGTTCCACAGAACATAGCTTCATGGTTGTGTCCCTTATCCCTAACATGATTCTTGGATACGTTATTTTAAAATATTTGTTAAATGAATAGTAGTAGTCTTTTGCTGTAGGCACTGGCTATAGGTTGACTTGTATCTTCCCAAAATTCATTCTGTTGTAATCCTAACTTTTAATACCTCATAATATGATGCTAAAGATAGGATCTTCATAGAGATTATCAAGTGAAAGTGAATTTATTAGGTTGAGCTCTACTCCAGTATAACTGTGGCCTTATGAGAAGAGGACATTAGGATACAGAGAGAAGCACACAGAGGGAAAGCCATCGGAACATGAAGATAGCCAACTTCAGGCTAAGGAGAAAGGCCTAGAACAGACCCTCTCTTCACAGGCCTCGCAAGGAACCAACTCTGCAGACACCGCAATTTCAAAGTTGTAGCCTCCAGAACTGTGAGACAATGAATTTTTGTTGAGTTAGCCTCCCACTAATACAGCACTATAAGAAGCAGAAATACTTGAAATGAGTAAACAATTAAACCTTTGTTGACTGACAGACTTGCCAAGTTCAGGGAGGGATCAGCATATCCCCTCGGGTTAACTGTGAAATTTGAACCCAGAGCAGCAGATCTCAGTCCCGTGTCAAATCACACTGCTCTAGATATACCACCATGGATACACCACAAGTTATAAGAGATGCCACAATCTGTTTATCTTTAATGTGATTCAGAAGTTGGTGAATAATTTACATCTTAAAAGAAGTTCAGCTGATCCCAAGAAGTGTGATAGTCTAATTCCCAAGATGGAAGAACCCTCAAGCAGGACTACTAAAACAGAAAAATCTGCCAGATAATAGAGAAAAGAATGTAGTTATGAAATTTTAAAATATATTAAAAATCGCAACAGTCTCAGACCCTTTGACATGGGCATAAAAAAACCTGATACACCTCATTACTCTCAGGGGGCATCATTGTGATTACAGCCATCTAGCCAATAGCTCCTGGTGACAGTGCAATCAAAAATTATAAGTTATATTCAGCTTATTTTGTGAAAGACATCAGTAAAATAAGTAATAATACATTTTGAAAAAACTTCCAAGAAGAAGAGTTAAAAATAAAAATCTAGAATTTCAAAGAGCCATCTTTAGTTATATGATAAAATCTGTTATGTGGAAGAGCTCATTCTCTGATATTTCGTTGTTTGTGTTTAACTTTTAACATCGCCCTCTCAGCCCTCTGCCAATAAAGGCAGAATGTGCACTGAATATAGTGTCCCAGTGAATTCGCTGCCCAAAAATATTAGAGTTTATTACATTGCTTTAAGAAAGCAAGACGATATTTTCCAATGAAGGAAAAGATCTGCATTGTACTACATAACACAAACAACGGATAGAAGGGTGAAGAAAGTAGTCAGAGAGGCTAGCAGCTTTCCTGACATTCTTTATTCATACTATTGCCATGGGTTCAGGTATCGTAGACAGGCTTTTTTTTTTTGCCTTAGTAACTTTGTTTGGTATATAAGCAAAAAGAGACAGATAACACCAGCCTGAAGTCTCCAGGAACCAGTGTGGAAAATTCTGCGGTACAGATTTGCTTGACTGAAAATGTATGCATATGTGCTGTGTAAAATTAATGACACTGCTAATTATTTAAATGTTCATAAAATATTCCAACTTCTACTTCCTTCATGTAGAGAGATTTTTTTTTTCAATTCCTGAAATGTGCCATTTTTGAATGAGGGAACAATGACACATATGCCTTTGTATAAGAGTACTAATAATTAACAGACTTTCATTAAGTATAAAATGTATTAAAATATTTACATTTTACCAATAAATTTAAAGGAAATTATTTTAGGATGCATCTGTAAACTCCATCCAAAAATCAAGGATGAAATTAGGGAGAGTTTAATTCTTGCCAGTATGTAGGTATCTAATCAGTCAGTGTTAACTATAAATCCTTATTAAAGGGTTCAATATATCCAGTGTCTTAGTCTTTTCCCCTGAGAAGCAGAGCCTAAGAAGGGCCTTATGTGCAGGTAGTCCTATTTTGGGTCTCAGGGAATAGGAGGGAACTAGAAGGAGTGAAACCGAGAAAGAGTGAAAATCCATTGAAGGATGAGTTAAATAGGGGGTCACAGCTTAGGGCAACTAGAAGCTTATCATGCAGATACTTTTTTAAAGAAGAAATACACCTCAGAATTGTTCACCCAAAGAATAGAAGAAGGAACTTTATTTGCCAGCTACCATCCCCCATTGACCCAGGGTCATCCTACAGAATATTTATTCCCTTGCATTTCTAGGTAATACATGGTTGGGTGTTGGAAGGATCAGGAAGTCAGAGCAGAAGTAGAGGTGAGGTCAGGGTATATATCTACAGGAAAGTGAGCAGGCAGAAATGGAGAAAAAGGTGAGCTAATTGAATGGGAAACAGGGCTAAAGAAGTTTCTAATACATACACTATTTACTTTTTGTGCCAGACATCTGATTTCCATTACTTTGCTTTTCAACAATATTAAATCTTTTGCTGGTAATTAAAAATGGGTAAAAATATTACTTAAATGATAAGTTAGTTTATTATATCCCACAGGTTTCTAATAAAGGATCCAAAGCTTACTAAGACATTACATGTAATAAGTATTGAAAACCAAATATTAATATTAATTAATATTCAATTATTATAGTCATATTTTATCTCCAATAATTCATAGATAAATATGATATATGCAACTTTTACTTACATGTGCTTGCTGGAAAATAGTTATGAAAGGCAGTTGAAAAATCCAATAAAAGAAATCTTTACCAAAGATGATGAAGTGTAATAAAACAAATCCTTAGCACTTAAAATCTGTTGACAAAAATAAATAAAAAGGCAGGGTCTTGCTCTGTCATCCAGGCTGGAGTGTGGTGGCACAGTCATAGCTCAGCTTACTGCAGCTTCCAACTCCTGGGTTCGAGGGATCCTCCTGAGTAGCTGGGTCTGCAGGCACATGCCACCATGCCTGGCTAATTTTTTAATTTTTTGTAGAGATGGGTGGGGTGGGGGGGTTCTCACTATGTTGACTGGGCTTGTCTCAAACTCCTGGCTTCAGGTAATCCTCCCACCTCAGCTTCCCAAAGTGCTGAGATTACAAGTGTGAGCCACCGCAACCAGCCGGGTCCTGGCGTTTTAAAGTTTAAACTTTTTCCCACTTACTAGCAATTCTTGTTTGGGGGTGTCAGGGCCAAGATGATCAAAAAATAATGATAATAGAAATAATAAAGAAAGTAAAGCGGGGTCTAAAATTTGCCAAAATTTTAGGAAATACATTAAAAGAGTTTAAATTATCTGGACCTAATTATCAGTTTACTCCATAACTTGATTCTTAAATACTCTTTGTCTTTAACATTTTATTCATTCAATGACAAAGAATTCTATGAAGAGACAGGTATTATTATCAAAGTCTAATGAAAACAGAGGATACTTTAAATCAGAACTATCTGATAAGAATATTATATAATATATAACAATATATATTATAGATTATATATTATACTATATAAAAATAATATATAATCTGGCTTTGAGTAACAACAATGAATGTCACTGAGACCAGAGCAACCTAAATAAAATGTGCATAACTGACACATTGTAATTGTACATATTTATGGGGTACGATTTGTTGTATATACATATATTTCTGGGTTCTCTGTTGTGTTCTATTGGTCTGTCTATTTTTATGCCAGTACCATGCTGTTTTAGTTTATCTATCTGTATAGTATATTTTGAAGCCAGGTAGTATGATTCCTCCAACTTTGTTCTTTTTGCTCAGGATTGCTTTGATTATTTGGGATTATTTGTGGCTCCATATAAACTTCAGAACCTTATTTTTCTATTTCTGTGAAGAAGTTGGTATTGTCATTGGCATATTGATAGGGATTGCATAAAATCTGTAGATCACTTTGGGCAGCGTAGCCATTTTAACATTATTCATTCTTCCAATGCATGAACACAGGATACCCTACCATTTATTTATCTTTCCTTCTATTTCGTTTATCAGTGTTTTATAGTTTTCAGTGTAGAGATACTTCACCTCCCTGGTTAAGTGCATTAAATAAGCTATTTTAAATACAGAGAACCCTAAGGTTAAGATTGTTTTTATTCTCTAGTGAAGAAGCTCAGAGAGATCTAGGCACTGTTTGTACAAACATTAATTTAGAATACTTAATCTTAGTTTTCATTGATTCAGTTTTTACTCTAGGACTCATATTACAATAGGTAAAGCCATTTGTTGATCACATTCCAGAAAGTGTGGTTTTAGTATATGCAAAACCGCAGACTGACAGAATGTCCTCTGTAAAGCGATATTCTGGGGCTTCTGCAATGAGGATTGCCTTTGTCTAGGCAAATTATTTTAATGATTTTTCTGTTTAGCTGAATCATGTTAAAAAGAAAACTGCGCTGCGTTTTTGAGCTTATTAGAAAAAGTGGCCAAACCCTCAGCCACAAAGATTGTTAGGAATGTTGCAGATCTGTCTCTATCAGATACAACTTTATTTGACACTAAAATTTTAAAGTAAATTATCCAATTTGGTGACTTAATGCTGTGGTCTTACATGCAATGGCCATTTTGGTACTAAAATTAAAGTGGCATGCTATTCTTTTGCGACTTGTAAATATGTATGCAGTAATAATCAAGAAGATGATTTTTCAGAAATGTATCTGTGTAAAATCTATTTTGTGAAGTATCATTGTGACTGTTGCTTCATTGTGACTTATTGTGACTCTTGTGATTTCCAGTAAGTTAGGGAAAAGTTTCTAATCAAAATAAAAATTTTCCTCATAATAAATTAATTTTCCACTTTTTACTTAATTAGTTTCTAAAGTCAAAACAGGAAAAACAAGCACTTTAAAAAAATAAAAAGAGAAGAATCCTTGTTGATTGCATTGAATAAGTGACCTACATGTATAAGCCTTCTTAATAAAGCCACTTTAAGTATAAACATTGTCCTGAAAAATGGTTTCTGCAATACTCATTATAAATCCTCAACGTAATTCTGACTCAACTTCATGTGTGTCAGTTCAGTCTGAAAAGGATGACTTCCTACTGATCCCAGATCAACACTTCAATAAGCTTTAACTGTTCCTGATGACATACAAACTTCTTTTAAGTGTATCGGCATCTCGAGTCCTTCAAAAAGCATGTTGGTAGGAGGTCTGGCAATGCAAAATCATCTCTGAGGATAAAGCATGTGTTTGCTTTGAAGGTTCTCTGCCACTTTCTTTACTTTTTCTTCTTCTCTGGATGCCCCTTATCTACCTTGTCCTATCTTTTGTGTGCCCTTCCTAACACACACACTCTTATACACACGCTTGCATTCGGAAACACACACATATTATACCCCTCTGATTCTACCACAGTGACTATTTCAGCGGCCTCTGAATCTGAGGGATGCTCTTAGTGAATATTTGAAAGTAAAGCATTGTCTGCAACTCTGGGAATTATAACGATTTCCTGATCCCTCTAAAACTCCACTTTTTCTCCTCAGTGTTGGCTGTAATCCTTTCTTTGTTATGCCACAGGAAATATAAGAAATCAAATTAAATTGATTCTTTGAAATGTTTGAGGGCTTATTCTTTTCTTAGGTATTAAAGTGGCTTCATTATTCATTAAATGATACTTTAGAAAGTCCATATGTATTGCTTAGCATTGTGAAATCCTAAATATCTAAATAGCTAATTTCTGTTTGAACAAAGCATTTTCCCCTTAGGCAGAGGCATGGGTCTGCACTGTTGGGTTTATTTTTCAATGTGATTCAAAAGAATAAAAGATCTTCAGAGAGAGCTGCAAAGTAAATTAAAAAACTCTTCAGTAAATCACAAAATTAGGCTATTTCTTGTTGGATCAATATTGCCCTTTTTTAAACTGAGGTATTAGGCTACAAATAATAGTACATCCACCCAGGTGTCTATAGAAGCATTTTAAAAATAATTGTAAGTTTGTCTTTTAGTTCCTTTGGCTCACCATATTAACTAAGCATGCAAAGTACATTTTAACCTTAAAGGAAAGTGGCCCAACAGTCTGCCAATTAAGACTGTATAAATTAGAAACTGACATGCTTCAGAAATAGATAAGCCAGTGTCTGATTCTGGAAGTCTCCCCACTTTTAATACTAGATTGCCAGATGTTCAATCCCATTTACCTTCTACTTTTGATTTAGAACTAATTCTATAAACACTGCTTCATGATTAAACTTTCTCACACAATGCATGATATATATATTGCGTGCCCTTTCTTTGTTTCAGTGTTTCTTTTATTATTATTATTATTATTATTATTATTATTATTATTATTATACTTTAAGTTCTAGGGTACATGTACACAACATGCAGGTTTGTTACGTATGTATACATGTGCCATGGTGGTGTGCTGCAACCATTAACTTGTCATTTACATTAGGTATATCTTCTAATGCTACCCCTCCCCCCTCCCCCCACCCCACAACAGGCCGCGGTGTGTGATGTTCCCCATCCTGTGTCCAAGTGTTCTCATTTTTCAGTTCCCACCTATGAGAGAGAACATGCACTGTATGGTTTTCTGTCCTTGTGATAGTTTGCTCAGAATGATGGTTTCCAGCTTCATCCATCTCCCTACAAAGGACATGAACTCATCCTTTTTACGGCTGCATAGTATTCCATGGTGTATATGTGCCACATTTTCTTAAACCAGTCTATCATTGTTGGACATTTGGGTTGCTTCCAAGTCTTTGCTATTGTGAATAGTGCCACAATAAACTTACGTGTGCATGTGTCTTTATAGTAGCATGATTTATAATCCTTTGGGTATATGCCCAGTAATGAGATGGCTGGGTCAAATGGTATTTCTAGTTGTAGATCCTCGAGGAATTGCCACACTGTCTTCCACAATGGTTGAACTAGTTTACACTCCCACCAACAGTGTAAAAGCATTCCTATTTCTCCACATCCTCTCCAGCACCTGTTGTTTCCTGACTTTTTAATGATCGCCATTCTAACTGGTGTGAGATGGTATCTCATTGTGGTTTTGATTTGTATTTCTCTGATGGCCAGTGATGATGAGCAATTTTTCATGTGTCTGTTGACTGCATAAGTGTCTTCTTTTGAGAAGTGTTTGTTCATATCCTTCGCCTACTTTTTGACGGGGTTGTTTGATTTTTTCTTGTAAATTTGTTTAAGTTCTTTGTAGATTCTGGATATTAGCCCTTTGTCAGATGGGTAGATTGCAAACATTTTCTCCCATTCTGTAGGTTGCCTGTTCACTCTGATGGTAGTTTCTTTTGCTGTGCAGAGGTTCTTTAGTTTAATTAGATCCCATTTGTCAATTTTGGCTTTTGTTGCCATTGCTTTTGGTGTTTTAGACATGAAGTCCTTGCCCATGCCTATGTCCTGAATGGTATTGCCTAGGTTTTCTTCTAAGATTTTTATGGTTTTAGGTCTGAAATTTAAGTCTTTAATCCATCTTGAATTAATTTTTGTATAAGGTGTAAGGAAGGGATCCAGTTTCAGCTTTCTGCATATGGCTAGCCAGTTTTCCCAGAACCATTTATTAAACAGGGATTCCTTTCCCCATTTCTTGTTTTTGTTAGATTTGTCAAAGATCAGATGGTTGTAGATGTGTGGTATTATTTCTGAGGGCCCTGTTCTGTTCCATTGGTCTGTATCTCTCTTTTGGTACCAGTACAATGCTGTTTTGGTTACTGTAGCATTGTAGTATAGTTTGAAGTCAGGTAGTCTGGTGCCTCCAGCTTTGTTCTTTTGGCTTAGGATTGTCTTGGCAATGCGGGCTCTTTTTTGTTCCATATGAACTTTAAAGTAGTTTTTTTCCAATTCTGTGAAGAAAATCATTGGTAGCTTCATGGGGATGGCATTGAATCTATAAATTACTTTGGGCAGTATGGCCATTTTCATGATATTGATTCTTCCTGTCCATGAACATGGAATGTTCTTCCATTTGTTTGTGTCCTCTTTTAATTTGTTGAGCAGTGGTTTGTAGTTCTCCTTGAAGAGGTCCTTCACAACCCATGTAAGTTGGATTCCTAGGTATTTTATTCTCTTTGAAGCAATTGTGAATGGGAGTTCACTCATGATTTGGCTCTCTGTTTGTCTGTTATTGGTGTATAGGAATGCTTGTGATTTTTGCACATTGATTTTGTATGCTGAGACTTTGCTGAAGTTGCTTATCAGCTTAAGGAGATTTTGGGCTGAGACAGTGGGGTTATCTAGACATACAATCATGTCATCTGCAAACAGGGACAGTTTGACTTCCTCTTTTCCTAAGTGAATACCCTTTATCTCTTTCTCCTGCCTGATTGCCCTGGCCAGAACTTCCAACACTATGTTGAATAGGAGTGGTGAGAGAGGGCATCCCTGTCTTGTGCCAGTTTTCAAAGGGAATGCTTCCAGTTTTTGCCCATTCAGTATAATACTGGCTGTGGGTTTGTCATAAATAGCTATTATTATTTTGAGATACATTCCATCAATACCTAATTTATTGAGAGTTTTTAGCATGAAGGGTTGTTGAATTTTGTCAAAGGCCTTTTCTGCATCTATTGAGACTATCATGTGGGTTTTGTCTTGGGTTCTGTTCGTATGATGGATTATGTTTATTGATTTATGTATGTTGAACCAGCATTGCATTCCAGGGATGAAGCCCACTTGATCATGGTGGATAAGCTTTTTGATGTGCTGCTGGATTCGGTTTGCCAGTATGTTATTGAGGATTTTTGCATCAATGTTCATCAGGGATATTGGTCTAAAATTCTCTTTTTTTGTTTTTTCTCTGCCAGGCTTTGGTATCAGGATGATGCTGGCCTCATAAAATGAGTAAGGGAGGATTCCCTCTTTTTCTACTGATTGGAATAGTTTCATAAGTAATGGTACCAGCTCCTCTTTGTACCTCTGATAGAATTCAGCTGTGAATCCATCTGGTCATGGACTTTTTTTGGTCAGTAGGCTCTTCATTATTGCCTCAATTTCAGAGCCTGCTATTGGTCTATTCAGGAATTCAACTTTTTCCTGGTTTAGTCTTGGGAGGGTGTATGTGTCCAGGAATTTATCCATTTCTTCTAGATTTTGTAGTTTATTTGCATAAAGGTGTTTATACTATTCTCTGATGGTAGTTTGTATCTCTACGGGATCAGTGGTGATATCCCCTTTGTCATTTTTTATTGTTCTATTTGATTCTTCTCTCTTTTCTTCTTTATTAGTCTGCTAGCTGCCTATCAATTTCATTGATCTTTTCAAAAAACCAGTTCCTGGATTCATTGATTTTTGAAGGGTTTTTTGTGTCTCTTTTTCCTTCAGTTCTGCTCTGATCTTAGTTATTTCTTGACTTCCGCTAGCTTTTGAATGTGTTTGCTCTTGCTTCTCTAGTTCTTTTAATTGTGATATTAGGGTGTCAATTTTAGATCTTTCCTGCTTTCTCTTGTGGGCATTTAGTGCTATAAATTTCCCTCTACACACTGCTTTAAATGTGTCCCAGAGATACTTGTATGTTGTGTCTTTGTTTTCACTGGTTTCAAAGAACATCTTTATTTCTGCCTTCATTTCTTTATGTACCCAGTAGTCATTCAGGAGCAGGTTGTTCAGTTTCCATGTAGTTGAGCGGTTTTGAGTGAGTTTCTTAATCCTGAGTTCTAGTTTGATTGCACTGTGGTCTGAGAGACAGTTTGTTATAATTTCTGTTCTTTTACATTTTCTGAGGAGTGCTTTACTTCCAACTATGTGGTCAGTTTTGGAATAAGTGCGACATGGTGCTGAGAAGAATGTATATTCTGTTGATTTGGGGTGGAGAGTTCTGTAGATGTTTATTAAGTCCACTTGGTGCAGAGCTGAGTTCAATTCCTGGATATCCTTCTTAACTTTCTGTCTCATTGATCTGTCTAATGTTGACAGTAGGATGTTAAAGTCTCCGATTATTATTGTGTGGGAGTCTAAGTCTCTTTGTAGGTCTCTATGGACTTGCTTTTTGAATCTGGGTGCTCCTGCATATATATTTAGGATAGTTAGCTCTTCTTGTTGAATTGATCCCTTTACCATTATGTAATGGCCTTTTTTGTCTCTTCTGATCTTTGTTGGTTTAAAATCTGTTTTATCAGAGATTAGGATTGCAATCCCTGCTTTTTTTTTGTTTTCCATTTGCTTGGTAGATCTTCCTCCATCCCTTTATTCTGAGCCTGTGTGTCTCTGCACGTGAGATGGATCTCCTGAGTATAGCACACTGATGGGTCTTGACTCTTTATCCAATTTGCCAGTCTGTGTTTTTTAATTGTAACATTTAGCCCATATACATTTAAGGTTAATATTGTTATGGGTGAATTTGATCCTGTCATTATGATGTTAGCTGGTTATTTTGCTCCTTAGTTGATTCAGTTTCTTCCTAGCATTGATGGTCTTTACAATTCGGCATGTCTTTGCAGTGGCTGGTAACGGTTGTTCCTTTCCACGTTTAGTGCTTCTTTCAGGAGCTCTTGTAAGGCAGGCCTGGTGGTGACAAAATCTCTCAGCATTTGTTTGTCTGTAAAGGATTTTATTTCTCTTTCACGTATGAAGCTTAGTTTGGCTGGATATGAAATTCTGGGTTGAAAATTCCTTTCTTTAAGCATGTTGAGTAGTGGCCCCCACTCTCTTCTGGCTTGTAGAGTTTCTGCCGAGAGATCAGCTGTTAGTCTGATGGGCTTCCCTTTGTGGGTAACCCAACCTTTCTCTCTGGCTGCCCTTAACATTTTCTCCTTCTTTTCAACTTTGGTAAATCTGACAATTATGTGTCTTGGAGTTGCTCTTCTTGAAGAGTATCTTTGTGGCATTTTCTGTGTTTCCTGATTTCAATGTTGGCCTGCCTTGCTAGGTTGGGTAAGTTCTCCTGGATAATATCCTGAAGAGTGTTTTCCAACTTGGTTCCATTCTCCCTGTCACTTTTACGTACACCAATCAGACGTAGATTTGGTCTTTTCACATAGTCCCATATTTCTTGGAGGCTTTGTTCATTTCTTTTTACTCTTTTTTCTCTAAACTTCTCTTCTCGCTTCATTTCATTCATTTGATCTTCCATCACTGATACCCTTTCTTCCAGTTGATCAAATCGGCTACTGAAGCTTGTGCATTTGTCACGTAGTTCTCATGCCATGGTTTTCAGCTCCATCAGGTCATTTAAGGTCTTCTCTAAGCTGGTTATTCTAGTCAGCCATTCGTCTAATCTTTTTTCAAGGTTTTTAGCTTCTTTGTAACGGGTTCAAACATCCTCCTTTAGCTCGGAGAAGTTTGTTATTACCGATCGTCTGAAGCCTTCTTCTCTCAACTTGTCAGTCATTCTCCGTTCAGCTTTGTTCCATTGCTGGCGAGGAGCTACATTCCTTTGGAGGAGAAGAGGTGTTCTGATTTTTAGATTTTTCATCTTTTCTGCTCTGTTTTTTCCCCATCTTTGTGGTTTTATTTACCTTTGGTCTTTGATGATGGTGACGTACAGATGGGGTTTTGGTGTAGATGCCCTTTCTGTTTGTTAGTTTTCCTTCTAACAGTCAGGACCCTCAGCTGCAGGTCTGTTAGAGTTTGCTGGAGGTCCACTCCAGTCCCTGTTTGCCTGGGTATCACCAGCGGAGGGTGCAGAACAGTGAATATTGCAGAACGGCAAATGTTGCTGCCTTATCGTTCTTCTGGAAGCCTCGTCTCAGAGGGGCACCCAGCCAGATGAGGTGTCAGTCGGCCCCTACTGGGAGGTGCCTTCCAGTTAGGCGACTCGGGGGTCAGGGTCCCACTTGAGGAGGCAGTCTCTCCGTTCTCAGATCTCAAACTCCGTGCTGGGAGATCCACTACACTCTTCAAAGCTGTCAGACAGGGACCTTTAAGTCTGCAGAAGTTTCTGCTCCTTTTGTTCAGCTATGCTCTGCCGTCAGAGGTGGAGTCTACAGAGGCAGGCAGGCCTCCTTGAGCTGCGGTGGGCTCCACCCAGTTCGAGCTTCCCAGCTGCTTTGTTTACCTACTCAAGCCTCAGCAATGGTGGGCGCCCATCCCCAAGCCTTGCTGCCGCCTTGCAGTTCGATCTCAGACTGCTGTGCTAGCACTGAGCAGGGCTCCATGGGCGTGGGACCCTCTGAGCCAGGTGCAGAATATAATCTCCTGGTGTGCCATTTGCTAAGACTGTTGGAAAAGTGCAGTATTAGGGTGGGAGTGACCCAATATTCCAGGTGCTGTCTGTCACGGCTTCCCTTGGCTAGGAAAGGGAATTCCCCAACCCCTTGTGCTTCCCGGGTGAGGCGATGCCTCACCCTGCTTCAGCTCACAGTCAGTGGGCTGCATCCACTGTCCTGCACCCACTGCCGGACAAGCCCCATTGAGACGAACCTGGTACCTCAGTTGGAAATGCAGAAATCACCCATCTTCTGTGTCTCTCATGGTGGGAGCTGTAGACTGGAGCTGTTCCTATTCGGCCATCTTGGAACCTCCCCCAGTGTTTCTTTTTGATTTCATTCTTTTTATTGTTGCATTCATTTTTTCTTCACATTATTATTATATAAAAATCAACTCAACACTATTTTTATCTCCTCTTCTTAAATTAGTGGTGAAGAAATTCCAGTTTTGTTATTAGTTCAAGATGCTGATTTTCCTAACCAAATGTAATTGAATCTGTATGCAGAAATATCTCAAGAAGCTACCTTTGCTCAAAACTATATCTGCATCATTGTTAAATGTAATTTCAAGTATAAAATTTAGTAATGTAAGTTCATGGCATGGTTTACTCTTTTCTCTGTACCTGTGATCTTACGCTGCTTTCCACATTGTGTCAGCCTGTGAACTGTCTATTCTGATGTATATGTTAGGAGGCTGCAAAAGTAATTGTGATTTTTGCCATTACTTTTATGGCAAAACCCACAATTACTTTTGCACCAAACATATATATATAATTATATATTTTATATTATAAATTATATAATGTATAAGATATTATAATATTATATATTTTATATTATAAATTATATAATGTATAAGATATTATAATATATATTTTATATATATGCACATGTAATATTGCTGCACTACACACCATCATCAAAGTTTGTTAGGTTTATTGCTCATGATTCTGAACGTCATGGAACTGGGCCAGGCTCAGCATATTTGGTATGTCTCTCCTGATGACAGCTGCCATGGTTCTTCTGGGAGCCAAGCATCACCACAATAAAATGGATGTACTGGCTATTGTCTGGGATGCATTGATTTTCCTCCATATGGCCTCTTACTCTCTTCATATGGTCTGTCATGATTAGACAGTCTAGCCCAAGTTCTATGTTTGGTAGCTTACTTTCAAAAATGAATACAGCAGTGCAAGACCTTGGTAAGCTTAAACTAAGAACTGATATAATAACACTTCTGCTGAAATCTACCGGTCAAAGCAAGTCACAGACCCAGTCCAGCTTTAAGTAGTAGGTAAAAATAACCTAATTCTTGATTGGTGCATTGATATAGGTATACAGGATGAAGAAATTGTTGGTGACCTTCTTTGCAGCCAATCCATCATAGTATATATGCATATATTAAATTGTCGTTTTCTAAATGATTTATTTTTGCTGGTCTGTAGAAGTGCAATTTTAAAATATTGACTTTGTATCTAGTGACCTTCCTAAATTTATTAATTCTAACAGTTGTCAGTAGATTCTTCAGGCTAGATAGACAATTATATTTCTTTATGTGCTGTGAAAGAAAGCCTCTTTTGTTTTTAATTAATTTTGATTTTAGTTAGTCACCCTTAGCCTTTCACCGTTTTTCTCCATTGCATAATTGGCATTTATCAGAAGCCTTCTGATTCTATTATCTTTGTAATTAGTAGTATCCCTAAATTCTCAAAAACCTGAGAGATTGTACAAGCAACAGCATTTTCTTCTACATGTCATCCCACCCCACTTCACCCCAGTGAACTATGGAATTTCTACACAATGCCGTGGGCTATTCAGCACTTCACCTTCAACCAGTGACCGTTGCCAGCCAGCTGGTAGGTTGACAGATTCCAAAATCCCATTTTAGTGTTTGCTTCTTTCGAACATTACCAGCACCAACTGTCTTAGTTTCCCAGGAAA
Organism: Homo sapiens; assembly: GCF_000001405.40. NCBI lineage: Eukaryota > Metazoa > Chordata > Mammalia > Primates > Hominidae > Homo > Homo sapiens. The sequence continues at coordinate 9,424,299 of NC_000009.12, read as the reverse complement.
TAGACTCTGAGATAAGAATTTGGGGAGTGCCCTCAGCATTAGCATTTATATAAGGAGTAAAGAAGTCTGAATGGGCAGAGAGAGAAGTAAAACTGTGATGAAGTGGCAACAAATTTTTCAGCCATTCCACGGGCAGCTCTGGAGCTAGGATGTCCCTTCAAGTGGTCCAGATCTTCATGTCATTGCATCAACTAGTCACTGGATGTCAACAGCCTTCCAAGATGGAATGCAGCCTTGAGCAAAATATATATCTTTGGCTAAGGAAAATTCCTAGAGTAGGATTTGGCCAAGGGGCTTGAGTTGCCAATACTTCCAGCACTTGGGAGAATGACTGCCTTAATCTTGGAGTGGTGCATTATAGAATCCACTCTGCTAGGATTCCAGCTAAAAGTATGTTAGACCTTTTCATTGTTTCTCGTAAGTTTTGTATTTTTTTCTGCATTATTTATTCTTTTCTTCTCTGTATATCAACTAGAATATTTTGTACTGCTTTATGTTTCAAATCACCAATTCCCTCTTCAATTCTGTCTAATATGGAATTTAACTTATTCATTGGGTTCTTAATTATAGTTACTGCAGTTTTTTGCATTTTAGAATTTTTGTTTGATTATTTTTCATAGATTCCATTTCTCTGATGCAGTTATCTCTGTTGCCATCCTGACTATTTTAACACATTTACTTTCAGTGCGTATCTGGAAATTCTAATATTTGTATCACTTATGAGTATGTTTCTGTTGTCTCTTATTCTCACGGCATTTTTTGTATGCCTGGTGATATTGCATTTAATTCTCTACCCTAGGTTGTCATACAAAATATCATTAACTGGGTAGCTTTAACAACAGGAATTTATTCCTCAAATCCTTGAGGCTGAGAAGTCCAAGATCAAGAGGCTGGCTGATTCAGTTTCCTGGTGACAGGTCCCTTCTTGGATTGCAGAAGGCTGCCTTTTTGCTCTGTACTTGTGTAGTGGAGAGAAAGAGAACCCTGGTCTCTTATTCTGTGATTATAAGGATACTAACCTCATCTAAACCTAATTAACTTCCAAAGCCCCATCTCCAAATACCATCATGTTGGGGGTTAAGGCTTCATTTCGAGGAGGACACAAACCTTCATTTCATATACTGGACATTGTGTGAAAAACTGTAGAAGCTACAGAGAAGATTCACTCTATCTTCTAGCAGGCAGATGGAGTAGAATCAGAATATATCCCTCCAAACAAGAACTTCATGAGGAAGAGGATGAGGTTTAGAATTTTCAAAGTCTAGACTCAGCTTTGTTCTGGTTTCCCCAAACTTTGTGTTATACGCCAAGAGGGACCCAACTAAGGGCCTGACATGTTTATCAGGGACTCTCCTTCCTTATGGGCTCTCAAATCTAATTTTTGTGTCTGTAACAACTTAAAGGTGCCAGCAGCTCCAGTCAGCTTTTCAGCTCCTTGTTTGTTTAGGTTCATAGCCTTTTACCTTGTAAGGCTTAAGAACTGCAAAGGTCTCAAGGAAAACTATCTCAAAGAGCTGGGCTAACTCCTGGGTTCCTCTCTTCTCTCGTCAGGATCTCAATCCCTCAATTCGTAGCTATCTTAATAGATATACACCCTAACTTTTTGTCTCCCTAGCTATTTGACAGTGCAGAAAGCTCTACCAGCTTCTGTTGGTGGCAGCGTCTATCTGACATCACTGTCTCTACCTGGTAACTGCTTAAGAAAATAGCTCATGTCCCAAGGAGAAAAATGGACAGTATTTATGTATGTCTTACGTCCAATGAATTTACCGTCCTTCCGGGATCTTTGTCCTAACATCCTAGCAAGCTCAAAGCTCTCCAGTGCTTTAAAAAAATGCTTCTTTGTCTGTGTGTATTTTAATAAAGATTTTCTAGTAGCTCTAAGCAGGTGATTGGTCTACTACAAGCTACTCCATCATAGCTAGAAATGAAAATAATGCAACTCATATTTTGATTTTCACTTCACACCCCCTTCTTTATGATAGTATAATGGCTAAGAACCAAGAATTAAATCGTACAGAACTGGGACCTTAGCTGTGTGACCTGGAGCAAGCTACTTAACCTCTTTGTGCCCTTCGTGTCTCAGCTTTCTCATCTTTAAAATAAAGATAATAATTGTACTTATCTCACATATTTGTGAATAGTGAACAAAGCGATGCATACAAAGCTCTTAGTGTAGTACCAATCACACAGTACACACTCAAAACATGTTTACAGATATTCTCAAATATGTGACTTAAATACCTGTCCATAGATGTCAAAAGCTTTCATTACTCCTTCACATTCTTTACTGTTTTTTTGTTTTTTTTTTCAATACTGGTGTCACTTACAGTTTTTGTTTGTGTTATTGTTGTTTGTTTGTTTGTTTTTTATTCTCCATTCTTTTCCATCAATCTGGATCAGACTTTCATTTCCCATCAATATACTATCTCTGAGCATCATTTCATCATCAGGGAGAAGAAAGAATTATTGAGTGCACACCATGTGCCAAGAATGTGCCAGGACTGCTGAGACGCCAGTGTCAAATCCTATTAGCTACAATACCAAACGAGCTTTTCAATAAGGGTACAGCTGACTGTATTGCATGAATATTTTCTTTTGGTTAGTATCATTTTCACCTTTGGCCAGTTCAGTGTTCATTATAAAATGATGTGACAAACCTCTATTAAAATAGAACATTAAATCCCAAGTGGTGTATTGCTAAGCCAGAGGCATGGGGTGTATTTCTAAGTTCAGATTATCTTCTGCCCAGAACAAAGAATAAGAAAACACTTTTGTTGTATTTGAAATTGGCAGTACCACAGGTGAGGCACACAAAGACATTTCAAGCAATTCAAATCTTAACAACTCGTTTTCAGAAATATTTTATGGTTTAGTCAGTCTTAGTCTTTCTCGTGATTCCTAAGAAATAGGGAGAGAGAAATAATTTGGAATTATATATTTAATTTTTTTATTATTTTGACGTGCATATTTCCTGTTTATATTGTATGTAACACTGGTATAATTTTTTTTTTTTCACAAAGACAGTACTATTACTTGCTACTTAGGGACTTTTTAGAATTAAAGTGTTTTTATTTTAGAAATAATATTTAGTGTTTGTTAAAGGCAATATATAAAGGCAGGGCCATTGTTTATGGCTCTCGAGGTTATGGATGGGACAACTCTAAGTAGCATCATCAACTGTTAGACCTCATAAATTGTATATTTACAAATATGTAATTGACCATTAAACTTGTCAGTTTTCTGATAGATGGAAGTAAAGTGTTTGCAGAAGCTGTGTATTTTTCTATTATGGACAAGGCATGCACAACCAAATGGCAGCCTTATGAAGGCATAAAATATTGAAGAGATATCACAAAAATTATACCACTGAGAAAAAAGACCACTGTTAAGGACTGGTCAAATATTTTAACAAATTATCTGCATTTATGAAAAGATATTTTTTCTTTACAAATATATAGATACATAAGTGAAATCACTGCTATTTGGTGACTTGATATACTGTTTTTTAATAATTTAATCGATCATGGGCATCTTTCCATGTCATAAATATTGAGCTACATAATTATTTTGGTGGTTATGTTGTACGTCGTCATATACATGCAGAGGTGAGTACTTTATTTGCTCAGTGTCATCAATGGATATTTGTTGTTTCCAACTTTCACTAATACAAAGAAGCTTGCATTAAACATTCAGTGCACACACATATTTGTATAACTATCTGAACTGTTTTCAAACCAAATTGTTAGACCCAAAGTTATTCACATTTGTAAAATTTTGATTTGTATTCCCCGATTACAGTGTAGGTATTTTAAAATATAATGGCAGTAGTATAGAAGTACTACTTTAAGAACTATCACCAATATGTGCTAGAACCTATCATGATAAACAATAGGGGAGGCAGTAACAGCTAGTTGAACACACATAGAAATCCTTTACTACCTATTTTCAGCAATGAAGAAATATGCTTTATATTTTAAAAGTTTACTAAATATTTGCTGTTCATTAGATAAAGCTAATCTTGTGAAAACTAAAATAGTTTACACTTCAGATCCACTACAGAATATTAGTTGATATTTTGTTTGTGTCAATTAAAATTATAGTTATTTTCTAAAATATTAAGCTTTATAGTGATTAATCTGTTGATAATTTTGGGTAAACTTTAACAAGGAGAAATTTTATAAATATTATAGTGTCTGGTAGTCATTACACTATGTGCATTTTAAAAGATCAGTTTAACTTGGTTACAGAATTTTAAAAATATATATATTTTTTCTGTAACCTGGGAGTAACTACCTTTCCTTACCATCAAAATTTAGATATTACATATGAAAGTCTTACGTCGGTGCTGGATCAAAGATAATTAAAAGTATTTTGATGTTATACTTTGTTCAGTTGTTGATAAATAAAGCAAAATGCTTTATATATCTATAAAATATTTTTCTTAAATGCATATGATATTAAGTGTTTAATATGTTTACATACAAAAGTCTAATAATTACATTTTGTTTTCCTTGCAGTCATCTTTATAATGAATTTCTTGCTGTTAATGAACACAATAATGAAGGCAAATTGTAATTTTGCCATCTGTGTTAATGTAGGTCCAGCCATGAAAAGTCCTTGACAAATTCCAGTAACTAATAAACTGGGTTTTATATTTCTTATAATATCAAAAACATGAACAAAGAAAGGATGATATACTGCTTCTGTTAAAGTTTATAAACAATATACATATTGGGGCTTTTCTTAAACTGTTTACTTCTAAGCAGAATTATAGGTTTCCCAAACCTTCCCAACATCATGGACCTGATTTTACATTGTTAATTATTTCTGAAAGAGATAATATTACTTTCACTTATCAAGTAACTAAAATAAAACTGTTGAAGAGTCATTAATATAACCCTACAGTATTTCTATTAAATATGACTAGACAAATAAATCATAAGCTATTTTAAAACCAGCTACTCCTATTTTGTTGTTTAGAAATAGCTTGATTAAATCTGATAGAATTTTTAATTATCTGAATATATTATTCTTTCTTACAATGAGACTGTCTTCATTTTCCAGGTATATGTCATTATGTTACAGATAAATGATACAGACTATATTTAGCTTTATATATATATATCATGCTTGTGTGTGTGTGTGTGTGTGTGTGTGTGTGTGTGTGTATAAGGGGCCTATCTTTAGAATTCATAAAACTAAGCTTACCCAGTTGTACAATAGAATACTCTTGTAGCATCTTCATATGTGTGTTCTCATTCAATTTTTGCACAAAATATTCTGCAAAATTAAGCCCTGATGATCATTTATTGCTTATCTAGAAAGTCGTTTCCTTCTCCACTACACTCTTTCTGCTTATTAAAACAAACTTGCTTATCAACTAAAAGCCCAATTCAAATAACCTTTCTTTCTAGCACATATCCTTTTGAAGTTCCATGCAAAATTAATCATTTCTTCTCTTGTACTCTTAAACCAGTCTGGTTCAAATATAGTGATATTGCTACTGATCAAATTTTAGGCCTGATCTCACTTTCAATGCTCAAGAGCAAAGACTATGTCTAATCCATATTTGTATAGACAGTAAATGGATAAATGAATGAGTTGCTCAGGTATCTTATGATGTAGACATTAAGAACACTTGTAGCCAATAGTATGTATGCTATCTCATTTAAACTTCACAACATCTTGCTGAGGCAGGTAATAGCATGGCCATTTTACAGATAAGAAAATTGAGATACGAAATAGCTAGGTCGCTTTCAAAAGTTGCAAGGCTAATAACTAGAAAATGTTGGATAAGTCAGTCTACTGCCAGTCCCCATGTTAATGAATGTCTCTCACTGAAGATTAATCTTCAAATAAGAGCTCTTATTGTCATTAATATAAGGTGCAAGAGATATTTAAATCCTAACATGACCAGTGAGTTATGTCGGTTTTCTCTAGTACTAATCTCCACATGGCTAACTCTGGGCTAGATTCATTTTAGACATAAGAAACTATGAATAACCATCAGGATGCCTAAGCAGAAAACCCAGTTGGCCTTCTCAAGAAGTGAATGGATCCATTCAGAAATACATCATTGAGCATTTCCTTCATGCTTAACACTTTGCCAGGCACCCAGAGGCAATGTGAAAGTTGTTCTGTTCTAAAGGATCTGAAAATGAGATGCCATGCAAGTCTTATGTATGTGGATTGAAGTTGAAAAGATGCTCTTACACAGATGAGAAAGGATAAACAAAAGCTGTAGGACTCAGAACATTTCATAGAGAAAACGAATTTTTAGAGAATTTGAGTGGAGAGTAGCGAAAACTTTTCAGGTGAAACCAAAATCAGATGACAATTGGAAACAGGATCTAATTGGATATTTTATCAACAGAAAAGAGAAATGAAGGATTTATTTGCCTTTTCCAGTATGAAATGAAATGATTTCACATTATATTTGATTAGCATAGGTATGTTCAAAGTGCTTTCACAATATTTTATTTAATCCTGACACAAAGTCTTAAAAATTGGCAAGTTGATCTCATTTTATAGATGACAAAACTTGAGTTTTGAAGAGGTTAAATGACTTTCTAAATGCAATTTTAAAAAAATAGACTAGCATTTCCCATGTCACTACAAATACTGCTACTTCCAGATAATTTTATGTGCTTTTAATCAAGTTTTGTTGTGACTATAATTTTTTAACTCAACTTCCCTCAGGTTTCTTTCAATTTTTTTAAGACCCTGAGTTCAAACTAAATATGATGGCTAATTAGAAAGAATGAACTGGAGTTTTTTAGAATTGGAGGCATCAAAGCAAAATTGTCCCCTCCTTAGCAAGGAGAACATGCAGCTGTTCCAAATGTTTTTGGATTTGCACAGACCCAAAATAAGTATGCTTGTGATAGAACACAAACCTCTAAGGTTTTTACTTGAATCTGTTGTTTGCATGTAAAATTAGAATTGATTTTAACATAATGGAAAATTATTGATGTTTGTGGAATGAATCTATATCAATCTGAATTTATTTTACCTCAGACTTTAAGATTAAAACTCTAATTTTACCAAGCAGATTAACATTCCATTTAAATTTGTATCTGTGACAGCTTTCCCTAAATGCCTTAAAAATAACAGTCTGCTTCTGTAGCACCAATTTTATAGCTGAAGCAAGTGAAACTTAAAAATGGCTGCCTTATGTGTCCGCCAAAGAATGGGATAACAGCTTCATTAACCCCGAAATTGAAGATTATGCTTGGAAGGGGAAGCAGTATATCCAGGTTTTTGTTCATTGGTTTATTTTGTTCACTGATCTTACTTGGTATACATAAGCTGTTAGTAGAAACCCAGATTAACTATGAGTGCAGCAGACACAATTTATATTGTGAAAGTACTTGTATTGAGGGAAAAAAACAAATATTTTCCCAGTGAACATCTGAAAATTGTGAAATAATAGGTCTTACAGGAAATGAGAACAGGATTTGAACCAACAGAAGCTGGTTTATGGCTTTATTCTGCTAGTCACCATGTGACTTTGAAAAAGTCATCGGGCCAAGTAGTGTCTGAGTATTCCTGCCTATCAAATGGGTAGAACAACAATAGATTGAATGAATAGTACAAATAAGTCATGGAAGACAGATATTCTTAGGAGAAAGCAGAGCATGTTAAAGTCCTGAGGAAAAGGGAGAGCACGTCCTTGAGCATATTGTGGAAGTGGAGAATAAGGCAAGGAATAACATTAGAGAGGAAACCAGAAACCAACTAAGTTAGAGCCTTAAAAGCCACACAAAGGAATTGGACGTGTTCTGACAGCAATAACATTCACCGAGCACGCTCTGTTCACAAGGCAGTGTTATCAATTTATATACATTATTTAATTATCATAAACTCCCCATGAGGAAACCAAGGATCAGAGAGGACATGAGGCTCATTAAAGAGCACAGCTATTAAGTGGGAGAGCTGGGACTCAAATCACATTCTGTCTTATTTCAAAATCAAGACTTACCCACTCATAACACTGCATGGAAAGATTTCAAACCCAACCATGAGACGATCAGATTTTCATTTTAGAATGAGTTCTCTAATTTCAGACAAGAGAACCGATCTGGGGAAGAGGCCTAATTGAAGACAGATGAGTTGGGAAGTTGATTCAGCCATCTAGAAATGAGAGGATGGAAGCTGGAAGTAGGACAGAAGCAATGCCCTCAAGAGATATTTAGAAGACAGAATCAACTGGACTTGGCAATTTATTAGGTAAAGGTGAGAAGAGAAAAGCAGGAGACGAGAATGCACCCAGTTGTTTGTTTTTTAAAAACATTTCCTACATCTATCCTATCCTGTAAATAAACTTAGACATTACTCACTGTTACTCAAAAGCACTCTGCTTTTTTTCCTTCTGGGACTTCAATGATGCTCTGTCCTCCCTGGAAAAGAAGTGCTTGCTACCCCGTCCTACCCGACTAACCGGGACAATGAAATCAATCTTTCCTGCTTTTAAAGGCTTTTCTTGCTCTTCTAAACACTTGTATCTTTCACTTCCACTACTGAAATACTCATATCTCTCAGTGTCTCTATTAAAGAACAGATTGAGAACTACTTGAGTACTTTTTTTCACCTTAAATTTACTGGGTCAAAAATTTTGTCCTATTACTAATCCCTAAAGGGTAATCTTATGGCTTTTTGTACAGGTTAGGTATTAAATCAGTGTCTGTTGAATTTATATTCAGTTGCTTATAAGGGAATGAAGTGAGATCCACTAATTTAGCAAACATTTTAATTCTTGGCTCATAAATCTCATTAGAGAGGGTTTTTTAAAATTTTTTTATTTTATTTATCTATTTTATTTTTGAGACAGGGTCTTGCTCTGTCATCCAGGCTGGAGTGCAGTGGCGCATTCTTGGCTCACTGAAACCTCTGTTTCTAGGGGTCAGGTAATTCTTGTGCCTCAGCCTCCCAAGTAGCTGGGATTACAGACACATGCCACCACACCTGGCTAATTTTTGTATTTTCAGTAGAGATGGAGTTTTGCCTTGTTAGCCAGTCTGCTCTCAAACTCCTAGCCTCGAGATCTGCCCGCCTTCGTCTCCCAAAGTGCTGGGATTACAGGAAGAGAGGTCTTTTTTATGCCATCTGAAGGAACTCTGTGACTCATAACCCCTGTTTTTCTCTATCTCATTTCTGTGTTTTACTTCCTGCATAGCAGTTATTGCTATCTGAGCAAGACTGACTACATAATTACACAATACTTAATAAACAAGTACGTAATTAGGTCCAGTTCAAAATGCAATGAAAATGCAGTCCTCTCGTTAAAAGTTATAAAGAGTTTCAGGAAGGCAAAAGTAAAGCATTAAGCCAAGTGTGTGGCCCTTCTAAAGTCAGAGCCCTGTGTGATCACATACGTCATATGCCCATAATGTTGGCCAGCAGGTAATTATCTTTTAAATTTTATGTGTTTCTATTTCTTTCATGTCTCTCCCTCTTTCCATTCAACTCCATAGAAAAAGGGAGCATGCCTGTCTTATTCTCAGTGCCTCATGGGAAATAAAAGATTGGGAGATGATAGCTACCTGGTAAGTATTTGTTGATTAAAGAATTATTTTAGGTTTGAGTCTCACATTCTGAAATTCTTGAGGGTAAATTGTCCTGTCAAAACTTTCTTCCATGTAATTTGATATGATGGTTCTAATCTTGCAACACAGTGTATCTAAGAGATGATGAAGATGGGTTGGTTTGTTTGTTTTTAATTAAAAACCAACACTCACCATGTTGAATAGAGCTGATTATTATCCCTAGGATATATCCCTGGACTAAACGTACCAGGAAGACTCAATTACCACCACCTCCTTAAGGCCGTCCTTCCCTAAATGTATTTGATATTCTGTAGCCAATAATTTTAAGGATATTGCTACTCATTCTACTCAGTACCTATTTTTTGATGCAAAGACCTTAATTCTCCATCCTTGCCAATCTTGCCTCTTTCAAAAGCATTGAATCAACTTTTATGAAGGAAAAGAAAGAACCTGACTGAACACAGTGAGAGGTTAATTTAAGCTATTGTTTCTGTGACATGGTACTATTCCACTAAGTGTAATATCTTCATCAGATGGAATTCAAAACTTTAAGGGAAAAGAATTATTGCCTTTCAGGCACTCAGAATACCTTTTGAGATGTATGTGAAAAAGATAATTGAAGAGTTTGGATTGTCCTTTGAGAAGATGTCAGGAGAGAGTTTGAACCCAATCAAACGTTGTTTTAAATAATAGGAGGTGAATTCTCAATAGAGCTATGCAATACTCATTTCTAAAGGAAAAAGAAAAAAGGTGTTGCAAGGGAAAATTCTACTCTTTCCCTGAAAATTCTCTCAGTTTTATAAATGTGGATTCATTCCCTAAAGTCCAAAATTGGACTGGTATCAGTAATTATGTATTACATGTAAAGGGCAAACTCACTGTGAAATATAATACCACCTGTCATTTATTAAGTGACTGTCATGTGGCAGACAGTGTGATTACTACTTTAAAAATGTTATCTAATTTTATCTTAACAATCCTCAGAGACAGATATCCCTCTCCTGTGCTTTACAAGTAAGGAAATCAGAGCTTAAAGAAACTTTATGTATTGACCAAGTTCATAAAGTTTAAAAAGGACAGAACCAAGATTGCCACCAATGTTCAGCTGATAAACAAATAGGTGATATGGGCTCATAGACTTTTTCAAAACAGAGAGTTTATATAATTTCTAGTTTGGTTTTCTTTGTTTTTTTGGATAATGATGAATAAGCCTTTAATAATAAAATTCTGACAGCATAGTCCATTATAAGGTTCCATTTAATTGTATTTGTGCAAATCATTTCTTGCTTATTACTAACCAGTTAAATGTAGAAACATGATTTAAAATAAGAAGCTGCAGGCCGGGCGCGGTGGCTCACGCCTGTAATCCCAGCACTTTGGGAGGCCGAGGCGGGTGGATCATGAGGTCAGGAGATCGAGACCATCCTGGCTAACAAGGTGAAACCCCGTCTCTACTAAAAATACAAAAAATTAGCCGGGCGCGGTGGCGGGCACCTGTAGTCCCAGCTACTCGGGAGGCTGAGGCAGGAGAATGGCGTGAACCCGGGAAGCGGAGCTTGCAGTGAGCCGAGATTGCGCCACTGCAGTCCGCAGTCCGGCCTGGGCGACAGAGCGAGACTCCGTCTCAAAAAAAAAAAAAAAAAAAAAAAAAGAAGCTGCAAGATATTTTATAACTTGTTTGCCCAAAATGACTGTCCTCATCACAAATAGCTGCATGGAATAACAACCCTACATCAAGATGGAGTATCTGATGCATTGTGGTATAATATGAGGTGGACTGCTAAGTTCCACTGCCAAAACTATATCCCTCCATTGATCTTTCCTCTGAAATATCCTTAGTGAGATTTATTCATCTGTTTTAAGACACTGTGTTCAGAAGTTCTTGAGAGAGTACAAAAAGTGCCCCAGAAATTGCTAACATATTGGTTCACCAGAGCCCATAATTTATTAGACTGTCTTATCAAAAATGTGAAATTTTGTGCCAAAAGAGAGCTACTCTTTTGGGGGATGGCGCATGAGAACAGAGAATTCCATAAGGTACTCTGAGAAAAACAAATACAAGTAAAAATATATTTAATAGAGCGAAGAGAGGTGTGTATGAAGACAAATTTGGGATGAAAGTTGGAGTTGGTGGAGTGAGAGTCTAAACCCCTTCGCGTAGTGACTGGGATGAGATGAGGGCCTTGAGGAGAGTGGCCTGAGGCTGGGAAAGTAACTGTAGGAAATGTGAAAGGGAGATTACTAAAGAAGAGAACAGACTGAGATTATAATGGCCTTGGGGGATGAGAGTCTCTATCTGTGCCCAGACCTGTATGGGCTGCATGCTGGGAAGGCAACCACAGTGGCTGCAGTGCTGGCAATGTAAAGTCAAGTGACAGGAAGCTACATACATAGAAAATTAGGCAACAATTTCAGTAGGCATGGGTGTTTGAGATGCAGTGTGGTATCATATTACACTTGTCACTTGCCACAAATACCAAATTTACAAAAAGCGAATTTATTATCATTTGAAATAAGGCATAATTATTAAAATATAAAAGTGGGTCATTTGTCTGTTTGTAAAACAGAAACTGACTCTAGGTAATTCTGGCCAAAAAAAGAAAAGAAAAGAAAAAAAGTGCTATATATGATTTGGGATAAAATTGAGTTTTACATAAAATTTGGCTGTATAATCGCTTTTTTCTACTCTGCTGGCTCAGACATCTAGGCATAGCAGAAAGATCCCGTGAATGTGGTCATAAGACATGGATTCACTATGTGGCCCTGGCATCCTTCACTGACCTTTTCCTGGCCTCAGTTTCTTCACTTGTAAAATGACAGGGTTGGTCTAAGTGATTCCACAGGTCCCTCTTGCTTGCAGGGTCATAGGGTCACTATGCATTTAGTATTTCATTTCCCTACACAGAAAATCTTTTCAAAAACACACATTTATTCCCTAGGGATCTTTTTTGTGTGTGCATAGTGCTGAAATTCTCTGTGTTGTGAATTCTTTGGTTAATTTAAAACATTAAGAGAAATGCTCTCAGTTAACAGGCAGGCATTCTCGCCATTTGCCTCTGGTGGTAATGGAAGTTGCCTGTTTAGGTCCTTTTTTCAGGTGTCAGACAGCAAATACCTCCTTTCAACTTCGCAGCATACAACAATTTAGCTCTCATTTCGGAAACGTTAGCAAAAGGCTATTTCCACTTCATGTTTAATGATTTCAATGATGCCTAGTAGTAAGTGGCATTGTATTACATCCAACCATATTTTAGAGTAAAAGAGTAATTTGGCTGCTTTTGTTTAGACAGTTCTGGATATTGATGATGATCTTCATAGGCACTATTTCCACACAAACCCACAGAAAATGCTTACAATTGAGAAGAAAATAACATAGTTTGCTAGCTTAGGATTTATTTTATATTTGGGTGGTAATCTTAGAAGGCACAATTTTATGAGACAAAAGTCTTTGTTTTCACCCTTGCCTTAATTATCGTAAAAAAAAAAAAAGACACAATGCTATGTATCCTCAGGGAATTTATTATTTATTGCAAACTCTAATATATTATTGGGAATTGAATAGGAACACAAACTATGTCCCAATCTGGAGTTTAATATGTAATCTATTTTATGTCTATTTTGATGGAAACCCACCTTGTGGTTCACTTCTTTTTCAGGTTAATGGCATATTTATTTTTCTAGTCCAACACACACACACATACACACACACAAAGAGGTTTTGCAGCTGTGGTGGGAAAAAAAAGCAAACATGTATATTTGGCCTACTTTTCATTTGATGAAGGCAGGCACGCGCCCACACTTATTCTAAGCCTCAATTTAGGTCACTGAACATCACCCAGTCAGTTTATCACAGCAGCTTCTGTTTGTAGCACAACCGTGGTCGCAGAGTTCTGCTGCATGTGTTTCTTGTTTACATGTGTATGCAGGAAAGCATGTTGGGAAGCCCATGACATGTGGCAATAATAGTTTTAATATACAGTAGTAAAATGTTGTCATTATTCAACTCCTAGGGTAAGTGTGTATAAATAACAAAACTAAAATACAGTTTCAATGAACCAGCATCATGGTTGCTTTATGGTGTCTTTTTCTAATTCTAATCCCTAAAACTTCCTGTTTCAAAGCCTCTTTTCCCTCCACCAGCAAAAGCCACATGCCCCTCTTTTCCTAGCAAGGAATTCATAGTCGGGTTCTGGCTACTCTGGTTTTTGCTTTTCTTATATTTTTAATAAGGATCACATGTGTGGATTTCTTCCCAATGGGGAATGCTTGTGTATTTCTGTGTGGGGAAAGGGAGACATGGAAAGGATCCAATGTAAGCTGGACATAGGAAACAAAAAGATGAAATATGAATGGCAATGACACAAATCATTTTTCTTTTGATGTATATGTCTAAAAGTATTTTATTTTTGGTATACATTTCCATTGATTTCTGAGTTCAAATCACAGAACGAACTTTCTTTTAATATAATTTCTGTCTGTGATTTATAGCAAAGCTGTGTACTGAATTTCAAGCACCCATTACTGAAATACCATATGGACTGAATGCATATTTCATTGTATTGATTTGTGCCAGTAACCTCTGGTCAGGAAGGCTACTTCACTTATCTAAGCAACTGATGCTGTCTTTAAAGACATCTAGCATTTATTGAATTTGTATAAGGCTGCTTAGTGAACCTTACTATAATTTTCATTGTGCCATATTACCTTACAAATGTGTTTGATAAAACATTTATTAAAAATGTGTTTCATATTTTCTTCTTGCAGGTAGTAAAAGATGGTAGTCAGACAGGCCAACATATTACACATTTCATTTATTCATATGCTTTTAAATAAAATATTTAGATTCAATGTTAGACCAAAGTTTCTTATCGTTATCTGTATTGTATATGCCGAAAAAATATTAGAAACCTTAGACATTTTTCATCTAAAATATGAGTTTATATATGGATTAAAATCATTGAGATACTGACATACAGCAAATTTGAAAATCAGCTGCTCCCATGGTACTCTACTGGGATTTGAAAGTAACCAGTCCTGGGCTTTTCTACGATTTCTTGGGAAGTAAATTTTTCAGCTTATTGTAGTTACTGATTCTCCCTTATGGTGGGTTCCTTTGCTTTTGTGGCTTGTACTTTTTATATTGAGCTCATCTTAGTGACTTGTTTTTCAGTAGAAATTTTAAGTGCTCTCAGTTCTAGCAGTCTCCTTTAATTTGTTTTTTGAATTTACTTCTGTTTACTCACCAGCTGTGTTACTGGTCTTGAATTAGTTTAATTATATTTAATTTAATACTGCATATTTGAAGTGGTAAATGATTTCCATGTCAGGTTACTGGACCATGTTACTAGGAGTGGCCCAAGCAAACAGTTCCAGATTTGGAGAAACTCAAGGTAAAATAAAATATTCATATGCATAAAAAATTACCTAATTCCAATGTAATACATTCAATGATGAAGATATATTAAAGCTTGCTATTGGATATTGTTTTAGATTATATATGCAAGAGGAGTGGCAGGTGCATAAAATATTATCATAGAATACCCCTGACTTTATAAAAATATTGTAGGAACAGTATACTGAGATAAGCTCAGCACACATATATTTGTCTTTATATTAAAATAAGAAAGCATAATATGAGAATATTACTCATCTATCTTTGTCAGATAAGAATATTCTAGAATAAAGACACATTTCAGAAAAGTTATACTTCAATAATTGTGTCTAAGTTTTGATGAAAGAAAGTTCAGTCTCTTATATTCTTGATAAATACTGATCTTTTAAAAGGCCTTAATATATTTTGCAATACATTGCATGATATAAAAAGTCTCTAACACACCAGACTAATACCAATATTGGGAAATTTATATTACTTAGAAGGAAATAATTAAAAAATAGAATGACAGGAAAAAGAAAATATGATTACTGAGAACGCACTTTGTGCCAGACAGTATGAGGGATGTTTTATGTTCATTATTTTATTTAATCTTCACAATTGTTATTTTTGAAAGATAAGAAAAACAGCCCAAAATCTAAAACTAGTAAATGGCAGTATTGATTTTCAAACAATGTTCTGTCTGATAACCCAGATCCCTATTCTTTCCTTAATATAATGCCTCTTAATGTAATGTCGGGTTCCTTAAAATATATTTTATCACAGCATTTACTAAGAAGTAAGTGGAAGCTGATGAAAATTATTCTTTTGCTTTCCTTTCTTAATTGAAATGAATCCGCTAATTGAGAGTGAGAGTTTCAATTTTATTATAATGTTTTAGGGCTCTGAACAAACAAGTAATGCAGGTATGAATCTCAATAAGGGCACATTTGTAAACATGGCACATACATTTTAGAATCATTTATATTTGAGCTGTATGGGTTGGGAAAAAATGCTTGTCGTGCTTATGATTTTCTTAAATGCTTTCTCATAAATGGTATTTTATTTGTTTTAGATTTCTCTGGTTCAGTTGAGTGCAGTTTCCAGCTGATTCAAAAGTTTAAGAAGTGATACCCAATTTGCACATATAATAATTTCCTTTGCTGTCAGAATGTTTAAGAAAACAATGAAAAACAAAAACAAAGTTGTGAGAAGCATCAGTAATGATTCAATCACTATACTGATAAAGTAAATTTCCTGTATTTTTTTCTCTCTACTGCCAATGTTACTTTCATAGCTTCTGTTCATGCATTTGCAGAATCCTGTCTCTTAAAATTAACCAGTTTAGCTGTACTTCTGGGTAACTTACCCCACAGGCAGATTGCCTCCCTGTTCTTATAAGGTCAATAAAAATTAAAAGTCTTCCACTTTCCAAGTATTTGGGTTTTAAAAAAATTACTACACTATAATTTTTCCTTATATCTAACCAAAATTTTACAAGATAATTACGTGAGAGGAAAGGAAACAAAGTTCTTTTATCATAAATATAGTAATACAATTGCAACTAGCTTTTATGGAATGATTAGCGTGTACAAGGAACTGAAATGAGTTTATGTGTGTTAGATAATTTATTCCTTGCAAAAATCATGTGAGGGAGATACTCTGATTCCAAATTTTACAGAGGAACAAGTAAAGAAACTGAGTCTTAGCAGCGTGAAGACTACAGAGGGAATAAACAGTGGCACTAAAAGTGAAATTTGGCTTTTTGACTCTATATTCTAAATCACTATGGTATAACAATTTCAAAAAAATAGATTTTGTGTTGATTGTGGAAAATTTAGGATAGGACAAAAATTTCTTCATATCCTATTATTCAGAGGTATCCACTTTTATTTTGATAAATCTGGTATACTCAATGTAGATACCCTATCTGTTTATATTTTCAACAAACTTTTACATGTATCACAATTAAACACGTACAAATATGTTTATAGAACCATTATTTATAATCATGTTAGGTAGAAACAACCTAAATGTCATCAATAGTAAATTGGATGAATTCACCATTGTATATTCATATATTAGAATTCTACACAGCAATGAAAATGAGTAAACAATTATCATATATGATGTCATCATGGTCGATGCTCAGAAATGGAGCCAAAAAAGCCAGACACCAAAAACAGACATGCTTTTAGGTGATTTGTTTAAATTTCAGATATCGATAAGCCAATCTACAGTATTATAAATCAGGTAATGAGGGATTGAACTTAAATGGTGGTGGTAAGCCTATCTAATTTATCCAAAAACAGTATTTTATGAAATAAGTACTATTACTATTCCTATTTACTTATGAGAAAACTGAAGTTCAGAGAGGGTAAGTAATTTACTAATTTTCACAATGCTAATGGCAAACTCCTAATTCAAATCTAATCTGTTGAGCTCCAGAGCTCCAGTGCTCAGCATTATAATAGACAAGAATCAGAAAAAAATGCCTTTTCTACGGAAGACACATTCATCTCAAAAAAAAAAAGAAAGAAGAAAGAGTTCATATTAGATATTTTTTTCAAGCCTACTGTTCCTTAAACATATTCTTTATCTCCACTATAAAATTGCTCATTAATATTCTCCTTCCCCACAGACTCTTTCCTCAAGCATCCAACTTTGTCAGTCTCTCTTATCCCACATCACTCTTTCAATCCTGCTCCCTGCTCTCAAAAACTTGCTTTAATCCTCTTGCTTTTGGGAATGGTATTGAAAACTCAAGAACATATCAAATATATCAAAATTCTCCCTCTTATCAGTTTGAAATTGTGAAGAAAGAAAGAGGCTGATCTACAGTGGATAAATGAGTAAATATCGTAAATGTGAGATGTCTTGATTTCAGTGAAAAGGTAGAAGTTTGTAGAAAAGATGGAGGGTGCTTTTCTTAATATTTCTTGAAGGCTCACATTTTTCAACCATGTAGTATTCTTCTATCTCTTACTTTCTTAATTCTTTCTGTTTATTTACTTCATGGAATAGAACTTCAGCTTAGTGTTTACTTCAAGCTTAATGTTCTAAGCCTTCTAATTGAGAGTGAAAGACAGAGACAAAAGAAGGCAGATTTTGAAAGTCCCTAAGCCGAAATCAAAGTAATGGCCTAAACAATGATTGGCCCTTACCATCTTTTTAACAGCACTTTTCAGGTGATAATTTTAATGTGTTTCAAAAACATTTGTCTTCTTAGGTATGCAAACATTCTCCTTAAAATCCTATTTTAGCTATTCAATTTTCTCAGTATATTTTATTCCTTTAAATAGAGTGCAAAGGTAAATTTTAACATTAGCCCTTCATATTCCAAACCAAAGTTATCCAAATAATACATTTTTAATGCACAGGGAAAATAATAGCAAAATTAAATGGCAAACTTGCAATTTTTTTAGCACAAACAGATTAGTAAACATGCAGAAAATATGCAAAGCTCTAGTGTTTACAATGTTTAAGCAAATTACAAATTATCTCAAGAAAGAGAAAAGCCAAAGGACAAACATCAATACACATTCCAAGGCTACATAAAAATGATTTCAGTGTTGGAAAACATTCTTAGATGGAAACAATGATGATAATGGGGGAAAATACATTTTGTTAAACTGTCTCCCCCAAGGTACAGGATAAAAATTCGATTTTGCACCAACCACAATAATGTCTTCTAGAGAGCATGCTTTATTCACAGCTTTATTTTGCTTTAAAAAAGAATAATCTAACAGAGCACAAACCCGAACTATAACTTAGCTAAAGCACAAGTCCTGAATTTACAATTTTATTAATTGAAACTGAAGTAGATTTACCCAGGCTAATGTTATAAAGCATGCCCCAGAGCAGAATGTTTCCCATGAAGTGTGTTTCTAGTGATGTCTATCTACACAGTTCTATTTAATTTAGGATTAAAGGGATTCTAATGATTTTCCTTATTTTCACCTGATTTCTTCTACCGGAGTTAGATGGACATTGTTGCTTTGCCTACAACTTCTATGGTAATTGGTAACCCTCGAGGAACCTGAGAATCCATCACCTTAATCAAGGAGCCATTGCAATTTTCCATGTTCAGTTATAACTTGCAAAAATAGGATCAAATAAAGAGAAAAATATTAAGCTGCAACTACATTGTAAATTTGTTGTATCTGCTTTTCCCAAAATGCATAGCAGAGAAAATCAATATCATAATTTTATTTATTCCTACTGAAGAAATTGTGAGTTTTAGATTTTGAAAGGAATTGGGAGGAAATGAAGGAGAGTGTTTCCTATAAGAAATGCTTAGTGTCTGGAATAATAAAGAGCTGGTTAAAATTGACAAATCATTAGGGTGCCACCGGGATGTTATCCTGAATCCAGAAATGATGGGGAAATAAACATGATTTTAGGGAATCTAAACCACAAACCAGTTGATTTTGTTCACTGGGGCAGAAAGCACAGAATGTGGCATAAAGTAGGGACTTGGAAAAGACTGAATTAAACCATCCCATCTAGCACAGGGCCACATAATTTTGTTGCAACATGTCTTCAGTTCCCACTCTTAATATCAGGACTTCTCGGGGCTCTGGCCTAAACTCTCTAATGTGCTACCTATGTACTCTCCAATTCCCTTGACTTCATACATGTTCTCTGTGATAATGATTCTCAATGTTTATCTCTAGTCCTAGACTCTCCACTGAACTATAGGTTTCCGCATCCAACTTCCTACTTGACACTTGTACTCATGTATCTAATATATGTCCCACTTAAAATGGCTAAAATGTGTGTTGACGCTAATCAACACAGCTGATACAGATACAGTAAACGTGTATTTTTCCTATTCCAGTGTTGCTCATCTCAGTAAATACCACTAATATCCACTTAGTTACTAATATTCCAAAGCAGCAATAATCCTTAATATCTTTTTTTCACTCATTACTCTCTAATCCATTGGCAAGTCTTGTTCCACCTTCAAAATATATTCCAGATCTATACCAATCTCTCCAGTTTTCTCCATCTCCAGCTACACTTTAGTATAAACCACTACCAGCTCTTGCCTGGAAAGGTTCAAAACTGATCTCCCAGTTTTTGCTCCTTCCTTGGCTTTCAGTTTTCTACAGAGTAGCCGGAGGCATGTTTAAGACAAAACCATAATGTCACTCAACTTCTTAAAACCCTCCAATGACTTTGCATTGCCCTTGGAATATAAACCCAAATTTCTTGGCACTGGCCTACTTGCACTCCTTAATCTGGCCACCTACCTCTCTAAATGTATTTTTTACCACTCTGTTCTGCTTACTAGATTCTAGTCACATTGGCCTTCTTTCTGTTGCTTGAATATAAGTGTACACAAGTCCTTGTGTACTAACTGTTCCTTTACATAAACATTCTGTCTTCTTACCTTGCATGGCTGGCTTGTTCTGTGTTGCTCAGGCCTGCCCATCCAATCTAAATATTCCTCCTTTGAGCTATATTACATGTTTTATTTTCTCCATTTCACTAATTATCTGAAATTATCTTATTCCTTTATTTGTTTAGCTGTGTATGGTCTTTCTCTTGCCTCTCCATGCCACAATAATGTAAGTAGGAAACATGTCCACATGGTTACCACTATATCCCCAATGCCTAAAATAGAATACAAAACATATTAGGTGTTAAAAATATTCGTTTTATAAACAAACATTTAAAATTTAGTTTAATTAATAAAAAAATTAATAAATTATCTTACTCATTTTATCCCACTGTATTTACTTACTGATTTGTTTGATATTACACCACTGTTTATTCACTGGATTTATCACATGGTTAAAATATTTTTTACAATGTAAGAGAACAGGGAGAAATGAAATAGAGTCATTTTTTATAGAAGTGCATGGAGGTGTGGAGAGTGATTATGCAGTGCTTTCAAAATCTAAGGAGTGCATCTTACTTCGGATATGATTTGCTTCCTGGAGAGAGAGAGAGAAAGAGAGAGAGAAAATATAACAATATTTAGAAATGTATCACAACTTATACATGTGATATCACAATTCGTACATTATTCTTTTAAGATTAGTTCTGGGTTTTTTGTTTTGGTTTTTTTTTTTTTTTTTTTTTGAGACAGAGTATTCCTCTGTCGCCTAGACTGGAGTATAGTGGCACAATGTCAGCTTACTGAGACCTCTGCCTCCTGAGTGCAAGCAATTCTCCTGCCTCAGCCACCCAAGTACCTGGGATTACAGCCTTGTGCCACCACACCCAGCTAATTTTTTGTATTTTTAGTAGAGATGGGGTTTTACCATGTTGGCCAGGCTATTCTTGAATTTCTAACCTCAAGTGATCCACTCGCCTTTGGCTGCCAAAGTGCTGGGATTACAGGCAGGAGACACCGCGCCTGGCACCTCATTTTTTTTTGGTGTTTTTTTTTTTTTTTTTTTTTTTCTCCCTATTAGACAAATGTTGAACCATCTCACCGTAATTTTCACATACCATATGCCCTCTCACTACATTATTTTTCATTGCTTCTCTGAGCAACATTATGGATAATTTCTTCAGCTCTGCCTGCCCATTAATTCTTCCTTTAGTTGTGTTTAATATATTGGTTTATTTACTCAGTTTCAATTATTTCATTTTTCTGAAAATGGGTACCCACTGAAAATTGTCTTTTTTTTTGATATGTCTTTCACATACTTGCTCAGACATCTTTTATTTTTAATAATTTTAAATACTCATTTCATAATCTATGTTTGGAATTGCATTATCTCAATGTTTTGGTATTTCTAATCTTGATCTTGATCCTTGTACTGACTTTCACTCAAGATTTCCTCATGTGTTTTATAACTATGGATTTGAGCTTGTACTTAACAGGATTTTATATTTATAAATCCTAAGTGTCCTCTGTTGAGAATGTACCCTTCCAGAGAAATTTGGTGATTAAATGTATGAGGTAACAACACAGGAAGAAATTTTTTGTTAAATCTCCCTTTAGGATTTCTTTGTCCTTGTGGGTGGTATAAATTCAAACCTGAAACATTTGTGACAGATTTTTAGGAGAGACTTTTTATCACTTCTCCTAGAGATCCCAAGGCTCTTCTTTAAGATTGACAAATGTTGCAGGGAACATCCAAATATCACTGACTGCATATTAACCATTTCCACTTTTTTCTTCAGTTTTGGCCACTGGACATTTCTGTACTATATTTTTTTCAAGGATGCATTACAGCATTTGTCATATTTTATTCCAGTATTTCAAATATGTTTTGCATTAAGATCGTTTACTGTCGGTTTACAATATCTGACACAACTTTTTGGCAAAAATGAACCAACTTTCGTTTGTATTTTTATGTTTGCCCTGTAATAAACACGAAGAACTCACAATTATGACTGCATTAGTCCATTCTCACACTGTTATAATGAACTGCCTGAGACTAGGTAACTTATAAAGGAGAGAGGTTTAATTGACTCACAGTTCTGCTTGGCTTGGGAGGCCTCAGGAAACTTACAATAATGGCGGAAGGAGAAGCAAACATGTCCTTCTTCACATGAAGGCAGAAAGAATTGCCGAGCCAAGAGGGAAAAATCCCTTAATAAACTACCAGATCTCGTGAGAACTCACTCACTATCAGGAGAACAGCAGCATAGAGGTAACCACCCCCATGATTCAATTGCCTCCTACTGGGTCCCTCCCAGGACACATGGGGATTATGGGCACTACAATTCAAGATGCGATTCCGGTGGGTACGTAGAAAAACCGTATCAATGACTGGAGGAAGAGTTATTTGTATTTCAGGGAAAAAAAAAAAATAAGATATAACATTTGGACTTCTTGTTTTACAGAGAAAGGCTGGTCTATATTTTTGGCTCAGGCTGTTTAAACAATATATATATAGTAAGGTCAGTCATACCAATTACCCTTCATACTCAGTTCCTTTCCCCGTTACCATTCACCTTTTGCCACTTCAGTCCAAGTCCTGGACTTAGTCCTGACTGATATGAGAAATAAGGACTGGAGTTTTGGTATGAGAAAAAGGAAATGCCAAAGGACAGAGAAATCTGATGTAATTAGAAAAGAGGGGGATTTCTCTGATTACTTGTGTATATATATCTGTATATATGTGTGCGTATGTGTATGTGTGTGTAATAGAGACAGAGATTATTATGTATGCATGTATGTATTTCAGTGATATTACTGAAACTCATAAGAATTTCATTGCAAAAATAATTTTCTATGCCCAGAATGGGTACCTATTTGCATTTATTTTTATAATTATTTCTATAATTGGTTCTACAAGTCAATACTGAAATAGCTTGTTTATTCCTACCACCTGCCTAGTACAGATATACAGAGAAGGTAATAATATATATTTAATTTTTTCTTCACTGTATTTTCCAACAAATCATATGATCACAATATTGGGACAATATCCAACTTAGTATTCTGTTCCTGCATTCAAATGCCAGGATTCTTTTATAGAAAATAGACACCCTTTATAAGAATTAAATGGTCGAATATGGAGAAGTGGATGGGTAATTCTAAAGGTTATTTGAATAAATTTGCATCTGAAAGGTTCTCAGGAAACTTCTTTTAAGAGAAACTTTCTGTAGGTGCATATGCTATCCATAAATCAATTGATTTGGTTTGACTCCATTTCCTCACTCTTACCAGCATCACTAGAGTCAAAGCAAAAGCTCCAAAATTGTTTACAGTATCTTCCTTCTTCTCTCAATCAATAGTTATATATTTAGTAATTATCTGTTTTAACTGGAAGGATTTCTATATTTTCCAGATGCCACTCTCAGGAGCTAATCAAAATTCTGTAGGGGGTGGGGAGATGTGGTTGGAAATGAATGGAAAAGATAATTGAACTGAAAAAAAACTTTTTTTTTGGTTAGATAAAGGTAGCGAATTAGATCCACAGTTAACAATTATACGTCATTGAAAATATGTTGTAGTATTAGAAGGACGGATTTTGATTGGTCCTATTATCTGGTGTTTTCAATCATGTGAAAGAAAATCTCCTTTTAAATGTCCTCAGAACAGATACTGGGGACATTTAAATATTCCCTGCTTTATATTTCTCTCTGGGGAGAGTATCTTAGTTAAATTTTGGTTACCATTTGAGTAAAATAGACGACTGCCATTGAGTCATTATTTGTAGGAAGCCATAGATCTCTGCTGTTCCTTACCCAACTATGTTACCTCTGGCACGGAAGGTAACATATTGTGCAAGTCAGCAATAAATCAATGGGTACTTACAACTCATATTTTTCTATTTACTCATCTACCTGTGCCAGTCCAAAAAAAAAAAAAAAAAACTAGTAGGTAAAGTTAGGTCCACACTCTATTTTTTAAAGAAAGTCAAAATAATATAGATGATAGGTATTAATAATTATAACAAAAATTCAGTTCACTTTTATTAATATTTCCAAAGGTACTTCCATGATTTCTGATTATTCTATTTAGAACATGTATTAGTCTGTTCACATGCTGCTAATAAAGGACATACCCAAGACTGGGTAATTTAGTAGAGGAAAGCTGTTTACTGGGTAATTTAGCAAAGGAAAGATGTTTAATTGATTCATTCACAGTTCCACATGGCTGGGGAGGCTTCAGAATCATGGCGGAAGGTGAATGAGGAGCAAAGTCATGTCTTGCATGGTAGCAAGCAAAGGAGCGTGTGCAGGGGAACTCCCCTTTATAAAATCATCAGATCTCATGAGACCTCTTCACTATCATGAGAACCACATGGGAAAGACCCGCCCCCCATGATTCAATTACTTCTCACTGGATCTCTACCACAATATGTGGGAATTATGAGAGCTACAATTTAAGATGAATTTTAGGTAGGGTCACAGCCAAGCCATATCAGAACACTTTGAAAACTTTGACCTTTGGAGGGGAAAATGTCCAATAATAATCTAGACTTACCAGCACATTTTAAATTACTGAGTAGCATTCTACTGTAGGGGTGTCTTTAAATCACAAATACTTTAGAGAAAAATTGTAATTGTGTGTTAGGTCATGTTCCTCCTATGATGAGAACCAGAGGGGATTGGAATGAAAAGCACAAAATCTGAGAAGCTGAACGTTGAACTATCACATTCTATGCTTAGGTACAAAGAACCTAATAAAGTCCTCCCTCTTACCAAATTAAGAAACCAGTGCTTTTATTTTAAATACTTATGCTAAAGTTTTTACTTCTGTTACTTAAAATTTTATTATTCAGTAATACCTTCTCTTGATATGTAATATATTGCATGAAACAGTAAGAAAAGTTCTTAATGAAATAGCAGAATAGTGGATTTATAATTATTTTAGACACAGAAAACCTTAATACGAGTAACTACACAAAATTGTTTGCCAACATTTTGAAGTCTAAAGTGGTTGTGGGCCCTGAAGAATAGTGAAGTATGAGACATTGTGGGTATGTAATACACCTGTATGCTTCATATAGGCAGAGTCTGATCTAGCATAGTTGGCTAGGAGTATAAAATTAGCAACAAGGCAATGTTATTATTTCATTTTCCATAAGAAGATAAGTTCTCTTTTCTAAGATGATGCCAGTAACTTCCATCTTGGTGCTGGGGTGACCACGTTCATAGGCCAAAGCAAATCTATCACTGTTCCTCAAAACACTAACTTTTTATACAAAATTTAACCCTGTGGGGGGAAAAAACATGTTTTTTAAATCTAAAAAATATAAAAATAAAATGTATTCCCATATGATTGAAAAAGTCTTAAAGAATTTTTCTAAAAATCATTTATCAATAAAGGACATTCTTCACCCTCAATTTCTTTATTTTTTTGTTAAACTAAGAAGTTTTGTTCATAGGGTATATTACTATGACTTTAACAGTCAAGTTTTATTCCAGAAACTGCAATGGAAATTGCACTTTTCACTTAAAGAATGATTGACAAAATATGGAAAATGTGCACCATATGCTATCTATACACTAAATAAATTGTCTCCTTTAGCTCAACTAGAATCTTCTGGACATCTCCTATTTCAGAGGCATAGCAGGAAGTCTTCTGGGTAGGGAACAATGAACAGGGTTAAGGCATAAACACCAATATGGGCTAAACACACAAAATAGAATCTGATAAATACTGTAATAAACATATAAAATATGGTGGGAACATCTAGAAAGAGAATAATTTCTTCTCTAGGTGTCAAGACAACCTCTATTGAAGAAATGTTAATTGAGCTGGCCATAAGGAATGGCTAGAAAAAAATATTGAGGCAGAGCAAATGAAGTAAACCGAAGTATGGAAGGAAGGAAGGGAGAAAGAGAAGCAGGGAGGGAGGGAGGGAGGAAGGGAAGGTGGGCTTATGATTCGAGACTAGTGTACAAGGGAAAATAGTGGGAGATAAACTTGAAAGGTAGCATGAGTATGCACTGGAGAATTATGGAAAAGAATCATAAACAGTTAGAATAGGACCAACCTACTAAAGCTCCTGAATGCTATGCTAAACACTTTAGTTTGTTTTAGGTAGGCAACAAAGAGAATTTTTGAGCTCAGGAAGGTGGTGTATATGGCACTGTCAGAGCTGAGAATTAGGACCAGTAATTCAAGATTGTGTTTGTGCCAGGACCAAGATTGTATTAAAGAGATGACTCTGTATTTTTGCCTGCCTTTTAAACATATATATCAGAAGAAAATATTGGTGCAATACATATATATGCCAGGTATGCCTATAAAAAAGATTTTTGAATAAACAACTAATATCTTTTTTACTCCTTAAATGGTGGTGATGAAACACTTTCATCTGAAATAAATAATTGAGGTCAGATAACGTATCTTCATTGCTTACTTAATTTTATTTTGCTTCTATAGATATGTCCATAACATGTGTTTGAAGACAATTTGAAAGGTTTTGGTAGTTTTTATGATCACAATATCAAAATACATTTTTGTTGTTTCAGATGATGGTGCCTGTCCATTAACTGAACAACTGTGGTAAGTTTATTTTGCTCATCTTATGTCTGCACGGAATACTTTTCTTTTTGATATTCTAAAGGTTTTATTTTACCTATAAAACCTTTGGTTAAAATTCTTTGAATGAGTTTCCTTCTGGCAGTTCATTAGGCATTTTAGGATGTTTTGTTTCTTCTTTTCAATTAAAAGTAAGACTTTAGTTTTCAACCAGATTTTGTCAACAGAGATGTTTATTTTCACAAATGCTTCACTTACTCAAACTTTAACAATCTCTCAATCAACTAGAAAAGTAATATCCTGTTGTTAGTTACTCTTTTAGTAGTTACAAGAAATACTTTATAGTTTTTAGATTGATAGCAGAATACCCAGTGGATACTGACACAAAAATTATTTTTTGTTTTCTCTACTATCCATACCATAAGAGAAAGAAGAAAAAAGAATTTACATTCCTTAGCTTACATAATTGCCTTATATTGCTATGATTATTCATTGGAAACTAAGATGAGTGGATATAACTTGGAACAATATAGTTAATCTCTGGAGAAGTTGCTACCCATTTATGTCTCTCTTGGAAGAATAAACACAACATATTTGTGTGCTTTCACAGTACTGGTAAACTGGTATTTTCAAGGATTCTCTGCACATTGCCAGACTTAGAGAAAGAAGACTCTACATAAAATTGTTACTCATTTTACTTCTTGAGAGTTTACCAGTTTAGAGCAGATTGAGAGAAAGTGTTGCATTTTTTGTTCTTATTCAATTGCGATAAGGAAAATGTTATGAAAGAGTGTCTTTGTATAGCATCCTCCCCCTTCCCTCAGACTAGACTGCTTGGTAAAATAAGAAATGGCCAGAGTGGGAGCTGGTTGGCAGGAAGATAACAATTTTGAAGGCGTAAAAAAATTTACATAGGTTTTGGGTAAGAAATAATAGATCAACTGTATGGGATGCTGTATGTGGTGTGACTTAAGAAAAAGCAAATGTTGGAAAAAAATATTAAAAGCCTTATTGTATATTACATTGGTGCTTCTCAAACCTTAATATGTCTATGAATAATGTGGGCTATCTTTTCAAAACGCAGATTCTGATTTAGAATCTGAGCTGAAGTAAGGCCCAATAATATGCATTTCTATTAGTTCCTAGGTGGTACAAAGCTGCTGGTTTAAAGACCATGCTGTAAATAGTAAGGTAGTATATAAATAACTCTGTTCCTTTGACGGCTCCCCAAGGGACTTCAATCAAGACATTAATTTTTCAAACGTTTGATTTGGTTTTGACTTTTAGTGCTCTTGATTCAGTGTTCAAAGATTATCTTAAGATTTACAGCAAAAATGCTGTTTTGTTGAGTCACATACAAAAAGAACTGGGTCTTGACTAGCTTCTATGTCTGTTTTCCCTCTTATTACCTAATTATTCCAGGGTAAACTGTAAAGGATTGAAGAAAGTCAGTCTCTTTCAGTCAAGTAATTTGTGAGTGAACAAAATACAAGATTTTACAAAAATATAAATATATTATTCTAATACTGCAATCTATTCAAAGGCAATCATATCACTTTGCAATAGTCCGATTACAAAAAGCAACAACAATGGTTGTGGGGGTAGATAGTCCTAACCATAATACAAGTAGACGTTATCGTCATTATTATGCTTGAAAGTACTTGAGTTTTGCTTGAAAATGTGATAAAATGCTTTTGGTTTCGTACCACATTCCTACTGACGTTGTGAATGCTTTCCAGTCTATTTGTTCAGCTAGTTCAGATCTCAAGATTACTGAGAAAAGGGGGTAGATGCCAAAGTTGGCAGGTTTGGTTAGTAACCATGAATAATGGGGTCAAGAGGAAATTGGTGCAAGGAAATCTGCCACTGGTCCACTGGTACAAGGAAATCTGAAGAATATTCTGAAACCCAGAGTCTTGTAGGTGCTTGAAGAAGGCCATGGAAGTAGAAGTTTCAAAATCAATTGAAGTTTTCTGCTAAAACTCTCCTTTCTTAAACCAGGTTGCATATCAGAATCAACTGTGAAGTCGAAAAGGCTAGTTAGACCTGGGTAGTACCCAAACCAATTAACTCAGAGTCTCTCAAGGTAAATGAAGCCTAACATCTAAACTTTGATGCTTCAGCTCCCTGGTGATTATATCAGGAAATGGAGTTGAAAATCCCTTACATTAGGGCCTGAAATTTTACATTTTCAACAAGTTCTCAAGTGATGTTTATGTTGCTGCTTTGTGGATCACACTTTGAGTAGCAAGGACCTATTAGACCCCATACTTTTTTTTTTTTTTGTTTCATGTTCCTGGGAGGGTCAGCATCAACTGGGAGTAGTCATCTTCTCTCTATGGATGAGGGGAGGAAGGGAAAGGAAGAAAGGAGAGAGGAGACATCCAAATGGCACATGGTGGAGACATGGTAGAATGCACAACTCCCCACAGGATTGAATTTATAGGTCAATGGAAAAACCCCTGTACCAAAATAGCTTCTCTAATTAAATCATATGGTACCTGAACATGCATTATTAAAATTCATTTGATTTCACTGCATTCCAAAGCTGACTATGCAAACATGATCTTTGGTGCAATTGTTACAAATATAGAGCATGGAAGGAGGAGTAGAGTGGGCAGGGATCTGGATTTTAATAATCATCCCAGATGATTTTAATCAAAAATGGAGCTTGGAAGCCATTGTTTTAGACCACACAACACCATCTCTCTTGACTTTCTTTCAATATGCTACATATTCCCGTTCTTTAAATCAATAATGTATATATACTATTCTATGCACCAATAGAGCTCAATATAACAAGATAATGATAATAACAAGAGCTACATGGTGATGACTATTTGCCAGGCACTGTTCAGAGTTTCATATTTATAAGGACAATCCTAGATAATATGTGCTATTATTATCATCTTTACATATAAGAAAACTGGGGCACAAAAATATTAAATTGCTAAAATTTACGTAACTGGTAAGTGTTAGAACTGAGATTCAAACTCAGATATTCTGGCTACACAATACATGTCCTGTAAACTTCCAATCAGTTGTGAATTGATCCATGTATTCAACAAACACTTCTGGAGGAGCTTTTATATACTAGGCAATTTTTAAGGCACTAGGAATAGAGCACTAAAGGCAATAAAATATCTTCCCCTATGGAGATGTCCTTCTAGTGAGAGATGCAAGCTCTTATTTTTAGAACAACCAGAATTTTTTAAAAGGTCTCAGCATTAATGACACGAAGACACAGAATTCAAATATAGCCATTCCATTTGCTTTCTGAATGATTTTGTCAAATCTCTTTACCTGTTTAGTAATCTGATTAAATGATGTAAAGGGACATGTAAATAACTTATTTTTATTACATCATATTTTAGGATAATAAAAGTTTTGTGTGTATGTATGGTTTAAAAAATTAAAGTTTTGTGTGTATGTATGGTTTAAAAATGTCTTAATGAAAAAGGTTGATTTTCTCCGTGGCAGTAGACACTAAGGGCATCATGAAAGCACTAGCTATCAGGAAAGTATTGGTGGCAATGTTGCGGAGTTCGTGTTGGCATGGGTGCTAATAGTTATGATATTTGTGATAATGGTGATGTTGACTGAAATGATGAAATTGATGGTAATTACTACCACTTATTAAGCACTTACTATAGCTCAGGCCTTGTGCTAAATTATTTATATTCAGTATTTAATCCATTCCGCAGCCTTGTGGAAATAACAGTGTATTTTAGAGCTCAAGAATCTGAGGATTAGAAAGCTTAAACTACTCACCAAGTCACATAGCTCAGCAAATAATGGAGGCTGAATTTAACCCAACTATATCAATTATCTGTTGCTATGGAAGAAACCACCCTAAATCTCAGTGCCTTAAAATAAAAATTTGTTATTCCTCATGATGCTGAGAGTGGATTGACTATGCAGTTATTCCACTCCAATAAGTGTCAATAGGGATCTCATGCAACTATATTCAGCTAAGAGATTAACTGGAGGTCTCAGTTCTTTTCCATGTGGCCCCTCTTTCTATATGGTGAGTCACCTTCCAATGGCTGTCCATATATCCTTTCCATATAGCAGACTAGCATGGTTTTTCGCATAGCATGCAGCTCAGCTCCAAGGAGTTTTGCAAAGGAGAATCCCCATTGCAAGTGCCTCTCCTGGTATCAAGCTTGCTAATGTCCCATTGGTCAAAATAAGTTATATGAACAAACCCAGAGTTAATGAGAAAGATGACAAGTATACGCATACCTGGAGGCATGGTTCAGTCTATCACACCAGATGTTGTTGCAGGGCTTTCTTCTCAGTTCAGCTAAAACCAGGTTCTTGTCACATGGCCAGGAAAGATTAGGTTCGTGGACACATAGAAGGGTGAGAATAACAATTTATTGGGTAAAAAAGGAAAAAGAGAAAAACTTTCAGCTGAGCAAGAGGGAAGCCGATTAACCAGCTCCCGCCCCATCACACAGGAACTTAAGAGACCAGGCTCCTCCCCTCTGCAAATGACAGGAATTTCCATGGCTCCACCCCATTCTCCCAGTGTGCAGGTTGGTCAGAGGTTCTCCAGGAAGCCCTTTTTGCTTGGCTGTCTCAATGTGGCTGACTCTAATTACTGTAATATAGTTTCATTACTATATATTCCCTCCCTGAGGAGATTGAAAGTGAAGACTGGAAGAAAACAGACTACAAAATATTGTTGAAGAGACATCATAGACAAATTTGACCTGGGCTTATTCCAATAACAGTGGGTCATCTATGTAGCCAAGAAGAAATGCATTATAGAAAATTCAGTGTTACGTAAAAGCAAGGTTCAAAGTTCGAAAATTCAGAGACTTTGAAAGGATCTCTTTATAGCCTGATTATCAAATTACCCTAGAGTCACAGCAAAGGTAGCAAAACTGAAAATTTACAAGCTAGAATTCTACTCTTGACCTAACATAGGATCCCATTCTTGCAAGGACACATCTGCAGGCAGGTAGACAACAGAAGGACCGTGGTAATTTTGTATCTACTGATATGAGACAATTTTATCTCAGTTGAATCCTCAAGACCAAACCCAAATATGCAGAAAAGATCTTGATTTGAATGATTAAAAAGCTAAGACTTCTGCTGTTACCAATGACCTATCTGTAATGTACAGAAGTCTCATTTTGAGGTTGTGAATAACTTTGCATTGTAAGCAGGTTTATGACCCAATGGGCCTGTCAGGATGACTTAACTACAAAACAAACATCCCACTTACTAAGAGCTTTACACTGCGGTCATCAATGTGCCCAGATTACTGTATGTAGCACACTGCTCTCGCTGAGGGCCAAGGGGAGTCTCAGTTGTCCAGCAAGACCATAATGAAATAACGAGTTTTGCCTCACTGCTTTTCCGGCTATTTCTTTTTTCAGGAACTCTACAGAGAATATTTGTCTCTAGGACTATAAATTTGGTACTTTCCACCACCTCTAAATTTTCTCTGTTGCTTAAGAGTAGTAAGGATCAACACCCTACTCTCATCATTTACAGACTAACAATGTGGAAAATTGAGTGAACTCAATATGATTACCACTCAAGGGTTCTCTCTGTGAACCAAAGTCTTCTTTAAATTTTGAGATACATTCCAAATAAGAAGGCAGAAAGGAACAAACGGTGTGTAGAAGAAACTTTTTGCTTTTTCTTAACACAGAATAGAAATACAGTGGCATTTCCCTCTATTATGACTAGAGGCAGGGCCCACCTCCCATGTTTTTCCAGGGAGTTTGGTTTTACTACTTAATAAAAACTGAAAACATATTACTATAAATGGAAGAGAAATAATGCCCTAATATATCAAGTAGAGATTTCTAAGTTGCACCAACAAAATAATTTGGTGCATATACAAATGAGGACTCACATGTACAGAATTCAGATTTTGTGTATGCAAAACAGATAATTGTACAATCAAAGAAGTGCCTTGATTAAAATCATTGTATATGCAAATTCATCACTTGCTAGAGTAGTTATATTTTGGCACATGCATACATAATTAGTGATTTCTAATTTAAGGTAATGTCATGATAGAAATAGTCTTACCTAGTGGCATTCATGTTTTACCCATTAGTCAAATCAAGTCTTATATTTTTTATTCTTTTATTTTGATAATCACATTAGTCATTTAAAAAATGAAATGTCTCCTTGTTTATCAATATCATTTAAAAATCAGAGTAGTTTATAGCCTCTAGTTTTGAAAACTGGCTACACAAATTATTCCTTGGAAAATACTGATATGTCAAATGTTGACTCACTTTCAATTTGGGGGCTTATTTTAAATGATAAAGCAGTAAATGTGTAACATAGAATATCCCTGATCATAAACCCTCCATTCATTTCATATTTTTATTCATATTTGACATTTCTGAAAATTAAATAGATTTAAAAGTCAATTAGTGCACTTAATGCAGTCTCTTATGCTTAAAGCAAAGCTCAACTTAATAATGCATCTCACAATAAAAACTATCTTATCAAGATATCTTGATAAACACCATCTTGCAATCAACACCATCTTCTTAGAAATCCAATCTTGTTATCAATGACAACAAACACTTGCCTGTGATTACTATTTGCCAGGTCACTACCCCTCACAACCAGCATGTAAGATGGATTTACTGAATTTCACAGATGAGGAAACAAACACAGATTACTAATGTATTAATAACTCTTTCAAAGTCACACAGCAACTGCTTGACCAAGTGAGGAAATTCAGAACTTGATAAGACTGTGCCTGCTGTCCTCCTTAAAAGCAACACTAAGTCTGCTTCAGTTGATCATGTAAAGCATCTGTGACTGTACTAAAAGTTGTAATGAGATCTACTTGTCCAAGAGTTATCTCCTTGATCTCTTACCTCTTTTACCTGTCCTAAGGCAATAATAACAATAATAACACATTTTTAAATTTTTAAAATTATTTTCTTCTTTTCTCTTACTCTCTTATCTTTTATTGTTTCTATGAATACTTTAGGACATTAGATAGCTGTTCAGAGGGCCTGGAGAACTGCAAGACAGAATCTACCATTGACTGATAGAGTGGACGAGTATTTCATGGAGCCCAGGAATTTGTTTTCCCATTTCTCTTAATAAGTATATTAAAAGTAAAAATCTAAGTACTTCTGTATTCTAATTCACATAATCTTTGCTCAAAACTCTCCAATGGATCCTTAATCTTACTCAGAATGAAAGCCAAGTCCTTACAATGGCCTTCAAAGTTGCCCATCACCTAACCTCCTGTCTGACATGGTTTCCCACCTCCATCTTCCTCTTTCACTTGCTTAAGATAATCCGGCTTCCCCGCTGTCCCAGGAATCCCCAACCAATGTCAGGCTGGAGGACTTTGGCCTCTGCTCTCTGTACCTGGAGTGCTTTCTCACATAACAGCATGTGACTTCCCCTAGCAACCTTGAAGTCTCTGCTGAAATGTCACCCTACCGCAATGCTTTTCTCCCACCTCTGTCTCTTCTTATCCCACTTAATGCTCTTAATCTATTTTCCATTGCCTCCAGAGCACTTACCTACCTTGCCTTTGATAAATCTATTTATTTGTCCAGCCTTTAATACTAGAATCTATAGAAACTAGGGAAGCCATAAGAAAGGATTGACTTTGTTTAGAATATCCCCTCCTGTATCCCCAGGCTCTGGCACAGAGTGAATGTTCAATAACTATTTGTTGCACAAATGGACAGTCAAATTATAGAAATAAACAAGTAAATGAATATTCTAGGACTCTATTCAAGGATTCCCTACTTAGCTGTTGCTAGAATGACTGTCTGTTAGGTACAGTATCAAATGGTTTTCTTTACAGCATAATACACATGAATATATATTCAAGGCTTCTCAATGGTTGGTATATCTCATTTTATGAGGCAAGTAAAAAAGGTGAAACTTAAAGTTATTGCAATTAGAGATAAATTACTGGAACATAATTAATGTTTTTTTATTATTATTATTATTTTGAGATGGAGTTGGAATGGCCCAAGCTGGAGTGCAATGGCACGATCTCAGCTCACCACAACCTCTGCCTCCCGGGTTCAAGCAATTCTCCTACCTCAGCCTCCCGAGTAGCTGGGATTACAGGCATGTGCCACCACGCCCGGCTAATTTTGTATTTTTAGTAGAGATGGGATTTCACCATGTTGGTCAGGCTGGTCTCAAGCTCCCAATCTCAGGTGATCCACCTGCCTCGGCCTCCCAAGGTGGTGGAATTACAGGCGTGAGCCACTGCGCCCAGCTGCGTTTTACTATTTTTGAGAACATAATAAAAGCAATCATTAAGCAGTATGCTGCTAGATATATTACCCCTATTTTACATGTTTTACATATATTATCAAATTTAATCCTCACCACAACCTTATAATGGAGGCACTATTATTATATCAATTTCATAAATGAGAAAAATGAGGCACAGAAAAAGTTTAGTTACTTGCCCAAAGTCAGAGACAATCCCATAGACTCCTATTACAAACTGAAATATATGCATATATATTTTTTCTCCCACACTGATTTATTGTTCAGCACCAACTCTCCCTAATGATCCTGATTAAAATGCCCACTGTGAAAGATTTTTTTTTCAGGAGACTGGCAATATTATTGCATTCCCTTATACTCATTATCTCAGAAAGCCTGTTTTATTATTTATTCTTTCTGAGTGTTTGAGAAATTATCTTGGAGAAATTAACAAAATGCATTAGTATACATATGCTACTTACTTTCCTTAGACTAATACCTATAATTACTGGAATAAAATATTTTTATTTAATTTTTTTATGGCAGATTTCAGCTCGTATATTTAAAACTTTCCTGGTACAATCTGTTTTTTTAGTCATGTTTCTTCATAAACTTGTATATGAGAACAAGCCTGTGATTGAATGAAGCCTTAGAATCATTCACCATTGCTTTCTCTTCAGTACCTGACTGTTGCTTAAAACTAAGGTAACCATACATCTTAGTTTACTTGGACAGTCCTAGTTCATGTCTCTTCTCCCAGTGCAATTATTAGCATGCTATGCATTTAGATATATTGATACATTAGTGCTGGGAAGGGAAGAGAGTGGTCCCTTTAAATGATACAGAAGAGGGGAAGGGAAGTGCTGAGTAGAGGAGTGTGTGGTCCCTGGCTAAAGCTCCATCCCCACAGACCTAGTTGAGGACAGGCACTTCTGCCTTTGTGCCCAAATGTTGCATTTTCAAAGA
The DNA here is from genome assembly GCF_000001405.40 of Homo sapiens. Classification (NCBI taxonomy): domain Eukaryota; kingdom Metazoa; phylum Chordata; class Mammalia; order Primates; family Hominidae; genus Homo; species Homo sapiens. The sequence continues at coordinate 9,388,268 of NC_000009.12, read as the reverse complement.
CCACCCTGGCCTGCCACAACCCCCATCCTGGGCCTATAAAAACCCAAGACCCTAGCAAGGTAAGGACAGAAGTTGCTGGACAGCAAGAGGAACATGTCAATGGAAGAAGACACAAGCGGCTGGTCATGGGGAAAACCAGTTTCCCTTCTGGCTCCCCCATCTGCTGAGAGCTACTTCTACTCAATAAAACCTTGCACTAATTTCCCAAGCCCACGTGTGATCCAATTCTTCCAGTACAGCAAGGCAAGAAACTCCGGGATACAGAAATCCCTCTGTCCTTGTGATAAGGAAGGGGGGTCTAATTAAGCTGGTTAACACAGGCCACCTATAGGTGGGAAACTAAAAGAGCACCCTGTAACACATGCCCACTGGGGCTTCAGCTGTAAACATTCATTTTTACCATAATGAAAATGAAATGAAAAACATTCATTTTTACCACAGACATTGCCATAGGGTCGGAGCCCCACAGCCTGCCCATCTGTATGCTCCCCTAGAGGATTGAGCAGTGGGGAGCTGAAGAAGTGAGCCATGCCCCCATCCCATAGGCCCTGAGAGGGGGACAAAGGAACCCTTCCTGTTTCAATGTGACAAATAATAGCATGTACTATCACTTTCAGAAGTGCCTCTGAAGTGTCCATAATGGACAATAATTTTCTGCTCACTTAATTTAAAGAAGATATGTGATATTTCTAGAAAGTATTAATAAAAGCAGAGGAGGGAATTTTTTTCAGCCAAGAATCCTATATTCAGTGAAACCACCCTTCAAAAATAAGGTTGAAATAAAAACATTTTCTCTTTAAAAAGAAAAAAGTCTGTACTCTAGGTATAAAAGGGGAAACGAATAAATGTCCTCAATAACTTTATTTTAATTTCAAAAGAAATAACTTAATTAAAATCTAAAGAAAAAAAATAACATTCACCAAAATGAGACACTCTAGCCCTAAACTGTGCTTCCACTTGCTTAATAGAAATTCTCTCAACAAATCTGAAAAACCAACTTGTATTATTAAAATAGTCTTTGCCAGGAAGGATAAAACATTTATTTCTCTGGGTCTTTACTAGATTTCACATAAACACACACTGAAAACATTAGAGATGCCCTAGCTGAAGTACTGTGTTCCATTTACTGTTGCAGAAAATTCATTCCAATGTAAGCCTTTGTAAATGTAGGTCTTTGGCCATTCTGGCTAAGACAAAGGAAAGAACAAATAATCAACCTTAGCACCTGCACTCACATCAAAGTCCCTCTGAGCGTTAAATAAGTTATGTTATTTCTCATCTGAGCTGTTAGGACACAAATTCTTGGAATTCTCATTCTGTAGATTTTGCATAAAGGGTTGTTTCATTTCTCCCTTTAGATAAGGGAAAATGCCTCTGTGTTGGGGCTCAGGAGCCTGAGATGGACCTTCAGTTCCCTTTTATTTCATAAAATACCAGAGTACATCCAAATGTCCATGAAGCCTCAGACCTATAAACTATAACCTACTCCTTGCCTTTATTATCTTTTTTTCCCCATCCAGAGGGTTAATTTAACAATGAACACAGAAATATTAATCATAATATTTGTGTGATTTTATGTACATGTGAAGGTTTTAATTTTTAGAAAATTAGGAAATATTTTAATTTTTCCTCATATTTTGCTATTTAAAATGCATTTTGCTACAACTCTCTCACCTCCTCCTCTACAAATATATATAATAACCATTGTTATAAAATGCATATTAGTCTTCAAAATGATTGACTTGGAAGACTTAATCATTACCAAGAGTCTCACCACTGCCCTGTTGAAGCTTCCAGAAAGGCTAATGCAACCACCATTCGTTTTACCGGGATCTACCCTCACTCTTCATTCTCTTATTTGCTGGAGTCTTCTCTACTAAAATATGTTGCTTGACATACCAGAGGCATTTGAAGTTGTTTTCTCAGTGCCGTACCTCATTGGTTCAATGTGAGGCATTTTAGCAGGTCAGCAACCCTAGGTGATGAATCCCCATGTGGTTCATGAGTCTGTAGACTCATGCCTGCCAGGGGCTCACATACTTCATTCCAGTCACATAGGATTAAGGGAAATCTAGAAGATGCATGTCATTGGAAACATATATTGGACGCTGTCATTGTAACTAAGCCTACAGACTAGGACTCAGGTAATACAATTTCACCTAAGCTTGGGGTAAACAAATAGTTGCCTCTTTTTGTAGTAGGAAGTCTAAAATTTTCCCTTAGGTAAGTATTTTCATATAAGATGCAGGCCATACTGGGCTTCTGAAATCTCCCAACACAGCTATTCCAGAAGCAAATAGATACACATACAAAGGAGGCTCCTGGTGAGTGTTCATACTTGTTTTATGATACAGCATATTTTAAAAGAACATAAGACTGGAGTCATAGTTAGGCTTAAATGACACCTCTAACATTTACCTTCTATGTATCTTTGGACTGTTCACTTTAATTACAAGATTATTTCTTCAAATGGAAAGCGGAATTTAAAAGTGACATTCACCCCAAAGTTATGTCGACTAAATGAGTTAATGTATATTAAATACATAGAAAAGTACATGGTTTAATGGGTGTTCCCTTACCCAGCATACTGAGAATGATCATTCTTCTTGCCTGTATTCACTTTCACTAAGGTTTGTCCAGTCTGGGCATCCACACAAGCATGCACATAGCCATGCCACAGAGTAGCTAGAAGGTTTATGGATGAAATACTTGCTCACTGAAAGGACTGGTAACTTTATTTCACACACTTTCCTGAAAATATATATGAAAGGATTGGTTTCCTGTGATTACTGACCCAGGTTAGGCTTAAAGCAAAAGTAGAATCTGTAAGCATTTTGAGATCCTTGTGAAAGATTGTCTAGTACTTCGCTTTCCTCTCATTTATCTCACTTTCCTCTTGTTTATTTTACTCTCTGGGACCACGTTTTGAAGACTGTTGATCATACGGAAGAAAAATAGTCTATATCCTGGAGGAAAACTGTGGCAAATAAATGTTTGACTAAAATTTCTGGCTGTCTTCATAGTGCTTGAAAGTCCAAATGAATATAGGTGAAAATGCCAAATTACTTTAAAGGCTTTCAGACAAGTGGATACTTGGTAAATGAAGACAGAACATGTGGGTTCATTATTCTTTTTTTCTGTTGATATTATGTCTACATCCTGGCATTATGTTGGAAGACCTGTGTTTGTTCAACCTATGAAAGAGCTTCAGTCAGGAAATAAATTTCCTATTGCCCAAATAGCACCTGATAGAAAAAATATAAATACTTCAAAGTTTGAAACACTGTTTAGAAAAAATGATATATTGAACATATATATGCTCAATCAATTATGAGAGATACTATGAACAACTTTTTAAAGTGTTTGAGAGTTTCAGAATGCATAATTGTTTCAGAGGCACTTTCTTTTCTAATGTCTCATTCCATAAGGGTGTTTTCTGCAACAGTCACCAAATAGAAATATCACTAAAAATCTGAAAACAAATAGTGAAGCATGAAAAAAGCAGCAATGAGAAAATTCATCATAATAGAAAGTCTGTATAATAATATTTAGTGATCAAGGAGCTCATTTTATTAGTATTGGCAAACAACCAACAACTACAAGTTACAAGAAACATTAACAACCAGGGTAAGAAAGCAATCAGTTTTTAAATGTCAAGGAATCTCCTTATTTATTTTTTAGGAGTTGGCTTAATTAGAAAAGTTGTTACAAGTGCCAAGACCATGAAAGGAACATATTTTACAAGTTAAATAAAAATGTAGTGAATACTTACTGCAAGAGCTCAAAAACTCGACCTCAACATACCAGGTGATTAGTGTTAGATTCATACAAAAATGATGTTTCTACATTGAACTATCTCTTGGATAGGGTTGTTGACCCACCAGAAAAAAAAAAAAAAAAAAAAAAAAAAAAAAAAAAAAAAAAAGCCTAGTCTTCTGCTCAAATATCATCTTCAACATAAAACCTTTTATACCTGACGTAAACTGCACACAAAATTTTACAATACACAACATGGTACACCGAAAATCCAAAGAAGCCTAGATTTATTCATCATCTTCTATACCTACTAGTTCACTGATTTTATGTAAGTAACACACTGAGATATATGTTTGTTTGTAAAATATAAATTATGTATCTATAAGCAAAAAAAAAAGTATGTGAAAAGTTTTTAATGTCCCTTCATTGTTTGAATTCAATATAATTAGTAATAGAATGTGGTTGTTGGCAAACTGTATCTCGTATATAGGTTTATGCTTATTAGACTTTTTGTGTGTGCACAGGGCCTTGTGTTTAGTTCTGGTCAATATACTGAGCAGGGTTAGATATCACTTCTGGAACAAGCATTGAATTACTGTTGCAAAAACACACAGAATGCTTTGTTCTTTCTGGAACAATGATTATCAGGATTCAAGGTAGCTACTCTTCTATTAGACTTGATCCCTGAGTCCCCATTGTGAGCTGAACGTCCTTGCTGAGGGACTCTGGAATTTTAGCGTAAGGGAGAAATAAATATTAACTTGAGATTTGGGCCTGTTTGCTACTGCAGCAGGACTTACCCTACACTTACCAATAAATATAATTAAGGTACCGCATAAAAGCTTATGATAACTTTTCATAAAAATAAATGTAAGCATAGATATAAAAAGTGACAATATATGAATCACAATTTTTTCTTAGCCAAATCATTTAACTTTAATAATGTATTGCTTAAAGCATTAAGACATTTCCAAACATGGCATTGCCTCAATCAAATAATATACTCAGGATGATGAAGAGCAAGTTGGTGATATTTTCTGGCCTCCTTATTCTAGAATTAATAAGTTCAGTTAGTACTTTGTAAATCACATTATACAAATTCTCTTAAGGATATAACATGGTGAACTTGTATGTCCATAGTATGCTTTCTGCCATCTGTTTACTTATTTTGTACTCAGAAATAAAATTTTAAATATTTATTAAATGTTTAATATGTTTAAAGCAGGTATTGGTTCATTGGATAGTATGAGAAAAAATAGGACAATTTTCTTGTCTTTAGGGAGTATATAGTCTAGTTGGAGAATAACTCTGGAAATGATATGAAAGTTATATAATAGCACAAAACCTGAAAAGTGCCAAATCACAAAAGAAAAATGGTAGGATTTCATAAAAAGTTATTTTGATCTAAAAATATAATTCCCAAATTTAAGAAATATAGAAACACAGTCTGGTGGTGACATGGCAGGGAATTTTACCTAAGATAATGTCCTTCAGATTCACCCATGTTGTTGCAAATGACAAGATTTTCTTCTTTTATAAGGCAACATAATATTCTATTATATAAATATACAACATTTTCATTTATCCATTTATCTATTGGTGGGCATTTAGGTTGGTTGTTTTTGTGTCTTGGCTATTGTGAATCGTTCTGCAATGAACATGGGAGGTAGATATCTCTGAAATTCTCATTTCAATTCTTTGAATGTATATCCAGAAGTAGGATTACCAAATCATATGATAAGTTTTATTTTTGATATTTTAAGGAAACTGCATAATGTTTTTCATAATAGCTGTACTGTTTTACATTCCCACCTACAATGTGCAAGAGTCCCAATTTCTCTGTCCCCTCATGGACACTTATTCTCTCTCTCTCTTTCTCAATAAAACCATCCTAACAGATGTGAAGTGATATCTCATTTTTCATTTTGATTTTGCATCTTTTAATATGCCTTGTGGTTGTTTGAATGTTGTCTTTGGGGAAATGTCTATTCAAGCCCTTTGCCCAGTTTCTATTTGGGTTATTTGTGTTTTTGCTATTTAGTTGTAGGAGATTCTTACATATTTTGGATATTAGCCCTTTATCATATATATGGTTTGCAAACATTTTCTCCCATTCGTAGATGACCTTTTTAATTTTGTTGATTATTTCTTTGCTGTGCATAAGCTTTGTTGCCTCTGCTTTTGTTATCATATCCAAAATGTCATTGCCAAAACCAATGTCAAGAAGTTTTTCCCCTAAAACTATCAGAACTAATGTATGAATTTAGCAAAGTTGTAATATATAAAATCAACATATAAAAATTACTTGTGTTTCTATAAACTAAGAATGAATCATTCAAAAAGAAAATTAAGAAAAAAAATCCCATTTACAATAGCACAAAAAAGAGTAAAATACTTAGGAATAAACTTAAACAAGGAAATGAAAAACTCATATACTGAAAACTACAGAGCATTGATGGTAGAAATGTAAAGAGACACAAATAAATGGAAAGATGTCCTGAGTTCATGGATTGGAGAATTTGGTGTTTTTAAAATGTGCATACTACCTATAGTGATCTATACATTCAATGTTATCCACATTAAAACCCCAATGATTTTTTTTTTTTTACAGAAATAGTCAAAACAATACTAAATTTCACATGGAACCACAAAAGATTCAAAATAGCCAAAGCAATCTTGGGGAAAAAAAGACATAAGCTGGAGATCCCACTTCTTGATTTCAAAATACATAACAAAGCTATAGTGCAAACTCGTATTGCAAACTTTATGGTAGCCACTAAAAAACAAACAAAAAAAAACAAAAACAAAAAACAAAAAACAAAACAACAAAAAAAAACAAACACTTTTTACAAGTGTAGCTGTCTGAGCGTGGTGGCCCACACCTGTAATCTCAGCACTTTGGGAGGCCGAGGTGGGTAGGTTGCTGAGCCCAGGAGACCAGCCTGGGAAACATGGTGAAACCCTGTCTCTACAAAAATACAAAAATTAGCCGGGTATGGTGGTGCATGCATATAGTCCTAGCTACACAGGAGGCCATAGTGAGAAGATTACTTGAGCCCAAGAGGTCAAGACTGCAGTGAGCTGTGATTATGCCACTGCACTCCAGCCGGGTGACAAAGTAAGACCCTGTCAAAAAAAAAATAAAAAAAAAAAGCATAACTGATGTACTAAGAAAAGAGAGAAAATTGAATCGTATAAATGTACAATTAAAACTACTCAAGGCAGTAAAAGAGTGAAGGACACAAATGAGAACAAAGAACTTGGACAAGAAATAGAAAAAAATAGTAACAAATTTAATAGTATTAAAACAACTATATCAATAATGACTTTGAAGAACAATGGTCTAAGTGCACAAATTAAAAGACAGAGATTGTCAGAGTAGATCAAAATATAAGACCCAACTATATGTTGTCTATAGGGAAGCCACATTTATATAAAAATCATTTATCGATTAAAAATAAATGAGTGAAGAAAAATATGCCATACTAACACTAAGCAAAAGAAATACGAATAGCTATTATTAGTTTCAGACAAAGCAGATTTCAAAGCAAATAAATGTATCAGGAATAAAGAAGAGCATTACATAATGATAAAAAGGTCAATTCTCCAAGAAGACGTAACAATTATTAACATATATACACCTAAAAATAGAGTGTTAAACTATTAATACAAGAGGCAGAAACTGATAGAATTATAAGGAGAAATGGAAGAATCCACAATCATAGAGATTTTGACAGTCCTGTATCAGAAATAGTCAGACACGTCAGGTAGAAAAACGGCAAGTACATAGTGTTGTTGACAACGCTATCCATCAATTGGATATAATTGGCATCTATAGACACTTCATCCAACAATGGCAAAAAAAATTCTTCTCAAACTCACATGGAACATTTACTAAGATAGACCACATTCTAAGCTGTGAAACACACGTGAACAAACTTTTTAAAAATAGAAGTTAAGAAATGTCTGCTTTCATATCACAAATCAAACTATAAATCAATAACAGAAAGATAACTGGAAAATTCTAAAATATGAGGAGATCCATGATGGGCTTATTTCACATTGCATGCCTGTATCAAAACATCTCATGTACCCCATAAGTATATATACCTACTGTGTACCCACAAAAATTAAAATTAAAAACAAATATATAAATAATAAATTGCATTCTTCTAAATAACACACAGGTCAAAGAAGAAATCTCAAGACAATTTTAAATATATTTTGAAATAAATGAAATGAAAACACAACTTATCAAAATGTGTGGGATGCAGTGAAAGTAGTGTCTAGAGAGATGTCTAGCATGATTAAAACTCTCAGTAAAACTAGGGATATAGGGAGAGTTCTTCAGTTTGATAAAGAATCTCTACAAATAACCTACAGCTAACTTCAAACTTAATGGTAAGACACTCAAAGGTTTTCAACTAAGAAAGGATTCCCTATCTCGCTACACCTTTAAACACCACATTTGAAGTCCTAGTTAATGTAACAAGACGAAATTAAAATATATAGAAGGGAAAAGAAAAAAATGAAAATATCTTTGTTGCAAATAAGATGATTTTCTATGCAAAAATACAAAAGAATCAAAAAACTCCTAGAACTAATAAGCAACTAAAACAAGATTCCATATACAAGGTTAAGATACAAAAGGTAATTGCTTTCCTATATACCAACAATGAACAAGTGGAATTTGAAAATAAAAACAAAATAACACTTACATTAGCACACTTCAGAAATAAACAGTAGGTAGAAATCTAACAAAAAATAAATGATCTATATGAGGAAAACTACAAAACTATAACAAAAGAAGTCAAAGGAAAACCAAATTTATGGAAATATATTTCATGTCCATGGATAGGAAGATATAATATCAAGATGTCAGTTCTTCCCAACTTCATCTGTAGATTCAATGCAATCCCAATCAAAATTTCAGAAGGTTAATTTATGGATACTGACGAAATGATTCTAAAGTTATATAAAGAGAAATAATATCCAGAATGGCAAACAGAATGTTGAAGGAGAAGAACAAAGTTGGAGGACTGATATTACCTGACTTGAACACTTAATACAAAGCTACAGTAATCGAGACTGCATGGTATTGGACGAAGAATAGGAAAGTAGATCAATTTTATGGAATAGAGAGCCCAGAAATAGACCCACATAAATACAATTAAATGGTTTTTGACGGTGGAGAAAAGGCAATACAATGGAGTAAAGATAATCCTTTCAACAAATGGGAGAGGGACATTGAACATTCACAGGCAAATATATATATATATATAAAATATATCAAATATATATCATATATATATATATCTCAACATAGACCTATGCCCTTCACAAAAATTTTTAACTCAAATGGATCATAGACATAAATGCAAAACTATAAAACTCAGAGAAAATAAAACGGGAGTAATTCTAGATGACAAAATATAGCAATGACTTTTTAATTATAACACCAAAGACTCAGAACATGAAAGAAATAATTGATAAGCTGGGCTTCATTAAAATAAAAAAACTTCTGATTTTCAAATACAATGTCAAGAGAATGAGAAGATAAGCCACAGAATGGAAAAAGAAAATATTTACAAAGGATACATCTGATAAGGAGCGGTTATCCAAAATATATAAGAAACTTAAAAATCAACAATAGGAAAAAATTAAAAAGTGGGTGAAAGATTTTAAGGGATACATCAGCAAAGAAGATATACAGATGGCAATTAAGCATATGAAAAGGTGATTCACAGTATATGTCATTAGAGAAATGTGAATTCAAACAACGATATACAACTACACACCTATTAGAATGTAAAAATCCCAGAACACTGACAAAACCAAATGCTAGCTAGGATATGGGACAAGAGGAATTCTGCTTCATTACTAGTAGACATATAAAATGGTAGAGCTACTTAGGAAGAAAGCTTGCAGTTTCTTACAAAACTACACATACTCTTACCATATGATGCAACAATCTCCATAGTATTTATGCAAATGAGTTGAAAACATGTTCAAAGAAAACCTGCACACAGATGTTTATAACAGCATTATTCATAATTGCCAAAATTTGGAAGCAATCAAGTTGTCTTTCACTAGGTGAATGGATAAACTGTGGTATATCCAGACAATGGAATACTCACTGCTAAAAAGAAATGATCTGTCAAGCTATGAAAAGACAAGGAGAAACTTAAATGTGTATTCGTAAGTGAAAAAAAGGCCATCTGAAAAAGATATATACTGTATTATCAACTATATGATTTTCTGGAAAAGCCAAAATTATGGAGATATTTAACGATCAGTGGTTGCCAGGGGTTGCAGTGTGGATTAGGTGGGGCATAGAGGATTTTGGGGTGGTGAAACTACTCTGTAATATACATCCATAAAGTGTATAACACCAAGAGCGAACCCTAATGTGAACTGTGGTCTTTGGATAACGATGTTTTAATGGAGGTTCATTATCGGTAACAAATATATCAGTCTGGTGAGAAATACTGATGATGGGAGAGGTTGTGCATATGTGGGAGAGGGAGTATATGTGAAATCTCTGTACTTTCCTCTCAATGTTGCTGTAAACCTAAAACTACTCTTTAAAAAAAAATAGTCTTAAGAAACAACAACAAAACAAAAATCTTCTAGAAGAGGTGCTTTCTTCTTGAGAGTTAAAATATTATTTTAAGAAGTATGCCTAATAGGTATGACCCTGCCGTGTCTCAACTGTGGTACTTCTCTCACTTCCTGTAGCTACTTTTACCACCCCCTGAGCCCCCACCACCCACCTTGTTTCATCTGTGCCAACATTTTTCCGCTTAACTGGGCCACTGTTAAGCTGTTTGTAGTCAATGTCTGAAGGGATTTTTCATAGTCATCCATCCATTCCAGAAGCTTTAGTTTTATGTAAAGCTGGGGGTTGGATTATGGCTCTGCTGGCCATGTGGCCTTAAACAAATATCCAAATAAAGCCTCTGTTTCTCTGATAATAGGATCAATAATAATGCCAAACTTACAGAGTTGTATATATGGATGAGATGATGTATATAAAGGACTTAGCACATACTAAGTTCTCAACAAATTAATATTATTATTTTTCTATGATCCTCACTTGCTGACAAATATTAATGTTTTAATTTAAGATGCTTGATGAAAATTGTTGATAATCACAGGAAAACATCTTATTTGTGGCATTCTATACCAGGAAGAATTAGCACAAGACGTATTTTTTGTTCATGGAGGACTACTGTTTTGTTCCTTATATAGTTATAGTAATTTCAATGTCTATACTAAATGCACAAAGATACTGTATTCATATATATCTATGTATGGACATGTATTTGCATACATGATTAGTTTATGCATAAAAACCTTATAACTGGATGTTTTTATATGTTTTATTTTAAAATTGTTTTAACTCCTTTTGAAATTAAAAAAAAATATATGTTGCCATAGCCAACATCAATTCTCCAGCCAAATTCTTCCTTTAGCTTGATGATGCTTTTTAAAAATTTCCACATTCCCTGCAGACAAGAGACTTAAAATTTTCAGTTTTTATATTGAGTGCTCCCTAGAATATAGATCTGAGATTTGGTCTCCTAGCCCAAATTTTTTGGAATTTTCTTAGTGTCTATTAAGATGGGATTACTGAGAAAGTTACTGAATACTAAAGGATATATATTTTCCACATTATGTTTTATGTATAACTTGGTGTTTCATTGGATCCCGCCTTTCTTTTTTCATCCTGAGACTGTGAACAAAATGTTATACTGCTTTATAATAAGAGACCCGAGGGGTTCTATTTCAGTCTTACAGTCCTATTAAAAGCTTTTGAACATGACTCTATTAATGTTTTTTTCCTTTTAAGACTGGATTCATTTTCAAGACATAGACTGTTTCATTTCATATCTTAAAGCTCTTCAGTGTTTAGGAAATGTTTCACTTTATTAAATGTCAATTTCTGTAGGATATCAGTAATTAAATACCTATCACCAAATTTCTTTTAAGTGAAGTTAATGGGCTTGGGCTCAAAGGTGAAATTTAATTCCTAGTCCTAAACACTATGTAGGTCAATACATTTCATGAAATAATTGCATGCATGTTGTAATTTAAAGGATAATTTGACTGATGGAGGAAGGTTTGGTTTTTAGTAATCACTGATTAAGTTGTCTATAGCCAAAGTCAAATTTTATAGGAGGGTGAAACTGAGGCAGCTCAAACCTGAGCAAACAGTCTTGCATTAGTGGTCATCCAGGCATTTGTTTGCCATAGAGAAAACAATTTTACCTATCCTATACATATAGATTATAGTAGAAAAATGATTTTGAATGAAGACTTTTTTCAAGCCCATACACTCAACACAAATTATTCAATGGTTTTTAACACTGAAATACGTAACATAATCAAAAGGAATCATGGTATAGTAGAATGTTAAGATCTACTAAATAATAATGATGAGCAAGTTCTCATTTTCTTGCGCTTTATATTATGAAAATGTCTTAACACTACCTTCTTTACAAGGAGAATGGCCTTTAAATCCTGACAGACATTTTATTTTATTTTTACTGTGGTAAAATATGTGTAACATGCAAGTTACCATTTTACCGATTTTTAAGTGTGCCATTCAGTGGCATTAAGTATTTTAACACTGTGCAACCATCATCATTATCCATTCCTGGACTTTTTCATCATCGCAAACTGACTTTTCATATCCATTAAACAATAACTCCTCCTCCCTGCCATTGATAACCATCATCCTACTTTATGTCTCTATGAATTCAGCTATTCCAGATACCTCATGTGAGTGGAGTCATACCATATTTATTCTTTGTTTTCTGACTTATTTCACATAGCAAAATATTTTGAAGGTTTACCTATGTTATAGCATATATCATATTTTCATTCTTTTTTGTTTTTTGTTTGTTTGTTTTTTGAGACGGAGTCTTGCCCTGTTGCCCAGGCTAGAGTGCAGTGGCGCAATCTTGGCTCACTGCAGCCTCCGCCTCCCAGGTTCAAGTGATTCTTCTGCCTCAGCCTCCCGAGTAGCTGGGATTACAGGCACATGCCACCATGCCTGGCTAATTTTTATATTTTTAGTAGAGATGGGGTTTCACCATGTTGGTCAGGCTGGTTTTGAACTCCTGACCTCATGATCTGCCAGACTTGGCCTCCCAAAGTTCTGTGATTATAGCATGAGCCACTGCGCCCAGCCATTTTCATTCTTTTTTAAGGCAGAATCATATTTTGTTGGATACCTGCACAACATTTCATTCACTTATTCATTGGTGGATTATCCACATTTGGCTACTGTGAATAATGCTGCTGTGAACATTGGTATAACAGACATTGTCTTTCAGTATGATGTAGAAAATTTATGATATTAACAAAAATGTTTCTTTCAAGTTTTGTTTGAAACACATGTGCCAACACACACACGCACATACACATACACACACAGAGTTTGGTTATAGACCTATGTTTAATCTGTTCTATTTTGTAAAAAAAAGTTCTAGTAATTGAGAGCATGACTGAATCTCTATGATATTTTTGCTCATGATATCCAATTCTTTAAAAAGTCTTTTATATCAAGCCAAATTCAAATTTCTTTGTCCCTTCTGTTATTGTTATTGATAAGCAGGTAGGATATTAATAACAATAATTTCTTTCATGATTGGTCTTAAGACCATGAGAGCATTTAGGAGACTTGAAAGATGAAAATGGTGATGTTTCAGACCTTGCCCAATGTAAGACAAAGATGGCCCTGGGGCACTCTCAGGCTGGTGCCTTGTTCTTTGTATATGCATTGTTTTACAAGAGCTTAGGTAAACTTGGCAATACTCTGAACAGTCAGAGTTTGTCCATTTGTTACAACGTATTGAGGGTTTTAACCTGGGAGAAATAAATGTAAACTGTCTTACATTAAGGCCTTCTAAGACTTAATTCAGTGGAAGCATTTCGTCATTATTTCCCTTTACTTTACCTTACTTTATTACCCTCATTCAGCTTCATCCTATTAAACTACTTTCTGGAATATGCTTTTACTTTATGTTATAGTTAAAACTGCTTTTATTTTCTCAAATGTTGCTCCTTTCAATTTTCCCAGAAATAAGTAATTATCTTCTTCTTTTGAAATTCTATAGCACCTTAAATATAATTTTGTTTTGACTTTAATGTTCCTGTTTTAAAAATTTAATTATAGAAATTACATATAACTATATTCCTTATAAAAAGTTTTAAATAGAACTAATATAGATTAAAAAGTAACAGTTTATTTATTTTACCTCCTATTCCTGTCCCCCTTGGCAGCTATCTAGAATTTTGCAGTCTATCATTTTATATATATGATGGAATACTTTACATAAAATCTGTCTTTTTCGTCACTTAATATTTCTGGAATATTTTTAGGTTAATATTTAGATGCACATTTTTATGGTTGCGTACAATTCCATAATATGGATGTACCATTTTTCTTAATTTATTTCCATCTAGTAGATGTGTTAATTGTAATAAATGATAAGCTCATTAAAATGCCTGTATTATGAAAGCTACCGTAAGCCAAATTAAAAGACACATTAAGAGAAAATATTTGCATTATATATAATTGATAAAATATAATGTCCATAATATATAAAAAATTAACAAATACATGAAAATAATGCAAGTATTCCAATATAAAATGTAAAAGAGCACTGGGCTGGGCTGAAAAAAGTCCCCAGAGATTTCCAAGTCCTAAACCATGGCACCTGTGAATTTCACCCTGCATAGTCAAATCTTTGCAAAAGCAATTAAAGATTTCCAGATGAAGACATTATCCTGATAGGCTCTAATGTAATCACAAATTTCTTTATAAGAGAGAAGGAAATGGAGATTTCATTAGAGAAGAGCAGAAGGCAATGTGCTGGCAGAATCAGAGATTGGAGTGAGGTGACCATAAGTCAAGGAATGCTGACAGTCACCAAAAGTTAGATGAGACAAGAAATTAATTCTCCCTGGGAGACTCCAGAAAGAACCAGTCCTGAATACCCTTTGAGTTTAGCCCCATAAGACTCATTTCAGAATTCTGGCCTCTAGAATTGTAATTTCTATTGCTTTAAGCCACTAATTATGTAGTATGCGATTTGTTACAGCAGCACTAAGAAACTAATACAAATACTAATAACAAGCATTTCTACAAGGTTTCTAGGTGTTAGGTACTCTTCTTTGCATATAAATTATAGAAAGTCACTTAAATTGACTTATTTCTCTCACCAAATTTAGCAGGATTCTGAGGCACTGGGAGTTTAAGTAGCTTGTCCACGATTACACACCTAAAAAGAGGTAGAACAGGTATTTGAACTGAGAAAGTCCAGGTCTTCAGTCCATGTCTTTAACCTTTGTACTATACAGCCTCTGTGAAAACTATTAGTTCCAAAAATACAATTTGATGGCTAAGGAACATAAACTGTCAGATTGAGCATGGCATCAGAGATAGTGGCAATTAAAGATACATAACATTGAGTGTTTGCAGAGATGTAGAAGAAGAAAGTCTTCATATTTTGTGAGACTCTAAACTGGTATTTTTTGTGGGGTAATATTAAAAGGTTTCTCAAAATGGAGAGTGTGCATTACTCTTTGACCAAGTGATTCCACTTGAAAAGATATCCAGCCAAACTAAGCTTCATAAGTGAAGGAGAAATAAAATACTTTACAAACAAGCAAATGCTGAGAGATTTTGTCACCACCAGGCCTGCCCAAAAAGAGCTCCTGAAGGAAGCACTAAACATGGAAAGGAACAACCAGTACCAGCCACTGCGAAAACATGCCAAATTGTAAAGACCATCAAGGCTAGGAAGAAACTGCATCAACTAACGAGTAAATAACCAGCTAACATTGTAATGACAGGATCAAATTCACACATAACAATATTAACCTTAAACGTAAATGGGCTAAATCCTCCAATTAAAAGACACAGACTGGCAAATGGGATAAAGAGTCAAGACCCATCAGTGTGCTGTATTCAGGAAACCCATCTCATGTGCAGAGACACACGTAGGCTCAAAATAAAGGGATGGAGGAAGATCTACCAAGCAAATGGAAAACAAAAAAAGACAGGGGTTGCAATCCTAGTCTCTGATAAAACAGACTTTAAACCAACAAAGATCAAAAGAGACAAAGAAGGCCATTACATAATTGTAAAGGGATCAATTCAACAAGAAGAGCTAACTACCCTAAATATATATGCACCCAATACAGGAGCACCCAGATACATAAAGCAAGTCCTTTGTGACCTACACAGAGACTTAGACTCCCACACAATAATAATGGGAGACTTTAACACCCCACTGTCAACATTAGACAGATCAACGAGACAGAAAGTTAACAAGGATACCCAGGAATTGAACTCAGCTCTGCACCAAGCGGACCTAATAGACATCTACAGAACTCTCCACCCCAAATCAACAGAATATACATTCTTTTCAGCACCACACTGCACTTATTCCAAAATTGATCACATAGTTGGAAGCAAAGCAATCCTCAGCAAATGTAAAAGAACAGAAATTATAACAAACTGTCTCTCAGACCACAGTGCAATCAAACTAGAACTCAGGATTAAGAAACTCACTCAAAACTGCTCAACTACATGGAAACTGAACAACCTGCTCCTGAAAGACTACTGGGTACATAACGAAATGAAGACAGAAATAAAGATGTTCTTTGAAACAAACGAGAACAAAGACACAACATACCAGAATCTCTGGGACACATTCAAAGCAGTGTGTAGAGGGAAATTTATAGCACTAAATGCCCACAAGAGAAAGCAGGAAAGATCTAAAATTGACACCCTAACATCGCAATTAAAAGAACTAGAGAAGCAAGAGCAAAGACATTCAAAAGCTAGCAGAAGGCAAGAAATAACTAAGATCAGAGCAGAACTGAAGGAGATAGAGACACAAAAAACCCTTCAAAAAATCAATGAATCCAGGAGCTGGTTTTTTGAAAAGATCAACAAAACTGATAGACCACTAGCAAGACTAATAAAGAAGAAAAGAGAGAAGAATCAAATAGACGCAATAAAAAATGATAAAGGGGATATTACCACCGATCCCACAGAAATACAAACTACCATCAGAGAATACTATAAACACCTCTACGCACATAAACTAGAAAATCTAGAAGAAATGGATAAATTCCTCGACACATACAACCTCCCAACGCTAAACCAGGAAGAAGTTGAATCTCTGAATAGACCAATAACAGGCTCTGAAATTGAGGCAATAATTAATACCTTACCAACCAAAAAAAGTCCAGGACCAGATGGATTCACAGCCGAATTCTACCAGAGGTACAGGAGGAGCTGGTACCATTCCTTCTGAAACTATTACAATTAATGGAAAAAGAGGGAATCCTCCCTAACTCATTTTATGAAGCCAGCATCATCCTGATACCAAAGGCTGGCAGAGAAAAAAACAAAAAAAGAGAATTTTAGACCAATATCCTTAATGAATATTGATGCAAAAATCCTCAATAAAATTCTGGCAAAACGAATCCAGCAGCACATCAAAAAACTTATCCACCATGATCAAGTGGGCTTCATCCCTGGGATGCAAGGCTGGTTCAACATATGCAAATCAATAAATGTAATCCAGCATATAAACAGAACCAAAGACAAAAACCACATGATTATCTCAATAGATGCAGAAAAGGCCTTTGACAAAATTCAACAACACTTCATGCTAAAAACTCTCAATAAATTAGGTATTGATGGGACGTATCTCAAAATAATAAGAGCTATCTATGACAAACCCACCGCCAATATCATACTGAATGGACAAAAACTGGAAGCATTCCCTTTGAAAACTGGCACAAGACAGGGATGCCCTCTCTCACCACTCCTATTCAACATAGTGTTGGAAGTTCTGGCCAGGGCAATCAGGCAGGAGAAGGAAATAAAGGGTATTCAATTAGGAAAAGAGGAAGTCAAATTGTCCCTGTTTGCAGATGACATGATTGTATATCTAGAAAACCCCATCATCTCAGCTCAAAATCTCCTTAAGCAGATAAGCAACTTCAGCAAAGTCTCAGCATACAAAATCAATGTGCAAAAATCACAAGCCTTCTTATACACCAATAACAGACAAATAGAGAGCCAAATCATGAGTGAACTCCCATTCACAGTTGCTTCAAAGAGAATAAAATACCTAGGAATCCAACTTACAAGGGATGTGAAGGACCTCTTCAAGGAGAACTACAAACCACTGCTCAGGGAAATAAAAGAGGACACAAACAAATGGAAGAACATTCCATGCTCATGGGTAGGAGGAATCAATATCGTGAAAATGGCCATACTGCCCAAAGTAATTTATAGATTCAATGCCATCCCCATCAAGCTACCAATGACTTTCTTCACAGAATTGGAAAAAACTACTTTAAAGTTCATATGGAACGAAAAAAGAGCCCGCATCGCCAAGTCAATCCTAAGCCAAAAGAACAAAGCTGGAGGCATCACGCTACCTGACTTCAAACTATACTACAAGGCTACAGTAACGAAAACATCGTGGTAATGGTACCAAAACAGAGATATAGATCAATGGAACAGAACAGAGCCCTCAGAAATAATGCCGCGTATCTACAACTATCTGATCTTTGACAAACCTGACAAAAACAAGCAATGGGGAAAGGATTCCCTATTTAATAAATGGTTCTGGGAAAACTGGCTAGCCATATGTAGAAAGCTGAAACTGGATCCCTTCCTTACACCTTATACAAAAATTAATTCAAGATGGATTAAAGACTTATGTGTTAGACCTAAAACCATAAAAATCCTAGAAGAAAACCTAGGCAATACCATTCAGGACATAGGCATGGGCAAGGACTTCATGTCTAAAACACCAAAAGCAATGGCAACAAAAGCCAAAATTGACAAATGGGATCTAATTAAACTAAAGAGCTTCTGCACAGCAAAAGAAACTATCATCAGAGTGAACAGGCAACCTACAGAATGGGAGAAAATGTTTGCAATCTACCCATCTGACAAAAGGCTAATATCCAGAATCTACAATGAACTCCAACAAATTTACAAGAAAAAAAGCAAACAACCCCACCAAAAAGTGGGCAAAGGATATGAACAGACACTTCTCAAAAGAAGACATTTATGCAGCCAAAAAACACATGAAAAAATGCTCATCATCTCTGGCCATCAGAGAAATGCAAATCAAAACCGCAATGAGATACCATCTCACACCAGTTAGAATGGTGATCATTAAAAAGTCAGGAAACAACAGGTGCTGGAGAGGATGTGGAGAAATAGGAACACTTTTACACTGTTGGTGGGACTGTAAACTAGTTCAACCATTGTGGAAGACTTGGAACCAACTCAAATGTCCAACAATGATAGACTAGATTAAGAAAATGTGGCACATGTACACCATGGAATACTATGCAGCCATAAAAAAGGATGAGTTCATGTCCTTTGTAGGGACATGGATGAAGCTGGAAACCATCATTCTCAGCAAACTATCGCAAGGACAAGAAACCAAACACCGCATGTTCTCACTCATAGATGGGAATTGAACAATGAGAAAACATGGACACAGGAAGGGGAACATCCTACACTGGGGACTGTTGTGGGGTGTGGGGAGTGGGGAGGGATAACATTAGGAGATATACCTAATGCTAAATGACGACACGAGTTAATGGGTGCAGCACACCAACATGGCACATGTGTACACATGTAACCTGCACGTTGTGCACATGTACTCTAAAACTTAAAGTATAATAATAATAAAATTTAAAAAAAGATATCCATTGCAGCATTTGTTTGTAATACCCTAAAAATAGGAATATTTTTCCTACCCTAGGTTCATATTTATTATTCAGTGTCATTACCTTTAACTGAATTAGTCCACCAAAATGATTTCAAGAGTTCCCCCTAAGAGTGGGACATTTAAGAATAATCTTTGGGACTTTTTCAAACTGTCATCTTTATTGCCTCAACCTAGCCTCTCTCTGACTTTAATATTCTTTGCTAGGGACATCAGTCCCCAACACTCATTGTAAGAATCACTGCTACAGTAAATGGCTCAGCCTAAAGGAAATATGTTACATCTCTCAGAGTGTTGTAGTAGATGAAAGGATGCAAATGTAGATTCCTAACAAGGAATGAATGGACTAACACTTATTATCTTACCTGTCTTTTCCTATGCCCGATTTATGCTAGTATATTTCATTCACATGTGAGCTCATATAAACCTCATAAAATCCTGTGAGGCTCAAGTCATAATTTCTATGGTAAAGTTGAAGGAGATAAGGCCCAATAATGTTAAGTGAATTTACTAGGGTCACTTGGTTAATAAGTGGAAGAAGTAGGATATAAATGCAGGTCTAACGTTTTACCCCATGGGCCTTGATCAGTTTTTGACATACTTAAAATCAAATTTGGGCCGAATTATGTAAATAAAATGTACACACTGAAATGGGATCCATATTGAGTAGTTTATGGCCCTAAATAAAGATGAATAATATGTTTTCAGAAGTTTAATCATGCCAGACTGAGCTGTCCTTACGTCAACATATACGATGTCACCCAGTTGTTCCTCATATGACCTATTGGGCACTCATGTGTGCTAGTAGCTCTCCCTTATGACAGGGTTTGGAAGAGACAGAAAATAGACCTCTATTATCTTATTCTAGGAACAGAATACATAAAAAGACTGTGAGATTGTACAAATGTCACCTTTTCTTATTACAGCAATTTGGTGCTTCTCAGATTGCTTTGCAAATTCGAGTTAGCATATAATATGTGAGCCTGTGATAGCCTCTCCACACCCAGGAAATTGGAGCTATTTTTTTGTCCGAACACGTCTCTGGCAGTTTTGATGGAAACAGCTCCCATTTGTATAGCCTAAAAATTTAACTTCTGGCAATCTACTGTTTTTTTTAATGCCAAACTTCCAATGATAGTTACTCATTCTAATATATACAAAAATTAGACTTCAGTTGAACAGTACAGATCCTGTACCTGGAAAAACATCCAAAGTTGTTATCAAATTTATGTATTTCATTTGTAACTTTACTTACAATTGGGAGAGAGTTTATTTCACTAAATACAATATAATTGTAGGCCAAAATGTCAATGTGGTGAAAGAAGACTTTCTTCTCTTGTCCCTTATGAATATTTTACATTTTTCAAAATATGTATATTTTTCCTTTTATTTACTGTAAAATACTAAAATCTGATGTCCTTGAAATGATACTTTTACCTGTATTCTTGTTTTCCTTCCAGTTAACTTCTAGTGAATTCCACCTCCCCCACTGTAATCTATATAGATTTCTAGTTCTCCCTTGTAGAAACTTTAAAAAACATTTCATCAGAATATAAATTTTAGCATAAATATGTATAAATATAAATAACCCCACGTAACACTGATTATATTAGCTTTCTTCATTTATAAATCAAAAACTCATTTTCTGTGGGACAAAGGGTTTTTATTTTTTAAACTTTTCTTAAAATTTATCATTTTTCAATGTATTACAATATCCTGAGATTTGTTTCATTTTACTACCAAATTTCGCAGGACATTTTGTAATTTTTTTCATTTTTATTTCCAAAACCAGTTATACATAGTGAAGAGATAAATTCAGGAAATACACAAAAGTAGAAAAAAAAAGTCAGTATCTCTTTACCCAAAGATCAGTTGACCTTTTTTTTACCTTAATGTATTTAGCTCTATTCATTTTTATTACATGTATGTTTACTAATAATGAGGACCTTATTTTGTCTTTTTTGTAACCTCTTTTTTACTCGGAAGAATTTTTCCATATTCTTAATGATTCGTTATTTTAAATTGCATATTTCATTTACTAAAATCAGTGTCAAATAAGAAATGTAACTGGTATGATGATGGATGATATGTTTCTATTTCCTGTAATTTTCCTTACTAATGGCCATTTTATAAAATTTCTGTCTGATTAAACAGAACCAGCCTATTCATTTCAGTTTAGGAGCTAGTGCTTTCTCAAACCCTATAGAGCAGAAGTTTTTAAAATGCTGAATTTCAGTAATCTCACTTGGCATTATAAATTAAGCTTTCCCTTTCTTTTGCTTTCTCTTCAATAAAATTTACCTCCAGGAAATGAAAATCATTTGCTGTCCACAGGTGACCTACTCTCAATGATTCAAGAATAGATAGGTCAGTGCTGTTTATTTATAAAGCTTTCAAAATCAATACTTTTCAAAGGAGAAAATAAAACGTCTCGTAAATCCTCACCAAAAAGAATCCCTGCTTAAAAAAATTACAACACTCAGGTGTAAGCCATATATATAGTCGGTTATGCAACCTAATAAATCTAAATTCTTTTTTAGTTTTATTTGTTAATAAAATTGGTCAGTTGGTAATTATTTCACAGGAGTTCCTTCCATATATGATCTGGTGTTCATTAGATAGGTAGGGTATTTGAATTCTCATGCAATAGACTTATTCCTAGGAATTTTTGTAGCCTCAGAACTTTGATAACTTCAATGGCAGAATTTTACTCAGAATATCTTTGTAAAGATTTATAATATTATAGTTTAATATCTGCAAAGATCCATGCTATATTTACATCAAAATAATATTTTCTTGTAACTATGTTCAGTTACCACAATTCTAATGAATGAATTAATTTATTTATATTCATCATTTTAAGAATGCTGTATAATATAACTAGAGTTTAGATATTCTAAGGGTTATAGATTTGGAGATGAGGCCTTTAGTTGTGAAAAATGTCTGTTTGAGAGACCCATAGAGAGACTGGGTTATGCTGTAGGTCGACAGCACACAAGGAAGGAGGCAAAACCTTTGGCTGATCTTTTCTTGACCTGTCTATTTAAGCCCATTTAATAGTCTATAATCTTTGCTTTGAAAAAACATAGACATTTATTAAAAGCTTTTGATTATAATGTATTTTAAACCAGTATGAACAGCTGTCCATTTAGTTGTATTGGCCATACTCCCCTGCAATAAATGGAATTTTATAGAACTACCTCAGATAAAGGTAGAAAGCAGGCCAACATCCTCAGCAGAAAAGCACAATTAGGGAATTCATGAGTTAAACAACTGTTTATATTTTCAATATTCTGTTAAAAATTGTAAAATAGAGGTGAATGAATAAAGACATTATTTCTTCAGTGCATAAAAATAATCTTTAGTCTCTATTAAGGCTAATACCAACTATATGTGAAAGATTATATGTTTGCATTTACACACTTAAAACACTACCTTTTAAATCTCACTGCTGGATATGAGGCTTAGTCAATATCTCTGGTCATATAATAGAGACACATGATCTTAAGCTAAGTGGCAACTTCCCTGTAACATAGAACAATTTTAAAAAGCTGTGATCCAATATTTTGTATTTGTCCTCTCTGCTGATAGTATTTAACCTCTGTCTGAGCCCCAGCACATATTACTCAGTGTTCTCCAGCACAGGGTATGACGGTGACATGTTTCCAGTTTCTCAGGTAAGATGGGAGTCATCCTTGACTCTCACAGTCATATCCAGTTCATCAGAGAATCCTGTGAGATGTACAATCTCAATGTACCTAGAACTTAACCTTATCCTACACCCTTCTCTGCTGCTGCTCCAGTCTAAGCCACCATTAGGTTTTGCCTGGATTATTGAAAGGGCCTTCTACCTAATCTGTTTTTATTCCATCCACACTCAACACTGCTCACAGCACAAACTGAACCTTCCGAAATGAAGTCAGGTCACATCACTCCTCACCTCAAAACCCTCTGCTTCATATCTCACTAAGAATAAAGCCACAATTCTTATAGCAGCCTAAAGGTCTTTATATAAATGGGACCTTTCCTTGCTCGTTTTTCCTTCCTCACTGTTGGTTTTCCTTTCTCCCTCCATTGCCTCCATAACTTTCCTCTTTCTTTCTGCTCCAGCTATAATCCTCACTGTGCCTCTGCCACTCAAGACCGTTTCTCAGCCTAGGACTTTTCTTTCTGCATAGAATGCTCTTCCCTCGTATATGTGCAGGGATAGCTGCCTCATACCATTCAACAATTTGCTCAAATATCACCTTCTAATATGGCCTTCCCAACAACTTTCTTTAAAATTGCAACTGTCCATGTCTCAAAATACATTCCCTTCTCCAACACTCACCAATATCTGACATACTTTCTCTTTGCCATATGTGTCTTACTCCCTCCATTAGAATGTAAGCACTTCGGGGGAAAATTCTCTTCACAATTTTGTTTACTACTGTAATCCAGGGTATAGAACAGTGCCTGTATATGAATTCTGAGTGAATACTTCTACACAGACTTTATGTGCATATAAAACTGTGTTAGGCAGCTAATTCCACAACAGAGAAAAACGATCAGTCTATCAATTTAGACTCAATATTTCTATTCCCAAAGCTAATTTCATGTTGATTTAAGAGAGGCAATAGGCCTTGATCTGAAGATCGGCACATGAAAATATTGGTAAACAATACTGATAATGTAAATATGTAAAGTATTATAGAAGTTATGTAAAATGTTTTCTAAAGTGGTATTAGCCTTCAACTAATACCATAAAATGCCGTGTGTCAGACAGTGTGGGGATATAATGAATTACAAAGGATGAACACTTTTTTATAATTTCATTAATAAGATGGAAAAATGCTTAAAACTATAATGCAAAGTAAATAATTAAGTATCAACACCAAAAAAGTTATTTACTGTCGCTGGACCTTAGTTCCCTCAGTTGTCAAATGTATTTGATGAAAAAAATATATCGATGGTTTCTAAGTTTTTGCTTGTGGAGATTCTACAGGCTCACAAAGCTCTCTTAGAGAATCTAGAGTGGTCACCTGTAGGAAAGGCTGCTGAATATTTGAGCTTCAGGCCCCACACACTGCCTATGTGCCAAGACCACTTCCACTTAGCTAGAAAAACCCTGCATCTATGAGCTTTACCTATTGTACTAACACCTAAGATTTTGTTTGAACAGAGAGCCAATCTCAGTCCCCTAAAAGCTGAAACTACACCAATGTTCTAGCAATTTATGATCGACATAATGGTTTTTCCTAACCTTTAAAAATAAAATGCTACAACTCATAGCAAAATATAGTTAATTTCTAAGTAAAATAGAGATAGAAATGTTTGAGAATCCATTTGTTTCAGATCTCCTAGTATGAGATTTTGTTCTTCAGGTATAAGGGATATGATGCCAGCTTGTATATGAGGATTTCTAAATCTGGGTCCATTACAACTATCTAGAATGTTAAGACTTGTTATGATTCTGAGAGGCATTTTAGATGCCTTTTGGGGTGTTGATCAGTAATTGCTCTTGTGGCCTTATCATTCCCTATTTTGAATGACAAAAACAAGAAACAACCAAAAAAAGATATGTCATATCCAGTTCTAATGTGACCACAAGTACAGTTAAAAAAAAAAAAAAAAAAAGCACAAAATAGTACTGATTTCCTGATAATTATTCTTCCTTTGTTAGCACAGTTCCAGAACTCTCAAGGAAAAGGGTAATAAACTGGGAGATTAATAGTATTTAATAAACTGGAGCTGCCTCCTGTTAATTAGATAACTCCTTAAACATTTGATAAAAGGATTTACAAGAATCTACGTTCCACCACTGACCACTCTTTACACCAATAAGAAAGGTTTTCTTACACTTAATTATTCTATCTATTCTTTTCTTTTAAAAGTGAATTCTCCATAGAAATGTATAGCTGATTTATGCTATCACTTTCAAAAGGCAATAGGTTAAGCCTGCTAACTATCAACACATTTGCTATTCTATCAAGGAAATCCTAGTTAATAGACTTCAAAAGTATTATAGATTTTAAAGAAACAATGGATAGTTATTCTATTGGCAGGCTGTGAGCACGTATTGGCCCCTTGAGAGTCAACTAAAAATTGTTCTTAGGGGTAAGTGAATTTCAAGAACAGAGAGTATGCCCTTTTTTATTCATCTGGGACAGATATATCTTTTAGAAATGAAGTTATACAAGACACATTAGTTGATGTTTTTCTGACAATGTTGACAATGAAGTACCACAAGGGACCCCATTCTTGCTCTCATACATTTCATCCTTGAACTGTATCATCCTTGAATTGTAGATATCACACTGTGTTGTAGTTTTTAGTTGGTTGATATTTTAAAATGTTGTTTTTTTCCCTTAACAAAGTATGAGGCAAAACCTTACGTATGTTTCCTAGGATCCCAATACTTATTTGTGTTTTATATGCCTATATATTTATTTATAATAAAGGGAGAATCTGCTACTATTTCTCAAAAAGTCATAAATACGGAAGCTTTTGAGGAAATACTATAGAAATACTGTATGAATGTATAATATATACTTACTTCCCAACCACATATTTGCCATCCCTTGCGATGCCCTCCCTGTGTTACTGACTTGTGATATAAAAGAGGAATGGTTTTCCAAGTGGGAATTAACAATATTATAGAAGTTTAATTCCACTCGATCTTTTTTTAAGTCAACATTTGAACAAGTGCCATGTTTTCCACTAAACTCTCTCTGATTGGACTCAAGAATGACTAACGTTGGCTCTTCCAAAAGGAGTTTATGAATTATTATGGTAAATATCCAACATATATGAGAAAAACCCCAGGAGGCTAGGGGGTTTCTATCCTTGTTTATTCCTGTATGCCCATTTCTAGAAGTTTTCTCATTCATGGTAGGCCCTGATAAATAGTTGTATAATATTTAATTGAATAGTAGTTACTATCAAAAAGCTACCAAGGGAGAAATCTAATCTTCCATGTGGACATGAGAAAGATAGTATGCTTAATCTTGAGACTGAAAGATCAAGACCACACTAGAGTGACTGTAGTTTATAATAATATATTGTGTTTTCAAAATAGCTAGAGGAGAATAATTCAAATCTTTCTAGCATGAAGAAAAGATACATATTTAAAGTGATGGATATCCCAATTACACTGATTTGATCTTTATAAATTATCACATGTACCAAAAACATGTACCTCTGTTATGTATCAATAAAAAAAAAGATCAACAGTAGAATTGAATCTGGCAGTAAAGAGCCATGGTGCATTTTAAAAAACACTATGAACAAGGTAATCAGGTATAAAATTGAGGAATGCCAGGAAAGGCTAAAATATAGGACACTAAGATAATACTAATCTAGAAATAAATTCAAAGCAGCTTTAAATATTATGATAAGGAATTATTGAATATTAATAAGCAGCAATATGACATGACTGAATTGATATTTTTGAAAGATATCCCCGGTGGTAATGATCTCAAATGAATTGAAGGGAGAAAAGCCTGGGCATTTTCAACTGTAAGGATTATATGCGAAAAGAATGGTTATAAGCATTTAAGTTCCTATTACAATTGAGTTGTAAGCCTTTGACCTATAGGGTCCCCCAAATTACCTGCACTTCTAATGACAAAAACTAAAATGGATTTAAACATGACATGATTAGCTGTATTCTTCCTGGAAATTATCCCTTTATATGCAATATATTGAGAACCTCAGGACTGAAAATATTTGGCCATGTATTCAAATATTAACCAAGTCATCTCTATTTGGCACTGCAGTTCTTTCTTTTTACATCGTTTTAGTAGAATTTAAGGTAATTTCTGTGTACACATCTGGCTTCAGTGCTTTGCCTTAAGCTATATTTCCCTGTCACCAAGTGAAAGATATTTCTGAATAACAGTACTCTTGACTTATCAAATCCACTTCCTCACATAATACACTTGGAAATCTTTTTCAATGAATGTATCTATTATTAAAAACTGTAAAGCTATCTATCATCAAGCAGGAATTTACCATTATTTATAGAAAATATAATACAATGAAAATAACTTATAATTGCTAAATAACATTTTACCTTTACATATTAATTTTGATACCATGACTAGATTGTTATTTTTGCTACTAAATAACTTTATTTCTTTATACTTAATTCACATCTTGTATTTTTCTCATTATCAGCTTTACTTCTAGATAATTTCCCAATTTACCTATTTCAGAGATGTAAATAAATATGCATTCACACTCCCATAGACCTTGTCACAAACTTAGCCTAATCAAATCTTTCAATATTTATTTTCAGGAAAAAGAGTTTAGTATAAATTTGCTTAAAACATCCCCTTAGGAAATGGGATTTTACTTGCCTAAGTCTAAGGTAAAAGCTTCCATAGATTCAGATTTCTTTTTCCTATTATTTGCTTCTGTTAAATTGAGGTAAGGACTGCCCTATTTTTATTGTTTCTCTCTTATGGCTTTGCCAATCATCTTTTTTTTTTTCCCATCTATTATACAACTGTCAGTCTACAGGAAATAGTCTTTTTCAGCTGTCCAATGCTCAAAATGAAAAATATCAAACAACTGTCAGATTTTTAGAATCACTTCCATTAAAAGGAAATTTAAAATCTAAACACATTGTACTTACCACAAATATTAAATTTGAAAACATCATTTTTGTTATGAAATCTGACTTCTGCCATGAAAACACATGGGATTTTTAGTTTGTAAAATGAACTGTAACCAGATCACTGAAGCATCCTTACTAGAGACTATCTGCAAAAAACATATAAAAATGTTTTCTTAAGTTATAATTATGTTGTGTTGAAATGGAATTCTTTCTACATTTTCTCTAATCTGTAGTAGCTGTGAAAGTAAGTGTCTCTGAATCTTCTTTCACTTTTTTGAGGAAGCCCAGCATATTGCCTCCACGCAGCAGGCACTCCGTACACCTGCTGAATAAAAATGATTGAATAGATGCATGAAAATCAAACGAAGTCAGATGTCAATAAAGTCATTATCAGCATCAAATGGAATTTAATTGGGAAAGTCATCTGAAGAAAATCAGCTTAGAACCAAGTTCAAATGAGGTATATGAGTTCCACAGAAAGTAGACAGGGCTCAGGATTTCATACCACATCTCCATGTGAGTAATGACTAGGTTTAGTTGGTTTCAAGTTCAGTTTAATTGGGAGGGGTAATAATTATTGAATCCCAGCCATGCTGCAGAATTGTTCTTTAGGTAAGTCTTTGTCAATTTAGCTATGTGTTTGCAAACACTGTTTTTATGAAGATCAGGACAGAGATGAAAAGAGAGAGATTGTTAGAAATCTTCACAACCTCTTATCAGGGGACATTTTTATAGAAATTGAATGTGAAGTCATGCATACCATTAAATCAATTTCTTTGTAGTCCCCGAAGTGTCCTTTCCTATTCCTTAGAAAAATCATAAATAGCTTCAGCTAATAAAAATAGCCCAAAGCCACATTTAGACTAATGCAGCTTAAATGAGATTTTAACCTTAGACCTCTCTTTTTAAAAAGCTTACCTTCTAATTGGATAGTGCATTTTATAGAAAACTGAAGGATATAATGTTGATTAGGTTCATACAATGAAGGAAAAGTTGCCACCCTAAGGTCAACATCTGTTGACTCTGAAAATGACAACCAGTATTCACAGTTTGAGATAATGGCTGTCTATGATGGGATCATTAGCTGTTCTGCTTCATAATTTCCAGAAAATTCATAATAAATGCAAGTGCAGCAAAATCTGAAGGAGACAGTTTTTATCCTGAAATTGTTTTTAGAAGCCCTGCCCAAACAGCTTGTAGGTTAATAGAGGTGCAACAGTAAGGTTGGATGCAATCAACTTTGATTGTGGGCTTCTCAGAGTTGGTTCGTCTCGCCTTGAGTTTCCTATACAAGAATGCGATTAAGAAACAAGCAGCTTAATGACGTTAATGATTGTTATTCAGAATGTAAAGGTGTTGGATTAATCACAAAGACTGAATCTGATTCAGGCGCAGGCCCTTCTCAACATGTACTTTTTAGTTCTACCATTCTCTCTGGGTTTTTGGAGTGACTTCTGAGATATAGAATAGCTAAGCTTATAGATAAGTTGGTTTTCTGGAGCATGGGAGCCAATCAGTTCTTTTATGACTATTGGCATAGTTAGCAAGTACATACTCAGGATTGCAACTTAATTGATTCTCTGTAAAGGCAAAAATATGACATTCATTTTAATTCTGAGCTTTTTATTATTTAAAATCAGCTTTTCCAAATTCTTCCTGGATGAACAAGGCTAAAATGTTTCCAGGAATATTTATTAAAGTATTATAGATATACATAGCAAGATACCTGGTATATTCTTTTCTGATTTCATTATAGTAAGCAATTATATTTTTAAAGCACCAAAAAGAATACATGCTGCTTAAAATCAAATAATTTCATTACCTGGAAAAGTAATAAGCAAATAGCATAATATAAATAATTTTGGTCTATATTTTTAAATAGACAACAGGCAATATAACCTAAATAAGAAAAAATTGCCTATATAATATGTTTTTCCAAATGTTACAAGTACCTTTGAACAGCAATGCAAAGAATAGGAGAATATGCTGTTTC
The DNA here is from genome assembly GCF_000001405.40 of Homo sapiens. Lineage (NCBI taxonomy): Eukaryota > Metazoa > Chordata > Mammalia > Primates > Hominidae > Homo > Homo sapiens. The sequence continues at coordinate 9,358,135 of NC_000009.12, read as the reverse complement.
AAAAAGGTCTTCAAACAAAAGATTTTCCAGTAGTTGTGGTCAGAAATGTGATTTAATTTCTTGCTTGTAAAATAGCAACAAAAAAAATCTTATAGAAAAATCTCATATTTTTCTGTATAGCCTGTTCACAGGAAGAATTCTGTTCAGCTGAACTCCAGAGAAATAGTTTCTCTCTTTGGAAAGTGCAAATTCTAAAGCATTACAGAATAGAAATGTAAAAGGAAATAGAGAACAGAGAAATGGTTGTGGTAGGTAAAGATGTTACCTGGGAAAAAAAAGGAAAGACATAAAGACTCAAGTCCAATCAATAAATATATTTATAATGCCTTTATAATGTCAAATATATTCCAATTGCTTGAGACAGGGTCAACCTAAAATAGTCTGCACTATTGCCCTCTTAACTGTGTCATTTTTTTTTTTTATTTTAAAAACTATTGAGCAGCACATCCTCTGATTTAATAATTTTATTGTGGTACCTTATAGCCAAAAGACCTATATTTAATCACTTTGCTTCTTTCCCTCATTCACTTGCTACCTCACACTGCTCTCTGATTCTTATATGGTCTTTTAAAATCATTAGCCACATTTCAGGTCTTCTGAAAGCTGCAAAGGGACCTTATATATGATTTCCCAGGCATAGTGACTAACGCCATTCAAAGTTCTCACCAAGCTTTCCTCATTTCAGACCTAATGATTACATACAAGATCATCCTCCATGTGACAAAAGGTCATGAGAAGTCCACAAACCTTTAGGAATAAAAATTGGTAAAATGAATTAAATTTTATCTGGCTTTAAATTCAAAGGTCCATGAGTAGAAGCAGGAATTTACATTTCAACAGAAGAAGAATATTTGACATCCCCAAAGTCCTAACTGAAAGAGACACTTAGTGCACATCATCCTTTATTCCAGACACCCATAAATTCTCACAGTATTTATGAAACCAGATTGTGCTGGTGTCTAAATCAGCTGTTTGCTGGGAATCCGTTAAAATAAGAGACTTCTTAATTCCAAAGCTCTCTAATGTATATTTAGAACAGAATTAGGCATAAGAGAATTAAAGTCTACTGACGGATTGATAAATGAAGAGAAGGAATGAGAGAAGGCAGAAGGTGCATATTATATTTGAGACCCAAATCCCCCTTGGATGCTTTATACCCGGTTGCTTGACCTTATTTTACAGATGTATTTCCCTCTAATTTTCTGTTTGTTAACTATAATTCTGCTGCCTCACTGGTAGCAAGTTGCCAGCTTTATATCTTATCTCTTATACAAAGCAGAAATTCAGGGAATGTTTTTGTATTGAATTTATTAGAATGGACCTTGGAGATCATCAACAGAATGTATTTCTTTTTCATAATGAAAATCAAACCTAGAGGGAGTATTGTCTTTGCAAATGTAGAAAAACTAGTCAGTGGTACTTGAAACTCAAACATGGGTCTTCTGACTCTTGAACTATGTTTCTTCAAGATGCAGCTTCTGATAAACATAATTAACCTTCTTGTATATTCCTACTTCTCCCCATCACTACTTTTTCCAACACAATTCTTTCTTCAAACGTGATTGAAATGGAGAAAATGACATCTTAAAAGCTGGCCTTATTTAGTAAAATCTATTGCAAATGGTGGCAAACACTCATATGATTCATAATGAATATGCTCTGATGATTTTAAATGTGTGTTTGCATTTCACTTGGTTTGTTTATTATACAATAGACTGTGATGGGTCATGAAAAAAATAAGTCCAGTGCTGTTATACAACAAGAATAATCTGCATTAGATGTCCCTCAACCGCCAAGCCAAAGACCTCATTCTAGCAGCTCTCCTCTCTCTTCTACATCAATTTTTCCTTTCTACTAGGTTGTTTCTATAACCACACAAACTTGCTGTTATTTCTCCAAGATTAAAAAAACATACACAAAATTGTCTTGTCCCCATTTCCTCTGCCAGATTCACTCTCCCTATTCCTTGGTTCTTTTTCTTTTGCAGAAAAAATTTCCTGAAATTAATGTCTATACTCCTTTTTCTGTGATTCTTCTTTATACCTCTTCTCTTAAAACTGCTATAGTTAGGCTTTTACTCCATCATTCCACTAAAACTTGTCAATGTCACCAATCCCCTCAATATTGCTAAATCCAATGCTCTAGTCTCTGGACCCATTTTGTTTAATCTTACTGGTAGCATTTGACACAGTTTATCACTCCTTCCTCTTTAATCATTTTTCTATTGGCGTCTGTGATACTACACACTTTGGCTTTTCTTCTGTTTCACTGGTTTCTCTTTTCATGTTTCCTTTACTCATTTTTCACCATCCTTCTGACCTATTAACATTGAAATGCTCCAGGTTTCAGTCATTAGTACCCTTCTATTTTATACCTTGATTCTCTCCCTTGTGTTTTTACTCAATCCCATGGCTTTCAAACACCTTCTGTATACCTGTGACTTCCAATTTACATCTCCAGGCCCTGTCTTTCTCATGAAATCCAGACTTACATATCCAACTTCCTGCTTGACTTATCCACTTGAATATCTAGAAAACATATAAAATGAAACTTGTCCAAAAACTAAGTCCCTGACTTTTCTCATCTTCTCCATCTCAAATGATAGCAACTCCTTGTGTTCAGTCACTTATACCAAAAACCTAAAAATGGTTTTTAACCCACTCTTTATCTTATTCATGACATTCCAATATATAAAAAATGCTATGAAGATCTATCTTCAACACATTTTCATAATTAAGCCCATTCTTTCACCTCCGCTCCTAAAACTGGTCCAAACCATAGTCATCTGTAGCCTAAATTTCAGCAATAGCCTCTTGATGGATCTCCATGCTTCTACCATTGTACCATTATAATTCATTCTCATCTTTTACAGTTGATAATATATAATTATTTGTCCAGCTTTTTCGAGGTATAATTGGTATATAAAAACCAGAAAATAAAGGACCCAAAAACCTTTTGAAGATGATAGATAACTTTATTACCTGGATTGTGGTGATAGTAACACAAGTGTATACCACACTCACCAAATTGTATACAACTCATTCTTAATAAAGCTGCAAGAGTGGTCTTTCTAAAACTTAAGTCATACTTGTTACCATCCTCCACCAACTTCATCCATACTCTACAATGGCACCTAATTATCTGGTACCTTTCCCTTTATTTTCTTTTTTGTCCACACTCCACTACTGTCACATTTTCCTCCTTTGCTATTCATTGAAAATGCCAGGCATGGACTATCCTTAGGCCTCTTGCACTAGTTGTTACCTCACCCTCCATTATTTTTCCTCCAGATATCTTCATGCACAACTCCATCACTTCTTGCATGTGTTTGCTCAAATCTCAGTTTCTCAATGAGAAGCACCCATGGTACCCCACTTCATGCTATCTTACTTACCTAATCCCTTGCTGATACTTCAAATCCTTCTTACCCTGATACCTTTACTATCATTCCATAGCACTTTTTACCTCCTAATGCATTAGATAATTTACTTATTGGCTATAGTTGTGTATTATCTATCGCTCTCCAATAGCATGTAAGTTCTACAGGGGAAGGAAACTTTGTTTCATTCACTGATGAATTCCCAGCTAGGAGAGAGCCTACCACAAAAAAAAATGTAGGTTTTTAAAATTCATTTGAAAAGTTATTGAATTGTAAAGCCAATATTTTCATATTACAAGACCTTATTAATATATGATCTCTGTAGGTATGATAAAATATACATTTAAGATATTGAAAGAAGTATAAAAGCTGCAAAAGTGTATAAAATCTTCCTTTGAACTGAGATGTATTTTAGTAAGAAAATTTTATTTTGTTGTGGTAGAAAGAATTCTAAAATAGCCCCCAGGATTCATATACCCATACATGTCCCTGTACAAATCCCAGGACTTGTAAATATGATGGAACAGTCATTATCATGATTAGGTTATATTATATGGGACAGTTAACTTTAAGAAAGAGGAACCATCATGGGTAAAACTGGCCTATAAATAGCTCTTGCACTTCCTAAAAGTGAGTTGAAGTGTGGGGGGATTCACCAAAATGGGGATTCCTCAATGTGGCTTCATAGAAGAAGGAGGCCATGTGGGGACAAGGAGCTCAGAGCAGCCTCTAGGAGCTAAGAGTGACCCCTAGCCAAAATCGAGAAAGAAAGAGTGACCGCAGTCATTCCATCACAAAGAAGTTAATTTTTTTCAATAACCTGAAAGAACTTGGAAGCTTCCTCAGAGCTTCTAGATGACTCACAGCCCAGCCAACACCTTGATTTCAGCCTTGTGATAGCTGAGGAAGAGAGACCCATCAGACCCGAGCTTTTGAAATTCTGAACTAATAAAAGGGTGTTGTTTTAAGCTGCCAACTTTGTGGTAATCTACCAGGCAGCAATAGAAAACTAATATATTCCTTGTTTTCTTTTTTGTTTTTATTTCTCTGTTTTACCTTTAAACTATAAAATACTTGATGCTCATGCTTAACTCAACCTAGAAAACTTTCAGAAGCAGGATTTTTTTTTTTAAAGGCATGAAAACAAGGCCAATATATACGTAAGACAAGGTCCTATGTAAAGTGAATAGAAAAAAGAAATTAAGGCAAAATTAAATGACCGCATTTTTCCAGATCACTCAAGATTGCAATATATAGAAGTGGACTCCCAGCCCCAGCCCTTCTAATAATTACTCTGAGACATATGCAAAGTATTTAACCTAAACTGGCTTTATTTCTTTGTTCATTAAATGGGTGAATTTTACTAGATTAACTCTAAGATTTATTCCTGTTATAAAATTCTGTAGTTCAATAGTTCTGTTGCTCTAAAGTCACCTATGATTCTATGTTCATTTAAAAATACAACATTTTTATACATTTTAATATTGACTTCTGCACTGAAAATGTTACTTTAAGAGTTTGGTAACAGACATTAAAATATTTTGGCACTTTGGTAACCTGAATCAAGATACTCTAAATATATCAACATGAAATAGGTAGTAAAGTTTTAGGATTTCAAGGACAGTCTTTTGACCGAGCCTGAACTTCTCTAGTGAACATTGAATAGCATTGTTTTGGCCACCAGAGGGCTCCCACATGATTTCTCCCTGCATTAAAATTTTGAAGAATTAATTCAAATTTTATCATTGAAAATAAGAACAATAAAGATACAACAACACCAAGCAGTACAAGTAATGAGGAGTGTTTTCTCTTTTGTATCCATTAGAGTTATTATAAATTTAGCGTTTTCTATAAAAACACTGAGTGAACACTCAAACCATAAGCAAAAAGAACCACGTCCTACCTTTTTTATGCATGACTTTTTCTCAATTCCTTTCCTACATATTTAAGAAGAGAATCTTCTTCCAGACATTTAAAATTATTACAACTCTGAGAGAAGTCAAGATAGTTCTGAGACTATGGTACTGTAATGTGAACTATGTAGACATAATTCATAGTTATCATTAATTCGTCATGCTTACACGTTTCTACATTCATATTTGGTAAATTATTCTGAGTTTGCTTTTTCTTCTCTGAGTGTGTTAGGAATCTACTGAGATTTACAAATAAAACTTAACCAGCTATTTTGTGTGAAGGCAACAGAGTGAAGAGTTTGTCTCTGGACTAACTCCAGAAGCCAAAGAATGCAAAATGTTATGAAAACAAATGAGGCAGATTTTGTTGTAATTTCCAGGAGAAAAAATAAATTTGCCTTAGATATTAAATATTGATTATTGGGAAAACATAACAGATATATATATACATATACACACATATATATATATACACACACACACATATATACACACACACACACACACACACACACATATATATATATATATATGGTTTTTTGGCAGTATTGTTTGTGTTTACGAGCTATCAACCTAAATTTCCAGCAATACAAAGCTGGACAGATAAATTATTTTATAGTTATGCTACGATGTACTATACAATTGTTAAAAAGTGAAGGTGCTCTTCATGTGCACATAGGGAATGGTTCCAAAGATATGTGGGGGACAAAAATCAAGCTGATAAAAAATGCAAGGGCCAGGTGCAGAGGCTGGGATTCCTGTAATCCCAGCACTTTGGGAAGTCAAGGCAGGAGGATTCCTTGGGGCTAAGAGTTTGGGACCAGCCTGAACAATATAGTATTCTTTTATTTGCATATCAGAATGAAGATAGAGTTAAAATATGAATCATATGATTCTCATGGAGGAAGCTCTTACTGTGTTCCAGACTAATCATGTAATCCTCATATAGTCCATCAAGGTGGATATTCATGTTATCTCCAATGGACGGATACAGAAATGGAGGCACAGAGAGTTTAAACAATGAGTCCAAAATGACTAGTCCAAATTATGAACCCAGCTGACCAAATCCATAGCCTACGCTCCTGACCCTTATAATCTTTGGCACAGACATACACTAGAGAATATGTTTTAAGACAATATGTCACAAATCCTTTTTAACTGAAAAGAGAAGATAAGTATTTCAGTCTTCTTTATTCCTCAGCTAACATGTGTATCTTTCCAAGGCTTCTTGGTTTGCTGTACTGACTCAGTAACATGTTCTGTGTCAGGGTGTCTAGGCTTTATTTGGCCTCCCTGATTAATAAAGCCCTCCACCTAGGAAGGTTCACGTGAACACCTGAAAGGAAGTTCAGATAGTGTGTCCTTTGCGTTTTGTAGAACTAAAATACATCTAATGCATAGAATTATTTGTTCTCATTCCCAAGTACTTTCTGCTTTTCCTGCTCTCCTTCTAGACAAGCTCAATAAATGGTGACTAATCCCTTCAGATTCTATAGTGCATTCCCAGTGCAGGCCATACCCAGGAATTCAGGTGCCAGTTATTCTGTGTTCTGATTACCTTTGTTTCCTCTTTTTATGTTCTCTTTCCTACAAGATGTATTTTAGAAATTTCAGTTTCCTTCTGTAATCTTGCAGAAGTGAAATGAGGCAAAACTCAAATCTGTACATTTGGTTTCTTGTTAACAGCCCTTCTAAGAAAAGCTCGGTGGTGGGAATATTGAGGGAATTGAGTAAGGGATGCCTGGAAATCACCAGCAAGTGTTCATGTAACCCTATTCCCCAAGCCAAAGGTAATTGAGACTTGACTTCAGGGTACCAGTGGTTCTGTGAACTTTCACAGAAATTCTTTAGCAATCTAAAATGAAACAGACAAACGAACAAAAACTTGCCCAAAGCACTGTAATTGAAAGATCATCAGAGTTCATTTTTGATGACAACTGGACACTCTCAGAAAAAGAGGATCTTAAAATATTGAGACTGGCTGACCTCGTTATCTGAGGGAATATTTTCCTTTTACTACTTTAACATGACATGAATGTTATTTAAGTTAATAATGTCTGTTTAATTTATATTGTACTATAGTGTTTTGTTTGAAGTTCCTTTTCAAATTTGATATTTTCAATTTCATATTTAAAATAAAAGAGTAGTAATCAGAGTGAAGGGCCACACAGATTCCTTTCTGGTCCATCTGAGGAGAATGAACCGTAGAAAATATAGAGGATACTACATCACCAAAGATATTTATGACCAATGTATACAAAAATTAAAATTTTACAGTGATGACCATGACACCTTATCTGGCAGAAGAAAACAGATTGTTGACACAAAAGGGGATGCAAATAATTTAAAATTCTTCCCTTTGCTTGAATCCCAGCTAATTACACAAAGGATTTAGAGACTCTTACAGAGGAGTTGATACAGTACAAAAGGGTATGGCAAACTATTGAGAAAATCAGAATAAATGTCCATTTGTCCAAAAATAAAGCCAGGAATAACATTTGTATGCAGAAATCCATATCACATACCTCTGCACCTATAAGAGTTAGGCTGCTTATTTGCTTCTGAGCTTTCTAATTGTATAAAGGTCAGAATGCCTTAGAATCCAGTCTAAGAGTTATTATTTCTATATGACAAAAATTAACTGCTTGTTCAGGAGAGGAACATTTTTTTATGATACTAAGGCTGAAAAAAGATGTTTCTCACAGATTATCCTAAGGAAGACTTGGGTGTTCTACATCAGCAAAGGATTTCTGACCACTCTGGAGCATAGCTCCTGGGGTCCTTTCCGTTCCTACCTCTTCAAGCATTTGCATAACTGAAAGCAGCTTTCAGAAAAAGGAGTTTCAAGGACCAAGGTTACATCTATGCTGATACTGGATAGCCTACATTTCAGGATACCCCTCTACTCTGAAAGTTAAATATAGACAGTGCTTCCTTTTAAGTTTTTGTGTGATCATGAAATGGCTTTTTACAATGGACTAGGGTTCTGGATAAGTTCTGCAGAAGTGCTAGTATATGAGAAATGCAGATTCTGTCCCCATAGGTGATGAGACATATTTACAATTATTTATAGCACAAAAAAAAAACATGTGATGGGTGCCACTTAAGTGGTATAAACAAGGTGATATAGAAATTAGGAAAGAGAAAGATTATTATCACTGGAGGTGATGAGTGTGAGAAAATTAAGGAAAGTAAAATTGAATAAAGCCATAAAACAATCATTCTCAAACTTTAGTATACAAAAAAAAAAAAACTTAGAGAAATGAAAAAAATCCAATTTTCAGTCTCAACCATCAGACAGTTGAATTTGTTACATTTTGAGTGGGATTCCAAAGTCTAAAATGTAAACATTAGGTGGCACTTCTATATCACTTTACCTGTGGCAGCAATCTTCTTGGGAGGCAAAAGGATTTGTCTTAAAGCTTGCTTGCAGTGTTTCTGTATTAGACAGACAAAATATCAGTTTATGGTCCCTGTGCAAGATGGGGGTTGGAGGTGTGGTGACTGATAGTCTGATACTGCTTTCCCAAAGTAGTGGTAGACTGGTAGATAAGCTAGCCCTTGGCATGTCTTAGTGTTCTATGCTAAAAAGTTTCTTGCCATTCTATGTTAAGGAGCTCAGAATTTAACACCTAGCAAGAGATTTATTAAGTGAAATATGTAAGCAGAGAAGTGATATGATCAGATTTACGTCGAGTGAATTATTTTTTCTTAAACATATTTCCATCCCCACTGACCTACTGATTTTTCATAATGGATCTCCTCTTCACAATGGCACTATGATACCCGCCCGCCACTGTAATAGTAATTGGCTACAAAATACAGAAAATAAATCTGATAATAGATGTATATACATAGATACCAATAACCTCAGACACTACTTCCTATTAAAATAGGTTTAGTCTCCTGAATTAATTAAAATACAGGAAGAGAAAAATCTCCACTGACAATTGGAAGAAGAGAAGCAGCACACAGATTGTTGTAGTACAGAGGGACCTTATTAAGAGAGCACCCTAATTAGGACAAGTGGAGGTCTTCAGAGCTGTTATAATCCGTGTGAATCTCCATAGCACAAATGTTCAAGAGAAGCCACATAAAGCACCAAATAATGTCAGAGATTAAGTTATATGAGAGTAGGTGAAGATGCCATTTATTCAAGAAAATGCTGGAATCTGGACTTACTAGACATTGTACTTGGGTACAAACTCTTACCCCAACTCCTGTCCCCAACGTCCCATTACACAGTGTGTCTGAAGGGAAGAAAACATGTGCTTTTCCCACTTCAGATGATGATTAAAGGGGTGATTTTCACCCACAGTATTTGTTCACCCACCCAGCATACTTGCCCACTCTTTCAATCACCAAGTCCTTTATTCTTAACATTACTGTTTTACTTAAGAGATAACGTCAAAGGAATTGAGCATTGTGACTGGATAATGGTCTCCTACTGCAAGATAAATGCGTAGGCATTTATTGAAAATAAATGTTGGAGGAAAGCCAAGACATTTGTTTTTAAAGTAGAAAACTATTTTCTAGTCACAACTTTCAGTGCCAGAGACATTATAGCTATCTAACCAAAGGATTTTTTAAGTAAATTGAGATCACCCAAAGAGAGCAACAGAATACCTAATTTGTTCTCACCTATATAAAAAGGTAACATTCTTGCTTCTTTTCTAAAGATACCAAATCAAATTCAAATATGCTATTTTTCTTTTGGTGGGAACATTGAAAGAATGCATTAGCAACCTATTCAATCAACTCTCTAGCTTGATTGTGCACACTTGGATTTTGCTTTTTTAAACAAAGTAGATGAATATGCATACTAAAACAGAAGTCTAAAATTTGGTGACATACTCTCTGATTTTTTTTGGTCACTTTATAGGCAGTAATGGCTACTGATGTCACTATGATGTGTCTGAAAAGGACATAAGCAATGACATAGGACGCTTTTAATGGCAGTGGTAATGAGCTGTGTGCCACAGTAGTGATGATTTGAATTCTTCCAGTCATTGCTTAGTGCCTTTACAGAGTGAAGCACTATTGAGTGAATTTCAACAAACACTGCTTACACTTTGCTTCAGTGTTGAAATTCATAAGAATACCATTATAACCTGAATAGTTATTAGTGGAATGTAGATGTACCATGAATCAAAATCTCACCCTTTTCCCCATTATCTGCTGCTATATATTTAACTTATAGCCATATTCTTCTAGCAATATAGTGTAACTGCATGGATATTGCCTTGTTTTTCCCTTGCCACTCTGTGTAATAGCTAAAGAATAATGAAAATTTATAAGTGAAACAGAAACACCCACTCTGCATCACCTGTATATAGTAAGGGCCACTTAGCAAATGGTTTTACCCTGAGGGATAAAAAGGAAAATAAAAACATAACAATGTAACATTGAAGGGAACAGAAATTGTTATTCTTCATTTTGACCATTGTGTTAAAAGAACATAATCTGTAGGATAAACACTTATATGTATGCATGCATATAGATATATAGATATATATATATATTTATATATATACACATAGAGAGAGTCCTCTGAAGTATAGAAAGTATAAGACTTCTAGATAAATAACTGCATCAATAATATATGCAACAGAGTTCATGTGTAAAATAAAATCTAATCATCTTTTCAAACATTTTGAAGAGGCTTATGTTTGTTTCAAACAGAGCCTCACTCTGTTACCCAGGCTGCAGTGCATTGTAGTAAGACCACAGCTTACGGCAGCCTCAACCTCCCAGGCTCAAGTGATGCTCCTGCATTGGCTTCCCAAAGTGTTAAGGTTACAAGCGTGCGCCAACACACCTGCCCCAGGGGCTGTGTTAAGATTAAGGAATTGGCCAGGCACAATGGCTCACACCTGTAATCCCAGCACTTTAGAAGGCCGAGGTGGGCGGATCACCAGAGATCAGGAGTTTGAGACCAGCCTGGCCAACATGGTGAAACCCTATCTCCACTGAAAATACAAGAATTAGCTAGGCTTGGTGTCAGGCGCCTGTAATCCCAGCTACTTGAGAGGCTGAGGCAGGAGAATATCTTGAACCCAGGAGGTGGAGGTTGCAGTGAGCTGAGATAGAGCCATTGCACTCCAGCCTGGGCAACAAGAGCAAAACTCTGTCTAAAAAAGAAAAAAAAAATTAAGGCACTTTATGTATTTAATAGAATAGTACAAATAAAAACATACAAAGGCACAATTCAAAAACATAGAGTTATAGAGTGCTTTATATACATCCGTATGTTTAAGAACAACTAGAGTTACATACTTAGACTGGACATTTGTAAGTGGCTTTAAATAAATCTTCCATCTTTTCAAATTTTTGGAAATAAGCATCACTCATAAATAAGTACTTACAATCGTAATATAGAGTTGTTTAATTGCATTAGTGGTTTTGTAATTATTATGGTAATAACTTTGTACATTTTTAACACATTTCTCTCAGTTAATTTTTGGTTACTTTTTCTTAAATTTTTCTCAAGATCAAATTATGTTACGTGTGAGTCACATGAATATTGACCCTCCCATATTTCTAATTGATTGTAAACTTGTGTTTGCTGTACAGTTTTCTTTCTCAAATATCTGGAAGAATCTTTTTTCTATGATAAATGTCATTGTAAACACCTTGTTAGTAGATCACTAGACTCCTTTAGGCATCTCAGGAGAATATGGCTAGGAAGATATATTCTGCACTTAATATTTTATTAAGGAATTTGTCTTCTATTTATGCTCTGGGGTGTGAGAGACTTCCACAGCACTACGTGAGGGAGCTTCCAGAACACGGCCCCTATTCTATACTCTTAAAGAGCAGATCTTTTTTCGTGTTGTACTTTCACCTGAAATCTTCTAAAAAGAGTTCCACTGTTAACAAAATAATGAACAGATTCATGAATAAAGAAGTACATTGAAATATCAAAGAGCCACTATTTAGAGAAATAATAGAAATACTTTCATAATGCTTTTATGTACCAGGCACTTTATGTTTGTTAATCTAATCATCACAATAACCTAATGTTTGTTAATCTAATCATTGTAATAACCTTCTGAAGTTGATATCATTATTGTTCCCATTTTATAGAGGAAAAAATGGAGGAACCGAATGTTTGAGTAATCCAAGACCATACTACTGGAAGCCATTATGATCAGGATTTGCATCTAGATAATATGCCTTCAGAATTCATGATTATTTTAGCCTCAATGCTAATCTAGCCATATGGGATGACCTTGGGGGAGTTATAAGCATTAATGCAAATTCTGTAACAGAGTCATAGATTCTAAGAAAGCACTTTAAAAAAATATACTACATCATGAAAATATTCAAGTAAAAAAAATATTTTATTTAGAGTAAGTGATTTTGGAAGTCAAAATCATAGCCCAGGGTCCATTCCTAGTGTGTAACTTCCCAGCCATAACCTGTACTTGAGCCTCTGCCTTCATGCCTCCTCTGCCCATGTCTCATACTGATCAAAAAAACCTACTTTAACAAAAACCTACTGCTGTAACCTCTGAAGAGAGACTTGCAGAAGATGAGGGCTGCCCTAATGGATTAGATAATACATTTTTACTGAAATATATGTTTAATATTTAAAATTTTAAGAAATAATATATCTCTAAGTGCAAGTAATTATCAGTAAGGAAGAATATTCATATGAAAGAATGTGTGAATATGGTACTTTGTCCTAAAATTAGCATTTGTAAAATCTCACTTTCAGAGTCAGAAAATCTCAAGAGACTTTCTTGATGAACCACTTTCCTGTCTGGAAAATCAGTAATTGCTTGTAGGCTGTTGTTTAACTTCCCAACTTCAAATATATGACTTCTAGGGCATTATTTTGTCCCTTATCAATTTTTCCCCACCAATTTTCATGTTCTATAATTAGTAACAAAGTAACATTTTTTCAGAAACTCCTCTGGCTTTCTAATTAATTCCTGAAAAGAGTTCTTATTGATAGAATAATTATATACATTTATTGGCCCCACAGGTACATCTCATTTTTTTTCTTAACTACCATGTTTCAAGTAGAACTTTTCTCATTAGAAGTTTTTTAAATAAATTATAAAACTTTTTCAAAATAAAAAATATTAAATATATTCAGGTAACTTGCCTTTTGGATTGTATCTACCATCTAAAATGTTTTAACTTAAAGTTTTTAAAAGTTAAAAGTAAGTTAATTTTCAGAATACAGAAACATTGTGGTGCAGACCTTCTAGATATCTTTTATCTGCATTTGTGAATTTTAGTCATGAATACAGGCTGAACACAAGTATCACAAATGCATATATATATACTTTATTCATTAAAAAGATGAGTTAGCTTTCTTTTTTTTTAATTTTTACTTTTATTTTACTTTAAGTTCTGGGATACATGTGCTGAACATGTAGTTTTGTCACATAAGCATACATGTGCCATCGTGGTTTGCTGCACCTATCAACCTGTCAGCTAGGTTTTAAGCCCCGCATGCATTAGGTATTTGTCCTAATGCTCTATCTCCCCTTTCCCCCCAAACCCCCGACAGGCCTCAGTGTGTGATGCCCCCTCCCTGTGTCCATGTGTTCTCACTGTGCAACTCCCACTTATGGGTGAGAACATGTGGTGTTTGGGTTTCTGTTCTTGTGTTAGTTTGTTGAGGATGATGGTTTCCAGCTTCATCCATGGCCCTGCAAGGGACTTGAACAAAAAGATGAGTTAACTTTCTTAGTGTAAGTTGTCATGTCTGATGCCAATGTAACAAAATAATCTTTGGAGTTAATGTATTTGTGTAATTGAGAGATGTGCATTTTCAGTATACTTGGCTATCTAGAAGATAAACATATATAGCACCTAAGATACATATTATTAATGTGTGCAAGCTCAGTTAGGAAGAAAAATAAGTGAAAAGTTTAATTTCCAAAAGAAAGTTGGAGTGCTTCCCCAGGAAAATTTAGATAACCTGTTTCTTCTCATTGGTATTGGACCCTAAAGAATTTCACCCAGGATATAACATTTAGTTGAAACTGGGAAGAAAAGAGAAACATCCTCCCCACTTTCATTTCATTGCTATTTTTAAAAAGAATATATTTGTTTCACTTCATTTCACTGTGGAAATAGACCTGAAGTCCTCAAAAAAAAAAAGGGTTCCCTCCTGTTTGTGATTTTCGAATGAAACATTTTTCATAGCACTGCTTGTTTGATATAATGTTTTATCTGATTTTGTTGACACTGGAAAAAATAGTTTCTCCAATGCTACCTTCAAACTTTGATATTTGCAGTTGCTTAAGTCATTAGGTTGTGTAATTCAAACCTCATTTGGAGAAAAGTCAGAGATATACAAAAGAAGGCGTTTATGTAGCCAACAAACATATGAAAAAAAGCTCATCATCACTGGTCATTAGAGAAATGCAAATCAAAACCACAGTGAGATACCACTCACACCAGTTAGAATGGTGATCATTAGAAAGTCAGGAAACAACAGATGCTAGAGGGGATGTGGAGAAATAGGAACACTTTTACACTGTTGGGTGTGTAAATTAGTTAACCATTGAGGAAGACAGTTGGGATTCTTCAAGGATCTAGACCCAGAAATACCATTTGACCCAGCAATCCCATTACTGGGTATATACCCAAAGGATTACAAATCATGTGACTATAAAGACACAAGCACAAGTATGTTTATTGCAGCACTACACAATAGCAAAGCCTTGGAACCAACCCAAATGCCTATCAGTGATAGACTGGATGAAGAAAATGTGGCACATATACATCATGGAATACTATGCAGCTATAAAAAAGGATGAGTTCATGTCCTTTGCAGGGACATGGATGAAGCTGGAAACTATTATTCTCAGCAAACTAACACAGGAACAGAAAACCAAACACCACATGTTCTCACTCATAAGTGGGAGTTGAACAATGAGAACACATGGAAACAGGGAAGGGAACATCACATACAGGGAGGAGAACATCACACACTGGGGCCTGTTGGCGGGGTAGGGGGCTAGGGGAGGGATAGCATTAGAAGAAATGCCTAATGTAGATGACGGGTTGATGGGTGCAGCAAACCACCATGGCACGTGTATACCTATTTATCAAACCTGCATGTTCTGCACATGTATCCCAGAACTTAAAGTATAATAATAAAAAAAAAAAAAGTCAGAGATATACAATTTGTGAGACTGCCTTGGAAGATACTCAGGTAACCACATTTTGTTCAACAGCAATTTTACATCAAGATTACTAGGAAGTGGTTTTCACAGGACTCAGTATCCCCAAAAAGGCTGTACTTTCTTTAAGCAACAGCTCTACTTTTCCCTTCCATACACATGTAGCCAATCATGTTTCTTCATTTCTTTGACCATATTAGAAAGCATATAGCCAAATATGTATTAATCTCGTCACCTATAATACATTTTATTTACTAACATTACTCCTGTTAGTATTTTTTCTCTACTTTTCCTTTTAACCCTGTATCATCATCTTAAACAAAAAATAGTATACAAATTTATTTTCCCCATCTTCTCCACCTCTTTTTAAAATTCAAGTAAAGTGGCATAAAATAGTCAGGGACCCAGGGAAATACTACATGAAAATATGTTATAATAAACTACATGTGGGAGTTCTATAAAGCATGACAGTATTGCTTGAATATCACTTGACCACAACATCTGTCAATCTTTTCATTATTAAGAAGGATATTGTCCAATATTCCTGTCATTTCTATGCTACTGAAAAACTTTTCTCTTAAAATCTTGGCTGGGTGTGGTGGCTCACACCTGTAATCCCAGCACTTTGGGAGGCCAAGACGGGTGGATCACTTGAGGTCAGGAGTTTGAGATCATCCTGACCAATATGGCAAAATCCTGTCTCTACTAAAAATATAAAAAATAACTGGGCATGGTGGCACATGCCTGTAATCCCAGCTACTGGAGAGGCTGAGGCAGGAGAATCACTTGAACCCAGGAGGTGGAAGTTGCTGTGAGTCGAGATTGCGACACTGAACTCCAGCCTGGGTGACAAGAGTGAGGCCCTGTCTTGGAAAATAAAAATAATAATAATAATAAATAAAATCTTGAAGTGTTTGAGAATTCTTTCAGTCTACATATATCATTATTTTCCTTATGCAAATGCAAACAGGTATCCTTTAATACAGAAAGGGGTATAAGAAGTGATCATTCCAGCCCTCAGGTTCCAAATTAGAAGATTAGTCTAAGGTCAAGTAAAGCATAAACACTATTATCCAAGATCTAAACTCAAGATACAAAACCAGGATGTCAATTCAAGTGGGTCAGCCAAGCAGTAAGTGGAAGTCCAAAATCCTAGTATTGGCAGATGTCCATCTATTACCAGCAGGACAAGTGCCAGGAAACCAGGCTACTAATGTCTGTGTCTGAGCATGGGCACTGAATAGTAATGCAGTCAGTGGGAAGTGGGGTTCACAAAGGAGGAGATGGGGTACTAACAGACACCTGCGCCCTGGGGGGATAATGAGTTCACGTTGGAGCAACAACTGAATGGAGAGTTTCTAACAAAGGATTTCTTTCAGAGCCCATCTGCCTAAAGTAACATTCATCTCAGGGCCCTGAGTCAGGCTGAGCCTACAGATGGAGGTTAAATAGAGCAGCTGAAAGGAAGAAAGGCTGGTGGGGCCAGGAAAAACACCAGAAACACCATTTTTGCATTAAGTGGCCACAATCTACAACTGCATTATATATTTTGTGATATATATATATATATACACATAAATATTTACTACAATTTTATTTTTCCTTTCTTGATTTGAAAAACAATTAGCAAAACATTTAATGTATTTCCTTAAAAACATATTTACAACTACCTTTTATAAGGAAAGCTTTTGTATACATACCACATTCAATATTGAAGAGAATGAAACTTGTATTGTTAGAAGAGGTCTGTGTATTTAGGTTCAAAAACTGCTGTTACTATCACTGTTTTCTTCACTAGTAGTTTATTCTAATGATTAGCTGGGTAAAATGAATTATATGCCTTCTTCAGGAATGTAACAGCTCATGAAAAATCATTTATTTGTCAATGAAATTTATTTTTAAGTGAATCCTTTCTTGTTACTTCGCATAGCTACCATTGACTTGTGTTTATTCTGGTGGTATTAATTCCTATAAGTAAGGAAATATAATTGTTTTCCAACAGCATGTCCAACAGCTTTCCAGCTGGGGCCAACTCTATTCAATTCATAGCTCTTTAGTTCTAACAGATATTGAATTCCGTACTCTGTATTAACTCACAGTGTGATCACGCACCCACCAAGTCTGTAGCAGTAATTAATATATTGCATGGGGATAGATCCCATTAACTGAACAACTTTGGATAATGGATTTCAGGTTAACTACTACTTGTAGCATTCGGTGTCATTCCTACATTTGAACTAATTTTTGGTAATATTTTATCCATAATGTATAATAAGCATAATTAAAAGGTTAAAAAGAGATTTAAATAGTCACAAAATAACATAACCCTCTTCTAAAGCAAATCTTCAGTGTTCTGAGAAAAGAAATTGGTTACTTCATATTATAGTCTTGGATTTCATTCCATATCTTATATGCACATAGTATCATGGACTTTCTGATGCAACATCTGTTTTTCTGTCTTAAACGGGAGGCATTTATCCACATATTGATTATGGGCTGTTAATTTTCCTCCATTTCAGCCAGTCATCCCCATCAGTCAGTATCACTTTACTGTCTTTAGCGGTTTCTAGAGTGCCTTACCTCAAATTAAATCTGTTATTTTTCACTCTTTCCTAGAGTGCCATTTATCTATCTCTCTTACTGAGACTTTGTATTGCTAATGTCTTCTCACAGTCACTCCTATCTTGAAATAAATTTACATACAGCCTACCCAATTAAAGTATGTTTGCTGCTGAATGATAAAAGGCTTCCAAAATAGATTAGCATGTAAAAAAGAGTCTTCATATTTATGATTATATATATTGGTATAAATTGACCTAAAACCAATGGTGTTATTATATCCACTGTATTTCACTTTGCTACTAAAAGCTTCCATGATGTTCCATTGCTATAGTCTCAAAGTAGTGAGCATCTTTCATTCTGAAGCAATCATTTAGGGTAATAAGCAATGTTCTTAGGTTTTTTGAGAAACAACTGTACAATTACTTACGTAAGCAAATATTCAGTAGCTATTCTAAGTGTTTCTTGGTAATTAAGTTGATGTAAATAATTGAATAAAATTGCTAACCTGTCAATGCATACATTTAATTTATTCAGTAAATATGTGTTATGTAACAACTGTGAGTTAGGACTATACCAGGCACTTATTGCAGGTTATAGAAATAGATCAGACCCAGTGATATTCGTCAACTTAACTCCAGCTCAAATCATGGAAAAGCATGTGTTCAAAGAAGAAAGTCTGGAGTGCAGTGGCGAGATCTCGGCTCACTGCAAGCTCCTCCTCTCAGGTTCACACCATTCTCCTGCCTCAGCCTCCCGAGTAGCTGGGACTACAGGCACCCACCACCATGCCTGGCTAATTTTTTTTTTTTTTTTAATTTTTAGTAGAGATGGGGTTTCACCATGTTAGCCAGGATGGTCTCGATCTCCTGACCTCGTGATCCACCTGCCTCGGCCTCCCAAAGTGCTGGGATTACGGGCATGAGCCACCGCGCCTAGCCTCTCACCTAGCTTTTTACATGCTTCCTCTATTAACATGAAAAATTCTTTTCAGTTGATTTTCAGCTATAGGTCATTGTGTTGTTCATGCCTATGGAGAAGCCCTCCCAATGGCACTGGCAACTGACAAGATTAAAGTGTATTTTCCATTTATAGCTCAACAGAGGATATGACCATTTGTCGTTAGATTCTTCAGCACAATATGTCATCCTTAAAGTAGCAGGAATCTTGCGATTTTTCTCATGTAACATTTTTGGCCACTCTTTGATAGAAAGTTTTGGGAGTTGAATAATGAGAACACATGGACACAGGGAGGGGAATATCACACACCAGGGCCTGTCGAGGGGTGAGGGGGTAGGGGAGAGATGGCATTAGGAGAAATACCTAATGTAGATGATGGGTTGATGGTTGCAGCAAGCCACCATGGCATGTGTATACCTATGTAACAAACCTGCACGTTCTGCACATGTGTCCCAAAACTTTAAAGTATAATAGAAAAGAAATTGGAAAAAAGGAAGTTTTGAAAACAAATATTGATAATGAGAAGGCTTTAGATTTTAAAAATTTTGAATAAATGCTGAAGAGCTTGGAAAGTTAATTTTATACCAATAGTTTAGCTGGGAATTTTTAGGTAATATAACTTTTCTGTATCTTTCTACCAGTTTCTGTGAAAAAGAATATCTTATAAAATATAAAAACATTAGATTTAAAAAATTAAAATGTTTTTTAACTAAAAAAACCTAAAGCCTTTCTTGTTTTGTAAAATTCTAAAATAGTTTCGTTCAGTATTCAGGCATTAATATGCAAATCAACTCGTTGTTTAAAATATGCCTTTCAGATACCTATTTTCATCTTGCTGCAATCTGAATTAGACATGTGCCAGAGGTACCACATATTCTTAAGAATGGAATTCCTAACATGGAATAGACTATTAAGCCTACATTCTGTTAAACCTTGTCTTCTAAATATGATACAGCAAGAATTTGAACATAAGAATAATTCTTTGCACTAGCACTGAGCATTGCTCTAGAGGCTGTGATGAACAATAAATAAACACGAAATTAGCAGCTTTTCCATAATGACTATTTGTCATTGTATGGGGATATTTTTCAGATGTAATTTTTTATTTGAATGGAGCAATTTGTACATGAAACAAAAAAGTCTTCTGAATAAATACATAGGTTGTTGTTTTGATCAAAGTTATCTCCTCTTAATGCATGTGTTTTTTAGACAGGAAAAGAATGTATGAAGAAAGTAAAATTCCGCAATTTTATAATTTTATGGTTGCATTTTATTACATCATAACAACCTCTGTTTATTTAGTACCTGCTGGGGTAGAAGCACAAAGTGTGAGGTAATTTGTACCTATGATAGAGAAACTTATAATGTAGTTAGCAAGATAACTCATAATATAGTTATCAAGAGAACAATTTAAATGAAAAGGGTCATTGTCCAGCAAGCCTTTTGCCGTTGAGGAAAGCCAACTGGCTGCCCAGAAATCTCCCCCAGAGAGTGGCATCTTCTTGGCAAAGTCATCACAGGACAAGTCTTGGCCTTCAAATTTGCAGGTTCACGTATGCGATTTGTCAGGTTGTCCATCACTTAAAGGTAGATTCATATTAAGCAAATTCTCAGAGACTAGAATTTAAACCAACATTTTCATTTATTAATTTAAAGTGAGAAACATAACTCTAAGTAAAATCATCCCCTGGCTATATGGGAAGAAAATTGTAACTGGGAGTGTTCTTGGCATGCATAAAATCAGAACAAGAAGAGTTAGATGATTTGAATGGCTCTTGTTAATGATCTATTAAAGTCTTCTTTTTGAAGATAGAAGTACAACAGAGCACCCCCTACCTGCAGGAGAGGACACACTGCCAACACCTGCCTCTCAGATTTTCCCTTTACCCTGCTTTCATTGCTGACTACAATTTTGGATACATTGTTTCTTTAGTTATAGTGATTGGACATAATGTTGCATTTTGTCAGTTAATGGTGGCATCACTTATTTCTGTCCCAATCTCTGATTTACTTCATAGTTTCTTTCTCAGAAAGCATTCCTCTTTCCCTGTTTCCAAGGTTGGGAAAGAAATGTTGGGAAAGTACAGCCCATTGACCCCCTAGGTCAGCCTCCACTCTGTTATGTGTAGAAAATTTTTGACAATGTATTTTGCTTTTAAAAATTTTTAAATTGTCCCTATATAGGTCTTCCCTTAAAGAACTATTAGTTTATATAAAGATATGTGTAAAAAATATACAGCTGTTATATATATTCTGTCAAATGAACAGCATAATAATAGCTGTCGAAGTTCACAACAGGGAGCCATCACTGAAAAATGTCTTACTCATATAAACTATCACAAAGATGAGACTTAAAGTCAAATAATTTAATAATCATAATTTATGACAATTATTAAAGTATAAATTTCAAGGGCGTTTTAAAAGTGAGCTTACTTTAAAAGTTGACAGGCACATATAAGGTAAAGCAGTTATATAATATATCTCATAGATATTTATCATTTAAAAAATATTAGCATATTTCTGCCTGGATCAAATGTGGTTTTGTATACAAAGCATGATTATCCTCATCCCAGAACACATATTACCTGCCAACCCATATAGAGAATAATTTGCTTAATATGGGTTGAAATAATGAACTTTATCATTTAGGGATATGGGAAGGGCATGGAAATTGGTCCTGGAGTAAAGAACTATGTAGCCAGCCTGTCCACCATCATCACCTGGTTGGACATCAAGATCACTGTGCGACGTCAGGCCATATGCTCCTTGAAAAGTTTATGATTCAGTTTCTATTTAGGAACCCAAAAGTTGATAGCACAACATTCTTCCCTGAGTTCCAACTCACATGGGCAAAGGATTCTGCCTTGAGAATGTGTATCATTCTTTTATCTGTATGACCAACATCTCTACATTCTTTCCAGAGATAACATCAGAGCTAAACATGTGTAACTCTCTCTGGAGGAAGATACATGAGGAAGTAGCTTTAGAAAGATACATCAAAGAGCCTATCTTTGTTTCTCTTATGAGGCGGTTACAAAGCTTATATCTTTGCATTTCTCCGTAATAATGAAAATAAAAGATTATGTGTGTGTCGTATCTTTAACCTGTGATGGAAATATATGTAATATTCTTTTTAACATCTTTTTTTGAGTTTGTGCATTTTTTCCTGAAATTCCAATTTCTTAGATTTCTTTCTTTCTTTTTTGAAAGTTATTTTATCCAAGTTTATGATCTCTCCTATTATTGGAAATGAATATTATGTTATCATACTCCCTTGTTAGTGTGTATTTGAACATGTTACATTTCATTAGATGCTGAGTTGTGTTTTTTGTTGCAAAAGTTGAAAGTCCAAATTGCTTTGAAGTTTAGACATCTACGTTTTTCTAGTTTCTGGGTCCTCATTTGTAAAAGAGAGGATTGAATGAATTTTTCTCCAAGGTATAATTCATTTCTATGCTTCTTGGGCCAAAAGTGAATGAGAAAGGAATAAAAAAGTAAAGAAAGAAACAATGAATATGTGATTGATGTGTGTAACATTTGGTCAAAATAGCATATTATTGTATTTTAACACTGTTAAATTCATAAGTCCTTTATATTGATTATTTAATTTAAAATAAATACCAGCTTTAAAAGACTGTTCCAAGGAAGAACAATTCAAACAGACTTAGTAAGGTAATGTCTTAATATACAAGTGAAAAGATGGGTTTGTGTCTACTGTACACTACCCGTTAAAAACACGTAGTGAGAAATAATTTCTATGACAATAAAGGTAAAAATTTTAATGATAAGTTCAAAAATTGCCTTCAATCTTGTTCTTCACTCTAAATCTAGTGTTCTCATATTAACATTCAGAGTTTATCCTTCACCAAAAGAGTCTAATTATGGAAGAATGATCAGATTGGTGATGAGTAATTCAACTGGGGATGAAATTCTACAGGTAATGTAATATGAACTGCAATCAGGAATGACAATGACTTTTTAAGGCTTTTTCAAAATGCTTATTTCAGTTGAAAATAGCAAAGCTAACACGGAATATCAGGCAAAAACCAAATTTTCAGTTGATGTAATTTTGTCAGTTGGAGAATATTAATATTAGTCTGAGCTGCAGTTAACTACAAGATGAGCATATATTAAGAGTATAGAGACAGGTGAAGTCTTTGCTTTTGAAACAGGTGCATTTTATTCATTTTGTAAGCTGAAACATAAGATCACATTTCCAATTACTCTACCTTCATAAGGTTTTTTTTAAAAATTACTATTAACTTATTTTGAATTATATGCTCATATTGGTAAGCATCTAATGTTGATTTCTTACCTAGTACTACTATTTACTTGTCTTAATGGTACCTTGGAAGATCTTTATTTTCTCTGCACTTCTGAACAAAGCAACATGGTTGGGATGAGGATGATGATGATGATGATCATGATAATAATAGACACTAATATGTATTAAATGCTTTCTGTGTACCAGGCAATGTGGTCAGTGATTTGAATAATCTCTGATATCTACCAATGAAAAAGGTAACATGATTAGATCCATTTTATAGATGGAGTTAACACAGGCACAGAGAGATAAGGAGACATATCCAAACCCCACAAGAGAAAGTGGCAGACCCATTTATTTCTCGTAACTGATTTCTTCCTGATCTTCCCACCAGACCATCAAATATTTTATTCTGTCACTTCTGAACTTGACAGATGGAAAAGTTAGGGAAACTATTATGAAATCCCCACTAGATAAATCAACTAGGTGATTAACAGACTATTTCACATTAAACTAGAACTTTTAGAATACTGACCTGATGCTTGCTTCACATTTGTACACATACCCTTGGAAGATCACTTTCACCTAGACATAAATACTTCTCAGTTCCATCAATCCTCTTTTTGTTTTTTGGCTAATTTTATATGAGCCATCTTAATTGTAGGTTCCTGAAGTACAGCAACAACTGAGATCATGTCTGTTTTATTGTTAAGCAACTATGATAGAATTATCATTTTGGAGTGAGACTTAAGTAAATTTTTAAAATTGATGACGAGATCTATGTTTTTATTTCTGATAAAACTTAATATGAAGTATACATTACGGGCATATACACTTAGGCATTTTCTTTCAACATTGATAAAATTAAGCATTTTCTTTGTGCCAGGCATTATTAAATGTACAGACTAGCTTAGTCATAGTTCCTCCCCCTCACATAGATTCTAATCTGGTGGAACGCACGACATTGAGGATCGAAGAGACTATGAAATATTCTATTCCATCAATATTTTCTTCTCTTTAGCATTAGGTGTTCCAGTGTTTAAGTAATATATACTATTGGCAAATATATCTGAATTTCCTAATAATTTTACTTAGAGGAATTATTTTCCAACCACATCTACAAATTAGTGTTTTCCTTTAGCTAATTTTAAATTTTGACCTCATATGAATGTATTATAAATTATTGGTTAATATTGGAGTTGGAAATATCTATCAACTGTCAGGAAACCAAGTGGCACGTTCAAGATTACATGGTATGTTAGTCATACAGCTGGAATAAGTTTCAGATCTTCTTTACATTTCCAGACCAGTGCTTTTCTTTTATATTAATTCTGCGTTAAGTCCCACCTTTCATCATGTGGCCACTTGTGATTGCATTGCAGACTTTATATATATATATATATATATAATATACTATATAATATATATGTTTTATATATATTTATATATCATTGTTTCCAAGTAGCCCATATAGAGAGCCCAATGCTCTCTATGTAGCTTTTATTCTCCCCTAAACAATCCATACTCTCTCTGTCTTTACTCCATCCTCTCCCCTCCTCATGTGCCTGTTTGCATTCTTTGCTCCATGGACTTTACAGACATATGCCCCCTAAAGTGCCTTCTTTCTGCCTTTCTGTTACTCTGCAGCCACATTTCAAGCCCTTATTCTATGTCACCTACAAAGCCTTTTCTTATTATTTCAGCCCCACTGATCTTGCTCTTCTGATTATCTATGTATTCTATATTATCTCTCTCAAATGTGATAATCTTGCCTTCCCAGGTATATTTGAAGTATCTCTGCAGCCAGAAATGTGGTCTTTGTACTCTTTATGTCCCTCCCGAACAGCTCAAACATTTAATAAATGCTTGAAGTGCTCTGTGTTCCACCGATTCAGTGTCTTATCCATGCTTTTTGGATACAAAAATATCTAACAATCACTTTAGATCACTTTTGCTTCCTTAACACTAACTAACATAAGAGAATAACACAGCGTAAGAGTTCTTTTTATGATTAATGTTAGCATTCTTTCTGGAAATATAGCACATGTATCCACTTGATGAAAGTATCAGGAATTGAATTTCCACATGTAATTTATTTTACTTACAGCAGTTTGCGTTTAATTTGACAACTCTTTCATTACAACTACCAAAAAAAAAACCCTCCTCTGTACAAATGTATTTTCATATTTCCATCTCAGTATAAGCACAGCTGTGAACCAATTACTTCAAAGTTCAAGAGCTGGTTGTTTCTATCCTTAGCATCACTAGAAAATGTTGAACAACGTAATCCTGGGGAGAGACTCCCAAGCTCAGTATAGAGGTTTTTTTTTTTTTTTCTTACTTCTATTTTCTTAATTTTGTTTTCATCTCCAACATAAATGAAACAGATTATCTTTCCTCGACTATCGCATTTACTTTCTATATTTGGTACAGTGTGATAATAGGTATCTGTTTTGCATCCTAATTTAAATATATTGTGTGGTTATTTTTTTAGTTATTGATAGCAACTAGACAAAATGGAATATACTATGAGGTATGTAGATCATCTAGTTATCTGAGGGATAAATATTTTTTCAAGCTATCTGCATTGTGAGTGTATATATGTGAATATAAAAATATGCATGATTCACCTGCTGTTTCTGGAAATGATTATTTTCTGACTCTCTCTCTCTCCACCTGCTAAATTGGCTTTCACCATCTCAGAGGAAAGCAAGCACATAAATGACTGATTCAAATATATATTTGAGATATCCACATTCTTACAATTTGGTATTTTTAGCATGAAATCATTTTCTGTGTATTGCTCTCTGTCATTGTCTTTAGTGATCCTCCTCACCTCTACATGTGAACAGACTAGCTGTCCATGCAGACTCCGCAGAGAGGGAACAAATATGTAATTAGCATAGCCTTTTATTCCTCCCATTGATAGAGAAAAAGAGGTGGGGGGATGTTCTTCAAGCAACAACTCTAGGTCACATTAATTTTCCCCAAACTTCCCCTCCAGTTTCCCCAGAATTTGCTATGTTGGGCATATCAACATGAACTAATTAGTATGCATGTCTAACATGATGGATGATCTCCCAAGCCCCAAAACAGCCCCAATTGTGCATGCCCTTCTTCTGCTATGTCACTGCACCTATTTATTTGAGATGATTTGATTCAGTGATTGACAGTAAGTGTGAAAGAGGTGGGAGGCAGGAAACAAGAAGAGACTTCTATTCTGTAAATGTTACCTGCGTGTATTAGATAGCCGTTGTTATTGGTACACTCTGAGAATCTTAGCAAGACGGTATTCTCTGGCTTTCAATTTGTAAAACATACCCCTTTTATAGGTCAGAGATCATCCATAACGATCTACTCTCCTGAGAGCTGTTATACTGCCTGTTCCTGACAATACTTCCTTTTAAGGGAAATCTTTATTCCTACAAAACTTGTGCTCTCCTCCTCCAGTTTCAATTGATAGGATTAGATGCGCAGATAATCCAATGTCTCTCTATGCATAGTCCTGCCAGTGATCTACCACCTATGAATTATCCCGAGAAAGAATGAGCCAGGCAATCATACTACTATTTAAGGAATTTAAAACATTTTAAAAACTTAGTAAATTGGAAATGGGGGTGGAAAAAGACAAGGTACATCAGGAAAGCCTGAGAGATAGTAGCAAACCTAACCCATTTGCAAGCTAAAGTTATAAAAGAGGGGAAACTAAGTGAAAGCTGGTTTTGGAGAGAAGAGAACAGAACGCATGTTAAGCATTATCACATGGCAATCCGAGACATGAATAGAATAGCTAGTCCTTGAAACTGTCTCATACATTACTGTATTTCAGCCCAACTGCAGGTCTTCATGTTTGCTTAGACTCTTATCTGAGCAAGTTTGCCCAGGATTTTTTATTCCATGCAACCAAATGACCAGATTTACTCTGTTCATTAACATTTATTTAGCTCCTAGTATAGGAAAAGCTTTCTGTTAATTGCTGCAAAGATATCATTTCAAAAAAAAAAAAAGCTCTTCTTTTCCCCAAAAATGCTCCTGTATGACATTTTTAATAAATCAATATTACTAGAAATATCCCATGTCTCTTTCTTCCTAGAAAAAAAGTGAATTAGTACTTTTCAATATTTATATTATAGATAATTTCACTTATTCCCCTAAGCAAAAATTCAATGACTTTTTTCTCTCTACAAATCAATATTATATATGAGTTTGTTCCATTTAAGGGTATTGATTATCCTAGGACAAAATTAACTCTTTGTCAAAATTTAATAAAAATGAATCAATATGTGTTATTAATAGCATCATCATACATTTATACAATTAAAGATTAAAGATGTACTGAACAGACTTTTAATAATATTACTTATTGTATTTACTATATGACTATTAGTTTTCACATTAAATACAAGTTTTTTTCTTAATGTGGCCATACATTAAAATTGCTCGATGGGAAGTCATAATTTCAATTATATGTATAGAATATAAATCCCAAAGGTTACTGTACTTGACTTAATTGAAGATAACCTTATTTTAAAAAGTCTGCGGCAGGTGGAGAGAATATGTATATGTATTTCTTCTTATACAGCTTCAATCAGAGGTTCTTAAAATTTAACTTTTTTTTAAAGGAAAGTCATTTGAGAATAGAAGGCAGACATTAAGCCAGTGGTGTGGGAAAAGACAACAGGAAAACTGTTCTATGTAAGGAATGAACATGTATTTTGGGTGTCAGGAAATCAAGGAAGATAAGGAGAAAAGAGAAGCAGGGGGTCAGATGGCATGGCAGGGTCTGGAGTTTGAGACAAAAGATAGCCAGTGATAACATGACACCATGGCTAAAGGGCATTATGTTTCTCTACGTAAACCCAATCCGCCATCCTAAATTTTTAGTCAAGCCTGTTTAGTCTACAAATGTTCTTTGTGAGAACTGGTGGGGAAATCAAGGAAAAGCCACCTTCTCTTACCCATGACAGGGATTAGCAGCTAGAAGTGACTGAGAAGGTAGGGCCCTAGGAATTTCTCAGTGAGGGAATTGGCTTATGTAGAACATGAATGATTGTGTTCAAAAATTGTATTTAAATCTTAACAGCTAATGGAACCTTACTGAAAACCCATTTGCATTAATGCAAGTTTAGTTTTCAATATGAAGTAGTATCTGAAGATGAAACTAACAGCTGTGAAGAACCAAACCTCTAAATCATAATGGTAAACTGGATGTTCATCTAGTTTGTTGTAACAATTATGTGATCCATGTAATTCTTCTATATTCTCTCTAGCTCCCTCCTTGGGACATTCTCTAACAGAAGATAGAAGGTTTTTCTGTAAAGCAGGCTATGGGGTTAGGATGAGAGGAGCTGTTTAATTATTCTTGGCTTTTGTATATCCAGACAGAGAATAGCAATAATTGTAATTGTATTAAACTTACTTTAATTAAAAACCAACTTCATCATTCAAAATGCTTTTTAAGAACATTATCTAGTGTCTACTGTTATCTCACAGTAAAGGGCATGGAATCTGTGTTCTTTAAGCATTAATAAAGTTGAAGAAAACTCATCTCTTAGTTATGAAAAGATGAAATGGGGTCATATAGACTGTAATCTCTGAATAAATCTTTTTCTCTTGCAAATAAAGACTTTGGTTTTTTTGTGTTTTTGTTTTTTGTTTTGTTTTGTTTTGTTTTGCATGAACTTACAAACAATAAAAGTAAGTAGCCAGCCATATTATCCTGTTTCTGTGATGTCAAACTGGGATGACTCTCGTTGTCATTACCAAGTTTTGCTGAGATACATTACTGCACAATTGGAGGTGGTTTTGGGAAGAGGATAGCTGAATTTTCCCAGAGTCACTGTTCATTATTTTCTGACAGATGTTCTCAAAGAACAAAAAGATAAAGAAAGAAAAAAAGTGTTCTCCTCATAGTGTCAATTTTTACGCAATCTTCAAGTTTCACTCCTTATCACTTTAACCAAGGTGATCAAAAATGCTAGGCGCGGTGGCTCACTCCTGTAATCCCTTTACTTTGGGAGGCCAAAGCAAGTGAGTAACTTGAGGTCAGGAGTTCAAGACCAGCCTGGCCAACATAGTGAAACCCTGTCTCCACTTAAAAAAAAAAGAAATAGCTGGATGTGGTGGTAGGCACCTGTAATCCCAGTGACTGGGGAGGCTGAGATGCAAGAATCTCTTGAACCCAGGAGGCACAGGTTGCAGTGAGCCAAGATCATGCCGTGCGCTCCAGCCTGGGCGACAGAGCAAGACTCTATCTCAAAAAAAAAAAAAAAAAAAAAAAAAAAAAAAAAAAAAGCAAGAACAACAACAAAAGAAAATGTGATCAAAAAGAAAATTTGACCATGTTTTGCTCATAATTTCTGTGAGATTTCAATATAAACACATATGCTAAATTGACAGATTTAAAGTTACCAGCCAGGTTGAAGCATCTGAACATAAAGCAGAAATTGAGTTTAAAGAAATATAATAAGATGGAATGGAAATATTTTCTTTTCACTTTAAAATTCATTAAGCTGTCTCCACTTTAAAGATCCTGATATGAAACAACAATAACAAAAGATGTCTAAAAGTGAATCATGTAAGTGACATACCACATACTACATGTAAGAATGAATGTAGTATGTATGGTCCTACATGCCACTATTTGGCAGTGTCTCTTCTTCCTTAAAACTTTACCATTCTCCCTGTTTACTATTAGCTCCGGTAAATAGAATATTAAATATAAGTGTTAAAAACTCAACTTTTTTGCTAACTTTTAAATTTTTGATTTGTCATGTTGGATTCAAATCTACTTAATCTAAATTCACAGAGTTTAGAGTAATTTTAAATGGAATCATCAATAGCACTCTTTTGACTCAACAGACAACACAAAAACTATGTACATCAAGCTTGTCCAGTCCATGGCCCGTGGGCTGTATGGGCCCAGGACGGCTTTGAATGCTGCCCAAAACAAATTTGTAAACTTTCTTAAAATATTATGAATTTTTTTGTGATTTTTTTTTTTTTTTTAGCTCATCAACTATCGTTAGTGTTAGTGTATTTTATGTGTGGCCCAAAACAATTCTTCTTCCAACGTGGCCCAGGGAAGCCAAAAGATTGGACACCCGTGATGTACATGCTATCATACATTTTATGCTGAAGATGGACTTAATTGAAACATAGTACCGTGTATTATCCAGTGAAAAAATAGAAGTATTCTTGAGCTCTATCCTTGAATTACAACAATATAGGAAAGTCTTATTATTGTTATTATTTCCCACATTCTCATTTTGTACCTTGTCCTAGAATAAACCTCTTGCAATAGAAACAAAATTTCAGTGAATACAAGATGTTATTACTATCTGTCATGGATATGGCTGTTTAAAAGTGCTTCTTTTTATACTATGTGCTTTGCTACTTATATTTTCATGTACTTCTTGCAAATTTCTCTGAAAACATTTGTAGATTTATCATTTAGTGTCTTGGGTTGTGCCACAAACGTAAATTTTTTAAGAAAAAAATGGAAAAAAATTACTGGAACAAAGGTCAAATAACTGTTTCCATTTCGGTTGTTTTAGACACTATGGGAAGCATATTTAATACTTTGATTGCTTATCAAGAAAAACAGACTAGAACAGGGAATATTCCAAAAGAAGTAGCAGAATTGAAGGAATCTGCTAGAGGCAGATTTAATTTACATTCTTGTTGTTTACATATGGGATTTCTTTTTTAATCTTTTTGCTTCTACTCAATATAAATGAGTCTGTGATTACTGTTTAATAATTTACCAAGAATTTCAGTAGATGGAGTATTTTCTGCCCAGGAATCTATATATGATTGTTCTTGCTAAACTACAGAACAGCTGCATGTTTTAAAATCAATTGACCTCTTTAGTAAACACAGAGTGAGTTCTTTTTACTTTGTCCCTTTAGCTTTGTGGCTTATTTTCAAAGCCATACACTGCTCCCAACCTAATAGTGACTAGGACACTGTTACTTGGTGACAGGCTTTGATACATAGGTAATTAGCTTCTGGGACAAGAGAAGTGGGCTGCTCATGTCTACTAACTCCTCTACACCAGAAGGCTCAGATAGCTTTAAAAGTTTTTATAAGGTGAAATAGTTTCTTCTAGTAAATCATGAAAAAATACCTTTTTTTTCCCCTCTATCTTGTGGGATGCCTGCATATTTCTGTTTGAGATTCTTCTACCTTCAATCCCTGACATTTATTTTCTAGTTTATTTCAGGATTCATTTGTCTTTATCTTACTTGCTCATTTAAAAAAAAAAATCTTCAATGCTCTCATGCTTGTCATTTTTATTTAAACATTGTTTTATGGTAATTTATATTCTTTTCATTTTTCTTTTTTTATTTTCAGAAGATCAAGGGTTCGAATATTTGTTTTCTAATTATAATTATTACCCCTCACTTACTAGCTTTGCAATCATAGAAAAATCAGCCAATGTCTCTGAATC
Source organism: Homo sapiens (assembly GCF_000001405.40). NCBI lineage: Eukaryota > Metazoa > Chordata > Mammalia > Primates > Hominidae > Homo > Homo sapiens. The sequence goes on along the minus strand of NC_000009.12, from coordinate 9,326,460 downwards.
TCTGTTTTCTAATTGATAAAACGAGCATAAAGGTAGAGTTATATGCACAGCAACTTTTATTTCAAATATTTCATAATTCTTTGTTAATTGTTTCATTCAAACCCTTCTTGAAAAAAATTTCTCTCAATCCATAGGTAATTTCAGAATTATACATTCTTATTCTCTATTATCCACATGAATTATCATTTCCTCCTATTGTCATCAAAGAGATATTTGAGTGAAAGATCACAGTATCCAAAGCTAAAAGATACGGCTTCCTGGATGGGCTCCTGTCTTTCCCTTCATTAAGTCACACTTTCTCTGTGCCTTATTTTCCTCAACCCTCATAGTTATATCAGAGTTATTGTGGAGTTCACTTAAGAGAATACATATGGAATCCTGCGGCACATCAAAAAGCTTATCCACCAAGATCGAGTTGGCTTCATCCCTGGGATGCAAGGCTGGTTCAACATACACACATCAATAAACACAGTCCATCGCATAAACAGAACCGAAGACAAAAAACACATGATTATCTCAATAGAAGCAGAAAAGGCCTTTGACAAAGTTCAACAGCCCTTCATGCTAAAAACTCTCAATAAACTAAGTATTGATGGAACATATCTCAAAATAATAAGAGTTATTTATGACAAGCCCACAGCCAGTATTATACTGAATGGGCAAAAACTGGAAGCATTCCCTTTGAAAACTGGCACAAGACAGGGATGCCCTCTCTCACCACTCCTATTCAACATAGTGTTGGAAGTTCTGGCCAGGGCAATCAGGCAGGAGAAAGAGATAAAGGGTATTCACTTAGGAAAAGAGGAAGTCAAATTGTCCTTGTTTGCAGATGACATGATTGTATATCTAGAAAACCCCATTGTCTCAGCCCAAAATCTCCTTCGGCTGATAGGCAACTTCAGCAAAGTCTCAGGATACAAAATCAATGTGCAAAAATAACAAGCATTCCTATACACCAACAACAGACAAACAGAGAGCCAAATAATGAGTGACCTCTCATTCACAATGGCTACAAAGGGAATAAAATTCTTAGGAATCCAACTTGCAAGGGATATGAAGGACCTCTTCAAGGAGAACTACAAACCACTGCTCAATGAAATAAAAAAGGATACAAACAAATGGAAGAACATTCCATGCTCATGGATAGGAAGAATCAATATCGTGAAAATGGCCATACTGCCCAAGGTAATTTATACATTCAATGCCATCCCCATCAAGCTACCAAGGACTTTCTTCACAGAATTGGAGAAAACTACTTTAAAGTTCATATGGAACCAAAAAAGAGACCACATTGCCAAGACAATCCTAAGCCAAAAGAACAAAGCTGGAGGCATCACGCTACCTGACTTCAAACTATACTACAAGGCTACAGTAACCAAAACAGCGTGGTACTTGTACCAAAACAGAGATATAGATCAATGGAACAGAACAGAGGGCTCAGAAGTAATACCACACATCTACAACCATCTGATCTTTAACAAACCTGACAAAAACAAGAAATGGGGAAAGGATTCCCTATTTAATGAATGGTGCTGGGAAAACTGGCTAGCCATACGTAGAAAGCTGAAACTGGATCCCTTCCTTACACCTTATACAAAAACTATTTCAACATGGATTAAAGACTTACATGTTAGACCTAAAACCATAAAAACCCTAGAGGAAAACCTAGGCAATACCATTCAGGACATAGGCATGGGCAAGGACTTCATGACTGAAACACCAAAAGCAATGGCAACAAAAGCCAAAATAGACAAATGGGATCGAATTAAACTAAAGAGCTTCTGCACAGCAAAAGAAACTACCATCAGAGTGAACAGGCAACCTACAGAATGGGAGAAAACTTTTGCAATCTACCTATCTGTCAAAGGGCTAATATCCAGAATCTACAAATAACTTAAACAGATTTACAAGAAAAAAATCAAACAACCCCATCAAAAAGTGGGCAAAGGATATGAACAGACACTTCTCAAAAGAAGACATTTATGCAGCCAACAGACACATGAAAAAATGCTCATCATCACTGGTCATCAGAGAAATGCACATCAAAACCACACTGAGATACCATCTCACACCAGTTAGAATGGCAATCATTAAAAAGTCAAGAAACAACAGGTGCTGGAGAGGTTGTGGAGAAACAGGAATGCTTTTACACTGTTGGTGGGAATGTAAACTAGTTCAACCACTGCGGAAGACAGTGTGGCGATTCCTCAAGGATCTGGAACTAGAAATACCATTTGACCCAGCCATCCCATTACTGCGTGTATACCCAAAGGATTGTAAATCATGCTGCTATAAAGACACATGCACACGTATGTTTATTGCAACACTATTCACAATAGCAAAGACTTGGAACCAACCCAAATGTCCATCAATGATAGACTGGATTAAGAAAATGTGGCACATATACTACATGGAATACTATGCAGCCATAAAAAAGGATGAGCTCATGTCCTTTGTAGGGACATGGATGAAGCTGGAAACCATCATTCTGAGCAAACTGTCACAAGGACAGAAAACCAAACACTCCATGTTCTCATTCATAGCTGGGCATTGAACAATGAGAACACTTGGACACAGCAGGGAACATCACACACCAGGGCCTGTTGTGGGGTGCGGGGATGGGGTAGGGATAGCATTAGGAGAAATACCTAATGTAAATGACGAGTTAATGGGTGCAGCAAACCAACATGGCACATGTATACATATGTAACAAACCTGCACATTGTGCACATGTACCCTAGAACTTAAAGTATAATAAAAATAAACAAGAGAGAGAATGCATATGGAACTGCCTAAGAGAAATCAGATGATCTCATGGTCTCTATTATGAGTGGAAGTAAAGAAGCCAATTTGTTTGAGATAAGATAGTATGATGGTTCTCGAATTGGTATCAGATACTCATTCAATAGTGGTTAACAATGTTAGAAAAATTCTTAGAAAATAGACTATTAAAAATGGAAGCACTGAATGTGGAGTTAGACGACCTGGTCGACATCAGATTATATTGATTAGCATTGGCATATTACTTAACTTCTCTAAGCCTCCATTTTCTCAACCTTAAGGTTAGGATAATTGTACTTCTACCTAACTCTCATGGTTGGTTCAAGAATAAAATTAGATGATAAGTAAAAAAGATTTGATTAAACCAACTCAGTGAACTTTGTAAGCATTATTATCGATTTAACAAATCATATGAAGTCTTGTCTTTGTCTTTTTTAAAATAAAACCAATGATTTTTTCTCATCGTGATAAAATACAGAGTAATGATTTGGATGGTATAATTAGGAAAATCTTATTCAAATCTTGCTCTATAATACAATAGCACCTTCACAAATACATCATTCTGATATATTCTGGCCATAGTAAAGTGCCCTAGGGTATTCAAAATACCCTAATGTTGCAAAAAAAATTGTAAACAGTAACTTAAAAATTTGAGTGATTCCTTCAGACTAGCACTAGTAATTTATTTTCTTGGAAGGTTTATATATTATTTTTAAAAACCTAACAGAATAGACATTTTTAAAAATCATTTAACTCAAGTAAATGTGCATACAGAAATACTGTGGAATATGTCAAGGTGCAAATCTTGGTTTTAGCTAGGTCTCCACACTTTCTAAATGACTCACTCTTACATGCTTACATGCCAGTATAGTAGTACCTGTTCAAATTTTCACCTCAACAAAAGTACAGATTACTAGATGTCATAGACCCTTGAAGTCTCTACAAAACGGTTGAAACCACAAGTGCTAAATTCCCTCATACCAAGGATCTAGAGTGTTCCTGTAGCATTGCACTGATTTACTCATTTAATAAAACAGGGCAGTGATCCAAGTCATGTGGCCGAGATCCTGACATGCATATGTTACTCCTAGACATTTGCTGCTGTATAAATGTGCTGGATGCGTAAGATAATACCAAAATGGTCTATTACATAAACCTAGGTATATGAGAAGTAGCATGGTATAGTGACATATTTAAGGTGTACACTGAAATCAAACTCCACATCTTGCCACTAGCTACGTGACTTGGAAATGTGTTATTTAAACTCTCTGGACTTTAGCGTTCTTTTTTGTACAATAATGAATATACTCTTCTCACAGGAAAATTGTGAATTATGTATGACAATATACATAAAACATGTATATAATCCTTGGTCTATAGCAAATGCCCAGTAATCAGTAGCTTTTATCGTTCCAAAGTTTAGTAGAATACGAAGACAATTAATTTTACTGGTGAAAGTCATAGGACTCTACTGGTTTGGAATGTTTAAAAACATCTTTAAGCTACAATACTTTAAGACCATTTTGTTGATTTAACTCAAAAGCATGTCCATTTTCCAGGTCATGGTTTTGCCTGTACACTTAGAGCCTTGTGTAATTAAAATAACTGCTTAACTATTCAGGCCTTGAGAAATCAGAACTTCTAGTGATTTGCTAATTATTTATGGCAAATACTTTTAAGACTGTAATACTTACCAGAGTGCCTTGCCAATAAACATTAGATGGCAGATTAATGTATATTTTAATGAGAGCGATAAAGTACCTCAATCAAAATCAAGTTAATTAGGTCTATTACCATAAAGTTAGTAAAATAGATGGCATATATTTAGCTCTTGCTGTGTGCTAACCACCTTACATGAATTATCTCATTTAATCCTCTCAACAACCATATGACATAGACCCTGCTACAACTCCCATTCTACAAATGTAGAAATCAAGATAGAGAAAATAAATAACTTTGCTAATGTTACATCGCTACTAAATACTGGAAAGTTAGATGTAAATGAAAATGGTCAATCTCTGAAGCTAAATATTTTAATTACTATAACTTCTTAGAATGTGTTTTATGGAAAAATCAGATATGCATACATGGCATTTTAACAAAAACAGAGTCCTTTTTTTTTTCTCAGTGGAGTTTTGCTCTTGTTGCCCAGGCTGGGGTGCAATGGTGTGATCTCGGCTCACAGCAACTTTTGCCTCCCAGGTTCAAGCCATTCTCTTGCCTCAGCCTCCCTAGTAGCTGGGATTACAGGCATGCACCACCACGCCCGGCTGATTTTGCATTTCTGGTAGAGATGGGGTTTCACCATATTGGTCAGGCTGGTCGTGAACTCCCGACCTCAGGTGATCCACCCGCCTCGGCCTCCCAAAGTGTTGGGATTACAGGCATGAGCCACTGCACCCAGCCCAGAGTCCTCCTTTAATGAATTCTGAGCTTTGGAGATAACTTTTAAATGTCTTTAGGGCCCAAATAGTATATGTACCACATACATCAGAATCATGAGAAAAATCAAAATACAGCTTGAATTTTGTATCTTTATTTCATACGTAGATTTTACAAGAAGATACCTAATGCAGTGATGTTAATTTGTGTCTCAGTGTTGGACTCACAAATTATCATTAAATCATTTTCACTGATGCTGTAATCATTGGCTTCTATTTCTTGAACATTCACTGACCCATATTGTTTATTAACAGGTATTGAAGGCAAGCAGGCAAGGTCTGTTCACTTTCTGTTCTTGAAGGAGCCTATTTAGGTAATTTAGAGGACAAATTCTTATCTGGCACATTTCTGGCTTTTGGACAAAATACAAATTCTCAATCAAATTAAAATATGAGTAGTTGAAGAGAAATTTGAGCCCTCCCATTACTCCTCCCAAATATGTAGAGGTATCATAAAAGTAGAAAACTTAGAAGCCAAATAATGTGTTATCCCATGGAAATGTCTACTGGATTGAACTACAAGGATGAATAATAAACTAAGAGGAGTTTAGACTTGTATGGTTTTGCTGTCTTATGACTCATTGGTCACTAGAAAGGTCTACTCAATCCAGGCAGTGTGAGATCAGGAGGATAGTAGACGAAGGATGGGAAGGGTAGTTTTCCTCAGAGAGTCGGTGTAAAGGACTGGTGTGTACTACAGATGTAAGTGAAGTGTGAACAGAGACCAGGAGGACTCCCCAATCATTTATAACAATATTTAGTTTTCTCTCCTGCTTTCTTCCTTACTTTATTTTAATAATTAGATAATATATTTCTAAAATGAGGATTTTCAGGAATAGGCTTAACTTTTTGTGTATAAGTTTCATGCCCAGTATATGGGGTTCTCACCAAACATAGCTTTTAAATAAGAACCAAATACCCAATCTCACCACCTTCTTCTCCGTATTGTCTATGGGTGATGATATGTGAGGGAAAAAAAAAGTAGGTCTTCCAAAGTGTCCTTTTTATTAAAACATGGGAAAAATAAGAACAAAAGGAAGAAATAAAATATGGTGCCTCTAAATCTAGAATAAATAAAACATTTTTGACATTACAAAAAGGAATTCTTATATACCTAAATTTGAGTTGATTTTTATTCTGTTTCAAATAAAACATTATTATTCATTTAAAACAAAAATGAGGTACTTTTTCAGAAGTTTTCAAACATTAGTGATGAACTTCTTAGCTAATATATCTTTAGGAAGTTTCCTTTTTGGAATCAATGATATAATTGAAGTGAAAATGCCACTACTATTTCACTTTACTATTGTTAAAAAAGGACTTTATGTAACCATGCAGTTACTTAATTCAAATTGTATGGGAATAAAATTTGTTATAGAGACTGGCTAAATTAAATTGTAAATTATTCAAAAATACTTAAATCAGACCAGCTGTTTGTTATGAGGTTCCTTGGTTTTTCTTATTTTAATTATCACTACTCCTAGAAAATTTTAAAGAAACTTTTGATGACTATAGGCTAAAGTGCCTTCTTTTTGGAATTTTTGAGTACTTAACTCAGACTTCTGAACTACGTAAGAGCTACCTCTAAGAAGAGGTGTTTAGATTCTACTATACACTTGGTAAAGTATGAAGAGTAGAAGACATATGGGGAAATGAGCCTATGTATTTTAATTTAACTCTTTGGTAGAATTTACAAAGCCGATTGTATAACATTTAAATTACCAGAATTTCTGCTAGTCTGAAACTAACAAATGCTGTGTCACTTTGGCACAAAATGTTCTCCACATCTGTGTGTTTTCATCTTTTATTTTTATCTTTGGCCAACTAAAGATTGTTTGAGTTTAATTTTCTTATTACATAACAAGAAGAATGGCAGTGTTAAAATAGCAGTCCTAGCAGATTAACATTCAACCCCTCACTTGATTTATGGAGAAACCAGGCTGAAATCTCAGGCACTCCCAAACACTGGAATTTAGCAAGTAATACAAGCAAAGCAAAAGCACAATTGCAATCTGAGTATATTAAAGAAAGGAAGAAAGGCAGCATTCATTCATTCTGTTTTCAAGGGTGAGTCATTCACCCCGTGCCACTGCTGAAGTGAAACATTTTTATTGATTTGCAGATTAAGAATCTATTTAAAAAGTGATAAATCAATCCTTTTCGTCAAGCCTATTGCAGCCTGTTCAGGAACTTGAAAGCAATCACTGCTGTTTGAGGAAAGCTTACTTAACTTGTGTTTCTTATAATGATAGAGGAAACTATAGTTCATAATGAAGGCACTGTATATTGCACATCTTGATGAAAAGTCAGAAGATTGAGCTGGCATAAATCAATGCATGAATCTAGAAGCCTGCAGGTGGGATGAAGAGCAGAGAGTTTATCCACTTTGATTATCATTGCATTTGAACGTCAACAAGGAGCTCACCTCCACTGTGAACTTCAGTACACATATTACTGCTGTCCATAATATTATATTATGATAAAAGTAGATTAGATTAAAAGTAGACAACTGTCTGGATGTTGTCTGTGTTGTATTAAAAAACATAGGCTATAATTAGAAATTGAGATACTTTTATCAAATCCTGAAATTTGAGTCTGTGTTTATAAAGGGAAAAAGTGATTATACTTTAAATTCTTTGAAATCGTTTGCAGAAAAAATTAAAATCTAGTGTTTTCTAGGATAGATCTAAAGTATTTGGATGCTAGTAGTATTACATTTTGTAATACTTTGGTTTCTTTGCACAAACTGGAGCTTGGAGGTGAGAAGAAGAAACAAAAATACCATTACTTCAAACTATGATCATTTCTTGGAATTTTAGAATCTCATTTTATAGTCTTCTTTATTTGACTTTAAAAAATATCAGTCAATTCAGATATTACAAAGAAGTTCACTACTTTCCTGACTCTTAACTAGCACATTGGAAAGTGGTTTCATATTTATGTATTTTAATTGTGGCAAACTTGTTTTTAACAAGTATTGAGGGAAAATACTTTTTGGTGTTTTTTTTTTTTTTGGTTTTTTGTTTGTTTTTGTTTGTTTGTTTGTTTTGTTTTTTGTTTCTTTTTTTGATGGAGTTTTCACTCTTGTTGCCCAGGCTGGAGTGCAATGGCACGATCTCGGCTTACTGCAACCTCCGCATCCCTGGTTCAAATGATTCTTCTGCCTCAGCTTCCCAAGTAGCTGGGATTACAGGCATGCACCACCACATCAGGCTAATTTTGTATTTTTAGTAGAGACACGGTTTCTCCATGTTGATCAGGCTGGTCTTGAACTCCAGACCTCAAGTGATCCGCCTGTCTTGGCCTTCCAAAGTGCTGGGATTACAGGCGTGAGCCACCGCACCCGGCTGGAAAAATACCTATTTTAATGTTTGTTTTTCTTCCTGATAGATTGTTATTATGAAAATGCACATAATCTATCAGGATGAAAAAAATTATTAATATCATGAATTTTGATCAGGTCCATTTTATATCTGTGGTGATCCATGGCTTTGTGCTTCAGGTAAATAAGTTTTTACTTTATTGCATAGAAAAATTATTAAAGGATTTAGGAACATGGAATAACAATCAAAACTGAAATTTTTTTCAAAATATAACATCAGCATCAATGTGGAGTATAAGCTCTAGAGAGTCAGGACTGGGAGTAGGAAGACCAGATAGAAGACTAATTAGTGCAGGCCATAGACGCAATAGCAATGACTTATGAGGCACAAGCAGATGTGACGTTTAGGAGGTGGGGTAGACAGAACTTCATCCCTAATTGTGGAAAGGAGTTAAAAGAAAGCCTAGGGCACTTGCATTCACCCACATAGAAAATTGAGAAGGAAAAGCAAAGTTTTAAGGAAGAATAATAAGTTTGTTTTAGAAATATTGAGTTTGACATGCTTGTGAAACTTCCAAGGGAAAAGAGATATTTAGCAGGTGGTTGAATGAATGGGATTTTAGCTTAAGCTAGTGGACTAGAAGCTGTTAGTAAATAGTAATAGGTTGAAGCATAAGCATGAGTAATGCCATTCTTGGAAAGCCTGTAGTGTGAGCAGAGGACAAAACCTGAAACATAACCAATTTTTAAGGAGTAAGTGAATGAGAAATCTTATGTACTTTCAGAGAAATGAACCAGTAGAAAGTAAAACATTGAAAATATTGTGATAGAAAATAAACATTGAAACAAGCTTCTAGATCAGTATATGCGAATAAAAAAGACCAGAGAACACTTGAGACACTTTCCTTGAAGGAGAGAAGGGCCATGTTTTGTCAACATTGTAGAGAAAGAAATGAGGGCAGATTCCTATATAAGTGACTTTGTAACTTTAGAGACAGAGAGTTTGTTCCTGATGATCTCAATATTCTCAGTGAAGAGACAAGAGTTTTTGCCAAATCACAGATCATTCACTGAAGACTCATAAAAGAATTACCACGTAGTCCCAGGGGAAATTATTTACCATACGATGACAATAATTTGGGAAATGCATCTGATTGTGTTATTTTAATATTTCATGTATCGTTATTTTATGTGGATACCAGTAATGCTGGGCATCATTCCATGCATCCAATTTTGCTCACTTAATTTCATGCTACAATTCTTGGAAGAAAAGTGGCATAGTTGATTGGGCTATTTTGCTCTTAACCTACTCTTCCCCTACAAAAGCCCATTGGAAGATTCATGATAGGGTAAAAACTGGTCTTGTGTGTACATGCCACAAAGAGTTATTTGGTTAATCATGTCCAACATTTTTTATTTGGGTCAAGCAATGTCTTGTTTGACTTATCTATAGATTACCCTAATAAAAGTCTTGTTTTTAATTTGAGGATAAGTTTCTTTCAGAAGCTCTATGTGTACTATAAATGATTTTTCTAATAGCAGAGTTTTAAAGTATTCTAACCTGAAAAATGTGTCTGCAATTCAATCAGTTCATATTTAGGAAACTGTTTGCTTGTCAGATATTGTATTTCTCTGTGGTAGAAACAGTGAGTATAAGAGAGACGGTAGGGGAGAGAGAGAGGAGGAGAGGGAGACATAGGGGTGGAGAATCATGCTTTATTTGTGTAGCAATCTCATGGACTGAATATCTCATAGAATAACGTACTTTATAGTGGTATAAGATGAAAGATGAAGGGTGTTTTCAAGCAAGCACATCCTAATTGACTGTCAATATGTAGAGTTTTCTTTAGGATTCTATGGACAGGCATGTGCACTAAACATAAAGCTTTATGATATAAATTGCATACTGGTATACTTTATTTTGTTTATGTGGACATCTAAAAGATTCACATGGGCACAGATATATGTCAATTAATTAAAAATGTATTGAGAAAATTCGCAAGAAAAGCTTTCCGTAGCTGAGGTTCTTTGTGTAACTTTTTAGCATCTCACATGTAGCAAAAAAAAAAAAAAAAAAAAAAAAGTTGTCTGCTACTATAATACAGAAAATTATATGAAGCAACAAGAAAAACATAAGGATTTAACCCCAGATTCAACTTGTTTCTAGTCACAGAGATTTTTTTTTCTTCCTTTGTTTTTTAGACGGTTATGTACTGGCAAGGAATATTCTACAGTAGCAAATGTGTTTATGATTATTATGAGATGAAAGTTAATATATAAAGCATGATCCATAAGTCAATAAATCAGTATATTTAGGGAATCAAAAATTCAGTGGCCCCCAAAAAAGTGAATTTCATCAGACTAGGTTTTCACTCAGCCCTATTTCAAAACTATATTTGGAATTAATGTGTGGTATATAGAAAAACATAGACTTTGGAATTGGATGGGCAGGCTCTTAAAATTCCTTTTCTACAATTTTTAAAAACCTAATTATCCTAGATAAGTGTTTAACTTACTGGCATATAGTAATATCTACTTTGTAGCAATATTGTCAATAATAAGTTGTATATACATACACACATACAGAAAATCACAGTGATATGGTAGCATTCAATAAGTTGTAACTCCCCTTTTAATTTAGCTGTATATCAAATACGAGAAAATACTTCAGATAAGGATATAAAAAGTTTTGGGAGTTATATATTACAACACAATAAGCTTGGTGAAATTCAGCTTCTTTATCTTTTGCTGCTGAAAAAGAGCTACAAAGAAGAAGAAAGGGGAAATATGTTCACTGTAAAATAATGTGGTAAAAGATCAATGAAAATTCTAAATGACAACTTTAGTTGGCCTTAGTTAAAATGTTGATGTAAAAATAAATAAAATCTAGGTGAGTTGTATTATAAATATTTGGTGATGAGATTGTATAAGAAGCTGGAATGAGCAGAAAGGCAAGATCAGGATGCTGAGATTGACAAAGTAAATTACTGTAATAAATGTGATGGATATCTGGAGAAACAAAGAAGACAATGACGAGGAAAAAAAGGTCCTTTGTGCCTATGGTATTTCATCAGCTTATTTCAAACATATATAAAAATAAATAAAACAGAGTAAATAGCTCTAGAGATATTTTAGATTCGTTTTGTTAAATTAGAGAATGAAAATAAAAACCATTCATTTCGACACTGGCTCAGAGTTTATGGACAAATTGTTCACACGTTGTATTTCAATCCCATTGCATTTATATTCTTTCACTTTAATTGAACAGGCATTTATTACCTTCCTACCATAAGCAAAACACTATACTAGGCACTGGAGACATGAGGGAAAAACAGGAAGCCTTTTACATTTATCACATGTTAAGCTGCTACTCTATATTCATTTGATAACATTTTGTCAAGCCAGGCCATGTGCCATGAAATCATAAACTACCAAAAACTGCAACAACAACAAAAAATCACCTGCATTCTTTGATGGGACATTTACTACTAATTTATGTCCATTTAAATTCCACCCATGTGTTTGACACCACAGAACTGAATTTTTTATATACTACCTCATTACATGAGTGATGTAAGAACAGAACTTGTTTCTTCAACTCATTCAGTATTCTAATGAACTCAGAATACAAATTTTGTTCCGTTAAAAATAATGGAATCTTACTATCCTACAGCCATTTAAATGCTTCAGAATAGAGCAGTCCTCTTTTTATTCCAGGAGGCGTATACAATAAATCTCATTATGAAAATTACCATATTCAGACTATCTTAATAATGCACATGCCAATATCTCCACCACCTTCAAACAAACAAATAATGGTGAAAATTATGCTAGTACTGACAATAGGCAGGAAATGTTGAGAAATAAACAATTTTCCTCTTATTTGTTAGAGTAAAACAGCTTCTTTGCTCATTTAACTAGCTAAATGACAGCTAGATTTTGAACATTAAAATATACTGAGCACATGGAAAGAATCCACAGACAAAGGAATCTTGTTTCCACATGTGCATGCTTGTGTGCCTGAATATGTAAAGAAATCAACACGTGAAACTAAATTGGAATAAATTTTGTATGAGGATTAAAGAGATATAGAAATCTTCCTAAAGTGCCATAAGCACCATTCCAATTGATTAGCTGAAGAACCATTGTTATTCTTTGCCTGTGGACTGAGGCATTGGTTTGAATAAATTTTTATCAGAAGCCCTTTCGGAGATATAATGTAAACACCTTCTCTGCCTGACCTTCCAACAGCAAAACACTCTTCCTAATTACTATACCTAATAGGCATCCACCCCTCCTCCCCTTAAGAGAGATGGACTGCATTGTGCATTGAGCAGCTAGATTTGGATTCCACTCTAACACTGGTATAAGAAGAAGTAAACAGAGGCTAGATTTCATCATTAGATGATTCCTACCAGGATCTCTCAACCTTTTGCTGGGTGAACTCTGAGGTCAAGTTTCTTGTTCTGTATCTGACACTTATTTACGCTAATTCTTTATTTCCAGGTGAACTCAAGACAATAGATAATTATCTGTTTTTCAGGTACAATTGTACCACAAACTAATAAAGTTTTCTTCTGAACTTACTCTCCTCTAACTCTTAACTGGTCCAACAGAGAGATCATCTATACATATTTCAACACATTTATATTAAATAATCTTGTTGCTCTCCTCTCAAATACAGTTAAGTCCTCATTTAACATCATCAGTAACTTACCGGAAACTGCAACTTATGACACACAGCAAAACCAGGTTTATCATAGGCTAATTGAGATAGAGTTAGGTTCCTACGCTATATTTTTGGTCACAAAAACATCACCGAACTTCAAAATAAAGACCCCAAATGCATCAAATATTAAACATTGAAATAAATGTGAGCTATATATACACTTAAGAAAGATTAATAAAAATGAGATAATTATTTACCTAATTTTGTGTCAATCCATGAGTAATGGTAGCCATAGTGGTGGTGGATTAAATCAAGGAATACATGTTTGCAAAGCAAAACTTGTGAGGATGTCCTGCGACTAACACGTAGTTCAAAAATAAACAATCACAAGTATGGCAGGCTTGCTGAGTGCTTTTGTGCTGCATTGTTTATTGTTATGCATTTGTATGATTGTCAGATACTTTATGAATTATTTGACAATAATTTGTGTTCATTCATTCATTCATTTATTTTCTAACATGCCTATTCCAGTTTAGGTAGAGGTTGGCCAGAGCCTATCTTGGCAGCTCAGGGCACAACACAGGAACCCACCTGGGACAAAATGACATCCCATCACAGGGTGTACTCACACCCACATTCACTCACTGTGACTATTTAGACACACCAATTCACCTAACATGCACATCTTTGGGATGTAGGCGGAAACCAGAGTATCCAGAGAAAACCCACGCAGACATGGGGAAAGCTGAAAACTCCACACAGACAGTAGCCCCATGCCAGAAATACATTTTTTTCTCTTCTACATTAAAAGAAGATGATGTTGAACAAAATGATGTTATTCAAAGACATGCTGTACAATGTAGAAGTCAGTCTCTGTGTTGACTAAACAACTTTTAAAATCCCCTGTAATATAGAATTTTCTTAATCTTATGCGTTGAATTTACATGGTTTTGGAATTAGACTCAAGTTGCAATCCCAGATGCTTCAATATTCTACCTCTATTATTTAATCTTTCTGAACTTCAGTTCCTGCAATTTTTAAACGGGTGGAGTAAAGCTGATACTTCACATCTCAGTTAGCTATTTTTAGGATCAAATGAAATATTTTGATTTGCTGAAATCAAGCTTAATGTTTATGATCTGTGAGGCACTAACTAAATGTGAGGGATTTTAAAATTTTTAATTTGAAAACACATTGAAGATACTACATTTACACTTCCTTTGTTGAGAATAAACAGGACTAGCAAATTAAAACTGCAGTGTATATTGCTACATTTAGCATAATTTATAATGGATCTTAAAACCTATTATTGACACTGGTATAAAAAGTTAATGTGCAAGATTAGGAATATTGTTTACTGATTATAATTTAATGAATTGCTTTAAACATTCTATTTTTATCTACCTAGGATACAGTCAATGAAAACAATTGCTTGCAAAGTACAGGTCAATTGGTTTCAGTGATTTTTCAAACAGAGGAGAGTGATTCTGTATTCTATTTAAAACAATGGTAGAGCTACAAGCCTTAAATTTCTATAATGATAACATTGTAGATTAAGGAACGATTTGGTTGTCAGAGAGGAGTTTTTAATCTCATTTTTATAGCTAATTATGGGGTAGGTTTAGAAAATCACATGCAAGAAAGCATCCTTCTAAATTCTCCTTAAGCAAAATGATAATAACCTTTACTTATTTTCTCTGCAACAGGGGTTTTGGGGAGAATCCTGTTAATGTAATTCAGGATTATTAGACCTTCAAAACTTAGAAAATAAAAAGACATTGGAGCAGTAGCCTTGTGTCTGAAGTTTTAGGGGGATGATTTTGTTTTATTTGTTTGACATTTATCAGTGTTTTCTTTTGTTTAGTTGTTAATATGCTGGTAGCTGTACATAATATTCAGACCTCTCCTGAGAGTCAATACATCTTTTATTATATGACAACATAATATAATGATTTTGTGTTTGACATGGGTGCCTGCTCAACAACTTCCTGGTTTTGTAACCTCTTATGTAATCTTGCTGAACTTTTAGTTTTTCTTTGGAACTAAGAATGAAAACAGCTAATTCATTGTGTTGTTCTGAGATAATTTCATGAAAGCAACTAAACAAACAATAAATTCTAGTAATTGCTGGCGTTTGCCTTTTCCTATTTTGCCCTGTACAAACTTGGACTCAGAGAAGGGTTTGAATTGCAGTACTCATATTAATTTGCTAAGGTTGCTGAATTATGCACTCTCCTAAGAGCACTCACTTTCATATTTAAGATGGGCCTCCCACCGAGAATGTTATTTATTTATTTATTTATTTATTTATTTATTTATTTATTTATCTGAGACACAGCTTTGCTCTTGTTGCCCAGGCTGGAGTGCAATGGCGCGATCTTGGCTCACCACAACCTCTGCCTCCTGGGTTCAAGAGATTCTACTGCCTCAGCCTCCCGAGTAGCTGGAATTACAGGCATTTGCCACCATGCCCGGCTAATTTTTGTATTTTTAGTAGAGACGGCATTTCTCCGTGTTGGTCAGGCTTGTCTCGAACTTCCAACCTCAGGTGATCGGCCTGCTTCCGCCTCCCAAAGTGCTGGGATTACAGGCGCGAGCCACCACACCTGGCCCAGAATGTGAGATTATCTGTGAAAATGCTTTACATATAGTAGGCATTCAATAACGGCTCATTAAATACATTTCAAATTAAAGTATTTCTTTCTGCCTTTTCAGCTAAAGACATGATTGTCACATCAGGTTTGTTGATTTCTTTTAAAGAAATACAACAGAGGATCAGTTACCTTCAGCACCTTTCACTTGTAGATAGTACAGGCCAGTGAAGAGAGAATGGGTAAGGAGCAAGAGAGAAGAAACCCCAAGCAGGGCCACATGCTACTAGTCTGCAGATTGGTGACAAGGCAGGTGTGGAAATGAGATAAAAGTCTCAGCACTGCAAGGTGTGTGTCTTCCATCATGCTGCCTTGAAACCTGCCCCCACTATGGCACATGCTAATATGCTTCTTCATTAAATCCCCAAATGCTTTCTCTGTCCTCCTACTTTCCTCTCCAAGCCACACTTCACAAACATCAGCAGATCCAAAACAGTAACGACCTATGTGACCTTGCTGCCTTAGTATACACAGTCTGGAAAAAAATGAGATCTGCAGGGACTCCTCTGTGAAAGTTTCTTTTCAGAATAATATTTTATTTTCCCATTCAATTTGTAGAATTCTGGGGTAGTTGAGAAAGTTTTCAGATAAGCTTCCAAACCCTACAACATGATTTTAAACTTAATCCTATGTAAGGGAAAAAAAAATCTTCACACCATTATAAGGAGGAAATCCATGATCCACCTCAAGCAGACAGAGTCCTATTTAAATTACTCCATATTAAAACTGAGCTGACTTAAGAATAGAGCCACTATTCCAAGATTGGAGTAAAAAGAATAAGTTTGGAAATTCTAATTTTAACAAATACGATAGTGAAATTCTTACTACCTAAGATGCTGTGGCAGTATGGATGAGAGACTACATTAGCAGAATAACGTTGTACCATTCTTTTCAAATATTCTCTGCAAAAATTTTACAGGATAGCATAGACAAGATGGAGAGCCACAGATTATACTGTGTATGGTGGGTTAGTATTCTTTTAGAGTCTCTCTTTGATGTGCTAGGAGAGTTTTCTTTAAATCTGTAGCCTCAAAGAAATGCATCCTGGCTGTATGAGACCAATAAAGTGGAAATATTTGCGCTGAGGACACCAAAATTATAAACATTAGAATATGTATTTTAATGCAGGCACATGAACGTATGAGATAAGGTAAAGTAGACAATTCTAGCAGCTGAAATAGTTTTGGCATCATTGCTAGCACATAATGTTGGCTTGTGACATTCTCCTGAAAGATTACATTCTTTGTTTTTTTTGTTGTTGGTTTGTTTGCAATGTTTCCATTCATTTACTGACTGTTCATCTATACCTTTTAGGAAACTGGAGTATTTGTGCTGAGTTTGAGATAGGGGAGAGCAAAGAAAAATTAAAAAAAAAAACAAAAACATACAGTTCAGGCAGGAACAGGGCACCAAATCATTCTAGGGCTACATCTTAGACAACATGAACTTCATGATAAAATAATATCTTTTTTGAAGGAGGAAAGATTTTCAAATAAATTCTTGGTTTTTTATTTTTATTTGTACATTGCAGAAAGGCTGAGAAGAAAAATAAATGCCTAAAACAAATCAGCTAAATGATTTGTTTTAATATATCACTCATATAATTGCTATTAATGAGATTTAAATATTACCTGATATTTCTGGAAAATGTGCTAGTATATAAATCTCACCACAATAGTTTGAAGACTCTGCTTTAAATAACATGTAATGATATTTTGGGTCTCTAATGCTTATTAACCAGCATGCTTCACAGTGTTTGAAAATTTTGTAGTTTAAATAAATTCATGTGATAAAAATTCAACATTAAAATATTTCATCTGTAGAATACATTATGTTTTAAATTGTATCAAAATATCCATTTTAATAACTCTTTCCAAAAATAAGTGCCTAATTATATATGTATTTTAATCAGGTGCCGGTAAATAGAAGATAAAGCTACTTTCAATCCATTTTGGGATTCTTTCCATTGATAAGGCTAAGATAGTAAATAGCAACCCTAGATAGCAAATACCAGTCTTTAATAGGTTGGCTCTATTCCAGATGAGAGCAGATGAAGAATCACAAAAAGTGAATCTCAGTACAAAGTTCATCTTATGCTTCTCTTTCCAATGATTTATTCTCAAGAAATGATGCTTCAATAAGTAACATGATATTAAATGATGCTGAGACGATTAGTATTTTGGCCATCCAAAGACCATTATAGTATATGTTTAACATGTTGTAGCAATATTCTTGCAATTCTCATATCTGTAATCTGGACTGCCTGTAAGTATACAAACACGTGTTCCGTTTAAAATGTGTTTCTAGGATTTGTGTCATGAAATCATGAATGATCTGAAAATGAATATGAGTTCTGTGTCATTAGTTGGTGATATTACTTGATCACAATCTGAGGATTAGGTAGGTATTTGCCCAAAATCACGCATTAAAAAGAGCCTAACACAAATTAGATCACACATGGTAAGAGTGAAATTTACTTCAAAATGCCACAGTTATACATTCTCTTTTTCATCAATTTGTTCACAGGCTATAAGCTCAAATATTAAGCTGAGTAACTAGCTAAAGTAAACCTAGAGAGTTCATAAACCCAGTTAGATGACATTTGAATAGAATTTTGCAGGATAGCTTGTCTGCTATTACACAGCGTGGGGAGGGTTATCCCAAGCATAAGGGGAGAACATAGGCAAAGTCGCTGTGGAGGCAAACAGAATGTGCTCCCAGGTTTTAATCTGGTGGTTCAGTAGAACTAGAACAGACACGAAGTGCAATGAGGTTTTGGGAAGATGATACTGGTCAATTAACAAATGATAGATCATAAATTTTTCTGTGTGTTAAGCTAAGGATTTTGAATTTTAATCTGAAAGTTATGCAGAGTTACTGAAGGATTTTCAGCAAGGTTTAACTTGACCGGATTTGTAATTCAGAATGATCACTTTGGCACCAGTATAGAGAATTGTCTAGGAGAGACCACTGGGGTAGTCAAGAAATAATGGGATTCTACCTAAAGCAACAGTAGTTAGAATGGAAAAAAGGCAAAGACATGAGATTAGTGATATAACAGCACAGCCACTGATTGGATGTTAGGGATGAGAGATAGCTAAAGAAGACTTTCAGGTTTCTATCTTAGCAATCGTACCCTTAAGCTTATGAGTAAAGATGGTGCAGGAAAAGACATAGGAATGGAGGTAAGCTAAAATTTAGGCTTGGATGAGGCTGTGGAATTTTAAAACAGAATAAAGGAAGGTTTCTTCACTTTCTAAGCTTGAAAGAAAGCATTGCTGGTACGTGCCTAGCCTCCAAGAGAGAAACTGAACCAAATTTATATAGTGTGAGCTACTCAAGTGGAAATGTTTGATCTTACAAGTGATAAATGAAGCCGTTTTTCTCTCCATCCAAACAATTTTCAGCTAACTGCCATGTGTTTGCAATCATAGCTGGTTTCCCGAGTTTAGCTTCCATAAAGCTTTTGGTTAACTTTTAAAAATTAGATTACAAAGCTTACTTGAAATGTCTCAGGCACATCAATTCTATATTGACAGGCTGGTTAATTCACATGTAATTGCTGAACAAATGTTAACAATTTGAATCTTACTTCACCAGCACTTTTTGTTTCTTTGAGAATGTCTTTAGAATTTGTCAAATAAGATTTGTCTCTTCCTAGACTTCAGTTTCTTAAGCATTAATCTCTGCTTTTGAGATATTCAAATGTACATGCCAAACACCATTACTCTTGCTTTAGCTGAGAAAATCTTGCTAACGATTTGGATTATAATAGTAAAATGGAATACTTCTTTAAAATTTACTCTCAATGCTAACAAAGTTAGAAATTTGGCTCCCCAAAAATGAGAGTGTTTCTATTTATATGAAGAAAATTCATGACCAAGAATGCATTCAATAGCATTCCATTTTCTTTCATAAATAATGGCTGCATGACCCTAAAAATGTGTGCCTTCATTTTCTCAAGTATATTCAGAGGATATTATTGATGATTTTAAAGAAAAGATGGATTTTTTTTTTTTTTTTTTTTTTTTTTGAGACGGAGTCTCACTCTGTCGCCCAGACGGGAGTGCAGTGGTGTGATCTCGGTTCACTGCAACCTCTGCCTCCTGGGTTCAAGAGATTCTCCTGCCTAAGCCTCCCAAGTAGCTGGGACTACAGGTGTGACCACACCCCACCCAGCTAGTTTTTTATTTTTAGTAGAGACGGGATTTCACTATGTTAGCCAGGCTGGTCCCAAACTCCTGACCTCAGGTGATCCACCCACCTAGGCCTCCCAAAGTGCTGAGATTACAGGTGTGAGCCACTGCGCCCAGCCGAGAAAACATGTCATTTTAAAGTGCAAATATGTACATGTGGTTAAATCTTCACTGGAAAATCAGCCCTTAAATATTCAAGAGTTTCTGCCAGATAGCTTAATAATGTCAAACATGTTTTTACTCATAGAATTTCCACTTGGCCAAAGGCAACTGCCAAGGTTTTGGTAGGGTTCTTATCTTCATATTTCCTGGGCTCTGTTCTACTGATGTTCTCTTATTGTACTCTGTACTGGTGTTATGACTGGTATTTAGTGTCTTATGATTGCTGTAAGAAAATACCACAAACTGGATGGCTTAAAACAACAGAAATTTATTATTTCACATTCTGAAGGCTAAAAGATCAAAATCAAGGTTTCAGCAGGGCTGTGTTCCCTATGAAAGAGCTAGGAAAAAAATTCTTCCTGCCTCTCTTGGTGGCCTCAGGAGTTTCTTGTCTTGCAGCTGCCTCACTTTAATCTCTGATTGGCACATGGCCTCTTCTAATTGTCACATGACAACCACATGGCCTTTTCCCCATGTCTTTTTTGTGTCTCTACATCTATCTTTCTCTCTCTCATTTATCTTATAAAAACACTAATCACTGGATTTAGAGCACATCCTAATTCAATATGACCTCATTTTAAGTTTATTACATCTCCAATGACTCCATTTCCAAATGACACTGTGTTCTGAGGTTCTAGGTGGACATATTCTTTTAAAGGTGATTGGTGAGACAGAAGAGAGAGGCGCTATTGAATCCAATATATGGCATGGCATTTATCAATCTGATTTGAGGTAGAGTTAAGCAAGGGTGTGCTTTTTCTTCCACACTAAACTGAATCTCTGCAGCATAGATAGGTTACCTTAATAACATCTGTATTCCAATTAAGACCTTATACAGTGCCTCACACTAAATAGAGCCCAAATAAATGTTTATTTGATTGAATTTTACTGTCTTCTGTTTAAACATGGCACACTTAACACATCTTATTGCTGCTTTCTCTGGAAAACCTACCAAGATTACTGTTAAAGAACAAAAAAAGTAAATATCTACAATGACAGAATAGAAAATGAAACTGCAGCTAGGTAAGAGTTACGAAGACAATTTTGGAAAATGGAATGTCTGAAATATGTGTACTGTATTAGTGAGACAAAAGAAGCTGAAATGTGCAGAAAGAGGAGGTAAAGATGAGAAGCAAGTTGATTTTCCACCAATTTCCAGAAAGGCTCAGGAATTGAAGGGACTAGGGACTCTAACAGGTGGGCGTGAAGTATTGACCGAAAACTAAGGGAACTAGTGGACAAATCTGTTTAAAGCACAGTTCGGCAACTAGATTACAGACTCCCATCCTGTGCAGCCAAGTGACTAACCCACCACCGATTCCAAAGCAATAAAAATTCTCCCCTATCCTTTCATGGAGAGATTATTGAGAAGGGCCTTGGATGCAAGGACACCAAGAACGTTGGAGGGTGGAGATTAAACAGAAACCTGTGAATGAACAATAAGACTGTCAGCTCTTTTTCCTTTCCATTAGGCCAGCAGCCAGGCTTATTCTCCAAGGTAAGAAAATATACATATAAAATCTAGAGATTATATAGTATTATATATATTATATATTTCTAGGGAAATATATAATCTAGAGAAACTGAATCCTCTAGAGAAAATAAGATACTAATATTTGGAGCTTTCCAACAGAAATTAGTTTGCTACTTTATTATCATAAAATGAATCCTGCCCACCAATAAGACCTGCCCATGTACACAGAGCATCTAAAATGCTCCAAGTTCCACATCCTTAAATCCAAATGAGTTGTCAAAAATCAACAGATACTTAAGGAAAGTCTAAAATAGGAAAAGCAGAGAATAAAAGTTGCAAATGCACAAAGATTAAAAAAGAACTCTAAGGAAACATCCAAATGGGAATGTCTTCACCTCCTTTAAGTCTTTGCTCAAATGTCATGTTCTTTGAAAGATTATCATGATCACTTTACTCAAAATTACAAACTTATTTTTCACCTATGACTCCCCATTCATCTCATCCTAGTCTTCTTTTCTTTTTCCCATAACAATCATCCTCTATTATACTATATGTCACCAATTATGATCTAATTTATAAAATCTATTGTTGAGGGAACTTCTTTTTAGATTCTAAGCTCAATCATGGGCCTAGAACAGTGCCTGGAAAATGGGAGATATTAATAACCATTTTGGAATGAATTAATTGCTTCAATTTTAGAACATGAAGGTAAAAATTAGTAGCAATAGCTAAAAGAGTTGGAAAGGGTTCCCTCCTTGAGCCCAGTTGGAGAGTAGAAAGAAGTAGGAACAAATGTTACTGCTAGAAGCCCCGTAATGCAATCTGTCTTTTTAACTGTTTATAAGTATTCCTTAAAGGGAAATTAAATCATTACATCAGAAAAATATTGAATTTTATGTTTAGGAGATAATCTACAAACAAGGGCAATGTGGTTGCCAGTGTTTGTTTGTTTGCCTTATTGTAAACAGCATTCTCACTTTTTATCTGAGACCATGAAAGTGATTACTGTATCTTGGTTCACTTTAGGATTCCCTCAAGTACCATGTGCTGAGGAAATGTGGATGTGCACTTCCAAATTTCCACTTTTGTGTTTTCATTAAAATCTCAATACCAATCCACATGTTGACTGTTCCCATTTTTCTTGAATCTAATTGTAGATGATAGGCTTATTCAAAACATTTAGTAAAATCCACATAACCACATCACAGCAGGCTTTCATCATTTTGTAAGATAGCTTTTTACAATAGTGAATAACGTATTGAGTTACTGAAAAGTTATTGTTATTACGGCATAACTTTGTCCCAAGAATTATTTGTTGTAAAAGTGAGAAACATAGAAAATACACATGTAACATGCATGTAATCTACTTGAATAATTGTATTTTACTACTGTCAACTGTAGTCAAATTTGTCATATTCCCCATATGTGATTTTTAAAATTTCATGTCTTTTATGAAACCAATTGTGTATTTTGGGATATTTGAGAATGACAAACCAAACCAATTTATTAACATCATTATCATTAGTAGTATTTATTGATGTATAAAAATAGGATAATGGGGAACTGGACTGAAGGCAAAGAAAGTCTGTTTGCATTGCGAATATGTTGTAGTTTGGCTTCATTCAGTTTATTTCCAAATTATCTCCCTCATTGATTTGGGGGGTAATTTTTGTGCTAATGCCTTTGCAAATTAGATTTAAAAAATAGAAAAGAAAAGGTCTTCTCTTATGAAGCCAATGAATATTTACTGACAAGCAGTATAGTAGGACATGCCCTTGAATAGCATAGAATCTAAAGAGAGGAGCAGATGTGTAAACTAAAAATACCAATTCAGTGAAGCAAGTTCAGCAAAAATGTCTGTGCAGGGTGCTAGAGATTTGCAGAAGAGTTACATCACACTGCTATGAGAAACTACGGGTGGTTTTAAAGGAAAATGGTAATATCAGAGCTAAGTAAAGGAGCATACATAGGAGTTAACTAGTTAAAAAAATAATGAGGAACTGCTATGAGGAATTATGGATGGCTTCAAAGGAAAAAGGTAATATCAGAGCTGAGTAAAGAAGCATACATACGAGTTAACCAATTAAAAAAATAATGAAAGTCAGTGGGAGAATGTTTAAGGCAAAGGACAGAACACCAGGAAAGACAAAAAAAAAAAAAAAAGAAAAAAAAAACTACAAAACATGATGTGGTCAATATTAGTGGAACAAAAAATGAAAAGTGGGAGAGTGGGGAAGGCGGAACATGGAAATATAAGCAGGAATCAAGTTACATGGGCCTTATCTGCAACCTAAAATGCATAAACTTTGTCCTGTACATCTCATCCACTTTCACACGTGGTTTTGCATATGCAGCTGGAGAAGGGTAAAAATAAAATAATTATTATCAAAGAGAGCTGCCTATCAATAACAATTGTGTGTATGACATGGTAGAGGGATGCAATAGAAGAGACATATTTCTTCTAAGCTAACTTTCCTAACTTGCCAAAAGGACATAGAAGATAATTCCTGTCAGATAGGGCCAGAAGGAAATGCCATAACATATTTTCGGGAAAAAAAGCAATTTAAAAAAAGAAGAAATTATCAGCAATTGTGATGAAAGCTTTTTATCTCAACTTGATGACTTCTGAAACCAATTGCATTGCTCTTAGTAACCATATAGATAACCCTTGACATTTATAACTTATGTATGAGCAATATGAAAGAGCCATGATATTTTATAATTTATCAATTTGCTAAAGATGTGTTTTGAATTACAGCCACGGCAGGCTGATCAGTAACTTGACTTTAAATAGTGAATGAACCAACATAGCAAATCAACAAACAAATGCGTATCTTAAACTCAGCTTCTGCTCTCATTATAGTTTCCTTCTAGATGTTGTCTGGACATTTGTGAAATCGACCTGTTATTCACAAAAGTATGAATTTGGGAAATTCTAGGGACATATCTCTTATGAATGCATAGAGTTTTTAGGACCCATTACAGCAATTCCTTTCTTTGAAATGACCATTATACCTATAATTAGTGCAATCAATACAATTTTATAGCCAGATGAAAGTTCTGTCCATAGTAATCCCTATTTCTCAATGCAATAAACAATTGAGACAAATCAGATTAGTGTTCCATCAAAAGTCGGCTTCAGTAAAAGCAATATTCAAGGGATAAAGTAAAATGATGAACTCGAGATTCAAAAATGACAAATTATGTAAATACAGAACAACACAGGTAAATGTGAATTAGTAGCTTGATGCAGTACCACAAAATTTCCCAAGGTAACGAAATGTATCCCCACTGTTATGCTTCTCACTGTTTAAAGTAAGTACTCAGTCTAGTTCTGTGCCACCATCTTTATGATGGTCGTTGTTAGAATAGAACTGCTGGTATGTTGTCTCACTATCCTAATGCTACAGGTAAACTACCTTATTAT
Source organism: Homo sapiens (assembly GCF_000001405.40). Classification (NCBI taxonomy): domain Eukaryota; kingdom Metazoa; phylum Chordata; class Mammalia; order Primates; family Hominidae; genus Homo; species Homo sapiens. The sequence goes on along the minus strand of NC_000009.12, from coordinate 9,301,337 downwards.
TGTTTGAGATGGAACACATTTCAGTTGGCACAGTCTCTGGCTAAAAATAGCATGAAATCTGTTTTGACAGCTCTTGATTATGTTGCCTAAATTCAATGCATCCTCAAAAATTATATCTTATTTAGTTTGAGAAAAAACTTTAACATAGTTCTAATCATATATGTAAAATTAGTCATCTGAGGAGATTAAAGATTGTACCTAGTTATTATGAATAATAAAAGGTTAATTAATCACAAGAATCTTAAATTATATGAAAGACTTCTGTGTTTATTGAGTGCCTGCTTTGTGCCAGATACTGAATAAGGCTCCATTGAGACATAGATGAACAATATTAACATAGTGCTGGTGCTTTGGTGAGTTCACACTCTAGTGGGAAAAGTGTATTATCCAAGCACTCACAAAACAGGTAGATAATTGCACATTATAATTAAGTGATATAAATAACAATATGCGTAAAAGATTAAAGCAAGTACCCCTAATTTTCAATGAGCAGAGTTACTGTATTAGTCATTATGGATTGATATAACAAAATACCATAAATTGTATGGCTTATAAACAGCAGAAATTTATTTTTCACAGTTCTAAAAATTGAAAGTCTGAGATCAGGGCACAGCATGATGAGGTACTGGTGACAGCCTTCTACCTATCCAACGGCTGACTTCTCATTGTATCCTCATACAGCAGAAGACAGAGGTGAGAGAGCTCTCTGATGTCCCTTTTATAAGGACACTAATCCCATTCATTAGGGCTCCACCTTCATGACTTAATTACCTCCCAGAAGCCCAACCTCCTACTACCAACACATTTGGAGTTACAATTTCAACACATGAATTTGGGGGGAACACAAACATTCAGTCCATTGCTGTCAGGGAAAGCTTATGTAGCAAAATGACGTTTAGACAGAGATCATAATGATGAAGAGGCGCTGTCTAAAAAGAGATTGCAGCATATTCAAAGCTTCCAAGGAAGGAAGTGTAAAATTTGTGTCACTGGAATACATTGATCTGGAAGGAGGAGCTTAAGATACAAAATAGTGTATACAAATTAGTTCCAGAGAAGCAGGGGATGGACTATTTAGAGGCCCTGTAGGTCATTTTAAGTATCTTGAATTTTATCCCAAGTACAAAGGAAATCACTTGAGAAATTTAAGTAGAGCATGACATACCCTAAGTATTTTTAAAAGTCAGTCTAAGTACCATGTAGCTCATGGATTGGAAGAAGGCAAGAGACCAAACATGTCTAGTGAGGAGAATATGGGACAGTGGCCATAGAGGTGGACAGAATTAAACAGATTCATAAAGTAGTAAATTTAAAAATTGTGTGTCAGTAACAAACTTTTTTACAATTTGAACAGCATACGAGATAATAGTTAACTATGTACATACTGTGGAGGAATATTTAGGCCTATAGCTGTCACGTAGAGTAAAAAATGTATAAATTAGATCTTAGTTTTCAAGTTAGATTAATCAGTAAGAAGTTTTTGTTGCTCAAGAACATAAAGACTTTGGTTTCCCTCATCCCACATATGTGTCTTTTCCCTCATCCCACATGCGTGTCTTTTCCCTCATCCCACATATGTGTCTATTCTATCCATTTATAAACATAAAATGGAGAAAATAATAAGATCACACCAATGGAAATTCACCTTTAATCAAAAATACTTTGGGCACAAGTCACTGATGTTATCATTTTATAATCATTAAGATGTGTATGGATGACCTTGCACATATGACCTTTCAAAAAAGGAAGGGGCCCTTTTGAGAGTTATAAATAATCTGCAGTCCATAGCAATATTTAAATCCCAAATAAGAAAAATTTAAAGACAAATAACTGTAAGAACTTCATACTAGAAATCAGAGTTTCTCACTAGCCAGCACCATTGAAATTGTGCACTGGAAAAATCTTTGTTATGCAGGCTGACCTGGGCATTATAAGGTATTTAGCAGCATCCTCAGGCTCTACCCACCAGATGCCAGTAGCAGCCCTTGAAAATCATTAAATATGTTACCAGACATTGCCAAATGTCCTCTGGGGGGCAAAATCACCCTTTGGTTGATAACCACTGCTGTAAATCTACCTTTCTGCATATTTGCTTTTTCACTAATTAACTAATATTGAAATAATAAAATATCATGTTCATTACCAAAATTAATACTCTATGTAGTGATCAATCAATTTGCTATTCTATTGGATTTACCGTTCACCTCCCTATATTTGCTGGAGACACAATTAGTTTTTCTTACCATCCATAATCTTCATCTGCCAATAGTCAGGATCTACATTATAATTATAGTAGAACCTGAAATGATTAGGATAATAATGAAGTTGGCAAAGAAGCCATGCAGCTTAAAGTATATTAATTAGCAAACACATTTAAGTCTTTTATATTAAGAAAAATAGACTCCTTTTATTTCATGCTCATTGTGATGGAAACATTTTTAAGCTGGTATTGCTGACAGGATTAATAACTGCCTTGTGGTATAATCATATTTTATAACTTTTTCTTATATACAAATTTATAATGAACTTCTATTGAACAGCTAATGGTTTGACTTCTAATTATTCAATATGTAAATAATTCAGGACAATTCAGAGAAGAGGAGGAATTAAATATAAACAGCCCATTGCTAAGGGAATTTTCTTCTGCATGCTCTTGTCTTCCCTTCAATAATCCTTATCTTTTCCCTCCTGCTTCAGCTTCTTTATTGCTCCTCTACTGATTTGGTTATCATAATCTTTGCAGCATTGCAAAACACTTCAAGTTCCCTCTGCAACCTTCCAAAAAAAGTCAATGAAAATGGTTATTAGACATTTTATAATTAAATGTTCTTTTAACTTTTCTGTCCCGTTTAAGCCAGTATCTTACCCTATTACAACTTTTTAAGTGTATTCCATCTGCCATGAAAGTTAAAATTCACAGGAGAAATTAAATCTAGTTTAAAAAGAAAAGGTTATGAATCAAAGATTTGTCTCAGAGAATCAGAAATAAGCATTCCAGGGAATCAGCATATATTCAAATCTTTTCATGTACAAAGGATGTTTAAAATTTTGTGTGATGCCATGGAGAACCAAAAAAAATAAAAGATAAAACTCTGCTTGCATTTGTTTCTCTTTCAATTCTATTTCTGAAACCTTTAGGTTAATAACATGTTTCATACTAAATTTATCAACTGCCTAAGTTCAAACTTTCTTCCTTTTCTGACTTCACTCTTTCTATCAGTGCCACTACACTCCCAGTTTCCCAAGATTAAAAATGTGGAGTTTTCTTTTACCCATCCATTGTCTCTCACATTTTAAGTCATTGATTTATTTAATCATATTCCCTAGCATCTACTATGTGTCACACATTGTGCTGGGAATTATCCAAACCAAACTTAAAATAGCTCTTAAATTCTATAAAACGGAAGAATACTTATCTTATAGGGCTGTGTAAGGATTATATGATCTACTATATGTAAAGTATTAAAACAGTAGATGACACATAGTTATCTCTGTGTAAGTCCCCACTGCCAATGTCCTAAGCTAGTCATTTAACTCTTATATTAATATCTTACTCTCATCTTTCTACCTTGAATTTTCCAATATTTTTTCTATCCTTCTTACTAACAAAGAGAAACTTTCTTAATCTCCTTAACCAACCATCAATGTTGGATTTTATTATTTTTTATGATAACGAAGAATTCTAGTGGTTTACAGTTAGTAATAATGTGTAACTCTTAACTAAAAATTATATTTCTGGGATTAATTATATTTATATATTTCTGTGGAAACTACCTGAAATAATCCTGTTCCCAATCTATATGTCTTTTTGGAAGATAGTCAATAACATTTAATAAGTATAAATACTTGTTTAATTTTGGTGATATTTATTGGGATTTTTTTGTTTCAATGTTTTAAACTCATCATGGACTAAAAGGACTCATCCAGAGATGATGGGGAGAAGTAAGATTTGGCCTCTTTTCTGTTTTTTCATTCATCTTATTCTACTTCATTATGTTTGCAAGACCCAAAACCATATCTCTGTCTCTGTATTTTCTGGCCTATAAAGATTGCAGAAAAATAGAAACAATTATTTTAATTATCATTATTTTATCATAAATTCTAGTCTGACTCTAGGCTTCCAATTAACAGTGAACTTCTGAATCTTTGATACAAGACCAAGAGGCTCTGGAGATAAAGGGGAAATTTCTGGAGAAATTTGGGAAGACTGTGGCCCCTGACTCTCATCCATATCATTACAGTCTGAAGCCAGAAGTAGCTATGAACATGCAGTGCATTTTAACTCTTGTAGACCTATTTCAGGAAGAAATACATTTTCCAAGTCAGTCTGCTTAAAGGTGCAGAGATTTGAACAGTTAAAGAAGTTTTATAGACTGCCCCAGATTTCAGATCTTAACACTAATTGCTTTAGATGGAGCTGTCTCATGCCACATTTTAATATCTTCTAGAACCTCCCATATTACTTAGTCTAGGCTTTGCTTTTGGATTCCTTCTAGGACAATCAAAAGTAATGTAAAATTTGTTCAAATTCATTTCTGCATTGCCTTGATTCATCTACGTAAGTCCCTTAGGGAACAGTAGGATAACACAAAAAACTTCTTATTTATTTAAAATGTCAAAAGCAATCAGAGCCACATTTGAAAAGCTCCAGTCCTCTTCATTCTACATTCTCTCTCTTAACTGACATAGGCATAAATCCCAGGAGGTGAATGCAAAATAGATCTATAACATCAATCTGAAACTGATTTAAATAATTAGAACTCTACTATCACTCTATCCCCATTTCTTTCCCAAGGTGGAGGAGGAGGAGGAATAAATGATCATAGTTTTTGTGTGTATACAAATTTCTAAATTAAAATAATGCATTGCTACTTGCATATATTTGAACATATGGTCAACTCAATTATTTAAAAAATCAAATTTGTCAGAAGGTAAAGAGAAATAATGATGGAGCAATTATCCCTCTGAACTTACTTCTTAATTACCCAGGCAAGACTGCTAATGATGTCCATTTCCTAGGTTCCACTGACAGTACAGTAATTAAAGGTCATGTGAGAACATTTGTCCCAAGGAGATATAAAGTCAAAATGGTAAACTCAGAATATAAACCTGAACTGTAATATGAGTACAAGTTCATGGTGCAGAACCAGCAGTCTAGAGATTTTATAGCCCTTTTGTTAATCATAGAATTTATTCTGTTTCATAACTCTAAACCCCATTAACTGGCCATGATTGGTAGTTTAATAATCTAGGTATTGACCTCAAAGCTGAGAATGTGCCCGATGAGATCATCTGAGTCCTCATTACCAAAAACAAAACAAACAAACAAAAAACCTGAGGTATCATGTAATATTAGGAAGCTTTTTTAAAATTTAATTTCCAGAAAATTAATCCAACCTCCTGAGTAGTAAAGTCATAATTGTCAATAGGCTAAAAAGAGAGGCTTTACAATGTGAAAATGGGGCCATAATCTGGGCATAGAGAGAGGCGTTGCCTCTGAATTATGCTTCGAAGCCCTGATCAGAGTTCTAGGATGCACCAGAGTCACAGACAAGCTTCCGTGTTCCCCACCCTGGTTGTAAAGAAATATTTCAAAGAAATTAAGCTTCTCTTTGAAGTAAACCTAGTGTTTTTCTACATTTTATGTCATGACACATACTACCATCTGGTTATACAATAAAATATAATTACTTTTGAGAGAAAAGTCATTTTTTCCCCTTCAGAAGGATCCAAGAAAAAGAATGCTCCAATAGTCTCTTAAAAATCTCTCTTCATTATTTGGACATAGCTACCCTTGCAATAAAGTATGTTTCAAGTAGTTATTTGGTTGTTCATGTACTTTCAAAACAGCTGTTTTCTCCTCAACAACTACCATTTTAAAATACGTAGAACTACACTGCATATTTATGTTACAATGATAGAGTATATTTTTGTGACAGAACTGTCAGTTACACTTTATTTTCAAGAAAAAAATGGTATTAAAAAAGGGAGTAAGCTGTAAAGATTCACTCATTTGGCTTCTTATGTTGTTTTTAGAACATTTGCTATACTTCTGATATAATTTTACCTCCAGCCTTGTAATAAAATATGTGTATGTTTTCAACAGAAAGTGTTAATTAGAATAAGGGTAACTTTTACTTTATTTGTTTAAATAAAATTTAGATTCTTCCCCTGAAATCTGTTTTAAAGGACGTATTTTATTTTCCTGATTACCCAGCTTTTCATTGTGAGCCACCAAGCTTATTTTCAGAAATTTGAAAGTTTGAACACTGTTTTGGGTTAAGATAATTTTAAAAATCAAATTTAATTTAACTAATACATGTTTTACTTTCTTAAAGTTACCTGATACAAGTACTTACTAATTAGACCTTAATTTTTCTTTATTGCCTAATATTTCACTTAAAACTTCTTTGGCAAATCTGAATAAAAACGTGAGTATTCAGATTCATGACCACCTTATTTTAATATAATCTTAAAGCTTATAAATTTAAAATTTATGCCTAATCTTAATAGTGCACATGGAGTATATTAGTTTGCTCAGGCTACCATAACAAAATACCCAGATTGGGTGACTTAAACAACAGAAATTCATTTTGTCATATTTCTGAAGGCTGAGAAGTCTAAGATCAGGGTGTCAGCAAGGTAAGTTTCATTCTAAGGCCATGTCTCTTGGCTGATAGACGGCCTCCATCTTGGTATGAGTTAACGTTGACCTCTTCTTTGTGCACAGACATAGAGAAATAGCACACAGAGCGCTCTGGTGTCTCTATTTGTAAGAACACTAATCTGTCAAATCCCCACCCTTAGGAACTCATTTAACCTTAATTACTTTATTTTCTTAGCAGCCTTACGTCCAAATACATCCCTACAGGGTGTCAGAGGTTCAACATGTGAATTTTTAGGGAATTTATTTATTCAATCCATAACAAGGAGCCACATAAAAGTTACTTTCTTGAGTATGAACTCATATTAGCCTAATACAGATATTTATGGTTACATACAGAAGTAGGTATGTGTATATACACAGGTTAGTGTACAGTACTCCTCATTTAGCCTTGGTTTTGCTTTCCATGGTTTTAGTTATCTCTGGTAAACTGTGATCTGAAATAGTAAGTGGAAAATTCCAGAAATAAACAATTCATAAGTTTTACATTTCACAACATTCTTAGTAGTGTGATGAAATTTCATGTCATCCCTCCCAGGATGTGAATCCTCCATATATAAGGCAAATGCACACTGTATACAGTGCCCTCCAATTAGTCACTTAACAGCCTTCTTAGTTATCAGGTCAACTGTGGCAGTATCACAGGTGCTTGTGTCCAAGTAACCCTTATTTTACTTAATAATGACCCCAAAGTGCAAGAGTACTGATGCTGGCCATTTGAATATGCCAAATGAAAACTATTAAGTGATTCCTTTAGGTTTAAAAAAAACTGAATGCTGAGGTTGCTAAGATCTTTTATCTGTGAAATTGCAAAGAAGAAAAAGGAAATTAGTGTTAATTTTACTGTTGTACCTCAAACTGCAAAAGTTACAACTGCAGTACATAACTGCTTAGTTAAGATGGAAAAGGCATTAAATTTGTGAGTAGAAGACATGAATAGAAACATGTTCTGATTGCCAGCAGTCGAGTTCATTACTATTTGAGATTCACATCCACTGAGGTCTTAGAAGATATCCCTGAAGAAGGATAAGGGGGTATTACGGTATATACGTATATTTCTTTTCTCTGTCAACTGAGAGGGCCTAAAACCAACCACCAGTAGCAATGAACACATTCAACTTTCATATGTGGTTTCTAATAGCATTAGTCAGTAATAATAATAATAATCTCCTTGTAGAAATGGGTGATTCTAGTACTGGAGCAGGAACTACACAAGATATGCCTGGGACAGCTTGTAGTGTAAAAATTTAAGGACATAAAAGAAACAAAATGCAAAAAAAAAAAGAACAAACAAACAATGATGGGAGTATGTAAAAGGAATATAGGAGAGAACTGAAAGAGCTCCCAATGGCCAAATCTGGAACAATATATTCAACAAATAAAATAATATTAAATTATCAAAGTATAAAATAAATAATCATGAATCCATACTGACATATGTTAATGATTAAATAGGTAAATGAATTGAGGAATGAGTAAATGAAGAATAGACAAATCTCCTATGCAGAAGAATTCTAAATAATTTATGTGGTTATTTCACTCTCAAGAAGGTAAAGCATAACTCTCCACTTCCATATGGGATGTGCACAGTAACTTCTTTCCAACGTGTACGTGAGGATAGAGAGGAGAAACTGACATAAGGAAAGGCGGGGAATATTTTTTGGTAGAGAAAGCTAACAAGCACTACCTTAAGCAGGTAATCAAGATGAAAATCAGCAGTGATAAATCATGTTGATAGTATAGGATTAGAATGGCCCTTTACTTCTGAGGTTTTGTTTCCCAAAATCTATAACCCCAATCTAACCATGAAAACAAACAAACAAACAAAAAAGCTCAGAAAATTCCCATAGAGGAACATTCTATATAATGCCTGATCAGTACTCCTCAAATCTGTCAAGATCTTCAAAAACAAGTTTAGTCTAAGAAACTGTCGCAGCCAAGAGGAACCTAAGGAGATATGACTATTAAATATAATGTGGTATCTTGGATGGAATCCTGGAACAGAAAAAGGACATTAGGTAATAACTAAGGCAATCTGAATAAAGTATGGATTTTAGTTAATAATAATTTATCAATATTGGTTCATTAATTGAGACAAATTCACCATACTAATGTAAGATGTTAGTTAATAGGGAAAATGGATGTGGAGTATATGAGAACTCTTTGTACTATCTTCATAATTTTTCTGTTAAAGTATTCTAAAATATAAAGTTTATTTAAAAAAAATACTCTCTTGGTAAACTAACAGAAAGAAAACCTCTTATGTGTTACTGATATACAATGTATGTCAGTCACCTAATGGTAAATGGGAAATCTTCCTACATCATGCGGAAAGTGACAAAGTTGGCCATGAACAAAAAGTTTAAATTTCTTGACTTTGAAGTCTTCTATCACAGAATAGAGATAAAGAACCAGTTATGCTTCAGTTAACTTGGAAGGATTTCAAGTGAATGAGATGATATTGAGAGAGATATGGGAAAGAAAAAAAAAAGTGTTCATTCATTACAGAGTATCTAAGGAGAATGAAACGTTTTCAGGATCCTTCCATGTCACTATATTTTTCAGTAGGCCCTCGTCTCATAGATAATACAAAGCTGCAAAGCTCCATGAATCTTCTGAGGAGATAAAATACCAGTATTACTTATTCACATTACCTGACAGATTGGGAAACCTCTTACTATATAAGTAGTAAGTAATTGCAAAGCATAAATTAGGTTAAATGAATTTAAAAATCAAGAAATTTATAATACATGACATTCATTTGAGATATATATATATATATATACCATACACACATATATATACACATATTACACACACACATATACACATATATATCCTCTGAGATAAGATTTTTCCTGTAGAAAACCTAAAAAAAGAGAGAAAATATTATAAGAATCTTTAAATTTATAAATCTTCCGAAATAAGAAACATGTTTTGACATTTTGAAAAAAAGTAATTATAGTAAATAAATTTTTATTCACAATTACCCTTTAAATAGCAAACCAATGGAAAAAATAGTTCAGATGAAAACCATAAGCAATATAAACTTTATAGTTGCTTACTGTAATGTATTGCAAATTTAATAACATATTAACAAGTTAATCACATATTACAAAATCAGGTCTTTCAAAAAACACTGGGAAATCCCGTTTTATGTTATTGGTAAGTTAAAATCTAATCAAAATCTCTAATAAATTTTCAGAGCTAAAGGTTAAGATGTTTTGCAGTAATTATTCAAGGAACAAAGTTATTTGCACCTCCGTTGGGGGCATCTTCTTCAAGGACATGAAAGCCTGACATTTCTTTATGTCTGCATTTAATTGTAAAGAAAGCAGTCTCTCAAATTTCCGGTTTAAAAGAACCATCTTATAAGTGGTTCTACATTTTGAAGAAAAGTTTAAGGTTTCTCTTCTAAAGGCTGATACTGTATGATGAAAAATCACCACTACTCTTGAGTCAGTGTTACGATAATCCTGTTATGGCAAGTGATTATCTATATTCAAAACCATACATATGCCTCAGAAATGTTATTGGCCATGTATTTCAGTGTATATCATCTTTTAATGTTACCTGTTAAGTTTCTTAGGAAATTGATACCAACCAAATTTTAAGAAGAAATATAAATTTTGCAGCTGAATGAAACAACAGCATATGATATTGAGATATCTTTGCTATTATTAGTGTGGTCTTAGGTAACTAAGATCTTGGTTAGAGCTCAGTGATTTCTATGACCAATTCATATTTTAAAATTTAATGATATAATCTCACTGATAGCAAAGACTCTATCTTGTGGCTATGGAACAGAGAAGTGCCCAGCACACAAAATATATATTTCTTGATTACCTAACGAATTAATGATATTATAATATTCATCACTGGAAAAATAATTAGCAAATGAATCTCCCATGTTTATAAATCATTTCCACATGTTAACTTTCATTGTTCATGCTAATCGTTCAAAATATTTTGTTGTTCATGCTAATCATTGATTCAAAGTATTTACATACAGAGTCATTAACCGAGTTTGGCTTTCTAACGTTAAAATTAAGACTGGTACTGGATACACATAAATATGTTATTAATAAATGGCTACAAATGATCTAGTAGTTTAAAGACTTACATAGCAGAACCAAAACTCTAAAACTCCTAGAAGAAAATAGGGAAAAAACTCCTTGACATTGTTTTTCACAAAAATCAACAAGTGACTATATCCAACTAGAGAATGTCTGCATAGTAAAGAAAAACATTAACAACATAAAAAGGCAACATACAAAATGGGAGAAAATATTTGCAAACCTTGTATATGACAAGGCGTTAATATCTAAATATAAGAAACTCACACAACTAAATAGCAAAGAAGCAAATAATCTAATTTAAAAATTAGCAAAGGACCTGAATAGACATTTTTCAAAGGAAGACATACAAATAACCAACAAGCATATGGAAAGCTGTTCAACATAACTAATCCTCATGATAATGCAAATCAAAACCACAATGAGGTATCACCTCACATCTGTTTGAATGGCTATTATGAAAAAGACAAGAGGTAACAAGTGTTGGTGAAGGTATGGAAAAAAGGGAACCCTTGTATACCATTGGTGGGAATACAAATTGGTATGATCATCATGGAAAACAGTATGAAGGCTCCTCAAAAAATTAAAAATAGAACCACGACATGATTCAACAACCTAATTTCTGGGTATATATCCAAAGGAAGTGAAGTCAGGTTCTTGAAATAATATCTGCAGTGCTATGTTTTTTTGCAGCATTATTCACAATAGCTAAGATATGGAAGCAACCTAAGTGTCTGCTGAGAGATAAATAAAGAAAATATGGTTTATGTACACAATGTTATGCTATTCAGCCTTTAAGAAGAAGTAAATCCTGCCATTTGTGACATTATGGTTGAACCTGTGAGACGTTATGTAAAGTGAAATAAGCCATACACAGAAAGAAAAATACTGTGTGATCTCATTATATGTGGAATTTAAAACATTCAAAAAGCAGAAAGTAGAAAGGTGGTTCCTAGGGGCTGGGGGCTGATGTAAATAGGGAGATGTACAAAGGGTACAAAGTTTGAATTGTAAGATGAATAAGTCCTGGAGATCTAATTTACAGTATGATGAATATAGTTAATTATGCTGTATTGTTTACTTAAAATTTGAAGAGAGCAGACACACACACACATGCAAATAGTAACTGTGGGTAGTGATAGATATGTTAATGGATTTGATTATGAAAATCATGACAGAATGTCTAAGTATATGAAATCACATTGTACACATTGAATACATATAATTTTGATTTGTCAATCATATCTCAATGTAGCTGTTCTAGTAGTTTTGGTGCTTAACACATAAAATAAGTTGCTAGCTGCTTGACTTCAGATATGAACCAAGTTATCTTTAGCATGCACATGTATCACTGTTTGTATGACAATTTTTTATAAATTTTTGAAGGATGGTGTTAGTTTAATTAATAAAAGGAAATACCTACCATTTAGAAATTAAAATTTCATTTGTATTTGTGTTCTAGAGGGTAACTATTTGCTAGCCCATGTGTTTTTCAGTAAACTCTATTTCCATGACGTAACTACTGTATTAGTTTGTTCTCATGCTGTTAATAAAGACATGCCTGAAACTGGATAATTTATAAAGAAAAGAGGTTTAGTTGACTCACAGTTCGGCAGGGCTGGGGAGCCTACAGGAAACTTATAATCATGGCATAAGGGGAAGAAAGCATGTGCTTCTTCACATAGTGGCAGCAAGGAGAAAGTGTCAAACAAAAGGAGGAAAAGTCCCTTATAAAACCATCAGATCTCATGAGAACTCGCCTACTATCATGAGAACATCACGAGGGTAACTGCCCCCATGATTAAATTACCTCCCACTGGGTCCCACCCATGACACGTAGAGATTATGGGAACTACAATTCAAGGTGAGATTTGGGTGGGGACACAGCCAAACCATGTTGACTACCAAGAAAAACAAAGCATGTATTTAACTTACCTATGAAATTCAAGCATATAACATCTTACTGTTGGACAATAGCTTTTTGTAATACAGATACCTTGATTCAATTATAATTAACAATGAAAGTGTGAACACAATATTGATTAATAATTTTCTGTTTTTAAATATTTTTTCAGGTTTTATCAGACTCACACAGATATACCACGTTAAAGGCCAAGTGCTGGTTAATGACTATGGAAATACTCTGATCTTTACGTGTTTTTTAAGTATTTATTATGGTAGTTGTAAAGGATAAGTCTATATTAAAATGTTTAACAAAGTATGAAAATAGACATTTTTGACTGCAAAAGGTCCAGAGTAGAGGAGGGTAGAGTGATTTTATATTTTACATACATAGCATAGCATAATATGGATAAAATAGCATAATATACTGAATAAATATGTTCAAGTGTGTTTACAAATCACCTCCGACAACAAAATTTTAGAGTAGATGAATAATCTCTTAAGATATAATGAAGAAAAAATCTTTATAAAACATTCCTTTTATAGGACAGAATAAATAGAAGGAAAGAAACAAATTGGTCTGACAGTGGTCTTTGTTTCTCATGTTTGCTCATATGAAGCCAAGAGTGGTAGATAAATTAAAATATTAATAGGAAATCTTGTGCTGCATTTAACCATGATAAGTCTCTACTAGGCAGCCTCACTTTGCTTCCAAACATTTTGCTTCAGTGTTTGGAAAGCAGATGGGGAAAATTAAAATTGAAAAAAAAAAAGTCATGCTTTCAAAGGCATCTGAGAACTAATAAATGAACTCATTTTTACTGGTATGTTTGCACCTTCTTAATAGAAGTGTCAAGGTTGTTTCCTATAGTTTCCTGGCTGATTATGACATACTTACTTTAGCCACATCTTAATATGAGTAACAGACTTATACAAATGTGTTTCTCAGAAATATCTTCTGTGCTCCTATTCAACTGATATGTTTCAAAAGTGCTGCAAATAATAATCTTTTTAAATATAAATCTGTTTCACAGTAGGACCTTTAGTTAACCATTTCATTAGTATGATTTATGCTTAGCCATCATATCTATCCACAAGCATTTAGACTCACAGATTTAATGAGAAAACTCTCAAGGCCATGATTTATAAACATAATTCTGCCGTAAATGATAACGTACTGAGTAATTTCCTACTCTGTGGCCACAATAACTGGTCCTTGTGAAGTCTGGCTGGATAGAAAAATTATCAAGTAGCTACAATCTGGTAATCTGCAAACTTGAGACATATAATTTAGCACTAAAATTTTATAGTACTGATTATATTAATAAATATTACAGCAATTATTGTGGAGAAAAAGGTGACGATGAAATAGTAGTTAGACACATGGCAACTGGGTCATTTTTAAATGGGGCTAGCACATAAACATTTATGCCAACATTCCTATACTAAATACCTTTTGTTTTGGGGTGGGATGACAGAGTCTTGTTCTGTTGCCCAGGTTGGAGTGCAGTGATGTGATCTCCGCTCAATGCAACCTTCTGCTCCAAGGTTCAAGCGATTCTCCTGCCTCAGCCTCCTAAGTAGCTGGGACTTCAGGTCCACACAACTACGCCCAGCTGATTTTTGTATTTTTAGCAGAGACAGTGTTTTGCCATGTTGGCCAGGCTTGTCTTGAACTCCTGACCTCAAGTGATCTGCCCGCCTCAGCCTTCCAAATGCTGGCATTACAGACATGAGCCACTATGCCCAGCCAAAGACAAATATATATATATATATATATATATATATATATATATATATATATATATATATATATATATATTCAGTAGTTTCAAGACTGCCTTGAGCTGTTCTGTTTACTCATTCATTTTTTGAGCATCATTTTTTCAGGCACTATGCTATCAACAGAAAGATCAAAGAAAAATGAGACACTGGCCTATATTATAGTTTCAGTAAGGGATACAGATGTGCAAAATGACAACTACAGTGAAATTAGGATTCAAATGAAAGACAAGGAGCCAATGGATTGCAAAAAAGGGAAGAACTAACTAGGTTTGGGGGCATCAGGAAAGGTTCTATAGAGCATGTTTTATTTGAGTGATATCAAGAAATGGGTAAGAATTTTTTAAGGGAAAAAGTAATTAGAAAAACGTATGCTCATCAAAGGAAGTAATGTGTTCAAAACTCAGAGTTGTGAATGGACATTATGAGTTCTGCGATAATTACAAAATGATTGGAGATTAGGGTTGTAGAGTGAGAAGAAACAAAAATGAAATGGAAATGCTAGTAGTAGCAAAACTATGAAGGCAGGGCCATGAAGATGATGCTAGGAGGTTTAGTCTTTGCTGTATTGTTGACAGTATAATTTATAGCCCTGCTGGGACTCATCTGATAACAAAAGCAAGTAAAATTTTTAAAAATCCCTTTTGGAGCCTATTATAATAGTTGCAATCATGATGTAAGTCAGTAGCAATGGAGATGGTAAGGAAACAGAATTCACTACACATATTTGAAGTAGAATTAATTGGCTATTATGACCAATGAAATGTGAAGTGGGAGAAAGAAGAGGATAGAATATCCGGGTTGTCACAAAAGAATTTACCACAGAAAATTTATGTATACTAACAACATTTTTTAGGATAGAATTCATAGGATGGGAAGTATCGGGTGGGGGATGGCAATGGAAATGAGGCTATACAAGGATTTCAGTTTTGAGCATGTTGAGTCTGAAATGCCTCTGGCAGACCAGGAAATTTAAAATGTACTTGTGGACTGAGAAGATACACTAATTTACAGATATATAGATATAGATATAGATACAGATATAGATAGATATAGAGCTTTCAGAGCTATCTACATACAAAGAGTAGTTGAGGCCATGAAAGCAGATGAGATTATGCATCTCATTTACTAAGATGAAGAAACAAATGAGGATCAAAGTTAGTGCCATAAGAAACACATTTAGTAGTACTCCGTAAGAGGGGAAGCCTGGGGTCAAGACATGAAATGACCAAAGGAGCAATAGCAAGCTGTGCTGGCCCTGGAAACAAGAATAGAAAGAATTAAAAAAATGGTCAACAGAATCAAGTGCTTTAGAAAGAGATGAGGTGGGATCTGAATAAAAGTGACCACTAGATTTAGCACTTGCACAATTGCTAATGCCTTACCAAGGGTTTAGACTCAAGGAATGTCTGGAGAGAGCAAGAAATGAAGCCATCAAGTGATTATTCCTCCAATTAGTTACCAATGAAGAAAAGAAGAAATATTGAGTGATAGTTTGAGAAAAAAAATTTTAGAATAGATGAGTCTTTATCATTCTTTATAGACTGAAGAGAAGTCAGAGGAAGAGCAATTAGCATTATAGGAAATAGAGGAAAATGTGATGGAGCAATGTGTGAGGCAGGTATGGTAATATTTAACTTTGAGGAAAAGTGAATATGTCTTATTTTAAGAATGCAGAAAAAGTGACAAGACAAGTACTATTTTCAGAACATATAGAGGAAGAGAGAAAAAAATTAAAAAGTTGAATATTTTCCATTGTAAAAGAATACACAATGTTATTCAAGAAATGAATTCAAAACTATTCATGCCAAATATGTGAGGTTTTATATTACATACTAGGTGGTGGGAAATGAAATGGAATGTTATTTTTAGGCCTATTCATGAAAATTTATTCTGTCATCTCCCCAAGGATAATAGCAATCATATTTGGTAGATATTGTTCTATGTTAGCTTGACATTGTCTAACATTTGCAAAAAAGAATAGGCAAATAGCTAACACTTAATGAGCATCTATTCTGTGCCAGATACTGTTCATCATATTTTCCAAAAGTCCTTTGATAAAAGCATTATTGTCCACATTTGGTAGAAAATGAAATAAAAGCTGGGAAAGGTTAAGGTTAAGTGGTCACATGACTAGTTAATAACGGAGCCAAGATCCTAACATAAGAATCTATGTTCTTTTCCATTGCACCAGGACACTTTTCTCTAAAAGGCTGTCTTCATTTTCAGTATTTCCTCTAAGTTAAAATTCTAGAAAATATCTTCGTGAGGAATGATTAACAGTATCACATTAATAGTGTCACACAAGACATTAATCTTCAAAAACTTCTCTGAGGGACTGGTGGAGAAATGATTGACCAAGATGTTCATGGAATGGACCTGAGACATTTCCTTGCCAGTGGGAGTGAGGGGTAGCGAATTTCAGTAGTTAATATTGTTTTGCTTGTGCTCGTAAGCTGATCAGTTCTGGAGACATCTGACTATAAAACAACCAAGGCATTCAGGGAGAGCAAGAGGAAGAATAAAACTTACAACCATGGCAGGAGTCTATTCATGACTCCAGAATCACTTTAGGATCAAAAGGTTTTAAAGTTGCCTTTAAATCCAGATGATGGGATAATAAAAACCAACAAACTTTATTACCTTGACTGTGGTGCTATGGCTAAGCTGAACCTACAGGTCAAGTGTAACCCCAGCTGTAGGGAACAAGAGGAATTAAAACCTGAAAGTTAGGATAGAACCCCAAGAAAAGGAATTATTTTACGTTTAATTAAATTAAGTATGTAGTTCCTCTGACTAATCCTGAACATTACTTGGATAGCTAAGAACACCAATAATGTTTACTTAGTGTTAGAGATATTGTATTGACTTTAAAATACCAAGGAATCTACTAGGACATGCCAGGAAGATTATAACGTGGTTGAGTTATTTTTCCAGATGCAAAACCTGGTTGTTTATGAAAAGTCACAAAACCTAAGAAAGATTGAATATAGTGAACGAAATTATAATTATTTCTTGATTATTAGTTTTCCTCTGCGTAAGTATATTGAACAAGGAAACATGAGGTACTCAGAATTATTCAGTTTGGGCTATTTATCACACAGGGTCAATATACATCTAGCACATTCACTATGATTAATGCAGTCCAATTAGAGAGATATATGTAGGCAGCAGCAAGACTCATTTCATGGTAAAGAGAAACAATTTTTTATTTTTTTTCCAGCCCCAGTCAACTTTTTTTTGTTCAATAATAAATCTCAAATGCAGTTCACTTAATTGAACCAAATGGTCATGAGGAAAAGGCAGCTGCAGACTTATACTAAGCAGATAGCTTTGAGGAACACTGTCATTTTTCTATTTGTTCTATCACTAGTGATAATTGGGCTTACTTCCTAGCAGTTGGATACTTTCTGTAAAAAAGAAAATATAAAGCTAAAATTATAGACATTATGCTGTGCCTGAAAGAGAAAAGAAATGAGAAGATATAATTGAACCTGTAAAGGGTTCATTTGTAGATGGGACATTTCCTCCTGGGAAATGAAAGATCTCACAGTAATACAATGAATATACTTCTGATTTATGGTAATTAATTCTGAATGTGGGTTATCTACCACATTGCTCTCTATAGAAGATGAATTGTACAACTAAATTATCAGGGTCTTGGAAGTAAAATTAGCATAACCTTAACAGAAAGTGAAGTTTTGTACCTCATCTTCACATAGAAAGCATAGATCAAGCCATCCTGTCTTATTTCACTGCCCAGAGGTCCAATTATAAAAAGGAAATGAAGCAAAGAAGGAACAGCTTTCCTATGTATTCTTCCATGACATGAGTTTTTTTGGTTATCACACCAAGTTTAGGGGAAGATTGAGATACCTTCACTCCATTAATTCTGACCTCAAGATAAGAGTCAGATGAGAGTGGATATTGTCCCCTGTGGAAGAATGTTTCTTCATACCTAGATTTGGAATAGAATAGTGTAATCTAACATATTGAAAGGTTCACATAACTAACTCTATAAAAATGACAACTTATAATGTGCTCCTAACAGAAATTTTGGAGCCACCTTGCTTGAATTTGTATGCCACTTAATCTTGAACAGTTTATTAGGGCTTTAACCACAATTATTGACTGTATCAGAGCTGCAAAACTCACCTTTAACATTTAGCCTCCAGCTATTTCTAAAGGAAAGTAAACAACAATTGTCCACTTTCATTCTCTCTTTGAACTGCTAAGTAGTAAGTTAGTTCAGTCAAAATGCTAAAATCAGTGGGCTTAAAGAAATAGTTACAAAATAATCAATACCATCTATTCAGGAAAGCAAACTGTGGGGTCATTTATGCAGTCAGAATCAAACCTAGGAACTGAATTTATACAAATTTAAATACTCACATAAACAAGAGCAGAAAAACTAAAACCATCTGAATTTTTCCTAATATTCAAGATTTAGCATCCAATAGAATAATTTCTGAATTTCACTGTTTATTTCATTTCAGTCATCTGCTATTAGAAGGTATTTCTTAGAGCAGATTTTAAGGTTCATAGCAAACTTCAGATGAAGAAATACAGATTGCCCCCCAAACCTCTGCATGCACACCTACATATCCTGCCCCATTATCAACATCCCCCAACAGAATGGTACATTTGGTAGCATCAATGAGCCTACATTGAAACATTATTACCCAACTTTGGATGTCTGCATTCTATGGGTTTTGAAAAAATGTATAATGGCATGTGTCCACCATTACAGTCTCATATAGGGTAGTTTCACTTACCTAAAAGTCCTCTATACTTCACCTATTCATTCTTCCTTCCTTACTCTGGGTAACTATTGATACTTTTACTATTTTCATACTTTGTCTCTTCTAGAAATTTATATAGGTGGAATAATTCAGGATGTAGCTTTTCAGATTGGCTTCTTTCACTTAGTAATATGCATTTATGGTTTCTCCATGTTTTTTCATGGCTTGATAACTCATGTTGAATAATATTTTAGTGCTGAATAATATTTCATCATCTGGATATACTACAGTTTATCCATTCATCTACCGTAGGGTATCTTGATTGCTTTCAAGTTTTTTTTTTGCCATTATGAGCAAAGCTGTTACGAATATTCATGTGCTCATTTTTGTGTGGACATAAGTTTTCAACTTACTTGAGTAAATACAAAGGAGTGTGATTGTGAGATTATATGGTAAGAATATGTTTAGTTCTGTAAGAAACTGCCACACTGTTTTTCTAAGTGGCTGTACCATTTTGCATTCCCACCACAATAAATGAGAATTCCTGCTGTTCCACATCCTTACCAGAATTTTGTGTTGTTAATATTTTGCATTGTGGACACTCTAATATAGGTGTGTAGTAATATTTCATTGTTGTTTTAATTTGCAATTTCCTAAGGACCTATGATGTTAAAAGATTTTTCATATATCTATTAGCTATCTTCATGTCTTCTTTATCAAGGCTGTGTTAAAGTATTTTGTCCATTTTTTCAATCAGGTTTTTGGTTTCTTATGTTGAATTTTAAAAGTTGTTTGCATATTTTGAATAACAGTCTTTTATTAGATGTCTTTTGCAAATGTTTTCTCCCAGTTTGTGGCTTGTCTTCTCATTCTTTTGGGTTTTGCAGAGCAGAAGTATTTAATTTCAGTGAGGCCCAGACTATCAATTATTTATTTCACTGATCATACCTTAATGTATATAAAAAGCCATCACCATACCTAAGGTCATTCAGATTTTCTCCTATGTTATTTTCTACTCATTATACAGTTCTGCATTTTAATTTTAGGTCTATGTTTGCTTTTGAGTCCATTTATGGGAGCAGTGTAGGATCTGTATATAAATTCTTTTTTTAATGTGCGTATTCAGTTGTTCCAGCACTAAGACTATTTTTTCTCTATTGTATTGCCTTTGATTTTTTGTCAAAAATTACTTGATTATGTGTATGTGGATCTACTTCTTGGCTCTCTTTTCTGTTCCATTGATCTATTTGTCTGTCATTTTGCCAATAGCTACACTGTCTTGATAACTAGCTTTATAGGAAGTCTCGAAGTCGGATATGTCAGCCCTCCACCTTTTCCTTCAATATTGTGTTGACTATTCTGGGTCTTTTGCCACTTCATATAAACTTTACAATCAGTTTGTCAATATTCACAAAATGAGTTATTGAGATTTTTATTAGGATTGTATTAAGTCTATAAATCAAGTTAGGAAGAACTGAAATCCTGACATTAATGAGTCTTCTTATTCATTAACATGAAATATCTTTCCATTTGTTTAGTTCTTCTTTGATATTTTTTATCAAAGTTTTATAGTTTTCCTGATATGGATCTTATACATATTTTGTTAGATTTATGCTTAACTATTCCATTTTTGTGTGTGCTAAAATAAATGGTAATGTGTTTTCAATCTCAAATTCCACTTTTTCATTGTTGGTATATAAAAGTAACTAATTTTTATAAATTAGTCTTATATTCTGCAACCTTTCAATAATCACTTACTGGTTTCAGGAAGAGTTTTTTTGTAGATTATTTTGGATTTTCTGAATTATCATTTTTAGTTATTCAGTTATATGTTATATTTCCCTATTCCTTATTTCTTTCATATGTACAATTAATTCAGTGTCAGAATGTAGCTTGTTGGGTTCCAGAATTATACTCTACAAGTCACTCCGTCTTAGTACATGCCTTCACAATATGGATTCTCCACTTAAGTCTCAGCCTTATTCATGTAGAAATAATTGACACTCATAAGGGCCATGAGAGTATTTGTCATGTGCAGATTTTCTCAGACCCCAGGCAAGGGCATACTGCTCCTACTCATGCAGCCCCTTATAGTACCACACTTTGTAAAACAGTTTTTGCTATGCTAAAGCATTGTTTGTAATTGCGGTACATTGGAAACAACCCAATAACCTATCAATATAGAAACAGTCAATTAAATTTTTGAGCTTCCACAACCTGAAAAATATATAAATGTTTTTTAAATGAGGCAAATGTATATATTCTATACATTTTAAAAAGTAGAGTGGCGTGAGTGAATTTTATCTCTTATACTGAATGTATAAGTATGACCATAGTTTTAAAATAAAAAAGTTGGACATTAACACATATTAAACTATATAGAAAAGTTTGAGGAGAGTAATATTGCATGCTCTTATTTGTAGTTACTCCAGGGTTAGATAGAAGGCAAATGGAGAGATGAGGGGAATTTTTATTTTTATATAAAATATTAATAATTAAGTTTTTAAACATTCTCTTCTTGAAAACAGGAAAATAAATTTAATGGTCTTTACAGTTACCTTTTAGTGAAATCCCATGCTTTGTAATATTGTCTGCAATAGAAATACTGACTTTTACAAAAACGAAATTTAAAAAAGAATATGTGAATGAAGTTTATGAGTATCTTATGCTTTTTAAATTGTTCTATATATCATTAAGAAAGGGAAAAGAAGGATTTGCATATGGCTTTATCTTCTAGCATCATACCAGTAGCACCGAATGCATTCTTTAAAGTGTTATATCTATCTATTGCCAGCAGCAGTGATATATTTAGATATATATATATATATAAATTTAGGTATATATATATCTGTATATATGCATGTGTATATGATTATATATATAACATCTGTGTATATATATGTACACATTCTTCATTCACATATTCTTATATAGATATATGCATATATGTATATCTGGATGTATATAATCATATACACATACATATATACATACAAAATTATCTTAACACCTGCCTATTATTTGAAAATGAAACAGTTGACATTTTGAGCATGGCACAAAAATATGGACAGAGGTAAGCTTTTTTATTAAACATTACTTTCTTAGGTAACTATTGATATGATATATCCCCTTGACTCTATAAATAAATTAATATATAGTTTTCCGGACAGGTTATTGTTCAAGTAAAACTGAGGTTTATTTTGTGACACAAAAACAATGAGCAGAGAAAAGAGATGTAGTAAAGCATATCTGACCTGGCAGATTATTATACAAATTCTCTGCTCTAATCAAAATGCTGTGTGTGTTTGTGTATGTGTAGATGAATAGTGAGAGAGAGGAAAAAACACAATATTAGATATACCTACTATATCCCAGGCAGATATTTAATCCTCACAATAACACTTGAAAGTAAACGTTATTAACTGCATGTTCTAGATGAGAAAATGAAAACTCAGAGAATTCCGCAGGTCTGACTGACACTAAAATGTCTGGGACTTTTCATAGATGTTGTATAGGCAGGCCAACCACATACTGTAATGTTGCCCTCTGTCTGTACAAGTATCACCTCTCTACTCAGAGTGAGGTCCTACTTATTCTACAGCCAGGCTCTTAACTTTTCCCAAATCCCTCATCTGACGTTAAAATATACATATCCTCAATTTAGTACAGTATCCTATTGGGCACTTAATTTTAATAAAGTAAACTTCTCTAAGTGGCTTACAAATGTATCTTCTCATATATTATTTTAGGACCATTTTATTTGTTATAAAAATCTTAAAATTTTATAAGGCTGTGTAGTGAATTTCCCACTGTATATAAGAATACAGTCAGCTACACGCCTATAATTAGTACACCATTCAATTTGACAGCCATAATAATAATAAAAGATTCTGAAAATGCCAGTCTATTAAAAGGAATAAATACCTAATTGCAAGATTTCTGGCATGAGAGATAACCGGTTAAACAAATAATTTATGACATGATCTCTTATTTGTTGCCCTCAGATCATAGTATATTGGTTACTACTTGTTTATTATTTTTTATTTGAATAAAATGTCTAATTCTATGTCAAATCGTGGAAAGCATACAACCACCTTTAATAGCATATATTGCAGCACATGTTAAGAACTCTTATTTATTAACACTTTAGTGAAAGTTAATGTAATTAGTTTTATGAATATGAGGTAACATATTTCTTCCACCTGGTTGTCCTAAAATTATCCTTTCAATGAAAAAATATTTTATCACTGGGCTCAGGTTTGGAAGGAATGTGTTATTAGCATTTCTTGTGAAAGATGTATGTTCTTAAGAAACACAATTTTCTGGATTTTACCATTTCCATATCATTTATAAAGTTTAGTTTGAGAGCCCACAATGGTACTTCCAAAAATGTTGGTAATGTAAAGTAATCAAACATGCCTGGAATATTCTTCAAAGGTTGGTTAAACATCTTATAAAAGTAATTAGCAAATCCATCTGGACCAGGGGCTTTTCCAGATGGGAAACTTTCATTACTACCCATCATTTTCCATAGTTTATTATAGGTATAGTTTTATTTTGAGAGGGTCACAGATAGATGTGTATAATAAATAAAGCAACAAAATTGTTTAATATTTGGGTAAGAGATCCTTCTGTATAATCATATATAAAAATTAAGCAATAGCATATTTCTGATGAGTCTGTGTTAACAGACTTTTTTATTTATATTATTCAGAAATATGTGTATTTTAAAATTTCAACGGAAAAAATTGTGATTATCCATTTCTTTAAAAATTACACAATGTTTTCTTTTACTTTTGCAGCTCTATCAATACCAGATAGTGAGATGTAACATCCTGAATATATGAAGCTTCCTAAAAATGTTAAATTCTTACAGATTGGCATTTTAAGACACAACCATACTGAATGAACTGGTAGAGAAAGAATATTCAAAAACATAGGGAATCAACTGTTTGAATATTTGTTCAATTAAATTTAACAAATATTTCTGAATCCTTATTTTAAGCCTGGCATTGTTATAGGTACAAATAAAAATATAAAGTATGTAAAATAGTAGTTTAGGAGAGGAGATAAAAATATAGACAAGGGATTGAATTGTAGCTTGACAAGTGAGGTAAAAGAGCATGTACTAGATACAGTAGTGGCGAAAGCAGGGGTGCTCTACTTTTCTTGGATTTGGTAAGAAGCTCTACAGATGCAGAGATGCTGAAAATGCTGTCCTGGCATTTGTGAAGGAAGTAACTTTCCAGGCAAAAGGAACTGCATGAGTAGAGACACAGAGCACGACACATCAAGAGGCAAATGGCCTCTCTTTGTTTATGATGGCAATAAAATATTGACTTTCCCCACATAGTTAGTGAAATATAGAATTAGGAACTTAAAAAGAATACGTCATAGCCCCCTTACACCAAGAAAGAGAACATGCCCTAAAGAAATTAGGCTCTTTTGGCCTTAGCACCATTTTCTCAGAAACTTCTGCTCCATGAGAGCCAAGTGGAGAAAGAGGTACATGTGTAGATTAAAGCACAAAAGAAGAAAGATGAAGCTGAGATCCAAGTAAATTGCCAGCATGTGCTCTCATGGAGGTCACAGGAGCAGAATATGGCATGCCAGTGACTGAGGACGATGATACAAGTTGTTGGACTGCATGCTGCTCTAGAGGTTGTCTCTCAATTGATCTAGAATTTCCATTGCCATCTAATTGCCAAGACCATCTCTGAGAAAACCACCTTGCCCATTACCAAAACAGTTCCTGTTGACCTTTGCCCCGGGCCTCTGATATTCTAGACTACATCTCTTCTCTTCTCAGTTGTTGCCAAGTGTAACATGTAATTACAAATTTGTAATAAAGAGCAATTATACAATATATTATTTCTTCTGCTCTCTTAGTTAAAGAATCAAACAGACAGGAGAAGACAGAAATCAGCACACTAGGGGCTTTAATCTGAAAATGACTGATGTGAGTCTTCATCAGATTCAAAAAATTCATTCAAATGAATGTCCCCAATGAAATTACTAAACAGGCCAAAATGTGCCACTGACGGGACTTTACTTAAGGCTTGAAATGTTAGCTGGGGTTAAGCAACATTAGACAAGGACATTTAGCTGAGCTATAACCTACTTTCCCTCTAGGGCTGAGATGATGTCTTTTATTATCCCGAGAAATTTGTTATAATAAATTCGGTTGAGGTGTTCTCTTCTCCATTTCTTTTCTTCCCCTAGAGCATAAGGCACGGTTGGTTTACACAGCTCAATCTCCTTCACGGCCTGGGGACATTCTAGTATAGTAGAAGAATCCTTCTTTTATAGAAACACACACACACACACACACACACACATACACACACACACAGCTGTTTCGCTCACTGTTGTCAGAAGCAACTTGTTCTAAAGGGAGGGAGGTGAGTAATGAGTGCCTGCACTAATTCACACTTTAAAGAGGACACAGATGAGTCATTTGAATACATTTTAGTGTTGGCCTTCAAATAGCAGCCTACCCAGACTTAGAAAGACAATATTCTGGGGGCAGCAGCCCTTGTCTTAGGGACCAAAGTCATCCTACAGTTCAAGCCAATGGTCTAGACCAACCTAAGCAGAAAGCATAATCTAGGCTCTTACCAGCCAACCTTGGCTAATGGAACCTGTTGCAGAACAGACAGACATGGGTTCCAAGACTGAGATATGTAAGATCAGGAAAATAGTTTCACCCTCTTCGGGTGGGTCCAGAGATATTTTCAATCTCACAGCCCCTCTGCACTGAATGCAGGTGACTCTGAGCCATTTTGAGGGAAATACATACATACACAAAGGACATTTTACAATATAAGTTTTTTCTGAGAATAACTTTCAACTGACCTTCCCTCACTATTTTAAATTGGCAAAACTGATGATCAAGAAGAGTCACAGATAGATACTTTCCCAATTCAAATTCAAAGAGCATGAAATGCTAATGGTTATATATATATATATATAATATATATATATATAACATATATATTATATATATGTTATATATATAATATATTATATATATATTATATATAATATATATAATATATATATAATATATTATATATATAACATATATATTATATATATATATATAATATATATATACATATATATATGGAAACAAAGGGATTTTGATGGTCCAATCAGTTTGAAGAAAGTTTGAGTTAAACAAATTAAATAAATTAGATTGCAAGACTTCTCAAAGACTTTTTTCATGTTTATTAAAATCTTGAATCTCTAAGAAAGATATGTAATGGTGACTATTTCCCAAATTATTTACGAGTAGAATCATTCCTATCTAAACCTATATGAATATCTCACTGAAGACTAGTGTTCTGTGGACTGAGAGATGCTGGTTTAATAATAAAAATAATAGCTAATATTCACAAAATTTGAATTCTGTGTGTCTTAAGTCAGCTCCAGGAATATGTATTTTAAGACACCAATTATTCTACTTGCACAAATTGTGGGTATAAACCAAGAGCAACCTCTGACAAAAGAATATGTTCAAGTTCTTTCAATTTAGGGCCAGAGGGTGGAAAAAGAAAAGTTGGATGAAGACATTTTTGGGAGTTCTCCAAATTTCAAACAGTAGAAAAAGTTGGTAGTGGCAAGAGTTGGGATAGATAAGCTCCATAAGGGCCCCTGATAAATGAGACTCATCCTTGGAAGTATAATACCTTAAGTCTTTATAATTTGCCATCTTGGTTGTAGCATAATCTGTTCCAATATAGTCTGATAATAATTGGTTGAGTATCTATTTATGCAGACATTTACCACAAATGATTTAAAGTTGTGGGTGGAGAAAGACGTGAATGCATGCTGTACTTGTTTGGGAGAGGTTTGAAAACATAAGCGTAAAGCATATAAGTAACAGAACGGAGAAAGTCACATGTGAAGCAAACATAGTAAAACACAAGACTGTGTATATGTTATACCATGTACAAGGTGAAAGAATGAGTATGGCAGGGAGAAAGTGTGGAGGCTCTGTGGAAGAGGTAGGATTTGAGCACAGCTGTGAAGAAGCAGGAAGACTTGGACAGAAGGAGGACATCCAAGTGAAAGAGAGAATTTTAAAAAAATAGTATACAGGGAGAGAAGTGCAAGACCTGTTCATAAAAGAGGCAGTTTCATTTTGTTGGATTATAGGATCATAGGAGGATGTGGCAGGATGTAAGGTAGAAAAAAATAGGTTGATTACAGATCAAAGAGGATCTTGAATATCATATTGAAGTCTATGAAATTTCCTTTATAGATATTGACAAACCTCTGGAAGGTTTGGCGAATGTTCTTGTAAGGAATAAAATAAGAAGACTGAATGATGAACAAGAATGGGTCAAAACTCCTAGTCAGATTTGCAGTGGAGGATGAGACCTCATTATAATCTCTTACTTCCACCTGTGCAAATCATTAGCTGACAGCTCAAATGTCAATCCATGTGGAGTCACTCAGAGCTAGGTTAACCCACTGGGTCATATGGAAACTTTTTATTTCTATGGAATAGAGTCAGCCTGGGTAGACACTCTAGAGTACATGCTATACATTTTGAAGACTTCTGATATCTGCAGTGAAGAAAACATTAAAATGTTTTCACAGTTCTCTGTTTTTAAAGAAAATTCCATTAGAATAGTAAATAAACCCAACTTTATCTTCTATATTTAATGTACACTATATAAGAAAGATAAAAGGCAGTTTATGTATTTTAAAGTTCTGCTCAATATCTGCTATATGTATGTATATATACATACAGACACAGAGAGAGCTATTTCAAGAAGTAGCTGCACAGCTTCACAATTTTAATAATTATTTTTGTCATACTGTTGTGGCAGAGGATCTCAAATTCTATTCCTTAGTGACTCAGCGATTGTTTCACAGTGCTGTTAGGCCAAAATAAATGCCTGATAGTTCCATTTATTTGGTAGTTAGGTCTCAAAAACTCAATAAGAATTTACTAGCAACTTGGAAATCATTTTTGCCATATATTGACATAATAATATTTCTATTCTTAAATAAGCATGGTCACTTAACAATGGAATGCATGAAGATGTTGGATATTGTACATCTTCTAATGCACAAAACTCAAATTCAAATTTGCCACTGCTACTGTTATTTCCTGCTCCACATTGATTTTCATGTGGTGTTTCTTTTATCCATAGAAATCACAAAGACAGCTTCACAACAAATATTGACATTATCTAAAGGCATATAGCGCTATCTAATGTTGAAACTATAAATTACCTCAAGCTTGTATGTGCAGTGTTGCTGTTTCCCCTGAAAATATTAAATATTTCAGGGCACTTCTTTGAGCTCACTGCATCACCACAGAATATCTTGGCACAGAGTTTGGAGAACATGGCCATAGTGCTTGCTTTTGAACACCTGGTTTTAGGACATGAAAGTGGCAGGTAGGGAAAGAAGGAATAACGTGTGTCAAAAAACAAGAAACTGACTTCTGAACAAGGAGTAATAAGAGTAGGCAGTCTGGTGACAGAAAAGTCTCAAAATGTTTATGGCTAAAAAACAATTTGAGGCTCAAATACATGCAAATAATATTTTTCGTCAACGGACCACTACAGCAAAGATAATGGCATCAGATGACCGCCCTTCGCCCCCATTTAAAGTTGTCCTTAAATACCTTTCTTATTCCACCAAGTTTGGCTCAGTCCCTGTGATCAGGATCGGGGGATGTGTGATTAAGAGGTCTTTGTAAATTCCCGCTAATATTAAGTCAGTACCCAACAGTACTGCTTGTAGTTAAATAGTAGTTTCAAAATTTTGGAAATATTTTGGATTTCACAAGAGAAGATTTTTTAACTTTCAATTTATTTTTTTAATGAAGTTCATTTTCTTTTAGTCTAATTCCGACATTTAAAATTAAAGTGTGCCTGCATATCAATCTCTCAGTGACTGCCTTTAAAAATGATTTTTAAAAGCCCACATATCAGAGTAATTTCTTTCATTACATAAACGACCCTCTGGGGTATGCAGTTTCAAGTATATTTTGGGAAGGATACACTGCAGACTTTTAGAACTTGTGACCAACTTTTAATTCTCTGACAGTCTCAGCAGGCAGTATGGGGTGGGGGGAATTGCTGTCAAAAAAAAAAGTTTTGACTTTAAAAAACTCCATTCTTCACCTCATCTATGCTAACCTGCTTCTGTCATAAAGTGCTACAACCTCATGAAAGAAATAATAATGCAATATAGCAGATTTGTATCTCTATAAACAATGAAGTTTCTCAATTATGCAGAAACCTTTAAGGAACTGCTGCTATTTTTCCGTATGTATATTTGATAATTTTTATTTTTGGAATTTTGAACTTCTTATACCTTTGAATATAATAGAAGAAGTAACACAATCAAACCCTAAATTTCTTCTTTTTTTAAAATCCATGAATTCTATTTGATGTTAGTCTCAGAAAAAACATTTTCACAGATTGAGAAGGTGTTTGATTATAAAAGGTCAAGGCAAAATACCAACATATTTAACCAATACATTTTTGCAGACTGTTTATAGAAATTCTCTGAGTTGCATAGCAACAGGCTTTTTAACTACTACTTGCTATCCAGATTTTAATAATTTAATTAGTGTATTTTGCTTCATTAAATTGCTATATTTAATAGATTAAATGAATTCAATTCATAGCATGTTTTAAATGGATTTTTTACCACTTGCTGTGCAAGTAAGAATATGAACTGTATTTATCTTCTATTCAGATGCAACATAACAGGAATGAAATGGGGGATTTTTGGTTATAACTGGTCTGATCTGAAAGATAAATAGTTAATTAGAAGTTTGGAGAAGGTGAACGTACTTTTCCAAATTATACCATGTTCAGAAAGATGAGAAAGTTCACAGATGTTTTTTTTTTTTAAGATGAGAAAAATAAGTTTGAAGGAAAAAAATACTCTCAATGCTTTGTAATAGTTTTGAAAGTTGGCTTCATGAAGTTTCTAGTTAGGGAATAACTATAAATTGAGATGTATGACTAATCTTTGAAGAGTGGCTTTCTTTTTTCTAATTCTAATATGTAATTTAGAGTTTCAGGCTTCATATCAGCAGCATATCTTAGTAGCCCAATCGGTCCTCCTTATCTCCACCTGGAAGCCGCATAAGCACTTTAAACTTAACATGATCAAAATAGAACCCTTTATCCCCAACCCTCAAAGCTTTTATCTCACCGTCTTCTTTATATTAATAAGTTAATCCAGTGTTTATGCAAGTACTCCAGGCAATAATTCGAAGAGTGTTCTTTGATTCCTCCTATCCCTACACCCCCCGATATCTATTCCATTAATGAGTTCTATTGGTTCTACCCTTAAAATGTGTGTGAATCCTGTTAACTTTTCTCCACCTTTTCTGCTGCCTAGCTAGACCAAACACCATCATCTAAAGATACCATCATGTCAAAGTGCTCTCTCTAAATCCATTGATCTTTCTGCATACCATTCTACACACAGTAGCCAATGAAATCTTTCTATAACATAAATAAGATCATGGGATCCCCTAAATAACTTCTATGGCTCTTCTTTTGCACTTAGAATCAAATTTTTCCTGGAATCCTTGCCCTGACCTGATCTTTCCTAACTCACCAGCATGAGCACATTATACTCTGTAGTTCACACTCAGCCACGTCAGCCTTCCATTGTTTCCTTGACTGTTCTAAGCCCTTCACCACCTCAGCACTTTGTTACATGCACTTCTTGCTGCCTGGAACGCTCTTTCTGCCCTTTTTCCCAACATTGGCTTGCTCTTATTCTTCATATTTTTAGCATAAATGCCACATTTACAGAGAGGCTTTCTCTACATTCTTGTCTAAATATTTTCATGTTCTTTTCCCTTATTTCTCTTTATGTCATCAGTGATTATTTCTGTCACAGCAATTATCACAAATGTTACTTATTTATTTAATATTTTCCCCTAGCTTTATAAAGGCATAATTGAAAATAATAATTGTTCATATTTAATGTGTGCAACGTGATGTTTTGTTTTACGTATAATTTGTGAAATGATGACCACAATTAAGCTACCTAACATATCTATCAACTCACCTAGTTACCTTTTTGTATATGGTGAGAATACATCAGATCTAATTTCTTAGCAAATTTCCAGTATATAACACATTATTAACATGTTATAGTAATATTATATAGTAACAAAATAAATTATTAATTTTATTAATTAATATTATATTAAATCGATATTAACTATAGTCACCATGCTGTACGTTAGGTCTCCCGAGCCTATTCGCCTTCTAACTGAAAGTTTGTACCCTTTGACCAACATCTCCCTGTTTCCCCAACCACCCCCAACCTCAGGTTACCATCCTTCTACTCTCTGTTCCTATTAGTTATCTTTTTTAGATTGCATGTATAAGTGGAATCATGCAGTATTTTTCTTTCTATGTCCAGCTAATTTCACTCAGTAAAATGTGTTCCAGGTTCATCCATATTATCACAAATAGCAGGATTTTCTTATTTCTTAATGCTGAATAATGTTTACATACACACACATACACACCGACCACATTTTCTTTATACATTCATCTGTAAATGAACACTTATATTTTATCTTGACTATTGGAAAAAATGCTGTGATCAACATGGAAGTACAGATATTTCTCTGAGATCTCAATTTTATTTATTTAGGAGATGTGCCCAGAAGTGGGATTGCTGGATCATATGGTAGTCTTATTTTTATTTTTTTTGAGGAACCTCCATATTGTTTTCATAGTGGCTGTACAACTTTACATTCCTACCAACAATGCATAAGGATTCTTTTTTTTCCACACTCTCACCAGCACTTATCTTTTAACTTTTTGCTAATGGCCATCCTAACGGGTGTGAGGTGATATCTTATTGTGGTTTTGATTTGCGTGTTTCCGATGATTGATGATGTTGAGCACTGTCTCATATGCCTATTAACCATTTCATAACCTGAAAATGTCTGTTCAGGTTCTTTGATAATTTTTTAAATAAGGTTATTTAGCTTTATTGTTGTTGAGTTGTATGGGTTCCATGTATATTTTGGATATTAAACCATTATTAAATATGTGGTTTGCAGATATTTTTTCCCATTCCGTAGATTTCCTTTTCATGTTGTTGATTGATTTCTTTGTTGTATAGAAACTTTTCAGCTTGATGTGTTTCCAGTTGTTTATTTTTGGTTTTTTTTTTGCCTGTGCTTTTCGGGTCATTTCCAGAAAATCGTTGCCCAGACCTGTGTCATGGAGCTTTTCTTCTATGTTTTCTTCTGGAATTCTATGGCTTTAGGTATTATGTCTTTAATCCATTTTGAGTTGAGTTTTGCTTGTGGTGTAATATAAAAAAAGAATTTCCTTTTTTTTTTTTTTGCTTGTGGATATCAAGTTTTCCTGGCACCATAATTGAAGACACTATCCTTTCTCCATTGTGTATTCTTGGCATCTTCATTGAAGATGAGTTGATGGTAAACATGGGTTTATTCCTGGGCTCTCTGTTCTCTTCTCTTTGTATGTTTGTTGTTATGCCCATATTATAGTGCTTTGATTGCTATAGGTTTTTATTATAATTTGAAATCAGGAATGTGATGCCTCCAGCTTTGTTCTTCTCAACCAAGTTTACTTCAGCTATTGGGAATCCTTTGTTATTCCAGATGAATTTTAAGATTCCTTTCTCTATTTCTGTGGAAAATGCCATTGGAACCTTGATTTAAAAAAATGCATTAAATCTGTATATCTCTTTGAGAAGTATGTTTTGACAATAATGATTTTTTTTTCAATCCATCACCACAGGCTATTTTTTTATATACTTGCGTTTTTTCCATTTCTTTCATCGATGTCTTATATTTTCATTATACAGATCTTTTACCTCCCTAGTTAAATTAATTCGTAAGTATTTTTATTCTTTTAATGCTGTTGTAAATAGGATTGTTTTCTTAATTTCTTTTCTTAAGAGTTCATTCTTAGTATACAGAAACAAAGCTGACTTTTTCGTGCTGATTTTTTATCCTGCGACTTCACTGAATTTATTAGTAACAGCTTTTTTTCATGGAGTCTTTAGGGTTTTCTATATATAAGATTATATCATCAAAAACAGAGACAATTTTTTCTTTTGATTTGGATGCCTTTTATTTCTTTTCTTGCCTGATTTCTCAGGCAAGAACTTCCAGTTTTATGTTGAATAGAAGTGGCGAGAGTGGACATCCTTGTCTTGTTCCTGATTTTAGAGGAAAAGCTTTTAACTTTTCACCACTGAAAATGACGTTAGCTATGGGCTGGTCAAATACAGCCTTTATAATGTTGAAGTATATTCCTTCTATATCTCATTTTTGGGTATAGCTTTTATCATAAAAATATGTTCAATTTTGTCAAATGCTTTTTTTTTGTCTATTGAAATGATATGATTTTTATAATTCATCCTGTTGATGTGGTATATCACATATATTGATTTATGTATGTTAAGCCATCCTTGCATTCCAGGGATAAATATCACTTGATCATGGTATATGATCCTTTTAATAAGCTATTGAATTCATTTTGCTGGTAATTTTTGAGAATTTTTTATCTATGCTCACCAGGGATATTGGCTTGTAATTTTCTTTCTTTGTAGTGTCCTTTTCTGGTTTGGTAAAAGGGAATACTGGCCTCATGAGTGTTTCCTTCAATTTCTTGTAACAATTTGAGAAGAGCTAGTGTTAATTCTGTTAAATGTTTGGTAGAATTCACCAGTGAGGCCATGAGGTCTTGGCCTTTCTTTTATGAGAGATTTTTAATTACTGATTCAATCTCCTTACTCATTATTAGACTGTTCAGGTTATCTATTTCTTCATTATTTATTGTTTGTGGATTGTATGTTTCCAGGAACATATCCATTTATGCTAGGTTACCAATTTGTTGATATTATTCAAATAGTTCCTTGTGAATCTTTGTATTTCTGTATACCAATTGTAATGTCTCTTCTTTCATTTCTGATTTTATTTGAGTTTTTGCTCTTTATGTATTAACTGATAAATAATAATTGTACATATTCTTCAGTACATAGTGATGTTTCAATACATATAATGCGTGGTGATCCATCAGGGTAATTAGCATTTAAAACATTTATTCATTTATATTTCTTCATCACTCTAGCTAAAAGTTTGTTGATGTTCTTTTCTTTACAGAAAATGAACTCTTAGTTTTGTTGATATTTTTCTAATTTTTTGTAGTCTCTATTTCATTTATTTATGCTCTGAAATTTGTTATTTCCTTCCTTCTAACTTTGGCATTAGTTTTCTTTTTCTAGCTCCTTGAAGTGCAAAACTGGTTGCTTATTAAAGATTTTTTTTTTCTCCATTTAGGCATTTACTTCCATAAGCTTTTCTCCTAGAACTGCTTTGGCTACATTTTACGAGTTTTTATATGTTGTATTTTCATTTTCATTTGTCTCAAAATATTTTTTAAATTCCTTTTTGATACCTTCTTTTCCCTATTGGTTGTTCAGGGGTGTGCTGTTTAATTTCCATTTATTTAAACCTATTTATACTTAATTTTTACTTATTTACACCTTAATTTCCACTTATTTATACCACTTATTCTACTTATTTATTCACTTATTGATACCTAGTTTCATATCACGGTGGTCAGTGAAGATGCTTGATATAATTTCAGTTTGCTTAAATTTTCTAAGAGTTATTTTGTGACCTAATAAATGTTCTATCTTGGAGAATGTTCCATGTGTTCTTTGGAAGAATGTGTATTCTGCTACTGTTGGGTGAAGTGTTCTGTATATGTTTGTTAGGTCTACTTGGTCTAAAATGTAATTAAAATCCAGTATTCACTTTTTGTCTGGGTGATCTATTTATTGCTCAAAATGGGGTGTCAAAGTCCCCTACTATTATTCTATTGCTGTCATGTCTCCCTTAAGATGTGTTAATATTTGCTTTATATATGTAGGTACTTTAATACTGGGTGTGTATATGGCTACACACACATACACACGTTTAAAATTGCTACATCCTTTTGATGATTTGACCCTTTTATCATTATAAAATGACTTTCTTTGTCTTGTTTTACAATTTTTGACTTAAAGTCTATTTTGTCTCATTTACTTATAGTTACCCCTACCCCTTTCTTTTTGGATTTTATTTGCATACAATATCTTTATCAATCTATTCACCTTCACCTTATGTATGTCCTTAAAGCAGATGTGAGTTTCTTACAGACGGCATATAATTTGATCTTGTTTACTGAACCATTTAGCCACTCTGTCTTTTGATTGGAGAATGTAATTTATTTACATTTAAAGTCATTATTGATGGGTAAGAACTTACTGTTTCCATTTTACTTATGATTTCCTGGTTGTTTTATCAGTCCTTTATTTCTTTGTTCCTTTCTTTATTTTTTTTTATTGTTGTTGTTGTCTTTCCTTTTGATTAGATAATTTTTTGTAGTGGTGTGCTTTGAGTCTTTTCATCTTTTGTGTATATACTATAGATTCTTGCTTTTTTTTGTTAATCTGAGGCTTACATAAAAAATAGGATTAGACCGATCTATTTCAAGTTGATAACAACTTTACTTGCATTCAAAAATTCTACATTTTCATCTCCCTAGATACATGTCCTATTTTTTATGTCACAATTTACATCTTTTAAATTGCATATGTGTTTAATACTAGTGCTTTGGGAGGCCAACATAGAGGGATCACTTGAGGCCTGGAGTTTTAGACTAGCCTGGGCAACACAGCAAGACCCATATCTACAAAAAAAACAAAAACAAAAAAACGCTAGGTGTGGTGGTATGTGCCTGTAATCCTAGCTATTCAGTAGGGCAGCATCACTTCAGCCCAGGAGTTCAAGGCTGCAGTGAACTATGATTATGCCACTGCAGTCTGGCCTAGGTGACAGAATGAGATGCTATCTCTAAAAATAAATAAATAAACACAAGTCAATAAATTGCATATTCATTACCAAGTTATTGTAGCTATATTTATTTTCAATATTTTTGTCTTTTACCTTTTATACTAAAGTTAAAAATGATTTACATGCCACTATTACAGTAAAAGAATATTTTGTATTTTACTATATACTTACTTTAGTGAGTTAACTTGCATATGTTTTCATATTACTAATAGCATCCATTTGTTTCAGCTTAAAGAATATGCTTTAGCATTTCTTGTAAGCCAGGTCTAGTTGCGATGAACACCCTTAGCTTTTATTTGTCTGTGAAACTCTATCTTTTCTTTATTTCTGACGGACAGACAGCTTTAAAATATTCTTGGTTGGTAGGGTTTTTTTTTTTTTTCTTTCATCACTTTGAATACGTCATTCCACTTTCTCCTGGCCTGCAAGGCTTCTGCTGAAAAATCGGCTGATAATCTCATGGAGGATCTCTTGTTTATGACATACACAATTCTCTTGCTGCTTTAAAAATTATCTCTGTCTTTGATTTTTGACAGTTTTATTTTAATGTGTCTTGGTGAAATCTTATTTGCAGTGAACGTGATTGGAGACCTTTAAGCTTCACGTATCTGGATGTTTATACCTTTTCTTAGATTTGGAAAGGGTTCAGCCATTGTTTCTTTAAATAAGCTTTCTGCCTTTTTTCTCTCTCTCTTCTCCTTTTTGGACTCCTAAGATGTGAAATTTAGCTGTCTTGATAGTGTCCCATAAATCCCATAGGCTTTCTTTATTTTCTGTTATCTTTTAAAAATATTTTCTCCTCTTACTGAATATTTTCAAATGACCAGTGATTTCACAGAGTCTTTCTTCTACTTCATTAAGTATGCCTTTGACACTCTCTATTGCATTTTTTACTTCAATCCTGGTATTCTTCAGCACCAGAATTTGTTTGGTTCTTTGTTATGATTTCTATCTCTTTCTTTATTAAACTTCGGTCTTGTTGAGTTGTTTATCTGTGTTCTGTTATAACTCAGCAAGCTTCCTTAAAACAATTATTTTGAATTGTTGAGCAGTTCATAGATGTCCAATTCTTTTAGGTTGGATACTGAAATATTATTGTGTACCTTTGGGGGTGTCATATTACTTAATATTTTCATCGAAGTCTTGAAGTTTTTGCATTAAATCCTTGAAGTCTTCCATTGTGGTTATTGCATTTGAATAAGTGGTCACTTTTGCTAATCATTACTGACTGGCTTCAGGAAAGAAATACCTTCACCAAACAAACTGGTTAGGGTTTCTGAGGCTCTTTCCAAATTTTTCTATGGATGAGTCTCTTCCATATCTCTTGCTCTTCTTGGGAAACTATTCTTTATTTTCTTCAACTTTTAATTACAGGGGATTGATATGCAGGTTTGTTACATGGGTATATTGCACCCAGACACTGAGCATAGTAACTAATAGGTAGTTTTTCAACCCACATCCACCTCCCACCCTCCCTACTCAAGTGTCTGTGGTGTGTATTGTTCCCATGTTTATGCCTATGTGTGCTCATTGTTTAGTTCCCACCTATAAGTGAGAATATGCAGTATTTGTTTTTCATATTATTTAATATCTTCTGTGGCTAGCAGATGAAAATTTCAATATGATGACTTTAAACAGAAATGAACATCATTTGAAAGGAAGGGCATATTAATTAATTCAGGGAAAATTGGATATTTACTGTGATTCAGGCACCATACTAAGTACCAAGAATATAATGCTTTCATGAAGTTACATCAGATCAAAAACTACACAAAGGCTTTCTAAATGTAATTCAGGAATGGAATATGTAATTTTCTGTTCAATATGGTTATGTTACACTATTGACTGAAGGTAGAGAAATGTACTATCATCGTTCATTTATAGTCATTCAGTTGAACTAAACTGAGAAGGTGCTTTGATGAATGTTTTAGATGAGAAGAAGGTGGAAAAGACAATGTCTATTCCCTCAATTCTCCTATAGGAGATGTATTCAAAAAACATTTATAAAAAAAGACAAAAAATGATATGTACTTGTGAAACAGAATTAAAGTACATAATAAAAAGAGTCAAATCCTAATAATAATAAATTTGAATGATTTATTGGGATCATTTAAGAAAACAAGATTTCATTAGTCTGTCAAAATGTAACAGAGCCCCCAGAACTTGTGACTGTACTTTAATGTTTCACATATATTTCATGATAAATTAATTTTTTTACCCTGAGGATTAGCATTTCTATTAATCCCTTGGTATTATATGAAAGTGAAATTACATACAAATTATTATATGTATCAGATGTGTTTGCATTTGGCCAGGGTGGGAGTAGAAATGTTTTTACGTTTATGACACCAAAATTGTTAGGAACTCTAAGTAAGATGAATAATTTTTGAAAGCAGAGTCAACACAACATAGAAAACGGAAATTAATCAATGGTTAGATTTCATTTCAGGAAACCAAAGGGTATCTATCTAAGTCAATGATGCAAATTAATTGTTTTATGTATTCATATATGGAAAACTGATTACAATAAGAAACATGGCATTAAAAATAAGCAAACAAATTTCTGGATTCTGTTATAAAAGAACCTCTGATTTTTCTGTATATATCCTAGCTCTAGGAATCATTGACTAAGTGAATGATGATAGTAAGGATTCATCCATTTCTATACAAGGGCATTTTTTTTTACTCATTTATATTGAGGTCAATTTTGTAGCCCATTTCTGTATAAAAAGGCATATCTTGGACAATCAAGAGCTACACTGCCCAATATAGTAGCCTTTAGCTACATGTGACTATTGAGCATTCGAAATGTGACTGGTCCAAATTGAGATATACTTTAAATGTAAGTAAAATAAAATAAACACCAGGAAGATTTGGTATGGGGAAAAAAGCATGTAAACATTACATTAATATTTTTATATTGATTATATATTGAAATTGTACTATTTTTAGCATACCAGATTAAATAAAATATATTTTAAAGAAATTCATTGCCCCTGTCATTTTACTCTTTCTGATGTGTCTATGAGTAAAGTTTAAATTGTATTTGTGACTCATATTTTTACTAGACAGCATGGATCTAAGAAATATTTTTAAAAGAAGTATTTTTTATTCTAATATTGCTTTCATGACCCAGTCATTGTTTAAGTGTCCATTAAATCATAAGGGAATTACACTGTGGGACACCCCAGTATATATCTTGCCAGTGTTAATATTCCTTTTCCTCATATAAAGGAATTTAATATATTTTGCAAGAGGGCTTTGTAGAGTTCTATAATCTATACTGTTTAAAGTTATCCTCCTCCTTTAGTATATGATTTCCTTTCCTTTATCTGCAGGTAGGTCCATTTATTAGTAGGATGCCTTCCTGGGAAAATAATAGAAATGATAATTAAATAAGTGGTGATATTTACCTTTTTACAAAGTTTATTCTTTCTCACTTCCACTCCTTGCAGAGATAATGAAATTTAGTGAAATAACGAAGGAGCCACACTTAGCCAAAAACAGATATAGCTAGACTTTTCCAATGATCTTACTCAAGCTCTTCAAAATTGATTTATTATTTCCATTACAGTGCCTTGATTCACAACCCCTCTCCCTCCTGAACACACACACACACACACACACACACACGTGCATGCACATGCACACACGCACACACTCATTATTATTAGAGGTTTGCTTTCTACCAACCGCCACCCCTTCCCCCATTTTATCACAGGTGGCCTCTAAAAGTGAAAATCATTTATGCCATCCTTCTGGCAAAGACCAGTTCTTTTTCTCAGGCAAAGATAAAGTGTTCATTTTTATTGTCTCTCCCATTATGATACATTTATCTAAATGGAATTAATAAAGTACCTACCACAGATTTCCTTAGCTGATTGCTTACAAGTTTGAGAATGTTAATATTCAAGGACATTAAAATCGGAATAAAAGAAATTAGATCCTTTGAAATAGGAGGTATTTTAACGTGTGGTCCCATAAAATAAAATAAACATTCTAAAAAATGAAGCCTATAAACATCAGGAAGATGGATAAGTTGACACTTCATTTTGCATATCTCTGCTTAATAATATTATATTTCATTTCCCATGCTAAGAAAACAGCCATTACCCAAAGCAGCCACTCGTAAACAGGCCTTGTGAACAGATTGCATCCTTGTTGGTGGTATGATAATTGAAATAAGTTTTCTAGTCTTTTATGAGAAAATACCAGATGTATAAAATACCTATTAATCAACTCTCTTGCTTTTGCAAACATAAGTTTCAGTACCAATGGCTGTTAAAAAATGAAATGTACAATGAAAAAGAGGATTGCGAGAAAATACCAAAGAATTAGCTAAGTAATTCATCTTTGGGCTGTTTCTGAGTATCTGTTGATTGCAGGATGGAGCAGTAAAGTCATTACTTTGGATTTCTTGAAGAAAGACTTATGATTGTCATGCCTTGTATTTCTGCACGGTTTGTCCTAAAGAGAACAGGGTGGGAAAAAGTGATTGTCAGTGAGTACATGAAAAGTGTCGTCTACCATTTTATTTCACCCGCACTATTCTATTCTATTAATTGAAGTTTCCAATAAATATTTCTTTGTCTATCATCTTTTGTAACCATAATGTCTAGGATCACCACTTTACAATGCCGTCAAGCCAAGTCCCTCCCAGTTTCAACAACCCTATCCTACCTCACCCTACTCTTTCAAATGCAAATTAGAAAATGAGAAAATTGAGAGGGAATGAAAAAAGGTGATAGGAAGGAGGAGAGAAAAACTAGCCTAGAAAAAGCAGCGTTAAAATGACAAGAGGCGCTATTGTACATATATTGGCGAAAACTGTCTTAAACTATTTTTCCCTCAAGCAAAGGTAAAAGAAGTTGTTTCCCAGAGGTAGAAATAGGTAATTTTAATAAACGTGATTTCGGTTTTCTACTTGAATCATGATTTAATATAGTCAGTCCCTTTACAGTAGTCTTTGGAGTCAAGATCATGTGCCTCACTCTGATGGTCTTAATGTTTCCATATTTCAAGTTCAGGGCTTTAGCTGATGGAGTTTGCTTTTATTCAGCCCAGTGTTCTGGGTTAACTTGCCAGTTTTCTTTGCCCATTTTTACTTTTGAAAGTCAAGGATAAGATAATGTTATGTACATACCTAATTTACGTGTATAGCATTTATAGAAAATATATTTCACAATGTCATCTCAAAGCTCATAAAACAGTTTTTTGTCCCACAGACTTTTCTGGCATTCTCTCCATTATCTGACTGTTAAATTCTGCAGATTTAGGGCAAATATCAGGTTACTTGAGGCCTACTCGCCTTTCAGAAGTCACTAAGCATTGTCCAGCTAAGGCCACAAGGTTGATGCCGGCTTTCCTTAAACCCTCCTCGCATCACTTTTCCTAAGTTCATCTTCCCTAGATGCTCAGGAATCTCTGATTGCCCTTTGTTGGGACCTTAGGTCAGAGTTCTATCCTTCCTTCAGAAGACCATGTGTGCGAGTTGGTATACAGTTCTCCAAACCTTTCTTCTCCACCTGATCTGCGTTTACTATTACTGAAAGTTTATTGGTGATAATTGTCTGTAGTTTATACTTGACTTAAAGAGGGAAGCACTAATGGCAGCATCACTAAGTTTCCTGAAAGGTGAATGAAGGTGATACTTTCCCATGGGCTTTAGAGTTCTGGTAGTGTTCAATGACATACTTCAAATCAGATGTACTTCCTTTAATTTGGTTATATAAAGCATCATCTATTTCAGGCCGGAGTGACTGAATGTGTGTTCCAAGTGCTTTCACCTGAATTTCCAATTTTGTAAGGCTTTACACTTACACATGTAGGTATACATTCATTGGTGGAGAGGGAGGGCTGGTACAAAGACAGCAGAATCTCCAGAAACATGTCCTGTAAGCACATTACTAAATTACCTTCCAGCCATAGTTTTATAGTCTGTCTGCCCTGTATTTTTGTGTAGCAGATATCTTTTTCTGCTATGTCTAATTGAATTACCTCTGTGGGTCTTTCTCTTTCTCACATAGCTTTTTATAAAGAACCCTGGGCTATGTGACAAGAAGCCTAGGTTCTAGTCCCATGTCTGGCAGTCACTGGTTGAAGAAGTTTTGCCAAGCTATTTTCATGTCCCTGATCTTCAAGTGTCCTCTTGCAATAAATGGGGAATTTTGAGTAGTTCAGTCTTGGGAATGGGTAAGAGGAGCACAGATTCCTTAGACAAGAACATTAGAATCATATGGTGGAGAGAGAGGGGAGTATTCAAACTATATGATCCTTTTTCCTACCCACCACAAGAAATTGTAATAAAGCTCCCCAACTCGAGAAACACTGTTAAAATGAATCAATGTCTGCACAATTTTTGGAAAAATAGGCCTTTAAAAAAATTAGATATCCGTTTAAATCCCTTTTCCAAAGAAATTGATTTACACACAAAATTCTGGAAATAGTTTTTTGAAGTTCAAATATGCTTACCTCTCCATCCCCCAGTCCCCTGCAAAAGTTTGAACTTGTAATGATCTCAGTACAGTGTATTTGCTTGAGAATGCTGCTGTATAATGTAAACCCTCTACTAAAAGCAGTAGGTTTTGTTGTTATTCCACCATTGTATAGTCTTAGTTAGCTAAGAAACATTTTGGAAAAGAAAGGTGAGTTAGAAAAACTCCCCAAATTATACTTAATGACCATAAAAATATTTGAATGATTATACTGTTCAATGTAATTCTGACCTCTGAATGCTTCTCAGACATAAGTTATCATTATTGATTCTAAAATGTGACATCAGTACAACCTGAAGCTTAACAGATTTTTCAAAAAACTCGCATCCTCAATGGCTGTTGTATTTTTTTTTTTATTTAATAGAAGCGTGCAATGAATTAAATGAAAAACTAACCAGAACAGCAATACAGATTACAAACCATAATAGCCAGCTCTAAATGTGTATCCTGGGGTTTCAGATGATGTCATAATCTACTACTGCAAATTTAATAGTATTGTTGCCTGGAAGCCAAGCTGTTATAGTATGTTTAATTTCACTAAGATGTAAATTACATGGTTCAGCTTTGTATAGTATTGGCTACTGTCACTTTCACTTATTTTTGCAGCTGTCAGCCATCGTAATGTTTATGGCAGTTCTGTTTATCTAGAAGCCTGATGCAGTTTATCTGTCTATCTATCTATCTATCTATCTATCTCTATCCATTCATTTATTAGCTTTTTTCATATTCTGCCTTACTCTTTAAATTCTTTCATTACCACTAAAGCCAAAAGCCAAATTATATTAAATTTAACAGCTGATTTTCTAATTTTTGAGTATTATTTTAAGAGGAAGAGTAAATGTTCTTTAATAGCATTGTATGTGATTTTTGCCAATACAGGAGTCACTATATTTTTTAAAAGGTTAGTTCGGAAAATTTTTTAAGACCACTTGTCCCTAATGTCCCTGCTAGTTTGCATAGAGTTGGCATTTT
Source organism: Homo sapiens (assembly GCF_000001405.40). Lineage (NCBI taxonomy): Eukaryota > Metazoa > Chordata > Mammalia > Primates > Hominidae > Homo > Homo sapiens. Next base: position 9,257,814 of record NC_000009.12, on the reverse strand, counting down.
CTTTGCCCTGGCACAGAGATTTTTTTTAATTGAGACAGGGTCTCATTTTGTCATCCAGACTGGAGTGCAGTAGTGCAATCAAAGGTCACTGTAACCTTGTACTCCTGGGCTTAACCAATCCTCCCACAGCTGGGACTGTAGGCACACATTATCATGCCTGATTACGTTTTTTATTTTTTATTTTTGGTAGAGACAGGGTCTCACTATGCTGCCCAGTCTGGTCTTGAGCCCCTGGACTCAAGCAAACCTCCTGCTTTGGCTTTCCAAAGTGCTGGAATCATAGACATGAGCCCCCATCCTTGGCCAATTTTTAAATATCATATATAAAAATTCGGACTTTTGTTTTAGCTTTCTGTTTTTAAATTTCTCTTCAAATTAAGGAGCAGTTGAGTTTGATGACTAAGAGCTTGGGGTTGGGACATGGAAGCCAACTCTTCCATCCTCAAATTGTGTCTCATATAGTTTATGAAACTACCACAGACTCAACATCATAATATGGAAAATGTAAATACAAATACATACTATCTATAAAATCATTAGCCATATAAAGAAAACTTCCACTCCCTCTCCTCCTTCCTTCTGCTCAGAGTTTCCCACAGCACCTAGAAATCTTGGCAAAGTCACTTAACTCCTCCAGAGTTTTGTTTTCTACCCCCCACAAAAGAGGAGATTTTACTAGATCATCTCTAGGTGCCCTTTCAGTCTGACAACATATGGGCCACAGTTAAGATATTAATACATTTCTTATTGGAGGTTTTACACATCTAATATGATACAAGACACAGAGAGAGAAAGAGGGAACAACCCTTAAAGAATTAATTGAGCTGTCTTAGAGAAGTGGGGCATGAGCAAGAATAAAGGCTTTTCTTTTTCTGGGGATGGTGCATAAAAACAACTTGATTCCTGGAAGGGAAATACAGAAGACCCTCTGAGAGGAGATGTCAACAGAGTTTAGGCAAATAAGACTTAGAGATTTTTCTTATAAGCAGAGAGGCAGCTGGGGTCTCAGGTAGACAGAGAGGCAGGACAAGAAGATTGTCGATTTTTATATAGAGGAATGACATTTTAAAGTGTCATTTCTATCCATTTTGGAAATCTTGTAATTAGTCAGGGCACTGCTATTTATCTCTTATAATAGAAAGAAACTATATTATAAGTACTGTCTTATAATAGAAAGAACCGAGGCTAGGACACAGGAATCCTGGATTCTAGTCCCAGATCTGCCAAACATTGGTTGAAGCAGTTTAGCAAGTCATTTTCACTTTAAAGGGTCCTCCTGAGAAAGGCAAGGAATTTTTATTAGGTCAGCGTTTAGGGCTGGATTAGAAGAGTTTAAATCTTTTAGGCAAGAACATTCAAATCATGAGGAAGGGAAAAATAGTACAAAAATGGAAAAAAAAGAGAGAAAAAAAATGTAAGGACCAAAATGCAGATATTATCAGAGAGAAGAAAAAGGAAGAGGTGGAGATAAAAGAAATGTGAAGGAAAGATAATGTGATTTGTATATATTTTCAGAGTTCTGCAGTAGCATTTTTTCAACCACAGAGGCTAAAAGCCTTGAGATCTTTCCTTTATAATTTCAAAGGCCAGCAATGTCATTGTCACTCTTCTTTGTGGTCCAAGGAGAAAAGGAATTGGATTTAGTCTTGGCTCTGTCATTCATTTCTAAGGCCACTCTATACAAGTTGCCTTTCTTCTCCAGACCTAGTTTTTTTCTTATTGTTAACACTGAAGATGGCAAGTGGGTGAAGTTTGAGATGTCTTGCTATTCTAAAGTTCAATAAAGTTATGCTTTTATCTGGGGAAAAGGTGTTTGCCCTGGCAAAATCCTCTTCAAGCCCTGTAATCCAAAAACTGAAAGAACCAAGCATATCCTCCTTGAAATGTGCTAAGGTACAAAGGTCTTTGAATCAGAGGTTTGAACATTCTCTCTGAATCCTGAAGTCAAACAAGGGGCCAGGAATTGTTCTAGGTACGAATTATTCTGGGTATGAAGTATACAGTCATAAACAAAATGAAAAAAGTCCCGGATCTTGTGGAATTATTTATGCCAATAGTGGACAATTGGATTACGTTTTGCGATCAATCATCATGATTCCCTTTTACAACAAAAGGTTGTAAAACTTTTTTGCAGTATTTTGTAGTATCTGTGCCAATAAAACTCATTGGCCTAATTCTTAGCATCTCTTTGTACATCTATAAGTGCTGAGAGGGAGTGTGAACAAACTATTACACTTATGTAATCACTTAAAAGGCAGAGAGAGTTGCCCAATGTTACATACATTCTCTTTGTTAGAATTGCATCGTGAGATTTTCAGTATTAGTGGAATGGTTTTAGAGATAGAGCATTATTAGTTTATTGAAAATAGATCTTAATCCTTTAAATATATAAAGAGGTTTTTATTATCCATACCTCTCCTGAGTTGAGCTATAAGTAGGAGGAAACAATTGAATATCTTCTGGTCACCTTAAGAAGCAAATGGCTTTTAAAGGAAATTATTGATACAGACTAAGTCAGTCCTTGAGATAGGTCAAAATAAATCAATGATAACGGAATCTAAATTTAAATAAAATCATCATTGCAATCAAAGCAAACATATTTTATTCTTCTTGAACACCTAAAAGCAAGTTAATGTTCCAGTGGCAATGAACTACAGATGTTCATTGTTTTTCTTCTGGGTCTGTTTGCACACAGCAAAGCCTAGCCTATATTTAACTTGAGCTTTGTTTATTTACTTAGTGCAGTTGCATTCGTTAGCTGAACTGTATTTTGTTCTTTATGTAGCCACAAAATCTCATCTATATCATAGAAGCATAATGATGAAAGAAATCTTTGTCAGAATTTTACAACCTGTTTTTGAATAATGGATATTTTAGAGGAGATATAAAACTGTAGTAAATCACAAATATCCTAACAATGCCTATCAAAAGTGTGGAAATTGTATTCTCCAGAATCTTTGGTGGCTTGGTATCCTACAACTGGAGGAATTCAAATCCAGGAACTGAATACAGGAACAAAAAGTAAAAGGAATGAGGGCGCAGGGTTTTAAAATACCGTTTAAAAACAGTGAATTTTCAAATGTTTGTATGCTGAGATTTCTTCAACAAGAAACATCTGCTGATATTTCTCCTAAATCACTTCTAAGGCTTCCAGATGTTAATCATGAAAGTTAGAGGAACCAACTCCAAATCATCTTCATCTTTGGGATTCTTTCTTTTCACTATTGAAAGATATATTATTAACTGACACATAATTTATGTCAAGAATGAAAGAGAATCTTTTGTTATAACCATCCTTCATGTTAAAAATCATATATAACTACAAATATTACCATTAATTGTAAATAAAACTATACCTCTTCTTTAGGTAGCTAACCAAAAAAGCTAACGAAAAACAATAAAAATTTGCTCACTGAAATAAATTTACTTCTAAAAGCAGTCTCAAATGTAACCCATGAGCACATCCATATAATTTATAAATACAACATCCAACCAGACAGAAAATAGAAGGAAATAGAAAATATATAGACTTACTTTGTCCAAAAAGGAAATTTTTGTTCTAATAGAATTCCTAATGAAAGGAATGGGTAGTGGCTGAATGGTGCCCCGCCCCGCCCCCATAAGATGTGCTCACATCCTAATCCCTGGAGCCTATTAATATCACTTATTTGGGAAAAAGTCTTTGCTTAGAAGATGTAATTAATTCAAATATGTTGAGAGAAGGATATCATCCTGGATTTTCCAGGTGGGGCCTAAATCCAATGATAGGTATCCTTATAGGAGACACACAGAGGTGAAGAGAGACACAAAGGAGAAGGCAATGTGAAGACCGAAGCAGACACTGGAGTGATGTGGCCAGAAACCAAGCTGGCAACTGCCAGAGGCTGAACTAGGCACAGAGCAAACTCTCCCCAAGCCCTCTGCAGGAAGTGCAGCCCTGCCAACACCTTGATTTCAGACTTCTGGCCTCTGGAACAGAAGAGAATAAACTTCTGCTGTTTTAACTTACCAAGTTTGTGATAATTTGTTACAGCAGTTCTCAGAAACAAATACAGTATGACTTCAAGCAATCAGTGAAGCTCAACAAATGTAGGAATATTTCACCCAAAGGAAAGAGGACTACGAAAATTACAGTTCCTCATTCAAAATCACTCAAACCATTTTTTATGCTTTGGCATCTGTTGAGACTCCAGCAGACTCTAAACCCAAGTGAAATTTAAAACATCAAAATCACTCAAACTGAAGCAATTTGAGGTGTTTAGATAAGGAAAGTATTAAACAGGGAGATATGTGTATACATATTTTTTTTTTCAAAAACAAGTGCAGTCAAGCTCAAAAATATGATTCAACAACATAATGAATATGCCAACTTTTGTTAGTAGCTTACTTGAATAAAAGTAAATATTATTTGTTGATTAACAGAATAACATTATTTTCCAATAATTTCTAGACTCGACGCCAGCAACTTAGTAGTTTAAAAATTGTAAATTAATAAAAAAAGTCAGGCCTCATCAATTAATAATTTATATTGAATGTTCATGGAAGTCATAGATACTTTAGATTTTTAGCCAAAAAAATAGATATCATGATCCTGGCTTTCTAAAAACATTTACACTGGGATGTTGCATACCTGAATATTATTATGTCAGTAGGTACTTCAAAAATAGAGATAAGAAGACTGAATTCTGGGATGTTGCTGCTGGACACTCTTGAATTTATATCTTAGTTTGGAAATCTCAAAATAGTTCCTTTTTAAAATTTCACAATTATTCTACTTTTCCATTAAACAAAAATCTAGTTTTCCTTGATGAGCAAATTCTGCCAATAGTCTTATTTTTGTTTAATGTCCTTATACTTTTCTCTTAAGTGAGTTTAAATTTGTTTATGTTAATTTCTTTTAAAAAGAAAGTGTAGGAGAGGTAAAATCTTTCATTCCTTCTACTCTTGCGTGTGATTGGCTGGTTATCTGTAACAAAAGACAGATTAACAAGACAGAAAAGAAACAGAAGCGTATTAGCATGAGTACCCAGCAATGAATAACCCAGAAGAGGTGTTTAAAACTTGGATTTATTTTGGAAGGTGGAGGTGACTGCATCGCTTGAAGCCAGGAGTTCAAGACCAGCCTGGGTAACATAGAAAGACCACAACTCTACAAAAATAAAAATAAATTGCCAGACATGTGGTATGCACCTGCAGTCCTAGCTACTTGGGAGGCTGAGGCAAGAAGATTGCCTGAGCCCAGGAGTCAAGGCTGCAATGAGTTATCTTCATGTCACTGAGGTCCAGCCTGGGATCTGAGAGCAAGAAGCTGTCTCAAAACAAAACAAAATTTAAAAATTTGGGTTTAAATACCATCTTCAGCTAAAATAAAGGAAGAAAGTATGGGGGAGACAAGTTATAGGAAGGTGGCCAGGAAAAGTACAATAAACGAGGGTAAGGTGTGTTATGCAAATTTAAGTTCATGCCTTACCCATTGATAATAAAATCTCTTAATTAACTCGTTCTTCTCTTCCTGATACAAAAAGGGACATGCCATGACCAACAGAGATTTCCTTATAAATGTACATTTCCTGTACAAAAGGGAAGTATGCTGTTTTTGGAGCTTCTTCTTTGTCAGCTGTTTCCCAAAATAATCAGCTCAAAATAAGCTTTATGCCAAAGAGGCATATTTTGGGGTGGCACATTTTGGTCCCCTACAACAGAGTACCCCAGGGAGTATTGTGGCACCATGTTAAATATCCTGGGCAAAAAAAAAGAAATCCCGTGGCAAATGTAGCTGCCGAGATATAAAATTCAGCTAAAAGAGAGGATAGCAAGCATTGTATATAGGTTGTAAAGACAATAGGGAAGTCAGACTGCTAGTTTTTGGTGAAGGCACTCTGGGTAGTATTTTGTATTTCACTTGGGAAAGGAAAACAAGGGATAGCATCAAGGTGGCCCAATGCGTAGTTAAGACTGCTGCAGCGACTAAATCTGATATTTCAAAAATATTATAAACAATAATTCTAGAGCAGTTATATCTCAAATCATTCTTTTATTTAAACACTTTATTCAACAATTACTTTTGGCTTCTTTCAAATGTACAAAGTACCCCATTATGCTATTTATCCAGGACACAAATGAAGAGAAGACACTTCTTATCCTAAAGAACTCTCAGCCTTGTGTGGTGTAAAATACAAAAAATAATAATAGCAATATAGTATGACAAAGTCTGTAATGAAAAAATATACCAAATGCAATATTTGCCCGAAGGAAAGTACATTCAACTGTAGGTCAATTGACAGAGAAACACCCTTGAGCCGGCTTTTAAAAATTAATGAATAGTAGTTTTCAAAATAAAGAAGGAAGAGAAGGAATTACCAAATAAAGGAAAAAGCATGTACAAAGGCATAGAGCTTTAAAACTTACTAGCAAGTATGTATGAATATGTATAGGGATATAGAAGATATATTGCTAGAAAAGTAGGCAGGGATGAAGTATTGTGTAAAGAATTTGAACTTTATCCTGTTCATAATGGAGAAATGTTGGACATTCTTTTACATGCTGCCACATTCAGATGCCAGTCAATCTCACAATGATGCTCAGCAAGGCAACCTGGCTTGGATCCAAAATGGAACCTCAACCCTGGGATCTATTGCTGGCAATGCCCGCACTAGATTTTTATGTATCTCTGATAGCCCCCAACCTTAAATCTGTCCTTGGTTCTCTGATTCTGGACTTTCATTTATTTTCCTATTAAAAGTGGTATAAAGAATGAAATAGGATATCAGAGGTGTGCGAACATGGTGAAGGAATGGAAAAGAGGGTCAATTTCAAATGTAATACATTTCTTAAGCTGGTTCATGCTTTCTGATCAGGAAAGCTGAACATTTTTCTCTTCTCCCTTGCTGAATTTGCATCTATGTGTGATCCAAGGATAAAGATAAAGAATTCAAATAAATAAATAAAAAGACTTTTCACAAGCTGCTATCATAGGAATGCACAGGAAAACAAATTTGTTGGGACTCATTTTTTTCACCAATAATATATTTGTTGTTGTTGATATTTCTTTTTTGGTTTTGGTTTTGGTTTGGTTTTTGCTGTTTCATAGGTTGCCATTTCCCCAATTGCAGAGTCCCAAAAAGGCCAAAGGCCCCTGAGCCAATCTAAAAGGCAGACCAAATTTTCTGACACTGAAATGCAAAACATTTTATCAGTTTAGTGCATATGAGAATGGCTTTAAGTAAACTCAAAAACATGAAAATCACCTTTACCTGCTGTTTGAAGAGACACCTGATAATATGTTAACCTTTTGTCATTGGGGTTATTTGTTAAAATCTAAAGAGCTAAGAAACATGATTAATGGCAGAGGGTTTGCATTCCTTGTCTCACCTAACTATAACAGCTTGTGTCAAGCTGCCTGACTTATACCCTCTGAGAGATTTACTCAGCTAAATAAGATAGGGCAGATATTAGTATTTATACACAAAACATTCAAGCAATGCCTATACTTCTTCACAGATGAGATGTTTTTGCCCTGGGGTCAGAAAGTTCTATCAGTACTGGTACATCATAGGTGAAAACATCCATTCAGGGAACAGGAAAATATGAAGCTACACATGCTCATGCTCAGGGCCAGTGCTCTGGAGCTTCTATAAGTGTAAGGATGTCAACTCAACATTGTGGCCATATATTAAAGAATGTATGTATGCGACTGTTCATGGTGTGCTCGGGAGTTCTTCTGGGAGAAGGCAAGTTGCAAGGCAAAATGTCAGTCATATTAAAAATGATTTCCCCTTACTTAACTGTAGTTATTCAAACAGTATTTAATTTAATGTGTATCTAAAGCATTTACAGGGATTTTTTAAAATAACACTTTTCTCCCAATTTCCTCCTGTTTGTTTATCCATTCATTAAGACAAAGTATGTTTTGAATTCTAAAGAACTATAATTCATTACCTGAAACCACTGAAGTCTGAAAGAATATTTAATCCTTTCTTTTCATCTCCCAGTTCAGTCTTTCAGTATAAGAAGTTACATGTAAGGCATCAGCTTCAAACAAAATAGCCAACAAAGTGCTGTTTGCAGCTGACTTTTCCTTGACAAAGACAGTGACAAGAGTCCACCGTGGAAGCTCACTTCTACAAATAATGCATAGTTGAAACTTTAGCAGTTGGTTCTAACTGTTCAAATAAAGTTGGACAACCCAAGAGAAAGAAGGAGGAAGAGGGAGGGAGAAACAGAGACAAAGCCAGGCAATCAGTGACACAGAGACATAGACAAAAATGGAGAGAGAATCCAAATAAGTTTATGAGGTATAATAAGCAGACATTCTGATTTGGTCAAGACAAATTTTTTTGAAAATGTAGTTGGTTGTCAACATTTAGAAATCAAGAGGTTTACGAAGAACAATCTTGCTGTGTTCATCTGTTTGCATTGCACTAAAGGAATACCTGAGGCTGGGTAATTTATAAAGAAAATAGGTTTATTTGTCTCATGGTTCTTCAGACTGTACCAGCAGGGCACCAGCGTCTGATTCTGGTGAGCCCTCAGGTAGCCTTTACTTATGATGGAAGTCGAAGGAGGAGCAGGCATGTCACGAGGAGAAAGGAAACAAGAGAGAGGGAGCAAGAGAGAAAGGAGAAGATGCTGGACTCTTTTTTAACAATCAGATCTTATAGTAACTAATAAAGCTAGAACTCACTCTTAACCATAGGAGGGCACCAAGCCATTCATGAAGGATCTGCCCCCACTACCCAAACACCTCCCACTGGGCCCCACTTCCAACACTGGGGATCACATTTCAACATGAGATTTGGAGGGGACAAATATCCAAACTATATCACTTGCTTTATGACTCCCGTTCAAAAGCAAGATCTGATAACACTGAACCTGCAGCTTTGCCATACACTTTACCAGCTAGTACTGAGTGCTCCATGATTCTTTAGAGTAGAAATCTCTCCAGTTAACCCACTCTCTTTCTGAGCTACTTTACTTGCTTATGTTTGTCTCCATGGTCCCTGCAAGCATTTGAGTTTGTGATCTTTGATAGAATTGTGCCTTTTTGCAACACCCAAATGCATACTTGCCTTTTAAAGATGATAAAGGATGGTACAGTCTCAGTGTACATGCTAAGACTTCTCATTCCCTTAGCTAGACTGTATGTATAATATAGTGCATAGAACTATTTTATACAGCCTCAGATTCCTTTTCAACACAGAACACCAGGTATACACAGGTATAATCAGAGATGACATATAAACAATCATTACTCTAAAACTCTAAGACATCAGATGGGTGCTAATTCATATCTGTCTCCACCATTGCTTACTAAATGTTGCCCTAACATTAGAAAAATTCTAAGAAGTTACAAAAATCATTGTTACCAAGATAATTACAAATGTTATAAAATGCAACTTTGATGTTAAAAATCACTTAGGGAGGCCAGGCACGGTGGCTCATGCCTGTAATCCCATCACTTTGGGAGTCTGAGGCAGGTGGATCACTTGAGGTCAGGAGTTCAAGATTAGCCTGGCCCACATGGTGAAACCCCATCTCTACTAAAAAATACAAAAATTAGCCAAGTATTGTGGTGGGCGCCTGTAATCCCAGCTGCTCGGGAGGCTTAGGCAGGAGAATCACTTGAACCTGGGAGTTAAAGGTTGCAGTGAACTGAGATCACACCACTGCATGCCAACCTGGGTGACAGAGTGAGACCCTGTCTCAAATTAAAAAAAAATAATAATAGATAACTTAGGAGCTCATTGCTTCCTCCGTTTACTCAATGACTTAACACGTTACTCAATACCTACAGTGTACTGCAAGAGATATAAAGAGAATCATGAACACAGATTCCACCCTCAAGAGCTACCTTTCATAGGAAATTAAAGATAGATAATTTGAATAACTGTAAAGCAAAGCTGAGAGTAATAAGTGAGATAGCAGAAATGCAAATGAAATGTATGGTGATCATGCTCAAACTTCAATGTGCATCAGAATCACTTTGAGAACTTGTAAAAATTTAGCTGCCCTCATTGAATCTGATTCAATGGAATTGGAATATATCTCTTACATCTATATTTTTAACCAAAGATGGAGAACTACTATTGTGTGGGATTCAAGGGTCAGAAGAGGTGACTCCCTGCTGGAGATCAGAAAACATCCTAGAAGAAAGCATGTGAGTCGGGCCTTGTATTGGAGAGGCTTTGGCTATGTAGAGTTGAAAATTCTGAGAAGAAAGATGAGTGGCTATATAGAAGAAAAGAAATTTTAAATTCGTTTTGATTTGTAGAGGCAGAAAGTGTGTGATACCTTTTCTCATCCCTCATAAGGGTCAAGGCCAACACTCCTATAATGAAAGATGGTTAACAGGAAAAAAGCATAACAAATGTATATAATCAACGTTTTATGGGATGTGGGAGCCTTCAGAATGAAGACTTAAAAGACACAAGAAGAAACTGTCTAATTTTGTGCTTATATTCCATGAAGAGTGGACAGCCAGGTAGAAATGTGATTGGACACAAATGGAATGATCTAATAGTAATAGACTGAGTTGGGAAACCCAGAAAGGCTTGTCTGTGCAGGTTCTTCTTGACCTCTCTGTATGGCCTTCCTTCTTCCCAGGTATAGGGAAGGACCCCTTCTGGAATGAGAGTCTTATGACCTGCTATCAGACAAGAGTAGCTCAAAGAATTTCTTTATGGTCAGCTCCTAGAAGAAAGGTGGAAGAAGGCTAGAGTGACATTTTTAGACTTTACGGTTTGCTTTGGGGAAAAGGAATTTTAGTTTCTATGACTTATCTTGGGAAAGAGGAATTCTGATTTCTATGAGTCACTCGGGGAAAATGAGTGGCAAGAGACAGAAGGGCAGGAGAAGGTCAGAGAGACCTTGGTTCTGAAGTTGCTTCTGAGACCTTCCAATGTACTGTGGCTCAAATTACTCAGCATGCCAAAGTGCCATATTTTGGGGTATTATTTTCTGAACCACAACATTCTTCTTCCTTCCTTAACAGGAAACTTCCTGAAGTTTCACAGTCCAGAAATTGGGTTGCTGGATTGTCTCATGAGCAATGGAACCAATCTCTCAGCTCCAAGAATAGGCCAGTCCAGTTAAACTGTGAAGTCTCAGCTCCCAAACTGATGTTGCCGGTGGGCTTACTCCAAAGTGAGGCTGCTATATGGTGTGAGCAGTTACATACTTAATAAGAGGCATTTCTATGAAAATGAAAGAAAAGCAAAAGTCAATGTTTAGGAGAGACTATAAATTATTTTCTGAGTCTGGGGGATAGCCAGTTGAGAAGATTTCTAGATTTGAGCTTGATGCATTTTCTGTGGGAGTGGAGGCAGGAAGGAGCAAACTGACAGATTTTTCTAGTTTGCAGTTTGCATCAGGTGAACTTTTCTAAGCAGCCCATACAGGAATAGGCACAAAGTTTGTGTATGTATAAGCTAATCTGGTGATTTTTCTGAAGTCCATATCAAGTGGTCAAGCTTCAGCTTGCAGGGCTGCAGGAAAAGTTCAGTTTTAATTTCAACAATTCCACACAAGAGATTGTGAGAAAAACCTGAAAGTATTAGTTTCGAGACATATCGGAGGACACTAAAAACATTCAGGATCCAGCCCAGAATTCAGGTGGACAACAAACCTGCAAAAACAATGAGCTAGAGTCTAATAATGAATTCACTCTACCTTTCTTCTAAAATATCATATTTATGTTGAAAGTCACCCCCATTCCTACCAAAGATAATCAAAGTAAAATATATTTGTTTGCAAAATCAGTTTAGTCTCATTAAAATTGGCATGATTATTTATGTAAGTGCAGTAAAACTAGTGATCAGCCACATAGGATCTTTTTAAGTTTGCTTTGCTTGAACGTTTTATAAGGAATCTCAGACTGGACTTTTAAAAATATCTGAAAGCTACAGAACCAAGCCAAAGATTCAATGTCACATTTCACCTATAATATCTATATATGTGAGAAAATTTATTTCTGCTCAAGGTTCCCAAAAACATTCAAACGTTCCTGGGCATGTGACAAAGGGACATTGTATATATTTATTTTTACATTGTATATATTTAGTTTTAGGGTACATGTGCACAACGTGCAGGTTTGTTACATATGTATACATGTGCCATGTTGGTGTGCTGCACCCATCAACTCATCATTTAGCATTAAGTATATCTCCTAATGCTATCCCTCCCCCATCCCCCCACCCCACAACAGGCCCTGGTGTGTGATGTTCCCCTTCCTGTGTCCAAGTGTTCTCATTGTTCAATTCCCACCTATGAGTGAGAACATGCAGTGTTTGGTTTTTTGTCCTTGCAATAGTTTGCTGAGAATGATGGTTTCCAGCTTCATCCATGTCCCTACAAAGGACACGAACTCATCATTTTTTATGGCTGCATAGTACTCCGTGGTGTATATGTGCCACATTTTCTTAATCCAGTCTATCATTGTTGGAAATTTGGGTTGGTTCCAAGTCTTTACTATTGTGAATAGTGCCGCAATAAACATACGTGTGCATGTGTCTTCATAGCAGCATGATTTATATTCCTTTGGCATGGCTGGGTCAAATGGTATTTCTAGTTCTAGATCCCCGAGGAATCGCCATACTGTTTTCCACAATAGTTAAACTAGTTTACAGTCCCACCAACAGTGTAAAAGTGTTCCTATTTCTCCACATCCTCTCCAGCACCTGTTGTTACCTGACATTTTAATGATTGCCATTCTAACTGGTATGAGACGATATCTCATTGTGGTTTTGATTTGCATTTCTCTGATGGCCAGTGATGATGAGCATTTTTTCTTGTATCTGTTGGCTGCATAAATGTCTTCTTTTGAGAAGTGTCTGTTCTTATCCTTCACTCACTTTTTGATGGGGTTGTTTGCTTTTTTCTTGTACATTTGTTTGAGTTCTTTGTAGATTCTGGATATTAGCCCTTTGTCAGATGAGTAGATTGCAGAAATTTTCTCCCATTCTGTAGGTTGCCTGTTCACTCTGATGGTAGTTTCTTTTGCTGTGCAGAAGCTCTTTAGTTTAATGAGATCCCATTTGTCAATTTTGGCTTTTGTTGCCATTGCTTTTGGTGTTTTAGACATGAAGTCCTTGCCCATGCCTATGTCCTGAATGGTATTGCCTAGGTTTTCTTCTAGGGTTTTTATGGTTTTTGGTCTAACATTTAAGTCTTAATCCATCTTGAATTAATTTTTGTATAAGGTGTAAGGAAGGGTTCCAGTTTCAGCTTTTTACGTATGGCTAGCCAGTTTTCCCATAACCATTTGTTAAATAGGGAATCCTTTCCCCATTGCTTGTTTTTGTCAGGTTTGTCAAAGATCAGATAGTTGTAGATGTGTGGCATTATTTCTGAGGGCTCTGTTCTGTTCCATTGGTCTATATCTCTGTATTGGTACCAGTACCATGGTGTTTTGGTTACTGTAGACTTGTAGCATAGTTTGAAGTCAGGTAGTGTGATGCCTCCAGCTTTGTTCTTTTGGCTTAGGATTGACTTGGCAATGCGGGCTCTTTTTTGGTTCCATATGAACCTTAAAGTAGTTTTTTCCAATTCTGTGAAGAAAGTCATTGGTAGCTAGATGGGGATGGCATTGAATCTATAAATTACCTTGGGCAGTATGGCCATTTTCACGATATTGATTCTTCCTATCCATGAGCATGGAATGTTCTTCCATTTGTTTGTATCCTCTTTTATTTTGTAGAGCAGTGGTTTGTAGTTCTCCTTGGAGAGGTCCTTCACATCCCTTGCAAATTGGATTCCTAGGTATTTTATTCTCTTTGAAGCAATTGTGAATGGGAGTTCACTCATGATTTGGCTCTCTGTCTGTTATTGGTGTATAAGAATGCTTGTGATTTTTGCACATTGATTTTATATCCTGAGACTTTGCTGAAGTTGCTTGTCAGCTTAAGGAGATTATGGGCTGAGATGATGGGGTTTTCTAGATATACAATCATGTCACCTGCAAACAGGGACAATTTGACTTCCTCTTTTCCTAATTGAATACCCTTTACTTCATTCTCCTGCCTGATAGCCCTGGCCAGAACTTCCAACACTATGTTGAATAGGAGTGGTGAGAGAGGGCATCCCTGTCTTGTGCCAGTTTTCAAGGGGAATGCTTCCAGTTTTTGCCCATTCAGTATGATATTGGCTGTGGGTTTGTCATAAATAGCTCTTATTATTTTCAGATACGTTCCATCAATACCTAGTTTATTGAGAGTTTTTAGCATGAAGATTGTTGAATTTTATCGAAGGCCTTTTCTGAATCTATTGAGATAATCATGTGGTTTTTGTCTTTGGTTCTGTTTATATGCTGGATTACGTTTATTGATTTGCATATGTTGAACCAGCCTTGCATCCGAGGGATGAAGCCCACTTGATTATGGTGGATAAGCTTTTTGATGTGCTGCTGGATTCGGTTTGCCAGTATTTTGTTGAGGATTTTTGCATCAATGTTCATCAGGGATATTAGTCTAAAATTCTCTTTTTTTGTTGTGTCTCTGCCAGGCTTTGGTATCGGGATGATGCTGACCTCATAAAATGAGTTAGGGAGGATTCCTCTTTTTCTATTGATTGTAATAGTTTCAGAAGGAATGGTAGCAGCTCCTCCTTGTACCTCTGGTAGAATTCAGCTGTGAATCCATCTGGGCCTGGACTGTTCAGCAATATTTGCTGTTCTGCAGCCTCCGCTGCTGATACCCAGGCAAACAGGGTCTGGTGTTGACCTCCAGGAAACTCCAACAGACCTGCAGCTGAGGGTCCTGACTGTTAAAAGGAAAACTAACAAACAGAAGGGATATCCACACCAAAACCCCATCTGTACGTCACCATCATCAAAGACCAAAAGCAGATAAAACCACAAAGATGGGGAAAAAAACAGAAGAGAAAAACTGAAAGTTCTAAAAATAAGAGCAACTCTTCTCCTCCAAAGGAACGCAGCTCCTCACCAGCAATGGAACATAGCTGGACAGAGAATGACTTTGACAAGTTGAGAGAAGAAGGCTGCAGATGATCAAAATTCTCAGAGCTAAGGGAGGAGTTTGAAACCATCGGAAAGAAGTTAAAAACATTGAAAAAAGATTAGATGAATGGCTAACTAGAATAACCAGTGTAGAGAAGTCCTTAAATGACCTGATGGAGCTGAAAACCATGGCACAAGAACTACGTGACGAATGCACAAGCTTCAGTAGCTGATTCGATCAACTGGAAGAAAGGGTATCAGTGATGGAAGATCAAATGAATGAAATGAAGCGAGAAGAGAAGTTTAGAGAAAAAAGAATAAAAAGAAACAAAGCCTCCAAGAAATATGGGACTATGTGAAAAGACCAAATCTACGTCTGATTGGTGTACCTGAAAGTGACAGGGAGAATGGAACCAAGTTGGAAAACACTCTGCAGGATATTATCCAGGAGAACTTCCCCAATCTAGCAAGGCAGGTCAACATTCAGATTCAGGAAATACAGAGAATGCCACAAAGATACTCCTTGAGAAGAGCAGCTCCAAGACACATAATTGTCAGATTCACCAAAGTTGACATGAAGGAAAAAATGTTAAGGGCAGCCAGAGAGAAAGGTCGGGTTACTCACAAAGGGAAGCCCATCAGACTAACAGCTGATTTCTCGGCAGAAACTCTACAAGCCAGAAGAGAGTGGGTACCAATATTCAACATTCTTAAAGGAAAGAATTTTCAACCCAGAATTTCATATCCAGCCAAACTAAGCTTCATAAGTGAAGGAGAAATAAAATCCTTTACAGACAAGCAAATGCTGAGAGATTTTGTCACCACCAGGCCTGCCCTACAAGAGCTCCTGAAGGAAGCACTAAACATGGAAATGAACAACCGGTACCAGCCACTGCAAAAACATGCCAAATTGTAAAGACCATCGATGCTGGGAAGAAGTTGCATCAACTAACGAGCAAAATAACCACCTAACATCTTAATGACAGTATCAAATTCACACATAACAATATTACCCTTCAGTGTAAATGGGCTAAATGCTCCAATTAAAAGACACAGACTGGCAAATTGGATAAAGAGTCAAGACCCATCAGTGTGCTGTATTCAGGAAACCCATCTCGTATGGAGAGACACACATAGGCTCAGAATAAAGGGTTGGAGGAAGATCTACCAAGCAAACGGAAAACAAAAAAAGGCAGGGGTTGCAATCCTAGTCTCTGATAAAACAGGCTTTAAACCAACAAAGATCAAAAGAGACAAAGAAGACAAAGGGACATTTTTTACCCACCTGTAAAGCAGTCACGTGAACCATGTGCTCAAGGTATGAGACCAGTTTCTCCAAGGTGCGCTTTCTTGCCTTTCTGAAGTTTACCTTAGTTTCTCAAAGTTGTCTGGTCATATTTTAAAATATGTCATTCCAGTCAAGCATTTGTAAGTTAAGAAGTGTTTCCCCTTGTATCCTATTACAAAGAGAATATTTTCTTATTGAACTTATGTGAATAACTACATTGCCATAAAAATGAGAATACTCACAAATAATTTCCAAATTTTGGAGATATCAGATGGGGAGAAGAATAAATATTTTCATTCTATTTACCAATGTATATTTGACCAAATTGCTGTAACAAATAGATAGCTTAAAATAAAAACAAAACAAAACAGTTTCTTTAAATCCAGAAAAGTTAACATTTAAGTAATCAGCAAAATTTCAAATAAGTAATCATAAAAAGTTCTTATCAGTTCATTTAGACCCACGAATTAATTCTTACTCTGTTTGATCTCGATGAGCACGTTCACAAAATCACTCAGTTCATTTATTAGAGCTCTGAAAATTCTCACCCAGTCCAATGGTATAATCTTAAAGTTATCAGAAACCTGTACATTTCAGAGTTCTTTCTATCCTTTCTATGAATCTAATTAAAGAAACAAGTTTGGACCTCAGCTGATTGACAGTGCTTTTAAATAAAAACCAAAGTAAAACAATAACTATTTGGATGTCAAAAACTTAAAATGGCCGTGATTAGAAACCTGATGAGCGAAATTGATAAAATTTGGTTGTTTCTGTGGCATAAAATATTTTAATGTAATAACCAAAATTATATTAGAAGTATAGACTTCTAGGAATTTTATACAATTTTGAAACATTCGTATTACTACCATACCTGTAAATATAACTTAAAGAAAGTTTAGCATCACTTACTGTTCAACAATGCTTCCATATATTTTAATATATCAAATAAGCCTAATTGCTTTAGTGTCTCTCTTTGTATAAAATATCAAGCAATTCTCCTAACTCAGTCTCCCCAGTAGCTGGGATGACAGGCACGTGCCACCATGCCCAGCTAATTTTTGTATTTCTAGTAGAGACAGGGCTTCACCATGCTGGCCAGGCTGGTCTTGAACTCCTGACCTCATGATCTGCCCACCTCGGCCTCCCAAAGTGCTGGGATTATAGGCATGAGCCATTGCATCCAGCCTAGAAAGAATTTTTATGTTTGTTTACAGACTTAAATATATTTACCTTCTGTATACCTTATAAAAACAAGATGTCAAAATATATATAGTTTAAACCAATGACTAGTAATTAATGTGTCAGTATTTTAACTTATAAATAAGGCAGACATTTAATAACTATTACTTAATTTCACTTTAAAGTTTCAGAATACCAAAAATATTTTTGAAACTATTTTTAAGTAGATATCTTTTATAAAACATAAATATTATTGAAAAGTTTACTTACAAACTTTTATTCCACTTATATCTTATTGAATTTACTTATTCTTAATATTTGTGCTTGAATGGGTCATGAAAACAGGCTAAGCATAATCTATGTTTTTCTTTTGAAAAATTGAAACCAATCCAAATCTGTGTTAGCTAGCCTTGTCTTAACCAAGGCCTCTGAGACTCTGAACATAGTTATGGTCCTCAATTCCCACCTCTAGTCATCCTGGGTTTTGAGCAATCAGATGGTGCCCAGTGTGCCTGCAAATGGCAGAGCACATCTGGATCTTTGACCCACATACCAGGGATAGAGCACAAGCCAAAGGATAGAGGTCAGACAGCTGTGAAGATAATGCCTGGATCACCAGGAGTCACAACTGGGCCAGGGAGGACAGGACTATCCTGGGCTTGACCCTGCACTTTGGCTAGCAGCCCAGGTGCTATAGATACACAAATGTCTTCAGGCTGTACCATGGCCATCTGCCCAGATCCCAAAATCCAGGGCTTCATACTAAAATAAGCTCACAGCAAGATGTGTGTAAGATTTCAGGAGAGCACAGCAACTGACTCCCATAGCTTCAGTCCACCAATAAATCAGGCAAGTATCAAAAATATCACAGAATAAATTGTTAAGGGTAATTTTTTTCTTGCTCTCATGACTAATATATACCAAGTAATTGGTTCTGCTCTTAGGTTCGATTTATCATTTTATGACCTTAAAACATTTAGGAGACACAACCTAAACCTGTCTAACCAGCAATCCCAGGCAAAAATGTTTGTATTATATTTGATGCTGACAATTCAGAAGACATTCCTACTTTTATATGACCAAAAAATTTAAAATTATCTTTATTTACCAAGGATTATCTCATATCACATGAACCAAAAGCCTTTGAGTTAGTTTCTACTTTTCCTTTTTGACAGAATACTTGTGGTTTTTTTTTTTTTCAGACAGTCATCTCCCTGAAGTTTGTATTTCCAAAAGGTATCTATAGTTCTAGTGAAGATAAAAGATAAGCATAGTTCTAGAGAAGACAGGGTAATAGATTTACATCTCATGGGCACAGGGAGATTGCAAGTTCTTCTAAGAAGGAGTTTGAGGCATATTTGCCTATTATCAGAGCTCAATCTTGTGGAGGCTGTGGGCTAGATTTTAGACTGGTGATGAAAAAGACACACCGTGGCTGTCTGAATGTTTCCAAAGACCACTTGGAATGGTATAGGGAAGTACGCAGAGGGTCCTAGGATAAAATTAAGAAGCTTATTCAAAATAAGGGGCTGAATATCAGAAAGTTATATTTTGGAGACCAATTTAATCAGATACGTGGATTTTCAGTTTTGCTTTTGTTTAATCTTGGGTCTCTCAAAATGAAGATAAAAGCATAAGAGTAAAATGCCACAAGCTTAGGTTGTGTAATTGTTTTAGAATATACCTCATTGCATGGACATTTTATTGAAGCTGGTGGGTGACCTAATGTCAACTAGCCCATTCTATGCCCAGCTTATTCTAAAATGGAAGTCATATTTTTCAGTGGTGAGCATGCTACTAGCTCTTAAGTGCCTGAACTGTGTCCTCCAGTCAAGACTTTGACTCTAAGATCCCTTTAGCTAACTTAACCAATGATTTTCCAGTTTCTCTCTGACCGAATCAGATGCCCGAGGCCTTCCTCACTTAAGTACACAAGAAAAAGAGACAAAGGGTTAAAACCCAGACACCTATAACTCCAAAAAGTGGAGTCTGTATCCCCTGCAGCAATAATTACTTAATGAACTGCTGTCAGTTACTTTTAAAACTGCATCTCTTGTCAGTGACTTGTCAGCCACTGCAAACCCAAAGGTCAAGTGCCTTCACACTGCAGTAACTAACCCTTGGTATCCTCAAAGCCAAAGAGATTAGGCAATGCAAAACACAGCAGAGCTTCAGACCTGAGAGAAACTTATTCATGACTCTCAGGGCTACATGCAGAAGACAGAGGCCTCCCAAAGGGGGTCAATAGTGCCTTTCCTGGATTCCTCAAGAGGTTTTAGTGTCACAGGATGTCTCCTTCAGGTCCCTTCATGTGGCTGCCAGAACGCTGATGCTTCCTATTAGTAATCTTGTATCTACTCTTCACCAAATGGAGGAGAAAGGGACTTGAAGGGGAACATATCAAGGATTTAAGGAAACTGGACAGAAAATCAAAGGTGACAAAAGGCAGAAGGAGGAACAGAAGTAAATGGAAGGAACAGTTCTTAGAGGAGCTAATTTGAGGAGATTTTAAGTTTCTCAAAAAGGTCAATGAAGTGCCCTGTTAACCTCATCAAAAATCATGGCAACAAGAAAAGAAGCTGACAGAGGGACTGAACATATAGATAGCAGGGATTTGAAAAAATGGGTTTTAGTTGACTAAGAAGTTCTCACAGGAGATGCAGGATCAAATAGACAGAAGAGAGAGGCCTACAAAAATTTATAGTCTGAAGATCAGCTTTCCATTAAGTCAGCTTTGGACCATGGAGCTCTTAAAAAAAAATTATTGCAAATCTCTTGTCAGATTTCAACCAACAAAACAGCAAATATTCCTGGCTTTGGGGGAAGGGAAGATATTTGCATATTGGTGGTCTAGGGTAATTACTACCCAAACTTTTCTTTCTTTTTTAAGTTCAGGGCACATGTCGGTTTTTTAAATACTCAGTTTTTGAGATAAGGATAGTTGTTGGGTGGTGGTGGTGTTGTTGTAAAGATAGGGTCTCACTCTGTCACCCAGGCTAGAGTACAGTGGCATGATCATAGCTAACTGCAGCCTTAAATTCCTGGGCTCCAGTGATCCTCCTGCCTTGGCCTCCCAAAGTACTGGGATTACAAGTGTGTGCCATCATGCCCAGGTAAGGTTAGTTGTTTTTAATTCCTCAATAATTAATTTGCAGCCTGAATGCTATTGAGGGGCTCACCCATCTATCCAATTGTATTATCATTTGTTTGCTCCTTCCTATCAGGAATCAGGTTTCCAACTAAGAAGGAAATCAAAAGATTTCTGTGCTCTATATTTAGAATTGTTAGTGTTTGTGATGTTTTAATAAATTGTTTCTTTTTCCTTCTGAGTATACAGTTCCATTTTAGCTTAGTAGAGAAAGTCAAACAAATAAGAACCAAAGTTATATCTGACAAGTAATTCCAGACAAAAACTAATAAGCCTTTTGAGGCTTAACTAAGGTTTCCAAAGAGGAAGCAAAAAGGTGCAGCCTTTTCAAGATCCAGAGCACTCCAAATGACAGCCAGAGTTAGAAAAGCTTAGACAACACATTGAGAGCTGGCGGTAGTCAATTTGCTTAGCCACAGTGGGGCTTAACACACATTTCTCTCTGGCCATTTTCTTTGGGGTCCCAACCTTATGGTTGGCTGCCTGCACACAAAGCCCAAATAATCAAAATGCCCCAATAGACGGAGTGTTAAAAATGTGACAAATGGGAAAACAAAGGCTGTTCATGGAAGGGGAAGGACCACAAATGAATTGACACCCAAAACCAAAAGTCATAATTCAAATGAATTCAAACAAATAATTCATTCTTTAGCTAAAGGAATGTACTAAGGAAATGGAGCTAGATTTAGAAAAAGGGAATTTTAAATCTGGGGACCAGAAATGCAAAAGATCTGGAGTGTCAGGGACTCCCAGGAAGTTGAGAGAGTATAAGAGGGCAGAGAGGAGAATTTATGGGTGGATTTGAATTTTAACTTTGTTTCTAATCTAATTTCTGCTTTTTAATCTTATTAAAGGAGTATCTAAGGCTAGCTTTTATACTCCTTTGTGTCCATTTTTAAATTTGATTTTCCCATAGGTATCAGAAATATAGTTGTTTGGGATGAGAGCTCTCTCAAATAATTTTGTTCCTTATTTGTGTATTTATTTATTTATTTTGGGATGGGGTTTTGTTCTTGTTGCCCAGGCTGGAGTGCAATGGCACAGTCTCGGCTCACTGCAGCCTCCACCTCCTGGATTCAAGCAATTCTCCTGCCTCAGCCTCCTGGGTAGCTGGGGTTACAGGTGCCCAGCTACTTTTTTGTATTTTTGGTAGAGGCAGGGTTTCACCATGTTGGCCAGGCTGGTCTTGAACTCCTGACCTCAGGTGATCCACCTGCCTCAGCCTCCCAAAGTGCTGGGATTACAGGCATGAGACACCGCACCTGGCCAATTTTGCTCTTTTTAAATATAACCCCTTATTGTTTAGAATTGACTCAGACTAATAAGTTCATGGAGACATGCAAGGTAACTTTCCATGTTTAGAATATCATGGCCAAACAACAACAACAAAAAAAAAGTCACCAGAGTTACTGAATCTAAGAGCAAATTTATACAAATGATTTTTTCATGTTAATCTGAATTTGGAAAGGAAGGAACAAACAAATTTTTACTTTACATTCTTGACAAGATTCTGGAGGCAGAAATCTGGGACAGCTGACATTGATAAAAATTCTGACCTTTTTTATCTGGCTTTTTGTTGGTTGTCTGAGAATAACACCAGTATGTTCCAAAGTGAGTCAGGTGTCTCAGGTGTCCCTTATTGGACACCAGAAACAGTAGGGGCAAAAATGGGGTGATACCTTTTCTCACCCCTCATAAGGCTGACTCCCCTATAACAAAAGACAAGAGGAGAAGAACATAACATGAGAGCCTTCAGAATGAAGGCTGAAAGACACAAAGAAAAACTGTCCACTTTATGCTTACATTCCATGAAGAGTGGACAGCCATGTAGGAGTGCAATTGGACAAAGGGTAATAATCCAGAAAGCCCCCATCAGTGGAAACTCTTCTTGGCCTCTGATATGGTGTAGCTGTGTCCCCACCCAAATCTCATCTTGAATCGTAGTTCCCATAATCCACATTTGTCATGGGAGGGACCAAGTGGGAAGTAATTGAATCATGGAGCTGATTACCCCCATGTTGTTCTCATGACAGTAGTGACTGGGTTTGCATAAGATATGATGGTTTTATAAGGGGCTTTTCCCCCATTGCTTGGCACTCATTCTGTCTCCCGCCACCCTGAGAAGTGGTGACTTCTGCCATGATTATAAGTTTCCTGAGGCCTCCCCAGCCATGTGGAACTGTGAGTCAATTAAACCTCTTTTCTTTATAAATTACCCAGTCTCAGGTATTTCTTCATAGCATTTGAAAATGAACTAATACAATAAATTGGTACTGAGGTAGTGGGGCATTGCTGTAAAGATACGCAAAAATGTGAGAGCAACTTTGGAAATGGGTAACAGTCAGAGGTTGGAACAATTTGAAGGGCTCAGAAGAAGAAAGGAAGATGTAGGAAAGTCTGGAACTTCCTAGAGACTTGTTGAATGGCTTTTAGCGAAATGCTGATAGTGGTATGGACAATGAAGTCCAGGCTGAGGTGGTCTCAGATGGAGATGAGGAACTTTTTGGGAACTGAATAAAGGTGATTCTTGCTATCCTTTAGCAAAGAGACTGAAGGCATTTTGCCCCTGTCCTTTACATCTGTGGAACTTTGAACTTGAGAGAGTTGATTTAGGGTATCTGGCAGAAGAAATTTCTAAGTGACAAAGTGTTCAAGAGAAAGCAAAGCATAAAAGTTTGGAAAATTTGCAGCCGGGTGATGTCATAGAAAAGAAGAAAACAATTTTCTGGGGAGAAATTCAAGCATGCAGCAGAAATTTGCATAAGTATGAGGAACCAAATGTTAATCACCAAGACAATGGGGAAAATGTCTCCAGGGCATGTTAAAGACCTTCACAGCAGTCCCTGTCCACAGACCTGGAAGCCTAGGAGGAAAAAATGGTTTCATGGGCTGGGCCCAGGGCCCGCCCACTCTATGCATCCTCAGGACATGGTGCCCTGTGCCCCAGTTGCTTCAGCTCCAGCTGTAGCTAAAAGGGGCCAAGGTATAGCATGGGACATGGCTTCAGATGATGCAAGTCCCAAGCCTTGCAGCTTACCTGTAGTGTTGGGCCTGCAGGTGCACAGAAGTTAAGAATAGAGTTTGGGGAACCTCCACCTAGATTTCAGATCATGTATGGAAATGCCTGGATGTCCAGGCAGAAGTTTGCTGCAGGGGCTGAGCCCTCATGGAGAACCTCTGCTAGGGCAGTGCAGAAGGGAAATGTGGGGTTGGAGCCCCCACACAGAGTCCCCACCGGGGCACTACCTAGTGGAGCTTTGAAAAAAAGGGCCATCATCCTCCAGACCCCAGGATGCTAGATCCACTGACAGCTTGCATTATGTACCTGGAAAAGCTGTAGACATTCAATGCCAGCCCATAAAAGCAGCCAGGAGAGTGACTATACCCTACAAAGCCACAGGGGCAGAACTACACAAGGCCGTGGGAGCCCACGTCATGCATCAGCATGAACTGGATGTGAGACATGGCGTTAAGGAGATCATTTTGGAACTTTAAGGTTTAATGACTTCCCTATTGGATTTCAGACTTGCATGGGGCCTATAGCCCCTTTTTTTGGTCTATTTCTCCCATTTGGAATGGGTGTATTTACCCAATGCATGTACCCTAATTGTATATAGGAAGTAACTAACTTGCTTTTGATTTTACAGGCTAATAGGCAGAAGAGACTTGCCTTATCTCAGATGAGACTTTGAACTTGGACTTTTGGGTTAATGCTGGAATGAGCTAACACTTTGGAGGACTGTTGGGAAGGCATGATTGTGTTTTGAAATGTAAGAACATGAGATTAGGGAGTGGCCCGGGGCAGAATGATATGGTTTGGCTCGGTGTCACCACCCAAATCTCATCTTGAATTGTAGTTCCCATAATTTCCACATGTTGTGGAAGGGACCTGTTGGGAGGTAATTGAATCTTGGGGGCAGTTACCCCCATATTGTTCTCATGATAGTGAGATCTCACGAAATCTGATGGTTTGGTAAGAAGATTTTCCCCGTTTGCTTGGCACTCATTCTCTCCCCTGCCACCCTCAGAAGAGGTGCCTTCTGCCATGACTGTGAGTTTCCTGAGGCCTCGCCAGCTTTGTGGAACTGGGAGTCAATTAAACCTCTTTTCTTTATAAATTACCCAGTCTCTGGTATTTCTTCATAGCAGCATGGGAACAAACTAATACAGCCTCTGTGCATCATTCCTTATTCCCAGGGACTGAGTAGGGCCCCTTCTGGTATAAGGGTCTTAAGAGCTATTATTGGACAAGGTTGGGTTAGAGAATTTCCTTACACCCATCTCCTATATAGAAGAACAAGGAGGGTTAGAGTAGTATTTTTCTAGGTTTATAGCTGGATTTGTGGAAAAGGGGTTCTAGTTTTTATGACTGGCCTTGAGGAAGAGAAATTTTGGTTTCTGTGACTTGCTTCAAGAAGAATGTCAGAAGGTCAGAGGGATCGTGGGTCTGAGGCTACTTCTGAGGCTTTCCAATGTCCTTTAGTTCAAAGTACTAAACATGTCATAGTGCCATACTTTGGAGTATTGTTTCATGAGCCCTAGCAGATTGATCTAATTAGATTAATAATAAATAAATATATAAAACTAAACAAAAGACAGTGTGAAAACAGTCAAACTTATAAAAAATGCAATTCCTTGGCTTGCATTTCTATTATTTATATTGATTCAAAAAGAACTGGTATTTTTATTACTTCCAGAATAAATTTCATAACAGTGAAATGTTTATATTTTACCATGCAATGATCTTTTAACAATTGATGGAATCGTGTACTTGTAAGCTTCATTATTGTGAATTGCTTATACCTTAATAAAATTGAATTCAATTTACATATTAGCTAATTGAATATGACTAGCTGAAATGGAAATGTTTTATAATGATGGTGCATAGCAACAACAGATTGATAGTTCTTTAGTACTTTAGTATTCCAGTTCTCAATAGTTCTCACAGCATGTAATAATGTAGTGCAGGGACAATTGTTGATTTTCCACAAGCTGATCCTTAGTAGTTGATCTTATGCAACTCTTCTAAACCTCCTTTCAGTAGTTTAAAGGTAATGATGGGCATAATGCACTACAAGTGCTAAAGAATTTAGTTTTGTCAACTCAGCATACTAAAGGATCTCAACTTATTTATTCTACACAGCAACTTTTGTTCCCCTGCACAATAACATACAAGTGAATAGTGACACTGTAGGGATAGTACCATGTTTTAAGAAGTGTGAAATAGAATCATAAAGAGTGTGAAATTACAAAAAGTGGAGATGCACCTTTGGACAGTCCCATTGTATTCTATGCCACCAGTTTCCTGGATGGAGAGTGACAGAAACAGAGATCAAACAAAAGAGAAGAAATGCCTGATTATCAGAAAAAGGAAGTATTTAACATTAGGGAAAATACGTAATGTAAATGATGAGTTGACGGGTGCAGCAAACCAACATGGCACATGTATACCTATGTAACAAACCTGTACGTTGTGCACATGTACCCTATAACTTAAAGTATAATTAAAAAAAAAGAAAAAGGAAGCATTTCTTAGATATTCATTTAAATCTCAAGTGTGTTACTGTTCTATATACTTAATAGAGATTACAAGTAACAAAAATGGCATTCAGGAATAGCAAAACAAAGCTGACTTTGGCATATACCTAATTATATATAGTGCAGAGAGTATTATTTGTTGGAAAATTAGGTAGTTTCAAAAATGCTGGGTAGCATTTAGATAGTCTTACTACTTTAATGGTACTCAATTGTCCAATTTGGGTATCAACACAAAATGAAACTTTGTTAAACCCTTTAATTCTTCCATTTATTATATCAGTTCCAGGATTTCCACTTGTAAAATTCCTGATTATATCTGAAATCTACAACACAGTCAATAATATACTCTAATTACTTATTTGCAAGAGAGTATTGTATTTCTAATTTGGCTTTTCCAGCCAAAGAGTTAAGAATGCCAATTTAGATAAATTTAATTCCCAGTCATTAAAATGTTTTCTTGGGTACAAAGGATGGAATTCTGTGTCTGTTTTTTAAGTCTAACTAATGAACAACTGTACTGAGACTATCTTTTAAAAACTAATTTTCTCACCAATAGTAGCAGACAGTGCAGATATAAGCCTGTTACCAAAACAACATGAAAATCGGGCATTTTAACTCTGTTCCTAACTTGTTAGAACACCCATTCCCCCCTCCCCCCGACAGACATACACAGATAAGAATCAAGGAGATAAGAACTTTCAAGTTTCAGCTCACTTGGTAGATTAAGCAAGTGTGAGATTGGCTATTTGAAGTATTCACGTTCTGGACTGCACACTATAAAGCGATAAAAATCTGTTTTTCTTAGCTTCCAGAATTAATTGTTTGGCAGTGGGTTGTTTTTAATTAGGTTATCCAACAAAAGATAGTAATCTCAGGCAAAATCTCTCAGGTTAGTCTTTTTTAAAAGAAAAGATACAGATTTATCCTCTTATTTTCAGCCAATTGATTATAGCATCTCTTAGTCTGGAGAAACACTGTTTCTCTATATGCGCAACACTCCTGACAACAACTGTGTGGAGTTTTTCCGTACCAAGCAATTCTCCAACTCTCCACCAAACAGCTGGGTGTCCTAGCATTCAATCCAATTCTGACATCATCTAAATGTAGTTAGTTTGAGAGTGTACCAATTAGAAGGCTTAGTATCACAACACTGAACCCAATCCAGATGTCAGTTGCAAGCCTGGGCCTCCCATACTTCTGATGGACTAGCTATAAATTGGGGATTTCTACAACCCTATTCTCAGGTGTGATAATGTGCTAAAATGGCTCACAGATCTCAGGGAAACACTGTACTTATATTTACTCAGGAACAGCCAGATGGAAGAGATGAATGGGGCATATCCTACCTGGGTACGCCACCCTCCCAGCATTTTGATATGTTCACCAGCCTGGAAGCTCGTCAAATTTTGTTGAAGAGATTTTAGTTAGCCTAATCTTTTCTCCTACCTACCTCCTCTTTAGAATCATTCTAATCATTCAGTCTTTCTGTCGAACCGCCCCATTCTGAAGTTATCTAGGCCTGCACCCACCCACCCCCATTGTCTCATTAGCATAAACTCAAGTGTGATCAAAAGATTTGCTTATGAATAACAAAATACACTCCTATCAGTCGGGAACAGAGGACAAAGACCAAATACACTGTTTATTATACCATATTGAGTTAATTTAACATGAAAACTAGATGAATCTATTGCTATTACTTAAGTAATAATTAGATTTTCATTACAAGATAAATCTTAATAAATGAAAATAAATCTCAACAATGAATCTAGTATTATCTAGTCACTCCCTATTCTTTCTCTATTTTAATTTAAAAAGTGTATAATTTCTGTATTTAATGTAACTATCAGTCTTCCTAACCAAATATGAAGTATCAGTGTTCACAATGATAAATTTGTTTTCTCATATCTCATCATGCCTGCTCTTCAATTCTATAGCCTTGTTGGCACGTGTAGTTTCTCTTCCCTTGAAAAGAGTCAGTTAAGACAATACTAGTTCCACAAATGTATTTTTTTGTCAGCCCAGCTTTGTCTCTCCTAAGATAGTCTTATTTGATTTTGGGGAGTTGTTTCATTCCATCATGTATAATTTTGGTCTGAGAGTAAACCCGAGTATTTGTCAGCCATTTGAATAGTCAAAGGAGCCATAAGTTTTCTCTCAACATTTTTGTACAGTCTAGAGAGGACACATGATCTAAGCTTGGCCAATTGGATGCTTTTTTGTGGTTTTGAGTCTTGGGTAAGGGCGCAATGAAGGATTACAGATTATTCATCACACAGGAACAGGCCGGCCAGACTTTCTTCTATGAGGCATTGCTGTTCTTCCTGGCCACAGCTCACATGGTCTTCCTATCTGTCTTAATTCTCTGGGCCCCTTGTAGCCTTCCAATAATTTTTTTTTACTTAACTAAAGACTCTTGTTTGCAATCCAAATCTTATCAGTTACAGGACTATTACTCTGCTTTTTCCAATGTAAGTAAATATAACTTTTAAGAATAGAAGGATAATACCTGTAAGTTGAATGTTATCAATTTTTTAAAATGTCTATATTTAGACCAAGAATATAGCAATAAAATGTGATATCATTCTACTGGAAAAATTAGGTGAGATATGAATGTTACAGGGAAACAAAAAGGTCAACACATACAAACTTTTCACTTCTAGCCTTAATGACCCACATTAAAATTATTTCTAAAAGAAAGAAAGTATATATGGTTAAATGTAAGTCTTACCTTTATAGATAAGCCTTTGTGCTCTCCCTGTAAAAACATTTGTGGTAATGTACATACATAAACTATCTACACTTCACATACTTTTTAAGTACTGTTTGTGGAGCCTGCTTATTAGAATTCTGCCTTTTCAATTTGTAATGTAGGAGTAAGTAACTATAAGAAACAAAAAACGAAGGCAAGACAAGGGAAAAGGAAAAGAAATTAATAGTTTATGTGTGCTTCTTAAACTAGGCTTTACGCTAGGCATTTGAAATACATAATGACGTTTAATCTCCATAGTAACTCTATGACATTGTAAGATTTCATTCATTTTACAAATGCAGGAACAGAAACAGTGATCAAGTAAGTTTTTTCAAGTTCATAGAACTAGCAAGGCATCAAAATGAGATTTAAACCTGTTTACCCTAAAGTCCATGTATTTATTGCCATATGAGAAAAAAAAGATACAGTAGTAGATTAATTATATATATGATCACACACATTCAGATATGTATATATACTGTATATATCAACATATATCAACATGCATATATGTGTGCATATTATTGAACTATTGATTTGCAAATACACATGCACATATGTGTGCACATATGTGTATTTGCAATCTAATAATTCAATAAGATGTATTTATAAAAAGAATGAGTTTAAATTTTTTCAACATTTCTTATTCCATCTGGGAGTTTCTACAGTAACACATTTTGAGAGAAAGCTGACCACATCCTATTTAATTGAATTCAATTCTTATGAATATTCCTGCATGAAGAATGAATGTCTTCATTGAAGCACAGGGGTTATAAGAGTAGCAATTATTTAATATAAGCAAGTGATACCTTAGAAATACAGGCATATATATGTAAAATGTAATTCATCTATATTTGTACATTTTATTGTATGGGCTACTGTGCCCAGCAATTTCAGCTAACATGACCAACTGACATGATATAGACAGCCTGCATTCTCCCACTACAGAAACAGAAATGCTTGGAAAAATAGGGCATTACTTATCTATCTATCACTGAATAACAAATTACCACCAAAATATTATCTCATCATTTCTGTGGGCCAGGAATTTAAGAACAGCTTAGCTGGATGGTTCTGGCTCTGGGTCCCTCATTAGGCTGCAATCAAGTTTCAGCTTGGGCTACAGTCATCTAAAGGGTTGGAAAGGGCTGGAGGATCCATTTCCAAGATGGCTCATTCACATGGCTATGGGCAGGATGTGTCCGTTCTTCACTGCCTGTGGGCTGGAGGCCTGAGTTTCCTACCATGTGGGCTGCTTATTGGTGATCTAGCTTCCCCCAGATAAGTAATTCAAGAAGGAAAGAACTACAAAGAAGTTGTGATATCTTTTTATGGCCTGTTCTCCAAGTCATACATGATTACTTGAGCTTTATTCTAATCATTAGAAGCAAGTACCTAAGTTCAGCCCATACTCAAGCCTTTGTCTCTTATAGGGAGGAGTGTCAGAGAGTGTCAAAGAGATTGTGGACATAATGTTTTTAAGCCACAGTTATCACAAAAAGTAAAATGCCAAAACAGTAGGAGGAAGCCAGGGCCAGATAGCTGATGGGATTTCAGACCTGGAGATATTTTCTCCAGGCTAGGGGCTGAGGTTGTAATTTCACATTAGAGGAGAAAAATAAAGAATCTCGGTCTTCTCCCATACCGTGCAAATAATACTACTAACTCCACTACATGAAACTAGGATCTTAGAAGGGTTGTGATGTGTATGAAAAAAGAAATGGAAAAAAATTACTCAAGGGCTTCACCAGTATGTAAGGAAACTTAACATATGACCGTGATTGTACTTCGGGGATGGTAGAAAGGGGGATGTCTTTGATCAAGTTACTTCACCTCATTTGTAAGCCTCTTTTCCTGTAAAATTTTGATATTACTTTCTTAACCTATTTCACCAAAGTATTATAAGAGTAAACAGAAATTATGATAATGCACTTTAGAAAAAAAGCCATATAAATATGAAATAGAAGTATCTAACAATATCTATCATCTTTTTGGTTGTGAATTAAAGTCCTCCTTTAGTATGTTGGAAACAAAATTTAGATATATTTATTATCTGGTGTAGCCCTTAATGCAAATTAGTCAATGACCATATCTTCATATGATTGTGAAATATGTCTTTAATTCACTCAACATTTGTTAAGTACCTATTATATGATATCCATGTTAAGTGAAAGATACAATGATAACCAGAATAGTTAGAGAGGTTACCTTCATGCAGCTTATAGTTTAAATGTTCTGCATAGCAACCCTGTGAGATAGTCAAAGTACTTATCTCCTAAGATAAGGAAACTGTGGCTCATTCCAACTGTTTACCCAAGATCCAAGATCTCATTACTCCACTGTAGATAAAAGACAAAACCTTGAAACAATACAATGTTCCTTCCTCTTTCCCACATTTTTATATTTTTAACCTCCATTTTTATTCAATTACCCCTCTCCCTCCACTTGTCACCTTCTGCCCATACCCTTCACTACCCACTAAATTCCCTGGGCTGAGTTTTATCATCCTGACTGATTTGGTATCATCAATAATAATAACAGTAAGGAAAAAGTGAGTCTTCTGAGATAGATAGGGATTAAGATAGCTTTATTAAATAGGTTGTAAGTAAAAGTAAAATTTGCTTTAATCCCCTGATATTAGATTTTTCATCCAAATAATAGCTTTGATCTGAGGCCAGCAAGCATGTCCCACCAGTCTTGCCCTTTGCACAGAGAAACAGACCACTGCCTACTAGATTTCCCTGAAGGCATCTTTGATTCCCAAAGTAAAGCTACCTAGCCATCTAAAATGACCACTATTCTTCCCCCACTTTACCTATCTCATATAAAGCAGCCTTTTAAGTGCAAATAATATCTGGTAGAGGTAACGTCAATTCATTTTTAGATACTGATAAATTTGACCCAATTGATTTATTATTTTCTTATGTGCAATAGGATCCTAGAATTCCAGAAGAGGGAACCATAAATTTTCCTCAGTAACAGGCTCCTGAAAACAAAAAATATATTAGGAGTTCCTGCTGCTGTCTGGGCTTGTGAAGAAGAGGAGGTATTCATACTCTTTAACATGGCAAGTCTGAATGAGATGCATCAATATGATACTATATTATGACCTTCCTAAATACCCTAAAGACACTATTCAAACTGTCTAGTTCTTTCCCCTTCTCCTCTTCTTGTGTTCTGTATTTTATGTTCTATTGGGCAAAATTCTCTGTTGCTTTTCCTCCAGGCTGACTTCTTTTTCCATCTTCCTGTTGTGAAACTGTTCAAAGGCCAGAGTCTAGAATTCTTAAATGCGCTATCCTTTACATGAAAAAGATTATGTCTCAAGGTAAGTTTCTCAGCTAGTGATGTCTCAATAGGGCTTTGTAGGAAGCACCCACGTTTAGTTCAAGACACTGATAGCATTGGGTGATGTGTGAGGAAGTGGGTTCTGCATAGATAGATTTGTAGCACAAGGAATTTGGCATAAAGCAACCAGCATGAGTTGTTTTTCTCCGAGGTGTGAGGAATTTTTCATCAATCATGTTCATCTTCTTATATAGTGTTCCTTGTAAGAGGTGCTCTATATTTCTTACGATGGTTGGTCTTCGATAAAGATGTTAAGGCTTGTTCAGTGTGTCTTATTGAAACTGTTCAGGTAATTTCTGTCTGGTTGTCACCTATGACATATTTACCTAATGCTCATATGTTAATGGATCAGATGAGCTAATCATAGACATAATTTAAAAAAATTTTTTTCTCTAGAAACCATTTGCAATGATTCTGGAAAGTTCCATCTTAGTTCAGCCTTCCCCTTCTGCTGTCTGATAATATTTTAATAAAACTATGTACTTTTTATCAAGAAGTTTCATTATATTAATCATAACTCTTTGTAGAAAAAAGACAAAACAGGAACAATTATTCCCTATGGATTTGAGTTGCCATAGATGCCAGTATACGTGTATAAATGAGTTTAACCAATTCACTGGATCAAGTTAGTATTCACCAAAGTAACAGGAAGTCAATCAAATTATCAAACTGATTTTTTGGGGAAAAGGTCTTTGAGCAATTTCAGTTCATAGACAACATGTAGACATCAGCAATTAGCAAATGTATCAATTTGAATCCCATGTATCTTTTTATTGTGAAAGATGATTAACTCTTAGCTTAAGACATATCTTACAGAGTCCAGAAAACTATTATGTTATAAAACAATGATGTACTTTCTTCAGAAAAGATAGTAAAGCAGTTAGCACATACTTAGAAAATTTAAGTGTGATATCATTTAAAAGTCATTAATGGATGAAATAAACTAGGTAAGCCAGTTTAAGTTGTTGTAAGTCATAAAGATATAAAAATATAACCATAATTAATACGTTTACCTTAATCATTAATAATGACTTTAGTTTAAATTTTCCAATTTTCACTGTAGACTATTGGATTATCTAAACTAGAGCAGAGATATTTTATTATCCCCCATTTTCAGCACTTCTTTCAAAGTTATAAATGAAAGCCATACTTAAATTTCAATAATGGAGCCAAATCAGAGGCAGTCTTAGAAAGAACATGCCAAATAAGAATAACTGTGTTGAAAATGAAGTTTACGCAATGAGAACCACCTATTTAAAATTGAAAATTTTCCTGAAATGGCCTTTCCCTTTCTCCCTCCCCATACACATAATATCCAGCAAACACAATACATTTTTATCTGAAACTTATCTAAAATAAACTTCACTAAAGCAGGAGTCATGTGCCTAGGCTTCTTACTCTTGAGTCTATCACCAGTTCTGTGTGGGATCTGAGGGAGTCACTGACTGTAGCTGCCTGTCTCTCTCTCAACTTCCTCATTTGTAAGAATCTTGAGGAAATCTCCAATACTCCTTCTAAAGTTAATCTTTGAGTAGTCTTTATAGAATGTTCTGGCCTTGTACAAAACCAACATGATCTTCTAATCAGATGAAAGTAAGCAGATTAGTAGAAATACATTTGTTATATTCAATACTTAGTTCTATATCCTTTTTATACATAAACATGGTCTTCTGAATTCAAAATATTCATTTCAGCCATGCAAGCATAATTCCAGGTGTATAGGAAAAAGGACTGGACATTTAGGGAATAAAAATGGAAAGCTAATGAATATGTAATGTACTCAGCCGAACTCTTCACCAGAGACATATCATTTATAATCCTCAGTTCTTCAGTTAATACTCAATTATAATTAAACCACGTGCATTTGATTTGCATTGTCAATGCACTTTGCCTGATAATGTGTTGGTTTTATCCTGTTTTTCTCAAGTACCAAGTTTTTTAATAATACCAATTTGCTCTAGTGGAATGATGTCTACTTTCATAGAGAGATGTTCTTTGATAGTAACAGAATCCATAAAATACTTTTAAAAAAAATAATGAAGGCATTTGTTAGGCATAGGCTGTTTCATCAGAATATACCTAGTTTATTTTACAATGGTAAAATTGCCAAGACTTAGAGAGCATTCTGATTGAATCATGAATATTCCAAAGGGGTAGATTAATCTGTGTGAACTAGAGAACTCTGCTGAAACTGCTGTTTAACATTCTAAAGTGTGGAATTCATCTTCTTACAGCACAAAAGAGCTTCCTATAATAAAGATTTTTTATAACAGCAATAAGGCAGCTCAGTGGGGTGTGGTTTTCATGAAATAATCACACTTCTGAGAGATTAGACATTGTGCCTTATGCTGTACAATCCCCTCAAGTATTATGATGACATGTTGATGCCACCTCCCCCACACAGCTCTATTCCTCAGTTACTCAGTGGGCCCTTCCAAAAATATCTGCCCACTTAGAGCTATATTATAAACAAGCTGGGGATCTATAATACTGTATTAGTGCTTTATCACATCACAGTTTTCTTTATGTTTCTCATAAGTAGAAATTCTTATACCTTTCCATTGTAGTTCAGATTTAAAACACACAAACCAAAAATATAGTTACAGTAAGAAAAAGTCATAGTTTAGTAATATGGACTGTATACTTGTTGCAGTTTAGCTAATAATTATGCAAGTCATCCATTATTAATCTGCATTGTTTTTTAAATGAGGCATCCATTAAGAGTTCTGGCATAAATTTGAATATTGTACTGTAAAATTAACCAAGAATATATGTTAACATTAAAATATATTCCTTCAAATTTTCAAAAATTATTACATGGGGAATATGTCACTTTTATTCGCAGTTCACTTCAAACTGTAAACAACATCTATTGATATTTTCAGTGATCTCCTAATGCTAATAGTTTGAAGACTGATAATAGGGTGTATCTGTTGTTTCTCATTGGCAAAGATAATTGTATTCTTTTGCATATTTCATCTGTTTTCGTGTTTAGACAGAATATTAAGAAAATATATGGTAGGGACCTATAAATGCCAGTTATAAGTAGGGTTTTTGATTTATTAAGCACTTTTCTAGAACTATGCCAAAATATTAAGCTTTGTGGGCATAACTCTACATTTTTGACATTATGGAATAAATTTTTTAAAGTTGCTTTGAAATGCTACATAATTGAAAATTCCATTATAAGTAATGTCGCACTCCCTGTGTTCTAGAAAAATATGCCTAGCTTAAAGTGCTATTTATTTCAAAAATAATGCCATTTTTAAACACAGAACTCTTGTAAAAGATGAATAGCATGTTTTAAGCTAATGGTACAATTAACCAAAGTTTCAGTTTATGTTAAGGCCTGGAAGTTGTTTGCTAAACTTTCTGGGCAAGGAATCTAGTGGTCTATCACAGGCTATAGTAACAAAAGGTCAAGCTATTAAATTAAATTAATAGATTACTTTTGCCTACAATAAGAAAAATAATACTAATAAACTTTGTAAGTTTTTCCTAAGAATATTAATATTGTTACAGTGGATACATTTGGCAGTTCTAGTTGTGGAAGAAGGTTCCAACACAATGGACAAAATTAACCCTTGCTTTTATTATGAATTTTATAACATTGATTGATTTAAACTTTAATGTCTATAAAGATCACTTCAGGATTTTGTTAAAATGCAGATTGTGACTCAGTAGGTCTAGGGTGGGGTTTCAGAGTCTATATTTCTAATAAGCTCTGAAGTGATGACTGTATTTCTTGTTTAGGTACAGCGTTTGTGCAACATCATGCCGTAATCTTGTATCATTCCTTTGTCTTCTTCTGCTACACGTGACAGATTGCTAACAGGTTTTGGTTGTTGCTATGGACAGAATTCTGGTCCTCCAAAGTGTATATGCTAGAACCCCAACACCCAATGTAACTGTATTTGGAGATAGGGCCTTTGAGGAGATAGTTCAGTTTAAATAAGGTCATAAGAGTATAGTTACAGATTGGGGTCCTTATGAAAATATACACTAGAGAGGTCACTCTCTGTCTCTGCCATGGAGCACACAAGGAGAGGATACTGTCTGCGAGCCAGAAAGAGAGCCCTCTCCAGAGATCTAATCAGCCAGCACCTTGATCTCAGGCTTCCCAGCCTCCAGACATGTGAGGTAATATATTTCTGTCCTTTAAGCCATTCAGTCTATGATATTATGTTGTGGCAGCCCAAGCCAACTAATACAGATGTTATTGTTTTGTCTTTTGCTTTCTTTCCTCTCATATTTTACCTGAGGAAGTAAAGTTAACCAAATTAGGAAGCCAGTGTAACCAGAAGCAAGTTTTCTCCTGTTGCTCCGAATTCTATCCTGATCATGTCATGCATCATCATTGATTGGCTGAGCAAGAAAGATGATGCTTTTCTCACTTTGCCAATGAATGCATTTAATTTTCCTTAGTTACTACATTATTCCTGTTAACAAGGCAAATTGTTGAGGCAATCTCTTAAAGCCTTAGAGTAGAAATTCCAGGCCGATACTTGAAAAAAGTTGTACCTGGTTGATTTCATGGCCTCAGCCTCTGCCATGTCTTCACACCCGATATTTCAACCAGGGAGAGGGACAGAACTGAAGGCAGTTGTCATGGCTCTTTTACCTCTCAGAATATGGAGGTGGGCATCCTGGCTGCTGCCAATCAGTTAGCCTCCCCCTACTTTCCTACTCATACACCAGGTTATCAACCTGCAAGTGTCAGCAAAATAAATTGTAGTACCTCTTCAGTAAAAGCTGGAGGGATCTATTATATTGCATGACTATAAGGATTATCTTTTGAATTATAAAAATACAAAATGGCCGTGGGGACAAACTGATTTTGTGAAATAGAGGTTTGCCTAAGTTACCCACATTCCTACATATAGTCAAATTACATTTTACAGTATATGTCAAATGTAGTTGACTGTGCTGTAGGAATACTAACTACATCAATATTTGAATTCAACCCCCCGAAATGCAAATGAATGGATACTAATGTCTATTCAAAGCACTTCATTTGCATTATGGAAAGATGTGCTATTATATCATGGAGCATCCCCTTGCTTTTTAAAATCCACCTATTTTTAGAAAGTTTCAGAAACAGTTTTACAAAGAATATATCCCCAATGCACAAAGGAGGCAAATTAAAACAAGGTTATCAAGACCAAATATGTTTGGGCTAACTTAGTTAGTGTATTGGCCTTCATTTGGTAAGATTTATCAGTAATGCTTTCTGCCTCTAAACTCAAAAAAACTTGTCATTTTGCAATATGAAGCCTTCTAGATAGTGCTTTTAAAAAAAAAGCAAAAGCAAGTTTATTAAGAAAGTAAAGAATGGTTACCCCATAGGCAGAGCACTAAAAGATAGTGCTTTTAGTAACATGTACAATAATTATTTGAATGTGTCCATTTATTATAATACTCTAAAAATGTCACAGGCATGAGTTTAGGTAGTCCTTCAATGATTTATTTTCATCCAAATATTTAATTTGAGTTACCTAAAGGAAAAGGTTCACAGCATTTTCTCCCATTTTTCTCTAAGTAAACTTCTCTAAGTAAACAGTTAAGTCCTTCAAGTTCTAAGCTTTTCAAGAGTATTTTATGATACCGTTTATTTCAATATGAGTTTGTATATCACTGTGAAAAGTCCGTATCAAATGGATGAAAAAAACTACAGAATGCAAATTGTATTGAGCTAATGAAGAACAAAAAGCTTCCCTTTACCATAGTCCCAATGTTTTGCTGAAATTGGGGCAGATGCCCATTTCCTGCAGAGAATTGCAAAACTGGGAACATGCAGCTGCCAGATTTTCACTGTCCGCCATGTGTAGAACTCTCAGGGTGGAGGTTAGAATTCTGATCCACCTTCTGCCTTCACTCCACAGAAAATGTTTCCAAAGGTTTACTTGTGCTCAATGTCTAATCCTTCCACCAGAGAATCAAGTTTGGTGTTGATACAGGGATTGCTCTTGATACATTCGAAGAGTTTTCCTTTGCTTGATTGTGTGTTTCAATGTAAACAGGGTTATTCTATAGTGAAAAAATATGTATTATTGGGAAAGAATTTAAAATGTATCTCTATGACTTTAAATACAAACTGAGCAGCTGCTTTAAACTTTAAGGAATTTGGCTTTTAGCCAAATGTTTAAGGACATGTCTTTGGTATTAGATTCCTTGCTATAATGTTTTTTTTTTTAATTTAATAAGCACAGAAGATGCATTATCATTATGGAATAAATCATCTGTGAAATTTGATATTTTGAACAAAACAATCCCTGAAATATAATCCTATTTTTTAACCAGAGTAGTCTCTGAAAACAAAATCAATTGTACTATGTCAAGCTGTACATCTAGAGACCTTGTATTTCTAAAAATCTTTGCAGACAGTGTTTTTAAATCTGTAAAAGTTTGTAAATGCCTCATATCAGCCCAGAAAATTTTAACAATTCTATTTTTCCAATATTTAAATATCTGTACATTGAAATCTAAAAAGGATTTTCACATAAGCTTATGCATATGTAATAATGTAATATATTTTAATTGGCACACACGATGTGAAAAGAGACTTTGTTTAGTGGAAAAATTGTGTACCAAAGTACCCCTTCCTTTCCTTGTAGTATATTCATTGATGCTTATGCTTTTTATTTTGCTACTTAACAGCTGGACTACACAAATGAGACATAGTTAAAAGGTCTATTTGGCTTCTTATATTTAAGGAATACCAAGACAATGCCCCAGGGAGGTTGCAGTGTTGCCTCTGGAGAATGTGGGGTGTGATTGTCTGGTAGTGTTTTTTACCTCGTCAGCTGTGAGGGCCGGGCATTCATGACAGTGGAGAATGCTGCTCTTTGCTTGTATTCTCATACTAGAAGAATAATG
Organism: Homo sapiens; assembly: GCF_000001405.40. Taxonomy (NCBI): domain Eukaryota; kingdom Metazoa; phylum Chordata; class Mammalia; order Primates; family Hominidae; genus Homo; species Homo sapiens. The sequence goes on along the minus strand of NC_000009.12, from coordinate 9,218,735 downwards.
CTGATAACACTACCACACACAAAAGTCCCAGATTTAGTTGCAGTGCTCACCAGTCTTACCTGTCCCATTATATATGTTACAGTCCCAGATTTAGTTACAGTGCTCACCAGTCTTACCTGTCCTATTATATATGTTACCAAAGGACTTAGCTTTCATTTGTCTCACTTAGAAGGCTTCCACAGAGGAGTAAAAACACCAGTGTCCTTTCTGTACCTAAAATTGTCAGACCTATTTATATTGGAAAGGCATTTCATTTTATTTTTCTTGTCAGAATGAGACTGAAATCTTTTATGTTACTGAGAAAAAGAGGTGCAGGATTAAACTCCGTAAAATTTTCATCTAATGGCCACTAGTCTTGTTTTAACATTGAAATGGCTTTTAAAAATGAAGTGTGACAGGGAGAAAGAAGGTAAAGTGAGCATCAAGCAACATTCAAGGCCTATCTAATCCGGATCTATGAGTTGCATAGGCTTGATTAGAAAAATATAAAGAGAAAAAATTGAAACCAAAACAAGACAGAAGTTTGACATTGTGAGGAGAATATTGAGGATAGCCAGTATGGTTAGAAAACGAAAGAAGCAATTCCCAAAGATGCTTTATTTTCTTTATTCAGTCCAATGCAACATTAATTAATTTGCTGCTGTGTTCCAAGCCTGAAGATCAGGTGTTCCTTAAACAGATAGTTATATGTTCTATTTTCGGACCCCAGAGGGCTCAGAAACAAACAGAGTGAACATGAACGGCATAACTGTCATACAATGGAAAACATGCTTTGTTAGCAACATGAAGACAGAACTATTGCACGCCATAGATAAAAATAAATTTATGTATTAATTATGTAAGAGAGCAGGGGACCAAGAAGGCTTCAAAAAGGAAGCCGCTTCTGAAATACTTTATCAGAAAACATATGGACAAGATAATACTGGACAAATGCAAAGAGGAATTTGGAATGCTGGGCGGGATTTTGGTGGAGATGAGGTTTTAAAGAGTAGAAATGGATCCAAGGAAGGTTATGTCAAGACTGCCTGGGGCTAAGTTTTGAAAAGCCTTCAATATAAAAAGGAAGTCTGGACTTTATTCTGGCAGGCCCTTAGAAACCAGAGAAACTTTTTAAGGAAGGGAATAATATGCTCAAGTTTGTGTCTTAGGAAGATAGCTGTGTAGATGGAGTCCTGAATGGATAAAGGATCCGACATAGCCAATATACTCCCAGATGAGAGGATGCTGGTTGTGCTAAGGTAATTGCTGTGTCAAAGAAGAGGACATAATGAATTTGAGTGTTGCTCAGGTTTATTCCAAGGAACACTAGTTCAAAGTGATATGCCTTAAAAAGAGATTTGGTAAAGTAACAACTCTGGGAAATATTGAATCTTATTTTATGTATTTGTAGCCCATATAAAACACTTATGAGGTGCCACGCAGGCTTCTTAAGTACCCTACAAATACTCATTTAATTCTTATACAAGACCCTTATAAAGTAGGTTCTATTATCATCCACATTTTACAGATGAGAAACATCTTGCCTATCCAGGATCCCCAACATTAGGAAGAGACAGAGTTGCAAAGGGAACAAGTGGCCTTTAAACTGCCAGCCCTACAGCCTCCCAGTGGAATCTCTTTGGCTAAAGGGGCCCTTAGTTCTCATTTGCATATAAGTTGTCTGACTAGTCTTAAGGATTAAAAAAAATGTTAACACTGGCATTTCTTAAACATATTGGTTCTTTGAATTTTTTTGCCCTCTACTCTTTAAAATCCCGCAGAACTAATGCCCTCTGAAGCCCAATGTGGGAAATAATAGAAAAAAAATAGAAATAATTCAGAAGAAAAAACAATAAATGTTGGTAACCAAAAGTCATTTAACTGTTCCATTTTAAATTATTTTAAGGTTATTTATTTTTATATTAACACAGTTATAGATTTTACAAAGAAGTATTTTGTTATATCAATGTCTATAATAACCCTAATATTATTTCAATAAAGAGGAGAGGGTTGTTTCATTCTAAAATAAAAATCAGAAGAAAAAGAAAGATAAGGCACAAAACAGAGGAATGATACCAAGCTTGGTCTTTCTAGACCCAAGCTGAAGACTTATAAGAACACCTACAATTTCCAGCTTTAACTTCTCCCAGTCCTGTTTTTATTATTCTCAGCTGCCTTGAGCTTTCACTCTAACTTCACTCTGAACCTGGAAGATGACGGCTGTGTAGTTAATCAGGCTTAGTCTTTGAGGCTGGAGAGGGAGGAGAAAGAAGAAAGGGCATATAGAAGGGTGGCTCAACATAGGATTTGAAGTTTAAAATTCCTAGGCTCAGGATTACATATTTTATCCCATTTCTTTTCTGTAACCCTGCGAAGCAAGTAGTATAATTAGCTCCATATCATAGAGGAGAAAACTGAGGTAGAGAGAGGTAAGTGGCTAGGATTTGGGAGCTGGTGACTATCTAGCATTGGCATCCTTATTTTAATAGGTAATATTTGTTGTGTCTATATTCCAGGCATTGTACAGTACTGAGTAAAATGTATGTCAAGGTACATACAAAAGCATATGCAATTTTTACAGCTCTGTGAGGTAGTCCCTATTATAATCCCCATTTAAAAGGTGACTAAACTGAGACTTAGAAGGTTGGTAACTATACCAGTGTCACATAGCTAGTAAGGAATGGAATCAAAATTCCAATCAGGCAGGCTGACACTAGATTGTGTGTTCTGAACCACACAGCAAGTACTGCCAATGTTTATACAGGTGACACTCAACACAGAGGAGAAGGTGTCACAAAATGGTTTATGGTATTTCTTGCCCCTCATCTAGCAGAGTGTACAGTACTTGTCCATTTACTAATCTGTCTCCTCCACCAGACTGTTGACTCCATCAGGGTAAATACTGTACTATTTTACTGTTGTGGTGTTCTGACTCCCTAGCACAATTCTTGATACATAGAGGATTTTATGAATCATTCTACAGTGAATCAATGAATCAATGTACGATGGAATGAAGAAAGTCATGAACAGCTACATGTGTTACTTGTAAAGCAGGGTTTAATCCAGTTGTATTAGATTAACCTCCTGGGTTGTACAGCCCCCTGAGGAGCTGCTCCCTTCGTCCCAACTCCACCTCACTGTGCCTCAGCTCCACAATCTGGTGCCCAGTTCCTGCAGCAGTAGGGGAAATTCCTGCCAAAACAGAGGCCTCAGTCTTTCCCTTTTCTCCCCCCATTCTGCTTAGCCCATGGAGCAGTGGAAATTTCCACCCATTGTAATCCTTATATTTTGTAATATATTTTCATATAAATTATCACATTTGATTTTTATAGCAATTCTGTGTGGTAGGCAGGGTATTTTTATTTTCTCTCCAGAACTCAGGGAAGAAATTTTCAGTAAGTGGCTGAGTGGCAAATCCAGTTCTCTTGTAGCTCCATAACTTTCCCGGTGAACAAGTACAAGTATGTAACTGCTCCATTGCATAACCTGGGTTAAACTACTCTCAGGCGTGACTTCTGCAACTGAGTCAATTAAGAGACACATGAAAGCAGGCTTTAAACATTTCCCACCAGCAGATGACTTCTAAAGGAAGTTTCTTCACAAATGCACATGGACCAATTTTGCTAGGTTGTAGTTTGAACTTGTTAACACACAAATGAATCATCAAACTGATCCTGCACTGGAACTATTGTTCCAAGAAAGTAGGCCAAACAGTAGCACTGCATTTGAACAAATATATAAGTAGTGTGTGTTCAAGAGGCAGCAGAATGTCATGATTAAGAGCATAGACTCTGAACCCAGAAGGGCTCGTTCAAATACTAGTTCTTCCATTGTACAACTGTGTTATCTCGATTACGTTACTTAACATCTCTGGGCTTTAATTCCTTCATCTGTTAAAAGTAATACTGTTAGTACATATCACACAGGCTTGCTGAGACAACTACATGAGTTAATATATTTATATAGTGCCAACCACACAGTAGGCACTATGTAAATGTACGTATGAATATTATTTTTATAATGTATCTTTGCAAAAAGCTTTGAAGAACATTAGAAGGGCTAGATAAAAATATTGGCGTTTTTATCTTCTCTAAAAGTTTAAAAAACAAATGTGTACAAAAAAGTCACAGAGAGGTCTCATTGTCAGTTTTACCCTGGTAAAGACATTAAATGGCCTTATTTGCTTTCTCCTCATTGAGAAGCTCTAATAAGTTTGATCAGCTTTCCCTCTCCCACCCCCTGCTTTGTAGTAGAAGTTAAAAAAAAAAAAAAATCCTCCTCCCTTAACTGCTTTAACGTTTAACAGTCACCAAGAGAAACTGTTCCATCATGATGTCTTCCGAGTTAGTGGACTAAAACAAATTCAGCCTGTTTAATCGTATGGCATCAGGCAATGCTGAAAATGCAATTTGTTGTGAAATTTGTTTTTGCATTTGCTATTAGAAGCCAAGTGTTCAGCTCTTTTTCAGCTTTCCACTGGACCATATCGGGGAACACACTAGCTGGAGGGCATCTGGAGCACTGATCACTCAGAGGGAAACGCAACAGCTGTGTTTTTGACAGCTGGAGCAGGCCTGATGTCCATCAACAAATGTCCCGGATACTTTGCACTTCTCCTTAGTTAGTAGGGGGCAGACAACACTCTGTTGGTTTGGGAATGAGAATTCTTCCATGGTTACCATCTTGTTTGGGTGTTGGAGGATGGATGTTAAGCACTGGAACATGTTTACATTTATCTGTTGTTCCACCAAATATTTGCTATCATTCTTATTATCATGCCCAGTAAGAAAAAAAAGAAGATGAAGATATTCTAGAAAAGTGAGCAAATAAAAGTACAAACAAGAAAAACTACACAAAAAACAAAGCTGAACAAGGGATAAGGAGACCCTCAGAATCGGTTGCATTTTTCCTGCTTGTTTATTGTCAGAGAGAGAGAGATGATAGATAAATATTTTGATCAAAAGGAATGCTGTGAAGGGATGAATAATCAGCTCTTCTTTAGTGTCCTTTAGCACCTTACTTTCATCTCACATGAAAGTGTCTCATGTGAATGTGAACTTATTATTCAGGGACACTGTTTGATGCTAACTGTGCCTTTTGCATAATGTGTCTGTATATTTGAATACAAAGTGACTAAAATTTATACCTTTATAAAATTGTAATAAATATAACCGATTCCCAAATGAGGCAGACCTAACCAATGGTTGCCTATTATCAAAACAAACAAACAAACAAACAAAAAACCAGGAAAACAGGGCATTTGATTTTTCAAGTGCGGTTTTAAATGAAGTGATTTTATTTAATTACAATGTATTGCATTTAGCAAAGAATACTTTCACATACCAATAACTGTGCACGAATAACAGAGTAACACTGTGTTTTGTGTAAACTTTCGTTGATGTCTATGCATCAAATGGAAAAACCTTTCCTGTTGTCCCCAAACCACAAGTCTTCTCAAAGTCCCCCAACACTCCCAACTCTTCTAACTTAATGATACTTTAAAGCATTTACGCCTCTCAGTTAATGAGTTCAGCTAAAGAGATGTAAAGTCAATTCTCTGCAACAAGATCTTGAAACAGAATCTGAAACCACTGAATATAGTGGTATATAAGAGCACCTTGAGAAGCTACGAGTTAGAACTTTCACATAAGAGCCTATTTTGGGATTTGATGTGCATCGTTTCAACTTCATTTAATAAGTAATCATGTTATAATTAAAATTTTAATCACCATCTTACTCTTAACCTGACCTAAAAAAACAGGTCACAGTTATAGGAGTTAGAATCTATAGAATCTTAGAGAACTCTAGGCTAATTCCATAAGTTACAGTGATAAACCAAAGGCACGGGAGTTCAAATGACCTCAAGTCACATACTATAGAAGGAAACCCAGATCTAACTCCTAATCCCTTGTTTTTTTCACCTCACACATTGCAAAATAGAAACTATGTAATGGTTGAAATGTGTCACACAAGAGTGACACACCAACTGTTCTCTCAGTAGGAATCGTCTTGAGTCCAATAACCCATATCTGTATTAGTTCCTTAAATGATAATCAAAACATACTCATTAAATCTGTGAATGGCCTTGGCTGTATGTGCAAAATACTTCTATCTCAACATGCCGGGTTTCTTGCTCCTTCTTCTGTTTTTCTCCCAGCTTTCTATTGACTGGCTGTGTAGGGTATTTTTAAAATGCAATAAGCTAGCAGTTAAAACAAGTTAATTTTCTTGGCTGCTCAATGGATTTGACCAAAGTGTTTTTGCAGTAATATACAATTAATAGCGTTAAAATCACAAGTTATAAACAGACTGACTAAATAGTGAGGAGGCAACAATAGGAATGTGTAGAGAGTAGCTGGAAGACACTAAAAGCTAGCTTAAAAGAACTGTTTCAGCATAGGGAAAAATCACAGAGGCCTAGGGGTGGCAGGAGACATTTGATGTGTATTAGTGATATTATTGTTATTTTCCTTAGTCTTATGGCAATAATTTAAGGCTGTTGTCAAATTTAAATCTGTTTTCAAATGTGCTAATAGAATATTTTAAACAATGAAAAACATTACCTAAGAACATGGAATTCACCAATGAATAGTGATGGATATCATAAAATACAAACATCTTTATCCCTCTCAGTGGTGGGTATTGCCCATACAAAACACTGAAATAATTATTCTGTTTCCAGGCAAAATCCAGTTTTGATGCTATTGTTCTTATAAAGAATCAGAATTGACGAGTATATTCAAGAAACAAAAATGTTTGCTTCTAAAATTTTATGTTCATTAAACTTGGGGAGACAGCATAGATCACTAAAAAGAGTGCAGATATTAAAATTTTCTAGAACTGGTTTCAAATCTTGGCTGGCTGCAACACTGAAACAGTTGTGTAACCTGGGCTAAGTTACTCAGCCTGGCTGAAAATAAAGTTCTTTAATTTCAAAATGAAAAAAAAAAAATAGTACCAGTTTCTTAGGCTATTTATGAGGATTAAATGACATAATATGTGCAAAGCACAACAAAGAGCCTTTGACAAAGTCAATACCAAAAATTTGATGGTTATTGTTATTCTCTTAAACATGTTACATGTAATTGTTTATTAAGAATCTAATTATTAAGGCTCTTTGGTATATGTCAAATATTTTGTAGCTTAAAGGTCTTGTAATTTAACTTCTTAATATCATTGAGAAGAAACCTTAGCTCTTGTGTGTGTGTGTGTGTGTGTGTGTGTGTGTGTGTGTGTGTGTGCGTGCGCACACTGGGGGAGAGGAAGGAAGGAAAGAAAGAAGGAAGGAAGGAAAACCAGTGATGAAAGCTAATATTTATACAGTACTTAAAAAATATGCCCAACACTCTTCTAATTGCTTTACAAACATTAATTCCTATATTCCTAATGAGAAACTTAGGACACAAGACCTATTATCACTCTCATTTTAAAGATGAGTATACTGAGGTTTTACAAAAGGTAATATGGCTGAGGTCTCAGAGCCAGTAAATAATTAGGCTATGTTTGAGTTAACACAATTGAGCTTCAGAGTCTGTATGATTAAATACCAGGCAATACAGACCTTTATAAGTAAATATGAAAAGAGACATAGATGGGTCTGTATGTGTGGCTTACATATGACTGTGGAAAAAAATGCCAGAATGTACTCCAACACAAACATACACACACACACACACTCACACACATGTATTGCCTTGATATTTGCAAGGACAAAAACAAATGCTCTTTAAGCAAACATTATTAAGGAACTATGTTTATCTTTATTCTCAACTTCCAAAGAGAGGAAGAAAAATAAGAAATTTCAGAAAAATAAAAATAATAATTAAGAAATAGGAAAATAGAACCTATAAGAAATGATTTTTAAAAGCCTGGTTTCTATTGAAGAGAAAAAAAAAAGGAAACAAAATTAACCACTTGTGCATATTGAAACTAAAGATACATTTGTGCCAGGGAGCAAAATTAGTAAGTTCACAACAAAAAAAATAGTTGCCTTTGTTTCCTGGCCAAAGAGAAAGGAGATGTTTAGGATGTGGCAAGTCATTTGTATGTGGCATACATGTGGCACATGTATGTGGCATGTGGCATGTGGCAAGTCATTTGTATGAAAGTAATAATCCAAGTCCATTAAAATAAATTCCAGAAACATTTGCAAGTGTTCTCAAGCAAAAAAATGGTAAGAGATGTTTTAAATATGATTCAAAAGAAGCAAGGAAGGAGAAAAGTGGAACTAACTTTATAATAAAGTTCAAAAGTTATGTTTTTTGATGAAAACAAGAAAACAAAGGAGTAGGCATTAAAATAAATTATTTAAATGTTTCATGGCAAATTAAGAAATTTTCAAATCCCAAAGTATCTTTGGAATGAACAAGTTAAATTTTGAAACCAAATGTGGAAAACGCAGTGATTCTTAATATTATTATACATATGGATGAAACTCACCTGTTATATATATTTTAATACCCAATTCTTGAGTTTCAGATTCGTTTTGAAGAGTTACAGCCAATACATTATTTGTGGAGATAATTCTCTATGGATCTTTTGCATTTCTGCACATCTAGTGAGCAGAGATGCTGGCTCTCTTTTCCAGACTTTTCAAGGTTGTGAGGAGCTTTGGAGGATAGAAATTGTTTGTTTCTCTGGAGCAAAGGGCAAGTATTTTACTGTTCAGTAAAATAATGAAAACATTTTCCGCTGGGGCAAAGGTTGGAAAGGCTCATTATAAAAGATTTGTGCTACCTTAGCTTAGGACACAAATCTACTGCGTGATAATCATCTATCTGGGCCCTTCTGCATCACCCCATGGGATCTGAGTTTAGGAGGAACCAATGAAAATATGCTAAAGCTCATACTGCTTGCTCTGCTGAGAGTAATAAAGTCCTTTGTATCTGACCCAGGAGTTTCATATCTTCTGTCAGCATCCATGAAACCATGGTAGGCTAACTTACTAATTGCAAGTAAGGTAAAATCTGAGACAGGATATATATTTTTAAATATTTTCTATTGAAAATTTTAAACACTTATAAAAATCAACAGAATAGTATAATGAATTCTTTCTGAGGCCATCACCCACTTCAACAATAATCAACTCATGAACAGTCTGGTTTATTTATAGTCCTGTCTCATTTCAACCATCCTCTACAAAATAGTAGTATTTTGAAGCAAATTCCAGACATCATATCATTTGATACACAAATATTTCAGTAGATATCTCTAAGATTTAAAAAATATGCCACAATACCGTTAATACACCCAACATTAATTAACAATAACTCTTTAATGCACCAAAATACTGGTCCATCTCTAATTTTCAATTACCTTATAATGTCTTTAACACATTACTTGTATCTGAATCCAGATGAACTCAACACAGTGAGGCTGATTGATATTTCCCTCTTCTGATCTCTAGGTTCTGCCTCTAATTTTTCTTTCTTATTCTTTGCAATTTATTTACTGAGGAAACACAGGTGTTTGACCCACAGTCTGAATTTTGTTCATTGCTTAACAATAGTGTCTTTTAATATATATTTCTATCTTCTCCGTTTTCTACAAATTGCTAATTAGGAATAGAGGCTTAGTAAGATTCAGATCTCTTTACCCCCTTGAAACTACATCATTGGTGGGAGTATATTCTTTCAGGAGTTATATTGTCAGCCGGTCGCGGTGGCTCAAGCCTGTAATTCCAGCACTTTGGGAGGCCAAGGCGGGCCGATCACGAGGTCAGGAGATCGAGACCATCCTGGCAAACATGGTGAAACCCTGTCTCTACTAAAAGCACAAAAAAATTAGCCAGGCATATTGGCGGGCGCCTGTGGTTCCAGCTACTCGGGAGGCTGAGGCAAGAGAATGGCGTGAACCCGGGAAGTGGAGCTTGCAGTGAGCCGGGATCGCGCCACTGTACTCCAGCTTTGGCGACAGAGCGAGACTCCATCTCAAAGAAAAAAAAAAAAGAGTTATATTGTCTCTGGGTTTCTTTCTTCTTTGTAGTTTGAGACCATTGATGCTTAACTTTTAGATTCATTAATTCATTAGTGTCTACAAACTAATGATATTCCAATTTTATCGTATCTTCTTTATTTCTTTCTACATAGAGAAACTTTCCCTAAATACTAATTGGTTCACTTAAGACAGATAGGAAAAACACTTGGTATGTTCCCCTTATTTTCTATTCTTGAGGATAATTTTAAAGATTATTAAATTTAGTTTGATAAATATGTAAATATTAACATAGTCACAAAGTAAACTCTACAAAGCAAAATACCAAATAAAGGGAACATATCAAATATTTATCTTATCCCCTCCATATGAATTAAAATGTGAAGATAGATCTTAACTTTCATTTATTTATTTTGTATCCTATACCCTCACCTCTCTTTAGAAACAACTTTTAAAAACCAGATTTATGGTTTGTCCTCCAAGGTGTTTTTTAAAAAAATACAAGCAGATGGCGGGGCTTGGTGGCTCACGCCTGTAATCCCAGCACTTTGGGAGGCCGAGGCGGGCAGATCAGAAGGTCAGGAGATCGAGACCATCCTGGCTTACACGGTGAAACCCCGTCTCGACTAAAACTACAAAAAATTAGCCGGGCGTGGTGGCGGGTGCCCGTAGTCCCAGCTACTCCGGAGGCTGAGACAGGAGAATGGCATGAACACGGGAGGCGGAGCTTGCAGTGAGATCGCACCACTGCACTCCAGACTGGGAGAGAGAGCGAAGCTCTGTCTCAAAAAAAAAAAAAAAAAGCAGATATATATGAATAGCCATACCACCTTTTTTCTTAGAAAAATAATGGCATACTATGTATTTGTCTCTTCCTTTCCTTTTTCACTAAAAGATATACTACGAAGATTGCTCTTGGAAGTATATAGAGTTATTTCTCATTCCTTTTTGCAGTCATGGTTCTCTATTATATGGATGCACCGTGATTTATTCAACCAACCTGCCATTGATGGAAATTTGAGTTGTTTCAACTCTTTTACTATGACAAATAGTCTTACATTTAACAGCTTTGACCAAATATTGTTAAGTATTTTTGCGAGCATATTGTTGCAATACATTACTGGAATTAGCATTTCTAGGTCAAAGGGTAAATGCACATTTAATTTGGCTAGATGTTGCCAAATTATCCTCTGTAGTAATTGCACCATTTTTCATACCTACCAGCAATGTAAGACAGAGCACGTTTTTCCACAAAGTTGATTTTTACAAAGCTCGACCAGCATTGTATGTTGTCAGATTTTGGGAGTTTTGTCAGTCTAATAGCTTTAGTTTATATTTTTATTTGGCTTTTTTTTCTTTGAACTGTTTCCCTAACTCATTTGTCTATTGTATGATTGATTTTTTTTCTATTTTTAGAAGCTCTTTGTATTTTAGATAAAGGCAGTTCATTTACTGACATCTCTCAAAGTAACATCTGCACCCCGAATTCTATGTGTAACTTAATGCTCTTATGTCCAACTATCTACTCCCTGTCTCCATGCGGTTGTCTATTAAATATCTAATAATTAAAAGTTCAAAATGAAACTACTGCTTTCTCACCACACACCAACTCTTCTCTCCTAGATTCCCCCTACTCAGTTACAGCAAGTCCATCATTCTAGGTTTTTGAGACCAAAAAGCTTAAGAGTCAAACTTGACTTCTTGTTTTTTTCAGTCACCACATGGACTCCATCAGCAATTTTTACTGGCTCTACTTTCAAAATAAATCCAGAATCTTCTCCTCAAATCCATCACTTCAACTCTGATTTGAGTCCCTATTATTTTCCACCTGGTTTATTACAATAGCTTTGTATTAGTCAGGGTTCTCTAGAGGGACAGAACTAATAGGATAGATGTATATATGAAAGGGAGTTTATTAAGGAGTATTGACTCACACAATCACAAGGTGAAGTCCCACAGTAGGCCATCTGCAAGCTGAAGAGAAAGGATGCCAGTCTGAATCCCAAAACCTCAAAAGTAGTGCAGCCTTCAGTCTGTGGCCCAAGGCCCAAAAGCCAGTGGAAAATCACTGGTGTAAGTCCAAGAGTCCAAAAGCTAAAGAACTTGGAGTCTGATGTTCAAGGCCAGGAAGCATCCAACACAAAAGACAGATGAAGGCAGGAAGACTCAGCAAGTCTGCTCTTTCCAACTTCTTTTGTCTGCTTTATTCTAGCCACACTGGCTGGCAGCTGATTAGATGGTGCCCACCCACATTGAGGGTGAGTCTGCCTCTCCTAGTCCACTGACTCACATGTTAATCTCTTTTGGCAACAACCTCACAGACACACTCAAGAACAATACTTTGCATCCTTCAGTCCAATCAAGTTGACACTCAATATTAACCATCACAACCCTCCTAACTGATTTCTCTTGCCTCCCCCAACTCTCACTCCAGTATAGTTTTCACATAATTGCCAGTGTGTTCTTTAAAAAACATGTTACATCATGTCATGCCTTTACGCACAACCCTCCAATGGTCCTCCTCTTGTAAAACTGAATGTCTTTTGAATGGTCTATAAAGCTGTATGTCATCTCCCACCACCCTCCATCATTACTTCTCTGACCTCAGCTTCCACTCCCTTCCCTATCACTCACTCAGCCCCAGCAACACTGGTCACCTTGTTCTTTGAGCAAACTCCTCTTGTTCTAGGCACAAGCCTTCTAATTTGCCAACCTCTAGAATGCTCTAAAAGCTATCTAGAATACTCTTCCCCCAATTATCTCCATAACTTACTTCCTCATTTTCTTCTCTGTGCTTGTAATGACAACAATTATGTCACTTAAGCCTTCTCTTAAAACCCAAGATAAAATAACCCCACCCTCTGCTATACTCACTACATCCCAGTATCATGCTCTCCCCTTCAAGTCACTTAATGACAAACTGAAATAATGATTTGTTAATTGTGTCATTGCGTCCTTCTTCCACCTGAGACTAACCATGAGGGGATGACATTATTAAGTTAACTGCTGCATGTACAATCTTCTAGGGCAGTACCTGGAATAAAGTAGGCATTCTACATATTTTTTATAAATGGGTGAATGAGTAAAAGAATGGATAAATAGATAGTTATACTGTATTGACTTGGCAATTACAGCATACAGAAATATCTGAGTATAAGCAAAATGATAAAAACTAAAAGCCACAAAAAAGATATAAAATGTATGCTTAGTGCTAAGAAAACTTTGCTCAATGTCATTTTAGATAATGCAAAGAAAGAAGACTGTCTTAATGATGCTTTGTTTTTCAAGTTTCTATGGGAAAACGTTTTGAATTTTGGCATACTTTTATGGTTTCTTTTGGATCTATATTATTATTATTATCTAGAAGTAATTGAGCATGAAACCTAAGCAACGCATTACCATGTGTTTATAATTAGATATACATGATCATGCTCCCTGCTCATCAAGAATATGAAGTGGAAGCCAATGTGTAGTTAAATGTGAACTGGTGAAGTACTTAGTTCATATTTACAGTATTATATGATTAGACAAAAGACACTGGTTTAAGTTGTCTGAATTAAATGTGTTTACTTAATGTTTCAACATGAATACAAAACTTGATGGGAATTCACTTGAAAACAACAAGGATTCTTCCTACCTGCTGTTTCTTAGTTAAGAAAAGATTCAAATTCCAGAAGATTTTTTTTAAATAAGTGATTTATTATTTCACTGTTTCTAAATTACTGTAAGCAAAGCATCAGATTAGTAATGTGTTTAATATGAGCTATTAAATTCCCATTAGATTAAATTGCCACCCCTAGAGATCTGCAAAGCTACTATGAATTAATTTGCATTCTTCAATAGTCACACACTTCACCTTTTCTTTAATGCCGCAGATACTTGAGGAAGTGTATCCTAACTCCAGGAACAATAAGTTGTCTTATGAACTCTGAAATTCTTAGTTCTGCATATTGTTTTGTGATAATAATGATAATAATTTGAGACATTTATAAATGGTTCTGATAGGTTTCTTTTGGTCATTTTTAATATACAATATAATATTAGCACAATTTCAAGTAAATCTGTGTCAAAAGCTATTTTTACAAGGCTGTACAGAGCAAAATCTATTCACTATTTATGTTCTTTTCAGTTGCATTTAACAGGACCATCAATTTAAAACCATCATTGAATTGACTGGTTTAATATTTGTTTTAAATATCTTACATAAATGCAATGTAAACATTTCATCTGTGAGCCTTCCAAAATTAAGCCAGAGTTATATAGAGTACTCTATAGTTGGAAGCAAAGGACTCGTGAGTGTTCCTTTAAAAGTTGAGAACCCGGTAATGCTTAGAGGCTAGGAAACTCTGTAAAGTGTCTGAGCTAGGCTTTATCCAAACATGAGTGGATTAAACTAGCTGACTTGGTCTCCTTAATAGTAGATTAACATCATCCATTAATTTATGAACTTGATTTTGTGATGATAAGTAAGAAAACTCCAAGGAAAAAAATTAGTAACTTTATATAAAGAGACCTGTTTGCAGTGAGAAATGTAGTCACTGGAAGCATCAGACATATTCGCTAATGAAACAAGGCCTGTGCATATTTACTAACTACATTTCTGCAAAGCAGATTTACCAACTCAATTCCCCAAAGCTAAAGAGAGTATCAGGCTGGATTAGAAATCAGAAGTCCCTATTCTTGAATTCACATGATGAATTCACATCTGTTCCCTGGCGCACAGCATTAATTTTAGCAGTAATGCAGCCAGTATTAGTCTAAGTTGACCCAGAAAGGCAGTGGATCACTCAGGGCAAAATTCTCAGTGTTCCCAATTTAATCTGATCCCCAAATCAGAGATATATTGTGCCTATCTTTACCTAAACTGTAAATTTTAAGAGTACAGTGAGCAGAAAAAGCCAGTCTATGGCTTGATTTTCTTTCTCCAATTCTTCTCATACTCTACACTCAAATTAGCTTTTCTATAACACATCTCTAAAATAGCCATTTTCTACATAAGAATTTCATATTTCCTAAGACCTTTTTCTTTGCTATAAAGCATGTATTGTTTGTCTGAGTCCATAAAATACCCGCTTGCTACATCAGAAACTGCAAAAACACATAAAGAAGAAAATCAAAATTGCCTCTAATCCAATTTGAACTTTTTGGGAAATATGACTGTGGCAGAGATGGAGAGAATGGATCAAGGGGAGGAAAATCTTGGGAATAGGAAAAATGGTAGGATGGCTTCCTGAAAAGATGCAATAAGAACCCGAACTGTAACAGTGGGACTGATAGAAGATTAAAATGATACCTCAGGGACAGAGTTAATGACTTATAGAGGGAGAGGAAGAAGTGATTTTAAATTTTCTAATTTGAGAGAATTGATAGATGATGATGTGAAAAACAGACTGAGATTCCTATGGGATATGTGGTAAAGCATAACAAAAACATGCAATTCAATGGGTAAGGTTTTAAAATGGAATAAAGTCCAAGCTCTACTATATGCCAGTTTTGTGGCCCTGACTCCATCACCTAGGCTTTCTAAATTTCAGATAAAAGGGGGAAAAGTATATCTGATTGTGTGTGTGTGTGTTTGTGTGTGTGTGTGTGTCTGATGGAGTCTCGCTCTTGTCACTCAGGCTGGGGTATAATGGTGCGATCTCGGCTCGCTGCAACCTCCGCCTCCCAGGTTCAAGTGATTCTCCTGCCTCAGCCTCCCAAGTAGCTGACTGACTTTTCAGAATTTGTTTTGAAGTTTAAACTTGTATCTAAAATATTGTTTCTAGATTGACATGGCAAATAGGCAGCTGGGAATAGATGTTTAGAGCTCAAGAAAGGGATAAAGACGGTTGATGTGAGAATCAATGGGGATAACAAAGGTGATGTATTAGGAGTGCATGAGACTATTCAGACATTGGAAGAGAACATGTCTAAAGACAGTGACCTGAAGAAACAACAACATTTAAGAGGCGGACTAAAGAACAGTTAGAAAAGCACTCTTAAGTAAATGAAATAAGAAAGCCAAGCTTCAAAGATCAAGAGCAAAGTGGCTATAAAGTCCCCATAACTGAACAGTTGTGTTCAGTGCTAACTGAGCATGTCCTCAGGTTACATGTGCAGCAGTTCAGAAGATCATTTGGTAGGAACATATTTTCTCAATACAAATGTCATTCATACTGCTAATTCACAACTGCAAGACAGAAGTTTCAAGGCAACAACTAATAATGTACCACTACACCCCCCATCCCCCAACTAGAGAAGATCCTGATAAAAGGGTTAGGAGACTGTTGATCAAGCTTGCATCTGATGTAATGTGGCCTCTTCAACATCTGGATCTAATAACTTGTGACAGTTTTCTTTGGGACATTTTGAAAATGAAAAATTTTCAATCCAACAATAGTAGAATACTGGAAAACAGCTGTCAGGGACAGCTTTAATGTCTCCTACTTGATAAGAAAAATGTCCAAAAGAAAATTAAAATGTCATAAACATATCAGGATATTAAAGAGAAGTATTCAGTAAATTTTTAACCATCTTGCATAGGGACTTCGGGTTAATCTGTAGAAAGGTAAGACTGCAATAGATCTGACAATAAGATTTGTGTTATAATAGAGTGCAAATTTAGTAGAATGAAGAGATTCATTAATCGTTGTTACTACTGCTGACAAACTGTCTAGGCTTTCCAAACACTGGACTCGACTCAGTCATGTTCTCCACCTCTGTGTGTGCTACCCAACACACTATCCAAAGTCCATCCAAATGGCATCTTTTCCATCAAGGCTTTTCTTATCTTCCGGTTGAAACAAGCACTTCTTGCACTGAACTCCACCAAAAGTTCGTGTCCATCTTTATTAGTGTATTCAACACTCTCTCCTCTTTCTAAAATAGTTATTAGTGTTTCATTTCCTAAATGTTTCTTGAGGGTAATGATCACACTTCACTATGGGCTTTTTGCTGTGCTCCACAGCTTCCAGTTGTAGGCTTTCTGCATGGTAAACATTTGGCAACTATCATTAAAATGAGTTAATGACTGTGCTATAATTATCACATCAAAATTAGTCCCTCATCCCAAATAATCAGTTTATTTAAATTAATGAGAATTATTTTGTATAGATTTTGCAATCAACAAAACATTATTTTTACCTTTTAAATGCATTGAGAATATTGTAAGACATTTGTTAATTATTTTTATCAGTAAGATATTTAAAACTTAAGTGGCTTAGAAAAGTTCAATGTTTGAGCCTGATCCTAACCCTGTAATAGGAAATCAATGTTTTTTTTTAATCACCAAGTCTATAATATAGTACTCTATTCCCCATGTATGTCCTATCCTATCCTATTGCCTTATTAAAGACATACTAGTTAACATTTACATTGTTCTTAGGAAGACTGATCAAAATAAACTTGGTATCAACAGAATTATTGATTTAAATTTTGCTGCACTCACCTTTGCCAAATATTAGTTGTCCAAATAAGCATTCCACAGTTTTCTTCAATCGAGAAAAATAGGAAAGACCTTGCCACCAAAATGCAAACACAAGAGTTTATTTATATTTCTTAACTTCCTGTTTCCTTCTACTTAAGTCAGCATTGTTTTTTAATGCTGCCTGTTTCCAACATTTATTTTAGTTTTCTTCTTGCTCCTGACATGTATATGGCAGTTTCCAGCAATTTTGTATGTTGCTTACAAAAAAAGAAAAAAGCTTTTCTGAAGATGTCAGTGTTTGTAGTCAAATAAACCACTTTTCATGATAAGATTTTCCATATATTTATTCAGAGGTGTCTATTCTTTTCTCTTATGACTTGATAATAGTCCTGCTATTCTAACCCTTCAGTAAAACGGTGTTTAGAACAGAATTTAAGATATTTGCAGCATACACTGTGCTTCATATAAGAAGAGATTAGCTTTTTAATAATAGCTTCTTTTGAATTAGGAAAGGATTTCTACAATAGAGAGGAAAACCACATGGGGAAATGTAATCAATGATGGTTTTGTGTAAGCTTTAATAATTTCTTTGTTCTAAAGGTTTTTGCAGTTTTTGGTTAGAAAGATAAAGGAACTCCCCCATCACATTTATTCACTGCAAAAGCATTGTTGATTATCCAGGGTATTTCTTGATACCTCTTAAGGAATCCACTTTTAGCAGATCTCTGCCAACCAGGGAATCTTCCACAAGGATTTACAATTGTTTTGCTGAGTGGCGTAATGAAAAAATCAATGAAATCTGCAACAGACAGTCTTGGTTGGAATCCTGTGTTACCTTAGGCAAATTGCTTTATTCTCTGAGTGTTGGGTCCTTAATCTATAAAGTGAGAGGGTTGTAGGATTAAATAAGATTACATGTGTAAAATATCAACAAAATATATTGCTCATAGGTGAAGCCAACAAGTGTAAACTGTTTTCACTCATAGAAATTTAATACCTACATGATTCAGATAAAGAAGAGAGAAGAATTTTCCTGAAGTGCTCTTTGTAGAAATGTAAGAAGATGTTAGAAATAAAACAGATCACATTCAAATTGGGTTAAATGAAAGGAATGTGTTTCATCTCACATAACAAAAAGTCCAAAGGCCAGAAAGACTCTCATTGTAGGATATCAGGATTTTTGCTCAAATTTTCTGATTTCTGCTTTCTAAACTCCTCTTCATGGTTTTGTTTTGTTTTTGTTTGTTTGCCAAGCTGGCTTGCTCATGGTCACCAAATGGCTCCCAGTAGGAGCAGAGGCAACTTATTTCCTCGCTAACAGACAGTGGGAGTCAACATTAGCCTTCAACCATGCCCTGACTAGTCTGCCCCTTTGATTTGATTAACATTTCAGATCTTGTGGCCACCACTGGACCAATAACAACTTTATGTAGGTAAATAGGCATTGCCAATTTACAATCAGAAACTAAGTTTCAAAGACTTGCTAAACCACACTGCTAGGAAGTAGGAGAGCTAGAATCAGAAAGCAAATTCTCTAATGCCAAGTCCAGTAATCACAGCAGGGCCATACTTTTTTGTAAATAAGATTTCAGCTATATATATATATGATGTTTATAATTTATATATAAATTACTTTAGCGTGTTTCTAATAAAATCATTTTTGAAACTTAAATTTGAATTTACTTTACCTTTATTTAGGAAATTGACTTGTATATTTTAAATGCTCTGTGACTCTAGGCATATTTCTGAAATATATTTAAAATTCTATTTAACCTATTTATATTCATCTTTCCAAATATGGTGATCTGTGGCTAAAACTTTCTCTAGGTTTAAATTGATCTTGGTTTCCTTTATAACACTTTTATCAGTTCTCACCATTTATATTTAGTCTGGTCTTATTTTCATTCCTCTCATTAGCGCTTCATAGCAGCAAATCACTGCATGTGAATTCTACCAGTAGAGATGCATTTTACAGACTTTGAGTTTTCTGGTTAAGGACTCTGGTGTGTACCATAGGGCATACGGGACAGCAATTGCATTAGAGATTTTACTTAAGGCATCTAACAGGTATTTTACATAACAGAAGTTTATACTAGGACCCTGAATAAGAGAATGTGCTTAAAGTTCTTCCATGTTTTCTAAAATAAATCTTTATCCCAGCAATAATACACGAATAGTATAGAGCCCTTCCTTAAGGAATCAACTTAGTTATATATATATTACAAAATACCCTAGGTGCAACTAGTCATTCTCTCCTCTTTCTTTTTTTTACCTAGGGGATGATATTGTGTCTCCTTGTGCACTCATCATCAGAGAAGCCCTAAGGCTCTCAGCCGTCTTTCAATCTAAGCCTTGTAGATAACACTTGACCTGCTGCCCACATGTCTTTGGTACTATATAAATATTTAATCATAAAAATCATAAGTTATATCTTCCTGCCATGGCTGAGAATTTCCTGAAAAGTCACCCAAGTTGCTTGATGAATCTGGAAGTAAGAGGCCTGACCTTAGAATCAAAAGCAGACCTTCCATAATGGGATGCATGTAGGAGCCAATTAAGAAGTTCTGTTCATCTACCTCTTCTTATTTGAAGATATACTATATGCAGTCATCTATCTCAGGGATAAATCAGATATTTTCCATTAAGGTAAGACACTGATTATGGACACTCTTAACCCAAGGGAATCATAAGGCATCTATCCACTTCATTTTTATTTTAGAACATGTGAGAATTTCAGACCAGTTTAAAACTAACTCCTAAGTTTGCATTTGAGCTGATGTTCCTCGGTAATCCAGCACATTGAAATGCCAAATCTCAGGAATTCCAAACCAAGTCACTAAAAAATATTCATGGAGAAGAAATTAACTAAAATTCTTGAGAATGACTTGAGAGCAGCAGAGAAACAGTAAAATACATGGTACGCTTCCACATCGCATGTGTCAGTTCTAAAAGTTGCTTGAATTCTAAGTGAGTCCATGTTAAGTAAATGAATAAAAGAAAAAAAAAACCTATTTGACAGAGGGCTACAAAATTGCTCACATAAGGGTTAATTTCCAGTGAAACTTTAAATGGACACTTAGGGTACAAAAATTAACCAAACTTATTTTCTAAGTTTGGTTTGATTTTATGGTGTATGTTTTCAACCCAGTTAATTGCACGTGTGTGTTTATAGCCTAAAAATCTCCCAGTGAAAACTGCAAAAGATTAAAGAAATGCAAAGCCACAGTGCTAAGTGAAATTAAAATAATAAGTGAGCTCAACCAGATATTTTTAAAAGACTAAAAAATATAAACCTCAAATTTTATTATCAAAAATATAAGTAAACCTAAATGCACACTTTTACTTCCTTATACATGGTTAAAAATTCTCAGTAGCCTTTTTGTGTTCTTTCACTGCATAACACTTATTTGAAATTATTATTTTTCTAGATTAGTCCTGCCAAAGTTTTGAGAGACTCCAGTGTCAAAAAGCTTGATGCTATGCAATTCCCTGCTCAATGTCTGATAGAGTGGTGAGCCAATTATTTTCCTGAAGCTTGTGTGGACTGGAGCTATCATAAAGAAAAAGATAAAAAGTAGAAATACAGAAAGGGAACATTCATTCCTTCAAAAATCATTTATTGAGTATCTGAAACATGAAAGGAGTGTTGACAGGAAAAGGAAGCCAGAGTAGACTGGAAGATTAACTCAGCAGAAAAGAAAAATAGGCCGGACATGGTGGCTCATGCCTGTAATCCCAGCACTTTGGGAGGCCGTGGCGGGCAGATCACCTGAGGTCAGGAGTTCGAGACCAGCCTGGCCAACATGGTGAAACTCCATCTCTACTAAAAATACAGAAATCATCTGGGTGTGGTGGCACGCGCCTGTAATCCCAGCTACTCGAGAGGGTGGGGCAGGAGAATCTCTTGAACCTGGGAGGCAGATATTGCAGTGAGCAAAGATTGCGCTATTGCATTCCAGTCTGGGCGACAGAGTGAGACTCCATCTCAAAATAATGACATGTGGAGACAACACAGATGACAGGTGTGTTAGAGTGTCAGTGCACTCCAGCTGAAGACGACCACCAGTCAAAGAAGTTGAGTTTAGTGTTCACTGCAGCGTAGGAGAACACAAGCCATCGGGGAACTATGGGGACTTTAGTAAGGGAGTGATAGGATTTATTAATATTATAGGATTTGGGCTTGTGTGAAGTGCTTTGGGGGAAAGTGTAAGGAAGTGTGGCTTTGCTCTGGATTAGATGCTTCCAGAAAGTGAAGATAACTCTGCCATTTGGTACTGTAATCTTATTCAGAAGGAAGAAAGGCAGAGTGAGGTAAAACTGTAATTGGTATAGAAGTAACAATTACACATTAACTAAGTTGGGGGATGCTTGGTCATTTGTGGGTTTTGACAATGTTATTATGTTTTTGTCTATTCTCAGACATGATTAGGGAGTGATCTTGTTTGTATCTAGATCTATCATGGTCAAAGATTGACCTTGTCTGATATTGATATTCCATGAAATGGTTTATGTTCAACAGGAGAATAGCAAGAATCAGCTGTGAGAGCCAGGCCAGTTGGTAGCAACACCAAAGCCTGAAAGATAGTAGCAGGCCAGGTCCTTATCAGTTGTTGCTTTGCTCTTTTTTAGGGGGAGACACATAAAGATTATGGTAAGGAAAAGACCAAAGAAAAATTGTGGATATTTATGTATTGCATACATATTACAAGACAGGAAATATGCTAGATGTTTTGCATGCATGATTTCACGTAATATTCACAACAACCCTCTGAATTAAGTACTATTTGAGTGCATATTACCTGTAAGGATAATAAGACTTAGAAAAATAAAGTTATTTGTTTAAAATGGCATAACCGTATAAAGTAGAGTAGGGATGGGATTAGAATCCTAGACCTGTCTAACTTTAGAGCAAAATTATTGAATCATTCCTTATAAAAGAGTGTATGAACACAACATTGGTACCTTAAGAGATGAGTGTCTCCATTAAATTAAAAGGTATATCATGGCAGAGATACTGTGTTGTTCATTTCTGAATTATTTCAGAGCAAGGAGATTTGTGATTTACTTAGAATGGTGTTTAATACATATAAAATGATCAATTAGATGGATGGAACCAAATATGCATGCTTGATCAGACATGACTATTTCATATAATTTCACTCTGTGTTCCAGGAAGTAGGAAGAAACCTTAAGATATTGGTAATAGTAATTACTCATGTTTTGGATCGTGTGAGTTTCACAATGTACCCCCACATATTTATTCTTATGGGCAGATAATTCTCTTATCTTTCATATGAGAACATTGAAGGTCAGGTATGCTAAGTCCTCACATAAGTAACAAGTGGTCAGACATGGGCTAGAATCTTGGCCTCCCCATCTTTATGTCCAGAGGACTATCCTCCAAACTGTACAGCCTTTTATCTTTTAATTCTTCAAAATAATTTAGGTAAGAGAAGAAGAGTTTAGAATTCTCAGATTTTTAAAATATTTTCTAAATATCAGCATTTATGTAGCCTTTGTATTTAATAATAATGAAACAATGACCAGCCTATAACTCTGTTTTCACCCCTACTTTTTAGGTAATTGTCTTTTCTTATTCTTGACAGCCTGTAGCTGTTTCAATCCTTAAGCACTATAAATAATTTACAGCCTATGTATACTTCCTAAAATTGTCTTTGTATACACTTTTTTTTTTTTTTGCATTTAAAAATGTTGATGGCTGAGGAACACTGCTAGGGTCTAGCTGAAAGCAACAATACCACAGACTCTGTGGGAAGCGAATGCTCCATTCAAATGAAAGGTTTCAAGTTGTGTGATGAATTGAGGAAAATAAAACCAATACTTTAACAAAAAGTACCAAAATTTCAAAACTTTGTATTAATATCAACACACTGAAAAACATACTGAAACAGACCAGCACAGTCCCTACTTAATCCCCAACAAATGTCTTCCCATTGGCTTACTACGGATATGACCAATTGGCCTGTATTTAGACTAAACGAGATATTCTGTTGATAGTGAACACAGTTTCTATCACCCAAAGCATGTTTCATCCTTTAAAGCATCAATTCTGTATTTCACAAACAGAATATTTTGATTTATTTTCCAAACATATGTTTTCAACTAAATGTTGTTTGTGAATTATGTAAACAGCATGCTGAAATTGAGATTCCACATAAGTTACCTTTTTTTATCCAAGATGTATGCTCAAGTTTTCATAGCTTTGAGGGCTAACACCATGTCAGCTTAACAATTTGTTTGTTTTAAAAGTTGTATATATGGGTATGTATGTATATGTGTGTGTGTGTATATATATATATATATATATACACAAACACACACATATGTATATATGTATTCGTATAAATATGTATATATATACACACACACACATATATACCATAGGTATCTGTATACACACACACACACACGTAGGGTTCAACTGGTCCTTGATAATACTATTTGACTCCTTCACTTAGTAGAATGGAATAACTAAAACAAAAAAGTGTCACTGACTTACTAAAGATACAAACTTTATAAGCTATAGAATCCATACTAGAACCCAACTGCATTGATGCTCAGAGAAGCATTTTGTTCCACATCCCCTTTTAGTAATAAGCAAAATGTTTACAATATTAAGAGATAATATGCAATGTGCTATTAGAACTATTTTCCCACTATCGCTCAGGATCCCAGCGCCCTATTTCAACAAGTGAAGTTAAACCCATATAAGTATACTGACCAGCTCCTCACTTCTTATTTGCCTTTGCACATTCCTCTTGTCTGTCTCTACTTGATAGAGCAATACAGTCATGTTCTGCTTAGCAATGCTTTTGTCAACAACAGACCAAGTACATGACAGTGGTCCCATGAGATTATAATGGAGCTGAAGTTTCCTGTCACCCAGTGACATCACAGCCATTGTAGCACAACACATTATTCATATGTTTGTGGCGATGCTGGTGTAAACAAACCTATGCACTGCCAGTTTTATAAAAGTAGAGCACATAAAATTATGTACAGTACATAATTGATAGTGATAATAAACGACTATGTTACTAGTTTATGTATTAACTATGCTATACTTTTAATTATTACTTTAGAGTGTACTCTTTCCACCTATAAACAAAAAGTTAACTGTAATATAGCCTCTGGCAGGTCGTTCAGGAGGTATTCCAGATGAAGGCATTGTTATCATAGATGATGGCAGCTCTATGCCTTTTATTCCCCCTGAAGAATTTCCAGTGGGGACAAGATGTGGAGGTGGAAGACAGTGATACTGATGATCCTGACCCTGTGTAGACCTAGGCTAATATGTGTGTTTGTGTTTTAGTTTTTAACAAAAAATATTTTTAAAGTATAAAGATTATTTTTAATACAGAAAAGCTCGTAAGATAAGGGTATAAAGAAATAAAATATTTTTGTACAGCTGTACAATAGGTCTGTGTTTTAAGCTGTTATTACAGAAGAGCCAAAAAATTTTTAAAAAGTTTATAAAGTAGAAAAGTTACAGTAATCTAAGGTTAATTTATTATTGAGAAAAAACATTTTAAAATAAATTTAGTGTAGCCAAAGTTTACAGTGCGTATAAAGTCTACAGTTGTGCACAGTAATGTCCTAGGCCTTCACATTCACTCATCACTCGCTCACAGACTCACCCAGGGCAGCTTCTGTCCTGTAAGCTCCATTCATGGTAAGTGCCCTACACAGGTGTACCATTTTTTATCTTTTAGATGATATTTTACTGTACATTTTCTATGCTTAGATATGTTTAGATACAAAAATACTTGCCATTGTGTTACAGTTGCCTACAGTATTCAGCATGGTAACATGATGTGTAGGCGTGTAGCCTAGGAGAAATAGGCTATACCATGTAGCCTAGGTTTGTAGTAGGCTATACCACCTAAGTTTGTGTAAGTACACTCTGTGGTGTGCATACAATGAAAAATCGCTTGACAACACATTTCTCAGAATGTATTCCTATCATCAAGTGATACATGAGTGTACTTACACATTTATCCAAGTTTACAAAACAGGAGAAGATTATATGTTGTATTTGCCCCCTTAAAATAGGCTTCAAATAGCATAATTATCATGTTCACATGCAGCTTTTTCCTCTGCGTATGATTTTTAAAGATTGTATCTGACCTTGAGTAAAGCAATATTCATGACCTCAATTCATTACTCCATATCAGTGATATTTATCAATCAGTGGATTCTAATTTAGCATAATTTGCTACCAGAAATAAAAATATAAAATATTTAAAATGCAAGCTGGTCACTCATTTTTATTTACTTACATTTAACTGAACGTTTGTATATGGAATTTCATAGTCAGGTCATATGCCTTTAAATAGACAAGCAAAACAGAGGAATGGAACATTCTGTTGACAGGTAAATGTGAATCAATCTGGTTTCATTCAAAGGAAAATAATCAAGCTCTTTTCAAATAACCTAAAATGCAAAATGATTGCAGGGTGGAGGGGAGGGGACCTTATCAGCTTCTCTTCTCAGAGAAATGATTGCGATTTTCTAGCTGGAGGAACATACGCTGCAGCTTATCTCGTGACTTCTCTGCAGTCTCTGATATTTATTAACAGTTGATTTTCTGTAGTTGCTCTTCTTTCCCTTCTTCCCTCCTCCAGTGTAAATTAGTTTTCCCAAATCTGTATCTAGCCTTCATTTTCTTATCAGTCATGGAAAAAGGATGATTATTTCATTATTGGTTCTGAAGAGTCTTTCATATTAAGTGGTGCAGCTCTGGTTTCAGGCAGGCATTTAATGGACTCTCTATTTGTTTTATTGTCTCATCATCTTAATCAAAGCCCTCTGAGACAGAGTCTTTTGTAGTAACAAACAAGAATAAAGGGAAATTATGAATTGTTGCTTCCACAGAAAATGCAGTATTCATTAGAAATTTCTGTTGGGATTAAAACCAGGCTGACTTCAAACATGTAAAAACAATTATAATCACCTATGAGAAACCTTTTAATCACTAGGATACCTGTTTTCTGAGTCTCTCATTAGCCTACTACCAAAGCAGGTCCCTCGCTTGGGGCTCATGCTTCACTGTATTGTCACAAGATAGCTAGTGGAAGATTTTCAGCTCTCAAGTTTATTTTTTTTGTGTGAGAACTGCACTCCTGCTTTCTCCCAACACTTTATAATTTTTTTCTTACAGCTTTTTTTTTATCTTTGCTATATAAAATTTAACATTAACTCTCTGATTTACTGAACAGACACTGTCCTAGATTCCTGATATTGAACAACTATGGGAAAAGTGTAGGTGTCATGCTCTCATTTTTAGATTCAGATGACTCAAAATAGCCTGAAAGTCCCAGTCTCACACTGTCCCTGCACTCCTTTGATCATATTTTGATAAATTTTTCAGAAGCAGTACAGGAATTGGGTTAGCTATTTAAGTAGAAGTCAGTTTATATTGGGGCAACATGAAAATGGTCTAATAAAAATCCATGTTTCTCCTTAATGGGCAAATCAAATTTTCTGTTGTTTGCAAAAATCAAAGAGACACAAAATACCCCCAACATTCCAGTATCCTAAATACTGATTACTATTAATAGTATATGTTTAATTATATCTTAATATTTTATTTGCATTTAGAGATGCTTGCTAATACCTATATAAATTTTATTAATTAATTGATGCAAGAAGCTAAAGTATAAACTTGATTCTTAAATGGCTTTTGGTTCACATAGTGCACCATATTTCAATGGTGCAATAAATAAAGAGTTACAGCATTGCTTTCAACTTCAGATATGGTCATCATCAGGCATCTCTGACATAATGTTAAATGTGTTTGTCATATTGGGACAGTATACTTAGATAGGGAAATACTCATAAAATGTATTAGTTAACTATTGCTGCATTACAAATTATCCCCAATATAGCAACTTAAATCAGACTTTTCTTAGCTCACAGTTTCTGTAGGTCACAAATGGAGGTAGCTGCATTAGCGGGGTGCCTCTTGCTCCAGACCTCTCACGAGACTGCAATCAGGGTATCAGCCAGGACTGGGGTCATTTCAAGGACCAAATGAAAGAAGATCCACACTCAAGTTCAGCAACATGGCTTTTGGTAAGGCTCAGAAGACCCCTTCCTATCTCATTCACAGGATTGTTGACAAGCCTTCAGTAGTCTCTGTCGTAAGCGAAAGAAATTAACCTTTTGCCACATGGGCCCTTCTATAGGGCTAGTCATCATGTGGTAACTGGCTTTTTCCAGACCAAAGGCTCCAAGAGACAGAATGTGACATAGCAAGCAAGAAAGAAGCCCCAGTCTTTTTATAATCTAATCGGCAACTTGCCATTACTTTTGCAGCATTATTTTTGTTAGAGACAAGCCACTGGGTCCAGCCTACATTCAAGGGGAGGAGGTTACACAAGTGTATGAATGCCAGGAGATGAGAATCTTCAAGATCCATTTTTGAAGCTATATGTGACAGTTCAACATCTGAACTCTATGGTTCAGCCTTCTCTCACTGCAGAATAGGCTCACTCTCTCCAACAGTCCCCCAAAGTCTCATCCCATTAATTAGTCAGGATGCACTGGGTTATGAGACAGTAGTAACTCTAAAATCTTTGTGACTTAGAATAACATAGTTCTATTTCTCAATCACACCACTTATCTATCATGGGTTGATATCATAGTACATTTTATGCTGCTGTAACAAAATACCTGAGACTGGATAATTTGTAAAGAGCAGAAATCTACTGGCTCACAGTTCTCAGGGCTAGGATGTTTAATGTCAAGGTATTAGTGTCCTCCTAGGGCTTTTGTGCTATGTCATCACATGGTGAAATTCAGAAGATCAGGAGAGAGAGGAAAGGGGCTAACTCGTTGTATTAGTCCATTTTCACACTGCTGATAAAGACATACCTGAGAATGGCTGGGGGGGCCTCAGAATCATGGTGGGAGGTGAAAGGCACTTCTTACATGGCAGCTGCAAGAGAAAATGCGGAAGAAGCAAAACAGAAACCCCTGATAAACCCACTGGATCTCGTGAGACTTATTCACTATCACAAGAATAGCATGGGAAATACTGGCCCCATGATTCACTTACCTCCCCCTGGGTCCCTCCCACGACATGTGGGAATTCTGGGAGATACAATTCAAATTGAGATTTGGGTGGGGACACAGTCAAACCATATCACTCATCCTTTTATCAAGAGCTCACTCCTGCAATAACTAACCAACTCCCACAATTAAAGCATTAATCTACCAATGAGAACAGAGCCCTCATGACCTAATCACCTCTTAAAGGTCTGACTTTCCTAACACTGTTACAATAGGGATTAAGTTTCCAACACATGAACTTTGGAGGACACATTCAAACCATAGCCATTGGCTACATATTCTTCTCATGCTGTCCTCACTCAGAAAGTCTCCAACATCACTGTGCCAGGAGCGAGGAAGGGGCAAATTATCACTGGCTATTAAAGTCTTCTGCATGGAAGTGACATGTGATACTTCTGCTCAAATTACACAGCCACACTAATTTCAAAGGCACAAGGAAGTTCACTTTGACCATATTCCTGGAAAGATGAGAAATGGAAATATCAATGAACAGCCCAGAAAACAACCTAATGGGTAAAGTAATATATTTCACATCCACCTGAGTGCATAGCAAAATAATAAAGAGCCAGATTTTGATTTGTTTATTCATTTCAAAAATATTTACCATTTATCACTGTATGCTAGGCTTATGCAAAATGCTGAGGACAAAAACAGAAAAAAATAAAAGCAGTTCCTGTCTTCTGCTTTTTCAGTATAGTGGGCAAAGAGATAACCATATAGACAGTTATAAAATAGAAATCATTATAAAGTGTTAAGACATAATAGAAGCATCTCATATGGATTTAAGGAGAGAAGGGATCAGAGAGGACGTTTTGTAGTAGATAAACCCTGATGGGTTCTGAAGGATGTGTAGGAATAGACCAGGTAAGAAAAGTGAATTAATAAAATTTCAATGTTTATTTAATAAAATGAATTTATGATGAGAGTCTTCCGGATTAAAAGGCCTAGATTCTTCTATATCTGCAGTTAACTACTACGTTAGCCCCATCAAATCACTGAGCAACTGTGCACCTCAACTTCCTCATCTGTGAAATGAGGTTTAATTAGATGTTGTTCAAGATCTCTTTCAACTATAAAATTCCATGATTTTTCCTGACTCTAGAGGATATTTTTTCAAAAGCACCTTCTATGTGATAATCATAAAATAATTACCTTATAAAGCAATCACTTACTAAAACAGCTCAGTGAACACTTATGGAAAATTCCTCATACCTGAAAATAATGGAATTGTATTCCCATCTCTTCTGATACATACCATGTTCAAAATGGATTACAAAAAGAAGAATAAGATGTAATTTAGAATAGACTGATATTAAGTAGTTCTTCATGGCTAGCTTCTACTCTTGTGGTCCTTGTCATCTTTAATTCACCACCCTAGGAATTTCTGATGATTTTCCTGTGTAAAGAGACTCTTTCCACTTTATGTGTTGGTTTTGTTTATTTGCTTGTAAAAAGATTCCAAGACATGCATGCACACAACACACACACACACACACACACACACACACACACAATTTATTTTGCACTAAAATTCTGTGACCAGGTTGACGTCCACTCTCATAATTCCACAGAATACCATGTCTCTCATTAGATCCTGCAATCCTTCAAGGATCTCCCTACTTCCAGGGAAAATCCTTAAAAGGGTTGTTAGAGTCTTTACCACTCATGGCACAACCATCATTCTTCTACCAGTCAACTGAATCCTAGGTCAGGGGTCTTCCCTTTTCTAGTCCAAGCCTTCACTCCCTCTCTCCTCTTTCACTAACCAAGCTTAGACTTTCAAAGCAAATAACTTCTACCAACTATTGGCAAAGATGTTATACAACAGAAACACTCATATATTGCAGGAAAAGTATAATTGCTACAACCACTTTGGAAAACAGTTTGGCATTATCTATTGAAATTTAACATATACGTAACCAGATGATCCAGCAATTCCACTCCTCATTATCTACAACATGCATACCAAGAAATATCTACAAGGATGTTTATTGCGGCATTAATTGTAATTGCTTTAAACTGGAAATTACCCAATGTCCATCAGCAATAGAATAGTTACAAAAATATGGCACTGTATATTCAGATATTTGACAAATTACAACATGAATGTAGCCAACAACCTTAATGTTAAGGAAAGAAGGCAGACACAAAAATAACATGCAATACTTGATTACATTTACATAACGTTCAAGGCAACCCTAAACCATAGGTTAGAAGTCAAGATGGTGTTTGTTTACCTTTGGTGAGGAGGAAAAAGTGAGTTTGAGAGTAAGCATGAAGTATGTATTACTGGAAATGTGCTATATCTTGACGTGGGTGGTGTTTACCCTGATGTTTATTTTGTATGATTCATTATTTATGTACTTTTCTATAAGTGCATTATATATTGATTTTTTTAATTTAAATTATCTCTTAATTTAGTTGAGACAAAAGGACTCAGGATTCCAAGAAGTCCTGCTTGTTCTTATAATGGTGTCACATGGAAACACACATACATACACAAACACACACACAACATAACACAACACCACAAAAAAAAAATCCTCTTATTCTTTAGTCATGAGAGGTACAATTTATTTGCCATTTTATATATTGTTCACTGCAATGTGGGTTGCAGTAGTATTTGTTGTTGTTGTTATTAACACAGCTCCAAATCAGTCTATTTCACAAGAAACCTATAAGGGATGACATTAGAACAAGGTTGAGAGAGAGAGAGAGGGAAAGAGAGGGAAGCAGGGAGGGAGGGAGGAAAGACAAGCTATGCCATTTAAGAAATCTAACATGTTTGCCAAGCAAAGCTTAAAATCACACTCTCTTATTCATCTGTCTTGGCTTTGTATTGTACAAACTGCACATAAAAAAGGGACTTGACAATTTCATAAGACAGGTACCTTTAGGTATTTCAAAACTTATTTTTTCCTGGAATTTTACTTACCTGGTGTTTAAGGTAATGCAAAGGACTATCCTTATACTTGAATCTGAAAATCTGAGTACAATGACTAATGAGAAGTATGTGCAAACAATTCTAAATGAAAGAGAATGAAAGCTTCCTAATGAAATCTCTTTAATATGTAATTTTAAGCTACTTTAAAAAGTCACAGTTGCTTGCACTAATGAGAATCTGTTTTAAAATTACATGTTATTTTGATAATCAGAATTTTGAGGGATGATTTAGAATAGGGTTAACAGCAGAAATAAAATTGATAGGAAGTAAACTTTTTTCTAATTTAGAGTGAAAATCATTGCAATATATTATGTAAAATAAATTTCAGTGTTTCTGTTGAAATACCTTTTTCAGGTGTGAAATGTTTTAATTATTATATTTTATATAATACTCAAGAGTCATATTAAAATTTGGAAATTTCAGTTTATAACAGAAGGGATACCATATAGTAAATATAAAAAAATTATTCTAAGCAAATCTAAATATTTTTATGTGTAAGAATATAAACATCATCTAGATAATTCCAGTTAGAAAATAGAAGATTATGCTCTTTTAATGCAAAACACACTAAATGAAAGGCTATTTCTGAAATGTTTGTTATTTCTGTGAAGGTGGAAAACTGGGTTATGACCAAAGTGAATTGGAGCCTTCAAAACTTCCCATGCATACACACATATGTATTAGGATACGTGTGTTTGTGTGTGTGTGTGTGAGAGAGAGAGAGAGAGAGAGAGAGAGAGAGAGAGGGAGAGACAGAGAGAGAGAGAGAGACAGAGTCTTGTTTTGTTGTCCAGGTTGGAGTGCGGTGGTACCATTACAGCTCACTACACCCTCGACCTCTGGAGCTCAATCGATCTTCCCACCTTAGCCTCCTGACTAGCTGGGACTACAAGTGCATGCCACAATGCCCAGCTAGCTTTCTGTATTTTTTGTAGAAATGGGATCTTATGATGTTGCCCAGGCTTCATGAACATATACAAATACTAGAAACTGTATCTGGTCAGATTGTGCCCCACCATGGACAGATCTTCGCTTTAAAGTTATGAACTTCAGCTCTTACAGTTTCCTCAGCCATAACAACCAGTCCAAATTTTGGCAGACAGCTGGGAAATGAAAGAACCCTTATTGTTATTTCCTCCTTGTTCATTTCTTTCTCTCCCCCAGATTGAGCATGTTCCATGCACTAGGGTCTGCCTTCTTGAGCCAAATTACTTGCTGAAAATCCATTTTCTTCTGTTCATGAGAATTTATCATCTATTTTTTCTCAATCTCCAGAAAATAAAATGGGACTTCTTAATAATTTGCCATTTTTAATCACAGTGGAGAAAACTTAGTTGACCTAGACATTATGCATGGCTTAGAAAGGATTACATTTTTTTCTATTTCTCACTGATGTTAAATAGTTTTTGTTGTCTCCTCTACCAGATCGACAGATAACTAGACTGATATTTGTACTCTGAAAAGAAAGGCACTTGTGTGGTGGTCTGAGAGGCAAAAAAAAAAAGAAAAAAAATTATCTAAAATGTCTATGAAAACCTGTAAGAGGTGTCTTTAACTAGTAAATCCAACGCATGTTTGCCTGACACTAGAGAAATGCTTTATTAATATATAGACATTAATGTGAGTGAACTACAAATTTATTAAAGCAACCATAAAATCTAGCCTGAAGGTGCCATTCAGCAATCATCTAAATGAGTAATGGAATAGAGCCTGAGGATTTTCTACTTCAGATCAAAAGGCAGTTGCATGTCTAGCAGCAAAAGTTTCCTCTTCATTCCTCAGAAAGGAAGCCAGGAGATCTGATCATCTCCTCTAAAGTCCGTTGCTTAAGTAGGGCTGAAAGTAAAGGAGGTAAATCTCGGAAAGTTGACTTCTGCCAAGCAAGACTAAACTTAACCAGCAAGTGGACAATAGTAAAGAGAGACAGATGGGTGAGACTTTTGGAGAGACCCTTAGGAAGTGGCCCCAAACAGGTGGTTGGTTGCCTAAAAGGAATCATTGAATAGAGTGTGTTTGACTCTAGGGGAAAGGGAGAGAAGTGTCAGTAATGAATACATGGAGGCATGCTGACTGAGATTTGATATTGCTTGTCAGATGTCTCTATTTTTGTCTAGACTTCAAAAGCTGTTTCATTGTAATATGTGAAGAGCAGAAGGTCTTGGATTCTGTGATTGGTTATTGTTTTGAAAAGGAAAGAAAATTACCTTTCATTTTCTCTCCATTGGCATTAAATCCAGTAGAGGGTCAAAGGACATTCCAAATCACCACGACTACAGCAAGGAGCTTCCAAGCCCATTACTTCTGACTAAGGTTGTGCAATGCTCTCAGCGTCTTACCTAAAACCCACAAATAGAGGCCTATAAGAACAGTTTTGCAAGCATATTTTGATGTGTTCCACTTGCTGTGAGCTCTTAAACAAAATCAAATTTTACCTTTAGGTATTTACCAAAGGATATTTTGGAACCCGTGCTAAATGAAGCCTTATGTTCCCTATTCCTGAAGGAATAACTATTTAGAATAATAGTTCCTATGAAATTTTCATGATACATCTTATCACATAAGATTTAAGTTATTTTAAAAAACAGAGAGAGGGATGGTAAGTATATGCTATTTTCTGTGTCAAGCGCTCAGCTAAAACCTCAAACAAGACAAAACTAGTTGCTGTATCCACGGGGTACCATAGTTTACAATCTAATGTGGGAAATCTAATAAACCAAACAGGCTAAGTGCTATAATAAACACCCACCCTTTTAATGGCTTAAAGAAGAGAAATTTAATTCTCATTTACATAAAACGCAGTGCCAATAGATGTCCTAGTCAGGGTGAGGTGACGAATGCTCATCTATGTAACACTGTACTGTGAATAGACCTTATTAGTGGAAGTGAGGGGTGATCCTGAAAGCTGTGGCTGGAGAATCATGTTCTTTTTGTCTTTGGGACCTTTCCTCCTTTAGGTCCTTAGGGATTTAACCTATAGGTAAGAAACATAGAATGAGGATCATATGCAAGATGTTCTTAAGACTGTGTTCCATGGTGAGGAATGTAGTCACATCTAACTACAAAATGTAGTCTGGCTATGTAACAGAAGGAAAAGGGAAATGTTTTGGTGAACAGTTAGCCATTTTCTCCGACACAGGGTGATGTGATAACGTGTGATAGGGAAAGATGCAGAGCTTGTTGGAGCATCTAGGAGATTCATCTAACTAAAACTTAGAGGGAGCAGGGTGTCAAAAAGTCTCTCCCCATGAGATGACAACTTTGCTGGGAATTGAAGGAGGAATAAGAGTTTAATATGTTAAAAAGAGTTGAGAAAAAAATGTGCTAAACAAAATAAAGCAATTGTGAAAACAATACAAAAATGAATCATTAAGGTAGACTTCAAATCTTGTACAAATTATTCTGTTGAGAAATTAAGACATTGTGCCTTTTTATATGTTTCAGAGGTGTGGATCTTTTTAAATTAATTATGAAATTCTTAAACATAAATGTAATGCTTATAAGATGGAATTTTCCATGCTAATTCGTCCCAGAACGAGTAGGATAGACAAGGATTTGCTTTAGCTTGGCTGCCAAGGTTTAAGTGCTCCCCTTAACAACTTAGGGGCATTATTTATTTAAAGGCCAAAGGATGGATATTCTGAAATGTATTATGTAATTGTAGGATGCAACAAACCAAGATGTTTACTGGACTTAATGAAACTGATGTTGTAAGAAGGCAATTTAGCCATTTTATGGTGGACATGTTAGTTTCAATTCAACATTTTAAAGAATAGTCAATATTCTGCTTTATAGCCTGTGAACAATAGTGATTTCCATGTTGGTTTTTGGCATTTCACTACTTCAATTAAAGATTGTATTTCATAAAATTGATACTAGTTTCTCATTAACTAGCTTACTTTTTCTCATCTCTGCCTCAATCCCCACTAAAAAATGGGGTGACAGCATTTATCTTAAAGACAATGTAGGGATTAAAATATTTTTTAAATAATTGTTACTTTCTATCTTTATAATTAGGTTTTGAACTTCTTGAGGCCAGGGACTGTGTCTGAAAACACCGACGGTGGCTAACTCAAGGTGAGTCCACAACCACATTTTAACCCTTTCCCTTCTCTGGGTCCTAATACTTAATACAGTAACTGATGTATAGTTCAACTCAACGAATATTGGTTAGGATGGATGGATGGATAAAATACTCAAACATTTTACTCTGTTTACCTAATATTGAGTTATTCTTTACTATAGATTTTCCTTTATAATGTATTAATGACAATAGAATAACTAAGAAATCTGTCAATGAGAGATTTATTTTTCAGTTCTGAATTATATATGATGTTAGGCCTGAACGTGGGGGGAAATCTAACAATCGGTTAAATTTCTGAATTGAAGCAGCAGATGCTTATAGATTTAAATGTTGATTGAATTTAGCTGCTGCTGCTATGAAATTATTAGCCCTCGGTGGTGGTCTCGCCTACATACTTTATTTTGGCTCTTTTGGAAGCTACAAAGCTATTTATTGTTAATGAGGGAATAAAGTGAGAAAACAGATTAGTGAGTAGATTAGCGAATTTTTTAAAGTCTAATCTTTGTTAAACAATAACAGGTTATGATTTAATGCATTCAGTTCTCACTACTTTGTGACAAAATTTTTGCTATTAACACAGCTTTGTTTCATTACATATCCCTTTTCTAATATAAACATTTCATCTACCATAATAATACTTTTTGTTTAAAATCCTCTGCCAAGGACATTTTTTCCTCACCCATTGCAGTTTAATAGTGTGTTTCTAATCCTACAAAGATAATTCTTTGAAATAAACAATTCCCATATTCTTTCTCTGAGATATTTGATCTGTTGGCTTGTTATTCAGAGACTATTATCTCGTAATAAACTTGTGATGAATAAGATAAACTTAAATGTTTTAAAATCAATGTTTCTAAATACAAACTTTCTAAATAAAGTCTGTGAGGTTTAAAAGTTCGTTAGCATGCTCAAATCTCTTATCTGCTAAAATTTTGCATCCTCAGTTTAAAGAAAAGAATATCACCGTCCCTATCCCCTGTTGATCTTATTTTGGGGTTGATGTATCTTATGACTCTAAGAAAATGGAAATATCTGCATATGGAGAAGGTACACAAAGGTCCTTCAGAAATCACAGTACCACTGAAGTCAAATAAGATGATAACTCAACAAACAAATAAGAGATAACGAAGATTGTAGTAAATTTATTTCAGGCTTTCAGCCTGTTTCCATGGGGGTTCATCATTGTTCAATTTTATATGTTAAGATTCAGCTTACCTTCCCCAAAAAGCTTTCTTGGATACCCCCAGTCAAATTGATGTGTTATTCTTTTGAATTCCTCTGTGTCTTCATTCTTGACTCTCTTAAAATACTACTCATTCTGCTTTATGTTTCAGCAATTTGTATAGAATCAGTTTCCATTTTCCAAGCACATTATCTTCCAGTGTTCATTTAAAAGCCACTTGTTTGGGAGTCCAAAGTACTTATTTCTGTAGAACTAATCATACAAGTGATGTTCCTATTTTCTTTTTAGTTCTATTTCTGTCTGATCTAGTGCTAATAGAAATATTTCAAATATGCCTCCATTAATGACATTGTTTCTTCAAGACAGACCAATTCTATTATAAGGAGCAAATTTCATAGATTCTAGACTTACATTTGCCTGGATTGTCTTCTACTTATTAGCCATTTGATATTAAGTAAACTGTGCAAATTTGTGCCTGAGATTTCTCATTTGTTAAATAAAGATAATAATTATATTTCTGGTGGCTGTAGTGAAGATTAAATGAGTTCATATATGAAAGCTGCTTTGGTGAATACTATTTGACACAGTAGGAGGTACATAAATTTGTTTGTAGATGTTATTATTGTTATTTTTATTAAAATTTAGAGCATCAGGAACCTGTCTGCTCACACACAGGCAGGTTTGAAAATGGAAACAGGCAGCATATTTTAGCAGTTCACCTTCTCAAAACAGGATAGTTGCTTGAATCATAGCACACAGTCAGAAAAAAACATAACTACCTACCTAGAGAAAAGGCTTTTTTTCTAACTGTATTTTCAAAGTGAATAAAAACGAAAACAAGATACCATAATCAGCTGCACCTCATTACAAAAATGAAATTAAGGTAAAAATAACAATGATTATTATTGAAATCATTTGTTGAGCCCTTAGTATGTGCCAAGCAGAAAAGGAATGGCTTTCTATGTTATCTTCATATGATCCCATTACAAAAGAAACTGATGGCCAAGGAGGCAAAGGTCTCTCACAGCTAAAGAGTTAGAGCAAGAACTCCA
The DNA here is from genome assembly GCF_000001405.40 of Homo sapiens. NCBI lineage: Eukaryota > Metazoa > Chordata > Mammalia > Primates > Hominidae > Homo > Homo sapiens. The sequence continues at coordinate 9,181,061 of NC_000009.12, read as the reverse complement.
ACCTAAACCTTTCTGACTTTCAAATTCTTTGGTATTTTTACTCTACCGAAGACGGAACTCTGAGCCAAGTCCAAAAGTGCTTTACAAATTAATATTTACATATTCCAATGTCTTTTTTATGATTTTTGCCACTTAAGAAATCTACCTGGCTCTTTTCAGTTCCAACTTCTCCATATTGTCTACAAAAATTTTTAAGACATGATGTGTACAAAAATATTGTAAGACATGTTGTCAGACACTTGGGTGAAGCTCAATACACTTTATTTAGGGTATTAGATTTCATCAGTATTTCCTAAATTGTCTTTTCCTCCAATTATTTAAGATCACCAGCTAGTGAGCTAGTTGTTTCAGGGCATTGCCTGAAAGAAAGAAGAAATTCTTTCCTTTTGTAGTATGTGAGTGTTATACATCAGTCCTGAATGTAGCCATCTAACACAAAATATATATTTTTTAATTTTATTACTATTATACTTTAAGTTTTAGAGTACATGTGCACAACGTGCAGGTTTGTTACATATGTATACATGTGCCATGTTGGTGTGCTGCACCCATTAACTCATCATTTAGCATTAGGTATATCTCCTAATGCTATCCCTCCGCCCTCCCCCCACCCCACAACAGGCCCCACTGTGTGATGTTCCCCTTCCTGTGTCCATGTGTTCTCATTGTTCAGTTCCCACCTACGAGTGAGAATATGCGGTATTTGGTTTTTTGTCCTTGCGATAGTTTGCTGAGAATGATGGTTTCCAGTTTCATCCATGTCCCTGCAAAAGACATGAACTCATCATTTTTTGTGGCTGCATAGTATTCCATGGTGTATACGTGCCACATTTTCTTAATCCAGTCTATCATTGTTGGACATTTGGGTTGGTTCCAAGTCTTTGCTATTGTGAATAGTGCCGCAATAAACATACGTGTGCATGTGTCTTCATAGCAGCATGATTTTTAATCCTTTGGGTATATATCCAGTAATGGGATGGCTGGGTCATCCAGTGGCGCAATCGGTACTTATGTAACACAAAATACTTAACTTTTCACTCTTGCCAATAAAAAAGAGCTTTCTTGTTTAATGTATCCTTCATCCCTTAAATATTTTAACATTTATTTTTGATATGTATATTATGTGCAAAACATATTGTACATATATGACATTTACTCCTCACAGAAAACCTGAGGTCTGTACTTTATCTCCATGTTAGGATGAGGGACCTGAGAACTAGAGAAATGAAATATCTTGCTACATCACACAAGAATTCAAACCCAGGTGAAACTTCAGAGACCTCATTCATTATTTTATTTCAAGGTGGTTCCTGATTGACAGAATCAAAACCATCTAACTAGATGGCAAAAGAATCAGGTTTCCATTATCCTGCCAGTTCCTCCTTAAGTGTCTATGACTGTAAACTTTTTAAAAGGAGGGTGTATGTCTTTTTGCTCATCTTCACATTTCCCACAATGTCTAAACATTGAAACCATAGATGCTTAATCAATGGCTGATTGAGAATGTTAGAGGGTATTTAAAATACTGTTGATGCTTAATATCCTAGTCTTCAGCTAGTGGTTCGTAGCATTTTGCCTTGGGGACATTGACCAAGTTTAGTCAATTTGGTTAAGTGAGCTTTCTTTGTCATGTAATCATCAGTGTCACTTTTCATAATTGGATCAAGCTAATGATAGCCAGAAACTGTTAAAATGTCTGCATTTGGAAATATGTGGGGTGAACATAACAATACTGTGGGTTCTATAGCCAAATGCTTTGCTTATTTTGGAAAGGGCAATTTAATTTGTTATAAATAACATTTGATTAAATGCTATGCAGTATCATGTTTTAATATAAGAACCAGTGCCAATGCTTATAAATATTTTCATGTAAGTAGGTCTAGTCTGGAATTTTATTAAATCTTTGAGTTTCAACAATTAAGAAAATCAGAAATACTAAGGTTTCTTTAGTTGATTTTAAGAATTGTTTGTGAAGTTCTGAGTAGCACTAGTTTGGAGACATAAACCAGATCTTCTAACTAAGGCATACCATTAAGTGAGCCTGTTTTTAGTTACTTTTAGTAAAGAAGTAATTAGCATTACACGTAGCAGGAACATATTCAGGTCTCTAAAAGAGATCTTTGATTACAGTATTAATTTGACAGTCCCAGGTAAAGAACAAGTTAATCTAATTAAGGGAAGGTTAATTGTGTATGTAGACTGTATGGCCAGAAGAAGAAAGCTCAGCAGGATGTTCCCAGAGCATTTCTGCTTGAGAGAGTCACATTTGTTCATTCAAGGGTAGTAAAAAACCTTTATACTATATATACAGCATTTAAAGAAGGACTTATTGAAATGATTTACTAGCAATTCAATGTAGAAACAACAATATGTAAAATGTAATGACTTGTATGGAGGTTGACTAAATGCTTTTCAGCTCTAAAAGCCTATAGTTGTAATGACTCTTCATAACTAGACTTAGAGTTTGTCAATATGTCTACACTTACATGGTCAGAGAATATTAGAACTAAAATAGGCTGTAAAGACCCCAGGCCATGATTTGTACATGACAAATTTAAACCCAGAGAAGGCAAATGTCCTGCCCAAGATAATAAAAGATATTTGGTAGTATATCTGTGATTCAAATCATTTTTATTCTGTGTTTAAAACCACATCACCCTTTGATAGAAAGAAGGAAAGAAAAAAGGAAAGAAGGAAGGAGGAAGTGAGGAAAAAGAGAGAGAAAAGAAAAGAAAGAAAGGAAGAAAGAGAAGGGGAGGAGAGGAGGAAAGAAAAAGGCAGGCAGGCAGGAAAACCAAGGCAATTAAGGCAGAAAGACTAAGGGAGGTCACAGTTCAATCTCTTTGTAGGCTACTTTCCTGAGACACACACACACACAGTCAGCCACACTCTGATTAAACTAAGCATAAACCTCACTTTCATTATTGAGTAGCTGTATTTACAAGAAAAGTCTTCCTTATATTGATACAAAAGCTACCTGCCTTTTTTATCCTTAGTCTTCTATTTCCTATGCAAAATATCTGTAGTTCCTTCACCATTCCTATTATGAGATGGGTTCCAGATATTTCATCATCTGATCTCTCTTTCCCAGCACATCGATAAAATATTTCATGTTTCAAATTGATGCCTACAATTAAATACCATGTATCAAATAGTGTCTGGATACCATCATAGGCATGTGCATCTCTTCATTTGGCCACTATACTTTTAGCTTTTAAAATTAACTCAGTCTTTTATATGTTTTAAGATGCCTTTATAAAACAACTAAAGTACAAAGCCATTTTTATAGGGACTACTATAAATAGCGGCCTCTTAAGCTGATTTTTAAATTGATTTGTTTACATCCATCATTTTCAAGTCAAGATTGATAGGATTAAGCATTAACAATTTGCTTACCGGAATTTTTTTTGCTCACCATAATTATTTTTAAAAGATCATCAGTTTGGATTGTTTGAATTAATCAAGCATTAGACATAATCATTTTAAAATTAAGTTTAATTTGAGTTCATAATGACAAAAAACAAATTTTAAGATAGTTATGCTCTAATATATTTTCTAATTATGCAATATATTAATGAGTATAAAGTATAAATTTTTCACACTAGTTTTAGTCAGTACTTATCAGTTCACTTCTAAAAATAGAAGCTAAAAAACAATTAGGGTCGTGATATGGTTAGGTTTTATATCCCCACCCAAATCTCATCTGGAATTGCAATCCCCATAATCCCCATAATCCCCACATGTCAAGGGAGAGGCCAGGTGGAGGTAATTGAATCATGGGGGCAGTTTCCCCCATGCTGTTTTCTTTTCAGAGTGAGTTCTCATGAGATCTGATGGTTTTATAAGGGGCTGTTTTCCCTTCACTAGGCACTTCTCCTTCCTGCTGCCTTGGGAAGAAAGCACCTTGCTTCCCCTTCACCTTCCACCATGATTGTAAGTTTCCTGAGACCTCCCCAACCATGCTAAACTGTGAGTCAATTAAACCTCTTTTCTTTATAAATTACCCAGTCTTGGGCAGTTCTTTATAGCAGTATGAAAATGAATTAATACAAGTGGGCATTAGGATATACAGACAGAAAAAACTACTAAGATAGATAGATAGATACTCATAGGACATATTTTGACCATCTAACCATCTAGAACTGAATTCCATTAATGTCTTTATCTGTTTTGTGCTGCTATAACACAATACCCCCGCATGAGTAATTTATAAAGAATGGAAGTTTATTTGACTCATGGTTCTGGAGACTGGGAAATCTAAGATCATGGCACCAGCACCTGGCAAGGGCCTCATCCCATGGCAGAAGGGAAGAAGGTGGAAGTGATTTCATGAGACTGAAAGAGTAAATGGGGACAGAACTTATTCTTTCATCAGGAACCCATGCCCATGATAATTAAACCACTTCTACTATAACAGCATGAATTCATTCATGAGGGCAGAGGCCTCATGGCTTACTCACCTCTTTAAGGCCCCAACTCCCAACACCATTACATTAGCAATTAGGTTTCAACATGAGTTTTAATGGAGACATTGAAATCATAGCAATTAACATGGGTCTATTTTTAAATATCTCTCATCTTAGTTTAGTAATCAAGTTGGAAATTACCTAATAAATGGACAAAAAGGAAGAAAAGCACCTAAGAAAAGAAGATTAGGAGAAAGTGAATGGTTTTTCAGCCTGCATAGAACTATATAGATAGAGACTGACTTCTAACTCCTCCTGAGAGTGACCTTAATGGTCAAATCATCAATGATTATGTTCATGAAAAGTTAGATACCTCTTTCTAGAAATAAATGACCAAATAAATAAGCTGAATTAATTCAATCACATTCAATTATAGGTGGCAGAGTGTAGAACCAGAACAATTAGACCAGCAAGCTGACAACCTTCTTACATATCAAGCCCTTAAGTTTATCTGCCTCATGCTCTTCAACTATTTTTCTACTTATAGGCTGTGGAAAGATGAAGGATGAAATATAAGAGTAGCAATGTGAGATTGCTGAATTATTAAATTTTGGTGCTTGGTAGCTGCACATTTGTTATTCTGAGGGAAGGAGTTGCAGACTCAGCTATAGAAGATTACCTAGAAGTTGAGTTCAAGAGTGATATATAAAAGACTTTGTGCTTCTTTCTTTCTTTTTTCAGGCCTACAGATTTGGGGCATTAAGTTATACCCATTGCATATGGCTCCGCATTTATAATATGAGTTTTTGCTAGTCGATGACCCATTTTCCAAATACTCAATGATGTGATCCTGGAGGTACCTAGCATGAGCTGTGCTGACCATGGGGAGAGGTACTTGGGCCGGTAGAAATATGGAGTAATACAATCGGATCACACAAAGAAGAGTCTTCCTCAAAACAAATAGTATATTTTTGAGTCCTAAGCTTATAAGAATTGTTAAAACTCTTTTTTTTTTTTTTTTTTTTTTTTTTTTGAGACAGAGTCTCACTCTGTTGCCCAAGCTGGAGTGCAGCAGCGCAATCTCGGCTCACTGTAACCTCCATCTCCCAGGTTCAAGCGATTCTCCTGCCTCAGCCTCCTGAGTAGCTGGGATTACAGGCACCCACCATCATGCTCAGCTAATTTTTTTGTATTTTTAGTAGAGACGGGGTTTTACTGTGTTTGCCAGACTGGTCTCGAACTCCTGACCTCGTGATCCACCTGCCTTGGCCTCCCAAAGTGCTGGGATTACAAGCGTGAGCCACCGTGCCCAGCCAAGAATTATTAAAACTATCTTTTGTACGATTGACAAACATGCCCTGTATGATCTTATATAATTTATTAACAAAGATTTTAGTGGTTAATTGTTCTTGTGATGAACAGGGTAACATGAAAGACAACGTTTTAGAAAAATCTTGTCTTAGTTCACTTTGGCTGCTATAAGAAATTACCTTAGACTGGGTGGCATATAAACAGCAATTTATTTTTTATAGTTCTGGAGGCTGAAAGTCTAAGACCAAAGTGCTGGCAAATTTGGTGTCTGGTGAGGGATCATTTCCTGGTTCATAGATGGGGTCTTCTGGCTATGTCATATAGTGGAAAGGGGAAATCAGTTTTCTGGGTACTCTTTTATAATGATATTAATCCCATTCCTGAGGGCTTCATCCCATGACCTAATCACCTTTCAATGGCCCCACTTCATAATTCCATCACACTGGTGATCAGGCTTCAGATTATGAATTTTGGGTGAGCTAGCAACATTCAGTCCAAAGCAAATCTCACGGTCTTAAAAAAAAGAAAATCATTAGCACATTAAATGGTTCCAAATTTATAAAAATAATAACAATTTTTAAAATTACTTCTAAATCTGATCCTAAATTTTTCTAGGCAGAATTACATTTTTCAATCACTTTTTGAAATATTAGAAATCACTATAGTTATTAAATAAGATTATGAAATCTCTTATGTAATATCCTTTGTTGGCAACAGTTGTTTACAATTTACTTAGGAGAACATATTACACAATTTAAAACCACAGTAATGCTGAGATAGCATTTATGTATATCTACTATCTTCACCTCAATCACAAGGATTATGCTCCTGAAAACCCTTAAGGCAGATAAATGCACACATTTGGAATAACATAACTTATAAGGTTATATTTGAGCCAATAGGAGTATGTATAAATGATTTACCTTGATTAAAATAAAAGTATGTAAGCATAGTAAATAAAAGCATAGTTGTGATGATTTCTGTCTCTTAAATGGGTAATTGTGGATATGTTCAAAGTCCCTTTTTTCATTCATCTATTTATTGAATATTTATTAATCAGTCACTATTGTAGATGATGGAGAGACAAAGATACAAAAAATGGTACCTGCCCTCAAGGAGTTCATGATCTGTTACATGGAGACAATAGGAAAGCAAATAAGTATTCTATATAACGATTTTTTTTCCTGTTGGTAATGTTTTATTTGGGGGGGCTGTATGGTATAAACAAATATATTTCTGTTTTATAGTTCAAACTATTTTTTCATGCAATATACTTCTCATAGTATTTTTTAAAGATACTTAACTCCCTCATTATCATGGAGGTTTAATTGCCTAGAAAATATATGTCTATGGAATCTCTCATTCTCTGAGGCATTTGCAATTCTTTTTAAGGTGAAATTGTGCATAGGCTAACATAAGAGCATGCCGGTAGGAGCCAAAGTGGGCCAGACACTGCAGATATTGGGATACAGTGTTGAACAAGAACACATTAGAGTAGGGGAGGCCAATGGTAAAGAGAAACCGGCAAAGTATCGGGTATATTAGATAGTGACGAGCAGAGGTGAGATTTAAAATAGAGTCATGCTTTGTGTAACAATGGTCCATGGTCAACCATGGACTGCATATACAGCAGTGGTCCTGTAAGAGCATACTAGCATATTTTTACTTTACCTTTTCTATGTTTAGATATGTCTAGATACACACATGCCATTGTATTACAATGGTGTACAGTATTCAACACAGCAGCATGCTGTACAGGTTTGTTGCCTAGGAGTAATAAGCTATACCATATAGCCTAGGTGGGTAGTAGGCTATACCATATAGCTACACTGGTAGGCTATAATTAGTAAGTTTTTGTAAGGACACTCTATGATGTTTGCACAATGATGTAATCAGCTAACAACACATTTATCAGAATGTATCCCCAGTGTTAAGTGACCCATGACCCAACCAGTACAAATGGATACCAACCCATCCGAATAGACACCCAGCTACACAGAATGGAAGTTCATTTTACTTGCTGAATACCAGACTTGAAATCAGCACTATTAGGACAAGATAAAGTAGGGAAATAAAATTAAAGTATTGAGTAAGGAGAATATTCAAATTTTGAACTGAGTAGGTGACTTTTGAGTCAAACTCTGAAGAAAGTAAGGAGTGAGTCATGTAGATATTAGGGGGAAAATATTCTAGATAAGGAAAGAGCAGGTGCAAAGACCCTAAGGAGGGAGCTTACCTAAAGCAAGGAACAGAAGGGCTCACGTGTCTGGAGTGAAAGTCTGAGGAGAGTCAGGAGGAAAAGATGACTGGGAAATAAACGAAGGCCATGTTAGCTGCTGGTAAGAACTTTGGCTTTCATTCTGAGTGAGGTGATCTCTCATTGAACATTCTGAACAGAAGATGATCTTTCACTGAATATTTTGGACACGATCGAATCTGTATTTTAAGAGAATCATTTAGGCTTGAGTTAGAACTGAATAAATGGGGCAAAAACAGTGCCAGGTGCAGGATAAAGGCTATTGGAATAATGCAGGCAAGTACTGGATAAGATGATGGCTTTGGGAGTCAGAGAAATGGTTAAATTCTAGATAGGCATTGCTTAGAGCTACCTGGATGTGCAAATCAACCAGATGGGAGGTATAGAGGAGAGGGGCCAAGAATGACACAGACTAGAAAAACCAAGTGCCATCTATATGCCAAACCCTTTGCCAGTGCCTAGGGAACATACAGAAGAATAAGAAGACATAGCACATCTATCATGAATAAGCCAATTAAATAAACAATTATAGGAGAGTGCAAATATTTCCAAAACATGGGAAACACAGAGCCCGAGATAATGCTGCTTAATCTAGGTCCAAACGGGCAAGGGATCACTTCTCCAGAAAATGAAAGTGAGTAAAGGGTTAATCAGATTTATTCAGGTAAAGAGAGGAGGAAGAGAAGAGATAAAAATAGTTATATTTATACATGCTTGGATCCCAAACATTTTACTTTGCTACTGTGTCATTGTTGACTTTATTACTATGTTTCTTTAGGGAAAGTACATTTTGCCACTGAAAGGAAATTGATTCAAAGGCTATATTCTTATACATTCCCTTTTTTGACAAATATTCATGCAGCACTCATTTTGTGTTAGGGTCTCTGTGCTGAGTGCAGAAGAATTTACTAGGATGAATTATATTTGTATCTTTTCCAAAAGAAGCTAAGATTATAACTAGCTCACTTAGAGAATACTTAGTGTACTAAGATATGCAGTAATTTATTCAAATCACTGGTACACTGGATTTGTAATACCATTTATACTGTGAGTTACCTGAATTACTAACTACTCAACAGATTACCCTAAAGACATGCTTCTTGTTTTGGCCCTCCCTCTATAATATCCTTATCATCTATCATAAACAGCCTAGCTTATCATAATATTTGTTAAATAATGATTATGTCTTTCCAAATTTTAACCTTATTTTTGCTGCAGATCATTGAGACAGTAATGAAGAATTAATATACCTTTATATTTTGTGGAGATTTATTCTATGAACTTTCATTATAGAATCCATGCCAAGAGGCTGTTACATAATTGCTTCTGCTAAGGATTTTTCATATATATATAAAATAATCAATAATATTAAACCTAGTGCCACTTATAGAAGAGTAGTTTTTTCCTCATCAATATGTCTACCTGCAGTCTCTCTTCTCTTATAGAAAATACGCCCATAGAATTCTAATTCCTATCAACATATTTGACCTTGTGACTGCTTTCCACGTATTCATGATTGTTTCCTCCAAACTTTCCATTTATGACAATCGTCTATATATTTGATGTCAATGCTTTCAAATTTAAGACCCCTTCAATCACTTCCCGCATTTTTTCATGCTCTTTCTCTTTACTTGAAGAAGAAAAGCTCCTTTTCCTATTTCCCTGTGAAACCAAGCATAATTTTGTCCACATTGAAAAGAAAGACCAATAATGATTATAAATATAATCTAATTATATTTATATATAATATAATCTTATAATTAGCAATACTCCATCCCATACCAGTTTTCCCTTCACATTTTACAGGGAAAATGAATTGATCTGGCAACAAAGAAACTCAGAGTTATAGATCTGTGAAAGTTATTAACCTCTCAATGCCCCATTTAGCTTTTCCCGTTCCACAAGAATCAATGATAAGCACACTCAACCCTTTTATGTTCTTCCTTAAAGCAGAGAGTTAACGAGAAAGCAGCCCCTCTTGTTTTGACTTTCAATTTGTAATGTTTATATTTTTCTGAGAACATGGTACTGCTGCCCTGGTGGTACCACAATGTGGCAGGTGTTTCTTAAGCTTTCCTGGACAGCTGGGCCTATGATGTAGAGGAGCCTGTAACCCACATCAAGTTTCACTTCGTTTGAAAGCACCACAGTCACCACACTTGCATCTGGACTTAATTCCACAGATCCTGAGGCTGGCTCATTATCATTCTGGACCATCTTGCTTCCCTCCTACTCTCATTCTCCAGTCAATTGTTTTAAGACTGTTTTGGAAGTCTGGGGCTGACAAATGATGAATTCTCAACTTACTGTCTTCCTACTTGTTTCTCTAGGTTGGATGGATCAATAAGCACATATTAATTATATTTAGTGCATTCCTTTTTGTCAAATCATCTTTTCAAAGCTTTCTGTTTTCTGAGCATCCACTTAACCACAGCAGAGAAACAGTGAAACTGCTTCTTGCCTTCCATTGAAAATTAGCCTTTGGCCTCAAGCCAAACTGCCTGGGCCAGCGTTAATATAATTCACAACTGGAAGAAGACAATCAATTAATCAATACTATAATTTGGAACTGACCAAGGTAGTAACACTCGCAGCTATTAGACTCAACTGACTGACACCATTTAGGATTAATGAGGTAGCAAAAGCAGGAAAACAAAAGATTCATTTAAGGACTTTTTCCCTAAAATCAAACCACCCAATCTATTTTGTTATTTTATTTTTTTCTATTCAGTGATGCCACAGTGAAATCTAACATAAGTAAAAATTTGAAGGACAAAGAACCTTACCCATCACAGTGATTTTGAACAAGAACTCTAATGAACATTTTTGGTATGGGTTTCAGAAAAATAATTCAGCTTAGTGTCAGATTCTTCTGAGAAATCTAAACACAATGATCTAAAATTGCTCCTCTGGTGTTATTTTCACATCCTTTGATCCAATTTTGTAATCACAGATTGCGATATTTATTGTTTGGCTAAATCACCACCTTTTAAGTTGAAAAAAGTTTAATTTTCAGGAAAACTTTATGGGCTTAGTCTAGTTTAATCCTACAATAAAATAAATACAAATGAAAAAACACCAAAGATCTGTGGTGCTTGCAAAATGACAAATATCAACCCCTTCTAATCCCTTATGGCAGAGCCATCAAATCTTGCAGTTCCAGGACAGGACAGGACTTTTCCTAAAACTGTTGGCTGAGTATTTGTAATGAAACATCATTAGGCTAACCAGGAAGTTAGTGCCTTTGTTGTTGCTGCTATTGATGTTGTTTTAGTTTTCTTTGGATTGGGCACACCTATGCTCTGAGTCCTTAGACTACAGATGCCTTTTTAGAATGTGTTTAACCTGAAATTTCCAAAATCAGCCCAGGGGTATTAAACATGGTAGTAAATCTTTGTTTTCCAACAAGAAAGCAAAATACAGAAGAATCTCTTTTAACTTTGGCAAAAACAGAAAGAAGGAGTAACAAAGCTGCCTATGTGTATCACCATATATGTAAGGGGTATGATTTGACCAGCAACATAATGAAGTCTATGTAAAGAGACTTTCTTTATAGCCAGGGCCTACCTCATTTTTTAATTGGAAAATTTAGTATGGGGTTTTCTCATTTAATCTCCTAACTTTAGCATTGCAAACTGAAGAAAAGTGCTTCAAATATAATCCTGGGATTTATATTTTCTTTCCAAATACTTACCGTCTATTCATTATCAAAAGGTCTTTGAAAATGTAAAAGTCCTCTTAGCATTGAATCAGAAACACTGAGTATAGGAACTTTAGTGTGGCATAGAATTGGTTAGGAGTCAAGACATTTTTGTAGTATGACCTTTATATATATTACCTGTGGTGGTTTTTGAATTATATAAAGTGAAATAAAACTTTAGAAATATCATAAAAGTTTTTTATGAGAAAAGTTAAAGCCAAAAAGAGGCTCTATAAGATTTATTAAGCAAACAGTGTATTAGATAAGATGAGAAGGTTCAATTAGAAGGCTAATATAAATTTATGCAAATTGATTTCCACTGATAAAAATTTATATATACGTTTTGTAGCACCCAGTGGTTATTTCTATGACAGAAGCATATTTTCTAGGTAAATGAAATTTCATGAAATAAAAAGTATATATCCAAATTATTTTTTATTATACAGAGACAGGAGAGCATTAATTTTCATTCTACTTCACTACAAAAAAAATATATAAATAAATATTTTTTAAAAAAATCTAAAAGACAGTACTTAATGCTTTTAACAGATAAATGATTTAAGGTCTTATTCAAATGTACCCGTAACAAATAAACTGCTTTCTTCCTCTCAGAAAATAAAGCATGAAGTTGAAAATAGAATTATTATTATTTTTGTCTGTTGGCTTTTTTTCATTAAAAACATTAGCTAGTGCTTCTAAAGCTTACAAAGTTAGAGAACAAATATGTGGTGGTGTCTCAAAACAAGATAAATAGTCAAGTCAGTGCAAAAAAATCGTTTTTTAAACTATAAGTTTCGCTGCTTACTTGTTTGATTTCTTTATATTCAACTGTATTTTAAACAAAAGACATTTTGAGACAACCTGCAAAATGTATATAACACCATGGGATATTTTAATTTCAGTTTTATGCCATTGTATTTCAAAAAGAAATTAGGGTAGCTTTGAAGATGCATGCAATATACTAAAATAAAATAAATTTAAAATTGCTAAAAATATATGGAAAAGGCAATAAAAATGAAACAAGGTTAAAAAGGCAAGATAAAAAAATGAATAAATGTTAAAAAAGTAAATTGAAGGAGGGCAACATGGTTGCAGTGGTATTCTGTAGAGGATTTTATGTCAATCTAAACTGTCTAGAAGAAGGGTAAGTAACCTTTTACTGTAAAGGGCCATAGACCTTGTGGCCTATACAAACTCTTTGGCAACTAGTGAATTCTGCCATTTTAGCAAGAAAAGAACCGTACACAAAACATAAGTGAATAGGCATGGCTGTGTTCCAATAAAACTTTATTTAGAAAAGAGGCAGTGGACCAGATTTAGCCCATGGGCGGTAGTTTGCCAAACCTTCAGAATAAAGCAAAGGTGGAAAAAAAAATCAGTTATCTGATTTTAAGATAAAAATCTACTCCACAGAAGGACCCCACAGAAAGATAGGTTTTCGTTGGCATGTGAGAGGGAGCTTTCTAAGGATGATCAGACTGTGGGCATTGTCAGTGCAATGTCTCTCCAGTAAATAAAATAGCATGTTTCATGCAGTGGCTGTAAAATGAGTTTAAAATTCAGGATAAAAATTAATTTTGCTTTTTTGTAGATGAAAACAATGAACTTTTCTCCTTATTTATTTATTTATTTAAGACAGAGTTTTGCTCTCATTGCCTAGGCTGGAGTGCAATGGCGCGATCTCGGCTCACCACAACCTCTGCCTCCTTGGATCAAGCGATTCTTGTGCCTCAGCCTCTCGAGTAGCTGGGATTACAGGCACGCACCACCATACCCGGCTAATTTTTGTATTTTTAGTAGGGACAGAGTTTCTCCATGTTGATCAGGCTGGTCTCGAACTCCCGATCTCAGGTGATCCACCCACCTCGGTCTCCCAAAGTACTAAGATTACAGTTGTGAGCCACCATGCCCAGCCCTCCTTATTTTTTTAACACGATATTATAGCAATAATATTTATGTTTTGGAATCATTTTTATTCCAAAGTTGGCTGTGCTGCTTATTTTGTCATCATTAGCAAATCGAAAAATCACACACACACACACACACACACACACACACAAACCCCATATAGCATGAGAAGCAATACACCATCTTGCATTGCATTTAAAAAAATAAGAAGCACATCAGTGTTAAGAAATGGAAGAGCATTACTATGGTAATTGTGAAGAGAAAAAAAATGCAATCTGATAGGGATGACGGGCATTTAAACAAATATAATACAATAAAGGTTATGATATGAGGAGACATAGTTCTGATTTGGGCTCCCTGGTTTTGAATATCAGGTCCACTATTTGTCAACAATGTGACCTTTAACATATTCTTTAACCTCTCTGGGCTTTAGTTTTTTTTCTCACTGAGTTGAAATGATTAAGATAAGACTTAGTACTGTGCACACAGTACTTAATACTTACTTAACTCAGCTAAGAGCGTATATTGCAAAGTGAGGTTCTAAGTTGTTATGAAAGTTTTCAAAAATAGGTGGTGGCTTTGGTCCAGCTATATGACTCTTATAACTATAGGTAGTCTTAAACCTCTTACAACTATAGGTAGGTTGTCTTTTTTTGGAGTTTTTTGGAAGGAGGGGTTTTGAAGATTTCTTTTGGGGAGAGGTATTTTGTGAATGCCCTCCTTCTCCAAACTTACACACAAACTCCAAGGTGTTTTTAAGAAGACCAGTGAGGGATCATAATCTGTGTCCTTTCAAATTACAGGTTGTAGTGAACTAATATCTGAGCTAAGCCTAAGTAGTCTACAAGCAAGAAACTGGCTAACATGGTCTGTTGCAGCAGAGGAGAGGGCTGATTAGAGAATGTTAATGGCATCTCTAGGTTTTGTAGGGATGATGGATTCATAAGCATTTCCTTGGGACCACTTTTGAGCCACACAGGAGAGGAATATGCAATTAGGTGGTCTTAAACTTTGCACACAGGTCAGCTGGGGGAATGAGATGACCTTAACAGAAAGTAGAGGCCAAATGCTAGGAGCCTAGAGGCTGCAGAAGAGAGCTCTCTGTGGATGGAGTGGAAGGAGTTTCTCCCAAAATTCCAGGAATAAACACAAGAGAGTCAGTTTTGGACATCCACCAAGTCCAGAGAGTATAGGAATATGTCATCTCCACAGATTCAGCTAAGCAATATATTTTTGTTTCTCTCAACTCTCCTCTATTCCTACTATTACAACATTGAAAGGATCAGAAACCACAGTAAGGTAGATGGAGAAGTGATTCAACTTAAAAAAAAAAAAAAAAATCAAACCCAGAGTCTTGATATATTCATGAGCTGAGACATTTTAATTAGTGGATTGAAACTATGTTTTGTGAGTTAAAGTCACCACAGGTTTTTTTAATACCTACATAGGGACAGACAATTGTACCTGACTAAATTTATATTTGGGACAGGATAAGAGCTAGTCACTGAGAAAAAAATTAAAAGGGTGATACACTTAAGGGGAAAAGGCTGGTTTGTGATTATAGTTGGTTGTTTTATTATTACATTTTATAATTTGTACTCATTCAGTATTACATATGTTGCTATATCTATGTCTTTATATCTACATCAGTATCTTTTGATATACATTGAAATCAAGTTTAGCCTTCAAAGATCAAGAAGACATCCTTTAATATCACACATTGACTATTGGTTATTGACTTCTAACTTATCTCCTTGTTAATATGTGGCCCCCCGTGAAATGTACACATTGCTATCTCAGTAAGTTATTTTAATATGTACAGAGTCATAGTTGACATCCTTGAAATTATTAGTGGTCTCACATTATTTATGAACTAAATTCAAACCTTAATAGTATGATGTACAGACCCTTTAGAGCTGGCTCTTTTTTATCTTTCCAATCTTACTATAATATAGTTTCTATCTATCCCAAACAGCAGCCATTTCTGACTTCTTGCAGTTCTGTAAATCAACCAAATGGCTTTGCCGCTCTAATTATGTCTTCACCTACCTTCATCTGCATAGAATGCTATTTCTCATCTGACTTTGTTTCTCCGGAGAAGACCTAATTCTCTTTGAAGGCAATGCCTTACATAAAAACTCTTCCTTCTCTCCTCAAAATTAAGAAGTCCTGACATTCATCTTTTGGTTCCTCACTCTCAATGTGCATACTTATTTCAAACAACAAAAAGACCTTAATGTATTTATCTTTCTATATATGTGTCTTCATTATTAGACTATGGATTCAAAGAACAATTCTTATTCACATCTATAATCTAAGCATCAAAAATATGTCTTTCAGGTAGATGAAGTTCAATAAATGTTTATTGAATGAATTTTTTTAAAAAGAAACCAGTAAATGTTTATTGGAATTTTTTTTTTTTTTTTTTGAGATGGAGTCTTGCTCTGTCACCCAGGCTGGAGTGCAGTGGCATGATCTCAGCTCACTGCAACCTCTGCCTCTTGGGTTAAGCGATTCTCCTACGTCAGCCTCCCAAGTAGCTGGGATTACAGGTGTGCACCACCACACCCGGCTAATTTCTGGTTGGTTTGTTTGTTTTGTTTTGTTTTGTTTTGTTTTGTTTTGTTTTAGTAGAGACAGGATTTCATCATGTTGGCCAGGCTGGTCACGAACTCCTGACCTCAGGAGATCCACCCGCCTCAGCCTCCCAAAGTGCTGGGATTACTGGCATGAGGTACCGTGTCTAGCCTTGGAGAAATTTTTTAAAAAAGAAATCAGTCTAGGACTTTGTATTTCTTCATAATAAATATGTATTGAACACCTCTCAGAGGTAAGGCACTGTGCTAGGCACTAAGAATAAAGAAGGGAAGAGAAAAGATTTTATGCTCTGTAATAGGAAAAACAAACATTTAAACAAGTATGAAAGGCAGTATAATACCCTCCTACAAGATATCTACATCCTAATTACTGAAACCTGTCAATATGTTAGCTTCTGTGTCAAAAAGTTTTTTGCAGACGTGATTAAGTTAAAGATATCGTGATCAGAAGAGTACCTTGGATTACCTAGGTGGGCCCAATGTAATCACCAAGATCCTTATAAGAGAACGAGAGAGGCAGAAAATCAATGTGGGAAGGCAATGTGAAAATAGAAGCAGAGGTCAGAAGACAGAAAGTTAAAGATGGCCTGCTGACTTTGAAGATAGAGGAAGGGACCACAAGCCAAAGAATACAGGTAGCCTCTAAAAGCTGTAAAAGATAAAGAAATTGATTATCTTGTATATCCTCCAGAAGGAAAATGGCACTGCTAGCCTATTTTAGACTTTTGAGCTCCAGAAGTATAATAAATTTGTGCTGTTTTAAGCAAAAAAAAATTGGTGTAATTTGTTACAGAAGAAATAGGAAACTAATATAATAGGCATAATAATAAAGCATGATAGGTGTTATGATAAGGGAAGTACATAAATGTTGAAGTCATATTTCAGTAGGATTTACTGAAACTAATCCAAAAATTTCAGGAGGGCTTTCTGAGGAAGTGATATGTAACATAAGACTTGAAGGATGGGTAGGATCAAATAGAAAAGAGGGGTGCTAAAGTGAATCTGAGAGAAAACAAAAATATGTGAAGCCTTAGATGTGGACAAGAGCAAGTTCTGCTTTGAAGAACTGGTGGGAGTTCAGTATATCTGGACAACAGAATTTGAGGATGCTGTCAAGTTATGAGGCTGCTTAACGTACTGAGGTCAGATCATGAATGGTCGAGTCAGTTATTAAATGGTTAGAGGTTTGATCTTGATCATAAGGGCAGTAGGACAGCTTTAAAAGATTTTAAGTGGGAGAATATCATAACTGTATTCTCATAGGTGCACTGTAGACAATAGATTACAGGAGAGAGATTTTGACGGGAAAAAAGGCCAATTAGGAAGAGATGGCAACCAATGAGGAGAAAAAATACATAGTATTGGCTTGGATCTCGGTGGTGGCTGTAGCAATAAAGAGAAATATCCAGAAAGCAATTTGACAATAGAAACTAAATTACTTGATGATTTACTAGATGTGAGAGGTGTCCTGGGTAGATGGTAGTGGAATTTCTGAGATAGAGAACACAAGAGGACAATTAAGTGTGGAAGTGTGGAAGAAAGATAAGGAGATCATGAGTGCATCTTTGAGTGGGTTAGACTTCAGGGGCCTATGAAACATCCATGTGCAGTTTTAGTAACCAGCTAAATATCTAGGCAAGTATCCCAGGAAAGATGTCTGTACTGAAGGAAGAGATTTGGGAGTCATCAGTTTACAGATTTTGAAGCTTTGGGAGTGGACAAACTTACCAAAGGTTTCTTGGATTCATTTAATAAGTCCTAGAGTGAGGTGGAGAAAAAGACTAGAACTGAGCCTTGAAGGTCATCAATATTTTAAGTGAGAGTAGATAAAAGGAGTGTTCAGAGGAAAAAAAGAGAAGCTGGTGCGGAAGGAGGCACACCAGAAGAGAGTTGTACCCCAGGAGGTAAGAAAATAGAGAGTCCTAAAGAAAAGTTGCCAACAGTATCAAATGTTCCCAAGAAGTTAAGCAAGCTAGCTAAAGAGTGTCTACATTTCGCAACATGTAAGCTTGGATAACCTGTGTGAAAGCAGGGTTGTTGGCATATTGCAGGAAAAATAATAATGTTGAATGAGTTGAAGAACTGGGACAGAAAATATAGATAATGCCTTCAAGAATTTTGACCGTAAAGGGGTAAGGAGAGAAAAAAAATAGTACTTGCAGAGGTAGTTTGTGTTGAAGGTTGTTTACTTTTTATTTTCTATTTTTTAATGCTGAAAAACCATGCATGATGAAATTCTAATGAGATTCCTCCAGAAGTGGAGAAAATGGAGATGCAAGCAGGTGGAGGGTGGAGAATTTACAGTATTTCTAAGGAATCCAGCGGGGAAGGATTTCAGACTGCAGATACATGGTAGATCAATTATGTAGATGGAAAGTCAACTCTTCCTTGTCCCAAAAGGACAAAGGAAAAGGTGTATGCTGGTTGTTACTTGGGCAGTGAGAAGTCCAAAAGTTTTCCCCCAGTGGTTTTAAGTAATCTTCTGGATCTGAGGGGGAAGATGGATGAACTGAAGATTTGAGAAGAGTTAGGAAGATGTGAAATAGTATCTGTCAGGAATGGGAATTAAGTTGGGTAATGGAAAGCTAATAGGATTCTCAGGCACTGTTGAGAGCCTGGGTAAGATTAGCAATCATGAATGTATATTGGCACCAATCTGCCACTTTTTGCGACATTTTGTAGCAGTGTTTAGCAAAGTTTAGCAACCGTGGTGCATGCATAAGAAAAAATCTCACTGTGAGGAATTTTCTAGGCACAAATGGACAAAGGCCAATATGGCATAGAATAGTCAGATATTGGCAAGAAAATAGTTGAAGATCTTCTAAATGCTGGGCCTTGTTGTTTTCTTCTTTGAAAATGCTGAATCCCTTATCATGTTATCCTGCTACTCTTTTAGGATTCAAGACAAAAAAAAATCTTAAAATGAAATGCATTTGAAGGCTGTACTATATATTAATGTGCTGAGTCCCA
Source organism: Homo sapiens (assembly GCF_000001405.40). Classification (NCBI taxonomy): domain Eukaryota; kingdom Metazoa; phylum Chordata; class Mammalia; order Primates; family Hominidae; genus Homo; species Homo sapiens. Next base: position 9,161,912 of record NC_000009.12, on the reverse strand, counting down.
TTTCATAAAGGTACAGGAAAATTTAAACATTTAGTCAATTTAAATATATATATATATGTGTAGCTTATGCAGTAATGTTACCATTACTGTTATATGATGTGTTACATAGTTTACCATTTAGAGATAAAAATATAGTATGATACACAAGTATGTATGTATTTATCTAAAACATATTTTAAATGTATCTATAATTTTGCCACAGATGTCAATGTACAGCTGTATCTTTATCACTAGGAGACATAAGGAGAAACAAGGAATACCAGTATTCTCATTCAGGAGGCTCCATGAATCTTTAAATATTTGCTCCCCCAGGATTGTATTTTATTTTGTAGTTTTCACTTCTTGAATTTTGTTACATCTCTAGCTTCTCATTTTAATTAGAATTAAATTTAAAAATTAAATCTCTATTGCTAAACTGCCTGGCTTGGAGCCCAAATGAGACCACACTTTCTCTTCTCAGCATCTTGTGATCACTTTAGCAAATAAAATATGAGTAAAAGAAAAAGTGCCCCATATATGAAAAAGAAGAGTTAGATCTCCAATTTTATCTCCTGACCACTAATTCTTTTCTTATTAATATTACTTTCAATTGACAAATCATAATTGTCTACACTACAGGTCACTATATGATGTTTTGATATACATATACAATGTGAGATAATCAAATCAAGCTAATTAACATACCTATCACCTCCACTTATCATTCTTTGTGGTGAGACATTTGAAATTTACTTATTCTGAAATATACAATACATCATGATTGACTATAGTCACCCTGCCGTGCAATAGAGCTTAATATATTCCTCCTGTCTAACCAAAACTTTGTATCCCTTGACCAACAGCACTTCATTCCATCCCACCTGCCACCCCCTGCCCCATATCCCAGGCTCTGGTAATCATTGTTTTACTCTCTACTTCTATGAGATCAAATTTGTTAGATTCTGCATATAAGTAACGTAAGTGAGATCATGTGGTATTTGTCTTTCTGTGCCTGGTTTATTTCACTTAGCATAATATCCTCCAGGTTCATTCATGTTGTTGAAAATGACAGAATTTCCTTCTTTTCGAGCCAAATAGTATTTCATTGTGTGTGTATACAACATTGGTTTAATCTATTATCTGTTGATGGACACAGATTGATTCCATATCTTGGCTATTGTGAATAATGCTGCAATGCACATGAGCATGCAGATATCCCTTTAACATATTGTTTTAATTCCTTTGAATGTATATCCAGAAGTGGGTTTGCTGAATCATATGGTAGTTCTATTTTTAGTTTTTTTGAGGAATCTCCATGCCATTTTCTATAATGGCAGTACTAATTTATATTTCCACCAGCAAAAGACAAGTGTTCACTTTTCACCACATCCTCACCAACACTTATCTTTCATCTTTTTCATAGAAGCCATTCTAACAGGTGTGAGGTGGTATCTCATTTGGTTTTAATTTTCATTACCCTAATGATTAGTGATACTGAGCATTTTTTAAATGTACCTGTTGGCTATTTGTTTGTCTTCTTCTGAAAAATGTGTTTTCAAATCCTTTGCCCATTTTTAATCAGGTTATTTGTTTTCTTGCTATTGAGTTGTTTGAGTTCCTTATATATTTTTGGCTTATCACATTAATGGTTTGCAAATATTTTCTCCTGTTCTGTGAGCTGTCTCTTCACTTTGTTAATAATTTCCTTTGCTATGCAGAAGCATTTTAGTTTGATACAATCCCATTTGTCTATGTTTTGCTTTTTTATCTTGTGCTTTAGGAATAATATCCACAAAATAATTGCCCAGAACAATGTTGCAGAGCTTTTCCTCTCTAAGATTTATAGTTGTAGATCTTCCATTTAAATCTTTAATCCATTTTGAGTTAATTTTTATAATGATGTGAGATAAAGATACAGTGTCATTCTTCTGCATGTGGATAACCAGTTTTCCAACACCACTGATGGAAAAGGCTATCCCTTCTCTATTGTGTGTTCTTGGCACCTTTGTCAAAAATCAATTGCCCACAAATGACTAGATTTATTTCTGGGCTTTCTCTCTGGTTTTGTTGGTCGATGTGTCTGTTTCTATGCCAGTGCCATGAGATTTTTATTACAATCACTTTGTATTTTGAAATCATGAAGCGTGAGCCTCCTATTTTATTCTTTTTGCTCAAATAGTTTTCACTGTTAGGGCCTTTTGTAGTTCCATACGAATTTAAGGATTTCGGAGGTTTTTTATCTCTGTGAAAAATGACATTGAATTTTGGTTAGGGATTGTATTCAACCTGTCGATCACTTGAAGTAGTAATGGCATTTTAACAATATTAGTTCTTCCAATCCATGAACACAGGATATTATTCTACTGATTTGTATTTTCTTTTCTTTCTTTCTTCAGTGTTTTCTAGTTTTCAGTATACAGATCTTTCACCTCCATGATTAAATTTACACCTACATATTTTGTTGTTGTTGCTATTATAAATGAGATTGTTTTCTATAATTTTTTTGGATAGTTCATTATACATATATAGAAACACTACTAATTTGTGGATATTGATTTTATATCCTGCAACAATGATAAGTTTGTTTGAGTTCTAACAGCTTTATGGTGGAGTCTTCAGCAGATAGTCTCTATTTGCTATTTCTCTATTTTTTCTATTCTTCATTTCCTATTTCACTTCTTCATTTTCTATTAGGTAGTTCTTTTGTTTCTTTCCCTTACCTAATTACTATGGCTAGGAATTTGTACTGTGTTGAAAGGAAGTTGTCAAATTTGGCATTCTTGTCTTGTCCCTGACCTTAAAGGAAAAGCTTTCAAGTTTTCACTATTGAGTGTGAAGTTAGATATAGATTTATCATGCATAGCCTTTATTGTGTTGAGATACATTCCTTCTATACTTTGTCTATTAGATTTTATTATGAAAGAGTGTTGAATTTTGTCAAATGCTTTTTCCACATGTTTTGGGACGATAATTTGGTTTTTGTTCTTTGTTTTGTTACTGTGGTGTATCAGATTTATTGATTTGCATTATGTTGAACCATACTTGCGTCCCAAGGATAAATCCCACTTGATCATGGTGAATGATTATTTTAATGTGTTGTTGAATTCAGTTTGCTAATATTTTACTGAGTATTTTTGCATGTATATTCATCTGCAATATTAGCCTGTAATTTTTTCTTTTGTAGTATCTTTTTCTGACTTTGATACTGTGGTAATGCTGGCCTTATAAAATGAAATTACAAGTATTCCCTCCACTTCAATTTTTCTGAAAGGGTTTGAGAAGAAATGTAATTAGTTCTTCTTTATTATTTTTATTTATTTATTTATTTATTTTCGAGATGGAGTCTCACTCTGTCACCCAGGCTGGAGTGCAGTGCCACGATCTCGGCTCACTACAACCTCTGCCTACCGGGTTCAAGCAATTCTCCCGCCTCAGCCTCCTGAGAAGCTGGGATTACAGGCACGTGCCACCATGCCCAGCTAATTTTTGTATTTTTAGTAGAGACGGAGTTTTAGCATGTTGGCCAGGCTGATCTCGAACTCCTGACCTCGTGATCTGCCTGCCTCAGCATCCCAAAGTGCTGGGATTACAGGCGTGAGTCTAGTTCTTCTTTAAATGTTTAGTAGATTGTTGACGACAGTGTGGCAATTCCTCAAAGACTTAGAAGCAGAAATACCAGTTGACCCAGCAATCCCACTACAGGTATATAGCCACATAGCCAGGAATATAAATAATTCTGTTATAAAGATACATGTATGTTCACTGCAGCACTATTTACAACAGCAAAGTCGTGGAATCAACCTATATGCCCATCAATGATAGACTGGATAAAGAAAATATGGTACATATATACCATGGAATACTATGCAGCCATGAAAAGGAACGAGATCACGTCCTTTGCAGGGACATGGATGGACTTGGAAGCCATTATTCTTAGCAAACACGCAGGAACAGAAAACCGAACACTACATGTTCTTACTTATAAGTAGGAGCTGACTGATGAGAACACATGAACACACAGTGGGAAATAACACACTGTGGGCAACTGTTGGGGGGTCAGGCAAGGGAGAGCATCAGGAAGAATAGCTAGTGGATATTGGGCTTAATACCTGGGTAATGGGATGATCTGTGTAGTAAACCACCGTGGCACACGTTTACCTACGTAACAAACCTGCACATCCTGGACGTGTACACCAGAACTTTAAATAAAAGTTGAAAGAAAAAAAAAGAAAAGGGAAGAAAATAAATGTTGGTTATAATTCAGTGGTGAAGCCATCTGGTCCTGGGCTTCTCTTTGATGGGAGAAGTTTGAATATTGATTCAATCTCCTTCCTCATTTTTGGTCTCTTTAGAATTTCTGTTGATTCATAATTCAATCTTGGTAGGTTATATGTGTCTAGGAATTTATCCATTTCTTCTAGACTGTCCAATTTTTTGACATACAGTTGTTCATAGTAGTTTCTTATGATCCTTTGAATTTCTGTCTTATCAGTTGTAATGACATTTATTTTTTATTTTATTTATTTGAGTATTCTTTTTTCCTCATTAATCTAAGAGTTTATTGATTTTGTTTGTCTTTTCAAAAAGCTATCTCTTAGTTTTGTTAATTTTTTGTAATTTTTTTCTGGTCTCTGTTTCATTTATCTCTGCTCTGAACTTTGTTATTTCCTTTCTTCTGCTAACTTTGGTTTGGTTTGTTCTTCTTTTTCTAGTTATTTAAGGTGTAACATTATATTGTTTATTTGAGATATTTCGTCTTTTCTGACATAGGCATTTATTGCTATAAATTTCTGTCTTTGGGCTACTTTTGCTACATTCCTTAAGTTTTCATATGTTGTGTTTCCGGCCACTAATTCTTTATGCTGTCACAGAGTGGAGATTAATAGATAAATATCATTGCTATTTATTCTTGTCCAAAAAACTGAAAATATGTGGAGAGGCTTTGGATAACCACTTGGTAGCAGAGAATGAGAGTGTGGAATTGTTCCTAAGAAGCAACTGCCTAGGCAGGAATTACATATTTCTTATCTCCTTTGAATCTAGAGAGGCCTCATTACTTATTTACACCAGTGGAATAGGAATAGAAACGATGAGTAACACTTACCAGCCAAATTGATCAAAAATCAGGTGTTGTTTTCCTGTGGTTTCTTCCCTGATCCATCAGCTAAATGGAGAAGACTCTAAGATTTTTGACAAGGTAGAACCCTAAGATGGAAAGAGTCTGGGTCCACATAGAGGATGATCTAATCTGGAATACCTGATTTTGATTTTGATGTGAGCAAAAATACATGACGCCGCTGTGAATCATTGAAATGGATGTCCCCAAATCTCCTCAGCCATATATTTATACATAATCTCTTGGTATTCCTATAGACAACTTGGTCTAATCAATTATGTGTTGGCTGTTAATAGTTTTCAAAAATAAATTTATTTTTAAGTTTGAGGTGCTTTTTAATTAATATATACTTATATAAAAGTATTTTTATAAATACTTTTTATATATTTATAAAAAGGTGAGCAAGTATGAATCTGCTTACTTTTTAAATTTTGGGGATAATGTACCATAAAAACATTAACATACATATAAATATCTTGGAAGGTAGAAAATGGGAATTTTACATGAAAAATTAGGAAGTCAGCTATTATGTATTATAACATTGACTAAAGGTATTTTATTAGGAAATAAGTTTTAAAGCTTGAAAATATATTCATGGTAGTTTACAAAAAGTATGTCAAGATATGTACATATCTGGCACAAAGATTGCTTTTCTCAGAACCCTTTTAAAACAAAATATTTGATTCTCATAGTGCCTGTATATCTGTTTTACACCTAAATAAACAAGAACTGTGAATAAATATTGCCCTGCTCTGAAACAGAGGTCTAAGGCTGAAAGCATAACCCTCATTGATTTGTAGGGGAGCTGTTATAGCCTATTAGTAAGAATGACCAAGTTACAAGGTCTAAGGGAGTAGTAATTCTGAAGTCTCTGTTCAAGGAAGCTAAAGCAGGAAAGAAATAAAGCAGGCTCCAGGGAAATGAGTGCCTGCATTATTGTACTTAAAGCAAATGTTCAAATTTTAGAGTGTTCTGAACCCATCAGTTCAAATTATAATTACTAAGATAAATTAGTGGTTTTCAAACTATGTCCAAGTGATATCACCAGGACTGCAGTGTTACCTCTTACCCTCACATCAGGCATTTGATGTAGGTCGATGATTATCCATGAATCCAAGCAAACATTGGCCCAGGCAGCACCTTTATGTGAAACAAGCAAACAAAAAAAGATTTCTTCCAAGGATGAATGTAGCCCAATGAGTAATGTCTTCACTTAGAGCATCTGGGCTAGAAATTTACCATCATACTGAGAGGTCTTGCACTAATAAGCAATGTTGATTATGACTCCAGGTTGATTTCTCAGGCACATCAATCAATCTTATAATTCTGGTTACCAATATGTGCCACCTTTGTAGGCTAGAGACTTATTTCTGAGAACATTAATCCCAGGATCTCTTGTTTTGCCTTCGCCTACCCCTCCCTCAAGTGTAAGCATTTCTTACTCTTGTATTCTAGGATTGCTGTTCCTATTAAGATAGCCTTGTTTGTATGATATGCTTATTCATAATATTGAGATCCAATTCATGTACAAAGAAGACAATCTGTGACAGGAACACATAATTTTAATTTAAAAAATCTAGTTACTAGATTTCTACATTTAAAAAATGAAAAGGCCGATACATTACCCACTTCTAGAATCAAAAGAGAATGTTACCCTTCAATGCATCTTAGAGCAGGCCTATATACTAAGGCAATCGTCATTTCGTACTACATAAGAAACTGATATTGCTTCTGTGTCTCTTGATCTCGTTATTTGATTTTAATACCACCCTATTGCATTTCTGCATTCATCATATTGTATCTAACAAAGCAGACTTTAAGAAAACCTATGAATCTCATAATGCAACCAGACACAAGCACACAAGACAGAAAATAAGAGTTAACTCTTTCAGAAGTAATTACATGCATTCAACTATAGCAAATTAAAAAATTCTACCTAATAATATTTTTTACTGGTTAAAAATCTTTACATTGGTATAAAATATAGGAAATGATTTTTTTAAAAGGCCACATAAACAAAAAGTGGTTTTTGTCATTTTCATTGCCTACACCAGATTACACTCTTCTTTTACTTTTCTGGCTTACCTGTTGCTGTTTTAGGAGAGAGCAGATGCAAAGAGCTGGGACACAGGCTTTAGTAACAACGATATATCAGTGAGGTTATGCTACAATAATGTTTTATAACTACTATCGACTGAAGTTTTGGTCCCATTAAAATTCATGTAATAATTTGGGGATAAGTCCTTTATATAAATAATTTGGATTAAATGAGGTCGTAATGGTGGAGCCTTGATTCAATAGGTTCATATCTTTATGAGAAAAGAGACCAGAAGGCTAGCACTTGCTCTCTCTCTCTCCCTGTTTTGGGAAGACACAGAGAGAAGACAGCCCTCTGCAAGCCAGAAAGAGAGCCTACACCAGGAACCAAACCCTTTCAGCAACTTTCTCTTGGACTTTTCTACCTCAAAAAGTGTGAGAAAACAAATGCTTGTGGTTTAAGCCACCAACTCCGTGGTATTTTGTTATGGCAACCTAAACAGACTAAGACGGTAACAAACAACCACAGAATCTCAGCTTATTACTATAAACATATTTTTTTCTCATTCACAAGTCTGTAATTCATTGTGGCATTAATGTTCCAGGCTCAACATCAGGTTTAGGTCTTTCTTTTGGTCTGACGGAGTTGCAGCTCCCAGGATCATACATTTCTCATGGATGACAGTAAGAGTGCAAGCAGACAAATCAAGCACCACAAAATTCTCCTTGGATGTTACTAGATCACGTCTACTCACATTCCACTGGCCAAAATACGTGATGCTATCTTCAATGTCAACAGGGCAGGGAAGTATATTCCTCCAGGAAGAATGCAAGTGGGAGTAGTGAATATTTGCAGAACAATAACACCATCTGCCTCACTAGTTAACAACCTAAATCAGATACTTTTTAATAGTTCCTGGTCCCTTAAAATATCAGAAGGTCTGGTCTGAGGAGACAAATTTATGTCTCCTCTACCCCAAATTTTATTGGATTTTGGCTGTGGAACACTGCAGTAGATGAATGTTGATTTTTCTACAAGGTAATTGGCTAGAAAAGTGTATTTGAAATTTGCCACCTATTTACCAAATATATTTCATATTAGAAAGACGTGTTTTGTAGAGACCTAGACACTTTAGCTAAAGTTAACAAAATACACATCTTTAAATGTATAGTTAATATCACTGTTTACCATTAATAAGTTAAATAAATCACACATAACTGACAAAATTGACATTAATTTCTGTACCTTATGGCATATGGAGAAATTGACCTCTCACATTTTATAAATTTCATAATTTTTATGTAAATGTTTAATTCCAAGCCATGTCACATTTGAGAAGAAAAAATATGTTATTTATCACCTTAACACTCTCAGAACATACATCCTCACACACATATACTCAGGCACACACAGACCTGTTATATCGTATACAGCGCCAAGAATGTAAGCTGATTCCATCTTGGCTAACTATAACTACCTTTTAAAAACTAAAGAGTCAGTCTATTTTCCATCCATTTAGCAGTTAAAGAGAATTTATATTTACTTGTTTGTTTGTTTATTATGGTTATAGAAGCTGATGCTATTGAAGAAATAATAATCAAGCTTACTTTAAAACTGGCTGAGTTACAGGTTTAATTCCCTCCTTCACATTTCGTGAACGCACAGGAGGAGGGTCAGTGCCCCTCCTAACCAGAATGTCATTTATAGACTAACATGAGAATTGCAAGAGAAGCATGGCCAATAGTCAAGCAGCACATAGTGGTGAGAAAATTCTAAAATAAGGAATAGCCAGGGTTTGCTACTAGTGAACAACACACAGTGGGGAGGATGTAAATGTGTGTCAGTACTGGGCCAAAGAAAGATACATTTGATTCTTAATTCACAAGTAAATGTGTGCCCCTCTCATCGGTTCTGGTTCACGAAGATTCTAATCAAGCAATTTATCTGGTTCATTTCTCATATGCCCTCATCAACTGAAGTGCAAAGTCTACTCAACAGCCAGAAAAGATGAGGTCAGCCTTGAAAATAAGTGTTGGCCCATTTGCCCAAGGCCCAAAAGAAACCACTGGGTGACAAATGAGATCAGCCTCTTTTGGACTAGCCTCTACAGCGCCACAGCAATATTCGAAAGGTGAAAATTACAGTCAAGCAATTCATTTGGCACCATTTATAGCCCTACCTCCACCACCCAATGATAAAGTTGGTTGACAACTTCGTTTTCTTTTTTTCCTGAATTCTTTCTTACATATTTGTCTTTACCATTAATCTTGTATAGTTATTACTATTAGGATCCTACAGTCTGCTTTAACCTGTGTGTGAACATCATAATTTCCCCCTTGAGACTTAAAAACAAATCAAGGAGTGAAAGTGTTCAATATTTCCTTTAGAATTTACTTTCAGTGATGGAATAAGGGAAAATTTTACCTGGGTATACAGGGCAGAATGTTGTATTACATATATTCTGAAAATAAGCAGAGCATCAGGATGAGAAATTTGAAGTCACGGGTAATGTCTCTACATGTGCATTCAAATCAGATGCCTATGAAAAATGCCATGGCTCTGATTTGCCAGAAAGCTTGGTTAAAGGATTAGACATGGAGCTAGTTAGTATTAGCCAGTGCATGCAAATGTGCAAGGGTGAACCAGTGACCAGCTCTTCATTCGTACCCAATGCAATGACACAGAAGATTCCAACTCAGTTATCAAGACAGAAAAGAACAAAATCCAGTTTATTTCTTTTTACAGAGGTCTCTGCTATCTGTGTTACTCTCACTCATCTAACTATTTATAAGCAACAAACTCCAAATCAAATTCAGTCCCTAAGTGATTGAAAAAGTTACTCTCACAGGTAGGTCAGAAAACAATGAACACATTGTTAGAAATGACAGACCCTCCTGGTTCTTAACGACACAGTGGGTGCTATCACCTAACTGGCCCAGGCGTGATCTGGAGCACTGCTTCATTTGCCTCTTTATATCACATTGTGATGAAAACTGTCACAATGTGCCTCTTTAGGCACTGAGCAATCTGTGATTTATCAAAGTGCCATCTTGCTGATGAACTGAAAAACAAAACCTGTCTCATCAACAACCGGAGCATTTTGCATTAAAAACGTAGTCTACAATAGCCTCTAAAATTAATCTTCCAAGATGGGTTTCTCAAAGAAAATAAAAATAGAGAATATTTTTCGTAAAGTTTCCTAGTTGGTATTCAACCATTTCAAATTTTTAAATTCTATCTCATTTAAACATGTTTAACTCTTTCATCCCCAATTCTTCAGAACTTCAAGTCCAATTTCATTTGTGAGATGTCTTGCACCCATCCCCAGACGCCTGCCTGCAGCCTGGGGGACATCAGGAGTCCACTCCCACTTAGAAATAGGGATCTCAACACCTCTGTGTCTGATTATGTGATCTGTGACCCAGGTTGAGTTCCTGGGATCTGGGAAACCTGGGAAGCTAAAGGATGTGCAATATCATTGCTTTTGATTTGCTAAGTCTGGCATGAGGGAGGGAAAGCAGAAACAGTAGGAGCAGGAGATGCCCAAACAAAAACCTCAGACTCCCCAAAACAATTGTCATTCTGAAGGACTAGAATTCATTGAGATCCGAGGTAAAAGTGCAAGAGAGAGTAAGAAAGTTTGAAGGGGATGATGGGAATGGAGGCTAGAGCCATTCCTACCCCTAAATATATGGTAATTATCTTTGAATTGGGAGGAAATATTTAATTATAATGGCTGCATAGAGGTAAAGTATTAGTCTAGTGGTAACATTTAAAATGTGGACTCCCACGATCTTGTGTGCAAAGTGTATTCAGCAGGTACTTCTATCTCAAAAATCTTTGCTTTTCTTCCACTAAAGTATCTCTGTGGCAGAGGGGCATCAACAGGCCGCCCCAAGGAAAATTTAACTGAACTTACTTGTTTTATCAAACACACGCATCCAAAAGTTTTACCTTATGTCATAGCATATTTGCCAGTGTTTGTTTTCATATAAAAATATAGTTTCAGGCCGGTTGTTGGCTCATGCCTGTAATCCCAGCCCTTTGGGAGGCTGAGGCAGGTGGATGGCCTGAGGTCAGGAGTTTGAGACCAGCCCGGCCAGTGAAACTCCGTCTGTACTGAAAATACAAAAATTAGCTGGGCATGGGGGCAGGCACCTGTAATCCCAGAGGCTGAGGCAGGAGAATCACTTGAACCCAGAAGGTGGAGTTTGCTGAGCTGAAATCACACCATTGCACTCCAGTCTGGGTGACATAGCAAGACTCCATCTCAAAAAAATATATATATACATATATATATAGTATATATTATATATATAATATGTTACATACATATATATTATATATAATATATTATGTATTTTTATATATAGTTTCAATTAGATGATGAAAGCTCCATGATGTAAAAGACTGTGCTTATACTATTTATCACTATATCCCCCAACCCTACGCTAGCACAAAGCACGTATCCTTAGTAAATATTTGCTGCATTTATATTGAGACTTTTGGAAGATGCAGAATGATTATATTGTGGTTTCTCATACATACTCCCTGGAACACTAATATCACCCTCTGATGGTAAAAAGCACATAACAAGACATGTCCATGGTTAGAATAATTTCTTATGGCTAGGCATTACAGAAAGCAACCTTTTAAGTTTTCAAAAAACAAGGCAGCTTTCTGGATCTGTAATTTCAATAGCGTCACATGTTAGGGACTCCGGTGACAATTGCTTAGGTGATGGGCAGCAGCACTTCTTCCAAAGCAAGATATTGTCACTTGTGTTTGTAAAATGGGTCTTCATGTATACTGGACTACCTGTACTTAGTTTCACCAGAGTTTACTTTTTTATACTAAGCTCTAAGTCCTCAGGTACTTAAATGGAAAGACTATCTCATACATGCAGACTAAGGTCAGGCATTGGAGTTGCCTCAGTGATACGCCCTCATGAAGGAACAGTACAGCCAGGCAGCTGCCAGCATCCAAATGCCTGTCACCCCAAGGTGGAAACAGACTTGAAATTTACAGGCCAAGGCATAAAGACAAGAATGCCTTTATTGACTATGTTTTCATTTGGAAATTCTAGCAAAGAATCTAAGTGAGATAACTTTACTTTTCATAGAAAAGTGAAAGTTGTTATCACCTACTTGGATTGGGATGAAGCCGGGATTTTTTTATCTGGGTGATTTCAGTCTTTCATGAACATGTTGCTGAAGCTGATTGCCAGGGAACCCGTGAACTTTGTGGAGTCACCATGCATGCGTTGCTAAAATGGCTTCTACAGAACACCACCAATAAATTCTTTCGAAGCTGATCCAGAAGGCAAGTCTAGTGAATAATCTGATCTGATTTATGAGAGAGCTCTGAGTTTGTTGGCAAACTGAATCATCTTTCTCTGCATATCTTTGTTGCCTTACCACCACCACTACATTGCAAATATATGATAAATAATTAATAATGGCAATAACAATAGCTAACACTTTTCAGTGTGTACTATGTGCCAAGTTTTAGGGCTACAAGCCTTATGTGGATTATCTCATGTCATCCTTGCAGTAAGGCTACGAGGTAGATAATGTTATTATTCTTTATCTGATAGATAGACATGAACCTGAGGTGAGCGATAATTTTATACCTTGCTCAAGGTTATCCAGGTGATGCTAGGACTCTAACCTAAACAGTCAGACTGCGGAAGCTGAACTCTTAACTACTCCAAGACAATCTTTCCATGTCTCCTAACTGAAAATAAAGTTCTTCATTATAAGTTTACAATGCTCTTTGGAAAACCAAATCCATTGTCAGATTTGCTTACTGTCTCCAAAGGCAGTATTAGCCTACTAAGACCATACCTCTCAGTTACAATCTTTATTTGTAACTGCACCATTTTGTTCTAGCTTTTGTAACCATATCATTTTCTTGTTTTTATTACCTTAGGTTTTATTGTACTGGTAAATAGTACTAAAATTAAATATTCATTAATATCCTGAAATAAATATCACTGAATGAGAATGCAATGGTACATTGAGCTATTCGTTGTCTTAGAGTGGAATGTTAAAAGCCATTAAAGGGTTTTCTTTAGTGGGCTTTCTAAAGCAATAGCTTCACTTAGAGTGGATTATTCTATTATATTTTATTTTTAAATGATTAGTTTTTATGCCTCCTTTCATCCTCATCTGTCCTCACAGTTTCGGTTCTGATGGGGACCAAGCAGTCTCATCTTCAATAGTAGATGCAAAAATGTCAGCCATATGGGGGTGAGTACTTGGTGTTCATGACACGTATGTATCAAATGACAGGATATCAGGATTAGACTCATCTACAAAAAGAAGCTGTATTTTTTTTCTTTCCGTCTGCTGAAGTCAATTTTATTTCCACATATAATTACAGGTTGGGTTTTTAACTTTGTATATAAATAATTGAAACATACTATATTTTCTTCTGTATAAACCAAGTGATAAGCCTTCTTAAGTACCACTGAGATTCAGCTTCCAAAAAAAGGTTGCCATGTCATTTTTCTGATTTATCAAAGCTACTTTGAAGTAATTTCATAAAGCCTATTAAAATTAAAGTAACCTCTAAAGTAAAACATGCAATTTTTTTTTCTCTAGCAAAAACTTTCTCTCTGGAAACAAAGGGTAGTCACCAGTGCTCGTAATTTTCTTCTTTATTTTTGTATGTTTTTCTTGCAAATGCAATACAAAAGCTAAATAAATCATAATGCTTCCATATGCGTATTAACCTATATTTTCAAATCATTTTTGCTTATTGCATTCCTAAAACAAGCCCTCCAGGTGATAGTGGTTCTCAAGCTGGAGCATGCATCAGACTCAGCTGAAAAGCTTAGTAAAGCACCAATTGCTGAGTCCACCTTCCACAACTGCCTTCCTCCATAATTTCTGATTCTGAATATAGAGGGTGAGGCCAAAGTTTCTAGCAAGAAATTTCCTAGTGATGCTGATTGATATTCCAGATTTGGGAAAAAGACTTTGAAAACCACTACTGTAGAAGGGAAGCAGGGAGAGGGGGGAGGGTCTCAAACATTTTCTATAAAGGGCCAAATAGTAAATAATTTAGACTTTGTGGGACATATGGTCTCTGTGGCAAGCAATTGCTCAACTCTGCAATTGTAACTTGAAAGCATCCATAGACAATAGGTAAACAAATAATTATGGCTGTGTTCCAAGAAAGCTTTATTCATGGACATTAAAATTTGAATTTCATATAATTTTTACATGATACAACATATTATTTTTTAATCACTTTTTAAATGTAAAAAACATTCTTAACTGGCAGGTCCTAGTGTAGTTTGCCAACACTGGACTTAGAAGGAGAGAATAAGTAGAAGCTTCAGTAGTAAAATTTATGGTAAGTGCCAAATAAGGGCCTCACACTAAAATAAATAAATAAATAGAATAAAAATTTTAAAAAAAGAATAACAGTATTAATCCCCTCCCCCACCCCAGGAAACTCATTTTTACTGCAAAAAGAACAAATTGGGAGTTCCAGAGTCACTGTGATTACTCCAAAGAATAGTTTTGCCAATTAATGGATTGGATTATTTATCATTATTCAGGTTTTTAGGACTCTGCAAATAACAGAATCTGAGACTACTTCTCAGATTGGTAAACCAGTTTTGAAATTTATATGATCAAATCATATAAAATAAGAATCATTCCTTTTAACAGGTCTAATCTCATACTTGTAATGTACTAACTTATTATTCCAATTTGGTGGTAGTTAAAGTCTATCTATATACACACACTGGGTTCAAGAATTTCAAAATCTGTCCATTTTTAAGAATCAATCAGAAAATGTTTTTAAAAAGTCAAGTCAAATGTTTTGGGTGACCTTATTATCACTGCAGCTGCTCCACGTGTGTTTAGTTATTGTTGTTCTAAAGGCCACCTGGAGTTAGTAAGCACTAGTAGAAATGGTCCACCTATTTATAAACTATGTTTCCTAAATTACCTTTCTATGTCTGAGGGTCATTTTTATTGGTAAAAATGTCATGTTACTTGCCAAGCATATTTCTGATCCCTTATAAATGACAGTTATTATTGTTTTTACTTATGTCAGAAATAGTCTCTAAGGCTGGCCTCTCATTGAAATAATCAAATATTTTTGGAACTTCAAACACATCTTCATTTAATCAGGTAGCTATTGAATGCAATAATCTCCAAGGTCCCTTCGAGCTGTGAAATAAATTAGTTGTGAGGCTCTGTTCATGGTGACTATAAGCCCTAATCAAAAAAAGAAAAACGACAACCACCACAAAATCCTATTACACTGGTGCTCAAATTTTAGTGTACATAAGAATAACCTGGGGTTTTTATTAAAAGGCAGACTCCTGAGCCTCACATCAGAGACCCTAATTGAAGAAGTCTAGGGCCCCAAATTTTGCATTTAAAATGATACCCTATGTAAATTTTGACATATCTGGCCCATAAATCACACTTTGAGAAACACTGACTTACTACAACCAAATATGTAATTGAGCTTGACAGTAGAATTAAATTTAAAAAAAAAATAACAAATTTACTTTTAGCCATGCACAGCAGTGTTTAATACAGGTACTAACGAATAAACAATCTAAATCATAGAATTCTACAGGCATGATATTCTGGATCACTTCTGTTCAGCATGAGAAATTATCACAGTGGAAAATGTGTATCAAAACCCCATTTGAAGTCACATTTGTGGTCTGATGTCACTGAACACTCATAAGTGTAATTTTTACAAGGAGAGTCTGTTGAGTGGGTGGAGTGGACAAAGAAGTAGTTAGGTCAAAGCGCCATCAGGCACTTGTTTCCCGTTCTTCATGAAGGACATCTTCAGTTAGAGTGTTTTTCCTTGGGCTGCATTGGTTGATGATACGTGCCTATGTTAATTACCTTTCCTTCGATGTGATTTGATTGTTGCAGGTTTCCATTGTCAGGTATCTTTTGCCTGAGGGAATCGTAGTCAGGTACTAGAACATCCTATGAATTTGAACAAGGAAAAAGTATATGGCCATAGTCCCAATCTCTGACCAAGATCCAGTTCTATTCTACTGTGTTCCCTCCTTGCTTCTACACAGGGCAAAGCCAGCTCACTCCATGTAGCCCAGCTTAGACATGAGGGCAATTTTATCTTTACCTTATTTCCTTCTTAGATCCACTCCAAGAAAACAGATTCCTGTTATTATTGGCCTAGCAGCTTTTTAAAATTCGGGTTGGGGGTGAGGAGGGGGTATGTTAGAGTTTAGTTTATATCTTTTTATTCTTATATTTAACTTAGAAATTAAAGCATTGTGATGACCAGGTATTCTTGACTAATAAAAAAAGAATCTCATAGTATATATTCTAAATTAAAAGGACACTCAATATCTAAACTTAAAGATATACAATATACTTTTCTTTTTTTCCCCTAAGGAGAATAATTATAAGCAATAATCAAAGGAAATTTTTTGATGGCAGCTTAAACCTGCTATGAAATACTGATCTTTCTAGTAGCAGTGGTCCCAAAGATAAATTTAGGAAACTTCTAGTAATATTTAATAGTACACATAAATTATCTGGTTTAGCTAAGTTGCATGTTAAATAAATTAGAAAGTGATTCACAGTGGCCAAGATAGATTTTGCTGCCTAGCAACACATACTTAGATTCTTAAGGAAAAACAGTATATAAGCCACAACTTTAACCTAATTACACTAGTGTATGTTCTAGAATTTAAGTTATCAGGCCTATGATTTTCAATGATATTAAATTATGCAAATCACAACTATCCCCTTTACTTTGCTGATATTTGTTTAAAAGTTGCTTAATAACTTTCAGAATACCTTTAAACTGATACATTTCCCAAGTGGTGAGGTGATGCAGTTAGACTAAAACATGATATAAATACTTTAAAGATGCAATTAAAATATTTTCTCCTAATTTTAATAACAATATTGCTTTTGCGGTATGCCAAATTGCCATTAAAGATTTTGTTTGTTTGTTTGTTTTTTGGGTTTTTGTGTTTGTTTTTGTTTTTTGTTTGTTTGTTTGTTTTTTGACAGAGTCTCGCTCTGTCGCCTAGGTTGGAGTGCAATAGTACAATCTCACGTCACTGCAACCTCCCCCTCCCAGGTTCAAGTGATTCTCGTGCTTCAACCTCCGGAGTAGCTGGGATTACAGGCGCGTGCCACCACACCCAGCTAATTTTTTCTATTTTTAGTAGAGACGGGGTTTCATCATGTTAGCCAGGATGGTCTCGACCTTCTGACCTCGTGATCCACCCGCCTCAGCCTCCCAAAGCACTAGGATTACAGGCATGGGTCACCGCACCCGGCCTAAAGAATGTTTTCAATCACTTCAATAAATCTTTAAATGATTTTAGGTACCACTTAATGTTTCCAGTTGACATAAAAAAATGAACTATTTCGGATTTTATTGAAAGCTCTTTAGTACATGTCAGCAGACTATTTTGGAACAGTTTCAAAAAGTGACAAATTGCAGTAAATCATCTCACAGCAGCTCAACACCACTATAGCCATTACCAGGTAGAATGCAGGGCCTTGTAAATGTCTGATCACATATCAACTCAGGGTTTTGTCACAGAGCAGAAATAGCAAATTCAAATCTATCAGAGTGAGATGTTCCCTTTCCCAATACTTCACTTTATTTAACTTTTTTAAATGTTGACGTATTATATGGATCTGTAATGAAAGAAGGGAAATACTCCATCCATTCGTTTATCAGACATTTGGCTGTGTTGCCAAGTTATCACTTTAATAATAAAAGAATTGATCTTAGAAGAAGTGTGCCTCCATTCACAGAACATCTGCTCCTAGAAGGGGGAAAATACCTAAACATCTCTGGATGAATGATCACATGAGAAAACCTCACAAAACATGTACTGAGGTATTACGTGTAAGAGGAAATCATTTTTGCTTAATTCGGATCACTAAGTACAACTGGCCAAGTTAGTAGTTTTTATAATCGGTTATGTTACTGTCCAAACCATAATGATTTTCTACCCAAGAACTGGCAGTCTCAAGCCTTCCTCTCTCTGAGGATGGATGAGTCAACTGTTTATTCAAAATGTGTGACCAAATTATTAGGCCAATTATTTTTTAATAACATACAAAGTTTGTGAATGCCTGATGTACTAAACTCTGAACATAGAGATATTTGAAGAGACCCATATTGGGATGATCTCCTGTGACTGTTAATTATGCCATTAGAAAACATTCGGTCTTTAAAAATTACTATGATTAACATCCACATTACCATCAATGATTTTCATCAATAATTTTAATTTAAAGGGGCTCCCTTTCAATGCCTGATCTTTACTTGGAAAAGATAATAGAAGGTGATAATGAGTTAAACATTTATTCAATATAACGTAGTTAACATGATTAAATAATTGTAGAAAGTGGAGGCAGTGTCAGGGTGTGGAAGGAACATTGTAATAAGAGTCAAAATTGCTGAATTCTAACCACTGACTGACCAGCTGTGTGACTTTAAGCAAGTAATTTCATTTTCTATGTATCAAATCCTTCCATTACAAAATGGGACAAATATTTTATAGATTCGGCATAAACATCAAATGAGATGGTTGCTCTGTCAGGGTCTCAGAGATGAACAAATAGCATGCTCCAATGAGGAATTTGGGGAGAATTTAGTAAGCAGTCTATTTGCAAAGGGGAGAGGAGTAGAAAGACCAAGTGGTAGTGAAATGTTACCATCCAGACGGGTGAGAGGAGAGAATGGGTACTGTAACACAGAGACAGAAAGCTTTGTGGAGAGAACGGGCCATTCCCAGGAGCTCTGGCCTTCCTCTGAGGGGTACAGGTAGGGTCTTTGGCAAGCACTCCCTCTCTCTGCTCCTACTGTGTTCCCTAGGGGTTGAACTCAACAGGAAGCCAGAAGACCAGGAAGCCCAACAATATGGCCCTGTAGATTAATCTTCCAGGACACAGAGCCAGATGAATGAAAAGAATGAACTGAGAGGAGCAAATGGAAATATACAGGACAGATGGGGTATGTGAAAATACTTTAAAAATAAAAACCACCAGAAAAATAGAATTCAATTACAGGAGTCAGAAATTCTGAATTCTTTCCTGTCCTCTGCTACTGTATAGCTTCAGATAAATGTAGCAGTTCCTTTTTATATCAAGTGATGTACAGAAGTTACAAACATCTCTAGTTAAGCTTAAACATGCAATGAACACTATTAGAAAATATTAAAATACAACAGGCAATTTAAAGACTACCAGGTGAACATAAGTCACTGCTAACTTTGGCAAAATTTCTAAGAATTGATTTCATCGCCAAAGGAGTAAATTAATTTTGAAGTTGCTGATGGCAACCACTTACCCGTCATTGCATTAGGACTAAGTTCAAAGAGTGATGAAGAAAATATATTTGTAAGAATAAAACTCCCAAGCTCATTCTAAAACCTCAGCTAGGGAGACTATAACTCACTGCTCATTGACCCACCTCTCCTGTCCCTTATGCCAGTCATCCTGGTGGTCCTGTTACTGGGCCTCTCAGGAGGGAGGCATCAGAGTTCTCTGGAGATGGCGCCAGCACACCTGCTTGCTGCTCTTCTAGGGCTTCTATGGGATTTGCCTCTGCGGAGCTTAAATGATAATGAGCCTGCATTCAAAGAGCACCTGTCCACAACCCACACTTGTTTTGCAGAACTGCAGATGGTCCCTACAAGCACAAGGAACAGACTGGCACATTGAATTACTCAGTTTTATCAGCACCCAGTTTTAATTTCCTAATGGAGCTCTACTAAGATAATCGCTATAAGGATGAATATGTCTATGTAGCAGTCAAACCACATGCCTTGCAGGCATTATTATTGCTCTCTGGTAGAAAGGGGACATGAGAAAGCCAAAACTATTAATCTATTAATGATAAACCTCCACGATTCCCATGGCCCACCTTCATGCCCCAAGCATATATTCCAGAATAAATAGTTGACTTTCCCAGAAACTTTGTTAATAACTATTATATAGAGATATATAATATATGAATATGTTTATATTAATATGCATGAGATAATATATAAATATATGTTTACATTAGGTATATACCAGATAATATATTTATAATATATAAATCTATATTTATATCAGATTTTTTAATGGGTGTTGGTGTGAAAGGGATTCTTCATTCTTCATGATGTGCACTGTTCCCGGAGATTTGGTCTCAATTATGTAAAGAGGAAACATGGGTGGCTAAGGAGAACAGTATAATGTATTGAATTTATCCTTTTCTGGAACTACATTTTAGTGTAGTGGAAAAATAATAAACTACTTTGTGGCTTATTACTTCCAGTGCTAATAAGGTTGTCTATAAAACAGAAGCTACCATTCTAAAGTGGTCAAGGTAGGATAACCACTATAACAAACTACCCAACAATTTCACTGCATTAAAACAAGAAACCTTTCTTAATTACCTGTGTTATGGTCCAGTGCAAGTATCCAGGTGCCGTGTTCCATGAAATGACTCAGGAACCTAGGGTCTGTAGTGCCTCAGGGGAATAGTCTTCCCCTGAGGGGAGAGGAAGACGGGGGGAGGAGAGAGAAGGGGGAGGGAGGGAAGCAAGCAGATGGAGAGAGACAGAGAGAGAGAGAGAAGAGGAGGGGAGGGGAGGATGGGAGAGAAGAGAGGAGAGAAAAAGAAGAAGAAGAGGAGAAGGAAGAAGAGAAGGGGGAGCAGAGAGACAGAGACAGAGAAAAAAATATAAGTGGAATATTTACAGGATTTAAACACCAAGCTTGAATTCCATATAATTTTGTTTATATGTCTTTGGCACTCAATCATATGACCGAATCTAATTTCTAACCACAGGGGAAATTGAGAAAGGTAGTCCAGCTTCATTCCCAGGAAGAAAAAGAAATGGGAGTTGTTAAAGATGTAGCACTGTTTGGCCGGGTACGGTGGCTCACGCCTGTAATCCCAGCACTTTGGGAGGCTGAGGCGGGCAGATCACGAGGTCAGGAGATCGAGACCATCCTGGCTAATACGGTGAAACCCCGTCTCTACTAAAAACACAAAAAATTAGCCGGGCGTGGTGGCGGGCACCTGTAGTCCCAGCTACTTAGGAGGCTGAGGCAGGAGAATGGCGTGAACCCGGGAGGCGAAGCCTGCAGTGAGCCGAGATCGCGCCTCTGCACTCCAGCCTGGGCGACAGAGCGAGACTCCGTCTCAAAAAAATAAAAAAAGATGTAGCACTGTTTCTGTCACAGTGGCTTTCCAATCCCCAGCGTCTTGAAAGAGTCCAGAGTCCCGGTTGTCATCTGAATGTTGCTATTGCTTGGACTGCTGAGCTTTTGAATCTTGGAGACCCTCAGATATTTTTCAAAGGTTATATCTGTCCTTCTTTAGTATTTCTCTCTATTTGATTTGGTGTTACACAAGAAGACAAGTATAAAAAAAATAGTGGGGATTTAAATATGTGGGTATGTACACATATACCAAGGGTTAGCCAATACAGGAGAAAATAAGGTGGGGTGTATGTAATCTATCAAGATAAAACACTGCATTTAGTCTTGCTGGAAAACAGCCAAACAGGGCTTTTTCTTTTTTTTCTTTTTCTTTTTCTTTTTTTTTTTCCATGCATGGATTTACATAGTGACCCAACTCCTATGAAGGGACTTTTTCTTTAGTTCCTAATAGTAACTTCATTCCAGAAATGTTAGACTCTTCTTCAGTCTTACAAACTGCTCATTGACTTTGGTTTCCTGACTATAATAAATCTTTTTTCAAACAAAATAATCCATTCTCTTCATCAAGAACAGCGGGAGGTATATATACAATTATACTAGATATTCCCACCATTTCCGTAATGAATGCAAATCATGGACAACCAGGGTACTAGGACTCTTCAAATTTATCCTTTTTATATTTTTACACTAATTAGTCTGAAATATTAAATATGCATCTCCCTAAGGGTAGAATAGTTCAATCACAACCTCATAGAAAGCCACTGTTGCCGGTACAGTGGTTCTCTCAGCCGTGGTTGCACTTTCTGCAGTTTCAATTACCTGTGGTCAACCATGGTCTGAAAATACTAAATGGAAAATTACGATAGAAATAGACAATGCATAAGTTTTAATTTGCACCATTCTGAGAAGCATGATGAAAATCTTGTGCAGTCCCACTCCTTCCCACCCAGGACATGAATCCACCCTTTGTCCGGCCTATTTATAATTTCTAAGCTACCCATTCCTGAGTCACTTAGTAGCCACCCTCGACTGTCGCGGTATCACAGAGCATGTGTTCAAGTAATGCTTCTTTTACTTAATTGTTCTATTTTGTTATGAGTTATTGTTGCTAATCTCATACTGTGCCTAACTTATAAATTAAACTCTATCATAGGGATGTAAGTACAGTTAAGTCTTCAGTTAATGTCATACATAGGTTATTGAAAACTGGGACTATAACTGAAACAATTTATAAGAAAATCAATTTTTTTCCTCATCAACATTATAAAGAAACAATTTTGAACTAAACGATGTTATTTGAGGACCTGCTGTATGTTGTTCCACTTTAAGTCACATTTCCAAGAACCTGTGGATGTCATTGAGGACTTACTATTACAGAAAAAAACATAGTAAATATAGGGTTCAGAATTGTCTGCAGTTCCAGGTATTCACTAGGAGTCTCAGAATGTATCCCCCACGGATAAGGTGGGGGCGGGGGGGAGGGGGGCTCCTGCATAGCTAGTAAGAATAGATGATACCCAAATTTGGATTTGAGAGTCTATCCTGGCTCTGCTATTTAGTGTCTATATGTTTTTAAGCACATAAATAAGTAAATATAATACCTTAATGAAGATTACTGTAACTATTATTGTTATTATGCTATTACTTAGTGTCTAGGGTAGTTATAATAACCAAATATAACATTAATTGTGTAAAAACTGTAATTTTAGCCTAGAATGGTAGCATTATATTAAACATAAAAGGGCCTAATTTGTTCATTTTTTAAATAAATAGATATCAAAAAAATGCTTATTAATGCCAAACATTATTCTAGATAAACAACTCTGTGTTAAAATACAGAACTGTTTAGTTCTGAATTAAAATGTGTAGCATAAATTAAATTACTGCTCATAACGTTCAATTTGTAAAATCAAGTTAAAGAATGTACCTTAAAACTGTGGTTATTCCCTCCCCACACAAACACAGATGTCATCTTTCCTTGGCACAATGAACACACTATACTTTTAAAAAGTTAAGGCATTTATTAAAAGTGAAAGAAATGGGTAAATGGTCACAAGTCACCTTTAAAATAATTACAGAAGCATATTTTGTGATATTTCTTAATTTCTGGTAGAGCTATTCTAAAAGTAAGAACTTCCTCTGATTCAAGATATGTTTGACTTTTAAGTGCAAATAGTACTCAATAATGATAATAATAATTGTACATAACAGTCATTGAGAACTTCTTTGTGTCAGGTACATAAGCTATTTCATGTCATATAAATAATTATACTTAACTCTCACCACATCTCAATATTATATCCCTATTTAGGAGATGATAAAGCTGATGCAGATACTGTGTAATATAATTGATTTTGCTATTTCTTTTTATAGTCAGATAAAAGAGTCACATTTTGGGAAGTTTTTAGGTACAGTGTTTCCAGAAGAAAAAAAAAAGATTTCTTTGCCTTTGATTTAACAGGTATTATTCATCTGCTCTGGTCTATCATAGGAGAAATGTCTTGAGCTTTAGCATCAGACAGATCTATGTAGTATCTCAGCTCTATCCCTTAACATCTTTATCATTTTCAACAAGTAACTAAATATCTCTGACCTGTTTTCTCTGCTACAAAATGAGGTAATAATACCTGATGCATGAATTCTTTTGGGGAAAGTCAAAATATTATATAATGAAAACAATGGTCGGGAAATGGAAGATGATATTATTTAGACCTGAATTGGGTCTGGAAATAAAATAAGTAAAGAACAACTTTATTCCCTGCTCTTTGTGGCTTGTGCAACCTCATGAGACAAATGGATGCACCAGGAATCCAGCTGTAATATACAACTGTCAGAGAAACACTTTTAAGCAAAGTACAATGTCCTGTGAGAGTACAGTAATGATTAATTTTGATTTGATTAACATTTTTGCTTAATAAATTTGTTATAGTAAATAAACTAATTTGTTTAGAAAACAGCACCAGTCCTTGTTCAACACATTTCATAAAGAAGTTCATCCATGGTTTCAATATGCACCCTTGATTATTCTATGGAGAGTTAAATAATAATTTTATAACTTTGGAGATATTAAGAGGGGGGTTATATATCTCTTCATTCAGTCTCCTATATATTCAGACAGAAAAACTGAGGACAAAATAAAGCTTCTTGACAAAGTTTGCCAAGCAAGTTATTGGTAACTTTACAACTTCTCAAACCCAGTTTGATAGCATCTACTCAATTAAGGTTTTCAAGACAGACCAAGAGAATGATACATTAAGGCAAAATTGTCACACCTGGTTTAAAACAAAATAGCCCAAGGAAGGTTATACAGAAACCTTGAGGCTTAAATATAAATTATTGAAACAATAAAAATAAAATTTCATGTATTAAAGCTGAAATGCAGCTATTATAACAAGAATCAATAATTCCTCTTCAATAGCAATTTGCCTTACTTGATTCTGCATTCCAGAAACAGTGAAAACATTTTTCTGTGATTCCATTAGCAATAAATTACATCTTGAGCAAGTGAAATCATGTAAAGTGGGGCTTTTGTGATTGTTGAAAAAGCTAATGCTTTATAGTTAAAGACCAAATAATAAACAAGAAGAAAACATCACCTTTCTCTCACTGCACTGCCAGTGGAGATCTAGTTTATCCCTGAGCAAGCCAGGCACAGAGTAAATCCCCTACCAGTTGAAGGCAATCCCAAATAGGCATTTCACCCATTGGAAATACACAACTCCAATACTGATAGGGTTTATTTTACTTCCAAAATTCTTCCATAGTTCCATTTTCTTTTTACATTTATGTTAAACTTGTCATATAGACAAAGAACATAATGATTGATGTTTTGATCCTTTTTTCAAGAAATTTATCTACAGGGGCAAATACATACAGATAAACTGCTGCCCTCTTTGAAAATCTTAAACTACTACATGGAAACACTGCAGTTGAAAAATTTTTAACCATTGGACTATTTGTTTTACTAAAAGAGAATTAATTTTTGTAAAATTAAGTTACTCTTGATTTCACATATTATCATTTCACTTGCTAGTCTTTCTCTTTTTAACCTTTTTTCTAGAATCTAAGTAGTGATTATATTTGAGGTGTTCCATTAATTGCGTTTTTTACCACTTTTATCTACATTTATGAAAATGAGTTCAGATGATGATTTGAAAGTGTTTGTATTTTGTTTAATGAGAATCTACAGCTTTTAAAAATTAACATATATAAGTAAATAATAAAGAGAAAAATGTTTTATAGAATGCTACCAACACCTTATAATAAAGTAATTAAGCCATGTTAATCTAAAAACAACCATGACCAAAAGATGTTAATTAGAGACTTAAAAATCAAGTTGGAATGAAAATACTTGAGCTTCTAGTGCTTGCCATTTTTTTCTCCTTAATGTGAACATAAACTCCTTACCACAGTGAATTACTCAGTATTCAACATTTGATGAAGTTGTAAAAGCTGAGAATTCACCTTTCTATACTATGACGGTATGTTATGAGGTTGAGATATTTCATTAGCAAAAGAAATATGTTGTTCTCTCAAATTACTATGTATGTGTGTGTGCATGTGTGTATGTGCATGAACACATGTGCATGTATATAATTTATAAGATGATTTCACATGAAAAAATAACGTTTTATTGTCATCATTAATATTTAAATGGTTGTCATAAACTAATGAGCTTATTCCAAAATGCCTGCTCAACTTTTGAAGAACAAGAGGGATGACAGAAAACTGTGGGGTTTTTTTCAAGCTGAATATTTCTAGTTGTGACCAAATGTAGCTGCTATTCTATCTTTAAACTATTAAAAAGTATGTAACAAAATAAATTGTTACAATATAACATTCATAGCCAAAGTTCTAACATAGGATATATGCTCACAATATTTTGACCCAAATAATCCTGCATAAAGTGAGTTCAGTATTGGATTAATGAATTACTAAGCATTTCCTTAGTAATTAGCTTCAAATCCAATATTTTCCCTCTTTAGTGTCTCCTATCGCACTTAGCCACCTTCTGGGAATGTAACAGAAAGCATTGAAAGCCATTTTCTTTCTCTCCAGCACTAACTCTTGCAATGAGAATTAGTCAACAGCAATGTGAAGAAGTCCTGGTGGCAGCCATCACAGGGAAAATGATCTCATCATCTTCAATCCTTTAAACTCTGTGTATACACACATCGATTTGGGCTGTTTTATTCAAAAAATTCAATCCAGAACTAGGGAGGTTAAATGTTTCTCTGAACCAAAAGATTACATAGGAAGTGATAAATCAAGAGATATTGAATGTATTTTTCTACTATGTACAAAGTATCATACTAGGTGCCAGAGGAATTGTTTGAAGTCTAAAATCTTCTGAGTTGAAAGCATACAATCAGAGTGGAAAGACATGAGTCCTCTCTCAGTTCTGCAAATTGAGGCAAAATATGATACGTCTTTAAACTTAGGTAAAGTTATAATTCCAGACACAACTCACTACCCTTTACCTCAAGGAATTTATGATCTCATTAACATAGACATGTGATCTCAAATTAATGAAATTCAAGGTAAAGCATCATAAAGCGCATATGAGTCCATGACTGTGTCATTGCACAGAAAGGGCCTATAATCATTGATTATATTGTGGAAACGTTCCTTACCTCTGTCTGCTAAGATTACATCCTGTGACATAACTACTGATTTTTATGTACCATTTCTAAAATTATTGAACACCTTCAATGTACCCGGCAGTGTTTTAAGGGCTGGGAATATAGAGTGAAAACACACACACACACACACGCACTCCAAATACCAGATTTCAAGGATGATACAGTCTCTTGGTAGGAATCATGCAATAAAGAAATAAGAAAGTAAAACACACAGCAAGTCAGATGATGAAAAGTGCTATGAAGACAAAATAGCCAGAGGAAGCAGCCATGAGTGTCCTGGGAGGAGAAAGGGAGAGTCTCCACTGGGCCTTGTGGGCATTTCAAATACCTAAATTTTTACTCTCGATAATTTGGAAAATCACTGAATTTTGTGTGGAAAGAGATGTGGTACCAATTTAAAACTATCAATTTGGCTAGGTGAGAATCAGAGAGACCTGTTTGGAGGCTACTGCTGTATTCCAGTTTAGCAAGCATAGACCAAGTGGAGGTGTGAGAAGGTAAAGCCAAGAGAATTGCTGATAGATTAACAGATGGGAATAGAGGAAAAGAGAGTCAAGAATGATTCTACGGGCGCGGTGGCTCACGCCTGTAATCCCAGCACTTTGGGAGGCCGAGGCGGGTGGATCATGAGGTCAGGAGATCGAGACCATCCTGGCTAACAAGGTGAAACCTCGTCTCTACTAAAAAATACAAAAAATTAGCCGGGCGTGGTGGCGGGCACCTGTAGTCCCAGCTACTCGGGAGGCTGAGGCAGGAGAATGGCGTGAACCCGGGAAGCGGAGCTTGCAGTGAGCCGAGATTGCGCCACTGCAGTCCGCAGTCCAGCCTGGGCGACAGAGCGAGACTCCGTCTCAAAAAAAAAAAAAAAAAAAAAAAAAGAATGATTCTATATGAACTATTGGAAACTGCAGGTGCCAAAGACTGCAGGAGTAGCAGATTTGGGGATGGAGGTAAGGTGTGGAATTTCACAAATGTTAAGTCTGAGAGATCTATTAGAGTATGGAAGTCTTCTTGCTCAAGCTGTATAGAGTCTTACCCAGTTCCCTTTCAGTGCTGTTGTGGTCTGGGTAAATTGGGACTGTGTTGATGCCCTTACGAGGAAGTGGGAGCCTTTCTCATTCTACATGTGCACAGGCAGCTCAGCCCCTGTTCCCTAAAGCCCTGTGCTGTTTCTCCTGATAAAAAACAATTGAAAAGTCTGTGTGCAGCATCCTTACAGACTCAGTGGCCATACATGACTGCGATTGTTCAGTAACCGAACAATGCTTCTTTCATATTCCAGTGTGATCCAATAGTGATTTTGACACAGTACTCACATCTAAAATCCCTATGTATCCATGTCTTCAAAAGTGAGTTTTTTTATAACAACTCATTTAAAAAGCTTCCCTTGCCATGCACACATTACTTTGTTTATGAAATATTTCTAGAAATTCCCTTTTGCTTTTCTTTCAGTGTATACACTCTAATTCTTAATTTCTTAAAATGAATTGACCATCTTATATTAAATGGATACTGAATCCATATTATTTATTTGAAGATAATGTTGATTAATATTTAGAGAGCTCCAAGTTATGCAAAATAAATGTCCCCGGGGAGCAGGTTATTAAAATAAATTTTAGGAAACTTGCCAAGCCTGGAACATCGTAAGAATAACCTAGGAAGGAGTCTTTAAATATTCAGACAACATCACCATCTATCTGCCAGCCAACACCTGCCCTACCTCTGTGTAATTCTCTTCCAATGGTTTTAGGATAGGCCCTGGAATCTGTACTTAACATGCATTCATTTGTTCTGATTAGCCAAATACAGAAACCACTAGAAAAGGAATTCCTTTACATCTGTAAAAATAACCCTGATTGCATGATATGAAATAGATGAGAAATAATATTATTAAAATATCTTCTATTGAAATCACTACCCTTAGAGTAACTTAAAAAATGAAAAAAGAAAAACTAATGTCTTTTGTTTCCTGCATTGGACTTTATCTGATATGCAAATGAATATAACTTAATATTATATATGCCATCCCTATTCTCAGCATCAACACATTCTCCTTCTTTTATATAGCACTTAATCATATATTACTCTTTGATTTTAAAAACAAAGTGAGTATCTAGCCCTATGTATTTTGCACACAAGTATTAGTGTTGTGTAGTCCATTCATTCCCTATAGCATGGGAAGAAGATTTGGAATCTGCAACATTGCCTACAGTTCATTTAATTATGATTGCATATTTGGTTAGGGACAAAGTAAATTGAATGAAGCATTAAAATCAAACATCCTTTTAATTAAATTAGAAAGAGACTGACTTCTTCTTATTGTTTATTTTTATTAATAGAATGAGAATACTATGTCTCCAAAGAAGGTGTCATAATTCCTTTGAAATAAAGATACTTTTTTCCAGCTCCATTGTCTAAAAGCTTGAATTTGACCCATGTTTCATCTAGTTTAATATTTAATAATTTCCTCTGCAAGAAGACTTTCAATGCATAAAATGTTGTATAAATTATTATTGGTACTGATGTACTTTATGTAGTAATTTGCACATTTGCAGATTAGGTACAGATGGACTTTACCCAAATCATGCAAGATTTAGGAAAATTCACAACCTTCAAAACTAGTGGCCAGGCCTGGCATGGTGGCTCACGCCTGTAATCCCAGCAATTTGGGAGGCCGAAGCGGGCGGATCACAAGGTCAGGAGATCGAGACTATCCTGGCTAACACGGTGAAACCCCCTCTCTACCAAAAAAATACAAAAAATTAGCCAGGTATGGTGGCGGGCGCCTGTAGCCCCAGCTACTCGGGAGGCTGAGGCAGGAGAACGGCGTGAACCCGGGAGGCGGAGCTTACAGTGAGCCTAGATCGTGCCACTGCACTCCAGCCTGGGCAACAGAGACAGACTCCGTCTCAAAACAAACAAACAAACAAACAAACAAAAAACTAGTGGCCCTTACTTAGGCTCAGTAGACTAAACAATTCCCCCTCAAATGAAAGAAATAGTACATCTGTCTTTAAAATTCATTACAACAAAGCATGAAAAGCCTTATTTCACTGATACCTCTGCCAAATTTTAAAAATTTTAATGTTGTTTTAAGAAACATATTTTACTACATGAACCACTACGTACATTCATCTCCATATTATCGAACTCTCATAATTAAGTCACCAATCTCTTATGGTAAATATTTGAATTGGCTATTCATATATGATATTTACAATTGAGATTTTTTATACAGAGAAACTCTTTGGGCATATACTGATATTTCAATTAATTAAGAATAGCATTACATGCTTTTCCATACTTAAGCAAAGTCCAAGTAACTATTACTATGTGTACTTCTCTGTAAAATGACAATTTTATTTATGGAGGGAAATTCTTTGACAAATAGAATATATTATGGCAAATAGAATATATATAGCATGGTGTGGAGTTTTTACAATGGTAATAGCGAACTGCTACAATCTGTTCCATGGGATATTATTATTTGAACTCCGCTATTTATAAACAATATTTCTGACATATCTGTTAGCTGATTTATTCATACAAATTTGTATAGGCTGTGAAAAGTCCATTGTTTCTAGTCATAGGTTGTCTTATTGCTACTGGACATGCATTCTTCAAAATGATATTTTTGTTCCTCCACAAATACTAAAAGTTTTCATACTAAAATCTGAAAGAAAACAGTTAAATTGAAATCAGACTTAATTTGCATCAACGTGTAAGTAGAGCAGAGACAATGCAAAGGAAAGAAGGCATCAAAAGCACCAGTATTTTTGGAGTTTGCCCTAAGTATCATTTTTTATTCTCTCAACTTTTTACTCCTAACTTCAACTTTTCTATTTCCCTTTTCCTTCCCAACTATTTTTTCAGACTTTTCCATCCTACAAAAGCACCGGATTTGTTTTTTTATTCTTTTAAAAAAATCTTGTATTAGAAAAGAAAAATGACAAAATTAAAATTTGTACCAGGAAATGAAGATAGAATTAGTTATTTTACTAAAGGGTTCGTCATAGGATCCATTAAAAACAACGGCTTTTAAATGGACATTTGATTCGTAAGTAATTTTGGAATCTGTTCCTGATATACGATGCTAACCATCCTAAAAAACTGGTACCCCTGAGGCCAGCTAGGTGAAATGACTACCCCAAAATAGCTCAGCAACCTAATAAATACACTCAATCAAAGATTTCCATTCAATCGTTATCCATACGCAACACCCAGGTAATCACAATTCAGGAAGGTCAGTAGGAACCAAATAATATTACATACATATGTAGAGATTCAGTCTTTAAAATGATTCCCCTCACTTTGAGGTAAGTCTCAATAAGAGAACAATAAATAGATGAAAGAGAATATATAAACACTTTTTATGCAGGATTCCTACTTTCATTCCTAGATATTGATTGTTTTCTGGAATTTACTGTAACACTTTGTCCCCACAAAATATATATGACCTCTGTTTTACACAAGTTGTAGACTATTAAATTAGTAACACAGTGAAACAGAAAGATGGGTGTCTAAAATTGTTAAGAAGGATTCTGTTTACGTGACTTGGAATTCCAATGAAACTTAACTGGAGAAACTCTTTAATTTTACTTAAAATTTTGATGTTTTATTATAAATAGATGAAAAGTAAATGCCCAAATTTTCATAGTAATCATTTATTTTCATCATCCATCATTAAATTAGTTTCCCTATATTTTGGGTAAATATTTCAAGATCTGGACTTACTCCTGTCAAACCACTCATTATTCTGAAATTACCTGTCTTGTTTGTACATTGCCCAAGCCCCCCTGAAAATACCTTCAGTGCAGGAATAGCTTTTTCAGAAATCTATCCCTAGTACTTAACATAAGATAGACAAGCATATCTTAATAATTAAAATGATAGCAATGTATAACATTAAGAGCCTATTATATGTCAGGCACTCTTAAGTGCTTAATATATCTTAACTCATACCCTCAGATATTGTTGTTACACCTATTTTACAAATAATCTCAAGCAGAGAGAAATTACATAACTTGCCCAGAATAAAAAAACTGGTAAGTGGAAAAACTGAACTTCTGGGGAGTCTGTACTCCTCAATACTATGCTGTCATGCCTTGAGTATAAATAAATCCATGGTAAATATTTTCTGGTTGGACAAATAACTACAATGTCAATATGTATGTGGGATGTAGTCAAACAGTATATTCCAGTTAAATAATAAAGGGAAAAAAATCTGGCTAGTGACTAACTCAAACAATTGATTCAGAGACAAGGTATTTGTTAGATGTAAGGTATCTTATAGTTTTGTTGGAGTGGCACAGCTACCACTTAAGGGGTAGCATATTACCTATAGTGATATAAAATTTGTAAATCTGGTCATTAATTGAACGATGTATCAGCTGTCAGAAGCTAAAAGGACCAAGACTTCCTATGGTTCTATTAGGAAAGTAAGGGTGGAAGATAATAACTAAATAAATACGTAAATAAGAAAGGAGGAAGGGAAATCAGCTGAGTTACACGAATCGAATATTTAATTCTCTTATTTATTTATTTATTTATTGAGACGGAGTCTCTGTTGCCCAGGCTGGAGTGCAGTGGCACAATCTTGGCTCACTGCAACCTCTGCCTCC
The DNA here is from genome assembly GCF_000001405.40 of Homo sapiens. Taxonomy (NCBI): domain Eukaryota; kingdom Metazoa; phylum Chordata; class Mammalia; order Primates; family Hominidae; genus Homo; species Homo sapiens. The sequence continues at coordinate 9,129,315 of NC_000009.12, read as the reverse complement.
TGGGTTCCAGTGATTCTCATGCCTCAGCCTCCCAAGTAGCTGGGATTACAGCCGCCCGCTACCATGCCTGGCTAATTTTGGTATTTTTAGTAGAGATGGGTTTTTGCCCTGTTGGCCAGGTGGGTCTCAAACTCCTGACCTCAGGTGATCAACCCGCCTCGGCCTCCCAAAGTGCTGGGATTACAGGCGTGAGCCACTGCGCCCGGCCTAATTCGTTATTAGATAAAGCCTTGTGTTAGGACTGCTTGTAAGAGCAGTACTCTCACTAAATGTGGTTGATGTGGACATCTGTGGAAGAATGAAATACAGCTTTATATTTCCCAAATAGAATCTTCTATAGTTTGCTTGCTAAGTATTCATTTATTATGACTTTCATAAGTCCATTTGGAATGAGAAAAATGATGTTACATTTAACATTTGTTTAGACTTAAGATTCATAATTTTAAAATTATGCTCAGACCACAGTGAAAAATACTGCTATTCTTTGTATACTACGCTAACTTCTCTGCTCTGCTGTGGGCAGCGTTAGCCACAGGAACACAGCTGCAACTACAATTTATTTAGTCTTTTACACGAAACCTAAACTCCACTTTTATCTAATCATACTGAGTTCTCCAAAATATTTGATAGGCATGAATGTCATCACAAGTATTGTATACATGAACACTCAAAAAGTCGTATGATATTCAGAAAGCTGATATATTTTTAAAGCAACTACATGTATAGACTATTATACTTACAGCCCCCAAATCTGTTTGTGCTAGCTAACTTCCTGGTCATGTTAGCCTTGTATCATTTAGCCACAAAATAAGTGAGATAATGGGCCATGATGTTATTATGCATACGTGTATAATTGAATATATGTTTTGTATAGTATGCAATAGAATGTAGGTTTTGACATATACTCCTGAATTATCATCAGTCATCTGTTTACTAATACTTGGACAGTATGTGCATGTATATGTGTTTGTATATGTGTGTTTATGTTTCTGTGCGCAAATGTATGAGTTCGGAAGGTTAAAGGAGAGCTAATGACCTAAATATTTTGAAATATAGATATACATACCTCATATTTAGAAAGACCTATTAACAATGGTAAATATTATGAGTTTTATTTTTTAAATTAAATAGCCAAAGCATCATGGTCACACACATGCTTTAAGCTGATGATCCAGCATCTATGTTGTTCATGTAGTAAAACCATCTGGCCTCAACTAAATGCATATAAAAATACTTGTCATGCCCACATCTTTTTTAAAAAAGTACAGTATTGGTAAGTTTATGAATTTATTTTAGAGCCTAAATAAAATTGGCAGCCAATTTGGAAGGTATCAAGGTTAATAGAGGCAAAAGAAGTAGGAGGACAGAGAGCTTGGGGTACCTTGTAGACCAGATATTCTAGTAGTGGCAAATTCTGGCAAAGTTAGAAGATATACGAAATTCAAACAGGGTGCTTCCTTTTCTTCCTTTTGCTAAATTCCTGTCTGTAGGCATCACCTCTTTTTTTCCTTCATATTTTATTTTTTCTGAACTTATTTTCTTTACTCTTTCCCGAGGTAATCTCTTCCAGACATTCGATGAAAGACTGATACATGTATATATAAATTTACACCTCCCGTCTTGACCACTACCTTTGGCTCAAATATGAAAGCTCATTCCCTTATTTAGCATATATCTGAATGTGGTATAGACATCTAACTTTATCATGTTAAAAACAGAACTTTGGACTAGTCTTTACTAAAGTGGAATAGACATCCATTATCATTGATTGCTCAAGTCAAACCTTTCAGTTTTGTTTACCAAACATTTCTCCCTTGCCTAAGGACCCCTTCTGTCTAAATTATCTGCAAGTCTTGTCAGTTATAGCTTCCCAGTATATTTTATATCAATTCATTTCTCTTCATACTTACACTGTCCACCTAGTTCATACTACCATTATCTCTCACTGTTTGTTATGAGGTTAACTAACTACAGCAGTTCTCAAATCATGTCATTTTGTTCAACGTTGTTTCATTATAACATTGATGAGAAAAGCAATCAATTCCCAGCTGGGTCACTGTCTATGTGGAGTTTGCACATTTTCCCCATGTTGGTGTGGATTTTTTCCAGGTATTCTCGTTTTCCCATACATCCCAAAGAAGTGCACATGAGGTGAGTCAGCATGTGTACATGGTCCCAGCCTGAGTGTGTGTGTGGGTACCTGTGTGTGTATGTGTGTGTGAGTGTGCTTTGCAATGGGATGGCAACCTGTTCTGGGTTTGTTCCTTGTGCATGTGTACATGGTCCCAGCCTGAGTGTGTGTGTGTGTACCTGTGTGTGTATGTGTGTGTGTGAATGTGCTCTGCGATGGGATGGCATCCTGTTCTGGGTTTGTTCCTTGTGCTCTTAGATGCTAGGATGGGCTCCAGCCACCTGCATTCCTAAACTGGAATAAATGGGTTAAAGAGTGAATGCATGAATGAACGAATACAAATTATTGTCAAATAAAAATGTGTAGGATTACAATAATCTTACAAATGCACAACAACAAATGAAGCAGTACAAAAGCATTCAGTGATTGTCTTTGAGCTGTGAGACAATAGCAAGAACTTCTTAAAATTTTCACTTTACCATCAATTATTTCCTGATTTACCTTACTACCACTACAACTACCATCACTCAGTGATTCACCAAAAATTGAGTGACTATCTTGTTTTCATTAATCTTTCTTAAATGTATATATAACTCACATTAATTTCACTGTTTAATATTTGAAATGTTTTGAATCTTTATTTAGAAGTTTTTCTAACTTTTTGTGACAATAAGTATGCCATAGAAATTTTAATCTTGTTTATATCAGTTAACCTATGGTAAAATCAGTTTCATTGTATGTCGTTTCACTTAAAGTCACAATTTCTAAAAAGCTATCCTTGATATAGGTGAGGACTTACTGTATTCAGCTTATATTCAAATATTATGGCCTATTGGACAGTGTTCCTTCTGACCGGTTGGCAACTTTTCTGATTGATAAATGCCAAAGGCTATAGGAATTGCTAAATGTTTTGAATCCTGCCCCTAATTCCTCTGTCGTTAGCTTCAGTGTATTTTCTGCATCACTGACCAAGACATTATCGATCTAAAATAAATTGTGGCTTATATCCCCCTCCTGCTTAAAATCCTACAAAGAGTTTCCATTGCTCCTAAAATAAAAGCCTAACTCCTAGCTTTCCTTTAAAAGCTCTGTATAATCTGGCACCACCAACAGGGTAAATCTCATCTCTTACTATTCTTCCCTGGTTGGCAATGCTGTAGGCATGATACCCTCCATTCTGTACCTGGAGCACCCTAAGCTCTTACTCATCTTAACACAACTGTCCCTTCTGCCTGGACCATTCACCCCTTGCTGTTCACTTGGCTGGCTCCATTTCTTTCATGTTTCAGCTCAAAGGTCACCTCCTCAGTAAAGTCATCACAGCCTAAAACAACTTTACCCCATTGAGTCTTTATTTGATGATACTCTTTATTTGTTGTTTGTGTGTTGTATGTCCCCTCTCTTGGAGTATATATAGTTCTATGAGGGCATGGATTTTTTATTTCTGCCACACATAATTGTACCTAGTGCTTGAAACATAGTACATACTCAGTAAATATTAGCTGAATTGTTTAGATCAGTGATTCTCACCTGGGAGGCTATGTTTTCTAATGAAATTATTCAAGAAGTATTTCTTGAGCACCTATTTTGTGCCAGATATCTTGCTACCTGTTGTGAAACTAATATAAAAGGTAAAGTCCTTGCCCTGAAGGCTCATAGTCTGAAGTGGGAGATACTGCTTTTCTCAGACAATTGCAGCACTGTGAGGGAAATGCTAACCGAGAGGTAAGCACAGGTACTGTGGGAAGAAAGAAAGTCAAACTGCAACTGAATGGTAATGGAGTGAGAGAGCAAATTAGAGAAAGCCTTCACACAAGGTAATTCTCACAGTATGTCTTGACACCAAGTTGAAATGGCTTTAATGGTAGAAATATCAGCCCTTCTCTGGCAGCGAGGTGCTCCCATGACAGGAAGTTTGGCTAGGTAATATAAAGTCAAGCAGGGATTTGTTAGACTCTCTGACCATACTGCTTAGGAGTGGCCCACTCTGCTAAGTAAGGAGCCAGTTCTGCTAAGGATAGCTGCTCTACTGTTGAGAAATCCAGGCTCAGATAAATTTATATTGTCATGGGTTTTTTTCTTTTTACATTTGTCTTTTTCTGTTAGACTGAGAAGCTTAAGGGAGCATACAGATGATACTAGAAAATGGATAGACAGTGGATGAAGGGAGGGATGGCAGGAAGACAGAAAAGGAAGGTAGGGAGAGGAACCAGTTGCTCAATACAGCAGTCTCTTGTTATAACGAGTTAACAAAATAGTGACTGGAATTTTCATTGTTTGGATTATTTCCTGCTGTCAAGTATGTCCAGTGGTTGGCAACTTTTGCAACAATTTTAACATCTGTGTAATATAGGGAAAATTGCCCAGATTTGTGACTTCTTTGTGGTTTTCCTCCTGTAACATTTTTGGTACAAACATAAAGCCTTATAAACTGGCAAACAATGCAACAAGGCTGAATGGAAACTGGCTGACTTCAACTTTATTATTTGAGGTCAAAAAGAAATGAGGCTTGAAATAGCAGCCACCAGGTCTGAACTCACCGGGAATCAAATGAAGCAGATTTGGTATGAGCTGAACAGTTCGGTTTTGTTAGTTCTTTGTATTTTTTTAAAGGCAATTTTAGAGCTGAGAGTCTATAATTGCTTGATTGTTTTTAGTCTTATAATTGTCTTGAAAGCAATTATGGCCATTTTGTCATTTCTTCTCTGGTCTAATTTCAGTCTGTCTTTGACCAACCATATTAGAAATGCATCAGTAAATATATTGATTATATGGTGGTATTTTTGCATCTATTTTAAGATAGTTATTTAGATAAATCTAGGAATTCTCATTTTGGCACAAGGAAATGATTAGATAGATAGATAGTTAGAAAGAATCTTACTAATATATGTAAGTAACACTTAATGAGAATTATCTTAAAAGCTACTTTTTCCAGTATTTGTTACTATCCAATACCTCTCCCAGGAAAATGTCTACTGTTGCATCAAAGGCATCTATGGCATAATACTTTATAATGTGTGACATATACTTAAAGTTGATATGACTGATGTTCTTGTTTCCTTACACAGATATGTAGATAAAAGGTAATTATATCCATGATTGCTTGATGCCTTGCTTACTAGTGGTATTAACTTCCTAGGCAGTTTACCAAAACTACTTAACCTCCCTCCCCCACCCCACCTTTTAGACAATATGCCTACATAAACCAATAGCTGCCCACTGGTCAATTTACTTTTTCTGAGGTGTGCTTTAGCTTAGATATTCTCTTTGTCTCCTATTCATCTGATATGACATCATGATTTCCCACTCACACAATGTGGTTGACTGTGATTCATTGTGGCTATTCCTGTTGACCCCTCATCAAAATAATTTTTGATATTCTAAATTTGCATGTGATGACTTTGGAATCTACCTTTCAACAAATGTTGTCTTCCTTTCATTCTGGAAATATTTTCTCGTATAATTTGATGTAAAGTAAAGCAAGCTACACCCTTTTGTTCTGAAATACCCAAGGTTTCACTCGAGAAAGTATAATTGCTTTTTAACCTCTAAGATATAATATGTTCAGTTTTTATCAGTCTATGGGCTGGTTACTTTGCTAACAACATGTGGCTTTCTTGATGCCATTGGAAAAAAAAAATGTTTCTCTGTACATATCTGATTGTATGTAGCTGAGGCAGCAGAGTTCTGTATTCTCTTTCTAATCTGGACTACAATAAGCCTGGTGATTTTCCATAGCATGTAGCTGTCAGTCTACTGATAGTTAATATGCGACTTATTGTACTGAGGAGTTAAATTAAAAATACTCTTTTTATATCATGCCTAAGGAGAACTGGAAAGGACACACACAGCTTGCTGAAGGGGAAATGGTGCTAGCATTTCAGAGAAATGTCCTAGCTCCAACACCTGGGTTTCCAATACCAGAATTGCATTTTTGTACCTGAGTTGGAGTGACATGGCACAGATGGCATGAGGCCATGACTGCATGACTGACCCTAAATCTAACCGCAAATGAAAATATTAGTGTTTCAGTGTTCATCAAATGGCAGACACTTTTCCACCAAAAATGGAGGATTCTGCTGCACAAACAGAGCAGTCCTGCTTCGGTTCTCATTTCTCCTTCTGTCCAAAGATATCAGGCTTGCTAAAACAAACAAACAACAACAACAACAACAAAAACAGTGAATTTAAGTGCCTTGTGGATATAGCAATGCCATTTTCCCCATGTCACAAACTCTATTTCTTTTTAAATAAATGGTGTAACTGTATTAATAGTGGTAGGTTACCCTTTTTGTACAAAGATTATTTTTAATCATCACTGGAAATGGGATTGGGTTTGTACTGTTTATCCAGGGAGGAGATGAGTTTTCCCAGAATTGTTCATACCCTTGCACGTTACTCCATGCACTGGCATAAACATTAGATGAGAGTATGGGTATAGTCCATATCTGTAAAACAGAACGTAGCTAAATGAGAAACACAGGATTTCAATCCAAGGTTATCTGGACTTCTGAGCCAAATCACCATATGTTCATGTCATGTACTGCGGCAAGTGTCATAGCATTTCAAGATGGGAGGACACTTAGAAATAGTGAAGCTTAAAATCCTCTTAAACATTTAGCTAAAATTATGTTAGGAATGAAGAGGAGTCCAAAATAAAACCCAAGATGGAGATCTGACTAAAAAGGAAAAAAATAGAGCAATGCCTTCTGATGGTTTTCAGATTTAGGCTAATTCTGCATTCATAAATTTAGGACATTTGCTGACTCATCCATTTCTATCATATATTAAGATTCTTCTTTGAAATATTATATATCTTTGATTTTTTGTAGTTATGTAGATAGAAATAAACAAAATAAAATAGAAATTCTTGTTTTAAAAGGCAAAGGATCCTCCCATATAGGTGTGTCTTTCCAAAGACAAGATACTGAATAAGTGTTGCTTCTCTTAATCAGCAAAGCTAGAAATAATATCTGATGAGTAACAATAACTCTTTTGTAACACATCATTTCACTGTAAGATCTCAGGAAACCAGATATCACTGAGGAACATATGAAGTCTGCTACTGTTAATCATGAATCACTTTTCAAGGATCTACTTTTTTTGTTTTCTATCATAAATGGCTAGTACCTTTTATGGGTGGAGTAGAGAGGGAGTCTCCCCTCATGTAACAAATTCTGGGAACATTAAATAAATAGTGATAGCAAATATCTTGATGCTCATTAAACTTTTCTTGGGCTTGTAGACTACAAAACTCTTTAGAGAGATTCCTACATTGAATAATATTGTTCAGAACATGAGCCAAAATATATCTGATCAAGTTTTTTTACAAGAATGGAGATTTTCTTTATTTTATTTTATTTTTCCATAAGTTATTGGGATACAGGTGGTATTTGGTTACATGAGTAAGTTATTTAGTGGAGATTTGTGAGAACCTGATGCACCCATCACCTGAGCAGTATACACTGCACCATATCTGTTGTCTTTTATCCCTCGCCCCCCTCCCACACTTCCCACCAAGTCCCCAAAGTCCATTGTATCCTTCTTAGGCTTCTGCGTCCTCATAGCTTAGCTCCCACAAATCAGTGAGAACATACAATGTTTGGTTTTCCATTCTTGAGTTACTTCACTTAGAATAATAGTCTCTAAACTCATCCAGGTCATTGCAAATGCTGTTAATTCATTCCTTTGTATGGCTGAGTAGTATTCTATCGTGTATATATATATATACCAAAGTTTCTTTGTTGATTGATGGGCATTTGGATTGGTTCCACAATTTTCCTATTGTGACTTGTGCTGCTATAAACATGCGTGTGCAAGTATCTTTTTCGAATAATAACTTCTTTTCCTCTGGGTAGATACCCAGTAGTGTCATTGCTCAATCAATTGGCAGTTCTACTTTTAGTTCTTCAAGGAATCTCCACACTGTTTTCCACAGCAGCTGTATTAGTTTACATTACAAGAATGGAGATTTTCAAATAAAAATACTTTTTGTCACATTTCCATAAATAGTTGGTGACTATGACAGCATCTATGCCATGTTTCTTATGTTCTGTTTACTACAAGAGAAATTATCCTGACTTTCAATAAGTATTTGAACTGAAAATTGGACTCCTGGAGGTGTTATATAACCTCTGTACGTTTTCTTTTCCTCACCGCTAAAAGCAGATAATAATAATATCTTCATTACAGCATTGTTGTGACAGTTAAACAAAATAATTCCTGAGAGTGATTAGTGTATTGCTTAGCACTTAGTAAGCAATGAGAAAGTGATAGTTCTTAGTTGCATTTTAGATTCAAGCAAGGAAGAGTTTCTAACAGTGATACCAACCCTTGGAAACGTTTAGACTTAGCTGTCACAATCTATGGAAATGTTGTACACATGATCCTTGGAAAATCTGGCCTAGACCAGTAGTTCCCAAATTTGGCTATATAAAAGAATACCTGAAGGAAATTTAAAGTTATGAATATACAGGTGCTACTTCAAATCTACTCAGTCAGACTCACCGGTGCTGGGACCTGAGAAGATGAATTTTTACCCTCCTCTCCAGATGATCTGCTTCATGATTGAGAACCACTTACGCAGGTAGCTTATAGAATACCACCTAACTCAGGAACTCTGCAAATGTTTGACTAAATCTAAAGAGGTAGCTTTTATATGCAATGGAGGCATGCACAGCTTTCATATTTGACAGACTTTTCCATAGCTCCATATGTCACGTATGTATACAGGAGTCAATGATAATTGATGGTAATGAGGCAGATTGCCTGAGTGCTGCAGAGTTCCTTGGAGGTTCTTTTTAGAGCTTTCTAAAGCACCACAAGTGCCTGATGGCATATATCATCACGGTCTCCATGTAATTACTGATTCAGCATTTCCCAAGCTGATGCTCCCCCATACACTGTTCTGCAAGATGTTATTAATAAGCACTTAAATGACATCTTTCTTCAAATAAATTTGGTGAACAGATTTCTTCAGTCTAGTACTTCTCTATGACTTCCAAAAGCCTTCAAGATGCCAATGTGCACTGTGAATTTCCAGTAGATGAAATATAATCAGGCACATCATTTGCTATTTAGACCATGGGCTCTTTACTTGATGTCTACCTGTTGGCATCTTTCAAGGAAAAATGTTTTACAGAACACAGTTTAGAAAATGGTATGCATTCAACCATTATGTCCCAAACACAAATTTCTTTTTATTTGTGCAAATGTATGGAGTGCATGAGAATTTTTTTAATGTATATAATGCATAGCGATCTAGTCAGAGTAGTTAGGGTGTCCATCTCCCAAGTACAATACACTTTCATGTGTAGTCATCTTTCTCTGTGAGATTAAAAAAAAAAAAAATCACAGAATCTGGCAAGGCATGGTGGCTTACTCCTGTAATCCTAGCACTTTGGGAGGCTGAGGCCAGTGGATCATCTGAGCTCAGAAGTTCGAGACCACCCTGGGCAACATGGTGAAACCCCGTCTCTACTAAAATACAAAAAATCAGCCAGGTGTGGTGGCACGCGCCTGTAGTCCCAGCTACTCAGGAGGCTGAGGCAGGAGAATCGCTTGAACCTGGGAGGTTGCAGTGAGCCGAGATTGTGCCACTGCACTCCAGCTTGGGCTACAGACTGAGACTTCTTAAAAAAAAAAAAAATCACAGAATCTGAATTGGTAGTCATCTAATCTTGCAAAGTAAATATTTTTGCAGGAATGTTTCTGAGATTCTGATTCTGTGCCTGGATTTCAATATGAATCTCTTTAATTTTGTCCAGAAAATAGAGTTTCATGTAAATATATCACAACCCAAAGAGTTATCTCCTCACCCTCACCATTTTTGCTAAATCAGATTTCTGAGACATTGGAAGGAAGGCTCATTTTTTTGTTATTGTTAAAAAGCAATAGATAGAAACTAGGCCAGCTGGTTTTAGGAAAACAACTAACTGGTTTCTGCAATAACTTAGACTGGTGACTAACATGGTAAACCTATAAAATGATAAGGAGTCATAATAAGATAAACTCAACAAGGTTAAACCAATTCACTTCACTTCTGCAGAGAACCCAGCAGGACATACTAAAGAACATACAAGTTTGTTAGCATATTTTTCATGTTGCTGAAGAAAAGATTACATTTGTCCCCATTAATTTGGCTGTCTTGGTCTTTCCATATGACATGGAAATATATTATCCTTAGTATATTTTTAGGTGAATAATGTCCATGTCCGCTACTACAACTTTAGGCCCTCTAACTTCCCTTTGTAATTGTGGAGTAAAATGTGGTGTGATTTCATGTGCATCACTTTTGTTAGAAATAATGGGAGTGTTGGGTTTCTATTCTGTTAAAAAATAAAATGCTCTTATTATTTACTTTAAGGTAGAATAAGTACTTCATCCTTCACTGATCATTTGGAATTGAAATTATAAAAATAAAAAGGGCAGGGTATATTGAGCTCACTGCTTTTTAGTCACCTTATTTGTTCAATTATCAGCTGTCTATGCTTGCAAGTAACTTTCAGGCCACCAGCAAAACCCTGTCGTCTCAATAGAGGAAAGCTGCATCTTTATACATATAAGAACTTTATTTTCATTTTTTAAGGGAGGAGATGTATGAGTAATGCTGGAAGATTCCAGTCTGTTTCCATTATGCAGGCTACTAGAATAGCTATTTAGATTCTTGACATAAAGAATAAAAACAGACCTTCCTAAAAAGTAGATAGGAAGCCAGTGTGTGACTAAAAAGTTGCTGGGTACTAAATCACTGTGCATGTAGTGTGAAATTGGGCAGGATTTTTCTATTCCCACTATAACTTCTGCAGAAAATGGTCAGTTAAGTGGGGCTAAATGGATCATATCTGTTCACTCCGCTTGTGAATCTATACAGGTTTGGGATCAAGCTTACCATGTATTCTCAGGTAGATCCTGCTAATAATTGAGACAGTATTTTTACTTGCATATTATTTTGATAGCTTGCCATACCTAAAAGCATATTTAAATACTTTTATAGTGTTATGCATCTTTCAAATCCTGCAGAGCCACAGTCAAAAGTTGTAGCAATTGTTTAGGTAATGCAATGATCAAAAACCCAAGTGTGGGTGTTTCTCTGTCCAACCTGCCAGAAGCTGATTTGGCCTGAAGCCAGGGAGTTTATGCTTCAGTTGTGCTTCAGGTCCCTCACTTGCATGTCCCTGTCTAAGAACGTGTAGTTAAATTTATAGTTGTAATTTTAAAATTTATTTTTCCAAAAAAACAGCATCAACATCGTGTAAACTTCAGATGCCACAAAACCTGGATCCATCCCTTCATTTTTTTTTTTAAATTTTCTTTGCCTCTACCATACATTCAAGGTAATGCATCAGTTTGGTTTTTCAAGCAATGGGACAAATGACAGGTTCATTGTTTCCAAAAATACCACCCATGATTTTACAGTTGGTTTTATCTTCTGAAATATTTTTTTTCTTGGCATATTAACATTAAAATAAAGCTTCCTAAGTTCAGTTTATTCTAGGAAAGACTAGGGATTCATTCTTTTATTTATTCTTTTCTTTATTTAGTAAACTTTCATTCAGTAATGAGGTTGCTGCATGGCTCTTGGCATGTACAAAGATAAAGTGATAAAGAGAAAAATAAAAGATCTTGTTCCTCAGTTGGCCTACCAACTTTACATTTGGAGTGTCCAAAGTATTTAGTGAAATTTTCAATTATAAAATGATTTTAAAATAGCTGCATATATAGTGTCTTGTGGGGTATCACCATTTCATGTGCATTATCTCATTTGAATCACTTTCCTATGCTTAAGTACAACAAGTGTTTTAAGTTATTAAAATGGTAGGTTAGTAAGTAAAACAAGATGTCAATGAAAGTATTAAGGCACAATGGAGCTATGTTTTACAAATCTAACAGTGCTTTTGTACTCACGAATTAATTACTTGGGTATAAGTTAATCATACCCTGAAAGTACAAAAAAAAAAAAAAACTTAATTTCCTGAGCTCTCTGCTGGAAAAAGATACTAATTTTAGATCAGATTCCAGTTAAAACATGCTAAAAATTCAACAAGCTCAAAAATTACTTCAGAGTTTCTATTCAGTGTCCAGATAGCATCCTTCTGCTTTCAGGAGTCACCTTCCTTTAATATATTTGGGAAGGAGTAAAGCCTGTATCTGTCCTGTTTCTCCCATCTCACGCTCTTCTCCCCAACTGTGACACACACACACCCTGAGCATTTATCATTTATTGGACAAATATGTATCCATACTATGGGTCAGGCATGGTAACAAGCATTGGAAAGCCAATAGTGAGAAAACAATGCTCTGGATTAATTGAATAATTACATACATTTAATTACAAACTGTGGCAAGCACTAGGAATGAAAAGCACAAGGTATCTGGAGGAGATAATAATTGAAGAACTTGATCCTCTGCATGTAGAGGAGCATTTTCTGTGCAAGGAAGATTTAAGGTAAGATCTGAAAGATTGCTTGAAAATAACCATCTCTTTCCCTTCCCCCCCAAGAAAAACAATAAGTAAATAAAAGGTTTTTGGGTGCATGAGACTTTGCTAAAATGCATTTAAGAAAAATTCAACAGCTTTAGGGATACAAATGGTTTTGGGTTACATGGATGAATTGTATAGTGGTGAAGTCTGGGCTTTTAGTGTACCCATCACCCAAATAGTGTACATCATAATCAGTAGGTAACTTTTCATCCCTCAGCCCCTCCTACCCTCCCCACTTCTGACTCTCTCATGTCCATTATACCACCCTGTATGCATGTGCATACTCAGCTGAGCTCTCACTTATGAGTGAGAACATGTGGTATTTGGTTTTCCATTCCTGAATTACTTTGCTTAGGATAATGGCCTCCAGCACCATCCAAGTTGCTGCAAAAGACATTATTTTGTCTGTATTTATGGCTGAATAGTATTCCATAGTAAGTATATATTTATATACACACCACATTTTCTTATTTTTTAAATAATTTCAACTTTTATTTTAGATTCAGGGAGTACATGAGCAGTTTGTTACGTGAGTATATTGTGTGATGTTGAGGTTTCAGATATGAATGATCCCGTTACCCAGGTAGTGAGCATAGTACCCAATAGGTCATTTTTCAACCCTTCCCCTCCTTCCAGTCACCCTCTCAGTGTCTGTTGTTCCCATCTTCATGTCCATGTGTATCCAATGTTTAGCTCACTTATAAGTGACAACATGCAGTATTTGATTTTCTGTTCCTGTGCTAATTATCTTAGGATAAGGGCCTCCAGCTATACACATGTTGCTGCAAAGGATATAATTTCATTCTTTTTATGGCTGTGTAGTATTCCATGATGGGTATATACATTTTCTATATCAAATCCACTATTGATGGACACCTAAGTTGATTCCATGACTTTGCTATTCTGAGTAGTGCTTTGATGAACATACACATGCAACCACATTTTCTTTATCCACTCATCAGTTGATGAGCATTAGATTGGATTCTGTGTCTTTAAAACTGAATTGTGTTGTGATAAACATAGGCATGCAGGTGTCTTTTTTATAAAATGAGTTATTTTCTTTTGGGTAGATACATACCAGTGGGATTGCTAGATTGAATGATAGATCTTCTTTCAGTTCTTTGAGAAATCTACATATTGTTTTCCATAGAGGCTGTAGTAATTTACATTCCCACCAACAGTGTATAAGCATTGCCTTTTCACTTCATTCATGCAAGCGTCTATTGTTTTTTACTTTTTAGTAAAAGCCATTCTGGCTGGGGTAAGGTGGTCTCTCCTTGCGGTTTTATTTTGTATTTTCCTGATGATTAGTGATGGTGAACATTTTTTCCTATGTTTGTCGGCCATTTGTTTATCTTCTTTTGAGAAATGTCTGTTCATGTCATGGAAATAATTATCCTCTATGTAAGATTATTTTCAAAACGTAAGTAAAAAGCATCCCAAATGAAACCCTCTACAATTAGGAACATACCCCAATCTCTGAACTTGCTTCCCTGCCCTGTAGGCTTCCTTCTTCAAACCTCTTCCCTTCAGAGAATCTGCGAAATAGAATAACCACCAGAAATACCTTTACCAAAGTAAAAAATTATTCTACCTCCAACAACACCGTAGACTAGAGTGTAAGTAAAGTGATCTTTCTGAGCTCCAGTTCAGGACAGCCACCCAAGCTTTGTTTGGATACCTTATACACGGTCCTCTCTAAAATCTGCGCACAACCATGAAATGTAGATAACCATTGTATATGCAGAGTCTCCTAAGAACAACACTGATTCTTGAGCTCAGCACAGTTTAAATTCAAATTCAAGAGAACGTTTCCCTAAATGTCCTATAATCTGCATGGGAGCTTCCACCTAGAATAACGTATCTTCTAGATAATGCCCAAGGCCCATAGATGCATACGAACTGGGACCCGTTTCAAAGCCATCTCCCCCTAATGCCGGCCATCTGCTTAACTATAGAAAGAGGAGGCAAAAGGGTTACATTGATTTTTTTCCTTATTTTTTGGAGCTTGTAAAATTTTTGTTCAGGGAGTATCTTGAAATCTTTGTCGGGGGAAGGGAGGCAGTCCAAGCATCTTTTATCCTCAGGACCATAAAGTCCCCAGGAATGAATAAGAGATTGCTATGACATATACACTGGGTCTCAGGAGAATGTCAATATTCATGTTGATGTGGTTAAAAAGTGTTAGCCAAGATGAAATCAGCTTACCTCCCTCCCTTATTCAGATACCTTCAGATTGTGCCCACCTACAGGACCAAATGATCCCACTGAGGTTTTACATGTTGTACAAGCCCTGAATAGGATTTTCCGAGTGTAAGGGGCCTTTCCTAGGCTAAGGCCTCTAAAAACGATTCTTATCATTTTACAATTCAGCACATTCATTGTTTCATTATGGAGATATAACAGGATACATACACAGACATAAGTGCCCTCGTTTCAACTGTATGGCCATCAATACCCATCCCTGTTTGCACCCGAACTACCCTGTAGAAACCTGAGTAATTGGAATCAGACCTTAAAGGCAACATGATTGGCCTGCAGTCTTCTTGTTTTGTTTGCATTGACTAAACTTTAAATGATAGTTTTTCTGTTTGAAAATTCAGGTCAAAAGGATATGGTTTATAGCTCTTCTGTTTGTTCTCTTATAGTGATTCTCACCACTTTATTCAACTTGCCAGAAACAGCCCACTTGTCAAATATAGAGTAAACCTGGAAAAGAAACCTGCTAGCTCCTTCCATCAACAGACCATTCTTCTCATACTCTTTTGCTCCAAATATCAGAGCATTTTTTGGTGAATACTAAGCCAGTTGATACCTTACTATAGCATATTGCTATCTATAAAGAGAACTGAGTTTTTATTTTCTTTCATTTTACATTTTTGGTCAGAATTCTTCAAAGTGTAATAAAATGGCTACACTACTTTGTGAATATTCTTGGAAAATCCTTTGATATGCCTTGCTGAGACCCTGGCAGCACTAGTAAGAATCTTGTAGCATCATCCTACATGTTACCCCTAACCCAGAGTAACAGATGCAGAGGTATGATTGACACCGCTTTTAGTTCACAGAAGCCTGTTTAACTAACTACTAATTACACAAATCTGGGACTGGAGTTCTAGATGTCACCACTTCAAAAAACATCCCTTTTCTCACCATGTTTTGTTTCTCTTAATGCCATAGAAATGATTGAATCAGAGAAAAGACTGACTTTGATTATTTTAGCTTCCCCTAGTTTTCTGGCCTAACTCAGAATGACTCCATCAGTCTTTACTATAATACTGGAAACTCCTTTAGGACAACACTCTCCCCCTTTATTTGTTAGTACCTTGTGTGTGGTCACTGCATAGTAAATATCGAATATACTTAATATAAGCATCAGATGGAAAGATGGATGCAATAGATAATTTCATGTATAAAAATGAAGTATGGCTGGGCATGGTGGCTCACACTTGTAATTGTAGCACCTCGGGGGGCTGAAGCAGAAGGATAACTTCAGCCCAGGATTTGAGACCAGTCTGGGCAACATAGTGAGACCCCATCTCTAAAAAATAATATATATATATTTTTTAATTAGCCGGGCATGGTGGTACACATCCATAGTTCTAGCCACTTGGGAGGCTGAGGGAGGAGGATCACTTGGGTCCAGGTGTTTGAGGCTGCAGTGAGCTATAATTGAGCCCCTGCACTGAAGCCTAGGTGACAGAAAGAGACTCTGTCTCAAACAAAAAAAAAAGAAAAAAATAGGAGCTCAGATTTCTAAAAGTTTGTCCTATTGTGATCTTATCAGAGAAAGAAAAACACATTTTTTTCCTCATCAAAGGTTTGTAATCGAAACACCTGCTAAAGTAATTCAAGAGATACGAAACATATTTGCTATGGTCCCATGAATTTTATCTGCTTTTATGTTATCTCATTGGAAATAGGATTCAGAACCCTGATTTCCCATAATTTCTCTCACAATTTTGTTAAGACTAAAATTCTATGTGATTTTAAGCCTGCACATTTATTCTCTTTCTTAAAAGCTTTTCATTTTGCCATTTGATGAATATTGGAAGTGAGTGGATTATCTGGATAAAGAGAATTAGTCGAGGTTTGCATCAGTCAAGAGAGTAAAGCCACCAGAGGCTTTCAGGGAGTGCCTTACAATATAAATAGTCCTAATCTCCTTCAAGCATTGACTTCTAAGAAAGAGAATTTTCTCAAGGCCAGTGTTTTTAATCAGCTAGATCTGCAACATGATTGAAAGTAATGCTGGTGATAACCAAAGCAGGCTGTGCAGGAAAAAAAGCAGCGAGCAGTCAGTGATCTGATTCATGAGGAATGTTAGAGGCTGGAGAGGAGGGGAAAATTAAGAAGTGTCTCAGATCCCCTAACTACTTCTACCTCTAAAACAGTCATCCAGAGACATCCCTGCCTGAAGTGAAAATGTACCATTTGGATGGGAGCAAGTTATTAGCTAGAGGAGGGCACCCAGTGAGATGCTGGAAATGTAGACAGTGCTTTCACGGTCCCAGTGTTTCCATTTTTCATGCCAAAAAGGATCAGTGCCAGCTACAAAACAGGTGGAATTATTCTAGCATGGCTTTGTAGACAGGAAAGAGAATGAATATGTGTTTTACCTGAGATGTTGGGGCAGCAGTAAAAGCAGAGGAGGTTACAGCAAAATGAGAAGAAAAATGGCTCTAGCCACAAATTGTTGGAGCCTGGACTCCCCATGGCAATGGCCTGGACCCCCATTTTTGCACCTTCTTTTCTCCTAGGAGAAAGAAAGAAAGTGCCTATGAAGCAGTCGTCCTTAATGAGCAGAGGAAAGGTTTTCTTGTTTTGTTTTGTATCATGCAGTGGAAATAGAGAAAAAAGTAAAGGAAGTAAATTCTTCTATAATTATTTCAGATATATTTTCTTGAGTTTTTTTAAAAAATGTTTTCCTCAAGCGTCTCCACAAAAAGGAAAAGAATTTTCACTAGGAAAAAAATAAATATGTGGCCAAAATAATTTCAGATCTTGTGTATAATTTGCCTCTGAAAACATTTGAGCAAAAGGCCACAGACCCTTGGGCAAAACTGTTACACCAGTACTCTTCTATCCAGGTCACTTTTACCAGATGTAAAATGCAATCTGATAGTTACTACTTTTGGCAATTCCCAAAGTGTGTATTGGCCTTGCAGGAAGCAATTTGTTTAGAGTCTTAATGTGGGTTGTTTGGGGTGCTCGAAAGTGGTGTTCCAGTGCTACCTGAATCACGACTGACCACATCCAAAGTGAGGACTCACCCAGCAGGCACAGAAAAACCATCTAGGAAGGCGGCGATCAGAAGATTCCGGTTCTAAAGACTTAGACTCACTGGATTTTATAAGGTGATCATTGAACAGTCAGCTAGGTTAAAAAATCAGAATGTACTGAGGATTAGACTAAGAGCTGAGAGAAGCTATCAAAAAAAAAAAAAAAAGGTATTTCCACTGGTTTGAACACTTTTCTTTTTTTTTTTTTTCTTTATCTAATGAATTTCTATTTATCCTTTGAAACTCAGCTTCACCTCACTTTCCCTGGAAATCCTTTCTGGTTCCCCATAGTGTAGGTCAGATGTTCCTGACCTAGATAACTAGATAGCTCACTTTAACTTCTGATCTTCCCTGTTGGACTGTCAGCTCCATGAGGATGTAGATGGCATCTTTCTCTCCAGTACCCAGTGCCAATCACAGAGATCGGTAAAGCTTTTCTGTACAGGACCAGATAGTAAAGATTAATTTAGATATTGTGGGCCATACAGTCTCTGTCACAACTACTCTGTTGCAGTGAAACAAACACACACAAAAGCCACAGGTGATATGAAAATGAATGATTGTGGCTACATTCTAGTAAAATCTTATTTACAAAAACAGGCATAAGCTGGATTTGTCTTGCCATCTATAGTTGCTGACTCTGGCTTAACAAAATGCCTGGCACAAAATAGTGGTTCAGAGAAGACTTTCCAAAGTACAGGCTGAGTTGATGGTGGTCTGTGGGCAGGGAGATAAGAGGATATATTTGAGAGCTATTTGGTGATTTGATAATTTGGAGATTTTATTTGATGGGTGGGTAAGAAGTAGAGTAGAAATTCAAGTTTCTGACTTGAGCCTCTGGTCTTAAGGAGGAAATATTTTTGTAAAAACAGTGGGACTGGGTATGGTTAGCAAGAGTGGAGAAGAAGAGGTGAGTCACATTTGGAGCATACTGAATATGAGAAATATGTGATATACTCTGTAACAATTTGGCTCTCAGACTTTGTGTGCAACAGAGTCACCAAGAGGACTTGTTGAAAACACAGATTCCTGGGCCTCACACCCAAAGTTTCTGATTCTGAGGTGGGGCTCAAGAATTTGCATATCTATAATGCTCCCAGATGATGTTGAAGTTGCTGGTCTGGGGACTATTCTTTGAGAAAAACTGACCTAAAGACGTGTGCTGGGGTTTTTATTTGGGTGTCACCAGTATTAAAAGTAAGTGAAATGGAGAGAGAACCAAGCAAAATCTTGAGAATGCCATAGTAGCAGTATACATACTACTATCCTTTAAACAAATAATGAAGTCCTTTGAGACTACAATACGATTCCTTTTCTTCTCCCCATGCCATAACATTTTCTGTGAAAGGAGCCATGAAGTCATTCCTGTCCCCATCTAAGCCTTGACTTCTGTAGTGTCTCTTTGGAGCTCCTGGTTTGGTGCCAAGCTCATTTCGTTGAGTACCCCCAGATCTACCTCATATTGCTTTTCCTCTGTCCCTGTGACCCTTATAGAAATGTCTCCCTCATCTTCAGTCTACATATCGATTTTCAAAATCTAAGCTTTCCTTCTATTGACCCAGTATTCCTGGCACATCCCCAGACTCTCCAACTCAGACCAAGAAGGCCACCATATCTAGGCAGAATCAAAAAGAAAATAAATGTTGATATTAAACAACTCTATTTCATTCGCAGAAAGATGGAAAAATATTAGAAAGATATCATCCAAGAAGAATATAAGAGGAGGCCTCAAACCTTCTTGCAAATATTTCCACTACTAAAATCAGGGCCATCTCCTAGACCTCCACCCAGACTGAGCTCTTTGTGGCTCTCTTCTCCTACTCTCTGCAGTATAACTGTTATGATTATTAGTATTAACAATTATATTGATGGCCACTATTCGTTGATGCTTGCCACTAAATGCTTTGGGTACATTTTCTTATTTCATCCTCACAACTACTGCTGAGGTAGGTCTTTGCATCTTCATTTTAGAGCAATACAGATGCCAATGAACTTATTCAAGATCAAACAGTTCATAGGCAACAGTGAGAGAAATTTCATCTCAGAGCTTACTGACACCATAGCCTCTCTTCATGACCATTCTTCAGCACCCCAGATTTCCCTTCTCCTTACTGTAGTCCTGAAAGAAAAATGCACAGATGCTACATTTTTAAAGGCTTTGCTGCTAATCTCTACATAGATATAGATAGAGTATAACAAGCTTAGCAAGGTTTAAAAGTTGAGAAACTATTTTAAAGCTCTCAAGATCCTAATCCATAGCAGGATACAATCTTATAAATATGGAGGTACTGTTGGAATTCTTCCCTCATGGTTTATTGCTAAGGAAGGAACTCATCAAAACTTCACCACCCCATCCCCATATCATTTTATTTATTCTTGCCTAAAGGAGAGGAACAGGCTGACTACTTTATAAACGAATAGCACTTTGCAAAGAGTGGGGGAGAGGGAAATTGGGTTCAGTTGAATGAGATGCCAGTCGTATCTCTAAGTGGAAATGCCAGTTAATTAAAAGGATAACTCTGAATGACAGAGGCATGCTAATTGTAACTATTTAGTTGCATTCCATTGCTCCCCCGACCAGACTGAGTGGAGTTGGTGCCAGAGGGCCTCAGCAGTTACACAGTGCTTGCTCTAGGAAAGCACTAGGCAGAGATGATTACTGCTCACCTGGTATTTATAGTCCCCTTGCAGTTAGGCAGTCATTGGTGACTTGGTCTGGTCAATGTGCTGTAAAAAGAAGTAATTTGTATTACTCTTGGGTAAAGCATTTAAGATCTGGTAGATAACTTTCCAACTGTTTTTTTCCATTGCTTCGGTTACCATAAAAGCCAAGTGTTATAAGTGGCATAAGCCCAAGATAAAAGCAGCCTGGATCCGTGAGTCACTACATAGAGGAGAGTCAACCTGGAGAGTCCCTCAACCTTGGGTGGACTTTGTAAGAGTGAGAAAGAATTTGTTGTATAAATTTGTTTAGTAAATTTGTTACCATGGATTGTTTTTCATTGCAGCATAGCACAGCCTACCTAAACTAATGCAACCGCTCATGTTAATACTAAATTTATTTCCTCTGCTGGGTCAAATGAAGGTTTCTGTTGGTTCTACAATGTATCTTCACCCCTTGTTGAAACAGATTATAGCTACATTTAAAGAAGAAAATGAAAACAAAAGGTAGGGAGAAAAATTCAAGAAATGCCATTCTGGGGAGAGAATACTTAATTCATACAGACAAACGTAAATAATATAAGTTTTACAGGAAAAACTGTAACTTAAGAAAACTATGATGCTGCAGGCTTGGAAATAGTATTCCGTGATATGAGCCCTAAGGGTTTTAAGAAGTATTTATGACACTGTTTACTAAATGGTTTTCTGATTTCAAAGACATGAGGAAGAAGCATGGCAACATTAGAAGAAAGGAAGAAAGCAATATTAATGAAAATTTTGAGGGAGAAAAGTGGCTTGAACATTTGTCATGTGTAAAAAGTAAAAGGAAGAACATTTAAACCAGATTTTTCCATGAAATATACACAACACAGGCTTTCAAAGAACAAATAAAGGCATGTAAGTTGGCATGGTAGTCTGAAGGAGAGTGCTTTTGAGTCATCAATCCTGAAGGTGACAGGGGTATGAACAACTGTAGTTAAGTGTATATCATAAAGAATGTGCTATCATCTCTGTAGCAAAAGACAAATGGCCTGATCACTGTAAGAAATTCAGGAGAATTTGTGGATGAAAAACTTTCCAACCAAAGGGGACAAGGACAAGTAAGTCCATATATAAACAGTTGGCAGCCTGATTCTCTCACCTACTTCCTCCCTTTTATTTCACTTTTCTCCTGTGTGTGTGTATGTGCATGTGTGTGCACACACAGACTCCTGCCACAATCTGATCTAAGGCAATGGATCATTCACAACTAGTAGGTTCCAAGTGGTAAATAAAAGTTTCAATAGTAGAGTCAGGTAAAGGTTATAAGTCTCTTCCTACAACCACATTATAGTAAAAACAAGGCTGGTAGATGAAATTTGGTCACACATACAAACACTTATTGGCAATCAAGCATGCAGCTTGTTCGGTACATTCTTAGTGTTTTAACGCCAGCAGTGTGACAAATTTGCTTGAAGGAAATGCAACCAATATTCTAGCAGCAGAATTTAGTGTGGCAGCAAGTATCTTCAGAATCAATGGGTGTATACTAGATTATTTCAAAGTCTGGCTTTTGGCCTCCTTCTAAAAGATACAGGCCACCTAGTCTCTAGATTCTTACACTCTATTCCTACAATACTTCCATTACTCATATCCTCATGTGAGTAACAAAAAAATAATTTCTAATATATCTGTTATGCTAATCCATAAAACCTCTGATGTTAATCAGACATAAAAATCTTAAAGATAAAGATAGCTGAAGAGCATACTTTTAGAAAGTGGGCTTCAGATTAGAAGTTTTAAAATGCTAGCTGTCCTTGGAGACTGTTCTCCCAATTAGGCCAACTGATCTCCCATAGAAGGTAGATTAAGTTATCACAAACACATACAGACATTATGTCACACTGTCTATGCTGAGGTATATTCAAGGATAATAAGAGATAGAACAAAACAATTCCAATCCATGGAGGTGGATAAGGGATAGATTTCATTAAAAAATACATGGAGAAAGAACAACTATCATGTATTGAAATTTTTTAAATGAGCATTTAAATCACCAACTACAGAGTTTGCTCAATATTTCTTAAATTCTATTGGCAAATTATACACCTATTAAACTTAGGTAGGAGCCTGCAGATGAAACCTTTTTTTTTTTTTTTTTTTTTTTGCCTATGGAATATAGGTTAACAGCAAATATAAACACCCCTCCATCGGCTGCCTTTTGTGGGAGCTTCTCTGTAGTATGGTGGTATTTCTATGTGACCTCTAAAGTCGGATCGCCTGGTTCCAAACTCTTGCTCTTTTACTTATTAACTTTAGGCATATTTAACTATAGCTTATAATTTTAAAGTGAGGATCATAACTCTTATGGATGCTGGAAAGATTAAATAAATTAACATATTAAGTATTAATATTTATAAGAATCCCTAAAACACAAATGGTACATGCCTATTGTTATTATTGTATTAATATTATTGATATTATTATTATAACCTTCATTTCCAAATCCTGTGTACTTCCCTCCACTGCAGATGTGACTGAGATGCATGGGGAGAATAGGGGCTGTTTCATAGGATTCAACATAGATTAAATGAAACTATGTACCTGAAGCCCTATAACACAGTGACCCACTAAGTGGATAACAAAAATGATGAGTAAGGTTTCCTACGAAGCTCTTGCTATGTTGTAGTTGTAGTTGCCATGTTCAACCTTTGGAAATTCTTCCAGGTATCTCAGCCATCGACCCCCCCTTTTCTAATTATGATGTCCTAGAGAAAAGCACAATAACTCTAAGACCCTGCAGGTCTACAGAGATTCTGCCTTAGGAAGTTGAATGCTTCCCTCCACTTCCCAACCCTGAATGTACCAAAAAGAGCACTGGGTGGAGTCGTAGCTAAGTAAAGAGTGTGGATTCTTTTCTTTACAGTTAAAATAGCAGGAAGTCAGAAATATAAAAGTTCAGACCCCAAAATGGTACTGACACTTAA
Organism: Homo sapiens; assembly: GCF_000001405.40. Taxonomy (NCBI): domain Eukaryota; kingdom Metazoa; phylum Chordata; class Mammalia; order Primates; family Hominidae; genus Homo; species Homo sapiens. The sequence goes on along the minus strand of NC_000009.12, from coordinate 9,105,792 downwards.
GCAAAGCCACATCAATTTCACTTTCATTGAATGGATTTGAAAAGCTACACTGATAATCCCCTGAACATTTTCAGTGTGTAGCTCTCTCATTCAGTATGTTTAATCCACTCTCCTAGATCATTATACAAGTGTTTTGTTTTGTGCCATGGGAAATTCTGATCTTAGTTGATGAAGTACTCAGTCACCTCTAATCTTGTGAGAGCCACAAATGACGATAATTTCAATTTATGGAGTAACCTGGAATGAAGAAGACAATATGCTGAGTCTGAGAGCTGAGGTAGTTGTGTTTTTACTTCAGATCAGCAGAAAATTTTTTAAAGGGAACATCCTTTGTGCATTAGTTCCAACTGCATTTTCTCAATTTTTATCAACTATAGTCACTAAGGAATCACTGAAGAAAAGGTAAGAGCTCTGAAAGTTGACTTAGAGAATCTGCATAGAAAAGAGAGAATCAACAAAATCAACAATGCATAATCATTGAAAAGCTATGGAAGAGGTATGAAAGGCTTAGTGAAAACAATGCTGAGTTGGCACTGAAGAGCTTTGGAGTTGAATAAGGCCACCTCTCAAGAGCTGGATGACCTTGAACTTCTCACTTCTCTCAGGGCCACTTTTTCCTCATCAGTTAAAATTTGAGAATTCAAAGAAGTTATTATTAGGATGTCTTTCATCCCTAAAATTCTGTCTGTGAAAGATGCAGAAAATTGCTACAATGTTGCATAAATAAATAGGATATGTATTATCTGAGGCTGTTGGCAGGAAGAATTCTCTTCTTTTAATGTCCTAAACGGATTTGTTTCTCTGAAGTCTTCATTTTACTTTCTGTGTTGTGCACAGCATCCGTTCTCTTTTGTGGCAATTATCTTTTCCTATCTCACACTTATCACACTGGAATCCAGCCACCAGTTTGTTTGTCTCACTCGTGGCTATTATCAATTCTTGCAGTTCAGGAATCACGTCGAACTCCCCTGTTTCCCGAGTGCATAGGAAAGTGCTTAGCATTGAATGTGGAGCGATAGAATGAACAAAGAAATGACAAAATGACTAGGTGGATGAATGCATAGCTTAATATCAGCGAGGCAGGAAGTAAACAAAGAGACACTGAGCACCAAGTAATTCAATACAATTCATCATGAGAACTTATCTTTAAGCTCCTGTTTCATGAGGTTAGATACTGTCCAACATGGTTCTTACAGCACTTGTTTTAGCTGACAGCACTGGCATTCAGTGAAAATTACAGTGGGCTTGAGTATCTTTGGAAATAACGGTTTTGCAAATTTGATTACCATTAAACAGCCTTTATAAAACACCTACCTGAGTAGGAATGGAGTATATATGTTAGCCAAGACTTAATTATTCATCTCAGGAATTGGCACACTATCTGTTGGCTAAAGCCATCTTCCTGTCTACTTACCTTATCTGTTTTTATAGAGCCCATATTCTAAAAATGATTTTTACATTTTTATATGTTTGGGGAAAAAAATTCAAAAGAATGATACATGATAATTACATGAATTTTGAATTTTTTTGCCCACCAACGAAGTTTTATTGGAACACAGCCACACTTATGTGATTACTATTGTCTGAATGCTTTGATGCCACAACAGCAGAGTTGAGTAGTCACAAAAGACTGGATAGCCCACAAAGCCTAAAGTATCTACTATTTAGTCCTATACAGAAAAATTTGCCAAGCCAGGCTATATCTGATGGTCCTTTTTGATAATGGTATTATCAAAATCAATTTATAAACAGAAATTACTGTGTGTTTGGAAGAACTGCTTCATCTTTTTTATTTATTTATTAATTTTTTGAGACAGGGTCTTGCTCTATGGCCCAGGCTGGGGTGCAGTGGCAACATCTTGGCTCGCTGCAACCTCTGCCTCCCAAGGCTCCAGCGATCTTCTCACCTCAGCCTCCAGGGTATCTGGGAATACAGGTGCACATCACCACGCCCAGCTAATTTTTTGTATTTTTTGTAGAGACAGGGTTTCATCGTGTTGCCCAAGCTGGTCTCAAACTCCTGGGCTTAAGGTATCCACCCATCTTGGCCTCCAAAAGGGCTGGTATTACAGGCATGAGCCACCATTCCCAGCCAAATTGCTCCACTTTTAATGGAAAGGTGAGGTACTTGCAAAAATTGGAGAAAGTTCATTGTCACCTCTTTGATTTTTTTTTTTCTTATGGAAGCAAAGGATACGCTAAAGAAGGAAAGGATATGCTAAATTTTTTTCTTTAGATTTTTGCAACATTGAAACCAAGAACTAGTGTGAGCAATTGCTTTCTTTAAAATAATACATTCTCATTTAACATATATAAGTTCATCATATATTTACTTGTTTATTCCACATTTTGTTTTACTCCATAATTACTTACGAAAATTTTTTCATGCTAACTCAAGCAGAGATCTGATCTTTTTTAAAAAAGACATTTGGCTTGAGACATTTATAAAGTATCATTATGCTGTCTGTAAAGTTGGTGCAATGGAAAAAAAAACAAACAAAAACTATTTCCTAATGACATTAGGTGACTAAAGGAGTTCCCTTAATCCCTTTTTCTCAAATTGTGTCTGGAAGTAAGACATTAGAAAATAATATTAATTAGACTTTTAAAAAATACATTGGCTAACCCACCCAAATAAAAAGTTATAACTTGGAATACCAGCACTGTTAAGACAAGTACAAAAGAGCTAGGAAGTTCTAAATAGGAAAATCACTACTGAAAAAGAAAATTTAATTTAAAACTGTTTGATTACTACATGCTTCCACAAATAAGAGCCAGGACAATGCAGTATCAAAGACACAGAGACCATAAAAACTGACCAAAGACACAAATAAATCAATACCTGCTTTAGTTTTCTATTTGCAAGAAAACAAAATCACTCTGCTCAAATTATAGCGTTAATTCATTCTATTGGAAACTAGCAATTCACAAATTTTGCTTTTGTTGTTATTTTGTTTTTGTTTTCTTATTTTTTCCCAAGTGTCATGTTTCAAAATTGAGAAAAAATCTCTACCAGTTTAATTTCCTGAAAATATTAATTTGTACAGTGAAATCAGGGTCACTTATAACAGTAACCTCCGTGAATGATCACATCGTAAAACAATTGTAGTCTGTATATTTAAGAAAATGTTGTCATTGGTAAATGTTTTTCCACATGGGCTAAATTATCTACGTAATCAGCCACCCTGGTGGGAAAGCGAATCTTTCAGCTCCAATTCAATGCGAGGGCGAGTTGTTATCTTTCTGATTGATGGTGATTAGGCTCTTGGAGCAAATCTGGCTTACATGCTTCTGAACGCCAAATGGCTGAAGGCCACCTCTCTCTACCCCCTTGGCTGGCAGTTATCTTTGGATGACTTGGAAGAAGCCACAGTTCCCGCAGCGTGATTCTGGTTCAATGGCTCAAACTGGCCATTTTCTTCTGTTTAGATCATCACCCCTACTCAGGCACTACCTGTTGGTGGCCATAGAATGGTAAATTCAAAAGAGAATAGACACATCATAATTGCCTCTTTCTTGCCCTCATATATGGATGACAGAAAATACTCTTATTGTAAGAATATTTTCTTTCTCAAAAATGAAAAGCTATTAAAAATAATGGAGCAGCTACAACCTACATATTTATAAAACATATGAAATAAAATCTCTGGCTGTTGTCTTCAATAATTACATAAAAGACGAAGCCAATATTTACATTTAAAAGAAGAGTCTGTATGCTTACCAATGAAGCACTGGTTATATTCTTATCTTGACAGATGGTCCATTTTTGATCATTTATGTTAAGCACTAAGTCAAATTAGCCCCAAAAAAGTTGTGTGTGTTTTTTAAATTCCATGCAAATATAGCCAAGAGGTATCATTATTTACTTCACATCAATAACTCAGGATAGTCAATTTTTAAAAAATACGGATTAAAATTTTAAGTAATCCTAGAATTCTGGAATAATTGAAATAAGATTTTCTATATGTATGATTAAGGAATAATTTTCTCCCACATCTTTTCTTAAAGTAAAAATATTCTCAATTACTATACATGTGGGTTAATCATATGGGTATTTGGGAATAACTCAGTGGGGTAACATGCATAAGTGACAGGCACACATCATGTCTCAAGTCTTTAGCTCCTCAAGTTGTCTGTGGATAATGACATGGTTTTTAACGCTTGAGAATTCTTTTTTTAATCAGGTGCTACAAAAGATAATAATTCTCTTATTAGTTTTCCTATTTTGTAAATGTCAGTCATGACAATCTTGAGCAAGCACTTTGGTTTTATCATCACACTCTGCTCTGCTACCTCATTAATGCATCAAGAATATATTCAGAATCACCTTCCATCCCCATTCTTGATTTCATGGGAGGTGAGGATGCTAATCGTATCTGTACAGGTGTATTTTTATAGAGCTGCCAGAAAAATCGTACTGTTCATTCAAGAACATCATCTGTCTATAATTAATGTTCTGTCTTCTTAAAAATAAGAAACTACTATCTACCTAATATCCCAAATTTCTTCCAGCAATGAATCCCTAAGCATCTATTAAAGCTCAGATCTTTCTGAAAGATCTTTTTTTATATCTATAATGAGCATTTTTTTTTGTTTGTTTGTTTCGGGTTTGTTTTGTTTTGTTTTGCTGATCATTATTGTTCATTTGCTAAAGCTTCTGGTCTCCTGCTCTCTACTCTCTCTCTCTCTCTGTTTTACATTGGCCAATTGGTTCAGATTTCATATTTACATCTTGTATGTGCTGATTTTTAAACATTTTTATCTTCTTTATTCTTTCCAAATGATCAGGTATGATAAAAATTAACAAAATAAATCTGCTTTCACAACAAAATATCTATAGTTATATGAAATCCAATTTACGCATTATAAATTCTTAAGCAATCAAATTTCTGTTTATGATTATACACACAGTATGAATGAGAATTTGGAAATCAATGTTAATAATATAATATGAGATCAGGAACTCCTTAAAATTAGGTACTATATATTACATCACTGTGAGATTTTTATATCTAGATTCTAATACTAAGATTTCCAATACATAATTTTGAAGGTGGAAATGGACCTGCCTAGAAATATTCCTGAGACAGGAACATTCCCTTCGGAATGTGGCTACTGTTTTCTCAGGACTTTTACCTATAAAGATGCTTACATCTGTTTGTGTCATTAAATTTTTGTTTTGTTTTGTTTCATTTTCTGGTAAAAACAAACAAATGATAAATGTGGCTATGATCTGCTTGAACAATGTTCTGTCTACCTGATCATACCAACAGAATTGTCTTCTGGGTCATGTCATCCTGTTCCATCATAGAAGAAGAAATGTGGGGGTGGTGTTCCCCAAAATAAACAGTAGCATTTGAATCAAACCCAGCTATTTACCCTACTCTGTGTCACTACAGATACATTTTCAAAGCACTTCTCAGAAATCAGTATATCTTAGGACATCATGCTCTTTTCTATAAATTCTGATGCCAAAATGGAAGAGCTACAGGGTTGCAGGCATATTTGGGAGCAGATGGTAATACCTACTGCTGTGTCCAAATAGGCTGGTAGGCATATTTATCTGATATGTTTTTGAATTATGGTAAGAAGCCAACTATCTCTCTTTATTCACTACCCAGGAACACATGCTTTCAAGTAAAGATACCCCATTCTGTAGAGCCTGCTTGCCAGTTAAAAATAAATAAATAATCTACTTTCTGAATTTTTATATTCTTTTAATTATAATCATCACAAAAAGAGGATATTTTGTATGACTCTTTTAATGTTTTCTTTTAGAAGTATTTCTTTAAAGCACTTTTATATAAATAAGACCATTGCATATTAACGTCACACACTAATTGGAACAGATTTTCCCCTGAGTTGCTTAAAATATAGACTTTTCAAATCTGCAGTGCTTCCTCACCCTTCAGTGTAGCTCTCTCCAACTCTAATTAATTCACATTGCAAAAGCAATGAGTTTGATCTCAGCTGTAGATGTCACAGTGACTTATCCTTTCAATGAGGTGATAATTGGTGTCTGGTTAATTCTATTCATAGAAACCATGGGCCATAAAAAAGTAATCCTCACTTCCATTACACAGCGTGACGCTTTCAGTAACACCTATGTAGTTTCCTAGTATGGAATATTTTTATTCTTAAAAACATAATTACAATTGTAGAAATGCATCCTATAAGCAAATATCTGCTACCTGCCCGGTAGTAACTCAAGTAGATATTGTTCTCCTACTTTGCACATAGTTATATGGGCTTTGACACTGAAGAAGATGATGTTACTTACCTCCAAAACCTGCAACACACCCAGGCAGGCATAAAAAGTATCGCCTTGTAAAATAATCTCTAAATCCTAAGACTGATACAGTCCACAGACACTTATTCAAGACAAACATGATTAGCAATACACAAGGCAGTTTCGTATATTCCATTTTTAGTGTGTAATATTTTGACACATGTGAGAGACACATTCTCTCTGTATATATTTATAGATAATGAGACAAATAAGAAAATGAATAATTATGAACCAGCACCCAACTGAAGAACTAGAATATCACCAACATAGTTTTAATCTACGTGGATTGCTTTTTACCTCTCCCATCACCTGTTGCTAATAAATGTGTACATGGCCTGCTCTGTGTTTACCACTGTATTGTCTTTTTAAAGGTTTTATCACATTTGTAAACATATGCACAATTTTATTTTCATTTTTATAAAATTCTTATCAAAATGTCATTGTACTCACTTGCTTTTTCCAATCAATATTGTGTTTCCAAGAATTACCCATTCAATTTTATCAGACCACATTTTTTCTTTTTCACTGTCACCTAAATACTCAGTAATGTGACTATACCACAATGTCTGTATTCATTTCTTTATCTAGAGATATCACAGTTGTTTTCAGAATTTTACAAATATAGACAATACCACTGTGAATATGTTCATGTAATTCTCCTGGTGAACATGTGTAAGAGTCTCTCTAGGAATAGAATTTCTGCCTTGTATTACATACAAATGATGAATTTTACAAAATATACCTAATTTTTCCCCAAAATGTTGTATCCATTTGTATTTTCTCCAATAGCGTGTAAGATCCACATAGTTGCCAAGAGTTTATGTAAGTCGATGGGTACATGATAAACATACTTGTAATGATTATTCTTTTCATCGTTAGTAACTTTGCAGATTATATTACAGACACTCAAATTGTAATAATAATAAATGTAAATAATAACTAAAAAGAAATAACAGGCCAGGCATGGTGGCTCATGCCTATAATCCCAGCACTTTGGGAGGCTGAGGCTGGTGGATCATTTGAGGTCAGGAGTTCGACACCAGACTGGCCAACATGGTGAAACCCTGTCTCTACTAAAAATTAGCCAGGTGTGGTGGTGCATGCCTGTAGTCCCAGCTACTTGGAAGGCTGAGGCAGGAGAATCACTTGAACCCAGTAGACGGAGGCTGCAGTGAGCCAACAGCACACCACTGCACTTCAGCCCGGGAAACAACAACAACAAAAATGATACTGAAAATAATAAATCTATTTATGGACAAAAGAATAGGAGTCAAAAATAGGAGGCAAGAGAGCACACTGGAATTTGGGGAAAAAGAAAGAAAGGCAATTTTTGGAGCAAGAATCATCATTAATGTGTGTGATTTGAGGTGATACATGGTTAATGAACATTTGCTAATTTTTTATAATTACACAAAATCCATATAAATATATTTACTTTGATTATATATAAATATATTAATATTGTTAAAAAATTAAAACACTTCTAATAAACAAAATCCCTTGACCACTGAGTTATCACATCCCAATTCCAGGTCCCTCTCTGGATCTTTTATGATGGTCAGCAAGCATGCCTGCCAGACGAGCCAAAGGGAAACATCTTTATTGTATTGGATAGTACACAAACCCAATGTTTACTCCTTAGGAAAACACCATCTCTATCTTTCAAGGCTCTTCACTATACAAGCATCCGTGAAAAATAGTTCGTAACAAAGACAGGTCTTCTGCTCACAAGATCTGTAGAAACATGAGACCCATAGAGAATTGTCTCCCAACAATTTCCTTCAGAGAGGATTTGCACTTGATTGCATCAAGAGCCATGGTATCCTAGCACTTTGGGAGGCCGAGGCGGGCAGATCACGAGGTCAAGAGATTGAGACCATCCTGGCTGACACGGTGAAACCCTGTCTCTACTAAAAATACAAAAAAAATTAGCCTGGCATGGTGGCAGGTGCCTGTAGTCCCAGCTGCTTGGGAGGCTGAGGAAGGAGAATGGCTTGAATCCGGGCGGCAGAGCTTGCAGTGAGCTGAGATTGCGCCACTGCATTCCAGCCTGGGTGACAGAGCGAGACTCCATCTCAAAAGAAAAAGAAAAAAAAAAAAAGAGCCATGGTGTGCTACTAACCTGTGGCCTCTTTAAACCCTTCCTCCAGTCCTTAGCTTAATTCATGAGTATGAGGTTTAGTACCCCAAAAACCTTTGCTTTAGGCCCCAACCAGAATCTCCTCATTATAGTGCTGATACTGCATTTGTTTTCAGGACAGATTTTCTCAAGTCCTTCGCCCACATGCAGGGATCAAGAAAACATAATGCCTGCTATGCTTGCAAATCAGAAGAGTATGCCTCTTATGCCTAGGAATCAGCCCCTGCTGAGATCCAGCTAACTGTTGCCCTGCTTGTATGCAAACCAAATGTTGCCTTATATTCTGATGTTTCAAGAGAAGAGTGAAATGTGTATTTTGATGATAAAACACCTGAATTTCAAGTGTTGCTGTTTAGTTCAAGCTGATTAATAATATTTTCAGAAATATGAAATGCAACACAAAACTTAGGGGGTAGGGGAGATAAAAGCAGTGACTTCAGCATTTGGGAGGTCCTTGGTGACCTCACTCATCAAAGTGTACCTCAGATATCATCTTACAGTGAAGGCATCCCTGACATGCAGTCCTACATGCCAATTATGGCCTCATTCATGAAGCCTCCATAGCATTATATAAACCTCATTTACTTTAGCACAACACATAATCATAATACTTTTTTGCTAATTTAATTGAAATGTGTTTACTGTTCTAAAGGCAATTAGACTGAAACTATTGTGATTAATCTGTATCTATATCATCTGGGTAAAGGATATATGAGTATTATTTGTTCTATTCTGATAATCTCTATGTAACCTTGAAATTATGACAAAATATTTTTAAAAAAAAGAAATCATCTATATCTTCACCTGGAAAATATAATCTATATCTTATATAGTTTTCTACAGGTTAACATCTAATTGTAAAAAGAGTCATGGAACACAAAAATGTCTAATCAGTATACAAATTAATGCTTGGAAATAATTTTCAGTGCTGGAGTTTAACCAAAATGTCGCATTCCATTCGTGAGATTGACAATTGTTTCTTGGGGACTTTTGTTTGTTTGCTTTGATAAATTGTATTGCGTATATTTAAGGTCTACAACATGATGTTATGGGATACTTATAGATAGTAAAAAGATTACTATATTGAAGCAAATTAACATATCCAGCAACTCACAGTTATCCATTTTGTGGCAACGGTGGCTAAAATCTACTCATTTGGCATGAATCTCATGTCAAATACAATTTTATTACCTATAGTCCTCATGTTGCACATGAAATCTCTAGACTTGGTCATCCTACATATCTGCTACTTTGTATCCTTTGACCTACATCTCCCCATTTCCTGTTGTTCTCTAGCTCTGTGTATTTGAAATGCATTATTTTTGTTCCATGTATAGGTAGAATAACGCAATATTTTCTTTCTGAGTCTGGCTTATTTCACTTAGCCTAATATCCTCCAAGGTTATCTTTGTTATGGCAAATGGCAAGATCTCGTTCTTTTGTGGGACTGAATAATATTCCATTGTATATATGTACCACAGGGGTTTTTAATCCATTTGTTCATCAATGGACAGGTTGTTTCCATATCTTGGCTATTGAGAACAATACTGCAAGGAACATGGGAATGAAAATATCTTAACAAAGTGATGATTTATTTCCTTTGGGTATATGCTCAGAAGAGGGATTACTGAGTCATATGGTAGTTCTATTTTTAATTTATTTTGAAACCTCCATACTGTTTTCCATAATGGTTCTCCCAATCTACATTCCTACATGAGTGTATTAAAGACTGTCCAAACCAGGTGTGGTGGCTCGTCTATAATTCCAACACTTTGGGTGACTGAGGCAGGAGGATTACTTGAGGCCAAGAGTTGGAGACAAGTCCCAGGAGACTTCCTAAGGCCCTGCCTGTCAACAGATATATATTTTTAATATACTACAAATGTGTTGATTCCACAGCTCAATCTGGAGAAAATTGACATTGAAACAACTGAAATACATTTGATTTTTGTATGTTGACTTTGTATTCTGCAACCCTAGTTCAAATAGCCTTTTTATAGATTTCTTCAGATTTTCTATGTAGACAGTCATATTGGCTGTGAATAAAGGTCATTTTATTTTTTTCTTTCTATTTATATGCCTTTTATTATAGTTGTTGTGCTGTTGTTATACAAGCTAAGACTTGCAGTATGTTGGGTGGGAGTGGTGAAAATAGACCTCTTGCCTTGTTCCTGATTTTAGGAAGAAAATCTTCCGTTTTTAAACATTAAGTGTGAAATTAGCTATAGGGTTTTTTTAATATATATAATTACCACCTATTAGCAAGCATGTTTTTTAATGCCTATCTTGCTGCAAGTTTTTACCATGAATGGATGTTGATATCAGTTGTTGGTTGATTTTTCAAATGTTGGGCTAGACATTCTTGAGATAATCTCCATTTGGTCATGAAGTATTATCACTTTTGTCTATTTGCTAGATTTGATTTGCTATTAGGTTTTTGAGAATTTGTGCATCTATGATCATGAAGGACACTGGTTTAAAGATTTATTTTCCTGTGATGTCTTTGCCTGATTTGGGTGTCGGGATAATGCTAGCCTCGTAAAGTTTTCCCTCCTCTTCTGCTTTTTGTAATAGTTTGTATGGAAATTGTATGTTGTTGTTGTCGTTGTTTGTTGTTGTTAAATATTTTATGAAATTTATTAGGGAAGCCATCTGGGCCTAAAGTTTTCTTTCTTTATTTTAGTTTTTTATTCCAATAGTTTTTGGTGTACAGGTGGTTTTTTGTTACATGGATAAGTTCTTCCATTGTGATTTCTGAGATTTTGGTGCACTTGTCACCTGAGCAGTGTACACTGTACCCACTATGTAGTGTTTGATCCTTCAGTCCCTCCCAACTTTCCCCCAACCGTAAGTCCCCAAAGTCTGTTATATCATTCTTATGCCTTTGTGTCCTCCTAGCTTAGCTCCCACTTATAAGTGGGAACATACGATTTTTGGTTTTCCTTTCCTGAATTATTTCACTTAGAATAATCATCTCCAGCTCCATCCAAGCTGCTGCAAAATACACTATTTGGTTCCTTTTTATGGCTGAGTGGCAATCGATGTCTTATATATATTATTTATCCACTCATTGGTTGATGGACACTTAGGTTGGTTCCAAACCTTTGCAATTGAGAGTTGTGGCTGCTATAAATATGCGTGTGCATGTGTCTTTCTCACGTAATGACTTTCTAACGTTTTCTTTGCTTGAAGACTTCAACTTCAAATTCAATTCATTTAATTAATGTAGGACTATTCAGGTGACCATTTCCACTTGAGTGAGCATTGGTACTTTGTTTCTTAAAAAGAATTATTCCATTTCATTTAAGTTGTTGAACTTATGTATGTTAATAAAGTTGAGCTTAATATTCTCTTATTACATTTTTAATATCTGTATTGAGGTCCTATATCCCTTTTCATTCTTGATGTTGTGCCTTTTTTTTTCTTTCTACTTGGTCACTCTGGCTAGAAGTTTATCAATTTTACTGATCTTTTTATAGAACTGTTTTTTGTTTCATTGCCTTCTGTATTGTATTTCTGTTTTTCATATTATTTATGTCCGCTCTTTATTTTCTTCCTTCTGCTTGCTCTTCCCTTTCTAGTTTCTTAAATAGAAGGCTAGATCATTAACTTGAGAACTTTTTCCTTTTCTAATAGAAGCAGTTAATGCTATAAATTTTCCTCTATATGCCTGTTTAGCTACATCCGCCCCCCCGCCCAAATTTTAACAGGTTGTGTTTTTAATTTTATAAAATTAAAAATGCTTATAATTTCCCATGTGACTTGCCTTTTTACCCATGAATTACTTAGAAAGTTCTGTGTTATTTAATTTCCAGATATTGGGGAATTTTCTAGATTGTTTATTACTAATTTCTGCTTGAATATGTTATAACCAGAAAACATTATTTACATAATTTTAATTCTCTTAAATTTTGTAAGACTTGTTTTATGGCCTGGAATATGGTTTATCATGGTGAATATTTCTTGGGCATTTGAATAAACTATGTAGTCTGCCGTTATTGGATAGAGGGTTCTATCAATACTAATTACATCAAGTTGACTACTAGTGTTATTCGTATTTCCTGTGTCATTACTGATTTTCAGTTTAATTGTTTTATCAATTGCTGAGCAAAGAATTTTGAAGCCTCTAACTATAATTATGGATTTGCTTAATTCTCCTTTTAGTTCTATTAGTTTGTGTTTCTAGTATTTGGAAGTTCCGTTGTTAGATGTATATATATTTAAGATTGTTATGTGTTCTAGGTTGATTAGCCCATTTATCACTATGCAATGTCCCTCCATATCCCTGTTCTGAAGCCTACTTTATTTTAGTATAGCCGTTTCTGCTTTTTTTGATTGGTGTTTGCATTTTCTTTCGTACTGCATTAGTTTCTTTTGTACTTTTCATTTGAACCTAGCTATGTCCATGTATTTACAGCAGGTTTCTTGTCAATAGCATATAATAGAGTATTGGGTTTTTTTAAGTAAAATCTGAAAATTTCTGTATTTTAATTTGTGTGTTTAGAACATTTACACATGATGAAATTATTGGTATGGTTGATGATCATAATTTTTTATTTGTCTTTCTAAATTTCTACACTATTAATCATCTTTATATTTAAAGCACATTGCACATAACATGAACACAATAGATGTTTATTAAGTTTGTATATCTTAAATGATAGTGGTTTCAGATCCATTGTCTATTTCAGTCAACTGTGGATTTGTCCTAAATAGACAAATTTTCAAGTCATATTTTCAAGTCATAACTTTTTCATGTGTTATAAGTGAATAGAATAACTTTTCAAGTCATAACTTTTTCATATGTTATAAGTGAATAGAATAACTATTACACTTAATTTGTAAATCACATCTTATTTATTCACTTTATGAATACACTTCCCTTGTCCATGAAGCATAAGAGTAATATAGTAGCTGTTCCTCAATCTGTGAATATTCAATTATTTACCATTAATATGTTTACTGCATGTGATATTTATAACAATAATAATATGAATCAGTTGAAGAAGAAATGAAAACAGCATACCTTTATAAATACCTTGGTATAGAAATCAGTACCAGGATACAGTCATGAATGAAGAATCACCTATTCAATATCTGTGTCTACTTTAGTTTCCAGTAGTATTATCTGTAGAGAACTTTGCCCTATAATAGACAATATGTTTAACATTTGAAAATGGTGCATTATTTCTAAGAAGAGAACATGAAAATGAGTTAACAGTAGCATGTTGGTAACAATAGTGAGCCTAGTGTTTTATTACCATCCAGTACATTATAAACCTTCACCATGTCAAATGAAAGTTTAAGAGTGAATCTTCTAAAGTGGCATGACTTTCTCTCTGGAGAAGAACCCCAAAGATAAACTGAGAGAAAAGAAAATGGCAGAGACACTTAAAAACCATTGTCTAATCCTGGCAGATAGAAGGTGACATTAGTGAGATAAGAATTTTTTGTTAATTAGGTTTTCAAAGGTCTTATTCCCACACTCAACACAAAACCCAATTGAGTTTTAAGCATGATGGTAATAGTACCTAGATGAAACCTGAGAGTAAACAGTATCCCATTTGCCCCAACCTGAAAGTTCAATTCTTCAATGGAGTACAGACTTTACTATATTGGCTGGTTCTGTTAGGTTTTGTTTAGTTTCCTTGTGATTGGGAATTTTAGCAAATATAGTACTTGTTACAGGCAGATATATGTCCAAGTCATTCTCTGTGACTGTTCACTTACTTCTCATTCCACAAATACTTACTGAGTGTGTTAGGCACTGTCCAAAGTGCTGAATAGGCTTATTACTATGAAAAGGAGTTTTAAGAGTTGATACTGGAAATGGGGACTATTACTAATTGCTGTAGGACAAATGTCCATATTGAAGCTACCTAGAATTCCTATAAGCCTACTGAAGTCTTGGGAAACAATCTGCAAGACTAACAAGGTATTTTTTAAAGGAATAAAACTTTAGTAAGAACCAGAGTCATAAGGTGATTGGAGATTTACAGAAATGTACAGTTCCAGAAAAATACGCAGCTATTTAAAGAAATTTTTTTTTTAAAGTACAATTTCCATTTTATTTTTCTCCAGAGAATAGCCTGTCTTCAGTCTTTAAGAACTCAGCTCCTTACATGGGCTTTGGTGGGGGACGTGGGGCAGCACCCGCAGGTCTAAATCGGGGTGGGGGTGTTCGGTCCTTGCGGACTTCACGAGATCGATTCCTGACTACTTTGCTGTGAATTGCACAACTCACACAGTAATGTAGCTTCACATACAGCTTGGGAAGCACATAGGCATCGAAGACGCTCGCTTCAGAAATGTCCCTGACTGCTGCGGCCTCCACTATGTTTCGAATGACGAATTTCTTAATGGCCTTGTCCTTGGGCATGCATCGGGCACAGTTAGTGCAGCGAATAGGCTGCACGTGGCCGCAGCCCTTTTTGGCACGACCATTGTTCCTTCTTTTCTTTGTCATCTTGGAGGCACGGACCGGAGACAGCTATTTAAAGAAATTTTTAACCTGTCATCATTGTCAATGGAATAAGATATCATTGAGATGTCATTAAGAGTTATTTGAAGAATGCAGCAACTCAGCTAAAGAGGATGCAACTTGAAATCACTGATGTTTTGAGTAAGGACATTGTCTTTGTTCAAGAGTCATCATTAGTTTTACCTCACTTAGGAAGATGAAAATGTTTTTTAAGTTTGTATGAAAGTGCCAGGCTGCCAACTATTATTGTTATCTGAAGCTTCTGCCCTTCATCCAAAAATAGGCTTATAAAAATTGCAATAATGGCCACTGAAGACCTAATAACGCTGACATATTCACTACTCAATCTGTGGAAATACTAGAATGATTATAAATATATAATATCTAACAAGCCATTACCCATGTGGTACAATCTCAGAATGATGTTCTGATTAAAGACACACAGCTCACAATAAAAAGCAATTCAATAATCTTCAACCATCAAAAAATAATAAATCCTGTCATTTGCACCAATATAGATGGAACTGGAGGTCATTATGTTAATTGAAATAAGCCAGGCATAGACAGACAAATATTGCGTGTTCTCACTTATATGTGGGGGCTAAAAAAGTGTACCTTATAGAGGTAGAGAATAGAATGATTGCTACCAGAGGCTGAGAAGGGTATGGAGGGCCAGGGAGATGAAGAGAGGTAGGTTAATGGGTACAAACATACAACATAGGAATTCCAGTGTTCAATAGCACAGTAAGGTGACTGTAGTTAACAACAATATATTGTATATTTCAAAATAGCTAGAAGGGAATATTTAAAATGTTCCCAATGCAAAGGAATAAATGTTCAATGTGATGAATATCATAAATACCTGAATTTGATCATTACACATGTATGCATGTATCAAAATATCACATATACCCCATAAATATGGACAAACATTATGTATCAATAAAAAATAAAAACTGGAAAAGATTTCAAAATAAACTTGTCTCTTTTCATTTTTCAAACACAGTGAAAGGAGTAAATATGGCAGAGCATTACTACTTTTTTTACCTTCTGCTTTCCCCACATATTATAGGTGTTTCCTTATTTCTTACTTTGGAAACCTTCACAAAACTATTTTCCCCAGCCCTGACAAGTATGTTGACATTACCCTTCTACACCAACCCTTCGTTCTTACTCTGCATTATAAAATCTCAAAATCAACAGTCAGGAAAAATTGGAGAGGAGAACCTAAATAGGCAAGCAGGATTTTATTTAGAAGAAATAGAGGAAAGTTTAGGAACCTTAATAGAATAGTGATAGTTTTGCTACATGGAATCAATTTGTAGGCCCTTGCATACTATGAGTTAGTAGAGTCATAAAGAAGCTTCATGGAGCATTTATTCTAACTCATGAATGAAAAACTTTGGTCAGAAAGGTTAAATGGCCTGCCGCAGATCAAATATTAATATTCGTACTGAATCTGGGGAGCAATTGTCCCAGCTACATACTCATTATTTGAGCACTGTGCCCATAGTAGCAGTCAGCAAACTGTAGACCTTGGATCAAATCTGGCCCACTGCCTGTTTTTGCCAATAAAGTATTATTAGGACACACTTATTTCTTTACCTATTATTTGTGACTATGGCTCATAAGGCCTAAAATATTTATTCTCTAAACATTTACAGAAAGCCCTTTTAAAAGTAAGATAGCTGTCAACTGTGTCAAGTCCTTCAACACAAGAATATCTTACATATGCCACCCCACTCAACACACACACACACTTAAACACAGCCACATTAAAGGGTTTTGTTGACTTTTTTAGCAAGTCACAAATTATTTGAGAAAGACCTTCTTTTTACTAGGGGGTAAAAATAGGAGTAATGTTGAGTGAAAAACCCTTGTGTTCCCTTCAAAATAGCTCATATTTATTGAGTGCTTATCATTGTTCTGGCACAGTCCTAGGTGTTTTACAATATTTACTCATTTAATACAGAAAATCTATAATTACCTATTATAACACATTGAGGAAACAGAGACTACAGACATTAAGTAACTTGCTAAACTATAGCTATGAAGTGACAGGGTCAAGTTTCAAATCCAGACACTGACTCCAGAGCTCACAGGCATAAGTTCTTTCAGAGCCTCCACAAATACTAAGAAAACCTTTGTCTTCTGCAATCTCAGCAAGCTAGGCAAGGCTCTATTTGAATATCCAGGGCTAATATGGAGTACTCTGTGTTAATATTTGTAAAGTATGAAGGTCCTTTGAGACCATCTACTGCAAGCCAGACTTCTTTTTTTTTTTTTTTTTTTTTTTTTTTTCTGAGACTAAGTCTCACTCTGTCGCCCAGGCTGGAGTGCAGTGGCACAATCTCAGCTCACTGCAACCCCGACCTCCTGGGTTCAAACAAATCTCATGCCTCATCCTCCCGAGTAGCTGGGATTATAGGTGCCTGCCACCATGCCCAGCTAATTTTTATATTTTTTGTAGAGACAGGGTTTCACCATGTTGGTCAGGCTAGTCTCAACCTCAGGTGATCCAGCTGCCTCGGCCTCCCAAAGTGCTGGGACCACAGGCGTGAGCCACCGCACCCGGCCCAGATTTCATTTTATTAGTTCAAGATTGTCCCTTCCTTAACAGCTTTTAAAATTTAGAAGAACTTTCTTTTCTGGCAGGTTCAAGGGAAGAATGAGGACACAAGAATCAAAAGTTTAGGGCTCTGGCCGGGTGCAGTGGCTCACGCCTGTAATCCTAGCACTTTGGAAGGCTGAGGCGAGCAGATCACTTCAGGTCAGGAGTTCAAGACCAGCCTGGACAACTTGGTGAAACCCCGTGTCTACTAAAAATACAAAAATCAGCCAGGCATGGTGGTGCACGCTTGTAATTCCAGCTACTCAGGAGGCTGGGGCAAGAGAATCTCTTGAACCTGGAAGGTGGAGGTTTCAGTGAGCTAATGCCACTGCACTCTAGCCTAGGCAACAGAGTGAGACTCTGTCTCAAAAAAAAAAAAAAAAAAAAAAAAAAGAGTTTAGGGCTCTGGTGGAAAATAAGATTATTATGTTCTATTTGACATCAAGCGATTGTGTTGAGTGAAGAGCAGGCATATTGTGAAAA
Organism: Homo sapiens; assembly: GCF_000001405.40. NCBI lineage: Eukaryota > Metazoa > Chordata > Mammalia > Primates > Hominidae > Homo > Homo sapiens. The sequence goes on along the minus strand of NC_000009.12, from coordinate 9,087,788 downwards.
TGAAAGGAATGTGGATTTTAAAGCCAGAAAATAATGACTTTGAATTTAAAATTTAACTTTGGAAAAATTACTACAAGCTCCCTGAGCCTTGACTTTCTTATTTTGGTAGTTTGGGATATTCACTTCCCCATGTTTTCCATAAGGTTAAGTGAGATTATGTATGTGATGAACTCTAGCACAATGTAAGTAACTTATCTGGCACTCAGAATTCTCTGTATTTTCCTTGAAATCACTTCTCTGTATGTTTCTCATATTTCAATCCTGGTTCTTAGTTCTTTTTCCTCCTTGAAATGCCACCTACATTTCTTTATGGAAGGACAATGCCTCTTCAGTATGCAGGAGTACAGTGGCTGCCTTCCGGACCTTCTCACAGTTTTTCTCATTCTTGAACTTATCGGTAAACCACTGAAAAATGGTCACACATGGGTAATAGGTATAATTATAATTTTATTATTTGTGATTTATCTTCTCTATTACATTCATCTATGCACATTCTATTTCTGACTATGAAAACACCAACTCTTCAGGGCCAAGGACCAAATCTCTGCTTTGGTAACTGGGGAAATCTGTAGATGTTTCACACGTTTATAGTAATAAAATATTTTAGAGGACTCACTAAGTTTACCTTAAGTAATGTTGGAAAAACAACAGAGAGAAAAATCCAAGAGAGAAAAAAAAGCCAACTCAGAGACAATGGAAATCAGTGTTTTCTGTGTGTGTATTTGCTTTTCTAGGAGCAAGAATTAGAGCTCTGACATAATTAGGAAAATTCAGCTTGTGTGTGTCACTCTGTATATCACTTCAGCCATGATGACTGTTTTTCATTATTTCTCTTTTCTTCTCTTCCCCATGGCATCTGTTTCTTTGGCTTTTGCTATTGTATGGTACCTACACACTATCATTCCTTTGTATCTCTTAGTTTCAGCTTGCTATGGTCAACTTTTTTGTTTCACTGGCCCAATTCCCCAGAAGTCTGTGACTCACCTAACCAGTCATCTTTGTTCACATTTTAAAAAAGCATTTGCCCAAGCCACACCAGATGCTTTTATCCAGCCCAAATATTATCCTCTTAAAATAGATGTCCATTGTTAGTCACTTCAGCTGGGACCAAGGGAATGGCATCCTGATGTACAGAATTCAGCCACCTATATTTCCTAGGAACAATTTAAGCCCACTTTCCACAGCTGCAGGGAGGGGTGAGGACAAGATGGTTGTGGCTAAATGATTGAAAAGGCAGCCAAGAATTGAGAATCCAATCTAGGGCTTATAATGGTTTATAAAGGTGATAATAATCCAATGTGGGAAACAAGCAAATCAGTATATAAAGGGTGATGTGAGACAGAAATCAGTCTTTAGGCTCCTAGCCTTCTTAAGAGGGACAGCTTTTCTCTTCATTTCCCCCAGTAACTGTCCCAAAGTGTGGCATGACACAATAGGCTGCCCATAATGAACAGCATGCGTTCTAGATTAAACCAAACATCTCCATATCAAAACTAAAACTACTATGCTTCTCACTCTCAGTGAATTAGTCTCAATGAATAGTACCAGTCAGAAGGAGGTTCAGTATTCTATACCCATAGATTTAGAATATTTTCAAAAGTCATCTTTAGTGAAAAATGTATAGAGGTCACACTTCAATTCGATTTGGTGCCGTTCTGGAAGTGATCCTTACTTAAAAAGAAAATTGAAGTCCAAGTTATGTGAGTTAGTTAATCATTAACAGAATCACCTTGAAAATTTATTTACTTTCCTATATATCAGTAAATTATATGTGTAAGTTGCATATGTATTCACTTTTGTAAGGCTAGCCCAAAATGTTTTCACTGGTGGAGAAAGCAAAACCACAAGCATCTGCTAAAAAGTGAGCAGCTTAGGGTTGGACACAAGTAACTGATAATCCTTCCTGGGGACAATTTCAGCCTGAGCGGAAGACTTCTCTAGATTCGAGAGGCTTAAATTAATATAGAGCTTGGAAAGGTCTGGTAGTACACAATATATAAAACATTTAAAACATTTGGACTTTATATCTTATGGCAATGTGAAAGGAAAGAGATGCATTTGACCCTGTATATGGCAATGAGGTGGCAAACCGACAATTAAGCAGAAAAATCTGAAGGCCAAATGTCAAAAAAAAAAAGAGCATTAACCCTGAGTAGTGACATTTTAAAAATGTCCTTGGCTCACAATGAAGTATAAGTGCTAATGTGACCATTTATTTGTCTATTTATAAGAGGGAAAAAAAGCCCTGAGTTTCTAAACTGTTTGGAAATGGATCTTATTCTTCCTGAAAAATAATAAGGCGCTGTTATTTTCACCCTAAGGGTCAAAAATAGGAAGAAATGTCCATTAGTACCCGTCAAAGCTTACATATGCACTATTCGCATCTTGAAAGAAGAATTTGCATGCTGTAGATTTTCCTTGGCAAAAACCAACATTTTCTCTGAGAGAGAAGGAAGTAATTATTATAAAATGTTCACACTTAATGGTAAAAGTAGAATATTTATTCTAGGAATCCTAAATAGGTAGTTATAAAATAATTAAAAGGTGATATGTTCTTGTGTCTATCTTTCTTTTCAGTCTTGATCTTTTTATCACAATGCCATTAAAATGACAGAAAGAGAAAGTCACTTTAAGTGTTGACCAAAAAAATCACTAAATATATATTTATCAGGCTTGTGAGCAGCCACAAAAATTGTTTTGTAATGAAATAATGATAAAATTACAGAATCATACATTATAATCAATATCTCCTTTTGTGCTTAACTATACAGTAGCAAAGATAGAAGTTTTAAAGGAATATTTTCAGGGAAAAATAATCTTTCCCTGTCTGTGCTAAAAATGGTTGATGAAAAGTTTTCTTCATTTTATAGTCTTAAAAATACATATGAGAAAGTGGCTAAGAAATATTTAAACATTAGAGAAAATAAAATGTTGATATTTTGATAAATGTAGAGATCTGTTTGGATGGCTCTTTTGATGAGAGATCAAAACAACAGTCCGTGAACTATGAAGCAATCTACTCTTCCTCTTTCAAGTGTCCTTCTCTAAGCACCTTGCCCACATTTTGCTATAGTGTGTGTCATTTGGAGTATATTTTTACTACCATTGTTAGGGACAGAGGCCAGTACATTACCTCTGCTTAAAAATAACACTCTCAGATCCCATTCATTTACAGTCCTTTAAATACATTGACTTTGGCTCCCAGAAATGTGTGTCAGTGGGAACTTTTTTACTATTATTATACTTTAATTCTGGGATACATGTGCAAAACATGCAGGTTTGTTACATAGGTATACACATGCCCTGGTGGTTTGCTGAACCCATCAACCTGTCATCTGCAATAGTTATTTCCGCTAATACTATCCCTCCCTAGACCCCCAACCCCTGACAGGCCCTGGTGTGTGTGATGTTCCCCTCCCTGTGTCCATATGTTCTCATTGTTCAACTCCCACTTATGAGTGAGAACATGCGGTGTTTGGTTTTCTGTTCCTGTATTAGTTTGCTGAGAATGATGGTTTCTAGCTTCATCCATGTCCCTGCAAAGGGCATGAACTCATCCTTTTTCATGGCTGCATAGTATTCCATGGTGTAAATGTGCCACATTTTCTTTATCCAGTCTATCATTGATGGGCATTTGGGTTGGTTCCAAGTCTTTGCTATTGTGATAGTGCTGCAATAAACATACATGTGCATGTGTCTTTATAGTAGAATGATTTATAATCCTTTGGGTATATACCCAGAAATGGGATTGCTGGGTCAAACGGTATTTCTGGTTCTAGGTCCTCGAGGAATCACCACACTGTCTTCCACAATGGTTGAACTAATTTACACTCCCACCAACAGTGTAAAAGTGTTCCTATTTCTCCACATCCTCTCTAGCATCTGTTGTTTCCTGACTTTTTAATGATCACCATTCTAACTGGTGTGAGATGGTGTCTTGTTGTGGTTTTGATTTGCATTACTGTAATAACCAGTGATGATGAGCTTTTTTTCATATGTTTTTTGGCTGCATAAATGTCTTCTTTTGAGAAGTGTCTATTCAAATCTTTAGCCCACTTTTAATGAGGTTGTTTATTTTTTTTCTTGTAAATTTGTTTAAGTTCCTTATAGGTTCTGGATATTAGCCCTTTGTCAGATGGATAGATTGCAAAGATTTTCTCCCATTCTGTAGGTTGCCTGTTCACTCTGATGATAGTTTCTTTTGCTGTGCAAAAGCTCTTTAGCTTAATTAGATCCCATCTGTCAATTTTGGCTTTTGTTGCTATTGCTTTGATGTTTTAGTCATGAAGCCTTAGCCCATGCCTATGTCCTGAATGGTATTGCCTAGGTTTTCTTCTAGGAGATTTATAGTATGGGGTCTTACATTGAAGTCTTTAATCCATCTTTAGTTAATTTTTGTATTAGGTATAAAGAAGAGGTCCAGTTTCAGTTTTCTGCATATAGCTAGACAGTTTTCCCAACACCAGGATTATTAAATAGGGAATCCTTTCCCCATTCTTGTTTTTCTCAAGTTTGTCAAAGCTCAGATGGTTGTAGATGTGTGGTGTTATTTCTGCGGCCTGGGTTCTGTTCCATTGTTCTATATATCTGTTTTGGTACCAGTATCATGCTGTTTTGGTTACTGTAGCCTTGTAGTGTAGTTTGAAGTCAGGCAATGTGATGCCTCCGGCTTTGTTCTTTTTGCTTAGGATTGTCTTGACTATACAGGTTCTTTTCTGGTTCCATATGAAATTTAAGGTAGTTTTTTCTAATTCTGTGAAGAAAGTCAATGGTAGCTTAATGGGAATAGCATTGAATCTATAAATTACTTTGGGCAGTATGGCCATTTTCATGATATTGATTCTTCCTATCCATGAGCATGGAATGTTTTTCCATTCGTTTGTATCCTCTCTGTTTTCCTTGAGCAGTGGTTTGTAGTTCTCCTTGAAGAGGTCCTTCACATCCTTTGCAAGTTATATTCCTAGGTATTTTATTCTTTTTGTAGCAATTATGAATGGGAGTTCACTCATGATTTGGCTCTCTGTTTGTCTATTATTGGTGTGTAGGAATGCTTGTGATTTTTGCATGTTGATTTTGTATCCTGAGACTTTGCTGAAGTTGCTTCTCAGCTTAAGGAAATTTGGGGCTGATACGATGGGGTTTTCTAAATATACAATCATGTCATCCGCAAAGAAAGACAATTTGACTTCCTCTTTTCTAATTGAATACCCTTTATTTCTTTCTCTTGCCTGATTTCCCTGGCCGGAACTTCCAATACCAGGTTGAATAGGAGTGGTGAGAGAGGGCACCCTTGTCTTGTGTCTTAGGTTTGTCATAAATACCTCTTATTGTTTTAAAATACATTCCATCAATACCTAGTTTATTGAGAGTTTTTAGCATGAAGCGGTGTTGAATTTTATTGAAGGCCTTTTCTGTATCTGTTGAGACAAACGTGATTTTTGTCATTGGTTCTGTTTGTGATGGATTATGTCTATTGATTGGCATATGTTGAACCACCCTTGTGTCCCAGGGATGAAGCTAACTTGGTCGTGGTGGATAAGCTTTTTGATGTGCTGCTGGATTCGGTTTGCCAGTATTTTATTGAGGATTTTTGCATCGATGTTCATTGGGGTGGCCTGAAATTTTCTTTTTTTGTTGTGTCTCTGCCAGGTTTTGGTATCAGGATGATGCTGGCCTCATAAAATGAGTTAGGGAGGAGTCCGTCTTTTTCTATTGTTTGTAATAGTTTCAGAAGGATTGGTACCAGCTCCTCTTTGTACCTCTGGTAGAATTTGGCTGTGAATCTGTCTGGTCTTGGGCTTTTTTTGGTTGGTAGTCTATTAATTACTGCCTCAGTTGCAGAACTTGTTATGGTCTATTCAGGGATTTGACTAAGACCCACCTCACGTGCAAAGACACACATACGCTCAAAATAAAGGCATGGAGGAATATTTACCAAGCAAATGGAAAGCAAAAAAAAAAAAAAGCAGGAGTTGCAATCCTAGTCTCTGATAAAACGGACTTTAAACCAACAAAGATCAAAAAAGACAAAGAAGGGCACTACATAATGGTAAAGGAATCATTGCAACAAGAAGAGCTAACTCTCCTAAATATATATGCACCCAATACAGGAGCACCCAGATTCATAAAGCAAGTTCTTAGAGACCTACAAAGAGACTTAGACTCCCACACAATAATACTGGGAGACTTTAACACCCCACTGTCAGTATTAGATAGATCAACGAGACAGAAAATTAACAAGGATATTCAGGACTTGTACTCGGCTCTGGAAGAAGAAGACCTAGTAGACATCTACAGAATTCTCCACCCAAAATCAACAGAATATACATTCTTCTCAGGAGTGCATCACACTTATTCTAAAATTGACCACATAATTGGAAGTAAAACACTCCTCAGCAAATGCAAAAGAATGGAAATCATAACAAACAGTCTCTCAGACCACAGTGCAATCAAATTAGAACTCAAGATTAAGAAATTCACTCAAAATCGAACAACTACATGGAAACTGAACAACCTGTTCCTGAATGACTACTGGGTAAATAATGAAATTAAGGCAGAAATAAATAAGTTATTTAAAACCAATGAGAACAAACATACAATGTACCAGAATCTCTGGGACACAGCTAAAGCAGTGTTTAGAGGGAAATTTATAGCACTAAATGCCCACAGGAGAAAGCAGGAAAGATCTAAAATCAACACCCTAACATCACAATTAAAAGAAGTAGAGAAGCAAGAGCAAACAAATTCAAAAGCTAGCAGAAGAAAAGAAATAACTAAGATCAAAGCAGAACTGAAGGAGATAGAGACATGAAAAACCCTTTAAAAAAATCAGTGAATCCAGGAGCTGTTTTTTTGAAAAGATTAACAAAATAGACCGCTAGCCAGATGAGTAAAGAAGAAAAGAGAGAAGAACCAAATAGATGCAATAAAAAATGATAAAGGGGATATCACCACTGATCCCACAGAAATACAAACTACCATCAGAGAATATTGTAAACACCTCTATGCAAATAAACTAGAAATTCTAGAAAAAATGGATAAATTCCTGAACACATACACCCTCCCAAGGGAACATTTGCTTTTTAAAACAATGTAGTACACAGTTTAGAATCCCACTTCTGGTTAAGTGGGATAGACCCAGAAGAGAGATAGAGCTTTGTGATTAAGTGGGAAGCTCTGGAGTCAGACTGCAGGAGTCACATGCTATCTCTACTGCCTGTAGCTATGTAATCTTGGGAATTACCTAACCCTATTTGTATATTATTTTACCAACCTCAAAAAAGAGGATAATAAGATGATAGGATATCATTTCTAAAGTTGTAAAGGGTCTATTCAAGTAAAGTGCTTCAAACAATATGTGGCACATAGTAGTAGCAAGCGACTTTTATTATAAAATCAGTATTCACATACAGCTTTTTGTCACCTTTTTGAGCACAACCGTTTTAAATTACTTTTCCATGTATTTTGAAGGATTTAAAAATGTCATTCTAGAGTGGCAACATGGTAAATTGGCAGAGAAAAAGTCTTTGGAATCAAAGATATTTGGTCATCTCTTACACCATGTGTAAACTTGGATAAGTTGTATAAACTCTCTAGACATCAGCTTTCTATTTTTAACATGGGAGATGTAAATTGAGAAATGAGTAATATAATGCATTCAGGGATCTAGTACAGTGATAGATGCTCAATAGACAATAACTATGGGTTATGATTTGACTAAATTAGATTAAACCCAGAATTCTACATGATCACATAAAATACCAATAACTGAATTTAGAATGTTCGGGATGTCATTGAACATTTAATATTGTATTGGTAGCTTCATCAAGCATACTGTGCACACTTAAATATTAAACATCAGTAGAAACTAAGGGCACCCTTATTCCAGCAACACATCATCACCAATGTATTAATCTGGTAAACTCATGAACTGGATGAAATCCTAGCTCTCCTTAATCTACCTTTGTCATAACCACAGCATATGGGCTGAATTTTGGTGTGAGAAATCTAATACTCCTTAAAGTACATAAGTGCATACATATTGTGATCCTCTGTGTCCTGATCCCCTCCCTAAAGTGTTTCTGTCAGCTGTCAAGAGCTGCCTGCCAAAGGTTATGTCACCTCCCAGAGGAGATATGAGACCGACAGCTAACTAATTCAGGGACTCAGAGGCCCCAGTCCAATTGTAAACTAGTGCAACCACTATGGAGAACAGTATGAAGGTTCCTCAAACAACTACAAATGCAACTACATATTGTCCAGCAATCCCCCTACTGAGAATCTATCCAAAGCAAAGAAGATCGAAGAGACATCTGCATCTCACATCTACTGCAGCTCTATTCACAATAGCCAAGATATGGAATTAACATATACAAAATGGAATATTATTCAGCCATAAAAATGAATAAAATCCTGTCATGTATGGCAACATAGATGGAACTGAAGGATATTAAGTGAAATAAGCCAGAAACAAAAAGTTAAATGCTGTGTGCTCTCACCCATATGTGGAAGCTAAAAAAAATTTGATCTAATGTAAGTAAACAGTAGAACAGAGGATATTAGAGGCTGGGAAGGGTGGGGGAAAGGAGGAATAAGGAGAGATTTGTTAAAGGATACAAAATTACATCTAGATAGCAAGAATAAGTTATAGTGTTCTGTGGCACTGTAGGATGACCATAGTTAACAGTAATATATAGTTTCAAATAACTAGAAGGAGAATACTGAACATTACCAACACAAATAAATGATAAATATTTGAGATGATGGATATGCTGATTACCCTGATCTGATCACTATACATCATGAGTATTGAAACATGGCTATGCTAATTACCCTGATCTGATCACTCAACATTATGAGTATTGAAATATGCTAATTACCCTGATCTGATCACTATATATTGAGTATTGAAACTATTGTACTTTATAAATATGTACAGTTATTATTTTTCAATTACAAATAAATAAAGTCCCATCCCACTGCCCCAATATTTTGGCACAATTCTGAAGGGCCATCCCAGCTCCAGAGCTCACTGCAGGATCGACTGGGTCCTCTGTTGCAACCATATTGCTGATAGTTTTTGCCTTTGCCATCCATACTTTCCTGCAGCTGTATCTCCTGAGAACACTCCCCAGTAAAAAAAACCTTCTAAACACAACTCCTTTCCCAGAGACTGCTTCTGGAGAACACAATCTAAGGCTTCCCCTAGTTTGAAAGGTTTTATAATAAAAAAGTGGAACATGAGCCAAGTATTTCTTTCTTATCTATCATGGCACAGCAAGCAATGGAAGAATTCAAAGTGGAGCTGTTTTAAGAACTTGGTCAGCCCTTTCGAAGCCACAGCATGCCTCATAACAAACATATGAAAGCACACCCACATTCAACATTAATTATTTACTGCAAAATTCTGGAAAGGAATGTTGTAATTTTGTTTTTGAAATTATTTAACTATGATATAATTAAGGATGGGCCATGATTTTTCAGCAGAACTCAGAAATTCTTGCGAAGTGGAAAAAATATATCCAGCAAACTGTTTTCAAATTCAATAAAACTTTTATGAATACTAAATTTAATAATTAATGACGTTTACATAATGTTATGTCTTGCAGACATTTAATTAAACATTTATTCATTTTGATTTTATGGGTTCTTTTTTGTATTCCAAAGCCAATAAATTTGATTTCAAGGACTCAAATGTTATATGAAGGTCTTAGAATATCTCATAAGCCATTGAAAATGTCAAGGCCCTTGAAAATATCTGTATAGAAATCTAGCATACATTTACAAAATACAAAGCGTAAACTTTTTCCTTTTTCTTATTCACTCTTATTTCTAGGCTATGGTCAGGTAGATAAATGCTCAATGGCTTCAATGTAAATAGATATTTATTTTAGAGCTCATTCAAGTTTGAGAGAAAGGAGAAAATGTACACAGAGGGACTATTTGAATACAAAACTGACTCAGGTTAAGCTGGGGTCATTCCCTTTCACATTTCCAAGGAAATGTTCCATGTGCTTCATCTTTATCTTGTATAGGTAGGCATAGCTGTGTGTTTAACTGTGGACCATCATATGTGACTACTCCTCCCTCCCCCAGTAAAGTGATATTTCACAAGGCTCTCCCAATCAGGGTGCATTAAGCTATAAGTATACACATTTAGTCACAAATCTTTGCATGACACTCTCCGCTATTAGTTTTAGAAAACTGGCTCTTCACATCAATTTTTGTGGATCTCTATAAACATAAAAAAGGAGTAATAGATTCTGGCATGTGTATGTATTTTAATCCAGATGAACCAACCACATCTTATATTGACTTTGTTTAATAATAAAAATCACCAAAGTTAGCAATGGAAAAGACTTACTACATTAGGAAATAGATCCATTAAGCTTATTCAAGATAATAACATTTTCAGTCACCTGAATTCATCCCCATTCTGCTTCTATGAACTATGGAGAAATATACACCCATGGTATTTTTTCATTAATAAAACCATCTTTGAAACATTCAACATAGTGAAGAGACAACCCACAGAATGGAAGAAAATATTTGTAAACTGTACATCACATCTCATGAAGGGTTAAAAACCAGAATATATAAGGAGCTCAACCAACTCTACAGAAAAAAAAAAAAAACTAATAATCTGATTTTAAAATGGGCAAAACGATGTGAATAGACATTTTTCAAAAGAAGACATACAAATGGCAAACAGGTATATGAAAAGGTGCTCAACATCATTGACCATCAGAGAAATGCAAATCAAAACTGCAATAAGATCACCTTATCCCAGTTAAAATGGCTTTTATTCAAAAGACAGGCAACAGCAAATTCTACCAAGGATGTGCAGAAAAGGGAACCCTTGTACACTGTTGGTAGGAATGTAAATTAGTACAATCACTATGGAGAACAGTTTGGAATTTCCTCAAAAAACTAAAAATAGAGCTACCATATGTTCCAGCAATCCCACAGCTAGGTATATAACCAAAAAAAAAAAAAAGGAAATTATCATATTGAAGAGATATCTGCACTTCCATGTTTATTGCAACACTATTCACAATAGCCAAGATTTTGAGGCAACCTAATGTCCATCCTCAGATGAATGGATAAAGAAAATGTACATTCACACAGTGGAGTACTATTCAGCTATGAAAAAGAATGAGATCCTGTCATTTGCAACAACAGAGATGGAACTGAAGGACATTATATTATGTGAAATAATGCAGGCACAGAAAGACGAACATTATATGTTCTCACTTACTTGTGGAAGCTAAAAATGAAAATAATTGAACTCATGGAGATAGCGAGTAGAATGATACTTACCAGAGGCTGGGAGGAGTACTAGACAGGGGAGCAAAGGGGACGGTTAATGGGTACAAAAATAACACTTACACTAATTAAACTAAAGAGCTTCTGCACAGCAAAAGAAACTGCCATCAGAGTGGACAGGCAACCTACAGAACGGGGGAAAATTTTTGCAATCTCCCCGTCTGACAAAGGGCTAATATCCAGAATCTACAAAGAACTTAAACAAATTTACAAGAAAAAATCAAACAACCCCATCAAAAAGTGGATGAAGTCTCGAAGACATTTATGCAGCCAACAGACACATGAAAAAATGCTCATCATCACTGGACATCAGAGAAATTCAAATCAAGACCACAGTGAGATACCATCTCATACCAGTTAGAATGGTGATCACTAAAAAGTCTGGAAACAACAGGTGCTGGAGAGGATGTAGAGAAATAGGAACACTTTTACACTGTTGGTGGGACTATAAACTAGTTCAACCATTGTGGAAGACAGTATGGCGATTTCTCTAGGATCTAGAACTAGACATACCATTTGACCCAGCCATCCCATTACTGGGTATATACCCAAAGGATTATAAATCATGCTGCTATAAAGACACATGCACACGTATGTTTATTGCGGCACTATTCACAATAGCAAAGACTTGGAAAGAAGCCAAATTTCCATCAATGAAAGACTGAATTAAGAAAATGTGGCACATATACATCATGGAATACTATGCAGCCATAAAAAAGGATGAGTTCAGGTCCTTGGTAGGGACATGGATGAAGCTGCAAACCATCATTCTAAGCAAACCATCACAAGGACAGAAAAGCAAACACCGCATGTTCTCACTCACAGGTGGGAATTGAACAATGAGAACACTTGGACACAGAGTGGGGAACATCACACATCAGGGCCTGTTGTGGGGTGGGGGATGGGGGAGGGATAGCATTAGGAGATATATCTAATGTAAATGACGAGTTAATGGTTGCAGCACATCAACATGACACATGTATACATATGTAACAAACCTGCACGTTGTGCACATGTACCCTAGAACTTAAAGTATAATAAAAATAAAAATAAATAATACCGATATCGAATGAATAATATCTAGTATTTGAAAGTACAACGGGGTGATTACAGTCAACAAAAATTTATTATACTTTTAAAAATAACTGAGTATAATGGTATTGTTTGTAACAAAAGGAAAGGATAAATGTTTGAGGTGATGGGATATACCCATTTACCCTGTTGTAATTATTATGCATCATATGCCTGGATCAAAATATCTCATGTACCCTAAAAATATATACACCTACTATGTATGCACAAAAATTAAAAATTAAAAATTTTTAAACACAGATTATCAAAAGCAAAATAATTATAATAATTTCATAGGAAAGTACAATAAGCATTTGACCATTATCTTTTTGTAGGGAATTTTTGTTTTCTTCTCTTTTTGTACAATTATAATTAAAGTTGCAATAAACATTAAACAAATAAAATAAACAAGACCATCTTTGTTCTATATTGTCAGTGATCTGTGATAAGGTACATGATAGGATAATATAGGACTTTTTTTTTTTTGCCCAAAATACCTCCCAAACTAAATTGTAATTTCTTTTCCTCAGAATGAAACCTAAATTTGTTCTAAAACTGATTATTTTACATGTTATATTTTACATATATATGGTAGAAAATATTTGCAAACCGTACATCTCATGAGGGATTAATAATCAGAATATACAAGGAGCTCAAACAACTCTACAGAAAAAAAAAGTAATCATCTGATTTAAAAATGGGCAAAAGCTCTGAATAGACATTTCTCAAAAGAAGACATACAAATGGCAAACAGGCACATGAAAGGTGCTTAACATCACTGATCATCTTTTATATATATAATAAAATATGAGCCAGATTTAAAATATTTACATAGTCTTGGTCTATATTTCACTCCCAAATTCTACCAAATCCATAAAACATAAGGTGGAAAGAAATTACAAGTCTCAATTTTGATCACTTCTCAGAATTCTACAATAATCCCAGTGTCAACCCTGACTGCTAAATGTTGAAAATCTGTTTTAGTGAGTGTTCCACCAAAATTTGCGTATATGTGAATCAATCCTAAAGCATTTTCATTATCAATGATCATTTTTACAAATTGTGTTTTACTTGTTTTATACCCTGTGCTACTCCTTATCTCTTTTCAATTATTCTTCATGTAAACTTCAGTATTTCAGCCATCAGCACATTTATCCCATTGAAGATCAATAAAACTCAGGAAAAAGGAAGCTATATTCAGAAAAGTAACCATCATTTCACTGTCAAAATAAGTGGCTTAATATCCTAAGAGCTATTTAAACTTCTCTCAGCTTTAGTTTTTTCATCTCTAAATAATATTTTTTTGTGGGATTATTTTAAGGATAACAAAACAGCTTCTATTTAATGAAATCTTAGGTGTGTCAGGCACTATGCTACCCACTTGACATCTCACATAATTCCCACTTTTCTGGAAGGTTATACTATAATTAGTCCTTATTTTACAGGTGGGGAAACTGTTGAGACCAATATTACACAGACTAGATGCTTAATTACATTTAGTATATTATATATGGATTATCACATATAATATAAAAATGAGGATTTTTAATGGATTTTGGAGAATTAGAACTGGCATTTAGTTCAGCTGGCATATGTATTAGTCAGGGTTTTTCAGAAAAACAGGCACAATAGGATATACATATATACAGAGATTTATTTTAAGAAATTGATTTACATAATTGTGGGAGCTGACAAGTCCAAAATTAATAGGGCAAGCCGACAGGCTGGAGGTGCAGTTAAGAGTCTTGCATCTGAAGGCTCGAAACTAAGGTAGAATTTCTATGTTGCAGTCTGCAGGTAAAATTTCTTCTTTTTGGGGAAACCTCAGTCTTGGCCTTCAGCAAATTTAATGAGACCCATTCATATTATGGAGGATTGTCTGCTTTACTTAACTGGTGGTAAATGTTAATCGCAACTGAAAAATAGTCTTAGAGTAACATCTACACAAGTGTTTGACCAAACAACTGAGTACCATGATCTAGCCATATTGACACATAAAATTATTCATAACCAAATATTTGATTTTTTAAAAAAAGAAGTCCCATATTGTCCTATTTGCATACCATCTCAGATATATTATTGAAAGCCAGATCATCTGATTCGAGAGTCCACAAGCTTATGACTCTGATAATCACTAGAAAACATGTAACAATGCCTTGCACAGTGCTTGTACAAAATGAACAGTAAATAAATCTTCGTTGAATCTGAGTTCAAGTTAGATTCTGGGTGGTTTCCAAGAGGAACCTCAACCATGTTATTACTAATTAGTGTTTCCCTCAACATTCTCTCGTCTTTCTTTACCCCTTTTTATTTCTCCACTGATTTCTTCCATTGGTTTCACCATTATATTATTGAAAAGCTGTCCTTTAAGTTTTATTCTGAACTTCCATGTTTGAGATCCTCAAATCGAAAATCTCTCTCAAATATGCTGTCAGTAGAGATCTGTTCAAGATGGCACGTAATTTTTTATATGCCTTCATACTTGTCTTATATCCTGTTTTCCATGAAATGCTCATTCAGTTTTCTAGATTAATCTATGTGTGAAATCAATATGGACAAAAAGGAATATACACAAGGCAAAATGTGACTCCATGTAACATTCTAACATAGTGTTTAAAAGTGTGGGCTAAATAACTTAAGATCACTTCACTTTCGTCAAGTCCCTGCTACGTAAGATTTCCCATGTGCAAAATGACGATTATCATAGTAATACAAATCACAGGACTCTAATGAAGACTCAGTGACATGATAGATACTGACTATGTAGAATAGTATGTGGCAAATAAGAGGTGCTCTGTAGATGAAGAAATATTTTTATAAAAGTATAATTAGTGGGGTATAAAAAGACAGCTTGTACATTTCTAGTTCACTCCTTCATAAAAGCATCTTAATCTTGAAAGATAGTAAGCAGCCTGAACGAAGTAGCAGAGGATGCCATCTGCTCTACCCAGTGGTTTTTAAAACAACTTCTTACAACATTGGCTTCCAAATGACATTGTGTATAGTCTGGTAGCAATCTGTGACAATGCTCTGTTTATTCTGGTCAATGGCAAAATGGGAATATTAAGGAGTGTGTGTGTGTGTGTGTGTGTGTGTGTGTGTGTGTGTGTGTAAGTTGCCAGCTCTTTGTTCGTGAGAAAGACTCTTTTCTTTCTGAGATTCTAACCCTACTAAGCTTTTTGGTATTATATTTTGGTTTTTAATGATAAAATAATTATATAGTAGCTGGTGTTTTTAAAATGTTGTTATGCAGTTAATTTAAAGTTTGGTAACACTATGTCTGTGGCCAAAACATTTTTTAAAATTATCCTGCTTTGCAAAATCAAACATCTGCAAATCACTGCCTGAGGAAACAATCACTTCTTCGGTCTGGCAGGAGCTCTGATATGACTGTGCAGTGATGAGGAAGGGGTGTGATGTGTGAAGCAAGACTGCAAAACAGCAGACCATTTCTATGTGTTATACACAAACAGGTTAAAAGCATATTTTACTCTCAAGTATGACGGGGAAATACTCCACTTACAAAGCGCTTTACTTTTCTATATTAGAGTAACAAATTACCACAAAATTAGCAGCTTAAAATAACACACACTTGTTTTCTCCCAGTTTTTATGAATCAAGAGCCCAGTTATAGCTTATCTGGGCCCTCTCTTTGAGATCTTACATGGTCATGTATTATCAGCCGGGTTGCATTTTCATCTGTAGGTTTGATTGGGGAAAATTTTTCTTCTAGTTTCATTCAAGTTGTTGTCAGAATTAATATTGCTTTGGTCTGTGTGGATGAAAGCCCCCACCCTTTGCTGATTGGAGGCTAGAGGCTGACCTCAGGGACCAGAGGCCATCCATAGTTCCCAGGGGCTACTCACAGTTCCCTGCAACTTAGGCTTCCTCAACCTGACTGCTTGCATCACCAAGCCAGCAAGAAGACTCTCTCCTATGTAAAATCTCTAACTTCAGAGAAGGCCTAGTTCTTTTTGTAAGGGCTTTTACCTGATTCAGTCAGGCCCACCCAGGATAATTTCCCTCTTGACTAACTCAAAATCAACCTATTTGGCATCTAAATTGCATATCTGCAATAGCCCTTCACCTTTGCCATATTTACTAATGAGAAGTTGTGTGCCTTGTCCAAACTCAAGGGGAGAGCATTGATTACACAGGGAATGAATATAAAAGTTCAGGGTAGAGGCGAAAGGGTCATGCAAGCCACTCCAAGTTTTACGTGCCACAGAAAGAATTAAATGTGTTTTACTGGGTATTTAAAGGTAGCACTGGCAACATAGGGAGACCCTGTCTCTACAAAAAAATTAAAAGATTAGCTGGGTATGGTGGTGCATGCCTGTGGTCCCAATCACTCAGCAGGCAGAGGTGGGAGGATCACTTGGGCCCAGAAATTCGAGGCTGCAGTGAGCTGGGGGAGGCACTGCACTACAGCCTGCACTCCAGCCCTGGAGGCAGAGTGAGATCCTGTCTCAATAATAATCATAATAAAGGTAGTGCTAGTGGGGACACTAGCAGTAGCAACTAAGGTACTCTGGATTCTAGCCTTGACTGCCACTTATTAGTTACTTAAACTAGACACACTGCTTAGCACATTGAGTGTTTTACTTATAAAGTGTGATAAATGTAAATCCTGAACTAAAAAATTATTAAGATTTCCATACAATGCCAAAGTGCAGTGATTATAGGATCTTCAAATGAGGCTTCAGTACATAAGAACAGGTAGTGTGTTCTTATGGCTGAATACAAAGATTAAGTTAAAAGTGCTTATTGCTTTTATTTTAAAATAATTTAAAAGACTGTAACTAATCAAGAAAAACTGTATAGAGCCTTATGGGTTTTGTCCCCTTTTTTCAAATGGGCAAAATGTGAAGGAATGTGCCCTTGATTTTCAACTTCAGGCATATTATTCTCTTCAAAATTTGGATAAAGTTGAATGGGTCAACTTAAAGTCTTTGAATCATTTGGATCGATGTTGCTACCTATGCTCAAAGAAAAATGAGAATGGGAACATATATTAATTTATTATAACTGTTTTTCTATATTTCTATAATGGAATGAAAGGAAAATAGCATATTTCTTGTAGAATTACAAGACGCCTTATGTAAAACTGGCTTTGTGAAAATCACATTGATTTACTCCTTGACAAGTTGGCGTCTTTGAATTGCATAAATTCCTTCTCCAACCTCTGTGTAAGTCTAGAGAATCAAGTGACACCAAGACAGAATCTAGCTAATTTAAGTCAATATTTCCTTGTGAATAAATAAAATGCTAAGAGTTATGAAGCTCAGCTGTTCTCCTAAGCTCTGCTGACACTTGAAATACATGACTGATTCCTCAAGGACTTTGTCCATAGAGGAAACAACTAGGGAAATATTTTCCAGTGAAGTGTTGATTTACTTTAAACTCTGTTCTCTCACAGACACCTAGGAGAAAGCCTTTTTTTCTTTTAATTTTATAGGTTCTTTTTCTCCACTGGTGAAATAATAAGCAATAGATGATCCTCAAGCTAACATTACACAATAGCTAGATGATTCAATCTGGCACTGCTTTAGTGAACTCATTTTTATACTGCTCCTCTTCCAGTGCTGCTAGGATTGGTTTTGTATAATACCTGAGGTTTCCATATTAAATTAAGAGGTATACATGTTTCCTTCATCTTTACATTCTAACACTGCCTTCATAAACTCAATTCACAATGGTTAAGTTTAGAAGGTGCTGAGTCAGGCACGACACTGGTCACTACAAGAAACTAAATAATTGGCATTTAATAAAAGAGTTTATAACTTTGCTGGCTTGAAGGCCTCAATACAAGGCTGGAGCCAGCAATCTAAGGTTGTTACTGAACAGTTAAGGTAGCATCATGATAACTCTTCTTGCTTTGAGTCTGTGCTCACTACATTCTGTCAGTAATGCTTTAAGTTTACAGTCCTTTCACTTTAATCCCATTTCTTAAAATTAACCACTTTTCTCTCTTCCCAAACCAGCTCATTCTAGTCACAAAGACGTTTAAGTCATGAATGTATGAAAGCCAGTTTTTTGTGTGTGAATACTACTGTGGCTAATTTTATTTTCTTCTTTATACTTTTTTTGTATTTACTGCTCTTTTAATAAGCATTGACTTATAAATAAAGATACTTTTTCGATTTTGGAAAAATTAATTTGGGGCTATTTTCATTTAGCAATGGTATTTAAATGTCTTAATATGTCACTAAATTAGTTCTTGTCTTGGGAATTTAAAGTTCCACCTTGAGAAACCTTTAAGTATAGCAATATCTTTAGAACTTCCGTCAGGTTTTCTCATACACTGTAGTCTTATTGAATAAAAGCATATTCTTAATTTGTTTTTTCTTAAGTGGGTGCTTTTTATTTTCCTTTGTATATATGAAATCTTACTACAGAATTGAAGACAATGAAGATATTTGCCTATTACCCGGAAATTATTTTTCAGATGTCCAAATATTTTCCCATAAAGAAATTTTTGTAGGCCGAGAGCCGTGCCTCACACCTGTAATCCAAATACTTTGGGGGGTCAAGGAGGGAAGATCACAAGGTCAGGAGATCGAGACCATCCTGGCCAACATAGTGAAACCCCATCTCTGCTAAAAATACAAAAATTAGCTAGGTATGGTGACACGCGCCTGTAATCCCAGCTACTAGGGAGGCTGAGGCAGGAGAATTGCTGGAACCAGGGAGACGGAGACTGCAGTGAGCTGAGAGTGCGCCACTGCACTCCAGCCTGGGGACAAGTGAGACTCCATCTCAAAAGAAAAAAGAAAATTTTTTGTAAAACATCAGTTGCAAGATAAAGATGAGAAAGACTTTAATGTGGTGTCCTAGCAATTAAGTGTTAAAAGTGACACAAAAGCAGTTATTAAAATACTAGATGATAGTGAATGTCAGAAACTAAAAGAAATCCAAAGATTGCATATGCATTGTTGGTGGAAAGTAAAATGGCATAGCTTCTCAAAGAAGCATCAGTTTCTTATAAAAGTAAACAAGCAATTACTATGCAACCAGTAATTGCATTCATGGGCATTTATCCTGGGAGGGGGAAACCTATGTTAACACAGACCTGTACATAAATGTTCAAAGAAATTTTATTTCTAGTAGCTAAACACTGTAAGCAGCCCAGATGTCCACTTCAATGGGTAAATGGATAAAAAACTGTGATACACCATTTCATGGGCTAGCACTCAGTAATAAAAAGGACAAAAAGAAATCAATACACTCAACAATTTGGATGAATCTCGAGAAAATTATGCTAAGTAAAAGCTAAAAGAGAGAGAAAAAAATCTAAAAAAGGTTAAATATTAAATGTATTTATGTATATAATTTTTTAATGACAAAATTATAGATGTGGAGAACAGAGCAGTGTTGCCAGAGATTAGGAACTGGTAGCCGGGAGAGGTGGGGAAGAGAAAAGTGAATGTGGTTAAAAGGACAACATGAGGGACACTTGAGGTAATGGAACAGTTCTGTGTCTTCATTCTAGTTTAAATACACAAATCTACATGTGATAAAATTGCATAGAACTAAATAAACTCACATATAAACACAGACACAAGTACAAATACAACTAAAAAAATCTAGACAAGATCAATAGATTGTATTGATGTCAATATTCTGGTTCTGAGATTGTGTTACAGGTTTGTAAGATGTTACCACTGAGAGAAACTGGATAAAGCCTATTTGATGTCTCTCTGTGTTATTTCTTACAACCATATGCAAATCTATATTATAACAAAATAAAGAGGTTAATTTTGAAAATTCAAAAGTTTTACAGTAAATAACCAAAAGACTAATTTAAAATGTCCTTGCAAACCTTGAAGTATAAGAATATATAGAAGATAAGTACCTGCCAAGAAGAGGAGGAGAAAAGCTTGAGAGGAAGAGGTACACTTGAATAGAGCTCACAATATACTCATACCTTAGAAACATGGTACACTATTATGACACACACAATGTGAAAAATAAGCAAATATTAACAAAAAAAGTCAATGACTTAGAAAGGCATAAACGTAAATACACAAAGAATTCAAACATAAGCATTAATGTTTCAAAAACTTAGCTATTAACTTCTGTAATAAACACAAAAATACAGTTGAAAATTCTTACAGTATTAAGACAAGTTTTTTTGTTTGTTTGTTTGTCTGTTTGTTTTTGAGACGGAGTCTCACTCTTATTGCCCAGGCTGGAGTGCAATGGTGCTATCTAGGCTCACTGTAACCTCCACCTCCCAGGTTCAAGCGATTCTCCTGAGTAACCAGAATTACAGTCATGTGCCACCACGAGGGCTAAATTTTTTTATTTGTAGTAGAGATAGGGTTTTGCCATGTTGGTCAGGCTGGTCTCCAACTCCTGACCTCAGGTGATCCGCCCACCTCAGCCTCCCAAAGTGCTGGGATTACAGGCATGAGCCATGGCGCCCAGCCAGGACAAGTTTTAATAGGGATTACCACATAATCCTTTTGATGAATTAAAACAACAGAAATTTATTCTCTCACAGTTCTTGAATTTCTGGCCAGAAGAACAAAATCAGAGTCACTGGGTCAAAATTAAGGTGTCAGCTAGATCACACTGCTTCGCAAAGTTCTGCGAGAAAGCCCGTCCCGTTTATCTTCCAGCTTTGGATAGCTACCCCATGGTCGGGCTTATGGCTGTATCATTTCAATCTCTGCCTTTGTGGTCCTGTCTTTTCTTTCTGTCTCTGAAATCTTCGTCTGCCTCTCTCTTACAAGCATATCTGAGATCACATTTAGGGTCCACTCAAGAACCCAGAATAATCTCCCCCCTCTCAAGTTCCTTAATTTAGTCACATCTGCAAAACTTTTTGTTGTTGTTGTTGTTGGTCATATGAGGTCACATTCATAATTTCCAGGATTAAGACATGACTATCTTTTGGGAGACCATTTTTTTAGCCTACTAAATAACTAAGAAATTTTATTCCAATTAATTTGAAAATTTAATTAAAAGATGGCCAAATTTTTAGAAAAACACAGACTACCAAAATGAACACAAGAAAAGATAGGAAATATGACTTGTCATTTCTTTTAGAGGTTAAATATGTTTTTTAAAACATTCTCATGAAAAAAAAATGCCTGGCCAAGGTGACTTTACCCCAGTGATTTCTTCCAAACATAAGAAGTAACACCGATCCTACACAAAATCTTCCAGGGAATAAAAAAAGGACCCATCCTAATTGATTTTATGAGAGTAGGATAACATTAATATCAAAATTTTAGTACACATACAAAAGAAATAAATATTAACTTCAGTCATTTTCATGAATGCAGTTGCAACAACCATAAATGAAATATTTACAAACTGAATCCCTCCAATGATATATATTGTCATTGGAGATGACAATCACATGTATAACAACAGCTAAAATGTACTGAAAATTTACTTTATATTATATAACAATGGTGTTATGCTTTACATGCATATTCTTGTATAATTTTTACCATTAAGTTATGAATTAGGCACTGTATTTAAACCCATTTAGCAAATAAGACAACTGAGATTGGTGAGGTTAAATGGATTACATTTATACATTACATTAATTAATGGCATAAATAGATTCCACTAAAGAGAACTACTGGAAAAACTCTGGAAGCCTTCCAGAGACATTAATGTATCATTTCAAGGAAGAGAATTTGACTTGAGAGGGAAAGTTTGTAGTCTAAAACTCTGATCTAAGCCATCATCATCTCACTCCTAACCAACTATCCTTCTTCCATCATAGCTTGTAATCCCATAATGTATTTTCTCCCATGGTGAGAAGAGTAAGTCTGTACATTATAACTCAGATATTGTCACTTTTCTGCTGAAAACCCCTGTCAGCTTCACATTGCACTTGAATGCCTTTATGATGGTTTACAAGGTCCTACACACTTGACCGTGTATCTTACTCCCACTTCCCTATGTCATCACACTGCAGCCACACTGACCTCCTTGGTGTTCCTCACACATGCTAGTACAGTCCAGCCTCCTTGCCTATGCACTGGCTATTTAATCTGCACAGAACATGCTTCCCACTGATGTTGTAGATCTCCCTCCCAATGGAACCTTATCAATTTCTACCATTGTCACTTTTCAGCAAAGCGTACCCTGATCTCTCTATTTCAAACATAATCCCCCAAGTCCAAGGCACCCCTTTTCACCCTATCCTTATTTGTTTCCATAGCACTATCACTTCCTAATACACTTTTTAATTAATTTGCTTAATATGTTTATTACCTATCTCTGCCATTAGACCTGAAAGTCCAAAAGGGAAGAGATTTTTGTCAAATGTATATATTGTTATATCCCCAGCTCCTATGGGAATGCCTATTTCATGTAAATACTCAGTGGATATTTGTGATGAATTCTTCAGCCAAAAGTTCAGGCATATGAAAAATGAATCTGTATTTGAGACTGATTGTTCAGAGGACAGGAAATTCAATGACTCCTCCATAGTTCTGTCCATTTGTTTTAAAATTTGAAATTGGATAACATTGTATTGTATCTTCATGACTGCTGTCTAGACCCATAAGCTATTTGCTTATTTCAGTATTAATTTCTTCCAAATCCTATATTGAAGTCGCTTTTCTGAACACAAATCTCTAGTTTCTTAATGAAGCATTATTACCGTGATGATTTTTATCAATCTGACCGAATGTCCATACTAACTGTGCAACTTCATACCACAGATTGCTGTCAACTGAAATCATTGGCCTAACAGTATTCAGTTCGGAGTCTCAGTCATCTTTAAAGAAAGCGATGGAAATGTATTTGGTGTGGGACAGTTCTTGAATATAATGGACTTTTTTATCCCTTGATGTTGTATGCCATGTTCATCAGTGTCACACAGAAAGAGTCTGACCTTGAAATGTTTGGTCCAGGTGCCATGGATATACTGAATCAGATCAATCAAATGGCTGATTGGATCATTGTGTGACAATCAGTTATCAAGATGACCCAAGAAAAGACATCATGGGACAATGATTTCTCTGACTACATAAAATATAACTATAGATTAACCTTATAAAGAAATCCTGATGACCTATATACAAATTACCCAACAGACTATTCTATGATAGAGTGTTCTGGAGCAATGCAGATGACATCCATATTTTTAATCCTGCTAAACATAGTATCTTTAAAAATAGACACACACAATAAATAGCAATAACAAACAATATACATGTTGAAACTACAGATGCTGAGAAAACATGTAAAATACATTTCTTATGCTTTAAGTTTTGTAAAGCTCAGTTATATAAATTATTTTTCTACAACATGATATATAACAATTTGTATATTATGGTATATTATTAGCACAATATGAAACTGATTAAAGCACTCAGCTGATATCTTTTGCTAAAATTTGCATCTAACTTGAGTATATATTAAAACCATGCCACAGTAAATAAAAGTAATACTCTAGGATTCAGCAAAGCTTTCACTGAATTAATGCCATGTCATATAAAATAGAAGACTACTCTCTTTGAATTATTGCAAAACCATTATCATACGTAAGCTATGTACTTATCTAATGACCTGGCAAAAGTGATTTAGACTGGGAAAACTGCCGGATACTTTCTATTGATCTGATTCCAGCACACCTTTTCTTTCAGTGTATCTGAGGAAAACAGTCTTCCGCATACTAGTGTTCATTAAACATCTTTCTTTTAAACATATCTAGTCATATGCTACACTAAGCTAAATGGTTTTGATATGCATTTGGTTTTTCACTCACTGTATGTTTTTGAGCCCTGCTACATGCTAGGTGTTTGTTCTGGATGCTAAGAATTCAGCAGTAAACAAGATAGCCTAAATTATATTAGAGGAGAAAATGTTTTTTAAAATGAAAATAAAATTACAGATTATAGTGAGTTGGAAGAAATGAGTAAGATTACATACTACAGTACTTGGAAACAAGCTTTGATAGGATAAGGGAAGCCTTTTCTCTTATCCTAAGTCACCTGTGAGGGCTAAATCCTAATTAGTTGATGAGGGTAGGCATTTCAGTGAAGGTAGAACTTTAACTTCTAAATCATCATTCTGCTATTTACTTTCAAAAACAATTTTTTACCTTCTTAGGCATGAAGGATTAGCATGAACTACAGAATTACAGAATGTTAGTACTGGAAGCCATCTTCAAGTTTATCTACTGTTTTTTTCTATCTCATATTAAAGATGAGATACCTAATGCCTAGAAAGTAGAGTTTTATGAAAATTTGCCAATGCTAGTCTGAAGTAGAGCCATGACAAATGTTGGGATCTCTTGACTCCCAGCTCAATGTTCATTCCTCTCACACACAATCTAGGTATCCAGGCTAGCATTCCATCAATAGGAAAACCTTAGACATACTGCCCAGATAAGTGTTAGGCTAAGAATGACCATGTTTAGCCCCTACCCACTGTGATATTACATTTCTCATACATGGTACCTTTTCTCTGATGAATTCAAATACTTTCTGGCAAGTGATCACATTTATATTACTACTTAAAACACCCCTGTGACATAAGCGGAAGTTATTTATTTCTGAAGTTTACGAGCTGCCTGGGATGGCAAAATAGGCCACATGGTGCCTATTAAAATCAAGTCAGGAAATTCACTGTAGATAAAGGTAGAAACCAAATGATAGATATAAGCAGCCATATGATATTTACACAGTAACATGATGTTTTAAAGTGTTCAGGCTATTTTCACTATTGGTATAATTATTTACCCACTGAAACATACATTCAACTCTTCCTGCTTAATCAGCTAAATTTTGGACCTTATTTTCTCAAGCATAAATAGTTAGATAGATGGTAGGTAGGTAGATAGATAGATAGATAGATAGATAATATATGGAGAGATGCAGAGATAGAAAAGATAGATAGAGAAAAGATAATGCCTGTTTTTCTGTGTGGGTGAGATCCATGGGGATACAAGGAAAACTTGTGATGACTGAAAAGGAATTGAGAAACATACTCACAAATCTTGAAGAAATTATTAATTTCTTCCATCAGCCACAAGGTATGTATATGAATTATTAGTTGCACCAGTTATTTATGGTTAATCAGTTGCTTACTAATTAGTCGTGTCCATGCAGTGTCAACTTGTGTCTTATCAGCTGTTTAATATTTTTATATCTCTCCTGGTTATTAAAATGAAGGTCAAACTGTGCTTTGACATGTAATTCTACTTGTTTTGTCTTATGTTTTGGTAACACTATATTCAAGACCATTTATGTGATTGGAAAACAGTGTAAGTAAAATTTTATGCTGCTAAGTAAACTTGAACTTCAACTATTGGAATATAAAATGAGGGGATGAGAGCATAAGGGATTGGGGTTAATTTTATGAGAAAGGGCATTGGATGAGGGAGTAATATTTGTAAAGATGCTTGGTTTATTAAGGTTTCATGTTCAGAGGCATCTTTTAATTTCTACTCCCACAGTCGGTTCTTGGTGGCCATTATCCCCCAGAGCAGTGGGGTTTGGCATGTTTTCTTTGAACTTGCCAGGGATTCTGTTTGAAGGGGATTATTTGAGTTTGACAACTGGGAGCAACCCTGCCTCTCTACAGGAGGATAGAAGAGCTGTTTATTTGACCAGCTGAGAGAAATGTACACAGAGGCAAACCTGCTAGTGCCACTGGGTCCCAAGGCCCTCGGTAGGATACAGAATAACAGCTGTTTGCTACAGTGAACAGATCAGAGGATTTTCATTTAATAAATTTGTGCTCTTCTTTTATTAATATTTTTAATGGAGTCTGGCTACATGTCCTGCTGTGACCCTTTCCACTTACATTTTTAGGGGTAGTCAAACTGGCCAATAATCTAAGCCATGAGTTGACAACCTTGGGGTGTATTAGAAATATTAGAAGGCTCAGGCTATATATGGGCAAAGAGAAAAGGAGGAAGGCAGCTACAGTAACTGCTCTGAAGCTAAAGAATCATAATATATTCAATAGTGTAGTTTTTACCGAGTCTTCATTACCTTGTTTGTTGTCATTAGTTTTAAGCAAGATTCTAAAATCTAAGGCTACATATCCATGAAAGGTTAGTCATTGAAACAGAAATGGGAAATTGCGTTACAAATGTATTGTATTATGAATGCAAGAAATACACTGTCAACAATTCCATTCACATGCTTTGTCTGTTTTCTTTTGTGTTGCAGTATAACGCATAGAAAAACACACAAAACAAATTTACAACCAAAGGAATTTTTCCAAAATGAATAGCCCAGGTAACCATGATGAAAATAGCCGGTACCCTGACAGTCTCCCTTTTGTCCTCTTCCTATTAGTAACCCTGCCCTTACTCCCTAGAAGTAACCGCTGTCCTAAAGGCTAACACCAAACTTCAGTTATGCTTGCTTTTGAAATGTATAGAAATGAAGTTATTTAAGTATGTATGCTTTTGTATTTGGCTTTATTAAGCATTCTGATTGTGAGATTCCACAGTGCTGCAAGTAGCTGTCAGTCATTTGCTTTTTTAAAAAAAATTTATTGCTGAATAGGATTCTATCATAGGACTATTCTGAAAAATTTGTTTTGTCTATTATAATATTGTTAGACATTTTAATTATGCCACATACTAACACATGTGACACATGACACTGTTGATAACTTTGATTTTAACCATTATAGTGAGTAGGTTACGACACTCGGTGAATGCCTTTTCTCATTAATAATCAGAGAAACAGTCTCTCTGATTAAATACCTAGTCAAATATCCTGCTCTTTTTTTTCTATTGGATTGGCTTTTTTCTAAGTTATTCCTAGGATATCACTATATACTATCTGTTTATTATATATGTGAAAAATATCTTCTCTTAGTCTGTATCTTTCCTCTTTGTCTTTCCTAGTTTCTTTCATTGAACAGAAGTTCATATTACTACAACATAATTAGTATCATTTTAAATTAATCTAATTTTTTATGTTTAATGTATTTTGTGTCTATTGCAGAAATTTTTCTTCTGTCCCAAGATTCTAAAATTATTCTCATGTTATTTTCTAAATTTGTTTTACCTATAACATTATGTTGTAAAATTCTTCTAGAAGTGATTGTTTTATGATGTGAGATAAGAGTCAAATTCACTTATTAAGAGTTTTCATTTCCTACTGCTCTGATGCACACTCTTGTCATAAATCAACTCTCTATGTTTGCATGGGTCTCCTACTGGCCTCTGCTGTGTTACACTGGTCATTTTTCCTATGCGTAAACCAATGTCAGTTTTAGTTAATGTAGCTTTAAATTAATCCTTGATATCTGAAAAAGTGAGTCTTTCCCCTAGCTCCCTTATTCTATGTCAAGAATAGTTTAGCTATTCTTAGCATTTGCAAATAAATTTTAAAGTCAACTTATCAAGTGCCAACAATACATACAAACAAACAAAAATTTACATTTTATTGGAATTGCATTAAATTTAAAAAATAACTTGCAGAGAGTTTACATCATTACAATATTGAATCTTTCCACTGATAAATATGGGGTAACCCTCCATTTATTTAAGTATTCTGTTTCTCTTCAAAATGATGTATATTTTATTTGTAGGGGTCCTATACATTTTTAATGTATTTATTTTGTGCATTTAAAAATATTTGCTGTAAGTTATTTGCTATTTCATTTTCTAATATTTGTGAAAAATATAATTTATTTTTATATATTTACCTTGTATCTAAGAACCTTGCTAAATTCATTTATTGATATTTCATCTTTGTATATACAAAATTATATATTCTTTATTTAATAATATGTTTCTATCTTTTTGGCATCATTAATTTCTAACTTTTACTAACAAATGTGCTTAAGGACATACATTTTCTTCCAGGAATGGTTTCAGCAGCACTGGATGAGTTTTGATACATGGCATTTTTCAATTTTCTTCTGTTTCTAACTGTGTCCATTCATGGTTCCTTATGCCTGGGTTATTTTCTGGTTTTTTCTTCTTTTTGTTTTTGATTTCTATATACTTATTCTTTGTCTATATCCTTAACCTGAACTGGCCTCTGCCTTGAGGGTTCCCATTTCTTGTAATACCCTTCACTGGCCTCATGAGCCCTGAGAATTTTTCTGGTGTCATTTATTTCTTATCTGGTCTGAGCCATATTATGGGCCATTTCAATGCTGTACACATTAGGTTCTTGTAGTTGGCTGTCTGCCAGCCCTGTGCTACCTGTACCACATGTTTTTCCTCTTGAATAGTCCTAACGGAAAATGTATTGACTCTACTATGATTTCTGACTTCATCTGGGTCCTCAGTGCTGCCCAGCATGCTTTCTGTTCTCTCCTTATATTTTTTTCATGTGGTATGACTCACTGCCTCTGTTCCAAACTTTCAGTTCTTGAGCCACCAAGTCTTTCTCCTTCTCTTCTCCCTAAGTATAAGACCTACCCTGTTCTACTGGGCAGATTAAAGTTCTCCAGCTTAAATTCCTTCAAATCTCCTCTTCTTCAGCTGAGATGTTTTGGGCACTCACCTAAATTCCACTATAAATGTATTATAATCAGTCCTCATTATCTGTTCCTTTGCTCCATCTTCAGAGGAATTACATTACCTTATTTTCCCAAAGCTAACCTTGCCGTCATACGTTACTTTATGACATGTTTTTTCACAACCTCTCTAACTTTAAGATTTTCTTTTCCTTTGCTTAAAAAAAAACCCTCGGCCGGGCGCGGTGGCTCACGCCTGTAGTCCCAGCACTTTGGGAGGCCGAGGCGGGCGGATCACGAGGTCAGGAGATCGAGACCATCCTGGCTAACACGGTGAAACCCCGTCTCTACTAAAAATACAAAAAATTAGCCGGGCGAGGTGGCGGGAGCCTGTAGTCCCAGCTACTCGGGAGGCTGAGGCAGGAGAATGGCGTGAACCCCAGGGGGCGGAGGCTGCAGTGAGCCGAGATCGCGCCTCTGCACTCCAGCCTGGGCGACAGCGAGACTCCGTCTCAAAAAAAAAAAAAAAAAAAAAAAAAACCCTCATAATATTTCTCTCACCAATATTGCTATTATACATAGAATTTATCTTCTAAGCCAGCTCTTCAGGGGATTTAGCCAGTCCAGTCCAATCCAAATTCACACAAATCAGAAGCAAAACAGATTATCACTGCTCCTTTTATGCTTCATGGGTTGTGACATTGCATAAGACACTGCTTTATTCCAACTTACTTCTCTCGGTTGATAGGTGAAATTGTGACTCCATCATAGGCTGTGTTGCTAAAAAACCTAGTCGTAAGTACAAGCCCTAATTCCCTCTTTATATTCTGTCTTCAATATTTAAATACTTATTTATTTGGAAGACTTCTCTTTCCAAACATGGTCAAGTAAATAAGTGTTTAAGGAGTCCTGTGAATTATTTTTTCCTATAATCTCATTTTAGAATTGCCTTTCTAAACAATAGAGTATTGAAATCGTTATAAATATCAGGAAATCCTATAACAAAAGAAGGTGTGAATAGTAAAAGCTGTTTATTTCTTCTTAATGATTGTAGCCTATGATTATTTTTATATAATATTTATACTTCTAATTATGTCTTGTGCTAATATTATAATTATTTTCCATTCTTTGCACATACCTTGACTGATAACAGCTACTCAGAAGCATGCTTAGTGGCAGTAGGAAAATGTTGGAATTAAAGATCTAAATTATGCACAAAAAGCTCATAGATAACCAAGAATTGGGAATCTCATTGATGTTTTCTACATTCTCAGCAGCTTTACTCACCCTCACACCTTTCTCATATTACTTGATAATGGCCATATATCTTATTTATGTGGATGTACTTTACGAGAAATTATTACGGTAACATGTCAGATCTACCCATCAACTTTCTCTCTGAATCCTTTTTCATTCATCATTTAACAAAAAATCCTTAGGAAATGTGATTCTTATTCTTAAATCTAAAATTTCAGGCTTCATTTTTGTCATAGTGGAATCTAAATCCATTTTAACATATAGTTTTCAAAGTAAAATCCATTTAAACCACCCAAAAAGTTTTAATTTATGTTCATAATACATTTTACATTATGATAAAATGGAGATGGGTGGGGCTTGAGGGCATTGAATTGGATATTCTCCAAGGCCCCTTTCAGCTCAAATATACTTCGATTCTTAGAAAAAAAATATATCATTGCCAAGACTGACAGTCCCTAGAAAGAATAGACTGCTTTTAATTGTGTGGCAGAGTAATCTTTTGAATGTATTTTAACTTGTTCATTGATTTACTGAGTGAAAAATAATCTTTATATATTAGAGAAGGTGATCTTCTGTTTCCTGCAATCAGATTATTATCTATAATGCCAACTATTTAATATGTTTGTATAGCTATTTAAGGTTTATGAAGAGCTTCTCATGGGCATTTAATCATCACAACCACCCTATAACAGATCCCCCCTGAGGAAAGAGAAAAAAATTAAGATGAGACTGCAAAAGCATAAATGATCTAGCAAGATCATCAAGTTCCTAATTGGTAGAGTTGGTGCACAGAGAACTTTCTGAAAAATATTATTGCAGTCTCAATGTAAGCATCATCCTGATGGATTCTTTTTTCTATCCCTAATATGCATACCAGAAATGTGTTCACTTAAAAATAATCTGATATAAATATGATTTAATAAATATATTTTCCGTGCCAAATAATAGTGAAGAAAGAAATGCAGCAAAGTGTACAGGCCTACGCCAAACATGGAAGACTTGGTGGTAGAGAAGATTAGTGTCGTTGAATGGCTTATAAGCACAACCTTATTCAGCCTAAAATCCCAAAAAACCATTACTGCCCAGTAAGAAAGTGAAATGGTCCTAGGAAGTCTTAAACCACTCTTTTCTTATGAGATTAAAATGCTCATTGGCACAAATTTACCATCAACGTCAATTTAATCCACATTAAGAAGAAACTGGAGAATAAACTTCGAGAATGACCATGCTAATCATTCCCTTGATCAGATGAGGAATTCAAAACTGCAGGTTAGGTGGTCAGCACTTACTTCACACTGATCAGGTCTGTGCTATGCGGGTTACTGCAGGGCTGATCATCTAGGTCAAGCATAACTATCTCAAAATGTTTTTTATGGCTTCTTTGCTTCATTTGAGGATGCAGGTTAAGATGTTTTATGTACTTCTCCTGATTAAGCACCTGATGTTTCTGATCATCCATAAATGTATTAATAGATGTTCATCTTTTCTCACATACGCATTATTCCTTGTAAAGTTAGCTCTCCTGTAGTCAATGCAGTGGTAGACTCAACAGATGATTTTGTCTTCTTCGTAGATTGTTCTAAATACTGAGGTCTAGAAGTCTAGAAAACAACTAATAGTCTAGAAAACAACAATAATGTTCACTTGGTACTATCAAAATTAGTCTTTTTTGTGGCAAGTCCAGAACTACTCTAGTATATTCTGCCAGACATTATGAACCAAAACTGTTCACCAGAACATAAAACAAATGACATAGAGAAGTCCAGCAGAATAAACCATGTGCAGAATATCTTTGGAATGAGCTGATGAGAACTCATTGAGAATACCAGACTAGTGTTCATAGCACATATATAACATATATAATGCATATGTATTTTATATAATACATAAATACATTAAATATATTAAATATTTAATCTAGTTAAATATAAAATATATTAATAGATAGTATGTTGCATTTATATATTGTTAGTTATAAAATACATCTAAAATACATAAAATATATATAAAATATTTATGTGTACATATGCACAAATTTCTCACATTTTAAAGTCACTGTTGAATCAACTCAAATTAACAAATATATACTCAACTTTTACTACGTTTTGAGGCCCTGAATTGGAGCCTGAATTATTGCAACCATTTTTATTAACTAGTCTCCTGTGTCTACTCTTGTGATAGCTAATTTTATGTGCCAAGTTGGCTGGGCCATAGTGCTGGGATATTTAGTCAAACATTATTCTTGGTATTTTCACGAGGGCACTTTTGGATGAGACTGGCATTACGTATATATTTTTAACTGGCAAAGATGTATGTACTGACCATGTTCAACATAGTTTTTGAAGTATATGTGCATTGTGAAATGACTAAATCTAACTAATTAACATATTCATTACCTCACATGGTTATCATTTTTGTGGTGAGCACACTTTATATCCACTCTCAGTATTTTTCAAGAACATAAAATATTGTTAACTATAATCATCATGTTTTTTTCTGATGGTGGCTCTTATAAGCAATGCTGCAATGAATACCTTTATACATGTTTTCTTGTATATCATATGAGGGTTTGTCTAGGTTTACATCTAGAAAATATTGTCACTTATTTGTATTAGCAGTTTTACTGGATATTGCCAAATTACTCTTCCATATAGCTGCACCAATATCTACTGTCACCAGCAATGTATGACAAGTTTCAGTCCTTGCAAATATGTAACTCCTTAATTTTCAGATTTTTGTGACTGGTAGATGGGGTTGAATATCATGTTATATAGACATCCCGATCATATATCAAGACTCAGGTTGGGGATTAGCTCTCTCAGGACATTTTTGCCAGTCTTCTTCTTTGT
Source organism: Homo sapiens (assembly GCF_000001405.40). Taxonomy (NCBI): domain Eukaryota; kingdom Metazoa; phylum Chordata; class Mammalia; order Primates; family Hominidae; genus Homo; species Homo sapiens. The sequence goes on along the minus strand of NC_000009.12, from coordinate 9,054,876 downwards.
GTTCCCTTGCACAACACTAGCAGAGAATATAAAACAGTATTTTGAAATCATTTGTTTTCTCTCCTACTTGACCTACAGGACTGTGATCTCATCAAGGGTTGATATCTATTCTTGTTTGCCTTCGAGTTACCAAATCACACAACAATGGCAAACACACCAGTATATGATCAATGAATGTTTGTTTAAGTGAGCAAAAATATAATAGTGAATAGTTCCAAGCTCAAAACAGGTTTGGAGCACATTTCATGGAGATTTTTGAGTAACAGGGCATAAGAGAATCTCAGAATTGACCCTCACACCCTTGGCCTTGTGTGGTCCTGGCCATAGCACAGACTGTTTCCATGTATTTCCAAAGAGGCTTGACCTTAGCAAGTCATGAAGGTCTAGATGTAGGAATCATCATAAATATTACTGGTAAACGTCATGATAATTTTATATCTACTATTTCAATGTTTCATTTATTCAGGAAGAAGCACTCACTGAATAATACCAAAAAATTTTAAGCTTTCCAGAGAAGTCTCAGATGTTTTGAAACAAATTTTGGCTAAACTCTTAAAACATGAACAAGACGCAAGTGTCTCAATATATTGAATTCCTCATTTATTCGTGACAATGAGAACTTCGTGGTGATGAGAATGTGATTTAACTATTCTGAGTCCCAATTTTGCACTATGTAAAATTGAGATGGTTGAGATGGTAACAGAACTTGCCTTATAGGATTGTTGTGAGGATTACATGCAATGATGCAGGCAAATGCTTCACACAATGTCTGAGACATTTGGTGCATGGACCAGGAGCTCAATACATGATATGGGACTTTAATTGTTATCATTGTTATTGTTGTTTGACTTTAATCTTAAAGGGAAAAAATTGTCTCCTTTCTCACTCATATTACCAAATTGGTCCTTAATTTAGGGGGAATCTTTTAATAGGAAAATTAACAAAAGATATTTTCTTATCTCATGTTCTTTTTGAAAATTGTCTAGTTATCCATTTAGATTTTGGCTTCAATCCATAACAAAAGATTGTACCATAAGTGCATTAGAATTACTTTCTAAACCTAATCTGCCAAAAAACCTAGCCTGCTAATCAACATTTTCAATAACATCCAATTTTCACTCACACTACAACCCAGGCTAATATTTTTATTTGACAACATTTATTTAAATATATACTAATTTCCTAGAGCTATTGTAAAAAGTACCACAGACTTGGTCACTTAAAGCAACAGAAATTTAATAATTTAATATCTCACAGTTCTGGAGTCAAGAAGTCAAAAATCAAGGTGTCCACCAGGCTGTGCTCTCTGAAGGCTCTATGGTAGGATCCTTCCTAAGCTAATTTTGTATAAGTATCTTCTTTTTTCTACAGTCATTGTATTCAGGAAATTCAAAATACATCAGCTCTTCAAACCCATTGACTCAACCGTGATGGGTTATTTGTATAGAGCAGACATCATCAATAATATCATCATCATCATCATCATCATCATTGGCCATCATAACAACTAGCATTTTTCAGCACTCATATGACTAACAAAAGGATTCAAAATTTTTAATGATTATTTCTTAATAGCCCTATTAATATCATGTGATATTCCTAAGTGGTAGAACTAAACTTGGACTCTGAGCCCTCTGTGAACAGATCCCATAATGTAAACCACTATGTTATACTATTATGTTAAACATTATGAAACTGCTGATATTCAAACATTTTGCAAACATTCAACCTAATACATGTTACTATTTTTCAGGAAGCAAAAATGAATATGCTTAGGTTATACCCCTATATCTAAGATATAAAGCTTATTGTTCTATAGGAAAAAATTCTGATACTATATTTTTCCAATTGGAAATTGTCATTCACCATCTAAAACTACTTCAGAGGACATTTAGCTCATCACATGAGTAAGTTAGCCAGAATGTTTCAGTACGTAAAATTATTTGCTGTAGATAGTTAGTGGAAAGATGACAGGCACATTCAGTTGGCTAGGATGCCCCCATTCACTTTCAATGCTACTTTATTCTGCCTAGAAGATTTTATTTTGTATTGCCATGAAAAAAACAAGTGCCTCAAGTGACATAAAATTCCTAATGCAGCTTACAAACTGTAAAGTTATCCATTGGGAATCAGTGACTTCTTTACAGCTTTGTACTTATGTGGACAGTATAATCCAGTGAATTGGAACATCAACAATTGCCTTTGATTGTTGAGACGCTATGTAACAGAATGGGAGAGGGAAAGTCCATGGTTCAAGTCCAGGCCTTATAATTTTCTCTTAACTGTATGACTTACCATTTCTGAACTTCACTGCCTTCTTCATTTTCCTTCATTGCACTAACATACCTTTCAGTGTTATGACCCTATAGTTTTACTCATACATTGAACAACACTTTACCTCAAGGAACTAATGTTAAAGGAAGGATGTATGGGACACAAAGGAATGGGTTCTGATCTTGTATTCAATCTACTATTAGGGTCACAGATAAGTCATTTAGCCTTACTGGATTCCAATATTCTTATTCATACAATGATGTTATGAATAAATCTTTATGTTCCCCAAATTCATATATTGAAATTCCAACACCCAAGATGTTGATATTAGGAGGTGGGGGCCTTTGGGAAGTGATTAGATAATAAGGGCAGAACCCTCATGAATGGATTGTATCCTAATAAAATAGACCCTAGTGAGCTCCCTTGCCCCTTCTGCCATGTGGGAGCACAGCGAGAAGGTGCCATCTGTGAACCAGGAAGGCGGCTGTAACAACACCACACCACACTGAGTCTGTGTGGCTCCTTGATCTTAAACATCCCAGCCTCCAGAACTATGAGAAATAAATGTTTGTTGTTTAAGCCATCCAGTCTATGGTATTTTTGTTATAGCAATCCAGATGGATGAAGATAAGTAAAACAGTTGCCTTAAATCCCATGCCCAGATTTCAAATTTGCTGCATTTATTTTAGATTCATTATGATGTTGTTTTGTAGCAATAGAGCAATGAGACTAGGAATATAGAATTTTGACCAGGCAGGATTAGAAATTTTCCCTGAACAATTTGATTTAAATGAATTTGGTATAAGCACCTTAGTCAGTCCTACAACTGGGTGAAATAAAAACCTAAAGCCTTTGCCTTTCTCTTACCTTTAAATTCTGTGTGAACATGGTCTACAGAAGCTATCAAACCTTCTTTTTTAATGACCATGTCACAACCTAACATTAACTTATTTTATACCTGCAAAAATGCTTTCTAAATGGCTTAGGCATATGAATTTAAAATGTTCTACCTCATTTTTGCAAGTTTTTCCTGAAATTGCTGTTGATTTCTGGATTTCTATGTTAAAAAATGAAGAAAGAATGCTCCTAAATTTTCATAGCTGAATGTAACACTAAATGACACCAAGGTTGGATTTCACATTTAACTACATTTGCATTTAGATCAATGCATGTAGAGATATGCAATATTCTGTATACTTTCACCTGAATAAATAGGTTGTACTGCATAATGAAACATTTCAGGCAATGCATGTTGGCCAATTTGAAAGTATCACATTTAATAAAATGGGCCTACTTTAAATAACCACCTTCAGGTTTAAAAACAAACAAAACTGGTAAGCTGCATATTCATAATATTTTATAATTTTTTTAGATTTTTTAATTGACAGATGTAATTGTAAATATTTGTGGTGTACATGATTTTTTAAAATCTATAATTTTATTTATTGCTCACTTATATTGTTAAATATAGAATATGTACAGAGAATGACTGATAGCTGGAAGACTATATAATAGCCTAGAAAAATTCCCTACTTAGGAAGCAGAAGGCTACATTATCTTTGTTGGAAAAAATTAAAAAGTAATGCTCACAAATTAACTATACGTAATTGATCTAATTTTTGTTTTAGTACAGTAGTTATTCATGGGGGATACTTTCCAAGACCCCAGTGGATGCCTGACACTGTGGATAGTACCAAACCCTATATCTATTGTGTTTTTTCCTATACATATATACCTAGGATTAAGCTTACCTTATATATTAGGCACAGTAAGAGATTAACAATAATAAATGATAATAAAATAGAACAATTATAACAACGAACTTTAATAAAGATAAAATGAGTGCTTGAACACAAGCGTTATAATAGTGCAACAGTGAACGTAATAACCTAGACAGCTACTAAGAGGTAGGTAGCATGTATAGCATGGATGCATCATGTCACAGGTAGGAAGGAGCAAGACTGTCTGAGATTTCATCACTCTACTCAGAGTGATGCAATTTAAAATGTATACAATTTTTATTGCTAGATTTTTTCATTTAATATGTTCAAACTGCAGGTGACTTCAGCTAACACAAGCCACAGTAAGTGAAACCTCAGATAAGTGGAGACTACTGCATTTTAAAAGGGTGAGGTTTTTATACTTGGCATGTAGGGACAGGGAACACATTGTCTTTGATTGTTGAGAGACCATGTAATATAATGGGGAAAGGGAAACGTCCATGGTTCAAATCCATGCCCTATCGTTTTCTCCATGCCTTATGGTGTAACATTTCTGAACTTTACTGCCTTCATCTTCCTTCATTGCATTGCATACTTTTCAGTGTCATGACTAGTTTTATCGACTAGTTTTATCAGTACATTGAACAATGCTTTAATTCAATAAAATAATGTTAAAGGGAAAAAGTATTCTAATGTATTTTGTCATTTATGCCTCTGTCCTGTGGCAGGACAATATTTTTATAGCCTTTGGAGATAAGAAAACAGAGGTTTCGTGCGGCAATAAATTGCATGGGCAATAAATTGCACAAGCACACATAGATGATAAGTAATGGAGCTAGGGCAGGAAACCATGTCTTCTGCTCCCAGTTCAGTGTGACTACCTTCCCATTGCAAAGACTCACACCACACCTTGCTACCTCATAGATCAAAATGGGAAGTGACTCAGGAACCATTAATGTCACTGTGGCTTTACAAACTTGTTTCTAATCTCAAAGTTGGGGTCTTTTTCATTTTATTGAAATGGAGGTAATGTTAATGATTGGTAGTCATGATTTCTAACAATAAGATGGTTGTTTTAAATTCATCCAGGGCAGGACTCAAATCATTACAGAGTGCTCTGAAATATGAATGCAGCCACTCAGTATTATTAGATGTTCTCCTACTACTGTGGTATAGGGCCTGCATGTAAGTTCCTGAGGTATAGACCTAAAACCCCACAACCTCTACACTGCTATTCAAATGCCCACTCCTCATAGTCATAACTACCTACAAATAAACATCGGAACGTTTTGCTAAAAAAAAATGACTTTTTGAAAATATGCTATTCCCCTTAGCAACCTCCACATCCCATAAGCTCAACTCTATAGTCATGTTTTCTACATTTACTATCTCTGTTAAATCTAGCGAAATGGCAAATCTGTGAACCAGAAGTGAAAGACAAATATTTATATTTATTTTGTCCTGTCTTCAAATAAAGAGGTTGGTTAACTTGAGCCACTACAAACTACACCAAAACTGCACTTTTTGCAATTCAGTTTTTATAAAGCACCTATTCTTGGATTTTCCAACTAGGGTTCCATGAGAAAATTAAGCCTTACAGAAATGACTTGATAACATTTTTCTCAGTTCTTCCATTCTAGAGGCACAGGATGAAAATTCCCTATTCCTTCCACTGAATGCCTTAAGGCTTAACTCTTCAGTAGAATGTTCCTTGAGAAGGTCTGCTAGACCTTAGGTTTTACAAGGAAGCAAAAAACTTAAAATGTCTTGAAGACAGTGATAATGACTAGTGTTGCTTTCCAGATCATTGGATGCTTGGTATATAGCAAGGGATGGCAAGTGCTGGCCTGTGGGCCATGTATTTTTGTAAACATATTTATTTTTATTTTTGTATAGGTGACTTTAAAATTTTGTTAACTTTTAATTTTCTGGGTACATAGTAGATGCATATATTTATGGGGTACATGAGATGTTTTGATACAGACATGCAATGTGTAATAATCACATCATGGAAAATGGGGTATCTATACCCTCAAGCATTTATCCTTTGTGTTACAAACAATTCTATTACACTCCTTAAGTTATTTTTAAATTTACAGTTATTATTGATTATAGTCACCCTGTTGTGCTATCAAATAGCAGGTCTTATTCATTCTTTCTACTCTGTTTAAAATAGACCATCCCTACCTCCCCACCTGCCCCACTGCCACTGCCCACTACCTTTCCTAGCCCCCGGTAACCATTCTTCTACTCTCTATGTTCATGATTTCAACTGTTTTGATGTTTAGGTCCCACAAATAAGTGAGAACATACGATGTTAGTCTTTCTGTGTCTGGCTTATTTCATGTATCATAATAATCTCCAGTTCCATCCACGTTTTCACAAATCACAAGATCTCATTTGTTTTTATGGCTGAATAGTACTCCATTGTGTGTATGTCTTACATTTTATTTATCCATCCATCTGGTGATGGACACTTAGGTTGCTTTTAAATCTTAGCTGTTGTAAATGGTGCTACAATAAAAATAGGAGTGCAGATATCTCTTCAATACACTGATTTCCTTTCTTTTGGGTATATACCCCAGCAGCAGGATTGCTGGATCATGTGTTAGCTCTATTTTTAGTTTTTTGAGGAACCTCCAAACTGCTCTCTGTAATGATTGTACTAATTTACAGTTCCACCAAAAGTGTACACGGGTTCCATTTTATTCACATCCTCACCAGTATTTGTTATTGCCTGTCTTTTGGATATCAGCCCTTCTAACTAGGGCTGAGAAGATATCACATTGTAGTTTTAATTTGCATTTCTCTGATGATCAGTGATGTCAAGCACCTTTTCTTATGCCTGTTTGCCATGTGTATGCATTTTTTGAGAAATGTCTATTCAAATATTTTGCCCATTTTTGATTGGGCAAATATTTTCTCCCATTCTGTGAGGTTTCTTTTCACTTTTTTGATTGTTTCCTTTGCTTTGAGAATGGTTTTTAACCTGAGGTGATCCAATTTGTCCATTTCTGCTTTGTTTGCTTGGTTTGTGGGTATTCCTCAAAAAATTTTTGCCCAGACCAATGTCCTGCAGAGCTTCTCCAATGTTTTCTTTTAGTAGTTTTATAGTGTGAGGTCTTAGATTTAAGTCATGATTTTCATATATGATTGGAGATATGGGTCTAGATTAATTCTTCTGCATATGGATATCCAGTTTTCCCAGCACCATTTATTGAAGAGACTGTCTTTTCCCCAGTATATGTTCTTGGCATCTTTGTCAAAAATGAGTTCACTGTAGGTTTTCAGATTTGTTTCTGGATTCTCTATTCTGTTGCATTGGTCTATGTGTCTGTTTTTATGCCAGTACTATGATGGTTACTATAGCTCTGTAGTATAGTCTGAAATCAGATAATATGATTCTGTCAGTTTTATTCTTTTTGCTTAGGATAGCTTTGACTATTCTGGTTCCTTTGTGGTTCCAAAGAAATTTTAGGATTATTTTTCTATTTATATAAAAAATGTCATTGGTATTTTGATAGAGATTGCATTGAATCTATAGATTGCTTTGGGTAGTATGCGCATTTTAAGAGTATTGATTCTTCCAATCCATAAACATGGAATATTTTTTCATTGTTTGGTGTCTTCTTCAATTTCTTTCATCAGTGTTTTATAGTTTTCATTATAGAGATTTTTCACTTGTTTGGTTAATTCCTAGGTATTTAATTTTATTTGTGGCTATTATAAACAGTATTTTTTTATTTCTTTTTCAGATTGTACACTGTTGGCATAAAGAAATGCTACCGATTTTTAATGTTAATTTTATATTCTGCAACTTTACTGAATTTATCAGTTTTAATAGCTTTTTGTGGAATCTGTAGGTTTTTCCAAATATAAGATCATACCATCTGCAAGCAAGGATTATTTGACTTTTTCCATTCCAATTTGGATGCCTTTTATTTCTTTCTCTTGTCTGATTGCTCTAGCTAAGACTTCCAGTGCTATGTTGAGTAACAGTGGTAAAATTGAGCATCCTTGTCATGTTACAGATCTTAGAAGAAAGGCTTTCAGTTTTTCCCATTCAGTATGATACTAGCTAAGGGTATGTTGTAAACAGATATACTGATACATATCAACGCTCATGCTTTATGTATTGCCTATGGTTGCTTTCCCAAATACAATAACAAAATTGCCTGCATGATTACAGAAGAGATTTCATGTCTTGCAAAGCCTAAAATATTTACTATCTATTCCTTTAATAAAAAAGTTATATGACCCCTATCATAGAGTAATATCACCTATTTGACTGGTTTTCATTCCTCCCTAAAAATTATCAATAAAAGGAATAGGAAGACGTTAGTAACAAAATGTGCATAAATGCTCTTCTTTTTAAACTATTTGGAGTGTAGATATGCTTTGTCTTTCCAGATATATCCTGAATTAAGTCTCCAAATGGAAACAGAACTTATTCAGTTCACGATAACAGCTACCAATTTTTAAAGAAAATTTTATAAAAACAATTGAGCATCCTTCCCAATATAATCACCACATCTTCCACTTTAACCTATTGTTTAAATCACATGTTGCTGGATATCTTCTAAGATGGCAAGAGACTGGAGTTTTAGTTAAGTAATTATCTGTAATTTGTATAAACTATGTCTTTATAAAACTTCTAATTATAACAACTAGCTTTCCTGTGGAGTTGAGGCATGAAGTGTGCATTCAAGCAATTAGAAAGACATTATCAAGTGACTTCCACCTTCTTTTGGAAGCTGAAAGATATAGATAATAAAGTTTCTGACATTTTACATAAAAATAAAGCATGAGTGTTATGTTAAGATAATTATATCTTTGTCCATATTTTTCAGCTTGGAGTTTATCCTTTCTCTAGCACATAACAAACAAAACTGGATTAGTTTACAAACTGTGCAGAACCGAGGCAGCTGAGAAGCATCTGGATAAACCGATCTCAGCAGAGTGTTCAGCAGAGGAATGATTGATGGAAGCCTAATCATTTCTTTTATGCAGGTCAAATATTCACAACCCTAAAAAGTCTGCATATCTCAAGCATTTTGCAGTTTTTACAGCTTTCTGATCATCTACTTTTTTTTCCTCCTTAACATAAAATGTTTCCAGGACCCAACAGCTGGTGCTTGCTGGCTGAAGGAATGAACAGGAAGACAATGTGTTCACAGGATTATGGAACAGTCTGAGAGGAGAATTTATGCAGAGTTTTATAAGCTTAGTCAGGCAGAAAATAGATTGGGGTGCACAGAGGAAATAATGTGTCATTCAAAGCTCAGCTTACAGACACAGCCTTCATAACATAGAAGCAACCATGGGCTGTTCTTGCTCCTGCAACTTCAACTGTTACCTTGAAGTTTGGGTGAAATAGCAGAAACAGGCTGCACTGAGGTCTTACTCTTCAATAGCTTTTATTGTTTGCCTGTCAAAATCAAACCACAACCCCCGACCCTTCACCCACCTTACCCCCACCCTCCCACATGCTCACGACTTAGAAACTTTCAGTAATGGCCAACACTCAAGCACTGTGATAACTGAGAAGTGCTAAAGAGAAATGGTTCATCCATAAGAATGAAGAGCATCCTCTAATCAACATGACTGACCCTTGAAGCCTTTTTGAAAAAAGCTCTGATTTCCAGCAAGCTCTCTGGGCATTCATAACGTCACCTTCCTTTAATGAGCTCCCATATGTCACTTGTAATTCATCTAAGTGCTCTAAAATCCCCTAGGTTGTAAAGTGTATTTCATGCTCCTAATTTGAACCATAACAGAACACGTCTAGTTAGTTGGTTGGAAATGACAATCATGTTTCTTTAACATCATATTTTTGAATGGTTTAGCTGAGTTTCTGTCATCAAGAACCTTAATTTGATTCATTTGTTTCTTGTTTCTGTTGATTATCTTGATTCTGTTTTATAAGCAAAATTATTGTCCTAAGTGCTTCTCAGCAAATGGCCTGACTAGTGCTGTCTTGGGTTGTGCTTCTAGACACACCATTATGACAGTATATTCAAGGTAACTATTTCATTGGTTCTCTCAAGGCTCAAAAATACCTGTCATTCCTTCTAAATGGTAATTAATTTCCAGAAAAATAAATGGAAAAAAGGTAAAAGGGAAGAAGTTGGGAGAAAATGTTTAAAGGGTAATTACTGCATATTCTCCTTAAGCAGAAAATGACTCAAGTTCCCAGCATAGTCAGTTTGTATTGACTTGATAGGTCCTGATAAATTCCAAGTTAGGATGTGCTTTCTCTAAAGTGCAGCTTTTATTTAACAGTGTCATTGTTATTTAGTTAGACAGCCACTCTTTTTACACTTGCCCCTGCCATGGAAGAAACAGAAATGCCTAAACTAGTTAGTGTTCACAAAATGAGCAAGCAACCAACACATCTATGGTTCATGTATTGCTAGGAGGCAGTGAGGAATCTCATATTACTGAGTTTGCTGCAAAAGTGTCCTCAGTAGGACCTGCCCAAGCAGCATGTTTAAATATTTGTAGCAGATTAACATGGGCCACTCACAGTGGTCAATCACATCTATCCATAGCAAATATGTGTATATGTGTTCTTTTTTGAAACAAACAAAGCTCAGAGAAGATAAATTCATAAAACCTTTGGTGACATGTTGAGTGTTTTCAGATGATATTTAGCCTTAACACTTTTCTGCCATTCCTTAGCAATGCAAGTCTAAATTTTATTTTCCATCTGAATCTGTAAAAACAGAATGGAAGTTCATGTTGTCATATAAAAATAACTTTTTCCAACTTAATTGTCTTTGTGGAAGTTTAAGGTACACAGTTATAACACTAATACATCAGACTTCCTAAGAGTAACATTAGCTCTTATTTAAATTGAATGCTGACTTGGCATTAAAAGTCTATCACTGAAGTTTTAGTTTTTCTATTTTATTTTACTTTCATTTTATTTTATTTTATTTTATTTTATTTTATTTTATTTTATTTTATTTTATTTTTGAGACAGGGTCTCACTCTGTCACCCAGGCTGGAGTACAGTGGTGCGATCTCAGCTGGTTGCAACCTCCGCCTCCCAAGTTCAAGCGATTCTCCTGCTTCAGCCTCCTGGGTAGCTGGGACTACAGGCACAAACCACCACCTCCAGCTAATTTTTGAATTCTTAGTAGAGTCAGGGTTTCATCATCTTGGCAAGGCTGGTGTCAAACATCTGGCCTCACGTGATCCGCCTGCCTTGGCCTCACAAAGTGCTGGGATTACAGGTGTGAGCCACTGTGCCCAGCCTAGTTTTTCTACTTACTCATTTTCCTTTCATTTTCTAAGGCATTCAAAGTCAGACCATTTTTCTTTTAAAGATAGAGTGGCACCTTCTCCATGATGGTTTAGTTGAAAGTGAACTATTTATTGGCGTCTTTCCCTTAGCAGAACTGAAGGACAAAACAGAAAAGGTTATGGTGACCTCGAGGTCATCCTGATAATGAAATACTAGACAAATATTGAACCCTGTATTGTTTAATAATGGTGACACCTATCTACAGGTAGGTGGTATAGACTAACAAAGGTGCTCTTAAAATTCTTTAATGTGGGTTGATGTAGCATCAGGTATTAAAAATGACCTACAGTTAATATAAGACAAGATGTTAATCAAAACTTCTTAAAGAGGAGATGTACTAATTAAGTTTTCCAACAACACAGAATGATGCCAGAGCTTTCCTCTGCTAGGATACAGAAGTATGTAAAATTTATGTATCTTTGTTGTGAGCCACAGACACTAACTCACTCTAGATTGATTAAGCAGAGAACTAATTTGTTGTAAATTTATTGGGAGTTCATGGTATCACCAAGAGAACTATAAAGAACCAAGTTTTAAAATGTGCAGGAGCAAATGAAGTTTGGTAACAGATAAGATTGCCTTCAGCTTCAAACTACAAGTCCAGTCCTGTTAGAACACTGCTGTTGCTGCCCATGAGTGTCGGATACCCAACTTACACTACTGCTGCTGTTGCCACCCCAGACCAGATACTGCAGCTACCATTGCCTATGAACTGAATATTGGTATCAATAATCCCTGACTCAAAGTCCAGGAAATCAGCTGAGTCTAGGTCATGTTCCTGTGCCCTACTTACAAAGGAGGCTGGGAAACCAAGTATCTGGCATTTTCAACTTCTTTAGAATATGGTCAGTAGAAAATGGATTATGTCTGCCACCAGAGGTCATAAGATACATGATTCCCTAAAAGCCTCCTAAGGAGGCTCAGATGTTGAATAGACCAAAAAAAAAAAAAAAGAAAAGAAAAAAAAGAAAAAATGCTAAGTGGCTAGTATTTTCTCTCAGGGCAAAACAAGTCTTAAGTGACTCTAATTTCTCATCTGGCACCTGCTGTTTTCCCTGCCTGGCACATCTTTTCTCCTTTCTCTGGTGACAACCCCAATTTTCGGGGAGACCTGCATCTCTCATACTTCAAATGTGACTCCAAGGTGACCTGCCAGTCTAACTGTTCTCCTGCCTCCTGGCACGTGATCCCAGTTGGAATTGTCCTAGTCCCAATCTTGCAGCCATAGTGGTTGACCTAGAGATGTTTATTTGATCTTGCCGGAACCCATCCACATTTCCCCTCAGGATTTTCTTCAGTAAAACTGGTAGGGAAGCATTTTCTTTCTTCTTTAGGTATGAGGTAGTAAGAATGACACCTAGAGTTACCTAAAGCTCTGGTTGCAGACTCACAGAGACAACCGGTCAGAGAGAATAAAACCAGTGTATAAGAATACATAAAGAAGAGAGTTGTGGAAAGAGAGAACCTAATGGCATTTCAGTTTCTAGGTCTAGTCACAATAGCCAGACCATGCATAGTTCAGTTAAAGGAACCAATAAACTCCTTTTCATGCTCAAGCCAGAATGAATTGGATTTATGTCACATCATCACCCTTCTAAGAAATATATTGTCCGTTTTCTGCCAAGACAAAGGAGACCTAAATTAACTTCTTGTGTTTTAGAGACTTCTTGTTCAAATAATTCTAAGGGAAATGTAAACTTTTATTTTTCCTAGATAGCCAGTACAGTTGAGTAGGAGATTAGCTGGGATTTAGGAGTCCTAGTTGTTCCTTCCAGCTCGAGCATGTCACTGGACGTTTCTAAGATTTATGTACTCCATTTGGATCATGGGTTGAGTTAGGTGGTTTTAGAGATGCCTTCCAGTGCTAACTTTCTGTGAGTAGAATTTTCCAAATAATTCCTAATTGTGAATGTATTTACTCATTTGAGTTCACGCCTCCTCAGGGTATAGTTCTGTTTCCTTATTAAAGAAAATGAAGGGTGAAACTAAGAAAAGGAATTCTTACTATGCAGCCATCAAAAAGAATGAGATCATATCCTTTGAAGCAACATGGTTGGAGCTAGAGGCCATTATCCTTAGCAAACTAACCCAGGAACAGAAAATCAAATACCGCATGTTCCTACTTATAAGTAGGAGCTAAATGGTGAGAACACATGGACACATAGAGGGGAACAACACACACTGGAGCCTATCAGAGCGTGGAGGGTGGAAAGAGGCAGAGGATCAGGAAAAATAACTAATGGGTACTAGGCTTAATACCTGAGTGACAAAATAATCTGTACAGTAAACCCCCATGACACAAGTTTACCTGCATAACAAACCCGCACCTGTACCCCTGAGCTTAAAATAAAAGTTAAAGAAAAAGGGAAGTCTTTATGAATGAGAGTTATATTTTTTTAATATTTTCATATATATTCCCCCATTTATAATTTTTGTTAAAGTTCTATCTTATAACAATATAATACATCAGCAAATATTTTTATGAAACAGTCATAGCATTTACATAGCAGTAAATTCAGTGCCATCAACCTACAATTTGTCATCTGAAAGTTTTCAGTGTAGTTAAGACAAGAAGTGCACTCAGGTAGAACACTTACAAATCAAGCTCAGGGCAGTGCACAAGTCATTGTGTGAGAAGGTAGGACCAGTTCTGTTTCTAAAAGCTGGGGAATTTCTTCTTTAGCACTGAAAAAATAATAAACAAAAGCTTTTCAAAGGCTCTAAACTCCTAAAGAATGGGCCCCAGCAAGCAACATTAGCTGCAAGTCTACAATCTATTTTGTGTTGAAATTTGAGTTTGGCTTGAAGGGAATATTTAATTCTCTTCAGCATTTTATTTTAAACAGATATTATGACTGTGATTATGCTCATGTTATAGATAACCTTCCATTCTGTTCAGCTTTTAGAAATTCTAAAATATGTTCTTGCTACAATGATTTCAAAGTACAACATTTAAATCACTTCAAGTACAAAACCAGTTATGAAAAAAAAAATTCTTCGGGAACTGTTATTTATGAACACAGGCTGTGGTGGCACCAATTTCTCTATGCAAGAGTGCGGTTGAATATGTAAATTAGTTGGCTAAGATTCTACACTCCAATATAAATGTGCAGAATTTGTTTTAAAATTCTACACCTTTAAAATCTCTAGGATTTTCTAACTTAATTCATGTTTACTAAAGAACAACAGTACACCTTGGTGGGAGGAAAAGACCAAGGCATATGGTGTTGCTTTCTTAAGCCCATCACCAGAAGACTCTGCCAGGCAGTATATGTCATGTGAAAATACCATAGTGTAAAAGTATCTGAATCTGAGCACCTGCTTTCAAATCCTGATTTTGCTAACAAATTACTGTGGTCTTACCTTTTCCAAGCCTCCAATTCCACATCAGTGAAAGCATAAACTTGAGTTTCATAGCCCTTTCCCCTTGCATGGGCTTGTAAAGATTAAATGGCATTACTTAAGGAACATCTGTGAGCCTAGCACAGAGTAGATCCTCAATAAATATTAGTTTTATTTTTCCTTTCTCTGAATTGTAGCTTCCTCATCTGTAAAGTAGGAATTTTTTAAATGCTGCCAGAAAAAAAAAAATGCACAGGAAGTTCCAACATTACACAGAGAAAATAGGCTGACCTCCAAACAGGCCCAGGTGACAATACATTGGGGGTAGGCACCACAGTCAACAGGTCAGCCCACCAGCTTTGAGCTCAGATATTGTAATTGTTAGTCTACACAGAAGGTCTACCATCACTTAAAAAGATACAACTTTCAATATATTGGCTTATTACTGTTCTGCAAGCTCTTACTTTCCCAGTACAAAATATTCTCAGGAATAAACAAACAACATTGAGTCAAAATATTGTTGGGTGAGCATGAAATCAAGGCAAGTTGGCTGAATTATCAGGGGTCAATAACTACTTCTGTAAAGGGACAGATAGTAAATATTTTTGGCTTTATAGACCAGGCAGTTTCTATTACAACTGTGTCTGATCAACTCTTGTAGCAGAAAGGTGTAGACAGCATGTAAACAAATGGCAATGGTTGTGTTCCACAAAAAACCTTATTTACAAAAGCAGGATGGTGGGCTGGATTTGGTCCCACTGGCCTTAGTTTGTAGGCCTCTGTGTTCGATGATTAGAGTCATCGAGATAAGTATGTGGAGTACACCTACCTTCACTGCAGATCTAATTAGCTGCAGAATTAGATCTGCAGATGGATTTCATACCTGGGTTCTAAAGCTAGTGAACCCATCCCTTAAATGGGGTAGGAATTCCTCCGCTACCAATGTTTGTTTCTCAGCATCTCATATTTCCATTGCTAGCTAACAGTCCTTCTGATTGACAAGTTCTCTTCATAAATACAAATAACTTCAATTATATTCCAGGTTTGGCCTTAGCCTGGAGGTCATTCTTCCTGTTTAAGGTATAGCTTTGTATAGCTATCCATGTGTATAGCTTGTTGTATGAAATGTATACAGCTATGCTTAAATTCTTTTTTTGTTTCATAGCTTAACTCTGAAAACACAACCTTGTTTTATTTTCTACTTTAATATTTTGTGGGAGATAGGGGTGCTCACCACCACCCTATGCTATTTACAAGTAATACTCATGAAAATACAGCAAAAGCTTTTACAAAAGTAAGTGGTACTCAGTATATCAAACAACAAAAAACCTTCCTGGGAGGGAAAAATTTTTAAATTAAAAAAAAATAGTTATCTGCTGGGCGGGGTGGCTCACGCCTGTAATGCCAACACTGTGGGAGTCCGAGGCGGACTGATCACTTGAGGTCAGGAGTTCAAGACCAGCCTGGCCAACATGGTGAAATCCCATCTCTACTAAAAATACAAAAAAATTAGCTGGGCGTGGTGGTAGGCATCTGTAATCCCAGCTACTTGGGAGGTTGAGTCAGGAGAAGCACTTGAACCCAGAGGCGGAGGTTTCAGTGAGCCAAGATCACACCACTGATTTCCAGCCTGGGCAACAAGAGCGAAACTCCATCTCAAAAAAAAAAAAAAAAAAACCGTTATCACAAACATTGAACATATATTAAATTAGCCCCCCACTTAAAGTGAAGAATTGTGTTTGTGTACATGCTCAGTTTGTGTACATGTTTGTATACATGTTCGTGTACATGTTCAGTATTATCAGCCTCTGTTATTTCTATGTGGGGGTGTTTAGAAGTACAGCGAAGTGGGGGGAATTTTGCTGAAGAAAGTAAAATGAATACATCTGAGACGAAGGAAAGGCGATGGACCAGCCAGCCTAGACCAAACTGTCCTGTGGTAGGTCCCAGCTGCCCATCTGGGCTCATGCTCCTTAACGTGCTATCAAACATACATTGCCTTCTCAGTTTCTCCCCACCTGCTCACCCACAATCTTTTTTTTGATTTCTTATTCAGCTTACATTGTGTGACTATTTGGAAATATATATACATCCTAGAGGATTTTGAATCCAGACATGGAAGAGAGAGTAGGAATGTAGAAAGGGGAAAGGAACAAATCTGTAGTTAGCATTTGCTGTAGGTTTTCAATATTTTATTTATTTTATTAATTTCACTCTTCTACCCAACTCTGTGAAGTTATTCTCATTTTATAGATGATGAACTAAATTTCAAAAAAGTTAATTAGTTTTCCCAGAGTTGCATGGCTCAAACCAGATGCTAAACCACACATTCCTGCTTCCCAAGTCCCTGCTCACGTAGTCAGCACAGTGAAAATCAGTGGCTTTCACTGTGCTTCCAGGTGCCCTGAAATAAGACCCTCCAACAATCTGGCCCTGGTGAAAAGCCTACTTTTTCCACTCTTCCTAGCTTACTTAAATGCTTAATCCTATGATGATCTGTGGATTTCCCTGTGGCCATTTTTGCTGGACACCTTTCTGTACCATCTGATAAATCTTGTAAAGAAGGGAAAGACAAAGAGAATCATTCCAAGGGTACTTTTACCTTAAGCCCTTAGTTATGGAATAAAACTGATCTCTCCTGGTAAAGAATCCTCAGAGTTCAATTAGCGGTTGAGAGAGTAATTTTTAGAGCACAGCACGGAAGTTTTACCATGTAATCGTGCTCTGTCCTAGAGCAAACTATCTTTGCCATCCATTATATTTATAAAGCTTAGTACTGCTGAAAAGTTCACCCTGGAGAAGGTCATCTTAATGGTTGAAACATTAAGGTGAGGTTTGCTAACACAAACTATTGTCTCTATATCCTTTGTTCATTCTATTTTAGTCCTTCCTCAGACTCTTTATAGGATTAAAGTGACATATAAACATACATTTTGCGAAACTTTTGACAAATCAGGGAACCTCCCTGAGCTTCAGTTTCCCTACCATAAAATGGAGGATTTGGACTAAATTATCTCTAAAATCCTTTCCAACTCCCACATTCTGGATTTGTTTTAGCCTGAGATACACATTGTTAGGCTCTGTAGTTTGGCCTAGATTTAATTCCAGATTCCAGGCACGGAGTGAGTTACTTCCTGTTATTAACGGGTTTCTTAAATGGACATACCATTGTGTAGATGAAATTTTATTTTTAACCCAGTACCCAACCTTGTAGATTGCACTGTGGAAGCATACGTTTTTGTGCATTTGTGTTCAAACCAATTTAACTTTCATTTTTAAGGAGAGTTGGAAGCATCCCAGTTCATTGAACTATGAGAAAATACAGAATGAACAAAGTTGTTGATGTTGGATGTGTTCTGTTGCTTTGTTCCTGTCAAAACTTGAGCAGGCTCAACCAAGAGGCATGCTGAGATCTCATTAACAGGGTGGGATATATATGTATCAGGGGAGAGAGGTAAGAAATGGGGACAAACAGGAGAGGAGGAAGGAAACTATTAAATATAATCTTAATATTATGGATGTAAAGATAAACAATACATTTTAGAATTTTCACCTAGCATCTTTGTCTAAGCTATTCTCCCTCTCCGCCATAGAGTTCCTTTATAACTCATACTCAGTTTCCTCTATTAACATCTAACATTAAAATGGTACATTTTATTACAATACAATTAATAAACTACTATTGACACATTATGATTAACTAAAGTCCATATTCTATTCAGATTTTCTTAATTTTTACTTAATGCCCTTTTGCTATTCCAGAATCCCATCTAGGATTTACATTATATTTAATATCATGTATCCTTAAGTTGCTGTTGGCTATGACAATTAAGACCCTATATTTTTAACAATCACTTCCTTTTTGTCTCAGTGTCTTCACTTGCTTATTTTATTTTATTTATGTAAGCTGTCTTAAATTCTTCCTCTACTTAGAAGAGCACTAATTATTTACTCTTTTGTTTAGGAAATGTTCTGGAAATCCCTAGTTTCCATACAACCTGCCAAGTTTTTTTTTTTTTTTAATTTTCTGAAAATTTGCAAATGAGGAGGGCAATCCTATCCAGAGGCCAATAAGAATTTATGATTATTGAAGCAAGACTTTCCTTGGATGGCAAAAGGAGAATAATCTTTATTAGTGAGTCAGTCAGTTGAAAGTCTTAAATCTTACACACTTGAAAAATAACCTAGTGAAGTTTCAAAAGAGGTAGGCACATTAGTTGAATGCTTATAGGTACACAAATAAATAGGTAAGAATGATTAAGCACATTAGTATTTAAAAACATTAACACTTCAGCTACTAGCATTAGTCTTCAAATATCTTTCTATATGTTTCAATATGTTTCTCCCAACCCAGAAATTCTCTCCACAAATGCAGTAGAGAAAGAAACACCTTTATTGTTGAATAAGCATTAAACCAGACTGTCATGTGCATTACAGCCACTCCACTAAGAAAGTGCACAGAAAGAAAAAAAAAATCACACCCTTTTATATAGCCAAGCAAATATACCCAATTACACACATATTTTCAAGATGAACAATAACTAGTCCTCAAGTAAGAGGACTTGACAGCACCATTGGGCATAAAGTCTATCTTAACTTTACCTGGTAATTGAGGTGACCATCTATGTTAGCTAACTGGGTGTATCCAGAGGAGAGAGGAAGCGGGTGGGGTTGGGGTGGGGGGAACACCCTATGACGGGAGGGAGGTTTATAACTTGGAGCATGGCGCAAGCTGATGTTAGGCTCCTGCCTTCCCATGGAAAATTGTAGGATGGGGGCACCTTCCCCTTTGATATTTACATTTCAAAGAGATGACTCTCAGGTCTTTGAGAAAGACATTCCTCAATAATAAAGCTGACAGAAGGCTTATTTACTGTCTAGAAAGATACATTTCAAAAAGACAGAGAAGGTACTTTATATACAGGTTTTCTACAGTACACGTTCTGACAAAAAGGGAGGAAAGGAAAATAGCTCTTATTTTAAGCAGGAGGAATTAAGCCTCCTGTTTTTCATTCCTTTACATCCTTACACTAGGCAAAGATTTCTTTTTTCATTCATGCAAAAGTGTTCACTGAGCAGAGGACCACACACCATGTGCCAGACTCTATGCTAGACACTATGAATACAAATATTTAGTGAGATGCAAAAAATCCAATCCCACACTCCAAAAGCTCACCATCTAGGAATCCAGACTCTATGAGCCACAATATCACCTTAGTTCTCTTACAGGTCCCCAGAAGTCCCTCCTGCAAAGAGATGAGAATTCTGAATAACTCAGACCAAGATTTCAGACTGCACCAGGCACTGAAAGTTCTTGATTGGTTCAGAGAAAGGCACCATATGAATATTCCTGCATGTTGAAGTTATTTTCTACTATTAATAAGTAGCATTCATTGAGTGGTGTTCCTGTCCCATGCACTGCATTGCTGAGTCTCACAACAGCCCTGTGAGGTAGGTGTTATTTCTATCCCCATTTTATAGATGAGTCTGGGCAGATGGATAACTCGCCTCTGGACACAGAGCTAGTAAATGGGGAGCTGTGATGTGAACACGGGTGAATCTGACTCCACAGTCTGACTACACTGCAGCCACTACATATGAATTTAGATTTGGAAGAAAAGGCCGTCACCACTGGCTGAGCTCTTTATCTTATAGAATTATGTACAAGCTCAGTAAAAAAAGACTACCTCAAATAAGAATTATTCCCCATGTTTACAATGCACTTAACCGTCTTCAAATCAGTTGTTTTGCATAGTTTCATTTGATGTTCACAACAACCTTGGGAGACACATAGTGCAGGTATTTTAAACCCAGGTTAGGCATTGAAAACCTCAGACTCACAATTTAAATAACTTGTCCACCATCAAACAGCTAGTGAGTGGAAGAGCTGGGACTCCATTCCAGAGCTCATAACAAGTGGTTACTTGTGGCATGAAATTGGAAAATCCCAACCTGGAGACAGATACGCTGTATATGGATTCCTAACAGAGCTCTAGAGGTTCCAGGATTCACCTATATTCTACTGCTCTGTCCCAGAAGAAAAGCCAGAGTAAATGTTAGTCCTGCCAAATCTGGTGCACTGTGCAATACTCACTTAAGTATGCCTTTGTTTTCCTTCATGTGACTTGTAAATAAAATTCCATTTGCTTCTATTCCCTGTGGCTAAAGAGTAATATTTAAGCCTTTCAAGTTTATTTCTACTGTGCTTCCTGGAGAATTTTGTATACTACTTACCCCAAAATGGGCACTGTTCTGCAGTTTTTATTCAGGTAAAATTAATGGAGTTTCCCCCTGAGTGAGGAATGTTTAATCAATCCTATTGTTTGATTTCAATGGGTTATTACGGGTGGGAGAATTGTTATACCAGAGGCAATTTAGAAAATCAGGTACAATTGACTCAAGTCAATTTACATACTGCAGTCCCAACAGCAAAAAGTCATGGTGTTTCATGCCTGAGATAGTGTAATCATTAAATGAGACCACCTGGGCAAGTAACTAAACCCAAGAGAGAATAAAAGAACAGAGATAGAGAGAGACAGAGAAAGAGAAGGGGAGGGGAGAGCAGTAGAGAGGTTGGTTTAAACACAGGCACATTCAGAATTGCAGCCAATCAAAAAAGGGAAAAATAATTTTCGAAGTATCTATCTCTAGTATTTTCCAAAAGATATTCACCATCAGAATCATCTAATGATGAATCCTTTTATAGAATCTCATGTGGCTAGCCTTGCATTTAATATTTGTATGTACTGCGGTTGGATGTTCTTCTGATAAAGCTGGAAGAATTCCCCTTTCTGAGATGTGGGAATGATTGGAAAGCTCTGAGTGGAGCAGCGGAAATAGGGATTCTAGTCTGAACCCAGCCATTAACTTTCCTCATGTCTTGGGCAAGTCAGCTAATTCTTAGGCCTGTGTTTCCTCCTCTTTATGAGACTTTGGATCATATATTTTCCAAAGCCTTCTCCAGCAATAAAGTTTGGTGTTTCTAACTCTGTCACACATTCTTGGAAAAGGGATGCACTGTGGGAAAACACTGATATGATTACTGCCAAATTATGTGTCATGTCTATGGACTATACCCAGTGAGCCAAATGAGAAAAGAAGGTCAAGGGAGAACAGAGGGAAAGAGTACAGCTGCCCATCCCAGCATACAAACGCATCTCCATTAGGAAAGGATAAGTACATGCATGAGCACTACAGATGGTGGGTGATTAGTACCATTTTTGCAGTGAAAGATAATGTAGCCCACATTTCAATAATATGAAGTGTATCTGCTGGTCTGAGAGTCCCGTACAGAGAGGTTTCCCTAGTGCACATGGGGAAGGGACAAGAAGGCCGGCTGGAAGGGAAGACGCCAAGATATTTGTACAAACCAGCTAGGTTTATAGATATTGTCTCAGTATCTTCACTGCAACCCTAAGAAGTCATTAATATAAGCTCTATTTGCAGGAACTTGAACTTGGAAAGATTAAGCAATTTAGCCAAGGAAAAATATAAAACCCTGGTGAGGGCCAGAGCCGGGATGCAAACCTTGTCTGAACTATACAAGTTCTTCCCAGCAGAGCACATTGAATATGCAGAAAATGTCACATCCTTTTAATCATATTTTTTTTTTCTAGCACCAATTTCTCACCTCTATTTATGCATCTTTTCAGAGCATGACCCACAGGTACAGAACATTGCCTGCAGTCCTTGGGGGCAAGGGAGGGAGAGGCATTAATTTTTGTCTCCATTTCCTTCCCTCATAATTATTTTTGCTCCATGACTGCCCATTTCATCCATTTCAGCTTATTAAAAACAAGGCCTCTCTGTTTTTGTATAATACTCTTTATATTTATTGTTGGAAGTGAAATATCTTTAACGGCTCATAGGCAGGCTGGTGTCAGTGCTGAGAGCTGTGTCAGCATGAAGACAGCAATGCCACACCATGAAAAGCAATTGCAGTTTTGAGAAGCTGCAGCTATTTGCAATCCTCGTTTCAAAAAGATCACTTTCAGAATGTGGCGTTGGGTGGAAATGGATGCAGTCATCATTTTTAGGGGCTTTGTTGAGCTGTAGCAGCTGGGAACTCTCTTTTCTCATCTCCTACAACCCACAGACCCTCACGCAAAACAGGAGGTAAAAATGCTGTTGTCCTTAAAATAAAACTCGGCTGTGTGGCTACATATTTTAAGAAATTTTTTATGGAAAAAAAGCTTTTTATAATGAAAAAAAAGATTACAGGAGTTCAAATAAAACCTAACCAGACATGAAAAATATGTGATTATCCTTAATAAATATAAAAGAATCAAAATCTGTAGATAAGACCAATAGGTAGTCTTCCATTTAGTAAAATGCCCCATTTTTTGACTGTCCAATTCTACCATCCTTCTGCCCTTGCTCAAATGCCAGCACGTCCAGGAAGCCGTGTCCCATTTATCCTATGAGGCATTTTTTGTTCTTTCACCTAACTCCTAATATGTTTTTATCTGAGTACTTTTGTCAGGTGTCTCTTTCCTATTTGTACTCTGATTATTTGTGCATGAATTTTGTCTTCACTACAGTCTCCTTCAAGAAGAAATTCACACTTTCATTAATTTATATATACAACATTCCAGTCACTGATGGACCACGTATTTATTGGTGGTCCCTTAAGATTATAATAGAGCTGAAAATTTTCTCTCTCCTAATGTCATAGTCACCATTATGTCATAGTGCAACACATTCCCTTCTCTATGGTTATATATGTTTAGATACACAAATATTCTGTTACAATTGACTACAGTATTCAATACAGTAACGTGCTGTACACGTTGTGACCTAGGAGCTATAGGCTATACCGCATAGCCGAGTTGTGTAGTGGGCTATGCTATCTAGGTTTGTATAAGCACACTCTATGATGTTCACACAACAACAGAATTGCCTAACAATGCGTTTCTCAGAATAAATCGCTGTCATTAAGTGACACATGACTATATTCATTAAACAAATGTGATTTGACAGTCTACTAGGTGCCAAGGACCTTTCAGGCATTAGTAATATAATACTAGTAAGTATTTATATGGTTTATTTCCTGGCTCTGCATCAAAGACCCATCAACAAGTCACCACATGAAATCTTACTGTCACCCTTGAGTTCCACATTCAATTCTACCAAGATGGTCATCAAGTCTCTCTCATCAATTTAACCATTCCCCCTATTTCCACGTCCATTTTACCAAAGTCTTAAGTACGTTCACTCCTTGATGTCCCACCATTATATCAGACTCAGCCATCTACCTGTTCCTTACATTCTTCATTCCACTGAGAGATGAATCATCCTCAGAACTCCACCACTACATATGAATAAGAACCATATGAATGAATCTAAGGTCCTCAAGGATCTTAGATTTAAGTATGGAAAATAGACATGTAAACATGTATATAAATTGCAATCTAGAGTATACAGGATACATATTGGATTCATTTTTATAACCTTTTAAGTATCTTAGCACCTTGTTGAATTAATAAAGGTGGATTCCACTCTCTAACAACAATAAAGGTCCTACAGAAAAACAATGGATAAAAACTGGTGGAGAAATAAAAAAAACAATGATGACATATGGATTCTTGGGAGAACCGTGACTCTTGACAGCCCAGATCAATTATTCCTGCTAACCTTAGCCCTAAATCTTTCTCTATTGGCTCTGTTTCCTTTATGCATGGTATATTTTAAGCAGTAAGGGCAATCCTAGAGAGGCAGCCAGATGGAGTACAAAAACATAGCTTTCAAGTTAGGAGACTTGGTATGTACACAAAAAAGATAATATCAGTCTGTCTGTGGTAAGTGTTGATTGAGGACGCAGGTATTAAATGCTACAGTAAACAATAAGTCTGAGCTTCTTCAGAAGAAAGTTTATTTGATAGGTATACTTACTAGTGAATGAGAAAAGAATAAAGATATCTGTAAAAAAAAAAAAAAAAAAAAAAAAAAAAAAAAGCCCAAGTGTGGCCCATGTGATCCAAAGGCACTAAGACAAATCATGGAACATCTGCTGTTTCTGAGATTTCATGGTTGAGGGTTGCATTCCTGACAGGTAGTATATTGATGCTAAATAATAAAATGTCATCTACATCCTTTCATAGATTTCCTGTTAGCTAGTTCTTTCTCGTTGGCATTTTTTCTTCCTTAGGCTCCATGATCCCACACTGTTCTCTTCCCATTTTCTTGACTGATCAATTTATCTTTGTAGATCATCCATTTTCAACCATCAAATGTCAGTATTTCCCATGGTTCAGTTCCTGGCTCTGCATCAAAGAATTGCCATTGAGTCACCACCTGAAATCGTGCTGTCACCCTTGAATTCCACATTCAATTCTACCAAGGTGGTCATCAAATGTCTTTCATCAATTTAACCATTCCCCTGATCTCCACATCCATTTTACCGAAGTCTTAAGTACATTTTCTCCTGGATGTCCCACCATTATATCAGACTCAGCCACCTACCTGTTCCTTACACTCTTCATTCCACTGAGAGATGAATCATCCTCAGCTCTCCACCACTACCGTACATTCCAGGACTTATAACCCTCTCCTCACCAAAGAGGTTTTCTCATCAAATTCCATCATCATTCTCCTTGCCTCCTCAGTTTACAGTCTCAGGCATATTTGAACCCTCCCTCTTCCTGTCTCCATGCCTAGTCACTGGTGTTAATTATTCTGAAAGTCTTCTTTTGTAATGTCTCTGGCACTAGGAACAATTTAAAATAATTTTTTTTAGTGCAAGTAGCTAGGCACAAAAAAAAGTGTACACTGCTACCCAATTTTTCCCATTGCCACCTGCTTTATCTAGCCCTTGTCACCTCATGTGTGGTGCCTTGAGTAGGTTATCATTTTTTAAATTTCTAATCTCTAGCCCCTCCTAACCAATCAGCACTTTTTAGTCTGATTCCTTTTCTTAAAAATACGTATTTAATAATCTCAACCTTCCAACAGTTACTCAATAGCTTGACACTGTCCAATAGAAATATAATGCAAGTCGCAAATATGAACCGTGTATATAATTTAAATTTTCTAGTAGTCATATTATAAAATGTAACAATAAATATGTGAAGTTAGTGTTAATAATATTGTTATATTTACCCAATATAGCTAAAACATTCTCATTTTAATAGATAATAATGACTAATATGAATGAGATATTTCATATTATTTTTCATACTGAATCTTCACAATTGTACATCTCAATTCTTACTAGCCACAGTTGAAGTGCTCTGTAGCCATATGTGACTAGTGGCTACCATATTGGACAACGCAGCTCTACAAAATACTCTATGCCCCCCATTTTCATTCCTTGCTTATGCTTCTACTTTTTTTTATCTGTTCTCCTTCGATCGTAATTAAATACTAATAATATGTAAGGCTCTCTCACTTAAATTCTAACTCGCCTGGGCAAACTTCCCCAGTCATCACAAGACTATGATTTCATCTCATGAGACGCATTAGCTGTACCACTCAGCTGGCATTTCCCATGTGCTACTTTCTGTAATTAATGCATGAGAACTGCACCCTAGCCAGACTGCCAATATCTTGAAGACTAATTCTTCTCTCTGTACCTCATATCACTTAGCATAATGTCTTTCATAGAGAAGACAGAGTAAATATTTGTTGATGGAGTAATGAGAAAATGGAGTTACTATAGGATTAAATAAATAGACTTTATTAATCAAGTCTTACATATCAATTACTATGATACCACACTGTACTGTCACAAATTTAATTGTTAGTTTAGGTTTCTGGGTTTTAGTAAAGATTTATTTTCCAAAATGTAATACATTCCTGTTTTAGAAGGATAAATGAAATATCAGAAATGTAAAAGTAACACAAACTAAATAGAAAGTCAGGTGACCTGCTATAATTTTAGTTCTGCAATTTATATATGGAGTGGTGAGAATATTGATAGCTGAAATATAGTGAATATGGTGAGCATAATAGTATTACGGAAGACATAATTTAGTGAGCTTCAACAAATATTGTCTGAATTTCTTATCAGTATGGAAGAATTCTCAGAAACATATTTAGAAGTTTTGATAAAAGAACGTGTTGGAAAAAGTGATTTGATAAGGGATAACCAACATCAGTTTGTGATAGGGAGGTTTTGTGCAGTTACTCTGTGGATGTGTTGAAAGGCTGTGGCAAATGCTTTGTCAGGGAATGGTAAATGCAATGGTGGGGTATATGTTTACTTACACAAGGAGCCCTTGATGAGATTTCACTCAGAGAATTACAGATTAAAGAAATGAGTCCTTGTGTACAGGCTAAAAAAACTAAATGTGGCTAATATGTTTTTCATCACAGGGGATTCTTTTATGTTACCACCACTTTATATGACAAGAACTGTTAGTAGACCAAATGGCAGTTAGTTTGAAGGGCATGATTCAATAACATAAAAATTTAGGATAAGTTTGACAAAGCAGATCTTATGTAAAATGTAAAATAAATGAAATCTGTACTTAGAGATAACAAACTTCACCATCACTAAACACCCTATTCTCCCTTTAAGCCTGAGTGTTCCCCATTACAACCCATAACACCTCAATGATATGTGATAGGACTTTTCAAATGTACTCTGATTTTATTAAGACCTCTTGATAGATAGGTCCTGAAGATTTTTATGATACAAATATGCAGTACAATAACTGGAATTAGGGAAATTAATTTGGTTGAAAGCCCCACATCAACACTTAATATTATACTATACTCTTCCTGTTAATAATATTGATGCTAAAATCCAAAATTTATATTTATGAGAGTAATTTAGAAAAAGAAAGATTCTTAAACTCAATCAGTATTTTTAGAAACTTCCATTATCACTACAAACGAAATTACAGTGTTTGTATAGTGTACATGTGCATTTTCCATGGTAACAGCTATTGTCAAATGGATAAAAGCTGAACATGCAGATATATACATTGTATATCTATCTATTCTTCTTAAAATTAAGATTATTGCTAATTTAAATGCAGGCAGAGAGCCTTGTGGGGGAACAAATTCTTTCTTGGTTTATCGTTACATTTGGAAAATCCACCTGGAAAAACAGAGAGGGAAGGTAGTAAATGAGCTGGACAAAATTCAGAATGTATGCCAGATGTCATGCAAGAAAGCTGAAGTACAATCTGAAATAGTAATGGGCGGAACACCAGACATAGCAGGTGCCAGAGCCAAGGATAGAGAGGGGAGTATCCAGTGAAGGAGAAAAGCCATAACTGGGAGAAAGAAATCAGCACTCAAGCAGAAGGCTCAAACAGACAAAAGTAAGTTTAAGAGATGAAGCTCTGGCTGGGGAGATTCCTTCCTGGAATGTGAATTGAAACTTGCTTTCTTTGGCTGATAAGGCTAAAATGTCGGAGTAGGAGAGTCCAGCTTAGAGAAAAGAGGTTTGGAGAATGGGGTCGGTAGAGAATGAGAAAGCTATAAAGGTGTTTGTTAATCATAGTTCTTATGAAAATAAAGCAGTTTGAATTTCAGAGATCTAATCCCTACATAAAGCTACTGAATCTTGTAAATGCTTCTTCAGCATTAATGTCGATGCAGAAAACTGGCAAATACCTTTAAAAAGAAATAGAAACAAAAAAAATCAAGAGCAGGAATGAACTTCGGGCTTAAAAGATGAAAAAACATTACTATTATAGGCAGCAACAAAACATACAGAAAATAAAACTGAACAAACCCTGGACAGGAAACCAGACTCCATGACTACCTTGCTGTGTCACATTTAGACAAAGAAAGACCCAGTTTCTTAAACTGTCTAACAGATAATAGGCTTGATCTTTATTGTCTTCCTCATTATTATCATGGTAGCTCTCTGTTACCTTACTATGGTCAACTTACCATGACTTACAAAGCCTTACATAATCTAACATCTGGCCTACACCTCCTCTCTTACCTGTCTTAAACCAGGCTTTTCATGCCTCAACATGCTGCAGCCACACTGGACACATTTGTGTTCTTCAAGCACTAAAGCTGGTCCCTGTGCCAGAGCCTTTACATTTATTGCTTTTTCTAGAGGTCTTTACCCCTTCCTTGTGGCATGGCTGTTCTTTCTTTTGTTAAGATCTCAGCTCAAATTATCAGCCATCTCTATAAGGCCTTCCTGACTATCCTCTGTAGCATTACCCAGTGCTGCCCATTCACTACCACAATACCCTGTTTTATTTTTTTCATGGCACTTAGTTCTCACTGAAATTATCCATCCATCCAACTGTCTTTCTCTTTCTTTCTTTCTTTGTCATTTATTACCTGTTACCCATTAGCATAAAATGTTTATCTGAGCGGACTATAATTTCTAGTGTCTAGAAAAGAACACATGGTAGATGTTCAAATATGTGTGTTGAATAAATAAATGATGAGGTAAATATTAAGTGCTAAATATCCATTACATTTTTTTCTAATCACGCAGTTATGAAAGATAAGTATTATTTTCTTTTTTTAATCTATTTTACTGAAAAGGAGACTGACTTTTTTGAGAGATTGACTTCCCCAAGATCATGTGACTATTAATATGTCCTCAAAGCTCATGCTTTTTCCATTACAATATCTTCCTTACCCGCTCCCAAATTATTGTGAGTGTTACATGAGATAGTGAACAGATTATAAAGCATTATAGTAAAGTAAGATATTTTATTTCAGTTCTCTTCATTGTTGGTGTGGCATACTTCACTAACCACTAGTGAATATTAGCTAGTTTACAATCTTTGAAGCTCCATGGGTTTTCTAGTCTTTTATCAGGGAATAAGAATGTCTAAGTCAAAGTCTAGAGGAGTATACACAGGAATACACATCTGCTCATGAATTCCCTTAAGATTACATTCACAATTTTGCTACTGAGCTCAAAGAAGTCACATTCTATACAATGACATCAACATTAAGACAAAGCATTGGTCAGCTTATCAGAACATAGGAAAGTCTTTCACAAAGATAGTACTGCAGACTGGCTCTTGTCTTAATCTTAGCCATACCAGTAAAGCCTCCCTCTTTAGAAAAAATGTCAAGAAAAACTTAGTCCCACCATCTTGCTCTTTCAGGGTAATAAAGGAAAAATAAAGTCATAAAATAATAAAGCAATGAAAAATGTTTGCACACTTTCAAGGGAAAAAGTAAAATATAACTGATGGACTAGTGAATAAAAATATATCTATGTAAACAATCCAAAAAATTTACAAGGGACTAAACAACGATAAACTGAATGCAACATTGATTCAAATTGGAATGAAAATGGGGTAATAAAAATGAAGCATAAAACTTTACTTAAATTTATTCATCTATTTGTAATCACTTTTGCATCTAGTTGAAGTAAAAAAGCTGTTAAACTTTCCCTTGGTTTTTAGGATGAATCTTGGCATATGTTAATTCTGAAAATGTTAAACTCATTATTGGTCTTTTAAATCAAATCTTTATGTTTATAATCAATATCCTTAATATATAAAAAGTTATTACAAGTAATTATAGAAGACATGTGCTCTAATAGATAAGTAGGCAACAATACATGAAGGAGCATTTCAGAAACTAATAAACACAAATGAAAAAATAAACTTTTCAACAGAACTGGTAACCAAAGAAACACATATTAAAATAATAAAAGATATAATTTTATTTATCAAATTGGCAAAAATTTTAAAATGATAATATCTACTATTAGCTTCAGTGTGGAGAAGTTGGAACTCTCCTATCTTGCTTGTAGGAGTGATAAATGTTATTACCTTTTTGGAGTATAATTTGGCAATAGATATTATAATTTTTGTAATTTAATATGCAAGCTTGACTGCATCCAGCAATTCATCCTAAGGAATTAATCATGATTCATGCAAATATATAGCCTGAAGGATGTTTATCACAAGGCTGTTTATACAGGAAAAAAAAAAAAACAAACAAAAAAAAACAAAGAATCGACAATAGCCTTTTCGACAGGTCTAACAAATTATGTTTCATCCATAAAATTAAAATTTAAAATAACTATGCACTAACTAAACAAATTGTAGGAAAACATTCACATTATTTAAAAATACTCATGGAAGAGTAAGTAAAAAAGAGAACATAGCACTATTAATGAACTTATAAAATATATATTAATGCATAGAAAAGAGACTGGGTAGCTGTATACCCAAAAGTCAAGAGCAGCTGTCTCTCAGTGGTAGGATTTTGAATGACTTTCATTTTTGTCTTTTTTCTTCAATGTATTTTGTAAATTTCAATGGTGATTATATTAAATTATTTTTACAAAAATAAAAATTTGTATTATTTTTAGAAAAAGGTATAAAATGATGATTAATGACTTAATCTTAACCGAAGATGAGATAATGAGAAAGCTGTGCAATATCACAGGAAATAGAGAAAAGAAGAAAAGAAAGTAAATTGTAAGATTAAAAAAGCAAGTAAAATAATCATGTCCTTTGCAGCAACATGGATGGAGATGGAGGCCGTAATCCTAAGCAGACTAACTCACGAACAAGAAACCAAATACCTCATTTTCTCACTTATAAGTGGAGCTAAATATTGAGCACACATGGACATGAACATGGGAGTAATAGACACTGTGGATTATTAGACGGGGGAGGGAGAGCGGGGGATGTGAGCTGAAAAGCTGCCTAGTGGGTACTATACTCACTAGCTGGATGCGATATACCCCTGTAACAAACCTGCACATGGACCCCTTGTATCTAAAATAAAAGTTGAAATTTAAGATTAAATAAAAGCAACTAAGTGTAAATAGAAGAATGGAAATGGAAAAATCATATTTCATAATTGTGTTTCGGTCCAAGTAATCCACAAAGAGCAGGTCCTAGGCGTTTTGTGTTTATCATGTGTGCCAAAAATTCATATTCAGCAAAGTGTGCAAAGTAAAAAGAAAGAAAAACGTAATGCACATTTATTTAATCAATATATGAAGAGTTGATATTTATTTCTGGGCCTTAGTAACAACTTGGAAAATTCTAAATGAAATTAAATGCAGTACACAAATTCAGTTCACTGAATATTTCTTTTGAGTAATATCAAGTCCCACATTTAGCTATGATGTCTCACTTACTGTTGTGATGGTGTTATTTGTGCAGTCTATAGTACTTTACACTGTACAAAGCATTTGTGTGCACTTTATCCCACTTATTCCTACCAAAACCCCATGAAGTTATTTGTATAGGTTCCACTTTACAAAAGAAGAAACAAAAATCTGGGATGTTGACTTCCAAACATCCCCTAATGTTCAAAGCCAAGGGAAACCAACAAAACCAAATCTACCATGGTTTATTCTCAGGCTGAACATTACTTTGAAAAATACCAGTCATGCCAGCCATGAAATTTCTACATTTTATTTTCCTTCTATAATAATACACTATAATTCCAATATTGTTTGCTCTGTTTCTGTGGCTGATCTCTACGAATATGTAAAAGCAACCATTTTTGAATATTCCAATATAGATTTTGCAGCTACTTTCAGCAAATCATATTACAGCTTCTTCATATTCCATGCACATGTTGCAAAGAAAAAGTGTTCAAGTTCTGCAAATTATGTTGACTTCTTTGAAAATCTTAGCAAAGCTCTATACAGTCATGCATCACTTAACAAGAATACGTTCTGAGAAATGCATCCTTGGGCGATTTTGTCATGGTGCAAACATCACAGAACATACTTACAGAAACCTAGATGGCTCAACCTACTACAAACTTATGGTATGTGGTATAGCCTATTGTTCTTAAGCCACAAACCTGTACAGAATGTTACTGTGCTGAATACTGTAAGCAACTCTAACACATTGGCCAGTGTATGTGTATCTAAATATAACTAAACAAGGAAAAGGTACAATAAAAATATGGTATAAAAGATAAAAAATAGTACACCTGCATAGGACACTTACAATGAATGGAGCTTTCAGGACTGGAAGTTGCTCTAGGTGAATCAACGAGTGAGCAGTGAGTAATATGGAGGACAAGGACAAGACTGCACATTACTATAGACTTTATAAACCCTGCACACGTAGGCTACGGTAAATGCATTTTAAAATATTTTCTTTCTTCAATAATCAGTTAACCTTAGCTTACTGTAAGCTAACATTTTTTTTTACATCTTTTATTTTTATTTTTATTTTACTTTACGTTCTGGGATACATGTGCAGAATGTGCAGGTTTGTTACATAGGTATACATGTGCCATGATGGTCTGCTGCACCTATGAACCGGTCATCTAGGTTTTAAGCCCCGCATGCATTAGCTATTTGTCTTAATGTTCTCCCTCCCCTTGCCCCCCACCCCGCTACATGTCCCAGTGTGTGATGTTCCCCTCCCTGTGTCCACGTGTTCTCATTGTAAGCTAAGATTTTTTACTTTAGAAACTTTTTAAAACTTTTTGACTCTTTTGTAATAACACTTAGCTTAAAGCACACATTGTACAGCTGTACAAAAATATTTCTTTGTATTATCATTCTATACATTTTTTCTTTTTAAATTTTTTGTGTACTTAAAACTTTTTTTTACTAAAAATTAAGACACAAACACACACATTAGTCTAGGCCTACACATGGTAAGAGTCATCAGTAACACTCTCTTCCACATCTACATCTTGTCCCACTAGAAGATCTTCAGGGGCAATAACACAAATGAAGCTGTCATCTCCTACGACAGCAATGCCTTATTTTGGAATACCACCTGAGACCATTCTGTAGTTAACATTTTTTTTAAGTAGAAAGAGTACACTCTAAAATAATGACATGAAGTATAGCATAGTATGGCAAATACATAAACCAGTAACATAGTCATTGATTATCAAGTATTAATACCATTGATCATTTATTATCAAGTACTAATGCCATTACTTTTAATGGCAAAAACTGCAATTACTTTTGTACCAATCAAATATGATGTACCATACATAATTGTATGTGCTATGAGTAATGCACTGTGCTATAACATTACAACAGCTATCACATCACTAGATGATAAGAATTTTTCAGCTCTGTTATAAGCTTACGAAACCACTGTCATATATGCAGTCCATTGCTGACTGATATGTTATGCAGCACATAACTGTACTTCATTTCTAATTTGATTTTTAAGGTGTTTATGTAACAAAAGATATGTTTATTTAAGAGATGTACTTTAGATGAAGTGATTTAAAATACCTCTTAAATAATTAGACATTTAGAGACCTTTGAGGATAATTTAAAGGTTAAATTGGCAGCACATTAGGTTAATTGCTAAAATATTATGTTTTTGTGTCCTGCCTACATTGTGAACATTCAAACGTAAGGATTAGAAAGTAGTCTCTAAAAAAACATAAGAAATAATTAAAATTAGCTTCTGGCCCCTAGAACCGCTTTTCACTCTCATTCTGGTTATTTAGAGGATATATACATCCGAGTAGATACGTCATCTAGCACCTTGACTCTGGGTGCTTTTATCTATTCTCATTCAATGACCTTTGCTTCCACTTCATGACAGCCACTCACTCTCTTAGATATATGCTGGCAATTCTCAAAATCAGTTGTGTAACTCAGACTTATCCTCTGGCTTCTAGAAACACTTACCCAACTTAACATTTCCATTTGATTGTCTCACAGGCATTTCAAATATAATATGTACAAAATGGAATTCTTGTATTCCACTTAAATCTTATTATATTCTCAGTCTTTACCACCTCAGAAAATGGCAGCACGTGCACTCAGTTGTTCAAGCCACAAACCTGGCCATCATTCTTGGTTCCTTATTTTGTCTTACCTTCACATTCAATGCCTCAACCAGCCTTTTCTTTGTACCTTCTAACTATATCATGAATCAATCCAGCATCTTTTATGTCAACTGTCATTATGGTGGTCCAAGCTTTCTTACAAAATTTCACCTCCGCTTCCAATCACTGTCTCCTCCATCTAGTCATCACACAGCAAACAGATAATCTTTTAAAACAAAAATCGCAAGAGTACCAACTCTCATTAATTTATTGAATGGTTTATACATGCATTTCATGCTCTACATTAAATATATATTTCACATCCTTCCACTTTTTTAGAGCTTTATTAAGGTATAATTATCATATAATATACTGCATGCATTAAAGCATACCATTTGATGAGTTTAGACACATGTATATGCCTTTAAAATCTTGAGCACAATCAAGATAACAATAATATCCGTCAGCTCCAGAAGTTTATTTATGGCCCTTTTAATACCTCCCTCTTCTCTTCTCCTCCCATGTCTGCAGAGCACCACTGATCAGCTTTATGTAACTCAAGATCAGTTGTTATTTTCTAGGAATTTACACAAATGAATTAATGTCTCCACTTGCCTCAGCTATTCACATAGAGTCCAGGTTAATTTCTTCATTTCCACTCTTCCAAAAAGAAAAAAAAAGTGAACAAGTTCAATGAAAATCACTGAGAAAATGCCAACATCGGTGCCCAGTTTTTAGAGTTACTTATAAATTATAAAACTCCCGAAACACTACAACACTTTCATGGACTTGTATCTTTCTCAACGTTGATAAAAAATTATATTAATAATAAACTTCCATGTTGTTGTTGTTGTTTTGAAACGGAGTGTCACTCTGTCACCTGGGATGGAGTGCAGTGGCACAGCCTTGGCTCACCGCAACCTCCGCCTCCTGGGTTCAAGTGATTCTCCTGCCTCAGCCTCCTGAGTAGCTGGGATTACAGATGCACACGACCACGCCTGGCTAATTATTTGTATTTTGAGTAGAGATGGGGTTTCACCATGTTGGCCAGGCTGGTGTTGAATTCCTGACCTTAAGTGATCTGCCTGCCTTGGCCTCCCCAAGTCCTGGGATAACAGGCATGAGCCACTGCACCCAGCCAAACTTCGAGGTATATAATTAAAAGTTTAATAAGCCCTCAGCCTAATTTTAAAATTCAGATTCTTTCTTTCTTTCTTTCTTTCGTTCTTTCTTTCTTTCTTTCTTTCTTTCTTTCTTTCTTTCTTTCTTTCTTTCTTTCTTCTTTCTTTTTCTTTCTTTCTTGATAACATTATTATCATAGTCTGGTAGATTCTGTCTTTCTATAATAAAAATCCTGTGATGTTGTTCAAAGAAACTCAATGGGCTTTCTGTATGTTTACCAAGGAATTAAAATCTTAACAAAGGTTTTCAACACAAGAAATACTCCCTTTTGTAAGAATTCTTCATAGGTTTTTCTAGCACAAGTTTGTTTTTATTGAATGATACTTGATGGTTCTGTATGTTATTTCTTTTCTACTACATATAATTTTGATTAGGGGATACATTAAATATTTTAAAACTATCATTTCTTTTTCCAGAACAATCATAACATGTTTTGCTTCTTGTTGCTTTAAAAGGAACATTTTAAGTTGCTTTTTTACAACAATAAGTGTGAAAGGAAATGCCAAAATACAAACAATTTCACTTCTTGTTGGAATTTGACATTTCCACTAGCTAAGTAATATAAACATGCATCACCTAAATGAGCAGTATTTTAATAGCATCGTTTTCACATTTTAATTGTTGTCACATTTCTTCTTTGTTTAGGGAGACGTCTGGTGAACACCCGTGGGATCTAAAGAACAAGTAAGATTTAAAGCATACTGGGTTGTGTGCCTGGCTTTCACATTTTATTTATTTTATTGCTTAATAGTGTTTCTTTACTACTGTGGGTTGTAGCTTAAAATTGTTAGAAATTTTATTATGGAGTATAAGGAATAAAAGTGAACGTTCAACACTTTCAAATTATTTGGAGTCTTAAAAAATATACATAAATTTTCTGTATGTAGTAGGCAGACACAAAAATATTATGTCTTTATGTATATAGATGGAGTGAAATTTCAAGTCCTAAATAATGGGTATGTTTTTATGTGGAAGAGCAAATACACATCTATAGACTGAATTTTTACACGATGATTTTTATAAGATATACCGTTTTATTTAAAAATTGTCTTAGTGTGACCTCTAGCCTATCAATGGAGTAGGTTAGTGAGCAGTGAGTAGTTGATTCATTTCCCCAAACTCCACCTCGTGTGGAACCATGATTCTGTTAACACCAGAGAGTATGAACAATACAACAACCACCCAATAGTGGAATGAGATGTGTTGGGATGGTTATGAGGGAATCTTCAGTTAATGGATTGGGAAAGAGAAAGTGTGAAGTGCAGTCAAAAGGAAAGCAAATGAGTAAGGGAAGAACTGAAAATAATAAAGAAGAAAGACGACAGATCTTCAAAAAATAAAAATAAACAAATAGAGTAAACAAATAGATTACATATACTTGCACTTCATTGTAAATATTTGGAAGAAACAAAAGAGAGGTGGAACAAATACAAAGTAGTAAGTAGAGACTGGAAACTAAATATAGAGACACGATATTCAATAAATAGTGCCTAAGAGAAAGGGAAAGAAAAAAGTGGTAAAAGTAGAAGAAAGTTCCATTTTAAATTTTTGCTTTTTCACTTATTTGACAATTTACGTAATTTAAACTACAACTTGAATGGTTTATAAATAGAAGCCTTGAATATTTTTATCTATTTCATTGAAAAAGAAAAAAATTCTAGTCATCATGCAATTATTCGATGTTTCTGAGAACCTTGTTTTATGCTCAATTTAAGCCATGTTTAAATGAAGAAAATGTTTCTTGATTTATTTCAAGTTTCCTTACTAGTGTTCTAAACTTTCTATATTTATGAAATCACTTGATTCTAAAAAACTGAAAATTGTGCATTTAAGGAGGTGAAATAAATCATTAAAATGTATTTATACTCTGCGGAAAGCATATGTTAAACAATTCAAATTTACAGTTAGAATGGTTCAAATTACTCCGGCGTTCAAAGACACAAAGCCCTAGAATTACCCTGTAGTTATCCTGTAATTGCTATTTGCTGGCAAAGGAAAGATTAACAGTGGTGCTGATCTCAACTGTAATACACAGATTTACCAAGGAACCTGTAGAATTGAGTTTTTCTATCCAAAGAATGAATCATAAAAATTCAGCAAGATGACCTTTCTTTTCATTGGCATAAAGATAAAACAAGTAAAAATTCCTTTTTAGCAGCACTTGGAAAAGTATGGTTGTTCGTTTATGGTTGTTGCTGTTGTTCATGGGTTTGGGTGGCTATTATGTATTAATCATTTATCATCGCAACAAAGGGTCTTTGTTGCGATGATAATCTTACTAATAGTCGCAGTGTCTTGGAGAAAATTATTTGGTTATTTATGATTCATTATCTATAATACACATCACTACTAGGCCACCATACATTGTTTTTTATAACCATAGAGTAGAGCTCTGTGGGGGCAAAAGAGAAAACGCCCATTGACTCTAAATCCAAAATACTGAGTAAAATCCCAGCACCACCATTAAGAGCCACTTTATCTTCCTGCTCCTCAATGTTTTCATGTTTAAAATGAGAATACTGCCTAGTGACAGGATTGCTACGGTATTTGAGCAAGTTGTCATTCTGAAAGTACTTTGAACTTGGTCAACATTGCTGGATGACATAACTGGGGAGTCTTGGGTTCTAGCTCCCTGCAAGTGAAGCCACCCAAATGACTTTGCAAAGACTGCTACAGTTGTTTGTACTTGTGATTCAACATTATCATTTTTTAAGTCATTTAGGGGGTAGGTCAAACGACCATTTAAGAAGCTTTAGTCATCAGCCTCATTGCTCTGGATCTGGAGTGTAGCCTCATAAGAATATCCTGCTGTGGGTGCCTTATATTCCTCTAATGGAATAAAACTAGGACCATCTCCCCGATTTTAACCAGTACTAGGCTGGTTTGTTTTACATATATTCTCTCATGTAAATCTCAAATCAATCATCTAAGGAATATCTGTTTGTCCCCATTTTTGGATGATTCTCATAAAGGGTTAGTAATATAACTGAGGTAACACAAAGAGAAAAGAGAAAGAATTGGAATTGGAACCCAGAACTTGTTCCACAGCCCATGTATATTACAAATGTATTTTACTGCCTTCCTCAGTGAAATGTAGTATTTTTAGTGCAACTATTTGGGGGAAAATTGTCACAGTAATTTTATCCACACTGGTGTGGAGAAAACATCTAATATAAAAGACAAATGTTTGAGGGAGAGGAAAAGCAATTTCGCTTCCCAAGGAGGGTGACACCTGCTGAAAGGGGCTGCAGTAAGGCAGTCTCAGAGTTGTGCCTTGGACAAGCTCTGTGGGAAAGTATTAGTGAGCATGTTTTTTAATCCTACAACTCTTTCCTCCTTTGGCAGTTAACAGCAAATTCCTCAAGTCCTGCTGCCTGTGCTTTAAGGCCCAATTCTTCTGCATTCCTATGATCATTTAGCAGAGAGAAGACCCAACTCTACTTTCTTTCTACTTATTGGCATTCCTCACCTCCATAACAACAACAAAGTTTGTGCCCCTGATTTTCTGTTTATGGTCAAAAATTGGTGGTTGATCTACGTATACTTGCTGAAGTCAGGGAAGATGGTAATTATTATATCCAAATGTACATTGAACAGTCCTTTTGAGGCTCCATTCTCTTCATCTTCTTTAAGAAAAAGTAAGTCATTAGAAAGAAATGAAAATAAATTATTTTGTTACAGCAAAGGGGTCCCAATCCAGACCCCACCCAAGAGAGGGTTGTTGCATCTCATGCAAGAAAGAATTCAGGGCAAGTCCATAGAGTAAAGTGAAAACAAATTTATTAGGAAAGTGAAGAAATAAAAGAATGGCTACTCCATAGACAGAGCAGCCCTGAAGGCAGCTGGTTGCCCATTTTTATGGTTATTTCTTGATGATATGCTAAACAAGGAGTGGATTATTCATGCCTCCCCTTTTCAGACAATGTAGGGTAACTTCCTGGCATTCCCATGGCATTTGTAAACTGTCATGGCGCTGGTGGGAGTGTAGCAGTGAGGACGACCAGAGGTCACTCTTGTGGCCATCTTGGTTTTGGTGGGTTTTGGCCAGCTCCTTTACTGCAACCTATTTTATCAGCAACGTCTTTATGATCTGTATCTTGTGTTGACCTCCTATCTCATCCTGTGACTTAGAATGCCTTAACCCTCTGAGAATACAGCCCAGTAGGTCTCAACATTGTTTTACCAGCCCCCATTCAAGATGGAGTTGCTCTGGTTTAAATGCCTCTGACACATTCATGATTGATTGATTGATTGTTTAATTTTTTTAAAAGCTATCTAGTTAATTTAGTTAAAATAAACCTGGCTTATTCTTTTTTTACACAAATTGATTTTAAATAGTTAAAACATTTTTTTAAATCCATAAGTAATTCTTACTCTACTCATTTATACACACATATACTCACATGTACACAGACATACCTACACACACACTTATAAATACATGTATACACAGAATATAGCAAGGTCTTTTATCCCTTTTCAATGAAATAAATATTGTATTCTATATTTAGAATAAATAATGTTGAAAAAGTGATTTTGGAGAAAGGTTGAAATGATTGAGTCTTAAGTGTGTCAATGTATAATCTACCCCTTTCTAAACATCGTGTTTTAAGTAGTCATCTTACTTCAGAAATTAGAGGCTCAATGTGTTTAGAAATACATTTCATCATGTTCATACACAATATAGATTTCTCCTTCCTCAGATTGTCTCCCATGTAAATATACTGCTTGATAAAGATGACAGTCAAGTTAACTTGATTGCTGGACAGCTGTATTGTTATTACCATAAATAAACACACATATTTCCTCTTCGGATTATTCCTGGCAAGGAATCTCTAGACAAACACAATGCTTTCTTCTGGATTGATTGTGATCTTATTCACTCTAGGTAATCACATATGTATCGTTCATATTAACACTTTTATAAAACTGAATTTAGTATGTAGAAAAGTTCAAAGTAAAAAGCTGTACTATTAGGTGACATTTTTAAGGGCATGACTAAAAGCAAAAATATTATTGACAAATCTTTGGAGTCTTACACAATAAAAGGAATCTAATTTACACAACATAAGCACAT
The DNA here is from genome assembly GCF_000001405.40 of Homo sapiens. Classification (NCBI taxonomy): domain Eukaryota; kingdom Metazoa; phylum Chordata; class Mammalia; order Primates; family Hominidae; genus Homo; species Homo sapiens. The sequence continues at coordinate 9,014,303 of NC_000009.12, read as the reverse complement.
TTCTGTTCAGATTGTGAGAATGAAAGATCGTGGAGAAGTTTTATTCAAAGATATCAGCTTTGCTCATGAAACTCAAATAAATGCTTCCAGAAAAAAAAAAAAAACAAACAAACAAACAAAAAAAAACGAGGTAATAGCATGGACCAAACAGTTATTCATTTTGCTCTTTAATTCCAAAAACAGATACTATTCCTCTCTGAGTATTACATAGAGCTTACGATTTACTTATTATAGAAAAATGGTGTTATCTACAACAAGTACTTATTATGAACATCAGAAGATATCAAGTAGACAAAAATGCAGCAGCCAAGAGTTCAAGAGTGAGGGAGCACTCAGAGTCCAGTCTTATAGTGAGATTGGTTAAACTGCAAGATGCACCCAACAAAAGATCCATTTTATCTGGGAACCTCACCTTGCACGTTGATACTTTCAGGCCAGTAGAGGCCCTTTTGTGAAAGAAAGAAATGGTTTAATTAGTGGGACTCCAAGGATTAAACCAATGTTGACAATGGCACCTTCACCACCACTGGAAAAAACAGTGGGTACATCCCCATACCTGTTATACGTAAGCATTTCCTGAGTTTTGAGTCGACTTGGCTGCTTGAATCAGGGCAGAGTTGCTTCTGTATGCAATGAAATGCCCATACACTTGGTCATTATAGTTAATTAACTGCCCTCCAATGCTGCCTGCAATGCATATATACAGAGAATATAGCAAGGTCTTTTATCCCACGGAAAGAAAGAGAAAGAGACTTGTTGCTTTTGTCCATTGGAGCAGGAAAAAGCAAAGCAAAAGAAAACAAACAAACACACAAAAAAACACTATTTGTTAAACATGGACTGTTACCAAACATAGAAGTAAGGTTCCTTCCATATTTGAAGTCTATTATTAGTTCTGCCTTGTGACTGATCGCTTCTTTGCTATCATCAATGATCAATGATAGGACCCAACAATGTCAGTGCAGCATTCTGGGGGCACTCCCATGGCGCATTTATTTTGCCCATCACCTTGAGAGTGGTTTTCAAGATTAATTCTAGTGTCGGTGGCCTCGTATATTAATTATTGCTTCAGAAACGCTTCATCGGAGTTCAGTCATTCTTTTGTTACTTTGATGTAAACCCCCAATGCCTCAGATATTGAAAAAACAAAAAACAGAAAAAAAAATAAGAGCTAGCAAGAATTTTCAAATAGCATTGGTGCTTAAAAAACAAACAAGCAAACAAACAAGATTATCTGTGCTATCTGCATCCCCCCCTTTAACGTCTTTTCTTTCTGCCCCTGTTAGTGTCATCTGTTGTGTTTATTTTTTTCATTCAAAAAATTTAGACACTCAAAATTTTGCTGAAAATTTCACCTAAGACTGTGACCAACTGTCTGGTATAAATTGGATATAGATTTCTAGAGATGTAGGCCAGTAGATAGTGAATACAAAGGCAAGTCACAGATTTTCTTTTAGCATTGCTGAGTTTTGTGAAGTTTTATCTCTGCCTGATGTTACAGGATATAGTGGCAAGAATATACACCCTCATATGGCAGAAAATAGCAATTTCTTATCCTGGATGGCAGAATGGCAAAAATACATACATATGGCATCAAACTTTAATTGATAGAACTTGATAAAAAAATTTCAATACTATTCTGTAAATCTCCTTCAAAGTCTGTTTTGTTCTCACATCCACTTAAAGTAGAACAGTCATTAGACATTGCAAATAGTTTTCCCTGTCTGCATGTGAAAGGAAAGCATCTTACCCATTTGATATTTTTAGACACTTATACCGCCTATGGAATTTGCCTACATAACTCCCTTTCATGCATGGATTTCTTGCTTCTACAGTCATCTTAAATATGGTGAATAATGCTTGGCTTATGGTCCTCACTCAGTCAATGTTTATTAACTAAGTACGTATTGGGCAGGTTTGTTAGTGTTCTATGATTGTAAGAAACTCAGCAGATTAACACAAAATATATTTATTATCTCTCACTTTAAGGTAGGAAATGTCTTAGTTGGGTCCTCTGCAAGAATGCAGTGTGTCAGCCAGGGCTTGGTTCTCATCTGGAGGCTTAACTGGTGATGGATTCTCTTCCAAGTTTACTCAAGTTGTTGGCAGAATTCATTTCCTGTGGCTGTAAGACTGAGGGCTTTGGCTTTGGCTGTTGGCTAGAGGCTACTCTCAGCTCCAGGAGCTGCCTGAAGTTCCTTGACTATAGCTTTTTCCATAGGCCCTCTCACAACATGGTACCTTGCTTCTTTAAAGTCAGAAAGGGAAAGGGACACTTCCTATTACCAGACTGATAGCAAGGTGGAGGCTTATATAATGATTCATAATCAAGAGAGTAAAATCCTATCATCTTTACCAAGTTCTATTGGTTAGAAATATGTCACAGGTCCTGCCCACACTCAGTGGGACAGGATTATACAATCTGGACACCAGGAGAAAGAGACCAAAGGAAAGACCTTAGAGTCTCTTTGCCACAACAGATACCATCAAAAGAACCAGTGCCAGGGCCTTCCCTGAAATCCTAACTTTGAACTAGAATTGAAAATCACATCAGAGAAAGAACATCTTAATTTGTTCTCACTAAGGAAAATGAAAAATATTTGTTGAAAGAGCTGTAGGGTGTAGAGTTATCATTATACTAGTTTACTAAAGTACCACTGAAGTACAATGGGCATTTCCTATTGTAAGAGGCAGAATCTTCAGGGAATAGGGATGTATTCTTAGCTACTCTGGCAGGGAATAGCATGTGACCCTCTTTCTTTGCTACTGCATTCTGAGTCTTAGGCCTTTGAATAACACAGTTTTTTCTTAATGTACACCTCACTTCTCTACTATTGTTTGGCCTATAACAACCACAGAGGTAATTATATCCTTATATCCTATGTAATTATATGCTGCAGTTAATATGTATTTTACCATATATTTATCCATAGGTCTGTTTTCTCAAATAACCACTTAATTCTATGATATTTAAATGAAAAGCTCCAGGCTTACTAGTCTTCCAGGATGTGAGAATAATAGATGAATTATAAGCTATTTCCCCCAAAAAAGAGAGTGTTGGGATACGTGAGACCATGTAAATGAGGAGAAGCTATGACTGATGATTCCTGAAAAGACTCCCCCCACTTTTGTATCTTCCTGGAGTTCAAAAACAGATACTATTTCTGAGCACCCCTACAGACTAGAATTGCCACTCTCTACTTAGGAGACACAGTCTCTAAGGTAACCAGGATACACATATCATAGCATTTTTAACTAGGGCAATCTAAATTATGAGCATGCTACATATGAATCCTAGGCCATAGGAAATGTTTTCTGTACCAAAATAATCAATATTAATCATTAAAATTTAAAAATAATGGTATTTATTCATACTTTCGTGAGGACGCCCTTGGTGGCTGTTGTGCAATAAGCGGATAATATTTGTCTGCCAATCACTAGCCCATCTCACATGTAAAAATGATCACATGACAATCCAGTGCATGTTTATCACCCAAGATCTTGTCAGCAACTGATGGCACACTCAAAAAGAGTGTTCTTAATAGAGGAGAGCTTAATAAATTGACTATTTACAGAGGGATGGACAAGATGAAAGGATCAAGGATCATCCTGGGTTAACTGGAAGCAACTTCCACACTTTGGCTTGATAAGGTTATCAGAACCCAGAAAGATCTGCACTGTTGAAGAGGGCCACTCAGTAAGAACCTAACCTCAAGTGCAGAAAAGCAACATGTGAAAACATGTGCACTGGCAGATAGAGAGCCAGGGAAATAAATAACAGAACTCCTCTTTCCTTTTATCTTCTAATATTCTGCTGGTATTTCCCATTACCTGAACTAACAAGAAGCCACAAAGCAAGAGAGCCTAGCTGATGCAGTCAATAAATGTTGAACTCACCAGACACAGAGCAGGGGGATAAAAGGTGAGAATGGAATATCCTATAGCATGTCAATGTGCATCAGTAACTCAAAAAGTCTTATGGATAATGTTGTCCCATTTGTATTAAAATTCTAACTTTTGTTCATAGTCTGATTTCTATCCATTGTGTCTTACTTTCTTTTAGGCTTGGAAAATATTGGTCAAAGATATGTTGAATCTGTTACTTTCTAACATTGTTTTAGAAACTGCATCAACCATCTACTGAATTTGTTCAGATTTTGGCCTCTTTTCAGAAATCTGGGACTTGTAGGAGGAATTGCTGAAATCTTGAATGATTTTCTAACCATTCACAATTGTAGTTTCCCCTAAGGCAACTCCTAAAAATTTCCATCTTTGTCAGGCTGGTCATGTTTAGGACATTTCTGTAACTCCAAGTCCCTTTAAAGGGAAGGCCTAAGAGAACTGTACGGAGCAAAAAATTACTCAGGATCCCTCCGTAGAGGCACCAAGTCAACCTAAAATTCTCATAACTCCTTGAAAGCAGGCTAGTGAAAATTTGGAGAGAATTTATGAAGATTAGTATAAATTATAGCTTATTATCTAGTATTTTTGCAATCTGTCCTTATACTCGTTATGTGGCCAAAGCATCCAAAAAATGCTTTATGCCTAGATGTGAGCTAGAATATTTCCAAATTGGCACATACATCACAGAATGAAATCCTCCAGTTTTATCCACAGATACACCAATGTCATCTACATCTAAATTATATTAACTCTAACACAAATCATCATTCTACTTGTTTCTTATTTCTAAGCACTCATAAAAATTTTTACAGTTCTAATTTTTTTTTCTCCATACCAACTTGCTTCTTATCTTCATATACTTTTCCTCCTTTCCAGTTTTAAATTAAAATAACTGCTGAAAACCCCTATGGCACACATTTACCTATGTAACAAACCTGCACATCCTTCACATGTACCCTGGAACTTAAAATAAAATAAAATAAAATAAAATAGAAAGAACTGCTGAAATTTGTGGAGCCTTTAGACACTACCTTTAGGATTGTGAAAGCTCTGCAACCCAATATTTCAATTCTGTTGGGGTTAAGTCTAGCCTTTCTATGACTTAGAACTAGTCAACTTTTATTAATTCTCAATTTCTCTCTCCTTAAGCATATCATATTCCTGGTAATTTTTGGTAAGATTTTGATGCTGTGTATATAAAGTGCATTGTAAATATCAAACAAAATATTGAGATAGATATTGGAAAAAAAAATCCTAAATAAAATTTTAGGTGAATGAGAGAATGATTTGTACTTTTAGAGCAAGTTCTACTATTTTTATACATACATTAGCCTGATTATATGGGTTTTGTTGTTATTGTTTGTTTTGTCTTTCAAATAGATTTCATCTGAAGCTGTTATGCCAAACACTACTTTAGTTCTTCATTTAAGTGTATTTATATGATATCAGATTTTCCCCTTGTTTTTACAACAAGCTCAATGATATAAAATTTATCTTAAGCAAAATTGTCCTTATGCTTTACCTGACATGCTTCCTTAATTAATATTATGGTTAAAGAGAGGAAAAACATAAGGTTTTACAAGGGTTCTCAAAAATAGTTATAGTAACAGAGTATATTTAAAATCATATTACCAGCAAATCCCAGTAATAACTAAGGAGACGAATTAAAAATCTTTGCAAATGCCAAAATTATGTTAAATAGCAGTTGGAATATTTTAACCCAGAATTCTACTGTTTGATTTCTTCACACTTCCTTTCTTGCATCAAAAACAAAGGTCAGCAGCATAATAGGTACAAAGTTAACTCCATCCTTTTTTTCCATAGAATTGTCAGATTGACACACTAGAATGCGTTTTCACTAAATAATGAAGGGGAGGCCGGGCGCGGTGGCTCATGCCTGTAATCCCAGGACTTTGGGAGGCCGAGACGGGTGGATCACAAGGTCAGGAGATGAGACCATCCTGGCTAACACGGTGAAACCCCGTCTCTAATAAAAATACAAAAAATTAGCCGGGTGTGGTGGCGGGAGCCTGTAGTCCCAGCTACTCGGGAGGCTGAGGCAGGAGAGTGACATGAACTGGGGAGGCGGAGCTTGCAGTGAGCCAAGATCGGCCACTGGACTCCAGCCTGGGCAACAGAGTGAGACTCTGTCTCAAAAATAAATAAATAAATAAATAAATAAATAAATAAATAAAATGAAGGGGAGAAGGCCTGTGTTACCTAACAGACTCTCATGGACTGTGGCTTTCTTGGCTAGAACATAGGATAAGTAAACATCCTAAAAGTTAAAAACATGAAAAGCCGCCATCTTGTCATCTTTCTTTATCAATTTTCGTATCTGTTTTTCTAAAGCAGATTTTTTTAAATTTCTGAGTTAATGGGTACAGCGCACCAGCACGGCACATGTATACATATGTAACTAACCTGCGCATTGTGCACACGTACCCTAAAACTTAAAGTATAATAATAATAAAATTTAAAAAAAATGCCAAATTTCAAAAACAAAAAAAAAAAACACTTTTCTAAAATGGGTCATATCTTTTTAGCTTTAAGTATAACAGACAAATAAAAATTATATATTTATGGTGTAAAAAAAAAAAGAAAGAAACAACTGAAAGATATGCTTAAGCAACCTTTGGGGGGTGTAAACCACAATGAAAAAAAAAAAAAGGATCCAAGTAACAGGAGGTCAAACACGGGAGAAGGGTAAATGGAATTCCCAGAAAAATAACTATACATAGGTATCTAAAGCAACAGGTCCAGATTGATGTAGGAAGGTAAAGGCATGATGGTCTCTGAGAAAGGAATGGAATTGATGGAAAGTTTTAGCTGTTTTGGAGTGATTAGAAAGAAATATTGATAGGTTTGTATTTGGTTTATTGGAGTATTTTAGAAAAAAGTAATAGGGTCAAGCACATAAAAAAAAATATATTTTTAAAATTCTTCAGGGACTTGTATTGAAGGTATAGTTGTACAAAAACACATTTTTTCTCTTAGATTTTATTAATTTTAGAGGCTTTGGAGGGTAATGGAGACTACACCCTCCTTGTTCCTCTTGTCACCCTTAGCCATCTTTGGGCTACCAGTTAGCACAAAGTCATCTAGTATGGAAAACAAAATCAAGTGATTCAGAGTTGAAGGGTAGAGTGAAGAAGTCTATCGAAATTAAATTTTTATATTTTCCTAAAACAGATTACTGTATATTTCTACATATACCTCTACTCATAACCTCATCACAGTTTGAAATGAAATTTAATGTAGCTTTTCATTTTGATTTCCTTAAGATGTGTGGATGGGAGCACACACAGTATTTTAATTTTATAATTTAAAATAACCAAGCAGTCAGAAGTTAAGATAAGCTGAACTTACTTTTTACTTGCTATAAATAGGCAAATCATTAAATGTTACAAATAGTCCATTTTCTCTACCCTATCTTGCTATAGGTTGGGACAGAGGAAGAAAGAGTTATTAGATTTACTGTCTACATTTATCTAGCTGTATTAAATGTAAATATGACCCCCCAATATTTTTTAAAATCATTTCTTTAATGGACAAGTACTGCTTCATTAAATAGAGTTTTTTTCCATACTATAAAAAAAGAAAAAACATATTGAAAAATATCTGTGGAGTCATTTGAACTCCAATTAATCTTTATCTTAGATTTCTTACTATGCCAAAGTATGAAACTTTTTTAAAATATCAGGGAAACTGATTTATGATATCAGTAATACTCCCTAAAATTATGGTTAGACCAGCAGGCAGATGCTTACGTAATATCATTTCCCAATTTCACAGTAAAAATAACAGGTAGGTTATGTGAATAAATATGGTAATTGCAGCCCAATGGGAATTGCAAATTTAGAGTTCAATCTCCATTTTAAGAAGAAGTCACTTACAGAGATAAAACTCTGGGGATCAGTGACTATTCAGAATAACGTTAGTCTTTAAAATTAAATTTGTAAATACCAAGGGAATGAATGATTTGTGCCTTGTCTATTCCTTAACATAAATAGACTTTCTTTTTAAAAGTATATGTTTTGTTCATTCTTGAGAACAAGAAGAAGAACAAAAAGAAAAGAGGAGGAGAATCCAAATTTATAAATTATGCACCATTATATTTGCTCTCATAGCCCATCTAACATAGGAGGACCTAGAATAATAGAGTCAGACTTTAATGTTGAAAAATCACATTACATCATCGGTTGGATACACCTCTAATCTTTCTTTTAACAGCTAAATTCATGTGCTTCAGACACAAAAGTGAAAGAAGTCTTCAATGAATCAGTTGCACTGTGCTTCATTCTAAACCAGACAACAGCCATCTTATGGGTTCATTGATGCATTTTGTTCTATGAATATCAAAATTATTTAATTTATGATAAGAAAATTTAAAAAAAAATCCAGGCTATTCAGACAGGAGCCCCAGAAGCTCTCTGGTAAAGGAAATTCTAGAACTGTATATTTTCCAAATAATCATCACATATATGGCTTTATTTTTCTATAGCAAGTCCTATAGGTTAGTGAAGCCAGTTAACTGGTCTAGAATAGTAGCCCAGCCACTGAACAATCAGAGTATAAGTCTGCCCTCCAGACATCCCCAATTATGATAAGAAATCTTGATTTCCTCGTCTGAAAAGAAAAAGGATCTCTCATTTAAGAAAGTCATGGTTATAGCCAGTGAAGCTTGCTAAAATGCATTAGAGAATAATAAAGTGAACTTTATTAAAAGGCACCCTTGGGTACAATTTCATCATCCTCTACAGCTGAAAGCAGCAGAATTTTAGTCTTCTTATACTTAGGTTTTTATAGAATGCCTTTTAACCAAAAGGATCAGAAGAGTGTAATTGCAGGCCCCTTTTTAAATGATCTGTGAAAGTTGGGTGGTTCATTCAGGATGCAGATTAATTTCATACTTCCTTGTTTGGCACATCAATTATTTCATGATGATGTTCCTCTCTCATGAGAATTATAAATTAATTATCATTAATAACAGTCATTATTTATTAGGCATCTCATATGTAGCATTCACCATGCTACTTCCACTTACACATGCTATTTCTTGTTTTCACAACATTCAGGCAAGGTGGTTGCTGTTTTATCTGCATTTTATTGAGGAGCAAATTGTCACTCAGATGGAGTTTTGCATTTCTTCTATATCATTCAAAATGCCTAGCAATGAACTGATCAGATAGAAAGTTGTCAATACCTGTTGTTGCCTGGCTTATTATTAAGCTCCTCTAAGCTAGTTGAGCTTGCTTCCATTTCTACCAGTGGAAACAGACTATAGCCATAGCAAAACTATTTGGATCTTTCCCCTGAAGGTCCATTCAAAATATATGCACTAGAGGGCATAAAGAGAGCATGGCTAATGAAGGAATGGCTGGTTCCAGCAAATGATGCTATGGCCTATAATGAGTTTAACACCTGGCGGATAATGCAAATGACACTGAAAATTAGCTCATTTTTGGCTTCCCCGTGCCCTGGTCAATTGAACAAAACTTACACTGAAAATAAGCCCAGTTTGGAGTTTTGTTTTGTTTTGTTTGTTTTTCCTATACACACGTGTTTTGAATCTGAGCTATGGCTCAGTGCTGTACACTTACTAGTTCCTCTGCTCTTGCTATACCAAAAGACATGAGTTTTATGGGCTCTAGGGGAGGTTTGATTTTCAGTCCTACCTCTGGTATACAGGCAGTTTTGCCCTCCGCAGGCAGTTTTGCCCTCATTCTCTTTATTTGCAGGGTGGTTATATCATCCAAACATAAATTAATTTTTCCTGGTACTTTTTCACCTTTTGAAAATGGGAATGATCCATATGGCTAAAGAATGTCAGGAAGAGAAACATTTGGGAAGAATTAAATGGGATGCAATCATTCCGGATCTTGATCATCTTAGCCAACAAGAGCCAAGTAAAAAAAAACAGCCACAGAGTGTTATGTGCCAAAATTTTCGAATTCCAGAGAGTTTATACTATATAGGTGATTTTAAACTGACATGATTATATAGTTCCAAAAATAATTGTGTTGAGATGGTTGAAATGTAGGAAGAGAATAAGGGTATGAGGTTTATATTTTATATGATAATTTGTTTAAAATATTTTATATATACCTTGGAGATATTTCAAATCTTTTTGTGGCATATTCTTAAAATTTAAAATGAGTTGAAATAATGTGGATGCTTCCTAAATTACAGATTATACCACTAAAAATGATACTGAATATCAAAACATACAATAATTTGAGGAGTTCTGATTGACAAAAGCTGTTTACCTTAAATTCTTTCAAACAACAAAACTGTAGTCTATAAGGGGTTAGAGTCTGTGAGAACACAAAAAGATTTATCTAAAGGAGAAACATAAGCACAAGAATACTCAGTATTGGTCTTTGCAATGCAGCAAATGATTTATAGTGAGATGAGACCTAGTCCAGAGATTGAGTTCGTTTAGGAATGCAATGGCCATAAGACTAAGAAGTAGACAATTTGTTTAAAAGACAACAAATCACATGAAAGTTGATGCATTGTCATGTTCCTATGTGTAGTGACGTTATCAGGCATTTACAGATTGCGAGTTTTCTGATTTTACTAACAGAGCTAAGTCTTTAACAATCTTAGTAAGAAGAGAAGAGCCTTTTTCCAGCTATCACAGGCCAGTTCGAAAACACAGAATGGGCATTAAGGAGAATAGATTTGAAGCAGCAAGTAAGCAACCAACATGCTTGCTAATGATATCAAAGCCCAGCTCAGCCTGTCATTCACAATCTACTTACTGCCTATTGCTAAAAAGCCTTTATGCTAGAGTTAGATGACTGTTTAACTGGCATTAAATTAGGACATCCAAAATGAACACTGAGATCCAGCCAACAATCACCATCATAGACCAGTCATGTCTTAGCTCACCTCTCTTGGAGTCTGTATTTCTAAAACCATATTCAAAATGTGTCTATACTAAAGGAGAATAGGCATTTGAGAGGGTAGAACACAAGTAGGCATATTTTAATAGTTGGGGCCAGCAGAGGGAGGCTTTGGGTAACAAAAGGACAGGCTCAGATGCAACAGCCAGACTGCCTAGAGTATTCAGAGCGTTAGGGATTTAGATTCAGCTGTTCATGTCTTAGTTGCTCATAGAACAATAGAGGAAAAACTGAAGGAACCAGAATCCAGAACCACACTGTCTTACTAGGGTGAGGCAGTTACTTTCAAGTAAGGCCAGCTGAAAGTACTGGGACAAAGTCCAGTAGAATGTTATATAAAATAAACCTTTCAATAATAGTTAATGGTCAGGGGATCCAAACAGAGTTACCTAACGTATTCTGAAAGGGGCGATGATCCAGTGGTGTGTTTGTTGATAAGTCAGCTCTCCAGGCATTAAAAGCATTTCATGATTTCTTTGGGTTAAATACTTCTACGGTGATTAATTTCCAGCAGTAGTCCCACTCACAAAATTGTTGAACATTTAACAACAGGCTATTGCAAGCCAGTAAGAGCTTGGTCCAACATACCACTGAAAGTAAAATCTAAGGAGGGAGATAGCACAAGGAAGCGTTGGTACATTGTGGTGACCCTTACTTGATGGGTGCAATGAGCAGGGCTCCAATCTCCTGGAAAGAGCTGGTCAAGCAAGAACAACTTCCTCAATTCCTAGAGGGATTAGGATATTAAGCAAATTTCTAAGACACAAATTTGGGTGCAAAGAAGTAGGCGGAAGCCCAGTAACCAGATTGAGGCCAAAAAGTAAGTTGTTAAGACTGGAAAAAAGAAATCTAGTTACATATAAAATATCAAGTAATATAAATTAGACATCATAAAGGGCCTTATTGTTGGTGTGGAGAATTCTATTTGTATAGGTTTATCTAAACTATAAATTCTCTACCATTATAGGCACATAATTAATTATAAAAGAAACAGGCATAACTTCTAAAAATGGCAAAAGTAAGTTTATATAATAGAATAATCAATTTTTTCACTAATAGTGGTGTATCCGTCTGTTGAATTTTGATTCTGCAAATTGTTCTTTAGTATGGGCTGCCTAATGACTTGATCATTACTTAGCTTTCTTTTAATTCTTTTCATTATGTTAATTTGTACGTTGCATTTCTTAATATACTTCAGTGCCTCATTAATATTAAGATCTACAAGTGTGATTTTTCTGAAAAATCTTGGGTAAATAGTTTTTTATATTGAATATTTTGTTTCTCTCTTTACCTTACCATTTCTCTGGAGATAAATATCCTATCTTCTAGATAATATATGGTATAAGGTATTATGAATCAGGCTATGTTAAAAATTCTTGTAAAACAGGGAAAAAATCTTTTGTTACGATGATTAGAGTGATTTGATTAGAGTTTCAGAATGCTGTAATATAAGGGCTTGAACTCCCAACACCCCCCCACCCCCGACACCAACCCCCCAAACACACACACACACACAGGGAGCTAGTGGTAGTAATCAATTATTGCATATTGGAAGCCAGGTGGGCAGAAACTAGATAGGTGCTTATTGCATGAGAACAATTCTGAAAGAAATAGGAAGAATCAAAGAAGAAAAATATGTGCCTAGTTTCTACTTTATTTAGGATGGCATGAGCTGGAAACTTGCATGGAAAAGTAGATGTTAGAAATCAGAGAGTTAAAAGTCAAAAGAGCGGGTTAGTAGGCTCCAAAAGTTGATTTGTAAGTCACTCATTTAGAACTCTGGATGTATTTTTCCTAGAGCAGCAATGTAGCTCACAATGGTAGTCCAAAAAACCTCTCAAAGTCCTAACCTAGCTGAAATTAAATGAAGAACCTCTGAGCCCTGAGTTCCACCAACTTCTCTTAAAACTCTGATTTTTGAACCCGATCCAGAGCTTTAAGTATTGAACCTAAAGAAGCCTGTGGTGCCATTTATCTAGAGGTGCCTGAAGGAAATGAGGCAGAAGGTGTTTACCTGAAGCAAGCTTCCTGATTGTGCAAAACTGAGCTATGTTGGGGTCCTAAATCCTAGGGCTATTTCTGTAACCTACTAGTTATGTAAACTTGTACAGGTAACTCAATCTGTCAGAGTCTTGGTTCCCTGATCCATACAAGACGAAAAGTAATATTTAATTCACAAATGCACAGATAGCTCAAAGGCTCCTGCTAAACCTTCCCCAGGCTCCAAGGGGATCTTAAGTGTAAACATGTGGGGAAATTTTCTTGTTTATTGCTGCAACCCCAGGACCTAGAACAGTACTTCATATATAAATTCGTTTCTGTTGATTATGTTAAATAAATGGATGCATGAATCAAAAGTGCTTCATTAGTAACCGGTGCCTTTTTTAATTAATTCCCCTACCTTTCTCCACAATCAACAGAAATTTGAGAGAGTATTAGCAAAGGGTATGTCCTCTTATAGTGGAAGGCAGGATAATCATGGCTGTTCGATGGATGGGTCATTTGCTGGCTGTGCGTGCTTTGCTGTAGCTGTTTGTATGGTTAAGGTATGACTCAGGTGCAATACTGACATCTCCCTGCTACCTCTCCATTGTGAGTATACTCTGGCCAAAATCCACCTGGTTATTTCTTGTGGTTTGTTTTTTGTGAATCCATCACCTTTATTGTTATAGAGGGTCTCTTCAGGTTAAGCTTTCTTCATAATACACCCATATTAAATTGTTCTATGTGATATTTCTGCTTGGCGAGGTTTAATTTGGTGGAATGAGAGCTGCCTGTTTTTTAGCAGTCAGATGTGCATAATAGCCATCTAAGGTAGAATTCATCAATTATGCTGAAATGTTTGTTTTTAAAATGTCAGGTGTCCAGATGGTGCCATGGCAATGGGGGTCATTAAAAATGCTTAGACACAGAGAGTCTTAATAAATAAATGTTCTTGTTAGTGATGCAGATCCTTAGCAGAGGCCAAGTTTTTTAAAAAGGTTAATAGGTTAAAGTTTCTTAAAGTGAAGTTATAACAAGCACCTCAAGATGAACCACAATATTACTCTGCTTTTATCTGTTTTGTCATTTCCATTTCTGTCTTCTCTCTTTACTCTTACCTGCCCATCTTCATCCAGGAATTCTCCCCTATTGCACATTGAAAGAGCTTTGCAAAAGAGAGATTTTATGTTAATAAAGTCAGAGGATGGTGCTGTTGCTATTTGGAGATTACCTAATTAAAGACCTTTATGGGTACTTGGATGGTAGCAGGACTGCCGTTCTAAAAGGATGTGCATCTGGAGTGATTCAGAACGCAGCTCCACATGCAGCGCCAATGGTGGAATTTAAAGCAATCAATGAAATTATCTATACTTTCAACTTTGTTAGACACATCTCTTGTGCAAAACCATTATTACAGATGCTGAAGCTACACACAGAGCCTCCAGTTACCCATAAAAGCAGCATTTGGACAGAGTGTAAATTTGCCACCAGGACTCTGGCATATGGAAACTAATATGTCTGATCAGGAAATGAAACTCATTGGAATATTTACACTGCTTCTCAGATACTTTGACCCTAGTTTAGCCAGGCTTTTAGAAAATTGTTGAGAGGATTTATTTTTCTTTATCTGTCAACACCCCATCCCCCTGTTCCACAAAGCTCAATCTACAGACTGCGGTCATCAAAATAGAAATCTACATTTCTGAAAATTAAGATTGTTTTGAGCATATTTTTCTTGTTTCTGTAGAATCCACCAGGCCTGGCTCTGGTGGAAAAACAAAGTAGCAATATCAGTTACAAAGGACTATCGAAATATTCCCAGCCATGTTAACACATCTGTAGAGGAAATAATACTGATTATTTATTTTTAAAAGCATACCTCGGAGATATTAAAGGTTCAGTTCCAGACCACCGCAATAAAGCAATATCACAAAAGAGCAAGTCACATGAATTTTTTGGTTCCTAGAGCATATAAAAGTTCTGTTCACAGTCTATTGTAGTCTATTAAGTGTTTGATAGCATTGTCTTAAAAAACAATGTACATATCTTAATTAAAAATAGTTTATTGCTAAAATATGCTAACAATCATCTGAGCCTTCAGCAAGTCATAATCTTTTTGCTAGTGCAGGGTTGTTCCTCCATGCTTATGACTGCTGACTGATCAGGCTGGGGGTTGTGGAAGGTTGGGGTGGCTGTTGCGGTTTTTTAAAACAAGACAACGGTGAAGTTTGCTTCATCAATTGCACATCAATTTACTTTTCCTTTCATGAAAGATTTCTCTGTTGTGTGTGATGGTGTTTGATAGCATTATACCCATGGTAGAATATCTTTCAAAACTAGAGTCAATCTGCTTAAATCCTGCCACTGCTTTACCAACTAACTTGTGTAATATTATAAATCCTTTCTTTCATTTCAACAATGTTCACAGCATCTTTCCCAGGAGTAGATTCCGTCTCATGCAATCATTTTCTTGGCTCATGCATAAAATGCAACTGCTCATCCATTAAACTTTATCATGGGACTGTAGCAATTCAGTCACATCTTCAGGCTCCACTTCTAATTCTAGTTCTCTTGCTGTTTTCACCACATCTGCAGTTACTTCCTCCACTGAAGTCTTGAACCTCTCAAAGTCATCTGTGAGGATTGGAATCAACTTCTTCCAAATTCCATTAACTTTCAAACTATTAATGTTGATATTTTGGCCTTAACCCATGAATCCCAAATGTTCTTAATGGCATGTAGACTAGTGAATACTTTCCAGAAGGTTTTAGATTTACTTTGCTCAGATCCATCAGAGGAATCACTATCCATAGCAGCTCTAGCCTTATAAAATGTGTTTATTAAATAATAAGACTTAAGTGTTGATATTACTTCTTGATCCATAGGCTAGAAAATGAATGTTGTATTAGCAGGCATGAAAACAGTGTTAATCTCCTTACATATTTCCATCAGAGCTCTTGGGTAACTAGGTGCTTGTCAATGAGCAGCAATGTTTTTACAGAAATTTTTCTTTTCTAAGCAGTAGGTCTCAACAATGGGCTTAAAATATTCACGGTAAGTCATGCTGCTAAACAGATGTGCTCTCATCCAGGCTTTGTTGTTCTATTCATAGAACACAGGCAGGGTAGATTTAGCATAATTCTTAAGGGCCCTGAGATTTTTGGAATGGTAAATGAGTATTGTCTTCCACTAAAAGTCACCACCTGCATTAGTCCTTAACAAGATAACCAGCCTATCCTTTGAAGAACTGAAGCCAGGCATTGACTTCTCTCTAGCTTTGAAAGCCCTAGATGTATCTTCTTCCAATAGAAGCCTGTTTGTCTGCATTGAATCTGTTGTGTAATGTAGCCACCTTCATCAATTATTTTAGCTAAATCTTCCAGCTAACATGCTGCAGCTTGTACATCAGCACTTGCTGCTTTACCTTGCACTATTATGTTATGGAGACAGCTTTTTTTTTAAAACTCATGAACCAACTTCTGCTAGATTCCAACTTTTCTTCTGCAGCTTCCTTGCCTCTCTCAGACTTCATAGAATTAAAGAGAGTTAGGGCTGTGGTCTGGATTAGTATTGAGGAAATGTGGCTGGTTTGATCTTCTATCCAGACTATTGAAGCTTTCTCCATATCAGCAATAAGGCTGTTTCACTTTCTTATCATTTGTGTATTCACTGGAGTAGACTTTTAATTTCCTTCAAGAATTTTTCCTTTGCATTCACAGTTTGACTAGCTTTTTGGCACAAGAGGCCTAGATTTCAGCTATCTGGGTGTTTCACATTCCTTCCTCATCAAGCCTAATCATTTCTAGCTTTTGACTTAAAGTGAAAGATGTGTGACTCTTCCTTTCACTTGAACACTTTGAGGCCATTATAGGTTATTAATGGGCATAATTTCAATATTGTTGTGTTTCAGCGAACAGGGAGGTGCAAGAAGAGGCAGAGAGATGGGAGAATGGCCGGTTGGTGGAGCATTCAGAACGCACACTCACATTTGTCAGTTAAACTCACTGTCTCTTATGAACTTGGTTTGTGGTGCCCCACAACAACTAGATAACAAGAGTAACATCAGAGATCAGTGATCGCAGACTATAACAGATATGCTAATAATGAAAGAGTTTGAAATATTGTGAAAATTACCTAAATGTGACACAGAGACATGAAGTGAACACATACTTTTGAGAAAATGGTGTCGATAGACTTGCTTGATGAAGGACTGCCACAAACCTTCAATTTGTAAAAGACACAATATTTGTGAAGCAGAAAAAACAAAGCACCATAATACAAGGTGTGCCTGTATATCTGACTTTTATTTATAATAATGAAAAGTTAAAAGATAGCTTAAATGTTCAAATAGAAAAAATATTTGCTAGTCACAGTTTGTCCAAATGATAGAATATTATGCTGCCATTGAGCTTTTTCACAAATAAAGAAACAAGGAAAGAAATGAGACTCTAGTGCAGGAAACTGAGGAAGAATTCTTTTAGATTGTTTAAACCTATTTTTAGTCAGGTTCATTGAGGTGTAAGTTACATACATAAAATATATTCTTTTTAGCATGTAATTCTGTGTATTGACAAACACATAGAATCATAAAACCAATATCACAATCAAGATATAGAAAAATTCCATCACCCTCTGCTATGGTCCAAATGTTATATCCCCCAAAATTCATATATTGAAATCTAACCCCAAAAGTATTAAGTAAAAGTATTAAGAGGTAGGGCCTTGGGGAGGTGATTAGGCCATGAGGCTCAGCCTGTTTGGCTAAAGGAATTACTGTCCTTATAAAAGAGGCTTGAAGGAGCTTGTTTACCCCTTCTGCCATGTGAGGACATAGCCAGAAGGTGCTGTCTGAGAGGAACAGGCCCTCACCAGACACTGAATCTGCTGGTGCCTTGGTCTTGGACTTCCCATCCTTACTGTGAGCAATAAATTTCTGTTTATAAACTACCCAGTCTGAGATATTTTGCTATAGTAGCCCAAATGGGGTAAGGCACCCCACAGATCCCTTCATTCCTCTTTGCAGTCAATGCCTTTCTCCACCTCTATCATTAGGCAACAACTGCTCTGTTTGCTGCCCCTACGTTTTTCTTTTTCCAGAACATCATATAAATGTAATCATCCATTACGTAACCCTTGACTCTGGCTGCTTTCATTTAGTGTATTGCATTTGACATCCTACCATGTTGTTGTGTGTATCAGTAGTTCATTTTTGTTTTTATTTTTTAACTGAAAAGCATTCCAGGTATGGATGTACCACAATTCACTTATCCATTCACCAGTTGAAGGAATTTTGGATTGTTTACAGTTTGGAGTGATTATGAATTAAAGTTGCTGTAGTCATTTGAATATAGGTTTTTGTGAGAACCTAAGTTTTCTTCTTTCCTGGGTAAATACCTTGGAGTTTTGGGAGTGGCATTTTTAAGTTGCATATAAAGTGTATGTTTACCTTTATAAGAAACTGCCAAACTGTTTTTCAAAATAGCATTCCTATTTTGAATTAATATCAGCAATATTTTATGGTTCAGTCATTCCATTATGACAACTGTAACTCCTTATGATCATTTATTAATTGCTACAGATATATTGTACTAGAAGTACGTTTACTAAAAGGAAGAGACTTTGCTCTTTGAACTTTTTCTGTAATGTCACATTGTGTCAGTTTGCCCCTCAGCTCATGGAAATAGACTTTTATACTTCATAACATGGTAAAATATAAACTAGTATTGTGTATCCTAAATAGAATTTTTAGGAACCAGTATATAACACTGTGAAACCTGAAACTTCTGTGAATGAGCTCTGCTCTGATTCTCTGGTAGGAAAGCAGAAGCCAGTGGCACTCTCTATGATAGGGGAACCCGATTTCAACTCTCTGTATGAATGTTCTGGACATTAATTGATATGGAAATGGTCTCTTGAATAATGCTTATTCAAGAGGGTGTAGAGAGAGTTGTCAAATCCTAAAGTTCTGTAAGAGCCCCATACACCTTCATGTGTCAAACTGTAAAATAGTGACCCACTGTGGAAATTTTCAAACACCTCCATAAGAAGAGAGAATAATGAAAGTCAGCATCCCAGCAGCGAGTTTCAATGTTATCAATATATTGCAATATTATATTCTTAATATCAACTTGGAGGATGAGGAAAATGTGATTCTTTTACAGTATATTTCAGACATCATATCACTTTACTTGTGAATAGGTCAATGTGTATTTCTAACAGATAAGGATTTTTAAACATAGCATAATGCCATTATCACAACCAATAAAGTAATTATTTAATGTTACCTAATTCCTAGTACAGGTCCAAATTTCACTGTCTAAAATATTGCATTTGGTTGTTATATCTATTAAGTTTCTCCTCCTTTTAAAAAAATGCCAGTTATATATCTAATAAATTTATAAATTTTCATGTAGAGCTTCTCTCATTCCATTCTTCTGGTCTTGAACAGGTTTTTCTACCCCCATGTCTCCTATGTTTCCTTTACTTGCTCTTATGTCTTTTACTTGCTTCAACTATGGAAGGAGGGCAGATTTGGGGAGATTTGAAAATTACACCAATCACTGCCATTTTTCCCCAAATGTTGCAGAATATCTGCAAAGTTCCCTTTAGCTTAATTTTGAGCAGTAGGATATAAGTAGAACAACTAAGAGTATTTTTAGTTGCATATAAGATGAAATCCAAATTCTTTAGCATGATCCTCCACAGTTCAGCACAGGCTTGTGCTACCTTTCCAAATTTATCTCCCAATATTACCCAACATAAATTCTTCACTCTTCTTTATTCATGCTTTTTCCCTTGCCTTCCCTCACTGTGTCACTCATTACAAAAACAAACAACACCCCCCCTCCAACCGTAATTGTAATTGTCTTAATTTCTGCTCACCATCTTATCTATCCTGATCTTCCATTCTTGGCAAAATCCTTTCCCACTGCCCTTTTCTTCTCCCTCTAAGCTTTCTAGCCACTTAATTATTTCATATTCTCAAATTTATTGCTCTTTGTTTCCCTCTTTTATTTGAATAATTGTCCTATTGATCTCAGTAACCTGTTAGAGTAAAAATTCATTTGATTAAAGAAACCAAATAAAAGAAACCTGTTTTCATTGACATGTACTGCTTACTAAGCATTGTGCTAGGCATTGTTGAAGGAACTATCTACAAACAGACCTGGCAATTGTCATTAAAGAACTAACTAAATCACATCATAGTATGAGAAGCTGACCATGTCATTCCTTTCAAGTGCATCCCTATTTGGTAGAATTTCAGTACGAATGCAAAGTCAAATTAAGCAAGTTATTTAAAGCAATAAGTGAGTTGGTTGAGGGAGGGAGACTGAGACAGAAAGAGGGGAAGATGTTTCTAGAACAGAGATCCTTAAGTTCATTGAACTCCCTCTCCATCTAGTTCTACTCAGCATCTTTCTGAATCTTATGTATTCTTCAAAGTGTTGCTTAAATCCTACATTGTGGGTAAAAGTTTCCTGAATCCTTCCACATGTACCAATTCAGTGCTTGTTCACAAAATTATTGGGATGCAACGATGACTCCCTCCTCTAAATGTCTTGAACACTTATCAAATATTACATTTATTTCAAATGAAATTTTTATTGTCATTTGCTCATGTTTACATTGTGTCCCTCCTGCTAGGTTTTATAAATGAGCTGTTGTATAACTCTTCGGGTCCCCCAGTGTGTAATAACAGGTGCTTAATAAACATTTCATAAAGAAAGAAAAATTTCTTTGCTGAAAAGTCTGAGAAACTCTTCCTTCATCAGGACTTGCATGAATAAAGCAAAGCAATAGAATTAGTAGACTGTGTTGAACAGAACTGAACTCAAAAATTCTAAGATACATAAGATTTTCTTCCATTTAAGCTCAGGAAAAATATAATCATCTTAGTTGATTTTCCCTGAAAATTTTAGGAAAATTTTGATCCAAATATATCATTGCATTCTATTAGTCATTTGATCATATGGCTCATATTGCTCAGACTATACATACATTATAGACAGACAAAGAAGTAGAAACAAACAAATTTTCAACAGAATTGTTAATGGGAAAAACGCTACACAAAGTAGGGAGAGCACAAGACATTGGTGTCCATTTTGTGATAATAGTAGCTATAGTTTGCTGTATACATCCTTATAAGCCAAAATTTTCACATATTTTAATCCTTTAAATTTCCAAAACAACAGTAAGAGATAGATACTGTTATTAAACTCATTCTACAAATGAGGAAATAGTTAAGCAACCTGTCCTGGGGCTCACAGCTTGTAAACAGAGGACAATGGTTCTAACCTTAGAGCCAGGTTCTCTGGGCCAAGGGAATGGCCCCTACTCCATACCTATGAGACTTTAAATAAGTCCCTATCTGTGCATAAAACATATGACATAAAACATAATTATTCTTCCTCTGATTGATTTCTGAGATAAGATTATGTAACACTATTTGATCAACTGTAGCCATCTTTGGTAGTTAGTCAAGAGAATTCCAACGGCTCAGGAAGACAAAACTGTATGTCCTGTCTTCTGTAATCTTATAGAGTGTGTTGTAATTTGAAAGCAAATTGCAAACCAAAATCAGCCTCACCAACAAATATTTATAGGAATGCTGGCATGGAAACAGCCATATTACCTCCAAGCTTGATGAGGTCTTCAGTTTCTGTCCCTTTAGTCCCTCTAACTGCTCCTTGCACTTAAGTTTCACTTAAGGCGTGGCATAATTTATCTCTAGTCAGAACCAGCTAACAAAATCCTCTGATAAATATTTAAGCAAAGGACTGGTAGAAAATCCTAAATCCAGTGCAATATTTTGAAAGGTGTAGGCTCTTGAGATCACTAGATTTTTGAGCACAGTTTGTTCAAGACTCAAAGTAGCCGTATATTATTTTATAGTAATCGATGTATCTTGAACCCTATCTCACCATAAAAATTCATGCCTAATATTCGTTGTGCTAAATAACCAAACCTCTAGTATTAATGAGAAGTAAAATAGAATAGCCGAAGGTCTTACAGTGACATTCTCTCTAGAGTGAGAGCCTCTGAGCAACCATCCTGCTGGGAATAGTCCCAATTAGAGTACTTCAAACGTTAGCTAACCCCCATTCCTTGCCTCCAGTCTGCACACCAGGGTACAAATTAACTTTTAACAAAGGTTGATCACACTCTTTATTTTAGTAGTATAATGTAAGTTATCAGCAAGATTTCAAGAATGGAGAAACCAGTGTGAAAAAGTCTTTCCTTAGAAAGAAGGGTGTCAATTTGGGGTGTCACTCTTACAGTTTGATATGTTTACACTTGACATTTTAGAATATTTCTTTCCTTCTATAGCCATTCAGGGTTAAATAGTTATTTCCACCAGCAAATTTGTCTGTCATAATAGTATCATCAGACATCAGAGTCCTTGTTTGGGCCGCCAAACAGGAGACTATTAAAGGAAGGTAAATGTGGAATATAGGATAATTTGGGCTATAAATTCACCATCCTTCTCACTCTCAAACTCTTTCCAGAACATTCTTTCTTCATTTTTTTCATTCTGAACACCACAATTCTATATTACTATGGCAAATGTCTCTTATAAAAATAACTTTAAAATTTAGTGTTTAGTCCTAGCTAATTGCCATTTCTTTAGAAGTATTCTAACAAATTAGGCATTGAGGGACATATTTAATTTAGCATTTCTCTGAATTAAGACATATAGGCAGATTTCCAAATCTTAATTATGAACTAGCAAATGTATAATTAGCTATTTAAAAATACTATTGATCTGATGGACAGGGCAAACTTACCTTCTAATTAAAATTACCCTAAGAGGCAAATTGCACAGAACTAATGTGTTACTCAAAGCCTTTCAATTAGAAAAAAATTAAGGAAAATAGTTTTCCTGATCCATTTTGTGGCAAATCTAAGCCTCTATTTACCTGTGTTTTTCATCTTACTCCCACACAAATGAACTAGGAATATGTAGATACACAAGTCCTTCATACAGGACTGAGGGTATCTGGTGCTAAACAAGTCCTCAATAAACATTAATAGATTAGAGTTAACGGAAATTAAATAAGGCAAGGGATTTATTCATAAAAATATTTACTGAGCACCTTGTAGGGGGTGAAAAGAAAGTCTTACCCATTACAAGGGTCACAGCTGACACTCCTATAACAAAAGATAGGTTAACAAGAGAAAAGCACAACAAATTTATTTAATCCTAGTTTTATGTGACATGGGAGCTTTCAGGATGAAGATCAAATGACCCAGGGAAAACTATCAACCAACTTTTTTTTTTTTTTTTTTTGAGACAGAGTGTCACTCTGTCACCCAGGCTGGAGTGCAATGGCGCCATCTCAGCTCACTGCAGCCTCCACCTCCCGTGTTCAAGTGATTCTCCTGCCTCAGCCTCCCGAGTAGCTGGGACTACAGGCATGCACCAACATGCCTGGCTAATTTTTTTTTTTATTTTTGGTAGAGATGAGGTTTCACCATGTTGGCCAGGCTGGTCGCAAACTCCTAGCCTCAAGTGGTCCTCCCGCCTTGACCTCCCAAAGTGTTGGGACTACAGACATGAGCCACTGTGCCTGGCCTATCAATCCGTTTTTATGCTTAGGTTCAATGAAGTATAGGCAGCCATGTAGCAATGTGCTTGGACCAAAAGAGTATAATCTTACGGCAGTAGACTGACTTAGGAAACCCAGAAAGGCTTCTCTGTTCAGATTCTTCCTGGCCTTTCTCTGAAGCATTCCTTCCTCCTGGGTATGGGGCAGCCTCTCTCCAGAATGGGGGTCTTATGACTACTATCAAACAAGGTACATCAATTTCTTTATGGCCATCTCCTACACAGAAAGGCAGGGGAAGGCGAGAATAATATTTTTAGTTTTTTTGGCTGGCTTTGGGGAAAAGGAGTTCTAGTTTCTATGACTCACCTGAGGGAAGAGGTATTCTTGTTTCTGTGACTTGCCATGGGGCAGAATGAGGGGCCAGGGACAGGAGGGCAGGGGAGGGTCAGAGAGAAAGAGCTTCTGAGGCCACTTCTGAGGCTTTCACTTTGGTATTTTGTTTTCTGAGCCCCAACAACCTACTATGTGCTACCTACACAGTTGATAAGTTCAGTCCCTGCTCTCTGTGAATTACATGTTCGGTACAAGCAGATGCACATATTCTGTAAACCTATGAACTTTTTCACCAAATGGATTATATCTCACCATATTCCACGTAACTGATGCAGAATCATTTAACAATGGCTATTTCTAAGTGGGACCCTTGCTCCTTTAGTGTGTTGCAATCTCTCTTCTTTCAGTAGATCTTTAAGTCCAGAGGCCAGTTGAATGTGGACACAGATTTTCCATGTAAACTTGTACTCTTAGTGTGCATGGAAGTACTTGGAGATATTAAAGTTTTGTGGCACTGTTAAGTTTGCTTAACAAATACCTTCTTCACAAATAATGGGAAAAGACAAGTCCAAATGTATCCATGTTATCCCAAATTCTGATTAAATGAGGTCTAGATTATTATGGTTTTATGATAGTTCATTTTCAAATAAGTTTCTTTATAGCCCTTATAAAGAGAACTGTCTGAGTAAATATTGTAATTTAAAATGTAGACGTAAACTTATATGGGCAATTTTATTTCATTTTAAGATTAAATCATGATTTCTTTTTAATTTCCTTAATGTTTCTTTTTGCAAAGCTTCACGGTTTCTGGCACTGTGCCTCTTAATTCTTAGGAGCACGTTATCTATCTTTTGAGCATAAAACAAATAAAGACATAAGTAAGAATCGCTTATAATTTTTTTAAAGAGTGAACTTTCTATATCTTAAATATTGGTCATGCCTTTCCAAACCCTTTAAAATCAGGGTGGGATTTAGTCACATAATTTTACAGATGAAAAAACCGAGATTCAGTGACTGTCATTGGATGAATGTATAAGGAAAATGTGGTATATATACACAATGGAATATTATTCAGCCATAGGAGGAATTAAATCTTGTCATTTCCAGGAACATTGACGGAACTGGAGGTCATTATAGTAAGTGAAATAAACCAGGCACAGTAAAACAAATATCACATATTCTCACTCATATGTGGGAGCTAAAATAGATTTCATAGAGATAGAGAATAGATTGGTGATTACTAGAGGCTGAGAAGCAAAAGCGGAAGGAGGAATGAAGAGAAATTGGTTAAGGGGTATGAAAATACAGTTAGAGGGGATCAGTTCTAGTATTCAATAGTAGAGTAGGGAAGTTATAGTTAAAGTAGTGTGTTGTATATTTCAAAACAAGTAGAAGAGAATTGCAATGATTCCAACATAAAGAAAAGATAAATGTTTGAGGTGATGAATATCCCTACCCTGATTTGATCATTACACATTGTGTACAGGTATCAAAATATCACATGTGCCCCCCAAAAATATATACAACTATCATATAGCAATAATAAAAAAACTGAGACATAGGTAGTTGAAATCCTGAGTGTGACTCAAAACAACTACTAATATTAATTATGAAATTCATCGGAATATTATTAAAAGAACTTATGTAAACATTTGTATAGTAAAGAATAAACTGAATCTAGCTTTCCCAATTCTGAATGCGTCAATTTACATTCATTCATGCCAATTTTCTTCTGAATGATATCTCTAAGGACTGACATTACTTCTCTGGAACAATTCTGTGTAGAAGAAAAGATTGGTGTCTCCTTGTTTTCAAGAGAAAAGCACATTAAATTTCCAACTAACACCACAACACAGACAAATGAAAACAAACTTCGTGTAATGAAAGAGACACAGGAGCAAAATTTAATTCTTCCCATAAAACAATGTGTTGAAGGAGAGCCTAAAAAAATCGTAATGTTAATGAAAATGGAGGGATTACACTGTTAAATCATTTCTATGTAAATTAATAGAAGAGATTTCTTTTTGGAAATAAAGCCCATCAACAGAGGAACTGCTAAAACCTGTTTTTATCTCCAGTAACATAAAATTTCAGGTCACATCAACAAATAAAGTTATTAAATCAAGCATTTTATTATCTGACCCTAAATAATGAACACTAATCAAAGATACCATCCATAGCTTTGATTATTAAAGCCAGGATTTCTTACGGTTTTTCTTAAAGAAAAATAGCCCTAATAGATGTCACTGCAACAATTGATGGGAGTTAAAGAAACAGATTAATTGGACTCCATATTTCTTTATTTAAACATCTTAAATACAATTATGCATGGCCAACGGTAAGTTAATCATTTTATTTAGATATTAAATGACCTGAAATTGGGTTTTTTATGCCTTTACTCAGCCACCAATAGTCACACTTTCTTCAGTCCAAGAGGAGGGTGTGGGTACTATCTTTGATTTTTATTTTATAATATGAACTACAACTACCTCCTTGAAATGCCTTCCTATCTTAGCTGTCATATACCTGTACTATTCTTGGGAAGCATCTACATTTCTAATCTCTCTCTCTCTCCCCAACTTCCTCCTTACATCTCCCCCGGCCTCTCTCTCCCTTTTGCTTTCACTCCACTTCCCTCATATTTCTACCATTATTGCTCCATCTTCAGCTACCTGTTCCTCTCCACAGTACTCTTTACAAGGGTCATTCAGCCTTATAGCTTTAACTATTGCCTTCAAACTGAGGATTCCCAAATTAGACCTTCAGTCCTGATTTACCTGTCTTTCCTTTATATTAGACATTTCCAACTAAATATATTTATCACAGCCATTTAAATTTTGTTTATCTTCTTCCTTTCAACTTCTCTCTGTTGCACAATTTCAACTTCATTCAACTTCATTCTTAAAGGCTGATGTGGTGCTACCCGTGTTAAATGACTTCCACATTCATTGTGTTATTGTATATATCACCCCAAATCTAAACCACTAGTCCACATAAGCACACACATACATAAAGACCCACAAACGCATTCACACATTAGCACTTAATATTTCACCTGGCACATATCATGTGATCAAAAATTTTGGTGATTGGGTAAAACACACATGAACACAGCACTTTTCTTTCTCTTCTCTCCAAATGATTACCACCACCTATTGTCTTTATGCCTGTTCTAAAACTGCAAAAAGGAATGAGGAAAGCTAAGATGGAGCTGCATTAGCATAGTAATCATTGTGTTAATGTACTGCAACGCATGCTCCTGCTGGAAATATTTGTGTTAAAAGATGCTGTTAAGAAAGCCGAAATCCTGAACCCTAATGAGGTTCATTCTCCACCCACCACACATACCCACCCACACACTCACACATACCTTTCACCCTGGCCAATCGTCTCACATCTGGTGAAACATGTCAGCAGAAACCTAATGCTACTAATGACAAATAAATATATAATAAATATCTTTCCTGTGATAGTCCTTTTAGTAAATGGGGAATACACTTCAAGCTTAGGTTATTTTGACAACATGCTACAGGTGGATGAATTCCAGTGATGTCTTAACCTTCTAAGAGACATGTGTTTATGGTTTATTTATTAGTGACCATCTTTGGGTTGCAAATAACAAATATAAACCAGGAAGCAAGCAATTCACAGGAAAAGAAATTTTAATATGTAATACACACATAAAAATATTCAGCCTCCTTAGTCCTCAGAGACAGACAATTGTTAAAGTAGTACATCACTTTCAAACACCAAATAATGATGACTGAAAAAAAACTTCAATAACTGCAAGAGTGGCTTGAGATGGGCACTCTCAAACTCTGCCAGTAGAAATAATTCGTTTGATATTAGCATGCAAAAACATTTAAAATGCTTACACATTTGTATCTGGCACTTCCCAATCTAGTTAATCAGGCTAAAAAGTGAGCATATATTTTTCAAAGTTTTTACAAAATTTGTGTTCTAAGATGTTCACCGCAATTATTTATGAGGGCTAAATATAGGAATGGTTCTAAGTATTAAAAATTGTCAAAACATAAGAAGGGATACTGTATAACTCTATATATTTATTTTAAATTAACAAAAGTAGATTTTTATGATAAACTGTTGAATGAAAAGTAAAGATACTAAACTATTTATGAGGTATATAAAATAAGAAAAAAATATGACATATATGCATATAATATATATATTTTAAAACACAAAAAATTATACAAAATGAAAACAACTGTTAACTCTTGATTTGTATTTTAGTGGTTCTGTTTTCTTCTCTACATTTTTAACCCTTCTGCAATGATTCTACATCACTTCCATAAATAAAAAATAATATCTATTTAGATTGGAAATGAAGTCAAAGTGTGGATATGAACCATCAAAAAACAATAATGTTTGGATTTCTTCTGGAGAGTTCATAGACAGTTGAGAAACAGATACCTGTAGCAAAATCAAAAACTGTTCTGCACCCAACTCATGCTATAAAATCTAGTTTAAGTGCAGAGCTTGCACTGAAGGTTGGTATTACTGCACACTAATCCATGCATAACTGAATTATCAAGGTCCTTCCAAGCTTTTTCCAACAGACTCAAAAAGTTAGTTTTATAATTTAAATCAACTACTGTAAAAAAGCTTTTATAGCTAATATTTGATGAACACAGTAGATTGAAAGAAATAATGGAAATGATAGAGCAAAAATGTATATTTTAGCTAATGGAAAAGAAGAAAAGTAATTTTGTTTTTCAGTGGATATTTTCATGAGAGTTTGCTTTAATTAGGTGTGCATGAACATAATCTTCTAACCAGTATTTTATTTAAAAGAGGCATTCAATAACTTCATTAACCTCAGGCTATAGGTGCACAATATATTGTGGAAAATAGGAAATTTAATCAAAGCATATATAACTTCTCATAGACGTTGGGTTCTGGAAACAGCAGGAAATGTATCCCAGCTTTACCACCTAACACCTGTAGAATCTTTTTTTTTTTTTTTGTAAAAGGCACACAAATTTTATTTACATGTCCAAGGAAGGAACCACTGAGTGACTATCCCTGCGTGTATAATCTTGAGCAAATTGCTCAACCATACTGTATTTAGAATTGTTGGAAGATTAAACTCTTTAAATAAGCCAGGTTTTCAGAATGAAGTAGGACCCACAGTAAATTCCACACGAATGTTACCTGTCATTGCTTTTAGCTATTACAACCTGTATTAATGGATCTATGTTGGTCGTGGTTATTCAATAATTTATTAAAGGTTAAGTATCAGAATGTGTTTTAAATAAGTTGTAGCTTCATTACAGTATATGAGACATAAAAATTTTTATATTGAATAAAGCATCCAATCATCTAGTTCTGCCACAAAATAGTATTTATCAACAACATTTATAAATGCATACATATGCCTAGTATATCCTTGGTATGTAAGATAGTTGTTCTCCTAAAAACTTCTGAAATTCTAAACAATATGTATTTCAAATCTAAATTTTTAAAGTAAATATGCTCATATTTACTGTTAGCATTTCTGATCGCACAAGAAATAAACTGTCTGTTGCGAGATGTTTTTCTTTCAGCCCATTGAACTAGATTCTAAAAATTGAGCTTGCAAGAAAGGTTAGAATTAAATGGATCAAAAGTAAATTTTCCTCCAACTTGATTCAATCATTTCCAAAGCCCAAATAAAATGGGTCCTGAGCAAATAAGATTGTAAACACAAAACCATCAAATGAGTGACTTAGTGTACTCCATGGTAGAAAAAGGAATCCATGTTAAAAGAATTAAAGAGATTTTATGTAATATATGATTCCCACATCCAAGCTTTGTAAAATAAATGCTTTTCAGAGGTACATTCTTATCATAGATAAATTTCCCAAGTGGCACCATAAATACTGGGCTACTACATAAAGGACCAAGACCAGGAAGAAAGAAAACAGTTAAACTCAAGGCTGCAGATGACTTCTGTGACAAGAGTGAGAGGTTAACTTGCCAACTGACTGAATCTATTTCTGGAATTAGCCTAATGTGCCTGAGAAGTCAGAAGAAAAATGGATTTTACCACTGCTTCCTTGCTTGTGCTTCTAGAAGTCGTCTCATCCCAAGGAATTTATTGTATGTTTCAGAACAGCTCATAATTTAGGTTTCAATTTCCATCAGTATGATGCTTTATAATTTTGTGTTAAGCTTCAAATAATTTAAATTTTTTTATATTGATATATGTGGAGAGGAAGCATAACTATCAAAATTGGAGGTTCTTGTTATTAAAGATTCATCGTACTTATTTATTTTTTAAAAAACAATTCATTTCTGTTCTTTACCTTTCCGCTTAGGGCACATTTTATGATCCAGGTTTCATTAAATGCCAGTAATTGTACTAAAAATTTATAAAATGTTTGAAAGTAGATTGATAAATTAAAATTTTAACTTTAATAAAAACTGTATTTAATACATTTAATATCTCACTCAATAAAAATTACATGTCTTTGTATTGTTTTTATGATGTCACTGCAATTAGGACTTAAAAAATAGGCTCTTCCAATATACACATGTAGTTTTTAAATGATGTTCTATATTAAGTAGAAAACACACATACTAAATATACGTTATAGTATAGAAATTGCCACTATTTAGAAATATATTTGCAGTGTAAGAAGTTCATTTGGAATTTTAAAATATTGGTCTTTTGATCTGAGTGTATGACTCAGATATAAAACTTACTAAAAATATGAATTAATTTCTTTGAACCTCTTTTTCACATGTAAAAAAGCAATGATAATACCTAGATTAGATAGTTATAGTAAAGATGAGATTAAGAAAGTATATAAAATTGGCTGGGCACTCATGCCTGTAATCCCAGTGCTTTGGGAGGTGGAGGTGGGAGGATCTTTAAGGCCAGGAGTTTGAGCTCAGCCTTGGCAACATAATGAGACCCTGTCTCTACAAAAAGTAAAAAAGAAAAAAAAATTAGCCAGGCATGGTGGAGCACACATGCAGTCCTAGCTTCCCTGGAGGCTGAGGCAGGAGGATTGCTTGAGCCCAGAAGTTCAAGG
The DNA here is from genome assembly GCF_000001405.40 of Homo sapiens. Classification (NCBI taxonomy): domain Eukaryota; kingdom Metazoa; phylum Chordata; class Mammalia; order Primates; family Hominidae; genus Homo; species Homo sapiens. The sequence continues at coordinate 8,983,589 of NC_000009.12, read as the reverse complement.
TTGCAGTGATGTGTGATTACACTCCAGCCTGGGCCAGAGAGTGAGACTTTTTCTCCAAAACAAAAGCGGGGGGAGGGGGAAGAAAATGTATAAAATAAATAACACATTTCCTAAACACAAAAAAGTCACTTAAGAGAAAACGTATTGAACACTAACTCGGGTTGAGACTCTTGCTATTACTACAGGAAAACATAAGAGGTAAGGGTGGAAAATTATAAATTGAGTATATTTTTGACTGGCATCAGAGGTTTTTTTCCCTACTTATTTGACATTGTCATCTAATATAATTTCTAGTGAAGCATTTTATTTTCATCTGTATCTCTTCAAGCTAGAATAACTCAATGAAATTTTCATGATATAAAGAAGGTTGATTTCATTCACATCCAGGTAGGTTAATTTTGGCCATTCTAATTATTGCTAATCACAATATTACTAGTGTGATGAAAAGCCACTAAAATGTTAAATAACTCATGATGAAAACAGACTAAAGAAAAAATGATTTATGAAAAAAAGAAAAAGTGTATCCCATCAAATAGATTTTTTTCCACAGTACATTAAAGAGTAATAGAACATGGTATGATTCAACTCATTGTTAAGTGAGGTTAATTGATGATCCACTTCAACAATCTCAAATGTCAGCCCTAGAGTGTATCCCTATGCAGAGAGACCACATTATCTTATGGAAGCTACATTATTAGCCAAAAACATAATGTTTGCTGGGTAGTGATTTACATGTGAATAGTCTCAAAAAGGAGCTTCTGAATATAAGCAGTTCTGAATATTGTAAAAATAAGGAAAATAAATAATATTTAGCTATATTTATATTCTAAAGACATGCAGGTTGCTAAATATGAATTGATAATCTAGAAAAAGAAAATAGTGAACTTGCAGATAGGAATGAACTAGATAGGTGAGATAGAAGTATTTTAGAAACCCTTTATCCCAGAAGTTATAAAAACAAATTTATAAGATGATGATTGTGGAGTTTTTTATTTTTTTTTCTGTCCTTTCCCTTTAGGTCATATTTTCATTCTCTTTTTTTTTTTTTAAGTAAGATTCATACTTAGATGCCATATTTGAACACTATGGTACAAATGTGGAAGAATCCATTTACAGTGATTAAAATGCTGATTTCAGTATTGAATTGCTGGGGAAGCATTCGCTTAAGATAAAAAGTTATTCTTGTTGGGAAAACAGAGAGAAAGACTTCCCTTATGAGACTTATAGAGGGAAATAAATGAAGTTTAAAATCTATAAAGTTTATGCCCTAAAAGAAGCTAACGCATGGTCTTTGGAACAAACCCAGAGCATACAATGGAAGGAGAGTTTATATAATTTCTACAATGAGCCATTGGAATACGTGCATTTCAATGAAATACCATTCAGTACTAAGTCAATCAGATCACATGTGTAATTTGATAATTGTGTAGTAATATTTTCCTCTTTTAACAATGTGAAATTATTAAATTCAGTGTGTTAATTTCACTTTGAAATACCTCTATTTTCACTGCCATTCACTTCTTGACCTTTTTCTTACTTTTGTCCCTATTAAGTTACAAATTTTCTTACCCATACCTTAACTTTCATTTATAGTAAGTCTTTTAAAAAGTGATCTACCTTTTGCTCTGGCGAGATTAAATCATCCTAGAGAGTCAGTGGAAAATCAACAGAAAAGAGATTCCAAACAACAAAAAGACAAATGATTTTTAACATTATTTTGCCATTCTATTTCTTCCTTCTAGCAAGAGAATTTTATTTTCCAAATTTGTAGAAAATTAGAAAGCCAAATAATCACATTGCCTTTTTGCATAGTATTTTGCAATTATATTATGTATAGTCACATATATTATCTCATTTAGTCCTCAAAAAAAAATCCTATAAGGAGGAGAAAAAGAAATTGAAGTTCAGAAATGGAATTCTGTGTGCCCAGCCCAGTCTCCTTTTTTGCTCATACATTTTTTTTCTAGATTAGCTATTATTTATTGTATTAACAGAAAAAATAAGCACTGGGTTGCCACATACAGTTGCACCACTTTCACTCCACAAAGATTCCTAGCCAAGTAGATGATTTGCAAATGTTTTCATGATTCTTTTCAACTTATTGAAAATCCAAATCCAGTGGCTCCATGGAACTCCCTTCAGTGTAAACACTTGACTTTACTAAACGATACCTACTTAAAAAAAAATCAGACTAAAGAACTGAATCAAATGGCAACATATGTTTTGGAATAATTTCTAGCATATTAACAATCCTTTATTTAGTGTGTAGACATCCCCTTAAATTAAAAACTTTTCCTAAAAATAATTATGATCCCACTAATAAAAGCAGTGAAATAAGTAGTACTAGCTTCTTTTTTTTTAATCTCTATGCTGAGCTCTTTATTAGGTATACAGCAGATGTGTTTTCATTGAAGAACAAAATACATTTTATAAACTGATTTTGGTGACAAATAACCCCAATATTAGATCAGCATCCTGAAAGCACTGAGCTTTTGAAAATAAAAGAAAGATAAGAAATTCCGTTAGCGAGGTGCCGGAGACAAGTAATTCAGCATGCTGCTCAAAGATTATGGGGAGCTTTCAGCTTCAACTCCTAGGAGGCCCATACTCATAATGCTGAGGCTGATGTCAATGTCAGTTTTATACCCATTATCTTCATGCAAATCTAAACAATGGAATTTTGGCCTGAAAAAATGCATATGTTATCCGTTCATGGTCTCTTTTATTTCCTGTTTGGAACCACCCTTTGCCCTACATGATTCATAAATGTACACCGTAAGTCCCCAGGGATTGGCTTTGAGAAATAGCTATAAGCACAGAATTCACTTTTGGAAAGTTTAGCCTCTATCATTCAAGGTAGGGATTTGGGGCTACATATATTTATGATCACATTGTTCAGTCTCTTCCTAATGGAATGCCAGAGTCATTTCTCTAATGGAAAAATTCCATCTGTTTAGGAAAATGTAACTCTCAGTTTGTCCTTGGGGAATTTTCTGAGATAACTTTAATATCCTTGAGAATGTTGATAAAATTTCTAGAAACCTAATGTTATTTTCCAATAGACTTTTTAAAAATAAATTTTATTGTATGTATTTAAGGTTTGCAATACATTATTATGGATACATATAGATAGTAAAATGTTACTATAGTGAAGCAGATTAACATATCTATCATCTTACGTAGTTTCTGTTTTTATGACAAAAGCAGCTAAAATCTACTTATTTTTTTAAATCCCTAATATAATACAATTTTATTAACTTTAGTCCACATGTTGTAAATTAAATCTCTAAACTTGTTCATCTACATATCTGCTACATTGTATCCTTTGTCCCACAGCTCCTAATTTCCTCGCCCCCACCCCCACTGATGATAAACATGGTTTCACTCTCTATCTCTGTGTATTTGACTTCTTTTTTTAAAAAAATTCACATATGTGAGATCATGCAATATTTTTATTTATGTGTCTGGCTTATTTCACTTAATGCAATGTCCTTTAGGTCCATCCAAGTTATGGCAAATGGCAGGATTTCCTTCTTTTTTTGAGGCTGAATAATATTCCAGTGTGTATGTGTGTGTGTGTGTACACACACCACATTTTCTGTATCCATTTGCTCATCTACAGACATTTACGTTGTTTCCATACTTTGGCTACTATGAATATTACTGCAGTGAACATGGGAGCTCAGATATCTTTTCAAAGTGGTGATTTCATCTTCTTTGGGTATATGTCCAAAAGAGGAATTGCTGTAATTTGTTTAGGAAGGTTCATACTTTTTTCCATAATGGCTGTACCAATCTCTATTCCCATGAACAGTGTACTAATGTTCCTTTTTCTCCAGTCACCAACATTTGTTATCTCTTGTCTTACTGATAAAAGCCATCCTTATGGTTGTGAGGTAATATCTGATACTGGTTTTAATTTGCATTTCCCTGATAATTAGTGATGTTGAGCAACTTTTCATATAATTGTTGGCCAGTTTTATGTCTCCTTTGGAGAAATGTCTGTTCAAGTCCTTTGCCCATTTTTAAGTGGAGTCATTTGTTTTTATTCTATTGCATTGTAAGAGTTCTTTATAAATTTTGGATAGTAGTCCCTTATCAGATATGTGGTTTAAAAATACTTTTTTCCACTTCATAGGTTACCACTTCATTTGGTGATTATTTTCTTTGTTGTGAAGAAACTTCTGAGTTCGATGTAGTTTCATTTATTTTTGCTTTTGTAGCCTGAGCCTTTGGTGTGATATCCAAAAAAAACCATTGCCAAGCCCAATGTCCAATAGACTTTTATATCATGATATTATTATCTGTTAGGTTTATTGTTCAGTTTTTTAGGAATACTTCAGAGAACTTCTGAATATTTCATAATAATTTTGTTAGCTATAAATGCTTTTAAGAATTATCTAAAATTATCTAAATTTGAAAAATAATCTTTTGAATTTAAACAACTTCAGGCTTGCCTGGTGTGTGCCTGTACATAAGGAACTGAACTGCTTTTAACCTTTAAAAAGAAACATACAAGAAATGAATTACAAGTTTGGGTCTGTTGCCAAAGTTGAGATTTTTCAACTTCACAAGACTCTTTAAAGTAACCATGACTGTAAACATTAAAAAAAGAATAAAGATGGCAGCCTCATTGGATTCAAATGAATGTCGTTCAAAGTCAACTCTAAATAACTACATGTGCATTGCCTTGCAAAGTGTTAGACGTTTTCAGGAATCATTAGCAGTAAAGTGAAGCAGGTAAGATATAGTAGCTTTTGCTTCTCTAAAATCAGGTCCTTTTCGTTTTCTGAGCCTCACTTAGCAGCATTACTTAAGACTCCATGTGGCAACTACTATTTCCTCCATTGTTCCTTGTGTCTCTCCCTCCAAAGCAGTATTGCCGTCCAAGGCTATGTAGGTTATACTTGTGCCTGGCACAAGCCAAGGTGGAGAAGTGGGGTGGTGGGGAGTAAGTTTCAGCTCCAGCTTATGCTGCATCCACGAAACCCTTACCCTGATTCAAGGCTGCGTGCACTTGGTCATTTCACCAGCTAACTCTGATAGGTCTGAGTCTGCCTAAAGAGGGCGCCTTTCTCAATTTTGCATAGAGGCACCCTAATAATGCTGACTCCATGTACCTAAATCTTCCTCATAGTTTCCCAATAGTTCATTCCGTGGATATTTATTGAGAGCCCAATATGTGAAAACTACCAGGCTAAGCTTTACAAAGTACAACGGTGGGTACTTAGTGCAGAGCATTTGTACTCCAGCAGAACTGATAAGGGACTTACACAGTAACAACCATAATGCCAGCAGAAAGTAAGTTGGCGATGAAGAATGTTGTCCATGCATCAGCTGAGGCCTTGCTACCCTTTGAGACTGAGATAAATCCAGCTTAGGCTTCTTATTCCACATTGTGTGGGAATGGCAAGGACCTCCCTTCCCCAAAATTTACGTTAATTACTTAAGGCTTATGGATTCAAATTCACTCTGGCTTCCAGTTTCTGTTTCCTTGGAATTTCATCTCCTACTTGTCTCATCTCCTAGAATGCTTTTCTTCTTTCTTCTCCCTGCCAACACTTTGCTTGGATTACTTTAAATCCAAACAAAATGAAACACCCCAAGGCATTTATGCATGTAAAAGACAACAGTATAAACAATTTAAAATTGAATATTGGATATTTGTAACTGAGAGTATTTTACTGGCCACCTTTCTCTGTAAGACCTGCTATATTACGTTTTTCCATTACATTTTCTACCTCCCTCAGTCTTTCCCAGCCCTAAATATCTCCTCATTTCTTTGATAAGTTAATTTAAAACTCTCTTTACTGTCTCCTTCCAAGATATGCCCTTGGCACCTCACTTTCTATCTCTAAGTTGTGTACCAGGGGATTCTTCTAAACAAAGGGACAACTGAGGACTAGCAAAAAAAAAAAAAAAAATTCTCCTTGTTACAGAATAGTATAGATAAATTTTTATGAATTATTAAAATAGAGAGTAAAATTTCCTTGGGATGACATTTAAACAAAACCTCGAGGGTTCAAGATGATGACTGTATGACAAGATAGAATGAAAGGGAACTTTTCATAAAGAATTGATAGTTTCAATAACAGCACATAGAGCCCTTATGGGAAACAGCCAATAATTTAGTTTAAATGAGGCATAGGTTAACTAATGTATGAAGAGAGCTAGAACAAGATAATTTAGAAATACTAAATAGAACCAGATCATAGAGGGGAGAATATCCCAGGTCAGGACTTTAAGAGATCTTGGAAGCCTTTAAAGTATTTTGATTAGGGATGATAGGATCCAAGTTATGCTTTGAAATTGTGAATCTGGCAAGACTTAGTGGGATAAATTTTGCAAAAGGTTAAAATTTGAAGACGGTAAATTAGTCAGTTAAACCAGCAGAGACTAATAGAGGCCCGAATTTTTGAAGTTGCTGGGAAAATAGAGGAAAGAGAATAGATATCAGAGATATTACCAGCACAGAATCGACAGGACTTGGTAACTGATCATTGATGGATGGTTAAGAGGATGCGTAACAGAAGATATCTCAGGAGAAGCAAGTTTGGGAAGTGATTTAAAGAGTTCATTTTTGGATGGCTCTTTTTTGCAGAGCCAAATGGCCATCTTGGTAGAAATGTCCAACAGACAAATGGAGAAGTAGAACTGAAGCTTTGAAGAAAAGTCAGGGTTAGAGATAAAAATAGGAACATCATCCTCGTAGAAAAAACAGCATCTTTTCCTTCACCTTAACAGGCAAGTACAGTGTACTGCTTTAACCACTCCAAAAAATCAACAATATCCACCTCCATTTAGGAATACTCTCCAATTACGTTACTCTGAGAGGAAAATATTTAAAATTCACATTTGGCTCTTAAAAATCAGACTGTAGAGAGGATGTAAGGAAAATATGAATCAAATGTTATCAATGGTTAGATTTCCCAGTACAGAAAAAGAAAGAACACAAGGCCAAAATTGAATTAGACAAAACTTTTCTTTACACTGACAATCTTATGCAATTGTTTTAAGTCTAGGAAATACTTGATGTAGTCCAGATTAAACAAATACTTGTATTGGCTGTGGAAGCACAAACTTTATATATGTTTTTCCATTTTATTTACTAGAAGAGTTGCTAAAATGGACTTCTAATTATTATCACTCAGATAATCCTTTTGCTTATTAACTTGGCACAGCAAAAGAACATATGAAGCCTAGTGTTTGATAGTGGTTACCAAGTCATATTTGGAAGTATTAATTAGGTCCTAGTTCTATCATGAACTAGGTCACTTATTCCACAAACATTTCTTAATAACTATGTGCAAAACACTGTACTAATTACCAGAGAAAGATTCAAAACTAACAGTAGTGATTACCCTAACTATCAAATAGTTTAAACACAAACAATATGGTGAACTTTCCCCAGATAGGGCAAAAGATAGCAAGGGTGCAGAAAAAGAAGGGAAGTGAAGTGAGATATAATGACATTCACGTAAATCCTGCATTTATTAGGACTCCCCAGAAAAATACTTAGTTGTATCCTGAGGAAATATTTCAAAGTGAAGGCAAAAACGTATCATCTTACAGATGTTTTACAGTAATGGCAAAGTGGAAGCAAATTAAATGTACAACTATGAGGGATTACTTAAATTAATTACAACATATCTATATATTATTAAGCAACCAATGAAAATCATGTTTTTGAAGTACAAATGCTGTCATGATATAATGCTAAGTAAGAAAGCTAGCATAGAGAAAATTTATCATTTAATATCAATTTTGGATGTGTATATATATATACAAATATATATATATATGGTTTCTCAATATAGTTTTCTGTAATTTCCATCTTTTCTGCAGGAAATATGTGAGATTTAAAATGTTTTAATATATCTAAAAAGTATCAGAGTTACATATTTATCCAAAATGTTTATTACACTGAATAAATACATACATCAAGATAAGTAATTTTATGAGGCTTACTCATAGTTCAATGTTTATTCTTTGCAGATAGGAAAAAACTCAGTCCTTTCCTGAAATTGTCATTAATATAACATTAATTTCAGATTTCAAAAAACATATCTAAACATTTTGAATATTTTTACTATATACCATGTAATTAAATAGACAAGGTAGATCTTCCTTTTGTAATTATATGTACATAGAGATTAAATGAATCAATTATTTCTTTTCAATGGAATAATATATTACCAGCTTCACACAAGTTACCTAATCTTCCTAGGCCTCAGTTTCTTCAACTGAAAAGCAGAGTTAGGAGTACATAGAAATGTTCTTGAAACAAAGTGATTGTTTAATTATCATTAGGAATCAATAACATCATCAGTATTTTTACTTTTTGGTATCTCCTAATGACTAAAATTGTTTACATGGGTAAAGTAGAAGTTTATTTACACACAAGAATATATTCAATATGTATCCATTCCCTTCATCATGTTATCAAACTACTTTGATAAACAGTCTCTGAAAATCTTTTTTTTTTTTTTTTTGAGACAGAGTTTTGCTCTTGTCACCCAGGCTGGAGTGCAATGGCAGGAACTTGGCTCACTGCAATCTCCACTTCCCAGGTTCAAGTGATTCTCCTGCCTCAGCCTCCCAAGTAGCTAGGAATATAGGCACCCGCCACCACACCTAGGTAATTTTTATATTTTTAGTACAGACGGGGTTTCACGATGTTGGCCAGGCTGGTCTCGAACTCCTGACTTCAGGTGATCCACCCGCCTCAGCCTCCCAAAGTGCTGGGATTAAAGGTGTGAGCCACCACACCTGGCCCAAATATCTTTCTTGGTGCATAGGGTATGTTAATGTATATTAGTGGTATATACTATTATATACTAATAGTATATACTATTACTGTCTGCATCTTTATTCTTTTAATGTGATTCTAAAGTCGGTTATAGATGACATAGAGTAAGCAAAGGCTTAAAGAGGATTAATAAACGTAAGCAGTATACATGGTCAATTCAGATAATCCAGTGAAGGGAAATGGCCATTCCTCTACTGATGGCAACAGATGCCATCCTGAAAATAGCTCCTTGGCCTTCGAAAAGTAGCACATTAAAAGGAGCATATCCTAGATGATGGGTTGATGGGTACAGCAAACCACCATGGCGCATGTATACCTATGTAACAAAGCTGCATGTTCTGCACATGTATCCCAGAATTTAAAGTATAATAAATAAAATAAAATTAAAAAGGAGTATACCCAAGAGTTGGTACACTAGTAGAACTGTAATTTTTTTAAAGGCAATTTCTGACAAAAACAAGCAATAAGAAAAAGATTCCCTATTCAATAAATGGTGCTGGGATAACTGGCTAGCCACATGCAGAAGAATGAAATTAGATCTTTACCTTTCACTACGTACAAAAATTAACTCAGAATGGGTTAAAGATTTAAATGTAAGACCTCGAACTATAAAAATCCTAAAGGAAAACCTAGGAAATACCCTTCTCAACATCGACCTTGGCAAAGAATTTATGGACAAGTCCCCAAAAGTAATTGCAACAAAAACAAAAGTTGGCAAATGGGACCTAAAGCACTTCTGCAAAACAAAAGAAACTATGGACAGAGTAAGCAGACCACCTACAGTATGGGAGAACATACTTTCAATGAATCTGACAAAGGTCTAATGTCTAGAATCTATAAGAAATGTAAACAATTAAACAAGCAAAAAACAACCCTATTAAAAGTGGGCAAAAGACACAAAGAAGTATTTCTTAAAAGAAGACATACAAGCAGCCAACAAACACATGAAAAAATGCTCTACATCACTAATCATCAGAGAAATACAAATCAAAACCACAATGAGATGCCATTTCACATCACTCAGAATGGTGATTATTAAAAGTCAAAAAACAGCAAATGCTGGAGAGGCTACAGAGAAATGGGAATGCTTATACACTGTTGGTGGGAATGTTAATTAGTTCAGCCACTGTAGAAAGCATTTTGGAGATTTCTCAAAGAACTTAAAACAGAGCTACCATTCAACCTAGCAACCCCATTACTGAGTATATACCCAAAGGAATATAGATCATTATACTAAAAAGACACATGCACTCATATGTTCATTGCAACACAATTCATAATGGCAAAGACATGGAATCAACCTAGGTACCTATCAACGGTGGATTGGATAAAGAAAATGTGATACATATGTACTGTGGAATACTACGCAGCCATAAAAAAGAATGAAATCATGTCCTTTGCAGCAACATGGTTAAAGCTAGGGGTCATTATCCTAAGCAAATTAATGGAGAAACAGAAAACTAAATCCTGTGTGTCCGTCTATAAATGGGAGCTAAACATTGAGCGCGCAGGGACATAAATATGGAAAAAAATAGACTTGGCAGTTGATTAGAGGGAGGAGAGAAGGAGGAGGGAGTGGGTTGAAAAACTACCTATTGAGTATTATGCTCACACCCTGGGTCCAATATATTCATCTAACAAATCTATACATTTGACACCTGTGTCTAAAATCAAAGCTGAATATTTTTAAAAGGCAATTTCTTTAATTTGAATCATAATGCACATACTTCTCAATAATATCTTTCAGCTATGAAAGTGTTTTTTTTTTTTCTCCCTGGGGGCAGTCAATGAAGAGTAATATGCCTGCAAATGAAAGCAGAAAGAAACTTAAATTTTATCTACTAGTCTATTAAACGTCTCTAAAACATTGATCCACTCAAAAACAAGTTAACTAGAATAGGAATGTGTTTCCTAGTTGAATGTTGTCACCATTTATCTATGGCACATATTTATGTCTCAGGACAGCTTGCAAACCTTGGTAGATTTCCATTCATTAAATGTTCTTGGGAAAAATGTAGATTAAAACAAAAGTCTGTACTTGGTTATAAGCATCACTAGGAAGTTTTCAACCTGTCTTGGTTTTCAGTTTTCTTACTGAAAAAGGAAATCCTTTGCATCCGTGAAGTGTTTTTATAAGAATTAAATGAGATAATGCATATTAATATCAAGGTTATTGACTAACAGTCCTCAATAAATATTCACTTCCATTTAATTTGTTCTTTTCTTTCATTCTTCCCTTCCTATCTCCTTTCCTTCCCTCCTTCCCTCTCCTCTTCCCTTTCTTCTTTTTCTTCTACACTAATTCTTCCTAATTGTAAATGTATTCTAAGACAATTAGTATGTATGTTTGATTCATTTAAATGTCACTTTTGGGGAAATGTTAAATGTGACTTTTGGGGAAAAATCCTTTGAATCAGGATGTGTTAACGTCTTCTTTGCGATATTTTTGTCATTCTTTTGTATTTTATTCATGTCTAATAGAGTTATTGAAAAGTTTCTTTAGGAAATGTTATCAGTGGCTCTCAACTAAAATTTAACATGCATTTATTAAACACCAGTCCCGTATTAGTCTACTGAAAGAGAAAGAGAGACATATCAAGAACGCATATGGTAAGGTATAATATCATAGATGCATATGTGAGGTTAGTTGGTCATTGGGTGAGGTAATGCTATCAGAACTGTCTCCTGGATTGAGTTCTTTCATGTTAGGCCATTTAAATATCTTTTTCCCTCTGAACTAGCCTGCCACAGAATTGTATGCTATTTTAAATAATTTAAATTTTGTGATAAGAGTATTTAAAGTAAAAGAGGTATGCAATGAGATAGTATAGCTTGATTCAAATCTGGTGTAGGAAAATATGAATAATATACTTTAATGAATTATCCTAGCTCTGCCACTTGCAAGCTGTGTGATTTTAGAAATGGCTTATTCTTCTGGCCTTATTTTTCTTATTTATAAAATGAGAATAATAATAGTAGTTACTTTTCAGATTTATTATCAGGATTAAATAAAGTAATATATATATAATTCTTGCCACATATTAATTGTTCAATAAATATTTAATTATTATTAATATTATTATTGTTTGACTTCATTGTCTGTCATCTCGTTAGATAGGATGATTTCCCCATACAAATTTTACAAAAGAGGAAACTTCAATAGTTTGCCACTAGAATCTAAACATGTAATTATAGATCATGTTCATTGAACTTTAACTATGTAGCAGACCTCATCCTAAACACTTACCTATATCAATTCATTTAATATTCACAATAACTTTGTGAATTAGGCATAACTGTCCTTCCCATCTCACAGATAAAGAAAATGAAATACAAAGAAATCAAGTAATTACAGGAGCCAGGCTGTGAACTCAAGCTCAAGCCAGTATTTAACCACTGTATTATATTGACTTTGAACAGGCAGGAAGGTTTTGGGGTTTTTTTTAATTTCTCATTTTTCTCAATTGTGGATTATATGTGTCTATATCTTGGCCAGCTAAAGTATGTCTTTGGCTCATGATATTCAGTAAAGACATAAATTCTAAGTTAACTTATATCTAATAAAGTATTTCTTGTTTTTGTATATAATAACAATTTGACTCAATATAAATTACTTGGGTTAAAATGTTCGTTGAAAATTACATATATTTGCAAATAATGTGACACATTTGAAGAATTGTTTTCTAACATTTTAAAGTTATAGAAGAAAAGAATTGTGACAGTTTGATATTTGTTTCTTTGTTGATATCCTGAATTTCTATGAAAATGCTTTTAGGCTTTTTAAAAACTTTTATAACTTAAAGATTTCATTAGAACATATCTCCGGTTAATTCTGTGTTTTTTGTTTGGTTTTTGTTGTTGTTTTGTTTTGTTTTGTTTTGTTTTGTTTTGTAAAATGCACACTCAAAGCTCTCTTCAACTCAGAAGTATGTCTTCAGATGAGCTACCTGTATTGCATCTTTTAGTTTTCTTCCATGTGTTTTGGTTTTATTTTGTCCTGCTTTATCAAAAACAACTGAAAATTTTGCTTGAACTTAGATTTTCTGTTTGTTAGGTTGGTTTTGAAAGAGTTTCTAAGGTGTTGACCTCACTGATTTGAGTTTTTGTAATGTCAATTTTATGTGCTCTGAAGCAGATTTTTAGTTGTAATTTGGGGTTTTTAGTGGTTTTTTCTTTTCTCCACTTCTATGTCTTTTTTAATAGCTTATTGTTTCCTTGTCTCTTTTTGCTGTCTCATAGAATTCATGAATTCTTGTATTTGATTATCACTTTTAAAAATAATTTTCTGCTGTTTCCTTAAATAAACAAGTTTTAGATGGTTGACTTTTTATAATCTTTTGGATGATGGACTCTTTCTTTGGTTTTGCAGAATTTTTTCACAAGTCAAGACCAAGTTTCTTTCTGGTTATTCATCTTTAAACAGAGATTATTTAGAACTCACTATTTTTGAAAAGATGCTATTTTCAGCTCTACTGTGTAGGGCTGTCATAGTGTTTCTGCAGATATACAGATGATATGGCTTATGCTCTTTTATTTAATATGTAAATTATGCTGATAAGCCCATAGCACTAGCCTAGAGAATGAGCAAGAACACTCATGCTCAAATTTGCCTAATATATATTGTTTCTAGACAAAAATAATAAACGAGTCTAGAATTTCTAGTTATAAACTGAACACATGGCAACTCCACATACCCTTTAGTTTTAAAATTGGGTGGAATAAGTACCTAACTCCTAGTCCAATTTCCTGTATCTCACAAACACTCATCTAGTGGTTTCTACTTGAGATAAATACTAATCTTCTTTTACACCTTATTACATTCTCATAACACACCATGCTTTCATCTATGATGACACTAATCAAAATAGTAATTTAAAAGGCAATGTTGTAATTAGTAGTTGGATATCTATCTCCTGCTTTAGAATGTAAACTCTATAAAAAGTCTGGGTCTTTTGTTGATTTTGCTTTCTTATTACTTTTTTATACTTTTCTTGACCCTAGGGGCAAAGGTATGAGATCATACTCCTCATTCTGATGGCTCACTATCAATATTGGTCAGTTTTATTTACCCATCGATCCATCCATTTATTTATTCTCTTTTTTCTTCATTCCCCATTCCCATTTCTCTCCCCTAATAGCCAATATTCTAATAAGTTTTATTTGCATACTTTTTTATAAAACATAGAACTCATTCTGTATCTTATTTTTGTTCAGCATTGTTTTGAAATTTCATCCATATTGCTGGATGTATGTTACCTTTGCTTTGATCTGATTTATAGTCTTGTATAATATGAAACTATTACATTTACCTAGCAAGCTCTAACTCTTCAATAACACAAACAATGTACTAATGAACTTCTGTGCATATGAATCCTTTCATATTTGAGGAAAAGTTTATATGGAATATATGCTCAGGAGTGGCTTTGATGGTCATAGTCTGTGCATGTTCTGAATTTGCCAAAGGACTGCCAGATCATTCTCCAAGATGGTTGTCTCAGTCTATAACATCTACAGGAATTTGATGAGGGCACCTGTAACCCTGCCAACACTTGGCACGATTCGGCTTTTTAATTTTCGTTAATACCATGAGTGAAAAGTGATGTCAGTGTTTTAGTTTCTGTTTCTCTAACGATATGAATTTGGGCATCATTTCATTATAAATGGTTTTAGAGGGAGGAATGGGATGAGGAGGAGGAGTGGTTCCTTTTGTTTATTAAATGTCCATTATGTTTGCTTATTTTTTAATCGAGTTGCTATCTTCTTCTTAATTAATCGGACTTGCTTAATAATCTAATTATAAATCTCTTGTCAGTTTTAGACACTACAAATTAAATTTTCTCTACCAAGCTATCATCTGATTTTTGTGAACTTTTTCCATTCAATCTTCAGTGAATAAAAATCTTTAATTCTTATTTTACAAAATCCATTCTTTCTTTGTCTCAATGATCTTGCTTTTTGGATTTTGTTTGGAAGGTACTTTCTCATATCTATGTCACACAAACTTACTGTTTAATTTATAATTTTGCATTGACAGTATAGTAATTAAGACAAGGGATACTGAAATCACACTATTTGGATTCACAGTCTTGGCTCCTTCACTTACTAATCCAGTGAATTTGGATAACTTAACCTTTAAATAACTTTTCCTTTGTGTGTAAAATGGGGTTGGTAGTACTAATGAACCCAATAAGATTATGGTAAGAACTGAATGAGGTAATACATAAATAACACTGAGAAAAGTGCCTGCCTGACACATGAAAAAATGCTTATCATCACTGGCGATCAGAGAAATGCAAATCAAAACCACAATGAGATACCATCTCACACCAGTTAGAACGGCGATCATTAAAAAGTCAGGAAACAACAGGTGCTGGAGAGGATGTGGAGAAATAGGAACACTTTTACACTGTTGGTGGGACTGTAAACTAGTTCAACCATTGTGGAAGACAGTGTGGCAATTCCTTAAGGACCTAGAACTAGAAATACCATTTGACCCAGCCATCCCATTACTGGGTATATACCCAAAGGATTATAAATCATGCTGCTGTAAAGACACATGCACACGTATGTTTATTGCAGCACTATTCACAATAGCAAAGACTTGGAACCAACCCAAATGTCCAACAATGATAGACTGGATTAAGAAAATGTGGCACATATACACCGTGGAATACTATGCAGCCATAAAAAGGGATGAGTTCATGTCCTTTGTAGGGACATGGATGAAGCTGGAAACCATCATTCTCAGCAAACTATCGCAGGGAAAAAAAAACCAAACACCACATGTTCTCACTCATAGGTAGGAATTGAACAATGAGAACACTTGGACACAGGAAGGGGAACATCACACACCGGGGCCTCTCGTGGGGTGGAGGGAGGGAGGAGGGATAGCTTTAGGAGATATACCTAATGCTAAATGACGAGTTAATGGATGCAGCACACCAACATGGCACAGGTATACATATGTAACACACCTGCACGTTGTGCACTTGTACCCTAAAACTTTAATTTAAAAAAAGTGCCTGCCTGTACATACTGAGCATTGTATAAATGTTGCTGTTATGATAAATAACATACGTATATTTCAGTAAGAATTCAGTTTTATTTTTTGCATGTTATGAATCATTTTCAATACCATATACTAAGTGACTCATTAATTTTCTATTGTTTTTTGATACCACGTTCTTAGTTATTGACCTCCAAGATTGATTTGGTGTGTTAATTCGCTTAGGATAATGGCCTCCAGCTTCATCTATGTTGTTGCAAAGGACATGGTTTTTATTTTTTTATGGCTATGTAGTATTCCATGGTATATATGTACCACATTTTCTTTATCCAGCCCACTGTTAATGGGGCATCTGTGCTGATCCCATGTTTTTGCCATTGTGGATAGTGCCACAGTGAACATGCAAGTGCATGTGTCTTTTTGGTAGGATGATTTCTTTCCATTTAGTAGGATGATTTGTTTTCATTTCATATCCAATCAAATAATGGGATTGCTGAGTCATATAGCAATTCTGCTTTAAGTTCTTTGAGGAATCTCCAAACTGCTTTCCATAGTGGCAGGACTAATTTACATTCCCACCAACAGTGTATAAGCATTCCCTTTTTTCCACAACCTCACCAACATCTATTGTTTTTTTTTTTTACTTTAATAATTGTCATTCTGACTAGTGTGAGATAGTATCTCACTGTGGTTTTGATTTGCCTTTCTCTTATGTTAGTGATGATAGCATTTTTTTATGTGTTTATTGGCCACCTGTGTGTCTTCTTTTAAGAAGTGTCTGTTCATGTCTATGGTCCATTTTTTCATGGGCTTATTTATTTTGTTTGTTTGTTGTTTTGTTGTTTGTTTGTTTGTTTGTTTTTGCTTGTTCAATTGTTTAAGTTCCTTATAGATTCTGGATATTAGATCTTTGTCGGATGCACAGTTTGTGAATATTTTTTCCCCTTCTGTAGGTTGTCTGTTTACTCTGTTGATAGTTTCTTTTGCTGTGCATAAGCTCTTTAGTTCAATAGGTCTAATTTGTCATGTTTTGGTTTTGTTGCAATTGTTTTTGAGGACTTAGTAATAAATTCTTTTCCAAGGCTGATGTTGAGAAGGGTATTTCCTAGGTTTTTTTCTAGGATTCTTATAGTTTGAGGTCTTACATTTAAATCTTTAATCCATCTTGAGTTAATTTTTGTATATAGTATATAGGGGTCTAGTTTCATTCTTCTGGATATGGCTGGCCAGTTGTCTCAATACCATTTATTAAAGAAGGAGTCCTTTCCCCACTGGTTATTTTTGATAACTTTGTCGAATATCAGATGGATGTAGGTGTGTGACTTTATTTCTGTTTTTTGTTGCTTTTTTTTTTCTCTTCCACTGGTCTATGTGTCTGTTTTTGTGCCAGTACCATGCTGTTTTGGTTACTGTAGACTTATAGTATAGTTTGAAGTCAGGTAATGAGATGCCTTTGGTTTGGTTCTTTTTGCTTAGGATTGCTTTGGCTATTTGGGATCTTTGTTTTTCAATATGAATATTAGCAGTTTTTTTCCAATTATGTGAAAAATGATGTTGGAAATTTGATAGGAATAGCATTGAATCTATAGATTGCTTTTAGTAATATTGAGTCTTCCAATCCATATGCATGGACTGTTATTTGTGTCATTTATGATGCCTTTTAGCAGTATTCTGAAGTTCTTCAATTTCACCTCCTTGGTTATATGTATCCCTAGGTATTTTTGTGCATGTGCAGCTATTATAAATGGGATTGTATTCTTGATTTCTCTTAGCTTCATCATTATTGGTGTATAGAAATGTTGCTTGTTTTTGTACATTGATTTTGTATTCTGAAACCTTGCTAAAATTGTTTATCAGTTCTCATAGTCTTTTGTCAGAGTCCTTAGGGTTTTCTAACTATAGGATCATATTGTCAGTGAAGAGAAATAATTTGACTTATTCTTTTCCTATTTGGATGCCTTTTATTTCTTTATCTTGCCTAATTGCTCTGGCTAGAACTTCTGATGCTATGTTAGATAGAGATGATGAGAATGGGCATCCTTGTTTTCTTCCAGTTCTCAAGGGGAATGCTTCCAGTTTTTGCCCATTTGGTATAATGTTAACTGTGGGTTTGTCATAGATGACACTTACGATTTTAAGGAATCTTCCTTACTTTAAACCAACAACAGCAAAAAGGACAAAGAAGGGCATTACATAATGGTAAAGGATTCATATCAACAAGAAGACTTAACTATCCTAAATATATACACAAATAACATTGGAGCTCCCAGATTCATAAAATAAGTATTTCTAGAAGTACAAAAAGACTTAGCCACACAATAAAAGTGGGGGACTTCAACACTTCACTGACAGATCAGTGAGGCAGAAAACTAAGAATTTTTTTTTTTTTTTTTCTGAAGCAGAGTATTGCTCTGTCACCCAGGCTGGAGTGCAGTAGCACGATCTCAGCTCACTGCAACCTCCGCCTCCCGGGTTCAACTGATTCTCCTGCCTCAGCCTCCCTAGTAGCTGAGATAGGCATGTGCCACCACAACTGGCTAATTATTTTTTTGTGCTTTTAGTAGAGAAGGGGTTTCATCATGTTGGCCAGGCTGGTCTCGAACTCCTGACCTCAGGTAATCTGCCTGCCTCGGCCTCCCAAAGTGCTGGGATTACAGACATGAACCACTGTGCCTGGCCTAACAAAGGAATCCTGAACTTAAACTTGACACTTGACCAACTGGACTTAATAGACATCTACATGCACCCATCACCATAGAATATATATTCTCATCTTCACAAGGAATTACCCCAAGATCAACCACATGCTTGGTCATAAAGCAAGTCTCAATAAACTTTTTAAAAAATCAAAATTATACCATCCATACTCTTGGACAACAGTGAAATAAAAATAGAAATCAATACCAAAAAGATTTCTCAAAGCCACACAATTATATGCAAATTAATTTTTTCTGAATGACTTTTGGATAAACAATGAAATCAAGGTAGAAATAAAATTATTTGAAGTAAGTGAAAACAGAGACACAACAAAACAAAATCTCTGGGATGCAGCAAAAGCAGTGGTAAGAGGAAAGTTTATAGTTCTAAATGCCTGCTTCAAAAAGTCAGAGAGATCTCAAATTAATGATTCAGCATCATATCTGGAAGAACCAGAAAAACAAGACAAAACCAACTCCAAACTA
This sequence comes from Homo sapiens, assembly GCF_000001405.40. Lineage (NCBI taxonomy): Eukaryota > Metazoa > Chordata > Mammalia > Primates > Hominidae > Homo > Homo sapiens. The sequence goes on along the minus strand of NC_000009.12, from coordinate 8,964,592 downwards.
GAAGAATGAAAGAAATAACTAAAATTGAGCTAAACTGAATAAAATTGAGACCAAAAATCCATAAAAAGAATCAATGAAACCAAAAATTGGTTCTTTAAAAGGATAAACAGGATCAATAGGCTACTAACTAGATTAACAATGACAAAAAGAGAAGATCTAAATAAGCACAATCAGAAACAACAACAGTGACATTACAACTGATCCCACAGAAATAGACAATATCCTCAGAAACTATTATGAACAACTCTATGGACATGAAGTAGAAAATAGGGAGGAAATTTATAAATTCCTGGAAACACACAATCTCCCAAGATTGAATTAGGAAGAATTTGAAACACTGAACAGACCAACATCAAGTTCCAAAATTGAATCAGCAAAAAAAAAAAAAAAAAAAAAAAAACACAGCCCTGAACTAGATAGATTCACAGCCAAATTCCACCAGATGTACAAAGAAGAGCTAGTACCAATTCTACTGAAACTATTCCAAAAATTGAAATCAAGGAGGAGGGACTCCTCTATGACTCATTCTATGAAGCCAGCATCACCCTGATATGAAAACCTGGCAAAGAAACAACAAAAAAGAAAACTACAGGCCAACATCCCTGATAAACATAGACACAAAAATCCTCAACAAAATACAAGCAAACCAAACTCAACAGCACATCAAAAAGTTAATTTAGGCTGGGTGCAATGGCTCATGCCTGTAATCCTAGCACTTTGGAAGACCGAGGCAGGAGGACTCCTTGAACCCAGGAATTTGAGACCAGCTTGGGCAACATAGGAAGACCCCATCTCTACAAAAAATAATTAGCCAAGTATAGTGATGTGTGCCTGTAGCCCAGCTACTCAGAAGGCTGAGGTGGGAGGATGACTTGAGCCCAGGAGGCTGAGGCTGCAGCAAGCCATGTTGGCACCACTGAACTTCAGACTGGGCAACAGTGCAAGACCATGTCTCAAAAAAAAAAAGTTAATTGTGATCATGTAGGCTTTATTTCTGGGATGCAAGATTGTTCAACATATTCAAATCAATAAATGTGATTCACCACATAAACAGAATTAAAAAACAAAAACCATATGGTCATCTCAATAGACATGGAAAAAGTTTTTGATAGAATCCAACATCCCTACATGTTTTGTTTATGTTTTTTTCTGTGAAATATAACACATACAAAATGCATAAAACATGTATAAATGTAATTCCATGAGTAACTCTATGTGAACACCCGTATTACCACCCAGTTGAAAATTAAACCTTGCTATAATAATACCTAAAATCCTCCCATGTATTACTTCCTGATTCCAAACCACTAATGTCCTCTGAAAAGTAACTATATCCTAGCTTTTCTGATAATCATTTCCTTGCTTCTCTTTACTTTCATCAAGTATTCCCAAATTACAAGTCTCAGTTTTCCTTTTTTATACTGTAAATGAATGGAATCATATTTTATGCATTTCCTATGTCTAGCTTCTATCTTTCAACATTATGACAGTAAGGCTACCATGTAAATGTTGTTATAGTTTATTCATTTTCATTGATGTCTGGTATTCCATTGTATATTTTATACATTTTACTCTTGGTGGACATTTATTGTTTCTAGCTCAAGGCTATTACAAACAGTGCTGCTGGGAAATCTTTTGTGTATATCCTGATGTGCATGCCCATCAGTTCCTAAGAGCCACATTGCCGGTTAAAGGAGTATTCATATCACCTCAGTGTTATCAGATGATTCCATACTGTTTTCAAGAAATGCCTGTAATAGTTTTTCAAAGCTTTACCTTTGGTAGCTTGAGTCCTAAAACGTAATACATGTAGATTAACCAGTTTCTTTTCTTCATCCTAACCAAATTCCCCATAAAAGAGATGAATTTTCTCTTCAGCCCTCCTTGACTCAGCTAATTTGTTATTTTAGAATATGGTAATTTTAGTACCCCACATTCAGATATCAAAGAAACAAATTTGTAATTAAGTGATAAATCAATTTTTTACATGGACACCCTTGATACAAAGCTTAAATGATGTCCTAAGAGTGCTCTCGCTCTCTCTCTCTCTCTCTTTCTCTCTTCTTCCTTTTCTCCTTTTTTATTCCCTCCCCCATGTCTTATCTTTAGTCATTTGGTAGGGAAGATGACTGCCAAAATCACATCCAAAGTACCATCTTCCCACCTTCCAATCCATGTGAAAAGAGACAATCTGTCCTGCATGTTTTCATAGGAAAGTCCCAAGGTGGCACATATTAGCCTCTCTGAATCATGTGCTTTCTCTGTCAGGGTTGTTCAGAGGGCAGAGCACCTAGACTGACCACCTCATCAAAACCACACACAGTGGCTCTGCAAAGGAAATGATGCCTGCGTGTGTATATGACTTGTTCTCACCAAGTAATTATTTTTTCACTTACGTCTTACCTTCCTTGAAGGAGTCTCATATCTTTGTTCCCATTGTCCAACAGGATGGTTAGCACATAACAAGAGCTAAATAAAAGTTTGTTAAATGCATTAGAAAGAAGAAATGGCTCTTTTTACATGCTCCAATGTAAAAGATACTTTATGAGAACCCATGTTGACATAAAGGGGAGATGATTTAAAAATACATGAAATGACATCGCATTGACTGGATTTTTCCACATACAGTAAATTTCATATATATTCCTATATAATTATTGCTGCAGAATACATACTTTTTCTTATTTTGCTTTGTTTGGAAGTGGGGTTTTCATGCTGTCATGGTGAGTGAATGTTTTCTAAACTGTCACATGGGGTACTTAGAGAAATGGAAACTGCAGTCCTGGATTCTGTGTTTCAAACAGTGCCAGATGCTGTGAAGTCATATGCAGATGTCTTTACATCGACAAAATTATAGTAACAGTTGGGCTTCTTTGTCTGAATATTTCTGCTTAGAAGGGTTAAGTAGCCTAGCAGGCAGTGGAAACTAAAACCTTCTGTTCAGCTATGGGGCACAAATGATGAAATCAGCCACAGTGGTTGCTCAGTTAATGTCCTCAACCTTGATGCAGAAGAACTGCCTTGATGAATGTAAAACATGTGCCTGGTGGAAGTCAGAGCACAGGGCATGCTCACTGTTGACTACTAGAGACAGTGATATTTGCGGGTGCAAGGCTAACTCTGACCTAGTGGAAAGAAGTGCAGAACCAGGCCAAATGGGAGGAGTATTCCAGGATCAAGGTCAGTCATTTCCCAACATGTTCTGCAACTGAAATGACCATGATGACACGGGGAAAGAATGTAAGACCTCAAGTGGCCTTTGGCTTGATTTACTTGCAACTTTTGTTTCTAATTCAATCCACAAAGATACCATTGTGTTTTATGTACATCTGCCCTTTGTCCCTGGAACATCCTTTCTTTTCCTTGTCCACCTGGAAAGCTCGCAGTCATAAATCAAATATAAGCTTGCAATGTAGCTCCTCTCTGAAGTCTTCCCCTGTCCCCCTAGGCAACTTAGGTGTTCCTTCCACTTTGGATTTTACTGAACCTTATGCATGTCTTTGTGGCAGCTGGTATTTCATTATATTATAAACTACTTATTATATATTAATTGTAATTGATTGTTGATATTTGACTCCCTAGTAGACAATGAGTGCCTTAAAGCAATAGAATTTTTCTTTTCATCTTTGTATTGCAATCCCAGGAACAAGATAAAACTTCATAAATATTAATGAATAGATTTATTAATGATTTCATATAGTACCTTGGAATTTTCTAAGTGCTTTCTTATCCATTACCTCATTTAATAACCCAACAATGCTGTGTGGTACACAAACCACTTATAATTATCACCATTTTACTGATTAGGAAACTGAATCATCAAAATGACACATAATTTGCCAGCTTCAATAGTTTATGAATGTCAGGATTAAGCTAGAAAGTAGGTCTCTGGCTTCAGCCAGAGTCTATGTTGAGCCTTTATTTCTCCCACAGACTGAAGAGTCACTGCCTCAGGACTAACAGATCTTTAAAATGGAGCTAGGGCAGCTAGAATGCTTTCTTCAATACTTCAATATTTGATCTTCAGCTCTGTTTTTAATGCACGACATCTTCTTCTATCTTCCAACTGCACTTTGAACCTTGGATGTCAGATTTCTGGGTACCCATGTCAGAATTTGGCCTGGATTTCTTTTACTGATCTTGCTGCCTACGCAAAGCACAATGTCCTAGTACACGTCCCTGTTACTGGGACCACTTCTCTCTCTGAATATACCAGAGGTTCCTAAGTATGGCAGCCCAGTTATTCTACCATTACACTGCAGCTCCACACATTTCTAACTGTATTATGAATTAGCAATCATGATAACTAATGATAATAACTAATATTTCTCAGTGTTTGCCTTGTTCCACACATAGTATTCAATAAGTACTACCTTATCTGTTCCTGACGACAAAACTCATGACCTAGAACTAATACTATCACCATTGTACAAAGAAGGAAATTGAGGCTTAGAGAAGTTATGTGACTTGTCCCAGGTGACACAGCTAGTAAATTTCCAAGGGAATATGAACTAAAAGGCATCTAATTTCTGAAAGCATGCCTTTAACCCTACAATATTGGTAAATTTCTGTAAAATCAACCGTTATACTTGGTAAATGAATGAACATGTGCACAGTGTGACTGGGGAAAGAAAGATGATGTTGTACACTTGTCACATGATAGGTGAGGTACTCGATGAATACTGTTGGAATAACATTTTCATGCCCAAGCTCTAATTTAACTAATTTTATAAAACTGAGAATGTTTTAGCAACTCCGTCTACATGCCCTGGAGAAAAATACTTGTTTTTAAATATTCTAAAGCACTCAAAAGTTTTCAAGATCATGAAACTTTATCCATCTGGCTTAGTGGAGGATTTGATAAGAAATATAGCTGCTTTCCAAAGGATATACTCAATGATTCTTTCATTAAAATTAATTCCCAACTTACTGCATCTAAATATAGACTTTATTTTAAACAACTACTAAATGCAAATGGTTAAAATCATGTTAATCTTCTGATATATCATCTGATACTTGCACTTGTGATGTTTCAAGACTTTGGATGAAGCCCAAAATGCCTACCATGATGATTCTCAAGGCTTTTGATTTCTGATCGCTGCTCTCCTCCTCTCACTCTCTCTCCACTTGAGCTCTTCAAATTCTCCAAAATATTACACTCCATTTTTTGTCCAGGACTTACATGTATTATTTCTTCTTTCCCCACTATTTTCCTGGCTCTCCTCAACTCATATATCAAATCTTGAAGTAAAAGTCAGTTTCTCAGAGATCCCCTCTCCTGAGCCCTCACTGTAAGTTGTTTCCCCATTATGTTTCCATAGCATCCTGCTGTCCTTCCAAACACTCATAGCACTCATAAAAACTTTTCCAGGGTTCATCTTCTGCCATCTTTCACTGTGTCTTACACATGATGGGTGCTCAATGAATATTTGATAAATGAATGAATGAAGGCATTCCTGTGTTAAAGCCAGTGTTGTGTCAATAGCCATTGTCACAATAAGATAATATGAAAGCAAGTATGTCTTGGCTTAGTGAGTGTGTTTGGCATTTGGAATCAGATACGTGCTTCCTCGAGGACCTGTCTCAGTTGCCATGATCATATAAGGTACATTGGGCTGAATGTGATAAGAAAATCAACTCAAACTAACTTAAAACAAAATTCATTGGCTCACATAGTAGGAAGACTAGAAGGAGGTGTGGACTTTCAGGGAATTTGATCCAATGGCTGTTCTCTATTATCTTACCTCTCAGACAATATCTCCAGTCCTTTTCCATTGTGGTTATGGGATGATGTCAGTAGCAATTAAGACTACATGCTTCTTCAGGCATGTCCAGTGAGAAATGCTGAGAGACTCTTTCTCTTCTGAAATTCTTATAAAAGTTTGGAAAAAGGAAAAACACTTGTTTTAGAAATAACTAGGCTCAATTCCTTCTGTACCTTATTGGCTCAAATCCAACTATGTGTCCGTTTCTCAAATATTTACTGTCATTTCGGAAGCTTTATTGGCTTAGTCCTTGGTTTCTGAGTCAATCATTGATGTAGATAATGGGTTTATCATGACTGGTTTCCTGGGTCTTCTTCTGGGCCATCACATTGCTGAATTCTAAATGGCCAGAGATTAGGGCAAAAGGTCCACCACTATCATCTTCTCAAAACTGCACCAATATTATGCTCATGCCCTTTGATTTTTTTGAAAAGGCTAAACATCAAAATTCAATCAGATGCTGTATCAAAATCTAAATTCATTCTAGGAGGAAAGTAGAAATTTTCCTTATTAGGGAGAAGAAGTATATGGAACATTTGTGTCCCCACATCTTCCTTGTTCAGACAGAGAGAGAAGTGGCAAGCAGGACACAAAGAAGCAAATGAGGCATCATGAGTCTCCAGATACATAACTTCTTCCATTTTGAGAGCAAATTCTGGCACCCGTCTCATATTTAAAAGCACACATTTAGCACCTGCAGGATGGAGGGATCTTGACTGGTCTCTCAGGGTGCTGGAATTAAAATAAAGATTATTGAAGTTTCATTTACAGAACAAATGATTAGCATTACGTTTTAAGGAGCATGTAACTAATGGTTCTTCCCCTGCTAAGGTATTACTTTTCATCACTTCTTTGTGATCTTCTGAAGATCTAAATGCACTCTAAGGTAAAGAATGGTCTTCTTTTTCTGAGAATGATATTTTTTTTTTCATTTGGGACTATAGCATTCTTTTCTGTTTTGTCCTCCATATGTCCTCATAAATATAATTCTGGCACTGGAATTCAGACAGCACTTCCCAGCACTTGCATACTCAGCATTAGGCCACTAAGATATGAGATCATGTAAGCTCTGTGCCATTTAATCACTTTATATTCCTTTAACAAATGAGTATTGAGTGCCTACTATGTGTGAGACACTGTGCCAGGTGCTTTCAGCTGCAGATGAGATGTACATCTTGTCTTTGAAGAGCTTACAATAGCATGAGGAGCAAAACTGATTAAAGATACAAGGAATCGTGCAATAAATGCAAATTGTATGGTGCCGCAAAATAAATACTAAAGACAGTGATTTGATGAGAGGGTGCTTGCATGGTTGACTTATAGTGGACAGGGTTTGATTTTGGCTGAGCAGAGTCAGCATTTCAAAAACAGAACAGAAGGAAAAATTAAAGAAAGTAGGCTTCAGTAAGGCGTTCAGTAAGGAAATACTGAATGTAGACAAGGCTATAAAAAAAAATGAAGATCCATGCTGTGGAATAAAGCATTCTCAACTTGGAAAGAAACTCTAAGCCAGATTACAGAGGGCCTAGAATGCTCTATTTTAAAAATCTGAGTGTTTTTCTGGAGGAGTAGGTAGCCCCAGAAAATTTGGGGACTATATTTAGATAATAAAAGGATGAAAGTTACGTGAAAGTTATATGAAAGGAAAATCCCTGTGTGTGATGAAACCTAGCCAGGAGAGAGTCAAGATTCATCTATTGTCATAGTGCAGCTTTGTCAAGGAAAGGATTTGACTACTGATGTAGTAAAGGGACTATTCAGTGGTAAAGGAAGAGAAGAATCTCACAACAGGATTTAAATAGTTAGCTTACATCACTGAGTTATCCTTACTGCCATTAACGCAGGGACATGAAAGTGGGTGTCAAAAGAGTTCCCAAGCCTGGCTTCACATTAGAATCATCTGCAGAGTTTCAAAAAATAGCAATGTTTAGGCCTCCCAAATAATTAGTCTTGAGTGGGGCCTGGGTGATTGGTAGTTTATAAAAGCAAACTGCATCAAGGGTTAAGATTCACTGAGATAGATGATGGTGGGTTCAGTTTCTGTGAAAATCCTCTCCTATTGCAGGTATATTTTATTGGGATTTTTTAGAGGGAGGGAGGCAGGAACAGAATGAAATAAATGTTCTGCTTCTGTCGTGGTTGGTGGAGTTCAGGAGCTTGATAACTGCTCCCCTGTTGTGAAGCATGTTACATAGCTCCAATCCTTGATCCTGACTTTTAAAAATACAATCCAGCACAAGCAGTGTGCTGTTGTTTTTCAAAGAAATTTACACATAGCCCACTAGTCACGTCTGTATTCTAAACTTACAGAACATTTTCTCACTCAAAGGATTGTTCATTTGCTTCTTCTTTGTTAAAACAAAAAAAAGAAAGAAAGAAAGAAAAAGAAAAATAGATTATGTCTTCATTTGTTTACAGGAAAAAAGACAATGTAAAATTATAGTCATCAGGTGTATTAAACATGAATAATGTTAAGTATTAGTCCAAAGTGGATGGTTTTTATTTTTCTTTTTTCTTTCCTTGAAGAAAAATCACTTTGTGCTTTATATGGATAAACATCAGGAGGTGATAGACTTTATTCATGGCTGTTTCTCTGCATAAATGCTGTATTCTTCAAGAAAAATATTTCTAATCAAGAGTTTTATCCCTTTCACTCACCCCACACTCTTTGTTCACACTGGGAGGTCAGCACCTTATGTTTCTGACATTGTAATTTATTGCTGCTGGAAAGATTGAGCATTTGTATAGGATTTCCACCATAATTCAGCTTTGTTGCAAAGTCTTACCAAGTATAACTTCTTAAGAATACTTTCTAAAGGATACTTGATGGAATTCAAAAATGGCCAGATATATTTGGACTCAGCAAATGGGTATAAATATAAATAGTATGGAGACAGATTTAATGTAAAATAAGGTGTGTGTGTATATGCATGGATATGCAAATGAATGCTATATGTAGGTCGAACGCATGAGTTTCTTTTCTTCTTTAGCAAAGGACAGTTACATTTAAGATGATTTAATGAGTTAGCACTATATATGTTACAGGAGTTAGATGTGTGTGAAAGACTTTTTTTAATTAAAAGGCATACATTTTAGATTTCAAATTCCGATGTTTCAAAATGTGACAAAGAATTTTAAAGACTTCTTTTTGCCTTGTGTTTTGAAAATAAGCTTCTATGGAAGATAATAATAAAAAAATAAAAAATAAAAAATAAAAAACAGAAATAGCCTCTCAGAGGAAGCCTCATTCTGTGAAAGGCTCAAGGGAAGCTTATAACGAAGAGCACACCATAGAGGGAACTCAGGAAAGGGCACTTCCATTTCCCTGAGAGCAGAGCATTTATGCTGGTGATTGTCTTCCAAATGAGCTCTCCCCCTGTCCTTTACCAATTATTGATAGCTGTGATACCAGAATAATTGAGTCTACGAGCTTATAGTCTGAGCACAAAGGGACACCTCTGAGTAGGACTATCTCTATCTATCCAAGCAGATGGTATCTGAAGATCTCCTGTTAAGAAGACAGCCTATCTCCTGTCTCCAGGAATCCATAAGTAACCTTTACTTTCAAGGCTTTCTCTCAAATGTTTCAACAAACCCAGCCAACTTTTTCATATTCTGACCTCACTGGAGCTAAAGAACAGCTGGCCTACATTTTCCTAATATTAGCTCTTCATATTTTTTAAGAGTATTATTATATCCCACTTCAGCTCTCTCTCTTCCAGACCAAATAATGTAAACTCTTTAATCTTATGTCAAGTTTCCTCTCCATCAATTTATTGCTTTTTTCTTAGATGCTGCCTAATTTTTCAATATCATTTTAAAAGTACAACAGCCTGGAGTGGACAGACATTTCACAAGACTACAGAAGATGAATCTGAGAAAGAACATGGTTGTCTATATTTTGCATCTGTAGTGATAACCAACTTTGGTAGATTTCTTTAAGATAAGCTATAGTTTTTGCACAGATTATTTTCAATATTTACTCAAATTGTTTATTTTTCTTCAATGCAATCTTTACATTGAGACCTTGAGTCCATTGTTTTTATCTACATTGTATACCTAAAGAGAAAACCATGATCATGTATCTAAATGCCCAAGAAAACAGAAAGCAATGAAATCAAAACTGGACCCAGGGACTTCTTTGCATACAAACTAATATGTTGGTTTTGAAAGTCATCCTGTTACTTCTCATTGGAACAGCTCTCCACAGCCCAAGCCCACTACTCAGGCTCTTTAGCTGAGTGGTTTTTTGTTTTTGCTGTTTTGCATTATTGTACTATGCCTTTTTTTTTCCATGTTTACCACTTTCTTCTTTCTCTCTTTTTTGACTTTTACCTTAGAATTGTGGAGAATATGCACAGGTTTGTTACAAAGGTATATTTTGTGATGCTGAAGTTTGGGATGTGATTGAAATTGTAACCCAGGTAGTAAGCATAATACCCAATAGGTAGGTTTTCAGCCCTTGCCTCCTGCCTTTCTCCCATGTAGTAGTCCCCAGCGTCTTTTGCTCCTTTTTTTATGTTCATGTGTACTTAGTGATTAACTCCCACCTATAAGTGAGAACATGTAGTATTTGGTTTTCTGTTTCTGCTTTAGTTCACTTAGGATAATGGCCTTAAGCTGCATGCATGTTGCTGCAAAGAATATGATTTTGTTCTTTTTAATGTCTGCATTGTATTCCATGATATATATGTACTGCATTTTCTTTAGCCAGTCCATTGTGAATGGGTGCCTGGATTGATTCCAAGTTTTTCCTATTGTGAATAGCACTGCAATGAACATATGAGTGCATGTGTCCTTTTGGTAGAATGATTTCTTTTACTTTGGGTATATAACTAGTAACGGGATTCCTGGGTTGAATTATAGCACTGTTTTAAGTTCTCTAAGAAATCCCCAAACTGCTTTCCGCAGTGGCAGGACTAATTACATTCCCACCAGTGTATAAGTGTCCCCTTTTCTTTGCAGCCTTGCCAATATCTGTTATTTTTCACTTTTTAATAAAAGCCATTCTGACTGGTGTGAGATGGCATATCATTGTGGTTTTGATTTGCATTTCTCTGATGATTAGTGATGTGGAACATTTTTTCATATGTTTGTGGGTTGCTTGTATGTCTTCTGTTAAGAAGTGTCTGTTCATATCTTTTGCCTATATTTTCACTGGGTTATTTGTTTTTGACTTTTTGATTTATTTAAGTTCCTTATACATTCTGGATATTAGACCTTTGAAGAGATGCATAGTTTGTGAACATCTTCTCCCACTCTGTAGGTTGTCTGTTTACTCCCTTGATAATTTCTCTTGCTGTGCAGAAGCTCTTTAATTAGGTCCCCACTTATCAATTTTTGTTTTTGTTGCCATTGCTTTTGAGGGCTTAGCTACAAATTCTTTGCCAAGGCTGATATCAAGAAGGGTATTTATTTCCTAGGTTCTGTGTGAAGATGTTTATAGTTTGAGGTCTTTAATCCATCCTTAGTTAATTTTTGCTCATAATGATAGGTAGAGATCCAGTTTCATTCTTCTGCATATGGATAGCCATTCTTCTGCATATGGACAGCCAGTTATCTATCTGGGCATTTCTCATTTCTCAGCTGTAGCGACCCTTCTCCTGGGATATACCTTTCTGAAACTCCACATTTCACTCACACTTTTGCACAAATGTGCCACAGGAAACTGCTTAGTCACCCTTGTTATGAGTTCCCATAGCATCCTGCACATCTCCTACAGTAACCAAAAGCATATATTTTATCTAAAAAAAAAAACTATTCTAAAATATAATTCGTTGCTTTATATTATAAAATTGTTGGAATGGAGGAACAAGATAAACAGCCACAGATTTCTGGGCCTGCAAACATTTTATTGCAGTAGGTATAACCTAACATATACTGAAAGTTGCTTGGACAGAAGCCAGTGAAAGATCAATTGATTCTTCTTTGTTATGCTTTCATTGCTTATATGAATCTTGGGACTTCAGGTTATATCATATTGAGAGTGAGCAAAAAAAATTCTTCAACTGTTTAAATTCCTTTTCTTTCTTTCACCTTTTTATTATTTTTTACCACATGATCACTTCTACCTAGAATTCAATCTTTCATGAAAATCTTAATTTTTCAATACCGTTAAGAGCCAAATAAATAATATTTTTTCTTCCTGTAAAGATACCTCTGCCCCCTGCTTGATTGGTTACCTACAACCTGTTGAATTAGTTTTCTTGAAGCTCCTGGATTATAGAATCTCCATCTTTACCATTTAAAGTTATTCGGAAGCCACTGGGATCAAAGAAATCTTCATTTCCCCATGCTCCTTAATTTGGGATAATGTGTGACTATGTGTATCTACGCACATGTTAAAATCAGCCCAACATTTATAGTTATGTTTAGTTGATATGGTTTAAGGGTAAAGGTAAAACATACAGATTGTGTTGCTAATTCAAGAAAAATTGCCCTGTGCATTCCTTTATAGAATAGTGCAAATAAAATGCAGTACGTTGATGACAATTACTTATATTAATATGCTGAATTTTTATCTGTGTGTTCCAAGGTCCATGAGATTTGACATGTAAGAACATACATTAATTATCAGTTTGTTTCTTCAACAAATATCTATTAGAGGTTGGTAATTAATGTGTAGAAGTGAACAAAACAAAGCAAAAAAGTAAGCAAAACAAAGTCCCTGCCCTCATGAAACTCACATTATTTTAGTGGGGGAGGCAATTCGGAATTATATACAGAGAACATTAATCAGAGAGAAATAAGGTAAATAGTTATAGTCAAGTAAGGGAAGACTACTCTATCATATATATTTTTATATATGTGTATATATATTATGTATATTCATGAATGGCCTTTCAGAAATCAATTGAGCAGAGACCGAAGAATGAATTAGGGAAGCAGCATTGTACACCATAGTAAGTTCTTTGGAATTCATTTCAAGTGTGGTTTAGAAACGCACTGGAGAATTTTGAGCAGGAGAAAATTTTCACTGCTGTGTGAATGGAGAGTGCAGGACAAATGTGGAATTAGAGAAACAAAATGATTCTTGTCATTTTCCACACAAGAACTTGGGGTGAACTTGGGTGCTGTGGTGATAGTGTTGGGAAGTTAGACCCTGGATGTACTGTATCTGAAAGTAAATCAGACAAGATTCCCTAACTGCCTGAATGAAAGAATGGAGTCCAGAATAATTTAAAGGTTTCTGGCCTGAGTAACTGGGTGACTAGCAGTGCAATAAAGAACATTAGACATAGGAGATGGGAGATGGAAGATCAAGAATTTGGTTGTGATATGCTGAACGTAAAACAGCTACTAGGTAACAAAGTAGAAAAATCAAGTATATTGTCAGCTACATGAATCTAGATTTCAGTAGAAAGTTCAGTGCTTGAAGTTAACAGCCTACAGATTATATTGGCTTCAATTAGATAACCTACATGTTAAGGAGGAAAGAGAAGAAAGACTGAAGCCTGAGCCCTGGCACATTTCTATGTTTACGGGACTGAAAAAAAAAAAAAAAAAAGGAGGATCCAGCAGAGAAATAATTAAGAAGGAGTGGTCCATGTGGTAAGAAAAAAAATAGAGAAGTGTAGTATACCAGAAAGACAGTGGAAAACTGCTTCAAGTAGTTGATGTCTACCATTAATTGCTTTCTGTTTCTCCTCTTCCTCTCTCTCTCTCTCTTACACACACACACACACACACTCTTTTTCCTAAACAAATGCCTTAACACAACCACATAAACTTTTAGCCTTAAAATAAGAAAGATAATATTCACATTATGTAAAACTCTTTACTTACTAAAAGGATTCCAAAAACATATCTTTAAATAATGAACTCTTCCAGCTTATCCCAAATAGGATTCAACTATCAAAACGTTTCTGAAATATTTTTCTATTGTAAAGCATGCTGGAACTCTGAAATAGCCTTGCACAGTATATTTGCCGTGGTCAGAAACTGGCAATAAAATCTGAACAAGTAGAGTAGGTAGACCCAGGTTCTAGTCTTGGCTCTGACATGTAGTAGCTTAACCATTCAACTAACCTCTCTGGCCTTAGTGTTCACATTTCTGGAAGGTTCAGAGTGGGTCAGGAATCGCTCTTAGATTCTTTCAAGCTCTATTTAAAAAAAAAAAAAGAAAAACATAATTCTAAGTGTTAATAGTGTATAGGATTCTGGGAAGTTCTATCTATTGGAAAAAATGGATACTTGCTCCATTATATACAGAGTCCTATATATTATTGTATACAATGTTATGACATCTGAAAATATGTTTTCATTACAGAGAGCTCTGTTATTTGAGAAACCTTCTTAACCCAGTGCTATGTGAACTTGTTGGATAAACTGCATCATGCTTTTTTTTTTTTTTCAGAAGGTGACTGAATTGGTGCATATAAGCAGATGGTTTTGCCCCACAGCTTTCTTCTCAACTGGACTCACATACCCTTCTCCATATGTTCCTAAATTAAAATGTTGGATGTCAATTGTGAGGAATATGTTGGAAAATTTTAACTTTGCACTTAAAATTTTGCCCTTGCATTTTCTCTATGACCTATCTCACAACCATGCATAATTTCTAAATTACAACCCTGATTCCAGAAATTGGCAGGCAGTAGGTAGAGATACTTAGTAGGTTGTTCCCCCTACCCCATCTAGTGAGAGGAGTGGCAGACAACATTAGAAACTAACAAATTTAGATTTGCATTCCCTTAGTATTTTCATGTTGGCCAAGTCACTTGTAAATAGACATTTTCTCACTTGTAAAATAGACATTCCAATACCTATTTTGTAGAATTGCAACACGATTGATGAATTAACATGGGCAAAGCACCTAACACAATATTTCAAACATGATAGACAATCTCCCTGTACTACTCTCCCTTCTGTGCCTTCTTCATTCTTGAATGCAGGGAATAGGCAAATAAAAGTAACTGAAGTGAGCAGATAAAATTTCTATTTGTCTTCTGGATCAGCATTTTCATTTCATTCATAACTGTAGGCAACAATCAAAATTCAAATTGGACCGAGTTTATGCTATAATTTTAAAAAGCAACACGTAGAAGACAACAATCCCACAATGTTTCAATTTTGTTGTGCTAAATACTTAGATAGACAAAATATTTTCAGTAGCAGTTGAATTATTAAATAAAGAATATTAAGAACAATAGCATGTTTATGTGGATGAGATGTCATAATGAGAACCAAACCTCTTGCATTTGGTGACCTCAATGTATTTAAATTTGTAACCTCAACATCACATTAGCAAAACGTTTTGCTTTTGTAATCTGATGCATGACTTCAAAAGTTAGCGAGTTTCTAGGGACCTTTCAAAGGCGTTATGTAAATGGAAGTGATTATTATTTATGACTAATCCAGCTGCATTTTTACTGTTTTTCCTACTAAGGGTTTTCATGCAGATTAAGCTATGAACCAAGCAGTAAAGATGACACTGTGTTCATGTAAGTGAAAGGAAGTTATTTTTAGGTAAAATGTTGTCTTTAAAAATAATAAGACAATATTTCATATCATAAATTATTTCTACCACTCTTCACATGTTTTATCTACCAATTAGTTTTATTTCATGATAGAAACAATACTTTTTTCTTTTTTTTCTTTTTTTGAGATGGAGTCTCGCTCTGTTGCCCAGGCTGGAGTGCAATGGCATGATCTTGGCTCACTGCACCCTCCACCTCCCGGGTTCAAGCGATTCTCCTGCCTCAGCCTCCTGAGTAGCTGGGATTACAGGTGCCCGCCACTACACCCAGCTAATTTTTGTATTTTTAGAAGAGACGGGGTTTCACCATGTTAGTCAGGCTGGTCTCAAACTCCTAAACTCAGGTGATCTGCCTGCCAAAGTGCTGGGACTACAGGCGTGAGCCACCACACCTGGCCAATAGAAACAAATCTTACTATACTATTCTTACAACCGTGTTCAGACTGAGAAAAAAATAACTGGGAACACTTGTCTAGTCAATCTTCTGTGGCCTAAATTACTTCTATCACATCATCTGTTACCTTCCAAATATTCCAGAATTATGGCTTCATCCATCCTTTTGTGTTTCTTGAGTCACTCACTCCATAAGTAGGAAGCATCTAATCTAGCAGGAATTGTGACGGATAAAAAAATTACGTGTCCTATTATTAAAAGATATCATATTTTATAACTTAATTTGTATCACTACGGAGGTATTCTATAAAGTAAATCTGAAAATGTCCCACTCTTAAAATTAAATAACAGCTATGTCGTTTCATTGTGTGTGTGTGTGTATATATATATATAAATATATATAAATATATATAAATATATATATAAATATATATATAAATATATATATATAAATATATATATAAATATATATATAAATATATATATATGTAAATATATATATAAATATATATATATGTAAATATATATATAAATATATATATATATATATTTTAAACCCAATGGACATACCAATAACAACCTAACAACCAATAAATACTATTGAAGATGCATGGGCATAGTGGTTAAGAGCCCAAACTCAGCTGGGAGCGGTGGCTCACGCCGGTAATCCCAGCACTTTGGGAGGCTGAGGCAGGCAGATCACAAGGTCAAGAGATGGAGACTATCCTGGCCAACATGGTGAAACCCCATCCTTACTAAAAATACAAACATTAGCTGGGTGTGGTGGCATGCACCTGTAGTCCCAGCTACTCGGGAAACTGAGGCAGGAGAATCGCTCGAACCCAGGAGGCAGAGGTTGCAGTGAGCAGAGATCACACCACTGCACTCCAGCCTGGCGACAGAGTGAGACTCCGTCTCAAAAAAAAAAAAAAAAAGAGAGAGAGAGCCCAGACTCTGGGTATAAGGTCTGGACATAACTTACTAGTGTATGATGTTAGGCAACACACTGAACCTCGATGCAATGATACTAGTAATACCAATTCGTGATGTATTTGTGAGGATTAGATGAGCCAATAAAAGGAGAATACTTAAAATAGTGTCTGGCACATTTTGTTTCATAAATATAAGCTATCACCATTATTTTGCCAAAAATACGTCTGTTGTATCCTGTCACAGTAGTAATCTTTTCTTGAGATCCATGGAAGGAATACAGAACATGTACATAAAGCAAACCAAAAATGAATTATTTGCTGAGATATTGTACCACCTACCCATCAACAGAAACAAAACAAAACAAAACAAAAGCACAGAACTCTAGGAGTTCATCTGGACCCTAAGAAGAATTTATTTCCTATCCAAGGGCAGAGTGAATGTCCTTGAAACATAGGAGGATGAACATCACTACTACTGGTTACTTTTTCTAAGGCTAAACCTAACACTCAGACCTTACCATAGTAACTTTTTTTTTTCTTTTTTCTTTTTTTTTTTTTTTTTGAGACAGAGTCTCGCTCTGTCATCCAGGCTGGAATTCAGTGGCATGATCTCAGCTCACAGCAAGCTCTGCCTCCCGGGTTCAGAAGATTCTCCTGCCTCAGTCTCCCGAATAGCTGGGACTACAGGTGCACACCACTATGCCCAGCTAACTTTTTGTATTTTTAGTAGAGACAGGTTTTCACCATGTTAGCCAGGATGGTCTTGATCTCCTGACCTCATGATCCACCCACCTTGGCCTCCCAAAGTGCTAGGATTACAGGCGTGAGCCACCACGCCCAACCTACCATAGTAATTTTTAAAAATAAAATAAAGCTGCATTGAAATTAGGAAAGAGTAGAAGAGAATAACAAATAATATAATAAAGAACATTTAAAGGAGTAAGAGATAAATAAAACCGGAGGAAGATCGAGACACACACACAAAAAAAAAAAAAGAAAAGAAAAAAAAATACAGAGAGACAGAGATAGAAAGCTTGAGAAAGAAAAAAAAAGATAGGCAGAAATAGGAAGAGAGATGCAGAGGCAGACAGACAATAAAGAGACACAGTTAGAGACAGAAAGAAAGAGACCAATAGAAAAAGAGAGAGACTTAAGAAATAGGATAGAGACAAAGAGAAAATTATGAAAATAGAAATTATGGGGGGAAAAAAAGGGACAAAGGGTCACAGTAATTGAGCAAGAGACAGGGATGAGAAGACCCTGCATGATACTTTCCTTCTCCAGGCTCCTGAAAGAGAGCAACCTGGGGATCTGTTAACATTTGACTCTAAAGGAAGATAAAAGAAAACAAAGAGACTGCACTCCCTGGTCCTTGGCCCTTACATCAGACAAAGAAGAATCCCCCATTAGCAGTACTCCACTTCCTTGGGGATAGAAGAATGCAAGAGTGTTGAACAGAGACCTGTGCGCTTCTGCTAAAGCCCATCAGCTACAGCTACCAAGAGTATGCTAACTAATAAGGGATTTTCATATATCACTTAATCCTTTCCCAGGTCCAGTATTATTAACCTCGTATTACTCCCATAAATAAAATGAGGCTGGTAGAGGTAAAGTAACTTTCCAAGCACACAAAGAAGAGCCAGTACTCCAACAAAACCCTCGAAACCTATATACTGCTGCCTCCTTGGGGTGGTGGGGGGGTGGTCTCCGTTTTAAGACTTTTGATTAATTTTATCTCAAGCCATGATGACTACTATCAGTTTTCTCATAGAATACAAACTGACACTAAAATGAAGGAACAAAAAAACAAGTAATTGTCAATGTAAAAATTTAGGAATGGCTATCAAGTGATGTTAATAACTGGTTATCTTTTTCTTGAACACAAATGCTCTTGGTTACCATTTTATATTGTGTAATAGACAGGTATGTATTTACATTTTGCTAGCAAGGATGTTCCTAGTTTTGTATGAGTGAATTAAATCAATATCTCATGCTCTTTCTACAAGAGTAACATGGCTTAGGAGGACTTTCCTAGGGGAACAAGTTTGAGAAACCCTGAAGTGTTTCTAGGTGAGGAGAATATATTACAGGAATTAAGAACTTGAATATGACTTTAATGTAAACCTGTAATTGTTGACTGGCTTATTTAAGGAAGGTTTCCTGAAGGAATTGGGTTTTAAACTGAGACTTGAAGGAAGTATAGAATTTGGTTTAGCTGATGGAAAGGAGGATGCATCTTAGCTAGATGGGACTGTATATCCAAAGGTACACAGGCAAAGATGAGTGTGGTATGTATAGATGCTAGTGTAGATGGAATTGTGGAATCCATTACCAAATAATCAATGATAAAACAGGAAAAAGACAGTGAGGTAAACTGAGAGAGGCCTTGAATACCAGGGTGTAGAGCATGAATCTGAATCAATTGCCAGTGAAGGGTTTATTGTGTCTTTTTTCAAGAGAGTATCATAAAGATACTCTGTAGGAGTATCTTTATGGAATGCTTTAGGAGGATTCTAGCGAGCAAGATGAATTGCAGTAGATAGCCAGGTGCAAAGTAATAAAGTGAGGACAGCAGTAGAAATGAAGAGGAAGAAAAGAATTTGAAATAGAGTAAAAACGGAAAAGTGAAAAGATGAACAAGTCTTGGTGACTGCTCTGTTACAGGCGGGAGGTGAGAGTCAATGAAGGAAAGAGATTTTTTTCCAAATATATATTTTATTCTAAATAAAGAAACCTATTAATAATTCAGGCCTTAAGTGGGAGATTCACAAGTATCTATGCCTTCCAGTTCCATCATAATTAAGTTACCATGAATGATTTTCTGTTTGATAAATTCAAGAGAGATTACAGTAACACAAACCGATCCAGAGTTCAACCTTAAAATTTGATTTAGCAAAGTAAATTGTTTCCCTGATTTTAGATTGCTGTGGTTTTCTTTCCCTTTTTGTAATTTTCTTTTTAAAAAATTTTTAAATTTTCATGAGTACATAGTAAGTACATATGTTTATGGGGGACATAAGATATTTTGAGAGGTATACAATGTGTCATAATCACATCAGAGTAAAGGGGGTATCTACCACCTGAAGCATTTATCATTTCTTTGTGTTACGAACATTCCAATTGTATTATACTCCCTCAATTATTTGAAAATGTACAACAAATTATCGCTGACTGTAGTCATTCTGGTGTGCTATCAAATACTAGATCTTATTAATTCTATCTAAGTATATTTTTGTACCCATTAATCATCCTTATTTCACCCCAACCCCACTATTCTTCCCAGCCTCTGGTAACCGTCATCCTATCTCCATGAATTTAATTGTTTTAACTTTTACCTCTCACAAATGAGTGTGAACATGCAAAATGTATCTTTCTGTGGCAGGCTTATTTCACATAATATAATGTTGTTTAGTTCCATCCTTGTTGCAAATGACAGGATCTCATTCTCATTTATGGCTGAATAGTACTTCATGGCGTATATGTACGACATTTTCTTTATCCATTCATCTGTCGATGGACACGTAGGTTGCTTCCAAATCTTGGATATTTTGTGTAGTGCTGCAGTAAACATGGGAGTGCAGATATTTCTTTGATATACTGATTTCCTTTCTTTGGAGTATATACTTAGCACTGGAATTGCTGGATCATATGATAGTTCTATGTTTAATTTTTTCAGGAATCTCCATACTGTTGTCCCTAGTGAGTATACTAATTTACAATCATACCAGCAGTGTATGAGCATTCCCCTTTCTCCACATCCTCGCCAGCATTCACTATTGCCTGTATTTTGGATAAAAGCCATTTTAACTGGAGTGAGATGATATCTCATTGTAGTGTTGATTTACATTTCTCTGATGATCAGTGATGTTGAGCATCTTTCCATATTCCTTTTTGCCATTTGTGTCTTTTTTTGAGAACCACCTATTCAGATCTTTTGCCCATTTTTGAATCAGATTACTAGATTTTTTTTTCCTACTTAGTTGTTTGAGCTCCTTACATATTCTGGTTATTAATCCTTTTCAGATGAATAGTTTGCAAATGTTTTCTCCCATTCCATGTGTTGTCTCTTCATTTTGTTGATTGTTCCCTTTGCTGTGCAGAAGCTTTTTAATGTGATGTGATCCTAGTTGCCCTTTTTTGTTTTGGTTGCTTGTGCTTTTGGAGTATTAATCAAGAAATCTTTACTCAGTCCAATGTCTTTGAGTTTCTTCCATTTTTTTTAGTGGTTTCATAGTTTGAAGTCTTAGATTTAAGTTTTTAACCAATTTAGATTTGATTTTTTTAATGGCAAGAGATAGGGTTCTAGTTTCATTCTTCTGCATGTGGATATCTAGTTTTCCCAGAACCATTTATTCTGGGAAATAATCTGGAAAATAATTTATTATTTCCCAGAATAAATGGTTAAAAATAAATTATTAAATATAATTGGTTAAAAAATCAATAAATAAAATAAATAAAATTATTAAAAATAATTTATTATTTATTGAAGAAACTGTCCTTTCCACAGTGTATGTTCTTGGCACCGTTGTCAAAAATAAGTTCACTGTAGATGTATGGATTTATTTCTGGGTTCTCTGTTCTGTTCCATTGACCTATTTGTCTCTTTTTATCTCAGAACCATGCTGTTTTGGCTAGTATAGCTCTGTAGTATAATTTGAAGTCAGGTTATTTGATTCTTCTAATTTTCTTCTTTTTGCTCAGGGTAGGTTTGGCTACTCTGAGTCTTTTGTGTTCCATAAAAATTTTAGGATTATTTTTCTATTTCTATGAAGAATATAATTGGTATTTTGATAGAGATTGAATCTTTAGATTGTTTTGGGTAGTATGGACATTTTAACAACATTGATACTTTCAATCCATGAACATAGAATATCTTTCCATTTTTTGTGTCCTCTTCAGTTTCTTGCATCAGCATTTTATAGTTTTCATTGTAGAGATTTTTCATTTCTTTGGTTAATTCCTACATATTTTATTTGTAACTGTTGTAAATAAGGTTACTTTCTTGATTTCTTTTTCAGATTATTTGCTATTGGCATATAGAAGTGCTACTAATTTTTGCATGTTGATTTTCTATCCTGCAACTTTACTGAATTTGTTTATCAATCTAAACTTATTTAATAATTTTTTGGTGGAGTCTTTAGGTTTCTCCAAGTGTAAGATAATACCATCTGCAAACAAGGATAATTTGGCTTCTTCTGCAAAGAAATTTTTTTTAAAAAATTGTGACTGAGGAATTATTTATAATAAAGCTGAAGCCCAGAATTCAAATAAACAAGCTGATCAAGAACAAGCATAGAAAGGAAATCAGAGTCATCCAAGCCCATTGCATTCTGATGTTTTTTTCTTCCCTTTCAAAAAAAAAATTAGCTTTGACCCCTGTATGTTGTTGTCATGTTTAATCAAATTGGAAGTCTTTTAATAACTGCAATGGAATTTCTTACCTTGCCTTCCTCCAGCGTTAACCCTTAACTGCTGTTATTTTAATTTCTCTTTGAGTAGGATTTTTTCCCTGGCCACACTCAGTGAAGTGTTTGATCTCATCACTAACTGCAAGTCCAGTTGCTGATGAAGTTCATTTTGTTTTCCTCTCTCCTGTGCACCAGATCTAATTGTAATGGCCATGTCAACTACGAGGTGAAACAGTACACCTCATCACGTAAAACGGGAAGCAGTGGAACTGGCCAAAAGTGATAACTTGCATGTTTTTTATTTTAGAACAGCTTAATAAAAGAATTTAAACCTAACAATTGCACCAGAAAAAAGTATATTGTTAAAGTGCTTGCTAGTTACAAGATGATAGACAGGGGGGCAAAAAAAAGAAAAAAATAGTTGCTGGCAATGGGTAAAGTATCGACCAGACTCTAATTTCAGCAAATGATCAAAATCATGCTAGCAGGTTGCATTAAGACCTTTATTATAGGCCAGGCGCAGTGGCTCACGCCTGTAATTCCAGCACTTTGGAAGGCTGAGGCAGATGGATCACCTGAGGTCATGAATTGGAGACCAGCCTAGCCAACATGGTGAAACCCCATCTCTAGTAAAAATACAAAAATTAGCTGGGCATGGTAGTGGGCGCCTGTAATCCCAGCTACTTGGGAGGCTGAGGCAAGAGAATCGCTTGAACCCGGGAGGCGGAGGTTGCAGTGAGCCAAGACGGTGCCATTGCACTCCAGCCTAGGCAAAAAGAGTGTAACTCCATCTCAAAACAAACAAACAAACAAACAAACAAACAAGACCTTTATTATCTGTTTTACGTTAACCAACTACTTAAAAGCCCTTGATGAAAGTCGTATTTTTGCTGGATTTTTGTGAGATCTGTTTCAGCCACTTTAACTCACTGACAGCTTTCTCTCAAAGTTGTTTTAACTTTGTGAAATATAATATTTTTATTTTTCATGGATGTAGTACTTTAAATTTACATGTGCATATTTAAACTCCACCCAACAATACTCCAAGGAACTATTTCCTTGTCTTATAAAAAAGGAAAGTAGGCTATTAAGTGAGGTTAAGTTACTTACCCAAGGTCTCACAGCTAGGATTAGTGGAGCCAGGACCCATATACTGCTCTTTTTCTGAGAAATATTTTTAAAATCACTATATATATACACACACACATATGTTATAAAATTATATACATACAATTCAAAATTATATATAGTGTATATGTGTATTTCACATACGTGTGTAATTTTGTTGATAAACTGCCTGAAACTAGTTGCAAATACACTCCTCTTGTTTAGTAAAGCTTTTACTTTAGTGTTTTAGTAAGCATTTTAGTAAATGCTTCCTTATTGATTTCACAAGGTTGAGGAGATACATTTACCCATTTTTAAATTTTATTTTACTTTTTAAACTTGATTTTAGAATAATAGATGTGTTTATGAGCAAAGAGAGCATAAAGTTCATTTACCTGACTTGGTGGGAGGGTCAGGAAAAATATCACAAATGATTTCTTGAGATGGGTTTATCAGGAGTTCCTGATGGGTTATTACTGCTGTGCCATGATAATGTCTAAATCTTCAAGATGGAAGCCATGCCTTTAGTCTATAAGCATTCATTTCAATTTCTTGCTTTGAACTAAGTCTTTTAAGTGGTGCAACTTGGGCTCAAGGCATGAAAAATCTAGGCATAAAATGAGTCTGAAAGGTATGGTTGGCCTTGTGAACATCATCATCATCATCATCATCATCATCATCACTAATGTTTTGCAATGGTAGTTTTGAGAAGAGAATAGGATCTACCCAAGGAACAGTACTGAAAGGGGTAGTGAAGTCAAATGTATTTCAGAGAATTATTGGCTTGGGAAAGATGGAGAGTGTCTCCAACCAGCAGGTCAACCATTACATTAGAAAGTTCCCAGGTGGGAGGTAAAATTCCTAATTTAGGGTCAGATATTGATGTATTAGGTATAACCTTTTTAAGAGATGTGCAGGCTGGGTGCGGTGGCTCACACCTGTAATCCCAGTACTTTGGGAGGCCAAGGGCAGGTGGATCACCTGAGGTCAGGAGTTCAAAACCAGCCTGGCCAACATGGTGAAACCCTGTCTCTATTAAAAATACCAAAAAAAAAAAAAAAAAGCTGGGAGTGGTGATAGGAGCCTGTAATCCCAGCTTCTCGGGAGGCTGAGGCAGGAGAATCACTTGAACCCAGGAGGCAGAGGTTGCAGTGGGCCAAGATTGCGCCACTGCACTCCAGCCTGGGTGACAGAGGAAGACTCCATCTCAAAAAAAAAAAAAAAAAAAAGGAGAGAGAGAGAGAGAGATGTGTGAAATGCCTTAGTCAATTTAGTCTTCTGGGGAAAGAATTTAGCAGGTGCAAACACGGTATCAGGGATTGAACCATGTAGCCTGAAGACTGAGTTCAGAGCCTCTCAGGTCTTGACAGACTGAAATATAGGACATTCTACAGTCTGAAAACCTTTGCCTTCACAAGCATGTAAGTCTTCTTTTTTTTTTTTCCAAACTTATTTGTAGTTAAATACAGAAATAATCTACAATTAAAATGATAATATTTGAACCTATTCTAATTTTATTCCTTGCTACTCTGGTTAAAAAAAGATTAACTGAGTTTAAAGAGACCAAAAATATACATGTTAATTTATGTTTTTCTAAAGAAAACTTTAGTTTTGAAAAATAAATAAATAAAAAATAAAGAATAAATAAAGAGTTTAAGAAAACTATCACCAAGTACAACACTAAGTGAACATCCATGTCTGTATTATCATCAGTATTTATTACATTGATTTGCTTTAGTTTCTATTTAACCTGTTCAAATAGTTTAACACTTTAGAAGGAAAGATAAAAATATCCTTAGCTGTCTCCCAAAACCCTTTATAAAAGGAAAGAAATAGTTAAAGATATTCTTTTTCAGATTGCCTTTTAAGTTAGATTTGGAAAGATTTGCAGTGCAGAGCACATTTGGAAATAAGCTGATGTGTGTGTGTGTGTTATGTATATATCAACATACACATAGATGAAAAGCTAAAATAAATATTGTCTGCAGCAATGCTATACATTTTATTTACATAGTTCTTTGGTGGAGAAAAAATAATACTTTATTCTAATAAATTATAGAGTCACAGTAAATGTTACAGAACTTTGTATCTTTCAAAATGAAGTTAAGAGTATGCATCTGTCTGTCTGTATGTTTTATGTACTTATTCCCCATCTCAATCCAAAAAGACTTTAGAGTGATTCCAGAGTCTTTAAAAATGTTCTAGGTATTTTCTTCCTTGCAAGCAATTCAGAACATAGAATTTAAATGAGCTGTTCAAATAAACATCAGTGGTAGTAATGGAAAGTATCTCCATTCTAAGGGGGTGAGAAAGAGTTTCAGTGGCAATAAACAATAGACTTAAATTATCAGCATGAATAATATGACATTATCATTCTCATTAAGAGATTCTGAAAGACCTTGCGGTATTCTAAATCCTTAATCAGATAATGTACATTCAAAATTCAATTACATAGTATAAAAAATAAATAAAACATCCGATGTCCAGGAATCCTTAACATTAACATACTTCAGTAATTTTAGGGCAGGACTATGAGTGCCAGCAAGCTCAGACAGACAGACAGCTTTTACGTAATGGAACTGAGCTGGACAAATGCTGAGCATATAATTATTACATGGCAATGAAGGGAAGAGGGCATTTGAACTTGTCTTAATTAATATGCTAACTAAGCTAATGTCTTTACTGAAAGCTTAGGGAAGCTTAGCTCAAATTTGCTTTGTAGAAAATGTGTCCACAAAGACAGTGTCTTGGGGAAAGGTTAGAATCTTCAGAGTAATGGTACTGACTTTTTTTTTTTCTTGGCCTCTTAGTGGACCCTTTGTACTAAAAGAATTTGTTCCCTAAGAAAGGTCACCAGGAGCCTTCATTTGTGTCCTTCTATTAAATGCTATCAGATTGAACAGTGGCATTTTACCGACCTGCAATTATGAGGAGGTGTGAACCTAAATACTCTATGTGCTATACTAAATATTATGGTAAATGTATTCCCAAACCAGAAATCAAGGCACACACCCTGACAAGCTCAAAGATGCTCAGGAGCCAGCAAGGCGGATTAATGGGGTATATTTTGGCCGTATGATTGCTATATTTATTATGTGATTATATGTCACATCTCTTACATTAAATGGCATTTTCACTCAGCTCAGAAACCGTAGCTGTGTTTTGAATTCATTTCTGTCATCTTGTGTTCTCTCCTCTTCTCTCTTCTCCCTCCTCTCTTCTCATCTCCTCTCTTCTCCTCTTCTCCCCTCTCTGTTTCTCTCCCCTAAAATCCAATCAATTGCCAACTCCTATAGATAATGCACTTTTAATAGCTCTACCATCCACATACTTCACAGCATCTTGCCATCAACAAATTGGTTACCCTGTACTTTTGTAAATTATTACAAAACCTCCTTGCCTACAGTAGTTCCTTTTGCAATACTTCATGTTATTAAAATTGTTCATTTGTCTGCCTCCCTTTTCTAAACTGTAAACTTGTTGAGAACCATATAAAACTAGGTCTATTTAGTAAGACTAAATTGTATTTATTTTCTAGTGCCATCACAGAAATTGACACATAGTGGGAACTCAGGAATAAATGAATAAAAGCAGATTGCATATTGACCTAATTTTCAGTGAAAATACATATTTCAGTTTATACTTTGAATCAGGGAATCAGTTAACAAAATGTAGCCACAAGATTCTTGACCCTTTAATTCTCCTCTCTGAGTGTTCTAAAATAATAATGGATAGAATAAAATGCCAAAGATTAAAGAAAAGCACACAGTTGTTTAATTGTAAGCTTTTGTAAGAAGGAGGAGGAAGGCTCCAAAGTTCAAGCATTTGTATATTGCACTTTGAATCTTGAATGATGAGCAAGGGTGAAAAAGTCAAGGTTAGAGAAAAACATTCCAAGCTGCAATGCAAAGCTGTAGAGGTGAAAAGGAATAGGGCCTCTCTGAGGGACTAAGATTGCTAAAATGCTAGACTGCGGGGTGCACAGAGGAGAGAATGGAGAGGCATGATGAACAACATTGGAACTGATTTATGACAGTCATCCAAGTGTTTTCTTTCTGGGTGAACTAGAGCACTTATGAATGCAGATTATAGGTAATTTGAAACCCTAATCTCTGCTTATTTTCACCATACTCAACTGTGATTCTGAAAATGTGGCTTTATAAGAAAGGGAATCTGATGTGAACTGATGTGAAATTAAACATTTCTCTGTATGTGACTAACTGTAAATCCCATGCACGTTCTTTGATTCCTGACTGTCTTATCTATATTTTCATGCCTCCTGTGATGCTCATCAGGTGATAATAGTAATGTC
Organism: Homo sapiens; assembly: GCF_000001405.40. Taxonomy (NCBI): domain Eukaryota; kingdom Metazoa; phylum Chordata; class Mammalia; order Primates; family Hominidae; genus Homo; species Homo sapiens. The sequence continues at coordinate 8,937,197 of NC_000009.12, read as the reverse complement.
ACCGTGACTGTCTCAAATTGTTTGGAGACTTTTTAAGAAAACGTTACTCAACACAATATAGCTAATCAACATTTTTCTCAGGTAGTCAATACATTATGATGCGGTAAAAAAACTACCATTTCTATTCTCTAATATTAGAAGGAACACACGCCATCAGAAAGTGGTAATGTCTGTAACATCTATCCAAATACTTTATTTCTTACTTGTTACCAAAAACAAATAAACCAAAAAAGTGCTCCTCTTACTAGATGAGTTGATAAGAATGGATTAGTAAGTAAAATCCAAATTACTCAGTAATATTATTATTTTTCTATTGCATTTGATTCATGTAAATCTCAAAGTGAATTCTGTATAAGAAACCATTTTGAATTATCCCATGTTCACCATATAAACCTTTATCCTTTCAATATCTAGCAATACATTTATGATAGCCAAAATCCAGTAAGAAAACAGAATCACTCAGTGGTAGAACAGGCTTATAAAATTAAGCCAATGATATCAAATGATTACGAATGTTTTACCACAGGCAAACTAAGCTTAGCATTTTCATTCCTATGTAGTGATTGTTTCTATTCCCTGTAAATAGTCAGTTGAAGTTTCCAGTTCCTCAAAGCAAGGCTGCCTTAGAGATGAACTACTGAAAACTAAACCAATTATAGTTGCTGCATATAGCAAACACTAAATCGCTTGTCTTTCACAATAAGGATTGGGTAGCTCAAAAATTAGATGAAGTTATTTTTCATCTTCTTTTTTTTTTTTTTTTTTTTTTTGGAGGCAGGGTCTTGCTCTGTTGCCTAGGCTGGAGTGCAGTGGTGCAATCTAGGCTCACTGCCGCAACCTCTGCCTCCCAGGCTCAAGCAATCCTCCCACCTCGCACCACCCCCTGCCAACCCCCAGGAGCTGGAACTACAGGCATATGCCACCACACCTGGCTAATCTTTGTATTTTTTGTAGAGATGGGGTGTTCCTACGTTGCCCAGGCTGGTCTCAAACCCCTGAGCTCAAGCGATCCACTTACCTCAGTCACCCAAAGTGCTGGGATTACAGGCATGAGCCACAGCACCTGGACCTGAAGTTCTCTTTCTCTCAATCTTCCATCAATTGATTTGAAGATGTCTTCTGTTATCCGAGATAATGTGTCAGAGTAGAGGAAACAAACACGTCTTTGGAGGTTGATGGAAAAAATGTCAAGCCATGTAGCCAAGAGCACCCTAGCCCCCACCAAAGCTATATTAAAACTGAGGAAAAAGGTTCAAGATTCACTTCATGCATGGGACTTCCAGCAATATTTGGAGACACAAGGATTGTGAATCTTTTTCAAATTGGTGATGTAACCCCAAAAGGAAACTGTATACTCACTCTTGGATGGAAAGGGAAAGGGGGATTATGAGAAGAGAATGAAATTACTCATAGTAAGAATCACTATCCTGTTCTTTGGAAGGCCTTTTGAAAAATATCTTTTTCTGCTTTCTCATTTCATACTGCATTAAGCCTCATGTAATTTCCCACTGTGGGGGGCCTTCCCCAGTGAAGCAAACTGCACACGTTCAGATGCCTTCTCCTCCAGGGCTTCTAGTAAAGATAAAACTAGTTATGTGAATGAAGCATTCATTCGTTAGGCTTCCTCGGGATCTATTTAGTATGTTTGTGAAGGCATGAAAAAAGGTAGTAAGTAGACTTTCTCTTTGGATGATATTTTAAGAATCTCTTGTTTGCTGGTATTTTAAATCCCCAAAGCACTTACTTTAAAGGTAGGCACCACAGTGTTTTCTATGTACAGATCTTTCGATTCACTGGTTAAATTTATCCTTAAGGTTGTATTGTTTGTTTGTTTGTTCTTGAGATGCTATTGTAAATAGATTGCTTTCTTAATTTCTTTTTTAAATAATTGCTAGTATATAGAAATGCAATTGATTTTTAATACTGATTTTGTATTCTGCAACTTTACTGAATTTTTTTATTACTTCCAACAGTTTTTTGGTGAAGTCTTTAGGGTATTCTATATGTAAGATGGTGTCATATGCAAACAGAGGCAATTTTACTTCTTCCTTTTCAAGATATCTGTGTACCTATGTTCACTGCAGCATTATTCACAATAGCCAATATATGAAATCAGTCTGTGTTTATCAACAGATAAATGGATAAAGAAAATGTGATACATATATCTCTCTGTGTGTGTATATATAAGTATATATACACAGAAAGACATATGTATACACACAGTGGAATATTATTCAGCTTTAAAAAAGGAAGAAAATCCTGTCATGTGTGACTACATGGATGAAACTGGAGGACATTATGCTAAGTGAAATAAGACAGGCACAGAAAGACAAATACTACTTAATCTCACTTACGTATGGAATCCAAAAAGCTGAACATACAGATGCAGAGAGTACGATGGTGGTTGCCAGGGGCTAGAGAGTGGGAGAGACAGGGAGATGTTAGTAGAAGGATAAAAAGTTTCCGTTATGCAGGATGAATACATTCTGAAAATCTCATGTATAGCATGGCGACTATAGTTAATAATACTCTAGGGTATACTAGAAATAAGAGAGTAGATCTTAAACATTCTCACCACAAACTATGTGAGGTAATGGATATATTAATTAGCTTGATGCTGGTAATCATTTCACAATGTATATCAAGACATCTTATGGTTTCCCATATATATATATATTTATATATATATATTTATATATATATTTATATATATATATATTTATATATATATATTTATATATATATAAATTTATATATATATTTATATATATATATACACACACACACACACACACACACACACATAATTAGTATTTGTCAATTACACCTCTATAAAGCTGGGAAGGGGAATGTAGGTACCAGCTACACCTGGTGTCTGCAGGGCTTGATTTCGGTAGTTCAAGTTGGAACTGAATTTAGGAGGATGGGCCTTCACTTAATTTTATGTTATTTTCATGTAAATTGTTTAGGTACCAAATCACTTCCTATCTTTCCATTCTTTTTTTCCATATTATCTCATCTTCTCAATCAACAAGTGTTTATTTGTTACCAATTCTCTCTTTCTCTCTTATCAGTTCAGCATTAGCCATTTGCACATCTGGAGGTGAGAGAAGGAAGCTAGATGGTGACTGAGGCCAAAAGAGTCCTGAGGAATAGAATTAGTTACCTTCCTTAAGCATCTGAAGTTTTAGAGCCCAATCTTTCATTTCCTTTCCCAGCCCCAAAAGGAAATATATTCTGGGGTTGGGAAATATGTTTTGGTACTGGGAAAGGAGTTCTATATGGAGAACTTGCCAGAAGGAATACTAGATTTGTGATTTATTAAAGTCTGTTAAACTTTTGACCATTAATAGTAGAAAAGATTAAGATATAATCTTGCATCATGATTTTTATTATTAAAGATGGTCAAAATGCTACCAAACGTGTTTTTGTCCCTCCATACCCCTCTGGAATTTTCTGATGTCATTTGAACCCCAAAATAGACTTGGCTGAAAGACTAAGAGGTAGTATATCAGGTGATGACATTGAGTCAAATATTTCTATAGTTAGAAGCATTAAAATACTTTATAGTCACTTGAAAAACTGTATTAGGTTAGAATAAATATATCAAGTATCCATTAGCTCACTGAATGAAAATCAGTCACATGCATTAGAAAACTGATTCAAGTCATTCTTTGTCTGTGGACTTGAGAAGCATGTTATTGGTATCCAAGATAAAATGTACTCATGTAAGCTACAGCCAATCCCTTTAAAATCATTCAGAAAAAATGCTTAAACTTGGTATAAGAAAGGGATAAATTATTATCTGTATGTTATACTAGAGTCCTTTTATGTAAAAAAAAAAAAAAAAAAAAAAACCTCAAGGTTGTGGCTGGCAAGATGGCCAAATAGGAACAGCTCTGGTCTGCAACTCCCAGCGATACCAATGAAGAAGACAGATGATTTTTTCATTTCCAACTGATGTACCCTGCTCATCTCATTGGAACTGGTTAGAGAGTGGGTGCAGCCCATGAAGGGCGAGCAGAAGCAGGGTGGGGCGTCACCTCACCCAGGAAGCACAAGGGGTCGGGGAACTCCCTCCCCTAGCTAAGGGGAGCCATGAAGGACTGTGCCATGAGGAACGGTGCACTCTGGTCCAGATACTATGCTTTTCCCATGGTCTTCGCAACCTGTAGACCAGGAGATTCTCTCTGGTGCCTACACCACCAGGGCCCTGGGTTTCAAGCACAAAACTGGGCAGCCATTTAGGCAGACACCAAGCTAGCTGCAGGAGTTTTTCATACCTCAGTGGTGCCTGGAACACCAGCAAGACAGAACCTTTCATTCCCCTGGAAAGGCGACGGAAGCCAGGGAGCCAAGTGGTCTAGCTCAGCAGATTCCACGCCCACGGAGCCCAGCAAGCTAAGATCCACTGGCTTGAAATTCTCTCTGCCAGCACAGCAGTCTGAAGTCAACCTGGGATGCTCGAGCTTAGTGGGGAGGGGGGGTCCACCTTTACTGAGGTTTGAGTAGGTGGTTTTCCCCTCACAGTGTAAACAAAGCCGCTGGGAAGTTCAGACTGGGCAGAGCCCACCACAACTTGGCAAAGCTGTTGTAGCCAGACTGAATCTCCAGATTCCTCCTCTCTGGGCAGGCCATCTCTGAAAGAAAGGCAGCAGCCACAGTCAGGGACTTATGGATCAAACTCCCATCTCCCTGCGACAGAGCACCTGGGGGAAAGGGTAGCTGTGGGCGCACAACTACATGGAAACTGAACAACCTGCTCCTGAATGACTACTGGGTAAATAATGAAATGAAGGCAGAAACAAAGATATTGTTTGAAACCAATGAGAACAAAGACACAACGTACCAGAATCTCTGGGACACAGCTAAAGCAGTGTTTAGAGGAAAAATTATTGCGCTAAATGCCCACAGGAGAAAATGGGAAAGATCTAAAGTCGACACCCTAACATCACAATTAAAAGAACTAGAGAGGCAAGAGCAAACAAATTCAAAAGCTAGCAGAAGGCAAGAAACACTTAAGATCAGAGCAGAACTGAAGGAGATACAGACACGAAAAACCCTTCAAAAAATCAACGAATCCAGGAGCGGGTTTTCTGAAAAGATTAACAAAATAGACCACTAGCCAGACTACTAAAGAAGAAAAGAGAGAAGAATCAAATGGACACACTAAAAAATTATAAAGGAGATATCACCACTGATCCCAAAGAAATACAAACTACCATCAGAGAATACTATAAATACCTCTATGCAAATAAATGAGAACATCTAGAAGAAATGGATAAATTGGGACACATACAACCTCTCAAGGCTAAACCAAGAAGAAGTCGAATCCCTGAATAAGCCAATAACAAGTTCTGAAATTGAGGCAGTAGTCAATAGCCTACCAACCAAAAAAAAACCAGGACCAGACAGATTCATAGCCGAATTTTACCAGAGGTACAAAGAGGAGCTGGTAACATTCCTTCTGAAACTACTCCAAACAATAGAAAAAGAGAGACTCCTCCCTAACTCATTTCATGAGACATGCATCATCGTGATACGTAAACCTGGCTGCTCAATGAAATAAAAGAGGATACAAACAAATGGAAGAACATTCCATGCTCATGGATAGGAAGAATCAATATCGTGAAAAGGGCCATACTGCCCAAGGTAATTTATAGATTCAATGCCATCCCCATCAAGCTACTAATGACTTTCTTCACAGAATTGGAAAAAACTACTTTAAAGTTCATACGGAACCAAAAAAGAGCCCGCATTACCAAGTCAATCCTAAGCCAAAAGAACAAAGCTGGAGGCATCCCGCTACCTGACTTCAAACTATACTACAAGGCTAGAGAAACCAAAACAGCATGGTACTGGTACCAAAACACAGATATAGACCAATGGAACAGAACAGAGCCCTCAAAAATAATACCACACATCTACAACTATCTGATCTTTGACAAACCTGACAAAAACAAGAAATGGGGAAAGGATTCCCTATTTAACAAATGGTGCTGGGAAAACTGGCTAGGCATATGTAGAAAGCTGAAACTGGATCCCTTCCTTACACCTTATACAAAAATTAATTCAAGATGGATTAAAGACTTAAATGTCAGACCTAAACCCATAAAAACCGTAGAAGAAAACCTAGGCAATACCATTCAGGACATAGGCATGGGCAAGGACTTCATGTCTAAAACACCCAAAGCAATGGCAACAAAAGCCAAAATTGACAAATGGGATCTCATTAAACTAAAGAGCTTCTGCACAGCAAAAGAAACTACCATCAGAGTGGACAGGCGACCTACAGAATGGGAGAACATTTTTGCAATCTACTCATCTGACAAAGGGCTAATATCCAGAATCTACAAAGAACTCAAACAAATTTACAAGAAAAAAACAAACAACCCCATCAAAAAGTGGGCAAAGGATATGAACAGACACTTCTCAAAAGAAGACATTAATGCAGCCAAAAGACACATGAAAAAATGCTCATCATCACTGGCCATCAGAGAAATGCAAATCAAGCTGCAATGAGATACCATCTCACACCAGTTAGAATGGTGATCATTAAAAAGTCAGGAAACAACAGGTGCTGGAGAGGATGTGGGAAAACAGGAACACTTTTACACTGTTGGTGGGACTGTAAACTAGTTCAACCATTGTGGAAGACAGTGTGGCGATTCCTCCGGGATCTAGAACTAGAAATACCATTTGACCCAGCCATCCCATTACTGGGTATATACCCAAAGGATTATAAATAATTCTACTATAAAGACACATGCACACATATGTTTATTGTGGCACTATTCACAATAGCAAAGACTTGGAACCAACCCAGATGTCCAACAATGATAGACTGGATTAAGAAAATGTGGCACATATACACCATGGAATACTATGCAGCCATTAAAAAGGATGAGTTCATGTCCTTTGTAGGGACATGGATGAAGCTGGAAACCATCATTCTCAGCAAACTATCGCAAGGACAAAAAAACCAAACACCACATGTTCTCACTCATAGGTGGGAATTGAACAATAAGAACACTTGGACACAGGAAGGGGAACATCACACACTGGGGCCTGTTGTGGTGTGGGGGGGGGTGGGAGGGATAGCATTAGGAGATATACCTAATGTAAATGACGAGTTAATGGGTGCAGCACACCAACATGGTACATGTATACATATGTAACAAACCTGCACGTTGTGCACATGTATCCTAGAACTTAAAGTATAATAATAGTTATATATATATATACACACACACACATATATATATACACATATATATATACACACACATATATATACACATATATATACACACACATATATACACACACATGTATATACACATATATATACACACATATATATACACATATATATACACATATATATACACATATATACACACACATATATACACACCCATATATATACACATATATATACATATATATATACACATATATATACACATATATATATACACATATATATATACACATATATATATACACATATATAAAAGAAAACCTGGCAGAGACACACAAAAAAAGAAAATTTCAGCCCAATAGCCCTGATGAACATCGATGCAAAAATCCTCAATAAAATACTGGCAAACCGAATCCAGCAGCACATCAAAAAGCTTATCTACCACGATCAAGTCGGCTTCATACTTGGGATGCAAGGCAGGTTCAACATACGCAAATCAATAAATGTAATCCATCACATAAACAGAGCCAATGACCAAAACCACATGATTATCTCCATAGATGCAGAAAAGGCCTTTGATAAAATTCAACACAACTTCATGCTAAAAACTCTCAATAAACTAGGTATTGATGGAATGTACCTCAAAATAATAAGAGGTATTCATGACAAACCCACAGCCAATATCATACTGAATCGGCCAAAGCTGAAAGGATTCCCTTTGAAAACCGGCACAAGACAAGGATGCCCTCCCTCACTACTTCTATTAAACATAGTGTTGGAAGTTCTGGCCAGGGCAATCAGGCAAGGGAAAGAAATCAAGTGTGTTCAGTTAGGAAAGGAGGAAGTCAAATTGTCTCTGTTAGCAGATGACATGATTGTATATTTAGAAAACCCCATCGTCTCAGCCCAAAATTTCTGCAAGCTGATAAGCAACTTCAGCAAAGTCTCAGGATACAAAATCAACATGCAAAAAATCACAGGCATTCCTATACACCAATAATAGACAGAGAGTCAAATCATGAGTGAACTCTCATTCACAATTGCTACAAAGAGAATAAAATACCTAGGAATACAACTTACGAGGGATGCGAAGGACTTCTTCAGGCAGAACTGCAAACCACTGCTCAAGGAAATAAGAGAGGACACAAACAAATGGAAAAACATTCCATCCTCATGGATAGGAAGAATCAATATCATGAAAATGGCCATATTACCTCAAGTAATTTATAGATTCAGTGCTTTCCCCATGAAACTACCATTGACCTTCTTCACAGAATTAGAAAAAGCTACTTTAAATTTCATATGGAACAAAAAAAGAGCCCATATAGCCAAGATAATACTAAGCAAAAAGAACAAAGCCAGAGGCATCATGCTACCTGACTTCAAACTATACTACAAGGCTAGAGTAACCAACTGGTACCAAAACAGAGATATAGACCAACGGACCAGAACAGAGGCCTCAGAAATAATGCCACACATCTACAACCATCTGATCTTTGACAAACCTGACCAAAAAAAGCAATGGGGAAAGGATTCCCTGTTTAATAAATGGTGTTGGGAAAACTGGCTAGCCATATGCAGAAAACTGAAACTGGACCCCTTCCTTACACCTTATACAAAAATTAATGAAAGATGGATTAAAGACTTAAATGTTAGACCTAAAACCATAAAAACCCTAGAAGAAAACCTAGGCAATCCTTTTCAGGACATAGGCATGGGCAAAGACTTCATGACTAAAATATCAAAAGCAATGGCAACAAAAGCCATAATTGACAAATGGGATTTATTTAAACTAAAGAGCTTCTGAACAGCAAAAGAAACTATCGTCAGAGTAAACAGTCAACCTACAGAATGGGAGAAAATTTTTGCAATCTATCCATCTGACAAAGGGCAAATATCCAGAATCTGCAAATAATTTTAACAAATTTACAAGGAAAAGACAACCTCATCAAAAAGTGGGCGAAGGATATGAACAGACGCTCCTCAAAAGAAGACATTTATGTGGCCAACAAATATGAAAAAAAGCTCATCATCACTGGTCATTAGAGAAATGCAAATCAAAACCACAATGAGATACCATGTCATGCCAGTTAGAATGGCAATCATTAAAAAGTCAGGAAACAACAGATGCTGGAGAGGATGTAGAGAAATAGGAATGCTTTTACACTGTTGGTAGAAGTGTAAATTAGTTCAACCATTGTGGAAGTCAGTGTGGCAATTCCTCAAGGATCTAGAAACAGAAATACCATTTGACCCAGCAATCCCATTTCTGGGTATATACCCAAAGGATTATAAATCATTCTGCTATAAAGACACATGCACACATATGTTTATTGCAGCACTGTTCACAATAGCAAAGACTTGGAACCAACCCAAGTGCCCATCAATGATAGACTGGATAAAGAAAATGTGGCATATATACACCATGGAATACTATGCAGCCAAAAAAAGGATGAGCTCATGTTCTTTGCAGGAACATGGATGAAGCTGGAAACCATCATTCTCAGCAAACTAACACAGGAACAGGAAACCAAACACCACATGTTCTCACTCATAAGTGGGAGTTGAACAATGAGAACACATGGACACAGGGAGGGGAACGTCACACACCAGGGCCTGTCATGTTGGGGAATAGCATTAGGAGAAATACCTAATGTAGATGATGGGTTGATGGGTGCAGCACACCACCATGACACATGTATGCCTATGTTACAAGCCTGCACATTCTGCACATGTATCCCAGAACTTAAAGTATAATAAAAATAAATAAATAAATATGAGAAAAACAGTCAATGTTGAAGCATGTCTTAGAAAAGAGAAGGTGTAGAGGTAGGACTCTTATTTCAAGCTGTTAAATTAGAATTTTGCCTTTTTTTTATGTTCTTAAGAGCTAGTAAAAATGTAGCTACTAACTTGCTCTGTGACCTTAAACAAATCATTCAATGTCTGGACCTCAGTTTCCTCCTCTGTCAAAAGGTTGCAATTGGATGACATGATTTTGTAGTTCCCTTTGAGCTCAAAAATTCCACACTCTAAAAGAAAGAAATGTAAACTGACTCATCATTATTCCCTGGGCTCAAATGATGTTTTCTGCCTTAGATTGTCTTAATACTTAAAACATTTAAATATAAGAAAGGGAAGATTTGAATAGTCTTTACAAGTTGAATTTCAAATGGTTTAGAAGATGCTTAGAGATGTTTTCAGAAAGAATTATCAAGAAGAGATCACTCAGTAAGTGCACAGCCTGCCTGAAGGGCAGCCAAGTTATATACATAAAAATATTTAATGTGAGCAAGGAAGAAATACAAATCCTGACAGAATAGAATTCAGACATGGGAATGATTATTTCCAGTGGAAAGAATCAGGGAATTTTCCATGGAGAACATACAGTCCCAGCCTTTCCAGACTTTAAACCATTCAGTGAACAAGGCACTGAGTTGGGCTCTGTGAATAAGAAATTTTCAGTTAAAACACAGAACTTTCCTTTCTAGAGTTCAGGGTCACATAGGAGAAACCATGAAGTGGACAGACGCTTACCATAAAGTATTAGAAAACTCTACGAGATAAAATTTACTAAAATGCTATCACAGTGCCTAGGACCTAGTGTTTACCCAATAAATATTATTATATTTTACTCCTATTGTCATTTTTATTGAGGTAAGCATAAGATACTGCAATGGATTGTGTAATAGGCAACCTATACAGATTGGGTTGATCAAGGAAGGCTTCCCAGAGGTGGTAACATCTGAAATAAGTTTTGAAGGATAAGTAGAAGCTGAGTTGATAAAACCTTGGCAGCAGGAAAATGAAAAGGTATTCCAGTCAGAGGATGCAGTTTGGGCAAATGGAGTATGATGGAAGAGGGCACGTCATGTTAAGGGCCTGCAAGAAGCTTGGGAATGACTAGAAATCGTGTGATGAGGCATGGCAAGAGGTGGTACTTTCTATAAATACCAGGGCTAGACCTAAAGTCCATTTCATGTCATTTTAAGTAGTTTGGGTTCTGGTTTGAAAAGGAGAGAATTGATGAAGGATTGTAAACAAGAGAAATATTAACTCAATAGAATGGAAAATGTACTTAATTAATAAGGACAAACTTGAAAGCAAGAGATCAGTAAAAAAAAAAAAAAAAAAATATTGCAATAGTCCAGCTGACAAATTGAGGAGGCGTTGAATTAAGTTCTCCTTGAACTAATTACAGCAGTTCTCTAACAGTGAGTGTCAGGGGGAGAAAGGAGACAAGAGGTGTTTATAGCTGAACAGAACAGTACTCGGTGCCTAGAGGTGTGGCGTAAAGGAAAAGTTGAGGATGGCATCCAAGATACTGGCTTAGACTATTTATATCACGTTGATGTAGTCTTTTGAGGATCTCCATGCAGAGGTAACCATCCTCATCAGATGAAAAATATCTTGGTTGGCGGGGGTGGTGGGGGTGGGCACAGCTTAGCAACTTGTAGTTGGTTTTTTTTGTTTGTTTTCTTTGTTTTGTTTTTCTGTTTCGGGGAATTGAAATTTTTTTCCTGTCAGAACAAACACAGCTGTGTCTTATGTTTCAGAAATTATGTAGGTGACTTACTTGCTTTTGACATTTTTCACCTTTCTTAGAGTTGCATTATTTTAAACCTGGGAGACTATATAGTGGAGAATGTACCTTCCCCTGCATCCCCTGCCTCGGAGCCATCCTACACCATCCCTGCCTATAAGAGCACCCTTTAATGTAGGAAGGTGACCAATAAGTAGCTGCATAAAAGGACACAAGTACCCAGAAAAATGCTCAGGCTGGAGTCAAGACGTTGGCTGCATCATCACATAGGGAGTAATTAGAGTCAGGGAGTAGATTAGATTACACAGAGGAAATATAATGTAAGAAGAGAATCGGACAAAGGACAGAAACCTGGGAGAGTACCAACATTTAAATGGCTGTAAAAAGAGCAGGAAGAATTGCTCTAGTTTTATTGCCTGAGCTCTCAGGACTTCTCAAAGTATTTACGGAATATAACATATGGGACCAAGCAAGTCATGATGTTCATTTCCACCACAATCATCAGCAGCATAAGCAAATGGCAACCATGTTGTAAATGATGGCTTCATAGGCTTATTCTGATTACCCAGCTTTTTGAAATTTCATGAATTCTAAGCACTGTCACATTTCAAGAAAAGCAAATCAGAGAAATATTCCAAGAAATATATGTTCTAGCCTAGTTCACATCTGGGTGGCTGACTCATGCCAAGCCCTACTGAATGGCCAGAAATTGATGGGGGTAGGGATGATGAGACAGCGCTGCAGAGTCATTAACAGTTTCCTTCTACAGACAAGATCAGTTCTGCAAGTAGAAGTGAGGAGTTGGCGAGTTTGCTAATGATGGAGAGGCCTCCATGGACTCATCTGTCTAGGGAGGTGAGGTGGGGAGATGCTAAGACAAGACAAAGGAGTTGACAGCTTCTGTGAAATTCAGGTACCACTTTGATTCCCTGATTGTTACAAGAAGAATATTTGCCTCCCCAAATAAACTCTAAATTCCGCAAATTGATGCAACATGCCAAGAGCACCTAAGAGTGAATTTGACATGTTGCAAGTACTCAGTGGTTTCTCTTTCTATCCCACCAAGGACTAGGTTTTGTATTTTTCTTCCTACCTCTCCTTGTACCAAGAAGAGAGCTGAGGAACTATTGAGAATTCAATAAATACCTGATTGAAATAGTGCTTGTTAAGGAAAAATATCAAGAATATTTTTGCATTAAAGAATTAAAAATTTTGGGTTGATACTTTGCCAATGTTGATCCTTTTTCAGTACTGTAGACTTATTTAAACTCCCTTTCTCAGAAGCACTGAATCATAGGTGTGATGAGTGAGTGCTGGATTTAATCGTAGCTTAGGCCCCTGGGACTGCGCCTTATGAAGACAAATAGTAGACATAATAATAAAATTAAAATATTTCTTCATTCTAAATTTAGAAAATGACTGCCTTCTTTTTGTAAATGATAATGGCTTGCAAAGCAGTTCAATCTTTTTAGCTATGTAAATGGTATAATACAGTTTAAAGGATTTTTTAATTAAAACAATTGGAAGCTTCAAATATAGACTGCATTTTCCAATTTTTACAATGCTTTGCTCAAAAAGGCAGAGCTTAAAATCACATATGACTCACTGCATTGTTTCAAAGCCATTACACTCGAGGTGTGTTACCTCCATCTGGCACGTAGAGCCACATGTCCTGGTGTTCATTGCCGTTTGGTAGGTAGCATGTGTTTATAAACAGAATATCAACGAAATGGACAATACTTGGAGAGTTTACCTAAGTTTTGTTATTTTTTAAAGAGATTTAAGATTGTTAAACTTATTATTTAAAGGGCTCTGAGTAACTTTTTTTTGCATTTTTAAAATAGGTCAGTTTTATTCTGCTAGTTCCATAAAAACAATGTAAACACAAGCATTCTGTACGTCTTGCTGGTGAATTCACATAATGCTTACTTAGTTCCCTGATCCTTTGACCTCCTCATCTTCTCCAGTTATTTTCTGTTTGGACCACGGGCCACAGGAGTGGAGTGTGGTTGGGGCTTAGGAGACAGGAATGTAGCTTTTTGGTATGACTCGTTTTATTGCTTGCTCTCGGTGCTGAGTAACTTCTAAAATAAGAAGTACGTAGAAGCTGGCCAGGCGCGGTGGCTCATGCCTGTAATCCCAGCACTTAGGGAGGCAGAAGCAGGCGGATCACCTAAGGTCAGGAGTTCGAGACCAGCCTGGCCAACATGGTGAAACCCTGTCTCTACTAAAAATACAAAAATTAGCTGGGCGTGGTGGCAGGCGCCTGTAATCCCAGCTACTTAGGAGGCTGAGGCAGGAGACTCACTTGAACCCAGGAGGCGGAGGTTTCAGTGAACCGAGACCACACCATTGCGCTCCAGCCTGGATGACAGAGCGAGACTCAGTCTCAAAAACAACAAAAAAAAAGACAGACAAAAAGAGAGAAAAAGAAACAAAGGAAGAAGAGAAAAAGAAACGAGAGAAGAAAAGAAAGGAAAAATCTTTGGGCCAGGTGCAGTGGCTCATGACTGTAATCCCAACACTTAGGGAGGCTGAGGTGGGTGGATCACAAGGTCAGGAGATCGAGACCATCCCAGCTAAGATGATGAAACCCCATCTCTACTAAAAATACAAAAATACAAAAAAAAAAAAAAATTAGCCGGGCGTGATGGCACACGCCTGTAGTCCCAGCTACTCGGGAGGCTGAGGCAGGAGAATTGCTTGAACCCGGGAGGCGGATGTTGCGGTGAGCTGAGATCGCGCCACTGCACTCCAGTGCAGACAGAGCATCAGAGGGACAGAGCGAGACTCTGTCTCAAAAAAAATAAAATTAGAAGAAGTTAAAAAACTACATGGAAGTGGTCATTCTAAATCAAACTGCATCCCTGCCTATTAGGCCTCTGAATCAGTTCCTACGCAGTTGGATGGCAAAGACAATAAACAAGAGCCATCTAAGACATGGAATGTTATTATGACTATTGTTAAGAAAGTAAGAATTTCCCTGATGACCTTTGTATTCTCATATTCGTAGGAGGTAAGGGATACGACCATGGAGTAATGGTTCATTTAGCATGATGTGTGTATATGTGCATGTGTAGATATTTGGCATAAAAAATGCCTATTCCTCATCAGGAGTGATTGTGTAAGTAATATCCTAGTGAGCTCTCTTCTGAAAGTCCTGGTATTGATGAAAATTATCAGTTGGGTCCACCCATTTCAGAAAAATTTCTGTAACAAAAATATATATTAACACTGGACTTAATAGAGAAAAAAAACAAAGTCAAGAAAATTTGCTGAGAAAAATACAAAGGCACAAAATACATCCTTTTAATCCTTTTAATAAGTATTAACATGAAGATTTAAAAGAATAAACTACACACGAATTCTCTGCCTGTTAACAGTATGAATTTGATGTTAACCACTAATCCCTTCTCACTAGCGTAATAACTTCTCCTTTGTGAAGAGAGACTGGGATTCTATCTGTCTTTGTTCCTTGCCAACTTTCCCTTTTATTGTTTTTATTTTGCCTCCTCTTCTTCTGTGTCCAGTTTTAGATCTCACTCATCCATTCCAATGCACTTTGGACTGTTTATTTAAATTTACCAAAGCTGATATATTAATTGCAATGGCTCCCCCAAGATTATGCTGGACTTACCACATCAAAATTTATTGGGAGGCTAGCTGTGGTGGCTCACTCCTGTAATCCCAACACTTTGGGAGGTCAAGGTGGGTGGATCACTTGAGGTCGGGAGTTCGAGACTAGCCTGGCCAACATGGTGAAACCCTGTCTCTACTAAAAATACAAAAATTAGCTGAGTGTGGTGGCACACACCTGTAATCCCAGCTACTCAGGAGGTTAAGTTGGGAGAATCACTTTAACCAGGGAGGCAGAGGTTGCAGTGAGCCAAGATCGTGCCACAGCACTCCAGCCTGGGCGACAGAGTGAGACTCTGTCTCAAAAAAGAAAAAAAAAATGCGAAAACTTTTGAAAAAATACATATTCATAAGCCCCACATCCTCATGCTCAGATTTAATAAGTCCAGAAACTGGTACTGGGAATTAGCCTTTAGCCTCCCAAGTGAGTCTGATGAGCAGATATGCACAATAATCATTGGATAGTCATGTGTGTGAGGTATGTCTGTGTGTGAGAGAGGAGTGAGAGCAAGTTCAGGAAGCTTTAACACAGGAAGAATCACTGCCTAAAATAGAATCAAGTTCATGTTTCTGGTATAGATAATAGTTCTGTTCCTACTTTGAATGTACAACTATCTTCTAATGTGTCAATGAATAGCCTCACAGATTCCAGTGGCAGGTTTTCTAGACCTTCCTGGTTTGAGACAGAAAAGAATAACTTCGGCCAGACGCGGTGGTTCACGCCTGTAATCCCAACACTTTGGGAGGCCGAGGCGCGCGGATTGCCAGAGGTCAGGAATTCAAGACCAGCCTGGCCAACATGGTGATACCCTGTCTCGACTAAAAATACAAAAGTAAGCCTGGCGTGGGGGCGTGCGTCTGTAATCCCAGCTACGCAGGAGGCTGAGGCAGGAGAATCGCTTGATCCTGTGCGGCAGAGGTTGTGGTGAGCCGAGATTGCACCACTGCACTGCAGCCTGGGCAACAGAGGGAGACTCTGTCTCAAAATAAAATAATAAATAAATAAATAAATAAGAAAATGGAGAAGCTTCTTAGGAATAATAGACTCTGTTGTGTCATGTTTTAGTATTCTGTCTTATATCAATTGCGTGTAAATGCTTAGAACAAGCTTGTCCAACCCACGGCCCATGGGCCGCAGCCCATTGGTCTAGGATGGCTTTGAATGTGGCCCAACACAAATTTGTAAACTTTCTTAAAACATTATGAGATTTTTTTGCAATTTTTTGTTTTAGCTCATCAGCTATCATTAGTGTTAGTGTATTTTATGTGTGACCCAAGACAATTCTTCTTCCAGTGTGGCCCAGGGAAGCCAAAAGATTGGATACCCCTGGCTTAGAGGAAGGGCTGGGTTTGTTTATTAATCATTTTGATCAAACTATAAAAATATGACCAAGATAGATATTTTCAATGTTTTTCCTCATTCCAAATACATTGCCTCCTTAGTATTTAAGAAAAAATATTGTCTTAATATTTTTTTTTGGAGTCTCACTCTGTCACCCAGGCTGAAGTACAGTGGTGCAATCTTGGCTCACTGCAACCTCTGCCTCCTGGGTTCAAGCAATTCTCCTGCCTCAGCCCCCCAAGTAGCTAGGACTACAGGTGTTTGCCACCACACCCAGCTAATTTTTGGTATGTTAGTAGAGATGGGAATTTGCCGTGTTGCCCGGGGTGGTCTCACACTCCTCAGCTCAGGCAATCTGACCACCTCGGTCTCCCAAAGTGCTAGGATTACAGCTGTGAGCCACTGCACCCAGCCTCATTTTTAAAATATATATGTATACACATATATATGTCATCTTGTTAACATTATATATATATACTCCTGATTGTAACAAGACAATACATGCATACACACGTATACATACATGTGTACATGCATACATGCATGCACATGCATCCACTTATGCATACATGCATGTACATCTATGTATGCATGATACATGCATGTACATCTATGTATGCATGATACATGCACGTATGTATGCATGTATGGGTGCATGTATGTGCACTTGCATGTGTATGTATTGTGCATAGATGTGCATATACATGGATGCATGCATGCATGTATACATGTATGTGTGTGCATGCATGCGTGACTGCAGTTGGATACGTGTATACATGCATGTATAAATATATACACATTAGTGATTCCAAAACACTATAAATGTGATTATACCTAAGATGAACATCTGTATATGGAAAAAATAGGAAAAGTGAGATGTTTCTGCATGACACAGCATTCTCAGTGCACACAATGCCCTCATTAATCAGCAGGTTTTGCTAAGCTAATTTTTAGAATGAAAACTATAATAATAGAGCAAGTCTGTATCTAAACAAGAAAAATAAACTAGAGAAAAAAATATTGCATGGAGTTTGGCCAACAGAAATTAGATAAATCTGGTTGAATTTTTTTTTTTTTTTTTGAGACAGGGTCTCACTCTGTCCCACAGGCTGGAATCCAGTGGCATAGCCTCGGCTCACTGCACCTCCACCCCCCAGGTTCAAGCGATTCTCCTGCCTCAGCCTCCCTAGTCACTGGGACTACAGGTGTGCACCACCACGCCCAGCTAATTTTTGTATTTTTACTAGAGACAGGATTTCGCCATGTTGACCAGGCTGGTCTTGAACTCCTGACCTCGGGTGATCCACCCACCTTAGCCTCCTAAAGTGCTGGGATTACAGGTTGAAATTTATTAAACTGCAGTTAGATAACAGCTCTCATCCTTCTTGACTTTGCAGTATTATAGAGAAGAGCATAATAAAGTGGTAAAAAGGATCTGCATACATCCACTGTGGGTTTAGAAATCCTCAGAAATAAACTTATGTTCCCTACGATGTGTGGTCTTTTTCAGTCGAACTTTGTAGGTGTTCTGAGGTTTGTTAACAGACCATTCCTAATTAAAAACAAAAATCAAGCAAACAAAAAGCAACAAATATGACTTGTACTAGATAGAAATTAGCCCGTGCAAATGGCCATAGTAATACAATCTGTTGTGTTAGAGAAAGTTTGGTCCACAATATTGTGTCATAAACTAGCCTTTGGGTGATTCCTTTAAAGTATCCGAATAGAAATATCTGAAATATACAATATTTCTTCCCAACAGTTGGCATCTAGTTAAGCAAAATTGTACGTTTTAGGAAAAGCACCTTTTATGCATCCAGAGAAGGAAAGTGTGCAATATGTTTTCTAACATAGGCTACAAGTAATCACTATATATGCATGCATACACACATACACACACACGCACATACACACACACTCTCTCTCTCGTAGTGCTGCTCAGTATCACCCTCTACAGATGAGGCTGTTATTTGGTCTGATATCATTTAAATGCTGATGTTCTAAAAGTGAAAGGGCTGAATTTTTTTTACTGCTAAAAATCCCTCAAATCCACTGTTTAAAAAACAGTGCACCATGCTAACAAAAAGTTCCAAAGGTAAGGCTAATTTTCTGACAATTCATTGTGTACTTCCAGTCTTGGGCCTTTTCTACTTTGCTTGTTCTGTCTCCCTTTCTAGGCCAAGAGAGGATCTGCTTTCTCTCTATTTTAAGAGTTTGATTTCAGTATGTTTTGTTAGACTGGGTCGGTCAGCAGGTGTGCACTAACACATTGCCCAGGTGGCCACTTAATGCAGTGTGATTGAGCATGGAGGAAATAAGCAACCTTTCTCAGTGCATAGGGCTGTCTGGCTGCTCGAGCAGGTGAGTGTGATTAGCAACTGACTTTGGGTAGAGGTTCCCCTGTATTCCCAACAGATGTCCCCTTAATTGAAAGCTTGTTGTGACGCTGTTGATTCTGAGGCCCGAAATCCCCCTTAATGTCTCTTGCTTGTTAAAAATACACCTCCCATCCTTGAAGAGAGAAACTTGCTTAACAGTTACACAGGTGTGGTGGGAGAATGGGCATGCACATGCACACACATGAAAAATAAACTTTTAAAGTGAAACTGCAAATCCTTTACTGCCTTTCCATCAAATGGTCTCTAGCAATAAACCTTGAGGTCTGAATCATGCCATTTTAGCAAATGTTCCATTTAATTATGTTCTGGAATAAAGCAGTGCAACACATTTATAGGTGCATCCTTCAGAATTGTATAGACTGCTAGGATTGTTTGTTTATATTTATAGTCCATTATATTCAGAAAAATTAGAGCATATTGCAAAAATACAGAGGACAACAAGAGTTCTCCAGATTGGCTGAGAAAATAGGGGTGATTAAAAAGAAAGGAGAGAAAAGTAAAAAGAAACCAGAGATGAGATATGTAGACAAACCGTGCTCTGAGTTTCCTGTTTCTGATTGTTACAAGTAGACCACAGCTTAGACCTGTGCTTCCTTGCCCCAGAGCAAAGAGGAAAATAGAAACAATCTGTTATGTAGGCCGGGCGCGGTGGCTCACACTTGTAATCCCAGCACTTTGGGAGGCCGAGGTGGTGGATCACCAGAGGTCAGGAGTTGGAGACCAGCCTGGCCAAAATGGTGAAACGCTGTCTCAACTAAAAATACAAAAAAAAAAAAAAATTAGCTGGGCTGGTGGTGGGCACCTGTAATCCCAGCTACTCGGGAGGCTGAGGCAGGAGAATCACTTGAACCTAGGAAGCAGAGGTTGCAGCGAGCCGAGAGCACACCACTGCACTTCAGCCTGGGCAAAAGGGAGACTTTGTCTAAAAAAAAAAAAAAGAAGAAGAAGAAGAAGAAGAAATAATCTATTATGTGATTCTCATTGCCTATACAATGGGGATTGTAAAAAAAAAAAAAAAAGAAAGAAAATGTCAAAAACAAGTCTTTGTGCAGAGAGAAAAGAGAGGCATTTATCCCATGAGGCCTCATAAAGAGAACACGATTATATGCAGAATTTGCTTGAACCCTGTGGTTTATGTGCACTGTTTGCTTTGGATATTTGATACCACAGGAGGTTTTATGAGAAAGATTTAGTCATGTGCTACATGCATTGATATATGTAAATATTTCTTGTAATTCACTACATTTAATAGAATTCATTTTATAGCTCGTTGTTTCCAATTTGAAACAAAAAATGTAAAGTCATGAGTTGTGAATGGTTTTCTAGAGGGAATGATGTCAGGCATTCAAGGAAGTATTCATTCAAATGCATTTTTTGAGCACTATGTGAGCTACCTTGCTACTTTTGATTATATTAAGCAGATTTCACTGGGTTTAGTAAAGAAGGATAATTTTACAACTATATCACTGAGAATTTTATAATCTACAACTCTAAATCTCTGTTCTATTTCATAGTCAAACTTTTCTAAAAGGCCTCTCTACACACTACCTCCAGTTCATCGTCACTAATTTACTCTTCCACCTATTCCATATTCTAGGGAACACCCCTTATTTCAGTGCCCCCACTTACCCCATCCTCTCCTTAGGCTTATTATACAATATTCTCATAGTGTATCCACTACTTTCTGACTGTGATTTTCAGATTTGTTGGCAGGGTCATGTTTCTGATCCAGTCATAATTGTCATAATAAATGTCATAATTGTCCAATGATTAATTTTAGGACTTCTCTCTCTCTCTCTCCTCTACAGTAACCCCCTTCTTCCTTCCCTCTCTACCTGTGCTGATGGCTTCCATTAACATCTACATGCTGTTGACTCCCACATTATTCTTTCTAAACCAAACTTCTCTTCTGAGTCCCAGACTGTATATCCATTGATAATTCCACTTAGATGTCACTGAGTCATCACAAACTCAGAAAATCCAGGATAAAATTTCTGATCTTTGATATAAAACCTTGGGCTTCCTTAGTGTTCTCCAGCTTAGTGAATGTAACCACCAGCTATCAAGTTGTTCACATCAGAAAGACAGGGATCTTTCTAAACACCTTCTTCTCCTTCATTCCTGTGTCCAAAGTGATGATTAATTATGTATGTCAACTTAACTGGGCCACCGGATGCCCAGATATTGGGTCAAACATTATTCAGGGTGAATCTCTAAGGGTGTTTTTATTAGATGAAGCTAACATTTGAATTGGCAGCTTGCTCTTCCTAATGTGGATGTGCCTCATCCAATCACTTGAAAGCCTAAGTAGACCCTTTCTCAACTAAGAGGAAATTTTTTCCTGCCTGATTGCCTGGAGCTGGGACATTGGATTTTTTTCTGCCTTCGGACTTGAGTTGAAACATCATCTCTTCCTTGGTCTCAATCCTGCTGACATTCAGGCTACAGCTGCCGCATCAGCTCACCTAGGTCTCTAGCTTGCCAGCTGTAGCTCTTGGGATACATATGTATATGCACATATATGTGTGTGTGTGTATACTTGTAAATATGTTTGTATATATACACACACACGAATGTGCACACACACACACATATCACATTGTTCCGATCTTCTGGAGAACCCCCACTAATACATGCAGTGGTCCACAATCCCCGTTGATCTTACTTT
Source organism: Homo sapiens (assembly GCF_000001405.40). Lineage (NCBI taxonomy): Eukaryota > Metazoa > Chordata > Mammalia > Primates > Hominidae > Homo > Homo sapiens. The sequence continues at coordinate 8,915,405 of NC_000009.12, read as the reverse complement.
CTATATATGCCTCTTGTTGTAAATCACATCACCTAAATTCAATGGTCACCACCAGAGTTCTGTCTTTTACTTATATTAGTGTTGTAGCATCTTCGACCTTCATTGACACTGGTTTTCATCTAAACTATTCTCTGTGGCTAGTGGAAGTGGATTCTTCAAAACGTTGATCTCATTATGATGCCTCCTCGTCACACACACCCTTTTCTTCATCATGAAACTTGCAAAGGCTTTCTATTGTTTTTAGGATAAAAATGAAAATCCTGAGCATGACATATGAGACTCTGGATAGTTTTGTGTATATATGTCTTCAAACTGCTTTCATATTTTCCTCTCTTAGAGAGCTTTCTTAGCACTGACCACACTAGATGTTTTATAGTTCCTTGAACATGTGTTCTCGTACAGGGTTCTGGCACATGTTTTGTGATTTAGTTCCTTTTGTTATTCACATGCTTTCATCACATATCTGGTATACTAAGGACAGGATGGTAGAAGTAGTCTGCCAGGGTGTAAGCAATAAAGGGGTGTGTTGTCTGCAGAGGATCTAAAAACAATAATAAAATCCAGTAAATGTTAGTCTGCTTTTTATTGGTACCTTAAATCATCAATTCTAAATGGTGTCTCTCCTGAATAAATCTTTTGTTGGTCTAAATTCTAAACTATTGAGTTTCAATATTCACGTACACTTCAAATTGTTTAAAATTATGCTTTCGTAAGCATTATATTCTATGTGGAAGTTAATTTGTAGAACTCCTAGTTACATTGTCAGCCCTCAACATGGACTCAGCTACACATATTTGTTCAAATATGTTCAAACTGTTATAATTCTATAACAGTTCCCAATCATTACAGCTTGCTTCAGGTCCAGATTTATCTCGACCCCTATCACTCTACATATTTCTGAGCTTAAAGAGTAAGTTTTAAATAAACAATCATAGTGCAGTAGTTGTAAGTGAAAGAAATAATTTGACTTGCTTCAGTTCTGCAATCCTTTATGACCACCTGGAGTTTTTATTTCTGTTTAAAAGTTCAAATGGCAAAACAGAACAAATGGCAAAGTGTAATATTGTTATTTGGTAAGAACAAATTTTAGTTCACACAAAATATTTTGCTTAATTTGAGTAATATCTTCAAAATTCAAATGCATTCTTCCTTATTTATTTTAAAATTAAAGAATAATTAAAATAGTAATTGTTAATCATTATTACATTAAAATTATTGAAAACAATTTTGTCATATAGAAGAGAAAGGTGTTAAAATCATCCACTCTAGAGGTCAAATCCCTAGACATGCCACTGCATGAATCATGCTTCTTTTCTTCAGAGCACTGACTTTCAATTTTAGTACGTATTCATTAGTCTGATTGTATAATTAATCTCTGAATCCATGACCAAACTGACCGTTCTCTGAGAATAACAGCACCATGTATCTTTTCACTCACCATTGCATTGGCAGAACCTAGCACAATGCTAGCATGAAGTGAGTACTTAGTAAATATTTGTTGAATAGACAAATAAATGAACAGGTAATACTTAGATGGTCCAGGATTTAATCCAAGACTATCTACCCCCAAAGCAGGTCATAATCACAATACCTCACTGACTTCCAGTCTCATCTTCATTGTCCACCAATAAGTATACGTTTATTTGCAGAATATTGATAGCATGAATTTCTTCACTCTTTCTAGTCACTCTTCATTTGGAAGACAGGAAAGGTAAGGGAAAGTATGGGGAATGGGGTAGGGAAAGTTTGCCTTAATAAGAAGCTCATTCTTGCAAAACGCATTCCTAAATTTAGGTCAGAATACCAATGTATAGCAATTAAATGGAAGTCACTCATTATAATACTTTTTTATTTAAATTAAGAAAAAAATATGAGCTATGCCAGATGTATGCAGACTCAGAATAGAACCCCTCATCTGTAAATAATATACTTTGCTTGATTTTTGAGGCTTGATATAAACAAATGGATGTTGCAAAATGCTTTATTTATTTTTTATGTAGGTTTTTACCTTTGATATGTTTGTGAATATCCAACAGAGAGATGTCTTCAGTAATATGTCTTACAAAGGCGGATTCTAAAAATAGTAACTCCAAAGGCAAGGAATACTCACGTTTTATCTTACAACAAGGAATACTCACATTTTACCTTTCAAATATTTATGAAATACATGGTATTTTCTTTTTTATCCCATTGCCAATTATTGCAAACACACACAAGGTAAAGTTTACTACATGTGCCAGGTAATGTTCAAGTCATGTTCATAAAGTTTTTTTTTAAAGAAAATTCTGTGGTATTTATGTTGAAGAGAAGAAAAGAGAATTACAAAGGTGATATTATTGAACTTCTCAAAATGGCGGGGTATAAATTCATAAATCGTTAAGCTTAAGAACCTAAAAGACTTTTCAAAATAGATTAATGGGAAGAATCATCATCATTATAATTAACATTTGTGTAGTTTTTTATGCCTCACAAAGCAGTTTCATATCTCATTTGAGCTGTACAACAGTGACTTCAAATAGGGACATAGGTATTTACACCTCTGTTTCTACCATTTAGGAACCTGAGGTTTAGCTGTGGCAACTTTACCAGGGTTCTACAGAAATTCAACAAGCCAAAAGTTCAACTCAGATAATTTAGCTCCACACTTAATTTCCATTTTATTTAACTAAACAATGAATATATTTTTTAAAAAATTATACATTTCCTGAATTAATCCATTGTCTTTATTTTTAGTAAAACCTTTTCTCTAATTTTAATAGCTTTATAGGGGTATAATTCACATACCATACAATCTAACCATTATAAGTGTACAATTCAATGTTTTTTGTATCTATTACCACAATCAGGCTTTGTAGCATTCCCACCACCCCAAAAGTTCCTGTTTTCAGTCAGTTCCCATTCTCAACCTGGTCCCAGACAACCTCAGATCTGTTTTCTGTCTCCGTAGGTTTGTCCTTTCTGTAAAGTTCATATAAACTGAGTCATACAATGTGTAGTATTTTGTTTGTGTCTGACTTCTTTCACTTCTCATGTTTCTGAAGTTCATCCATGTTTTAGGGTTTATCAATGGTTTGTTTCTTTTCATTGCTCGTTATTACTCCATTCCAAGTATATATAACATTGTTTATCCATTCACCAACTGATGGACATTTGGTTTGGTTCCCGTTGGGTCTATAAAGAATAATGCTACTATGAACATTTGCATACATATTTTTACATGGACATATATTTTTATTTCTCTTGGGTAAACACCTAAGAGTGGAATTCCTGGGTCATCTGCCAAATCTATGTTTAACATTTTACAGAATTGTCAAAATGTTTTTCTGAAGTGGTATGTTATTTTTCACTACCACTAGTAATGTATGAGTATTCCACTCTCTCCACATCCTTACCAGTACTTGTTACTGTTAGTCTTTTTGAATATAGTCATTCTAGTGGGACTAGGGTTGTATCGCATTGCAGTTTTAATGGGCATTTATCTAATGACTAACGAAGCGAGAATTTTTTTATTAATCATTCATATATCTTCTTTGATAAAATGTCTGTTCAAGCCTTTTGCTCATTTTTAATTGAGTTGTTTATCTTATTGAAGTTTATGAGTTATTTATATCTTTTGGATATAATTCCTCTATCAGAAATATAATTTGCAAATATTTTCTTCATTTGTGGGTCATTTTTCACTTTCTTAATGCCACCCTTTAAACAGAAAAAAAATTAAATTTTGCTCAAGTTCACCTATTGCTTTTTAAAAATTTTTATGGATCATGTTTTTGGCATCATATGTAAGAAATCTTTACCTAATCTATGATCACAAACATTTTCTCTTGTGTTTCCTTCTAAAAATAGTATAGATTTAGCTCTTACATTTGGGTCTATGATTTATTTTGAGTTAATTTTTGTGTGGAGTTTGAGGTAAGTATCAAAAGTGTTGTCATTCATTCTCTCTTTGTCTCTCTCTCTCTCTCACACACACACACACACACACACACAACACACACACACACACAGACACACACATGGGCATCCAGTTCTCCCAACCCATTTATTGAAAGGACCATCTTTTCCCAACTGAATTGCCTTGGCACTTTTGTCAAAAATCAATTGACCTTAAATACGAGGGTTTATTTCTGGAGTCTCACTTCGGTTCTAATGGTCTATATGTCTCTTCTCAGGACAATACCACATTGTTTATAGCAAGTTCTTAAATCAATAATGAAAATCCTTCAACTTTGTTGTTCTTTTTCAATTTTTTGGCTATTTTAGATCCTTTGAATTCATATAAATTTTAAAATTGTACAAAAACATGCCTGCCAGCATTTTGACTGTGTTGAAATGCTGTGCCAGCATTTTGATTCAGATTGTGTTGAATCTACAGATAAGTTTGAACGAGAATGACCATTTTAATAATAGTGTCTTTAATCGATGAATATGGAATGTCTCTCCATTAATTTATATGTTCTTAATATCTTTCAGCAATGTTTTGTAGTCTTCTGTGTACAAGGCTTGCGCTTCTTTTGTTCAATTTATTTCTGAGTGTTTTTATCCTATTATGAACATAATTTTTACTTAGTTTCACTTTTGGATTGTTCATTGCTAATGCATAGAAATAAAATTAATTTTTGTATCTTGATTTTATATTACGTAATCTTGATAAATTTGTTTTCTAGTTCTAGTAGATTATCTTAGTCCATTTTCTTTTGCTTATAACAGAATATCTGAAACTGAGTAATTGATAAGAAATGAAATTTATTTCTTACAGTTCTGGAGGCTGGGAAGTTCAAGGTTGAGGGAGCACATTTGCTGAAAGCCTTCTTGCTGGTGGGGACCTCCTGCAGAGTCCCAAGGCAGTGCAGGGTATCACATGGTGAGGGGCTGAGCATGCTAGCTCAGGTCTCTCTTCCTCTCTTGTAAAGCCACCAGTTCCACATGGTGATAACTCATAAATCCATTAACCCAATTATTAATTAGTGGATTAATCCATTTGCGAGTACAGATCCTTCATGACCCAATCACCTCTTAAAGGCCCCACTCTCAATACTGCCACATTGGGGATTAAATTTCTACATAAAGGCCAGGTGCGGTGGCTCACACCTGTAATCCCAGCACTTTGGGAGGCTGAGGTGGGCGGATCACGAGGTCAGGAGATCGAGACCATCCTGGCTAACACGGTGAAATCCCGTCTCTACTAAAAATACAAAAACTAGCTAGGCGTGGTTGTGGGCGCCTGTAGTCCCAGCTACTCGGGAGGCTGGGGCAGGAGAAGGGTGTGAACCTGGGTGGCAGAGCTTGCAGTGAGCCGAGATTGAGCCACTGCACTCCAGCCTGGACAACAGAGCGAGACTCCATCTCAAAATAAATAAATAAATAAATAATAAATAAATAAATTTCTACATAAGTTTTGGAGAGGACAACTGTTTAAACTATAGCATAAAATTTTCTGGTAGATTCTCTAAGATGTTCTACATGCCAGATCATGTCATCTATAAATAAAGACAGTGTTACTTCCAATTTTTCTTTTTCTTTCTTTTTTTTTTTTTTTGCCTTTAATATCTCTCTCTCCATCTCCCTTTCCTGTTCCCATCCCTATCTCTATCTCTGTCTCTATCTCTGTCTATCTCTATCTCTATCTCTATCTCTGTCTCTATCTCTATCTCTATGTCTTCCACCTTATTTGATGTTTACATGGTTCCAGAATAATCTTGAATAAAAGACGTCTTTGCTTCTTTTCAATCTTAGGAGAAAAGCATTCCGTTTTCATCATTATGTATTATGCTAGCTGTAGAATTTTTGTAGATGTCCTGTTTCAGGTTGATGAAATCCTTATTTGCTTAGTTTGTTGAAAGTTTGTATCTGGAATGGGTGTTTGATTTGTCAAAACTTCTTTCATACTTATTGAAATGATCATATGGCTTTGCCCTTTTGTCTGTCAAGGCTTACTACATTAATTGAATATAGAAAATTAAACCAACCTTGTATGTTAAATTTCACTCGATCAATATATATAATTCATTTTTATGTGGGTAGATTTAGGTTGCTAATATTTTGTGAAAAATTGTTGTGTCTATGTCCACAAGCAATATTGCTTTAAAGTTTTATTTTTATGTGATGTCTTTGTTTGGTTCTGGTATCAGCATAATGCCAGCATCATAGAATGAGTTTGGGAGTGTTCTGTCTTCTATTTTCTGAAGGAGTTTATGTAAAAATGGTGAATTGATATAATTCACTAGGGAAACAATGTGATCTTGGGCTTATCTTTATGAGAAGATTTTTAATTCCCAGCTGAATTTATTTTCTTTTTGTAGGTCTATTCAAGTTTTTCTTTTTGAGTCAGTTTTGCTACTGGGTATCTTGCTTGAAGTTTGTCTTTTTCATCTAAGTTGCATAATTTGTTTTAAAGTTTTCCATAATTATATATTTTATATCATATGTAATTATACATAATTATTATATATAATTTATTTTCATATTCATGTCAAATTATGAGCCTTTTAATTATGAGGCTGTAGCATTAATAATGATAGGTCTTCTTTCTGTAGTTGATTTTAGTAATTACTTTCTCCCTTTTATTCTTGGATAATCGAGTTAAAGGTTTATCAGTTTTCTTACTGCTTCCAAAGAATAATTTTCTTTATTATTTTTATATTTCTTTAATTTCCAAGCTGATCTTTACAATTTACTTTCTTATGTTTGTTTTGGGGTTTAATTTGTTCTTCTTTTTATAGTTTCTTAAGATGGAGGCTTAGGTTATTGATTTGAGACTTTTCTCCTTTTCTAATATAGATGTTTATAGCTATAAATCAGCCTCCAACATTACTTTAGCTGCCTCCTAAGTGTTTTGTATGTTGTGTTGTTATTTTCATTCAGTTCAAAGTATTTTCTAATTTCTTTTTTAAATTTCTTCTTTACCCCATGGGTTATTTAAAAATGTGCTGTTTAATTTCTGTATATTTGGGTATCTCCCAATTTTTTTCTGTTGTTGATTTCTTATTTAATTATAATAAAACAACATACTTTGAATGGTTTCAATTCTTTTGAATTTAATAACTTTATTTTCTCCTGTGAATTTTAGCTACTCATTAATGTCATTTTCTTTCAGCCTGATGAAATTCCTTTAGTGTTTCTTACAGTGCAAGTCTGCTAGCAACAAACATCTTAGTCTTTCCTTATTTTAGAATGTCTTTATTTTGCTTTCATTTTTGAAAGACAGTTTTGCTGAATATTGATGTCTTGGTAGACATTTTTTCAGCAGTTTCATTACAACATTCTGCTGTCTTCTGGCCCCCATTGTTTGTAATAAAAAGTCAGCTATTAATTGTGCTGCTGCTTCCTTGTATGTGGTGAGTCATTTTTCTCTTCCTGCTTTCAAGATTTTCTCTTTATTTTTAAGATTTCAACTGTGTGACCATACTGTTTCTAGATGAGACTCTCTTAGTGCTTGTTCTACTTGTGGGTACTTGAGCTTCCTGGATCTGTTGATAGTTTTCATCAAAATCATAAAGTTTCAGCTATTACTTCTTCAATTTTTTCTGCTCCTTTTATGTATTTTTCTTCTGGGACTCATATTACATGTATATTAATACACTTGCTTTATCTCACAGGTCCCTGGAGCTATACTCATTTCTCTTCAATCTTTTATTCTCTGCTCTTAAGATTGAATATTTTCTGTTGATCTCTTTTTAGAATCACTGACTCTTCCTTCTTACACGTCTTATTATATATTAAGTCCATGTAGTAAATTTCTCATCTTTGTTATTGTACCATTAAACACAAAAATTTCCATCTAGTTGTTTTTAATAGTTGCTTTATCTGTATTCCCCATTTGTTGATTCAATGCTGTGTATTTTTCTTCTTTATATATATATATATATATATTTTTTTTTTTTTTTTTGAGACGGAGTCTCACTCTGTTACCTTGGCTGGAGTGCAGTAGCACGATCTCAGCTCACTGCAACCTCCGCCTCCCAGGTTCACATCATTCTCCTGCCTCAGCCTCCCGAGTAGCTGGGATTACAGGTGACCACCACCATGCCTAGCTAATTTCTCCGTTTCTTTAAATACTATTTTATTCCTTGAACATGTTTATAATGATAGCTATTTTTCCTGAATAGAATTCATATTGTCTTGTTTCTTTGCCTATCCCTAATTTTATGTTGACAAATTCACATTTTAGATAACATATTGTGGCAGCTCTGGATTGGATTTTTTTTTCCTGAGAGCTATAATTGTTTCTATTATTTTTTGTTGTTTATTTGGTGTGTTTATAAGTATTTTTCCTGGATTTAATTTGCAGAATCTATCTCTATTGTAGTATGCAGTTGCTAGCATGCCTGATGATGTCATCTGCTGATAGATACATATGTGGGTTGAGAAACATATGCAAAATTTCGGCAGTTTTCAATTCTGTCCTAACTTTTACTTTCCACTGGGCCCTTCCAGGTTCCCCTTGCATATGCACAGCTTTCCAGGCAATCAGTGATGGATGGAAAGTTTGGGCCCTCTCAAGTCTCCTCTGCCTTTGTGTGAGCTTGCAGTCAGCCGGGGATGTGTAGAGTTTAGCAAGACCTTCCATGGTGCTCTCATTTTTCGGATCTCCCTGTTAAACGTCTGGATAGTCATATAGTCTGCCGAAAAGACCACAATTTAGGCTAAGAGAGCTGCTGTTGGGAGAGCTCCCCAACATAATAGAATTGTCTTAGTGACAAGCAGAGGAAGGTGGAAGGGAGCAGGGACAAATGGGAGGAACCCCAGGCATTAATGCCACAGATTCCCACTATTAGTGGAATTTCAGCACTTTTTACAAGTAAATCCTTTGCAAGTGGTTACTTTTTACATTTTTGTATAGGATGATGTCTTAATTTTTAAATATTTCTTACAATGTAGTACGTCAGTGTATCATAGCATTATCTCATTTACTTCTTTGATCACCTCTTGAGGTAGATAATTAATTTCTGTTTTACAGGTGAGAAAACTGAACTATATCAAGACAAAGTAACTTCCCCAAAGTTACACTGATGAAAAATGACAAAGTCAGAATCTATCTACAGTGCACTCTCTTCTTAAGTCACTCAAACTAATTGTAAAAGAATTTGGAACAAGGTAGAGTTAATTTGCTCAAACAAGTGCTTAAAAAAACAGTGCTTAGCTCCTTGCTATCAAACTTTTAAACTTCTATAAACCATGACTATAAGGAGGAAAAAAAGATGTTTGTTTTAATGGCACTCAAAAGGATAAAATTATCATCTAGTCAGGAAAATTTCCAAACTCAGGGCATAGGTCCTTACAAATATTTAATTCATTATGTTTGTGTTGCATTCATTGCATTCAAGAAATATTTGCCATGTGTCTCTCTGAGCTTTGGACGTACAGATTTATCTACACATATGAAAATGAAATGTAAAGCTAAACTATGCTCACTTAAGACTAAACTTGGAAAACTTAAACTTTGGCATTCCAAATGAAGCTGGTCTATGGTGATATTTATTTTTGCATTTGGTAATGTGTAGTATAAGTTAGCAACACAGACATGATTTGTTTCCTTAGGATCATTGTGAATAAACTCGTTGGATTGGGAAATATCCTGTGTCAAGACAAATTATTCCAAGCTAGCCTACAATGGAAGAAGGGTAGGCTAATTCTTTTCTCTCTCTCCATTTTTTTTTTTTTTTTTGCGAGGGAGTCTCACTCTGTCTCCCAGGCTGGAATGCAGTGGCGTGATTCCGGCTCACTGCAACCTCGGTCTCCCTGGTTCAAGTGATTCTCCTGACTCAGCCTCTTGAGTAGTTGAGATTACAGGCACTCGCCACCATGCCCAACTAATTTTTGTATTTTTAGTAGAGAAGGGGTTTCACCACATTGGCCAGGCTGGTCTTGAATGCCTGACCTCAGGTAATCCGCCCGCCTCAACCTCCCAATGTATTGGGATTACAGATGTGAGCCACGACGTCCGGCTGGCTAATTCTTTATCCTCTGATGTGTGCTTATAGTCCTCATCTTTTTTGCACATTCAAAGGAAGTGCAGTGCATCTGGAGGGCCATAATGTACACAGAAAGAAAATAGCACTTCCGAGGGCAACCACTGAGAGCCTACGGGAAGAAGGCCAAGGGAAAGGCCAAGTTTATACATATCTATGAAAACAGGAACAGAAATGCAAACCATGGCCAAATTAAAATCATCACAGAATGCTTTACTTTGGAACTGCTTGATTTTTCTGAAACATAAACATTGGATTGATTTGCATGTTACATAAATCCTTTAGCTTCATCTTGACTTTTAGCCACCCAATCAGAGATGACTGGTGAGAATGACCTTAAAGGTAGACAATGTTCTCTTTCATTTTTGTATACTCATAATTCTAATCATTTGTGTCATTTAAATCTTGAAGTGTTTTTCTTCTAACTCTGGCCTTATTTTCTTACAATCTTGCCAAGTTTCAAGTTTACATCTTCGGCCAATTTTAATGTGTATGCAAACCAAAAATGTCCAAACATGCTCATTTCAGTGGAAAAATGTGTGTGTGTTTTTATATATCAGAAACATGAAATTTAGTTGAGTTGATTTTTACCTCAATTATATGAAAACATGCATTATGAGTGTACAATCAAATATAAGATTTTCCCAAGTACATTTGTTATTTTAGAAAAATATCTACAGACCACAGTAATATACGATTATGTGTTTTGCAAATAATATTTAACATGACCAACTAAATGTAATGTGTAGCTTTTTTTTTTTTTTTTTAAGAGTCTCCCTCTGCTACCCAGGCTGGAGTGCAGTGGTGTGATCTCAGCTCACTGCAACTTTTGCCTCCCGGGTTCAAGCGATTCCCATGCCTCAGCCTCCAGAGTAGCTGGGACTACAGGCATGCGCCACCATAGCTGGCTAATTTTTGTGTTTTTAGTAGAGACAGGGTTTTACTGTGTTGGCCAGGCTGGTCTCGAACTCCTGACCTTAGGTGATCTGCCCACCTCAGTCTCTCAAAATGCTTGAATTAAAGGCATGAGCCACTGCATCTGGCCTAATGTGTGACTTTTGATTGGATCCAAGTTTGAGAAATAAGCAGCTATACAATTTTTACAGGAAATTTGAATATGGATATATATTACATAAGAGCATCATATCAATCTTAAATTTACTGAGTTCTAAAACTTTATTGTGGTTATACGAAAGAATGTCCTAGTAGTTCTTAGGAGATAAATGCTAAATTACTTAAAGGTAAAGTGCCACGATGACTAAAACTAACTCACAAATGTTTTAGGAAAGAAAGAAAATAAATAGCAATAAACCATTTGTTGCAAATTATTCACAATTGGTGAAGAGAATGTCAGTGTTCACTGTAGCATTATTGCAACTTTTTTGTAAATTTGAAATTTTTCAGAATAAGAAGTTGAAAAAATAAATAATCGAATCATAATATCATAATATATTCCACATGTAAGTGAACACGTTTAGACTTCTTGCTTTACAAATCTACTATGAGACACTGCCTTGAGCCATTTTTCAAAATAAATTGGAGGGATATAAATATGTAAATATGTGGAACATAAAACAATATTTAAGTCAACCATTATTACCATGAACTTTATGCAATTCACTTGTAGGATATTGCTTTACAGAGTAGTCTTTTAAATAGTAATCAAATTTCCCATAATTTTTTAAAGGTAGAGAATCAGAACAGTTTGTTAGTTTTACTGATAAGGAAACTAAAGCCCACAGAAGATAATTACTTACTATAATTCATTAATATGTAGCATTGAAATATTTTTATTCGTTTTTATTTTAAGGAGGTTTACAAAATAGTTTGGGGATACTTCATGTCAAAATTGTTACTTACAGTGCAACAACATTCATCCTTGTTGTTGAAAATTTTTGTCAAACCTACTGATTTGAAGCTTTTGAAAGTGATTGATTTAATCCAAATGCATACCTCCTCCAGGAGGACATACAACCTGGAAAAATAAACATTAGCAGGAATGGTAATACTTTAAAGACAGGATAATGATGCTAATGGATGACTAAAAGTTGGCTTCACACTTTTTCTACCAATCATGGACCTTTTCTTTGAATATGTTCCTGAGTCAGTCAGTTGCTTAGTGTAATAGCATGTGGCTAGGCTGAAAAACTAATAGTCGAGTACTATGCTCAGTACCTGGGAGATGAGATGATTCATATCCCAAGCCTCGGCGTCATGCAGTATGCCCAGGTAACAAACGTCCACATGTACCTGTGAATCTAAAATAAAATTTGAATTAAAAAAAAAAAGAATAAGATAGATCCCTAAGCCACTTATTTATTACGTGGCCTTAAGCAAGTTTCACAACAGATTTGGATTCCTAAACGTGGTGAGATTTTCACTATTTGATGTTTCATTATTCAAGATAATTTGAACAAAATAAGATTTTTATCTTCATTCTAAATTCATTTTCCTTACTTCCCAAAAACTTGTGAAGCCTTCACTAAACAACAAAACAAACAATAAAGCACCTAAGCCCTTCATTACTACTATTAACCTTCTGAAAAATCTTAACAGAAATAGAAATTATGATTACCTTCGAATGATGATTTTGAAGACTGAAATTGTAAAGATTTCAAATGGCATTTTGAAAATTCAAATAGATTTTTTAACCACCGTATACCATGTGTTGGACAGATTTGCCAAGGCTTATTTTTCTTTTTTCCTACAAGCTTATGATCTATGGTGCTGTTTCTTAAACTTTAAAGTATATACAAATCATCAAACATCTTGTTAAAAATGCAGATTCCAGGCTGGGCGTGGTGGCTCATGCCTGTAATCCCAGCACTTTGGGAGGCTGAGGGAGGTGAATCACTTGAGATGAGGAATTCAACACCAGCCTGGCCAACATGATGAAACCCTGTCTCTACTAAAAATACAAAAAATTAGCCAGGTGTGGTGGCACATTGCCTGTAGTCCTAGCTACTTGGCAGGCTGAGGCAGGAGAATCACTTGAACCCAGGAGGCGGAGGTTACAGTTAGCCAAGATCACACCTCTGCACTCCAGCCTGGGCAACAGAGTAAGACTCAGTCTCAAAAAAAAAAAAAAAGAAAAAGAAAGAAAAGAAAAGAAAAATGCCAATTCCAGTTGAATAAATCTGGGTTGGGTCATGAGGTGTGCATTGCTAATCATCTCTAAGGTCACAGTGAAGTTGCTGTTCTACCAACAACACTTTGAGTAGCAACAGTTTCTGTCACATGACAGTGTCATAAACACACATATACCTAGAAACTCTGGTGGAAGCCTAAATGAGATTAATATTATGTCAATATGTGCATAGTATATGATAATACAGTAATAGACTCATAAATAACTGAATAGAGATTATGCATATGGGATATCTGTGTGTGTATGTGCAATTGTGTAGAAAAAGGCTGACTGGAACACTCTATCTGAATCCCTTATTTTTCAAGTAAGAAAATTAAGATTCAGAGAATTTAATAGATTTATCCAGAATTGTTGACACAAAGCCAGAGAGCTGGTACTTGTTCCTATGCCTGTGTCTGGAATTTCAGAGAAGGATTTCATCATCTTATATGTATGAAAATCATTAGTATGACTATTTTTGTTAGAGAACAAAAGGAAATTATAAAGTCAGACCAAGGACAGCAATGAGATCTAGAAAGAGAATATGCTCATCTGAAACAATGAATAATGTGATGCAATTACACTCATTTCAAGTAATTTATTTTCTGATTTAGGATACACTAGCATGGCTAATTAATTGGGAGTAGCCAGAGAAAGAAGGGGAACAGCTAAGTGCTGGCAATCAGGAGACCTACGTTCCAGCCTCTGCTCTGTCACTACTTTACTGCTGAGAGCTTGGATAAGTTACTTAAACTTCATGGAGCATTTTGCATTTGTTTTTCATCTGTGAAATGGAGATAAGAAGTGTTGCCCTACTTATCGCATGCTGCTGTTGTGAGGCAATAGATGTAAACACATGTGCAAAATTAACAGTGCTCTACAAATGTATCATTTTTACCATTATCATTAATATTTATGACTAGTCATTCATATTGATGGAAATAGTTCACTGTCATAATTGAGGAAAGGGAATTTTGCCATTGGCTTGTTTCTTTCTCTTCTGGAACTTTTCCCAGCCAGTTTAGGTGGCTTTCTGAGCTCAGACTCTTACCCATCAGAAACAATCAGAGTACAGAAGATGCAAATGTTAGATTTGTGTCGTGGTATACACTGCAGGATATGTGCAGAGCTGTTGAGCTCCAATGAACCCATGAAGCTCACTGAAAACTCTTTGGCTTCTCCTTTTTCTGTTCCTTGTGTTTTGCCCTTTCTTAGTAACTGTTCAAATGCCCTTCTTGCATGTGTCCTGATACTGTCCTTTTCCTCCTTTTTTCTATATCCCCTTTTCCAATCTGATAAAGCCTACTGATATCAATGCTATCATCATGTACTTACCTGTACTTAGGTCAGCAAGACATTTATTACTTTTGAAAAATGAAAATTAAAGTTGGATGGAATTCTATAAAGCTGTCAGTTTTGGCTTTCAAAGCCAAAAATATTATATCAATATGCCTACTAAAAAGCATTGCTGAAATCTTATGCTAAACCAAGCATTTGTTTTACAACTGCAATCCTAAATTCTTTGGGACCATTTTCCCCCACATTTAATGTGTGTTCAGTGCTAATTTGGTTTATTCACTACAAACAAGACTGTCTTTCTCAGCATTTTGAAGATTCTACAGAAAGACCTTATGTCACTCATACTGCTATACTATCATTACTACAGCATCATGACCATCCCCAACCTACTTAAATATATCAATGTAATCCAAAAGGAAAATTGGTGGAGCACCACCATGCAGGGTCAAATTCTGGGCAAACAGTGACCTGACCCAAGGACTGATTATTTTAAAATTAATAATAGTGTAGTTCTGAAAATGAACAGTTTGGACCATTCACTCCATTTACAATACAAAATTTGGGTTTGTTCTTTATTGTTTATGATTGTGCCATTTTATTACAGTTTTTAGATGAGCAATTAAAACTCTTGAAAACTCTAGCAAAATCCAAAACATTATTTTGCCATCATGTTCTTTAAATGTCAATATCTTCATTCCTGTGCACAAATATTTTAATGGTATGATAACCTGTTGCCTCCTTTAAACATACATTTTGATACATTAAAAGGGATATTTGTATTACTTTCTAATGGTGCTTTTTCACCAAGGTAATACCTTTGAACCTAATTATTTTATGAAATATCATTTTAACAAATTATTTATATAGTATGTCATATAAGTCCGCTCACGGCCTTAAAAATGACCAACAGTCGTTGAATAGAATAGTCCATTACTCAGCTTGACAATGCAGTTTTGATACACATCTACACTGACCAAAGATTTTAGTAAAAAATTTAAGAAAGAAAAATGATCTCAAAAAGAAGATGTGTTCAAGCATGTTTGGAATAATTTGGATTTGTTTTTCCACAAAGATTCATGTTTCCAAATCGTTTATCTGCTCCCATTCTAAAAACTTTAACAAATACTTGTTGCTCTTTGAATGTCTAGATTTTAACCGGATGAACTTCTCTCATTTTACTCTACTCTCAAAGGCAACATGCCGACTGCCAAGCACTCACCCACAAGGATACCTAAAACATGCATATACTAGCATCTGGGCGAAATTTAGCAATCCCCATTGTGACACATTGCAAATGCAAGTGAAAGGAGAAACGTTCACTTTTGTGGGTTCCAGGCAACTACTCCAGTCTAAACACAGGCTGTTTCCTTTAAAACCACCCTCAACAACCTTCCCACAACTGCTCCTTGCCATGAAACAGCTACCACTTGCAGGATGGGGGGAGCAAAAATGGAAACAATCTGTTTAGTGCACTTTTCCAGAAAATTTCTGCTTTGAGACCTTTCTGACACCATCCAAGTATTACCTGCAGTTGCTGTTTATGCATACTCATAGCTGGGAGATATGCCGATCTCTAGTTGAACAACAAAAATGCGGAGACACAATCCCATCCCTTGAATTGTGCAACTGCTTGAATTAATGTTTGAGAACACAGTCAATTTTAAAAATACGGGAACACAGAGTCCATTATGTTCAACTCACTTTTGTTAAAGAGGGCATGCTACCTTTAGTTTTCAGGTGTTGTAAGTCAAAGGAGAAATGCCAGTTGAGGGACCCAGGTTCAGAAATGATAATTACGGTGCTCTTGGATTAGGCCTCTGTAGCAAATGCAAGATGGCTTTATAAGCCCTGCCCAGCAGATAAACAATCTTTTTTTTATCTTGCCTGGTTCTCCGTTAGCTCTGCAGCTCTCTTTAAGAGAGAAAAAATTATCTGATACAGAAATTTATGAAGGGAGACATTTGATAGGTGGATCACTGATGCAGATAATCCAAAATGACAAATTTTCATGAAGTCACTTTTATTAAAATACTCCACTTATGTTCCATTATTGCCTATTTGCCTTCCTAGTTATATTTTTGCTTTTGTCAGTGAGTTGATTGAAACATGAAAATAGTCTTTTTATATATAAAACAAACATGTCTTGTTAAAAAATAAAATCTATCACTTTATTTCCCCTACTTAATATGACCTTTCACAGATGACTTCTCTGTCTGATATGCATGGTCCTCCAAATTCTGTCCCATCATACCAGTGTTAGTAATAATTGAACAATATTTGTCATCAGTGGGGGAAAAATTAAGCTGTTTCCTGAGGTTTGAAAAAAGTTGCATTGAGATCTTATTCGTGCCAAGTCTTATGGATTAGATACTCAATTAAAGTAGTTGATGTAGAAAATATAAAATCTCACTCAACCTCTGTATTTTAATTTAGTTTTTGAATGCTATTTTATATATGTAAAATGTAATGCAATACTTTTATTAACTCATTATTATTTTGTAGTTATTCAATTCAATCCATATAAAATAGAAATCTGGATTGCCACCTACATTGTATAAATAATCACCAAGAGTAGAATGAGAGAACAGTCAGGCTACCTGGGATGGGGTCAGTTTGTACTTAGGTTTTCCTCTGCCACCATCACCAAACTTTCAGTTTTCTTCTCCTTCCCCTCTATCCCCAACTCTTTGCTTCCAAGTATAGGAGATTCCTGGGGCTCTCAGATAGTTATTTTAAAAGAAAAAAAAAAGTTCATTTTCTCTCAGAGTTGATAATGCCACTGAGAGGCACACATCCTTATATAAAAGAGAATATGAGTAAAAATGGATAATGTCCTACAAATCATACATAAGAGTTGAGGGCATGAGAAGACTGACAAGGGATGAGGAGGGGAAACTTTCAGGAAAGAGAGTGTCTAGGGCAGAGAAGTGAGAAATGGAAATGAATTAATAGGGAAGAGTGGAAGAAGGTTAATGGTGACCATATTTCAGCTAATGAATCAGAGAAAATGTGTCATGAATGTTGATGCAAATCTTTAATTATGTAGCATCTTACAGTTTACAAAGTACTTTTGCCATATTATCTCATTTGCTTTTCGCTAAGGTTCCATGATATAGGCAGATGGGGTGTTACTAATCCTCACTCTGTAAATAAAGAGTTGGAGTGCCAGAGAAGTTTGGTGCCAATCCTGAAGTTCACACAGTAAGAAAGTGACAAGGAATCAAATGTTTATCCAACTCAGCATTCTTTCCAGCTGTGTGCCCCCCATATCTCAGGTTGCCAACGTCTTTACCAGATTCCCAGAGGAGGCTCTTTACTTCTGGCCAGGTCTTTCCATCAGGGTACCCTGAAAGCATTGTTCAGGTTGGTACTGAGTCCTGGGTTCCCCTGGAGGTATGTCCCACTAAGAAATCCTTGTCTGTGTTGTTTTACTGGTGCAGACAGCTCATGGCGAAGGCCCTCTCTGGGGATATCAAAACTCTCTAGGTCCAGGTTCAAAATCTTCCACACATTCTCTGTGTCTGCTTTTAGCCAGACACCATCACTATGTGGTAGCTTACCTCAAAGCTTCACTTAGTGTATCAACCCTCAGAAGCACTTTCTGATCCCTTCAACCTGCACATCTGTCTTCTTATCTAAATTCCAGCCCAGCTCAATCCATACCTTCTGACCATGCTACGAAAAAAAAACATCTCTTTGTAAACTTCTCTTATGCTTATTGTCTTTTCACTCATTTAGCTATGAGTCAGTCTGCATGTACCTTGAGATGAGTGTCTACAACTTACGCTTGTTCGATATTCCCTTCAGCAGGGAACCCACAGGCATTTAATAAATATTCCTTGATTGATAGATTTTGGCCTCTGTCTCTACCTCAACAAAATGAAATATTATGGCTATATTGTAAGAGTTTCATAATGAAAATGATCATCAGCAAACATAATTTATCCTGATGTATTTCACAGTATTGTAGATATATTAAAGTTTCTCCTATCAAAAGCCTTTAATTTGTTTTTATCTTTTTAGAAAGAGGCATTTATTCACTTCAGTTACCTATATAAAATTAGAACTAATCTACAGTTCTCTTTCTTGATCTCAAAGCAACTGTAGGTATGCTTTTATTTTTACCAATTTGATTGGAATTATCAACTTTGGGATTCATTTCTGATGAAAAATAACCTGAATCTGTAATATTAACTCTAAAGGAACTAAAGGGAATGTTTTATGTGCCTGTGGGAAGCTTTAGCACTGTACAAATTAATTGCACTCATCTATAATCTTTCTGGGAGTTACGTATATGCAGGCCAATTGAATCATGAAATTAAACCTGAAACTATTCAAGTCACACAGACTATGGGATGATATTATCTCAGAATTACCTACTCCTCTTCATTAATCTATTGATAAAGTAAACAGTTTTATTATCTTCTGCCCCAGCATTTGTTTGTGGCAATAACTAGTTCCAAAATTTTTACTAAAATTAGATGTTAGGTTGTGATTCTTTATAATGAAATTTCATTCATCATTGAGCCAGTGTTGACTTTTGTGTTCTATATGCTATTTTATGCTATTTTAAGCTTGGGTAAAATTTCTGCCATCTATATTAGTTTCAGCAAATGAACAAACCACAAGTCTGTCCTGTTCTTCTGTATTATTTTAAGCTTAATGTTATTAGAAGCTATTGTGATTGGAGACAATGGAAATCATGTCCATAACCAATTCTGAAGGCAATAGGAAATTGAGAAAGTAGTTCAATTAACAGAAGCTTCCTCTGCCTTTTTAAAGAAAATTATATTTATGTGAGCAGGCTTTCTCCGTGCAATATAGTCTGCATGTTTAAAAGGCAATCATTTCCCCCAGTTTATTCACTTAAATGAAATCACTACTGCTCACAGTAGTATTCCCTTGTCTTGCCCCATGTCAACACTCTGATGTGTGGAGTTGGACTGAAAAAAGATAGGAAATGAAATTCCACAAGTGTGTCAGATTTAAAAGAGCAACTGGAGTTTTAAATAGCTCTCTTGATTTTTTAAGGATTTTTACAAGAGCAAACTACAGGGGGCAGCAAATATTAACAGGCTCCTAGGAGTGTGCTGAACCTCGGAATTAACAAGTGCTATTCGGCTCAACTTCTCTCTGAAGAGAAATGCCCAACTTTAATGTGAAATGTATAGTTTTCTCGTTGCTTTAGCTTTATGATATATGAGAGTTAAATCTAGAAGGCTCTTCCTACCTGTCTTTACACAGTAAACTAAAGTCTGGAGGAGTGTCTCACATTTCAGCAGCACTCATTGTCTTCCCCAAATTCTGCAATCAAGTGTGACATGCTGAAGTGACATGGATTAAAAACCTGGGATTATCTGAGCATTAAAAAGCGAATGCAGGGCACAGGAATTGCACACATATCGGGGAGAGGAGAAAGCATGCTACAAAGGACATTTTATTCTCGATTTTATTTATTCATAGTGAGTTGAAGTCTGTTGGACTTCCCTGAAAAATCTTCCACACTGTTTGAAAGTTCTATTATCTAAAAGATAGTTTCCAACTCTTTGGTGTATTTAAAATCAAACTCACTATCACTGAATTTCCAAAGTAAAACTCTCAGTCTCTTTTTCAAAAGGACAGAGAGAGTGGGAACATATTATCCATTAATAGTGTTGAATTTGACTTATGTTTTTATTTTGGCAACCAAAAAGATAGAGAATGCCAGACCCTCTTGGAAGGGCTTTGATCTTATCCTGGTGTATCTTATAAAATAGTCTCATAGAGGCTTTGGGGAAAGTCTGAAAAGCAGAAAAGGAAACATTGTCATTCTTTCAACTAGCTCAAATCCCCATGTTTAAAAATATCTACAGCTGCTAGGAGGGTTGCAAAGTTCTTTAATTGGTAATTAATATAGTTACTAACACAGTGTAAGAGTACTGCACAAGACTTAAAGGCAGAAGTTGAATCAGTTTCCAAAGTAAAAAGTGAAAAGATAAAGCTTGTGACAATATATATGCAAAAGACAGCACTGCATTGCAGTGAGAAGTGAAGAGACTTGATTCCTTTTTCGGTTTTGCCACAAGCAGATCTCTTGGGCTCTCTGGGCTCCAAATTGTGTGTTGTCTCTCTCTCTGTTGATTGGTGCCATCTACTATTTGTAATTCTTAATTTAAGTTGGTTCCTGTGTTCCTTTTTTGTGATGAAATATTCTAAATTAACAACAAGGACATATCATAAAAACAACTATAAGCCCATCAACCAAGAGTAAATAAATGTTAATACGCCGTTTTACCCCAAAACTACTTTCCTTTTTCAAATGGCATTTTCACACACTTTGTTGCAATATAGCATACGTTCAGTTTACTAAATATTTACTAAGTGTACAGTTTAATGACTTTTCATAAGTTGAAAACACCTGTGCAACCAAAAATTAGATAAAAATATAGGACATTACAAGCATCATGTATGACCACATCTATACCCACTTACAGTTTCTAAGCACCCCCCAACCCCCACATTCTGACTCCTATCAGGATACATGGACTTTTGTTTTTATATAAATCATGCAATATGTATTTGTCAGTGTCTGGTTTCATTTGCCCAACCTTATATTTGCAAGGTTTATCCATACAGTCGCATGCAGTTGCAGACTTTTTTTTTTTTTTTTTTTTGAGATGGAGTCTCACTCTTGTTGCCCAAGCTAGAATGCAGTGGGGTGATGTTGGCTCACTGAAACCTCTGCCTCCCAGGTTCAAGCAATAATCCTGCCTCAGCCTCCTGAGTAGCTGGGATTACAGGCACGCATTACCACACCTGGCTATTTTTTTGTATTTTTAGTAGAAACAGGGTTTTACCACATTAGCCAGGCTAGTCTCAAACTCCTGACCTCAGGTGATCCACCCGCCTTGGCCTCCAAAAGTGCTGGGATTACAGGCATGAGCCACCGCACCTGGCCTAGATTGGTTATTCTTATTGCTGCCTGATATTCCATTGTGTGCGTATCTTCGGGTGTGCTTTACAAAATACAATGTGAGAGATACAATATGTTTGAGCTGTATATCTTTTCTTGTCTATTTTTTTTTACTTCCACATATGCAGATGTATTCATTAATGATATATAAAATTGTTCTGTGGGATTTGAATTTTTCATAAATAGTTCCTTACCATTCATACCATTCTACAGCGAGCTTTTCTTCCCTCAACATTGTGTCATAAATGTGTTTCCACTTTGATAGATGCATCCCTAGTCCATTTTAACTTCTGAAGAGTGGCCCAATTAATATACCACATTTTCAAATGTGTATCTTATTGATGGCCACTTAGGTTATATCTTCCTTGTGCACATGCATAAGAGGTCCCCCACTGCATACCTGGAAGTATGATTGCATCTTTACCACATTGTGCCAAAGTGCTCTCAAAGCAGGTGTAGCAAAAAGCCATAAGAGCTCTCACTGCTCCACACACTTGCCAACACTTGAAATTGTCAGATTGCTATTTGTTTGCTTGCGGATTGTTGGGTTTTGTCAATTTTCTGAGAGTGAAATGGTGTTTCTCTGATTACTGGAAATGTTGAGCTTGAGCATCATGGTCCTTTCTTGGTCACTTCGCTTTCTGTTTCTCTACAAGCCTTTTGTTTTCCACACTCAGCTCCCTTCTCTACTCTCCCTTCGTATTTTGCAGGTGGCAACACAGATTTTTATCTCTTTCTGTCTCCTGATAATGAAAGGTGGCTGCTGCCCAATACAATGCTAATCCATTAAATGATAATCTGTTCACATCTTTTCCTTATTATCTCCAGGAACATGCTTCTGTTTTAACCTCTCTTGTCCCATCAGATTTTTTTCTCTCTTGGTCCGTTCCTATTTGCAAAACAAAACAAAACTCTTCAAATGTCTTCTATCATATATATTTTTTTCCTTTACTCAGCATCCTAATTAAATGTCTAAACTGTTCATCTCTTATCCACCATCAAACTTCTTAGAAAACTTAGTTTTTCTTCTCATATCCTGATGTCTCACTATAGTTGGATTCAACTATTCCACCAACATGGACGTCAAGATTATCAATGACATCTTAATTTCATGACTCACTTTATTGTCTTTATCTTATTTCACTTCCATAGACTTCATGCCTATACTCTCACACTTCCTTCCTTCAGTGAATTATCTGTGTGCTTTTATTTCTCTGGGCCTTTGCATGTCCACTACTTGGTAAAATCTTCCCTCCTCTCAACCTTGGAACTAGTGGTTCTTTCTTCTGAGCTTCCGTAGAACTTTGTCTATATATATACATACATATATATATATATACACATATACGCACACATATATATATATACACTCATATATATATACACATATATATACACTCATATATATACACATATATATACACACATATATATACACATATATATACACACATATATATACACATATATATACACACATATATATACACACATATATACACACATATATACACACATATATATACACACACATATATATATATTCAACTTTGTATTATTATTATATTTATCCATAATAAGAGAGATTCTAAAGGATTTATATTTCTGCATCCCCAGTGCTTAACACAGATTCTTGGAAAATGTTTGTGGCATGAATAAATAAATTGGGCAAGGATTTCTGTGGAGTCCCTTCCAGTTCTAACATAGTGGTTCAGAGTCTGTGATGATGAAGAAAGGTCCTCTTTCCTCCTGCACTGACTCCCCATATCCATCGGCACAAATGGCCTACTCCCTGCTAGAGAAGTCATATGCCAGAATCCAAGGAGTTCTACACTGGTCTGAACAAAATTTCCATCACAAGCTGAGGAAAAGCAGCGTGGATGGAGGAGTTAGTCATACTGAACTCTCCCATGCTGTTAGGGCTGGGGTCAGCAGAGGATCAGAAGAAGCCCGGAGTGGAATTCTGTTTCTTTCCTTTCATCTCCCAAACCTCAAGCACAGAGAAAAGAAAAGCAGGAAGGGAGGGAGTAGAAAGGGGAGAGTATGTGAACGAATAAGAAGAAAACAAGCATTCATAAGGGGACGTTAAGAAGGGGAAGATAATCACAAGGATTTTTAGCCCACTCAGAAAAGCAGAGATAAAATTAAGTCTTATACAAGAGACATAGACGTTGATTTAGATCACCTAAATCTGCCCAACTCCACGACTGCTGGGATTCCCAAGGTGATTTTAAGCAGTCACAGAATGACTTTATTTTGCTTCCAGTGGTTCCTAGAACTCTGTGGCAATTCCTAATAAATGTTTTCAATGCATTTACTCATGACAAAGGGCACCATTAACATACTACTTGGCCCAATTTTGCCATGTCAGGTGTATGAGTATATCCTGCCTCCATCGCTGCGTCCATTGCAGGGAGAAGAATTCAGGCCATTGTGTGGCTTTCCTAGTAAGAAGAAATTGCTGTTTTTCAGAATTATCAGTTGCTAATTTTGTATCAAATTGTACGCTGCTAACTTGTGCATATAACAAATGGCTCTTTAATGTATTAGCATTGTTTTTTAAAGATCACTCTTTTCCACGTATGTTAAAGAACGCTTACCTTAAAAAAAAAAAAAAATTAGATTGACCAGGCACGGTGTCTCACGCCTGTAATCCCAGCACTTTGGGAGGCCGAGGCGGGCGGATCACGAGGTCAGGAGATTGAGACCATCCTGGCTAACACGGTGAAACTCCGTCTCTACTAAAAATACAAAAATTAGCCAGGCGTGGTGGCGGGTGCCTGTAGTCCCAGCTACTCGGGAGGCTGAGGCAGGAGGATGGCCTGAACCCGGGAGGCGGAGCTTGCAGTGAGTGGAGATCGCACCACTGCACTCCAGCCTGGGTAACAGAGGGAGACTCAGTCTCAAAAAAAAAAAAAATTAGATTAATTCAAAGCACAGAAGTTCTGAGAGAGGTGTATGTATCCCATCTGTTCAAATACAGGGGCTAATTGATTTTCCAAAGACCTTGATCCTTATTTTTAAAGTGATACAATTCACTTCAAAAACCCCATGACTTACTTACACTTTAAAATGATAAAGCTTACCTCATCAGTAATCCTAAAAGGCAGCTGAACCTGGTCTATGACTGAAAAGGCCTCTTTTGCCCATTTCCTCTTTGAGACAGGCAGCTGCTGAACGTGGCCTTCTCACGCCCTCATTTTTAGCCTGCTTTCATGATGAAGTAACAAATGAAAATAGGCAATTATAATAGCACCTTGCTTCCTAGAGACCAATGCTTTTGGAAAAATAGATGTACTGTATAAATAGCAGATAGATTATCTGCTTGCCTACAGTGGTATGGAAGACAAGACTCTCTCAAAGGAGAGAAAAGTAAAATATACCACAAAATAGGAAGAAAATTTGTTCTAGGAATGGATATATTTAAGGGAATCTGAAAATAGCTGTCTAATAAGTACATTAAAATAAAGATCTTTCCATGCAAAGGTCCAGGCTACCTTTTGTTTAACATACACTTTTTCTAACCACATTGATTCAGTCCTGACCCAAAAGATGAAGTCTAGCTGGTGAATGGTTCTGTGTCACTTGCAAGTCTTCAGGCGGAGACAAGGGGAAGCACTATGAATTTATGAGAGGTGACAAGATTCTTGCCTGAGGCCAATAGTTTCTTACACTTGTACACATCCAGATAGAAATGTGAGATGGAAAACAGTAGTATCTCTTACTTCCTAGCACATTAAGCCTGGAAAAGAAACTGTTTCCTGATGTATCTAGGTAATGTTACCCTTCTGTATTTTTCATTCTCAATCCATTTCATTTGAATTGCTATGCAAGTCTTTTATTGTAGCCCTTGATAAAGGGCATACATGCCAAGTTAGATATTTATATATTTTTGATGAGAATATTCTGACATATATTTATTTTGATCATATATCTAATTCAAATATAGGCACTGTGAAAAGGGAACACTTTTACACTACTGGAGGGAATGCAAACTAGTACAACCACTATGGAAAACAGTGTGGAGGTTCCTTAAATAACTGAAAGCAGAATTACCATTTGATCCAGCAATCCCACTACTGGGTATCTACCCAGAGGAAAAGGAGTCATTATATGAAAGAGACACTTGCACATGCATGTTTATAGCAGCACAATTTGCAATTGCAAAAATATGGAACCAACCCAAATGCCTATCAACCAACAAGTGGATAAAGAAAATGTGGTATATATACACCATGGAATACTACTCAGCCATAAAACAAATGAAATAATGACATTCACGCAACCTGGATTGAGTTAGAGACCATTATTCTAAGTGAAGTAACTCAGGAATGGGAAACCAAATATCTTATGTTCTCACTTTTAAGTAGGAGCTAAGCTATGAGTATGCAAAGGCATAAGAATGATACAATGAACTTTGGGGACTTGGGGGAAGGGTGGGTGGGGGATCAGGGATAAAAGACTACACATTGAGCACAGTGTACACTGCTCAGGTGATGAGTTCACCAAAGTCTCCAAAATCATCACTAACGAACTTATCCATGTAGCCAAAAACCACCTGTTCCCCAAACATTACTGAAATAAAATAAAAAATTTTAAATATATATGGGCCCTGAATTAGGCTGGGTGATCTCAGTGTATGATTTGCTCATTATTCATTTATTTATTAACACATATCTATTATATTGCCTACTATGTGCCAGGAACTTTGCTAGGAGCTGAGAATTCAGGGGTGAACAAGACATACATATTACGCAATTTCTCTCTCTTTCTCTCTCTACTCTCTCTCATTCTCTTTCTCACTCTCATTCTACCATCTCTCTGTATTTCTGGTTTTAGTAAATATCATCTTCAAAATCATCCAGATGCCCAAGTCAGAATCTGGGAAGCCATCCTAGACTAAAGCTTTCTCCTCCTCTTCATTTCCCTGCAATGAATTCCTTGGTTTATACCCTCTTGGGTTTCTGCCTGGAAAACTGCAATAGGAGGGACACAGGTCTAATAATAGATGGGCAATGAATATCCTTATTATTTAATATCTTGAGCAACAAATAAATATTTTACATTCAATATTACAGTTCATCTTCCCAATAACCTTATAAGGAAAGGATATTACTGCCTCCATTATACAGATAAGGAAAATAAAGCTCAGGGTTGTTACATAAGCTGCTCTGGGCCTTCAAGTTAATAAGTACAATAACCTTGGTTTGGATGCAAGATAGTTGGACTCCAAAGTCTGTGTTCTCTCCACTCCTCTGTCACATGCTTTGCATGCAACATGCTATTCCCTGATTGTGTTTCTCACTCATGACGGTTCCCAGGAGAAACATCTTCACACACACCATTAGCTCATCCCTCTGAGGTGATATTTTATGGCTAAGGTGAAGCACCACAGTTAGAAGCAGCCATAAAAATAACCCTCAAGGTGAAGCACTTAATCTTGGAAGAGTGAATTGTTAGGTTGTAGTCTGGTACTGTTGGGAAACCTTTCATAAAAGCCCCTCTTATGAATTTTGGTTTCACACGAGGGAGACAATGTTTGTCATCTTTTTGTTTTCTTTGTCTAAAATCTATATGGGACTAGAGGAGTTTATTTCATGTTACCTTTTTAGTCAAGGCAATGCCTGAAAAGCATATCTACCTTGAATTTAGTGGTAAGAAAACCATTGGGTGAAGGTATATCTGGTATGCTTTCAAGTATCCAGATTATATCACCCAATTATATAATAAATGTAAAAGCACTTTTAAAACTATAAATAGCCATGTAAATGAACGGTATTACTATGTTGGTACATAAACATAGACTTTCACATAGTACTTGATGAGCACTCTTGTTTTGTTGTTTTTCCACTTTTCAGAAGTAAGATGATCTCACTTGTAAGTTCCATTGTATGCTTGTCATTTTGTGTATGTCATGGAGTGATGAGCACTCTTTAACGAAAGCAAAAGGAAACTAATACC
This sequence comes from Homo sapiens, assembly GCF_000001405.40. Lineage (NCBI taxonomy): Eukaryota > Metazoa > Chordata > Mammalia > Primates > Hominidae > Homo > Homo sapiens. The sequence goes on along the minus strand of NC_000009.12, from coordinate 8,888,095 downwards.
ACTTGATTATTCTGTTAAAGAGTGAGAGTAATTATTCTTCCTTTTAAATTTTCACATTGAAAAACGCAGCTATTTGATTTAAAATCCCCACGTTTGTGGGTATATATAATGAATTTCCTAATGTGTTTCATGTTAAATGCACTGGAAGCTGTGGTTTTCCAAGAATTGAGATGGTTCTTCCTGTAAGTTCCAGTGAGGAAACATAAGACTTGACATCAAAGCGCTGATGTGTTTGCATACATTGCTGAAAGTGGCGGGGAAATAATCATAGAAGGTGGACACTTCTGTGTATTCTAAAGTTTTAAATGGCAATTGCAAAACTGAGTGACATATCAACAATTGAAAACTCTTAAAGAGGTAGTTTTGTGTTCTGCAAGTGTAGATTTCATTACTGCTTCCTTTGAAGTAAAAATCTCATCTCTTTGTAACTAGGATAGGTTTTGAAGAAACAAAACTTCAAGAGCTTTAGATGGGCAATAAAAAAATGTTGTAATCTCCTACAGGAGAGATGTGATTTATAGGGCAACGTATTTTTTATGACACATTGATGTTTGCAACAGACCAGGCCAGTAAGTAAGAAGTTCAGATTTAAAAGGAAAGAGTGGTGACATAACTTCCCTTTACAGGTGTCATTTGGCTTAAAACAACTTTTGCTCACCCAGTGACTGAATCATTTTGGATCTGTACAAGTGGGGTTTGTATAAAAATTGTTACTTCTTCCATCTATGTGCAGGAGCCAGCATCTCACTGCCACGATGGTTTTTAATGAAATAGGAATAAAATGATCTGTGCATGTCTGTGTTTGACAGTGGCCTTAAACCAGTCTTGGGGGTCTCAACCACCTAGGTCTCTGCCGTGAGATACTCACTTTAAGAAGAGGCAGCAGAAAATAATGGTTAATAGCATGCGTTATGGAGTCTGACAAACCTGGGTTCAAAAGCCACTTTTGCCTTATATGTACTAGATGATGTGGCCTTGGGCAAGTCACTTACTGAATATTTCTGTACCTCAGTTAACTCACATGTAAAATGGGGATAAGAAAGTCACTTCAGAAGATGATTTTGTGGATTGAGTAATGCCATATGCTTTAAATGCTTAGCCCAATGTCCAGTGCCTAGGAAGTAATCAGTTAAGCTTCATATTATTTTTTAGTCATTTACAAAATATTTATTCGGTATCTACCATGAACCGAACAAAATAGAAATGCAGTTTGTGTGTGTATATCTTCCAGGAATGAAGCATGGCCTGACAACGCCTCTGTATTATATGGAAATGTATAATTAGAGTTTTTAAGCATTTTTTAACCACCAGCACATTAGCAAACAACAAACACTATTGCACGGTGCAGAGTTTGTTTACTTGGCAAAATGTAGATAATGCAGCTGCTTCACACAACAGTCAAGGGGTAGGGGGTGCTGACTGCAGAAAAAATTCAGCCCTAGGACTATATTTAGTTAGAATGTGACATCATTTTAAAACTTGAATTATTTAAACCATGCATTTTAAATGTTTGTTATTTAAGAAAACTCGAGAAATCAAGTAAATGTCCCCATTCTTCCTAACTGCATTTAACCAACTAGAACTTAAAACAAAAAGAGCTATAAGGTAATTAATTTCAAAATCCATAACATCTATATCATGACATGGCTATCTGGGTCAAAATCTATGTCCTGGAACATAATAACCATATGCTATAAAATATAATTTATATAACAGCATAGGCCAATAAGGTGAGTCTCCATGCTGTGCACAGACATTAGCATTATGAAAGGGTTCCCTTTCATAACTATGGCAATTACATAGTTAGTGAAATACCATTAAGCATATCTTTTCATGTGTAGTTATCCCTGTGTCTATATGACACTGAACATCTGTATGAAAATCAAAAATTTCAATCAGCCCTCCAGATGTCCCCAAATATCAATATGTCTGGCTTATGAACAAATCAGCTGGACTTAAGTTTTTCATTTCGTTTTCTTCCAGATGTTGGTGTCTTGTAGACACAAATCTCTTTTTGAGTTCTTTCCTACCAATCACCTTTGGGATTATAACCAAATTACTAAAAACCATAAAGGTGTGTCATAGTAAATATTTTTCTTCTGTTGAAGGATGCAATTCATCAAAAATCTGCTAGGTCGTATATGGATGCAAGTTGTTAAGAATGTGGCAGTGAAAAACTTAACACAATTAAGCGCGTGGAAATAATTTGGCTCTAGAAATAAAATGTTCTCTATGTTCATAATTATAGAAAGCATTTGATCTGACATGGGTACATTCAGGTTTTCTAAAGACAGAGGCAGGCCGGGCACGGTGGGTCACGCTGATAATCCCAGCACATTGGGAGACCAAGGTGGGTGGTTCGCCTGAGATCAGGAGTTCAAGACCAGCCTGGCCAATATGGTGAAACCCCATCTCTACTAAAAATACAAAAATTAACCGGGTGTGGTGGCAGGCACCCATAATCCCAGCTACTAGGGAAGCTGAGGCATGAGAATTGCTTGAACCTGGAAGGCAGAGGTTTCAGTGAGCCGAGATCCCACCATTGCACTCCAGCCTGGGTGACAAGAGCGAGACTTGGTCTCAGAAAAAAAAAAAAAAAAAAAAAAAGAGGCTGTGTGGTATAATGGAAAGACACATGTATTGGCATCAGAAAATCTTGAACATGAGTTCAGATTCTGTCCTTTACTTGTGGCATTGTGAGCCTTAATTTCTTCTATGGTAACCAATCATCTTAGTTTGCCAGGGACTCTCCCAGTTTTATCCCTAAACATCCCATGCCCTGAGAAACCCCTTAGTCCCAGGAAAATGGATGATTGGTCACCCTAATCCTCATCTATAAAATGAGGGTAATAATAACTTCCTCGCAGAGTTTTACTGCAGAATGGTGAATAAGTAAAGGACCTAGCACAGCCAAGAAGAGTAGGGTCTCCAAATGGGAACTATTATCATCATTATCAATCTCATTCACATTTCCTATTCTGTTTCCTCTCAGAGCACAGGCTTGTCTGTTTCTATTTTATTCAACACAATCAGCACTTCACTTGCACTATCATAGTCATGCTAATTGATTCCATCCCATTCTCAAAAGCACTAAATTTCTACGTTGTATTCCCCCTCACTGATGGTCATGAGCTTTACATCATCCTCACTGGAATCCAGGAGATAACTTTTTGTTTCCTACCATGGAGACTTGATATATTTCTATAATCCAGATGTGCAGTATGTAACCTCCAGTGCCCACAGCAAGCCCAACACATAGTGGGCCCTCCACAGATACTTGTGAAATGAATGAATGGTTCATAAACAAAGAATAGAAAACTACAGGTGAGTTATGGCAAATCAGTCCAGTAAACATCAAAATGTAGCCCTTCTCTTTGCTACAAACTCACCTTTCTATTGTGGATTTCAATTTGCCTACTGCAGAAACATTGCTTACTATCTTTCAGAAGTCAACTAGCTATATTTCCTTTCCAGAACAGAAACTTTCGGAATAGCTAGTCTAGTCTGCTCCCTCCCACTCTCTGGCTCCATAGTGCCTTTTGGTTCCCTGGTTGCTCTTCTGCTATGTTGAGGCCTCCACCAGCCATGTCTAGTCTCATCACTTAGTCCAGCTCCAAACTCAAAGAACATTCTCTTGAATTATTTAGATTTTTCTCTTCACCTTATTCTACCTTCTGGGTTACTCATTTTCCTGTGCCTTCCACTTCAACCAAGTTGTACTCCTGCTTCCAGGCTTCCCAATGCCTGCAGTCTCAGAAGTTAGACTAAACAGCAACAGGCAATCGAGCATCATCCTTTTCCTTCTCTGTCTTGCAACTCAGGACTCACCTTCTCCCAGTTTGCCCTAATAGGTCTCATCCAATGTTTAACCTGCCATGACAGTCTCAGTATAGCCATTCTCTCAGTGCTGGCTGAAGGAATCAGATGGAGCTAGGTTTTGAATAAGTACTGCGTTTACTGCAGCATGACATTAAATGACTGCTTTCATATTCCCGAACCTCAATTACTCCTTTGGTAAAATGGGGATAAGAATTTTACTTGTGATAAAATGGGAATAAGAATTATGGAAAATAAATGAGGCAACATAAAGCTTGCCCATGAAAATTCATTCACTCCCATTCGTCCCAATACTCTTATCATTTCTAATAGTGTCTCTCTTCACTTTCTTAAAATTCTGTGGGAGAAAATAATTGTGAAGATTCTTGAATGTATATCCCCAGATATTTTGCTCTGCCTTTGGTAGGCTCTAATATCCATTACTGGACCGGCTCCAGAAGGGATACAGAGGTCCACTCTGTTAGATCTGGGTTGGGAATGGGATTAGGACCAAAGCATTCAGGTGGTGCAAGTGATTTGAAAAATGAAAATACAAGACCTGTATAAAAGAAAGTCCTCAACGGGGTCTCTTCAGAAGCACAGGGGAGAAAGAGGAAAGCTTACACTCCTGACCTCTCACCTCAGCATTTTTCTTCCTTCCACTTTCAAGCAGTGAATAATCAACATGTCAGAGTGCATTTAGATCTAAATCCAATTAAGTCTGACCTTAGGGATAGTTACTCATAGTTCCCAGCAGGTGTGTGTTTGGAAGAAATTGTCATCTGTGCCCTTTGTTCAATTTTCAAATTACCCAAGTTTATGGTCCTGACTGATTAAGTCTAACAACACTGGCCAATGAATGTCTAAGGAGAACAGCTGCTGGCTTAAGTGTCTAGGCATTTGTGCTGAGAAGGATTTTAAGAAAGAAATCACCTCTCTCTACTTACTCCACACAGAACAAATCTAGGAGTTGAAAATATTCTATAGCTTTCATCTAGACCCTTACGATAGTTGCTATCATAGTTGTTAGCCCATGGTTAACATTATTTAACCACCATGGCCATTGGTATTATCATTTGTGCAGTGCTCTGCAAGATTGTTGTGGAATTAGAATTAATATGTGTAATCCAATTGGCACAATACCTGACACATAGTAGATGCTCAATTAGTGGTACTGATTATTAATATAATTGGTATTATTAAGGCATTTGACAGGAATTTCAAACAGCAGACCAGTATTCACTGTGGGGGGAAAAAAGTATGTGTGGGTATGCAATGTATGTGCAAGTGTGCATGTATGATTTTGACCAATTTTCACATGTATCTTCCATTAATAGCGCCTATTACTTTAGATTGACTTCAGAAGTCATGCTCTAAAATACCTTTTTTTTTTTTGAGACAGAGCCTTGCTCCGTCACCCAGGCTGGAGTGTAGTGGTGTGATCTCGGCTTACGGCAACCTACACCTCCTGGCTTCACCTGATTCTCCTGCCTCAGCATCCTGAGTAGTTGAGACTGCAGGCACCCACCACCATGCTCGGCTAATTTTTATATTTTTAGTAGAGGCGGGGTTTCACTATGTCGGCCAGGCTGGTCTCAAACTCCTGGACTCAAATGATCCACCCACCTCAGCCTCCCAAAGTGCTGGGATTACAGGCATGAGCCACCACACATGGCCCTCTAAAATATCTTAATCACAGTCCCTCAGTTTGGTTTCTGTTGGCCATAGGAGGAGAAAGATGCTACAAATGTGAGTAGCTATAAAGGTTCTGAACCTATAAAGATTCTGGTTCTCTGCTAGGTACTTTTCACACATTTTCTCATCTATTTCTCTACTTTTGTGAGGATCAGAAGACCTGGCTTCTGGTCTCAGCTTTCCCTGCCTACAAAACTGTGGTCTACAACAAATTACTTCACCGCTTGGATCTGTAATTTTGCAATCTGTAAAACAAGAAGATTGGATTGGACCATTTTTAAGATCCTTTCCAAAGCTGTAAGTTTAAAGTGAGATACTATAAGATCAATATAAAAATAAATCTAATCCAGGAGAAATGAAATGAAAGGAACACCACTCTGTTTTTAGTCAATGAGTCGACAGTATTTCTTTGGGTGTTCATTCTTCTAGATGCTATAAAGGGAAAAAGGAAAAAAGAGAAGACCTTGTTGGTTCTTGCTCTAACACACTTTTTCCAGACTGCTTTTATCTGCTCTCTGGTTGACTTCTGAGACATGATCCTCAGGACTCCAGAGCTCTTCTCTTCTCCACTTATTTTTCTACCAGCCTGTTTGACAACAGTCAGCCCAATCCCACCCAGCAGGAAAAAACATGGTTCTTGGTGAGAAAGCTAAATGGCACCTTCCTTCTCCTTTCTTTCCTCCGAGTAAGAAGACAGGAAGAAGCTCATTAAGAATCCAGAAGAATGTCTAGAAAGGTAACTGAGGATCTCTCTCCATTAGAGGAATGACAAAACTGCTACAGAGAAAACTATGGCTGGATGAGTTTTTAGATCTCTGTGACTGTCATTCTTTTTCTCCGCTGCTTCTTCCATTCTCTGGTCAATTCTGTTTGTCCTTAAAATGCAGGTCTTAAAAGCTTTTAAAAACTCTGTCTCCAATGGCCCCACCTCTCACTCTTTCCACTATACTATGCTTCCACACTTTTAGAAAAACACGTACGTTGAATTATGGTTAGTTGTCTGTATGCCTGTCTTTTACTTAAACTTATACCACTGTAAATATATCAGTACATTGTGATGTATAGTAAACCCCTTCCATTACAGAAAGAACTAACTGTATACTACATTGTAATTATTTACAGAAATCTTGTAAAAGGAAGATATTCTCATGTTTGAGAGGAAAAATGTACGTAACTTGAATAAAGCCTAATATGTCTGACCTAACCAAATGGATATATTAGAAGTGAGTTCCTTACAAAAATATTCATGGAAAACTTCTTTTAAGACTAAGTTTTCCTATTGGTTATTAATGGGAATTTATAAAGATTTGACTGATATACAACTTTTTAGGAATAATATCTGTCACTAGACTGTTAGTTCTGTGAGATCAGGGAACAAATACATTTGATTTCTTTCCCATTGTATCCACAGTGCCTGGAATACAGTAAGTGCTTAATAAATATTATAGGCAGAATGTATAAATGACAGAAGAAATGAAGAATTAAAAATCCCTGCTGCATATCAGAAATTACCTTTGAGGCCAGGTACGGTGGCTCACACCTATAATTCTAGCACTTTGGGAGGCCGAGGTGGGTGGATTACTTCACCTCAGGAGTTCGACACCAGCTTGAGGAACATGGCGAAACCCTGTCTCTACAAAAAATATATACATATATTTTTAATAAGCCGGGCATGGTAGTGTGCATGTGGGAGGATGGCTTGAGCCCAGGAAGTTGAGGCTGCTGTGAGCCAAGATTGCACCACTGCACTCCAGCCTGGATGACAGAGTCAGACACTGTCTCAAGAAATAAAAAAGAAAACACCATAGAGATAATATTATAGGCAAATGAAACCAACTACATTAAAATATTTTAATTCTATTTATTTGTGCTTGGATAAATGTGTTGTTATACATATGAATAATCGCTTCTTGCTCATGCTCTAAGATGAGGAATAACAGCATGAGTTGGCAAAGGGAAAAAAAAGGTGCAGTATACCTGGTCTATTTGCTTGTTTGCTTGTCTTTGCAGTAATGTAATGTTATTTCATTACTCCCAATAGGCACCCTCAGATTAAACAGTAATAGTTAGCTCTGAACATTTAGAATTTTACTCAATAAAAATAATGGCGTTAAAATCAGTAAGGAGGAGTTGATCGTATGCTGTGCTTCATCATCATCTTCGTGAAAGAAAGAGAAAAGGTAGAAGCAAGTGCCTGTAGATATCCACAGGTAACACTAAGGGAGGATGCGCCAGACCTAGCATTGAAGCCTTCCTCAGAAAAACCAACTTGAGAGAGGATTTACAATCCCTTCTTATCTCTCAGACAGTTGCCATTTATATGCTGTTTATTCAGTGATTATAAACATGGCTACCCTCCCAGCTTATATCAAATATCACTAGGTAAATAACTGGCAGAATATATTGTGGGTTTTCTCAGGGCTATGACTGAGAAAAAAATGCCACCTTTGTTTCTTATGGTTTAGCTACTTTTCACCCAGGAATCCCTGAGCTGTTATTTGAAAGGCTACATTTCAGACCCCACAGCAAACATAGGATGTATGTTTTTCTGTAAACAGGGTAACAAGTAGATGGTTGAAATGTTTAAATTGAAAACTCTGACTTAAGGAGTCAGGGAGGGAGACGAAAAAGGCTCACTTTCTGCCAAGAGGTTGCTCCTTTTCTGTGAACTGGAAGGATCACTCTTCTCTCCTTACACATTTTAGTGTACCTAGAAACACGTGTGGGGTGCTTAGAGCAGTCTCAGGAAATGGATGACTGGACACTTGGCTTCCAGATTTGGTCCAGCCTCTCTCCGTTTGTGTTTCTATGAGTAAAGTTGAGGCAAACCCTAATGAGCTTTCCCAATGCAAGATTGTTATGCCAAATGGAAAGCAGTTAGCAGGAACGCTAAGATCCAGGATTCTGTTTCAAATCATTAAAATTAAATAGTATTCTTCCCTCCAAAACGTTTAAGATATTTTGATAAATCTATAATTCACAATTGGGATAGGGAGTAGACATTAATCATAAAGGGACCTCCAATACTAAAATAACAACCAGGACTCACTGCCACTGGCCAATGAGCTCCATGATAATGGGCCAGCGATCTGACTGTGTCTTTGTTTTCTCATCATTGTGCTTCTAGTGTTTTGCAGTGCCTACCAAGCTCAGTGGACATTTGAGTAAATACATGGAGAAAAGTATGAATGAATGAATGAAAAAATGAATGCAGAGCCAAGCCTATTGGGCCCAATCACATTGTATGGTCAGTACTCATTACTGACCCTCTCCACTAATGCTCAGCACATTTATTTTCTGTGAAACCAGGATAACAGGAACAATGAAATAGCTTTGAAGGAGATTTCCCATCAGTGTCTCGATCACCCATCTCTCAGCTAACAGATCTTATTTTCCTGAGCTCATGCTGGGCCCAAGAAAAGACAACATACGCCTATAGATACTTGGGGACCCAGGCCTCTCTCTGGAATACAGAAAGGTGTACTGTTTAAAGGAAGTGTGAATGCGTGTAACTTAGGCCTACTATTCCATTCTCACCCAGAGTAAAATAAGTGTTCCACAGTATCAACAGAGTAAAAGTTCATGTTACTGACCAGGAAAGCCTGGTGAACACAGAAATGCAACCAACTGTAGCTTGGGTGAGGTGTAGGACTGACATCTAACCAGAGTCACCAGGGTATAGCTATGGCCATTCTTTCTTATGCTATGCACCCCAAAAGGGATTATAAAGCACAGATAATTAAATCAGCAGAGGCTGGGTGTGATAACTTATGCTGTAATCCCTTCCCAATAACTTTGGGAGGCCAAGGTGGGAGAATTGCTTGAGTCCAGGCATTCAAGACCAGCAGGGCAAGACCTCGTCTCTTCTAAAAATAAAAATAAAAAACAAGTTATCTGGGCATGGTAGCATGTGCCTGTAATTCCAGCTACTCAGGAGGCTGAGGTGGGAGGACTGCTTGAGCCTGGAAGTTTGAGACCACGATGAGCTATTGATCACACTGCTGCACTCGAGGCTAGTCTACACAGTGAGACTCTGTCTCAAAAGAAAACAAAAAAAAAAGAAAAGAAAGAAAGAAGAATCAGAGCACTTCTGTTGATAATAATCAACAGAGCACTTCTCTTTTCTCCTTAAGCATATGCCACCCCTTCTTACTTACTTTTATTCTTCCATTTTTGTTCCCCACCATCCCCCACCTTAGCCCCACTTACTGGTTCTGTCTCTTTAATTTGTCTGGCTAGTTACAGAGGCAGCTGAGAGCACAATGGGTACAGTAGTCATTTTATTTCCCTCCAAGTATTGTCTGTGCCCGGAATGAAGAATTACACAGAAGGACATGTTGTGGACCAATTCCCCTGCTTTCCAATCTCCTACGAATGATCAAGCTCCTGGGAACACTAAGACACAGTGTTTCATACAGTTCCTTCAAATGACTTCCTGAGAAATAAGTAATATCTGGCAATGTAAACTATTATCTTCCAGAGGATTAATACAAACCACTTCTAAGGGCTGTAAAGCACTTTATCTTCAAACTCAATTATATAAAGTGTATACTTGAGGGTAGAATGACAACCTCCTTAAGACTAGGATTGTCAACAGCCAAGGAAAGAGTCAACCCTCTTTCTTTCCATGCTATTTCAAGTGGGTCATGAGCAACACTTTCCTAGAGTTATGCCCATAGACACCTCGATTTCTACCCAGCATCCTTCATGGGCTTCATGTTTAAGAAAGGGAGAATTGGATTGTCTGAGAAGAGCCTCAGACACTTGTTTATAGTGTTTAAATGGGAAAAGGGTAAAGGACAAAATCATGACTCTGGTAACTTTGTCTATTGGCCTGTCTCATTTATGAGTGTAAAATGTCACTGAAGGTTATCATTCTTAGAAAATGTTGCTGAAAAATGTGTCAAGTTTAATGGAGATCTGAAAGTTCTTTTGCATTTTTTTCCTGATAAACTTCTATCATTTTGTAAATAGAAGCAAATATGAACTTTTATAAGTTGACCTATTGCCAGAAAATAAGAAACATCAAAAGACCAAAATAACAAAAAGATAATATGCTCACTAAAATATTAGAATCTATTTATTTTTAATAAGTTAATTTATTATTGCTCTGAATTCCTTCACGGTATGAAAGTAAACTGTCACTATAAAAGTCCCCTAGATATTGGTGTCTCATAAAATTCTAAACACAGGTAAAAATAAGGTGTTTACCTATTCAGGTAGATTAAACAACGTTTAATAAACTATTAATTTGACATAGACATTACCCTGGGTTATTCATGTTGGAGTTTTTGGAATAAAGCCCAGATTACGTTTCTTCTTCTAATTTGGCTCATACAAATGATTTAAAACGTAAAACAGGCTGGGCGCGGTGGTTCACGCCTTTAATCCCAGCATTTTGGGAGGCTGAGACTGGTGGATCACGAGGTCAGGAGATGGAGACCATCCTGGCCAACATAGCGAAACCCCATCTCTACTAAAAATACAAAAATTATCTGGACATGGTGGCACTTGTCCATAGTCCCAGCTACTCGGGAGGCTGAGGCAGGAGAAGCACTTGAACCCGGGGGGCAGAGGTTGCTGTGAGCTGAGATCGCGCCACTGCAGTCCAGCCTGGGGACAGAGAGAGACTTCCTCTCAAAAAAAAATAAAGAAAAAGAAAAAAGAAAAACAGGGTGGTAAAGGAAAGGGCCAAGGAGGATACATTTTAAAGGACACATTTGAAACACAATTTACTTTCCCTAATATCAGACCATGGTCTTGAACTGTGTAACTTTTAAAGACATTTGCAAACTTACTTGCATTTTTAATTCAAATATGGAAAACAAGTTCTTATTTGCAAAGGGTACCTGGTCACTTGGTAAAGTTTTACTGCAGTCATAAAGAACATTAAATGTTCTGAGTTATTTTGCAATTAAATTTCCTAGATTTAAATGATCAGAGTATATTAACTTAGACTTACGAACCTATGAATTCTTCTTGAATAGATTTCTGCCAGGAGCAAATAATGAAACCTTTAACCAGGAAATGACGAAGCTCCAAATTCTTCTGAGGATACTGTAGTAAAGTGATTACCCTGGAATACTATAGTGCATGAGCATTACAAAGGAGGTTTATAGGCATGTGGAGTTTTCAGAACTCATGACATTTTTTCCCACAGAAAATCACATTCCTGGTCTATTTCCAGTGTTTAAAAGGAAAGGTAAACTGGCATTTAGTATATTATAGGCTTTTCATCAGCTTATTTGGTTTGATGACTATTCCTAATATATACCCCAAGTGTAGTATTTAAAAAAAACAGTCTGAGTAAATTTTTACAGCTATGTCTCATGAGCTGTTTAAACAACAACAACAACAACACACACACACATACTCAGATAGGCTCTCTTGGTTTGGATTAACCTGGTACAGAATATTAGAACAAAACTGGTGGAAACACAAAATCAGGCCAATTCTATGCTCTATTATCTTAATTATATGCTCATTTACTGATGTGTTGAAAAGCAGAGATTTATCAGTTAGGATATGATAAGGTCTAAGTAAGAGAAAAATCCAACAAAATGTTACTTAATAAAGACACTATGTTGTAAGAATTCCAGGCATAGGGCTACAGGATTGGTGAATTCAGTGTCTCGGCATCATAAAGAATGTTTGTGTGTGTGTTTTTCCATCTTTCCATGTCACAAAACAACTGGAAGAAGTGGATCTGTTTTTCCTCCTTCATGAGGAAAGCAGGGCTCAGAGAAGTTAAGGCATATGCACAAAGCTACTCAGTTAAGTAGCTGAGCCAGGATTTCAGCCCACTCTTACTAAGTCTAAAGCTTGTTCCTCTAACCACTCTAAAATCATGAAATATTATACATTGTAGATGTTTAGCATTATCTAAGGACATGAGGTGATGCTTATTATTGAGCATAATAATATACAAGAGCATCCATACAACTAAATCTGCTTATCTTATAACTGTCAACTTCCTGTTTCTGCTATATTCTTTTGTAAATACTCATTGAGATGTTTACCTTATGCTTGAAATAAGGTTATAAATAGTTGTAATTTCTTAGGTATCGGATGAACTGAAGCACAAAGGAACCAAACAAAGAATTCCTAATGTTATTCTGCTAGTCTTGAGTTAAGTGTATTGTGATTATACTAGAATTTCCTGGTTTGTAGCTGGGACTACAGGAATGTGCCACTATGTCTGGCTAATTAAAAAAAAAATTATTTTTGTAGAGATCAGTCTCATTCTGTTGCCCAGGCTCTCGAACTCCTGGGCTCACGGGATCCTCCTACCTCGGCCTCCCGAAGTGCTGAAATTATAGGCATGGGCTACCACGCCTGTCCTAGAACTTCCAGAGAGCTTTCTCATCACCATGAGAAAGAGCTACAGTGATAAGCAATTATGTTATTTATCATAATTAACTTTAACACATCAGTGATTGTCAGTCTACTCTTTCATTTAATCATCCCCAAAACTTTAAAGGGGGATTAGTTTTATCTCCATTTTATAAATGGGTGACTCTCTTTAATGCATCCATGTATGGTTGTGCAGGTTGAAGACTCTACCACTGATGAGCACAGCCCTATATTTTTGACTTCTCTTCTATGCCTCCCTTGCTCCACCTGAGTGAATCTCCTCTGCATCCACCAGAAAAATGTTCTTCATTTTTCTGTCTTGAAAGTTTCATTGGAACCACCAACTTAGGTCAGAATAAATATCTAGACATTGTCTCACACATTTATCAAACATTTCCTAGGAGCCAGGCTCCGCATGGTGGTTTCAAGTAAGTGATTTGCCATGCTCTGCACAATCACAGTATGAAACAAATATAATTATCTCTCTTTTGCAGATAAAGAAACAGGACTCTGGAGGTTTTAACAGCTCATTCCATGACATGCAGCTATTAACAGAATTAGGGATTATGTTCTCTCAACTCCAATGCAATTTCCATTATGATAAATTAGGGAAGAGATAAGAGTCATTAGGAGAACAAGGTAACCAAGTACTTGGCTGGCCAGAGGCACCAAGGGGATTGAGATGAGGGTGAAGAGTATGAGATGCTCAGGGGAGGTGCAGAGTGAAGAGAAGGAACAATATTGGGAAGGCCAATGACAGACCTTTCCCAGTCATTTGTTTTTCCCAGAATTAGACTCTGCAACTAGGCCACTTTCCTGTCTCTCCCAGGTTCATTTGGTGATACCCACGTTGGGAAATTGCAAAAAAAACAGTCCGTTCAACTGTAGTCACACTTGATGAACATCTACGAGGAACAAAGAATGTCCTGGTCTATCTTGGTTTGAAAAGAAAAATAAAATCTGAGTTTACAGTTGAAGGGTGCATATTTGGCAGAGTCACCATGCAAGTTATGGGCAAGTCACTGAACCATGGGCCATCAGTTTCATTACCGTTAAATGTGGGTAGTAAAATGAAACTATTCATAATGGCTGGGAATTGTTATTCATTCACATATAGGGACAATGTAGAAATGCCCAAGGCAAACAAGTGTTACATTGTTTTATTAAATTTTTACCCTAAGTTCAAAAGTTATGTATTAATCTTTTAGATGTAGTTTTGCCCCTCAAAGTCTGGAAGGACACAAGTGTTCTGTCCAGTATGATAGAGACTCCGTATTATGTTTTAATGACCAGGTGCACACACATAGTCTAGAAAATGGTGCACAAATGCACCATTACTATTCACATGGGACAGCCTGTCAGTTAGTATGGAGTCTACCCTCAATGGCCTCCAGGAGACTATTTGGTGTCTTACCTCCCTCTCTTCATTTCCTGTCACTCATATTTCTCTGCAGGGTTGCAGACCTACGTGCCTGACACCAACGAGACCTAGTCCCCCAATGCTTTCATTCTTTAAAATCAACCACTTACATAATAAAGAAACTCTCTTTTTGTCACTATTGATTAAAGCTCAGAGTATAATTTCCAGCCTTCATTAAGATGAAATAGATGACAGTGAAAAGGAAATTTAAAAAAGAGATAGAGAAAACTATTTATTTAGCACTCATTCAAAAGTCAAAACTTTCTAGCTCTTAGGGAACTTGGTTAAAAAAAAATAAAGTTAACACATATTTATAATTGACCTGTTATGTGCCAGGTATCATCCTAGAAACTAGGGGTATACGGGAAATCAATCCTCTTCAATCCCTACCCTTGGGGAGCTTATATTCTGATTGGGGAAAAAGAAGATATTAAAGAAATAATTAAAACAACCACATACAACACGACAGCTGGTAATAATCACTCAGAAGAAAAATTAAGCAGGGCAATAGGATAGAGATGAAGGGGTAGTGATATTTCATGCCAAGGGGTCAAGAAGTGAGGCCATGTATATAAAGATTCCTTCATTCAATATTTATTGACTGTCTTTGAAGAGCTGGGTACTGTGCAAGATGTAAGATGAATAAGACATAGTCCCTGCCCTCCAGGAGCCGACAGCTCAGTGGAGAGTCTCACCACCTGCTCCATTAGGCAGACAGATTAGAAGTCTCAGGGCATATCGCTGCAGTAACACTGTACACAGTGACCAATTTGAACAGATTGTAAGTATTCCAAAACTCACAGTGGTTTCCATAAAATAATTCTCACTTCAAGTAAACATTTTCAGTTGGTGAGTAACTCTATTTTCCACCGACAGCACTCATATTTGAGGGCTTTCTTAATGCAATGATGACTTGTTTTTCTAATTGGTTGCCAGGGATTGTTTGGGTCCTTATTGAAATGTACTTGCTTAACTCCTCCAAAGCAACTTGGCTGGTTTCTTGTTGTACTGGCAAATGCCGCCTCCTGTACTGAAAAATTTGTTCTTTCTGAAAAATTTGGACTGTCCCTAGATGGTTTTTATTATGATTAAAGATAAGAAAGAAAGAATGATAGATTTATTTTTAAAAAGTGATAACAGAACAGACTTTACATCAACCAGATTTACATAAATGTAGGCTACATGCTAGAGGATGTGCTATTTTATCCTAGTTCTATCACGCTTTGTGCAGATACCTGGCCCAAAATTTTCTTATTCATTGAGAAGACAGAGAAAAGTATAATTATGGCCAAAATACTAGCTTGTACAAAGCTGTTTTCTTTATTGTGTTTTTAATACAAGCTCCATATTCCCAGTTTTACACAGGATTGTAATAATACAACATTGTTAACAAAAAAATACTCAATCATGTGAGAGAACAACATTGAGCAGAGAAGTCTTTTGTTTTTCTGAAGACAGAGCCTTTTTGATAGGGGATGGGAGATCATATCACACACAGTTGCTCCAGAGTAAAGGAGACAGACTTGCTGATCTCTCTGCTAGCACAAAGATAATCCACTCACTCTACAGGCTCCTTGTTGGCACCTCTTCCTCTTTGCATTCTCACTGTCACATTCCTCACCCTTTGCCATAGGAGACCCAGGAGAGGAAATTATTTTGGCTACGCTGAGACATAAGCACAGGTGGTACCACTTGTTATAAACTTTTCAGTTTTTGTTGGAGCTATAAGCCTACTTTATAGGGGTCTTGAGCTGTTTGTTCTATGAGAGAAAGGGAAGCAATAGCTTTTGGCCCTCAATGTTGATTGATTGCATTGCGGCTGGTTTCCACAGGCTGCTGGCTTGCAGAGGACACATTTCTTCTCAGTGGTGCCCCAGTACAATGATGCCAATCTGAATTACATACTGGCTACAGCCAAATATCTTCATTTCCTTTCTGCTTCAAACAGTGGATTTGGGCAGTTCTTTTTATTCTGTTTTGGAGAAATGTCACACGAAATTTTGAATTAAGTTAAGCTATTATTATTATTATTATTGCTGTACCAAGGTAAAATCAATTTGTCATAAATTTTGTCTTTTGCCTACACGTTGGAGTCTTTCTCATTGGTAAAGTTTTCACTCTTATCATGGCCTTTTACATAGCAGCTCCCACTGCTATGATCATGTCAGCTTTAGGGGTAAATGACAGAGAGGAATTTTGCTATCAAAGTTACTTCCAAAGGTCATGAAAAGTCAGTCACTGGATAAGATCAAGAACTTGGTTCTAAATATAAACTCTTCCTCAGCACATGCAAATTATAAAGTCTGCTGAAGTCTAACTCTACCATAAAATTTCCCACAGGAACTCTGTTCCTTCCTAAATATTTCATTTTCTAAAGATGTTACTCAAGGTAAAATTTACTCCATTGAATCTTAAGTAGCTGATTCTAGGGCCTATGTGTATGCCCCACATTTCCTTAGTGATCAGATGCTAACATAAATACTTCCATTTTTCAGCTCCGTGAACTTTCATTCACAGAATATACTGCAATTAAGTAGCTTTTTAGAGTAGTCTTCCCAAATAGGAAGGATGTTCCAGTTGTTGGTGGGTTTGGCTTAGGTTATGCAGTTTATTTGTTTTGGTTGTATGTTTTGAACATATGCCCAGGGCTTTTAAAAAGAATGATGGGAACATTTGTACAAATGAAATTGAAAGCAAGGGAGCGGGCATTGCCAACGCTTTAATTATGAACCTAGCAACACGTGTACTTATTTGAAGGTTTAAAGAGTATAAGACAGAAAACAGGGAAAGGAGGGGGCACCTAGTGGTCTCAAACGGGATGTCTGCTTTTTCTTCTCAGCAGGCAGGGAATAAAAGGCATAAAGCCTTTCTACCCTTTTGGATGCCCAAGGATACGGCAAACTGCCTGTGTCCTTTTCCCAATATCCCGTTCGCTTTGAAGCGCTATCAGGACAGAGGGTAAAGTTCTGAGAGAGCCAGAGGGGCCATTTAGGTCAGGTGATCTGAGGGTTCCACCCTTCCTCCTCCTGCAATGCTTCCTTAAGGCCAAAAGAGCCAGCACATCATGGTGTGCTGAACTCCCGTGTGTGTGTGTGTGTGTGTGTGTGTGTGTGTGTGTGTGTGTTTCATGTCTGTGTCTTATAACCCTGTTTTCTATTGCCTGAGAAGAAAAGTGCCCAACTCTTTGGAACCTCTCGTCTTTTGACAGACAAATTTCCCAGCAACTGTAACCAGAATAGTTGGAGGGTTGTTACACACGAGGGCATTACTAAGGTTGGGGTGGTGAACCAAAAGAATTTGGAAAGTTTGAGAAACAGCAAGATGGGGTGGTTGACACACACACTTTCCTTTTCCTTTAATTTTGAGGGTTTTTTCCCCCTTGCATCTTCAATTCTAGTCAAGTGTATTTCATTCCAGACATAAAATCAAAATACTCTTCTCTCCAGTCTCTGTGTGGATTAGGAGTAATTACAAGGTTAAAACAACATTGTCTCCTCCCTTAAAATCTGTAGTTTTATTCTACAAAAGGTTATTTTGAGGGGTCTGTTTGACTGTCTTTTTTTCATGTTATATATGAGATGGCATTTCCAAAGTAGCTATTATGCTGTTCTAATATAATTTAAAGGGCAGGGGATAGCTACCTAAGACTGTGTCTTTTACGTTTAAACCTTTTTTTTTTTTTTTTAACTGATGGAAAGAGATATATACCAACACAAATAGCTCATGACCAATTCTCTCCCTGAGTATGACAGCTAGAACTAGTGGTTCCCAACTAAATGCTAAAGCCCCTGAAATGTCCCAGCAGGTTGCTGGGTTTGTACTACAATGTCCGGTACAAATTTCGTGTAATTACAGCTGACTGCTGAAGGAAGCCTGTGTTCTCTGCAGGCTGTTAGGACCTTAGTTATGGCCAGAAGGGTAGTGGGTAGGATTCAAACCTCCTACCAGTGCCAGCAGCTAGAGGCTTTCTTCAGAGCAGGGACAACTGACTGTAAGAATAAACCAGCTGTGCAGAGCAGAATTACATAGCTTGTAGATTTAGGTAAAATGGTGCCACCTGTGATTTTTTTTTTTTTTTTCCTTTTAAGAAGTACAGAAGAAAGAAAAAGGCAAATCCTGGAAAAAGGCCGCTAGCTTCTTAGGAAATGCCAGAATCTGCTCACTGGATCATTTTCCTGGGAGCAATAAAACAAATCAATAAATTTGAATTGAGTTATCATGGTGGTTTTCAGAATTACCTGAGAAGCTTGCCAACAATTCTGACTCCTGGGAGCTGGCCCAGAGTTTCTGATTCAGGGTCTGGATCAATCAATGAGTCTGGGTCAGCCATAAAATCAGTGTTTTGCCACTTACAAAATTATTAGGAGCCTTAAAAGATATCTCTTAAGGTTCTCTGTGACTTATAAAGTACCATACAAATGTTAACATTTAACTAATAGAGTGTGGATACTGTACCTCTTATTTGTTAGGCATTATGTTAACTCTTGGAGAAATCCATGTGTCCTAGTTGTAAATTGATAGTTTTCTATTCTTAGAGTTCACCAAGAATACTTTCTTCTCAAGAAAATGAATTCCTTAAGCCAAAAATTACAAGCAATATCTTTCTCTCTCAGAAGTAGTAGTTTTGTTGTTCCTGATTTAATTCTGAAAATAACACAAAGGCATCAAGAATCAAGACTAGTTTCAATTTGCTTCCAAGGAGGGAGTTTTAATCTTTCCAATTCTTTCTTTTTTTGTTTCTCTTCTTGTTTTAATCACAGATTTATTTGGAGGTAGGGTGGTTGGAATTTAGGCTAGTTTGATGGCATGGCTTCCTATTTTAATTGGACTGCAAAGAATAAAAATCATTAGAGGATGTTTGTATTGTATTTGGATAAAAAGGGTTTTCCTTCATATGTGTGCCTTGCTCATAGCCCACATTCTTAGAATGACTTGATAGTGCATAGTTCACATACCTCACACACAGTGGAGGTTTGATTGAATGAGCAGCGGGATGAATGGGCATACATGAAAACTAAGCAATAAGATATGCTGAAAGCACCACAGGCATATATAAAATTTGGACTGCATCTCATTTGTAGTTACTACTTAAAAATGGAATTCAGCCAAAGGATCATTTCTTTTTCATCTATAAAATAAAAGCACTTTCACAAAGAATCCTAGAGCTGGGAGAAAAAAAAGAAACAACTTTAAAGATAATCTAGTCTAGTGATTTTCGAATTGTGCTCTCTAGAGCTACAAAGCAAAGTTGCTCCAACTTTGGCTAAACATTTGAGTCACTGGGAAGATTTTTAAAATATAGATGCTAGGCTGGGCACAGTGGCTCATGCCTGTAATCCCAGCACTTTGGGAGGCCAAGGCTAGTGGATCACTTGAGGCCAGGATTTCGAGACCAGCCTGGCCAACATAGTGACACCCCCTTCTCTACTAAAAATACAAAAAAAAATTAGTTAGGTGTGGTGGTACATGCCCCTAATCCCAGCTACTCGGGAGGCTGAGGCACGAGAATCACTTGAACCTGGGAGGCAGAGGTTGCAGTAGCTGAGATCGTGCCACTCTACTCCAGCCTAGGGTACAGAGGAGACTCTGTCTCAAAATATAAACAAATAAATGAATTAAAATATAGATGCTAGAACTTCACTCCCAGAGAATCCAGTTCAGCTAGTATGCGTGGGCTGGGCACATATGTTTTAAAAGGTGGTACAGATTCTAATGCACAACCAGGGTGGTGAACCATCATTCTACGGGTTTGCAAGTCCAAACATTTGGACTCCTGATCTGATAAATACAAGTATGCTCCCTGTAGACAATATGATAGAATATATTAAACTGGAAAAAATGGGATGTGCTTGTGCCCTATAAAGTTTTCATTAAGTTCAACAACAACAATGTAATCTAGAAAAATTCAATTATACAGGGTTCTATTATACACTCTTATGATAGGACATTCTGCAGGTGCACAAGGGATACACAGAAGATTAAGGCCCATTGTTTTCCATAAAGATTTTACAAGGTTGGCCTATGGCAGAAGCATAGAAAGAAAAAGAGAAAAACAAGTATAAATATAACTTTAATAAAAGGCAGGTGTGCTATGAATGGCACAGGTAAGATTGAATCACAGATGAAATATTATTGCTTTCAGCATTTGCTCTAATTTCTCATCACTACCCAGCACATATCTGAAAACTGAGCAGTTTTGATATCCATCGTCTTAGAACACGACCTGTTTTTTAAGAGAACGGTGGGTGCAAGGATTAAAAAGGAAAAGGAAAAAATAAAACAGTTGTCCTGTTCCTTCTTACCTCCGCTTGATTTAAGGTAGGATATTTCTTAGAGCCTGGGACTCACCTAGCAGGAGGTCTCTCTGAGGGAGGAAAAGTAAAAAGCATGAGTGCCAACTGTTCTTTTCAGAACAGTCTGCTTCTAGACTGCTGGACCCTTGTGTCTTTGCCAAGGGGGAGGGCAGAGCAGAACATCTGCCTCACTTGATTTGCTTTTGTGCTTCTCCAGGACAAAGACTTAATAGTCAGGGTCATTTCATCTCCTTGCATGGATAATGAACAAAGCTGAGAGAAGGAAAGAAAGGGAGGAGAACAAAAGGAGAGAAGGAAGAAAGAAGGAAGAAAGAGAAGAAGGGAGGGAGGGAAGGAGAGATATTAAGAGTGTCCGTCATCTGTTGTTCTTCATATTGGTCTTAACTCAGAATCTTTGGAATTTTTTTGTTCCCTTCCCAAACACAATTATCTGACACAAGAACTTGCAAGATGTGATTAAATAAAGAGGCCTTTCAATATGTGATTAAACATAAGTTTGCATAAATTCCCACTAACTCCATCTACTCCCCGCTTATAACATTTTGCCACTCCAATTAATGGATCGAACTGGTCATTAAATATATCTTGGAGGTTAGTGCTTTCTATTATCTTTTATCCAATTTCAGTAGAATATTCAGTACAAGAGAGATTCAAAGAATCAGATATTCTAATGGAAGTAGTATTCATATGTGGTAGAGGAATCAGGAAAAAAAAACTGACTTGATGAGATGATTCTTAACGGATAGATAAGTATTCAACATGTAGGTGATCATAAGAAAACTTTCTGGCTGAGTAAGAAATATGGATAGTTTTATCCAGACAATGCTGGAATTTAGGCTATTGGTAGAAAAGAGGTAAAGATTAGAATGGAAAAATGGGCTCAGGCAGCATTCCATTTGTGGTAGATGTCGAATGCTGGTAGAACATTTGCACTTAGTTATAAAGTACGTACTTAATCATGAACCACTGAGGTTTTTTTTAGCATGGGAGTTACATAATCAACTTGTGTTTTATTAAGGTTAATTGGGCAGCACGTTGGGGCATAGATTGGGGCCAATCAGGAAAACAATGGGAGCAGAAGAATATGCAAAAGATTATTATTGTATTAGTCCAGAGAACAGTAGAGATACTTGTGTTAGAAAGATGGGCTTTTGGTGGTAAGAAAAGGAAAGAAAACATGATCTTAAAGAACTGAACACAAATAAATAACCAAGCAGGAATGGTGCTTCTACATTTATAAAACAAGCACTAACATGAATAGACTATGTAAAGTAATCACACAGTTGGGAAAGAATAGTTTTGGTTTGCCTTTTAAATCTCTCCAAGACTTGTTCAGTGTTACTAGTAATTTTGGAGATGTGGCCAATGAGTTTTGAAAATCAGGATAACTTCCAGTAATATATGTTCCTATAGGAAATAATGTTTACAGGCAAATGAATGCTCTGTTCATCTAAGAATATACCAAGTTAAAAATGAAAATGTCAACACCAGTTAGAAGTATAAAGGATTTTTTGTCCACTGAACTGATCAAATTCTTTTGACTTCTTGTAGGAAAGCATGAAACTTTATAATCATTCTCATCAAAAGTTCCGTGGAACTACGAATCCATCCACTCCCGTTAGACTCTATTATTATTCTTTGTCTGGGACATTTTGGTGTGTGTTGTGATTAGTGAGGCCTAACTCTGACCAAACTCTAGGTCGTTGTACCTTTCAGCACAGTCTCAATAAGAGGCAATATTAACGTGACATCTAACCAGGCCACAGTGGTATCTAAGCACATGCTATCATATTTTGCAGCAGACCTTTTTTGAGATCTGCTTCTAGTGCAGGTTCTGGGCTTGGTGGTGATGAGAAGAGTGTGAAGACGCTCACAATTTAATAGGGTGAAATTATACACAATAAAAATACAGAGAGATAGGAAAAAAGAAGAAAAGGAAAAGAATGAGAGCCCAGGAGCAGGGGAAATTCATTCTATTTAGTGGACTATACGGGAGGCTTTATAAAGACAGTGATGTATCATGTAAGATGTGCACCTGACAACCAGTTCATTTCCTATTTCTATCCTTCCCTTCCTTTACTTTCTGAAATATTTATGAAATGCCTATTGTGCTTAAAGCCCTATGACAGGAGCTCTGGGTTCCAATCAGACATGAATCCTGCTCTCAAACAACTGTGAAAACATTACATTGAGTATGTACACCAAGTAGAAATTAAATGATCCAACACAGATTCTTGTTTTCTGGTTTCTTGTTGTACTGGCAAATGCTGCCTCCTGTACTGAAAAATTTGTTCTTTCTGAAAAATTTGGACTGTCCCTGGATGGTTTGTATTATGATTAAAGAAAGAATGATAGATTTATTTTTAAAAAGTGATAACAGAACAGACTTTACATCAACCAGATTTACATAAATGTAGGCTACATGCTAGATGATGTGCTGTTTTATCCTATTTCTATCACGCTTTGTGCAGATACCTGGCCCAAAATTTTCTTATTCATTGAGAAGACAGAGAAAAGTATAATTATGGCCAAAATACTAGCTTGTACAAAGCTGTTTTCTTTATTGTGTTTTTAATACAAGTGTAAGACAAGAACAGAAGTATAAGACAAAGAGAAAACATTAGAAAAGTGGCAGAAATATAGTAGTCTTGATGCCTTGCTATATTCACTGTTTTGAAAACTGTTACTGAATGCACAAGGAAACACCCCCAGTTACTCATGGGGACTCTGCTGCATATGGAAAACAAAGCAAGATCTGGAGACAGTGAGATCCTGGCCCAGGATACAATGACCAACTTGCCACTGGTCATTTATAATCCCTGAACTGCATAGGAATGCGCTCCCTGCAACGTGAAAATCAACGTGTGGTATTTCACTTCTGAGTGAGTTTTTTGGAAACCATCCTCTGAAACCCTGTTAGAAAGAACCTTTAAAAATAATTTCATGGTTCTGTGTTAGTGCTTTCTTTCTAAAAATGTAAGAGCTAAAGTTGGTTGGTGGACGCAGAAGTCTTACTAGCTTTGAAAAACTGCTGTGCTTCGTGTTTTACTCTCGTTTATTTCTCTCTTCCTAACCATTGAATCTTAAAGCACATTCTTTCATTAAGGAGATTCAGCACCCTCTAGAGTAGTGGATTGTGAGTCATTAACTGCCTGAAGCATGTCCGAGTCTTGAGAGATAAGAGTCAGGCTTGTGCAAATGAAATTTTAAACAAATGCTGCAGTACTTTTGTATCTTTCTCTTAAACAGTACAAATTTTGGTTGACCATGGAAATAATAATATTGAAGTTCAAAATTTAACTTCCTTTTCAGGTTATGTCCCATGATTTGACATCCTACAGATAGAGAAACAGAGTTTTCCTTCTTTCAAAGAATCCTCCTCACAACTATCTGTGATTCATTTCCATTGTGTTTCCCATTCTTGCGCCATTCAGCAAGATGGAGCCTGTTTCATCAGTTTTTGGTCTCTGTAGAGTGTTCCTTTATTCAATGATTAACTACTAGCTTTCTGGTGACTTCTTAATCTTTTTCTGTATTTTAAAATATTCCTTCATTTCAGAATTTTCTTACCTAAGATACAAACACTAAATGGAACATAAGTAACTGCAGTTGCTTTCCTCCCTAATCAGCTCTGCCTTTCCTACTGAAGATATAATTTAAAAAATGTATCAAAACCCATGAAAGTTAAAACTTTAAAATAAACACTAGGCAATTTGTTTCCTCAGTGAAACAAATTTAGAGGTTAAGGTGACAGAAATGTGTTTATACCTCATATAACTAACAATGCACCCATTTATGTTAGCAATAGTTTTATTTTTTAAAAATGCTGCAAAATGTAAAGATAGGTGGCCTCAAAATGTTTATACTAAATAGAATGAAAAAACAAAACCAATACACAATTTTGTTAGGAAACACTGAAATCCACTGCTTAATGTATGCATTAATGGGCCTTCTTGACAAATCACCTGTTAAATTTTAGCTGACAGCTTGTCATATATTAATTATAAATAAGTGTAATATACAGTTATCATAATGCATGCAACAAAAAAGAAATAGGAAAGGTAATTAGAGTATATCCTTTGTTTTCTCCCTTCACTTCTTGCTCACAAGAAAAAAATGACCCAGTGTTTCACTTGGGTTGGGATAGTGCCAATGGTTAATGGAATGCCCCAGTCTACTAAAGAATTTAATGGGAATATCCATTTGTCACAGTCGCATGCTGTGATCTCCAGTAGCAGAGCCAGTATTGTCACAGTCGCATGCTGTAATCTCCAGTAGCAGAGCCAGTAGCAAATAGCATTGTACCATAACGTCCTCTACACACTGCAGGTGAGGGTGAAGTGCAGCAGCTGAACAGAGCAGTCAGTGGAGGAGGTATGGCTTTTCTAGGCCTTTCTTTATGAAAGATGTGGATTTCTTTTTTTTATTATTATTATACTTTAAGTTTTAGGGTACATGTACACATTGTGCAGGTTAGTTACATACGTATACATGTGCCATGCTGGTGCGCTGCACCCACTAACGCGTCATCTAGCATTAGGTATATCTCCCGATGCTCTCCCTCCCCCCCACCACCCCACAACCGTCCCCAGAGTGTGATGTTCCCCTTCCTGTGTCCATGTGATCTCACTGTTCAATTCCCACCTATGAGTGAGAATATGCGGTGTTTGCTTTTTTGTTCTTGCGATAGTTTACTGAGAATGATGGTTTCCAATTTCATCCATGAAGATGTGGATTTCTTTTCTTAAAGAGGACAGTGCTGCCTAACAGCAAGAAGAGATGCTGCCTTGAAGAAAAGGAAAGTGTATTTTTTTCACGTGGAAAAAGAAAGCATAAATGATTGCACAACATGTCTCAAAATCTCCAGCTGCCTCCTTTTCTACTGGAAGCCCACTTGTTTGTAAAGAATCTTTGGGTAGTGGAATCAGAACAGGTGATTTCAATCATCAGCTAGTTCTGAGTTTGAGCTTTCAAATCTGCAGAATGGGAGTAATGACACCTAAGCATGCAATGTTACTGGTAGAATCCATAGAACTACATGGGTCAAAAAATTTAGCATGGCACCTTAATTAATATCTTCTTTTCTTCTTTACAATTGAATTTGAATGATAGGGTTGTCTGGCTGCTTTTTAATTTATTCTTGAGACAGAGTCTGGCTCTGTTGCCCAGTCTGGAGTGCAATGGCGTGATCTCGGCTCACTTCAACCTCCACCTCCTGGGTTCAAGCAATTCTCCTGTCTCAGCCTCCCGAGTAGCTGGGATTACAGACACGTGCCACCACGCCCAGATAATTTTTGTATTTTTAGTAGAGACGGGTTTCACCATGTTGGCCAGGCTGATTTCAAACTCCTGACCTCAAGTGATCTGCCTGCCTTGGCCTCCAAAAGTGCTGGGATTACAGGTGTGAGCCACAGTGCCTGGCCTTTTAGCTTTCTTATGTGCTAGTTCTGTGTTTGGCCAAAGCAAGCTACTGAGAAATGCTGTATAACTTAAATTTGAAAAATACTCTCTGAAATAAAAATAGAAACACACGTAGAAGTGAATATTGTTATTTGAGGACTGAAACTATTATTGTTTCATTTATGTATTTAGCAGTAAGTCAATAAAGTGTATTAGACATAAGCTAACACCTACAGGAAAAGGTCTTAGATATTAGATTTAGTGTTTTATGAAATTCCTCACTCTCTTCCGAACATGTCACTTGAATCTATGCTGTGTTTCTCCATTTAGCTGGATTTAATAAAAACCCCAGTAGTCCTCACAAAGAAAACATGATTAGCAACAATTTATTCCATACCTTGGTCAATAATTTATCATCACTATAGAAGTGAAAATATTGGATTTGAAGTCAAACAGATCTAGGTTCAAAATTCTAGCTTGGCCACTCACTGTGTCAGCTTGGCCAAATTACTTATCCTCTCTCGTCCTGTTTCCTCACTTATATAATGGGGCTAATAATACTTAACTAGCAAGGCAGTTAAGATTGGAAACGAGGCAGTGCTTCCAAACTTTTAATCACTAGCCACATGATCAAAAAGGAAGTTTTGCAAAAAAAATAAAAAAATAAAAAATAAAACAACTTAGTATGTATAATGCACTCTGTGTTTTTTCCTACTTTTCTTTCATTTCAGAAATTGTTTATGACCCACTAGATTCGCAACCCACATAAGGTCATGAAGTGCCTTTTCAAAAACAGGTGAACTTTAACATGCTTAGCACGATGCTTAGTACATAATACAAGTGTAACAACTGATTACTATTATTGTCATCGTGATTATTTTTAGTCTCCTGTTAGGATGCCTCATGATAAATGAGAATAAATCTTCCAAGTACTTCTAGGAACTAACTCCTTTGGATGGGGTCCAAAACAGACTCATACTCATCGTATGCTGAATTATGCACTAGAGGGGGTAGTGCTATAGCAAAGCTCCTGTGTGCTATTTATCACAGAATGTTAGAGCTGGAAGGAAACGAAGAAAATGTCTTGTCCTATTGCTTCATTTTTCCTTCATAAAAGTATTTGGAGTTTTAAAAATATTCTATATGTATTGCTCATTGATAAGTTGGAAAACTGGCTTCTTTGATCCAGAATGTGGAGGTGATGATGAATAGCTGGTGGGATGGAGGGCACTGGATCATGATGTCTGAGTTCTTGTCCTGCTTCTGGCACCAAATAGTTGGATGATTTTAAATTCTCAGGGTCTTCGTTTCTTTACCTGTAAAAACGAGGTAATTTCAACAAAAGATTAGCCTGCTTCTGATGTTCTTTGACTTAAAATTTCCAAATGGTAAACCAGTCCAGAAGTTTACTAGATGCTGCAGCATTAGGACACTCTTTTGTTGCCAATCTGCTCTGAATATATTAACATGAGTGTAGCAGGCTGCAGTCTCACTTCCATTACTACTCAGATGTGCAGAGAAACTTTGGCTTCTCTATTTGCTGTATCTCCCGTTTTTCAGCAGCATCACCCTGAATAATTCTCAGTCTCATTGGTATAATAATAACTCAGACTCTCCAGTCACCTTGACCCATCCCTACTTCTTTCTCTAAGATGTTTGATGTTTGGTTGTAGTAGAGACAAGAACATCTAGGACTTCACAGTGTCAGAAAAGTTGGGCTTATGCCATTTACTTGTACTGTCCTCTGTATCCCCTGATTTCTGGGTCCCTTTTCTACTTGCTAGTTTAAATCACTACCAGTGGTGTAAGATGATATATCCTCAACTATGTTCCCAGATAGCAGTCAGATTTACCAGCTGGGTTCTTCTTAAATGAGGTCAGATCTGCAGGCAGAGTGATACATTTCCCACAAAAGTAACAGCAAAGGAATATTAGGGGTTTTAAAACTTTCTGTTTCTCTAACATGCAACTTTGGATGAGGAAAGTGGGATTGCCAGTTTATGGGGGCACATGTGGCAATGACAAAGCCAAGTAGGAGTTTACATCTTGGGTGGAATCACCTATGGGGAGGCTGAGATTTCTGGATCCATCCTTAGGTCACAGGGGGCAAGGGTCCATCATCCCTGCACAGCTTTTCAGCTCCTGTGAAATCAGAATGATTGGAGGGTAAACCTCGTTTGAAGGCTTGCACAAGAATTGATTTCTTCCTGATTTTCACTATGACCCTAACCATAAAAAAGCAAAACCAAAAAGCCAAGAGACAATCATGCAGGGATGCTCCTCCCCCACCCCCAAATTGCTGGAAAACTAAACTTCGTTTAGAGAGATTCCTTTAAAAAATATGTGACTTATTTTTGGAGTACATAGGGGGCAGAGGATTACTGACCAATCCTTCGGTGGCTTTCAGGAGCACAGCATGCAGATGGTGGAAACAAATGGGCAGCTTGAGACAGCAGTCAGCATGCTGGATCATTAAGTCAAATCTAAGGGTGTCTGTTTACCTTTGCTCTTTCAAAGACAGCCCGGAGTCTGCAGGGATAAGTATTGTGTGTATGTGCTGGCCTGAACACAGAATGAGCAATGGAGGTGGCTGGTGAGCTCTAGCTTTACTTTATTTAACCTTTCTGACCAAGTTTCTAATAAATTTTGATGGGCCAACTGCCAATGGTGGCTTCCAGCTGCCGACTTTTTCCACATGCTGGAGACCCTATGAGTAGTGAAGAAGGTTAAAATCCATCTCTTAGCTAACAATACACACAGTGCACCTTAGTCACCTTGGGTTGTGTGGATGAAGAGTGCATAGCCCAACAACTGGATGCTTGTCTAGGGAAGAGGTGTTATAGTGTCCTTCAGAGAAGCTGAGGAGCACTGCATTTCCAACAACATAAAAGCAAGTGGCATGAAAGCAAAACAAGTTATCACACTAAGATTTTGGTTCAGTACTTCCCAGTCTTCCTCGTTGCCTTCAAAGCGGATCCTACAAGCATCCCCGAAGGAGGCTGCCAAGGTGAACTGGGGCGGACACAAACTGTGTCTCATCAAAGCACGCTCCCTATAGTATTATCACTGCTGTCAATAGGGCGCGACCAGCATTTTTTCCTCCTTTGCGCTGGGACGCAGAGCAGGAAGCGCCCGGGTGTGCATCTCTTAGGAGATGAGTGAATCTGTTGGAGAGGGTCTTTTCTGGCCTGGTGGATGGATGCTGGGGAGTGACGTCACCCCGCCCCCTCCTCTGGTGTGTGTGTGTCTGTGTGTCTGTGTGTGTGTATGTGTGTGTGTGTGTGTGTGTGTGTGTGTGTGTTGCCTCCTTCACCCACCTCTCCTGCCTGCCCCTCCTTTATCCGGCTCTCTGGCCCTTTCAGTGGGTCAGTGGTCCAGATTCAGGGATTCGCCAGCGGGCGCAGCGGGCCCAGCTCTCCCCGCGTCCGGGCGCACCCACACTCACACTCACGCGCAGGCAACGCGCACACACAATCCCCCAGCGCTGGAGCACAGCAATTCCGTGGGATCCCCAGCACGTTACGAGGATTTTAGAAATCACCCACACAAGGAAACAAAGAGAGAAGCCTTTCCAATGACTTTCCTGGGCTTTTTCGTTTAATTTTCCCCCCTCCCCAAACCACCTCTTCTGCAGCCGTAACTACCAGGTTCAAGCCAGGTCCAAAGACTGGGCTGCACCGGCCACCCCACCTCCCGGCCCTCGACTCTGCTCGGGCCCTTTCCCAGGCGTCGCCTCGCACCCCTCTCCCCCCACGAGCCTCAGTTTCTGGTTACCTCGCGTGCGCTTCACTTTTGGGGGGAAGAAGAGAAGGGGAGGGAGGCACCGAGGGGGGCAGCCGAGTTGCTATTTGTGGCCAAAGAATCCGCTTTAAAAGAAGAGGCAGCAGGAAGGAGGAAAGAGGAGAGGCGGAGGGAGGAGAGGAGACGCGGCCCCGGACCCCCCAGCCGCGAGCGGCGGAGCATCGAGGAGCGGGAGGAGGAGGAAGAGGAGGAGGAGGAGGAGGGGGAGGAGACAAACAGCGGCGGCGGCGGCAGCGAGAGAAGCGGGCGCAGGGCGAGCAGGAGGAGCGGGAGGAGGAGAAACCGCCGCGGAAGCCGCGGGCTCAGAAGGGCCAAGAGGACGGCCCGGGAAGAGGAGGAGGAGGCGGAGGAGGAGGAAAAGGGGGTAGGGGTGGAGGGAGGGCGGGGGGACGCGCTGCCTTGGATGCTGGATTTCGGGTTTTTGGACTCACTCGCTGACTCTCTTCCACTTCCTCGCTCTGGACTGGGCTGGCCGCACGAGGGCTGGGCGGCGGCGGCGACCAGGGGGGCTTCGGCGGCGGCGGCCGCTGCTCCGCGGGATTAAATTGGCCGCCCGGAGGCGGCGGCGCGGCCGTGGCGGGGCGCGAAGGCGCTGGAGGAAAGTGTTGGCGGCGGCGCGGGAGGCGGTGGCGGCGGCTGCCCGGGGCCAACATGACCAGGTGAGTCCCTGGAACTGACCCCGTCCGCCCCGCGGTGTCTTCCCCTCTTGCTGCTCCGGAATCGCCCTGCGCCCGGCTCCGGCTGCCGGCGCCTCCCGAGCCAGAGCGACACGCTCGCGTTTCCGCGAGCCCGGCGCCCGGGCACCGGAGCGCACAGTTTGCTCCTCTGGACCTCCTCGGGCAGAGGTCCTCTCCTGCTGGGTTCACTTCTCGCCTGAAACCTCAGACCCGGGAGAGAGGCGACTCTAGAGAATGGGGGTGTCCGGGTATGTGTATTTGTGCGACCCCCGCTCTCTCCTCCTAGGGTGGGCGTAGTATTGGGGGCAAATGGTGGAGCGGTGGGGCAATCCACCCTTACCCAGGGATCCTGCCACCGCCTTTTTTAAAGGCAGGGATTACTGTTTTAAGGAGGGCTGACTACGGTGAGGGGGCGATTTCTTTTTCTTTCTTTCCTCTGAACTAGTGGGGAGAAGGAGAAATAGCAGGAATCAAAGTCTACGCAGCTGCCATAGAGGAGGGGGATTGTTTGGGAGACCTTCCCGTGGCAGAATCAAAGCTCGTAGTTCAGCTGCGGGAATCTGGTGTACTTAACACACACATTCATTCCGTAGGGAAGGGAACGCATCTTTTATAATGAAGAGTCAAAGTTGTAAGAAACAATTTAAAAAGAAAGCCACGAACAAACCAAAGATTATTTGCTTTCCCATAGATTTATTGTAGCTTTTATGTGGGTGTGTAGAAAACTTGCATTGCTTCTCTGGACGTTGATTTTCATTTAAAAGCACTAGCAAGTGAAGTCAGTTTTTAAGTCTTATGCTTAAAAAAATCTTGAACACCAAGTGTGAGCTTGGCTTTCATTAATTTGGTGTTCCAGGATTCCAGATAGTAGTTCCATTCTCCAAAACCAGGACTATCACAATCCACTTTTATTGTTTCCAGTTCGCCTCCCAGTACGCTACTTGCCAAATGTCTCCTCCGTTTTCTAAAATTCTCAGAGTAATCCCCCAGCCTCATCTACAGTTTGCACCTTAAGTATCTAGGAAGATTCCTGAGGGCTCGTTCTCCTTGTATTTCCTCTTAAAGTTATATATATATATTTACATGTGCAAAGACACAGTGCCAGTGACTTAACAGAGTGTAGCTCACACAGTTTGAACCTCTCAGAGGCTAGTAACTGCTTATGACTTGAAATAGGTTTGCTGTTAAATTTACTGAGCTACAAATGTGGACTTTATCCTTTGGTGTATTCTTTTCTAACCATCCTGTAGCGCATCTCTGGGGACTTAGTTCAACCATAGATACTTCTGACCATTTTCAGTATTTTTTTCTCTGTTTCAAAGTGCACACACCAACCACTCAACTTGAGTAAAACAAGGATGATATACCAAAACTTGAAACATTCTGATGTAAAGGGATCTGTAGAGATAATAACTTAAGATTAAGTTGTATATGTAATATAATAATACCCAGTAAAAGGCTTAGTATCTTACTTACTTTGAACATATATTCTGCTTTATGCTACAGACACTATAGCAAAAAGAGAACACATTTTCAATGTTCCGTGTCTGACTTATGGAAACAGACATCCTAAATGGACAATAAAATTTTCCCTACCTCCCACATTCCATAATTATGTACTGTACTTTGCTTTTCAATGGAGCTAGCAATTCTGTGGCAGATTTCTTAAATTCACCCTCATGCTATCAGCTATTATTGTACTTTCAAAGTGTGAAATTGACAAGCTGGTCAGTTTCATGAATTCAGCTGTCAGATTGTGTCCAGTTAAAAATTGCTAAAAGCTGTAAATGTGCCTGCCTGGAATTTTCTTTTGTGAAGGAAGGACAGCAAGGGGATGGGGGATTAATGGGTGTTATTAATTGTAGATCTTTAAAAATAGATGGACTCCAATGTGAGTTGTATCACTGGCTGTTACTGGGAAATACGTTTAGATTTTTACTCCTGTAAAAGTGGCATTCAATTTTTATCTGTATCTTATTTTAAATAGTACTTTGCATAGAAATCATCTGTTCTTATAGCCCTCAGTAATATATAATAGGAATAAGATTCAAATAGGAACACTGTCTCTCTCAAATATATTTTAATATAGTTGAGTAATGTATTATTTTTGCATGACATGTAAAAAGGTGGATGAATTAAACATTTTATTGTGTAGGTTATGTAACACAGATTCTTCTTGGGCCAGAGCAGTTGTGCAGTTACTCAAGTAATGAAATGCAGCAATTTATTTTAATATATGTGCGTTAGAGTAGATAACCATAGATGTAAAACTGCTTAAAGTATTAAATACAGTGATTTGATTTGCCTTTTAAGATTGACACTTATTTAAATCCAGAATATCTCAAAGTCTGGAACTAAGAATTGGAATCCCCTCATCTGCTGCTATTTGCTAAGCCACTAGGGGCCTGTATAACTGTTCTTATATCCAGGAGGTATCCTGGTATGGCATATGCAAACCCTTCCTAGAGAGACATTAAAAAAAAAAAAAAATTCAAGTAGGCATTCCCCCAAGTTTTTGTTTTTTCCTTTTTAATACATTAACTCATATTCTGATACTAGTTATAGACAATGATTGAAGACTATTTCAAGAATTTTATTTAGGGCTTCTCTGGCACTATGATTTTCCATATAGAGTGTGAAAAATAGAAAAGAGAAAAGGTATTGGTGCAAATTCATATGTGATTCCAGTTCTCAGTGTATGACAAAGATAAACAAGAAGGAACATTAATAACTTTTCTTTATTGGACTGATAAGGATGTTATTTGCATAATGTAGGGTTAAAAGATAAATGAAGCAGAATTACTTTAAGGGAAGTATAGGCATAGATTGATGATGTGATTAAAGTAGCTTTGTAAGCGCTGTACAAGTTTGTATGGAAAGAAAATCTGAGGCTGTGACCACAGTTTAGTTAGCACTTGAGGGACCTGGACTGAAGACGCACTATACATTTTTAAGTGTCAGTTTCACAGATTTGAAATCGACCAGCCATGGCAATCTTGAGAGACATTAGGCAGTGAGGTCAAGTATACTTAAACTGTTCTTTCGTTGATTTTCAATTTTTCAAACTGACAAGGGTGACTGTTTGTAAAAGAGTACACTGTAAGTATTTGCATATTAGATTTCCTTCAGACCAAACTTGATTTATCAAACCATTGGACAATTCTATTTTTAAAAGGATTCTATGCATAATTAAGAATTCATTAACACAATCACATATGAAAAGTGTCATTTCAAGAAAGGTGAATATTTCAAAGATGACTTCATTTTAAAACTATCCTTCCTTAGTTTACCTTTTATTTTAAAACAACCCTTCTTTAGTTTCATTGTGTATTTGCAGGCAGTATAAGAGTCAAGTGTGTGTGTGCTCTTGTGCTCTAACTTGTGATCCTAGGAGCATCAGACTTAGGTTTACACTTAAAATATCTATGCAGAAAGCCTTTAATCATGGTACCTTTTTAATTCCCAAAAGTTTCTAGGAATCTCGAAAATAAACTTTACGTTTTATGTAGTGTACTCAACTTAGTGGTCACGAAATATACAGGATTTGTATTACATGCCCAGATATATGAAGTGCTAAATATAGATATAATTATCCAGTTTTCCCAGAGTATTCAAAAAATGCTTTACTTTTTCCTATTTTCTTAAAGTGATAATAGTTACATGTGATTTAAACCAAATTTAGTCTGAATCTCTTTTGGTTTTATGGAGTTATTTACCTTTTTTTGTTGTTATTTCATCTTTCTACTGTTCAGTTTCTTTGAAAATATCTTTTAGGAAAGCTGCTTACTTGTGATGGCAAAGAGGCAGCTTACTGCCTCAAGCAAAACCAGTGTTTTAAAACATTCTTTTTTATATTATCAGTGATTTGCCAAGAAAGAGCAAAGAGAAGAGTTATTCTCTCTGTGAACTACAAGATTGAGAATTCCTATGTAACACATCAACTGAAGAAATCTGATAATGTGGAAGAAGATTGCTTAGAAGGAATTTGTCAGTAAATTTCATTTGAACAAGCATCACTTGTTTAAGCTTCTGTAATTTCATGGCACAGTGACATTTCTACCAAAGGATAGGTTTGTTTGGGATACATTTTCTATATGGGTAATCTCATTTGCTTCTAATTGGTAGCTGGTGACACTTATTAAAATGTCATGCTTGGCTTACATCTGTTTCCACAAAGTGTCCAAATTCTCTCCCTTTTTTAAAAAAATAAAAATGGATTTCAACTCTCCACAATTAAGCCCTTAAGAAAGATAGCTAAAAGAATATGTGACTTGTGCTTCCTGATTGTTCATTATATGAAATTATAGCCTCAGATGTAAAAGTTCAGCATTTTCTTTGCGTCATAAGTCTTAGGAAGGTCAAAGAGCAAATGCTTATATGTTACAGCAGTCTGACTTAATGTAACCTAAATAATAATGCCATCACAATGGTGCTAGACTGGAGAATTAATGAATTAGAATTCTTACGAAACATAGTTCAAAAGATTACACTGAAGACCTGTGTCTCTCATTTCCCCCTTAATAAATTACCCATTTGCTTTCAAGAAATCAACAGTTTGCATTTTTTTCTCTTAACAGTTTATTTATAAAATATTTTTAGGACTTAGACATTATGTACTTTACGTATTACATCCGTGTGTACTGCCACGCTCCTCGAAGCAACTCACAGGGAAAAAAATGGACTAAAACAATGCCTGCAGTGCCTCCCTCCTCCCTCACAAAATGATTAATTCTGTATCTTCCTGTTAATTATTTTTAGTTTGATGCTAATACATTTAACAGGACCATATTAATACTACTCAGTTGGCCTATGACATTTTGAAAATTACCAAAAGGGGGAAAAAAGAGAGAGACAGCAAAACTGAGCTTTTTGATGGCTTTTTAACCTCTGCTGTCCTTCAAATCAAATCCCTATGTGTCATAGATAAGTAAACTAAATGAAAAAGATGACAGTTTGGAGAGCTAAGACAGCTCATTCTGTCTGTAAGCTAGTAGGTCATGTATACCAGCAGGCAAGTAGTATTGAGACAACTTATGTTCTTCCCTCTTCACCTGCGACGAGCAAACCTTGCTTTCCTTTGTAAATGGCTGCTTTTACGTGGCAGGTCCCCACTTTGGCTCCTCCAGCATTTACAACAAAATGTAAGAGCCAAAGCAGCCATCTGAGTCAAGGCTTTCTCTTAGTTCTTTGAATTCATTGACCAGAAAGGCTAAGTTTGCTTCTTCCTTGACATTCAGATAACAATGTCAGGAGCATAGTGACCTTTGCCACATGGCTATTTACTAGATTTAACTCTCGTAACTCTGCCAGTTGCATGAGATTGATTAAATTTATAAATTCTCAATTGTCTTTTTCTTTTTCTTTTTTTATTAACAACATCCCTTGAGCTATGTTCTTTAATGTAGCAGTAGCTAACTAAATTGAGATTTGGGAATTGTATTTAGAAAACAGCATTTCTCAGTACTGCTTTGGGGTTTGGAGAAATTGTACTTTCAAATACATAAAGTGATCCTCTGTAATGATTGGATCACAAGTAACAAGAGACATCTTTTTTTTTTTAAACCGTTAGTAGATGGATTTCATTTATTAACTAAAAGGGTTGTATTAGTAATGATTTCATAAATGGTTGGATATCAGTTATTGTTAATTCTCATTTAACCATGCGTGCATGTAATACATATTAAGATGATGCTAAAGAATTGCAAAATCTCGACCCAGGTTCCTTTCTTTTTAGGCTACAGTGAAAAGAACATTCAGTTCTTATAGGAAGAACTAAATTTATGCCTCAGTTCTGCCACTTATTATCTGTGAGCTCTCGGAGGAAATGATAAAACATTTCAGAATCTTAGTTTCATCATCTGTAAAATGGAGGGAATGAATAACCATACATGTAATGAATATCCAGTTTGATCATACAAATTTATCTTATTTTGTATTTTAAATTTACATAATTCTCGAATGTAGAAGTCACGTAATGAACATACCATATTCAAGAACACTAGTTCCTATGATAGAGTTCTGTTGTCTTCAGCTATTTGTTAAAAGTGATTGCCACTTGACTTAAAAATTAAGATCTGTTGGATACGGATGTTTTGTGTACGTTTTTCCTGTTGGCACTCTGTGTGTACTGCTATAATTAGTGTAGTTGCTAGAACTCTCTTTTTCTGCTTAGCACATTTATTAAAGTCTGTACATATTAGCATGGCACGGTATGTTGTTTATCTTAGAAAGCATTTAAAGCAAAAGCTAGAAATAATTTTACCTAGAATGCACAAAGAGAGCGTTTCTCTCTAAAGTCTAAATTTTATTAATATATTCCTGGGGATATTTGATTTGGAGTTTCAGTTTGGGGGAAGAAATGTTTAGAAAAGCAGTTAATTAAAATACTGAAGCAGAATAAGTGCCTTTTTTTTTTTTTCTTTAATGGTAGTGCATCTTAGAAAGCTGCTTAGACTTTTGCCCAGTGCAGCTGTCCTTCCCTGAAGTATCAGGTTTCAAGAGCAATGATGGATGGTGGGTGCCTGTAGCCAGTTGTGGGGTTTGCTCTGAGGTCAAATGTATTGATGGAGGCAAGGAATTTACTGCCTTCTGTCTCCCTAAGATTCACCAGTACAATTTTACAGGGAGAAATTAGACTAGACACATCAAATGCTGATCCAGTGTCTGCTTATAGGTCAACAAGACATATGTTTTCAATGTTTAAAATAAAAATTTTCTCCGTCTTCCTTCCTCCTGGCCCATCCCATCTAAAGGGACATTTTGAGTATGCTCTAATGATTTCTTACTACACAAGTAGATCCTGGCCTCCCTGTGAAAACACATTCCAACTACTTGTAGTAGTAACTTAACTGAAATATTATTAGAGAATTTTGAGAGAAAAACCAATTCAGACTTCTCTGGTTGAAATAGCTCATTATGATTTTGTAGATACATTGATTTATGTCTTATTTTAAAAAGATCTATCAAGATTATTTGGCTAGCTAGAAATAAGAGTAGTTTGTTGGATGTATCTTAAATATTCTAAATCTACTTACTGGCCAGGTAACCATTTTTGCTTTTCTCGGGGAGGGGGAAGAAAAGAGGCAACTATGTTTTTCTAGAGGAATAAAATATTGGAAGCATCTTCCATTGGAAATATGCCATGGATGGAAGTTGTTCTTTGTCAGTTACTTCTTTGACATTCACTTTCTTCATCAACATGGAACTCTGTCTCCATTTGATGTTTGGCATCTATGTCTCCATCTCCATTCTAAACTCTTTTATTTTCATTTTATCTATATCCCCTTTCAGGTGGCTATCTGTACTGTCTCCTGCCATATGTCTATCCACTTCTCATAGAAACAATAATTTCTACATAGATAACCTTCAAAATAAATTTCCTCGCTTGTCTCTGGAGTTCCAGACGTGCATTTCTATCTGCTTGTTACATGACTGGGAAATGGGAGGCTCTCCTGTATCCCAAACATTGTATTTTGTAAACCCAAAATACTATCTTCCATCCATATCTATTTCTCTTTTCTTCATACTTCATCTGAGTTATCCCTTGATCAGAAACCTTGGTGTCATCCCTATCTCTTTTCTTCCTTTTGTTCTTATCCTCAGGCAATTTTGTAGATTCTCCTCCTGTAATCTTTTCACTTTATTTCCTTTCCATTTCTACCTTTCCTATGTGTTCTGCACTCCATACGCAGCTTCTTAGGTGGTTTTTGTGTTTTCTCATTTCTCCTCTTTGAGTCTTCCTAATTTTTGCTTTATGAAAGGCAAACTTGCTCAAGTCTACTTGATCAAGTGCTCAATACTCAACACAGCCATCAGAGCCCTTTGCAGTCTGCTCCCAAATTGCATGTCTAGCCTTCTCCCTCACCATAGCCCTGTGATACTCTGCCCTTGTGCAGTATCACATTCCCTGCAGTCATTGAGGAGGCTGTGCTTTTGGGCACCTCTTTAGTTCTACCAATACTGTTCCTGGAATCTCCTTTCTCTTACCAGCTGTCCTCACTTGTATCCATTGAAATCCTATTATTCTCTCATTTTCTAATGCTCAGTTCAAGTGCTATTCCTTTTCGTTGAATTGAGTTGAACTAAAGAATTATGGACCAGGCGCGGTGGCTCACGCCTGTAATCCCAGCACTTTGGGAGGCCGAGGCCGGTGGATCACGAGGTCAGGAGATCGAGACCATTCTGGCTAACATGGTGAAACCCCGTCTCCACTAAAAATACAAAAAATAAGCTGGGCGTGGTGGTGGGCGCCTGTAGTCCCAGCTAAAAATACAAAAATTATCTGGACATGGTGGCACTTGCCTATAGTCCCAGCTACTCGGGAGACTGAGGCAGGAGAATGGCATGAACCCGAGAGGCGGAGCTTGCAGTGAACTGAGATTACACCAATGCACTCCAGCCTGGGGGACAAAGCGAGACTCCGTCTCAAAAAAAAAAAAAAAAAAAAAATTTTTTTTTGAGTTGAGTAGAATTGAAACCATAAAATGTGAAGAATAATTATTCATTAGAAACCTCTCACAATGCTCAGGACCCTGAGATAGGTAAAAATTAAAATTCCTTTATGGGGAAAAATTTCATTAATTTTCTCAAATTTACAGCTATAGCATAGTGGTTGATATGTAATAGTTGTAATAGTGATTATTTCTAAAACTTACTGAGCATTTATTATATGCCAGGCATTCTGCTCAGTACCTCACCTTTAGTATTATGTTTAATGTCTAAAATAACATTCTGTGTAAGTCAGATGGTTTTATTATCATCATTTCACAGAAGAGGGTTGATCCATGGAGAGATTAAGTAATTTGCCCAAGGTTGCATAGATAAAAGTAATAAAGATGGAACATAGGGTCAAGATTTTAAGTCAAGCATCCCAACTTTTATCTGTTTCACTCACTCTTAACCTCCTCACTCTTGTATATGACATGATTTTAAAAAAAATATTTATCTCACATCGTCCAGGCAAGTACGCCCAATGACATGGTGCTTTCTTGACTCAAATTCAAGAAAAATCTATGTTGGAGGCCAAGACAGGAGGATTACTTGAGCCCAGGAGTTTAAGACCAGCCTGGGCAACATAGCAAGACCCTGTCTCTACCAAAAAAAAAAAAAAAAAAAATATTTGCCAGATACGGTGGTGTGCACTTGTGGTCTCAGCTACTTGGGAAGCTGAGATGGGAGGATCACTTAAGTCCAGGAGATCAAGGCTGCAGTGAGCTGGGATCGTGCCACTGCATTCTAGTCTGTATAACAGAGCAAGACTCTGTCTCAAAAAGCAAAAAACTAAAAAAAAAAAAAAAAAAAAAAAAAGGAAAAATCTTAAGCATTAATAAGTACGTTGCCTCTCTACCGTTTCTGAAGAGTATCTTCTGTTCCTTTCTCTGCTTGGGACTGGAGGCATTGAAAAAAACATTTTTTTACCAAAGGGGTTTTGATTCGATGACCTTTTTTTTCTGCAGATGGCCTCCAGCTCTAAAATTTTATCCTATTCTGCCAGTGATACAACTGCCAGAGCTCTGGGGTCAGTCCTGGAGCAGAAGTGTTTAAATGAAATATTTCCACCAAGAATAGTTCTTAAAATCAAAAAGGCTGCCATTTTCATAGCTGCCCAACAGGTAAGAAATCAGAAGCATTTTTATAAAGAGAACTATCGATCCAGCAGGGATATCTGAAGAGCAGTCACCCATCAAAGAAATGGAATTATGCCAAGTGACTGTTATATATGCATTCTGCTTATTGGCAGCCTGCCCTATACCATTTTATCTGAGAAACTTTTGTTAATTATAATGTCTTCTAAAATACTCTTGTTTTCATTTCACCCGTTAGTTTCATTATCAATAAGGGTGGATGATTTGATTATTTTTTCCATTTAACCTATTTTATAATAGTTTAGCCTCTTCTCCTTGTCTGTAAGTCCTCAGAGAACTATTTCTGATTATGATTTTATAAATAATAAAATACAGGATCTTATATTTGTTTGATGATTTGGAAAATTATTTTTTCTCTGACAAGAAGGTACCCCGAAGTTTTAAATCAGACATGATACATAAAATAAAGTTACATGGAAAATTACTCGGTCTTTTATGGCTTTCATGATATCTGAACAATTAAGTCTTCTTTGCCCAGGTTTCTAAAATGCTTCTCACATGCATACACTGGCCTATTTAGCCATATGTTTTTCTACCAGTTAATCTATAAACATAACTTCCTAGAAGCATGAAGCAGGGTGTACTTTTTTAGGTAATATGTAGCAAGGGTTTTTTTTATAGTTAGGTTATCAATACACATTTTAAAATAATACTTATAAATTAAGAATGATAAGTTTAATAAATACTGTTATGTATATTCAGTTACTGATTTAAGAAAGGACTGCTTATGTTTATTTTAATCCGACTTTTACTATTTAACAGACTCGACCTGAATTTGATTTATATGTACCAAAAAAAAAATATTTTAGGAAAATATTAATTTCAATTTTGAATTTTATCATTCAAAATCTGTTTTCTCTCAGTTACACTTGTATTATATCGAGGATACCAAAATAGATACTAACTTCCTTTCCACCAAATTATTCACTGTCTTTTCATGTTATTAGGTATCATCTGTTGAAAGGCCCCCATCTTCTCATGCTTGGGGTGCAGTCTCCTTGTGTTTGGTTTTGACCTCACCGTAGTTGCTTCTGTGCTCTGCAGCCAGCATGATCTTTAAGAAACTCAAATCTGATCACGTCATTCCTTGCTTTCAAATATTTCAGTGGCTCCCTGTTTCTGTCTGTAAAAAGCATGAAATATTCCTTACCAAAAGGCACCTGGCCTTTGATGTCCTTTCCTCTGCTTTGTCTCTTGCCACCTTGCCATACTCATATTCATTTTCTCTTCCCCACTCCTTCCATCCCTAACACACACACACTTGAGCCATACTAAAGTATTTGCTGTTTCCCAGATGTACCACATTGACTCTTTCTACTGTAATTTTGAGCATGCTCTCTCTCTTCCATTTGGAATGTCCCCAACCCTTCCATTTTTGCCTGATTTTTTTCTTCCTTCAGGGCATAGCTTAGCTGACAACTCTTCCTAGAAAATTTCCCTCCTCCCAAGTCTGGGTACCTTTCTCTGGGCACTAAAAGAATACCGAATAAATTCTACATATAGTGTCTATCATAATGCATTGTAATTGCTTATTTTTACTCTGTTTTATTAGGAGTACCTGGAAGCCAATGTCCATGTCTTATTCCCAGTGACATCTCCAGCTCCTACTACATGGCCTGGCTCGGTGCAATAGTAATATTGGGATGTTATCGTTGAGTATTCTGTAAACAAATTAGTGTGCCCAGAAAACTCAGAGGTGAATTAGTTCACGGCCCAAATCTTACAACCCATCTGTTTAGGTTCTACAGTTTACGATGGTATTGTCTATTGCTCCTCTGTAATTAATTTTAATTTTATATTATTTTGAGTGAAGTTTCATTTACCTAGTTCCTTACCAAACCAGGACAAAGCCAAATCTCAGTAGAGTGTGTGTATCTACTCATATGCCACTAGACAAGACAAATCTGCCTTTACATCTGGCTGTGGTAGCAATTCCCAGATGCACTTAATTCTGACACATGGCCATTATTGAACCAAAAGCAATTGCCTGGCATGATTATAGTTCTTATTTGTTTTCGTTTTAAGGGGCCTCATCCAGGCTGCCAAATGTACAACAGGTGCCTTGGTTTTATACTTGCCAATCTGTTGTTATTCAAATGACCGCCCTAACAGAGACTAATGGTATCTAATAAAATTGATCTCGGTTCTGGCAAGCCAGACTCACAAGAGCAAGAGCCGTAGGAACTGCAGTGGGAAAATATGCTGGTGGTAAATGTGCCTGGTGAAGCACACACTTTTTTTGGGGGAAAGTGACGTATGTCTCACACATGGGCCTCTTGTTTATGTTGAGCTGTGGACATTTTCTGAAACCCAGTGTTACTTAGACACTAGGATTTGCAGTATCTAATCTTGTTTTTGATGTACTTGCTGGGTGGCATGGGACAGGATTGGCTGTGCCAGCTTATCAGTGAATGGCTGTGCCATGCCTGTAAGGCACAGCCAGGCTGTCTTTCATGCCAAACAGCTGGCATATTTGATGGCTTGTATTTCCTATTGTTAGAAATTTGCCTCACTGATTTCACAGGGCCTTGTAAAGTCTTGAATATCGCCAGAGCTAGCCAGGAGAGGAGTATGTCAGGTTGCAACCAAGAGCTAATATTTAAATACTGTATTCAAATGACATGTACGATTTGGCGACTTTTTTTCTTTATAGGACACTGACTGAAGGAAAGCTTTGCCATCAAAGGAGATAACCTCTTGACAACTGGCCTTGCAAACTTTTTCAAAAGTATAAGTGGTGTTAACTGTTAGGACCAGGTCTCAGAGGAACACAGAATTGTGTGTTTTTTTTTGTTTTTGTTTTTTTTTCCTGCAAGGATTTTAGAGACCTCATTTTATTCACTCACTCACTTGTGTTCCCATTTATACATCCATTCTTTAAAGCACCAGACATTAAACTATGCTAAATGCAAAGTACTGTGGGAATATAAGGCTGAGTAAAGCACTATTATACTTGTCAGTGCAAGTATAATTTGCACTGACAAATTTTAGAGATCTGGATTTTTAAGATTTTAGAAAACTTGTGCCGGTAATGTCCATTTTTAATTGGAGAGCTTTATGTTGTCATGTGGAAAAAAGCTACTCAAATTCCACCATGATAGTAGA
This sequence comes from Homo sapiens, assembly GCF_000001405.40. Taxonomy (NCBI): domain Eukaryota; kingdom Metazoa; phylum Chordata; class Mammalia; order Primates; family Hominidae; genus Homo; species Homo sapiens. The sequence goes on along the minus strand of NC_000009.12, from coordinate 8,844,870 downwards.
GCTTACTGGTTTCATTAAATAATAACACCAACTACCAAAGTAGGAGATGGGGGTTAGAGCCTTAGCTGCCTAGCCACACTTCACTTTGCTCCACAGTTAATTGAGCTCATGTAATTTCCTGTGACCTAGCATATAGAATAGCTCTTAGCTTGGGATTTGGCTATTATTGGACCATCTTTTTGTATTATTTATACCCATCTTCCTTGAAAAAGGATTTGTGGCAGCTATTAAATCATATGCTTCATTATCCTTAATAAATCACCTTGGTAGAGCAGACAATGGATTATTGTACAGATGGTTAGTTTCTATGAGAAATTTTTTAAAATATGCATAATCTTGGCCTCATTTTGAGTGATATTTTATTTCAAGGCTTTTAAAAATGATAGAAACCTTTAAAAAGTATACCAAACTGCTCAGTGACTATTGTTCATATTAAATAAAAAATATGCTTAGTAAAAGGAATGTAAATGTGATTAACAATTTTTTAAAATATATTAAGAGGCCTGTTACCTTTTCTGATTGTGAAAATCTTTCAAAATAATCTTTTCATTATACAGAAGGAAAGACACACCATGGATGTGGTAGGGCTTTACAGTAATAATGTTCTTTGCAACTAGTGTTGAGAGAAATAATGATGTAAGCAAATCCATAGATAAAAGATTGTATCCACAAGCCTATATGAACATGGTATTATGTATAATGTAGATAAAGGGGAAATAAATGACCTTTTAGATGTTTTAAGCATAAAACTCTTCTTTTGGAATATTTAGGTACTAGAGTGACAGATTACATTATGTTTCCATACGTCTGGATGAGAGAGAACCAAACACATTTCTGCTTGTAAAATGTGCCATGCTGGCTTCTTCATCATGGGTGATGACCATTTTTCAGATACCAATTAGAAATTTTCAAAAGGTGCTGGAAAGGACCTGAGAGTAAACCTCATGTTGTTTTGCTGAGGAACCTAAGATCCCAAAAATTGAAGAGGCTTTCTTACTCCAGCTGACCTCTCCATCTTGGTCTTTGGAACCTAAGGCCAGTCCTTTCTGGGCTTGACACTGTCTTTGTTACACTGCAGAAATGGGGTCCTTGCCAACCCTTTGCTTGCTCTTTGAGGGAGGAAGATCCCATAGTAGACAGTATCTGCCTTGATGAGGATTCTAGTGACATTTCTCATCAAAACTCAGGAGATGAGAACGGGAGGCAGATCTTTTTTATCCCAGTATTCCAACTTAAGAAACCCATTGTCCTTTTTACTTAATTAAAATTAAATGTAATTAAAACCACATTCATGCTAGCTACATTTGAAGTGGTTAATAACCACATGTAGCTAGTGGCCATGATATAGAACCAGCACCGACATAGAACGTTTCCCGTGTTGCACTAAGTTGTATTAGACAGCCCTAGTCTACCAGATCATTCTGAAACATCATTTGATCTTTTCAAGGTTACAGATGTAATAAAATCAAGGTGTACAGCATTTATGTAGTTAGAATACTCGTTGACTCTAGCAGGAAAGATGTAAGTGAAAGATACTGTGTTTCAAAAATACCTTCTCAAGGAAAGTGAATTGATAACAGATTCTGTGCATTTTGCCTAATGACAGACAAACTCTTTGATTTTGTACCAGCCCGATGTGAAGTACACTTCCATGGAAATCAAATAAAGGAACAAATATAGTACTATCAGTTCCACCTTTCCTCTCAGATTTCCCAGGGAGTCTTTTCTGTTGCTTTCCAAGTGATTTTTGTCTTCAGCCATTGTGACTGCATAGCTGTATGGGAGGAATTAAGGAGTGGCAATATAGTTGGAAGAGGGGGCTCAGTAGGGTGATTATGTAATTTAACATCTAAATAGGATGCTGTGAGAGTGAATGGGGATGTTCTTAATGGGTCAACAGGTGTAGACTGGGCTGTCCAAAGCAGATAGATCTGTCTTAAAGCTCCATGTGCAGCGCAGAGCAAGTGTGTCTTTGTTAGGATGGCCGACGGAGCAGGAGGGAGATGTGAAGGGTATCCTGGGGATGTGAAACACCGTCAAAGTCTCCCCTTGGCATCTTTCCTCCTGCTCTTTTGCTTTATTATAGTGCGTTTGAATTTTGTCACAGATCAGGCCAATCCAATGTCACATGTAATTAATGCTGACAAGCACATCTCAGAACAACCTGCTAGAAGTCACTGAAAGAAATCTAGGGCCAGATGAGTGACTTCCAGACTCCACCCCTGACAGTTTGGTGGGAATGAGAGACAGAGTAGTAGAGACAGTACTGAGCCTAACACTTTAACCCCCTACCTCTCCACAGTCTCCCTACCACTAGGTGAGAGTTAAGTATAAGGTTTCTAGAGAGATGTAATGGAACAGCCATATCAAATACAAACCAAAGGTAGTTCTACTAATGTACTAATGTACTGCTCTAATACAGTTGTAAAGGGATACTGATGTTACCCTTGTATACCCTAACTTTTATTCATCTATTTCAAAGCCATAAAAGTAATATAATCTCATTATAAGATATTTAGAAACAGAAAAAAAATATGTTGCTGATAATCCTTTTGCTCATAATCCTTTTATCTGAAAACATAGTCGCCCTTTCTCCTACCTGGTCTCTCATTTGGTCACAGAACTTGAGAAAATTGTTTCCAAATGCCTTTCTCTTTTTCTTTCACATTATAAATTTCTGTCACCTCCTACAGGGAGCGTCACAGGTTCTGGTATTTTTTATTGCAGTTTTTTTTGCATTTTGTTTTAGGTAGGTTTTTGTTTTTTGTTGTTTTTTCATTCTCATTGTTATACAAGAAGTTATTTTTGTTTAAAAAAATACTTCAGAAAGTATGCAGCAATAGTTGGATTTTTTTTTTTTGAGACTGTGTCTCGCTCTATTGCCCAGGCTGGAGTGCAGTGGGGCCATCTCTGCTCACTGCAACCTCTGCTTCCTGGGCTCATCTGATTCTCCTGCCTCAGCCTCCCGAGTAGCTGGGATTACCGGTGTCCGCCACCACACCTGGCTAATTTTTGTATTTTTAGTAGAGATGGGGTTCACCATGTTGGCCAGGCTGGTCTTGAACTCTTGACCTCAAATGATCCACCCGCCTTGGCCTCCCAAAGTGCTGGGATTACAGGAGTGAGCCACCGTGCCAGGCTGATGTCATTTTTTTTTTAAGTCACTTCTGAGACTCTAAGTATGTACCTCCAGTTTTATAATCAAAATAAACAAAAACAGGTTTCTGAAAGGTAGGGGTTTTTAAAGGCAGTTGATTAAGAATACAATACATTTGTGTATTAAGCAGTGTTTATAGCTTTAACAAAAGATCTCTGTTGGGGTAGGGGATTGTATTTATACAATGCTGAGGGCATTTTGGCACATAATAATCTCATGTTTGCTCAGAATCATGAACTGTGTCCACTCTTCCCCCACACAACATTTTTTAATTAAAAAAAATAAAGCTTGTTTCTATTTGTTTATAACATTTATTTTCTTACCAGAGGTGATTGATTGCAAGGACAGAAGTGCCTATGCTTGGTGACATTTTCAGCACCTTGTAACAAAGTGGAAAAGTAGAGGGTTTACTTTGAACCTGTTAATCCACAAAAGCGTGGAACATTCACCTCTTGAAGACACTCATTTTTCAAGTCTTGGTTTTTTAATTGTGCTTATGTATACCAGCTCCATTGGTAATCAGGGTGAAAATCAAGTTCCTTCTTGTAATTACAGATCTAAATCTTGATGGTCACAGGAGTATTATGATAGGGCAGGAGTTGTAATGAAACAGCCACACATTTTACCCCAGAAAGATTTAATAGTCCATCTTCTCATCCTCACCACTCTGTAGCCATGGCTTACAGCACTCCAGGTCATAACACAGAACTTGAAATTGTCATTATAGGAAAAGAGACTGGGGACTCTCAGTTAAGGAAACCCGGTGATTCACACATGACACTGACCTTTGTTGATAGAAGTCCCTTGTACATATCGTTACATGCACTGTAGAAGATGCAGTACCAGAGCCAGTACAGTATTGTAGTTAATTGATAGAATTGGTGCCAAAACCTTGCTAAGTCCCACTGAAAGGGCGATCAGTCATTTTCAATCATTTAATTATGTGTAAAAAAAAAATTAAGAATGGGCATGATATTTTTTCAGAGAGATGTGGTGTTTGAAATTTATGTAACTGTAGGCCCACCGAATTACATACTAAGCCCCAGTGGTAGTTCACATTCTGATTAAAAACCGGAAAGGCATAGAAATATAAATCATCCCATTTGAATATGTTCAACAGGTGGTGGAGTAAGAAGAGATAGCTTGCATTAACAATGGGGTCATTTGAAAGAAAATATTGTATTAGTCCGCTTTCACACTGCTAATAAAGACATACCCCAAACTGGGTAATTTATACAGGAAAAAGGTTTAATAGACTTGCAATTCCATGTGGTTGGGAAGGCCTCACAATCATGGCAGAAGGCAAGGAGGAGCAAGCTACTTCTTACATGGATCGCAGCAGGCAAAGAGAGTTTGTGCAGGGGAACTCTTCTTTTTAAAACCATCAAATCTTGTGACATTTATTTGCTATCACGAGAACAGCATGGGAAAAACCTGCCCTCATGATTCGATTACCTCCCACCAGGTATCTCCTACAACACGTGGAATTCAAGATGAGATTTGGGTGGGGACATAGCCAAACCATATCAAATTTAAACCAAAGGTAGTTCTACTAATGTGTACTGCTCTAATACTGTTGTAAAGGGATACTGATGTTACCGTTCTATACCGTAACTTTTATTCATCTATTTCAAAGCCATAAAAGTAATATAATCTCATTATAGAATATTTAGAAACAGGAAAAATATGTTGCTTATAGTCCTTTTGCTCATAATCCTTTTATCTGAAAACAACACACTGTTCTAACTCGAGTAATTTTTGTGATCCTTTGTACTGTATGGTGAATTTGCTATTCAGTACATCAGTTATCATTTTACCATAAATGTATTTTTTACAACCTTGCCTCATCATAACTGCTGCTTTTAATGGCTGCCGAATATTTCATGAACTAGATGTGTCTGTTTGTCTTTTGTTGGGCATTGTTCCCTTCTTCCCATTTCTCCCACTGTTATCAATACAAAGCTTTGAGGAACAGTTTAATAGAGGTAGCTTTTTCTATATTTTGCATTATTTCTTTTTAGGGTTGTTATGTAGAAGTATGCTGATTATGCTCATAATGCTACCAGTAATGATTGAGAATACTAGTTTCAGCCGGGCGTGGTGGCTCATTCCTGTAATCCCAGCACTTTGGGAGGCCAAGGTGGGTGGATCACTTGAGGTCAGGAATTCGAGACTAGCCTGGCCAACATGATGAAACCTCATCTCTACTAAAAATACAAAAATTAGCCAGGGATGGTGGTGCCCGCCTGTAGTCCCAGCTGTTCGGGTGGCTGAGGCAGGAGAATTGCTTGAACCTGGAGGCAGAGGCTGCAGTGAGCCAAGATCGCGCCACAGCGCTCCAGCCTGGGTGACAGAGCGAGACTCCATCTCAAATAAATAAATAAATAAATAAATAAATAAATAAATAAATAAAATCCCCTTGGTCAATCTGAAAATTATCATCTAGGTTTTGTTCATTTAATAGGCAAAACACTTTCTCATTATTGGTTTAATATGAATTTCTTTAATTACTGAAGTGATAATTTTTCCCTTATGTTTGCTTGAAGTAATTATTTCTGTTATATGAATTAAATCTCTATATTTCCTTTGCCTAAGGGTTTTTATTCATTAGTTCATGTTCTTTATATATTAGGCATATTGACTGTAGTCATATTGATAACAAATGTAACAAACTTTGCAGTTCGTTACAAGGTGCTGAAAATGTCTTGGTACATTTATGAGTCTTACTTTAATGATTTTTTAACATACAGGATCTTTATTCATCATTTTATATAGTCAAATCTGTTGATGGTTTTTTTTCTCTCTTATTATTCATTTTATGTTTAGAATTAGAAGGTTATTTTCTTTCCTATGATTTCAATCTGATTTTGTTTTTGGTGTTTTGTTTCTCTCATTACTGTTTTATATCCATTCTTCAGTCACATGATCCTCAAACTTATTTAGGTGAAGTATCTGAAAGTATTCACTGACCATGAAATATCATTATATTTATTTTTATCCTGCAAACTACCTACTCTTTTGCCAGAAGAAAGTCCAACTAAACCATATAATAAATTCACAACCAAGAGTTATATACACATAGAATGTAAAAAAAAAATCTGTCAAACTAAATAACCTGTTATTTAATCAATAAGTTGTTTTCTCTCTTTTATTTTTCAGTTTCAAGCAGTTTATTAGAAAATATTACAAAGTTCAGTGAAATACCTCCAATAAGTTAATTTTGAGTTGAATTTAAAAAGTATGTTAGTTGATTTTAGAATTGAAACACTTCCAAGCAGATGAATGATTTGAAGAAGAGGAATGTATTGTGAATTTTTTCCCTTTAAATCATCTAGTGATATATGGTTGTGGTATAAGGCAAGGTTCTAAATAATTTTTTTTTCCAAATTTGTCACTTCCTTATCCCCAAACGATGCACCGAACTGTCCTTCCTTCCCCCAAGTATTTGCAGTACTCTTTTTTTTTTAATTTGAAGTCGTTATGTGTTTTAAGATCTGTTTCTGGTTTCTGTTCATGGGTATCTGGTTTGCTTGCTCTTCTTAATTTTTTTATACATCTGTGATTAAGTCAGTCATCATAACCTTTCAATTATTGGAGTTTTATTATGCTGGACCCCTCTCCCTTAAGATTTTCTTAGAGATTTTTCTTTGGTGCTTTCTTGTGTTTATTCATTGACATGAACTTCAGTTGACTCTTACATTTTCAATAAGAAACCAAGAAGCCTTAATTCATATTTTCACAAAACATGGGGCTTACTCATGTTCTAAGAAGTGGGCATATTACATATAATTTAATTGTAGTCAACTTTTATTATACTGGGAAATCTCTTCTTTTCTCTTATAAAACAGGCAAACAAAGGAAACCACTTTGTTTTAAATGGCACAGTTTCATTTTGTTTTAAAGGGAATATCAGGCTGGCTGCGGTGGCTCACACTTGTAATCCCAACACTTTGGGAGGCTGAGACAGGAGAATCACTTGAGTCTAGAAGTTTGAGACCAGCCTGGGCAACATAGCAAGATCTCACCTTTACAAAAAATAAAAATAAAAGTTTAGCGAGGCATGGTGGTATGCACCTGTAATACCAGCTACTTGAGAGGCTAAGGTGGAAGAATCACTTGAGCTTGGGCAGTTGAGGCTCACCACGATTGTGCTACTGTACTCCAGTCTGGGCAACAGAGTGAGACCTCTTCTCAAAACAAAACAAAACAAAACAAAAAAAGGAAGAGAAAAGGAGATTAGTCTTCTGATGTGAGAATGCCTATTTTGACTTTAATTAAAATTTAGTTTTTGTAATTCCAAAATCTTGTCTCAATTTATTTTCTAGCTGGAGGAAAAACAATCTTTATATGCCTCATGTTTCCTGTATCTTTGCTATCTCTTGTTTTTAAAATAAGTTCTTGTCAGGCGCAGTGGCTCACGCCTGTAATCCCAGCACTTCGGGAGGCCAAGGCGGGCAGATCACTTGAGGCCAGGAGTTTGAGACCAGCCTAGGCAACATAATGAAACTCTGTCTCTACTGAAAATACAAAAATTAGCTGGTCATGGTGTAATCCCAGCTACTAGGGAGGCTAAGGCAGGAGAATCACTTGAACCTGGAAGGCGGAGGTTGGAGTGAGCGGAGATCGTACCACTGCACTCCAGCCTGGGTGACACAGCGAGACTCCATCTCAAAAAAAAAAAAAAAAAAGCTGGGTGTGGTGGCTCACGCCTGTAATCTAGACTCTTCCCCAAATGGTGGGGGGATGGGTGGGTTATTAATGGTAGGTATTGGGGGGTTAGCTTGAGATGGGACTTGGTCTTAGAAGAGAGCTAGTTCTAAAGGTTGTTTACTTTTCTAGGGAGGAGTCTGCTACTAGTCTAATCAGCTGTTGGGTGGATCACGAGGTCAGGAGATCAAGACCATCCTGGCCAACATGGTGAAACCCCATCTCTAATAAAAATACAAAAAATTAGCTGGACATGGTGGCATGCGCTTGTAGTCCCAGCTACTCAGGAGGCTGAGGCAGGAGAATCGCTTGAACCTGGGAGGCAGAGGCTGCAGTGAGCCGAGATCGTGCCACTGCATTCCAGCCTGGCAACAGAGCGAGACTCCGTCTTAAAAAAAAAAAAAAAAAAAAAAAAAAAAGGTTTTTATTAATACTCTGAACTTAAGACCTAAAATTACTTTAAAAAATGTGTATCAAAGGTCAGAGTTTTAAAATTAACCCCACTATTTTTTGTTAGGATGGATTTTGTTGGTATACTTAGAATATAATCAGTTGTCGAGTAGATGTCCTAATGTTAAAAACTTTTTTATTTTTAGGCAGGAGAAAACAATCCAAGAAGAGTATTGTTTTTCAGTGATTAACCAGTATCTCTGGTATTTTAGAGATGTGCCAAGGGCTCTCTTTCTTTGTGAAATAGAGCATATCTTGTAGTTTGCTTTGTCAATGTTCTCTTAGACTATCAAAACACTCAAATTTTACATTTTGAGCAGTATTTACGCCTGAATTAATTCACAAGTTTCAAGGTCACTAACTTTGGTTATATTATATTGTTATTTTCCAATTTAGCCACCTCTTTATTTGTATAATAGAGCATACAGCAGCACATAAAACGCAAAACTCTAGGACATAAAAAGTGGCATTCGGACGATGTTGCTCTGAAATTTATGCATTAATTAAACCGGTATATATGTATGCATTAATTAAACCAATATTTATGAAGTTCCTACTGTGTTACAGACGTGGATCCAGGCACTGAGGATGCAGCAGGCCATCCAAATATAAAGTTACTTCCTTAGGAAGCTTCCATTCTAATGGGAGAGTGTTGTTAAAGAGATATATAATAATATGTAAAATGAATCCATAATGGTGAGTATTATGAAGAATAAAATTGCCAGGTGAAGTGGCTCATGCCTATGGTCCCAGCACTTTGGGAGTCTGAGGAGGGAGGATCACTTGAGCCCAGGAGTTCAAGACCAGCCTGGGCAGCATAGAGAGACCCTCGTCTCTACAAAAAATAAAAGTAAAAATAAATTAGCTGGATGTGTGACACACACCTGTGGTTCCAGCTACTCAGGAGGCTGAGGTGGGAGGATCACTTGAGCCTGGGAGGTTGAGGCTGCAGTGAACCATGATTGTGCCACTGCACTCCAGCTTGAGTGACAGAGTGAGACCTGTCTCAACAGCAACAACAACAAAACAAAAGTAAAACTTGTCAGGGCAAAGGGCTGTAAGGAAATCAGTCTATCAGTGTATGCGGTGAGGTTGAATCACTGTTGCTTTAATTAATGTGGTCAAGGGAGACTCTAAGAAGCCGACTCTCTGGGCAAGAAGAGTTTAGTAGAGACCTTGGTGCTTGGTGCTTGGGTGCGTTATTCAACTCTTTTGAAAAGCAAATTTTCTCCTCAGCTGTGTTTGTAGAGACTACCATTCTAGACATATCCCATTCTCTGTGCCCACGCACCTGAAATGCAGAGCCAGATCCATCTGTGATCTTTGGTCTCATCTTGACTATAGCTGGTACCCATAAACTCAGGTGATGTCTAGCTATGCCAGGAGCTGGGGTCATTTCGTTTCTTCGTCCACCCCATGCTTTGCTTTGCTGACTCTCTGATTCTGATGCATGGGGCCCAGTTGAATCCATGCCACTGTCTTTACTGATTACTGACTTTAACCTGGGGTCCTTGCCTGACCCAGATGGTGGGTACTCTTTTCATGCAGTTAGATTCCTCAGTTCAGTCATGCCAACCTCTTTAGGCAAAAGCACCAGCCATGCTGTGAGTTATTATTTGCTCTGAATAACCCCAGGAGTTACTCACTAAGCTGCCTGCGTAAAGCTCTTTTTCACTTGCTTTTCTGCTCTGACTGTATATAGGAAAAGTCTGGGAAATGGCAAGTTTATATATTTTGCCCAGAGCCACAGAGGGAGAACCCATTGGGGTGTTTGTTACAAATCATTGTCTTTACATGTTCCAGCTCATTGTTTTGGTCTGTGGGTCAAACAGTTTTTTAAATTCCTGATGTGTGGTCTCCTTGATCCTCACTTTCTTTGTCTCTGAAATAGGAACAATATGAGTACCTACCTACCTCATACTATTGCTGTGAACATTAAATGAGATAATGCTTTTAAAGACTAGTATGCCTGACACATGGGATAGTCAAAAAATCAATTTTTATTAGTATTAATGCTGTCAGTATTAATACCTTTGCCGTAATTCCTCCCTTTATAGAACAGTTTTGGGAATTAAATGTGTGAACAAGTAGTTGTTAATAACATTTTTTATGAAATAAACAAAAACAGGTTATAAAAGAGACTATTTTTGTATAGGTGCTGAATTTTTAAAACATTTTATCTATAAAAAAGAAACACTATCATGTGAATCATCAGATTTTTACACTTCATATGATATATGAAAATTTTCAAAATAAAACCAGTTTTTAATACCTAGGTTTTAAAAATCTATCTAAAAATAAATCTACGTAAGAAAGCTTCCTTGTCTGTTATAATTATTTAATATCATGGAAAAAAACAGGCTTTTTCCCTTGAACTATTGAATTCAACTACTGTGAATCATTCTAGTGTAATAGTAAATAAATGAAAGTAGGTGACTATGAAGGGAAGAAATTCATTATATTTCTACCAGGATTCCTTCTGGAAATGAGAGTGAAAAAGACTAGGCATTATTGTGCTTTCTGAACGGTTTGTGTAATTATGTGAGAAATTATAAAAATTTAGAATTCTACTAAATGTCTACCTGTTAGGTGAATTTTTAAAAATCTGAAGTAACTTCTTAAAATGCCCGGTGTTTTTAATACATTTATCCATAAGTTGGTTAATTTTTGTAAATGGTACAGTATATAGCTGTCATTTTTCTTTAAAGAGAGGTGGAAACCAAGCAACCAGTCTGGAAATACAGTTGTTTTTCAAAGCCTAAATTTTAACAGTTATTAAATCATACATATATATAATATATATAGAATCGTGTGTGTGTGTGTGTGTGTGTGTGTGTGTGTATATATATATATATAGAGAGAGAGAGAGGAGAGAGTTTTCATTCAACTTTATAATGTTGTGAATGGTGCCTGTTATTAAGATTGCATCATTCACTGAGTAGAGTTTTAATTTTTTTCAATATGAAAAATGGACCAGGTCATACATAGATCCAGCCCTAACAAGTGAGAAAAAAAAATGAAAAAAAGAAAATTGGAAATTATGTTACAGCCTGAATATTTGCTTTGAAATCTAGAGGCTAATTAGAATATATATGTAACATCTACTAAAGCGATGAATAAACTTAGATAATTAAATGTTACCATTTAAAATACATATCTCTACTTACTGGACTCTATTCTTTCTCATTTCTCTGCCTGTTACTTTTTATATATCAGGCTTATCAAAAGTAGCTGTGCTCAAACATCCTGAAGATGTTTCAAAAGTCACATGCTCAAATCAATGCTAATAACCTCTTGGGAACTAAGGGGTAGTAGAATACTGTCCAATATGGTTATTTCATTAGCAAGGTCTTCCTATACAATGAGTCAGAAGAGAAAAGCTGTAAACTTCCCAGCTCAACCTCTAAAGCTCATGTTTTTTCTTTCTCTCTGTAAGCACTGTTGCTGTGGCCTGTGTATGAACTGGATGTGCCAATGCTGTTATTAAGATTTCTGGGTCGCACACAGAAGATATCAAGTCAGTTGTATTGCTGATTTTTTTTTCATCTGCAAAGTAAGAATAGGAAAGAAAATGTCTTTCATGTTACAGCTTTCTAGGTAATGAAGAGTAGATATTAAATTTATGAGACAACTAACATGAAGTGAAAGGTTGCATTTGTTTTCATTTCAGATATTATTTTTTGTTCTTTGGGGGTATGCGTTTATGAAAAAATGAAGCCTCATGCAATCTGAAAAAGAGAAATACAGAGAGAGCAAGAGCCAGAGAGAGAGAGAGAGAGAACTCCAATTTAGAGAAATATTGAATATCCAGCCTCCTTCAGAAATGATTAGTTTTACAGTTGAAAGATTTCACATTTAAAATAATCCTCTTTGTGAAGTCTTGTGATCCTGCAGTGTGACCACAAACTTAATCAAAATCACTTTGTTAACAAAACACACATAGTGGGTGCAAACACTGGTTAATTTTCTCTTTCTCATAACTTGAAGTATATTGTGACCTCGTTCAGTTGGGCATGTCTGAAATGTTGTGTGGCTGTTTTGGTAATTGCCATAATTGACTTTTTCTCTTACTTGTAATTCATTGCCTATTTTCCCCATAATTTTCACATTGTGAAGTGTTATTTGACAAAAAAAAAAAAAAAAAAAGATGATTTTAGCTGCCCCTTGCTTTACATTTGACATCTTTTTGTTTTTCTGCTTTCATGATTACAAAAATACACTGTTACCCACTGTCAGTCTTCACTGTTTTCTTCATTGTTTTTCTCAAAGCAGTTATCTGTTAGGATAAATTAAAGGTTGAGACCAGGAGCTTTGGGGATTACTGGATCAATGCACACCATTTGGCATAACGTTTTTATTGCAGGATTCTTAAATATATTTAGGTACTGTCTTGGTAGTCATCAGACATATGTATAGATCATACACACACACACACACACACACACACACACATATACACATACATATTTAAATCACCGGCTACTGTTTGCATTCAGTGCACATTATAGCTCTCAGAAGGTTGCAAACACTTTTCATTGTTGCCTTTTATCTGTCATGCTGTTCAAATAATTTTCCTGGACACTACTAAAGTAGGAAATGGATACAAGTAAATTACAACTTGTACCCATTTCCAACTGTCAAAAAAAGCACTAAAGGAGAAATAGAATATGGACTTCATAAAACGTTGTGATTTGGAAGCAGTTTTTGTCAAATTAGTATATGTAAATCGTCTTTGTTTTGTGAAACTTTCTCTGAGGTTTTGCAGTGTTTACAATGTAGTTGACTCACAAAAGTGATACAGTGTTGAAACCAATAGCAGAGAATTTTCAGAATGATAAAATTCATTCTAACTGTGGCTGAAAGAGACAGATTGTATGTGAGTTCTTTTTTAATATTTGAAGATGATATGTTTCATTCAGGACATTACATTTTAAAGGGTTTATTATACATTTGTAGGAAAGTTTAACAAGCTTTAATATTGCTCACCCAGTTGTTTCTCTTTCTATTTGAAATGACTGGTTTTATTGAATTGGATTGGGATTTGCTTTTTAATTGTATGTAGACTGTATAATGTGTAGTCTGGTCTCTGAGCATGTTATATAATGTATTTAATTGTATGTAGACTGTATAATGTGTAGTCCGGTCTCCTAATGCAGTTTCATAATGGTGTAATGGAAGCAAGCCAAGTGTATTTTGATACAGAGTAAGCGAGATTGTTTTAAATTTTTAACCAACTCACCTTTAAACATTTCTTGACATTCTCCTAGGATTCAAGAGGTAGACCTAACAAAGATAATCATCAGAAAAGAGAATGTCTGAAACAAGTGCAGGAATGAATTCATGACAGTTTTGGAGGGGAGTCTTTAATAAAAACCATTCCGCAACCCTCCCTCTTACTGTCAAGTATCAGAAAAACAAAACCCTTTTCCTGAGTCTCAGTCATCTTGTCTGCGAAGTGTAGGAGCTGGATTCAGTGATGCCAAATGTCCCTTCTAAGTCCACAGATTTTCTAAGTGCCTATCTTAGGTGAAGCTGGATCATCAAAATTCCTCAGAAAAACTAGTCCTTGAGTATTCTAAAGCATATTTGTTATTAAAAATATAAACTTCATACTAAATGCTGATATATCACTTGCTGATTAAGCCTTATAATGGTTTCACTAATAATTAATCAATTGAAGAGAATTGTTAGAAAAATGAGGCAACAGTTTACACTCTAGTAGGGTTTTGGGATTTCTTTAAGCAATGATTTCACCATCACGTATGCCCTTTCCCCAAATTACGGATTTGATTGTGAATATCCTTGCGTGCGAATGACCATTTGCACTTGTTTTCTCTTTTTAAAAAGTCTTCCTTTCAGCGAAGTAGTGTCTGCTTCCCCTTTGCTGGGTATTGACTGGGAGGAACATGCCCCCTCATGATAGGGTGGACACTGTGTCGCTGCACACTCCTCACTGGGGGGAGTTGAAGGAGTTTTGAGATGATCATGGTCCTCACTTTTCTGTTTGGTCACAGAGCACTTAATTGTGCTTGAAACCTCTCATCTGTCCATGATTCGATGACTGAAGCCCATTCTCCACTTTCCTTTCTTGTTTACCCTCTTGTTTCTTAATATCAAGATTTTTTGTTTCTTGTGGACTTTTGAGAGTGCCCAGAAGTCTTACAATTTCTATAAAATTTATCTCATATCTTTTAATCCTTTGATTATTTTCCCTCAAGTGCTAGAGTTCAAAATAATCTTTGCAAATTTATACTAAGCAAGCTGTAGAAAAGGGGTAAAACAAAACACTTAAGAGTTTGGACTGTGGAACCCAAGTGCTTGAGTTAATACCTCAGGCTCTCCCCTTGTAAGCTGTGAGACCTTGAGCAGGTCATTTTATGTGCTTTGCCTCATTTTCTCATCTGTAAAATGAACATAATAACAGTACCTATGCTATAGTGATGCTTAAAACATTAAAAGAGTTAATAAATGTAAGGAGACTAGAACAATGCCTGATTCCAACACAGTAAAGACTCAGATTCAAACTTTGGTATTTAATCTTCAAATTTTGTTTACTGGTATTACCCAGTAAATATTTTCTGAAAGGTCTGTTGTCTCAGCTACATTATAATAATGTTTTATAGAATTATATAGTTAATGAAGAGGTTTCATACAAGTAATAGCATTTAATCTTCATACTAGTTTTCTGATATGTTATTGTTATTTCCATTTTACAGATTATAAAAGTGAAGGTCAGGAAGGGTAAATGACCTGCTGAAGATTATGGTTATTAGTGGTAGACTGAGCTGTTTGTCCCCAGTCAGCTGATTCTATGGTTGTTTCATTGTTCTGTGCTGTCAAAATATATCTCTAGAGGATGATGCATTAATGTGTACTATCTTCCTAGTAACCGAGCTCCCAGGAGGTAGTTGATGCTCTGTCAAGTGCTGGACAACAACCTGTGTGCAAGTCAGGGGGAAAAGTCCAGTTCACCAAGAAATTCTAACCCAGTGTGATGTGTGTTATGATAAAGATTTCCATAGGATTATAATAACCTTCCAAAAAAGTCACGTTTTAAATGCACAATGCAGAGCTACTCACCAATACAAAAGTAATGAACTGATGTATGCACAAAATGATAAATCTCGAGAACAGTATATTGTGTGAAAGAAGCCAGAAACAAAAGGGTACAAACTGTATGATTCCCTCTGTGATTTTTTAGGTAAAACTAATCTATAGTGACAAAAATCATGACAGTGATTGCCTTGGCATAGGATGGAAGGGAGCTGGGAGTGAGGGAAGAGGAGGATGACTGGATAAGGACATGAACAAGCTTTCTGGGGTGATGGAAATGTTGTATATCTTGATAAGGATGTGGGTTATGTAGACATAACATTTGTTAAATGTCATCCAGCTGCACCTAAAACCCGGGCAATTCACTTATATAAGCTATACTTCAATTATAAAAATAAAATAATTTACATGGACAATTAAGGAAACATTAGTAGTGATTATCTATTTAATTTGGAAAGCTCTCAACAGTAAATTTAAAATGGATGCATATGATAGATGGCATTGCTGGCACAGTGTGATAGAGTATTTCCAAGAATATGTGTTTCTTTTTCAAGTACTGCATTTTATGGAACACTGTTGTCCACATATGCTGTGAAGATGAACGCACCCTAAGTTATTTTAAAATAATAACAAATCTGCCATGGCTTGAATTGTCTGAGTTTACATGGAGAGGAGAATTTCACAAATTTTATAGGGAGTATTTAATGTTATTCTGTTGCAAAGTTAAAGCTTTATAATGAATCCAGAAAAAACATGGACTTAACAATTTATTATATATGTTTTTTAGAGATGCGTAGATAATAGTACTCTCAGTTACCTTCTCACTTTTTGATAACTAGTTCTTCAACTGCTACAGAACCTGGTATCAATTCAGCAGCAACTCATAATTTGGGGTTCTGCCTGCCTTAGAGTACTACTAACAAGCATAACATCTTAGTCTCTTTGAGCTACTGCAACAAAATATCCTAGATAGGGTGGCTTAAACAACAAACATTATTTCTCACAGTTCTGGAGGCCAGAAGTCCAAGATCAAGGTGTCAGGTGATTTGGTTCCTGTTTGGGGTCTTTTTCCTGGTTCACAGACAGGTGCCTTCTTGCTTTGTCCTCACATGGCAGTGAGAAGTCATTTCTGTGATGTTTCTTCTTATAAGAGCACTATTCCTGTTCACAAGGGATCCACCCTCATGACCTAATTACCTCTCAAAGGCTCACCTTCTAATACCATCACATTGAGTATTAGAGCTTCAGCATATGAATTTAGGGAGATACAAACATTTAGTCCATTGTGCATAGTCATGTTTAAACACAAGTCTTTGAGTATCACCAGTTTCAAATTAGCCATTGGAAGACAGAAATGATTCTCTTTCCATCAAGCTCTGTGTACTTCATAATCATTGCATCCAGCTCTTCATCTGTGGATTGTATAACCTGTAGACTTTTATGGGATTTACTTCCTTTTTAAAATAATATACATATAAGCCAAACAGATTAAACAGTGCCCAACACAGTATTGAATATATTATTATCTTATTGTTTAGGGGATGGTGATAAGTACTAATTAAATGTGCTTTGAGATATTATATTAATATAAAAATGTAGATATTTCAGAGAAGATACTCATCCACATGATTTCAGGCCTGTTCTTTTCAATAGGTCCTATTCAAGTTCATTTAGCTATGTCTTAATTGGATTACATCCATATTTAGTTTAATTCATAAATTTTAATAATCACTAGTAAACAATAATAAATCTTTGAGTGATGAGACATGATAAATACCCTATAGGTTAAAGGCATGCTCTGCTTTGAAATATAAATGATGAGCTGATTACTTTATGAGGGGAAAAAAAGGAATTTGGTTACTTTCTGTGGCAAAAACCTAATTTTTTTTGTTTGTTTGAGACAGAGTCTCACTCTATTGCCCAGGCTGGAGTGTGGTGGCCCAATCTTGGCTCACTGCAGCCTCTGCCTCCTGGGTTCAAGTGATTCTTGTGCCTCAGCCTCCTGAGTAGCTGAAATTACAGGGGTGCGCCACCATACCTGGCTAATTTTTGTATTTTTAGTAGAGATGGGGTTTCACCATGTTGCCCAGGCTGGTTTTGAACCCTTGACCTCAGGTGATCCACCCACCTTGGCCTCCCAAAGTGCTGGGATTACAGGCATGAGCCACCTCACCTGGTCTAAAACTAAAATTTTTTCAATAACAAATAGATTGATGGGTTGAGTCACGTATCTATTTACCATAGATTTCCCTAGGTTTGGGGGACTGAAATATGAATTAGAAGTTGTCCTTACCCTCAGTGAGCTTAGTTAGTCTATTAAAGGAGATTGATAGGAGGACAGATTTTTTAGCAATTTAGTATGATAATATTTTATCAGAAGTGTAGTGAGCCTAGAGAAGAGGAATTAATCAAGTCTACTCTGAACCATGAGGGTGTGTGTAGTGTGTGTGTGTGTTATATGTGTGTGTGTAGGGGTAGAAAGACACTAGAGTTTGACTGAAAGAGTGAGAAGAAATCTGCCAGTTTAAACAAGGGGAGAAAGAGCATCCCAGGCAGAAGGAGAAACATGTGTCAAGGAATCGTGCTCATTGGGTATCCCATAAGCTTTTTTAAAGATATGATGAGAACCAGTGTGTGGGGTTAGAGAGTTGGGAGAAGTTGTCAGAGACCAGACCACGCAAGGCTCTAAATTTTAATATTTGTAGAATTTCTTCTGTTTGTCAGGCATCATGCTAAACACTGGGCATTTACTGGTGATCAGAAGAGATACTATGCTTGCCATTAAGGGGCTTACCGTCCAGCAGGAGAGTAAAATAATGGATGAATACACAATTGCAAATTGGATAAGCACTATATAGAAAAAAAAAAAAAGATGGTGCCTGCAGTCTTGGAATCTTGGTCTTGTACATTTAAGTAAAGACCTGAAGGATGAGAAGGAATCAGTTGGATATGGGTAGCTGGTATCAGCACGTATGAAGGATAAAAGGCAGGAAATAACTGTGTGGTGAACGGAAGGGAGGCCAGCAGGGCTGGAGGGTGGTGGACTGGGTGAGTCAAAAGTGATTAAGATTGGAGAAAAATGGTCAGGAGGTCTGATGGCTCAGGGCTTTGGTAATGAGATTGGATTTCATTTAAGGCACAATAGGAGACCATGGGAGGGATTGTAGGCTGAGGGGTGAAACAATGGATTTAAAAAATATATAAATTATTCTGGATGCTTTGTAAGGAATAGATTGGGAGGTAACAAGAGTAGAAATAGGAAGGCCATTTAGGAAGCTATTATAGGTAGTCTGGATGAGAGATGGTGGTGGCAATGACTACAGGATTTCCAACTGATTGAGTTAAGGGTGTGGAGGAGGAGGAAGATTGGGAAGAAATTGAGGACAGATACAGGCCTTTATCTGTGAATTGTCAGAGGCCTGTGAACCAGAGCAACTCCATCTTAAAAGCTGGGTAAAATGAGGCTAAGATCTACTGTGCTGCCTTCCCAGACAAGGCATTCTAAGTCACAGGATAAGATAAAAGGTCAGTACAAAATACAGGCCATAAAATCCTTGTTGATAAAACAGGTTACAGTAGGAGCTGGCCAAAACCCACCAACACCAAAATGGCAACAATTGTGGCATCTGCTCATCCTTGCTGCTACACTCTCACTGGCGCCATGACAGTTTGCAAATGCCATGGGAATGTCGGAAGTTACTCTATATGGTCTAGAAAGGGGAGGCATGAATAATCCACCCCTTGTTTAGCATTTCTTCAAGAAATAACCATAACAATGGGCAACCAGCAGCCCTCATGGCTGCTCTGTCTATAAAGTAGCCATTCTTTTATTTCTTTACTTTCTTAATAAACTTACTTTCACTTTACACTGCGAACTCACCATGAATTCTTTCTTGCCAAAATCCAAGAACCCTCTCTTTTAAACTTTGCTTAAAACGTTGCTAATCTTTTATTTTTCAAAGTCAAGGAACCTTTTCTTTTAAGCTATTACAGCTTTTAACAGTTAAGTGTACTCCTATAAAAAAATTTAGAGCATATTTATTTCTCTCTACCTCATTTTTTCAGAATTTTAAAAACTAGTTGTAAGCATTCTTATGACAATATAGTTATTTACATGAGTGCAATAAACATCTGTTTTCTTTTGTCACAGGACACAATTTTAAAAATTGGTTATTTTACCAAGGCTTTAACTAAAATGGTGTACTTTCCTTTAAGTTATCAAACTTAACTTGTAAAGCCAATAAAAACCCTTTAGAAAACTGGCCACATACCTTGCCTAAAACAGTCCCTATACAGGGTTTCTAACCTGTGCCAAATAAAAAATATCACTTTCTAACAGGTCCAGAAACCACAAGTTATCTTGGGACCTCAAAAAGAAAGAAATTTACCCAACTCATAAATATTTAAAGGTACAAACTCATGGCAGGGCTCAGCTTTAAAAAAGTCTTATCTAAAATTCCTTCTATGAAACAAAGTTCCATCAAAGCCAATTTTTAAAAAGCCTATGTAAAAAATAATTATTCTTACTGCACTTTATACAAATAATCAGGCCAAGTATAATAAAGCAAATCAGTCTTACCATAATTTATCTTTAGTGAAAATGGAAAACTGGGAAAAATACTACGTTTCAAGAACTATACTATACTTGTTATTAAATTCTAGTCTCATTAGTTGTTTCTAAGCTTATTTCTGCAATTTCAGCAAACCCTGCTTATTCCTGTGAACCAACCAGTGATCTCTAACTGCTGCTCAAAAAAAACCAAAAGGAATAAGTAATGTAAAAATCTGGATCAGTATTCTAATTCTGGGCACATTACAATCAGCTGACAACCCGGTATCAGCTTAGTTCCAACAGTTGCCCAGTTCATAAAAAGCCTTCTAATTTAGTTTACTTAAAATAACTTATTTTGCTTTACTCTTGTGAAATATATTACTGTTATACTCTTTGTATAAGAATACAAAACAAGCTTACTGAATGTTTTATTAAACAGTTAACTAATCTTACAGATACCACCTTTTGTCAAAACTCAAAAGTTATAAATAAACCTTACCATACTAACACTTTCTAACGAAGCTCTTCTCTACCGTGAATGCAAGAGACCCCCATAGTTAGGCCAAAATATCATCGCCCCTATTTGGCCTAAAAAAGTTACAAAAAATAGATCTTTGTCCCTGGGCAACCCTTAGGATCAAAGGTTCTCTTATAAAAGGGAGAGGGGAAATGTCAAAGGTGTGCTAACCACAGCAACTCCATCTTAAATAAAAGCTGGGTAAAATGAGGCTAGGACCCACTGGGCTGCATTCCCAGACGATTAAGGCATTCTAAGTCACAGGATAAGATAAAAGGTCAGCACAAAATACAGGCCATGAAAACCTTGCTAATAAAAGGTAACAGTAAAGGAGCCAGCCAAAACCCACCAACACCAAAGTGGCGACAAGAGTGACCTCTGGTTGTCTTCACTGCTACACTCCCACCAGCACCATGACAGTTTACAAATGCCATGGCAACATCAGGAAGTTACCCTATACAATCTAAAAAGGGAAGACATGAATAATCCACCCCTTGTTTAGCATATCATCAAGAAATAACCATAAAAATGGGCAACCAGCAGCCCTTGGGACTACTCTGTCTATAAAGTAGCCATTCTTTTATTCTTTTACTTTTTTAATGAACTTGCTTTCACTTTGCACTGCAAACTCACCGTTAATCTTTTCTCGCGCAAAATCCAATAACCCTCCCTTAGGGTCTGGATCAAGACTCCTTTCCTGTAACAAAATGGTTTCCTTCCTTCCGCCTTTCCTTTCCTTTCCCTTTCCTTTCCCTTTCCTTTTCCCTTTCCCTTCCCTTTTTTGAAACAGGGTCTCACTCTGTTTCCCCAGGCTGGAGTGCAGTGGTGTGATCACAGCTCACTGCAGTCTCGACCTCCCTGGCCCAGGTGATCTTCCCGCCTTAGCCTCTCGAGCTGCTGGGACTTACAGGCACGCGCCACCACCACACCCAGCTAAGGTGTGATTTCTTGAGATGGGGAAGGCTGGCATATAAACTTGCTGGCGGATAAGGAAATCAGCTTGGAAACTATTGGTTTAAGGTTTCCATGAAGCATGCAAGGTGGGGAAGGGCTATGTATTACATGATTCTGTAGTTCAAAGGTACAATTGCTGTTGAGTTAAAAGTTTGTGAATCATTGAAACCAAAGATGGCAATTAAAGCTTTGTGGGAAGGGATGAAATCATCCAGGAATTTTAAGAAGGGGTTCAGTGGAACACTGAACATTTAGAGGTCAGGCAAAGGGGGTGAAACTTCTAAGGAGCCTGAGAAAGAACAGGCCCAAGTGGTAAGAAGAAAACTAGGATATTAAAGTAGAGTAGAATACCGGGAGAGAAGAGGGCTTCAAGAAGAGGCTGTGGGGTGTGGGCTGTTGAGTAAAATGGAAACAGAACCCTGAGTATTAAATGTCTTACTAGATCCTCTGTACTTTCTTCAGCTGTAGATGGGAAAGCATTGGAAGATTTCATACCGAGGACTGACTTGACCAGAAATGTTATTTTCGAAAGATTCCAGTGTGGGCTGTGTGAACACTGGGCTTAGTTTGGAGGAATGGAAATCTGTTAATCCTTTCTGCTTTCTAACCTGTTAAATTGCCGTAGCTTAAGTAAATGACTGCAGCACTGGTGGTTTTGGGGGATGGGAGGGGGTTGAAGTTTAACAGAATTGGATTCCAGTTCTGTTCCATTGTCAGCTGCGGGACCTTGGGCAAATTGCTTAATCTCTGTTAGCTTTGGTTTCCTATGTCTAATTTGGGTATAAAAATAATAGCCCCAACCGAAGGCTGTGAGGTATAATGCATAACACAAATAAGTCCTCAATAATATTGTTATTGATACTGTACTTGTAAGCATGTGTTTGACTTCCATAATTACTTTATCTCAGTGAATCATCCCTTCTCCTGTGGTAGCGTTTTAACATTAGCCTTCAACAACCATGTCCTTAACTTTCCAACCAAGGTATAAATGTAACAGTTCTACTCTCTCTGGGAGAATTTCCAAATTGTAGTGAGCGCCTGGCTGTGCACAATTTAAAGTATACTTTCTCTGTCAGAACACATGATTATATTGGTTTGTACTTTAACATTTTATTTCCAGTTCTTATAGCCTTTTATTTCTCTATCTGAGTTTGCTTTGATAGCAGTTAGGGTACTAGAGCCCTTTCTAAGGCAGACATTACCTGGGCATGGATGAATGTTCCAGGGGCAAAAATCAAAGAGACCAGATATACTAAATCACTGGGGGAAACTTTCAGTGACTCAACTTGGTACAGAGTAAGAAACATAAGAAGGGTGTAGCCCCTTGTGCATTTATGAAATAATGGAGACTGAAAAATGCTTACTAAGCAAAACAAAACCAAAACCAAAACCACTAAAAATGTGTTTTCTGCTTTCACAGTGACTTTCATGTTTGCCAAAGTGGTGGCAACAAATCCTGTAACTGTCTATGATCACAGAATATTTAAAGACTTTTGCCTTGTTAAAGAGTTAGTTTTCAGGCCAGATGGGTGGCTCACGCCTGTAATCCCAGTGCTTTGAGAGACCGAGGTGGGTGGATCACGAGGTCAGGAGTTCGATACCAGCCTGGCCAAGATGGTGAAACCCCGTCTCTACTAAAAATACAAAAATTAGTGGGGCATGGTGGCAGTTGCCTGTAATCCCAGCTACTCGGGAGGCTGAGGCAGAGAATTGCTTGAACCTGGGAGGCGGAGGTTGCCGTGAGCCGAGATTGTGCCACTGCAATCCAGCCTGGGCAACAGAGCGAGACTCTGTTTCCTGAAGTTGAAGGAACTTATTGGATGGATGTTGTTATTTCTACTTAGAAAGTCTAAAACAGTCAAGAGCCAGGCCAGTTAGTTGTTTCTCACAAAGTGGAGGAAAGAAGAGGTGACTGCATTGGGATTGGCCTCCACTCTTAGGGGAAAGGGGGATTTCTAAATGTTTCTTGCAGACAAGAGTGGATGCCCTCTTGGGCCTTATCCAAGGAGCTGCTAAGAGAAAGAAACAAACCGCAGTAGAAGTTACCTTGAATTCCTAGGGGTTGTAGAAGGAGTGAGTGATGCGTGGGGTAGACTATGGCACCCACATTCAGCACAGCAGGTAACAGGAGTCCAGGAGTGAGTGCCTTCTGAAGAAGCCATGAGCTTACCATGTGAGAGAGAGAGAGAGACAGAGAGAGAGAGAGGTGGCTGTAAACATGGGCCAAACCCAGAGAGCATGTATGTGGCCAGCTACCAACTGTGATCATCTAAGAATTTTCTTATTCCCATTGTTTCCTTTTTCTCACTACTTAAACCCCATAGTTCAAGAAAATACCTATCAAGAGGAGCAGAGGGATCAGAGGAGGTGAAAAAGGAGAAGAAGGGGCTGATCATACCTTTTTTCACTTATTTTCTGATGCTGGTCTATAGCCAACCCTAGCTGGGAAAGGGAGGTGGCTATAAGTTGAAAGTTTCAAGTGCGACTAATATGCTGAACTGGGCACTCTAATTTCTGAATTGGGACTGTGTTTGATAACTTAAAATGATTGTATGACATCATATTATTAAGAGTTAGAAAAATAAGTAGACTCCTTGACTTGTCGTGTAGGGAGTAGAAAAGAACTTTCACCATTAAGCAATTGTAAAGGGATAGTGGAACATAATATAGAGGTATTCTGTGACTCTACTCTTTGAGTCTTGTGTGAGTCCAGAGACATATATACATACACAAAAAGTGTGTGTGTGTGTGTGGTGTGTAGTATGTATATATTTTAATTTCAAGGAGGCGTTCGCTGAGAAATTGATTTCTTTAAATACAAAATATTACCATGCCAGAAAAAGGCATAAAATGCTAGAAAATGATGGTTTAACAAGAGTTGAACTTTCAAAACTAAAAACATAAAAATGTATCCTTAACCTTGATAGGATTAAAGGAAATCACTGTCTTTGATGGTAAATGAAACACCAAACACTTACTTTCTTAATATTTTTTCTGACATTTTATAATTAACTAATGAATATGATCAGGCTTTATTAAAATTATAAATATATTCTGTATATTTAAATATACTCTCTTCAATAAAAAGCTGTTATGAGAGCAGAGACTCTCTTCCTCATATTAAATTTAGGTTGAAAAGATGGCTTATGGAGCTAGATTGCCTAGTACAGTAAGTAGCTCTGCCACTTAACTAGCTGAGTGACCTTTCATTAAATTACTTAATCTATGTGTGCCTCAGTTTTCACATCTGTGCAGTAGACATCAGAATTGCACCTGTATTATTTGTGGTTATATTAAAGCTACAGATATGCATATATTTTAAGAATATAAACATATATGTATATATAGAAAGTGTTAGCAAATAGTTTCCTATGTTATTGTTACATATTCTGATTTATATCTTTTTCTCTGCTCTTACAAACAGAGAATGAAATTTCAGAATGTCTGAAATGTTGCCTCAAAAGTGATGCCGTCTGCTGTGAATGGCTACTTTAAGAATGTTGAAACAAGGGCACTCAACTCAATTGTCAGGGGATGTCATACTTTTATAATACTTAGCTTCCTGAGCATATGATTGTGTGGACAAGGAGAACAAGACACAGGAGAGCCCCAGTGTGATCTTTCAGCTCGTTTTGTGCTCTCTGATTGTATGTCAGTTGAAGGAATTATCTGGTTAATTCCGGCTATCAACAACTTCACGATGCTGTGTCACAAAGGAATCTGACTTTAACTAACAATCTCCCACATTTTATTGAAAGTGCCTAAAATGTAATGTAGAAAGTTAATAATTGCCCCAAGTTTCACAAAGAGCTTTTTTTTTGATCCAGAGTCTTGCTCTGTTGCCCAGGCTGGAGTGCAGTGGCTCAATCTTGGCTCACTGCAACCTCTGCCTCCAAGGTTCAAGTGATTCTCTTGCCTCAGCCTCTCAAGTAGCTGGGACTACAGGCATGTGCCACCTCGCCTGGTTAATTTTTGTATTTTTATTAGAGACGGGTTTCGCCATGTTGGCCAGGCTGATCTTGAATCCTGACCTCAGGTGATCTGCCTGCTTCAGCCTCCCAAAGTGCTGGGATTACAGGTGTGAGCCACTGTGCTGGGCCCCAAAGAGCTTTTATATTAGAGAAATATAATAAAATAAAATATAAGTTAATATATGAATATGAAACAGATCAGTCTACCTCACATATGTTGTATTAGAATGAGCTTTTATATAGTTTATATGTTTTATTTATTCAAGCATGTCAAGTAAGTCACAAACTTTGATAATAGTAATTGTTTCCACTTAATAATGGAATACTCAAGACACAGAGTAAGTGCTTGGTGTTTAATTTATCACCAAAGATAGTGATTTCCTTTGATCCTAACAACGTTAAGGATACATTTTTATGTTTTTAATTTTGAAAGTTGATCTCTTGTTAAACCATCATTTTCTAGCATTTTATGCCTTTTTCTGACATGGCAATATTTTGTATTTAACCCAGTAGTCGAACATTGCAACTAGTAGTGGACTAGAGTGCTATGTCGTTTTCCTGGTTAGTTACCAGATTCTCTATTCTTCCAAATGTTACCGGGGAACTCTTCGGGAGTAATTGTTTAAATCTGTTGTACGAACAAACAGCTATGTGTTCAGAATGGCTGAATTTATGTTGATATCAAAAATGGCCAAATGATTTGAAATTCAAAATCGTGATTACCAAAGCCAAATTATTTGAAATTTTATAAATGCAATAAATATTAATTAGTAACAATTAAATATGTGCGTAAGAAGCAGTGCTCTTGTAAGAAGCACATCTAAGTATTTGGTCTGTTCTTAGGCAAATGAATATAATACTAATTCAGTAGGTATGATTTTGCATTCTGGAGACTTAACTTTTTGACTATGTGGCTTTTGCCAGATTGCTTAACCTTTCTGAGTCTCAGTGTTTTAATCTGTAAAATGAGAATAACCTCACCTTAATTACTGTGAGAATTGAAGACATTTGTATATGATCATGACATTAGCAATGAGGAAGAAAGCTCTTAGGACACTACCTGGCCTGTAAGTGTTTACTAAATGATTAATCTTACTATTATTATTGTTAAAGGCAGTATTATAAATAAGTTATTAAACCAAATTAACCCTATTTTCTTCTTTTATCTCTCTGCCTATCCGCTAAAACTGTAGAGAGAATCAAATAAGGTGAGGCAGAGAATATAGATTGTAAATTTTCCAGTGGCCACACAAATGTAAAATGCTATCATTTAATTAGGATGAGGTATACAATTTTATGTTTAAAGTCAATTAAAGTGATATTTTCCAAAGCTTTAAACCTTTGGCTTCTGATGTATCAAACACCTAGAAATTAAAATGGATAATCTTGATTTATACAGTGTTTCAGATGCTCTTAATTGTAGTTCAATTGAAATTCAAGAGTTACAATTTAACTCTATCTAAAATGCCCTGAAAATATTCCCACTAAGCCGTGAGTTATAACAGGCAATTTGGAAGCTCAGGTTGTAAAATTTATGTTTAATGGTATTGATGATGCTTTGCCTTTTAAAAACCCCTGAGCAACTAACTGTAGTTTTATTTGATCCAAATTTATCTTGGTTATTATTTCCAACCCAGTCTTAGTTGTCAAATGTTTTGGAGCAAAATCTGGTCATCAGGAATCTTGAAATTCTACCAAGAAGTCCAAGAAGAAGAAACCTACTTGAAATTTAAGATGGTTGTTAGGACAGAGGCTAGACACACTACCAACTCCCATAATCAGTATGCTTATTAGGTATTTTATGGATTTTACCATTCTATGAAATTGATAGAAGGTATATTTTATTTTGTTTTGTTTTGTTTTATTTTATTTTACTTTAGAGACAGGGGCTTGCTGTGTCACCCAGGGTGGAGGACAGTGGTGTGATCACAGCTCACTGCATTCTTGAACTCCTGAGCTCAAGCAATCTTTGTACCTCAGCCTCCCAAGGAGCTGGCTGGCACTACAGGTGCACACTACTATACCCAGCTAATTAAAAAAAGAAAAACAATTTGTTTTGTAATGACAGGGTGTCACTATGTTGTCCAGGCTGGGTGTGTTTTCTCTACATCTAAATTATAAAACTTTTACTCTTGAGAACATAGAACTTCTTTTACTATTTCTAAATAAAATTAAAGATAGGAATATGAAAGATTTATTCAACATGATATGGTGTCCATTTCTTATAAAATCCATTGGCTCTGGAGCTGAGTGTCAGATTACTAAGGTTCATTAAAGCTCTTGCTCATAGCTGTTGTTTTGCTTTTAAGAAGTGAATTTAACTAGCATGAGAAATGTCATAGAAATGGAGTTGCCCTAGTGTGAAACTATGTCAGTAACATAAAATGGCCTTCAAATTTAAGGCCGTAATTGATATTACAGCTTCATCATGCTATACCGAAGGAAAAATATTCTTTAATCAAAGGGGTTCATATTGTTGATTCACTTATTCTACTTGCCTTAAAAATGCTGAGTGGTAAATGCTAGGATTTCTTCCGTGTAAGTTACACTTATAACACAGATGTATCTGAAGCACAGGTTTGCAAAGAAATGACAATAAAAGATTCAGCAAGATGCAAGAATTCTGTTGTTGTATTCCTTAGAAGGTGAGGAAAGAATCTATTTTTGGAAAGGGCTTGTACTGCTAGGTAAAATTCCCTTTCTTCTTCTATTCCTAAAGAAGAGACTTCAAGAGGCTTTTGTTTATGTAAAAAGACTGAACTTGAGTAATTTAACATGTTGATATGGAAAGAGTGCCTATTTCTCTAATTTTTAAAGGATTTGTACCTTTCTTCCATCTCTAACAGGGTAACAAATGTAGTGTTAATTTAGTTGAGTTATACTTTCTATATGAGTTTGCTAACAGAACTTGACATAAAAGCCTTTGTGAAGAAGCTTGATTGGTTTGGTTGCCATGGCAACATGGTTGCATGGAAGAATGATTTCCTTTAGGAACCTTTCCTAAACGCTGTTTTGTGCCCTGTAACGATACTGCTAGCTTGCCATCCCTTGTGAGGAGGTGAGAGGAGATCACTTTCAGGGTCAACTTTGTGTCTTGTGTTTATAGATTATCCTCAACAATCAAAAGAGTGCTTGGCTCATCTCATTCTTTCCATAGCTGAAGCAGTTCTGTTCTTCTGTATACAGTGATAATAGGAGCCTCTCGCAGACCTTTATATCTTAAAATACACAAAGAAAAAAGTGAATCTAGACCAATGATCATATTCTGTTAAGTGCATTTCCTAAAGCTAATGTCTGTTATGGATTTTTAATTTCCTGCTTATCTTTGTTTGACATTCTGCAATTTATCAATAATTTGTCCTGTGAATGATGTTACTGTTTTGAGGAGACAAAGGGTTTAATCAGTAAACAGATCAGCAGGGGTTTCATTTAAAATCCTTAGTAGTGGTTTGGTATTCTGGAATTGCTGTAAACCCTAAGGCTTACATTTGAGATTTCCTTTGTTATGGGGTAAATGTCTGCTCTGTTAGCACAGCAATTGTGTACAAAAATGCATCAAATCACTCAAGTACCACCATAGGGTGTTTTTCAGTGGTTAAAGCAGGCTAATGGTTATTTCACTTGTACATTCAATAATAACAGCAGTAAGGCCTATTATAACCATTTTTCTAATCAGCCGCATGTTTGCATTTTTTCATTTTCACCCCTTGATTTAGGTCCTTGGAATCAGATATTCCAAAACAGACTTAATGACTTTAACTAAAGAATTGTATCAACACTGTTGGTACCAGTTATACAGTGACTTAAAAGTTGCCTAGGAATAATTTTATGCAGGAGATGAGGGAAAAAAAACCCATAATCTCAAACTGATGGGAATATTTTAAAGATTGCAACACTTTCTAACTTTTGACCCCATGATTAGTGACAAAATTTGTATATAATAATGTGACATGATTATATTGGAGTTTTTGTTTTATTTTGATGAGTAAATGTTAGAATTTAAATTTTTGTAACTGCTAATGGATGCTCATTTTCAATTGCTAAATGAATCCTTTCATCTGAGTTGCCTGAAATGACCCTGCTGGTTAAACAAACTATTGGGAAAGACTGGATCACATTTTGAGCCTAACTCATCTCAATATTTATTTTTGTGTATTTTGGATTTTGTGGATTATTTTGGAAAATGTATGTTTCAGTAGCCTACCATTCCCTGTGATTAAAGGTAAGCCAGTTAAATTTATGACAGTAGCAGCAGCAGAGGCATGATTTGAAGAACGGGAAACAGCTTATATCAGATGTGAAATTTTCAAATGCCTGCTTCTACTCTATATCTTCTTTCCACATTTCTCTCTCACTGTCCCTTTTCTCAATAAAAATGAAGAGAAAATGAAAAAAAAAAAACTAAATTATATAAAGTGATGTCACCTTTAAATGTGAGATATGACAATTCTTGTCCACTGCCAGAATTGGAGCCACAATAAAGCTGAGACAGATTTGGCTATAGTTGAGAACAGCATTTATTGAATAAGAAGAGGTAGTTTCAGACAAAATTTGCACATTTGTTCTAAGTTACTTTCTATTGATATGAACGCTCTTCTCCAGAAAGCTATGTGAATGCACATTATAAATAAAACAAGTTTCAACCATGGAAGTACTCCCCTCTTATTAAGGTTAAGGGTTCTTCTAAGTTAACTTTATTATTTTTGTAGCCTTTGTCTATCTCATACTAGTTGTATAATCCATACTATTTGTAAATGTATGTATGGCACCACTTTTCCAGTGAAGGACCTCACTTCTTCCTCATCCTTGGTTATACTTGGATCATCGCATAATCTACGTCACAGATGGTTTGTGCTCTCCAAACTCATGCCCTTGTTTTTATCTCTGCCCTTGGATGGCTGTCTTCTATTTTCACTCACAATTTCAACACATTTTGACTTGCTCGTGTCACCTAGGGTTTCCGCCTCAGGTATGTCTTCTTCCTTAATTTCTTTGCCGTCTTTGGTGCTGTTGACCTCACCCTTTCTGGGGTCTTCCTATTGGTCTCAGCTTCAGGTTTGCAGCCGCCCCTGGTTTCCTGAACATTCCTTCTGTGGGGTCTTCCCCTCCTTCTCACCCTCCTCTGTTTCCTTCACTTAAAGCGTTCTCCGTGAAGACATTCTTGCTTAGTCTTGCCGTCTGCCCTCACGCATTCTGTAGATGTGAATGAGGGCACTTCATAGCCGCATATGAAATTACCATATATGCAGAAGATGCCCTGCTCTTTACTTTTAGCCTTGACTTTCTGGCTATAGGGAGGGCATTAACTTTTGAGTTTCAGGATGGCATCCCTAGGCTTAAAAAAAAAATACTTGCATAAAGCCACTTATTATGTGTATAATTTGTATTTAGTTCTAAATCAATAAACTTTTATTGAGCATCATTATGTGTCAGGTGCTGTGCTCTGGGGAGATACCAAGGTGCAGAATCCATGGCCCATGCCTGGCAATTTAGAGGGGAGAAAAATAAATACACCTGATTACACTTCAGTGTTGTGTGACAGAGGAAGGCCGAAAGAAATGTGAAAGCACCTAAGAGAAATAACTAACTCAGACTCGGAGAGGGGAAAATGGTGGACCAGGACCAAAGAAGACTTCTCAGACGATGTTGTCATTTTCTTTTAAATTTCTTCCTCAGTAAGCCAATTCTTTCTGTGATATTAGACAGCAGAACTGTATTGCTTAACAAAGTAGCTCAGGAACTCAGCAAAGCATCTCTTGTATATTTATCAAATGAGTAAATGTGGCCCTTTTTTAAGAGAAGCGAGCCTCACAGCTCATGAAAGGAGAGAGGAGGAAGGCCCGGCGCGGTGGCTCGTACCTGTAATCCCAGCACTGCAGGAGGCCGAGGCGGGAGGATTGCTTTAGCCTAGGAGTTTGAGTCCAGCGTGGGTAACAAAGCAAGACCTTGTCTTTAACAGAAGATTTTTAAATTGGCTAGGCATGGTGGCACGTGCCTTGTAGTCACAAGTACCGAGGAGGCTGAGGCAGGAGGATTGCTTCAGCCTAGGAGGTCAAGGCTGTAGCAGTGAGCTGTGGTAAACGTTAGGAGAAGGAAAAGGAATAGCATGCATTGTACTTATTTCCTAAGATGCATTCTGTTTGTAGCTTCTTTTTCAAACTTTTGAGGTCCTTTTGAATTCTGATAAGCTATTCCTTTGTGGCTGGTGACTCCCTCTGGCCTCTTCCTCCAGCCTCTGCCCCCCCGCCCTTCCTCAATGCTTCCTCCTCGTCTGGTCTCATATGCAGACTTAATAACAGTGATAATTATTCTACCCTCCAGGTCATTAATGAAAAATGTCCACTGGAGTACTGCCCAGAATTGAACACATTGGAGCCCCATTTATTATACTCCCTCTAAAGCTGACACTTTTCCACCGATAGCGCCCTGCCAGGCATGACCTTCCTGCCATTTCATAGCTATGCAGTGTAGATCCTATTTTCTCAGTTTATTGATGATTATATCATGAGGAGCGGAAGCAAAAGCTTTGTAAAAATCCGAATATAAATTGTGTCTTGCTTCTTCCCTTGATCTACTGGGCTAGTCACTCCATCAGGAGAGATTAGATTATTTTGACAGGATTGAGTTTGCATCAGGCTATGTTACATATTACTCAAGACTGTTTTCCTTAAGATGTGGGCAACTAGATCTTTTTCTAAACAATGTTTCTGAGGTAAGTCCAAGATCATTACTGTCTTTAAAAAAAAAGTTTGTATATTTTATTAGCCTTCAAGCCCCACCGAGTCCTCCTCTCCAGAGTTTGTAAGGTTTGTCACCTTGCTATGGCATTGGCTAATTCCTTTGATACAGTGGGTTGAAGGTCAACATGGACTAAAGATTGGAAGGTTGGAATGAAGTCAGTTTATTGAACTCTTATCAAATTTTCTCCAACCCCTGCCTCTCTTAGTTGATCTTTCTTAAGTCGTTGCACATGTACTTTCAGAATATATTAAATAACTTTATCATCTACGGAAATTATTTCTCCCTTTGAGAGTAAAAAATAAGTGGGAATTGATGGATATAAGTTTACCAAAGCAGGGGATTCTTAATTAGCAGATACATGGAAACTTTACCCAACTATTCCTAGGTCTATAAGTAATGTTATTATCCAAGAATGACTGACATTATTTTCTATAAGAACCCATTTATATAGATTCTTATGCTTTAAAATATATATGTATACATGTGTAGACCTATAAATATATATGTACATCTATCTGTGCATATATATAATTGCTAGAAATAATGTAGCAGCTTGGTAACACAGAAGACCTTCCTTCACTTTTTTAAAGAATGGAAGTCTGTTGGGGATCTTGCCATTCTACATTTAGCTTTCCCTAATGAGTACTTATTTTTTCTCTTTTGTTTGTGCCATATGTAGGATAGGAACATGCAGCCTGCTCCTCTGCTATTTATGTTCAAGTATCCACTCAGCTGGTATAAGGAGAACCTTGATCTTTATGGAATGTTTCACAATTCCAGAATTCCCCCATCTGTGTTGATCTCCTCGAAGCTTCCCTGTGCAGATCTTCACTCAGGCCTCACAAGCCTCAAGTCCCCACCCAAGTGGATGTCTTTCAGATGGGAAATGCTCTGAGATCCTTAGCGAAAGGTGGAAATATCAAGAAGAGTGTGCATAGGAAACAAGGTGAATTTCTAGGTTGCATGTAAGAAAAATCCAGTTTCAGTAACAGCAAGAGATGAAATTGAATTACGACTGCGTTGTTTTTCTGGGGGCAAAGATACTTTTCTAGACTTTTTCAGTGATATGAAAAAGCACATATGTTGAGAATATATACTTTTAATAGTTGAGGCAGTATAGCCTTTCAGAAAAAAAAAAAGTTCATCTTTGTCAGTGATTAATGTATTTGAGTAATAAGGCTCTTTAGAGCAGGAATTAAGAATGATTGTTCTGTTCCTTAGTGACCTCAGGACTGTTTCCCGATTGGGCTTGGGTTATGGTTATAGCTAACAGAGCTTTGTTAAAAATTATATTCATTTATTCAGTTCCACAAACACTGATGGGCCTTTTCCAGGGACTAATTCAGTTGGCAGATTTTTATTGTACTCCTACCTTAACCCAGGTGCTGGAGGTCATAAACAGGTTGTGCTCATAGCCTAGGGGGGTCAATGGACTTGACTATAAATGGTGAAGTTGAGTGGTATAAATGCCAGCATCTTGGTGGTAGAATGTTGAGCTTTACTGTAAAGGATTGGTACTGGGAAGTTGTCGGGAAGGGTTCTCTCAAGCCGAAAAGGAGATGGAGTCCATGAGTGAGATCAAGACTGCGCCCATTAATTAATTGTTTGACCTGCACTATGTTTACAGTTTTTCTTAGTTGCTGGAGTAGTTGCTTTTTGTGCCGTAAGTCAGATCCCCTTGGTCAACTTCGATTTCACTCACAGTGGTGATTCTCTGAATGCTGACCGCACCCTGCCTGGGCACAGTTGTTTCCTTTCTGTTCAGGGCTTTCTCCCAAACCGAGGAAGCTCAGTCAGCACTTCAGCAGGTACAGTTGGAAAGTGTAGTGGAATTAATGCCCCTAGGACGAACTCATAGCCAACAAGGGAAAGGGGCTTGGAGGATAAATGCCCCTGCCTTCCCTCATCCACAGGGAAGACTGTGAGCCTCTGAGACCTCACGAAGACCCCATGGTTGATTTTTATTCTTCCTTTGTCCCACTTTTCTCTCTCCTGATTATTAGAGTTAGTTCTGAAGAAAACTACTGCAAGTCCTTTTCTCAGGCTCCACTTTCAGGGTAACCAAAATTCAAATAGTTGCCAATATTTAAAAACTGGAGAATGGCAAATAAAAATTCAGATCTCTACTTCTCTTGAAACACTAAAGACGTGATGACTGTTAGAGTGTGTTCCTTTAGAGCGTGTTCGATAACCCAAGCCCAATCAAGAGAAACTGATTGGGCTTCAGCTGATGCTGAAGAGTGGCTGATTCTTAAAATGAGGTGATCTGAACTTTTTAGGACATCCTAATGCCCATGCAGTCTGAATCTTTCTTCAAAATATCCACTCAGACGCTAAAAGCAGGGGAGCTTGAGATCCAGGGTGATGTTTGAATTGAGGCTTTCAAAGGAAGAGGAAGATAACCTTTGAAGAAGGTAACCAAGCAGGAGGGAGAAGGCCCTACATGGCAATGGTAACATCATCTCAAAGCCAAGGAAATGGGCATGTTGTTTATATCGCCACAGGATTTTTTTTGTGTGCAATAGTCTACCTTTTTCTTTCCAAAGTCTATCATACTATGGCAAAAGATGTAGTCATTCAATAGAGTTATGCAATTCTAGCTTTCCATCAATTACAAAAAATATGACTATCTACCTTGATTAATTGGATTGTTATACAAACAGCCCTGCAGTAGTAAACGTCCAGTGTGTGGCAGTGGGGCATATGTTTGTCATATCCATTAGGGGAGCACTTGGGGCCCAGAGGACTGATGAATTGGCCCACATTGTCTTACTACACAGCTGTCATAGCTTCTCTGATAGCAGGTGATAGTTCTGCAAGAGCGTGTCAAATTGGAGCTTATCTCTTATGACATCTGTTGATGGAAGCTCCCTTTTAGGTTTGAACCAGACAATGACCTTGATATTCCTGGTGAAGAATAAAGGCTTACAATTATTGTTTTAAGAAGGAGAGACTTGTAGCTTGTGCCTCACACCCGTCATATCAAATTATCAGGCTGAAACTGATAATACAATGAACACTGGCTCTCGACAGCAGTGTTGTATCTGCTGGATTTGTACGCAGAGTAAACCTTATGCCAGCTATATCATAGAAATCAATGGAGATAAGATGTAGTTAACACCTGGAATTTTTCAGGTATCTGCTCAGAGACTCTGGTTGCAGAGGGCAACATCTATTTCATAATAATATCTTTGAGGACTAAATCTTTAAGAAGTGGAAAATAGTCAGTGGTTGAGCTGAGAGTTTTACAGATTTCAGGGAGGTGTAAATGGAAAGCAGACAGCTTCTTTGGAATATGGAAAATGGAAAGACGTTGGTTATTGGGTTATTGGCTCCACTGTTAGGCCTATGAGACCTTGGAGGAGTCAGTCAACCTCTGGAAATCTCGTTTTTCCACCTGTAAGATGCAGATGCCAATTTCTACCCTGGCTACCTTACACTGTATGTCAGAGATTATAAGAAACTTGGAAGCACTTTTTTTTGGTTGGCAAAGAACTGTATAAACATACAACGGTAGTATTGTTTCAGTCTCTGAATATACAGATATTACAAAACATTATGTGACATTTTAACAACTAGTATTTTCAAGCTTTTGTTTTGTGGAGATAGATGAAGTATAGGATGCTGGAATGGGCACCAAGCAGAATGAGGAGATCTGTTTTCAAGTCTAAGTGGTGTAACAACTAGCTTGGTGACCTTGAAAACCAAGCTGTGGTCTTAGTTAGTTTCACTGGACAGTGGTCTCTGACTTTCCTTCCGTTCTTTTGTTCTATGAATAGTGGCTACTTTTTTTTTGCTTAAGCACTTGTGTTCCATCTCACAGTGTTATTTCATCTTTGTGATCAGGAAGTGTAAACACTGTTCATGCTTCAGTCAGCGGTACTTAATTGCATATAAGGCATCTGGGGAGCTCTTTGAAAATGTATATTTCGGGACACCATATCCAGAGAGTTTGATTCATTGAGTCCAGTCTGGGTCCTAGGAAGAACTATTATCAACATCCCATTTAAATCTAGTGCAGGTGGTCTTTTGATAACCGTTGGTGTAGAACATATATACATTTCATGTTTTATTAATATTTATTAATAATTTACAAGGTCAAAAAGATATTATTTTGATTGTTATTTTGTATTGAGTCTACTGCTTTACTTCCATTACTAAATTGGCTTTGCATAAATACAGTGGGCCAGGATTAACCAGGATTATTGAGTGTCTCTGGGCTTTAGTGTACTATGGTTTTGCATACGTAAGTCATATTCTTTCTGGTTTTCTCCATGAAAGCCAAAAAAAAAAAAAAAAAAAAAAAGGTGGGGGGCTTTTAAAATTCTACTGGCATATAAATTTTGTATTTGGTGTTTCATCAGAATCATTTTAGAGTTAGTGAATGTGGGGTTAGCTTAGCGTTTTCCCAAAAGTGCTTACCATGAAAAAGACTTGACGCAGTGTCTGCACGGAGTAGGATTGTGGTGGAGGGAGCAAATGGGAGCAGCACTGTGGTTGCTGTTGTTCACCTCTCACACCATTCCCCTTTAACTAAAGAAACCTCTATTCCAGTGGTATGGTGGCATCCTTGACTCATGTGTGCTTCTAAATCCTAAATCGGTTAGACATGTGAACAGGATGTTGATGAAAGAAAAAGACAAAACACGATGATACTTTTGAGTTTAAAGTGGTGTCAATGATGAAGAGCAGGGGGAAATCAATTGGGGACTTTCATGACCTTGTGCAAAATGCATAGCATTTTCATTTTGTAGAGCATACATGTCCCCAAGCAGTGTTTGAAATTTAGGTTTCTAATTTATGTAGAACTTAACATACAAGAGTGAGTACACTAGACTGAATTAGTGCATTCAGTGGAATACAGATTCTCTTTAGACCCATTTTGCCTTGTCTCGCCATACATACCACTGTTGCCCACCTTCATTGTATATTTTATTAAAGGTTCATCTCTAAGTTGAAATGGAAGGACTGTGGATATGAAACAAATTTCAGGAAAGGAGCAGACCACACTCGTTGGAACTGTTAGTAAGATCAAGTTCTGAATAACCATGAAAGACGTTTTGTGTTTTATTTCATAAACTTATATCTAAAAGGGTGATGATTAAGATATGAGGTGAGCTCTAACCAAATCCATATTAGAGAAAGCAAAATCCTTAAAAAAAAAAAAAAAGCTATTCAAAGTTCTTTAACCATTCACAAATAAAATTACCCACACAGAAAACTAGTGAAACTTTCTAAATAATAGTTTAATTCTCTCCTCATGTGTAGTTGCTTTGTTTGTTTGATTATAGTGATTATAGTGTTCATTAGTATTGATTGGGTAGGTAGGTGCAGTGGTTTGTATCTCCAAATAAGCTGGAGTCTGTGAAAACTCCCAGCTTCTATTTTCATCTTTTTAAAGCCTTACTTCTAACTTTGTTGTTGTTGTTGTTGAGATGGAGTCTCGCTCTGTCACCCAGGCTGGAGTGCAGTGGTGCGATCTCGGCTCACTGCAACCTCTGCCTCCCGGGTTCAAGCGATTCTCCTGCCTCAGCCTCACAAGTAGCTGGGATTACAGGCATGCACTACCATGCCTGGCTAATTTTTTGTATTTTATTAGAAACGGGGTTTCACCGTGTTACCCAGGCTGGTCTCGAACTCCTGAGCTCAGGCAATCCACCTGCGTCGGCCTCCCAAATTGCTAGGATTACAAGCATGAGCCACTGTGCCTGGCCTACTTCCCACTTCTTTCAGTATCAGCAGCTATTCTCTTAACATAAATATTTTTGTCACTGTAATTGTGATGGAACAAAGGCAATTCATGGGTCTTCCTACATTTTAGTTGTCCTACTTACTCCTATGACAGAATTAGGTTTTTATTTCCATCAAATAAGTTATATCAGTGCAAATGTATTTCTGGCACCATTATAGTAAATCTTAGTACAGTAGCCAAGTGGAGGGAGTGTGTTTGAGTACTTAATTTGGGCAAAGTGGTTTTTAAAATATATTTCTAACAGTAATCTAAGTATCTTCTATTAAAACCCCTTTAATCAGATGGAACACATTAAAACATCAGAACAGAACCTCAGGTAGTTACAGTAGAGTGATCATGTCATCTCTTAAGCCAGCCAAGGTATGAAATTAAAATATTGGCTAGTCTTAAACATATAGAATTAATTTCAGGAAGGCTTTGTCAATACTTGCTGGATATTTACAGATAATCTAATAGCATACACTTTTTAAAGCTACATGACTCATAGAAGTCAATGTAAAAGGGGGTAAGATGGTTTTGTTTGAGTGTAGCAGGTATTATTTACATCTCTGGAAGTGTTGCTGATAAGAGATAGGTTTGAATCTGTTCATTACATATGAATATTGGTTGTGTTTTTTTCAAAAAATTATATGATTGCAGTTTGAATTTTGAAATCAATTTACTGGTGATGTCAGCATTTTATAACTCTTTGGAAATGAAAGTGTGATATTTATGCACACATTAATATGTGCACATTAAGTTAGCTCCTTAAAAATCCCCCCCCCGCCCCACCAAAAAAAAAAGTGTAAGCTGGCCAGGCGCAGTATCTCCATGCCTGTAATCCCAGCACTTTGGGAGGCCAAGGTGGGTGGATCACCTGAGATCAGGAGTTCGAGACCAGCCTGGCCAACATGATGAAACCCCGTCTCTACTAAAAATACAAAAAATTAGCTGGGCATAGTGGTGGTCACCTGTAATCCCAGCTACTCAGGAGGCTGAGGCAGGAGAATTTCTTTTTTTCTTTCTTTTTTTTTTTTTTTTCTGAGACGGAGTCTCGTTCTGTAGCCCAGGCTGGAGTGCAGTGGCATAATCTCGGCTCACTGCAAGCTCCACCTCCCGGGTTCACGCCATTCTCCTGCCTCAGCCTCCTGAGTAGCTGGGACTATAGGTGTCCACCACCATGCCCGGCTTATTTTTTGTATTTCTACTAGAGACGGGATTTCACTGTGTTAGCCAGGATGGTCTCGATCTCCTGACCTCATGATCCGTCCGCCTCAGTGCCCCAAAATGCTGGAATTACAGGTGTGACCCACCGTGCCCAGCAGGAGAATTTCTTGAACCCAGGGGGTGGAGGTTGCTGTGAGCCGAGATTGTGCCATTGCACTCCAGCCTGGGCAACAAGAGTGAAACTCCATCTCGGAAAAAAATAATAATAATAATAAAAAATAAAAATTGTAAGCTGTAAATTATAGCATTGATATCAAAAAGATTTTCCTATTCTGTCTATATTTATTTTTCTGTTTTTTTTTTCTATTGCAATTGAGGTTTATAATCATTTTCCAAAATTGGCAAGCCACTGGCTTTCTTACTACGATTATTGTATAAAGATGATGTGCATAATATTTTCATTTCTGATAATGGGATTGGATTACTCTGATGTTCATGTTGCCTTCAAGGATATGTAGAATTTAGAGAGAGACCACCTGGTCAGAACCTTCAAATGGGGAAAATGAATTCTAATTGCAGCTCCAACTTGCTTTGTGGACTTGAGCTACTCAAATTTTTGGAACTTTAGTTTTCCTACTGTAATTTGGGTAATACCAACCTCATAGAATTGTTATGAAATTAAGTGGGGCTAGGCCCACAAAAGGAAGGTGATCTTGGTTCATTTTTCTTTCATTCTTCTTATTTTTCCAGATACTATCTGTGAGGTATAGGTTCTGATCCCATGGCTTTGATCTGATCAGCACAGGTCTCATGAAATGAAGTTCCATGGGAATTTCTACCAAAAGCATGCTGTAATCCCTTCTGAGCCTCCCCTTCTTTTTCCTCTGTTACAGCAGAAATAGAAAAAGCTTTCTAATTGAGTATATTCACCAGGATTCTCTTTCAAATTTAGAAAGCCCAGGATGTTATGAGATCTGGGAGGTGTTAAAACATCACATTAGTCAACACAAGCTATTTTTATGAGTGTACCTATCTGTCTTCTCTCCTGGACTTTGAGCTAAAGTCCTTGTGGCTAGGGATCATGTCGCAGTTACTCTTATTTCTTCAGCACACTAAAAGGTGGCCACTCATCAAGGTCTGTGGAACTAGAAAGAAGTAAGAGTTTTAGAGTATTCTGAGTAAGAAAAAGTTCATGCCACACGTTTCTCCAGTTAGGAGATACATATATATTTTTTGGAAGGGGTGGGGCGGGAGGGGGTGTGTTTGTTTTTTGGAGACAGAGTGTCTCTCTGTCACACGGGACTGCAGTGCATTGGCGTGATCACAGCTTGCTGCAGCCTCGACCTCCAGTGCCCAGCAATCCTCCCGTCCCAGCCTCCCAGGTAATTGGGACCACAGGCATGCACCACCATGCCTGGCTAGTTTTATTTTTTTTTGTAGAGACGGAGTCTTCTTATGTTGCCCAGGCTGGTCTCAAATTTGTGGGTTCTAGTGATCCTCCTGCTCTCGGTTCCCAAAATGCTGGGATTGCAAGTGTGAGCCACTGTGCTTGGTCAATATAAATAAGGATAGTTTGTTTTAAAGTGCCTATAGATTTGTGTTATTAAGAGAAATGAGGGGCTGGGCACAGTGGCTCACGCTTGTAATTCCTGCACTTTGGGAGGCTGAGGCGGATGGATCACTTGAGGTCAGGAGTTCGAGACCAGACGGACCAACATAGCGAAACCCTGTCTCTACTAAAAATACAAAAATTAGTGAGGCATGGTAGCACACCCCTCTAATCCCAGTTACTAAGGAGGCTGAGGCAGGAGAATTGCTTGAACCCAGGGGGCAGAAGTTGCAGTGAGCCAAGATTGCACCACTACACTCCAGCCTGGGCAACAGAGCGAGACTCCGTCTGTGGGGGGGTGGAGGGAAGAAGTGAGGGACTTCAAACGTAAAAAAAAAATCCAGTAGATATTAAAAGAAAAAACACTTTTAGTGTAAGTTTTGGAATATTGTTTACCAATAAATAGGTTTTGCACATGGCTTTTTGGCAATAGGCTTTTTTCCTTATTTTTCTGCCAAAAAAAGGTATTATGAATAGGACTACCAAACATGATTTCGTACTTTTTCTTTTCTTTTTTTTTTTTAATTTGAGACAGGGTATCACTCTGTCACCCAGGCTGGAGTGCAGTGGTTACAAGTGAGCCGATCACAGCTTTCTGTAGGCTTCACCTCTTAGACTCAAGCAGTCCTCCCACTTCAGCCTCCAGGACTATAGGCCTGTGCCACCATGCCTGACTAATTTTTTAATTTTTTGTAGAACCGGGGTTTCACTATGTTGCTCAGGCGTTATAATTTTTATAATATAAATGTAAGTGTAAAGAACTCAAAGGTTAAAGATAATAATGCTAGAAGATATCATTGCTAAAAGGATCTGAACAGAGTAGATTACTAAAGGGAGTGTCAAAGAGCTTCCAATTGAGTTTGATTTTCTCATCGGCAAAACTAATTTCACTGATTTCAGTAATCATAGTTATTTATTTCCTCAGGTAATTAAATTATAGGGAAGCCTAA
The DNA here is from genome assembly GCF_000001405.40 of Homo sapiens. Lineage (NCBI taxonomy): Eukaryota > Metazoa > Chordata > Mammalia > Primates > Hominidae > Homo > Homo sapiens. The sequence goes on along the minus strand of NC_000009.12, from coordinate 8,803,311 downwards.
TAATTATGGTATACATTATTATTCATATTATCTAAGGTGTACATTTGCTCAGATCAGAGAGAGAAGGGGACTTTTTTTCACAAACACTTTCAGATGTGTGTACTCATTCATAAATAAAAATAATAGCTAACATTGGCTATAAGATGACTATGTGTCAATTGCTTTACATGCGTTATCTTGTGTAGTTCTTTTAACCGCCCTAGGAGGTAAGTATAATTATTATGTCCATTTTATTTATTTAATTATTTAATTTCAGAGCTGAGGTCTTGCTCTGTTGCCGAGGCCGGAGTACAATGGTGCTGTTGTGGCTCACTATATATAACTTCAAACTCCTGGGCTCAAGTGATCCTCCTAACCTCAGCCTCCCAAGTAGCTGAGACTACAGGTGTGTGCCACCACACTAAGCTAATTTTTAAATTTTTTGTAGAGATGTGATCTTGCTCTGTTGCCCAGGCTGCTCTGGAACTCCTGGGCTCAAGCTGTCTTCCCACCTTGGCCTCCCAAAGCACTGAGATTACAGGTTTAAGCCACCACTCCTAGCCCATCTCCATTTTAAAGATGAGGCAATTGGAAGAATTTAAGCAATTTCCCCAAGACCACATAACTCCTAAATGTTAGTTGTGGGTTGTCAGGGCCTTTTCCGAATAAAAACATATGGCCTTAGGATCTACAAATTGACCTAGAAGGAAGGAGCTAGAATTTGTAATTGGAAATATTACCACTTTTGGGAACTTCCTGCAGGCTGAGTGAGGCCAGTTTTCAGGAAAATCCAGATTTCCCTTAGGCACAGGCTATTACTCAGTTTATTTGTGCATCTCCTTTCACTTTCTTTTGTGATTCCTTTCTTTGCCTTTAGGGCAGGGAGCGTCATTAAGGAAGGCGATTGTGAATGTTCTTCTATTTGAGGGCCTTTAGGTGTGGCTGGATAGCATATGAAGCGTATTAATGGCGTGAGAGTCAGGGAAGCAACCTCAGGATCCCTGTGATACATGGTGTCTGAAGTAGAGATTTCTGTATTGCTTTCTACACTCAGACTTGTACCAAAAAACCCTTCACCATTTCACTTTAATGGATGCATCTATAACAGGGTGTGGGGGAACATTACTCAGATAATCCCTGTATTTCTTTCTCTAGTTAGAGTTTATTAATCTGTGACTATGGGGGGATGGAAGGACCAGGGCTCTGAAAAAGCCTACATTTAAAGAGTATATTAAGAGAGCAATTTAATCATTATACAGTCTGACTCCAGTTATGTGGTGATATAAAAGTTTCAGATTGGCGATAATAAATAATATTTTAGGATTTTCAAAATCTTTACCCTTACCTCATTGAGAGGTAAAGTAAGTGGGAATTATCTCAGTTCACATTTCCCTCCTCTCCCATCTCCTCCCCTTCCCTTTCTTTCTTTTTTAAAAACTGCTTTTCAGTTTGTACAGTATGCAAATAACTGTGGTAATACCATTAAGGGTTAATATTGAGACTAAACAGAGGTCAGGCCACATGGCACACAGTGAAAGAAGTAACACTAGGAGCCAGGTTTAATGGGTAACACTCCTGTACACTTTTAAAATATTATTTATTTATTCATTTTTTAAATTGAGACAGTCTTGCTCTGTCGCCCAGGCTGGAGTGCAGTGAGGCCATCTCTGCCCACTGCAACCTCTGCTTCCCGGGCTCAAGTGATTCTCCTGACTCAGCCTCCTGAGGAGCTGGGATTACAGGCATGTGCCACCATGCCTGGCTAATTTTGTATTTTTAGTAGAGACGGGGTTTCTCCCTGTTGGTCAGGCTGGTCTCAAACTCCCAACCTCAGGTGGTCCGCCCGCCTCAGCCTCCCAGATTGCTGAGATTACAGGCGTGAGCCACTGTGCTTGGCCAGGTTTGATGGGCAACCCTTATTTCACGTTATCATCAAAATGATTAAAATGTATTCAGAATGACTGAAATGTTACCTAAACATCAGTGAAACAAATATCTAAGCTCCATTTTTAATTCCATCAGATGATGCCAAAATGATCAATATGAGACAAAGGGAAGTTTATTAACTATAGCAAGATTTGAGAACCAGTAATTACTATGTGAGTCAATAAAAACTGCCAGTGCATTTTTATTTCTGAGTTTATCCTGACTTTTGTGACCCTTTGGAAGGTTAGTTCCTGAACTACCATCATCATGATCTTGTGACTCCAGCAAGAGAGAAATTGGGAAAGGAGCAAATTATATGTTTGAAAGCTACATATTATTTTTTGCACATCTTAATCCTTGCAAAAACAAACCCACTTTGCAGATGAAGAAACTAAGGCTTAGAGAGATTAAGTATTTGTATCATAGCCCCATAGCATTGATGTTCAAATCCAGGACTGCCTGCCTAGGTTTCCCAGCTCCTACATTTATAATATCATTCATACAATTTTTACCAATATTATTTTCTGAGAAATGTCTTTTGGCCATTTCAGAGAAAGAATGGAATTGTTACAGGAAAGGGGTCCCAATCCAGACCCCATGAGAGGGTTCTTGGATCTCCTGCAGGAAAGAATTCAGCGCGAGTCCATAGAGTAAAGTGAAAGTGAGTTTATTAGGAGAGTGAAGAAATAAAAGAATGGCTACTCCATAGACAGAGCAGCCCCGAGGCTGCTGGTTGCCCATTTTTATGGTTATTTCTTGATGTAATGTTAAACAAGGGGTGGATTATTCATGCTTCCCCTTTTTAGAACATCTAGGATAACTTCCTGACATTGCCATGGCATTTGTAAACTGTCATAGTGTTGGTGGGAGTGTAGCAGTGAGAATGACCAGAAGTCACTCTTGTGGCCATCTTGGTTTTGGTGGGATTTCGCTGGCTTCTTTACTGCAAGCTGTTTTTATGAGCAAGGTCTTTATGACCTGTATCTTGTGCTGACCTCCTATCTCATCCCGTGACTTAGAATGCCTTCACTGTCTGGGAATTTAGCCCAGTAGTTCTCAGCATTGTTTTACCCAGCCCCTATTCAAGATGGAGTTGCTCTGGCTCACATGCCTCTGACAGAATGGCTGACATGATGTCAAATAGAATCACGTGTTTTTTAAATATACATGCCTTAAAAAAAGCCAAAAAAATGAAGTCATTAAAACTTTTGGTGTTCAGCAGTCATCAGAAAGGCATGATGCATGCACACATACATACATATGTACTTATATGTGGAAGGTAGGGAAATGAAGAAGTGATGATTGCTGTTTATCACACCTTTGGAGCCTTGACAAATAATGGTAGTGCCGTCCTATGCTTGTATACTTTTTGTAACTCATGGATATGAATGTTTGTTTATCATCTTCTCTAAAAAATTATGGTGGCAGCACTATATTTATTATTTCTAACAGAATCTTACTGGTATTTGCCTGAAAACAAAAAGTTTTTTGTGTGTCTGGGAAAATCTGCCCTGGATTGACTGAAGTCACATACCAACTTGAAAAGAAAAAAAAAGTGTGTGGGGGAGTTGGGAGATCAAAACATTAGAAGTGTAATTAAAGAAGGAGGATTTCTCTGGAGCATTGGTAGAGTAAATAAGAGTGACAGATATTCATTACAGAATGTATCTAAACATAAAAGAATAATTCTTTTCATAAAAGAAAAGTTAATTGAACCTGGCTACATCTGCTATACCATCTTTATTAAGGAAGGCAGAAGTTGAAAGGGCAGCTGGAGTTTTCAGTTGGTTGCTAAGACTTTGAGCTAGATTTCTGGAAAGAAATAACAACAAACTTCCTTGCTTACTTTACAGATACTAGGAATCTGCAAGGTAACACTTCCTTCCTCTTCCCTACTGCCTGTCAACCAAATGCATTCCTTTTCTTTTCTCTTTTTATTAGGCTGATGTATTTAGTGCTTATATCTTCCAAACTGGACAATTCCAGGTCTCTTCCAGCAGGGAAACTTCAAAGAACTTCAGGGGTCACCCTGAGGCAGTTCTCTTTAATGAATTCTAAGCTGCCTCCAGGGATTCTTTCTTATACCAACTACAACAAAACTGAAACACTTTCTAGCATTATCTGTGCTAAGGTTCCTTGAGGAAACCTTTAAGGACAGTGAACATGGGAAGTGATTGCTACCAGACTACTGGTGATAATTATCTGTGTAAATAAATACATGCATTTATTTTAAAACAGACAAATTTGAAAGAGAAGTTTCTTATAGATACCTGTGGACTCTGACATGTAGATAAAGAGTATTATAGTACCATAGGACTCTAATTAATATTAAATAAAGCAATGCATGTGAAATTAATATAGTATCTAGGATAAATATGCTCAGTGCATTACCACTTTATTGGATCTTTGTATTAATCCTTATAATAACCCTGTAAGGAAAGCAGGCTGGGCTTATGCATTCAGGCTTTACATGTGAAAGCTAGGCTCTGAGTCGTTATTATGACATCTCATAGGCACTTAAACTGCAGCAATGAGACTAGGACCTAGATACTCTGACTTATAGTTCATTGTAAATTTATATCAATGAGAAGTCTGTGACTAAAATAACTGTATTTATTAAATATGATCACCGAAGCACTAGTAGGAGCCAATATTGCAGATTAAATGCATTTAACTACCTGTAAATTTCAAGAAGGCACAGCTTTCTTGTATGAACTGCAGAATTGCAACTCCCACCATCAACACTTAACGTAGAGTAGATGCTTAATACACGTTTGTTAAATGAATGGATGAGTAAAAAAGTCACAGCTTTTAGACGATATGGTATACTAGCTTTTGAATGCAACAGGAAGCTATTCTTTATTAAAGATGGTTCAGAATGATTTGGGTAGATTTAAACATCTTCCATTTATAATCTTTTTCCTGTGAGTAAATATCAGAACTTCTCTGCTGATTTATTGTGCTTAGGCCAGCAAACCCAGAATTGTTTGGTTTTCCATTCTCTAATCCGTTTGAAAGCAGTATTATCTGCATTCTTGGCACTTTGGTATGATTTAAACTGTTAAAAAATTTTTAAAGTGATGATTATCTTGATTATTTCTTAAAGAGTTGCTGGAGAACTGGACTTAATGATCCTAGGATTTACCCTATATGATCAGGTTGTTTAGTTATTTTATTTAAAGATCTAATGTATTAAGACTTGATTGGGAAAAGAGACACCAAAGAAGAAAAAAGAAAATTTGATCCATAGATGTATACTTAGTCATATAAAATGTTCTAATTATCATATAATGAAGTAAAAAAGGAGAGAATTCCATTCTATAAAGCATATAGGGTAGAATTCCACGTAAGACCAGCATAAGACTTTGAGCTTTGACTCAAGTTACCATTTCTCTTGCAAGATAGATTCTGTTAAGGTTGAGGTCAAAGGATTGCTTGAGTCCAGGAGTTCGAGGCTGCAGAGAGCTATGATCTTTGCCACTGCACTCCAGCTTCGGTGACATATCAAGACTCTCTAAAAATGAAAAAAAAAAAAAATTCTGTTAAATTTATTTTCTGAGAGTCTGTCCTGTTCTAGACACTAAAGTGAATAAATACAAATATGAGAAGACACATTCTCTACTCTTGAGGACCTTGGAGTCCAACAGAGAGCCAAAGACAAATATGCAAATATCTTTAATACAAAGCATAGTGGGATAAATGGTTCAGCTTTTGCTCCTGGTGAGATCAGTGACAGGAAAATCACATGTAGTTGGTGGATGAGATAGAGCTTCACAGATGTGATAGTGTTTGAGACAGTTCCAGAGAGTTTCTGCTGGATAGTGGGATGTTTGATAAGCAAGATAGAACCCTGTGGTAAGGGATCTCAAGGGCAAGGCGATCTTCATAGTGTGTGATGGTGCAGAAAGAACTTTTCCTAACTGCATCATATATCGCTTAGACATCCTTTTTGCATATCATCAAGATTCTGTGTGCTAGCACCGAATAAACAAATCAAAGTTAAGCAATCTATTTGATAGCTTTGGAAAATGAATTGATGGTGGAAGAGTTTGGTATTCATGACTTTTCCTTTAAATGAGCTTTTCATATTATTGTACATTATGGTTATCGTGAGAAGAACTAGGAGTAAATCTCTTGGCCATAAGGCAATCGTATTAGGATTTACGTTCATTTGTAGCTTGAATTTATTTTATTTATTTATTTTTCATGGTGGGGGGCTTTCTGGCAAAAATTGGAAAGCCTGCTAGACAAATTCGAAAAGCTTGAATTTATTTTATAACATGATCAAATCTTGTGTGCTTTAAGTCTCTTGAATATGTACTAATAGTAAGGCGTATCATGTTATGGCAGTTTTCAGTTTATCCCAAATGGTTGGGGAATGGACTGTTTCAATTAATCTAATGTTATAGTAGCTAAGAGATTACAGAAAATTTTACTTGGATTATTCAATTCCATAAACTAGAAAAAAAACAAAAATTTTAACATGGAAAATACTCTGAATATAATTTGAATTGAATTTTATATTTAATTATTTAGAAAGCTCTTTCAAGTTCTAGGCGATGTTTGAGTTTACCAATGAAAGTGTTTGTTATCCTTTATTTTCTAGAAAATAAATTATGGGAACTTGACATAATCCTGGATTAAGGAAATTTGAATTTCTCAACCAGAAGATTAGAGCTTCCATGTTTAGTCTCCTACATAAATCTATTATGTGAATAAAATAGAAATTGTACTCATTTTCAAAGCCATGATTATCAGGCACATGATGATTTGATGTGATAAGTTATGGCTTTTAAGTTACTGTCATCCAAATAAAAAAGCCACAGATAACTGCAGAGTTTTTAAGAAATTAAATATTGGGAGGAGAGAGACAGTTAAATTCCATATTTCTACTTGATAGTCACAAGTACTCTGATGACTGATAAGTATTGTAGGCTGTGCAATACTCACTTACTCTGAGCTGCTGATAATTGTAATTTAGTGGGACCATTCTTACATCCCAGTGTCAGCCTACTGAAGAACATTTTGTATTAATGGTAAAGGTCAAATGTTTCACAGGCTTCCACTAGCCCCTATTATAGAATACTGTTCAGTTTTATATATTTAAATATTTATCCCCCAAGGAAATTTGAAATATTAGATTCCAGTATAATTAAAATTTACTTAAAACTTGGCAATTAAGAATTGGGGCAGTTCATCTCTAATTATCCCTTCATCTATATGTTTTTAAACATGCAGATATAGATAAACATGTATATTCCTAAACATCTATTGGCCTATAGCATTTTCTGCTGTGGCTACCAACAGTATGCATAGATTATTTGGAAAGGCTTAACTTCATACGTTTTTGTTAGAAACCTAAACCTGCCTTTGTGGTCATCATAGTTTATCATTTGGCACTTAATTTCTTCAGAAGTGTTTTCTTATCGAAGTTAAAAGAACTTTGCTCCATAGTGTAACTATACAAGGTAAAAAGTGCCTTTTCTTTTTTTTTGAACATGCGACTTGGTGCATACTTTTATGCATTTTGTTTGAGCTTATTTTTCAAAATGAGAGTATATTAACAAATAATCTTCTCCTCTAGATCTTATATGTTACATAGTGAACAGTAGCATAGATTGCTTTAGATAACTTTGACTTTAGAATTTTACGCGTTTCCACTTCATAAATAAGACTTTGTAATAATTTTCTAACTCTAAAATTTTTGGACTGTCTTAAAAGGACATTGCAATCTATTCTTACGTGGGCTATGATGAAAATATTACTGAGATAGTGATAAATGATATATTGATTGCTGTTACTCCGTCTCCACAACCCAAAAGTTTTCATCTATCAGTCCAGTGACTGTGGTATTGGTGGTGGTATCCAATGTGTGAAATTAATTCTCCATCATACTTTCTTTTGTGTAATTCCTAAGTAGGCTATTTAATTTTTTCATTGGCTGGGTGTGGTGGCTCACACCTGTAATCCCACCACTTTGGGAGGCTGAGGTGGGCGAATTGCCTGAGGTCAGGAGTTCGAGATCAGCATGGCCAACCGTGGTGAAACGCTGTCTCTACTAAAAAATAGAAAAAAATTATCTGGGAGTAGTAGTGGTGCCTGTGATCCCAGCTACTTGGGAGGCTGAGGCAGGAGAATTGTTTGAACCTGGGAGGCGGAGGTTGCAGTGAGCCGAGATCATGCCATTGCACTCCAGCCTGGGTGACAGAGTGAGACTCATCTCAAAAAAAATTTTTTTTTTCTTCATATAAAATAAACATAGGGGTGGATGATACTAATGTTTTCCCATTTTGGTAGTGCCCAAGAAATTAAAATGACGCCTTTAAATGAATGCGGAAGATTTGAAAAGGTTCCATTTTTGAGGCTAAGAGATGTTATGAATTCAAGAAATGTAAGTGCATGCCAAGAAGATAAACAACTTTGTTTTAAAATTGGGTTCCAAATAATTAATCAGCAGTACAAAAAAATTGACTTATGTTCCTTTGTATACTGTCACTCATTGACCATTTATCCCAAGGCATTTGGACAGTTTGATGTTTTTTTTTTTCATGATCATAAGTTCATATGTAATTTTTCCCTAAATCCTGAGTCATTGCATTGTTGCTGCAATTATCTAAAATAACTTACTCCTCGGTTTGCTCTTTCTTGTTAAGTTCCTCTGAGGCAAGTCAGTGAACTTAAAATCTCTTTGAAACCAAGACAACTCTGTAATTTATTTCTCATTTTAGGGGGAAGTTATGTTGCTGCCCTCAAATTTGGCTTCTGCTGGGGGCCATGACACATGCCTGTAGCTCCAGCTACTTGGGAGGCTAAGACAGGAGGATTGCTTGAGCCCAAGAGTTGGAGTCCAGCCTGGGCAACATAATGAGACTTTGTCTAAAAAAAAAAAAAAAAAAATGGCTTCTGTGAATATAAATGTCACTAGAGAGTGTGAATATAAGTGCCACTGGACAGTCTACTGTAATTATTTGGAATTCTTTCAAAGTAGTGTGATATAGATAAAAGATGATTTTCTACACATTTTACCAGAGTGTAACCTAACGGGCAGCAGTATGTAAAATGGGCTTAAGTATTATTTTATTTCCATATCCTCTGGTTCTTCAGTTGCATCCCCTTTCTGCCTTAAGTTAAACATATTGCACTTCCATCTGCTCTACACTATAGATGATTCACATTTATTTTTTGCAGTGATATTTTTTAAATGAGTTTAGGGAGCAGATGTTTTTGCATTCATACTTGCCTTCCTTTTCCTGATGTCTTTCCACAAATACAGGGGGAAAAAATGCATTGCTGCTGTCCTTGGTGAATTTTGCATATCTCTTTGATTCAGGCTGCTGCACTGTAATGCATGATAATGTGACAACTGCAGTCAAGTAAGACGTTTCTTTAGTTTCCTAGTACTCTATATCAATATCACAGCTGTGCTGCAGGGAATCGAAGAACTTCTTCAGCTCTTGGTAATTCTCCTTTGGGTAAAAGTTAATCCAGCCAGACCTCTTCCTCTGATAGCCTTCAGTTTTGAGACTGATTTTAGACAGGTGGTTATGGATTTATAAATGAACTCAAAAATACAAACCTAGATACATAGTGTATCTATAGCACACTTTCAGTATAGGTTTTTTTTTCTGTTCTAATATCCAAATAAAGCACTTGCGTTATTTTAAATTACATGCGCAAATGTTGTCAGTCTTGTCTGTCTTTTTAAAAATGATGTCTAACAGAATATTATGGTTATTTGGCAAACCTCTGCAAACAAAAGTGTTCTGAATGCAGGTGTAACTGTGTAGAGTAGGAAGAGCACTGGACTCAGAATGAGAAGACTTAGACATTGTCATATTTATTGCTTTATGACAAATTATCCCAAACCTGACAGCTTACAACAGTATATACTTATTATCTCATATTTTCTGAGGGTCAGGAATCTGTGTAGTTCTGGCTCAGAGTCTCTCATGAAGCTGCAGTCAGAATGTTAGATGGGGCTGCAGTCATCTGAAGGTTTGACTGGGGCTGGAGGATCTTTTTCCAAGATGGAAGTTTGTTGACAAGCATTCTTACTTCCATTTTGGACCAAGGAACCCTCAATTCCTTATCAGTTGAGTTCCACCGTTGGACTGCTCACATGGTAGCTGGCTTATTCCAAAATGAGTGATCAAAGGAAGAGAGAGTAAGAGCCAAAGATAGAAGCTGCTTATAACCTAATTGTAGAAGTAACATACCATCATTGTATGGCATGCAGTAACCCTGTTACAATGACAGGGCTACAGACAATATGTGCATAGTTGGAAGCAGGGATAATTGAGGGCCAACCAGGAGGCTGGCTACCCAGGTACGAGTCATCTGTTTGCCGCTAAAGCGCTACAGGACCTTACATAGGTCGCCAGCTTCTTGAGCTTGAGTTTCCTTATTGGCAGCAGGGGCATTGTACCACTTTTCCTACTGATCCCTTGAAATGTAAAGATCTTAAATGATGGATGTGAGAGCATTTTGTAAATGTGAAGTAGCTGTAACTGTGGGGGTTGATTAAGGAATCATATTACTTTTTAGCAGTAATAAAAGGAAAGAAAAAAGAGGGAGAGAAGAATGGAGAGAAATGGAGAAAAGGAAAAAGGGGCAAAAAAGGAAAGTGTGTCTTTTATGAGCAAGGACGAGAGGTCTTTACCTCTAGTGGAGGCTTTTGCGTCTTCTTCTATCAATAGTTAAATTTAATTGCTCACAAAATGTGTGCTTAAATATATCCTCGAGATATATAATTTCATTTTTTAAAGGATTAAACAACAACGGAAAGGCTATGACAAGCCCCTCTTCTCAGCTGGGGCAGATTTGAGTAAAATCAAATGAATTTAAGTCAGTAGTCCAAAAGCTAGATTTCAGTCATCAGCACCAATATTTCCTCATTGTCTTCCTCAAAAATGGAACTGAATGCTCACCTCCATTATAAATGCTTCTGCCGCCCATTAGAAAAGGACAGCTAAGGTAGCCGTTAGTATTTCCATAAGCCACTGACCTTGGCTCCGTATAAACTAGAATCTAGAAAGTGACTGCATTTATTATCATTTTTAATGCGTATGTTCTGGAACTCATTTCCCCTATGGATGACTTTCAGTTTCATTTTGTGGCATCCAATTTGTGGAGACATCTTACTTTTAGAATCAAAGTAACAATCTCTGTAGTACAATAGGTGACTGGAGACCATTTACCAAGTGGAGTCATAAGTACTTCAAATTCATGTGTCCAAGGCCAAATGCATTATCCCCTCAATCTACCCTCTGCATATACATGCTATATTGATAGTTATTTGACGAGGTCATTTTGACGTTGTCTAAAAACGAACTATTTCAGCTTTTTTTCCGCCCTTAAGAAATGATTGTGACAGATAATTTCACACATTCCCTCATAATTCTCACACATTTCTTGCTTCATTACCTCTTCAGTCCCTGACCTTCACTCTCCCTTTTATCTGAGACCTGCGTCAGGGAAGGATAAAGGTCTGGCTGTCCATTGCAGTCATTCCCTGGCCTTAAAACACATTGTTTTCCCGCATTTTGATTTGATCATTTTGAAATGTTCCCTAAGTTAAAACACCTGGGTCAAAAGAGCTTTTAGCCTGTCTAGTATCCGTCCATTAAAAATGACTTCTCTTCACCAGTCACCTAGTTAGCCAGTCAGCATCCTCAGTCATCTCACGTTCCTTTCTTTCCCCTCAAATCTCATGTTCAGTCCACAAACCCTCATGATAGTAGCTCTGAAATTCCTTTGGATTTCTCTCCTCCAGAATCGCTTGAAACTGGGAGACACAGGTTGCAGTGAGCCGAGATCGCCCCACTGCACTATAGCCTGGAAGACAGAGCAGGACTCTGTCTCAAAAAAAAAAAAAAAAAAAAAAGTCTGGGCATGGTGGCTCATGCCTGTAATCCGAGCACTTTGGGAGGCCAAGGTGGGCAGATCGTGAGGTCAGGAGTTCGAGACCAGCCTGACCAACATGGTGAAACCATGTCTCTACTAAAAATACAAAAATTAGCTGGGTGTGATGGTGTGCGCCTGTAATCCCAGCTACTCAGGAGGCTAAGGCAGGAGAATCACTTGAACCTGGGAGGCGGAGTTTGCAGTGAGCGGAGATCACGCCACTGCACTCCAGCCTGGGCAACAGAGCGAGACTCTGTCTCAAAAAGAAAAAGAAAAAGGAAAAAAAAAATTGTCTTCTCCTCTGCATTGTATTCTTTCTACATCCTTTGTCACTGTTTCTCATGTTTACCATTTTAATTTCCATGTAATTGGCCTCTTTGAGGATTCTACTTTCTTCTGCCTTTAGTTCACTCTCTCCATAGAAGCCAGTTGCCTTAAAAATCCTGATGTAATCTTGATATTCACCAGCTTCAAATATGGTGTGAGTCTTTATTGGCTATAGCAGCACTGCCTACTATCACTTTCCTCAATAACAAAAGCGTTCTGTATCTTCTGTTTTGTCCAGTATAGAGCTAGTAACCACACGTGGCGGTTGAGTACTTTAAATGTGGATAGTGAGACTGAGGGACCGAATTTTTACTTTTAATTTTAAATTAATTTAAATAGCTTTGGATAGCATAGGTCTATAGAATAAAGTACAACATTTCTGTTTTGTCACTACCCCCTTTTTTTTTTCCTTTCCCTACATACTAAGCAAATATACAAATTGTATGTATCTAATGTAATATTTTGCAACCTTTTAACCTCAATCCACACTAAAAAATGTTTTCTCTTGTGACTAAGGTATGCTTAGATATTCATACATGCTTAACAAGTATTAATTTATCATCTAGTACGTACAAAGCATTGTAGATGTATCTGTGAATAAAACAGATGCAGGCACCTGTAGTCCCAGCTACTCGGGAGGCTGAGGCAGGAGAATTGCTTGAACCTGGGAGGCGGCGGTTACAGTGAGCCAAGATCGCACCACTGCACTACAGCCTGGGCAACAGAGTGAGACTCCATCTCAAAAACACAAAATAAAACAAAAAACAGACAAGATTCCCTACTCTCCTGAGGCTAACACTTTATTGGACAAGAAAGACAATGTATAATAAATAATAAATTTATTTATTTTTTTATAAATGAGGCCAAGTGCAGCGGCTCACACCTGTAATCTTAATGCTTTGGAAGGCAGAGGTAGAAGGATCACTTCAGGTCAGGGGTTGGAGACCAGTCTGGGCAACGTAGTGAGATCCCGTCTCTACAAAAAATAAAAAAAATATTAGGCATAGTGATGCGTGCCTGTAGTCCCAGCTATTCAGGAGGCCAAGGCGGGAGGATTGCTTGAGCCCAAGAGTTTGAGGCTGCCGTGAGTGATGATGGCAGCACTGCAATTCAGCCTGAGTGACCCAGTGAAACCCTGTCTCAAAAAAAAGAAAAAGGCAAGTAAATAAATAATAAACACAATGAAAGTGAGTTGTATAGTATTGTATAGTGTATTAGAAGGTATAGTGGAATTTATCTGTCATTTCCATATGGTTCTTTTTGTGTCTTGTTTAAGAACTGCTTTCTACCCTCCAGATTCAAAGATACACTCTAGTCTTTTCTAAATGTTTTATAGTGTTAATTTTCACATTTAAGTCTTCAATCCACCTGGAATTTATTTTTGTGTATGGTGTGAGACACGGGTTGAATTCCACCCCCTCCCGATATGGGATGCTAATTCTCTGCTATTCTGGTTTTTTTTAAAGATGTTTCTGATTGTAACTCATTAAATTGATTTTTTTTGCCCCTCAATAATAAGGTACTAGCAGTTTAAAAAATTGCTCTACTGTTTCTAAACCACCTCTTAAATGCCCAGTGGCATTTACATTGCCAATAACGGAATTTAAACTTGAACTAGCTAAAAACAAACACCAAAGAAGACAGGAGTGCTAATATGGGTCACAGAACCTTAAGGCAGGGATGCAGCCTTAGGAATAGATTGAAATTCTACTGCTATGTGTACATCAATTCATACATTTTTCTACAGAGCAGGTCAGTGGGAATTACGGCTACTAACAGTTCCTGAGCTTTACATATCATGTATCCAACTACTGAAGGAAGTCTGTTTCCATTTATGTCCCACATTTTCATTGACACATTTTGGGTCAGACAACCACCTCTGTGCCAATCAGCTATGGTGGCTTCTGCTGCAAAATGTGGCAGATGAGAAGAGAGAACTTTTGGGCCAAATGCTGAAAAAACAATTCATTAGTAGAAGCATTAAGTATAATCTGTGTCTCGGGGTGCCTTTACTCATACTCTAATTGAGCCCATAAAATGGCATCTTTGGTGATGCCTTTGGAGTCATCCTTCAGGCAGTCAACTGGCTTCCTCTAAGCAAATGCTTCTTACTGGCCTCTCACAGTACTGCTTCTTATAATAATTGGAATGACTCAGTCCTGTGTCTGTTTTAGCTGTGAACTGTGATGCATATATATAGCTAGATAAAGTTATTTTTATGTAAAGTAATGTGACATTGATAAGGTCCAGTAAACATTAAATTGGTGATATAAGAACATCATAACATGTAAGACATCTTGCCTGTACTGGATTAAATTTCCATGAACTTCCAAAGTTGTACTGCACATTGCATCAATTCCTGAGTAAACAGTTGGTTGATAAATGAATTCTGTTCTTCGGAAGTGGGTTGGAAGCAATAGGATTGACTTGGGCTATTTTTCCTGATATTTTAAATTTGATTTTGCACTTGAAAACAGTTATGGCTGATTCGAATGATAAGAAATGTCATCAGTGTAGATGTTTGTTTTGATTTTCCTCCATAACTTTTCCTTTGCTGATTTTAAGGGAAACGTTTTTAGGCTAAGTTAAAAAATATCATCTTGGCCGGGCGCAGTGGCTCATGCCTGTAATCCCAGCACTTTGGGAGGCTGAGGTGGGCAGATCATCTGAGGTCGGGAGTTTGAGACCAGCCTGACCAACATGGAGAAACCCCGTCTCTACTAAAAATACAAAATTAGCCAGGCGTGGTGGTGCATGCCTGTAATCCCAGCTACTCGGGAGGCTGAGGCAGGAGAATGGCTTGAACCTGAGAGGCGGAGGTTGTGGTGAGCTGAGATTGTGCCATTGCACTCCTGCCTGGGCGACAAAAGCGAAACTCCATCTCACACACACACACACAAAAAAAAAAAAAAAAAAAAAAAAATCATCTTATATGAACCAAAAATATTTGGCTATGTTTTTCCATTATGGCCATGGTTACTCATAACCATTTTTTGCTTTCTTAATTTAGTTGTCCTAAATGAATTTTGAATGCAGAATAACAGATGTGATCAAGCACAGAATGTTTTCGATACATCCTGTTATTAAGAAAAAAATTTCTCCCTTATTTTGATGTAATGGAACATTTTCACAAAAGTAAGTAACTAAACTGGATTCATTTACTTCTCAAAGTTAGCAAATCTTTTACTTCTCAAAGTTAGCAAAAAGCACCTTTTAAATGTAAATAACACTTGTAGATAGGGTTAAAATGAGTTTTAAAAAAAGGTGATAGGGTGCAAAATGCTTCCTTTCTAGAGGTTGAAATTATAGTAAGCAAGATTATCCATCATTCATTTGGAAGATGACTGGGGTGGAGGCAGCATGAGTTGTGTTGCTGGGGCAGACATGACATAAAGGGTAGAGTCAGTACACATACTTGCAAAGATGTAGTTATGAGACCTAATAGGGACCTCTCTCCTGTCTTCCTGTCCTGTCCCATCTCTCCTTCCTTCCCCTCCTGTCATCTCCACATGACTCCCCTCTAATCTTCTCTCCTGCTCCGTTTCTCTACCTTCTTCAACTTTAGATATTTCACATATCTTTCCAGGGGGATTGAGAAAGATCCAGATGGATCTAGGCTTTATTCAATATCTTTTTTTTAACCAATATAGATTATTGTGTACACCCCTGTCCTAGACATTAATAGACTAGAAAAAGGCACAAATTATACATGTCAACTGGGGGAAAATGAGAAGGTAAAAAATTTTAAGATAAAGGGCAGGGAACAAATTGTCATCGTCAGAAATGAGGGATGTTTAAGGGGTTAGTACCCATTTTTAATATTAGAGAAATAATAATCCTCAAAGCAGCTTTGACTCCATATTGCTGTTGCTCAAGTAGAGTAACTAGAAGCTGAGTAAAGCTAGAAGTTGTGTGTTGAAAGTGTTGCTAGAAAAATCTGCTTAAGCAGCATGAGTGTCTAGCTTCCCAAGGTAACTATGGAAAAGGATGCAATAGCAATAGGAATGTGTAAGTTCTGGGCTGTTTAATATAGTTTTCTCAGGTCAGGCGTAGTGGCTCATGTCTGTAATTCTAGCACTTTGGGAAGCTGAGACAGGAGGATTGCTTGAGCCCAGGAGTTCGAGACCAGACTAGGCAACATCGTGAGACCCTGTCTACAAAAAAAAGAAAATATTAGCTGGGCGTGGTGGTGCGCACCTGTAGTCCCAGCTGCCACTACACTGCAGCCTGGGCAGCAGAGTGAGACCCTGTCTCTAAATAAATAAAGTAGTTTTCTCACCATGCTTTATATTTCCTCAGCAGACACCTAGGTATCATAATTGAAATAAACATTTCCTTAGGTGAGATACTTAAAATAGATTCACGCTCTGGGAATCAGTTTGTTAATGAAAATACACCCCTCGCCCCCCGCCCCCCCACCTTTTTTTTCCCTGAGGATTCAGGTATAAAACTCCAAATGTTTGACTGGGTGTGATGGCTCATGCCTGTAATCCCAGCACTTTAGGATGCCGAGGCGGGTGGATCACCTGAGGTTAGGAGTTCCAGACCAGCCTCGCCAACGTGGTGAAACCCCGTTTGTACTAAAAATACAAAAATTAGCCGGGCGTGGTGGCGGGCGCCTGTAATCCCAGCTACTCAGGAGACTGAGGTGGGAGAACAGATCTTTTGAACCCGGGAAGCGAAGGTTGCAGTTGAGCTGAGATGGAGCCACTGCACTCCAAGCTGGGCGACAGAGCGAGACTCTGTCTCAAAAAAAAAAAAAAAAAAAAAAAAAGAACTCCAAACTTTTCCTTTTTTGTCTGCCTGGAACAAATTTCAAAACATAGTGCCTAATACCTGCAAAAATAGAAATAACCACGGCATTGAACACACTTCAGTAATTGTTTTAGTTGAATTTATAGGATTAAAACAATTTCAGTGTTGACTGTTTAACAAAATGAAACTCATAGTTAACACAGGAACAAGTTCAATTATCTCTGAGTCGTTAATTTATGAATGGTTCCATGGCCATTTTCCATAGTAATGCTGAATCCCTCCCACCCTACCTTGTTCATATTCTGGGTCAGTATCTGAATTGCCACTAGCGGTGAACAATGTGTATGAGGTACACACACACACACACACACACACACACACACACACAACAAATTAAGCGGCTTCTCAGACTGCCTGTCTGGTGTTTGTTATCTATCTGTAGCAATTGGAAGTGATTCTGTTGGGCCATCTAAAGTGCACATTATAAAGGAAAAAGATTTTGCTTTTGTTTCCTTACTAGTAGCCATAGAAACTTTTAAAAACCATCTGTAATACATTACAGGAGAGTTTTTGTGTTCCTTATGCTTTTGCTAGTTTCTATTTGTATTATCTGTATATTGACTATAACCTCAGCTACCCTAGTTTGAAGCTTTACTTTAACTTACTGAACTTGAAGGAATTACAGATATTTTTACTCAATGGCCAGCATAACCACTCCTTGTTTAGCCACAGTACTTTTATATGGCTTCAGTGTGCTTTTATTTTTGTACTTTATTTGTTAAGCCGACTGGCAGTAATTCTGTGACATGGCTTTGACTGAGGAGTTGTAGCTGGTAGCCACAGCCTAGCTGATGGTCTTTAATATGGAGGCAGAGGGGCTGGCAGGAAGCAATAGTAAGGCGATTCACATTAGTTTCTTTTACTGCAAGTGTGAATACACACTATAGGTCATCAAAAGGATATTCAGGATTTTGTATTGTGGTTTGGACAGAACCATGACTATGTGAATTTACTGAAAAGGTTCTTGTTCTTTTGCCTTTGTAGCTAATCATATGTAATACAAGTCCCCTACTCCAGCCAGATTAAAACCATGGGTAATTCCTTTTGCACTAACTCTTAACATCTTCAATAGTTATGCCGGTATGACTGGGTTTCTCTTTCATTGATTAGTGTTTTTTTCCCCTGTTATTCTTCATCATCTCCTTGTTTCAGTCTCTTTTAAATATGTGTTCCCTCTTACCAAATTTCTTTTCTTGTACATATTTGTGTCTATACACCAAGTCCTGATTTTTGGTGGGCTGTGGGAGGCCTTGTTGTTTCTATTGAACAGCTTCATAAGGAGCCCAGCTGTTAGCTGTCAAGGGTTTTCTCTTTTATTAGTCTCAGAAGGCAGGACTGGCAGGGTGCAGCATGTTGGTACAAGATCCCAGCTGTTGTAATGGTGCTCTCGGAGTCCCTGATCATTTGAAACTTGAAGAAAATTTGACCTTATCATGGAAGTTGTTTCTGTTTGTTCATTTGTTTGTTTTTGAGGGGCTCGCAGTGCAAGATAAAAAGATGTAAATGATAACTGTAAGATATGGAGGCAGTATAGAGAAAAACGCGTGTTTCTGCTTTTCAAACTTTTTAGTAGCAGACATTTTTGGTATGGAGAGTTTAAGATACAGGGGGGATGTTAACTAATGTGGATGTAGAGAAATTTGTCCTGGCATATCTTTATTTGGTAAGCAGGCTAAGCAAACTTAGCAAAATTTATTCACGCTTTAAAAACATGAGATAAGAGCTCTTTCTCAGAGGCACACTCTTAAAAGTTTTGCCGAATTGGAAAGGTTCTGACGCTGTTTAATTAAAAGAAAAATGCAATAAAACCAGATTCTGTTTAAAAGGATTTTGCTTCTTTATGTAGCCTTGTCTTTCAGGTTCTCTGGGTGGCTTCTCTATGCCAGGATCCTTGGGAATAGTTTGATAAGCCGACCAAGTTATTGAATAAAGAGAATCATACACCTTAAGCAATGAAAATATCTGCCTTTACTTCATTGTGAAAGATTGACAGACAAGAACACACGTAATAGCATGCATTTACGTTTAAGAAATGAAATTTATTTAAAACTGGGAACCTTGAGAGAAAAGCTTGGTTGGGACTGAGTCATTACCCAGTTAAAAATAACCTTTCCAGGTCATGTCGTTTTGTTTGCCACAGTGAAATAAGTTTATTTCAGCAGAATGAAGCCATTATTAGCTTGGCAGAGTCCACTTGTCAGAATTTTATGGAGCACAACACCGTTTGGCTGGGAAATTCAATAAATACTGTAATGTGAGAGGAGTTAAACTCCAAGGGCTGAAGGGGCAAAGAGTGGAGGATTTGTTGCTAATTCATTGTTTCACAGCTCCAATAAGAAAGCATGAGGATATATGACGAATTATCATTAGAGGTCAGGCGCACAACCCTTTCGTGAATTACCAAAGCAGCAGGACTTGTGAGTAAAATAAAAACTTTAAGCTGTGTTAGGATGTATAGCACTGAAGGGGTAGCGTAAATATTGAGTGTCTCGATGCTCAAGTTTTTTATTTTTCTTTTTTGGAGGGTAATATGTCTTCTTTACCTGCCCTCCTGCTCTATCTGGGAATTTGTAAAGGAATAAAATACAGTTGAAAATCCTATGACAGTAGAATCCAGCCATCAGACCAGTACTGCAATATTGAAACGGAACTGAGCCGTTTGTCATCTTAACAATCTGGGAAACCAAAGCAGTGGCCACTCTCAAGCACCAGTGGGCTTCACCTTGAGGTATGAGGTAGTGTGTTCTAATGACCAGGGTATGGTGGGACTAAATTCCTACTTCTGTCACAATGTCACCGTTGACAAGTTATGTAACTTAAGTAGGCCTGGGCTTTTTTATCTGCAAAACGGTGTCAAGTAATAGTATTTATTTACTCCATAGAATCACTTGGGGATAAAATGAAAGAATACATATAAAACTTCAGTACAGCATCCATCATGTAGCAAAATAAACCGTAATGACTTCATACTTTTCAGTTGAATTTGAGTAGGAAACACCAGTTACTTTATGATATACAGAAAGTTACTAATACTAGGAAAAGTCTTTAACTTTGTGGGAAATTAATAACTCCAACATTGTGCTCTATTTATGTCATTATTCATTCACTTGTGAATGTCAATGTACAACTTTTTTATATAATTACAATCATTTTGAACTTTTTTTGTTCTGACTTTAAAATGGATTTCTTTATGAAAATTTCCGTTCTTCGTTATGATTCATATATGATATTTTCAAGTTTAATATTCTGGTCATGTTGATATGCTGTAATTTGCTCGAACTTCTTGTGGTGGGTTGTTGAATTTAAAACTGAAATTGAGTCTTGAGGAATGGGTAAGATTTAGTTGGATGGAGAAAAACTGCAAGGGTAGAGAAGAAACCTATTTTGAGATAAAACATCACTGCTTACCTATTTGGAGCTTTTCTGGCTACGTAGACTATTGAATTTCACATGAAAAAGAAGTGTAGGCCAGGCGTGGTGGCTCAGGCCTGTAATCCCAGCCCTTTGCGGGGGGCCAAGGAGGGCAGATCACGAGGTCAGGAGTTCGAGACCAGCCTGACCAACATGGTGAAACCCTGTCTCTACTAAAAATATAAAAATTAGTCAGGTGGTGGTGTGCGCCTGTAATCCCAGCTACTCCGGAGGCTGAGGCAGGAGAATTGCTTGAACTCGGGAGGTGGAGGTTGCAGTGAGCCGAGATTGTGCCACTGCACTTCAGCCTGGGCAACGGGGCGAGACTCCGTCTCAAAAAAAAAAAAAAAAAAAGCGTTAAGTATTTCTGTTTTCATGAGTGTCTCAGCACTGAAATAGGTTGAGGGTTCCCTTCCCATTTACCTTGAAAAGGGTGTTTGGCATATGTTTTAGCCATATGATGAAAAGAAATTGAGGATATAAAATTACAGTTAGATAGGAGGAGTAAGTTCAGGAGATGTATTGCACAACATGGTGACACAGTTAATAACAATGTATTGTAAACTTGAAAATTGCTAAAAGAGTAGATTTTGAATATTTTCACCATAAAAAAGTTGTTGACTACAGTTAATAACAATGTATTATAAACTTGAAAATTGCTAAGAGTAGATTTTAAATATTTTCACCGCAAAAAGTGAGGCATAGATATTTTAATTAGCTTGATCCATTCCACAATATATACATGTATATTTTGTATATGTACACATATGCAATTTTATACCATAAACATTATGGTATGTTTTATACCATAAACATTATGGTATGTTTTATACCATAAACATTATGGTATGTTTTATACCATAAACATTATGGTATGTTTTATACCATAAACGTAAAACATTATGTATACATAATAAACATACATAATATGCATAATATATATACAGTTTTTGTCCGTTTGAAAAATAAAAAAAAAAAGAAATTGAGGATGTCCACTGCTAACACCATACTTTTAAATTGATTTACTAGAATGTCTTATGGATGGACCATGAGCTGACCCACTTGCTGGCCTGTTAGGCATACAGAGTGACATGGAAGGACCTTTCACAATGTGATAAGTTACTAGGACCTTAAATATAGAGAAGACACTAAACTTGTTTTGGGAAAACGTACTCATTGTAATATGAAAGTATAGTTTGCATCATTTGCTTGTCAGCCTGACCTTCCTGCATCCCCTGCACAGTCTGATTAAGATTCAGAGAGCCTTGGAATTCATTTCATTTCATTAAAGCACTGCCCCAGAGTCCATTATTGCAAAATATTAGCATAGTGCTCCATGTGACCTTTAAAAGCTTAGAAAATGATAGAGTTTGACTCTTTCTTTATTTTAGTGCTTTGGATAATGCTTTTTTCCTGTTTTCCTATACTAATGAGTTGTACTCTTACTTTAAAACCTGCCTTCTGTTTTCAGTAAATCTTTTGACATATCTTTTTCTCAGCTAGGACACAGGTCTCCTGACTGTGTCTTTCTTCTTTCCCTTACTACCTTTATCTCCTAAGGGTATTTTCCTTGGAACTGGTAATTTTCACTCAAATGGATTAATATGGATACCACACCACAGGCTTCAGAGACAGCTTTTAAGCCTTCTGGAGGAGTTGCCAAAGTCATTTAAAGAGCAGCCCCCTGACTCTTAAGATTCTTTAGATAAAGAGTGCACCTCTGGACAGCTGATTGCCCCCTGCCGATGATAAATTCTCTTTCTTGTATCATTCCTTCAGTCTTGAAGTGGTACCAAGGCAAAGCCTTTTGCTGGTCATAAACTGCAGAATCTTTTAATCAGGGACTGGAAAAAAAAAAGTGGTTGGTGAAATTGGAGCTAACCATCCCGCATCCTCCTATTGAATTGTACTTGTAAGTACAGTTAAACCTAAAGAGAAGATTTCTTCAGAGTGTAATAGCTCCCCTGGGTATTTTTCACTGGAGCAGGTTAATTTATACTTACAATATCTGACCACAGCTGATCAATAGCAAATCTGTGATGTGCAGAAGGAAGCACTGGAGATACTGTAAGCAAACGTACCTCCACAATTGATACACATACAACCACTTCCGAGATTATTTTTGGCACAATCTCCTTCCTTTTCTGGCATCTATAAACTGGGGTTTAAGGATGACTTATTTGTTTCTTTACTTACCTCAGGATTTTGAGGATAGAATATTTCTTGGCCTTGAAGGTCATGCATGATAATTCATGTTCACATGAGGTAGATTCTCAGGCCTTGCCTGAGTCTAGTTTTTCATTCTACTGACTGACACACACTGAGAGCCTGGCTCTGGGGTTGCTTCGGGTACCTCACAGAGAGAATAAAAGCACCTTGGCTTGGCAGAAACTACCATGGACATTTTTTGTTAGACTTCTCCGGTACCTCCTTCTCCCAGTGTTGCAAAATTAATCCCTCCGTGTCTGAGGAAAACATTACCTAGTCTCAAACACTCAGGAGGCTCCTGATTAAATTAGAAACCTGAGTCTAGTAACAAAGTTCAAATTCTTGGCTATTGTGTCTGCTGTGCCTAGCGCAGGTTGAGCTCAGAATTGGTATTTAAGGAATATTTTTACATGTTTACACCTACTCTCGGGGAAAAGGGATGGATTGGTAAGAGTTCCTAAATTTATCAAATGAGAACCTCTTGAATAAATGGCCTAATCCTGTGCGGTGGAATAATTATCTAGAATTTTTACTGAACACAAGGTATTATACTTTATAATTTTGTGTCAATAATTATGATCTGGTGAATTTAGAGTCGTTTTATTTCCTTTTGTTTGGAAAATGCTATTCTTAGTTTTTCCCCAGAAGGGAGATCCTTTACAGATATTCTCAGAACTGGAGCACTGAGGGCTTATGACTTTGAATGTTTGACACTTTAACTTTTCCCTCACTAGGATTTTGATGTTACATTGTGCAGTAAGATGTAAAGAATATTATGGTTAGTAACAGTAATTATTCAGTTCACCTGGTTACCACTGCTAATCAAAATCCAATGGAATTAGAGTCTTTGTAAGATAAATGACATCTCTTGTTGATCATACCCACAGTCCAAGGAGTATCCTTAGGACCAAAAAAAAAAAAAAAAAAACCAACAAAACATCGACATAATGTGTGAGCAAATATGCCTTCTTGGGCCCTGCTGACTGCAGCATTCACAAAACCCCACGATTTGGCTGAGTTTGTGGAACGCCAGCCTGAGGCATAGAAGCTTGTTTACCGTGCTGATTAAAAGGAAAGCTTGAAATGGCTGAGGAGATAGTGGCATCTCTGGCTCTGTGTGTGTGAGGGAGAGAGGAGCAGGGATGGGAGAATTAGAGAAAGAGAGTGGGCCTTGGTAGTGTTATTCCTAGTTGTAATAATATGTATGACAGTCTTTGGTGGTGAATGCTAGCTTTACATTCTTTCTAATAATTGGAAGGATAAAATTAACATGGAAACCCAACCCCGGGACGACACATTAGGTTTTATTGAAGCCCCGCCCCACCTCCCGGCCCCACCCAGCCCATGACATGTGATGTTGAAAAGGCTGACAGATAACTGAGAGATGTTTTCATCTCTAAAGGAGGGGCTGGGTAAGTACTTGGTTGCCTTGGTTAATGGTAGAACAGGTTCCAAAAAGAAAAGAACTGGAAAGGGAGAATGAATTAAAATGGCTTCCTATTGTATTTTGCTTAACAGATTCTTGTTGTTCTTTATATTATTCGCTCGCTCTCTCTGTCTTCCTGCTGTTATTTTTCTGTCAGCCTTCTGCTATGGGTATACTGTCTTTCCATCAGGGTATAAAGGGACTAGTTCTCCTCTCATCTCCTGTCTTTAGCCCAGGGCTTGCCTCTGACATTCCCTCCACCTTCTTTTTCCCTTTGAGCTTTACGTTTCAGAGTGGATCTTAAATAAGCTTTTACATGATTTAGAGTGAAGATATCATAAAGAATCATTGTGTTGCTTTTTAACACTGCTCTTGAAAAGTAATTTTCTTGGTGGTGGTAATAAAACACCTTTTACCATGTGTTGAGCAGTGTGGTAAATTCTTTACATGTGTTACTTCACTGAATCCATTGAGCAACCCTATGGGCTCTGTATGATATTATTTCCATTTTTATGTGATAAAACTGAAGCTCAGAGTGGATGAATATTGTAGCCACGGTCTCAGAGTGGACAAGTGGGAAACACTCCATGGCCTCCTAGTTTCAGTATTACTGATCTTTCTAAGCAGATCTCCTTTCTGTTTCCAGTAGAAAAGGGCTTAAGTAAACAGTGGAATCCACATCTCTTAGGCAGTAGAAGGTGCTTTCCTCAACAAAGCAGAATTGGTCCTGTGGAGCTTGGAAGTCACGGCCCAGGACCCAGCGCAAGAATGAGAGCAAAAAGACACCAGTGATCTTGCAGCATGAAGTCAGTTTCAGTGTTGGGCAGATTCGCAGCTAGTAATCTGTCCAGACACGGTCGCTCTGTTATCCAGAGGTAGCGAGAACTTCTCAGAAGTTAGAGGAGGCTGAGCTGTCAGGAATACAACAGATATTGGCCAGGCAAAAGACAAGACTTGAGGCCTAAGATAAATCAAAGAAGAAAGGAACTTTGGTGTCTCAAAAATATGATAAAAAGGCAATTATCTCAAGTTTTAAGAAGGGAATAATCTTTATTACTAATTTTGGCTCATTGTAGTGAAATGTTATAATTTGCCAATCAGTTTAAATTGTCTAGCCTGTGGCTATCACGCCGGCCTTAAATTAGAATACATACATACATATATATGACATAAAACCACCTAAACAGTAAAAAGTAGCATGAACCTTTCAGATGGAAATGTAATGTATTACCACAGAGCAACAGTAGTTTCTAATCTGAGAGCCCACATCTGAATTACTTCTGCTGAGAAAGCAAGTAACCAATCCTAGACATTGTATTTTGTTTTGAAAGCATTGATATGGAAGACGCTCTGTGGATTGGTTAATAAATACCTCAGGATGGAGCCCAAAATTTCTTCTGTTGTATAGAGGATGTTTTTCATGGTGGGTTGTAGGAAGGATTTCATGTGAAACTACAATTTGATAAAAAATGAGAGATAATCACTATGCTTTGCTCCAGTCACTAAAATTAGGTCCCATAGGATCATATCTTTGGTACAATGAATATAGGACTGCATAAATCAGGAAGTACAGTAAATAAGGCTTTCAATTCAATTTAATATATGACCAGCTCTCTTTTATCACTGACCTTCATACCACTGAATGTTTACAGATGTGTCATTTATTTAAGATTGCTAAGTGTTGGACTGACTTACAAAAATTAATGTATGACTCACTCAAAATGGGATACACATTCTCAGGACAGTTTTAGGTATCTTAAAAAACAAATGCACTAGCTGTAAACTTTTTCCTAGATTATGAAATTTCTTTTGACAGAAAACATAATCCACAAAATTGTCTTTATATTTTGAGGAAGGAGGTATGGCAACTACTTTCAAAATTACGTAAAAATGTCTTGCTGTTAACTACTGCTAGTTTACATTGATGTCATTTTTCTTTAATGCTCTTTTTTTTTCCAGAAGGAAATATAAAAGACAAATGTATTAATTTGTCAACCAGTTGGGTAATACCTCTGTTTAAATTTCATTCTTAAGCATACTAGTTTAACAAAAAAGTTTAAATGATAATTTACTCTTTGGGAGGTGGAAGCAGGAGTATCACTTGAGCCCAGGAGTTCAAGATCAGCCTGGGCAACATAGTAAGACCCCCATCTCTAAAAAACAACAACAAAAAATTAGGCGCGGTGGCACGCACCTGTAGTTCCAGCTACTTGGGAGGCTGAGGTGGAAGATCTCTTGAGGCTAGGAGGTTGAGGCAGCAGTGAGCCGTGATCCTGCCACTGCACTCCTGCCTGGGTGACAGAGTAAGACCATATCAAAAAAAGAAAAAAATGTATATATATATGAATAGAATATATTTATATACTATACATATGTATTACATCATATTTATATATTATACATATATTATACATATGTATTATATAATATTCATATACTATACATATGTATTATATAATATTTTTATATTATACCTATGTATTATGTTATATATTTATATATTATACATATATAATATATATATAATACATATTTTTTAAAGGGTAGGACTTCAAAAAAAAAATAGCCTATTCTAAAAATTTAAATGTCTTTGTTTCTGAATGGAATCCCTGCCTCTCAAATGTCCTGTTTTGTGGCTATCACTCATACTGCTGCTAAAATAATCTTACAGAGCCCATTGGATCACCCCCATCATTGCTTTCATTTTAATAAATACTTATTCTTAGGCTGGGTGCAGTGGCTTATTCCTGTAATCACAGCACTTTGGGAGGCCGGCAGATCGCTTGAGCCCAGGAGTTCGAGACCGGCCTGGGCAACATGACGAAATCCCATCTTTACTAACCAAAAATTAGCTGGACATTGTAGTGTGCACCTGTAGTCCCAGCTACTTGGGACGCTAAGTATCAGGATCACCTGACCCTGGAAGATCAATACTGCAGTGAGCCAAGATTGCACCATTGCACTCCAGCCTGGGCGATGTGAGTAAGACCCTGTCTCAAAAATAAAAACAAAAATGCCTACTTTTGAGGTGTCTAGTTTAACTTTGACAACATCCCATTTTACCCATGGCAAACTGAGCCTTAGTATAGTTGTATGCCTTGTGCAGGGTCCAATCTCACCTTTTCACTGTCCCAAAATCAGGGTGCGGTCCTTCTACTCTTCCATCCTGGGACCTATAATTATTTCTAGTTATTGAGCCAAGGAAATTCTATGATAGTCTCTGGGAACATTTGTTATTGTCTGCTTTTAAAAATCAAAGAAAATGAAGCACTACCAAACCAAATCTTCATTTCTTTTTAATTTTAACTCATAGTTTCGAAGCATTTTTTGATTTACTGTCCATCAACTTTACCTACTGCTAGGAGTTAGGACTGGCCCAGCCTAAATGAAACATCAAGCTGTTCATGTGAATAGTAGTTTATATCATTGTTACTATTCTTCATTCCTGCAGATTATTGCATCATTTTTTTTTTTCCATTTTCAAATTTTATTTTTTAGAGAGACTTGGCCTCAGTATGTTGTCCAGGCTGGTCTTGAACTCCTGAGCTCAAGTAATCCTCCTGCCTTGGCCTCCCAAAGTGCTGGGATTACAGGTGTGAGCCACCATGCCCAGCCAGGTTATTGGATCTTAGAAATTAGTGGTTTATAATTGAGATAACAGAGCATCATGCAAAATGCCCATGCAGTAAACCTGTGTATGTACCCCTTGACTCTAAAATAAAAGTTGAAATTATAAAAATAATATTTGAGATAATAGAAAGTACATGTGACTAAGGCCTTTCCAGTTTTTTTTGCTCCCAATCCAAAGCATTAGTATATTCCATACCTGTTATGTACTGCATCTCACCTAATTTTGGCCTTTCCAGGGATATGGCTTTGCTCTACATATTATGCAGAGAGTTCAAAGTTATCCATCCTTGTTTATTTCCTAGTCCACAGCAAGAAGACTATAGCAGTGTCCCCAGTCTTACTGCCTCAGGAAGCATGAAAGCTTAGGCAACATTTTAATTAAATGTTGCCCCAGGTCTTTATTCTTGCTGAGAAAGTAAACAAAGCTTAAACAGACCATATCAGAAAAAAAGACCCCCCTGAAATGTTGTTTTTAAAAATTATGCCTCACCTTCTGCTGTTTGCTCTGACGTATGAGACATTTTTTAATGATGTATTTTATTTTAAATACCAATACAATTAATTGATTCAAAGTTCATTCCAAAGATGTTAGTACCTGCATCACTTAAGGCATCACTGGACATAGCAATTAATTGGAGACTTGTGGGTTATTATTTGGCCATGGCGCCCGATCAAAAATTGTTCCTTTCTGTTGCCATCCCTAGTACAGGGTGGTAGAGACTTTAATTTTTCCTTTATATTCACTATATTTTCAATTGAAAATATGGCACCATATAATGAAGTATCTTCGTAATCAACATTTGAATTATTGCTAACCTCTAATATATTTTCTCCCTTTAAAGTTACTTTTCATGGCTGGGCGCAGTGGCTCATGCCTGTGATTCCAGCACTTTGGGAGGCCGAGGCGGGGGGATCACCTGAGGTTGGGAGTTTGAGGCCAGCCTGACCAACATGGAGAAACCCCGTCTCTACTAAAAATACAAAATTAGCCAGGTGTGGTGGCGCATGCCTGTAATCCCAGCTACTCGGGAGGCTGAGGCAGGAGAATCACTTGAACCCAGGAGGCGGAGGTTGCAGTGGGCCGAGATTGCGCCATTGCACTCCAGCCTGGGCAACAAGAGCAAAACTCCGTTTCAAAAAAAAAAAAAAAAAAAAAAAAGTTACTTTTCACATGCATTTTGGTTATGCGTGTGTAACATTGTTGCATTTATGTTACATCATAAAATCCTTTACAAAGTCTCTAAAGCTCCCTGTTTTTTCTTCATCTTCATCTTGTCAGCTCTCTCCTGTAATCTCTAATCTTCTCCCTTTCTGAAGGCACTGAGGTCTTTCATGTTTTAGGATTTTCTCTGTAGTGTTTTTATTAAATAATATGTTATTCAAATTAGCAATTGAATCCAATTTCTTATAAGGTATGCTACCTAAAAAAGATATCCGGACGTTGAAGGAAACCAAATTGAGCATATTGGTTGAAAATGCAAGTATCATCCCAGTTAAGATATATTTATCCTGTGCACCCCAACTTTTTGACACCCTGTATTATCCCCAGTTTACAAATGAGGAAACATATCTGAGGAGCTTGTCCAAGGTGGGGAAATAGATATTTACATAAATAGCTGTGGTACAAAGTAATGGGCACTGTAACAGGAGATTGGATAATAGATGGCTCCTTTGCGCGTTGAGGAGGGCTGCCTAACTCTTCTTGGGGTTGGAGTCAGGAGAGAGGGAGAAGGTAGCTGGAAGTGTGTCATGTAAGGAAAGCTTCACAGACATTACATTTGTGTTGATCACTCATGAATGAATAAGACTTTCTCAGTAGCCAGGGCAGAAAAGAGAGTTCTAGACAGGAAACAGCATGTGCAAGTGTAATGAAAGAATATTTTGTATATTTGAAACTGCAGCTATTTTATTTTGAATCATAGTTATTGTAAACAAGTCACAAGATTAGCTAGCAAAGTAGACAAGATTTAAATTATGAAGTCAATTTCTAAATCAATGTAAAGAGCTTGGAATTTATTTTAATGATGGGAATTCAATGAAGTGTTTTAAGCAGGGGATTTACATTATCAGATTTTTGTTGTGAAAAGATAATTCTGACTTCAGCTTTGAGCAAGTAGGATAGGGACCAATTTATTCTCCTGTGTGAAACAAGCCATAAAACAGATAAAATACATGCAACAGTGGTCCTCAAGACATGGGACTTCAGGTCCTGAAGTACAGTGCCCTCTGAGTGATGAGAAACCAACAAGCGAGTACCATGATTGCCTCAGCTTACTGCCTGGCGAGAGTTTCTAGGGTTTAAACAGAAGAGATCAATTAAAACTTGGCAAACTCCTGAGTTGGGAAGATGGGGCCGAGTGTCTGGGTAGGCTAAGGCAGCTGGAGTCTGCAGGACATAGTACCAGGACAGATAGCTATACAGAAAGAGCTCTGGAGATCTACAGAGGCTTCCTCTCTGGTTGATATTCAAGAGAGTGCTGACCAGCAAATGCATGTGAACAAACTACCCAAGGCTGGGGAAAGAACCACTCAAAAAGACTAAAGGAAACAATCTCTGGAGCTTGCACAGGGCTGGGAATATTGCCTGCTCCCACCAGAGAGGAAAGCTCCATAATTCATAGGCCATTCAGTAGAGTACATTCATAGAGTAATTCATAGGGCATTCAGTAGAGTAGAACAAGGGTTTTGCTTCAGAAGTGGGGAAAAATTGACTTTAGGTTAAACCCTAAGCTGAGTCCTAACTAAAGAATCTTAAAAACAAGGCCTAAAGTTATCAAAATGTTTCCAAGAATCTTAACTGAATCTCAGAACAAAAAGCAAGAATATTTATAGGGACACAAAAATATCTAGCACCCCCAAAATAAAATTAACAATATCTGGTATCTAATAAAAAATTACCAGATATAGAAGGAAGCAGAAAAGTTATACTCATGAGAAAAAAAAATCAACCTATTGAAACTGACTCAGAATTGACACAGATGTTAGAGTTAGCAGACAAGAACATTAAAACAAGTTTTTAAAAAATTATTTTTATTATTTTTTTAGAGACAAGGTCTTGCTCTATTGCCCAGGCTGGATTGCAGTGGCGTAGTCATAGCTAACTACATCCTCAAACTCCTGGGCTCAAGTGATCCTCCTGCCTCCTGAGTAGCTGGGACCACAGGCATGCACCACTACACCAAGCTGATTTTTCAATTTTTTGTAGAGATGGGGTCTCACTATCTTGCCCAGGCTGGTCTTGAACTCTTGGTCTCAAGCAGTTCTTCTGCTTGAGGTTTTTAACTGTACTTCTTTATGTACTGTGCTCCTTTATGTTTTAAAAAGTAAGTAGTGACATGCAAATATTTAAAAACCCAGATTGGAGCTCTTGAGATAAAAAACTACACTGTCTGAGGTGAAAATTAGAGAAGATGAGTTAATAGCCAACAAGACATTACAGAAGAAAAGGTTAATGAACTTGAAACCATCACAATAAAATTATGTAAAAATAAGCAGAATTTAAAAGAGTTCTGGCCTCAAAATCTGTGTTGTTGTTGTTGTTGTTGTTGTTTTTTCAGGAAGGAATAGTTTTTTTTTAAGTTTTAATTTTTGTGGGCACATAGTAGGTGTATATATTTATGGAGTACATGAGATAGTTTTTACAGGCATATAATGCATAATAATCACATCAGGGTAGGTGGGGTATCCATCTCAAGCATTTATTCTTTTTTTAGTAATTATTCTTACAGTCTGATATTTGCTAATATTGATTAGTTGATAAAGCATTTGGTTTATGACCCAGCTTTTCTGCGTGAGGTACACTGCGTTGGGCTTTTTTATAAGATGATGTTAGTAAATGACTGATGGCTGAATTTTTTTTTTTTTTTTAAAGCCATGCACAGGTCACAGCTGTGGCTACTAGTTTGGTCATCTAAAACAAGGGTTGAATGCTTATAATTGAACATATGTATACGTGCATGCAATTTGAAAACAGTGTTCTCTTATAATTATCCTTTAAGTATTCGACTTTTCTTTTTAGATGACTTTGGAACTTTGAGTAAATTTTATATTCATAAAACAAACATCCAATACCTATTTCCACTCCACAAATCTCCAAGTGACAAACCAAAGAGAAAATTTACATTGGAAATTTATGAGGTCTTTGGGTTTTACTGAATACTTATTTAAAGTCCGTGTGTCACTATACTACACTGACTTAGACTTGTCACCTGTTTTTGGTGGGAAAAAGATTTCATGTTTTACCATGACACACAAAGCACTACTGTTAGATATATTAAGGAATAAAACACTTTCCTTGGTTCTAAATTCTAAGAATTTTTAAAAGTACAGTGATAGTCTTTAGTATTTTGTGTACACGGACTTGCATACATGCCTGGTTTTCCTCCATAATGGGAAAAACTTTTGTAAATAACTAGGAAAATATTTTACAAATCAGTGTATTCAGTTAGAATAGAAAGAATTTTAAATTTTTAATAAAGAATAAAGACTACTATCTTTTTTTTTTTTGAGACGGAATCTTGCTCTGTCGCCCAGGCTGGAGTGCAGTGGTGTGATCTCGGCTCACTGCAAGCTCTGCCTCCCAGGTTCACACCATTCTCCTGCCTCAGCCTCCCAAGTAGCTGGGACTACAGGTGCCCGCCACCACGCCCGGCTAATTTTTTTTGTATTTTTAGTAGAGACGGGGTTTCACCGTATTAGCCAGGATGTTCTCAATCTCCTGACCTTGTGATCCACCCGCCTCTGCCTCCCAAAGTGCAGGTATTACAGGCGTGAGCCACCACGCCTGGCATAAAGACTGTTATCAAAGAAACTGTGCAATGGGAAGTTTTACTCCGTTCAATGAATGCTGATTACATCTTAAAGTTTTCAGGTTTCTATTGTGTTTTGCCTTTCAATTGAGTTTGAATATTTGACGTTTTTGCCCATTAATATATGAACATTTTTTGGAAAAGACTTCAGATAATTAGTGGAACATACATTACATAAAACATACAATATATATTTCCACGAAAGTATTTAATTTAAAAAAAGGTCAAGCAAGTATCAAGTAGATCTGTTTTTGGATCTTCTTTGAGTTTGGTCTGAAGTGTAAGATTTTGGATTTAGTGAAAGCTTCTCAGTCAGTTTCCTAGAGGGATTGACTACACCATTGTCTAATAATAATTAAATCTTCCATATTACACAGTTTAGAGAGTATATTTAATGAGAGAAAAATGAATTGCTGTTGAATAGAAAATAGACAAAGCTCATAGAACATATTTTTTCATTCTTTGAATAAATTTTCTTGTATTTTCTAATTATTTGATTGTATTAGAATAGATAGTGGATCGTGTTTTTTTTTTTATTACACTATCATAGCAAATTGAGAAGGTACTTTCTTTCTTTCTATTTATTTATTTATTTGAGACGGAATCTAGCTCTGTCATCCAGGCTGGAATGCAGTGGGCTTGATCTCGGCTCACTGCAACCTCCACTTCTCCCGGTTCAAGCAATTCTCTCTGCCTCAGCCCCCCGAGTAGCTGGGATTACAGGCGTGCACCACCAAGCCTGGCTAATTTTGTGTTTTTTGGTAGAGACGAGGGTTCACTATGTTGGTCAGGCTGGTCTTAAACTCCTGACCTCAGGTGATCCACCGGCCTCGGCCTCCCAAAGTGCTGGGATTACAGGCATGAGCCACCGTGCCTGACCGGTACTTTCAATCAGACAGTTTTCACTCATAGCTGTCTTAGCACTGTAATATTTGGCAGATCATTTCTTATTCCTATTTACGTGAATGTCCATTTTTTAAACCCATTGTGTATCTACCAGCTTGCAATTACTGGCATCCTTGGATTGGGAGCAGGGGAGTGCGGTCAGATTTCTATGTATTTTTTTTTTTTTCTAATTGTAAATTTTGAACTATTTACAAGCAAAAACTCTCCCTCCCCTCTTTGTTTTAGAAATATAAAACAATAAAGTTTTTTAAGAGATAGAAAACTGTTGAACAGAGTTGCTTTCCTTCTGACATCAATATTCTCACAGTAGAACCATTACATTTTTACACTGAGGGCTGATGTTTAGAGAGAAACCTGTTACTTTGCAATTGGTATTCAGATGAGTGGTGGGGGACACATTTTTTCATTTATCACATTAAGTTTTTGGCAGTTTTCCACTACTTGCAAGAAGAAGGGAGAACCACACAACTACAAATGCCTTTGTTGTCTACTGCCTCGGCCAAATCACACACTTTGTGGATGTTCAATAAATATTGATTGATGATGCTATTCACTGAAAACACTCTCAGGTTAAAACTTGGAGTGAGTGCTTAACATTCTCATCCAGCTGTAATTACGCTTTTGCAATTTTCATTTAGTTCTCAGTACTAGTGTTTACAAAACTGTAGCGTTGTGAGGAAACTAAACAAAGATATATAAATAGTGAGTGAGTAAATAAAGAAATTCCGAATGAACTCAAACAAATACTAGACACAAATGTTTCCTGATACAATGCCTAGTAAACATTATAACATAAATCATTTATCTTTATTAGTTTTTCTTCATGCTGCACATTTAAATATATAAAAATATTTCCACTGTTACATAAAACATTTTCCTTGGGTGATTCATAAATCATTGACAAAAGTTGGCGTTATGCTAACACACAGAATTAGGTGGGTTGCTTTTGGCTAAACACCTCCCCTGTGCCTCCCTGCCATGTACACAAACACCCTTGAAACACGGGAAATCTGTTTTTATTATATAGTGCTATAACATGGTAAGAACGGCATTAGACTACCCTTAGTAAGTCAGTGTACTAGTCCCTTGCAAACTGTTTAATGATTATTCAGTGAGTTTCATTTTTCTTATATCTTAAAAGAAGAGCTAGGTTACTTCATTTCTAATATTAATTCCAGATTATAAATTCTGTACATATTTGGTTTATTTTTCTTCCAATGAAGGGTTTTGGACTATATCTTTATGGAATCATTATTAGAAGGAAAGTAAGTTTTATGGGAAAAATAAAACAGTAACAACAGTAGTCTTCTGTAGTGTCTAATCCATTAGTTACATTTTTTACTTTTTAGCTGGGTGTCATTTTGTAGTTAAAGGTTTAATGACTCTTATTTCTTATTTTTAAAAATTATTTATTTATTTTGAGACAGGATCTTGCTCTGTCACCCAGGCTGAAGTACAGTGGTTCAATCTGTGCTCACTGCAGCCTCCTCCTCTGGGCTCAAGAGATTCTTCCACCTCTCAGCTTCCTGAGTAGCTGGGACTACAGGTGTGTGCCATCACACCCAGCTAATTGTTTTGTATTTTTGTAGAGACAAGGTTTTGCCATGTTGCTCAGACTGGTCCTGAACTTATAGGCTCAAGGGATCCACCTGCATCAGCCTCCCAAAGTGTTGGGATTACAGGCAGGACTATAGGCACGTACCATTATACCCAGTGTTATTTTATTTTTTAATTTTTTTAATCAAGATGGGGGTCTCACTATGTTGCCCAGGGTGGTTTCAAACTCCTGGGCTCAAGCAAGCCTCCTGCCTTGGCATCTCAAAGTGTTGGTATTATAGATGTGAGCTATCACGCCCACACTTAATATCTTTTAAAGACGCAAATTCAGGCCAAATAGTAACAACTGTCTTTGTTCTTCCAGACCCTACTGTATTTGAGAAATTGGTGAAATATTTTCTTTCCCTCTGACCTTTTTTAATTACCGTAGTATATTTGTTGTAAAAAATTTGTAAGGAGTAAAACTTCCTCTTTATCCTAATTCTCACCATGTTTAGTTATATATGTTTCCTTTTTCATCTTTCCCATACACAGCAGTGGGTCTTTTTTCTTTTTACTGTAACTTAAATGAGACCATACTGAGTGGTTCTCAACTTAAGTTATACATTGGAATCACCTGGTAAGTTTCAAAAATACACAGATGCCTGGGTCTCCCCTTGAAAGATTCTGACTTAATTATTGTGGAGTATGACCTGAGCATCCGAATTAAAAAAACAAACACAAAATTTTTAACTCCCTGATAATTCTATTGTATGGTCAAGTTTGAGATTCCTAACAAAGCTTTTAGAGTTTGTTTTCTTTGTTGAAGATTGATCATGGCCACCCATCTATTATGACTCAACGTATGGTGCACCCTCACTGATAGTCACTCAGATATTTTCTAGTTTTGCCATTACAAAAAAAATGCTGCAACAAATGTACATGTGTCTTTGAGTTCCTATATAAATGATCTTTGAGTAGAGTTGTACAAGGGGAAATACTGGTTCAAAAAATGTGGGACGCCGGGTGTGGTGGCTCAAACCTGTAATCCCAGCACTTTGAGAGGCCAAGGCGGGTGGATCACTTGAGGTCAGGAGTTCGAGACCAGCCTGGCCAACATGGTGAACCCCATCTCTACTAAAAATACAAAAATTAGCTGGTTGTGGTGGTGCACACCTGTAATCCCAGCTACTCGGGAGGCTGAGGCAGGAGAATCACTCAAACCTGGGAGGCGGAGGTTGCGGTGAGCCAAGATCGTGCCATTGCATTCCAGCCTGGGCAACAAGAGCAAAACTCCATCTCAAAAAAAAGAAAAAAAAGTGGGGAAATATTTTATCTAAATCTCTTACATATGCGGTTCTTCATTTTGGTTTTGTTTGATTTGGGGGCATTATCTATTTCTCTTTTTCTTAAAGCTTAGGGTCAGAAATATAGCATACCAGAGTTGAAAGGAAACATATACAGTAAGTCCTCACTTAACATTGTTGATAGGTTCTTGAAAACTATGACCTTATGCGAAACCTATGAAGCCAATTTCACCATCGGCTAATTGATATAAACAAGAGTTAAGTTCCTATGGCATATGTCTGGTCACAAACACATCACGAAACTTCTAAATAAACACTTCTAATATTAAACATTGAAATTAATGTGAGCTTTATATACATTTAAGAAAGATTCATAAAAACAAGTAAGACAATTATTTACCCAACTTTTGGTGAATCCATGAGTGATGATGCTCCTAGTGGTGGTGGGTTAAATCAAGGAATAAATGTTTGCAAAGTGAAAATTGTAAGAAGTGTCCTTTCCCACCATGCAATTCAAAAGCAATCAATTACAAACATAGGTGAGTGCTTTTGTGCTGCAGTGTTTATTGTCGTGTATTTGTATGATTATAGATAAATTATTAATTTTCTATTTGATAGTAATTTTTAATCATTCATTTGTTCATTTTCCAATGCACTTATTCAAGTTCAGAATTGCAGGAGGCTGGATCCTACCCTGGCAGCTCAGGGTGCAAATTGGGGACCTGACCCTGCAGAATATGCCGTCCCATCTCAGGGTACACTCACACATACTTACTCACTGACACTGGGACACTTTAGATACACTGACTCACCTACAGTGCACATGTTTAGGATGTGGGAGGAAACCAAGTACCCAGAGGAAACCCATGCATACTTGGGGAGTATGCACACACTCCACAAAGACAGTGGCCTCGGCTGGGGATTGATTTTTTTTTTTTTTTTCATCAGTGGTAAAACGAAATGGGGTTGAACCAAATGATGTTACCTGAGGACCTGCTGTTAGGTTTTCAGCCTACATTTCCCACCTAGTGTAAGGAAACTCTTGGTATGGACACTACCAATGACTATCCACCAAGAGGGCCTTAAAGACAGTCCCTGATGCTGGGCTATTCCAATTGTCATTTTTTCCTACATCAGGTTTAGAACTACCTGTTTATAGCTTTAGAGTACTATATTTTGTTGACCAGAGGAGTCTTAGAAATCATTTTGGTTAAAATATTTGTTGTATAGATGAAGAAATGAGGCCCAGAAGCTGTGGATACACTGTCCAATATCAAACAGCTGAAAAGTCATAATGCTGGGTTTGGAGAACAGGACTCATTCTTGACCCACTGTAGCTTATTCTGATTACAAATTGTAGTAGTTAGCTTTTTCTGACTACTAATACTGTAGTAGTTAGCTACTGCTGCCAAGTTTAACAACTTAAAACAGCATTTATTATCTCACAGCTTCTGTGAGTCAGGAATATGGGAGTAGCTTAACCAGGTAGTTCTTGCTTAGGATCTGTTACGAGGTTGCAGTCAAGATGTCGGCCAGAGATGTGGTCATCTCAAGGCTAGGCTGGGGGAATATTGGCTTGTAGGCTCTGCTACTTGGCTTTTGGCAGGACTGATAATACCCGCTTCTAACCTTATTCACATGGTTGCTGGCAGGGATTGGTTTTTCTCACCATGTGGGGCTGTCCACGGGCTGCCTAAGTGTCCTTAGAACATGAAGGTTGGCTTATGCCAGAGAGAATGAAGATGGCGGGAGATTGCACCCAAGAGGGAAGTCATGGTTTTTATATAACTTATAGTGTTATTGTTATTGCATCACCTCTGGCATAATGTTATTGCATTACCTCTGGCATAATCTGTTTGCTGGAAGCAGTCACTAAGTCTAGCCCACAGTCAAGGGGAGTGGAATTATGCTCCATCTTTTGAGGGGAAGAGTATCAGATAATTTGTGTACATATCTTTAAACTACTACACATATGTTTAAATCGTATTTAGCATTTGGTAATTGCAAAATTTGTACTTTCTGCTCAAAGGGCGTTTTATTTCACTTCCTGGCCCTGAAAGGAAGCTAGATAATCATTTTATCATAATCACACAACTGAAATAAACTTCTGGAATTAATAGAGCAGAACAGTGTTTTAAAGGTTGTCTGGCTAATAAACAGGAGATAATATTGGGACCCAGAATTATAACTCATTAAATGTATCCTCATGCCCAATCATGAGATGTGTTTAATTATTAAATGATTACATATTAATATATGCATCATGTGATCTCTATTGCCATCAAATAAGCTGCTATTATTATTATTATTATTATTATTATCATTATTATTATTATTTTGAGACAAACTCTCTGTTGCCCATCCTGGAGTGCAATGGGGCAATCTCGGCTCACTGCAACCTCCAGCTCCCGGGTTCAAACAACTCTCCTGCCTCAGCCTCCTGAGTAGATGGGATTACAGGCACGCACCACTATACCCGGTTAATTTTCGTATTTTAGTAGAGATGGGGTTTCACCATGTTGGCCAGGCTAGTCTTGAACTCCTGACCTTGTGATCCACCCACCTTGGCCTTCCTAAGTGCTGGGATTGTAGGAGTGAGCCACCATGCCTGGCTCAAATAACCCATTCTTTAGAGTGTCCCATAATGGTCCGTATTTTTAGTGTCAGATCCATGATCCCTAAAATCTTAATGCCTAAATTCCAGATGTTTTAAATCTCTAAACTGTCAGGGTGTTACTGGGAACATAAGGTAAATGCCTTGAAACCAAACAATAATGTGTTTTTAATGAAGAGGCCTTTCTGTATTGCTGAAATCTGAATCAAGAGTTTTCCTCTCTTGCAATAGCCTTTTCATACCACCCTTTGTAATGAAACATATGGCTCACATCACAGTAAAATATGTAGAGTAGGAAGAAGAAAAAGCATGTTTCACATACGTGTCATATCTGATGTAATGCCATATGTACAACAACCATAGAGGACTGAGACTTAACTGCAGTCCTGGAATAATTAGAGTGAGAGTGTCCTTAATTTATTTTAAATACTGCAAATGGTTTCACATTTTGAAGTAATTAACACTCCCTTCACTTATAATATTTGCATTTCATTATTAAGAAACAATCCCTCAATAATTTTTAATGAACTCTTGAAACTGATATTTAAAAAGCATTAATTTTCTGAAAATAAATTATCAAGAGAATAGTTCAGTCTTGTCTTGAATTTACCATATTTAGTAAGCTAATGAGAGAGAATTTTTAAAAAGGAAATACATTTTGTGGCTTTTTATGAAGTGTGTATGACTAGCTGTCTTTGTGCTCATGGTCTCATTTTGATGTGGGACATTTTTATTTGATATAAGAGAGGGGTAACTTATGATCATTCTCTTCTAGAAAACGAAAAACTTTTCTCAAAAATAGCAAAATTCCAAAAGAAGATTGTGACCTTTTTTTTTTTTGTTTTAGGGAACATCACTTTCTCTTAGGTGTGCTATTTCTTTCCTGTTTTTCAAAACAAAAATGACATTTGTAGCAATGCATTATAGTGTTATGTTATACTATATATGTTATATATAATGTATATATGTTATATTAATACATAATTATTGCCTTTATTTTTTTGAGACCAAGTCTCACTCTGTCACCCAGGCTGGAGTGCAGTGGCGTGATCTTGGCTACTGCAACCTCCTCCTCCTGGATATAAGTGGTTCTCATGCCTCAGCCTCCCAAGTAGCTAGGATTACAGGCATGAGCCACCATACCCAGCTAATTTTTGTATATTTTTATTAGAGATGGGGTTTCGTTATATTGGCTAGGCTGGTCTCGAACTCCTGGTTTCAGGCGATCCATCCAACTCGGCCTCCCAAAGTGCTGGGATTACAGGCATGAGCCACTATCCCTGGCCTACCATTATTTATGACTGGAGTCTTATAGTCTGCTCTACTGTCTCAAGCTAACAAATGAGAACAGAGAGAAAGAGTGTTTTCTTTTTGAGATCTTCAGTAGCTTGAAACCATCTTTGGCAGAGCATCCAAAAAGCTTGATTTTTCAGTGGCTACTCCTGCTGGAATCTGGGTTTATATCTGAGCCAGGATCCTGAGCCTACCTGAATGCTCAGGTTGGTTATTAACTACAGAGACTCATTGGATAGCCTGAAGAATGGCCTGGGCATTTCAGTGTCACGCTGGAAGGAGGCTCCATCCCATGCTGGGAGATGAGTAGGCGATGCATGTTCCAGTTACCCTCTTTCCCAAGGCATTCTGTGCTTTTTCTCACCGCTGGGAGGCAAGCTTTTGGGGGAAGCTGTGTACTGGCTCACTTATCTATATAGCTATATCTCTGAGTATCATAAAAATTTCTCCCTGCCATAAAGAGAGACGTTTTTCCTATGGGTTAACTGGAACAGAGGAGGTGGAGAAAGTGCTTTTAGTTTCAAGGGTCAGAAGTTAGGAGAAAACCCATAAATATTTCTTTTCCTGAGCACTCATCATGCTGCAGCAGGCCATTAATTTTAAAAGAGGTTTTCTATTGAAGGAGCCCGTTCATCTGGTGACATGATAGGTTAGTTTGTATTGCTTTCTCTCCTCCGTGCCAGAGAGAAGTGTTAGAAAAACAAATTATTTATTTTATTATATGAAAATGCTTGAAATTGAATTAAATTAAGAAAATAATAAAAGATTTATTCTCATTATTTATTATTATTTGATTTGTAAATCTGTATTCTATCAACATAGCTGACTTCTGCATGCTTTAAATATTTCCATGAAGGTGATATATGCAGTTTTATTGATATAGTCCTAACAATAAGGGTGCTTCTTTTATACTGTCAGTAGGAAACAAAACCAAACAAATTCCCAAAAGTCAATCTCGTTTTGATGTTCAAACTTGATCTCTCTTGCCTCCATGAAATTAGTTATGATACAGTTCTATTGAATGCAGAGGAAAAATTATTGAGAATTATACTAATATATTTAATTTAGTGGGGAATGTTTTCCTAGAAAGACAGAACCTTTGTATATATATACACACACACATCCCCTAAACTGCTATAGTATGGACATTAAAAAGGTTAGACTTAGTCTTCAGTCTCAATCTCCCTACTCACTTTTCCCACCAGTAGGTATATTTTAATGTACCTAAATTGGGCATCTGAGTTTATTTGACCCTCTGTGATTCATGTGTTAATAATGGTGCCTTAGGGACCTTGGTTTATAGCTCACCAGAGAAGCTAGGGATAAGAGACTGTATCCACATGTAGGCCACTTTGCAAATATATTTAAAACTAAAACTGTAATCTCATCTTCCTTCTTCCACTACTGTGGCAGAATTTAGTGACCTTTAAAATGATTTTCTTCTGAGGATTCATCTCTTTCCCATTTTCTTTAATAGACCCTAC
This sequence comes from Homo sapiens, assembly GCF_000001405.40. Classification (NCBI taxonomy): domain Eukaryota; kingdom Metazoa; phylum Chordata; class Mammalia; order Primates; family Hominidae; genus Homo; species Homo sapiens. The sequence continues at coordinate 8,761,738 of NC_000009.12, read as the reverse complement.
ATCTTTTCATTTCTCGTCCTTGACCATGGTTATTATTAACAGTATTATTAGATGTCTATAAAATTATCCATGTAGATGAGCTTTACAGTTAGCGATTAGTTATACGTTCTTAGGATTGTAACTCCTTAGGAGACACATTTGATGTATTTTAGTTCTTTCTACTAACCTTTGCAGCTCCGCTTTCTGTGCTGCAACCCTGGGTTTTAAAATCTCATGAAAAAGCATCTATCCTCCAATTCTAATTTAGCTTGCTTGCTCTCTCCATCCATGGTCATTATAAACAGTAACCATATTGTGTGGTATGTCACTTTAGGAAAAAAAGCACACAAAGAAATGTTATAATTGTGAAAAAGACAGAAGTCTTTCAGTTTTGTTAGTTATAATATATGTTATCACTTTATCAAATTATTCTTTATTTAACCACCTTTTTTCTTCTGCTAGAGTGTCCTAGTCTCTTTTTATAGCTACCATGTTAAAACTTCTATTTTCTGTCCCCACCTTACTTGATAATTGCCTTTTTGCCTTATTAGGATGCAAGGACAACCACATTTGCCTCTATTTGTAAAATGTTTTTGGCTTATCTTTTAGATCATTTATATTTAGGCAAATAAATGAAATCAGCTTCTGTCTTTTTAAATTTTTCTACCTGTAGCTTCATCCCACAGTCATCTGCTGACACATGAGATGTAAAAAGCTTGGTGTCCTTCTTGCCCCAAATTATAAACCTTTTAGTGAAAAAAGGGACTAAAGATTAAATGATTCATTCATGAAATCATATATTTTAAAAATGTTATTCCTATTATGCAGTAGGCACTAGAAATAGAAGTGGAACTACTCACATCTTCACTAATCCCAAAATTATTTCAGCAAGGAACCATAGTACAATTTCCTACCTCAATTTACTTTCTACTTTACTTGTACGAGATAAAACCTTTTGTTTTTTTCTTGTGGGAAGCCAGATCTCCTAGAATAATCACTAGAAAGGCCATTGCATTCTTCAGACCCACAGAAACATCAAAGGGAGATATACATTCCCATTAAGAATCAAAGTGATAGCTCTGCTAGCCAGACTAGGCACCTCCATAAAACATGCATACATCCCCCCACCGCCACACACACACACACACACACACACACACAGACAGAGAGAGGGAGCAAGGGAGAGAGAAAATGCACACTGAGTTCTCCATTTCCACATTTTGTAATGCTGACATTCAAAAAAATTTTGAGGAAATAGAAAATGAGTAGGTGGGGATATTAATAGCTCAGCAATGAAATAACATACCTGTTATTTTTAACTAGAATAGTGAATTCATAACAAAGAATTGTTTAAAATAGAGATTAGCAGCAAAAGTAAGTGAAATAAGAAACCAAACAAAACTCCAAACATGAATATTGATCTCACTTATTTTTATCTGTTTAGATACTATAATAAGGAAAAAAGCTGATGATTGAAATAAAATTATTTGTGTGTGTGTGTATCTGTGTGTATTTAAAATTCTGACTAAGCTTCTTCCTTTAAAAAGGTGTTAGGCTGGCCAGGCGCGGTGGAGGCCGAAGTGGGTGGATCACCTGAGGTCAGGAGTTTGAGAACAGCCTGGCCAATGTGGTAAAACCCGGTCTCTACCAAAAACACAAGAATTAGCTGGGCGTTGTGGCGCACGCCTGTAATCCCAGCTACCTTAGATTCCAGCTACAAGCACCACTGAGTCCCACATCTGAGGAGATTACAATAATCTTCTCCTGATTAGTAGGGAGAAGGGACACAGACAAACTTTGTCATGGAATCTTTCAACAAACAGTGTCTGGATAGGTCCTGTCAGTTAGAGGATAGTAAATCGAAGCATACAAACAAACACGAGTCCAGGAAATAATGTTTCAGCACAAGGGAAAGAATGCTTGTCTGGAGACCTCGGAAGAAGAGAAGAACCACTTTTCTCAATAGGATTTATTATAGGACCAGGAGAGAATTTCAAGTGAATGTTTTACTTCCTCAGCAGAAAGGAAGAAGATATAGTCTTGATGAAAGAGCAGAAAGTCATGAGCAGCAGGATGGAGTGAAAAGAAAACATAGTGAAATGAGTAGGAAAAGAAGATTGATGAGGACAAAAAAAAAAAAAAAAGAAATGTAACAGGAACAAAAGATGCCAACAGCAGATTAAAATACTGGGAGCTAGAACAGAGTAAGATTGACAGTGTAAAAAATTTGAAAAATTATTATGTAAAGTCAGTGTATTGTCAGGTCTCACAGGATTCAGAAGACCAGACAATACCTTGATAAAGATGAGAGAGATGAAAACAAGAGAGAGCAGAGAACAGAAGCTTTAAAATATTAGTTGCCTCCTCCAAGACACAATAGAGATCAAAATTACAATTAAATAACATTAGGCCGGGCATGGTGGCTCACACCTGTAATCTGAGCACTTTGGGAAGCCAAGGCAGGAAGATCACTTGAGGCCAGGAGTTCAACATCAGCCTGATCAACATAGTAGAACCCTATCTCTATGAAAATAAAAAAGTTAAACCTTATCTCTACAAAAAATAAAAAAGTAAGGTGGTACGTGTCTGTCATCCTAGCTACTTGGGAGGCAGAGGCAGGAGGATCGCTTGACCTCAGGAGATTGAGGCTGCAGTGAGCCTTGATCGTGTCACTGTACTCCAGCCTGGGTGACAGAGTGAGATGCTCTCTTTCTAAAAAAAAAAAAACCCAAAACCAAAGAACACCTTTGTGAGCTTAAAAAAATGACCCTGTTAGGCCAGGTGCGGTGGCTCACGCCTGCAATCCCAGCACTTTGGGAGGCTGAGGCAGGTGGATCACGAGGTCAGGAGATCGAGACCATCCTGGCTAACAGGGTGAAACCCCGTCTCTATTAAAAATACAAAAAATTAGCCAAGCGTGGTGGCACACGCCTGTCATCGCGCCATTGCACTCTAGCCTGGGTGACAGAGCGAGACTCCATCTCAAAAAAAAAAAAAAGGTTATTTTCTAATATCTCGTTCTTTCCTCCTCTCAAACAAGAAATGTTTGTCTTGTTGTAGCATATTGCGTAGAATTTTAAATGAGCTCCATAAATATTGACAATTAAGTCAGAAATTCTTTTTAAAAAAACATTTTGTAAACTGTAAAGTATGAGTTCTTAGTCTTTTCTTGCTTCTTTGTTACTTCTGTGTGACAGCCCAAAATTTATGAGCCTTTCATTCTAGCATTTCTCTAGGCTGTTTTATTTTTATTCTGGAATGTGGTGAGGCTTTGGATCTATAGGTCTGTAAACTCATAGCTTTTTATTTTTTAAAACAAAATGATATCAAATATCATACCCTAATTTGTATATAACATAAGGTATCAGCTTTTCCCATCCTGAACTCACAGAGTTCAGCCCTGATGCCTTAAGGGATCTATTGTATGTAATGAGTTAACTTCTTTCCTATGCATCTAGAGTGGTACTACATTTGTACCATCTCAGGAGAATTGAGGAGTCACTCAAATTATATTCTGTAGGGCATGATTATCTTGTGGAACCGCAGTTGAGAAAGGCTGACTACATTTTGTTTTGTTTTTAATGATAATGGACAGAAGCTTGTTTCCTCAAAATCCTTCCTGCATCTCTGATTTTAATGTGCTTTTGTGGCTCACTGATTTTGATGAGGTAGGCTGGAGGCAGCCATTATTTCATTTCACACAGATGGAAGTTGAAGCACGGAGATGTCAGGAATTGTCTCCAGAGCCTTCTTGAAATAAGATAATGAGAAAGTGGAGAATGTAACACCCATTCAGCCCAACCACCAGTCTGCTTCTGTGAGATCCAGATTTCAAATTATAAAATGAATGTCATGTGTTTTATATAGATAGAGATCCCAAGGAAATCAGAAATGTCTCATGCCATACAGGTCAAAATTGGGATTATATTTTGATGGCAAAGGTTTAATTTGAATAAGTTTTTTGGAATGCAGTATCATGAGTTGTTATTATCTAGTTCACCAATATCCACATGACAGCTCATTGCTATCAGTATAGTTCTAATCTTTTTCCTTTAAGACATTCAATGTTTTTATGTATATATATATATGTATGTATATATATATGTATATATGTATGTATATATATATATATATATATGCAGAATTTATATATATGCAGAATTCTAACTCCAACTCTATCACTACTTTTCCTGTTGATAGTTTGAGATTTATTGTTCCCTGGGATACTCAGCCGGTGTTGAAGGTCTCCCACAAATTGGCTTTACTCACATCTTAATTCCTTCTTACACCCAAACTGTATGGTATATGGTATTTGTAAAATAGCCGATTTATTAGTTTCTGATAATGTTTTGAACATATCAACATCTAAATCTTATGCTGATTATTGATACGCTTTTTACTCAAAATTCTACATATTCTCATTCAAACCATGTATTTGGGTCTTAACACATATTATCGTGCTTTTCTAATTGTTCACATTCCCTATATTTTCAGATAAGCAAATTTATTAGAGGCATTGTCCTTGTTTGACCTTTTTTTGTTTGTCTAACATGTATTAGCATGATCTGAGAAACAGAGAGTTGACAATAAATATTTATTCATAGATTATTATTATTTTGAGATGGAGTCTCACTCTGTTGCCCACGCTGGAGTGCACTGGCACGATCTTGGCTTGTTGCAACCTCTGCCTCCCAGGTTCAAGTGAGTCTCCTGCCTCAGCCTCCCGAGTAGCTGGGATTACAGGTGTCCATCACCATACCCCGCTAATTTTTTGTATTTTTAGTAGAGACAGGGTTTCACCACGTTGGCCAAGGTGGTCTTGAACTCCTAACCTCAAGTGATCTGCCCACCTCGGCCTCCCAAGGTGCTGGGATTACATGCTTGAGCCACAGCGCCTGGCCTGGTTTATAGATTCTTTGGAGCCATATTTCAACTCTTTGGCTTTATCACTAAACAATTTCTTTCTAACTACTTAAATTTTTTTTTAATTATTTTTTCCCTATTAATATTTAAAGAAAGAAAATACATGCTTCTGAAAATAGGTTATTATTTTGGGGATTTTTACCTCCTTTCACTTGCCTGTATAAGTACCTTGGAAATTCCTAAGCATGGACTAGGCTTGGTGATTGGACCTTAATTCCCTAACAACGTTAGAACTCCGGAGCTTTATAAAACCCACTCTCAAATAGCCCAGTATTGTTTCCTACAAAAAGTAAACACTGTAGCCAACTGATACAGCTTTAACATGGATACCACAGTCTCCTTTGATCTGTGAGTTAGAAGAAATTGCAGATGGATTTGCTGTATTGTTTTTTATGCATCTTGCAAAATAAGATTATTCCATGCATGTTACATATATGTACTTTCACACAAATCTTGCATGTTTAACAATATTTAAAAAAAATCTTTGTCTTTGTGGAACTTCAGTCTCCCGGGGGTGGGGACAATGACAACAAAACCTAGCAAATCTATTATATAATATTAACATGTTGAGGGTAACAAATGCTATAAAACAGAGCAACCAGGGAAACTAGAGGCAGAGAAGGGGAGTGATTTGGCCAAGGCATATAAGAAAGTCAGTGCTGAAGTTGGTCTAGAATCTGGTTCTTTGACTGTCTCGGTTCCTTTGTTTGCACTACACTGATTCTCTTGGCCCCAGGGGCCTTCCCTCTACCCATTTGGATTCTTTCTTCAAGTTTCATTATCTTTTCCTCTACCAGTATGAACTAAAAGTCTGAGATCATATTTTCCTCTTCTACACACATACTAATGTTTATCATTCAGACCATTTATTTGGGTCTTAACACATATTATCATGCTTTACTAATATTACATATTGCTGTATTTTCAGATAAGCAAATTTATTAGAGGCTAGTTACTGAAATCAGTCTTTAGAGTCTCAGTGCTTTGGGCTGGTCATTTACTGTTCTCCCTTCTGTATATGTTTCCAAGACAATTTGAGTTCAATTCTACTTTGTGTGTAACTTTGACTTTTATTATTCTTAGTGATCAATTTAGTTTCTTCAAAATGATTAGAAGGTAACTAAGACAAACTATGCATTAATAAGCTGTTTCTAGAAAAGCTATATTTTCTCAGCAGAAATTTTAAATTTTGATTGCTGTAAACAAGTATTTGATTTTATGAATATGCCACAATTTATTTATTCACTCTAGTTTGGATGAATATGTAAGTTATTTCTAATTTGTGCTGCTGTTTTTTTTTTTTTTTTGAGACAGAGTTTCACTCTTGTTGCCCAGGCTGGAGTGCAGTGGTGTGTCTTGGGCTCACTGCAACCTCTGCCTGCCAGGTTCAAGTGATTCTCCTGCCTCAGCCTCCTGAGTAGCTGGGATTACAGGCATGCACCGCCATGCTCGGCTAATTTTGTATTTTTAGTAGAGACAGGGTTTCACCATGTTGGCCAGGCTGGCCTCGAACTCCTGACCTCATGTGATCCGTCCACCTCGGCCTCCCAAAGTGCTGGGATTACAGGCGTGAGCCACCGCACCTGGCCTGTTTGTTTTTTTTGTTTTTTTTTTTTTTAATAATAACATCTAAGTTATTGTTGAGTATAACCTAATGAAACTGCTGGTTGATGTGGTAGGTATATGTTTAGCAAAACAGTTTTTCAAAGGAGTTTTTACCAGTTGGCACTCTAACCAGCAGTATATGAGTTTTAATTTGCACTGCAACCTTCCCAACATGTACTGGTGTCGAGTTTCTGATTTTAATTATTCTGGTGAGTGTGGAGTGGTTTCTCATTTTGATAGTAATTTGCATTTCTTTAATGGCTAACATTGTTCAGTCCTTTTTCATATGTTCAGTGACCATCTGGGTTATCTCTTTTGTGAATTGCCTGTTTAAGGCTTTTATCTCCACCCCATTTCCCCAAAAGGATAGAGAATACAATAGAAATGGATAGCTTCAGGGCTGTTGTGGACATATTTCTTGCAAATATCTTTTTCCACTCTGTAGATTGCCCTTTCTTGATAATATCTTTGGATGAACAGACATTTTAAATTTTAATTAATTGAAATTTATCAATCTTTATTGTCATTACCTTATTTTCAAAACATGCTTTGAGAAAGGCTACAAAGATATTCTTTTGTGCCATTGTCTATAAGATGTATTATTTATCTTTCACATCTAGGTCTCTAATATGTTATTTTGTATATGGTGTGAGGTAGAGGGTCAGTGTATGTTTTTCTTCATGCAGATACCCATTTAACCCATCACCACTGATTGAAAAGATTCTTTTTCCATTGCAATACAGGGACATAGCTGTGTATAAATCATCTGAGAGTACATATGGGTGGGTCTGTTTCTAGACTTCTTTTTCTGTTCCACTATTTTGCTTGTCCTTGAGCTAACACTTCACCATCTTAATTTCTGTGGCTTTATAATAAGTCTTGGTAACTGGTAGTATAAATTCTTTACCATTTGTTTTTCTATAAGATTGTCTTGGCTATTCTTGTGTTTTTGCATTTTCTTATAAATTATAAAATTAGTTTTTCTATTTCACAAGAATAGTATGCTGAAGTTTATATTGGGATTACAGTGAATTCATAGATAAACTTGGGAAAGATTGACATCGTTATAAGAATGAGTCTTTTTTTTGAGATGGAGTCTCGCTCTGTCACCCAGGCTGGAGTGCAGTGGTGCGATCTCAGCTCACTGCACCCTCTGCCTCCCGATTTCAAGTGATTCTCCTGCTTCAGCCTCCTGACTAGCTGGGATTACAGGCATGTGCCACCATGCCAGGCTAATTTTTGTATTTTTAGTAGAGACCGGGTTTCTCCACGTTGGCTTGGCTGGTCTTGAACTCCTGACCTCAGGTGATCCAACCTCCTCAGCCTCCTAAAGTGCTGGGATTACAGGCGTGAGCCACCATGCCTGGCCTACAATAATGAGTCTTTTAAGCTGTGAACATACTATAATCATCCATTTATTTAAGTCTTCTTTAATTTATTGATCATGCTATCTAATTTTCTGCATAGAAATCTTGTGAACTTTTGTTACATTTTTAGTGTTTTATATTTTTGATGCTGCTATAAATAGCACATTTAAGAAATACCTAATTATTCTGAATACAGTTGGTTTCTTATATTGATCTTGTATTTAGCAGCCTTGCAAAATTCATTTATTTATTTCAATAGTTATCATGTCTCCTCACTTTTTCACACATTCTAGTAACTAGTCAAGTTGACTAGCTCCTGTTTAAGGAGAGGCACATACAACATGCTGTTAGAAACCGGCCAGAGGAGCACAGACAGATTGTTCAAAATATCATTCCTTTAAGAAGCTTGAGTGAAAACTTTTCTGCTTTTAAAGTATCAACCCTACTTGAATTGTGGGATTTATCCCCCGGCAGAACCTGCTTAAGGAAAATAGCATCTAAAATTATGCTAACTACTACCTGTCAGTGTACTTGGTGAAATCAGTTGACATCTCAGATACATACGTCACTTCCATTATATCACCAGAAAGGAACATCATGCTTCATGGTTTTAGCCAGTGGTTAAGGACATTTTAGGACAATTTTGCTGTCCCTGAGCTATGTGGCAGAAAATATTTATAATCGGAAAAAGGGGCCAAGAGGCACAAATAAGTTCTGATATTCTAAATCACAGAATAACGTACCTTACTTTAAAGATCTGAAAGCTAGTGATTTTATTAGTTGGTTGCTGCCAGAAGACCAAATTAATTTAGATGTAACCGTAAGAAGCCAAGTTACCTACCTGAGTATTTAAAGTAGGGTAAATGTACTGAAGAAAACATACACTTATTTATCTTTGTTTTATAGTGCATGAGGAAAATATTAAACACTTTTGTATTGTCAGCTTTTGATGTATACCAAACCATCCCTAAACTTAGTAGCTTAACCCAGTACCCACTTAATTATCTCAATTCTCTGGATCAGCAGTTTGAGCTGGGCTCAACTTGGTGGTTCTGCTGTTGGTGGCCCAGCTTAGATGATCATGATTGGACTTACTCTTGAGTCTGCAACCAGCTGTCAGGTCTTCTGGGGAATGATTGGTCTACAGTGGGTCAGTTAGCTAGTTCATCTCTGCTCCCCATGGTCTTTCATCCTCCACCAGGCTAGTCTGGGCTCGTTTGTGTGGTGGTGGTGTTACAGGAAAGGGGTCCCGATCCAGACCCCAAGAGAGGGTTCTTGAGTCTCGCACAAGAAAGAATTGAGGGCGAGTCCATAGAGTAAAGTGAAAGCAAGTTTATTAAGAAAAGTAAAGGAATGAAAGAATGGCTAACTCCATAGACAGAGCAGCCCTGAGGGCTGCTGGTTGCCCATTTTTATGGTTATTTCTTGATGATATGCTAAACAAGGAGTGGGTTATTCATGCCTCCCCTTTTTAGACCATGTAGGGTAACTTCCTGATGTTGCCATGGCATCTGTAAACTGCCATGGCACTGTTGAAAGTGTAGCAGTGAGGACGACCAGAGGTCACTCTCATGGCCATCTTGGTTTTGGTGGGTTTTAGCAGGCTTCTTTACTGCAAGCTGCCTTATCAGCAAGATCTTTATGACCTGTATCTTGTGCGGACCTCCTATCTCATCCTGTGACTTAGAATGCCCTAACCGTCTGAGAATGCAGCCCAGTAGGTCTCAGCCTCATTTTACCCAGCCCCTTTTCAAGATAAAGTTGCTCTGGTTCACACATCTCTGACAGCGGTGGCAGGGGACCCCAGGTCAGCAAGTGGAAGGGACCATGCAGAGCTTCTTCCTGATGTTTCTTGGGTTTCTTGAGGCTCAGGGTCAGACGCACACAACGTTGCTTTTGTCCCATTCTTTTGGCCAAGGCATGTAGAAAGGTCAATCCAGGAAGGGAATAGACTTTTCTACTTGAGAAGCAGAATAAGGTGGCATTATTGTGTGTGTCAGGTTCTACACCCTCCATATAACAAACTGTCTCGTTTTATAATGCATTTTTAAGACAGAGGGTTAAATACTGGTAGTCTCAAATCTATTTAGGTAACTAATAAGAAACACTGAGGAGTTAAATGACTTCATGTTGGGGTGTTAAAAGCCTTGCTTCAATAATGGAGGAAATCCTGGAGTGAAGACTAAGGGATGAAATGTAAAAGATAACTAAGACTGAAAAGCTAATTTGGAAAGATAGCCAGCAATTGACTCACAGCAGGCCTTGGCTTCTAAATCCTGAAAGAAAGAATGTTTGAATTATTGGAAGGGCCCTGTTTTCTAATAGCCTGAATTCCAGTGTACTATTGGGTATTAGTATCACTGCTAACATTACAGAGTTTAAAATGTTCAAACAAAAAAGGCTTTGATCTACAAAACTTCAGAAACCTAAAAATATTTTTTTTTCTTTTCTTTTTTTTTTTTAAGTGAGTGTAGAAAGCCTTTCCGGAATCACAGATTGAAAAGTGTGGCCATAGAGATCCGTAATGCTGACCGTTTCTTTGTACATGAAAGCAGATTTTTTCCATTTGCGTTTTTCAGGAACGCAAATGAGAACTAATGTCAGGTACTTTACTTTTTAAGTAAAAATTCTAAAGTGTGTTAAACTGCTCTATGGAAGAGAAATGGGAGAAAAAAAGTCATTTGATTTTGTAGGGCAGGTTGCTGTGTAGGAACAGAGAAGGGCAGCTGAAAACATTAAAAAGCGACACATTATTTCTGATTGTTTTCTGAATTGGGAAGAGGAGACTGCCATAGGATCACTGAAAAGTGAAACTGGTGAGCCTTTTATAAAGGGTCAAAAGACTTCACAATAGAGCTTAATGGCTATGTCCAAGTAAATGGATTGGAAGTCTCTACAGAGACTTGGGAACAGGGAGGGCAGTCGGGGGAGGTTGCATTTTTTTAGACCATTGGCACACAGCCACTGGAGAAGTCATCTAAATATAAATCAGACCGTGTCACTCCATAGCATAAAGCCCTCCAGTGTCTTCCACTGCATTTCAGATGCAATCCAGTCTCTCCACTGTTGCTTACAGGCCCTGTGCAACCTGGGCCCACTTTATTTTCCCAGTCTGCCTGGTATCATTCTCTGCTGGGAATCTCTGGGCTCCAGCCACAACCAAGCTCATTCCTGCATCCCAGCCTCTGCCCTGGGCAGTCTGTGCCTTCACATGGGAAGCTTTTCTGCATTTCTTCTTGTCATTCAGGTTCAGGCTTACATGCCCCACCCTTCTCTAGGGTCCTTTCCTGTCACCCTATTCTAAAGTCTCCCCTTTCTTTTCCCACATACCAGTTATTTTTCTACCCCTGTTAACTTGCTGAATTTTCTTTCGAGCACTTACCAGGTACCTTAAAAAAAACTTACTTGGCCGGGCATGGTGGCTCATGCCTGTAATCCCAGCACTTTCGGTGGCCAAGGTGGGTGGATTACTTGAGGTCAGGAGTTTGAGACCAGCCTGGCCAACTTGGTAAAACCCTGTCGCTACTAAAAATACAAAAATTAGCCGGGCGTGGTGGCCCGCGCCTGTAGTCCCAGCTACTTGGGAGGCTGAGGCAGAAGAATCGCTTGAACCTGGGAGACAGAGGTTGCAGTGAGCTGAGATCCTGCCAAGGCACTCCAGCCTCGGAGATAGAATGAGACTCTGTCTCAAAAAATTACTTGTATTTTTCTATCTCCTAGCACCAGAATGTATCAGTATCAGGGAACTTGCTTTTTTTTTTTTGAGACAGAGTCTCATGCTGTTGCCCAGGCTGGAGTGCAGTGGCGCGAGCTTGGCTCACTGCAACCTCCGCCTCTGGGTTCAAGCGATTCTCCTGCCTCAGCTTCCCGAGGAGCTGGGACTACAGGCGACCGCCACCACAGCTGGCTCATTTTTTGTATTTTTAGGAGAGATGGGGTTTCACCATGTTGGCCAGGCTGGTCTTGAACTCCTGACTTCAGATCATCCACCCTCCTTGGCCTCCCAAAGTGTTGTGATTACAGGCGTAAGCCACCGCACCCAGCCGGACCTTGCTGTCTTGTACGTTTATTATAAGTCTCTTGTCCCTATCACCTTGCCTGGTATTCAGAAATATTCATGGAATAAAAGAATGAAGGAATTCATTTTTAAAGCACAAACACTGTTTGTGTGTAAAGTTATTCTACTTTAATGTAGATGGTTTACAATGATAACATGAGGACATTGTCTGAAAATCCCAAACAACAGTGTCTTCTCTATGTGTTATAATATGTCTTGTTGACATCAGCTGTCACATAGAGATTGGTGGACAGACTAGTAAAATATGTCATTTTTGTCTATGGTCACTTAAAATATAGGTTTAAAAAAATCCAAACTTCACCTGGTCATGGTGGCTCACGCCTGTAATCCCAGCACTTTGGGAGGCCAAGGTGGGTGGATCGTTTGAGGCCAGGAGTTTGAGACCAGCCTGGCCAATGTGGTGAAACCCCGTCTCTACTAAAAACACAAAAATTAGCTGGGCATGGTGGTACCTGCCTGTAATCCCAGCTGCTCAGGGAGATGAGACACGAGAATGTAGAATTGCTTGAACCCGGAGGCGGAAATTGCTGGGAGCTGAGATGGTGCCACTGCACTCCAGCCTGGGCGACAGAGCGAGACTCTGTCTCAACACAAAGAACAAAAACAAAAAATCCCAACTATATCTAGGGCAATGGGCCCCTAATTATTTATATGGCCTAGGAAAAGAATTATAGAACTTCTACTTTTTTTTTCTTATTTTTAAAATTTCTAATTCTGTGTTTGAAAATGTATTTAGTTCATTAGTAGCATAGTAAATGTATATAATATATAAATACATATTTTCACATGTGTGTTGAAATAAGCACTAAATTTGTGTGATGGAGTGTATGGACCAATCTAAAGTGCAAGTTAGAAAATGATGAATTTTCTTTTTTTATGATGGAGTTTTGCTCTTATTACCCAGGCTGGAGTGCACTGGCGCAATCTTGGCTTACCACAACCCCCGCTCCTGGGTTCAAGCGATTCTCACACCTCAGCCTCCCGAGTAGCTGGGATTACAGGCATGCGCCACCATGCCTGGCTAATCTTGTATTTTTAGTAGAGATGGGATTTCTCCATGTTGGTCAGGCTGGTCTTGAACTCCTGACGTCAGGTGATCCGTCTGCCTTGGCTGTTCAAAATGTTGGGATTACATGCATAAGCCACCACGCCTGGCCAGTGATGAAGATTTATGCAATGAATAGTTTTGACCCTAGTGACAATTACGGGAAGAAGTAAGCGCATTTTCTTTTTCTTTTTCTTTTTCTTTTTTTTTTTTTTTTTTGCAGTTGCAGGATTTAATAGAGTGAAATAGAATGAAAACAGAGCTCCCATACAAAGGGAGGGGACCCAAAGGGGGTTGCTGTTGCCGGCTCGAATGCCTGGGTTTATATCCTGATCCTTGTCCCTCCTGCTGTGCTCTCAGGCAATAGATGATTGGCTATTTCTTTACCTCCTGTTTTTGCCTAATTAGCATTTTAGTGAGCTCTCTGATTGGTTGGGTGTGAGCTAAGTTGCAAGCCCCGTGTTTAAAGGTGGATGCAGTCACCTTCCCAGCTAGGCTTAGGGATTCTTATTCCGCCTAGGAAATCCAGCTAGTCCTGTCTCTCAGTCCCCGCTCTCAACAGGAAAACCCAAGTGCTGTTGGGGAGGTTGGCTGACAACCGCTCTAACTGCTTCCTGCTGAATTGGGGCATAGTAGTTGTTGTGCAGTTGAGATTTCCTCAGGAGGGGTGCCTTCAATGTCGTTAACATCGGAGCATGGGCTAGCAGGCCGGTCCAGGGGTCCGCGGTAGATCTTAGTCATGGACTGCATCTGTGGCTCCATTTGAAGAACCATATATATTACAGCTTCGATTCTGGAAGAGACACACTTAACAAGGAGGTTAAAGATACAGGGATTGAAATGTATGGCCTGCAGTGCAGGGGATTACTTCTTTGGCACACTTTACAGGCCCTGACTATCTGCTTGATAGTTTTGAAAAGGCCTGGTCTAGTAAATAATAATTTGGCCATCTGATGGGTGCTATCAATGCCTAAGTGAAAGGTTTGGTGAAGGGTTTTAAGTAATTTCCATTGGTTAGCTGCAGGCAAAAGTATTTTTCCTTCTTCGGTGGCTAGCCATCCTGAGGGGAGGAAACTACGTCCTCGTGAGGTCCTTCATTCTATTTCTTCTTCTGAGTACTGGGGCTTGGTTTCCTGGAAGGGATTACCCCATACTAAGTGTCCTTCTGTAAGCATTTCTAAGGGAGGGTCCTGCCTTGTGGCTCTTTTGGCTTTAATATCTGCTTGGCGGTTCCTTTTTATTTCCCTTTCCTTCTTTTTCTGGTGACCCCTGCAGTGTAAGACTGCCACCTCTTTAGGTTTCTGTACAGCCAATAGTAATATCCTAATGGCTTCCTGATGTTTGATAGGTGTTTCCTCGGAAGTTAGGAATTCCCTTTCTTTCCATATTGTTGTATGGGAATGGAGGACTAGGTAAGCATACTTAGAGCCTGTATATATATTTATCCTTTTTCCTTTTCCTAATTCTAGTGCCTGAGTGAGGGCTATTAGTGAAGTAAGCACATTTTCTAAAGTGTGGCTGTTCAATTTTTTTAAACAAGGCAATATAAATATTCATGATTAAACCTATGATTTAAAAATATTAAAGGAAACATAATAAAGGAAAGGGTCAGTCTATATTCAGTTTGTGATGGAAACATTGTTAGGTACACCACAAAAGATAGAGAAATTCTTAAAAAGATGGCATTTTAATTTGGGGCTTGATCCTGCACCAGATAACAATTAGGCATTCCCTGCACTTCTCTTCCACCCATCCTTGCACATCTTTGCCAGCCACACTCCTGGCTTGCTTCCTGAACCTATTCCTACTCATTTTAGAATGACTACTCCTCTACTTTGAAATATAAATATCTGGGTTTCAAAAGGCCTATGTGAGACCCATATCCAACAGATAAATTTTGTTTGTTTGTTTTTAGAGATGGGGTCTTGTTATGTTGCCCAGGCTGGTCTTGAACTCTTGACCTCAAGTGATCCTCCTGCCTCAGCCTCTGAAAGCACTGGGATTACAGGCATGAGGCATCGTGCCTGACCCAGCAGAGAAGTTTGATCGATGTTTTTATTCAACATTTTCTTTTCTTTTAGTTTAATGGGCTGTTCATTTAAGATAACAATTGGTTTCTAGAAAGTTTGGTGTTGAGAAAGTTACTACAGCTAGTTTGCTAGCAGGCTTTTAATGACTTTAAACTCCCTTTTTGATATCCATATTGTGTATTTTGTTTCAGTATTTTATAGAAGTACAATAAAAATGACAGTACTTTAAAAAGTCTTTCCAGAGGTCTCAAATATATTTTCTAAAGGAGTGAGTATTGGAATAATATTTTTTTCGCTGCCACTCTGATACATCTTGGTATGGGAAATGCATAGTGCTTTTATTGCTGCAGGAAATTTTCGTACTTTATTATCAAATCACTTTGTAACGCCAACTTCTTTTGAAAAATAACCATTGTGTATCTTCATTTCTTCTTTCAATATGGCCATGTTGCCCTCAGCAACTTCGTAATAAAGTGCACTCAGGCTGTTGTCTCTCCACTGAGATAACCAGACTGTATAACTCTGTGAATTCAGAATCTAACCCGTTCCCACCTTGTCACAATTACTCAACATATGTCCTTGCTGACATTTAAATTTTACAGAGAAAAAAAAAAAATCGATTGGGCATGGTGGCTCATGCCTGTAATTCCACCACCTTGGGAGGCCAGTTTGGGAGGATTGTTTTGAGTCCAGGAGTTCAAGACCAGTCTGGGCAACATAGCAAGACCCCTTCCCAATAAAAATTGAAAAACCAAATGTGGTGGCACTTGCCAGTATTCCCGGATACTCTGGGGGTAGAGGCGGGAGGATAGCTTGAGCCCAGGATTTCCAGGCTGCAGTGACCTGTGATTGTGCCACTGCACTCCAGCCTGGGCGACAGAACAAGACCCTATCTAAAAGAGAGAGAGAGAGAGAGAGAGAGAGAGAAACTCCATAAAATAGAACTTGATGGTAATATGCAAAATAGGTATACCTTAAGGTGGTATAAACATGTGTCTGCATGTTATTCGTTCAATTACAAACGTGAGAATTTAGAAAATCTATTACTGGTTAATCATTTTTCCTTCCAAGCACGTCTATAAACTTTTACTCTAAGATACACAGGTACATAATAACAGGTACCAAGTTAAAGATTGACCCTTTAGAAAATTTTTGACTCATAGGATAAACTTTCATTTGTGAATTATTTATTGGTCTAGGACAGTGACTGCCAAATACCTTCATTCAGTGAGATTCTTTCATCCTGCCTTCCTATACCCCGCCTTTAAGGTTGCCTTCCCCTTTCGTTTATGCCCATTGTAATATTGTCTCTTTGCTAATTAAAGGAGGGACTTTTTCTTTATGTTGATCACTTTGGAATTAATCATGACATCGCCTCAGCTATCTATTTCTGTTGCAGTAAGTCAGAGATAGTAAAAGTAGATACACCATGCTATAGAAGAAAGAAAATTGGTTCTAAGCCCTCCTCTGAGACTACTCACTTGTGCATTTTGAGGTTATTAATTCCATTATGTCCTTGTACTTCATGCATTGTCTGTTAAATGAGAGGGTTGCCCAAAATGATGTTATTTTTTTCTTCTGATTTTTATCAGTCTGTGGTTTCATTGAAGGAGGGAGTAGATGTGAAGAGGGCACTAACAGTAAAGATGAGTGCAATATAACTGAATGAAATATATGTACAGAGTGAGAGAAGTGAAGAGTGTATTTTGGATATATATATGGTTAATATTTGTCCTCTTTACCTTTCTTTAGATTTTATGTTTCTGTTTGGTTTGATAGTCATTTATTTAGTTTCCCCACACAACCTATTTTCTCTACTATGTAAATTGTTAATAGTATCTTAGAGAGATGTGGGAATAGTCATGAGGACAACGTTGGGATTATAATGTTCTGCCTTTAAAATTTATTTTTTATTTCAATAGGTTTTTGAGGAACAGATGGTGTTTGGTTATGTGCATAAGTTCTCTAGCGGTGATTTCTGAGATTTTGGTGCACCCATCGCCCAAGCAGTGTACACTGCACCCAATGTGTAATCTTTTATCCCTCACCCTGCTGCCAGCCTTTCCCTTGAGTCCCCAAAGTCCATTATATCATTTTTATGCCTTTGCATCCTCATAGCTTAGCTCCTCCTTATGAGGGAGAACATGCAATGTTTGGTTTTCCATTCCTGAGCTACTTCACTTAGAATAATAGTCTCCAATTCCATCTGTGTTGCTGCAAATGCCATTATTTCATTCCTTTTTATGGCTTAGTCATATTCCGTGGTATAAGTATACTGCATTTTCTTTATCCACTCGTTGATTGATGGGCATTTGGGCTGGTTCCATATTTTTGCAGTTGCAAATTGTGCTGCTGTATACATGCGTGTGCAAGTATCTTTTCGGATAATGACTTCTTTTCTTCTAGGTAGATACTTAGTAGTGGGATTGCTGGATCAAATGATAGATCTACTTTCAGTTCTTTAAGGAATCTTCACACCGTTTTCCATAGCGGTTTTACTAGTTTACATTCTTGTCAACAGTGTAGAAGTGTTCCCTTTTCACCACATCTACACCAACATCTATTTTTTAAAATATTTTTTCGATTATGACCATTGTTGCAGGACCGAGGTGGTATTGCATTGTGGTTTTGATTTGCATTTCTCTGATCATTAGTGATCAGGGAGCATTTTGTGAGCGTTTTTCCATATGCTTGTTGGCCATTTGTATATCTTTTTTGAGAATTGTCTGTTCATATCCTTAGCCCACTTTTGGATGTGATTTTTTTTTTCTTGCTGATTTGAGTTTGAGTTCTTTGTAGATTCTGGATATTAGTCCTATGTCGATGTATGGATTTTGAAGATTTTCTCCCACTCTGTAGGTTGTCTGTTAACTCTGTTGATATTATTATTATTATTATTATTATTATTATTATTGTTATTTTTTGCTGTGCAGAAGCTTTTTTAGTTGAATTAAGTCCTATCTATTTAATGTTTGTTTTTGTTGCATTTGCTATTGGGTTCTTGGTCATGAAGTCTTTGCCTAAGCCGATGTCTAGAAGGGTTTTTCTGATGTTATCTTCTAGAATTGTTACGGTTTTGGGTCATAGATATAACTCTTTGATTCATCTTCAGTCGATTTGTGTATAAGGTGAGAGAGGTATGAAGAGAATATTCTTTAATTCCACTTTCCTTAGCCATTTATGACAGCCTTTCACCGTTCCACTATTGATCTCTATTGCTAGCAGTGATATGAGAAAACAGTCCTTGAAACTGAGTATTTCTTTCCTGAGACTGTTCCCTTAGAGAAGAGCTAAGCTCCCATCATGAGACATGGGAACCATATCTATTCACTGACTGACATCAGTGCAATGTCTGTTCCATTTAACAGCTTCATTCTTTTAATTGGTGACAATATTTATGCTGCCTAAGCCTGTGAACTAAACTTTTAAGGCAAGCCAACTTTGGTTCTAACTTAGGACAAAAAGGGAAATTTGGGTGTCATCCATATTCCCATGCCCAGAAATTCAAATCTGTTTTGAGTTTATGTATGAAAACACCTAAAATTGGTGGGTTTAGAAAGCAATGTATTAGATTATGTCTTAAAAGTCCCCCCCCCCTTTTTTTTTTAATTTGGAATTTTTCCTCTGTGCCAATGAGCTGTTCTAGGACAGGGTTTCCCACCTTTGGCATTGCTGACATTCTGAATGGGATAATTTCTTGTTGGGGGGCAGGTAGTTGTTCTGTGTGTTATAGGGTATTTGGCAGTATCTGTGGCCTCTACCCTTAGGTGCCATGGGTCACCCTTCTTGCGCTGTGACAACAAAAATTGTCTCTAGGCATTCCCTGAGGGAGAGGGCAAAGTCACTTTTACAGCTGGCCCAGAGATTTGATCACCCTGAGGATGGAGCTACCAATAAATATTACACCTGCGAGGCGCTAAATTAGTTTTCTTTGAGCTATCATAATGAACTATTTAAAAAACAATTAAAAGGTCCTTCACTTTATTCTTAAAATAATCCTAAGGAAAAGAGATCAATGTAGATTATTCCCTTTAGAGAGTGGTAAATTCTCCTCAAAGTGAATTTTTAAAATTGCTTTTCATAGTAAAGAAGTAAAATATGTATTGCCAGACTTTTCCGTACTATGTATTGATAGGGCTAAAACAAATAAAATAGATACAATAATAAATAAAACCTATTACCCATAACATTTGAAAAGTAAATGTATTTTACAGATATTTTGCATTCATTAAGAAAACCTGTTTTGATTTTTAAAGATGACAAAATCAGTTATATTGATGTAGAAATGATAGTTTCATATCCATGTATTCTTGAAAAATGCCAAGACAGATCATGTAAAATGTTCTCATTATAAAAATGATAACTATATGAGGTAATGCATATGTCAATTAGCTAAATTTAGTCATTCCTCAATGTATACTATATATACTTCAAACATCATGTTGTGCATAATATATACAGTTTTATATATCAATTTAAAATAAAACAACAAATCATACATTACTATTAGGATAAGATCCTATTGTAATGTGTGCAGTCTGTCATCAAGGAAATTTTAAAGCTTGACTGACATATTAGTTTATTGGTCATAACTAATGTCTTATAGCTTGATGTATATAGGTTATTAAAAGTGAAATATAGGGAATAATATGAAATTTTGGAACAGGTGCATAATCGCTTCATGATAAATTAGGCTTATGGTGATACTCCTAGCATGAAAATGTCTTGTCTAGACCTCTTAATCAAGGGCATATTAATTACTTCTTTTGATTGGTTGAACAGAATATCCTAATAAATTATTTAACATAAAAAAAGAAATGCCCGGTCAGGCGCGGTGGCTCACGCCTGTAATCCCAGCACTTTGGGAGGCTGAGATGGGCCACTCACGACATCAGGAGTTTGACACCAGCCTGGCCAATATAGTGAAATCCTGTCTCTACTAAAAATACAACAATTAGCTTGGCATGGTGATGTGTGCCTGTAGTCCCAGCTACTCAGGAGGCTGAGGCAGGAGAATCGCTTGAACCTGGGAAGTGGGGGTTGGGGGTTGCAGTGAGCCGAGATCACACCACTGCACTCCAGCTTGGGCAACAGAATGAGACTTCATCTCAAAAAAAAAAAAAAAAAAAAAAAAAAAAAAAAAAAGAAATGCCTGAGATTAAAATAATAGAATCCATGTTCTGTTTGAGTGGAAAGTGGCTGGATTGCATATCTATCTACACTTTGCGAGAAAGATCTGTTTCTCACTTGTACAGTGTCTTTTTGGATGAAAGGAACAAATATTAGAGTTCCAACGGCATGTTGAATAGACTTGTATTTTAACCGTTTCATTGCCAGTTTCTACTGGCATCACATAAAACTAGATAGAAGCTATGACATGCAGTAATAACTGAAAGAAATTTTAGATTCTTTTTCTAAAGCTATCCTTCTTTTCAAATCAGAATTATAGTTCTATTTGTAGGGGAACAATAGATACAAAGGGAGATGAGGTTTTTTTTTCCTTTCTATCTGTTCATTTCTCACGGCATACCTCATTTTTTTCTTCCCAAAGGAGAAAGAAACAATCAAAGTTAATAATGTCATTTTGCCATCCTTGAAAATAACTAATATTTATATGTGCTTCCAATGTAAAGCCACTTGATATCTTACAGGGATGCATCAATAATAATTTGGAAAGTGAATCATAAACTATAGAAAAAGCTCAGAATAATAGCTATTGACTTTTTTTTCTCTGTGTATTAGAGTTAGGCATATAAGGGATCTTTTAAGTGTCTATATTGATAGGAATTGTTTTACTCTTCGGGTATTCTTAAAATTCAGTTGATTTCTTCAAAGAATCATTGTGTGCTTATAGTCCCCTGGGGTCTTCATATTAAGTCATAGCCTAAGCCAAAAATGAGATGATTGAATTATCACTTTGTGTTTATATGTAATAGCTCTTAAACTACCTCTTGTTGTTTTTCCTAACTGATTGTCATAAAAACATGTTTAGGGCAAAACAGAAAAATTTGGAGTTTTTGATTTGATGTGCTGATTATGTGGAGTATAATTTTGAGGTGTTACAAGTTTCATACAAATAATTTCTTATATTTTTAGGTTTGACTATTTTATTCAGAGGTGCTTGGTTTGTGGTTGTTTTTCATAGTTTTATTAAATTCAATAACCTTGTTCAATGGCCCCTTTTCTCAGTAATATTTTCCGTAATTGACATTAAAGCTTTTGGTGCCCTGCATACATTTAAGAATGTGTTTCCCGTATCCCTCGCTAATATTAATCGAATGTGGCCATTTTATAAAAACTATACAACTATACAAATTATTTCATGAGGATGTTTAGAAGTATGCTTGTCCTTTATGTCTATAGAATGTGGCAGTTCTTTGCTGCCAGAAGTAGTGAGAAATACAATGAAGTATGAAACGCCATCTTTAACATAATTTTTCCTTTAATATTAAAGGAACATTCGTTAACACTATTTCTACTTGGATATTTTCCAGTTATATACTCAACCACTTATTGATCTTCCCTTTGCATTCTTGATCAGATGAGATTGGGCGTGTTCAGGGTAGTTTGGTCATAGACTGATCTTCCCTTTACATTCTATGAAATAATTTAAAAAAAATGAAATCTTTTATTTGGCAGGATGAGGGACATGGGTGGGTTAGTGTATTAGTCTGCTTTCACACTGTTGATAAAGACATACCTGAGACACTGGGAAGAAAAAAAGGTTTAATGGACTTACAGTTCCACATGGCTGGGGACGCCTCACAATCATGGTGGAGGGTGAAAGTCACATCTCACATGGCAGCAGACAAGAGAAAAGAGCTTGTGCCCGGAAACTCCCCCTTACGTAATCATCAGATCTCATGAGACTTATTCACTATCATGGGAACAGCACAGGAAAGCCCTGCCCCTATAATTCAGTTATCTCCCACTGGGTCCCTCCCATAACACATGAGAATTCAAGATGAGATTTGGGTGGGGACACAGTCAAACCATATCAGTTAGTGAGTGATCCAAAGCTTAAATGGGTATCCTCACATAACACAGTGAATCTTTAGTGTCTGGTTATTGGGAAGCCAAGGACTACGAGAACTCAGAATTCTCACCTCATTGTTTCAGTCTACACCTCCAAAAAACACTGACTTTCTGTTCAGTGCTGTAAACCTGTAGTTGTAGTCTGTGCTGTCCAATAGGGTAGCCACTAGCCACATGTGGCTGTGTAAATTTAAACTGAACTTTAATAAGATAAAAACTTTACTTCCTCAGTCGCACTAGCTACGTTTAAAGTGGTCAATTATTAGTCAATGCAGATAAAAAAACATTTCTATCCTGAAGAAAGTTATATCTGTCAGTACTGGAAGATTCTTGTTTTATACCACGTTAAAATATTTAGATGGCTCCCTTCTCTTGGAAAATCCACAAGTCAGTGAAATGTTGAAAGTTTGCTTTTGGGTTCTCTTCTCTTTTCATGTACTTGTGTTGTAGCTGGACACTGAGGGCCTAGGGAATTCCTGGGGTGCCCCCTGAAGCCTCTGTCAGGTTTGCTGTAGGCTCCAGGCCCCTCCCCTCCTTCAGGCTTCAGCCAGAGCAGCCCTGCTTTTGTCTGTTTTACAAATTGGAGAGTCCTAGCAGCACATCGTTTGTACAAATGGATCCTTCTCTTAAATAATTAGAAGCCACATTCAGCTGATTTACAGAGGCCTGGTTTGGGAGGTAGATAAAAAGAAGTAATTTGGGGACATACTCCTTCCCATACCATCCCCCAACTTAATGCATATCTTTTATGCATGTATGTTCAGGTTAAATATCATTATGATATTGCTTCTGAGATGTCTAGACTTGAGAGGATGGGTTTGTTATGATAGAAAAATGAAAAATGTTCAGAGATAAACAATGATACCTAGTTTTAAGTGACAGCAGTAGTTTTTGTTTTTGTTTTTTTAATGCTTAATTCTTTCCTTTTCTGTTCCCGTTTTCAGAGTAATGATTTGGTTCTCTAACTTTCTCCTAGAGTAACCAGTGAAATTTTTAAAATTATGAACTCATAGATTATAATGTGATTTGTTGTAGTTCTTTGCAGTTATTATTCTTTTTGTCACTCAGATTTCCCTACATTTAGCTGATAGGCACCTCATCATCTTGGATTTTTTTTTTTTAATATAGCCTAGTAGTTCCGACAACTTCCTTGCTTCTGGTATGGCAAGATGTTGACTAATTTTCTACATTTCCCATACAAAGCCTATAATCTGCCATTTTCTAAGGGACTCTAGGCCCTAGTTTGTCTTTTTTTAAAGAAAATTTTAATACAGTATTTAGACACAAATAACAGTATAGAAAGCTGAAAAAATAGTACAAATCCTTCAACATTCATATTGGTTTGAATATGAATATACTTATTACAGAAAAGTGTTACAATGGTAAGTTGAAGAAAAAGAGTTGGATAGGTGTCACTTTATGTGATCGCTTGAAACCGTGATTTGTTAAGGCTTTTAGGCAAGTGCGCTCTTTGTTGTTCCATTTCAAATTATATTACATGCATCGTATTGCCCTCTGAACTGTTAGTTTCTCCAACCACCCATGTACAGATATACAGAAGCTGATATACAATTCAGTTAATTGGAATTCAGCAAAATTATTGTTTCATAAGATCTTTGTGGTATGAGAAATAAGAAACCGGGGAGTTATAAATTTTTTGAAATTGTATTTTAGATTCATATACATGGTTGAGTTCTATCTGCATGTCCCTGCTGATGAAAGACAGAGAGCCGGGTGCAGTGGCTCACATCTATAATCCCAGCACGTTGGGAGGCCGAGGCGAGCGGATCACAAGGTCAGGAGTTCAAGATCAGCCTGACCAATATGGTGAAGCCCTGCCTCTACTAAAAATAGAAAAATTAGCCAGGCGTGGTGGCGCACACCTGTAATCCCAGCCACTCAGGAGGCTGAGGCAGGAGAATCGCTTGAACTGAGGAGGCGGAGGTAGCAGAGAGCTGAGATTGTGCCACTGCACTCCAGCCTGCTTGACAGAGAGTGAGACTCTGTCTCAAGAAAGAAGGAGCAGAACATATAAAAATCAAAGGGTTGGCTTCTGCTGAGGCTATTGGACAAATGCTGGATAATGTGTGATGGAAGTAAGGTAAAACGTGGTACTTTTAATATCACTGAACCTCCTTGCTCTTTTTTTTTTTCAGAGTACTTAGCAAGCCTTACTATAGATTAATGGAAACTCCTTATAATATTCTTTTATCCTGTTTATTTTTGGTTTAATTATTTTCTTAAGAATCCATTTCCAATTTTTGTACCTAAATTTAAATTCCACCTTACTGATAGGCAGCTAGCATTTCCCTTTTGGCAATGTTGCTGTGTAATAAACAAGATAAGGAATGGAGATTAGCTGGAATGAACATTTAGAATACGTTTCATCTTCACACCTCTGACCTCCTTTGGGCACAACCCATTTAAGGATAAATATGTATGTTTATACCTGCATTCGTTTCTAGAGTGCTAGATCCTATCACTGTTGCTAGTCCAGGAGTAACATTTGAAGGTTCATTTGAAAAAATTTGGTCTTCTTATGCACTTCAGCTGAGTAGGAGGAAAAGCCAAATCACTTCTTCCCTGAGTGAGCATTCATAGGTCTCCATCTCTGTGATCACACGGAGTCATTATGTAGCAGTTGGCTCTGATACGCTTGCACAGACACAAATTGAGTCCGACAGGACTGATGTCTCCTGGACTTTGCTGTCATTTGAAATGCTGGCATGAGGATGGGAGCAGTGAAAGCGGGAGGAGGGGAATGGGGAGGGGAGAGCTGATTCCTTTAGCACTTTTCCAATGAACTTTTGAGATTTTTAACATCTGATAGCTGTGAACTGCTTGATAAGTTGATTTTCAGAGGCGATTGATAACAATAGCTGATTTGGAACAGCTGGCCAGCTTCTGGATTCAAGAAGTTTTCCACTGTACCACTTGCTTCTTCATGCCAACCCACTGTTTAAAAAAAAAAAAAGGAGACTATCTAATAGAATGGTAGAGTGATTCCTCTCCTTTTTAGTTTTATCTTTCCTGCATTCAAACCGCTTATGAATACTAATAAAAAAGGTAATATCTTTAAAACAATTTTTGTTCTCATGCTTAAGCTGAGTTTCAGAAATGACAT
Source organism: Homo sapiens (assembly GCF_000001405.40). Lineage (NCBI taxonomy): Eukaryota > Metazoa > Chordata > Mammalia > Primates > Hominidae > Homo > Homo sapiens. The sequence goes on along the minus strand of NC_000009.12, from coordinate 8,736,552 downwards.
ACTATGGTATCTGCATTATAATTCTTTTTAAAGTACAAGTTATTTTAGTGGATTAGGTTATTGCTGGATATCTCTAGTATTTCCTGTCAAAAATTTTGTATATGTTTCAAATATTTCAGTTTTAAAAATTAAAGGTATGCAGTTTCATTTTGCAAATGAATACTGATAGTCATTTTCAGATATTTTCTGCAGTAATAGAGGATGCAGTAGGATGTGATCTACTCTCTTTATTTTTAAATTTTTCATTAAGAGTGTACTCTGCATAAGAGGCTGTGCTAGATTTATTGAGGGTTCTATAGGTACAATTATTTAACACGTGAAGAATTATACTTCAAATGATTGCTTGGAGCCAGTCATTGCCTCCCTTCCTAATTCCCACCAGTACCACCATTACTCTTAAGTCCTGTGTCACTTCTCACCTGAAACTCTTGCTGTGGCCTAATAGCATTCTCTAAATCATCCCTGATCCAGTTGTCAGTTAATCTTTCCAAAGCCTGGTTCCATGGTTCCTCTGCTCTAAAACATTAAATGGCTCTTTTTGTAGTTTGCTGAATAAAGGCCATTTGACTTAGATCGCCATCCAAGGCTCTCTGTGACCTATTTTTTTTTAAAGTCTGAATCTTCTTTTTTTTTTTTTTTTTTGAGACGAAGTCTCACTTGTCACCCAGACTGGAGTGCAGTGGCAGGACCTTGGCTCACCAAAACCTCTGTCTCCTGGGTTCAAGTGATTCTCCTGCCTCAGCGTCCCGAGTAGCTGGGATTACAGGTATGCACCACCACGCCTGGCTAATTTTTTTGTGTTTTTAGTAGAGACGGAGTTTCACCATGTTGGCCAGGCTGGTCTTGAACTCCTGGCCTCAAGTGATCCTCCTGCCTCGGCTTCCGAAAGTGGTGGAATTACAGGCGTAAGCCACTGCGCCTGACTCTGAACCATTTTCTTTTGCTTCATCTTCTGGTTTTCCTAATAGAAGATGGTTTCCCATGACTTCAACCAGAAGGTTCTCAAAGTGTGGTCTCTGGACTGGCAGCATCAGCATCACCCAGGAACATGTAGAAATGCAAATTTATGCAAATATGTGACCCAGTCCTGTAATCCTAGCACTTTGGTAGGCCAAGAGTGGTGGCTCATCCCTGTAATCCTAGCACTTTGGGAGGCTGAGGCAGGCAGATCACTTGATGCCAGGAGTTTGAGACCAGCTTGGTTAACATGGTGAAACCTTGCCTCTACTAAAAGTACAAAAATTACCCAGGCATGGTGGTGGGCACCTGTAATCTCAGCTACTTGGGTGGCTGAGACAGGAGAACCACTTGAACCTGGGAAGCAGCGTTTGCAGTGAGCCGTGATTGTACCACTGCACTACAGCCTGGGTGACAGAGTGAGACTGTCTCAAAAAAAAAAACAGAAAAAAAAAAACAAAAAAAAACCAAATTATTGAATTATTGGATCCCCACCACAGACCTACTGACCCACGAACTCTGATGGTAGTACTCACGCATCTGTTCTAAGAAGGCTTCCAGGGGGCCCCGTGCATGCTGACCTTTGGGAGGCCCTATTCCAACCAAACCAGGAAACTCAGGTTTTCCAAAGTTCCTTTCCCACTGCCCTGCCTTTGCATAGAATTCCTGGAATGCCTTTTCGTCATCTTGTTAAAATCCTGGTTAAACTTCAAGGCCTAGTTTGAGACACTATTTCCATGATGTCAGTCTTGATCCTATCTTTTATAGCATTATCTGGTTTTCCTTCCTGGCGCTAATCACTTATTAAATTGTACTAATCATCTGGTGTACCTGCTTTATTTTCCCTACTAATCTGGAAACAAAAATAATAGAACCTGACTCATCTTTCTGCCTTGAGACACCTTGTGCTGTCACTCTTGATGCCTTGCACACAGTAGGTGCTCTAAAAATAGTTTGTGGCTTTTTGATTTTACAGAGAAGACTGAGGAAATTAAACCCTTGCCCAGGAGGCATATAAAAATCCTGTTAAATGAAAGAGGCTCATGCTAACTATTGTTTTGACTTATTGATGCCAAACTAGACTTGAACATTGATGTGTCTTCAGGGAAGAAGCCAAATATGCTAGTGTAAAAAATTCTAACCTCTGCTATTTACCTGGAGAAGTTGAATTAGCCCTGTCATTTCAACTGATGCCAAAAAAGCAGCTTCCATTATTGTGTCAGTAATAGACTTTTATCCTGCATGGAGGAACTTCTCTTAAATCTTTCTCATAGCACTGGTGTGCTTCTTTGCACTGATGTATTTACGTAATGTTTCATAAGAAGTGACAGTTCCTTTTTTAGGTCTTTGCCCAAAAGGTGGCATAAGCAAAGAATGAAAGTCAAGGTGGTTGGCTTTAGGAGAGCCTAAAATTGGGAATGCGAGAGCTCCCACGTAACACAAACCCGGATAGTCTAAGACTCCTACATTTTACAAACCAAGTTATTTCCTTCCTAATACAAACAAAGTATGACAGTTACAATTTATTGTGTATTTACAATGGATTGTGTCTGTCATGGTGATTGTGATGGAACCAGGGGGGAAAGAGTAAGAAATCTAAGCACTTTTGTGTTTTCTTCCTTTTCTTTTCTCTTCCTCCCCGCTTTCAGGCTCTGAAAGTGTTCCAGCTGAAATTTCAGATCGGACAGACTCGCTGCGGCTCCGGAGGCAGTGATTCCAAGCTGCTCGCGCACGCTGCTGCCAAGCTGCAGGATGGTGCACGTAGCCAGGCTGCTGCTGCTGCTCCTCACTTTCTTCCTCCGCACGGATGCTGAGAGTAAGCCATTCTCCCCTTCTCTAGGGGGCTGTGACCATAATGAGTGGTTTTGTTTGCAGTTGGCACCAGGCTCAGGGCCTCTGAATACATTTCCTTTGGAAGTAAATCCTGAGACACTGCGGGATCCTCCTTGGCTACCAGCCAGCCTTTGAAAGAGATTATTGACGTGACTTCCTCACCATTTCCTCTCCGTTTTAATGCCCCTTTTCTTGTGCATCTAACTGCTCCTCCTGTTTATTTATTTTTTTATACCTCTTATCAGCCTGGTAGCAAAGATATTATGAGACCAAGGATATAACTCAAACTGAGGTTAACCAGTTGGTGGTGCCAATAAGTAAACATTGTTCAGACCCACTCAAAATTTCTTTATTTTTGTGGATCATTCCGTGTTTAGAAAAATGCACAATGTCACAATGAGCCTAATTAAACTTCCAAGCCCCTTGTAGCTGTCATAGCAGCTGTTCTAATGTACTGTTTCCGACAGCTGTCGTCGAGTACAGTATTGAAACAAATCAAGCAGAACTGACAACTTTGTGGCTGGATGAAGGGTCTGGAAGTATGAGGAGAATTCTGTGGACTAGAGACACCAAAGCTTGGATTACTGGACTCAATTTATGAAACTGCTATTGTGGTCCATTAACTTGACAATTAATGAGAAGATCACATCTTCCTAATTAGGAAATCATTAGGTCTACCTTGTTTACCTGCATTTATTTTCCCATCTGTCCTGTGGCTTTTTGGAAGAGATAGTATTGGAGAAAGGCATGTCTCGGCCTTGTACTCCCTGACATGTGTGGTTCCTTGGTAGTGGTTTAGTTCATACATGAGTTAGCCATTTTCTTTGGGAATCACCTAGTATGAGTAAAATGTGTGACATCTGCAGTCATTAACATTTCTCTCCACTATTTCAGTGAGATTAAATTTGACTCATGTTAAGGATGTTTCCAAGACAAGTATCCTGTGTCATCTTGGCCCCTTTCTATTAATTGCATTTTGACAGGAATTCCCTCACGAGCCACCAATTGCTTCATGGAAATAGGAGCTCTATTTTCTAAAGAGGTATTTTGAGAAGTGAAAGGAATAACATTAATAAGAAGATACATATGTAATATGCATGTTTTAAGCACAACATTCTCTGGTTAATAATGTATATAGTTTCCTAATTAGCACTTGGGAGTGTCAACTTAAGGTGAAGCCAAGGAATTTCGAGTCTAATGCCAGCAAATAATTAACTGGGAAAAGACCCAAATGTTAGATGTTCTTGTTATTTTAAAGCCATTTATGTCAAAGCTTATTTTAAAGGTGTAATCTAAATTTAGTTTATTAAAGAGAAATTGAGACTATGGTTTTATTATTTTTGTTTGGCTAGAGTGCAAAAGTAAGTTGTTTCACCATTGTTAATTTTTGGCAAAAGCCCATTTAGACCCTGGGAGCCCAGTTTAATGTCAGATCACAGCTAGAGTTTTTCTTAAAGTTACTAGATATAATTATTGTACGTCCATGAAGTTATATTTCCAGATAACTAAAAATGTTCTTCTACTGAGGAGTGATGCCTTTGCTTAATTCTCTGGTGAAAAGTGGCAGACAGATGTGGAGTTTAGAAAGGAAGACTTTTAAAATTGTGTTTGAAAAAACAATCTTTTCTGCAGATAACCGTCATCTTACTGGTTTTCTCCTCCATCTTCCTCTCGTTCTTCTTCATCACACTTCTTATGCTGTGTAGTCTTACAAAAGAAATCACAAAGGCCCTTGTTAGCAATTTTTAGTTAAGATATTTATCATGCTGTATGTTTTGTGATACCAGCTTTCAACCTTAAGATGTCCCTTGAAAAAGAATCTACTCCCTCTCACTCCTCCCATTATAGCTAAAAAGAGGAAGCAGGCTTCAACTTGGCCAAATCAATTTTGATTAGCTTTGTCCTTGTCTAATCAGCCTCCATGTAGTATATTTTCCTTTTCACAGATTCATTTGGCACTCTTGAATAGCATGTGTATTCTGAAAGTTATTGACGAAAGAGGAAAATTTAACCATATCTTTTAAGGTACATTTTAAAAGAAGAAGGGACATCCATTTGCAATCTACCAGAAGATACCTGTGGTTTGTGAAAGCACATGGTAGAGTCGGAGATATCATTTTAGTCACTAAAAATGTTTAAAAACAATTGGTAAAATAGGATCCAGATTATAACTTATCAAATACTGTCATTACCTTTTCTTCAAACACTGAAATAAAAATAAAGTTATAAGTAACACTACAGAAAAATTTGATTTATTCACTATCATATATAAAGATAATATTTTTCAGGCTTTTATTGCCTGGGTCACTGATTTGTTTTCTTATGCCTTCATTAGCACATCTAGCCTTCTTTGTTTTCCCTTTTACCTAACTGTGTTTCGTATTGATCCAAAGGATCAAGAGTTATTAATAGTAGCTTGTCAGAGTCATTTTAGAACTCTGAAATAATTTTTTCAAATGTTTGTCCTCCTTTGAAAAAGAAGACCATATGGGGATGGGAATGGAAAGAAACCACTCTAGTTTGCCATGTTAATTTAATGTGTCCAACTCACTCTCTTTTGAAATGATTAACTCCAAAAAGCCTGAGAGTCAGGGTTATAATCTGCTGTATAGAATGTCATAGCAAAGTACTGGGTGTGATGTTGCATTAAGGAGGAGGGCTCTTATAAGCCTTGGTTCAAACCTAGGTTGGAAAATTGTGATAATATCCCTCAGCAGAAAATTATAGTCTTTGCCATTGCCAGTTTAAAATGCCTTGTATATCCACTATTATTTGAAAAAGCTAGACGTGTGTTTGTATCTGATTTCTGTTCATTCCGGTGTCTTGAATGGCCCAGATGATTTTGCTTGTTGTTTCTTGAATGCATGTCTGGACAGTAGAGCTGTGATCTCAGGGAAGGGCATATGCGACTTCTGTTCGAGCAGCATGAGTAAGCTCTTCTTCAGGGCTGGCCAACCAGTTTTGTGGTTTAGGTAGTGCTCCGAGAACCATTCGGCTGTAAGATGCATGCAGATTAAAGATTCATATAGATTATAGTAATGTAATCCTCAGGTGAATGTTTTTCTTCTGGATGAGTTTTCATAATAGCTTCTGTTAGTTGTATTTCATACATAAATTTCGTTTGCTATTTACCAGTCTTTAAAAAAGAAAAACTAAATGCAGACCAAGAACCTACTGTTAGCATCTTCTTTGTCAGACCAGTTTCACTCTAACGAAATCACTTGTAGCATACTGTTACATTCTAGACCTGAGTTTACACTGTGGTCATTATAATTAAACCTGAATGTTTACCTGATCTCAGAAATAGAACATTTTTTTTAAATTGTAGAGACACACTCTTCATAATTTAATTCCTCAGATGGTTTAGTTCATCCATTTACTTGTTGCTTTTTGTCATTTTTCCACTTCAGATTGTGAATACTTCTTCATTCTCCTTCCTTATTGTTAAAGAGCCTTGCTGTAGTCACTATATACTCGCAATATTTCTTTCTTTTTTTTTCTTTTTTTGAGACAGAGTCTCGCTCAGTCGCCTAGGCTGGAGTGCAGTGGCGCGATCTCGGCTCAGTGCAAGCTCCGCCTCCTGGGTTCACGCCATTCTCCTGTCTCAGCCTCCGGAGTAGCTGGGACTACAGGTGCCCGCCACCTCGCCCGGCTAATTTTCTGTATATTTAGTAGAGACGGGGTTTCACTGTGTTAGCCAGGATGGTCTTGATCTCCTCACCTCGTGATCCACCCATCTTGGCCTCCCAAAGTGCTGGGATTACAGGCGTGAGCCACCACGCCCGGCCTATACTCACAATATTTCTGTCTTTTATGGAAGCAGTGAGTCCCTCCTCAAACCCCTTTGGTATTATATCACTGTAGACCATGGAGTTTCTTTATTTCTTTGACATTAGAGCATAGACTGACATCTGTGTTGTAAGATAATCATTTGCTATCTTAAGTATTTCCTGATGGGCAGCATAGAGTAGTGGTTAAGAATGTGAGCTCTGAAGCCATAGTCTGGTTTTGAAGTCTGGCTGTGATTTGGTAAATCATGCTTTTAGCCTCAGTTTCCCATATCTTTGTCATTTTGATCAATCTTGCTCTTTGCTTCAGTTTTCCTATTTTTAAAATGTGGATGACGGTGATGGTCATGATATAATACTCCTGGGTTTTGCGAGGATTTGCTGAATTAAAAGAAAACTCATAGATTAGCAGATAACACAAGGTAGGTGTTTCGTGAATGTTAGCTGTTATTATATCATTATTCAACAAGATTTAGCAAACAGTTTTATTGAGCACGTGTGAAGCACTGTGCTAATTTTTTTTTTTAATTTGACCTAGAGGTTATCAAAATTTGGGTGGTGGATAAGCCAGGTTTTCTTGTAGCAAGTTAAAGTCTCCAGCTTGCTTCTCTGCAAAGTCCTATATGTAGGAGTTCTTATAAACCCTTGCTTCCGGGCATTAAATTGAAGATCAAGAGGGGAAATATGAAGCATATCTACTTTAGTCTAAAGTGGTTAAAAAAAGGCTTCTTAGAATTACACATTTAAAATTAATTTGGCTTGGGTAGAATGGATAGTAGAAGGCGTTTCCTCTGTTTGTACGGTTGCCTCTTACATACATTTTATTGAGCAGCTCACAGGAAGGAACTATAGAAATTTACTGTAGGTAAACACAGTAATACAGTGCCTCTTCAGAAAGCTGAAGGTAGGGGGTGAGCTTGGTGAGAAAGAGAGTGAGTGGCCATTGATATGACCAGGAATTATCTTGCAGGAAAAAAATACATTTTTTAGTTTTTTTGAGACAGTCTCACTCTGTTGCCCAGGCTGGAGTGCAGTGGTGTGATCTTGGCTCACTGCAACCTCCACCTCTGGGGTTCCAGCAATCCTCTTGCCTCAGCCTCCCGAGTAGCTGGGATTACAGGCCCCTGCCACCATGCCCGGCTAATTTTTGTGTTTTTAATAAATACGGGGTTTCACCATGTTGGCCAGGCTGGTCTCGAACTTCGAACCTCAAATCATCCACTTGCCTCAGCCTCCTAAAGTGCTGGTATTACAGGTGTGAGCCGCCGTGCCAGCCAAAAACATTTTTTTAAAGGAATAGGAAAATGATGATGTTGAAAGCAGGGCAAATGATTGCATCTTGCAGAAATTGGCGAGATCTTCCCAAAAAAGTTAGGAAAGGAAAGGATAACTTTCTTATATTATTAAAATGCATACATTTCAGTAGGCAGAGTCAGTTTACACCAGAAACATATCTTATTAAAAAGATTTTGGTTTTTGCCATGTGTGGTGGCTCACGCCTGTAATTCCAGCACATTGGGAGACTGAGGCAGGAGGATCATTTGAGGACAGGAGTTCAAGATCAGCCTGGACAACATAGCAAGACCTCATCTGCACAAAAATTCTTAGAAAGTAAAATAAAAATGTCTTTTTGTTTTTGTTTTAGATTATGAGTGTTATCTCTATCATTTAAGTATCCTTTAAAAGATAAATTGCTTGGGATGATGAAAATGTTCTTTTTTTTCGAGATGGAGTTTTGCTCTTGTTACCCAGGCTGGGGTGCAATGGCACGATCTTGGCTCATCGCAACCTCCGCCTCCTCGGTTCAAGCGATTCTCCTGCGTCAGCCTCTCTAGTAGCTGGGATTACAGGCGTGTGCCACCACACCTGGCTAATTTTTTTGTGTTTTTAGTAGAGACAGGGTTTCTCCATATTGGTCAGGCTGGTCTCGAACTCCCGACCTCAGGTGATCCGCCCGCCGTGGCCTCCCAAATTGCTGGGATTACAGGCATGAGCCACTGCGCCTGGCCTCAAAAATGTTCTTAAGTTAGATTAGAGTGTTGGTACTGAGTATAAACATAATATACTAAATACCATTGAATTGTATACTTTAAATGGGAGAACTTTATGGTATTTGAATTATATCTCACTAAAGCTGTTAAAACAAGGAAAAAAAACAGCCAGTTGTGGTGGCACATATCTGTAGTCCTAGCTACTTGGGAGGTTGAAGAGGGAGGATTGCTTGAGCCCAGTTTAAGGCCATAGTGACCTAGGATGACATCACTGCACTGCAGCCGTGTGACAGAGAGAGACTCTGTCTCAAAACAAACAAACAAACAAACAAACAAACAAAAAACACCTAAACCAAAACAAAAAGCAATTTCTGCTTACCCTAGTTCTTTGGTTAGAGTCCCTTTAGTATATGCAATCTGAAAGTAACCTGTATGTTTACATGATAAACACGTAGCCATGTTTATCAGCCTTCATTGTTTCTCTTTTCTCTAAATTAGTAGAGGTGTGGCAAAATTACTCCCTCTTCCTTCCTCCCCTCACTTTAAAGTAGCTAAATTAGCAGCATCCAGCTGTCTGAAGCAAGGAAAGTATTCCAGCTATTTTACTGATCCTTTAGCCTCATTGTGGAGTTTCTGTGGCTTTTTGAATTAATTGCTCCCAGCAGAGCTGTAGCTACCTAGTAAGATTAAGACTCTGTCACAAAATCAACACGTGTACATTTCAAAGCATTTTTTATTGAGTATAGTAGGACTTGCTTTTTTAAACAATTCCAAAGTGTGACCTGTTTGTTATCTCTATTTGGGAATAGGCCCTAAACTCTAAGGATGGAACAATTATCAACAGTATTTGTGAACTAATTCTTATTATTTGTAATAGTCTGGTGGTATTTGATTCTACTGTTGTGTGATCTCCTGGTTTTATTCCCTTAACATTCTTAACTTCTTTAATTTTCCTCTCATTCTGTTTCTATGTACCTGATCTACTTCTTTTTCTTTTCCCTTTCTTTTTTGAGACAGGGTCTGGCTCTGCTGCCCAGGCTGGAGTAGTGCAGTGGCACAGTCTCCGCTCACTGCAACCTCCACTTCCTGGGCTCAAGTCATCCTCTCACCTCAGCCTCCCTAGTAGCTGGAACTACAGGCACGCGCCACCATGCTTAGCTAATCTTTTTTTTTTTTTTTTCTTGAGATGGAGTCTCACTCTGTCACCGAGGCTGGAGTGCAGTGGCACCATGTTGGCTCACTGCAAACTCCATCTCCTGGGTTCAAGCAATTCTCCTGCCTTAGCCTCCCAAGTAGCTGGGATTACAGGTGCCCACCACCACACCTGGCTGTCATATATATATATATATATATATATATATATATATATATATATATATATATATATATATATATTTTTTTTTTTTTTTTTTTTAGTAGAGACCGAGTTTCTCCATGTTGGCCAGGCTGGTCTCGAACTCCTGACTTCAGGGGATCCACCTGCCTCAGCCTCCCAAAGTGCTGGAATTATAGGCGTTAGCCACCACACCCGGCCTTCTTGGCTAATTTTTATATTTTTTTGTAGAGATGGTTTTACCATCTTGCCCAGGCTGGTCTCGAACTCCTGAGCTCAAGTGATCTGCCAGCCTTGGCTTCCCAAAGTGCTGGGATTATAGTCGTGAGCCACCACACCCAGCTGTACCTGACCCATTTCAAGTAACCTTGACTTGGTTGGGAGCCCCATCCCCTCCTGCCTACGTAGATGTGTTTCTTGTTAATTCAGAAACTCCAAGCCAGCCTCTATCATGAAGTGAAGAATTAAAGAGAAAGGTCCTGTGATTGGATGGAGATACCATTTTAGAACCAATTCTTTAACCTAAAATTTAGTATATTCTTTTTTCTTCAGTTTGCTTTAGCTTCACTTATTTCTTCACTAAACTGTGTGTGTGTGTGTGTGTGTGTGTGTGTGTGTGTGTGTCTGTCTGTCTGTCTGTCTGCTATGTGGAAAGCTCTGTGTGAAGTGGTGGGAATATAAAAATTTTAAACAGTGTGGGCCTACACCAGCCTGTAATCTATCTTCAGAATTCATAGCTAGTGTTTAGGATGCTCTCAAGCAATCTTCTCAGACTTTGTCTCTCGGCAGTAAGTAATGCATAAAGAATGTGGACCCTGGAGCAGAGTGCTTGTGTTCAAGTCCTGCTTCTGCTGTATAATTACTCTGACCACAGACAGGGTACAAATCTCTATGTGTCTCTCATCTGTAAAATGAAGATAAATATAGCACACACTTGATACAGTTATCACAAGGACTAAGGAAATAACTGTTTGTAAAGCATTTTGAATAATAGGATTAAATATTCACTAAATGTTGTTAGTTGCTATTATGCCTTTTTTTCTCATTAGTTTGTGTCATTTCCAAATTAGAAGCATCTTTGTTTAGATCTCTGTTGGCATATATTATCCCATTAACTTCACAATTTGAGCAGAATCTTTTTAAAATGTAAATATGTATATTTATATACATTTATGATTTCAAGGGACATTGACTGATTGGCTCATTCATGTCTTTCACAGTCCCATTAATAAATGTTTATTGGACACATTTCCCGTGCCAAGCATTGAGTTAACTACTGAGGATAAAATGTGGATTAAAAGCAATATGATCCCTGCCCCTAAAAAGCTTAAACTCTAGTGGCATAGCCAAATATTTAACATTAATTTTTAAAATTTACATTTTCTAACAGTAACAAGCATTAAAGGGAAGAAAATAAGCAGCCAAGTGGCTCATCTGTTCTGAAAAGTAATCCACAGCTTTCCTGAGGGAGTGATTTATTTTTTCTATTTTGAAATAATTTTACACTTAAAAGACATTACAACAATCATACAGGAATTTTCCATGTAGCTTTCATTCAGTTTTCCTAATATTAATATATTACATAATGACAGTACATTATCAAAACCAGGAAGTTAACATTTGCACAGTACTGTTAACTAAACTACATGTGTTATTTAGATTTTACCAGTTTTTACATGCACTTATTTTTAGCTATTATTATTATTTATTTTGGACACAGGGTCTCACTCTGTTATCCAGGCTGGAGTGCAGTGACGCGATCTCGGCTCACTGCACCTTCTGCCTCCTGGGCTCGGGTGATCCTCCCACTTCAGCATCACTAGTAGCTGGGATTACTGGCACGTGCCGTCACGTCCGGCTAATTTTTGTATTTTTTTTTTTTAGAGATGGGGTTTCCTCATGTTGCCCAGGCTGGTCTCAGAATCCTGGGCTCAAGCTCTCCACCCACCTTGGCCTCCCGACGTGCTGAGATTACAGACATGATAAAAATAAATGAGCCTGGCTAAGTGGTGGAGACTGGGTAAGACAAGGCTCCATAAACCTTGTTCAAAATCTTGGTTTTTATTCTATGAACTGCAGGAATCACTGACTTATTTTTAAGCTGCTATAGGAAGACATTTACAACTTTAAAAGAGCAATGAGGCAGCATGGTGGAAAAATTCTTTGGAGGGAGGCCAGCCAGAGTGGCCTTGAGATCTGTTAAGAGGCTAGTTGGAAGTTACGGAGTAGATGTGGTACAAGGGACCAGGGTGATAGAGGTTTAAGGAGGCTAGACTGCTTGACACTTAAACATTTTTTAAAATTGACCTTTGTGAAGAAGCATTATTCTAAAACTGAACCACCAACAGATTGTTAAAATTTAGAGTGAAGGAGAAAACCATGTTAAGAAGGGACCTAAAGTGTATTCAGTACCTTATAAGTAATCCTTTGTTTTTAACATGGCATTTAAAAAATTCCCCCCAAATTTATCTTTACTCAGTCTTGTAATTTCACTTTTTAATCATGAAGTTCAGATAGTTTTATCTAAACTTATCTTTTTGTTAATATCTGTTAAAAATGTGGAATCCAGAATCAGTTTAAAACAATGAAGTTCAGTGCCTTACTACAAAAGACATTACAATTTAGCTTTGTTCTCTCATAAAAGTTTTAAATTCACTGTACAATTTGCAATAGGTTTTCAAAAATCAACATAGTACTGTGGCAGTTATTTACAGTAACTACAGTTATTAAATGTGGCTTTAAGATACACTAAGTACTTAAATCGTCAGTTTAAAAAATAGCACACAATCTATTCCTTTTAAGCTAAAAATACGGAAAGTATAACAAATCTACTAAACCAAGTATGTTTTCTTAGTTTTTTTGTGTGTAAAGATAAATATATAGAGAAACATATACTTAAACCTTTTTAAGATGCTTATAAAGGAGTGAGAGAAAAATAAAATGCCATTGTTTGTCACTAAAAGTCATTTAAACCTTTAATCTACAGTGATTTTAGGTTGATAGAAACTCCTCTAATATCTATACTTATCTTTTAAAACAAATTTCAGTAACATTTCATTTAAAAGTAATAATACTTTTCATTCAGCGCATGACTACAGTGTGCCTCCAATAAGCCAGATCCAGATTCCTGTTACCACAGACTTTATATTCTAGTTGGGATGTTGTGGAGAAAGGAGCAGTGCAGCAAGACATGGCTATGGGCAACAAGTCACTGAACGGCGTGACTTTGGAGAGTGATAAATGCTGCAAAGATCGTAAAACAGCATGATGTAATATGAGAGTAAGAGAGGATATGAAGGGAGAGGATAGGTCTTGGTTTGGTTTGTCATATGTCAAGGAAGGTGTTACTGAGTGAGATACAACACTTGAGCCGAAGAATGGGAAGGGTCCAGCTATGAAAAAATGGAGTTCAGAGCATCCAGGCAGATGGGGGAATGAGTGTAAAGACCTTAGTGCAAGGAGGGAGCCTAGTGTGTTCAAAGGACAAAATAAGGTCCAGGAGACACATCATGGGGCCCTGGAGGTCGTATAAAGGGTTCGGATTGCTGGGCTAGGTATAGGAGAGTATGTAGGGAAACACATATATTATTGGGACATCTATTTATTAAACTTGAATTAGGTACTACTGTTCTCTACTAGGACAAAATGTGTATATATTTTTCCACAAATAGTGCATTGAAGGTTTGATACAACCTCCTGATCAAGTTATAAACTCACTGTCTAAACAGCTTAACTGAAATTTTCTTTGCACCAGCCGATATAGACTTGCAACACCAAAGACTTTGGTAAATAAAAGCACAAATGTCTGCTTTTAGCTCGTTATCTCTGGTCAGTTTTATTTTTCTTTTAAAGCAGATGATAGTTTTACATTGGAAACATGCAATTAAGTCTACACTTTCCTTCATCAATATCCATAGCTGCAGATAGTGAAGGACGGTACATTTGTAAAGTAAGGCTGTTATTGGAGGGTGATGGTCAACATAGAATTGCAGGGAAGAAAGGAACTTCAATAGGGCTTTTCCCTATATGCTTCCATTTTGTCAAAATTACAGCAATAGGATTCCTAAGTGATTTGTTGAAGTCCCTATATAGATTAAAGCTTTTTAATAAAATATTTCCTGGTAAACTTCTTCCATTTAAGAAAAAAAAAAACCCTTTATTGTTTATATGATTTAACATATTTGGATTTATTTTAAGACCAATGGGAATGTAAGGTAATACATAAAATGATTATTAAACCATAACTTAAATGTTTTCTCTAAAATAGTACATGGTGTTAGTAACCAGATTTGCCTTAAATAATGGCTCCCTTGCCTACCAGGAGCAATTTTCTCAATTCTCCTGGGAGGATAATTGAGAATAGGTAGGAGAATTCTGACCCTTTGGCAATGCTCACAGCTCTCACAGGCTCCTGTGAAGTTTAAATGAGATCCTGAATGTGAAGTCCTGTGAGGTTCAGTTTTCATTCTGTTCTTTCTCTCTGTACACACACACACACACACACACACACACACACACACACACACAGAGTAATACTTAATGTATGGAGAAATCAGCTATTTAACATTTTTGACCTATTGAGATGATTTTTCTTATCAAGGAATTCTACTCAGGAAGCAGCTTACAGTCCAGTTGTGACAACCCAGTGGTCTCTCAACATTGAGAACTGTCCCCTGAGGGGGGCAAAATCACCCAATTGAGAACCACTGATGTTGCTTGTGAAAGCTTTGGAACAGAAGGTTGGAGCAGAGGTTAGGAGAGATAGATAATGCCCTTCTAATTAATATGGGGTTTGGAAGGGAGAAATTTTGTTAGAAATATGATAGACCTTTCACAAGCTCTTGAAATCAGCTGTGCGAATTGGGAAAGAGAAATCGTAGTTCTGTGTAATATCTGTAAAACCAGAAGCAGATTGCCTTATCACTTTATGTCTCAGTTTTTGTTGTCTGGAGTATTAGATGATAATTATAGGATTGCTGTAAAGACAAAAGCAGGTTAAGCAATGTAAGGTGTTTAGTACTATGCCTTGCACATAGTAAATGCTAAATAAACATTAGCCATTATTATAAACTATTTTATGGTATATTAATTTTGTTAATATTTTATTTTTATCAATAAAATTAATTTTATCTTAATTAATTACCACAGTGATTGTGATACCTTTCACTTGAATACTTGAATAATGATTTAAACACTTTATCTTTCTTTTTTTTTTTTTTTTGAAATGGAGTCTCACTCAGTCGTCCAGACTGGAGTGCAGTGGTGTGATCTCGGCTCACTGCAACCTCTGACTCCTAGGTTCAAGCGATTCTTGTGCCTCAGCCTCTCGAGTAGCTAGGATTACAGGCATGTGCCACCATGCCTGACTAATTTTTGCATTATTAGTAGGGATGGGGTTTTTGCCATGTTGGGCAGGCTAGTCTCGAACTCCTGACCTCAGATGATCCCCCTGCCTCGGCTTCCCAAAGTGTTGGGATAACAGGTGTGAGCCACTACGCCCAGCCAGTTTAAACACTTTATCTTCTTAATCTCATTTGTTCCTGAATATTCTAAGTGTAGGCAACATAATTTTTATCCTCCTCACTTCTCAGATTAAAAAAAAAAAAAAAAATCCAAGGGTCAGAGTAGATGACCTGCCTAGAGCAAAAAGGTGAATAGGTGATGGGGAAGGACCTAAAACACACACTCATGATTCCCTGTCCAGAGAAGAGGCAGAACAGCTGAAAAGAGCAGGCAAGAGAGCTCAAAATGCACAGCAGCCAGAGGGCCCAAGAGATGCCAGTGGGCATCAGGTCCAGAGTTATCCAGGTTCATTGTAGTTACTATGCCCCTCATTGATAGTCATCTTCAGGCCCTAGAGTCATGGAGGAAAGTTATGTCACAGTCACAGCTTACACACTGTGTAAGAATTGAGAAGCACTGAGTGGCTTTTAGAATGGCTTCTAATTTCAATTAAAAAAAAACACATCAATTTGGAAATTTTTGATTTCTGTGTGACTAGTGTTTCACTATAAAATGATTTCCATTCTTTTATTAGGCTTTCTTGTTCTTATTTGTCAATTTGATTATAAATTGTCAGCAGTAAGGTCTGCTTTCAAGATTTTGTCATTGTGATCATGTTGTCACTTTTTACTCATCATCATGGTGTGGTAAATTGGAAATCATGGCCAAAATATTTTACAGTTCCTCTCATCAAGGTGCAGTCCGTTTCCCCACTCCTTGAATGTGGGTTAGTCCCCTGACTGGCTTTGATCAGTAATAGGAGGGTGCAGAAGTGGTAGTACACCAGCTCTGGGCCTGGCCCTTCAGCAGCCTGGAAGCTTCTACTTTCACTCTCTGACATATTGAGTCATCATAGCAAGATGCTCAACTGCCCTGCTGAAGGGACCCCACAGAGAGGGAGAAATACTCAGCCAGCCCACACCTGTTGCAGCTGTCCCAGGTGAGGAGCTAGATATAAGAGCCAAGCCATCTTGGCATTCCAGCCAGAGTCCAGCCTCTTCTTCATGACTATAAGCCATATGAGTGACCACATGGGAGGTGGAGTTTAAAATCTTCTAGCTGAGGCCTGGAGGGAAGAATCATGTGCAAAGAAATCTTTGCCTTAAGCCATTTTTGAAGGGGTTTTTAACACAGCAATAAATAGCTGAAACACATGGTGATTACTGTTATCAAAATGAAGCATCTACCAGCTTGAGGAACAATCTTAGACCTGCAGTTTCCTCTGGAACTGTAACACAGATGGTATTCTAGATAACACACTTTTAAATGCAAGGTTTTTTTTTTTTCTTTTTCTTTTTTTTAGAGTAAATGAACACATTGATATACATTAGCTAAAGCCCTACTTGGCGCTAACATTTTAAAAGCCTTATACATTTTGCATGCCTTTTGACCAGAGGTCAGCAAATGTTTTCTGTAAAGAGCTATATGGTAAATATTGTTGGCTTTGTGGGTCTCTATCACAGCTATTCAACTCTGCCACTGTAACAAGAAAGTAGCCACAGCCAATACAAAATAAATGGGTAAAACAGTATTCCAATAAAACTTTATTTAAAAATACGTGCAGTGGGCCAGATTGTTCAAGAGTCCTAGTTTGATCACTCCTGCTTTTGACCTTACTCACCTGCAACTCCTCATCAGACAGGAGAAAGTGGAGAATATCAGCAAAGGACCTTGTTTAACCTGATGAAGTTAGTTAAAGGGAAGAGATTAGTTTGATTAGCCTCCTTTATCACTTTGCTTTGTTAGTAATGTTTATTGGGAGCAGATTAATTAGAAGAAATATGTTCAAGGAGCACATCTCTTGATAAACATAGATGTCTAATGGCGCTTAACCTTTAAAATGTATGCAGAAAAAGCTTTGCATGTTATTGCTCTTCATGTCTTTTGGGGGTGCTTCAGGTATTCAGCTGTTAGTGCCATTTCAAATTGCAAACTCCTGAAAAATGAATAATTTATCAGCTGAGGGATAGTTTTCATTGCACGGTGTGCCTGACATTTGGAGCTATGAACATCTTAAAAAAGAGGAAAAAAGTGCTGGAAAGTATTACATTTGCTTGGAAAGTTGTAAGGGGTCTGTGAAGAAACAGTTTGTAATCATGGGTCTCGAAGCCTGAGATTGGTTTCATAAAGGCAAATAAAAGCACAAAAGTCATGGTGAATTTGATCACATTATAGATGCTTCTGGTGTAGATATACTCTGTACCATTTTGGTGCTTATAAATCAAAAGCAAAATAAAACTAATGAGAAAACACCATTGATCCAGCAGCAAACGCTCGGAAATAACACTACGCTCCATCGTGCCAGCAAACTGAAACGCTTTTGTGGGAGGTGGGAATGAGAAGGTTCAGAATTGGAATCCCTGGCTCACGTGGGAAAATTTAAGAACGAACTATGGTCAGCTTGTCCTGGCAGTAAATAGGAGGCACACGTTTCTGCAGATGTAGGAAGGGCATACCTATATTCTTGTAAGGACTGAGGTTGTTTAGAATTGTATAGAGAAGGCGGACTAATTAGATTAAACAAAACTCTTGGCTTAATATGAAGGAAAATGACTAATAGTTAAGTCTATTCAACTATGGTGTAAACTCTCAGGGGAAAGAGTGAGAGCCCCACAGCATGACTCATTTGATGTAAGCAGCAGAAACCACTGTGGAGAACTACTATTTCTGAAATAATCCAAACTACATCAGAAAAGGTTATAAAAAGACTATTTAGCAACTGAACAACACATACTTCTTTTTCATTTCAATTGTTGTGATTTGGAGTGAGAGGGAAACGAGGGGTATTATGATAATTATAATAAAACAGTTACTTGCGTTCTGAGATCTAGTTTCTCTAGAGAGCTTGTAGTTTAACAAATGAATCTGACACCCCTACTGGGCAGGGAATAATTGGCTTAAATCCCTTTGGTGTATTTACTCAGGCCACTAGATTGCTTTTTCTAGCCTGAAGAAAGCTTTGACAAATTATGATCACCAACATTTTGCTAGCCCAAAAAGTGCTTTCTGATTTTCCAGCTTTACAAGCATTCTCCCCTTCTCCCTTTCTTACTTCACAGCTTTGCCTTTCAGGTCTCACCTCCTCTTCCAGGTCCATCTTTTTCTGCTGTCTTCATCCACTCTTATTTAGTGCTCACTATGTTGCAGGCATTTGAGTTACAAGGAAGATAGACCCAAGTCACTGCTGTCAGACTAGTGGTAAAGATAATTATAATAAAGGGAATTCAGGGCAGGAGGTAGATATATGCACAGGATGCTACCAGGAGCGGGTTCCTTATTGGAATTTACAGGGAATGTTCATAGGTGTGCCGGAGACAGAGAAATTGTGGAGGGCATTAAGGCAAAGCTAATGATCTTGGAACTTGTCCGGTAAAACGGTGATTCTCAACTTGATAAAACATCAGAATCACTTGGAATAGAATGTAGACATGTAGGCCCCACACCAACTAATTTAATAAAAACATGTGAAGGTGAGGATCAAGCATAGCTAATTTAAAAAATGCCCCTCAGTTTATTCTCAAGTGAGGCTGAGTATTACAAATTACTAGGGAACCCAGTGAAAGTTTTAAACTGGGAAGTGTTGTGGCCTGACTTGAATTTTCAATAGGTCACTGGCAGCTATGTGGAGGATGCGTTGGAGGGTGGAAGACCAGTTAGGAGACTGCTGTGAAGTCAAATAGAATGAGGGTCTTGAGGATCTGAACTGTATTTTTGAATATGGGATACCAAAGGACCCTATACAAAACTTATTCAAGAGGTGGAATTTGCAGGATGTCATGATGAGTTGACTTTATAAGTGCTTGATGAGTCATAGAAGGGACAGCCAGAGAGGATGAGACGTAGGTTGGGGAGGATACACTTTGTGTATTTCTCTTCCATCCCTGCTTCTCCCCCCAACACACCTAATGCACATTGATACGGTTTTTGTGTCTCTCCTAGAGGTATCATAGTTTTCATATGTTACTTTTAGATGTATTTGTCTAACTTTTCTTTCTTTAATTCTTTTTTGAGACAGTGACACACTCTGTCACCCAGGATGGGGTACAGGTGCAACCCCTGCCTTCTGGGCTCAAGGACATCAGCCTCCCCAGTAGCTGGGATTACAGGCACATGCCACCATGCCTGGTTAATTTTTTGTATTATTTTGTAGACAAGGGGTTTTGCCACGTTGTCTAGGCTGGTCTTGAACTCTTGGGCTTAAGCTATTTGCTCCCCTTAGCCTCCCAGAGTGCCCAGCCTAAAATTTTCAATTCTCATACAAGTTTATTTATTCATCTCAGATTCTGCCTCACCCCCAACCCCCTACATTCCAATACTGGGCCTTCCATACAGCCAGTGACCAGGAGAGTAACATTCATTATTGAGGTAGGCCAGTTCAACTGTTTCGAAAGTTTGTGTTGTATCTCATGAGGGAAGCCACCACCCATTCTCTTCTTCCTATTTGGGAGTGCATGCTCCGGATCCTTTGATTTTCCTAGTGCAGCTTAAAGTCTAGGTTTATATGTGAACCATCCCCTAGGTTTTACAATAATATTGAGGCTAAAGGAAGTACATCTTTGGGATGGATCTCGTCTGCGACTATAGGCTTTCAATCTCTGTGTAGGGCCTCTAGAAATTTGTAGAACTGAAATGAATAAAATTTCTCAATACCAGCAGTTTCCAGCTATTTCTGTGCTTAACAATAGGAAATGTAAGAATTGGCAGCAAACATTTGGGCTGATTCTGTTTGTGTAAAGTGAATTAGAGAATGGATTCTATTACCTAGTATCTTACACTAAAATATGAAGCAGAAGGACACATTTGAAGTACTTTAACCACAATTACATAGATACTTCTAGTGAATGTGAATTTGGGATGATGAATTATTCATTTAAATCCTTTGGTTCTCCTTGTAGGTTCTAACAATGCCAGGTTTACAGACCTTAGGTGTCTCCTAGCCCAAGGGTGGGGAGAGAGGCTCCCCCTCTCTTCTCCTGGTTTCATCCATCCTCTGGAGTCAAGTTATTAGGTTATTAGGTTGGTGCAAAGGTAATTGCGGTTTTCGCAATTAAATAGCTTGGTTGCTGGAGCTCCTTTTTTCTCTTAGGGACTGCTGTGGCTACCCAATGTGAAGCCACAGACCTGTTAAGGCTAAAGAGCAGGTGAACAGTAGTTCAGCCAGTGAATTAGCATTTCAAGGGCCAGTGCTCCAAAGGGCATTGCCCAAGTGAGCAGCTAAGTAGAAGCAGGAATTTACTCATACTGTAATGTCTGTGTACTATTTCTGTGAAAATGACTTTTGAATTGTCTGAAGGCTAAACATTTGGTGCTAAACTTTAAACTTATCTATTTTGTTGTAATTGTCTCTAGAATGTACTTTGCCTGTCTCAATATTAAAGAGATCAAATGAAACATGATTGCTGCTTGATTATTGAGGTGACACTAATTAGGAATATCAATTTATATTTTTCTCTGTTAAGAGGCCCTGAGGAATGACTGTGGTAGATCGTTGGCCTGACTGTTGCATTTTTGTAGGTCCGTATGTGTTTTATAACTTTAGTTAGAAGAAATATGGTGTGGTGGGAAGAGCATTGGTTTTTAAATAAAATGATCTGAGTTCAAATCCTGTATTTTGCTATTTACTGGATAAGTGGTCTTGGTCAAGTTTGTTAACCTCTCTGAGCATATATATTTTTTAATTTTATGCAGCTTCTATATATTCTACACCTACTGCCCGCCAGCATATCGCTGGATGCTGGTGGTATGATGGCAAGATGGGAACAGGTAGGGTCTGTGCACTCCTGTAGCTTCCAGGCTAATCTTAGGTTGCTCATCTGTGAAATGGGTGTGAGAACCTCATCCTGCAGTTGTTATGTGTTGTGTGAGAATTAACTGGGATAATGTGTTTGAGGTCCTGGCAGCGATTAGAGGCTCATAATTGGTCGATGTAGCTGTAGGATTTGCTTTTTCTGCTGAGCTTAGTTGATGACACCTTCTAATTTGCTACCTTAAATTTACAGCAGCTATTTTTTTTTTTCATAGATCTTTTGTGCATTCACATTTTAACTCACAGATATTGTTCAGGTCTTGGAAGTGTGAGCTTTCTCTCTTTCTTCTTGAATGTCTTGTATATAGGTCCTTAAGCAACTCATTCATTTCAGAGATATTCTTTTTATTCTAGGCTTTTGAGATACAACAGTGACCAAGACAGACAAAAAAAAAAATCTTGCACCATTAAGGTCGCATTCTAGGGGGCTCTAAATTATGAAATTGAACAATAAATACAATATAATAAACAATACAATTGATAAATAGGAAAGTATATTATGTGTTCAAAGGTGACCTAAGTATTATGGTGGGAGAAAGACCAGAGTAAGGGAAATCAGGAGGGTGCATGATGGGGGTGGGTAGGGGTTCAGATGTGATTTAAAATTGGGTAGTCAGGTCAGTGAGAAAGTGACATTTAAGCAAAGATTTGAAGGAGGTAGGGAAGTTAGCCATGGGGAGGAGTATTCCAGGCCAGGAAAACAGCCAGTCCAAAGACCCTAGGGCAGGACCTTGACTAGCAGGTTCTAGGAATAGCAAGGGGAATGAATGGAGAAAATGTAAAGGATTAGGAGAAAAACCTTGTACAGAGATCCTATAATGGGGAGGTATTCTACTGCGCACCAAGCTATCTGGAGGTCAGGCTTCCTGGAAGCAACAGGAGTATTTAGGAGTTTGCTAGTGATGTTGGGATTTAAGAGCCAACAGGCAGAAAAAAAAGCTTGTGCCAAGGCTCAAAGGAATATGACTAGTGTCTGCAAAGGGCAGAATAAAGGAGGCCGTGATATAAAACAAAACAAAACAAAACAAAAAAAAACCCAATAAGCTGTTAAAGGGGAAAGGTAAAGATGATTATATTTGTGCTTTGTTAGGATTACTCTGATTACAATATGGAAAATAATCATTGCTCTTGATGGCACTGATAACTGAGACACAAAAATTTTCTCCTGAAGTGATGGATGTCCAAGAACAAGTAGATTATATAGATCATCTCTTTAGGTTTGTGACCCGCTTCTCATCTGATCCACCTTAGGCTTTAATTAGGGCCGTTATTCATTATTATGGCCAATAGTAAATTTCTTGCCAGGATACTCTGACTTGTAGCATTCTGATAGGACTAACTGATTCAAAGCCTGAAATTGAGTCACTGTGTACCAAGGTCAGGCCTCACTAATTCTCACCATGGTCCTCCAAGTTATGCGTCAGTGGATAAAGATTTTTTTTTTTTTCCACCGGGGCGTTCCTGAGTTTATTTGGGGCGCACCCGGGCGAGGGCCCTGCACCTAGAAGAAGGTGTTGGGCCTCTTGGTGGTGAATCGTGGCTTGTGCTGAAGGCGCAGGACCCGGTGGGGCAGCGGGAACTTGATCTTGCAGTCGTGGAACTGCTTGACAGCCTGCCGGCGTCACTTGCTGGCCGCGATCTCTTCCACCATCATGATCTGAATGGAGTGGGCCCGGGCGCGGTGCCGGGCGCCCATGTCTCGGTAGCACTGGGTGACAGCGCCCGCGGTGGTCAGGTCCCGGTATTCCCGGTACATGTTGTGGGTGCCGCTCCGGGAGTCACAGCGCAGCCAGATCCCGAAGTTCTTCACCCGCAGCGGGGACTTCTCAAACACCTGACCACAGTAGACAGTCTCCCCTGAAGACTTCTTCATTTTCTTTAACTGAGATACGAAGTACCAGAAGCGGGACTTGGCGACGACACGATTAGGTGCAAAGATTCGCATGCGGTAGAGGGGCGGTGTGTGGCATTTGGGAGTGGGCAGGCGGCGACCCACTACTTTGTACTCTCTTAGTGTGCCCGAGGCCTTCATGGCGTCCTCTCCGCGCTCGCCGCCACCCGCAAAAGCTCAGTGGATAAAGATTTTAAGTGGACAATTGGAGACTCAGTTTAGGAGCGAACTGGATACCAAATTTCAGATCAAATGTTTGACCCTGAAATTCTGGCACTGACAGTTATGCAGGAGAAGTTGTGTTTTGTTATCGTTGTTGTTGTTTTTAAGTCTTTTTAATCCTCTCAGATTCTGTTTTATAAATAAAAAGCACACACACATACCTAGATTTCTGAGATTTTTATTTTGAGATTTGTAACATATTAAAGAATCAGGCTGGGTGCGGTGGCTCACGCCTATAATCCCAGCACTTTGGGAGGCCGAGGCAGGGGGATCACCTGAGGTCAGGAGTTTGAGACCAGCCTGGCCAACATGGTGAAACCCCGTCTCTACTAAAAATACAAAAATTAGTCAGGCGTGGTGGCGGGTGCCTGTGGCCCCAGCTACTCGGGAGGCTGAGACAGGAGAATCACTTGAACCCAGGAGGCGGAGGTTGCAGTGAGCCAAGATCGTGCCACTGCACTCCAGCCTGGGCAACAAGGAGGGAAAGTCCATGCCCCCCACCCCCCAAAAAAGAATTGATACGATCTTTGCATATTCAAATTTTATTAACATGAAAAGACTGAATACAGTAGAATATGTAGGAGATCAGCTGTTTGATTAGATAAATTATCCCCTGCTGGAACTACCTGTAAAATTGCTGTATTTTCAGTGCATTCTGTCTCTAGCTTTGTAAATGACTGTTGTTCTGGATCCTGGAGGCAGTATCTGTCCACTTTCACACTTTGAAGAAGCCTTTACATGCTCATCCTGCCCAGCTTCTTTCCAAAAAGAAAAAAAAAAAAGGCACATAGTGACGAAAATAACACCAGTAAAAAGTTTTTACAAAACCTTTCAGATTTTAAGATTGTTTAGTGTTGTTCATTATTAAAGACACACAATTGATAAACAGTAAGCTAAATATTTGTAATAAATAATGACTTCTTTTTCATTCAGAACAAGAAAATACTGTTGATACAGGCTGTCTTTACTCTTACAATATCCAGCCAAAAGACTGTTTACCAAAATTACTAAGGACAGCTCCATCCCTGTCTCCTTCAATATAGTTATGTGATACATTTGTAAGACAGTTATTTCATTTGTCACACTCTGCATTGCATCTCCCTCCCTCCCCTACTTCTTGGTCGATTTAAAAAAATTTATATAGAGTAAAATCCACTCTTTGTGTTGTACTGTTGTATGAGTCTTGACAGATGCATAGTTATGTATTCATTACTACAATTACATGTAGCAGTTCCTTCACTTCAGAATTTCCCTCACACTGCCGCAATATGTAGCCTTTTGGGTCTGGCTTCTTTCACTGAGCAGAATGCATTTAAGATTCATCCATGTTGTTGCATAAATCAATAGATCATTGCTTGCGTAGCATTATATCCGTATCACAGTTTTATTTATTCCTTTGGGTTGTTTCAAATATTTGGTGATTATGAATGAAGCTACAATAAACATTTATGGGCTGGGAGAAATACGTTTTATCAGTCTCTGGTGTGGTGGTTTATGGACTTTCTAAAAAGCAAAACCAACAGATACCTGGGCCCACCTCCCAACCAACCTAATCAGAATCTCTGTAGATGGGGTCTGGGCTAATAGATTTCATAAAAGCTCCCTACATGGTCCTGCTGGGCAATCAGGCTGAGAATTATTGCTTGGAGACGTGATCTTTGTATTTTTGGTAAATGAGCTCTCGAAGGGTTTTTATTATTATTTTTGCTTGGCAAGGTTTAGTAATTTGAGTAATATAAGATTATGCTTCATATTAGTTGTTTTTCTTAAGGACTTAATTTCATTTCAAGGAGAGAGTTACTGTATGCTAATTAAATCAAGGCCTTTTTAAAGGTACATTTATTGAGGTTTAAGTAGTCATGATAGAAATATATTTATAATATGCCAATTATATCCCTCAAGAATATTTTAATAATTATATATTTGATTAAAAGGCGTACTTGTTAGCTATACAGTATAATTATATGTTTGAATAAACTATTACTAGAACTAAATGAGCTTCCTTAATTACCAAGACAATTATTTTATATTGCTGATGAAATATATTATTATCTTACATATATATTGGTAGTGATTCTTACAGTGTTTTATAATGATATTTAACAACCAGTTAATTAATTATGTTGAGTTATGGCATGAAATAACATTAAATGTTACTATAAATTGGACATTTTGGATATCTGACATTAAAATAAAGTAAGATACTTTCACATCTAGCATTAATTACATAAGAACACATGGAGTTTAAATTAATTTCCCAAACTTAGTAGAAATGTTACTTGAAAGCAATATATTTTGATAATCAAAGTGCTTACCAAGGTGAATTTTTATTTCAGCCTAAAGTTTAAGGCTAGTTTTATTCGTTTGATGGAGATCCTGAGAATAATTCTGTGAACACTAAATGTTTGAAGGCCCTTCATATGTAAAGTTCTCAGAAATAAAGTCTTTTTAATAAGACTTATCTAAAGTATTTAGATTATACTAATTATTATTTCTGATATAAAATCGTTAATTGTTAATTCTGACATAAAAACTCATTTATAATTATGAAAGGGCACATTTTTGATATCCTATTACTGTTATTATTATTGTTATTTTTATTTATTTATTTTTTGAGACAAGGTCTCACTCTGTCACCCAGACTGGAGTGCAGTGGCACAATCACTGCTAACCTCAGCCTCGACCTGTTGGGCTCAGGTGATCCTCCCACCTCAGCCTCCTGAGTAGCTAGGAGTATAGGCGCCTGCCACCATTCCTTGCTAATTTTTGTATTTTTTGTAGAGACGGGGTTTTGCCATGTTGCCCAGGCTGGTCTCAAACTCATGGGCTCAAGTGACCCACCGCCTTGGCTTCCCAGAGTGCTAGGATTACAGGCATAAGCCACCCTGCATGGCCTTATTTTTTAATATCCTCTTGATTTACCTTTTGAATGTTATTAGCTAATGAACATGAGCTGAATGTACTTGACCCTGAGACCTTTAAGAGAGCCAAGTCTTTCAGAAATTTGCTTTCTTGCAAAGGGTTGTAGCTCATTACCAGGAGCATATATGGTCCACTATTGCCAGGAAAAAAGCTTCTAATATTAGTAACAAAGAGCTAATATTTATTGGGCACTTAGGATGTGCGTGCACCTTGCTTCACGCAGATTATTTAATAACAATCATGTGTTTTAAGAACCCTTATTAGCCTAGACTTTAAGATAGGGTAAATTGTAGTTTGGAGGGGTTAAGTAATTTGTCCGTAGTTGTTCGCTGTTTGTTCATAATAAATAATAAGCTGTGATTCATACCTAGGTTGTCTGACTTCAGAGATCACATGCTTAATTCCTGAGGCACTCTCTATTATCTTCATTTGCCCATCTTTATTGCACTTAAAGATGCCCTATTTACCTTTCCCTTAGCACACCAAACATATTTTATAACTCTAGTCACTTTTTTCCTCTTTGATTCCTGTATTTGGTTATGTAGACTGACTCTTCCATTAGGATCTAAATGATTTCTTTTTTATTTTAATTTTTTTATATTGACAGACAACATTATATGTATTTACTGAATATAACTGGATATTTTAATGTATATGTTGTAGAATGACTAAATTTGGCTAAGTAGCCAATGTGTTACCTCATGTAATTATAATTTTTGTTATGAGAACACTTTACATCCATTCTGTTAGCATTTTTCTTTTTCTTTTTCTTTTTCTTTTTTTTTTTTTTTTTGAGATGGAGTCTCACTCTGTCTCCCAGGCTGGAGTGCAGTGATGTGATCTTGGCTCACTGCAAGCTCTGCCTCCTGGGTTCATGCCATTCTCCTGCCTCAGCCTCCCGAGTAGCTGGGACTACAGGTGCCTGCCACCAGGCACAGCTAATTTTTTGTATTTTTTAGTAGAGACAGGGTTTCACTGTGTTAGCCAGGATGGTCTCGATCTCCTGACCTCGTGATCCGCCCACCTCAGCCTCCCAAAGTGCTGGCATTACAGGTGCGAGCCACTGCGCCTGGCCTCTGTTAGCATTTTTGAAGAATGCAGTATCACATTTTCTGTAGTCACCATGTTGTACAGTAGATCTGTTGAACTTATTCCTCTTAAGTAAAATTTTGCGTCCTTTGACCAACATCTCCCCAACCCCTCCCAACCCCCTACCCAGCCTCTGATAGCCACTATTCCACTTTCTACTTCTATGAAATCAGTTTTTCAGATCCCATATATGAGTGAGATCATGGAGTATTTGTCTTTTTGTGCCTGGCTTACTTCACTTGCCATAATGGTCTCCAGACTCATCCATATTGTTGCAAATGACAGCATTTCATTCTTTTTTTAAAGGCTGAGTAGGATTTCACTGTGTACATAATAGGACGTTTTCTTTATTCACTCATCCATTGATGGACACTTAGGTTGCTTCCACATCTTGGCTAATGTGAGTATTACTGCAATAAACAGGGGAATGTACACATCTCTTTGACATACCTATTTCATTTCCTTTGAATATATAGACCTAGTAGTGGGATTGCTGGATCACATGGTAGCTCTGTTTTTTTTTTTTTTTTTTTTTTTTTGAGACAGAGTCTCGCTCTTGTCACCCAGGCTGGAGTGCACTGGTGCGATCTGGGCTCACTGCAACTTCCGACTCCCAAGTTCAAGTGATTCTTCTGCCTCAGTCTCCTGAGTAGCTGGGATTACAGGTGCCCACCACCATGCCCAGCTAATTTTTTTTGTATTTTTTTGGTAGAGACGGGGTTTCACCATGTTGGTCAGGCTGGTCTCGAACTCCTGACCCTAGGTGATCCGCCCACCTCGGCCTCCCAAAGTGCTAGGATTACAGATGTGAGCCACTGCACCTGGCCTGTAGCTTCATTTTTCATATTTAAGGAACTTCCATACTGTTTTCTATAATGGCTGTACTAATTTACATTTCCACCAGTAGCGTGTATGGGTTCCCTTTTCTCCACATCCTCACCAACACCTACCTTTTGTTATTTGATAACAACCACTCTAACAGACATGAGGTGATATTAAATAACTTTTTCTATGTTCTATTTGCACATTGGCTGAGACATGGTATACTCTCAATAACTGGTTGGCTGAACAAAGAACAGATATAAATTTTATACACGGCATCCATTTTTGTTGGATTGAGATTTCCCCTTTATTTCAGAGGTGCCTTAGAAGGCATTTGGAAAGTGAGTCAGTTTTCTTGCATGGTGCAGAGCTAGCTTAGCCTGTGAG
The DNA here is from genome assembly GCF_000001405.40 of Homo sapiens. Classification (NCBI taxonomy): domain Eukaryota; kingdom Metazoa; phylum Chordata; class Mammalia; order Primates; family Hominidae; genus Homo; species Homo sapiens. Next base: position 8,708,009 of record NC_000009.12, on the reverse strand, counting down.
GTATAAAATCTTAATGCCTTTTATCCATGGGCAAGTTTGAAGTTCCCCTAAAAGCATAGTGCAATACTGCTGGCACATACAAGGAAACTTGCACTATGATCATTTTTATTCTGAGAGAGACAATACACAACCAGTATAGGTAAGCCGAGAGATGTGGTACCTGGGAGATGACAGATGTGAACACTGTGGTATGCATTATATGGTTTCTTGCTTGAGGAAAAGGTTATTGAAAAATATTTATTGTAGACAATAATAGATTATACTTTAGTAGTGGCCATGGTTAAACCCAATAGTAGGAGACCTTTTCTCTCTGTGAGGAACACCCAATATAATTAGGGAATCAGATCATTAAGCCTTAAATTTCAAAGTAGATGTAACAGATGGAAAGGAAAAACTAGAACTTAGACTACTCACCTCCCTAACTGCCTGCTTCTTGTCTGTACTTCTTTCTTAGGAAATATATGAATTTCTTAGCCCATGCTAAGTAATTTAAGGAACACTTTGTCCCAAGAACAATGTAATCAAGAAACACTGCTACTTTCTGCTGGATGTTTGAAAGGGGCTTTTTATTTTTACATGGTTACTCTGAAGTAACTCAAATCACAGAAGCTGGCTGACCAAAAGGGCATGTTCCTGTCTTTGGTCCATTACTTGCTTTTGAGAGACATAATTCAATTTAAGATCTGCATTTCTGATGGAGAAATATCCATTGCCCATCCAGGTAACATCCTTTCACAACCTTCTGTCACCAAAGAATTATTCAAGTGACCTTGTATGTTTGCTTAAGGTTGGGAGTGACCACATCCCTGGCAGTTCCGTAATATACCCACATATTTTATTGCTGCAACAAAGACATAGAGTATAGTCCTTAAGGTCCTATACTCAAAATAGAAAGTTTGGATAAAGCTAATTGATTGTAGGCTTGCTGTTGTTCATTATCTTAATTAGTCTAGGTAATTAAATCATTAATTGATTGGAGCTGATCCCTGCTAAAGGAAGTAATAAAATAGTAAAACTCAGTGCTTTTCTGTTTGATCCCATAAGAACTGCCATTTCAGTTCTTCATTCGCCTCTTCATTTGTGGTGTTTTGTGCTGTCCAGCGGGGACAGTGGCACGGGAGGATAATGCTAACCTGTGGACATTGCTGTTGCTTCAGAGGCATGCTGCAGTGAAATCAGGAAGCAATCCCAACCTGGCTGTGGTTAATTAACACTGGACGCCAAGCTATGCAGATGCAATGCATTATGAAGACAACCCTGACTCTTGGCAATTAGCTTTCATTGTTTGTTGTGCTTTGCTTGGGTACATCTCTGAGACTGTGAATTTCCATCAAAGGACTCTGACATGCATTCCTGCCTGGCATATGCTCACGCATCTCTGCTCCTGAGATGAGCGCTTTTTTTTCTTAAGCTCAAGTTCAGAGCCTTGGGATAATCGCTCTGTTTCCTAAATATATGAAGTTCTTTTTAAACTTCAAAGCCACAGTAGGGGAAGGAAAAAAAAGAGAGACCATGCAGACTTAGATGGCTTCTAGTGAATTGAATTGGCAAAACCATGAACACTTGTCTTTAGCTGCTGAAATGTGAGATGCTTCCATAAAGCTATTTCAAGTCTGAAAAGTTGCTTTTTAAAATGAATCTCTAATCCAATAACTACAATAATATTCGAGTCAGACTAAATAAAGGAAAGGTAAAGCGGTAAGAAGTTGTTTTACCTTGGGATAAATATCAAACCTCCCTGAAAATCCTATTATATCTAATTTCAGAAGAACTTCCGTAGTAAGCTTGGTTTGATCAAGATCCCTTGGAAACGAGGCAGTTTTCTTTTTTTTTAATTCAGTGTTCTTTCTTATAATGTTTCTCTTGAGGAGAATTGTGGAAGTAATAAAATTCATAATTGGCTTCTTTTCTCCTTTGCTTGGACTAAGTGAGTCTGGCAGTTCTTTGGGAGAATTTGAGTCCTGTACTTTTCTGGTCGACAAGATAGCAGTAGTGAAGCAGCAGAATTGAGTTGAAATGAATGCCTGGCTTGGAATTTACACATATGGATACAGTGCTGACTAAATGCTCCGAATCACAGTTGGCCATTTTTATTACTATTGATAGAGCTTTCAGAGAACTCTGCTCATGGAAAAATACACTTAACAAATATAAATGCTAGGTGCTATTACCAAAAGAAACACCTAGGGAATTGCCTTTACTATATCAGCAGTAGATTATTATTACTACTGTTTTAATCTAGTAAGTAATAAACATGTGATACATAATTATAAAGACATTTTCTACCAAGACATGTATGTGCTTCCTTTAAAACTATTTTATGTGAATATGATAAATTATTTTTTATTCTCAATTTGTTATGTGTTTAACTGCTGTCTAACTTAAGAAGCAGATATATCTTTTATGTCTTCTTTGCTGTTGCTTCTTATGAATTTTAAGAGACAAGGAAATGTTGGTTTAGAAATGGAAAATGATGTTCCCAAGTAATCAGGAAATAATTCAAAATCCAAAACTAGTATTACTTGATACCTTAACTTCTGGGAATTTGTTTCTTGTATGTGCTCCTCTGCATTTGTTAAAATTATAGAATACTTTTGTTTCAAAACAAATTTAGGTACAGAAATTAGCTGGGCGTGGTAGCAGGTGCCTGTAATCCCAGCTACTCGGGAGGCTGAGGCAGGAGAATCACAGAATCCCAGAGGCGGAGGTTGCAGTGAGCCAAGATGGTGCCACTGCACTCCAGTCTGGGTGACAAGTGAGACCATCTCAAAAAACAAAACAACAGTAACAACAACAAAAATTTAGGAAAGTGATCATACTCATTAAGGGAATAATACATTTTTCTTGTGAGAATTACACAAATTTGAAAATCCTTGGGTCAGGGAGTGGTCAACACTGAGCCCTTTTTTTAAACTTATTGAAAATTGCAGTAATATAAGGAGAGGCTCAGATAGAAGTGTGTTATAACCTGTTTTACATGGATATGATGAATTTATACAGTTATGACTTGTGGACAATAGAGGGAGAAAAAGATTGAGAGCCATTGAACTTTCTTTTATTTCTTTTTATTTATTTATTTTTTATATTTTTAAGGAGTCTTGCTCTATCGCCCGGGCTAGAGTGCAATGGCATGATCTTGGCTCACTGCAACCTCCACCTCCCGGGTTCACATGATTCTCCTGCCTCAGCGTCCCAAGTAGCTGGGATTACAGGTGCACACACCACCACACCCGGCTAATTTTTTTTTTTTTGTATTTTTAGTAGAGATTTGGCCAGACTGGTCTTCGACTCCTGACCTCGTGATCCGCTCGCCTCATTTCTTTTTACCATCTAAATTGCATTATCTCTGTGATAGGCTCCTCGGGTATTTTACCTGTCTTAAGCTTCCATATTCTGTTTGTACAGTGCTTTGATAGTGTACAGACAACTTTCATACACATCACCTCACTTAACCTTTAATGCATCCCCTGTAAGGGAGACATTAAGTCCATTTTCAAGTTCATGATACTCTACGTAATGAGCTAGGACTCAAACTCAGATTTTCTGATTCCAGGAACAGATTTTCTTTTTAATGACCTTAAGCCTATTCCTTTTTTTCCTTCTTCCCATCCTCCTTCCTACTCTGCTTTCCTCCTTCCCTGTAACTCCTTCCTTCCTTTCTTCCGTCATTCATTCAGAAATGCCTACTGAGATTATATTACTGAGAGGAAACCAATTCGGCTGGAGTTTAGGGAGTGTGTAGGGAGATGCAGAGGATGGAGTGGGAGGGGGGAAGGCAGCCAACCCTGCACAACGTTGCTGGCTCTGGTGTGGAGTGTGAACTTTGCCTGCTCTGTAAACTCAGTGTTCATCAAGGGAAGAGTGGTTGATCAGGTGAGAGAGAATGCTGGCCCCTACTCTTATGGTGGCTGTGGAATTGGAGAGAAGTGGATGGATGCCAGAAATATGTAGGCAGGTTGAATAAACAAGAGGAAGTAAATTATTTCCTCATATATTGAGGGTGAGTATATAAGGAAATGTCAAGGATGACTCCCAGATTTGTGTTAAGAGCACCTGTTGGGGTGATTGTAGTATTTATTGATAAGAAACACTCGGAGGAGGGTAGAGTTGTTTGGCTTGAATGGAGAATCATGAGCTCGGTTTGGGACATATTGAATTTTATCTGTCTGTTAAATAACCTTCTGGAGATGCCAAATAAGCAATTTGATACTTGAATCCAGAACTCAGAAAACTGGGCTGGGGATATTCTCTTGGAAGTCGCTAGCATATAAATGGTGACAGAGCCACGGGATTAGACAAAATCAACAAAAAAGAGAATAACAATGCCGTAGGGTTCAAGACCCAAGCTTTGGGTTCCCCAGTTAATAGAATTAATAGAGGTGAGGATGAGAAGTCGAGGGGAAACAGGAGAAAAGAGAAAGAAAAACAATAGAGTTGGAGGAAAATCCAGGGAAGGTTGTGTCCTAGAGGCCGCATGCATAGAGGTTTGGAGGAAAGCTGCTCTCAAATGCTGTTGATGGATCTGAACATGTCCATTGGACTTGGTAATAGCAGGGACATTAATGACATCAGGGAGACTGAGGTGGTGGAATGGTGGAACTGAAAGGGTAAAGAGGAATAATTTTTAAGGGAGAAGTGGAACAGAGAATTCTGAATCTGGGAATATTCATTTAACTCAGACAATTCAAAGCAGAATATTTTTTATGTAATATCATAAGTACTCATTTAACAAAAAAAGAGCACTTTAAACTTCTAGGCTTCTAGACTTTATCATATTTCTTCACTTTCCTGCTGATCTCCTCAAAGAATAGTCTATTACCATCCTGCATATTTGGTCTGGAGAGGAAGTCTAAATAGATTTCCAGATTCACTATTGGTATAATCCCCAAGTACTTTTTCATAATTTGGTATCTGACCAGCTCTTCTGCTGATTTGATGGAACCCTTTTATGGTGAACTGCTTAAAATTCTTTATGTAATTGGAAATTGTCTTTATGAATAATACAAACTTCTCCAGTCAATCCAGTTGATTCAGTAGTGCTAACTCTCCCCAAAATGTCCTCCTTCCTCTTGTTTTTAGGCTGAACTAAATTGTATATCTTATGGCCGGGCGCAGTGGCTCACGCCTGTAATCCCAGCACTTTGGGAGGCCGAGGCGGGCGAATCACAAGATCAGGAGTTTGAGACTGGCCTGGCCAACATGGTGAAACCCCGTCTTTACTAAAAATACAAAAAATTCGCTGGGCGTAGTGGCGGGCGCCTGTAATCCCAGCTACTGGGGAGGCTGAGGCAGGAGAATCGCTTGAACACGGGAGGTTGCAGTGAGCCGAGATCGTGCCACTGCACTCCAGCTGGGGCGACATAGCAAGACTCTGTCTAAAAGAAACCCAAAAAATTGCACCTCTTATATTGTGGCTTTTCTTAAAGACCCAGGGAGAACCTCTTGTGCAGCTCTCCTTTACAGATGTCTATCAAAAAACTCCCAACTGTCCTTGTTGGCTTTATTTTTATCTCTTCAAAACTGGAGCTTTCTGAAGACAGGGATACTGTTTCTTTATTCTCATGAACTCACGTAGTAGGTAATCAGTAAATGTTTGTTGAATGAATCCATGAACCTCAACTATGCTGATCCAACTGAGAAGCAAGAAGTATAAAAAAAAGACCACAGAAGATAAGGCACACCAAATAAGCACAGTACTTTATTTCAAGTAAAAGCCCAGAAACCTCACTCAGAGCATTTTTTTTTTTTTTACTTTACACACTAAAATGCTTATTTATCTGGCAGCCATTCTGTCCTATATAAACGTAGACCAACTGCTGACCCACTGATAAATTCCAGAAAAATCCAAGCAACCGTCTGACAGGGAAATTAAAAGCTATGAAAGTAGATGAGAACAAAAGCTACAAAAAGTAGGAGAGCAAACTAAAGTGACACAAAGTAATTGAGAGTCCTCACGTTAAAAAAAATAAAGTGGTCTGCCAAGGCCTTCTATCAGATCTAAAGCCAAATGTATAAATGAATTTACTTAAACAGTATAAATAAACCCTGATTTATCAGGAAATGATCATTCTGTTGTTCAAAAAAGCAGAACGACATTTAATACATTGAGAAAAGAATAAAGATTACAATAAAGTATGAAAATAGGTATAGTTTAGAGAAACAAACCCTCACTTTTATATGGAATACTCTATTTTTAATGGTGGCAGTAACTGAGATAGTATTGTGGTAAACACATCAGAGTATTCAGGGAGATTAAAATAATTTGGGGCTGGGAATGCATTGCATAAGAATTGGGCATCCAAGGGTGACAAAGGAAGAGCAGTATGTAGCAAATGGCACAAAATCTTTGGGAAATTATTATTATTATTATTTGAGACGGAGTTTCACGCTTGTTGCCCAGGCTGGAGTGCAATGGCGCGATCTCAGCTCACTGCAACCTCCGCCTCCCAGGTTCCAGTGATTCTCCTGCCTCAGCCTCCCAAGTAGCTTTGGATTAGAGGCATGTGCCACCACGCCCGGCTAATTTTATTTTTTTTTGGTAGAGACGGGGTTTCTCCATGTTGGTCAGGCTGGTTTCGAGCTCCCGACCTCAAGTGATCCGCTCACCTCGGCCTCCCAAAGTGCTGGGATTACAGGCGTGAGCCGCTGAGCCCGGCTGGGAAATTATTATGCATTAACATAGAGAAATTTACTTTCTGTCATTATAATACTTGAGTTGAAATATTAAATGTACTCTTTTACCTTTCCATGGTTGGATACTTTGTTTCTCCCCAGAGCAATGGAAAAGATTCTTATTTTTTTTCCCCCTGAATTATGGCACTAAAATAAAAATTTAACTTTCTTTTTTTTGAGATGGAGTCTTGCTTTGTCGTCCAGGCTGGAGTACAGTGGCATGATCTTGGCTCACTGTAACCTCCACCTCCCGGGTTCAAGTGATTCTCCTGCCTCAGCGTCCTGAGTAGCTGGGATTACAGGCACGCATCACCACACCTGGCTAATTTTTGTATTTTTAATAGAGACGGGGATTCACCATGTTGGTCGGGCTGGTCTCGAACTCCTGACCTTGTGATCTGCCTGCCTCGGCCTCCCAAAGTGCTGGGATTACAGGAAAAATTTTACTTTCATGAAAAAATTCCCAAACTTTATGCTTCCTCTTTTTAATTTAAATTGTTGGTGAGCAATGGTATTTAAAGGACAAGACACCTTGAATGAATATTACTAGTGTTTTAGCAACTCAAACATTGGCTAAAGGGTATTTGAAAGTTGTATGTCTGCATTAATGCAACTTCAGATTTGTGTGTGTGTGGATTTGTTCACTGCTTAGTGATGGTAAAGTCAAGAGTTTTCTTTAATTACTCTCCATGAAAAGATTTTTTTCTCTTTTGTGTGCTTCTGGATTCAATTGCCTGTTTTTACAAATGAATGAAAACATTGACTGTGACTGAGGTTCTGTAATACAACGTATTATTTTTCTCACTCCTTAGAAATAATAAAAGCACATCATAATACATCTTTGCTATTAACAGCTGACCTCCAGTGTGCTGTGGAACCACGTAATTGAATAACACTTTTTGTAGAGGGTGATATTCAATAGTAGAAATGAATTTAAGTACATCATGATGATAAAGCAGTTGTTTGACAATTGTGAAAGTTCTGAAATGGAAAAGCTGTTTTGATTCCTTTATGCTGACTACTCTTCTTAGTGGAATTCGAGGGTTTTACTACAGTTCAGTAAATAATAATTTAGATGCATTTTTACTGATGGCAGCATAGTTTCTTAAATGAAAGTAATTTTGTAGTATGATGATCAAATTATATAGTTTCCATTAAGATTTACAGCAGCAGAATGTCACATGCATTGATTAAAAAGGGAGTGAAATTTGGAAAATACAAACTATTTGAAATGGCCCATGGGATAATAAGGAATTTAAAAAACCATTGATTACTGGCAGTTGTACCACTGTTCAGAAATTGCTGATTTTGTATTGTATGTCCCATATTTTAAGAATGCCGCCATCATAAATGTTGGAATTGGGTTCTCAGCATTACTGATATTTGAAAATACACAGAGAAAAAAATGGTTAAATCAATCAGGGCCTACAAAATGGCCATGTTTAGTTTTTGCCCTTATCACAATGGGAAACTCTTGCTAGGCTTTCTGCAGATTTTAATGTAAAATGCTACCTAATTGTGCAAAATATTACCATGGAGTATGAATGTGTTCTTTTTTTTTTTTTCTTTTGGGCGTTGCACTGGCCTTTCTTTTCAATAAAGATTCTACTGAAGCAATGTGATGGATACCATTTCAGAAAAGAATTAATTTTTTACAACTTGTTTATTTAGTACATTAAGCATTCATATTGGTATATGAAATTATATTCATGAAAGTTACTGGCCCAACCAAGTAGAATCACAAATCAGAAACACTTGGTTTTAATTTCAACATGTTTTCATAAAATTATTTTCAAACTTGTCCAATGGAGTCAGTTTACTTTGTTTTCCTTTGTTAAATAAATGTATTCTAAATGAGTCATTATAGAGGGATTTAATTCTAGTTGTTAAGGGATATGGGGGAAAAATGTCCTCAAATGCTTATCATGAAAAATACCATGTATTTACATTATTTCAGGAATTAATCTTTTTTACTTTTAATGATATGAGGTGTATTGACAGAGTTTCTTTGTCTGCCTCATCTTTCTGTGGGGATATGTTGAAAGGCCCTGCAAGAAACCAGAAACTTGATTTAATAACTTGCCAGAGCAACTGTTTAGCATCTGTCCTCAAGGCAAAGAGTTGAACTGATAGATTTCATAAAGAAAATGAGGAATCATTATACACTTCATCGGAATTTCATCACTTGTTAGAAATTTACTCAAAGGATCATAAATTCTGTATTTTTCATTATTCAGGAATTCTGAAAAAAGAGTGTGCATTTTGTGATAACAAAAATTCTGGTAGGGTATGAGAAATCCATCCTTAAAGAAGAAAAGAATTCACAACTTCAAATGGATGCTGTTTTCTCATGAAGGATTTGCCCAGTGGCTGGAGAGTGCTTCTAATATTATTATATAATATAATATTATGGGTGTAGATGCCAGTTTTGAGATGATGTTTATCAGCACTCCTGTTCTTGAACAGTGAGAAGGTATTTATTGGGCATGTTAAGAACAGTAAAAATCAGGAAAAACAAAGGATAGGATTGCTATGCGTTATCCCCAACCAAACAGATTGGTAACAAGCTATCTAGTTTCCTGCGAAAAGGCGATTTCTGTATTATGCCGGAGTATTTCTGTATGCTCTCCCTGGAGACAGTTTTCAGGCAGTTTCACCATGAGGCGGCAGGTGTAGAATCCCCTCAGGATGCATTTTGAACCTGTGGTCATACAGCCTTCCTGAGTTTAAAGATAAAACGTATCCTTTGTTGTTTTGTAGGAAACTAAATAGGCCTTGATAAAGTACAGATGTAGATAAAACTTTCAACAGAAAATGACTGAAGAATTTTTAAATCCAGCTATTTGTTAATAAATGTACACCACCTTTACATTTGTAACATGAATCATAGGAGATACACTTGCTACATTTCCGCAGTTAACAGTAATCCTTTCTCAAGAACATTTAAAACTATGCCTACAGCCACCGTTTTTTACACTATCACTAACTGTCGTCTTCGCTGTCCTTGATTCTTGATTTTCACCAGCATTTTCAAAAATGGATAGTCTTAAAAGCTACAGCAGTTAGAGACAGTGTAAGTAAAGCACTGAATAAACATCTATCACACAGTAGGTATTCAGTGCATAAGTATGCATTCAGTATGCTAGTACTCTGCATTTTACAATATCTACATCATCAACTTTGATCCTCATTTTTTGAGTGTTGTATTTAAAACTGGTTGCCTTAAATGGAAAATGACATAAAGCTTTATGTTTGTATAAAATAAAGTTTCACAAATTTATACTGAATGCTTACTGTGGACATGGTGATAATCATAGCAGAGACTACAGAGGACTGTGAATGACACTTTCCATGACCTCAGAAGTTTAGAGCCTCCCATGGACACTTGTAATTAAGTTGTTTCTGCACTATGGCAGTGGATGGAAAATTAGGGATATGTTATTTAAATGACAACCCATATTTACCAGTGCTCTGGTAGAAAGTTTTGATAACTTCAGTTGTTTATTCTTCCCACCAATAATGTCATTGCATACAATTGTGTGTGCTCCTCCCCAAACACACACACACACACACCCACGCACCCACACATACACACCTGTCTTTAAAAAAATCCAGGCCTGGGCGTGGTGGCTCATGCCTGTAATCCCAGCACTTTGAGAGGCCAAGGCAGGTGGATTACTTGAGGTCAGGAGTTCGAGACTAGCCTGGCCAACATGGTGAAAACTCATCTCTACTAAAAATACGAAAATTAGCCGGGTGTGGTGGCGGGCACCTGTAAGTCCAGCTACTCAGGAGGCTGAGGCAGGAGCATTGCTTGAACCTGGGAGGTGGGGATTGCAGTGAGCCAAGATCACACCACTGCACTCCAGCCTAGGTGACAGGGCAAAATTCTGTCTCAAAAAAAAAAAAAAAAAAAAAAAGTACATAAAAATAAATAAATAATAAAAAATCCCAAATCAACAACAAACTTACAATCTGAAAATTCCACCAGGAAAAGAATGCTTTAAAATATATTTAAAGAGCCCCATGATCCATCTCATTGGGCCTCTAGATTTCTCTGGCTATTAAGCTGAGGATGGTACATGAAGGGAATGTAAAAGCCCTTTTCTCCCTTTTCCCTTCCCTACGTATAGTCAGTCCTCAGAAATTAGATTTATTCTTTTATTTCCAATCAACTACTTAATTTTGACCCTAGTTCCATGGTCGTGATTTTCTGACTCTTATGTTTTGTCCAAAAGCCAAATACTAGACAACAGACTTGTGCTTATTTAGTGGAAGCAAAAATAGGATTCTTCTAGGCAGAAACTGTTACTGTTGTTCTCACGCTTCCGCAAGCATTTTGTAACCCATTTGATTTTTTAAAAGAAAGAGAAAACTAAAATGAAGAAACCGTTATTGGAAAGTTCAAGGTATCATCTCTTTCTTCTGTGCACCTCTGTGTAGCTGTGATGTTTGTCGACAATTCTGGCAGGAATACTAAGAAAGGGAACGGTTTTTACAGTTCTCAGAACCTTCTACAGCATAAGCAATTTATGTGGATTTAAAATGTATCAATTTAACTTGGAATGAAGTAAAAACTCCTTATCTTGGCTTACAAGGCCGTTGGTTGACCTAGCTTCTGCATTCCTCTCTGCCGTCATCTTATGTCAGACCCTGTTAGCTCACGACATTTTAATTCTCTTGACATTTTCATCCATTGTCTTCCCTGTTCTTGTAATTCTTTCTCCGTCTAACCTAACTCATCTTTCTCCCCTGCCCCCTCTTCTGTGATGCCTTTCCTGACCACTCTAAATGGACCTCTCTCCTCTACTTCCTTCTGCTAATCACCAAGTTTATCTAATTCATAACACGTCCCATCTGGATTGCTCAGTGATTACTTGTCCCCCCACCCCAAGACTGGAGGGACTTTAACTGTTTTCCTCCACACATCTAGAATTTAATGTAGAGTTTAGTGCAAGTAGGTGTTCAATAAACATTTGATAGTTAAGTGAATAAATCAATGAGTTAATGGGAGAGAGCTGAATTTCACTGAAGATGATTTACTCCTTCATCTGCAAGATAAGGGAAAGAGCCTTGCCACAGAAAATCTGTTGGAAAGCAAGAATGGTAGAGGCCAGCCCTCTTGGTTTCCCATCCCGTGTCCTCTTCTCTCTGTTGTGTTGTGTTGTTACCTTGAAAAACATAACGTGAAGGTGGTGTTTGGTCCTCAACCCAGCTGAGGTCTGCTGCCTCTGAAGATGTCTCTGCTGATCCAGTTTCTGGAGCGCCTCTTGGGTTGTGCTTTTACTCTCTTATGTCAGGTGTCATACTGGAGTTTCTGAGCAATCAAATAGAAATCCTATATAGGGTAAGGAGTCAATAACATTTATTTTGATCTAGATTTTGGTTTGGAGCAGGTGGTTGGGTTAAAAGTCCAACAAGATAATCTGAGAATAGAGAGAAAGCAAATGATTGTGCGTGTACCACTCTCACATTTACTTACAGTAATTTCCAACTTAAGAAAACTGGATATGCTAAAACAAAGTGAAAGCAAACTTCAGTTGAAGGCTTTCTTAAGTAGGGAGCATCCCTAGGAAATTTAAAATATGATTTGATTTATCATAGATCAGTTTATTAATTTTCTAGGAGCTTCTGCCTTAGAATTTTGTGATTCTATGAAGTTCAGCTATAGTAGCTTTGATATATAGATGAGAAAATAGAATAAAATGTTTATCACTTACTCAAAAATTATATATAATCATTTATGCAACTTACCTACCAATGAGAATGACTCCTTGGAATATAAATTGGTATCTGATAGTGTCTGGGCATATAAACAGACTATTGACAGACATTGTTGTTTGCCTGTTAGACGCTTCCTTCTTGCTTGCCTATAACATTGACCCAGATTTTATCTACTCTCATTCTATAGTAACCTGCTGTGTATGCCAGTGGGTGGGGGTGCGGGGGTGGGGCTGGCTCCTAAGTGGCAAATCTTACTGGTTGAAAAAAGTGAAGTGGTCTCAGTTTCCTGCTAAGTGATGCACTTAAACATGGCCATGTGATTCAATCCTGGTGAATGAAAATTTAGAGCAAATACACTGGGGAGTTTTTGAGAAGGGTTTATTTACTCACAAGATTGGCACCAAGACAAAGATGTTTCCTTTTCTGTTCTTGAATATTTCCTCTGTATGTGGTGTTTAGAGCTGCTGCAGGCCTGTAGGGATCATGAGAGGAACCAGTCTAAGGAGACAAACCAGCACAATGAGAAAGGCAGAGGGGACAGACGGATGGGAAAAGACTGAGCGATTGAGCTGCTATTGAGTAGCTGAATAAATCACCCTCCCTCAGGTTTTATGTGACAGAATGATGTCCTTATTTTTTAAACCACTTTTAGTAGGATGTTCTGTTATCTATAGCCCAAAATATTTTGACGGATATGTTTGTTGGGTCAAGTAAAGAATTGTTTGGGACTGTAGCAGTGCTTACAGTTCCAAGCCATGGGGCTCCACAGTAAGAAAGAGAACAACAAAGAAGGTACATATTTTAAGATTTAAGCAGCTCCGAAGGCTAAACATAGAAAAAAAAATAGGTAGTATACAGATTTGCCAACACCCATGAATAATAGGTATTTATTATATGCAGCTTAAAAAGAAATTATGAATTGAATTTGTGAATTTTGCTTCATTTTCTGAATGTGGGTAAAAATGTCTAAGCACAAGCAAGTAAGTTTCCTTGGCATATGCAGAAAACAAGTGTTTTTAATCCTGAATAAAATGTATTGTTGTTTGTCATTTTTATCTTCTGCTGGTGAGCATGTTTAGATCCTACCTAAACATATTTTTCTTATACATTTAACTTTTCTATGGAAAATACCAAATCCCTGAACATTTCTATTTCAGTGGGACCGATTACAAATCATGTTTTCCATCAGACTTTTATTGTAGAAGTGTTGTTTGTATGAATGTTATCAGTATGCATTTGTTTTGGGGTTAGAGGCTTCTCTAAATTGGATACCTCTATGGATTCTGCTTCCTTTTGCTAAACATGAAAAAAAAAATTACAACTTTTAAAATTTCTCTCCCATGGCTATTTTCTATTCATATCTCCCATTCCTTCTTGAGGCAAAAGAAGTAATTTATATAATTCCCAGAAAATTATTTATTTCATTCAGATTTAAAAATTTATTAGCTCTGCATTTAAATATATTCTCTTATTTAAAATACATCCCATCACTATCCATTGTTAAATCATGTTTTCACATCTAGGTAAGATATTCAGAGATTTACCTGATTATTTACAAGAAGACTTAAACGTACAAGCATTTGAATATTAATGACACAGACTTTTCTTTTGAGATTTCCAATGCTTTTGTAAAGTAAAAATTATCTACTTTTAAATTATTAAAACATCTGCATCTTTCAGTGCTTCTCAATCTAGCATTTAGGAAAATCTGAGGGCTATTAACAAGTCTATAGAGAAAAAAGTCACCCTACAAAAATACATTCAAGCAACGCAAGTTGTTCTGTTGGCTTGTTTTGTTGTGGAAGTGTTTTGTGTGTGTAGGTGTTGTTTTCTCAGCTTTGCTTTGCTTTTACTATGGGACTTCTCAGAGCAATGAACATGCAAATGTATGCAAAGCAGTTTCAGGACTTGCTCTGTAGAAACAGCTCACTTACCTTGATTAACACGCTACATTTCCTCGTAACCAGAGAGCGATTTCTCAGACTTCTGTCACTTACATCGAATATGGACAGTTGATTGATGTACACCCCTCGTAGAATATGAGCTCCTGGAGGAAGCTTAACCACCTTATTTTCTAAGTACTGATAAAGTGCTTGCAAAGAATAAGACTTTAGGGAAATGAAAAAACATAGTGAATGCTAATAATTTAAGCACCTTAATGCCTATATTTGGCCATGAGTTGCTAGGATACAGTTTCTTTCCATGTTTTCTCTGATATCCCAGTTTATTTTCATTGGCGTACGTCAACATGGAGAAGAAGGATATGTTTGTCATGAGAGGAAAGTGAATGATCCCGTGTGGGAGTTTCTTTCAAGTCCATAGGAGACAAGAAGATGAGGTGTTCCACTACTCAACTGAGTAAGGTTTCAGGAAGTAGACAGGATTTACAGAGCTGCTTGAAAAGTATAGGTGGGAGTTGTGGTGGTGGACTGAGAGACAGTGGAAAAAACTGTGAAACTTACCTTCAACCTTCAGGTGCAAAGGACACGAGCAAGTATCCCCAAAACTCCCGGCGCATAATACCACATAGGCCTAACAATCATAGAGTTACCATTTACAATTTTGACTGTTTTTAATAACATACCTCAGAGTGTCAGGACATGCAGTCTGTATACATTTTGCTAATCTTTGGAGCTTGGATTTGAATCACACTGGCGTTAAGCCTGGTGTGATGAATGGAACCCAAAACTGAGTAGTGAATTTAGTTTACTGCCAAACATTGATGTTTTGATTTAGGTTTATTCTATTGTCTTGTGGATTAAGTTGACAGTAACTCTTGACACATGTTAAAAACTGTGTTTCTTTTTGAAAATTTATGAATTTGGGGGTTCTTAAAAGTCTGGAAAATAATCTTTTGTGGAAGTATAGAAGTGAAGGTATCAAAAGGAGGCGTAGGTCAGTGTGCCATATCATTACACAGCACTTAACAATTTTAAAAGTATTTCACGTTCCTGACTTACTTGATTTTCATGACAGCTTTTTGAGACAGATAGGGCTAATTTCAATATGCCATTTTCTTGGAAATCAAAGTAGCTTTCCTATGGTAGAGATTGCTAGTGTTCACTAATACGTTCTTTATTTTCAAGAGCACATCATTAAATCAAATTCTCAGCTAGGAAAGATGAGGCAATGGTTAATGGGATGTGATTGGAAATGATGTGGAAGTGAGTGGTGCCACCTCTAGGCTAAGCTGTTTTAAGAATGGAGGTGGCTTCTGAAGACAGGAGGTCCAATGGAAGATTCCAGGAAGAGATGATAGAACCACTAGATGGAAGAAACTGAGTCTTTAAGTCTACATGGAGCAAAGCCTCCGTACAATTCACATTAAATTGTGACATGAATGAAACAATTAATGTTATTGTGTTCAGCTACTGAGATGGTAGACTGTTTATAACAGCAGTCAGCCTTCTCTAATCCACCTGCTGGCTCTTTACTTAGTTTATTTTCATTATTTTTTATTACTAATCTATGTAAGTGAAAATCTTTTATTTATAAATTAATGCAAAGCTGTTTGAGAGTCTGAAGAAGGAAATATGATCAAAAAGAGAAGAAGGAATTTTAGAGACCATCAGAGTCGGAATTTTCCAAAGGGAGAATAGTAAAAATCCAGGAAGTAGATGCCCTCAGTTCTGAACCCAGTGAGTATGCAATAGAATGATAGAAATAGGAGGTATGAAGGAAAAACCAACATGATTATGAGTTGAATGGCACTATTTCAAGACTTTTGTTGTTGAAATGCAAGCCAGTATATACTTGGTGTGAGATGGGACTAATATGAAGGAATAAAATAAAGTTGCATAAAGTTGCTTTTGGTATAAAGTTAGTTTAGATTACAGGAGGATTTGATCACATCACATTGAAAATGTGAAAGGAAGTCATAACCAACGTATTTTAAGAAAGCTGGCAAGTACTGAGGTAAAAATTGTTTGGCCTCTTGGAATCTGGTTACTATTTTACAACCTCAAAGGATAATTCAGAATGCTGTTTGTACCAATAAGTATATTCAGGCAAATCACCTTCAAATCCAATAGAATTCTTATGTAATGAAGGTTTCAAAAGACTTGTGAAATTTCAAGATTTATAGAGATTCTGACCAACCAGGAGAGGTTTGTTCATTTTTTTTTTCTCCTTTGTATGTTGCTGCTACTCTCTTTATCCCTTGTTCAAAACAGACATTACTATTTGATAATAGCACTCTTCTATTTTTTTTTTTTTTTCTCTAGAGAAGAACAGCCTCAGAATCCTTCTGAACATGGTACTGTAGACACTCTCCTCAGAAATTGTTTCCCTTGGAGGCAGCACAGTAGGATGGAGAGGAAGAAACCAATAGTGGATACGCATATGTTTGGATAAACGACCTCTTTAATCAAAATGTCATTTCTTTTTTTTTCTCTTCTCCCTTAGGTCCTTCTCGAATCAAATGAGTTAGTACATATTTTAGAACAGTGGCCATGGGGAATATTCGGGGATGTGGCCACGAGGAATAGTTTTGTCAAAAGCCATTTCATTATTTTTTTGAACTCCTTTCTTCTCATTCTTAGTTTACAAATTGTTTTCCATTCTGAACTCTTAGGAGAGAAAGATAATTTTTTCTTTCACATGTTCTCAGAGGCTTACTTTTGTGAAATTTACTAATACCTCCCTTGATGGAGGAAAAGACAGAAATGCCCCAGTCAAATCCATTTTTCCACTTAATTATTAAGTCTGCTTAATATTCAAGATTAAAATTGTCTGTTAAAAGGGAGGTCTAGGTACTTGAATATTCAAAGTCCTTTGGCATATTTTGAAAATTGAAATTAAGTAATGTCCTGTATATTTTTAAGTTGCTAAAAGAGTTTTCTTAGTTTTCACTAAGAGTAGATTTCACTATTGTGAAATTAATATTTTTTATGTCTTTTCTCTACATTTTTTGTTTTTCATTCTCCCCCCTCTGTCAGTTACCTACTATCTTCTTTCTTAATTTTAACATCGTTTTGGGCATTTTGCTCCATTTTATGAGAAACATATTGTGTTCTCTTGAATAAAATTAGCCCCTATGGATAAATTACTGACCATATGATTAAATCTAATTTTTTTTTTTTTTTTGAGACGGAGTCTTGCTCTGTCGCCCAGACTGGAGTGCAGTGGTGCAATCTTGGCTCAGTGCAAGCTCTCCCTCCTGGTGGTTCATGCCGTTCTCCTGCCTCAGCCTCCCAAGTAGCTGGGACTACAGGCACCCACCACCATGCCCGGCTAATTTTTTATATTTTTAGTAGAGACAGCTTTTCACTGCGTTATCCAGGATGGTCTCCATGTCCTGACCTTGTGATCTGCCCGCCTCGACCTCCCAAAGTGCTGGGACTGCAGACACAAGCCTCCGCACCCGGCCAAATCTAAATATTTTAAAGAAGAAAATTATGTAAAGTCATATATGTGAAAAAATATCCTACCTTTGTGACTTTGTTGCAGAAGGAGTTAGAATTGTTAGGAGAGGAATTTTTTTAATTTTTCTTTTTTTTTTTTTTTTAAGATGGAGTCTCGCTGTAACTCCTAGGCTGAAGTGTAGTGGTACAATCTTGGCTTACTGCAACCTCCCCCTCCTGGGCTTAAGCAATTCTCCTGCCTCAGCATCCTGAGTAGCTGGGACTACAGGCACATGCCACTGTGCCCAGCTAATTTTTTATTTTTAGTAGAGATGGGAGTTTCATCATGTTGGCTAGGCTGGTCTTGAACTCCTAACCTCAGTTGATCCACAAGCCTTTGCCTTCCAAAGTGCTGGGATTACAGGCATGAACCACTGTGCCTGGCCCAAATTTTAAATATTCTATCCAAATAAGTATTCCCTCTTCACTCAAAGTGTAGAAAAACAGTAATATTCTAAAGAAGAGATGAACCAAATAGGATATTACATCCTGTGTGATATGGTTTGGCTGTGTCCCCACCCAAATCTCATCTTGAATTGTACTCCTATAATTCCCATGTGTGAGGGAGGGACCCAATGGGAGATAATTTGAATCATGGGGGTGGTTTCCCCATACTATTCTCATGGTAGTGAATACGTATTACGAGATCTGACGGTATTATCAGGGATTCCCACTTTTGCCTCTTCCTTATTTTCTTTTACCGCCACCATGTAAGAAGTGCATTTCACCTCCTACCATGATTCTGAGGCCTTCCCAGCCATGTGGAATTATAAGTCCAGTTAAACCTCTTTTTCTTCCCAGTCTTGGGTGTGTCTTCATCAGCAGTGTAAAAACACTACTACACTGTGGTGCCACAGATTAACCCAGTAAGTCTTCAGGTAGCAAGAAATGAACTAATTAGTACAGAGGGAAAATATTCCCTTCTCTGTAGTCATATACTCTTACTCTGATTTTGTTTTCATCTTTCTATCCACACAGTTTATTTTTTATTTTTATTTTTTAATAATGATATTGGTATCAATTAGAGGTGGAATCATATTGCTGTATTTTAACAAGAAAGTTTTTTTGTAAGGATGATTCTCAGAGTCACTTTAGTGATTGCCCAGCCTGATTTAGACATCTCCATTTCTCAGGAGGAGTGAAATTAAAAACATTAATGAATCCATCCTGCTTCTAATCCATAATTTTGAAGAGCCTCTTTTTTGCCCCTGTATTAGTTTCTCATGCCCTGATTTATAAAATTTAGAACATTCTTCAAATGCATTCATGTGTGTTGATGGTACTAATGATATGAATACAGGCATAGATGTTTAGAGTGATAAAGTCATAGGCCTGCAAGGGACTTTAGAGATTATTTGGATAAAACCATTCGTTTTTCATGGATGAGAAAATTGAGACTGAATGTAGTTTGATGTATATTTTTTGGTAAATCTCCTATAACCTCATTTGACTATGGATGGATAGCTTGGTGTTCTACAAAAAGAATGTATCCATTGCAAGGGTTATTATGGCCTGTGTGTTATGAATAAGAAACCTGAAGAATACGTGTTTACTAAATGTTTTTCTTCTTACATAACTTTCTTTTTTTATAACTTATTGCTATCCAGATACCATCTTATATATATTTTTTTCTTTTTTTTTTTTTTTGAGACAGAGTCTCGCTCTATCGCCCAGGCTGGAGCGCAGTGGTGCGATCTCGGCTCACTGCAAGCTCTGCCTCCTGGGTTCATGCCATTCTCCTCCCTCAGCCTCCTGAGTAGCTGGGACTACAGGCGCCCACCACCACGCCCGGCTAATTTTGGTATTTTTAGTAGAGACGGGGTTTCACCATGTTAGCTAGGATAGTCTCGATCTCCTGAACTTGTGATCCGCCCGCCTTGGCCTCCCAAAGCGCTGGGATTACAGGCGTCAGCCACCACGCCTGGCTATATTTTTCCTTTTTGAACCACATCTGGATAACTCAGTGTATTCATCATTTGATCTTATGTACTGAAAGAATAATGGGATAAGGGAAATGAGAAGGATAAGAAGGAAAAATAAAAATACATCTGTCCCTTATGAAAACGATACATTTATTCAGCATTGTAAATTACTGATCACTCGCCAAGTAAGTGGACTAGGATGACTATTTATGCAAATAAAAATTGTTTTAAGCCACATAACTCTCATATTGTCATTATATAGCGAACTTTTTATTGTAATAAAGAATAATTTTGTAGGCATTCAGAATTTCAAAAAACTGTAAAAGTGATATAACTCAATTGTTTATTTTTCTGATTATTTGGGACATTATACATATAGATTATCAAAGACAAAGATTTGAACCAAGGCCTCTCAATTTTAAATCAAATAACCTCATCATCTCCAAATGTAGACACTGATGTACGTAAAGTTCTCAGGGAATATGAGTAGTATATAAAATGTGAAACTTACTCTGAGAAAAGGAGACTAGTTGAGAAAAAAAAAAAAACTCTTATTTTACCTAAGGACCTCTTATTTTGTTTACTTCAGAATTTAATATTTGCCTTTTTTCCATTCCACATATTTGCTTTGGATAGCAATATTGTACCCCAAAATGTCAGTTTTCTTGCTTGACATTAAAAAATTAGATCAAGGCTAACAGAGCCCACACTTCCATCCGACCTTGGCTGTAACTTCAGTCACAGTACACATTGTTGTTTGTTGATGTTGGCACCTTAGGAGGAGCATATCAAGTGCAAGAAGCCTCACAGACCATGTGGTTCACATCACATACCTGGAACATACGGTTTGTGTTGTCCTTACCAAACTTTATTTAAAAGGCATTCATATTGGTTTTCCTTTGAAAATGCCATAGTTTTATTTCTGAATCTGTTAGAAGAGTTTTTTCATTCCTCATAAATTTCTGGCAGAGTTTTGAGAGAAGCCATCACAAATTTTAACATAGAAAAATTGGGAGATCTTGAAAGAAAGCGCTTTGAAACCAAATGTAGGATAAGCTTGTTTTTTTTTCTGATTTCTGCCATGTATTCCAGAGATTCTCTTAAACCTGTAAAATCTAAGGACTGAATTTGATTTAGCAAACAATATATGTGGAATATTTTTTAGGAGAGTCTAGTGTTTGCTGCATTCAGAATGTATCCAGCATTTTCTTGGCTCTTTGGAATGGTATGAAAGGTCTCCCAGGATAATTTTAATTGATTTTTCTTTCAATCATGAGAGTGAAAAGCAATGTTACACAGGCTCTTCTCCCCCGGGGGAAATACCATATCTTACACATTAGCTTCATAGAGAAGTTAAAGTGTTTTAAAAGTTTGGTCTGGTTGATCTACTTTTGTTTGGTTCTCTTACTTGAGAGAATATAAAATTAAACTTCTGATAGCTAGCTTTCAACTTTTAACCCATGCCTTAGAGAGTTAGCTTTAAATGCGTCAAAACTTATTTTGGCTTCCTTTTTATTATGTAGTTTCAGTGACTCATGGATAATATTTTACCATTTCCTCATTTTGGTATTTGGTAACCTTCTACTTGGATGGTGGCTTGGTAGAGCCAAGTTTCTGGACCTCTTAGTCAAAATAACTCTGGTTCCGATCCTAGCTTTGCCAGTTGCAACTATGTGAACATGGACACATTTTTGGCTTGTTTGACCCCCCTTCACTTATTTCTAAAATGGAGCTATTACCTACTTTATGAAATTGTTGTGACAATGTATATTATTATATCTGAAATGTAGGAGGTGTTCATTAACCTATTTGGATCACTTCTGGTGAGAATTAGAACATGTGTTAATTCTTCGTGACATGGCTCTGTGTTGTGGACCTAAACATGGAGAATTTTCACTCTGTGCCTACATTCACAAATGCAACATGTGGGTTTGTATATACATATGTTGTACATGAACTCAGATTCCAAGTTAGCTGTGTTCAAATCTGAATTCTCCCCTGCATAACTTTATACTTGGCCAATTTTGCCTCCAAATTAATTGGTCACTGAATATTTTAAGTTTTTAATATGAAAACAACATGATGTCTTAAAGGTGGCAGTGAAGCAGACAAACTTTATTTTTTACTAAAGATGAAATTGAGTCATATTGTACGCTGTGCACTGAACTTGATAAAGAAGTTCAAGGGTTATAGATGTTTTGATAGTTTCTGCTTGCTTTCAGAGGACTGTTGACTCCCTTAGGAGAGTCCCTTAGCATTCAGATGAGAACACTTGTCTTTGAACATCTCCCCAAGAGCCAGACTGGACAGATGTTTCTCAAAATGAGCCGCTGAAAGCAGCTGAAACTAGAATTTCAAAGAAAACTGTCCAATCTGGCTTGAGTCTTTTATTTTTAAAGACATAATAAAGAGGAGCCTAGTGCTCGTTTGGCATTTTATTTTTATTTATTTATTTTTAACAAAAAGCACTGTATGTAAAGGTACTGCTTTGGGAAAGATTTCAGTCGGAAAATGAAAATGTGATTAGATTTGGTTTATTAATATCGGCCTGTACCTCTTCTGTGGCTGTGCTGTTGCTTGACATTCTTGAACACCTTTGATTCTGTATATTTCTCTATGGTGTTAGTTTGGTACACTATTTATTCAAGTCCACTGTTCAGTCAGTTTTAAAACAGGCCATTTATGGTAAAAAATCAGCCCAACCAGTTGATGGACATTATATAAAACCAAAGTATTGGCTGGTTTCCAACTGTTCCTGATGTGTTTGTTGCCTTGATATAGTTACATCACACCCAGTCTGTTTTACATGCAGCGTTTGCCCACAGGAGTTCTTCTGAAACTCCAACAAAATGGAAACATTGTGGCTGTGTATATTTTAAGCTCTCGTCTGTTGGTTTTGTTCCTGGAACCTTCAAAAATGATTTTTTTTTCCCCAAAATTCTGACAGTATTTGTAAAGAAAGAGTATTGCTCCATTGGGCCTTGCTTTGTCTCTACTCTCACGCCAAATATAATGTACCTTTTTTTTTTTTCTGCTTTCTACATTTATGCACTTCTTTGTAGAGGCCTTTTTGTTTCCTTTGAAAGATGGTTCCTTTCATCTTTTGCCTTTGTTTTCATTCACTGCCAAAGAAAAGCTTTCTCCTAAAGGCTCCAGAATATAAGGATGTCTTTTTATGAGCTCTGTCCATTGGAATAACAATGTAATGCTGTTGCCCTTGAAAAATATCAGGACAGAAGGGCATCTTGACATCCAGCCCCGGATGCAAACACAGCCCATCCCCAGAAGAGCATCTTTACAGGTGCAGAAATTCACTCAAAGCAATTTACTCGGACTGGGGAAAGCTGATCACTGTTTTTTCTCTCTCTAGGATTGTGAAGTTTGTGAATATTGTTTGAGCACATGCATATTAATCATATGCCCACAGAGAGCAGTAAAATCCTTTGAATGAAAATATTCATTGGGAAGTAAATGAATATAATTATAATTCGTAGAAGCACTTTTGTCAAAGTGCAATCTGTAACCCTTAAAATCAAAACACAGCAGGCACCCTTAATATTGTTCTAAATAGGTGTCTTCTTGTAAATAGTTTCCTGTTAATCAATCTTAACATAGCTCCCTCATTCTTTTATTATTTTTCAACATATATAGAAATTACTATAATTTGTGTATTAGTCTGTAAATGATAGGATTCAGTGTAGGTTAGTTGGAAAGGAAGAAATGAGTGAGGCTAGTTTTACTGAGCCCAGTACTATAACTGAGACCTTAGTCACATGATTTCCTCTGCAGTGTGAACTTGTAGGGGAAAGAAAGAGGGATATCATTGAAGGAAAGAGGAGTATCATGGGGTTTGCAGTCAGAGGGACTTGGGTTCCAATCTTGGTTCACTTGTCAGCTGTGTGACATTGAGCACCTTATTAGCTTCTCCCAGCCCAGTATTGCTCATTTGTAAAATAGAGATGGCTTACAAAATCATTGTGAGGAGAAGTGATGATATACAAAATATAGTTCTTGGGACATAATACTTGTTTTTATTTTGCAGAGAATTGGGTTTGCTGGCAATCACATTGGGAGTGTTTCAGCTTCTGTATGTGTATAATACATGACACAAAACGTTGGTAGCTTATAAAAAGACATCTGTTACTATCACAGATTTCTATAGGTTAGTAATTCAGATAGGGCGCAGCAGAGATGACTTTTCGCTGCTCCACCATATCTTAGCTGCAATGAGAAGACTCTAAGGAGGGGTGGGTAGCTGGAGTCTTCTGACCTTACCTACTCACAAGCCCACTGGTTGATGTTGGGACCTCTTGAACATTCGCTGCTGGTACAGTTAGGACTCCTCAGACACCTCCCTTTCTGTCTGTATTTGGTCTCCTGATGAGTTCTCTCTAGCATGGCAGCTTCGGAGTAGTTGGAACCCTTACGTCTTAGCCCAGGACTCCTGGTTCTGGTCGGGGAAGAAAAGGGAAGAAGGCAGAATGAAGACTGCCAGAAGGAGAGTCGGCAGAAGCCGTGTCTCCTTGCGACTTAGCTGGGAACTCACATAGCATCACTTCCAGCATACTCTATGGCCAGTGCTGTCACAACCCTGTGCCCAGATTCAAATGGAGGGAATAGACTCCCCACTGCTAGTGGAAGGAGACCTTATGGCGTGAGATATGTGCATCTTTGGAAAATATGACCTGCCATAGGACTGGCAAGAAGGACTTTTAAATTTTATTTCTTCCTCCTTTTCCTTGATGACATATAGAGGAGGTGGGTTCTGAGAGTCAGGTTGGAGCTGAATTGGAGGCTTATTAAAACCAGCCTGAAAAAAGTGAACTGTTTGCAAACAACTGATGTCCTCTGTAATTTCCTTTTCTCTCTCTCTCACTTATGTATACACTTTTTTTTTTTTTTTTGAGAAAGGAGTGTCTCCATGAAAGAGAGAGGCTTATCCAAGTTATGAATTAACATTTTTCAAAGAAGCTTAACTTTTAGGGTCTTATATTCTCCCTATGTTTTCATAAATTTTGCTTTCAAACCTGACAGTCAAATCATGAATGCAAAGTCAGATTTGAAGAGAATTCCTTCAGAGAGACACCACAGCACATGCAGAAAATACAGCTTTGTGTGTGGCACTCAAAAGTGGTATGCCTTCTTAAGCCAGATCCACCTTTTCTTCCAAGCCTGCTGCTCTTTTTTTATATTCCTCTTACAAAAGTTAAGATGTGGAAAATCATGTGGACCTATTAAGGCAGTGATTAAGGTAACTGTTGGAGTTATTGTTAAAACTCATCTCTCTAGAACCCAGGTTTAAAAGCCTTTAGACACTTTTTTTGGGAAACCTGCAAGTCATAGTCTTGAATGCTTGAAACAAATACTGAAAACAAAATAGCAACAGCAGAAACTCGCTTACAAAAAAATAAACAACAACTCAGAAAGGAACAGCAAAAACCTATGATAGGCCTACATTAGAAGAGCTAAAATAGTGAATATCTGTTTTATACACTTAACTGAGTGGGAAGAAAACATGTAATTAGTATTACTAAATCTTTGATATTTAATGAAAATATACTCAGACCTCCCCCATTTCAGCCTCCTTAATTTTCCTTAAATGTGATGTTCTGTTCAATGTTTTAAGAAAGAGCTTTGTACATCACCTGCTACACTAGGATAACATTTTGGCTTAACTGCTAACAACAAATTGCCATAGGCATAAATTAAGGGAAAAAAGGGTGTTAATTATTTTTAAATGTTTTTTATAATTTCATATAGTTTTCTTTTTAATTGCAAAAATGTATATGTTGTGTACCACAGGGGTTTTTAATTTATTTCTTATTGACATAGTACATATTTTGGGGGTACGTGTGATATTGGTGTAATTTGGATATGTATCCCCCCAAACATTTATGTTTTCTTTGAAAGGTGTTAATTATTTAAAGCCCAAGTTCAGGCTTCCTCCCTGGGAACTCCTGTTGTTAGTTTTTGTTTGTCATGCTAAGAATGGGTATATCCCGGTAGGAGTCGAAGTCTCATTGAAGAGGTTTAATAAATAAATTTACATTCTTATTTAGACTTCTCTCGTGCAAAAACACTATTTGTTGTTTACCTAATGCATAATGCATTTTTATTATGTTTTGATGAGTCACATACATTCTGCACATTGTGTGGTTAGCTTGTACTGAATGACAAAGGTGTCTATATCGCTATTTTGCTGTCTCATTGAATTTTTTACGTACATATGTTCATAAATGTGGGCTATGAAGTGATTTTTCATATTTAAGGGTTTAAAAAAAATCCTTGCATGTTTTGTGGGAAATGTTTGTAGAACTTTTTGGAGATTTCCATTGTCTTCTCCTACCGTAGTCGGTTGTTCAGCACCTTTTAGAGCTGAAGTAATGTACTGGTTTCCAAGAATGTAATAATGAAAACAGTAGATATTATGTATTTTAAGTGGGGAAGGGCAATCACTGAATTCTTATTGCTGTAGTTGCTTTTTATATTAAGTAGTTTGCTAGAAACAATAATGACAGTGGAGAAATGAATTTATATTCAAGGATGGGAATTTTCAGGTCATCTTTAAAAGAATGTTTGCAGTGGGGTATCTCTACAAAAGCAACTTGTCTATATGACGCATGCACATCGTTCAGGGCTGGCGGCTTTGCACCACCACTTTCTTCTGCTGCTAACCTGATCTTGGTTGGAGAAGCTTCTCCTAAGCAGTCTAGATACGTGTGTGTATGGAGATGGGGAGGAGGTACAGATTGAGGGACAAAAGCTTTTAAAGACATGGTGCTTCTCTCAGTGGAAAAAGAGAAGGCTGGGAATAACAGAATTATCTCAAGTTCTAGCAGCTTCTTGGTTAAACTGTTGCTTCAAACTAGCCTGTTCCAAAATATGTAAAACTGTAACCCACTGCATCTATGCCCTCTCTTTTTCTTTCTTTTTTTTTCTTCGCTAGCTATAGTTCTCTCAGTTTCTTATTTGCATTAGTAAGCATGTTCTTTAAGAAACAAACATGTAAATAAAATGTGTTTGCTTTGGTTATACGGACTTTACCATTAACTAAAAACTGATTTCTAACATCTAAAAGAGTTCATCTACACTGAGTGTCTGCGTCTATGGATGATTGATCAGGGAAGCTGTGGATGTGTTGGCATGAGGCGTGATTGGGAATGACGTAACCTTGGTAGAGGGCCACAGGCAGAATGTGGAGGACACTTGAGGGCACTAACAAAGTCAGGAGATAGGTGAAGGAAGGGAGAGGAGGAATACCAAAAAGTGACTGTTTCAAATTTTTGAACCTAGGAAATATAGGAAAATGTGTTCTTTCTCCTCTTCCCTTTCCTATCCTCCATTGTGTTGCTGCTGCTTTCACAGCATATCTTCTTCCAGGGCCCTGAAACTCAAATCAGTCCCGTGAGGCCAATCATTCGACTACATGTTGGATTTGTAAGCCTGCCATGGGCTAGTCTGGGACATTGTTTCCAGTGGAAAATTAGTTCTGAATGTCAAACAATGTATTTGCCAACAGATGCATATCATAATTTGTTCTGGTAATGGAAAGACATAGATATAGAAGTATAGGCATATTTGTATGTATTTATGTGTGTATGTGTGTTTATGTATTTATATAGTATCTGTATTTTGCTAGGTAGTATAATTGTAGCTGTGTGTGTATATTTAATATCATATATAGTATATAGATGTACGTACATTATGTTTGTGTGTATATATACTCAATGTAGAGATAGGTATAAATATAAAATTGCTATTGAATTTACTAGGTTCTGAAATGATACAGGCTTTGAATCTCATGATTGCACATATATGGAAAGGTGGGCAGTCACTTATGATGTCAGAAAGAGATTCAACACGAGAGAAGACACACCAGTAGCTGAGTGAGAAAACATATCCTGGGAGTGGTAGCCCTTTATTCTTGGAAGAGATGTAATTAAAGCTGTAGGCAATTATGTTTCCTAAGGTGTATTTTAATTAGCTTTCAAGGAGGAACAGGTGGTATCATTGAAAACTGTGGGTTCTTTTCAACATTGGTTTTCCAGTGTTAGCGCTTTTGCTTCTTACATACGGCTTTTAGATAAATTTTTCTTTTCAATTTCATTCTTTCCTTTATTTCTCTTGATTAATTAAATAGATTTTAAATAGATAATATAAATTATTCAAAATGATATATGTGTAATTATGCAGTAGAAACAAAAGAATCATAGTATCTAATATATAAAATATGATTTATAAGAAATGTTTCAATATTACATTTAATCTCCTTGTTACTGTACTGGATTACATTAAGGATTTTAATGAGATTAATTTGCTTTCTGGCCAATTGATCTTTTCTCTAGTAGACATGCAGTGTGAAATATAAGATATTGGTAATTAGAATTAGTACATTTGTGCATTTGAGAAATTTTTGTTAAATTGAAAGCTTTGTAAGGCACAAATGCCATATTTGCTCAACAGTCATAAGCTATCCAAAGAAGTAGTTGTAATGACTAGTGGAAGAAGAGCTCAGCAGGCAGGAACACAGAGGGAATGGAGAACAAAGCTTTCTTTGGCAGTGGTCTCAGTCATGGCAAATGTCTCTTGGGAGAAAACATCACATCACTATTCATTCTTTCACCTCTGAATCTCAGTATCTGTTGTAAATATTTATATTCTAAACCACATGTGTTTTTCCTGCAACATAATTGGTGAATCTTTTAAAAGATAATTTAGCAATTTGAAAGCAACATTGCCTCAGGAGTTGAAGGCGTTCTATGCTGTCTGACAGTGCATCCTGTGTAAAATTGTAGTTTCATAGATACCCGCAAGTGGTGAAAGGAAACTTTTGCTGACATCATTCTCTGAGAGAGCAAAGATAATCACAGTGAATATGAAGTGATGACCATCAAGGATCACACATTTTTCTCATAACTGTGGGAAAGTTTAGGAATTTTGAAGCAGTTTTAGAAATAGGAATTTGGAGAACAGTTATTTAAATATCTGAATTTCCAGATCAGAAATCGTATCAAGAGGATGTGATTTGCTGAAATTGCATGATAATGAACAAACTGCTTTGAAGTTGTGGGATGATGCTAGATGAGAATGCATCATTTTAGGATTCCAGAAATTCAGTAGGAAGCGACTAGTTTCTGCCTCTAAAGATGGAATCCTTTTTATAGGCTGTTGAGGCTAATGGTTGCTATTCCTGTACTACCACCTTCCATTTCTTATCGGTTTCCATCCCAACCCTCTATGTACTTCGAACAGGGTCATCTGTTTAACTCAGAAATTCCTGAGATTGTTTTTCTGATTTGCATTGTGACATGAACTGCTCTCGATATTATTGGCACAGTATTATTAATGCATATTTGCATGAAACATTTTATTCTTTACCAAAGCATTTTATTTTAGGTTGTTTAAATCACCCTTTCTACTACTGGACCCTACTTTTAATCCAGAGAATAGGTTCCAAACCATGCCATCAATTTTATGTTATTAGACTGGATATAAATGTGTTCTGTGTTTTTATGTATCTGTGGCCAAAAATATGTCATTTTATACATAAGGGAGTTTGTTCTATCAAACCATTGCAAAACACAGTGCCTTTCAGAAACATTTATACTACAAAGGTTTTGGGGAATTGGAGTTG
The DNA here is from genome assembly GCF_000001405.40 of Homo sapiens. Lineage (NCBI taxonomy): Eukaryota > Metazoa > Chordata > Mammalia > Primates > Hominidae > Homo > Homo sapiens. The sequence continues at coordinate 8,678,655 of NC_000009.12, read as the reverse complement.
ATAATTATCCTCCTCTTCGCTTTTGGAATCTTATCCTATAGAAAGCAAATATGGGCCAAAATACTGTATTTCCTTTATTATTGAGAAGTATTGATTGTTGACTTTGGCAGGACTGTCTTTTGCCCTCGTTAAACTTGAATTCTGGAATGCCCTGAAAGTGAAGGGGGCTGGGGGAGAGAAGACTGAATCAAGAAGAGACAAGAGAGTATAGATTCTCTCATCTCCTTAGATTATGACAAAGTTTTTTTAAAACTTCTATTAAAAGAGCAAACCATGTAACAGAAGGAACATAAGTGTGATGTGGTAGATGTTAACTTTTGGAAAACCGTGGTTTTGAAAAGGTCAAATAGTTGACATTAACTTGACTCAGAACATTTAATCTAGGACTCCCGGGGTCGTAAGGACAGTGAGGGTGGTGTGGAGCCTCGTGTGAAATGATGTCTGAATTGGATTTGACCTTGTTCACTCCTCCTTCCCTGTGCGCTCTAACAAGGAAGCAGTTTTCTGGATGTTTAATGCGTTCAAAACTTTCAAAAATATAACTCCAATTTTAAATTCCCATGTAAAGTTTTGCCTGTGTTTTATTTTCACACTTCACTGCCGGGATTCCAAGCTGTCACACAGAGAAGCTGTCAGCAGAGATAGCAGGAGAGAGAGACACAAGCAGCCTGCAGGCCTGCACCCACAAAGAGCCTCAACACCAGCAGAGGCTGAGATACAAAAGGCACCAAGACCCCCCACAGATCAAAATAACTGCTGCTGCTTTCCCCTTCCTCTGATTCATCAATCTTAGAACTAAATAAATGTGTTGCTCGCTTCCCAAGTGAGTCCCCGCTGCTTGTGGTGCCTGGGTCTGTTAATAATTTAGGGAGTACTACAGATTGTCATGGGGAAATCAGACATTTTGCTATTAAAGTGGTACTTGATGTTCCACTTTATGCCTTGCTGGTTTCTGATAATAATCTGGCTATCACATTTTTTAAAACTTTTATTTTAGTTTCAGGGGTACATGTGCAGATTGGTTCTATATAGATAAATTGTGTGCCACGGGAGTTTGGTGTACTTATTATTTCATCACTCAGATAATACCTGATTGGTAGTTGTTTGATCCTCACCCTCCTCACCCTCCACCCTCAATTAGGCCCTGTTGTCTCTTGTTTCCTTCTTTGTGTTTGTGTGTACTCAATGTTTAGCTCCCGTTTATAAGTGAGAACTTGAGGTGTTTGGTTTTCCATTCCTGCGTGTTAGTTCACTTGGGATAATGGCCTCCCACTCCATCTGTGTTACTGCAAAGGACATTATCTCATTCTTTTTCATAGCTGGGTAGTATTTCCTCATGTATATATACCACAGTGTATTTATCCTGTCTACTGTTGATGAACATTTAGGTTGATTCCGTGTCTTTGCTATTGTGAATAATGCTGTGATAAATGTATGTGTGCATGCATCCTTACGGCTCCCATGTTTTGATTGTTGAGATTTCCAGTTTAGAAATTATTAAGTGGAACCTGAAAATCAGTTCTGTGTTTCAGATCTTTAATTTTTTATTAAAGTGCAACATCCTTTATGGCTATCTTAGGTATGCAAGCCATTTAAAAATGCCGTTTGATTATGTCTTTGTCCATTATGGCTTTTTATAACTAAATGAAACGATTAATTTCCTTAATATTCACTTTATTCGTTCATTTCATTCAGGCATTCTTTTTTACAGACTTATTTTGGGTGCCTACTGTGTGCCAAGCACTCCGTTTTTTTAACAACAACAAAATATAGATGACAATGGGCCGGGCACGGTGGCTCACGCCTGCAGTCCCAGCCCTTTGGGAGGCCAAGGCGGGTGGATCACCTGAGGTCAGGAGTTCGAGACCAGCTTGACCAAAATGGAGAAACCCTGTCTCTACTAAAAATACAAAAATTAGCTGGGCATGGTGGCGCATGCCTGTAATCCCAGCTACTCGGGAGGCTGAGGCAGGAGAATTGCTTGAACCCAGGAGGCAGTGGTGGCGGTGAGCCGAGATCGCGCCATTGCACTCCAGCCTGGGCAACAAGAGTGAAACTCCATCAAAAAACAAACAATCAAAACAAAAAAAGAAACCCACACAAAAATCAAGTGGATGTGGTGGCAGGCACCTGTAATCCCAGCTACTCAGGAGGCTGGGGCATGAGAATTGCTTGAACCTGGGCGGCGGAGGTTGTAGTGAGCCGAGATCACACCACTGCACCACAGCCTGGACAACACAGCAAAACTCCATCTAAAAAAAAAAAAAAAAAAAAAAATGAAAATGAGCTAATGTTTGGCTGTGAATTTTGGTGGGTGTGATAGATGAGAAAGCTACTATAATGGAGGGTAAGCTCCTTAAGGTGGGCTTAGGGAGTTGTAAGAAGGGAATTCAGATGAAGGAGCATCTCTCAGCCTCAGAGGGTTCTGAAACTGCTTCATGAAGAAGGTGATGCTTAAAGGAGGTCTAGAAAGTGAGCTAGGCAAACAAATGCATGGAGATTTACATGCCAGGCAACAGTCTTAATATACAAAAAAGTATTAGGAGTAATGTCACTTATTCAGGGACCTGGAGATAGTTTGCTGTGGTTATTGTATAGGTTTGTATGAAAGGCACTCACTATTGGTCAAAATGGGATAGAACGACGGGGCTCAGGTCATAAATAGACTTACCTGTTAGATTCTGAGGGTTGGAGTTGATCCCGAAGGTCAGGGACCAGGAGCACATTGCAGTATGTCACAGAGGGAAGTAATGATGGGATATGTTCTTTAGAAAACATACTCTGACTTCACTATGAAGAGTGTATCAGAGTAGGGATGCTACTGTAAATATAGATAAGTTGGAATGCTTCTAAAATTGCCCTGGTTGTAGAAGGCAAGAGACTGAATCAGAGTGGGGACGGCAGGGGTGGAGACAAGGTGATGGAGATAAGATCTGTCTAAGATGTTGAAGGCGACGTGAGATGATGGGTCCACAAGCTTAGTAACTGGAATGTTTTGATGATGTTGAAGGAGGCACAGGGCTTCATCATGTCTTGGATAGGAACTTGAGGTATTGAGTGTGATGGAGGGAATAGGATTGCCAGGCGTGAGGTTTTTTTTTTTTTTTTTTTTTTTTTGTGTGTGTGTGTGTGTGTATGTGTGCATATGTGTGTAGTGTGTACCTGGAGGTGGGGGTATGACATAAAGAAATACAGGATTACATAGATTTAGGAGGGGGAGGAGTGGGGTTTTTGCGTGAGACAATACTTACGTTGAAGCTCATCTATTGATTAATGAATCTGTAATAGTCAACATTTATTATACAGCTCACTCTGCAGGATATGTGATAAAACCTTTGTATTTCCATTTCATAGCAATTCCATAAAATAGGTACAAAAATTTCCACCCCTCACACTTGAGGAACTAGAGGCTTAGAGAGGGCAACATCCTCAAAGACACATAGGGGAGAAAGGTTGGGAGCCAGATTTCAAACCCGGGTGGAATCAACTGCGGATCTCAAGCATGTAAACATTATCTCATGAGGCTTCCCATATGTCCCAAGTGTATGCGACATCCACTTAATGCTATCTGCATTGGTGCTTAAAATAAAGAAGGTGGATGTTGACATGTATTTACTGACCACAGGAGAGAAAACTTAAAAGGAAAAAAAAATATACCCTGGTTATTTCTTTTGTAATTTACAAGGCTTTTAAAATTCATTGGAGATTAAATGCTATTTGACAGTATCTAGATTTACAGTAATGCTCAGAAGTAGGAGGACCTTGGCTAGTTTAGTGAAGGAAGCAAAAAAACCCCAAACAAACAAAAAACACATACAAAAAACAACCCAATTTGGAAAATAGTGAAGTATAAGCTCATTTGGAAATGGACTGTGACCTTGTGAAATGAGAAGCATTTTTTTCCTCTCTGAATGTACCTTAATCATAATCTAGCCCAGGGGAGCCAAACATTTTATATGTTTTAACAAGCTAAGTGATTTTATAAAAGTGCTGTTAGAAGGATTTATTTTAATTGGATGTTAAAACATACTGGTCTTAAATCACAGCTAGTGCCTTACTTAGAGCTCTTCCAGGTTAGCTTTCATAAGTAAAGTAGCAGAACTAATTTTTTAGCCATCAAATAATCCTTAGTATTGGAATTTTACTTATTTTTGCTTGTATTAACTTCATGCTTTTTTTTTTTTTTTTTTTTTTTTTTTGAGACAGCGTCTTGCTCTGCCACCAGGCTGGAGTGCAGTGGCGCGATCCCGGCTCACTGCAACCTCCGCCTCCTGGGTTCAAGCAATTCTCCTGCCTCAGTCTCCTGAGTGCCTGGGACTACAGGCGTGTGCCACCACGCCCAGCTAATTTTTGTGTTTTTAGTAGAGACGGGGTTTCACCATGTTGGCCAGGATGGTCTCAAGCTCTTGACTTTGTGATCTGCCTGCCTCGGCCTCGCAAAGTGCCGGGATTACAGGCATGAGCCAAACTTCAGGCTTTTTAAATGCTTGAATTGCACATTCAAAATAATTTTGGATGCGTATATGTGTGTGTGTGTCTATGTGATTTTTTGTTATTCCCATTTCATATTTATCACATCTTTATTCCGTCTTAGCTCCAGCAATGTGACACAGTGAAGGGAATAGTTTTACCATATTGCAGTGGGTCTCCACCTGGTGGGGAAGTTGTTTCCCAGGGAATATTTGGTAACGTTTGGAGACGTTTTTGGTTGTCAGAATAGGGGGCAGGATGTGCTACTGGCATGTACTGGGTGGGTGTCAGGGGTGCTGCTGAACATCCTGCAAGGCACAGGACAGCCCCAATGTCAATAGCACTTATAACAAATCATGCAGCCCCCAATGTCAATAGCACCAAAGTTGAGAAACACTACTTCAGTGCACTCGTTATGCCAATTGAACATACACAAATAGAGATATTTTCCTTAGCAGCTAAATTAAAAAATACTGGTGCTGCTTTGCATTCAGAATAAGAGAATAAATATACGAGGTCAAGAAATTAGAGGGATAAATTAAAAATATAGAAAGAGAAAAACATAAATGAGATACATTAAGGAGAATTAAAAATGGAATAGAAGGAAGAGGCAAAGTCATCTTAGTAACCATTACCCAGCTGTCTGTTATCTGGAAGGCTTAAGAGAGTGTAAATAAGTGGCAGTTGTGAGGTTCATATTTTCTTTTATAGTAGGAAAAGTATATGCTATTACTACTGTTATTATTAATAATTTATAGAGCATGAAAAATGTGTTAAGTGCAGTGCAGAATATAGACTCAGTCACCACCCAGAGGGTTTTAAGCTTATAATTAGGCAGATGGAGCCAACTCAAGCTTAGGATGGGGAAAATAGGTGACAACATGAGAAAGAGGTCATAACTTGCTTCAAATTTTGTTTTGTGCAATTTCTACTTACGTTTCAGTTAACCTTTAGCTGTGCGTATGTGTGTGTTTTCCTTTAAATGGAGACAGCCGCTGTGTTTCATAGAGAAAAATACTTTGAGAGATGATCTGATATTCTCAGAGAAAAAAAAAAATCAGCTAATACAAATTAGCTTGAAATATCTATGGTAAGATGTGTAAGGATATCTTAGTAGAAAAAAAATCAAGTGTTTTATGAAATACCTAAGTTTTGCAGGTTTGATAAGCTCATTTTAATATAGGAAATGGATAGGAGGTTTCTGATTCTTTTCCATATAAATTTTCCAGTTACATTTATTTGCTGTGTCTACTGTTTTTAATTGGCAGAATTGAAACAGAAAGATTGAGAGGATTTAGGCCTCTAAAAATACACCCCCACATACCCACCCACCCCCCCCACACAGAGTACAAAAATTAAGATGTTGGAAAATGAAGGTATGTTACATGTTCCTTGCTAACTAGGGACATTATATTTAGGTCCTTAACTAAAAATTTCATAATCAGTTGCCATTTTTATCTGTTCATCTGAAAGGAATACTATTTCAGGGACAGTATGTGACATCATCTATTTGTGAAGTGGTGCTTTCCTAAGAGTATTTAATAACTGGAGATTTGTTCATTAGAGGATATTCAATTTCTAACTTTACACCCTTTTTAATATTTTTAAGAAGTGAAATAGCAAATTAATGAGTAATTATAAGAAGGTAGAGTTAAATGTGTGTTACAAGGAACCCTAGCATGTCACTATTAATATCTGTAACATCCTGCCCAACCCTAATAAAGCACGAAAGATTACATTTAGACAAAGTTGAAGGTCTGAAATGAAAATTTTAGTCAATATGTTTTGTAGATATGTGTAGTGTCAAATTCTTTTGGGGAAAATTAATGTCTGTCTCAGGTGACTTTTCCCTTTAATTTGCATTTGGTATCATATGATGAAAACCCATTTGCATAAACTACTTGAATCTCATTCTGTTTAATTAGAGAGCTTCTGTACTAATAAAATTATTTTCACGTCTCAGCGAAGAAATGGATTTAAGAAGATCTAGAGGTAACTTAAACCAAGAAGGTTACATCAAAGGTTTTATTAGTGTTAGATTGACTTCAAATTGTCATGAACATGAACAGTAAACAACCAAAAAGATGGTACAACACAAATAGATAATTTAACACATGTATGAGGAGATAATAGCCTTAACTGGTAATTTAGTTTGAATGAAAACTTGTGAATGAAAACATTTTGTACCCATGAATGTTTATGGACTCGTGAGATGTTTACCTTTCCTGATGAATATTTGAGTATGTATGTAAAGAATGTATCTTTTCCAACATTTAGTTACTCCAATATCTTTGAAATTGTCCAAGAGAGTTTTCAAAGGATTCAGGACAAATAGTGCAAAGTATAAAAATAGGGTCCTTTCTAGATACAGTTCTTTCATATGGAACCACAAGAAAGGCACGCGGCGTGTTTTCTAAAAGTCGTAAGTTGCAGCTTTTGATGCAGCAGTCTCTTCAAGCAATAGGTGTGTAAAAAATAATTTCTGGAGATTTCTTTTTAGGTCTATGCCTCTTTAAATGTGCCCTTTTAGGTTACTGGAAGTGAATGTATTTCCGTATTCAGTGTAGGCATTTCTCTGATTCCTACAGATAAAATATTTGGCTAGGTACATTTTTAAAAAGTGGACTTTTTTTTCTAAACTGCTTTACAGTTTAGAAAATGGATTCAGGAAAATTCTAGCAATAAGTTTTAAAAGTATACTTACAGCAATAAGCTTTAAAAGTATCTTTAATATGTTCTGTATCCTGGGCGAACTTTCATTCCCTTTTGCTTCTTTTAATTTACATGATACATATTTCCTACCATTGTTACTTTTCCCCTTTTCCAAAACACCTTTTCAAGACTTACTAATTTATATGCCTTCCACTCTCATTTTACTTTAGTTGTATTTTAAATTCATTTAGTGAATATTAGTTTAGGGATGATACCTTGCATATATTTTTAAAAAATTAAATGAGAAGTATCGCATCATTTTTCTGCAAAATTAAGTTGTTCAAATTTTGGGTTATTCGTTTAGAATACATTTATTTTCTATTTTGTCTTTATTTTGTTTAATTGTATTCTTCACTTTCCTTTTTCAAGCTGATACTCTCCAAGCACACTGTATAGGTAGAAATGGAATATACAAGAATGTCTCTATTGCCACAGTATTAAGTGAAGGAAACATCCTCCCCCCACCTCCACATCCACACACACAGGCTGTGTTTGTCCTCACACTTTCAAGAAATTTTTGCCTTAATTCTTCACCACCTACTTCCCTTCAATCTGTCTTCCTCCGGAAAAACTCAGCTGCTCTCTCAAATGTACCAGTGATCCTCTCTAACTACTGAAAGAAATGTGCTTTTACTGGGTCTCATTCTCTGTCGCCTCTCTGTAGCATTTCACATACCCAGTGGTCATCCACACCCCTAGTCTTAGTTCTTCAGTGCTTTGGCAGGTGACCTATTGTCTTCTTGCTATTGGGGCACTGAATCTCTTTTTGTCATCCTTTCTTTTGGAACACTGTAAATGACATCCATTTCTGTCAACTGAATAGATTTTTAAAAAACAAATTTTATTATGCATATTTAAAGTTTAGAACGCGAAAGTATGGGATACTTATAGATATATAGAAACATATAGATAGCATAGTGGTTACTGTTGTGAAGCAGATTAACATCTGTCATCTCACATATTTTAGCTGACAAAAGCAGGTAAAATCTACTTATTAGCCAGACACAGAAAGCAAAATATTGCATGATCTCACTTACATGTAGACTATAATCCATACATTCAAGCTGATATAGCTATAGTAACCACTGTTTCATTCTCTGTGTAATGGATGTAATACACAGAGATACAGAATGAAACAGTGGTTACTACAGGTCAGGGGAGGGAAAGGAAATGGGAGATATAGGTCAAGAGGATACAAAATAGCAGATATATAGGACGAACAAGTCTAAATATCTAATGTACCACATAATGCCTAAAGTTAATACAGTTGTGTCTTATTAGGGATTTTCGTTAAATAAGTAGATCTTTTTCTGATGCCTTTTCCTCCTGCCCAAGTCAAGGGGTTAGAGAAGAAAACCATGGGTTCAAAGAGTGAACTGTCCCTCTGTTAGTGAGCTGAGTGATTTTTGATAATTTACTCACTTGTCTTACTTGATGAATTAAAAAAAAAAAAAGAGGCAGAAAACACCGACCCCTATAATCTTTCTCTTTAGCAATCTGAACTTCTTTGGCACAAGTAGGAGAGGAGAGAGAAAGCAGGACATCATTTCACAGGGACTTGCAAAGTTCTTGCTTGATATTTGATTAACTTCCCACTCCTCCTTCCTACAGTACTGCTCACTCTCTAGCTTCAAACCTTCACAGGCTCTACATTATTCATAACCTCCACGTTATTCATAACCTCTATGACTTCTTTTAACTGGCATTCCAGGTGACCCACCTTGTGACTCCAGCCTACTTTTCCTGGATTATCACTCACTTGGTTCTTGGACAAACCTATTTCTCTACTCTTACTCTTCTAATTTACTGTATCCTAAAAGGTCCTTGTCTCTCTTTGAAACTTCCAGATTTGCATGAGTTGGGGTTTCCACGACTTCTCCTTGAGGTGACTTGGATAGCACAGCAGCCTATTTCCTTCCACTAACCTTGGTGTCTTTTTATATGGGAGAATGGAAAATACTAGGGACTTCCTCCAGCCCCCAACCCAAACTCTAGGGATGGGATTTCCCACATCCTTCTCCCTGGTACACCTCACCACTGTCTGTCTGTCTTTCTGGTATGGACTGCATATTGGGTCTTATACCCTCAGAAATCTCTATAGCAGAAGTGAGCGCCAGTCTCTCTGCTCAGGTCTACCCCAGCCTTCAGGAGATACATGGTAAGAAACTTCTTTTCTCCATAGTGGAGGGGGAGTAAAACAGATAAGATGCCATATTCCTGAGCTCTCTGGAAGCTCTCCTTGAAATTCACCCCGCTACCCTCTAGTAACAGTACCAGAGTGGGGCTGTGTGCATCCAACCAAGGAATAAGAGGCCACTGTCTGCCTACATGCATCCCTAATCTTCTGAGTGCTGATTTTGAAACCTCATCACTTTGGGGCAAGGAGTACCTCCCTCCCCTTTCCCATAGAGAGGAGAGAGAATTGAGTCTTCTCTCTCTCCGCTGAACTCCCCACAAAGCTGTTCAGTGCTCCTCTTTGATCCTCTTCTTGTGACAGCTGGGGAAGGGGTGGACAGGCTGAGGGGAGGTACTTGTAGCAGGATCTGCTCTGGTATATTTTGGTCTGAGCTCAAGGTATGTAATTGTTCCCACAAGCTTCTGGCTTGCTCACTGCAAGCTATCTCTAACTTTTGGAATACTTTGCACTTTTTGTTCTCAATTTCAGATTGTAGACACAATTTTGAGACTAAGAAAATCCCTCTTGGAATTCTATTATAGTAAAGATTCGAGTTTTAATTGAAAGACAGTTATGAATCACTTAACACAGTGCATATACATTGCAATTTTCCAAATATTTTTCACTATTTTTATTGTTTTCGGCCTGCATTTTTTCTTCTAGTAGTAATTTCACCATCTCTTTATATAATTGACATTTTAAACAAGTAAATCGTCTAGTCTTTGTTTTGATGCAGTCTCTTAGTATTACAGTTAAGATTAAAAATCAGAAATTATCTTATTCTATGTAAGATGGTACTTTCTGGAACGCTTTGCCATACAGTTTGGCTTAATCTTGCAGTTGCCTGAAAGAGGAAGCACATGGAAAACTGTGGTGAACATATGTGTCTCCATGTATCTATCTGCATGTAATTAGAATGAAACCTGTCGAGTTTGGCTGAGTTTGCAAATTGAATATTCACCTAATTTGATCTATTTTTTGAACATCTAATTAAAGCCTCTTTTAGGTTAGAAGAATAATTATGATGATAAAGAATAGATTTTACTACAAAGAATAAATGAGCATGTGGCTTTCTTCAGACCTAGTACCTCTTTAGGTAGCATGACACTGTTCTTGGTGTTGCTTACATTGAGTAAAATGGTGCTAAAAGAGTCAGTTACCACTGGAATTTCTTTCCAGGGTGATATATTTTTACACTAGCACAACATGGTAGCCAGTGGTCATTGGGTATCTTCACTTTTGCAAAAAATTAAAAGTGACCAACTTAACCCCATGATTTATAGTTTATTTTCTAATTAGTGATCTGTATATTTTATTTCTTCTTAGTTTTTATTTTATTTTTATTATTTTTTACTGGGCAACTTCTCAAGCCAGAATAGGCTCAGAGAGACTCCCTATTTTCTTAATTTTCTTACTGAAACTGCATTAATTGCCTGTAGAATCAGGGTAATTATGATACAGGTTGAGTATTTCTTATCTGAAATGATCGGGACCAAAAGTGTTTCAGATTTTGGATTTTTATTTTATTTTATTTTTTTATTTTGGAATATTTGCATATACATAATGAGATATCTTGGGGATGGGACCCAAGTCTAAACACAAAATTCATTTATATTTTATATTTACCTTTCATTTATATTTCATGTATGTGAAATTTCATATAAAATTCATTTATATTTTATATGTCTTATATGCATTGCACAGAGATAATTTTATGCAATCTTTTAAATAAGTTTGTGCATGAAATGAAGTTTCTGTTAAGTACTTAGATGTGGAATTTTTCACTTTCGGTGTCATGTCAGTGCTCAAAAAGTTTTGGATTTTGAAACATTTTGGATTTCAGATTTTTGGTTTAGGGAAGCTTAACCAGTACATGAGGATATGTTGAACTGGTTGGATTTAAGAAACAAGATGGAAAAAAAATTGAATTTTCTGGTTTTGTTTTATTTATTTATTTAGAGACGACGTTTTGCTCTTGTTGCCCAGGCTGGAGTGCAATGGCATGATCTCGGCTCACTGCAACTTCTGCGTCCCGTGTTCAAGCGATACTCCTGCCTCAGCCTCCCAAGTAGCTGGGATTACAGGCGCCCACCACAACGCCCAGCTAATTTTTGTATTTTTAGTAGAGATGGGGTTTCGCCATGTTGGCCAGGCTGGTCTTGAACTCCTGACTTCAGGTCATCTGCCCGCCTCAGCCTCCTAAAGTGTTGGGATTATAGGCGTGAGCCATGGCGCCTGGCCTTCTGGTTTTGTTTCAAACTGGCCCTCCAAATTCCCTTTATTTTTGTGTATAATTATATTAAATAACATTGTTATAGATAATGTGCATACACAAGCCACAATGCTTGTGTCTTGTTAGAGATAATGTATGTACACAAGACACAATGCTTGTGCTAGTGTGAAAATATTAAGTTTTTAGTCGTACATCAGTTTGAGAAGGCGGAGGTCATGGATGGCCAAAGTGATATGTATTGTTGAATCCAGGTGGTGTAGCATTCACTCGAGGGGGCAGTTATGTTCTGCTAGATGTCTGCAGAAAACTCACAGGACATTCATTATACTGGAAACTACTGGGATGTAGAAATAATAGAGTTTAGTGTGTTGTACAATTTTGTCTCCTGTTATCAAATGAGTCACCTAGAAGTTTGCAGATCTATTGGCTAGAGGAGTGCATGTATTTTCTCTTCCAATTGTCTTAGAACAAATTTTTAGATATTGAGAAAAAGGTAGTTTCTGTGAAAGGAGAGTATTTGGCTTCAATTTTATTGCTAGAATTTTATGAGGCAGTGACACCTATAAGGGCTTTCTGATATGAAGCCATACGAATTCCATTCAGATTATGGCTTTCATTTTTAAACTATCTTCTCTTTTTTTCCCTTTCACATAAGATTTTTATGGATTATCCCAGGAAAATAACAGAAATAGAAAGAATAGTAAGCAGATCTCTAACTATTCCTTCTGAACAAACCATTTCATTTTATCCTGCATTGAATGTTGACTTAACACTTAAAATATTTGAAATGAATCATAATCAGCATTTTAGTTGTAGGTTCTTGTTCTAGTATGTTTAATGATTTGCTCAAATGTTGACACTTTTCTACAGCAGGGGAAAAAAATCTTCAATTTAAATTGTTGGATTTTTCAACCTGGGCCTTTAGTATAAAAATATGGACAAAATAGCATATTCTTTTACAATACAAAGCTGTAAATGCTGATAGTTTTAAATATAAAGTGATTTTCATTCAGAAAAAAAAAAAACAGTTATGAAACGCCTAAATGTGCAGTAATAATTACGGGGAAATAATTGTTCAGTTCTTTAGTTAACACACTTTATTTCATTGGAACACTTTGAATTAATAAACATACCCATGCATTTTTTTGTGACAGTAGTAACCACAGTGTATCTTATCAGATAATTAACTTTCACAAACATAATAACAAGTCTAAGGAGTAGCAATGACACTGTTACAGTAAAGTATTTCTTTGGATATTGAATTTTTAAAAGAACTGCTTAAATTCAAGCTTCTTCCTTCTTGCAAAGGGACTGTGACTTTTGTTACTATGTGTCATGCAGGGGCATTTCTGTGAAGAGAAATAAAAGTGGGGTGAAGGGAAATAATAGAGAAAAAGACAATAGGAAAAGCAGGAAAACAGATTTGGCAGTAAGTGTATACAGGTATTATGAAAAGTAACATCACAACTCTGGATTAGATGGGTAGAATGAATGTCTAATAATATCTGTATTGATCTTTAATTAGGGTAAGTGACTTAACAGTTGAGCTTTTCTTTCTAATTCAGGTAAGCTGTCCTCCTCTCAGTAGCTGTTCAAAGGATCAGCTCATGGAAAACAAAAACAAAAAACCCTGCCTTTTAATTCTTTTCTCTGTTTTGAAGTAATTACATTAAAAGCAAGCTCCAGATAATACAGTTTCAAGTGGACATCATGCTACTCCCCAGTGCAATGCAGCCAAGTCTACAGAGGGGAAGGGCTGCCTACAGTGGTTGTCAGAACAGCTGGGAGAGTATTAAGACCTGCTGCATTTTCGTGGGGACACAATGGCTAGCTTAATATTTGTTTCTGTTTTTCATAGCAATTTGACACATTTGAAACAAATAAACAAAATCTTACTTTTGATTAAAAACTGCTTGTGAAAGAACCACACCCTCCCTCCAAAAAAATTCGAACTCAGTTTTTGAGAATGAGCGAACATATTTTTTTTTTGCTGCTTTACTTTTATTGCTGTAGTTTGACAAAATCAAGGTGCATTCTCTGATAGATTTTAGTGTTCTGCTAAGAAAGCATGAAGTATTTTGCATTCTATCACTCAATTGTGTGTAGTTGGTGAACATTTCCCAGACTGTGCCAATTGAATTAGGTCTTCAGTGTACTGTTATTGTTAGAAGTTGAATGGTTAATTCTTCCCTTCTTAAGCTGAAGTGTACCTTTCTGTGATAAAACCATGGGACTCAAGAGATTGCATTTAAAACTTGGTGAAAAACTGAAAAATTTATTTATCTTTGTATATGAATATGACTGGGGAAATATTTTAAAGCAGCTTCTGGCTGTATGCAGGAATAGTGTAGTGTGGGGATATATACAATGTGAGTCATTACTGTGTCTCAGCAAACATGCATTTAAGAGGATTATATACCATAAACACCAGAGCTATCTGGAAGTATATGAGCTGGTGGTCTCTGCTCACTAGGAAAGTATAGATTGACTGGCAGGTGTAACTTTCATGCCACTTGGCTGATCTATCACATTGGAGGGAGTACTATATAAAGGCTTGTTTTTCCATGCTTCTTGGTGTGCAGTTTGATATCAGGGATGGGTGCTTGCCTTGTATTTGTACCCATAGTGCTTAAACAACAATTTGCCTTTATTGAAGAAAAGATTGGCAGCATCTACACACTTGTGTTCTCTATAGGAAAATGTCCGTATTCACTAAGAAAATTTTGAACCTTGATGGTCACGGTTAATATGATTCAGAAGAGTTGATAGATACACATGATGGTGATGAGAAATGAGAAGGAATATGATGCTTGGTCATTTTTTTAAAGGCTTATTAAGAGAAGATTCTGATATGAATCTTGAATGGATTTATTTGATGATAGGTGTAAACGTTTGCATATCTTCAAGTTTCTAGTGAAAGTTTGGAGAGGATGAAGAGCCAATTGGTTTTGCACTGTGTTGTAGTGTTCAGTCTCCAGATGATGTTGGTTAAAATAAAAGTTAATATCCTCTCGACATGGTAGAGATAATGAAAAGACTGCAGGAAATATTTTTCCATGACATCCGGAAAGATCTGTAAGCAGTGTGAAATATCAGAGATCGTCTTGGGAAACACAGTGATTTAAAAAACATTTTCCGCCAATTATTTAAGCTTGCTTTTTTTTTTTTAATGCACTTTGAAGACTTAATTGGTAATATCTACACTTTAATTAATCATTTTTGTGATTTCATTTAAGCAAATATAGTACCATCATGTTTCAAATATACTATTAAAGGCTGGGCACAGTGGCTCACACCTGTAATCCCAACATTTTGGGAGGCCGAGGCGGGCAGATCATTTGAGGTCAGGAGTTGGAGACCAGCCTGACCAACATGGTAAAACTCCATCTCTAATAAAATACAAAAATTAGCCGGGTGTGGTGGTAGGTGCCTGTAACCCCAGCTACTTGGGGAGGCTGAGGCAGGAGAATCACTTGAACCCAGAAGGCGTAGGTTGCAGTGAGCCAAGATCGCACCACTGCACTCCAGCCTGGGCAACAGAGTGAGACTGCCTCCCAATAAATAAATAACAACAACAAAAATACACTATTAAAATCCTCAATCACAGCTATGCTTTTACAATCACATGCAGAACAAAATTTCCCACCTAACATTCAGTGACAGTGATATTTTTTTTTTTAGTTTGGTAAATAAAAAGTTAACCAAAATTTTAATTTTCTTAATAGTAGCTTTTTCCTTGTGAGTCTTTTACCTTGTGGACCCAGAATTAAAAAAAAAAAAAGCCAATTATCTCAATACTAGTTTCGTTTTGGAAAGAAAAAAAACAAGATTCTTGGGTGTTCCATTCCTCAAACATGTTTGAAAAATATTCTCCTCATTATAAGAAGTATATTATTTAAAAAATTAGCTTTCAATCAAAAGACCAGTTGGAAGAGTCAGTTTCAAAAGCTCAATTCCAAATAGTTTTTATTTGATAAAATAAAAAGTATTTGACTTTTTATACCAGGTTTTATCATTGCTAACAGACTAATTATTCTGAGAAGTTTAGAGTTATCCAAGTGTATGAAAACAAAACCTTTTTATTTGTATATTCCAGACACCAGGAATTCCTTCCCTGGTGTGTCTCTACTGACTTTAGATAATATGCTTAGCATTTAACTTTTATATACATATGTAGAAAGAGGTTTCCTTTAAGATAATCATCATAAAAAGGTAAATGTGTGTGCCACAGAACCAAAATTTAAAACAGTTGTTTTCAGAAATGAATTTGCAAAATGGAAAAAAAATATCCATTTTAGTACGGGATAAAAGTTTGAGAATCACAAATTCAGATGCTTACAGGGTCCAGATAAAAGTGAAAAAATGGTCCTGATTTGAGGGAAAGGCAGTAGGGAGTATTGGGGCCTATGGTGAATTGGTGAGTCTATGCTACTGGGATGAACAAGTAGGAAGTGAAACCCTTGTGAGGGTTAGGTTTGGAGGTTGGAGAAAAGCCAGAGGATGAAAATTTCCATTTTTCCTAGGCTGTATCAGAGCCCTGAAGAGTTGTCTACAATTAGACAACAGGTGTGGGCTACAGATAGACTATAGTTGTATGTCATCTCTTCCCTGTTGTACCCAGACCATACCATGAACATAACCAGCAGCAGAGATGCTTCCTTGTCTCTTGATCCCAAGATTGGTGTTCTTCCTCAAGCATTCTCTTGTCATCCTGTTCTTGGAGTCTGACCTTTGTTTGTTTGTTTGTTTGTTTGTTTGTTTTCCAACATAGCAGTGACCCCGTTTCCCCAGTAACAAATGTAGGGACCGATTTTGATCTTCCTTTTGAGAGTTTGAACCTCGGTGCTCTTCATATACATTTATGTAATTAAACATGCAGTTGTGACTTGGTTGTCTCTCACTTATGTAAAATACATCAAATCCTCATAAGTTATTGTTCTTCTGTAGGTTTTGAAAAGCTCTATGAAAAACAAAACAAAAAAAAGTTGGCTCTGGTGGTATGCATATGGAGTCCCAGCCACTCAGGAGGCTGAGGGTAGAAGATCACTTGAACCCGGAGGTTTAAGACCAGCCTGGGCAACGTAGCAAGGCTTTACCTGTAGAATGAATGAGTGAATGAATGAATGAATGGGTAAATAAATAAATAAATAGATCCGTGTTGTAGACCAAATACTTAATTAGCTGTCCCTTTCAATATTTAGTGAAATGTACAAAATGCTATGAAGTTTTAGAATTAACCAGGAGGAGATTTTTCATTTTTACTTTACTATAACTGCATAGGTCACAAGCACTCAATAAGTGTCAATGGTTGGAGAAATAAAACACAAACACAGAAATAACTGTGAAAGTATAAATCAACATTCTTATCTTGCTTTTCTCAGCATATGGCAGAGTAATAGTAGAATATAATTGCTGATGGTATTGCAATTTTTTGTTTTCTGCTTTCATGCACAAAATTTTTAAACGTTAGTGAAAAGGAACAAGTGTTGTAAAATTACAGCTATTCTTACCTGTGTTAAACTTTTAAAGTGAACTTTTTATTTCTTTGTAAACATTTTATATTCTAACACTTTTATTGTTCCTAGACATTAAAATTTCCCTTTGGAATACAAAGTCATTTTTTCTATATGTCAGGCATAGTACTGCCTTGATACTAGATGTGGAAATGCCCCCACTATAAATACAACCTTCTGCTATAATTGGTAATGAGAAATAAGAGACTGATTTTGAATACTTGACAATGCAATTTAGAACAGTGAATCATATTCCTGGGCTGAACTGTGTATTGACCATGATGAAGAGGCGATTTCTCCTTTAGGATTTTCTCTGACCATTATAATAAGGTTTGATTCTTTTTAGTGTCCTCAGGCCAGGTAGATCTTTATGTCCAGAGCATTTTTGTCTCTTCAGCTTGTAAGGGTCTGGCATATGAAAAAGAGCAGGGTATTTATAGATACAATATCTGAACTTGGGACTGTTCTATAACCAGAAAAATGTCTGATTTTGAGAACAATAAGCCTCAGATTCATCATCTGCAAAAGGGAAATGATACAAGCTCTTTCATAGCCAGAGTGAGTGCAAGTGTTTGTGTGTGTGTGTGTCTCAGTTAAATGATAAATCTCATGTGATTTTCTGAGGTCTGAGATGCCATATGAAGGTTAGTTTTTAGGGAGTCATATTGCTCACTGTTACTGCTATCCAGGACAACTGTCAGGTTGTGGAAGGTCCTGTAAGTTGATGGAAGGAATGAAATTTAAAAAGGTAAAGAGTAAGTGGAAAGTCAAGAGTCCTTGTATATAAAACCTTACTTCTTTGAGGTTTGCTTTTTGATTGCTCTGCCTGATACAATATAGGGCTTAGCAGGACCAAATGCAGAGTATGTGAAGTCATTGCAGAAGAAAGAACAAGTCCAGTTTAGTTTGTGGTTTCAGAGGTGGAATCATGGCAGTCTGCCAGGGTCAAAAGGAGAAGTTCACTGAGGGGCTGGGAGCCAGCTGGGGAGGATCCTGGAGGCATAACTGAAAATGGGAGCCAAAGATCAGTAACCAATAAAGCAGACTCAGTAATAGGAGACAGGAATGTGAGAAACAGTGTTTTTTATGACTCCAACTAATTTGGATAAGTGTTATCTTTTTGAATGCATCTGACCCAGTCATCTGCCACCAGTGGGCTTAACCCTCAAAGCACTGTTACGAACGGAGCCACACAGAATCAAAAGCGGAAAAGGAAAACAAATAATACATGCAAGTCCTATAACCTTTAAATATTTGTGATGGTAAAAAATAAATCCCTGTTACGTGTATGGCTATTATTGCTTAGCTTAGATTATTGATTCTTCTATAGGATATGTGCCTGTGTAAGACAAGAGCATGTACATGCTATATTTCAGAAAGATTTCAACCAAATGTGGTTAATATTTGGGGAAACTGAGGTGGGTATGTTTGCTTTTTGGGAAAATAATTTCTGAAAAACACATTTGCAATTCATTAGGAAGTGGTAATGACTATGTTACACATTTTTGTACCTGAGGAACAGAGGGTGTCTCCACCAATTTGGATGAAGTTGTTTTGAACAATTCTTTTTCTTATAATAGGTATGATATTGCATTATCTTTTGAACCAGTCTCTCTCTCTCTCTCTACATTTATTCTTCATTGGTGAATAATTCCTTTACACTGCCATGATAATATTCTTTCTCTAGATCAAATATCATCATTGAAGAGGAATGATTCTAATAATTTAGAGAACGTTGATATTAATTGTAGTGACATCTAAAACCATAGGTAGAAAATTTTTAAATTTGGAATCCTTCTTTATTCTCAAACAGATCCCTGTAAAATGATGAAATGGCTGTGAACAGCCCCATATTTGCTTTAAGGATTTCCTTCCTTTTCTATTTGCCCCAATCAATTACTTCTGTACCCTCTTCTTGGTCCAAGACCCCACAGATGGGAATCCACTCTACTGGTATTTAAACTTTAGATAGCTTGTTACTTCAGAACATGGTGTAAAATAAGTTAGAAGTGATAGAAACCTTCAAAGATATATTCCTGGATGGAGAGGGTTAGAAACCTTTCCTCTTGACTGGTTTTTATTTAGTAGTAGTATTTGAAAATACTGATGGTCATGGTGATAACAACAGGTTGGAATCTGGAGGACTCTTGATGGGATAGTGTAATATTTTGGCTCATAAAATATGGAATTGTTGCCTTGTCTTAAATCAGTTTTCAGCTGGAACATTTTGTGACTTCTCTGGCATGGTAGCCACCATCTGGCCAACACAGTCTCCTGAGATTCTTGCAGCCAAAGTGTCTCAGCATTCACTTGAAGAAATTCATTTTAAAAATGTCTCCAAATCCTCAAGGACCATGGCTAGCAAAAATGTGGATATGCATCTGAGAGGCATAATTATCATGCCCCTCTCATTCAGAAATGTTCTGCTTCAAAGGAATGGCACAGTGTCCTTCTTGATTTTGTCACTTTTTTTTTTTCCAGTTACTTCTTTTGACATTGTTGAAGGATGAGAATAAGTTCAAGGCTTCCTAAGGATGAAGGAAGCAAAGGGCCTGCGGCAAAAATATAATCATGAACGATTAGAGGAGATGCTATGTAAAAATTGGCACTAAAGCTGGATTTTGGAGCCTCATTAGCATTTTAGTTAATTGTCTAGATATCCATTGCAATTGTATTTATTTATGTTGGTCATTTTATATATCAGGGATTCCGTATCAAGGAAATGTAGTATTCCAGCCTTCTTGAAGGAAATACTCTACAATGGTAGAAATAGATACCGCCTCATCCTTTGTAGCTAGGGTAGTGTTTCCATCTAGATACAAAAAAAGGACAAAAAAAGGAGAATTTCTGACTTGTCTTCACCTTTTTTTTTTTTTTTTTCCAAATGTGCTTTTATCTAGATGCTGCACAAAATTGCAAAACTAATTATGGGGCCAAATTCATATTATTTTGTGGATCTCTGAGGATACGTATGAGAGAATCTAGTCCTCTTGGAGGAAATACTGAAATCATTTTTTAAAAATAGACATATTGGCTACTGGTACTAATAGAAAAATATCTTTCTTGATAGTTAACTTATTAAAAACTGCTCATTGAAGCTCTCAATATGTCCTTTGTGGGAAAAATTGCCTTAATGGGAAAGGTCAGAACAATTTAATAGGACACAATGTGAGTTCTGAGAGGGACTCACAGTGGTTCTCATATAGCACTTGTTAATTTACCAAATATTGAACATTTATTGCAACTAGTAGTAAGGATTTTAAAAATTAAATTGCTATTTACATATAAACTTCCATAATAATAGGCTTAAGAAAACATCAGTCCTTTATAGAGCTCCTTTAATTCCCATAAAATCTGTTATACATGTTATCTGTGGGTGTTCACTGCTATTGTAATTAGGCAACATGTTAGGGTCCAAATAAGCTGAAAAGAATCAGTTTAACTTCTACATTTTCTGCATTATTCTCTCAATTCAGTTATTTCGGGGAGAGATAAAAGAACAAAGCATATTCTCTGTACATCATTAATTAAAAAGACAAGCAATATTTTGCTGCTAAGATTTTTGGCCAAGCCCAAATAAATTTGTGAAATCCAGAAAAAATAATTTGATAATTTATTATAAAGTATTACAAAAGGATGTAAAACATTATTATAAGAAATAATTTGAAATGAAATCTAAATTGTTATGATCATGGAAATAAGTCAGTTTAGTTAGATAGACTTTTAGTGAGAGACTACTGTGTGCCTTTAAAAAAAACCCATGTGCCAATTTCTGCAGAGGATATAAAACTTAGACTTAGTAAAATGTATGCTTTCCTTAGTACCATTCAGGACATAGGCACGGGCAAAGATTTCATGATGAATACCCCAAAAACAATTGCAACAAAAGCAAAAATTGATGAATGGGATCTAATTAAACTAAAGAGCACAGCAAAAGAAACTATTATCCAGACTGAACGGATAACCTACAGAACGGGAGAAAATTTTTTCAACGTATTCATCTGACAGATATCTAATATCCAGACTCTACAAGGAAATTAAACAAATTTACAAGAAGAAAAAACCACTATTAAAAAGTGGGCAGGCCGGGCACGGTGGCTCACGCCTGTAATCCCAGCACTTTGGGGGGCCAAGGTGGGTGAATAGCCTGAGGTCAGGAGTTCGAGACCAGCCTGGCCAACATAGTGAAACCCTGTCTCTACTAAAAGTACAAAAAATTAGGTGGGTATGGTGGTGGGTGCCTGTAATTCCAGCTACTCAGGAGGCTGAGGCAAGAGAATCACTTGAACCCGGGAGGCAGAGGTTGCAGTGAGCCAAGATTGCACCATTGCACTCCAGCCTGGGCAGCAAGAGTGAAACTCTGTCTCAAAAAAAAAAAAAAAAAAAAGTGGGCAAAAGACATGAACAGACACTTCTCAAAAGAAGACATACATGTGACCAACAAACATATGAAAGAAAAGCTCTGCATCACTGATCATTAGAGAAATGCAAATCAAAACCATAATGAGCTACCATCCCTCGCCAGTCAGATTGGTAATTATTAAGTTTATATTTCTTAAAATTAATAATTCATAAACTTTCATCTTTACAACTTACTATTGGTAATGTGATAATTTCTGTGATGTAAAGCTATGTGATTTCAGGGTGTTCCAGTTTTCTTGTACAGTGACAGGTTGTAACACTCTTTGAATTTATGACATATCAGCTAGTTTGTCACTGACATCCTCATCTAAGGAACTGGATGAGTTAATAAAGTGAGCAGTAGGGAGTATTCCCAGAAACCTTTCCTATACCGGAAGGCCAGTAATAATTTAACTGTGAACCATATAAAGATATTCTGCTAAATCCAAAACAAATATATTTCAATTCAGCTTCCCTAGCTGGACCCTGCAAAATTTCCTGTAGCTTTCTAACACCACTGTGTGTGAAGGTAAATAAGAGTGGCCTTCAAATGCTTGGGAGGGAAATACCTCACTATTACAAATTGTATAATGTATTTGACCATGCCAGTGTGACGTGTGGTACCTATGCAAGGAAAGGGTCCTGAAGCTGAAGCTTCCTAAGGTCAAGGTAAATCTACTTCTGGCCATGAGAGAGGCCAAACAGTGATACATGAGTTCAGAGCCCTTAGAAATGATATTCGATTGGGGATTAGAAAAGATTTCACCCAGGAGAAGGCATTTGAGATGGCTCTGAAAGTGGAATCAGCTTTCAAGAAGCAGGTGTTTTAGTGAAAATATTTTTGAATAATGGAATAGTCTTAACAAATACACAAAAAGGTTGTAAAATTTTAGTATGCTAAAAGATCATCTGGAGGAGACATTTGTGACACAAATTCCCAGGCCTTACTGTGCCATTCTGATTCAGGATCTGGTCTCAGAGAATATGCATCTTTAACAAGTAACAACAGGTGATTCAGTTGTGGGGGGCTGTTGGGCAGTATTTTGAAATAAAAATGTTAAAAAATGTTTTTTTCATAAAAGGCTAGGAGTCTGATTTGTTTATGAATAGTGAGAGTTGATGCTATCTCGGGTAAATTAGAGATGTAAAAAGTCTTGTCTGATAGGTTTAGCAAATTCTTTGAACAGGACTTTCTCTTCTGCACTAAGTAGGCAATAGTAGCGAACCATGGAAGATTCTCGAACAAGGTCATGGCCTGATTGCAACTGCACGTTTCTTGGATAGCACTGTCTATTTAATGGTTTGGGTGAGTTTGGAAAGACCAGAAGTAAGAATAAGCAAGTGCTGCCAAAGATACAGTAATATAAAAGAAAAGGGTGAAGGAGATATTAAAAAAAGAAAAAAAAAAAAAGCAAGTGGGAATGGTTGAGAGAGTCATGCTCTAGGGAATATAAAAAATAGAAAGATTGTGAAAAAGTTCATATATGTGGCATTTCCAGGGGCTCTGCTGGTGATTGAAATATATTTGTTCATTAATTACTGACTTTTTCAAAGCTTTATGTTTAAATCTCCTTTATGTTTTTCTATACACACCTTCATATTCATATTGTTGTTTAAAATTTGAAGTTCAGATGTTAAAGATCTAAAGTTGGTAAAATGAGGCACACTATTTCCAGAAAATGCTTTTTATTATTCAGGGGTGAAGGACCACTGTGAATTTAAAAACAAATTATGTTGTTGCAGCTTTGCTCTTTTTAACCCCTAAGTTACAATAAATTCTGGCCACAAAACAAGACACATCAGCCTTTCTGCGATCAAACTATGAATTCTACTTACAATTATAAAACACATTTCCCCAAAGAGGCAGGGGAGGAAAGCAGAAGTTGTATTTGTTGATTATTTAGGTGCCTTAGAGAAGTATCACATGTGAAACCTGCTTACATAGGAAACCTTCCATGTCTTTTTGGATAACCAGAGAGTTGAGTACTTTATCAACTAGGCTGGATTGCCACTTTGTGAAGACTATCCTCTCATCTTTCCTATTTTTTTAACTATTTAATTTTTTTGAATCGTTGATTGCTTGTTGTTAATCTAATTCCAATTACATTTACAAGTTATGTTTAGGAATCTTGAATGAATTCCTATTATCCTACGTTTTAGTATGTGAAATTGTTTTTCTTATGAAAAAAACAATCTTGCTAGAAAGATTGATGAAGATGCTACAGGGAAAGTCTAACAGAAAAAAAGAGCTAATAATATCACATATTAGGGTCAACTTGAGAAGCTAGTACAGTTCTGGCAAGTTAATGGTCTTGAACAATATTGCCTTCCTAATGACTAAAATCCAAGGATAAATAAATACATAGGAAGGGAAACCAATTACTGTAGTCATGTATTAAGTTTATTTTTTACCAAAAATAATTATTGGTTGTTTCACTTAGGTAATTTTTCTTTATTATAACCCTTAATGCTTATGAAAAATTGAAAATACATTTAAGTTTCTGGCAGTTTGAATTTGACAGAGGGAATATAATCTTTGTATGTATCTTTTTTACACTGGCTTACATGTATATATAATGATTATATAGCTTTGTCAATAAAAGCATAAGTAGGTGCCTAATTCATAAGTATTTCTTTTTCTTGTATTTTGGCTTTAACCAAATATGCTCATATGTACAGGGTATATGCTTAAATCTTATGAACTCGTCGTTTACTCCATAAACTTTAGTGGAAGCATGATCCTTGGTGAGCGTTGTAATATCGGAGGAGTACCCACTACATATCATGCCTTTTGTTGGCTCACAGTCTAGCAGAAGAGAGAGAAGATGAACACTTATAAGCTAGGTGAAATGTGCAGAAATTAAAATATTTAAATGGAATAGAGCAGTACCAAGTAGGGGGTAGTTGACTATGTTTGGAGGCATCTGAGCTAGGGTGACCAACCATCCTGTGGTTTCTTGAGATACAGTCAGTAGTTTTGGTGCTAAAACTTAGGATGTTTTCCCAGGAGACATTTGATAATGTTAGATTGTCACAACTGGTAGCTAGGATGTTAGTGTTATCTATTGGGTAGAAGCCAGGGATGTTGCTCAATCTCTTGCAATGCACAGGACAGGCTCTACAACAAAGAATAGTCTGACCCAAAATGTCAGTAGTGAAAGGCCCTGTTTTAAGGGGAAGTAGCTGTTAAAGAGGAAGAGAGTGAAGGTGCTGATTATGTAGGGAGATGGGACAATTGATGCACCAAGGTTCCTAGGGCATGGCGAAGAGGTGGATCAAGAGCACAAGTGAAGCAATTGGTCTTGAATAAGATAAAGGGAAAAATGGTTTCTAAGTTAGAAATTCGTATACAGTGAATAGGATGTGACTTGCCATCAAGTTCATGTTTGATGGCATTATTTTATCTGTTGATGTAGGAGGCAAAAGCATCGATCTCTTGGAGGTGAGAGGTCAGTGCAGTGCTGATTGCTGGAGAGTAGTGAAGGGTGGGAGGTTGATTGATAGATGACAGAGGGGTATAGTTGAGGCTGTAGATCATGAATTTGCAACGGTACTAGCCCTTACAGTGTTGTGATTTCTCAGGCAAAGCTTAGCCATTCAGAACAGACTGGGGATTCTTAAGGGAAAGGAACTGTGTGGAAATATACTAAAGGGTTCAGGACCACTGGTGGGAGCTGTTTGACTGTTTGGAACATGGGATGGGTAGTGAAGGATGGCAGAACCTTTATATTGACCCTTTAAAAAAATAATGACTATATTACCGAATGCTTTGTATGTAATCCAGTCTAAGTAAAAGTATAACTGTGTTGTTTTGCAATTTCTAAACACTGTTTTTGTCTTTCCCTGTAGTTTACTTTGACTTGGAAAGATGCTCTGGCAGCCCCCAGAGGCCATTTATGTAGCGAATTGGAGTAACTAATAGATATTTAATTATTAACTGCAGCCCATCCCTTTAGATTTCTCTTTTGTCTTTTTCCCTCTGAAACAACAGCCCTGAAAGGAGATCTACTTTCATGGCATTTTTAGATCCATCTCAAAAGGCAGCTTTTACTCTGTCTAGGTTACCAAAAAACTTCAGACAGTAAAATTGAACAAAGGTGCTACAGAGAGCTTTAAAGCACCTTTCCTTTCATTAAATTAGTGACTATGACTGGGTTATATAAAGATGGAGGGAAAGAAGCAGCATGTATCACTCAACTTTTGAGATCCCAGAGGCTTTATCTTTACATTTGGTATGGAATAAAGGCTTATCTCACAATAACCTGCAGACCCCTTTTCTAATTCTCTAAGATTAAATTCATCTAGAATCTCATGTGTGTGACCTGGCATACATTCCCAAATGCTTCTGTTACTCAAATACAAGAAAGCATTTTCTTCTTATCATCATGATCTGTGGACACTAAAAAAACACTTGGGATCTTGTATCTAACACTCAAGTACTTGGGATTACACATTCATATTTTAGAGTGGTGCAAAAAGGCCAATGTTATTATACAAGTGGAATCCCTAGTATTTATAACAGTATTTTTAGCTTCTAAAGCTAAGTCCAACCTGGGAGGAGGTCCTAAAATGGTGTCATTCTGTTGTAGCCAGCATAACCTGGTCAGTGCAGCTCTGTTGGATGAAAAGCATTGCTACAGCATGTCTTAGTCTGGCAAGAGGCTTGGGTATCTGCAAATGTGTTCTAAGGATAGCAGGGGGCTGGGCCCATCAGCTGTCAGCCACAGCTTCTGTTTATGCTGTGAACAATAGCCGTGTGCCAGGGCAGTAATTATTGGTTGATTTTCCTTCTAAAATAAGTGTCCTAATAATTTGTCACAAAACCAACTTAAATTGCTATGATGTTGCCTGCAATAGTTAAATTAGGGGAAAAAGAGAAAAAAGGAAAAAGAAAAATCCACCACCAGAAGTGTTTCAGTTTATTTCGGCATGCATTCTATATTGGTAAATAGTGTCATTAAAATCTCATTTGAAGGTTTTTCAAAAAGTTTATTTCTGTGTGGGAAAATCCTTTGTTTTCTTACCTAATACCCTGAGCTGTAAATTAGAGGACAGGGGAAAAAGTTAGCTGGCAAATAAAGGTCCTTACTGTCTGTGCTTCTTTGGAAAGCCTCCCATATTCCTGGGGCTCAGATAATGTGTTTCTCTAGAAAAGCGTGCATAATCGGCACTGAAATGAGCTGCTACCAGGGTCTGCACTGCCTGGGGATACAAATTAGGGACTTGATATTTGAAAAGTAATCCAACTGAAAATTGTTTCAAGAATATTCGTGTAGTGTTACCTTGTGTCTATAGTGCCAAGTGTTATCCAAGTTCTCTTACCAGGAGAGGTGAAATGCATATTCATGTTCACAAATTTAATGCCATTTGGAAAAAGGTAACAAAAAGATTGGCCAAAACATAACAGATTTCGGTGAGGGAGAAAAAACGGCCCTTCCCCCTCTTTGAGTTGATTTTTTAAATTTGTAGTGTGTATGTGTTTCAGTTCACAGAAGGCAAGAATGAAACATTTTCTCCTCAGATTTAAAATGCTGTCATGGAAATGTTGATAGAGTTATTTTACAGAGATGTAGCTGGGAAGGAAAAAAAGCAAAAGAACTACATTACTGCATTACACTGTGTTCCATCTAGAACTCATTTTATTAAAGTTCTTCATGGGTTTATTTCCATCTACAAACCAAGGAATCGTACCCTAGCCTCTATCCGTGTGCCAGGTTCCGATTAACATCAATTTGAGTTCTCTGTGTGGACAGAGTTAGTTCATGGCCTTGGGTTATCATCTATTATTATCACTGCTTGCTTGTACATGCCTTCAGAGCCCGAGCATAGAACCAGTTGTCATGCTTTCCATCTTTTGTACCCCCAAATAGCTCACTCAGGAGAATTTGTGAATGGGCGGGGCCACTGTGTGAAAATGCAGAGATCCATCGTGGTTAGCAAGATTAAACGTGGGGAGACATCTGCAGAACGCTTTTCTCATAATCATCTTGCATATATGAATATAGATTCTTTCTCTTCACTCTAAAAAAGAATTTGGATATTTGTGTAGAAAAGATGGACTTAATATGTAAAATAAATACCGTTTGGTTTCTTGCTACATGTGCTCAATTGGAAGTATACCAGAAAATAAGAATTTTAATATCCTACAAAATGTTATTGGTTCTAATGGTTACCTGATACTGAATGAGAATATTTGGAAGCCTGCAAATCATTGCCAAATACTTTTCAGCTTAGAGCTTTGGGTCTGCAGAGAAATGAATTAAAAAAAAAAAAAGAATGCTAAATTTAGTGAAAAATATCTGGAAGGGACATAGACACATACCTAAAATTTCCATAGGACCAAAAATAATTATACTTACTTTAAAAGGTATTGAATGCCTACAACATGTTAGGTATTGCACAAAATAAAACTGACATGAACCTTATAAACTTAGAATATGATCTCTGTCAGGGTATTGGTCTAAATGTGAATAATGCTGGGCATTTTTCAGTATATTTTTTAAGTCACTGTTTCATTTGCAAAAACACTGGTGTATAGGCAAGTCAACTTTATTTTTTACTTTGCCTTTTATGTTTCCCGTTGTTTATCCATCACGTATCCACTTTTTTTTTTTTTTTTTTTGGAGGCGGAGTTTTTTGCTCTTTTTGCCCAGGCTGGAGTGCAATGACACGATCTCGGCTCACCGCAACCTCTGCCTCCCAGGTTCAAGCGATTCTCCTGCCTCAGCCTCCCGAGCAGCTGGGATTACAGGCATGTGCCACTGTGCCTAATTTTGTATTTTTAGTAGAGACAGAGTTTCTCCATGTTGGTCAGGCTGGTCTCAAACTCCTAACCTCAGGTGATCCACCCACCTCAGCCTCCCAAAGTGCTGGGATTACAGGCGTGAGCCACCGTGCCCGTCCACATATCCACATTCTTATTAATAAGTTGCCCTTGCTGAGTGTGGGCTCATGCCTGTAATCCCAGCACTTTGGGAGACTGAGGCCGGAGGATCACTTGAGCCCAGGAATTTGAGACCAGTCTGAGCAACATAGCTAGACCCCATCTCTACAAAACATTTTAAAAATAGCATGGTGTTGTGGCATGTGCCCATAGTCCTCGCTGCTCGGGAGTTTGAGCTGGGAGGATGGCTTGAGCCCAGGAGGTGGAGGCTGCAGTGAACCATGATTATGCAACTGCAGTCCAGCCTAGGCAACAGAGTAAAACCCTGTCTCAACAAAAAAACAAATTAAAACATTAAAAAAATAGCCCTTAAAGTAAAATGTTGCGTACCAAGAAAATATTTTTAAATAGCCAAATATTTAAGCATCTTATCATTGGAATCATCTAATATTTTAAAAGTCATAATATTTAGAAGTTAATATTAATTATAGACTTTCCTTAGGAAATATGTATTGTAAAACTCTATTCTATAATTAATCTTTGTAATAAAAACTCAGGCAAATCACTTTCCATTGTATTTTGTGCTACATGAAACATTTTTGTTATGTATCAAAATTGTGTATCTATAAAAATGTTTTTTTGTTTACAAAGATTTCTTATAATACACTTCTACATTTCTCCAGTAAATACAATCAAACATCATTTTAAATCTGTTTTATTACTCATTGAAAGTGTCTGCATGTGTACACACACGTCTCCCTTCTGTGTTATAGCTACTTTGGGGATATAGTAGCTACTTTCACTTCCCAAAGTATCTTGCCAACTTAACCAGTGTGCAGTTGATAGATGAGAAGTTGTGGTCAGCTTATCCTGTAAGATGGATCTATCTTAAAAGAAATGGTCTATGTTTTTGTAAGTTGTGGTAATAACTCACTTTGGTTGGAAGGCAAGCGTTACAAAAATTCATATTGGCTCAAAGCCTTTCAGCTCATACAGTGACACCAGCAGATCTTCTCTTTGTGGAACTGGTTTACTACTGTTTCTAAAGTGAAGCTAGTACAGTTCATCACACTAGTTCCTCTTAAAAATTCATGTAGTTGATACACTGGAAATATTGTATAGAAGAAGTGGCAGGATATTCTGGAGTTTGGCAACATAAAATTGGGAAAGATGGCATTGTTCTTTATTTTTCTCTTTCTTTCCCACTTCAGTTTTATCCGCTCTCATGTTCCTTTTCAAATAAGCCAGTTACCTTTCCTGTGTGACCCAATTTGCAGGTACATGATAAGCAGCAGGTTAGAATAGAGAATAAATGATTATTTTTAATGATGATCAGCACATCTAATGTGATAAATTATGATTAATGAGTAAATTAGCAGTGGATGATGTAAATGAATCTGCTTTGAAAACTAACTCTACAAAAAGATGCTAAAGCATTGGTAGAGGTTCTTTTTGGTCAAATAGTGTGTCTATATTAAATGGCTTCCTGAGTATGTTACCACTTAAAGGAAATATGAAAAAAGCTGATAAGCATTGTGTCATTTGCCTACATCTCTGCTGAATGAGCCTGGGAGATTGTATGTAATGCATAACTTTCTCATCTGTTTCAGTATAAGGGCCTTTTATCACTCTATTGAACAAAACGGATGCACAGTCTGAGTATTTTGAATGCATAAATAGGTAGTAAGCAAATCTAGAGGCTTAATGTGGAAGATGTTAAGTGAATGTCTAAATGGTGTTGCTGATAACATGTTTTCATTAAGAATGCATGACTATGGCATAAGGAATGGTAAGAATGACTTCACAGATTTTGTCTATGAGTGATTCAAAACCACTTAGGCCATCTTCTTGAAATTTATGTCACTAAACCAGTGGTTATTTTGAGTGTCTTACACCAAAACAGAATGGCCAGCCTTACTAAGCACATCAATAGTTCAGGAAGTTTTATTGCCCGGGCACACAGAATGTAGGTGATTGTTTTTGTCATAATATCCCATGACTGTTTATTAAATAAAAAGTTATGATGGTGAGATCATACAGTTTTCGTTGCTGTAAAACACGTGTTTATGATCCAGGTATTATTATACCTTGAATTATGACAAATTTCCCTCAAACATTGGAACATACCATTTCCACTTTTCTGCTCTGACCCACGTTATGGTCTTCATGCATGTGTATTGTCCTGTTGTAATGCGTGTGCTTGTGTTGTGAATAGCAGAAGCTGGGATTGCATGCTGTTCTGGAATGTGAAATAATCCCAGGTGAGATCAGAGATGTTGAAGGCAACTGGCAGGGAAGTCCCATGGTGGCAACTGGAATGGAGGAATGGGTATGATGCGAGAGCTAGAAGGTTGGTCAGCTGTGCTAATGGTCTACGAACATTTACTGGTTGCTTAGTTTGTATGTAGACATTGTGCCAAATGTTTGCAATTCATTATTTTGGACAGTGGATAAAAATATGGCCAATGATAAAGTATTAAGTTATAGCTTTAGCAGTGGTCTAGGTAATTGGACATTCTGACACATTGCTGCTATGAATATATGAATTATTTTAAAAGTATAATTTGTTAAATATATCAAAAGCCTTAAAAATATACTTTTTTGAATTCAGTAATTTTACATGTAGGAGTAATTCACATATAGGAATTACATATATGTGCAAAGATATGATTACAAAAAAGTTTTGAAGTCTTTTTCTGATTGAAATAGCAGAAACAACCTAAATGTTTAACAATAAATTTAAATGTAATCTTTACTCTTTATAATATAAACATGATGAATTTATTTGTGGTCATAAAAGATATTCACAGTATATTCTAAATGAAACGTTGGTTACAAAATAATGGTACGATATAACCTCTTTCTTGTTAAAAAATATGTAAAATAAGCATGGAAAATTCTTAAAAGTTATTCATCAAGGTGATCACCATTAGAATATCTCCTTTCAACTCATGTACATTTTCTAATTTATAATAAATACGTACAATTAGAAGAGTAAAGTCATTTTACTTAAAAATTAAAAACACAAAAGGTGGTAGAGGGGAAGAGAGCTCTGTGATGACAATGAGGTGGAATGATATTCATAAAAGAGAAAAGACTCATCACGTTATATTATGCTTCATCTAAACTTCAGTCCTATGATGATACACATGAATCTGTAATCTGGCTGTGCTACATTTGCCAGCTTAGGGCTTCGCATGGATCTATTCGTCTCTCACTATGTCATATCAATGTATTGCAGTGGCAAGGTATGTCACATAGACTTTGTATTCCATAGCTAATTCGCCAAACTATAAACAAATATACGTGTAATAGAGGTGCAAAGATCACATTTACGATATTATTATCCGTCCTAAATACTCAAAAGTGTATAGTCCAGGATTAGGGGATAGTATCTGGGACAGCCTTTACCAAGCTCATGTATGCATTGAAACTATGTGCTGGGTATGGTTGGGAGTTATAAGACTTCATAGATGACCAGGGGCATGTATAATTTTCTCAAGGTTCTATGAATGTGAAAGGGGAGAAAACACATGTGCTTAAAATAACTATAATGAAATATAGACTATTGTGATTCATAAAAGATACAGAAAGCGTGATAGGGGAGTCGAAAGGATGGTACATTTCATCTAGATGGGGAAGATCAAAGAAGGCTTCCAAGGACTTAATTTAGAATTGAAAAATGTGGGTAAATTCTGTAAATTCAAAAGTGGGAAAGAAGGCATTTTACATGAGGGAACAGCCTGTACTGAGGCATCGAGATGAGAGAATTTTAGGTTCTCCGTGGGCAATGGTGGAAATGTATTTGGGAAAATAGATTGACAGCAGCTCTGAAATATCTTAAAGGCCAAACAGTATTTCTGGTGTTAGTTTGCAGGAGTAAGCTATTAAAGTTGGTTTATTATTTTTTGAGCGGAAAAGAGCTGTAGTCACAGATGCGTTAGAAAACAAAACTCAAAGAACGAAAAGGGAAAACAAAAGAAGGATCCATAGTAAAGTGTAATATTGATTGTCGAGATGAAGCACCTGAAGTGAGAGTGACCAGATGGGAAGCTATGGATATCATGGCATCATTCAGTAATTCTCAATCCTGGTTGCATGTTGGAATTTTCTGTAAATTAATTACCCAGTCCCATGCACTGTTTTCTGTTTTAATTGATTTAGGGTGGGGTTCAGGCACCTGTAGCTTTCATTTTTTTTTTTTTTCTTTTAGGACTCCCAGGTGATTCTAATGTCCAGTTTAGGAGTGAACCATGGCCATTGTTTTTGGGTACAAAAAAGAGGGATAAGACATATTAGTGATAAATCAGTAGAACTTAATAATTGGTATTGTGGGCAAAGGAGAAGGCAGAAGAGGAGGCTGAGGCTGTTAGGTGGGGTATATGGGAGAGTGAATATGCCAAAAACAGAAATGAACACTCAGTAAGAGGAGAAGGACTGGGAAGGCAAATGACATGGTATGTTTTCAACACAACAATTTTGAGATGCTGGAAGGTAATCTTTCAAGCAGTTAGAAATAATAACCTAACATTGATAGAAAGTGCAAGTGGGAGATAATCTTTTCACTAAATTAAATCTTTTCTTCCTCTCTTCATTTCTTCCTTCCCTTTCTTCTTCTCTCTCCTTTTCTGTTCCTGTCTGTCAGTGTGCCTATCAGCCCTTTGAAAAATTAGATATTGGTAGTCATACAGAGGCATAGATATCTATCTACCAAATGGGAAATGCTTTAATACTCATTCTAAAGGAATTGAGAGTTGAGGCCTAAATAAAATTAATGGTATAGACATGCATAGAAATATGTCATTGAAGTGTCTTGAAATGGAAGAGAGTTAATCAGTGTCAAGAACTGTATTGAGGTATTTGTCTTTTTAAATCATGAGCAAATGGAATGTATAAGTAAAATAATACCAAAGTAGCCTACCATGCTAAACTTGGAATTTGGGTGATTTGTTTATGAATTTTCTGACATTGATTTTTGTCTCTTGGTCAGACATCGTAATCTCTGATTTCAATTGGATCCTGGGATGATGTTACACTTTAAGAGAACTTTTAAATACAGCATATTCTGGGTGAAGTTTCTCACTTAGCTAGTGAAAAATAATTGCTGTAGTATGGCACAAAGTACGTGCCAATCCCTTGAGAAGACAATCAGTATACATTTTATAGTTACATAAAAGATATTTCAAAATATTTAATAAATTGCGATATATTATCTGTGCAATCTTTATAATTTTCTAGCTTGTAATTTGGCACAGTGAAAATATTAGTGTTACAAGATCTTTGGGGTGTTATTTTCCTGGCCAGAAACCTCTGTGGCCAGTGGCACCTTTATCCAAGTTTTGCTCAGGCCCGTTGGTCTTGTTCTGCCCACCTGGCCTGGCAGGCTGCACTCAGCTCACACTACCGGCCTGGATCCCATGTCTTCAAGGGAGACTGCGAGTCAGGCATGGAATGGCAAGGGGTGTGTGAGTGAACGTGGGGTTTGGTCACTGCACAGTCAGACATGTTGGCCGCTGCCACGGGGTGGGCGGTTCCGGGTGCTAGTATGGCTGCCAGTTCTCCGTGAGGCAGCGGTTGGACCAGGAGCACCACAGCAGCTTCCCTGGCTGGCACTGGTGAATGCAGTGGCACCTGGAAACTTGGAAACAACAGGAACCACTAGGCCCCAAAGAGTGAGTCACAGCCCTGGCTTGGGGAGCTCCCAGGTCTGGGGTCCTCAAAGGGCCACAGCCCTTCTCTCCTTCTCTTCATCTGCAACGTGGTGAGCAAGGGGCATGTTTCAGCCCTGTTTGTGTTACAGCTCTTTTAGCCTTGCCAGTTGGCTGGTCCTGAGTTCTTGTCCTGTGACCAGGAAGAATGAGGTATGCAGACAAGTGGAGGATGAGCAAGACGAAGAAGAGCTTTATTGAGCAATAGGAAAGCTCAGAGGAGACCCATAGTGGGCATCTTCTCTCCGTCTCAGGGTGTCCTGATGAATGTTCAGCTCCTGTCAGAGAGGGTAGCTCCTCTCTGTTAGGCAGGTCGTCCGGAGTGTTCACCTCCCAGCAGAGAGGGTAGCTCCTCTCTGTTAAGCAAGTCCTCAGTTCTCATCAGAGAGGGTAGCTCCTCTCTGCAGCTGGTCATCCCAGCAGGTGTTCAGCTAACAACAGAGAGAGTCGTGCCTTTTTGCAGCTGGTTGTCCCATCTGCTTTGCTTTGGCTGAGCCTGGAACTTTTATGGGCCTCAGAGGGGATGAAGTGCATGCCAGCTGGTCCATGGACAGCCATGGGCGGTCCCAGAAAAGGCACCACCAGTTCCCACTATGGTCTGTGGGGCTGACAGCCCAGCACTCAGACTTCAGGCCCTCCCTGGCCTGAAGGTGGGACCTCACCGGATCCATCCCCTTCTGCCCAGGAGCCTGTCTGCCTCCTGCCACCAACTGTGGCACCCAGGCTGCTCACGCCAAGGGGCATCTGCAGGCCCTGAGTTGCCCTCAGCTCCCCACTTGGCTTCCCTTCCACCCTGGTCAGTACCTAAAGTCTGGGGGTGCTGAGGCAG
This sequence comes from Homo sapiens, assembly GCF_000001405.40. NCBI lineage: Eukaryota > Metazoa > Chordata > Mammalia > Primates > Hominidae > Homo > Homo sapiens. Next base: position 8,643,730 of record NC_000009.12, on the reverse strand, counting down.
CAAGGGGCTGGTGTCTCAGTGCTGCCCCAACATGTGCACACTCAGTCAGGCTGACAGCACCTAGGCTCGGCCTCAACTCTGCTCTGAGATCAGAGCTGCGAGCAGTGGTGGCAGGAGTGGCTGCAGAGGCAGCAGTGGTGGTGGTGGGTCCCCTATTCCCCGCTTCCCCTATGCCCTGCGTCCCTGAGGCAGCCCATCTGCAGCCAGTGTGAGGGCAGTGGCCGCTCCACATGGCCTGCTGCTGCTGCCATCATGAGGGGTTCACAATTAGATCAGAAGTTCTCTCACTCATAACCTCAGTGACTCCTCCTTACTGTCTTTTCATATATTTTCCTTCCTTCCTTTCTTTCTTCCTGCCTTCCTTCCTTCCTTCCCTCCCTCCCTTCCTAATACCTATATTACTAAAAAGCTTTCTATAAATCTATAAAATAGGAGTAATGATAACATCTTGCAAGACTCTTTGAAAACACCGTATATAAGATATATTAAACATTTAGTCTAGTGCATGGAACTCAAGGAGCAGTTATTTCTTTATTCCATTCTAAAGTATAATGCTTCTTAAATCAAATTTTAAAACTAACAGGTGGTTTTGGGAGCTGTATTTAAAAAGAAATACCATAAACAATTTTTTTGAAAGTCTGTTTGATTTTGAAGATCTATCCTGACCACAGATGTCAACAGGTGACCCTGTTCAAATTTCATGTGACAGATTCACTGTCCCCACAGGCCCTGGTTCATGTAGAACCTCTGCTATGGAAGCTACCCCAGGTGGTATCTGTGCCATGCTTTTGCCCTCCTAAGCAATGATACATCAACTTTGGGACCTCCCTCCCTTTCGTCATGTGTTGGTATAGTTGTGCTGTTGACTTGGGCAGGTTGTCTGTCACTACCCTTGTCCCAGTGAAAATGAAGCTAATTATAACAAAAACCTATCATCCACACAAACTCTGGATGCCCCATGTTTGCGAAAGTGTCAATAGGATGTGCTGTGGCTGGAAGGGAATGTAAAGTCCCATGGTAACTCATTCCCCTCAAACCTTCAGACCAGGCTACTACCCTTGGAACCACCCCTCACTCTTCTGCTATGCACTGCATTTCCCACCAGACCCCAAAGGCCCTGTTCCTGAGCTCTCCTTCAGAGCTCTCATCCTGACGCTTACAGAGAAAGAAAGATCAGAGATGACTTCAGCTGATCTTCTCATAAATTCTACAGGCACTTTTTAAGGAGGAAGCAGATTGCTAAAGACAGGGGTACCTGCATGTTCCCACTGAACATTCTCTCCCTGTCTCATTTAACAGCAATATTCACCTTCCCCTTTAAAAATTTTAAGTACATTGTTATGACAAACAGCCCTTTAAAAACAAAACTCTGTATTTAAGGAAATGTTAATCAGTTAAAAGAAACAAAGCCAATTCGTTACATGCTGTTAGTTTTGTTCCCCATGCCACATATTTTCTTGATGTCCACAAGAAACAGCTTATTAATTAGAATTAAATTAGATAAATGGCACCCTCATTTTGTCTCTTCACTTTTGTAGCATGTGATCCTTTCTATGAATCTGTTTTAAGTCAGTTGGCCAATCATATACCTCAACTCTAAGTTATCTACTTAACCTTTAGGAATTTCTCATAAATTGCATTCATCTGTGGATGTTACTGGTGGACTTCAATGGCTCTCCCCGATTTATGTCTAGCACTACTTAGTATAGTGTACGAAAGGGAGGATTTTGTCCTCAGTACGGCAGTTTGTTAAGGACAGACAAAAGCAGTTTGCTGGTCTTGGTTGGTTCTCTCACCTACATTTAATAGCTATAAGTGCACATTGAGCTCATCACCTTGTCTTCAGAGTGCCTAGCAACTTGAAACATGATATGGCATCCAAATATTAGACCCATTAGGTTCAAAGATACTGTGCATTGGTTAGACTTTAAGAAACAATCTAACTTCTTAAAAGCAAAAATCAGTGCGCAGTTTGTGGCTTCTCTTGAGCTGTGTAGCAAATAATAATCTACTAAATTCCAGGAGCTATGGCCTGTGTTGTGAATGCATCCTGAGAATGTACAGTCTTTGAAAATGGCAAGCGAGCCTGGCAGACACATTCTAGAATATCGGCCATGTCTCTGTTGTGACGCATATGCATGCGTAGCTTCTCTACTTTCCATTTAGAAAATAGACTTTCTGGGTTGACCAGTAATTTGACCTGTGCAGTACCTGGCATTAGTTTAATAAAAGATCATACTCCTCACTTGTCAAAACCAACTTGAGCACAAATGCATTTTGCAAAGTACAGCATTGGCAGCTTCAGGTAGATGGCAATGGTGATTAGCTACAGCAGTAATGGAAGGATGCCTCTCTAAATAATGGTGACTGGAAAGTTCTAATGCCTTTCTCCCCATCTTTATACCTTGATATTTCTTTTTTTTGTACACTAACTATAATACTGATGGTTGTATCTCATGGGATAAAAACGGAGATTTTCACGATTCAAATCTTAGTCTGTCCTATGTTGTGACTTTTTAGTAGATACCCTTGTTTTATGCTTTACTTGAATTCTCTTCCCTTTCTTCCCATCTTCAGAGCATGGCTTAAATTTGGACAATATCTATGACAAAATAAGGCAGACGATTCATCATGTTCCTTTTATTAAACTGAGATATGGAGAAGGGAAGTGGGTGATGTGTGTTGTTATATCCCTCTGAGAATAAAGATTTTTACTTGCCTCAAGCATTTGTTGGGGTTATTAAGTTTAGTCTTCTCTCTACCTCATATCTTTCCTTTGGCTGGCTGCCTAGCATTGACAGACACCATCTGAGAGTTTGACCAGCAAAAATGATTATATATGCACCACCCATGCTTAGTGAAAGGATTTTACTATATTATCTTGAGTCTTACTTTGTATCATAGGATGATGACATATATCCTTTTTGTAGTTCGGATCTTGTGGGCGAATCTAGAAAAATTGACATTGGGTCCCATAGGAAAGTCATGATTTTCTTGTCAGTGAGGCCGATGTCTTTCATATATATATATGTATTTTTTTTTTTTTTTTACAGAATTTCTCTGTAAAAGCCCCTGAAATTATTTAACTGTAGTGTGATCAATTTTATTTTCTTGTTTTCAAAGAATAAATTTAAGAGCCCTTTTAGGTTTTTTTGTTTTTTTTTTTTTTGTTTTTTTGTTTTTTAAGAATATCACATCAATACAGTGGTAGGATTTAGAAAAATAGTTCCAGGTCCTAAAATAGATTCTAACTGGTTATTTTAATAAGTTTACCACAGTTCAATAGGTTAATTTCATTCCATGACTTGGTCTCCAGAAATAAAATCCTACAGTAGCATCCAATGGTCATTTCTTTTTCTTTTCTTTAAATTTTTTATTTTTGAGATGGAGTTTCACTCTTGTCACCCAGGTTGTAGTGCAGTGGCGTGATCTCGGCTCACTGCAACCTCTGCCTCCTGGGTGGCATATTTTTATACTTGTCAATATTACACAAAAACTTCTCTGCGTGTCGTGATGGCTCACACTTGTAATTCCAGCACTTTGTAAGGCTGAGGCGGGAGGATCCTTGAGCCCTGGAGTTCAAGACATGCTGAACAACATAGGGAGACCCCATGTCTACAAATAATAAAAACATTACCCAGGCATGGTGGTGTGTGGTTGTGCTCCCAGCCACTCTGGATGCTAAGGTGGGAGGACTGACTGAGCCTGGGAGGTTGAGGCTGCAGTTAGCTTTGATCGTGCCACTGCACTGAAGCCTGAATGACAGACCAAGACCCTGTCTCAAAAAACAAACAAAAAACTTCAATGCCTGACCAGAAAATAAAGATAAATGAGACACATACCTGGAAAACATCGAAATGGCACTCATACCTATTCTCCAAGTGTATGGGAATTTTGTCTCTCTGCACTCCATTTAGAAATAAGATTTCTATGTTTAATTTGACTTGTCCTCACCCACCAGTTATTTCCAGATGAGCTTTCTAATTTAGGTCCTTACATGGCAACAGGACAGATGAAGCACTTACCCAAGCATCCATTGCCTAGTTGCAGATTGTCAGAATTGCCAACTCTTCTTCATTCTTTGGGTTAAGAAATGCAACGGTATCCCTTAAAAAATATCCAGATGCAGGGAAAAGGGTATCCTACTTCTAGTTTTCTTTAATTTCTAATATAGTGCACACTCATTTTATGCAACAGCCCTTCAATGTATTCACATGTTCTTGCAAGAAATTTCAGAACAGAACTTAAATGGGAAGCTGGGCTCTTACAATGTATTTTCCTTCCCGGTTGACAGTTTTTAGGCTATGGACAAGAAAAGGAAGGTAGCTAAAAATGACAGTATTGTACCATTTAATACAGCAATCTATTTTGTGTTTCTAGGGAAATTCCCTAGAAATTTTAATTGCATAATTATAATTTTTCCATTGGTTACTGACAAGCAAGTAGTTATTATCAATTTGCATTGTTTGAAACAGCAGAAAGATAAATATAAAAACTTGTAATATATTTTTCATTTGTTTCCAGAAAAGTGACATCAATGTACAGTGTTTTGTAATCCTCTCACTGTTAGTCAATTTTAAATTATTTTGAGGCCGGGCGTGGTGGCTCACGCCTGTAATCCCAGCACTTTGGGAGGCCAAGGCAGGTGGATCACGAGGTGACGAGATCGAGACCATTCTGGCCCACATGGTCAAACTCTGTCTCTACTAAAAATACAAAAATTAGCTGAGCGTGGTGGTACGCACCTGTAGTCCTAGCTATTTGGGAGGCTGAGGCAGGAGAATCGCTTGAACCTGGGTAGTGGAGGTTGCAGTGAGTCGAGATTGTGCCACTGCACTCCACCCTGGCGACAGAGTGAGACTCCATCTAAAATAAATAAATAAATAAAAATAAATAAAAAATAAAATTATTTTAAGTACTTCCCACAGCTCCTAGTAATCATCTAGTCTGTATTGCTACACTGAGATGCTACAGGTTATGATCTCTAGCAGGGTTGTTAGAGGCTGTTTTGCTTTCTTAATATTTTTGAACATAAGCAGGCCCGCAGTTCCAGGATCACCAACAAGTTGAATTTGCTGATGAGGTGGTAATTCATTCTCCAGGACCAGCATTGCAAATATGCCTCTTCTGAACTTCCCTCCTTTGGAAATAATATATAAAGCTAGGAAACCTTGAAACTGGAAGCAATTTCTGCAAATTAATTTATTTCATATGTCATAGTTTTGCAATTTTTGTAAATTAATGTATTTCATATGTCATACCAAGAAATGGTAAAGTTACATGATTTTTTTTCCTCCAAGATTATCCATATATGTATTGGTGGAGCTTAGATAGGAATCCGGCTTCCTTGACTCCAAGAAAACCAAACAGAGTCAGAACACACCATCAAGTTAATGGGAACACCATGTGGGAAACATGAAATCAATACAGAGAAGATACTGGTGATGAACCAAGAAGAACAAACTTTGTTATGACTTTTTTCTTTTTTATAATCCAAGGATTGTTTTCAAAATCAATTTTAGCTATGGTTATTTAAAACCACTTTTCAATGACATGTAAGTAGAACACAGTAGGAGAGAAGAGAAAATCTGTAACAGGGATTAGAAATTAAAAAAAAAAAAAAAAAAGAAGGAACAGCAAAATGTTTTGGGGCTTTAAAACATTTTCAGCCAGAACATAATTGTAAAAACTCAAGGAAGTGTAAAAGATGGAAAGCAGTCGGAGAAATAATTAAAATGCCTCCTCCTGAACACCATTATTAGTGTTTTATTTACTTTGTTCAATCTTTGTGTGTGTGTGCATTTTTCATTATCTGCTATCCCCACATATAACTCTGTAGTATGCTTTTGTGGCTTATTATTGCATCATAAGCATTTCTCATGTGGTATGATACAGATTTTATAACACTTAACTACTTGTATGATGTTCCATCTTCATGCCATATTTTATTTCACTGTGACAGAAATCCCATACTGTTTAATGTTTCAACTACTTATACTCTTTTGCCAAACAAATGATATGATGAATATCTTTGTGCATAAGTATTCATTTACATTTTATATCATTCTTGTATGATAGCTATCTAGATCTTGAAATACAAGATGAAAAATAAGTAAGTTTTTTAAAGAAGGAGGAAGAATGTTAGGAACATTTAAAGGAGATGGAGGATGTTGAACAAGCTTCCAATGTCTATCTTGCTAGCCTTAGTAATCTTTAAGTCTACATCTTTGTATAAAAAATATTCTTTGCTTTACTATGACTTTGGAGGCTTCTTGACTCATCTTCTTTTATGCAAATTGTGGAGCTAAGTTTCAAGTAAGACAGCTTACAATATCTGGGTTAGAGAGTCACTTTACCATTTTCCCCTATTTCTATTTCTTGCGAAACCTTCTAATTCAGGGCGATATTTCTTGTCTCTTTAAAATTTCCTAGCATTTCTCTTAAATGTCACTAATTTTAATAGCTCAGCAGTGGCAATGCTGCTTTCTGGCAGTGTCCTGATAGTGGCATCAAAGCAAGCGCTAAAATTTTACCCACTTTGATTGATGAGCTCATTTTGTTAGAGGACAAATTGGATTTTTTTATATACTGGTAATAAAAATTAATGTGTGATGTTGCTTTTCGGATGTTATTGGATCTCTACCTTAATACAGATTTCAGCAATAAAAGCACTAATAGATAACTTAACCAGAAAGTTATGTCCTTCCCCTTTAAACTACCCTCAAAAGTAAAAGATGCTTTTCTAATTTTGTAATCCCATAGTGCATTGTAAAAATGTATGTCTTGATGGCGGTGTGGTTGAGGATGGTGGGGAGAGCAGCGGTAGTAGGATAATAGTCTGTATTTCAGTTTTCAATTTAACTGTGATGTTTATTTTTTATTTCAGCACCTCCAAGGTTTACACGAACACCCGTTGATCAGACAGGGGTCTCTGGCGGAGTTGCCTCTTTCATCTGCCAAGCTACGGGAGACCCAAGACCTAAAATTGTCTGGAACAAAAAAGGAAAGAAAGTCAGCAATCAGAGATTTGAGGTATTAGGTCCATTGTTCTGTTTCTCTGGGGGAAGAATGTATCTGCTCTGTCTTTGGTTTCTACGTTACTTGCTTGCTTTACTCTGATAAAAGGTGTCACTGATATATGGTATTCCTTACATTGCAAGTGATGGAAAATGTAACTCTAAATGGCTTTTTAAAAAAGGAAATTTGGGGGTTCAAGGGCTGATTTTTGTTTCTACTTGTGCCAGGGCTCAATAGTATTCCTAGGATTAGTCTGTCAGTTTCATCCCCAGGTTGCAAGATGGAGCTCTGCAACCTCACAGGACCACGTCTGTAGGATGTATGAAAGCTTGTCTCTTCCAGAAGCCTCTCATCCCATTGGCTCCTATTACGTTACTTGTGCATCCCTGAGACAATTTGTGTGGATAGGTGGACAGTGTAGCCTACTTAATTTAAGCCAATCAGAATCTACCTCTGTTCTGGGAATGAGGACAGTCCCATCCAATTGCATGGCTTAGAATGAAAGAGCAGAATTTTCCCAAAGGAAATTTAAATCCTCGTTATCAAGAAGAATGGGAATGGATGCTAAGCAGCAAATGAAGTGGTCCACTGCCCCTCGCACCTGTGTTTTACAAGTAGTGTGAACTAGAATGAGAAATTTGTTCCAGTGTTTTAAAGTACTATTCTGAAAGAAACACATGCAAACAGGTTGATATTGCAGAGAAACCTATCGAAGAAGTTGGTTTTCTTTATTCAGGAGAGCTCAGTGCAGCGAAGATGGTGAAACATAAATCAAAGATTCTTTTTTTGAGTGTTTGTGAGAAGGCTGATGGTTTAGAAATTTGCTCATTCTGGAGGAGAAATATAGGCAATAAGATATATAGAAAGCTACACAGATTATGGGCACACAATAGCATGCCCATAATTTAAGACATGAGAAGGATAGCTTTAATTTTAGGGGCTACCAATACCCCCAAACTGCCTGAAATTGTGAAACTCACCTCCCTTTTACCTGAGTTTCTAATCTCCTTCATGACCTAATTTACAGTTTGGCAGATTAAAGGCAATTTCTAGTTAAAAGAAATATAGCAACTACAAATTCAGAACAATTTTATTTTACTTATTTTCATAGGAACTCACAGGGTGATCAGGGGTTCAAATGTATAGAGAACCTAATTAATTACAATGGTGAAATTAGAAATTTGCCATTGGAAATTGGGTTGTAGTTTACAAGTGAGAAGTTTAAAATTATGTCTGAAAATCAAATACTTGATTATTATTGAAATATAATTTATTTAAATACAAAAATATCTTTAATATTTGGAAAATGTTTCCTGTGTCATGTAGAAAATGATGTATGTATGCATCTTTGCTGCACATTAAAAAAATTTAAATGAAGTTAATTTTTTGTCAAAGAGAAGTTTGACATCACGCTTTCTAATGACAATGGCTCCTGACAAAATCATGTAACAAAAGTGAAATTATACTACTAAATATTTCACAGCATGATCTCTGCTCAATGCCTAATTCCCCATGAGAGTCATATAAACACCTTTGGGGTAAATGAATTATTTTTACCCAAAGCAGCTTCATCAAACTGTATCAAGTCCTTGGTTGAAAATCTTTACTATATTTAACACTAATATATATATAATATATATTTAATATATATTATTAAATATATATTATTAAACAATATATATGGTATTACTAGTCTGTATGGTCCCTGAGAGCAGTACATGTTGACTGTTTTTGCTCCCTCTTCTATCCCCAGTGCTAAGTATGGTGTCTGGTCCATGGCAGGCATGAAATCAATACTGGATATTTTCAAACTGGAAATTACATCACTGGCGTGTAATGTGTGGTATATTGTATGTTGTAAGAGGATAGATCTAAATCTAGGAAATAGTTCACAAATGTAAACATACAATGACATTTATTAATAAATTAGTCAACATTTAAATTGGGTTTATAGTTGCTTTAACCTTTTCCTACCTAAATCATAAAATGATCATAAATAACTTTTTTAAAATTATGGAATGCTTAACAAAGCTTCCAATATGAAACTATGAAACTTTTCTTTCCTAAGATGCATAGTAGATTTATTTTAAAGTGTATGCTTTATAGAGTTGAAAATAAACTGTAGTGCATTGAGAAATGGGCCATTTTGAATATTTTTGTGAATTTTGAACAAAAATGGAATGCACAAAGATTGAAGTGGACATATTTTGAAAATATGAATGTCCTTCCTCTCTGTGTTAATATACACATGCACACACAAAATCTGGAATTAAGCACCCCATAAATATATATATGAGGCAATCTCAATTTATTCATAATTTAGGCACATGGGAATATTCACAGTGAAATACAAGAGAAAAAAGGCACAACTTCTCAGTGAACAGCTGAAGGAATGCAGCATAGTTACAGAAAAGACAGAGGACTCCATAATATTGTATACATATTTGTTAATATCATCATCTTTTTTTTTTTTAAGTGGTACTTGAATTAGCTAACAAGTACCCAGGATTATCAGTGTCACTAAACTGTTTCCAAGAAGAGTTCCTAATGATGGTGAATTCAGGCTTAGTGTTTAGGACATTAATTTTCTGCCTGGTGAAGCAAGCCTCCATTTTACAGCAAGAATGCTCTAAAAATGCAGAAAATGCTAAGCTAGAACAAATACTGGAATGATTTATGGCAAAATTAATGCACACCATCAGGCTTTTGGGTTGTGAAAGCTGTCTCGTTGGCTGCCTAAGTACTAGATTTATGCAATTTCTTTTCGTGGTTTGCCTATCTATACTGTTCAGGATGAGACAGTTTAAACTAGCAGAGCTATCTGTGGTGGCATGCATTAATTCTTCACCTTACAGTCCCATTATTGAATGAATCCACATTCGTATATGTGCTGTGAGAGAAAGAATAATTTAAGAAGTTTATCCATTATAGCTGCAAGCCTCTTGCAAAATTAATAGAGTCAAATTGCCCTAGATGAACATACTGAAATATTTTAATGAATAAACCCTGGTAGTTTTTAGTAGGGACTAGAAATCTCCATGTTTTGCATATGTAGTTGCATATCTTTCTCCTTGTTCAGTAGAAGATTCACTAAATTAGACCAAATATTTTTTCACCACTATATCAAAATTCAGTTTCAGAATGATGCCTAGTTTATTATGAGCCTAATGGCGGATCCACCACTGTATTGAGAGCTTTAGCTGAGAGGTAGACAATTGTAACAACACCTGTGACAGCTATTGTTTCCTCTAATAGGTAATAGAGTTTGACGATGGGTCTGGATCAGTTCTCAGAATACAACCCTTACGGACTCCGAGGGATGAGGCCATTTATGAATGTGTGGCCTCAAATAATGTGGGAGAAATAAGTGTATCCACCAGACTCACAGTTTTGCGGGGTAAGTGCTCAAGTGAAGGTTGTCGTTTGTGTCATTGTTACAATTCTGTATCTCTTTTGTAGCATCATTGAAAAGACTAGCATTGTGATGGTGCTTAAATGGGAAACTCAGTTAAATGTTTGTAAGACTTGAACTTTAATTAGACAGTGGATACCTTCTCTAGTTTTGGGTCTTTACAGAACTAGAGTTCAGGGGGAATATCAGAGGTAAAAAAGCTGAAAAAAGCATTGACTTCAAATGCCAGATACCATTTTGATTTTTGGCAGAGCATCTAGAAAGGAAACAGGATATGGTACTCTTTTATATGTTGGCATTACTCGTGCATGGATTTTTCATACTGTATTCAGCAGCTACGTTTTTTACAACTACCACAGCTGACATTGATATTTGCAGAATTAAAGAAAGAACCTTAGCCTAAAGATGAACTTTCCTTAAGCAATTGGTCAGAACCAAGTATAAGAAATGCACCTGTCTTATGTGAAAAAAAATACATTTTTTATTTGTCTGTTATCTTTCTTAAACCAATATGTATTGATCTAAATAACTGGGCTGACAAATCCCTTTCTTTGTCTCCAACAATGTTGCTTACACAATTTGACAAAGGCACAGGGTGAGTTGCCAGATCTCCAGTACAGTGTGTTCAGTTTGTAGACTTCCTTTACAATGAGAGTGCTGGAGAATAAAGCTATGATGAAGACTGTGTTGTATGTCTCTAATTCAGGCTTCTGTATAGAGATACGAACATTCCCAATTAGGCACCTCACAGTTGACATTTCCAGATTAACTATTCTGTGCCTTTATCTCTTTCTCTCCCTCACACAACTCATTTGTTTTGTTTTGTTGTATTTTCCTCTGTTCCAAAATTTAGGAGAATAGACTTTCCTAACATGAAAGAAATTGGAAAGGAAACAATCAGAATCATAGAGGAACTTATGTAGATTAAGTACATTTCTCTACTATTTCATTTTTTTTACCCCCATGGAGGGATGGTTTTACTTTATATCTTTTATAAAATAAAAAAGTTTGATTTGATAAACATCTTGGTTTCTTTCAAGGAGGTAAGCCCTATTGATATTGTCAAGAACTTATTTATTTGGAGGCCAGCAGTAATTAGTAATGTAGGTCAAATTTACCTGGTGGTTTTGAAACTAAACACACACACACACAGACACACACACACACACACACACACACAAAGAAGCAATTCAAGAGGCTGAGAAAATGAGATTATTTACATATATATCCTTAATTACGTTTGAAATAGTATAAACACCTTATTAAGTTGCAGGGAAAGTATTGACAATTGGATGTATATCTTTTAAATGCATGTAACAGATGCTGCTTTAAAACAGACAAGTGAGATTTGAGCTACATTTCTGGCTGTTATGACAAGCTAGGTTGGTGCAGGAAGTTCCCCATTCCCTGACCAACACATAGAAATGTTGACAAAGTATCTGAAAATAAAATTAAAAGCATAATTAGGCTTACAAACAAGAAATTGAAATTTCCAGTTGCTAAAAACAAGGGAGGGATTTCCTAGAGAAAAGACAATTGTAATAACCCAAGATAATAACAAAATGGACCTTATGCTTTAGTGCTGGAGTTTTAACACTCCAGCAAGATACATACGTATATAAAATAAGTTGAGAGTAACAGAGACTAGATCAGCTTTCTGCATACAAGTGAGATTTCCAGCACTATTCCTACTGTGCAATACTCAGGACCAAATAGTTTAACATAAAAGCTGGTCAGAAACAGTGAGTCCCATAGAGTGTGCAACAGACACCCATAATAGCACTCACCCCACAGAGACATTCCGATAATCCAGATACACAACCCTAGAGAAGGTTGTTCATACCCAGATGGGCTAATGAACACCAGTTCTAAAGCAATCAAGTCAGCTACCACCAGCAAGCGACAGTAAGCCCAACCATCAAGGGTGGAAATCATAGTCTCTGATCCACAGGTAACTGAACTGTATGAATGGGTTTCAAAATATATTTAAAATATTTGAAAAGGGAAAGGAAGGAATGGTCTAATAGGCAAGAATAAGACATTAGGGAAAAAAAAGAATAGGAGTTAGAAATTAGATTTTAGAACTGGCAGGAATCTTAGAGACTATGTTTATATGTGCTGTAATATGCACTATGGAAAGTATACATATTTCTGAATATACATACATAGTTCACTTCAGCTTGTCTGAAAATTGTCATTTTTCAGGTGTTCATATTTGAAGCCAAATCTGGCTCATTTGTTCATCTGCTTTAAAAATTTTAATCTCCATTTATTTACCTAGTTTAGAATCAGTGCCATCATATAGAAGGTATATTAAAAAGGTACAATAAAATAAAACTTATCAGAAACGTTTTTGAGTTTTCTCACTTTCCAAATCCCTTGAACTCCTTAAAAGGAATTAATGGCAGTCATGTGCTTGACTTATCTTTATGCATCCAATGAAGACATTAACAAAAAATTGGAGCAAAATATCACTTTACTTAGAAATTTACATGGATTAATGTTTTCCTGTCTCTCAGTTGGCTGGAGTTTCATCATCTCCTCTGCTTTTATACAGCTAGTCCCCATATAAAACAAATGCATCAAAAATGTTTAATATGGTCTCAACTTTCTATGTGAACATCTGTCATATGTAAGTATACTTGTATGAAAATTTATGATTTGAGTAGTTAACCCTTTCCATTTTTTTAAAGACTATGTTGAGCAGTTTTAGAACTTTCATGAGAAAAATTCAAAAGTATTTTAGATGACAGAAAGGTAGTCTAAACATAATCTTAAAATAGAATACTTTTATATATCCTTTTAGGATAAAATAAATATGGATGGAAATTATTTTTGTTTCCTGGAGTCACTGTTTGCTTAAAACTTCTAAATATTGTTATTTCTATTAATAGTAGTGTTTAATAATATTCCAGTGTAAACTGACATTCATAGACTTTGAACATCATGAATAGCTAAATAAATGAGTGTGAAGAGGTTTATACCACAGTTGAGGAGATTTTAGGTTCACTTTCTCTTGCAAATCATGTTGGCGGACACTCAGGCACTCTGTTCTGCAGTAGATGGAGACCATTTTACACTTTTCGTCCAGTGGCCTCATTAGATTCCCATTTCGTCCACGTGGATCATTTACTTTCTCCCTGCTTTACTGACAAATGCCAAAAATGTGCCAGCTCTCATGATGGGCTTTATCTAAGTGAACTGGATGAAGATCATTGATTTATCTCACACAAGCTACTAGAGAAACTAATTAATTGGAGATTCAAATATCTGACCTGTATGGTTAATGAAGAAGACATTGAAATAATACTCTGACCACCCATGTGCCTCGAAGGGAGCATTTCAGGAACAAGTTTCCCTTCGTAGCTTGTTTCAAATTACCCTTACTCTCAAAAACTGTGTTTCAATAAGGAGGGATAACCACAAGCTCAGGCTGAATGTGCCCCGAAATAAGATATTTGGGCAATTAACTATACCATAGAGTGTGGTTCACGAAAGAAGTAGGAGAGGGGGGAGGTGAATGTAGGGCTTATGTCTTCCAAGTCATTTTAATTTTTTAGTTGTCTTGGCTATGGAAACACAAGAAAATACTGACTCCCTAATGATACAACACTTTAGGAGGCTGAGTATATCTGTTTTACTTGTGTTTTCCCATCCTAAGCAGAACTTTAAGTGAAGGCCTTAGGATGTACTGAGGCTACTAAGGACTGTGCCTTAACTAATTGTGGAATGCTACTAAGGACAGTGAATTAACTATCAGGCTTTCAGTGAAGAGCAAGCATAGGACCAGAGAGAGTGTTGTAAGAACAGGGATTGTCATCTAAATGGAATTGGTTCTGTCTGTTTCGTTAGTTTGCTGGTCACAATTTCTTCCTGACTAAAGATATCAGCAGGAAACCATGTAATACAAATTTATGCAGTGATAACTGAGGATGAAAATATTCTCTCTGATAGATGTTATCAATCACTAGGCAGGGAAAATGAGATATCACCATCCATAGACTTTTCTTTCTAGTAAGAGTCCAAGGGTACTTGCTTCTTTTGGGCAAGAGGAAAGACATCAATAATTATTCTTACTTACATAACCTCCCTTCTCTAAGACAAAGTTCTGGAACCATTTAATCAACTTTGAATCTAAGCATCTTACTAAATGTCATCATGTTTCTTGAACTTAGAATTTTTTTTAGGGGAGTAATCAGAAAATACATTATTTTGCTCTTATCTCAAACAGCATGTAATGGGTCATTTAAAAAATCTTAGTAGATTATTTTTAGACTGGGCTGTTCTCAAATAGCACTGCCCCAAACCACCACCACCACTAGCACAACAGAACAGGGTATGATATACAACACTGCTGCTCTTATCTATTTATAGGGAACTGGCTTTGTTCATAGAACATATCTACAGTACAATTATTGTCTAAACATGCTAGTTTACCAGATATGAGGCATTTTAGTTACCTAGTTTAGCAAATATATTTCATCAAGTGATACTTATGTGTACCTACTCTTACATATAAATATATTATTTGTGAATGATCACCATTAGGACAAAAGATAATACGTGAAGTACCCAAGTCTAGGTCTTGGGAAATTGAATTCCAGCTTTAGCTCTGTCACAAAATAACTGGATTCTTAAGCAAATACGTTAACTTCCCTGTTCTGTTCTGTTTCTTTTTTTTTTTTTTGGCCTGATATGCATTGGGAAGGCCTTGGATTAGCGATGAAATCACTCAGATCACCCCTCTCCAGCTTTCCGTGATTCATTGACATGCCTATTTCAGCAAGTCAGTTCTTGCAAGATGGAAAAAATTTGCTCCCTGAAGGTGACTGTTACTGAGATAGTAAAACACACAGTGAGCAGTTGGATGAGACAGAGAAGGCACTGCAATGGGAAATAGAAATGTTTGCATAATATGTCTGTTTCAAAAAATGTAAGCCATTATGGCAGTTGTTAGGAAAAAAAACATACAACTTTTACAATCTTTCAGGGAGAAGGCAGTCAACTATCTCTGCCATTGTGCAGTACCCTGTGATCAGAATTAGCATGTTGATTACAGTCTCATTTTATTAATGCCTCTTTTTGAAGATGAACACAGTTGTCCCCGCTGTGAAAATGGTACTTTGCCGTTTATGTTATAAAGTGGTCTCGGCTGGAGATCCAGGCTAGGAACATTAAAGAACAAAGCACAGCTGCTTGACTGTCACACAAAAGGATTTTTATGAAAGACTGAAACAAAAGGAAGGGTGGCCAACACAGAACAAACGTGCTGACAATTATGGTACTGACTGAAGATTACTTGAAAAGGCTTATAAAATAGTTGAGTACTTGGAATACATTGATACCAACACGATAAAGCTTTCGTGTGTACCTCATTTCCATGCTGGGAAAAGGTGGTAGTGGGCAGAGCCACTTTAAGTGAACAGACGCTCCTGACTTTCGTTGGTGTAATCTTTAGAATTTAAAAACAGTGATTCTTTGGGTATCAGTGGTCACAAAGACAGAAGCCCATGTGGATAGTCTATGAGAGACCCTAGTAAGGGGAGACATTAAAACTGAAAATCTGGGGGAGAAAGTGTACCTGTGAGGAGACGCTATTCATTTTCCTTCTGATCTATCTTTTGAGGACTGTTATGTTGGTGATGCATGCTCCTTCCTTGGAACTATTACTTGTTTTGCCACACTGAGATCATGTCTAAAAAGGGCTCAGAAAAAATGAGCACACTTGTAAATCATTGCATTGAAGTGAGAACAATTTTCTTCTTTTGACTTCATATTAAAATATTATTTTTAATAATTTTGAAATGAACATCAACTCATGCGAGTGTTTACTGCTGCTTAACTTGTTAACCGAACCATAGAAATGTTGAGCTAGAAGGGAATTTGGTGTTTACCTAGCCTCACTACTTATTTTTGATGTAAGGAGCCAAGGTCCAGAGAGTTTGACATGATTTGTTCTTGGTCGTACAGCTAAGATTTTCATCGGGTTTGGCCAAGTCTGAAGTGATCCCTGCTGCAGTACGTGTGACAGTGAGTTTCAGCCCTTCAGATTTTTACTTTATATACAAGATATTGTCCTGGAAGAACAATGTTCTTCCAGCTGACATGTCGACAGATGAGCATGATGGGAAATAAAAAGTGCTCAAGTGCCATGGGTGCAAAATGTGTAAAATGCTACATGGATGATACACTGTGAGAGTGAGGAGACTGCTGGGTTGGGGCATGAAGAATATTTAGGAGTCTGTGAGACAGAGCTAACTTGAGAGAGGAGTAGAAACTAGAAGCTTCTTGAGCAAAGTGGCTTAGGGAGGAAATCACTGAGTATTGATGGTAGGTGTGTGCAGTGTATTAGGGTTCTCTGGAGAAAGAGAACCCCAACAGAATATATACATATATAGGAAGAGCCTTATTTTAACAAATTAGCTGACATTATTAATGAGGCCAAGAAGTTTCAAGATCTGCCAAAGTTGGCAGCTGGAGGCCCAGGAGAGTTGATGTGCAGTTCTAGTCCACAGGCTGGCAAGCTGAAGACCTAGGAAGAGCTGATGTTTCAGATTGGGTCCAAAGGCATGAAAAAGCTGATGTCCCAGTTTGAAGGTAGGAGGAGTTCTTCCTTCCTTAGGTGAGGCTCAGCTTTATTGTTCTCTTTAGTGTTTTACCTGATTGGATAAGGGTTGCCCACATTAGGGAGGGCAATCTGCTTTGCTTGGTGACTAAATTAAATGTTAATCGCATCCAAAAACACCCTGACAGTAATGCTCAAGATAACATTTGACCAAATATTTGAGCACCCCAGATATTTCGCCTAATCAAGTGACACGTACAATTAACCATTACAGGTGGGTATAAACAATGGTAGGTCAGAATTGAGCAGAAGTAAAATAGTAGTAGTAAAAGAAAATGAGGTTGGGACGTGACTCATTGGCTAAGGAGATAAACCTAATAAGTGAGAAAAGGTGTGATTAAGTTAACCTAGGCCATCTTTATGTGAGCTGAAAATTACAAAGGAGTTTACTAAAATACTTCACTTAAAGTAATCTATCAAACAGTCATTCATACATAATTGAGGTTTATATTTAAAACTAGGTAGTTGGTTGGCTTTCATTGATAAAATTTGAGCAGTTTTTAAAAATTCAGTATCCTGGTTTTCCAAATTAGTTTTATTTTAAGCTACTAATTAAGATGTAGTTTTAAAAGTTGTACATGCATAATTTATTGGTATTTAGGGCACAGATATGCCAAATGCCTCATCTAGGGTTTAATTATCAAAGCCCTAATTACGTATCTCCTTAGAAGAGCAAGTAACTTATTATATCTTATTAAAAAAACAATGACTTGTGAATTAATGCCACATTAAACACAACTATGATGACACACATCCCATATTCTTAATATGTTTTGTTAAAGATAGCAAGATTTTTTTTTTTTTTTTAACTACTGGGCAATCGGGGAATAGTCATATCATTTCAAGACTCTCTTATCTGTCATCTTCCAAAATGAGCTGTGTTTTAATTTATATCTAAAAACTTTCCATGCCTTTCTTTTTTGTTTCTTAGAACTTTACCTTTGATTATTAAACTTTATCCATGCATTACATAAATGTTATTTTCACCCTTTAACACAGTAGATTTTTTTTTAATTGATAGATTTTTGGTCATAAGTGTAGCACTATTGAGATTTTTCTCACATGTCTGATGATGTCTGTATTCAGGTTGAAAATTTGATCATAGTTTGTATTTTCCCAGAAGAGATCCTATATTTCTTGGAGCATAAATACCAAAAGAGCTATTAAAAAAATGAAGCTATAAATCATAAGTGAGACCAGAAAATCAATATTAACAGTTTTTAGATATTTTCTACCTTTCTAAGTATCGGCATACATAGTTCTTTCTGTTTGTTTATGTATTTGTTTAATTACGTGGGTAACTGCAGATCTGTCATTTACTGGTCAACTAGAAAATTAAGTATAGTAGAAAAGTATGTGCTCATAAAAACGTGATGGCTTTTAATAAAGCTAGTTATTAACTATCAATATTTATACAAAAACTTGAGAAGGTATATTTGCATATATGTATGTTTTGTACATGTAGTATATATATATATAGTGTGTTTGTATATGACCTGTTTAATTTGCTTCATAGCACTTTTTACTATGTGAAATTATACTCTTTATGTCTTGAGACTTTTATCCTGTATACCTCTTCCTTTGTGTATAAGCTCCATTACAGTTTTCTATGGCCTAGAAATGTTCCTGGCATTTATTGGGCACCCAAGAGATATTTGTGGCATGAACAGGTACATATGTAGAGGGATCTATAGATATGGTTATGTAGATACAATGCATTAAGAGACCATTTGGGTAAGAATGAGTCTTACTTTACATATAATGAACAAAATAGTCATTATTTCAGTGGCCTCTGCAAGATGAAGAGCGTGATTGAGAGTCAAGAAGTCGAGGCAAAGGGAAAGAGAACTACAAAGACAGAGTGAAACAGAGGGAATGAAGAGAGATGCTCTTTCTAGCTACATAAGCATGAATTTGTATCAACCTTCCAGTGCTTCCTAACTGTATAGGTTTAGACACATTACTCAAGTCTGAATGTTAAATTCCTATCTGTAGGGTTGGGGGTGATCCTGGCTATCTTTTAGGGCTGTTTTGGGGGAAGTTAATGACATATTAAATCATCTGGCAGAGTAACTAACAATAAAGTTGCCAAAGAATGTTAATTTCCTTCCTTCTCCCTTTATTATCCCTTTGAAGCTGAGCTAGCTGGTTTGGCTCTCCCATCACTACTGAATCCCCAGCATCTAGAATAGTGCTAGGCACATAGTAATTCAGTAAGTGTTATATGTATACGTGGCTATGGTGAAGGGAAGGGAGGGTGAAGAACTCTGAAAAATAAGTTTTTGTGTCTTCTCAAATAGTCCTTAATCCAAAGGACTGAAAAACAGCTTTTCACAAGGAAATAGGATGATACAACAATCTGAAAACATACAGTATTACCAAGTTATTTTGAAAGACTGAAAATCATTTATTGGTGCTATGCTAGTACACAATCCCAAGAATTTTAGTTCCTTTTTTTCCCCCTGTTACATTTGTGCTTATTGTTACGTTAACACACATTTCCATATTCTTCAGAATGCTTATACATTAGGTAGGTCCAGGTAGTCAATTGCTTCAACTGCCTAACTCAAACTAGAGTCACACTGTCGTACTAGAATATTATTTCTGTTCTATGACATCTAGGTCACAGACTAGATAAAAATCTATAACTGTTTTATGATTTCTGTGAAAATGTAACATTAGATATATTTTAGAAGAAGCAGAAGAATTTCAAATATCCTTGAAACTTTGAAAGAGATAATAGGAAACATTTTCTTGCTTTTTCGTTTATTCGTTTGTTTTGTTTTTTTGATTATTTCTGTTACCAACCTTGGTGTAGGAAGTGATAGAAGGTGTAGTTATGGGTGTAGGTTCAGCAAACAGACAGACCCGAGTTCAAATCCTAACTTCACTATTTGTTTTGCGGCAAATGTGCACATTTCCTAACCTCTCTAAGCTTCAGCATCTGTCTATCAAGTCGAGATAAGAAGACCTATTGAGTAAACTTAAGAGGATGATTACAGGAGATAATCCATGTAAAGCTGTTAGCAAAGTTCTAGGCACTCAGGAAATGTGAGTTGTTGTTGTGATTATCATTATCATCACTAGTATTACTATGATCAGTAGGATTATTATTAAGAGTTAATTTCAAATTATTTGATTAAAGGGAACTGCCCCATTTGTGAAGCAGAACTTTTTGGCACAGGCAGAATTATCTTGCTAAGGCTGGGAATACACAAATTTTTTAATCCTTAAGTCAAGCTACCTTGTCCACTAAATAATCATGTGGTCCAGATGCCACCATTTGGCTGTTGTAGGATCCACAAAATATTTGAAATTTGAACATCATTCTGTCATAAGTGATAGGGGAGTATACTTAAGAGAAAATTAGATGAAATTTTCCTTTTATCCTAAAAAACAGAGTTAGTTGCATGCTTAGACTAGAAGTTCCATAAGGGCATGGCTTTGTTTTGCTCTAGACTGTACACATGGCAGTAAGCACAGTGCCTGACATTTTCCATAAACATTTGTGTTTTTTGTTTTTTTAGAGACAGGGTACCACTTTGTCATCCAGGCTGGAATGCAGTGGTGAGATCATAGCTCACTGTAACCTGTCACTCCTATGTTCAAGGGATCTTCCCACCTGAGTCCCTGAGTTGCTGGGACTATAGTATGAGTCATCTTGCCCAGCTAATTTTTTTTTTTGTATTTTGTAAATTTTCTTTAGAAAATAGGTCTTGCTATATTGCCCAGGCTGGTCTTGAACTCTTGGCTTAAGCGATCCTCCCACCTCGTTTTCCCAAAGTCATGGGATTACAGGCATAAGCCGCTGCTACCAGCCAAAATTTCTTGATGGAATGAATGAATGACAAGTTTTAGGAAAAAGTTTCTAAATATTATTTTCTTGCAGACTGCTGGATTTAAGGTTTATTTTTAAAAATTAGAAATGTCAGGAGATGTTGCTTCCACATCTCGGATAGGCATACAATATATGAGAAGCAATTTGTATTAATTCATGAATTTATTCATTTGATAATCTAGCTCTCTCTAGTCCAGGAAGTGTGCTAAGTGTTGGGAATAAAAAGATGGAAAGAAACTACCCCCACTTGCCTTCAAGGAAGCTACAATCTCTGATGGGAAGCCATAAATTTGGTTAAAATGACAAGGCAGTTATACATATATACTGTGGTTGGAGATAATAAAGTCTATTTTTAGAAGAAAAGTGCTCTCACAGTAATTCAGCTTACACCTTTTCAAGCTAGTACTTGCCGTAAGAACTAATGTCTCCTTGAATATTCCATCAATATGACAGTAAGGTTTGTTGAAATGTAAGATGTGTTTGACACATGAAGCCTCAGCTGACAGAAGAATTAAGCTCACCTTTTTGTCCTGATGAGTAAAAATGTTCTGAGAGAAAAATTGTATTTCATTTGTAGGAAGATTTGGGATATACTTTGGTTCGGTTTTGAGAAAATATGGTGCAATAAAAAAACTTAAGTAATTACCTTCAGAGTAATATACCCATTTGTTTCTCTCCCAACTAATAGTAAGAGGAGTTTTTTATTGCTGCACTTATCATTTTTTATGATTCTTTTTTGCTCTAGGTGGAGATGACAGAGCATACCTAAATACAAAATGATTTTAAAGTGTACTGGTAAAATGTCTTAAAACATCTTCTCCCTCAGAGGACTTCATTAAGCAAAATTGATTTTTGTAATAAAATATTTATTTATTAGAAGATGGTAGTTTAGGCATTTTAACCCTTGAGGAAAGGCCATTAGCATATACTGTACTCCAAAACAGGAACACTGTTATATAAGTTACTTTTTAAGGCTTGAACAACTTGGATTAGAGCCCTGTATCCTAAAGAGCCTTTTATTTACACTCAAATTTTTATGCATGTCATTATAACTTATGATGATAGATCTGAATTTCCAGGTATTGCCAAGCTTGTTATAAACTGACATCAAGTGCTACAGCTGACTTACTATGGGTCCCATTAATCTTAGTTGCAAAGATGCGTTAATAAAGTTAACACTCACTGGCTCAATAGCAAATGGAATTCCCTCATCTCAGCTTACAAACAGATAAATCATCATCTGGGAGGAAGAATTCACTCTGACTTAAATGATTATTCTCAAGGATTTGCCATAAACCTAGTACAAAGAACCAAGGAGGACACTAAATGCTGCCCAGTAGGACTGGGGTTTTGCCCAGTACGACTGGGGTTTGAGCCAATCTTTTCTTAATTCCCTATCAACATTTTTAAGATATGATTGTGATTATTTAAAAACAAACAAATTTTTTTTAAAAATTAAAATTACTTTACCGCATAATGGTGAAATGCTGATGTGATGTCTTTTACACAAGCCTGGTTAACTATATGCTAACAGCATTGATTAAGCTCAGGGACCACGCTTCCTGTGTCCTCCAGTGAGATGAATTCTTGTTCGAAGACCCCCACCAAACTCTTGCCATACTCGGGTGCCAGAAAATCTCTCTCAGAATGGTGGAGGGGAAGTAATTGGTGTGGAGTTGAAGCAGAGACAGGCTTACCCTGCAGTTGAGGAATCTTTGGAATTAGGGCCCTCCCTTGTACGATGCCTTCCAAAGACCCGGGAAGACTTACTAGTATCTCCGGTTGATTATATATTTTTCTAAAATTTGTAAAAATAAGATTTTTGCATTTGTTTTCATAAAGTAGTCCTTTAAAGTTTCGTAAGCTTTAGACTTAATAATATCTAGGTCCGCTGCTGGGATGGGGCCAAGGGATCTAAGAACTGCATTGTACTTTACATATGATTGAAGAAAAATTACTTGTGTACATCAGCACTTGAATGTGAGTCTCACGTAGAGGGGTGAATGTCTTTCCTGAATCACAATCCTCCATGGCTTAATATAGACTTGAAAGGACTTTGCCCAATGTTTATAATTCTGTTTCTAAATTTATGGAGAACATCTTGGTACTATTTTTTTCCTTTACTGTTTAACATACAATACTACACAGGCAGTACACATCCACTGCTCTCTCCTGTAACAGGATGGTTTTGCACATTACACAGGATTCCCTGCCACCCCCTGCCCCCCGCCATTAACTGGACTGTACCTGGTTAAAATTTCTCCATTCTGAAAGGTCAAGGTTTCTATCTCCTCTCATTGCATTTGAACAGTACCACCACCACCATCACTGATGCAAAATAACCTTTTCATCAAGACATTAGACACTATAAATTCTTAATTTTTATTTTTATGTAAACTAGCTCTAAAGTCTAGTGGCATTATTTACTAAAATTCAACAAATGAATTTCTGAACTGATTCTCCATGAGCGGCATGCTGTCTTGTTTATTAAAGGAGAAGAGACAGGTAGAAGGCAGGAATGGTTTAGGCTTCTTCTTTAAAGCGTTTGTCTGTAAGATAAATATTAGAAGATCTTCAGATTTCTTTTCTCAATGAGCAAATGATACAGAACCTCTATTTGCTTGCTCAGGTTTTATTGGCAATTAGAAAAGCAAAGATCAAACAAAGGAAAAAAATCCTAGAGAATTAGTAATTACCAAGCGTTCAATGCAGTTTTGGAATGTGTGAATTTTAATATATAGGTGTTCCATCTGAGGTTCTGATAGATTCTTAGCCCTAAAGGAGAGGTCTGCTAAGTGCTTTACTGACTACTAAAGGGGGTCTGTGTGCAGTGTCTGGAGAGGCTACAAGTTCAGAGCAGCTGAGATTCAGAGGTGGCTTGACCAAACATGCTGGTAAATGTGGTGATTACCAGATTTTCTGACTCTAAAGTTTATTCTGTATTTACTACTTCATATATTGCCCTTTAATGCTATCTTGCAAAGGATACAATCGAGTGTAATGTGACATAGAAAAGTGTAAGGGTTGATTTTTTTTGTTTTGGGGGTCTCTAGGAAAAGGATGAAGATGTGTAAAAGATACCTTAACTCCACCAAGAGGGGCTGCTGAGTTGGTTGTGTAATGGAGATTTATTTAGTCATCGTCCTTGAGTTTCTGTGTAACCTGGGTAGAAAGAGAGCTCTGAGAACACAAAAAGATGGGGTGGAGTGGGATGTAAGAGCTGAATGGTTGTGAAAAATAAAATGCATTAAAAAGGCATTAAAGAAGACATAGTTATCACTGAAAGGCTAGTTAAGAGGGTACTTCTTTTTTTAATGCATTTGGTTGTTATACCTCTTTATATCTTGTAAAATATTATGGTAATTGAAATAAGCCATTCACAGAAAGACAAATGCTATGGGATCTCACTGATTTGTGGAATCTAAAAAAATTGATATCAGTAGTAGAGAGTAGAATGTTGGTTACCAGAGGCTGAGCAGGTTGAGGGGTGGGGGTTGGGGAGATGGTGGTCAAAGGATAGAACATTTCAGTTAGGAGGAGTAAGTTTAAGAGAACTGTTGTAGAACATGGTGACTATAGTTCATAATGTTTTGTATTCTTGAAAGATGCTAAGAGAATGGGTACAAAGTATTCTCAAACACAAAAGTGGTAACTATGTAAGATAATGCGTATGTTACTGAGCAAGATTTAACTATTTCACAATGTATACATAATAGTTCAAAACATCATTTTGTATGTGGTAAATACACTTTTATGTCTCAATTAAAAAATAAATGTATGGCTGGGTGCAGTGGCTCAATCCTGTAATCCCAGCATTTTGGGAGGCTGAGGTTGGCAGATCACTTGAGGTCACGAGTTTGAGACTAGCCTGACCAACATGGTGAAACCCTGTTTCCGGTAAAAAAAAAAAAAAAAAAAAAAAAACAAAAAAACACAGACAAACACACACACACACACACACACACACACACAAAATTAGCTGGGTGTGGTGGCATGCACCTGTAGTCTCAACCCCTCAGGAGGCTGAGGCAGGAAAATCACTTGAACCCAGGAGGTGGAAGTTACAGTGAGTCAAGATCGCACCACTGCATTCTAGCCTGGGCAACAGAGCAATACTCTGTCTAAAAACAAGAATAAATAAGTAAATTAATAAAGATATTTCTTAAATGTTTGAGGCAACCACAGGAAGTTAAAAGGTGAGGGCAAGTCATTTCAGATATGTTGGAACTGAGTTGTCTTGGTGTTTTATGACTCCATGGCTTTCTCTTTGAAACCTCTGGTAGATGGAGATTGTCAAGATACCATACCATTGGTCTGAGAATCTAGCAAGTAATTAGTCCTCTTTCATTAAGAAAATTATTCACAGGAATCTTTGATCACCATTCATGGCTTTATACACAATATGTTTTCATGAAAATGAACAGTCCAGCATGAGTTTTGTTTGTTCTTTTTGAATATTACCAGTTGATAGACTTGCTGAGCTAATTGAAAGGTACCAAGCCCTTTACCTATGTGGTCTTCATTTAATATGTATCAGATTAAGGGACATGGTAATCTGTTATTCAGAACCCAAATATCTTACAAATATAGGAAAATATTCCTTTTTCTATGGCCCCAAACTCGTGCAGCAAATTTTCTTTTTGCGTCTGTCTTAAACAGCAGTTGGTGGAAGCTTTACAGGTCTTATTGTTGAGGAAGTGACTTTAAATTTTTATTTTAGGCAAAAGCATCTGCAAATTAAGACTGCGGAAAGCAGCAGTGAGAAGATCCTCACAGTTCTACTCAGTTGGGCAATTCTTCACTACTCTGACAATTTAATTGGGTGTAAAAAGAAATGGCAATTAAAAATCAAGAGCTTTAAGTGGGACAACCTACCAGTTTCAAAGTTAGTGATTTTTTTAAAAAATGAGCAAGACTCAAAGACGGTACATCTTTAGTTCTCTAGTTAGTTGTTTCCTATTGAGTATGTTCTGTGCTGAAATTGCCGTATCAGATGTGCCTTTCAATGGCAACTTTTACAAGAGTCTAAAGATAAAGAGAAGTTGAATTCACCCTTTTATGTACATATATAAATACACTTATAGAAATACTTATTTTTAAGAAAGTTTATCTACTCAAGAGTTTCATTTTAAGGATTTTTAGACTCTTTAAATTCAAGCCTTTTGGATTTTTAAAATCAAGACTGTAAGACTTAAAAACAAAGTAGTTTTGTTTGTTCTTTTAAGTAGGAATGAAATCAGTATTGCTTATCCCAGTACTTAGACAAGAGGTGCTACAGAGAAGGGACTCAAATATGTTGCTGAAATAATACATGTCAGTAAATTTTAAAAGTTGGGACATCTAAGTGACATATCTGATGTTGATTGTAGCCTAGTAATCAGGAATAGGAATAAATTACTTATGTACATCAGGTTTTGCACATCCACTTGATAAGAGTTATAAGCATTTCTCCAAAATGAGACAGCAGTTCTCTCTCCTGAGAAGTGCACAAATCTCAGCTGCCTCTCAGATCATAATATGGGTGCTTCATCGACCAACCCTCATCAGAGACACTGAGTAGACATCTTCATTCTCCCAGCCTTCTTTCCCATCTTTCTTCTCTCTCTTCCTTCTTTCTGCAAGTATTTTAGGTAATTGCTGTTATTACTCATTGATTTACTTCACATCCCTTGACCCATCCAAGGTTCATGAACTCTCAGTGTATTTTGGTTTATATCAAATGAAAATATATTTTTATCTCTTATAGAAGAGCCAGATTGGGAAAAAAAGGATTTGTAAATAAGTATTTTGGACAACAGTTATAGAAAGTAGAGTACGGTTGTACTCACAGGGGTGTTCGAATAAATGCCATTTTATACACTGATAATCCCCGATTAAACCACTACCAACTGAACTTCTATATGAGGAAATCAGTGTGTTCTGTGCCAACTGAAGGTCTGGATGAGTTTCAGCTTAGCCTCTCATGGAGGGCATAATCACTTCAGCAGGATTAATAGCATAGTTAAATTATTAGTATTTTTAGCCAGAGTAAATCACATCCAAAACATCTAAGAATAAAACTGTCTAGCCCCTCTGTAATAACATCGGCAGTCTTTATCTCTCACTTGAAAGGTAGTTTTGTATGTGAGATATGCTCTGAAAGTAGGGTATCTATTGTAGTAGCTTTCAACTTTATGAATAAGATTGCAGATATGAGAGAAAAACCACAATCTTTTTTTGATAAGAAATAGTGAATGTTTCTCACATTTGTCATCATTAAAAATTCTGTTAACCACAGACCACGGTTTATTATCTAATCTATGGTTATCATTCTTTATTCAGTCTGCCTAGAGTCTGAAGTAAGGGATCCCTGTGTTCAGTTTTGAAATACTTCTTTCCTTTAACACATGGGCTTTGAAATTTTATGAAGACATGGTAGTTATCAAACTTGTAAAGCAAGGTGTTAAATATTTAGTGCAAAATGAAGTTATGAAGACCATGTACTAGATGAAATTTTAAAGGAGTTTTCCTCTAGCTCATCTGCCATGTTACAACTTGAAAAGTCTCCTGACATCTCGACATTCCCATAAGCTTAGTGTGGACGCTTTTGTCTTTCTGATAAGTTCATTGGCCCGTTGCACTTCAATTGATTTGTACTGATGGTCCAGTACCTAAAAAAGCCTCATGTGGTTAGAAAGTCAGGATATGAGGTTTGGTGGTAGAGTGAATTATGTGTCAATAGTAGATCAACAATTCACTTGTATGACTTTAAAAGTGATTAGCTAACTCTCCTTTATAAAATGTAAAAACTTTCATTCATAAATTTCTTTTTAAATTTTGGGGAAAATGTCTGAATAATAGAAAAGGAATTGTTTTAAATGGTACTAAATTATCAAGATTATTTTCCCCATGAAGATGTTGTTCAAGACTGTGGCTGTAGCACAGACTAGCTGACATATATTGATATTTCATTGAAGCTGAAATATATATTGATTTCATGTTGAAAATATATGGACAAATCTCTTTAGAATGCAAGAAAGGGACGGAAATTATTACTTCCTGATAAGGACAAATTTATTATTGGGGCATGCATTTTCCTCTCAAAATTTTTTTTTCTTTTTAATGTCAAATCAATTTTTTTCCTAATTTTAAGTTAGAATACAGCTATTAAATAAAGACAGGAAAAGCCACTGAGTGTATATAGGTGCCATGCTGGATTTTATGTGTACGAAATTCACTTAGAATGGTTTTGTTCTTATTAGACATTTTTACCCTTGAGGCTAGCTAGTCTTTTAAGCAATGTGAACTAATGCTTCTAAAAACATATAATTCACCTTTTAAAAAAGAGGAGTGACTTTCCTCAAAACACCATGAAAGGCCATTGTCCACACCTAAGAGGACAAATGAAATTAAAATAGACCTAATTTAGACTGCTCTTTCTTCATGTTTAAATAGTGGCGATAGCTTACTTTTTCTCAAAGTAAGCACACTTGATTTTGCATGAGTGCTTGGTGTACTTACTATGCCCTCCTTGAAAAATTTGGGCCATAAGGTTTAATTGCATGCTCATCAAGCAAACAGACTTGGAGGTATATTCTCTGAGCCGTGGGCTCCCACAGCTCCCATTAACGCTAATGGGAGTTACACATGTGTATTGAGGAGAGAATAATATAGCCTTTGAAGTTGGAGTTGCTAATTGAGTGCTTTCTTCAGCTGTGCTCAGCTTCAGTGGCTAAGCTGAGTTAGAGTGGTCTAAAATGTCATTCTGGTAAAGCCCCCAGAACATTATCAAAGCAGGTTGGCAGTGAAAGAGACAGCTAAAAAGAAGTCTTTCTCACCCCTCAGATGGAGAAAGAATTAGCAGGCCAAACAAAAGAAGGAGCAAAGAAGTCTCAAGAGTGGGCTCTCCTTTCTTTAAAAGTAGCTTGAGCTGATTTAGTTCAGAAAGTGGGAAAATAGGAAGCCCTCTTCCTTGGTGGAGTTACTTGCCATATGTAGATTACTTTTTGTGAAATATGAGGACTAGTCAGGGCTAAGTAATTGTCCAACTCTGTCGTAGACTTTGGCTAACAGATACTTGTTCCTGAAAGTGACCGGATGTCTGTCATTTTGTCTTGTGTCTCATGTCTTTTGTCTCATTTTGTCATTTTGTCTCATGTCTAAAGGTCCAAGATCCCAATGTGCCAGATCCCTTATATGCCCTCTTATTTCTTGCATAAACTCCTTTGTAGTAGTTATCTTTGCAAAGATATGAGAAGCTGTAGGATTCTACATTGTAGGGCTCTACATAAAAGGAAAATGAAATTGACTCAGTCCTAAAGAGTACTTAAGTGATTATCTTCTCTATTTCAGTCTACCCTCATTTATCCTGGCCTTCCTTACAACATTCAGCATTAATCTGTGTGGCATCTTATCAAACTGAATACAGGCAGGGAGGTCTTTTACTATGAATAAACCTATACCTGGTCATGGGATGATCAAACCTCTGAACTCATTAGTCTCATTTGCCACAAATGCATAAACTGGTTGCCTTGTTTGACCTTAGCTGTGACTGCATGTGTTGGGCAACTCAAATATTTTGCCACTGTATGAAATGGCTGAAATCACCATAAGTATTGACTTGGAGGTTACAAATAAACTTTAGCAAATAGGTGAATTCACAAATATGAAGAATGAGGGTCAAAAAGCTCAGTGTAATACCATTGCTTCTCCTGGAAGCATATCTTAAATGACATTTACCAATAATGTATTAATCATGTCATATTCACATCTGAATGACAGTATATTAAAAATAACACTATATCAAATAACAGAACAAAACTAGAGAAACTCATATTCTCACTAATAGCCTCCCAGACTTACCATAATGTGAAGGACACAACTTTACTATTTTATAGAAAAAAAAAAAACTGCAAGAATAGCGATACTCTTCTTTGATAAGAGCTAGTTCTAAAATGACAGACTATTTATTCATTTAGGAAAGTTCTTGCAGAAAAGACAGTTGGGCTGAGAATGTGAAAATGTAATTCTCCTGGTCCCTCAGGGTGTAAGAAAAACAACTAAACCAGTTATGAAACTGGTGGTTGCCTCTGTGGACTGTCATGTAGAAGAGGGATTAGACTCATTTTGTGTTCATGCAGACAGCCAAATCAGGCTCAGCGAGTGGCAGATTTTTGGATTGGTCCCAGGAAGAACTCTGGAATGATCTCAGCTTCCTGAAAATTACCAGGGCAATTTTAGGAGGTAGAGGTGAGTGATCATTTTCTGGGGGTGCTAGAGAGGCAGGAGATTCAAACTTTGGGTAAAAAACACAGCATGATGATGTCAGAGAGTCTGTGATGCTATGATATTTTAATCTGCCCTTTATTCCCACTTGGATTTATTTTTAGTTTTAAAAAAAATAAGTCAGTAGCAGAATAGTCTCTCAAGTATTTCTAGATATGGTTGAAGTGCTCTGTTTCCCAGAAGGAAGGCAAAGTAAGATATTATAATGTTTACACCCTTAGCATTAATGTCAGGGATAGTACCTTTCCCTTCCCCTTCCTGCTCTCTCTTCTAGAAATGGAAGAGGCCACTGAGATGAAAGAATGCCATTTCTCTTTTAAAACATTTGCAGAGTAACTTTGTCTTAATCTACATGTGCTTTTTTATATTTGTTATTCAGTCTATTCAAAAGTAACATTCTTTGAATACCTGTTATGTGTTGGAAGTAATGGAGAGCTAAGACATCCTACCCTTTGCCCAGCACGCACACCAAATATAAGTAAAATATAAGTCTTTTTTTACTAATGAATAAATGTTAGGGTTTTGTTATTGACAGAATGTTGAATATAAACACATGAAAGTACTAACTACTGGTGTTATTAATAATCCTTTCCTTTTTGTAAGTTTTAATACCTAATCAGTCTGAAGGCACGGTAGTAGTTCATAACAATGCCATACCCAATCACAGAACACATCATGATTTAAACTAATCGATTATAATTTTAAATAATCACTCTAGAGGCAATTGTTTAAAACATGCTAATAGTCTTGCATAAAAAAGAATGTGAAATGTCTTCATTGTTCTCTACTGGAGAAAAGTTGAGGCAGGTACCACTTGTA
Source organism: Homo sapiens (assembly GCF_000001405.40). Taxonomy (NCBI): domain Eukaryota; kingdom Metazoa; phylum Chordata; class Mammalia; order Primates; family Hominidae; genus Homo; species Homo sapiens. Next base: position 8,612,755 of record NC_000009.12, on the reverse strand, counting down.
TGTGGGTGGTCCCACCAGCCTCAGGGTCCCCCAGAAGTTGTCATCCTCTTCTCACCTCAGTGAACATCCCTCCAAAACACTGCATTCTTATTTCAGTCAATAGTACCGCCATCCTTCTCCCTGTGTCCAAGTTCGAAGCATGTGGATTTTCATTAACTTATTCTTCTGTCTTGCTTCTTCTGACCAATGCATTCCCATGTAATAACTGACAAGTGACCCTTGTGTTTTTCCTTACCTTCCGATTTGCTTCTAACACCTTAATTGAACAGCTTCCTTTCTCCATTGTACAGCCTCTCAAATGATCTATCTACAGTTTCACTCAAACACCTCCACTTAATTCAGGTACAGCTGCCAGTTGTATCCTTTGCCTATAGACTCAAATTCATACATTTAATCTTGGCCTTTAAATGAAATGAACATTTTTCAGTGCTTTTGAATTGATATGGCCAAACATACAAAAGCAAACAATGGAATATGAAATATAAATATACTTACTGGATGAATCGTGTAAAGGAGATATGTTTTGTAGGATATTTAGGTATAAAAAGGAGTAGTTAACATTGAAATATCATCTTTCTGGAAGTTATAATGAATGCTATTCCTGCTTCCTTTCCTTTTGTTTTGTTTTGTTTTGTTTTGTTTTCTTTTCTTTTCACAAGGTCTTGATATTTAGGTACAAAAAGGAGTAGTTAACATTGAAACATCGTCTTTCTGGAAGTTATAATGAATGCTATTCCTGCTCTCTTTCCCTCCCCTCCCAAACCCTCCCCTCCCCTCCCCTCCCCTCTTTTGTTTTCTTTTGTTTTCTCTTTTCTTTTCTTTTCTTTTCACAAGGTCTTGATATTTAGGTACAAAAAGGAGTAGTTAACATTGAAACATCATCTTTCTGGAAGTGATAATGAATGCTATTCCTGCTCTCTTTCCTTCTCCTCCTCTCTTCTCCTCTCCTCTTTTTTCTTTTCTCTCCCCTCCCCTCCCCTCCCCTCCTTTCTTTTCTTTTCTCTTTTCTTTTCTTTTCTTTTTTCTTTTGTCTTTTCTTTTTTTCTTTTGACAGGGTCTTGCCCTGTCACTCAGGCTGGAGTGCAGTGGCTGGATCACACACAGGTCATTGCAGCCCAGACCTTCCAGGCTCAGGTGGTCCTCCCACCTGACCCCTGCCAGTAGCTGGGAATACAGGTGCACACCACCATGCCCTGCTAATTTTTGTATTTTTTGTAGAGACAGGGTTTTGTCATGTTGCCCAGGCTGGTCTCGAACTCCTGGGCTCAAGCAATTCACCTTCCTCAGGCTTCCAAAGTGCTGGGATTACAGGTGTGAGCCACTACGCCTGGCCCTGCTCTGGTTTTTATTCCCCTTTCTTTCCATCCTTTACCCCATGTTCTGGTTGGTCACTTCCATTTTCCTCATCTTTTAGTGACGTCATCATAAGGATAGCTTTGCCCAACTGGCAAGTCCTACCAATATTTGTGATAGTTAAAAAAATATATATCCTCTGATTAGAACAGAGTCAGGCTCATTTAACTTTGATATTCTTGTTTAACAAATGAACAATCAGCTTTTTGGTTATTTTCTTACTTTACAGGGGATACCATTAAGAAAAACATTCTCAGTTGTGAAAAGTAAGGAATTACATCTATTTTAGTGATTATAAGAAATGTAATCTTTTGGATATGTTATTTTTTCATCACGTGTTTTGAGTATCCTAGTATTTATGAAAAGAATAAACCATAAATTTAGATGGAGGACCATATAATATTTCAACATGAAAATATAAAACCATAATGGTTGTTGATGTGGAAAATGTTAATGTAATTAGCTAGGCTTAGAAAAACTTACTTTCAGCATGTTAGCAGCTGGCTAGTAAAGTTATTTTTCTGGGGCTTGTTGTTGCCCTTTCATCTAAACCAGATCACGTCCTGTTGTATGGTTTAATGAAATGATTATATGGAAAATAAAAAGTGCCAGGAAATTAAAGCTCTTCTAAAAACTAAGTAGAATAACACAGCAGAACTAGACTGGATGAAATAATGTCCCTGTAACTTCAAACAGTGAATGAAACCACAGTGGTGCACCAAGACTGGCATTTGGCTATTGAACTGAATATTTATGAGTAAATACTTTAAAGGTCAGTCTGTGGTGCTTAGCATGCCCACTCCTTGACTTTCGCAGCTTTTTTGCTGTTCAAATAGAATGGTTTAAGTTTTCATTTGTCTAACAGAGAGGAAAGAAGCATCAGCCCTTGGTTTTTAGTTTGGATTCAGGTATCTATAGGAGACCATGTGGTGTGGCTGGGACACTGGGCTGGGCACCAGAAAAACTAGGATCCCATCCCAGAATCGACACTAACTAGCAATGTAATGTTGAACAAAAACCCTAGGCTTTCCAGTGCCTCAGATTTTTTCCTCTGAATACTGAAATTGATAATAGCCACCATTTATTGAGTATTTAATATGTGCCGAACAGTATGCTAAGTGCTTTACAAAAAATATATATATGTGTTTTACTTTTCACAGCAATCCTGTGAAGTATTATCTCTTTGAAATAGATGGGTGCACTGCAGTTCAGAAAGAGCAGTGTTTGCACAACAACAAATAATAATGATGATGATAAAGATCACTTAACAAAAAGTGTGCTGCTATGCCAAAATACTTAAAATGTGTGCTACTCTTAAACCACTTTAGTCTACAGGTTAGCCCATTTAATCTCGATATCAGTCCTGAGGGATAGGTAGAAAATTAGTTCTCCCACTTTACTAATAGGGAGCCTGAGCTACAGTGAGCCTTAGTAGCTCAGCTCGTAATCAGAACTTAATATGAATCTAATCTTGTCTTATTCAACATTTATGTTGGAGTTTTTAATGTAGGAAATATACTGAATTTTTTCTCCTTTATATTATTTGTATAAGGAAAAAATACGGTTAAAAGGAAGGAAAAAGTCAAATGATTAAGGGAAAACCTCAAAATACTCAAGTATCCCTTCCATTTTTATGAATTATGAGCAAATCATTTATTGCAGGGTAATTTAGTACCTATAACCAGCTATTAGTAAAAATAAACTTGAGTTAAATAGTGATGTTCAAATGTGGATTTTGTGTTGATTTATAATTTTTATTTAATTTTACTCTTTAAGTGCCCTGTTTTATGAGTGGTGCTAAATTGCTCCTGTTCTGTGGTTTTTGTGTATGGATGAGCAGAGATCTTCACATGGTAACACAAGCTTCCGTGGAATGCACATCCACCTGATTCAGGCATCCAGTTACATACTTGTCACATATTAATTTAGTTTATTTTCATGATACTTCTATCATAAGGGCAATGCTTTTCACAACTCATCAATCTAAAATAAAGGTAAGAAAAGATGACAAAACCACAAAACATGAAACAGAGCCTGACCTTGAAGAAACTGACTTCACATCCCATATCCTTCCTATGCTCTGTGCTGCTGCCCTTTATGGAGTTACCTCCTAAACACCCTGTCCAGTGCTGCCACGTGAACACACTCAAGTCCTGGGATGCAGCCAAGCATATGTGAAATGATAAAGTTAATATGTCTCATCTTCCCGGAATATCAGCTTTTCTCAGAGATTGAAGGAAAACAAGGATTATTTAATATTAAAATTACATTCATTGAGGAGACAAACGTAAAATTCTCATTCACTTTTAAGATGAGACAAGATGTGAGAATTTTGTTTTTGTTGATGGTTGTGCTGCACTTTGCCCACAGATGACTCTGGTCCTCTGAATTATAGAGGTGATATGTGGGAAACACTGAGAAGCCTGTTTTTCACCTGGTTGCTTCTTTGCGAAGTCCTGTCTGAGTCTCATCACTCTGCAAAATGCCTCAACCACTTGACTTGTGCTGATTCACTCTCTTTGGGCCACTTATCCTTTCCCAATTGTAGAGATAAAGTACATATGGCCCGATTCATGAAGATCCCTGAAGAGAAATTTCCATAAACCCCTCCAGAATTAAGAAAATTAAAGGAGTACTTCTATTCTTCCTTTTTTATTTTTTTCGGTGCATTTTCAAAGTTCTGTTTACATCATCCATTTGCCGTCAGTACTCTAATGGCAACTGCTATTCATGTACTAAACGCCGTGATTTTCCAGTATTCTGGCTGATTTGATATATGTGGACAGTTAATTCAGATTCAGATTCCCTGCTGCCCTGGAGCAGGGGATGGGTCAAGCCATAAGAAGATATGGGAGAGACACTGAGAGTCTCTGAGTGGTTCTAAGTGACTCTCTTGGAATATACCAGTTGCTTTAGATTTGAGCGCTCTGCTGGGTGAACAGGGAGCGCTAAAATATACCACAGTGATGCTTTGCTAAGTGGCATTCTAGAGTTTGGAAATACCTCTCGTTCTTCCTATCTAATCTCTTTATTAGGAATACCATATGCTGGCCCTTTTGTAGTATAAGCAAAATACTTTACTAAAATTTTATAATGTGCCGTTTTTCATCCCTATTTCATGACAGCTGAACTGGATCATCCAAGTCATGAAATTTTACTTTGGAACTTGAATTAGTTCAACTATTTGTATTATCCGGGTTAATAGGGTAACAGTAATATCTTCAATTCAATATGTAATGTATAGATATATCCTATACAGAAGTCTAGATTAAAAAAAAAAAGGTTTAGAAATACTGTGTCCTATTCTCAGCTATATGCGGAATTGAATAATGGAAAAACAGTGTACTGGGTTATCGGATTAGAATGCAGTGCGTCGTAAAAGCTGACATCCTGTAATCACAGATGTTTGCAGCCCAAGTGTGGCAGGCAGCCTCCATGTTAACTTGAATAGAGTTATATTTGACATGTAAACATGTGACACAAGAATAATATTTGTTTCCTATAAAGTCCACCATAATGTAAAAACATCCCTTAAACTTATTGCTAGGTTGCCTTAAAATTATATATCCTAGATTTGCAATAAACTGTAATAAAATAAATATTTGTGTTTATTTATTAAGTGACTATTCTATGAATCTCCACGAGGTTTGGCATGGCAGCTCTAGTAGGAGATGGTCATTCTCCATTGCAAATGGCATTATAACCAGGGGCCACTCCCATTCGTTTTTAATTAATTAATTTATTTTTTAATTTTTTTTCCGAGACAGAATCTCGCTCAGTCTCCCAGGCTGGAGTGCAGTGGCGCAGTCTTGGCTCAGTGCAACTTCTCCCTCCCGGGCTCAAGCAATTCTCCTGCCTCAGCCTCCTGAGCAGCTGGTATTACAGGCGCGTGTCACCACGATCAGCTAATTTTTGTATTTTTTGTAGAGACGGGGTTTCACCATGTTGACCAGACTGATCTCAAACTCCTGACCTTGTGATCCACCCACCTCAGCCTCCCAAAGTGTTGGGATTACAGGCATGCGGCACCGCACCCGGCCCTATTCCTACTTATTTTATGAATTTTTTAATTTGCTGTTTATATGCTTACAGATTTTAATAGACAAAATTGTAGATACTTACCATGTACATGATGTTTTTAAGTATATATACACTGTGGAATGACTAAACCTAGCTAATTTACATATGCATTAACTCACCTAGTTATATTTTTTGTGGTGAGAATTCTTTATATCCGCCCTCTTAGCATTTTTCAAGAATATAATATTAACTATACTCACCATGTTCTACAATAGATCTCTTGAACTTGTTTCTCCTAACCAAAATTTTGTATCCTTTGTCCAATGTCTTCCCAACTATTCCAAACCCTGCAGCCCCAGGTAGTCAGCATTCTACCATTGATTTATGTGTCTGCTCCAGCCCCCATTGGGCTTCTGTTGAAGTTAAGCATTCAAGTAAGGTTTTCTTTACCTAAGACTATTGTCCTGCTTCTACAGAGAGAGATGCCCAAATTTGGTCACACAAAAAAAACTGTGACAGATCCTGGATTCATTTATAATTTAAGCAATGTGCTTTGTGAACATTTTGAATAAAGTTTCTGTAACTTAAAATGTGGCAACTAAGGAGGTGAGAGAGATTATTGTATAGATATAAAAATGACCTTCCTCTAGCATAAAATATAAACAAAATATGAAAAGACTGTTTAGCATTGTTTTCATGTGCAGAAGGGGTGGAGGTGTTTAGGAGAAAGGGAGAAAGGCAGAATGGATTTCAGAATATCAAGCATCATGTAGTGAAGTAAAGCTTGGTGCCCTAAATAGCATCTGGGGTTGGTTTCCCTCCTTCAACAGTTACTTATTTACTCCCTGGAAATAAATTGAAAACTTATTTCATCTCTTTTATACATCATATGGTCTGGATTCTTGATGCTTGCACATAGGAAACGTATGTCTCTGCATATGCTTCATGTCTCTTCATTTGTTAGGTTGAGAGGCCCCTGTAAGATGCTATTCACAGGTAATTGATTTTCCTTCTCTTGGCTTTTCTTCCCCACATGAAAGGACTAGACTGTGATCTTCCTCAAGGCATACTGGCATTACATTAGCATTCTCTAATTGTAGAATCATGCCTATTGGCTACTGTGAGGGGGTGTGTGTGTGTGTTTGTGAATGCATGTAAAGACAGTTATTTGGACACTTTTCCCTCCTTTCTTTTCCTTCCCTTGGAACCTCCTTCCTCCTTTCCTCATCACTACATTCCACAAAGGAATTCCTGGAGACATGCCTTCAGAGAGATTTTGTCCACAATTGTATGTAGATCCATTCATTGTTTTGTGCTTATAAAGCATAAAATGGAATGAAATAAGGATCCTTTTAGTTTAGGTTCTTTAGGATGATATAGTATACGATGTACATCCCCACCCCTCGACACCCCCGCTCCCCGAAAAATAAAAACAAAAACAAAAAAACCCAAAGGACTCATCCATGCTGTGGCACACCTGTGCTTCTGATTTACATGCTACAAATCGTATCAGAGAGGTGGCTGTAATAGCTGGTAGGATGATCAATCCCTAGTAAGTAGAGTATGCTTATGTTGCCAACTTCCATAGAGATGAGCAGAAAGGCCTGGAAGTGGTGTAAGTCTGTTGAAGCACAAGGTAATGGCATGAGTGCTGAAGGGAACCAACGTGCACTGATGTCACATCATGTGCAAAAGCATTCTGCCAGGTGATTTAGGTACATTCTCCTTTCATCCTCACAGTATCTTGAAAGTTTTATATTATCCCTATTTATGTAGAGATGGAGGCTTCCAGAGGCTTAGTAACTTGCCTAAAGACTCACAGTAACTAGCCCATCTAGAGTAAACCCATGTTTGTTTTCTGACTGTAACCACTGAGGAGTCTTCACTGAAGCTCTTCTCTTTTGTGAAATGAAAGAATCCGCCTTCTTTGACCCAATGGTTTCAGGTCATCTCAAAAATGGTTTTGGTGAGGTAGAAAATGGCTCTCAGTTTTTTTTCTCTAGTTCGGTTGAATGAGCTCAAAGAGCAGGCAAAACTATGATAATGAAGTTAAATTCACAACCCATTAAACCTAAGCCAATAGTTAAGTCCAATTATGCTTAGCACTTGCAGCTTACATAAATATTAAATTGTCAGGTTTAATATACTTCAAAATTTGCTCACCCACATTTTTCCAACTTCATTATTTTAAGGTCTGCTGAGGCATATTATGTTGGCAAAATGCTTTCTTGCTGAAGAGGTTGATAGAAGAAGAGTTTATTTGTGGCAGTTGGGTTGGGAGCATGGGCAGTTGCACAGTTTGATAGGCCAGAGGTTACCAAGAGTGATTCAACTAATAGATTAAAAGATGGCAGTTTATTTTTGTTTTGTTACTTAAATAAATGGAAAACCCAGAAATCAAATTGCTATTGTTCCTAAATAAGTTGCATGGAAAATAACTTGCTTACTTTCCCATACCTCCTCACTGGATATTTGCACCTAAATGTATTGCAGTAATCTCAGGCTATACATGTTAAGGGATGACCTTATTTTCTCTCCCATTTTCTATATTTTCCATCTCAGTTAATGGCATCATCATACCCGTTTATGAAAGCCTGAAAACTCACAGACTTACTTGATTTCTCTTTTCCTCCTTATTCCACCAAACTCAGTAGGCAATAGCTTAGGAGATAATTGATTACTTCAGAAATGCATCTTAAATTTGACCTCCTCTTTTCATGCTATATTTATCTGATTTAGCTTGAGTCCCCCTTATTGCTTTGGGGATTTTTGCAAGGGTTTTGGCATCTGTTCCTTGACTGTCCACTTTGGTATCATTCCCCAGTGGCTATAGGAGAAAACCCTGAGGCAGTATGGCCAGGGTCCCTTGCTGGCCTCATCTTGGACTTACCCTTATCTGATGTAATGTACTTCATGCTCTTGTCAGGCTGAACTTTCCACTCAAAAAATATCATGCTGTGCTTGTATTTCTCTGCCTTAGTAAGTCTTCTTCCTTTCCCACCCTATCTGTGATTCATCCAGTTAATGTTTACTGGGAAATCTATTCCTCTGAAAAAGATCTAGCTCATATATTACTTCCCTGGCTATTTTCTGAGATCTAATGGTCCTCTCTTGTGTGCCACTGTGGCACTTTGCTCTTTCCTCGACTATACCTTAAAGCATTGTGTTTTACTTCATGCATGGGTCTCCCCTCCTCTCCTGGGAGGATCTTGAGGTTAGAGACTATGTCTTGTTTTTGAGTTCCTTACTTTACAACAACAGTACTGGGCACATAGTAGATTGTCAATGAATGTTAATTCATTGACAGTATGATATGCTGGAAGCTGAAGTGAAGAATTAAACACTCTCAGCATAATTGTTTAATTTTGGATATATGTAGTTGTGAGAATAGCTATATTGTGTTTCCAGGACAGGTAGGAGAAACTTTGAGGCATGGTTGATAGGAAACACATTATAGTGTCTAATGCTTTTTAATACAAAGTACATGTTTTCATTGTAGCCTTTCTTCTAATTAGTTGGGCTTTTCCATTAAGGGATTTCACTATAACTAAATTGTGAAATATTTGCATGTGGAAGCAATGTATAATTGTTTGTTTCCTCCAAAGTCCTGAAAATATTTCTAATTAATACTTTATTATTGATAGATTGATTATATCAATGGATAGGAGAGTTAGGACATGTACTTTTCATCAACTTCCCTTATAAGTAACAACTATAGTTGGATTTATATTCTAAGTTGATTAATCGTCTAACTGCTTGCTGAATTCGGGTGACTTCTATTGACAGCATCTGCTTCTCATATAAAGGAAGTATTTAACTTAAAAAATGGTGCTTGGGGTGCTAAGGTTCTTCTTTTTATTCACGTTATAGGAAAAAAGTTCTCAAATAAGTGAGAAAGCAAACCGTTAAGGAGATGTAGCTCCAGTGTTACAAAGTAAATACTTTTGAAACCACTGACTGGAGAAAGCTGTCTATAGGGCCAAAGACCCAGCCTTTCTACTCACACCAAGAGTTTAAACTGTTGTCTAAGTACAATATAATATTTAAGAAAACTTAGATTTTTTTCTTTTGCAATTACAATAAAAGCAACCTTTAAATCCAGTTTAATCTAATAATTGCCTTGTAGTTCCCCAGCTGATGTCTGTAAAGAGTAATGAATGATTTTACAAAGACTGAATTAAGCAACTTATAAATGGTGAAACCTCTGAAGTCAATGCAAGTTTATTAAAATCATTATTAGTTTCTGGTAAGGATTATAGTATACTTCCATGAATACAAATCATCTTGCAGGTAATAGAATACTACTTATGATTAAGAACCTCTGTTTGAAACCTAAAAATTGATTAAGACAGGTTTAGTTGCTATATTTTTTTGCAGTGTTGTTGGAATCTCTTCATCTTCCAGTGGCAGCAGTCTAAGGAAGACTAATTCAGTGGTGGGTTTGACTAAAGGGGATTATATCGAATGAGTTTATGCAGATGAATGAATTAGTTGAATGAGTATATGCAGGTGCATAGAGATGGAGATGGAATTAAAGCTAGGATACAGATATAGAAAGATATTCACATTCATTTTGTGTATATACAAATGCATATATATGCACATGCATCCATATTCATTTATTTATGTAACTGCATGTTTCTCTTAGTTTGGGCATGGTGCTGACTCTGGAAAAATATTGATGCAGGTTGAGTTCATTCAAGTTGACAGTCTTTTCTATTGACGATTGTCTGTAGTGTCTGAGCACATGAGACTATTACAAAGAGATGTTGAAGGCCGTTTTGGTTTTATGTCAGATAAAAACATGCTGATTCCTGCTGCAGTTTTGAAAAACAATTTTAAAAATTAAATATTTGTTTGTATATTGTCTTTTTACACGTTTAGGGAATTCATCATCTCATGAAACAATGGTCTCTGGTATTCTCATTCCTGATAAGGCTCATAGTAAGTTTATATCATGTGGCAAGAGTCACAGTTGCTGTTGTCATCCTATTTATAAGTGGAGAGAAGAAGCACCACCAAAGGCTTATACAGACAAGGTAGTGTGAAGTCTCAGAAGCCCTGGGCAATGAGGAAGGTGTATGCCAGCAATATCTAGGGGTCTTTACAGATAGATGTAATTGTAAACACCTTAATTGTGAAAACATGTTCACAGTTTTCTATTTAGAACTATTGGCTCAGGTGAAAGATAGAATGCTAAGGTCGTTTATAGAAACACTTTTCTTTCACCAGTTTATTGGACATTGTGCCTGTAAATATATGCAGAGGGAGTTCCTGTCATGTTCCATTTTTCCCTCCTTTTCATCTTCTGTTTGGTAGCACATTGCTAAGTGTAAGTGACTGAGTGTAGAGATGGAGATCTGATATCTTCTACCCTTTTCTGTCCTTGCAGTGCACTACATTGGGTCACCATTGTCACTACCTATAATTATTTTCATCTCCATACTGGAGGTCCATTCCAGGCTGGTTGTGTACCTTTTGTACCTAGATTCCCCAATCTGGCACAATGACTAGGTGCTTGATACATATTTCTTAACTGACTAAATTAATAAATGTATGGTTTTCTAATTTTCCTTTTCCAACCCTGATAATATGTGCTTTTGATCATTTGAATTCTATGCTATTCGTTTAAGAATTTACTCTGTGACAACACTGTCAATCAGTAGGAAAAACAATACTGCCATCAGTAGCATCCCAACCCCAATAGCACAGTGGTTCTTGGAGACTTGTAGATGTTTTGCCATTTTGGTCTTGGATAGGCTCCAGAAAAGTTCTGTGCATTACCAGGCAGAAACTGTTGTTCTCTTGCCTTACTTTCTCCCAAACAAATGGAGTCTGTCTCTGTGTGCTGAGCTGCCTGGAGCCAAGGGTGAGGTCATAGAAAAAACCCTGTGGCCATCACCACTGGGACTATGCTGTGTCATAGCTGAAGCAAGAATAGCACTGAGTCTTGCCCAAGGCCTGCTGTAACCATTACCTGGCTACTATCTATGTTTGCTCAAGGCCATAGGGCTCTACAGTCTGCAGGTGGCAAAGCCATCCAGGCCTTCTTTTAAGGGTGGTGAGTTCTGCCAGGCTTGTGGCAGATTCAGAGATGCCATCTGGGAGCCAGGGACTGGAGTCAAAAACTTTAGAAGTCTACTTGGTGTTCTAGTCTGCTGTGGCTGGGCTGGCAATAAAGCCATATGACATAGTGCTTCTCACTCTTCGGTCCCCTTTCCACAGATAGAGGAACATCACACCATGGCCACCACCACGGGCCCATAGGGAGTACTGCCAAGCTCCTGCCAGTGTTCACTTAAGGCCTAAAAGCTCTTCAGTCAGCTTGTGGCTGCCAGGACTGGGACTCACCCTTCAAGGCGATCAGCTCTTTGGCCCAGGGCAGGTCTAGAAATGCCATCCAGGATGCTGGGGACCCGGAGAGCCTGCCTGGTGCTTTACCCCACTATGGCTGAGCTGGTACCTCAGGTGCAAGACAAAGTTTCTTTTTTATTTTTCCCTCTGCTTTTCTCAAGCAGAAGCAGTTTCTCCCCATAGCCACCACAGTTGGTAATATGATGGTTCTCACCTGAAACCAGCATGTGTTTGAGACTTACCCAAGGCCTGTGGTATATTACCTGGGTATTACTGCTGGTTCTTTAGGGACTAAGGGCTCTTTAGTCAGTAGGGTCTGGATTCTGCCTGGACTGGGTCCTTTGCTACAAGGCAGCAGGTTCCCTTCTGGCCAAAGATGTGTCTAGAAATATCAGGGACCTGGGGCCTATAATGGGGACCTCATGACCTGACCAGTGCCCCATCCTACTGTGGCTGTGTGGGCATCCAAGATGCAAGACAGAGTCCTCTTTACTCTTTCCTCTTCTATTCTCAAGCAGAAGGAAAGGGTGTCTTTTAGAGCTGTGAGCTTTGCTGCCTGGTGTTGATGGAGGGGTGATCCAAGCACTCCCTTAACTACCCAGGCTGGAGTGTTAGTAGGTTACATGCCCCTCCAGTCCACTGGCCGTGAGCCCAGTGCAGCACTAGGACTTGCCTAGGAATTTCAGTATTTGTGGCCTAGACTGCCCCTGGAGTTCACATACGGCCTCAGAGTGCTTCAGCCTGTGATGGTGAGGCTTGTGGGAACTCAAGCTCTGACTGCTGGGATGGGCAATCCCCTCCGTCTGGCTAGGCCAGTCCAAATGCCCCCTCCATGGGCAGGTGTCGGCTGAATACAGCCTGGTTCTGCTTTCCACTGTGAGAGGGCAGCACTGAGTTGGATGAAAGCCTCCCATTCACTGTGCTCCACCCATCCCAAGCACATAGATTCCTTACACTACCAGGCTGCAGCCAGGGGATGGGGGAGGGGCAGCGTGGGCAATTCACCACTGTCTTTTCTACCTTCTTCAGTGCCTCTTTCAACAATATGAAATCAAAATTAGGCACTGCGAGTGCTCACTTGATTTTTGGTTTCTACCAAAGGGGAGGGGCCGGCCAGGCGCCGTGGCTCATGCCTGTAAATTCCAGCAATTTGGGGGGCCGAGGCTGGTGGATCATCTGAGGTAGGGAATTTGAGACCAGCCTGACCAACATGGAGAAGCCCCGTCTCTACTAAAAGTACAAAATTATCCAGGCGTGGTGGCGCACGCCTGTAATCCCAGCTACTCAAGGAGGCTGAAGCAGGAGAATCGCTTCAACCCAGGAGGCGGAGGTTGCAGTGATCGCGCCGTTGCACTCCAGCCTGGGCAACAAGAGTGAAACTCCGTTTCAAAAAAAAAAAAAAAAAAAAAAAAAAAGGGTGGGCGGGTGGGGGAAAGGGCCATCAGTAGAGCCCTCATCCATCTTGCGTTCCCCCTTTTGTTTTCTGTGAATTTTGTGTTTTGTAACTTTCTACTTTTGAATTAAGAAAAAAAAGTATCAAAAAAATTCATTACTCCAGAGTTATTGTTTGCATCAGTTTTGCAAACACAAGATGTTCCATAGGTAACTGATGCTTCAATGACTTTTGTTTTGTTTTTACTTTTCAGAAGAGATGGGGTGCATTCAGGGTGATATAGACAGATATGGCCATAGACAGTTTTTACTTTTTGTTTTAGTCTGTTCCCACGCTGCTAATAAAGACATACCTGAGACTGAGTAATTTATAAAGGAAAGAGGTTTAACTGACTCACAGTTCCACATGGTTGGGTAGGTCTCACAATCATGGTAGAAGGCAAATGAGAAGTAAAGTCATGTTTTACATGGTGGAATGCAAGAGAATGTATGCAGGAGAACTCCCCTTCATAAAACCATCACATCTCATGAGACGTATTAAGTCTCATGAGAACAGCTTGGGAAAGACCTGCCCACTTGATTCAGTTATCTCCCACCGGGTCCTTCCCAGGACACGTTATAATTATGGGAGCTACAATTCAAGGTGAGATTTGGATGGGGACACAGACAAACCGTATCATTTTTCAGTTAAAGTTCAACCTTTGTCTCCTTTTCCAGCAAAGGAGCAGAACTCTATACACTCTGTATCTTTTGCTATTTTGCTTCTACGTCTTGAAATGTCTAGACTTGGGATTAATGATTCCAACTTGGCTCATAGATTGATAACCCAAGCATTTTAACTCGTTGGAAGACAGCATTTCTCTGAGAAGGTCAGACAGTGGTTTCCTTTACAAATGGCTCTTCCAATGAAAGATCCTCTCCCATTCATGATGAAGGATACTTTTTAGTGCTATGAAGTATAAGCAGCATTGTACATTTGATTGGTTTTTGGAAATAATTGCTTGTGTTAAAAGGCATGATCTGATAGAAAGACCATTTTCCTAGCCTGTTTTCTAAGGGTCAAAAATATTATGCTTTCATATTGACTGATTATATGTCCTTTATTGTTTCAGTACTTTGATACTTTTCAGATGCTGGGTTTATTTGTTTATTTATTTATTTATTTATTTTATTTTTTTGAGACAGTCTTGTTCTGTTGCCTAGGCTGGAGTGCAGTGGCATGATCTCGGCTCACTGCAGCCTCTGCCTCCTGGGTTTAAGCAATTCTCCTGCCTCAGCCTCCCGAGTAACTGGGATACCTGGGACCAAAGGAGCATGCCACCATACTGGGCTAATTTTCATATTTTTAATAGAGACAGGGTTTCACCATGTTGGCCAGGCTGGTCTCAAACTCCTGACCTCAGGTGATCTGCCCTCCTCGGCCTCCCAGAGTGCACTGGCTATTTTTGAACAATAATCTCATTGTAGAAAATTTGGAGAATGTATGAAAGTCTAATCATGATCCAGTGACTCAGATAAATACTGTAAACATGTTGGTAGATGTTCTCTCAGGCTTTTCTCCATGCATATTTATATGTTTGGCTCTTCTCTAACTAGTAAGGGGATAAAAAGACCCCTATCTTCTTTAGTACCAAAATGAGAGATGTTTATAGATGGCATAAAAAGTTATTAATACATTTGTAATTTTCTTCAGGATGATGAGTCCTTTGTGTCTTTAAACAAGTTGGTCCAAGAAAAATGAGTACATTTTTCTTTTAAATAATAATAAATATTTGGGATAGTGGATTATACTTGTCATAGGAGGTTAATGAAGAGTGAAAAAACAAATCTGAGTATTTTTACCAATTCAGACAGATTCTGTATGAATGCCAAGCCACATAAGTATTTGAGAATATAAGTTACATCTAGGGCTCACAGTGTTCAGGGCCATATTGAATAAAGAAACACAACTCCTTGGGAACATCAGTGAGCATGAAATTGATATTGATTTAGAGCCCAACAAAAAGTGTTCAGAAATCTGAAATGTAGTTCTAAATGTAAACTTGAATGCATTCTGTTTTTTATTTGATCTTTCCTTCTTCCTTTTATTTTCACTGTTGTAAAAATATTTTCTCCTTTTTTTTGTTTTATTTTGATATTTTTGCTTTTATTGTTTGTATAAATGCAAAGATTGGTAAATTCTTTGTGGAACAAGGAGGGTGTATTAACAGGTATATGAATAATTTTAAAAAAAGCCAAAGTAGCACTGAATGGAAATATAGAACTGAAACATAATTGGTAAGGGGAGGAAACTTACTTTATAAAAACAGGGATAGGCAGAAATTTATATATTTCAATCTTATTCTTGTCTTGATATTTTGTCTCATTTCTTTCCAATTTTTGAGGCTATTAACTAGAATCCCTGTAAGCTATTTAAAGTACTAACTCAAAGACTGCTCTTCCAGGGTTAAATCTAGGAAAACAGAAAGATTCCCCCTTTAACCCTTCACTTTGGGAATAAATGAAAAGGCAGAATTGATAATGGCAGTCATTTGTAACGCATGATTGTAATTTTAAAAATGCGCTTTTTTTCTGTTACAATTGATTTATTTGAGCAAATCTACCATATTTTTTAGTGTAATTAATAGAAGCCATAAATCTCTGCAAGCTGTTTCTGTTAACAGCACAGTAATATAGGAACATGAGGTTTTAGGATGACATCCTGTTAGATATTTAGCTAAAAATTGTATGCACCATTTATTAAATGTGTCAAATGGAGTCCAACCATAGCACCTTAAAAACCAAAGCTATCACAAGTTTACTTAGTTTCCCAATACCTTATGTAGCAAAGCTGTTTATCAACAATATTGTTGCTTTGTGTTGCCTAGCTTAGATAAGGATTAAATATTATAGCATTGTTTAGGACTCTTAACACAGATTTTATTAAATGTAGTTTATGTGTCTAAATATATTAGTACTATTGTATATATTGTAAATACTTCCTTTTAATCAATTATAATGTATTGATTAACCTGCAGTTCCTTAAGATGGCCAAATGATAATATTGAAACCAGTCTTGTTTTTCAAAATAACTGGACTTTTCTTTCTCACTTTCCGCATTGTTTCTGCTCCTCTGCAGGCCTCTTGTCGTCTGTTTTTTTCTTTATGTGTTAACGATGCTTATTCTAAGTTCATAAATAGAACCATGAACTCAATGTAATTTACATTTGTTTAAATAATGTAGTATATTAAGCATCTTTTTTATTTTTTTCAGATCTTCCCCAGAGTGCTTTAAAAGTAATTATTGTATTTGTCCACTTGCTAATTTATTTTTGAGACTGTATTATAAATGCGTATATTTATCCATATAATCCATATATCCATATAATCCATATAATCCATAAAATCCATATATTTTATGTGATGGAGTATTATTTTCATATTAAGATAATTCATGATATGCAAAATACTATATTATTTTTTCTTGTATTTTATATCTTACAATGATTGGTGAACCTCACATTACCCTGCATTACTATGAATTCTATAGTTTTATCAAATAGGATATATTACTTTTGTGAAAAAGATAAATATGTTTAGAATCTCTGATACCTGTGCCTTTAAGACATATTGAAGCTTTTAAGAAAATCCTTGATCAGCCTGTTATTTCCTTCCAGGAACTTAACCTATGATTTGTAGCGATATACAATGGCATAGGCACAACATAGAATTGCATCTGTTGTGGGTAACTAAGATAAGTGTCTAGCCTACTGAAGACATACTAACTTACACCTTTAAAGAGAGACACATAGAGCAGGAATTTTTAAAAGTCAACACACATGGATTACGCATCATTACTTTTTCTTATTAATTAGGCTATAAGCTCAGTGAAAACAAGAGCACCTTCTGATTCATTATTATGACCTCCAATACAGTAAACTTAGTAAATAATTCTAAAGAAGAGTGTTTATTGAATTAAACTAACTTTTCGATGCACTTCATGAATAGCATTAAGACAAAACTAAACTTTCTAAGCACAAAGAGTTTATCTTGATGCTCTTAAACTGTTGCCATTAACTTTCCCAGACATTGGTTTGTTATATTACATATATATGAAAGATTATGTGACTATACATACATATATAAAGTCTACATGTGTGTACATTGTTTTTCTCCACTCATGGCTTATATCCAGATAAAAGCAGTACTAATTTTTTTCCCTCTAAGCACTGAATGCCCCTGTATGGCATTTAAATTCTAAACTGTCTCTCTCAACATAGGTATATGGTTCAAATAAGCTTTGATTGGCTATATGGTTTTGTATGTCAACACCTGGCTGATCCTTCTTGTTTTTTAAAAAACTATTTTTCAGAGTAAGCTTATCATGTGATCAAACTCTTCTGCCATAGTTTGGTTGTCTGCAATCTTTTCACACATTTTGACTTAAAGTTTTTTATTTAATTTGCCATAAAAAAAAAAAAAAAACAGGTTTAGGGGCTGGGTGTGGTGGCTCACACCTGTAATCCCAGCACTTTGGGAGGCCGAGGCGGGCAGATCATGAGGTCAGGAGATCTAGACCATTTTGGCTAACACGGAGAAACCACGTCTCTACTAAAAATACAAAAAAATTAGCTGGGCATGATGGTGGGGGCCTGTAGTTCCAGCTACTCAGGAGTCTGAGGCAGGAGAATGGAGTGAACCTGGGAGGCGGAGCTTACAGTGAGCCAAGTTTGCGCCACTGCACTCCAGCCTGGGTGACAGAGTGAGACTCTGTCCCAAAAAAAAAAAAAAAAAAAAGGGGTTAAACATATATGATTTCATTCTCATACTGCTATAAAGAAATACTCAAGACTGGGTAATTTATAAGAAAAGAGGCTTAATCAACTCACAGTTCTTCATGGCTGGGGAGGTCCCAGGAAACTTAGAATCATGGCAGAAAGGGAAGCAGGCACGTTTTACATGGCCGCAGGCAAGACAGAGCGAGAGCGTCGGAAGGAGGAACAGTCAAACACATATAAAACCATGATCTTGTGAGGACTCACTATCATGAGAATAGCATGGGGGAAACTGCCCCCATGATCCAATCACCTCCCACCAGGTCCCTCCCTCGACATGTGGGGATTACAATTCAAGATGAGATTTGGATGGGGACACAGCCAAACCGTATCAAATGATTAGGTGGATTTTTCAATATATTGTGGAGTTGTTTGCCAGGATTTATATTATATATTTGAGTTCTGATGTTTGTGCCAAACATTTTAATATTAGAGAATGATTACAGATTCTTAGGAGATCTTTGATAAAGTAAACTTTTCCATTTGTTTGAAATTTCTTTGTAAGTTTTCTATTATAGAAAAGTGAGATAATTAGGATTTATGTTTATTTGGTTTGATTTTTGTCTTTAAAAAACAGCAGACTTTGGAGTAGAGGATAAAACATTTAAAGTAATTGAGTGTCATGGAGTGGGGATTGTAAAGTGGAGATTGGAGATTAGATTTATTCTGTGTGATTTCACATGTCAAACCAATCCAGCAAAAAAAGCAAACACTAGAATTAGTGGAAATTACTGGGCATTATATATTACATCAATGTAGTGCCTTTTCTACTATTAGGAAGTTAACTTGGGATCTAGAGAAGTCCCTATCACTCATATCAGTAGTATATGCATAACTACTATATGTGAATATATGAGATATGCATATATATGTATCCTACTGGGAAAGACCTCACTAGGTTCCCAGGGCCAGCTCTTTGAGAATCAGTGGTATAATGAAATGCTCAGAAAGAAAAGATGGAAGTTCTCTTTAATCATGTTGTATCCATTTCACCAGCTATGATGGTTCTCTGGAGGCCATTTGCCAAGGGTGCTATGATCATCATCACCATTTGTGATACTTGTTTGCTGGTTTTAGAAGTTGCATTTTCCAAAATACTAAACAGCTCTTTCATTGAAAATCTACCACTCCTCTTAAGGATATGGCCTCGAAACCTTTTATGATACAGTGTTTCACACCAATAAAGAATCAAATTGTGAGACATTTCTGCTATTAAGATATCACTGTCTACTCCACATTGGTAAGATGTTTCTCCAGCTATACTATGAGGAAGTAGGAGTTTACAAAAAGAAGTTAATGTCATTTTGAGAAGATCTACTAGTTATATCTACCAGTTATATCTCCTTATTTGAGGTCTGGAAACTTGTTTCTTACTTGAAATTAGAAATAGCAACAACAAAGGCAAGCTTACAATAAACAAGTGTGACCTTTCACCAGGTCTACGTACCTTTTGTTCCACACTGGTTCTGTAGGCATTAAAACTGAATGGTCCAGGGAGACCATAGATATATTATGAATTTGTAGTCAAGCATCTTCTGTATCAGGTGCTGACTTTACCATCTTAACCATCCTTAGCAAAATTTGACCTCACAAAGATAAAGATAAACGCCCTCAAGCAAGGTCTTTTTTCAATCAAATGCTTTCAGTTGAAAATTTTGTTTCTTTTATGATTTCCTAACACTTCTGAGAATATGACTTTCCAAAGAAGTCCTCATCAGTGACAGTAAGTAAGCTCTTCCTAGTTTCTCCTCAGCCATCCTTTCCAGCCTTGTCTTTTGCTGTTCCCCTATTTCTTCCTTTCATACCAGCCACATAAAAACATCCTGAGCTTCCCAAATGTACTGCCCTTATTTATGTCTGTTGGAAATTGCTTTCATATTTGTTTATATTGTCCTTCTTGATTCTTTCTGTCAAACCTCTACCTATCCTTCACGATTCAACTTAGGTGCTACCACCTGTCTTTGACTTCGTTCAGTAAAGTTAGTTATCTTCTCGTTGAGTCTATATTATGTAATAGCTGCATTAACACGCAGCATGTTATATTACAATTATTTGTTATCTTTTAAGCACTAATTTAGTGAAAATCTTCAAGCACAGCAACCCTTATGTGCTTCGAGACACCAATTATCTCAATATCTGCCACTCAGTAACCACGATATTCAACCTTTGTCATGTGAATAAAGAAAAGACATCAGGAAGCCTGCTTATTATTTTGGTGAGACACTTTAAAGAACTGTAGAATCAGGACAGTCAGTATCTCAAGTGTGAATGCCTTTGGTGTCGACTGTAATCAAAATGAAAGATGTAGAATCCTTGGAATTTCTACTCTGCAAGTAAAGAGCTGTGCACGTTCCCAGAGCTATTCAAGTCCTTGTATGTCAGTGGCAAGCAGTTACTCACTTAGGAGTCAACTCTAACTCCCTATAGGCCATATGCACTATTGTTCATTATCACTGACACACCAGGTGCTTAGATTGGTTTTAAAGTTTAGTCAGCTAAAGCGGAAAGGATATTTTACATGATCAAGTCAGGTTTGTGTGAGTGGGTTGAATTTGGGGGTGTACTTTGAGTCTGAGTAGTTGTTTGAAGAGTGAAACTTTAAGAAGAGCTAGAAGGAGGGCATTGAGTTTAGCTGAAAGGGTTTAGTATCAAGACAAATCTGTCTGATTAAGTGTATTGTCAATATGTCTTATTTTTAATTTTTCCACATAGTTCTTTTAAAATTTAAATTTCCATGTTAAAGTCACCATATTTTGATACTTTTTGACCCCGTACATTTTATTTCAAAGTTATTTTAATAAATATATGCGATTACAAGGCTGGACTGGAATTAATTCTGTAAAACCAACAGCTAGCTGCCCCAAATTTATTTTTTCTCTGTCCAGAAATTCATGCAGCTTGAGTCAAATCTAAATTTAAAGGAAGGGAATTAAACTTATTTATGGCCAACTAGCTCTTTACACTGAAGGCTATTCCGTTAGAAGGTTTACATAGTGAATACAGAGTTCACATTTAAAGCTTGATTTAGTCTTGTATCCTATGCTTAAACTGAAATTCTGTGATATATAAGTGAGATTGCTATTTCTAGTTTGGTTTGCTCTCTAGGCTCATGGAATGGCAACTCTTTCATTACTCTCAGACTTGGTAATTTAGCCAACTAGACGTGTCCTTCTGAATTTGAGCTTCAGAAATTCTTAAGATAATATTCAATTAAATCACTTGGAAAATGTCCACCTCCTCCTACATTCTTTCTCCTCTTGCTTCCATTTTTCATAAATTATTCTGTTTGATTTTGATTGCAATCAAGCAGTTTATCTTTTGAAAATTAAATCCAACCTGCCAATAAAAAAACACCTTGGATCAGTGTATAGAAGTCAGTGAAGTCAAAATGAAGTTGAATAAACTCTCCCAACAGAAGAGTGTCAGATGTGTCTTCCTTTGAAGTTTTCACCATTCACAGGCAGGAGCAAAATATGATTTTCATTATTCTTGGTTGTGGGTAGACCAAATAATGGCCCTGACCATCCCACTCCAAATCACGACTAGTTCCTATTCTTTGGAACCTTGTGATGACTATGTTACCCTACAAGGCAAAGGGAAATTAAGGTTGCAGATGCAGTTGATGTTACTATTCATTTGTCCTTAAGTGAGGGAGATTATTCTGGGTTATCCAGGTGAGCCTAATGTAATAATAAGGGTCTTTAAATTGGAGGCAGAGGAGTCAGTGTCAGAATTATGCAAAATGAGAAAGACTCAGCTGGCCTTTGCTGGCTCTGAAGATGAAAAAGGATCACAAGCCAAGGAATGTGGGCAGCCTCTAGAAACTGGAAAATGCAAGAAGGAAGATTCTCCCCTATAGCCTCCATAAAGGACTGCTAACATCAGTCCTGCTGACACCTCAGTCTAACCCAGTGAAACTCATATGGGACTTCTGACCTCCAGAACTGAAAAATAATAAATGTTTTTGTTTTAAGCCATCGAGTTTGTGACAGCTAATTATAACAGCAGTAGGAAACTAATTACCTACCTTAATTTTAGACAGAACTATTCTGTTTGGTTTGTAGCTGGTTAAACTTGCATGCAAATCCCTAGTATTTCTATATTTACTATCCATATGCCTTTGTGACCCCTGCTCTTCACACCAAAGAAACATTTTAAGAATTCCTTTGAGTCATTCATTTGTTTGAAAACATCCATTCTGTTCATACCTAGTGCCAGTTAGTGAACACAGTGTCTTTTTGGTTTTTGGGTTGCAAGATGGGAAAGTAGCTACAGGCTTCAAATGTAAAAATATAATCTCTAGGAAGAGAAGGACAGGAAACTTGATAATCCTATCACCCATAAGTGAAAGAGACTAAGGCATGTAAAACTTGATTGGTTGCAACTTTCTACCCACCCTCTGATAAGTCTTCTGCACACTTGAATTTTAGGATATAGCACACAACCATGCAGCGTTCTCCAAATAAAATACCTTGGAAGACGTAATTAACTTAGTTCAGAACAAGTCATTATTATTCTTGGATATCCACACTTATATTACCTCCGCAGAGCTCTTATGTCATATTTAGAACTTCATTCATTTTTTCTTGAGCTATTTTCAACCCTAGCTTAAGGAAGTCTATATTTGATTCAGATACTTGGACCATCTGGTTTCTATTATCAGCTTTAATAAAATCAATTCCAGCTCATATTATGACTGTACTATATCTATACAGATTGTATAGATATAATATCTATGTACCCTTAAGTATGGCCTAGGTCATAATCCTTGGAACCTCGTGAACATTGCAAAAACCGACGTTCATAACCCCAGAAATCTTTGTTACCGAGGTTCAGTCATTATTAGTTGACCAAGTGAACGCAAGCAATTTCTGTTATTTCCAGCATAATTTTCTTCCAGAAAATTTCCTAATTTACATTTTCCAAATTTGCAAATATACGTTTGAAATTGAACGTAGCCACTGTGAGACTTCAGCAGTATTCACTGCAATCTACAAAACATTATAACAGGTTGTGTAGGCACAGTTCAGGAATCAGAGGAATGTGTCAAGTTTCTCATTCAAACGGAAGCATGACTTTGTTGATTTCTGAGGTGGCAGACGTGCCAACGCAACCAAGTACCAGGATACTATCCAAGACAGGTTTCTGGAGAGGAACAACCCCTGCTGGGAACTCACTGTCATCTACAGAAATTGGATTGTGTTCTGAACTCCATGTTCTAGTTTTTAAGTCACAAATAGCTTATGGTGACAGTGAATTCCTACTCCAAGTAGTATCTTGTTTTCAACATGGTTAATTCAGATAATTAGAATTAGGTTGGAAGGTTTTCATATTTTTTCTTCCATGTTTTCTTATTGTATTTCTTGAGAATACATTTATAAAGAATCAAGCGACAAGTCAGAAAGTCGCTGTGATTATGCTTAATTGTTTATGATTTAGTTCCAGAATTCCAGGACTTACGAGAACCATATCTAGAGTATTTTGCTACATTAAATGTTATTGTATGAGATGTGACTTTTAGTGTTTATCGGTTAAAATTTGTACTTATCTGAGAAGCAGAAGGGTATATGTTGAGCTTCCTGAAGATGCTTGTTTGGTTGGTGGGTTGATTGATTTGATCAGCACAGCAACTCTTCATAGTGTAAAGGTTAGCCAGAATAAATTCCTGTAAGAATACTTTCTTTGCAACATTTTCCTTTGCGCTAGAAATTCTGAATAATGTTGATGGTATATACTTATATATCACTCAAAATTTTCTATAGAGCTTTCCTATTTATTTTTAGTTTATAATAACCCAGTAAGAATCTATAGGGATTTCACATTATTTATATTTTAGTTTATAGTGACCCACTAAGAATAACTTTTATTAAATACAAATTCCTTGGCTCTTCGGTGGAAAGCCTGATTCAGGATGTCTGAAATATGGTCCAAGAATCTCTATTTTAACAATTATCCAGATTATCCTTTTGAAACAGGGAAGTTGCCTAAAGATTTCTCTGAAGAAGAATGAGGGTTATTCTTATTTCTGCTGGTTGATGAAGAAATTGAGGCAAAATCAATAACTTCCTAAGATTGCAGGTCAAGTAGTGTCTGGTTTTCTTTGCATTATCTGATACATGTATTATCTTGTATTATATTATCTTGGTACGTGTATGCACAGGTGTACACATGCCTGTGAGTTCTAGGAAGAAAATGAAAATATCTTTTCTCCTAAATGTTTTCTGATACAGTTATCACATTGCTAGTAGTTATAAATTGATTTATAAGCACACTTTTACCAAAGGATTATTCTTTCTATAATAAAGCAAAGAGCTAGATGCCTACAAAAAGAATTGTGGTTTAAAAAAAACAGTTCATTCCCTATCCACTGTTGTGTCTTTTATATTTCATAGTGTTGGAGACTTGAACTTCCAAAACACATTTTGGTTATTGCAGTTGTCATAAGCTTAATATGACTGTGACACAAAGAAATGTCAGCTGGTAAGATTTTCTTCAAAATATAAAGACTACAGCTGGCTTCTTATTTTTGTCCATTCTAAAGATACTGTGGCTAGCCTAATTTGTATGGGCCCACTGGATCATGCCTAATTAAGTTAATGAAGCTCTTCTGTAACAAGAACCCTCCAAAGGAAAATAAAAACACAGAATGAAATTTCAGAATGCAGATTAGCCTAGCTTTGCTGGCTTTCGCTCTCATGGGTAGAAGTCACAGAGTAAAACAAAATCCTTAAATTAAAACCAATTACACCATATAGGCAAAGATCAGGTTTACCTAAAATTGTCACGGGGGAGCTGCATGTGTTCTGAGGAGAATTGCCCATTGGCTGGTAGATTGTTGAAGGCTCTTGGCTTCTTAGCCTGAGATGCACAGAGCTATTATTTACTCCTTAATTCTCGTGACTTGATTATTTCAAGTACTTGTTGGCATCTTTGAGGATTTACGATTTTCATCTGGTCAGTGGAAACAGACATTCAGAAAATTATTTGCCACAGTCGGGATTTATATTTATGGATCTTTAAGTTTTGTCCTTTCCTACTAAGTGTTTTCCTCTTTCCTTTCTTGTAACACATGTTTCAAATTTCTTTGTTACTTGGCTGTAAGGACCATGTACAGCTTTCCAAGGCCGTTGAGGTCAGATATTTCATACCTAAGCATATCTTTATTTTCCTTTTGGGATATAAGAGAACTTTTAGTCTGTTGAACTTAATTTGATTTTTTTCCAAATTCAGCTTTCCATTTTATGTGATTAGGAAACTTTAAGGAATATTATATAGAAGGTTATATTTTACTCATTTTACTCAAAACATTTTGATTAAATATTTTCGAATTCTACAAGTTTGTTTAACTACAACGGTGGCAGAAGCCAATATGTATTTATTCTTTTCTTTTGAAGTATTAGGAAAAGGTCAGTGAAATTAGAAGAAACCTTGCATTACTGTAAAAGCTGCTGATTTTTGTACTGTTACAGAGGTGAACAAAATTATTAAAATATAAAATCTAAATAAATCCAAAATCTAAATAATGATCAAACCAGTTGTCATAACATGTCACTAGTGCCTCTGCAGATTTTTATTATTTGTAAGTAGTTGAATAAATAAAAATAAAAAGTGTAACCCTGGTCTCTTAATATTTCTAGGCTTCCGTTCTTTTTGTGTTCGTTTGTTTGTTTTTTTAGATGGAGTCTCGCTCTGTCGCCCAGGCTGGAGTGCAGTGGTGTGATCTCGGCTCACTGCAAGCTCTGCCTCCTGGACTCACACCATTCTCCTGCCTCAGCCTCCCGAGTAGCTGGGACTACAGGCACCCGCCACCACCATGCCCGCATAATTTTTTGTATTTTTAGTAGAGACTGGGTTTCACCGTGTTAGTCAGGATGGTCTCAATCTTCCGACCTCATGGTCCGCCCACCTCAGTCTCCCAAAGTGCTGGGATTACAGGCCTGAGCCACGGCGCCCAGCCGGCTTCAGTTTCTTTATTAAGTGAGGAGTTAGAGCAAGATAACCTCGCTGACTTTATTATTTACCACTTTATATTTTAAAATCTAGTATTAATATAAAATATTTAAGAACATACTTGGTCTAGCAATGCCGTTGGCAAATGTGTGGGTAGCAATAGAAAACCAAAGGCATAGACAGTGACTGGGGGTAGGAGGGTAGGCAGCTTGTTGTAGTGAGGCAGAGCTAGAGGTATGGATTCTCATCTTGATTTACCCATATGAAAAGTCATACTGTGTTGTGGGGGCCTCAACTTTTGAATATTTAAAATGGAATGATTTAACCAAGTCAGCCTGTTAGGTTCCCTTTTTTTGATAATTGCCTTTGATCCCAGCCTAGCAGAAGTGGATGAAATAAGGACAACACAAAGAACAATGAAAGATTCCAATGTGGAATGAGTGGTAGAGGCTGACACTGCTATGGTGAAGAAGGGAAGAAATATGAGCTGGTGAAGACTTAATACAGAAGAATCAATGCTGGTTATAGAGTCTATTTATAATACACAAGATATTATAAATTATTATTATTTTTTGAGACAGAATCTAGCTCTGTCACCAGGCTGGAGTGCATTGGTGCAATCTCAGCTCACCGCAACTTCCACCTCCCGGGTTCTAGCAATTCTCCTGCCTCAACCTCCGAAGTAGCTGGGATTACAGGCACACGCCGCCACGCCTAGCTAATTTTTGTATTTTTAATAGAGATGGGGTTTCACCATGTTGGCCAGGCTGGTCTCTATCTCCTGACCTTGTTATCTGCCCACCTCAGTTACCCAAAGTCCTGGGATTACAGGTGTGAGCCACTGCTCCTGGCCTATAAATTATTTTTTAAAAGTAATGCCTATTGTTAAATCCACAAATTGTTTATGAGTTTAATTGGTTATAATAAAATTTTAATCTTTGACTGATGGCACAATCATGGCAGAGAGAGGACAAGTGGATTTATGAGATGACTGACTCCATAACAATGTTTTGATCTCTAACATAAGAACATAGTCTACCTCATAGAGCTTTTAAAAGGTGTAATGAAATAGTACAGGCAGAGAAATCAGAAGTGCCTGGCAAAATGCAAGCATTTTTTCAATGCAATTGTAAATTTCACTCAGAAAAATAACTTTCACACATGGCAGACATTCATATAGTTTTACCAGAATATATAAATAAATACATTTCATCTGAGCAAGTAAAGGATACTAAGAAATCTGACTTACCTACATATAGAGTTAGGACTACTTTGCAATGTATGGTGGTTGGTATGGTACAGAGTTGTCATGTTCATGGCCATTAATGTGACCCAAATGAAATTAAATCCCACCAATTCTTACACATTTTTATGGTGTCCAGCCTTTCTTCATGCTTAGGCATTCATATCCCAGACTTTCCAGTCCATAGCGAAAATCTCAAAGTGGCTTAAAAACAAAGTAGTGACTATAGTTGGTGTAGTTTAGTGATTAAACCTTGACAGAACCAGGGCATCAGGAAACTGACCCAGGAGACTGCAGAGCCTCACAATTTCCTGTTCTTTTTATAAAGTTAAATATATAATAAATTTGTTTCCATCTATCTTCAAGCATCTGTCTACTCTTCCCCTTTTTCTCCCTTTGTAACTCTGCAGTTAAAAAAAATTTAGTAGAGTTGACTAACTGAATTTCATATTTCATATTTGAAGATCTACGTTGAAAATTTCACGTGGCAAGCATTGTATTCATTTGAGCCTTAAAGTACTTTAAAGTACTTTAACAGTGGTTTGGCTGTGTCCCCTTCCAAATCTCATCTTGAATTGTAGTTCCCCTAATCCCCACGTGTTATGAGAGGGAACCAGTGGGAGATAATTGAATCATAGAGGAGATTACCTCCGTGCTGTTCTCATGATAGTGAATGAGGTCTCATGAGATCTGATGGTTTTATAAGGGACTTTTCCCGCCCTTTGCTCATTCTTCTCCTCGACACTGCCATGCGAAGAAGGACATGTTTGCTTCCGCTTCCAACGTGATTGTAAGTTTCCTGGGGCCTCCCCAGCCATTCTGAACTGTTAGTCAGTTAAACCTCTTTCCTTTATAAATTACCCATTCTCAGGTATGTCTCCATTTGCAGCATGAGAATGGACTAATACAGTACTGGATTATTTTCTGCTGTTTGTTATATTTACACCCAACTTATTAGGAAATGCTGGGGTAGATTTCTTAACCAGAGTCTCTAGAACATTGGAAAAATAATACATAATTAAATGTGTATGAAAGCATGAGTGCATGAATGATAGATTTCCTCTTGGCATTAATCAAAACCAATAGTATTTTTGCTGAATACCAGAATGCCACATTTTGAGGGAATGGCATAATAAGTAAAAACATAATAGAGAAGAATGTAAATTTTTTTTTTTTTCAGTAACTAATCAGTTAGTACCAATACCAATATGTACTACACACACATATTGGCAATCTAAGGGAGGCTAGCATCTGTGCATTTTTCTACCCAACCTAATGGTCTGGGGTTTGGTTGCAAGATGTGACCAGAAAAGACATCGTATTTATAGATAGGGATTTCTTTTCTCATTGATGACTGCAGAAATGGTTAAATGCTTTTTATGATTGGGTATGGAAAATATATTTGCTATGGAGGTACTAGTAAACTTTGCTTCTTATTTATTTTTATTTTACTTTTTAAAATTTTTTAAAAATTTTGAGACAGGATCTCACTCTGTTGTGCAGGCTGGAATGCAGTGGCACAATCATGGCTCACTACAGCCTCGAACTACCAGGCTCAGGTGATCCTCCTGTGTCAGCTTCCCAAGTAGCAGAGACTACAAGTACACACCACCACACCGATGGCTAATTTGTATATTTTTTGTAGAGATGGGGTTTTGTGATGTTGCCCAGGCTGATCTCAAACGCCTAAGCTCAAGTGATCTGCCCGCCTTGGCTTCCCAAAATGCTGAGATTACAGGCATGAGCCACTGCACCCAGCTGAACTTTGCTTTTTAGATATGAAATGAAGAAAGTACAGAAAAACAACAATGAACAAACATCTGTTAAATTCTACTCTTCTGTCATGCATACTTCAGAATAAGGACATGAAACATTGCAGTTGAAGTCTACTCTATCTTCTTCCCCATTTCCATCCTCCCACCTCCCATAACAGATGACAAAAGCAACGTAATTTAGGTATATATTATCTCCATGAAAGGTTTTACACCTACATGTGCATATATGTTAAATAGTTTATGGCATAGGTTTTCATGTTTTCAAACTTTACATAAATTGGTATCATAATCTACATAACTGGTATCATTCTTCAACATGATTTTTTCTTTTGTTCAAGATTATGTTTCTTTTTTTTTAAATAAATTATCCAGCCATGCGTGGTGGCTTGTGCCTGTTGTCCTAGCTACTCAGGAGGCTGAAGCAGGAGAGTTTCTTGAGCCCAGGAGTTCAAGTCCAGCCTGGCAACATGGCAACATGCTAACATGCTGTCTCTAAAAACAAATAATCCGTGTTGAAACATGTTGTCTAAATCAGGGGTCCCCAACCCTGGGCCACAGATCATTACTGGTCTCTGGCCTGTTAAGAACTGGGCTGCACAGCAGGAGGTGAGCAGCGGACAAGAGATCATTATGGCCTGAGCTCTGCCTCCTGTCAGATCAGTGGAGGCGTTAGATTCTCATAGGAGTGCAAAACCTATCGTAAACTGTGTATGTGAGGGATCTAGGTGGTGCACTCTTTATGAGAATCTAATGCCTTATGATCTGAGGTGGAACAGTTTCATCTTGGCCAAAACGGTTGGGGACCACTGTCTTAAATATTCCATTGAATCAATAACCCCCAATTTATTAATCCATTTTTAAGTTAATGAGCTTCTGAGTGGTTTTTAATTATTTCCAATTTCAAGCAGTGCTCCAACTCATACATACCTCTTTATTTACCTAAGATAGAAATTCTCCAGAAATTTGCCTTAACATCCAATTGCTGAATTAAATAGCAAAAAACAAAACAAAGCCCACCAACTTTGCCACATATCACCATTTGTCTCCAGTGATTGTCCCAGTTTATATTTCTACCAGCATAACTAAGATTTACCTCTTCTACATATCCTTGCCAATATTTGTATTTTCAGAGGCTTACATTTGGACAATCTGAAGGGTTATAAAATAGTATCTTATTGTTAAATTTGTTTTTCCCCCCACTGGTGCCTAGTAGGGCTGAACATCTTTCTTATCCTTATTCTCCATATGTTTCATCTTCTATAAATTGCCAGTTAATTTCCTTTTTTCCCTATTATATCATTGTTCTCAATAAGGTATGCACATTTGTTTACTAATTCCTTGTCAGTTAAATGCATTGAAAAAAATAGTTTCACAGTCTGGGACTAGCCTATCTACCTCATTATGATGTTTGTTTTTTGACTGAACAAAAGCCTAATTTTAGTGTAGTCAAATATACAGTATTAGATTTCCTTTATGATTATTGCTTTTTTGTGTCATGTTCAAAAAATATTCTGACTCAAGGTAATAAATATATCTAACAGATTTACTTTTTCACATTTACGTCTTTAACTCATCTGAAATGGATTTTTCTGTTTGTTGTAAAGTGGCGATCTAATCTTGTTATTCTACATGGATGCATAGTTGTCCCAACACTGTTTATTGGCTAGTCCCAACCTTTCTCTCCTGATGTGAAATACTGCCTCTGTCTCATAGCAGATTTCCCTACTTATGTCCGAGCTTTTTTCTGATTTGTCATTACCATTTTCAAATCTTTGTCACTTCCAATAGTTTATATTTTCTAGAAAGTTATCAGTGCCCTCTCATTTTTGAAATTTATAGACATAAACTTTTATTCTTTTAGTATTTAAAAATTTGTAAATTATCTATAGCTCTGTCCTCCTTTTTTTCCCTCTTTTTTTTTTTTTTTTTTTTTTTTTTTTTGGAGATTGAGTCATGCTCTGTCATCCAGGCTGGAGTGCAGTGACAGGAACTCGCCTCCACCTCCCCAAATGCTGGGATTACAGGCGTGAGCCACCGGGCCCTTCCCTCCCCTCACCTCTCCTCCCCTCCCCTTCCCTTCCCTTCCCTTTCTTTTATTTATTTATTTAGAGATGGAGTCTCGCTCTGTCGTCCGGGCTAGAGTGCAGTAGCGGGATCTCGGCTCACTGCAAGCTTTGCCTCTGGGTTCACGCCATTCTCCTGCCTCAGCCTCCCAAGTAGCTGGGACTACAGGCATCTGCCACCATGCCCAGCTAATTTTTTGTATTTTTAGTAGAGATGGGGTTTCACTGTGTTAGCCAGAATGGTCTCAATATCCTGACCTCGTGATCCGCCCACCTCGGCCTCCCAAAGTGCTGGGATTACAGGCGTGAGCCACTGCGCCCGGCCCCGGCCACCCTTTTCTTTCTTTATGATGTTTATGTGTCCCTTTTCCCTCTTTTTTGTGATCAGACTCACTGGAAGTTTAGGATTTTAATTACTGTGTTCAAACAATGAGAATTTAGTTCTGTCAGTCCTCCCTTTTCTTTGTTTTTGTATTTCACCAATTTCTATTTTTACCTATTGCTAATTTCTGCTTTCTTTAGAATTACTGAGTCTCTTTTTCCATTTTAATGACTGGAAATATTAACTCTTTAATTTTTGGTTTGATTTTTTTTTTATAATATATTCCTAAGGCATCTACAGCATCTTACTTACAGTTACTTTAACTTGACTCTCTGTTCCAGCTTCCAGGTAGAACTCACCCTGGAGTTTATTCTTAGGGCCATTCCCAGTACCAAACCAATTAATTGAACTAAACAACATTCTTTTCTGCAGAGTGTGTTTGTCACGATAAATATGAATATATACAAGTTCTAATTTTTACATTATTGAAAATTAGGGCATTTGCAATTACCAACAACAAATCTGCTTTTCATTTTTCAGCAAACCTATTGGGAAATAGGATGTCAGTGATATGTGATCTACTGTTTGGCTTCCTACTTCCACAGGATCACTGCAAAACAGTATTTCTATCATTGCGAAAAATTGTATCCACATTTGCTATTTGCTGTTTATATAAGCGTGTGTGTGTGTATGTGTGCGTGAGTACATACAAATAGCTGCTTTTGTCTGGCTGACCATAATACCTATTTTGTTGTACTTACAAATGGTCCTACCACCAATTAGCTATTCCAATAATTACACAATTTTCTCACTCATCACTCACTACTTAGTGCTAAAAATGGTGTCATAAGGAATACAACACCTCAAGTTTAAGTCTTTTTAATTAACCTGTCAAAGACTTCCCTGATAGTTCAGACTATCACGTACTTTGGTATCTTTACATTCAGGTGCTGTATTCACTTTCAAAAATAAAAAGTCCATCAGGGTCTGCAGACGGCAGCATATATAGCATATATTTAAAACCAAAGAAAGAAAATTCTCATACCTTGGGTCTATATTCTACAAGAGAAACTTAATTGCTATCGTCACTCCACTTTTTAGGTCTATTACTTCAGGTGATTAGGCTGTTTGTTCTAAACTATTTTCTTATTACTGCTTCAATGTTTTAGAGTCATGTATCATTTCGGATCTGTCTTGGTTTGTCAGTTATCTCCCTCTAATGCTTATTGCTTTCTTTGCATATTACCTTGTTCCTTTATCTTTCCAAAGGCAAACTAGTCTTTTTTCACATGTCTACTGCTACTGATAACACTTTCCATAAACATTTGTTTCGTATATTCTGTCTTAATACCTGACATTATCATGACACATTTGTTATTAATAGAAATATATTTTCCCTTTAATATAATTTTTTTGGTCAATAATTTGTGGAATGACTGGAAACTTGTAATCCCTGCAAACCCTGATGAATGTTCATAGCTACCACCCAGGAGTGAAATCTGATCATGCCACTATCCTGTTTCACACCTCTGATGATTCACTTTTGCCTGTGGCAAAAAGAGGGAACTGTTTAGCCTGGTCACCAGGCTTCCACTTGCCTCACCAGCTTTTCTTCCCATCATGAACACTTTTGGTTCCGTTTCCATCTAACATACTACATTCCTTCCAAGGTACGTCTGCATGATACTCCTTCAGCTTAATTTCCTGGTCTCTGTTTACAACACCTGATAAATCTTTCCCATCCACTGCAACCTTACTCTATGAAGCCTTTCCCAGATCTGGTCAATACCCTACTTTGATTTGATAATACCTTTATGTAAATGTCTCTTATTCCATTAAAATACTTTGGTTTGCAACTATATATGTATCTTTTGTTCCCCTAGAATGTGACTTCTTTTATGACAGGCACTGTGGGTTTTTTATACTTTTATTGCCCAGGACTTATTAAAATGCTTGGCATGAGCAGGTGATCAATAAATGTCAGTGTGAACAAATGAACGTGGAATGAATGAACAGTCACCAGTTTTTCTTGGGCATATTTTGACCCAAGGTATTTAAAACTAATAAGGATAATATATTTAGCAAAGTTCCAGTTTTAAAACTTCATGGATAGTACTTTTATTATATCTTTTCTTTTAAAATTATTTCTTACTGAGGATTATATACCAGGAGAGCATTAGCATTAGATCCAAGAGAAAAGAAGCTTTTGTATTATGAAGAATAAGCTATGGAAAAGATTAGATGGACAGTTGGTTGGAACTTTAAGCAGTGCTTTCACATTTACAAAGAAAATGTTGTGTTGTTTCTATCAACTGATTTTAGATGATACCATGCTATAGCAATATCCTTATTCTCCCTGTTTCTTTGCTATGATTTATTAATCAAATTATTATTAAGTTTTAAAATCGACTACAGATTTGGACTTGTAAGTGTTGCATATACAGAGGTAAAAATATATCATCTCTGTCCTAGAGCACCTCTGAAATATTTATAAATCCAGCTTAATACATTTATAAATTGAGATCAGTGACAGAAGTAGTACACAATAGTAGGAACAGAATACAATGCCTGAGATGAATTGACTTTTAAATAACTTAAATTACTAATTTCATGTAATTTGAAGTTTAACTCCTGTACTTTTTAATCAAAATGGTAAGCAAAGAAGAATTACATGGAAATTCTGTTTAAGTCAATATGTTAAATAACTATTATATGCAGACATCCTGTAATTGACACTTGAGGATGGGGAATAAAGTACAACATGTTAAGCCCAGTCCTGATTTCAAACACTTTGCCATTTAGATATATGTGTCTAAATACTTGAAGCTAGTGTGGGCGGATCCTGTTGCCTTTCCACTTCTCAGCCCCATCTATGTCATAGCTGGCTGATAACCAAGCCTCTGCACTCTCTTAACATATAGGTAGAGCATTTTGTTGTATTGACAGCCTAGAGAATTTTTCTGAGTTTTTGTTTCACGTGTTTGCAAACACCGAATTAAATTATGAATCAAATAATAGTATTACAGCTTTTAATATCAGTTATATACGAAATGTTTTATGAAGGGCAAACATTAAACTCTGTTTAATAAATAGACTATATATAGGGGTTGGAGGGTGGGGGCTCTGTTCGATCAACAGTATACCTAGTTGATTACTTAAAAAGTTGTAAATGGCCCTTGACTCTTAGTAGCATCTTTTAAGTTTCCCTATTGTCTAACATGAAAATAACTTCATATGATCTTATTCATTTTTCATGGTGAATATTATCATAAGAAAACTATTGGCAATGCATCATATCTGCTATCGTCTTGACATGATCATCTTCACATTTCAAGTGTGTATCCTATGTACAGACCGATAGCATGCTAAGAATCTGTATCTGTATAAAGCGCAATGAAATTAACTGTAAAATTCTAATTTTAATTACCAGTTTATTTGCTCTGTATTCAACAAATGTGTATTGCATATTCAGAAGAATGAAAGGAAGATGAAAACCATCAAAGTCCTTCTCAATTATGTGTAGAGACTGATGGACACACAGGATTTCAATAGAAAAGGGGTCCTTAAACATCAGTACGCATCAGAATCACCTGAAAGGCTTGTTGAACTACAAATTTCTGAGTCCCACATCCCTAGAGTTTCTGATTCAGCGGGTCTTGAGTAGGGCCCGAGATTTTGCATTTTTAATGAGTTCCCAGGTGATGCAGAGGCTGCTGCTCTGGAACCATCATTTATAGCTACTGCAGTTGAGTATAAGTAGAATAACAAAGATGTATTAAAGTCGTTTCCAGAATAGAGACAGGCAATGCTCAGTATGTTAGAGAAGTCAGGGGAGGCTTTCAAAAGGAGGTAGGATTTGATTGAAGTCTTGAAGGATCTCTTGGTGAGAGAGATCCTTAACAAGAGTTAAAGGTAGGCTGGGCACAGTGGCTCACGTCTATAATCCCAGCACTTTGGGAGGCCAAGGCAGGCGGATCACCTGAGGTCGGGAGTTCCAGACCAGCCTGACCAACATGGAGAAACCCTGTCTGTACTAAAAATACAATTTTTTCTGGGTGTGGTGGCACATGCCTATAATCCCAGCTACTCGGGAGGCTGAGGCAGGAGAATTGCTTGAACCCAGGAGGCGGAGGTTGCAGTGAGCCAAGATCACGCCAATTGTACTCCAGCCTGGGCAACAAGAGCGAAACTCCATCTCAAAATAAATAAATAAATAAACAAACAAACAAACAAATAAAAAATAAAAGAGTTCAAGTTCTTTCAGGCAGCAAGAATGGCATATGCTCAAGTGATGTGTATTCACAGAACTCTAATTTAGCTCAGATTCTGGAGTACAGGTCATGGTGGGGAGAGTGGAAAAAAGGAAGCTGGAGAGTTTGGGTAGTCTTTGAAGCAAAAAGACTTGAATCAGGAAAACCTTAGTAATATATTTGCTGTTTTGAAGCTTGGCTCTAGCTGCATTGTGGAAGGAGAATGGATTGGAGGGTTTTAGTACTGAAGTTAAAATAGACAACAGGTGATAAAGGTCCAGATGGCTCTGCTGACAGTGGGATTGGCAAGAAGAGATACACAGTAACTCAAAAGGTAGCATCAATAGCAGTTGAATATTGCCACTAAGGAAGAGAGTCACCAAAGATGCTTTCTGGGTTGGCATTGGTTTGGTATAGGTGGCATACACTGAGATTAGGATTGCAGGGAACATATCTGTGAAGGTTTGGTGGTAGGGAATAATTTACTTTGGCTCTGTTGAATTTTGCTCTTTTCAGGAAACATGCAACTAGAGATACTTAGGAAAGAGACACGGATATGCAAATATGGATTTTTTTTTTTTTTTTTTTGCTGCATTAGCCTTGCTGTAGATCAAAGACAAGATTAAATATCTATATACATGTATGTGGGTGTATATATGCACACAAAAAGAGAACTACACATAACTCTAATTATTATGACCTTAACCTGTAGAAATTTTGTTTACTTTGGTTTTACAATACAACCAAAATGTGAAGCTTTAGGAAACATTGGAAAAGACATAAAGTATAATAGATAATCTGTAAAAATGCAAATCATGACCATAAAAGAACCATTATTTCTCCCCACAAATATCAGTAAGAGTCTTTCATTGTATTTGGAAGTCTGCCTTAAATGCAGAATTATTTCAGGAAGTTCAAAATGGCCATAAAACAAAACTTAGTATTATGTGTTTATAGTTATTATAGGTATTGACATTATTTTTTATAAATATGATAGAATCAAGAATTGCTGCAGGTATTCTATGCCAACAATTGGTTGAAAAGTGTGCACATTAATATTTAAAAGGAAAAAAAAGCCTTCAATAATCTTCCAACACTTCAAGGTTTGGTGTTATAAGGATAGATAAACAGTTTGTGCAAACATTATTTGCTCCCAAGCTTTCATGCATACTAAGTATCATCCATTACAACATGTGGGGATTTAAAGGCTGTTAGGACTATCTCATTTGTAAATGTAAACTGACCTAAGTTATTTCTCTGCTGAAATCTTTGTAGTACATCTCCTGTATAGCAGAGTCGATTATGGAGTTCAGCCCTCTGAGGAAGCATCCCTAGCTAGTCTTTGCATCTTTGGTACCCTGTGCAGTGTTTAGCACATGGTAGGTACTGTAGTTAATAAATTTAAGTTAATGCATTTATGACTTAGAGTCACTACATTTGTTGCACAATTTCCCATTTGTTTTTGCAACTTAAACTCATTTTGAAAAACTGAGCAGTTGCTTTTTTCCTTTCTGAATTATTCTTGAGCAAAAAGTGAGCCTTCTTGTTTTTCTGACATTGTAATGGAAAATTTATGGACTTAAGTACTTCATTGTTGCTTACCAAATAAACGAATATATCTCTTCTGCAGCCACGTTTTTGCAGAGACACTGGTCTAGATTATCGTCTGGTAAAATCCATAGGGTGAGGGAGGTCACAGTAACGAAGGATACTTACTAGCCTGTAATTTATTTTCAAGAATTAAGACAGCAACAG
Source organism: Homo sapiens (assembly GCF_000001405.40). NCBI lineage: Eukaryota > Metazoa > Chordata > Mammalia > Primates > Hominidae > Homo > Homo sapiens. The sequence goes on along the minus strand of NC_000009.12, from coordinate 8,575,464 downwards.
GCAAAGAGTTCACCAGCACATATGAATTAGTACATTGGCCACTCCGTACAGGGCTATTTAATGCATTTGATATACTCTTAGAATTAAATTGCTGCTTTTTCTATGAAAATTTGAAGTAAGCGGTTAGGGACTAAAAAGAATACTTGAGTGTGTTGGTACTGGATACTCAATTCACTCAGACCCTGCTTGAAATATATAAATATATAATCGCCTTTTTCCTTTTCTCATGAACACAAGTGATTTGAGTTAATTTCAGGAACAATTTAGCTTACTCTTGGTAAATGATATATAATCACCAACTTTAAAAACTTCTGTTTAAGTAGAAGGTCAGAAGTCTTGTACTTGTTTGCAGCCTGAACTACTTGAACAGCTATTCGTAGAGTACGAGGACAGTTCTGTAAACCCTCTGATGAAGTGTGATCTATTTGCAAACGCGTTAATGAAATAGATGACCAAATTATCTTGTGCCTTTATTGCCAAGGTTGAATTAATTTGCTTTTATTTGTCTTTATTTATATGATATTGATTTTTTAATTAATGAAGCCATTTCTTCTTGGGCATGCATATTCTTCCTTTTTAAATTTATTTTTACATTTGTGACTGCTTATGAATCTCAGCATATCACTTCATTTTATAAGTTTGTTTGGAGTTCAGCAGTGAGTTGTTTAAATGGGATTGGCAATTAACTAAGCAATTAATTGAGTTTTAATAGCTCAGGGGGAGGAATGAATGTCTGGCTGAAGATGGATATTTATTTTACTGAATGAAGAAAAATGAAAAGAACCCACAGGAAACTATGCCTTGAACTTTAAAAGTAATAACAAAGTATGTGGAAAGTGCAAGAAAAATATTTTTCTTCTTAGTGGTTAGCCTTTATTTTGCTATATGTACCACCAAATATTTGATACTTATATTTTGCTATATATACCACCTAGGTGTTTTCCAGCTGCTGAGATACAGTGCTTTAATGGACATTTTATTGCTTAATGCCTTTTGGTGTTTAATTTATTATACATTATTTTAAAGTGTTGGACCAATTTTTAGGGCCTCCCAACTATCATCATCATGAATTAAAATGTTCAGATGTTTTTATCAGAGGACAATATTATAATAACTACAATAGTAGATGATGTCCAAAATGAATAGTTTAAATTAAAATAATATTTATTGATAGACAGTGCCAAAGAGTGTTCATTATGGCGTATTATCAGTTGTTAATAGTGATGATCATGATTTTGGTAATTTTAAGAAGCAACTACCATTTTCTTCTAGTCTTTTCTTGAGATGAATTAAGACATGTTTCAATCTGAAAGACTAAATTGTGAATGGCATAGCATGTTCCGTGCAGTATCTGTAGGTATTAATAGGTTTGCACAGGAGTTGAGATGGAGCAATAATAGAATATGATATAAATGGTTTTGTACTGAGGAGGAACCAGAAAGTCCCTGGAACTGCCATTTCTTCCAACTATCTGAAAATACAAGGATGAATAATTAGTATTACCATAGTCAGCCCTAAATGAAGTTAAAATATGCATTAGAGAAATTATTTTCTGCCAAGCTTATGCACACATGAATTCTAAAATTGTTCTAATTGAAATATAAACAAATTGTAAATATTAACCTCATTTATGTTTTAATCATAATATTGAACACTGGTTACAAAATGTTCTGCATAGGTAAAAATGCAGAATTAAGAGTAATGTTCCATAAATACTCCTACTGATGCTTTTTTTCTAATGTGATAAAAATTATGCAACTTTTTTGGATAAAGAGAATATTTTTTATCATTTTTATGTTATAGGGAGAGGAAATGAAACAAAGGCAGGCTTGTGAACATTAGAGATATGCTTAATAGTCAAGAAAGATGGCTCCATCTATTTTAATTGAGAAAAAAATGAATTCTGTCTGGCTTTAAGCCAGTTTTAATATTAACAAGATTTATCTGGCTGATTGCCATTGACCCAGAGTGAACTGACTTGTGAAGAGTATCTTCAGTATTGTTTGAGATGATCCAGGGTCTCCCCAATTTCCTAACACTCAAGAAATTTAAGTCTGTCTTCATTCTGTTAAAGCAGTGTTCTATTATAGATTATTTTAAAACTACTTTGCCTATCTTTTCATTTCAGGAATAAATATATTAAATACATACTGGAAATAAATATGTATATCTTTAGTAGCACCAATACCTTTCTTTAGTTATGTAAGAGAATAACAAAATTTGCACATCATTTTTTAGAATTTTTGGAACGTATTATCAGCACATGTTAAAATGGCAGCACTGAGTTGTCATGCATTCATTCATACCTAGGGCTTTAGAAGTAGCAATACATAGCCAGAGGTGTGAAATACTCATTTGATTTGGTATTTCTAGTCATAGGAGTTTAAATTGAGGATTCAATTTGATAGAAACCAACAGATCATGAACAAAAATATGTAGCATAGGAGTTGCTATGATGGCAATAAATTATAATCTAAATGTACTTTACCAGAATAAGAAGTTAAAATATATCAACAACGTTGAATATTTAACCAGCTTTTGAAATGTTAAGCTTATAATAACAGTGTGTTGAAACTTTGGAAATATTTAGGATATATGTGAAAATAGAATCATGCAAACCAATATAATCAGAGCACCAAGTATACACAGTAATATGAAATATATGGAAAATAATATGCAAAATATGGTAAGTTAGGTAGTGGAAATGTGCTACGTTGTTTTTTATTTTTTTCAAGTTAAGGAGTAACACTAGACTTCCTGCTAGGTTTTGATATAATCTATTTCTGAATGCCTCCAATGAGGTTGACTCAAGTACCTCTCTAAGCAGTTATTCTAGTGCCTAATTCCCCTTGAAGAATTTTTGTGTTGTCTAATGTTAATTTCTTCCTTTTTTTAGCTTTAGACCATTACTCTTCATTTCAGCTTTCTATTACTATTTTAAAAATAGTTTTATAATACTTACAAATTCCTCATAATTGCTTTTTTCCCTAAGTGAAGAGTTTCCCTGAAGTCATTTTATGTGTGTAACTGCCCTGTGGACTCAGGTCAGAAAGTCTTGTCACTGCACTCATGTTAAAATGCCAAGATCTCTATCTTTGGATCATAAACCTGGGACTTTTTATGTTAAGAGAATATCATGGAAGATATTTGGAAGGGTTTGGTTTTGCTTTTTAGTTAGGTAGAAGAGTCCTTGGAGGCTATATTCTGACTCTTAATTTTACAAATAAAGAAACTAAAATGGAAAGATTATGCTTTTGGGTGAGCCACACCTAATTTATGACAAACTCAAACATTCAGTCCAGTTTAACTGACACTCAGAACTTGCCTATTATATTTAATATTAAATGAGCTCTTTGAGTGCTACCTGAATATATTTCTAAATTACGTGAAAAAATGCATTTTGCTTTGCGGTGTCAAACAGAGTTGCCACATTTTGGCTTTAATATCTATATCATCACTGTACACATTACTTCCGCATCCACCAACTTTAATTCTTTCACAGTTTTATTCCTTCCTCTGCCATGCAATCATCCTGAAAGAGACCATGACCAAACCATCACTAGAAACTTTCCTCTCTTGATGCTCTGAATGAGTTTTGGCTTCATGTTGATGGACTCTTATCAGAACATGCTCTTGGAGATAATGGGCAATTTCCGCAGCTCCAGGAGCAGTTTATTTATAGTGTCACAGGGTTGAAGGCTCAACTATAAGGACAAATCACAACTGTTACTATGCATTCCCCTTAAAATGAACAAATGGAAGAACCCACTTACACTATCTATTTATTAAATATTGTTTTTCTAAATCTGAAAGTGAGGTATTTAGGATAAATTCTAATATGGCTTTGCTCAGTTGTTTTATATTCAACAAAATAGTAATATTGCTTTTCTCAGCAAGGTTTGTGAAGAAAACCATTGATTTTTGGACTGCTTAACTAGGCAAAATGCTTATTTCCTTATGTTTATGCATAGATATTATCAGCCAAATTGTCATGGATGATTTTGATGGTGTTCTGCATGCCAAACTTTAGAATTCTCAGTTACTGGTCTTTGTTTTTGTTATTATTTTAAATTTCTACTTAGTTTGCTGCCATTTAGATGTCTGAGAGTGCATGTTATGGAAAATAGCGTGTAATTGTTAGCTATGAAGCTTTGTTTTTGTTGGAATCAGCTGGCCCTGCCTCTTAAGGGAGACCCTAAACTCTTAAGTATTCACAAGGCACAGTAAGAGAGTGAACAATAGAAATAGAATTAGTAGGAAAGTGTTAAAAGAGAAGTTTGCTAATGACAACAAAGCATAACTTGTTCAACTCTGGTGATAAACACCAAATGGGCTTATTGCTCAAGGTAAAAATTGATAAATGGAATATGCCGTGGAAGCTCGTGAGCAGGAGTACTTTGCCCATACCTGTGGGCACTCAGTGGAAGCCATGTGAGAGCTTGGTGCTTTTATGTGTTAGCCTGTGGAAACAATTTCACTTCTGAAATGCTTCAAGAGTGTTTAAGTATAATGGACTTTGTACTGCCTGCCTGGTCTGTACCTTGTAGAGCGCTCTCAGCCCATTCAGCTTGAACTCCATTTTATCTAGCTCTTTATCCATTAATTTTCTCCTGACCTTGGGCATAAAATATATGTGCTTTTTATGCCATGGTGCTTTGTGCAGACAAAGAGGAATAGCATTACCAATCCATCACCATTATGAATGATACAGCTTAAAACAAACACAGGTCAGAGACAGATATTTTAAGAGCAGATCTGTATTGATTCCATCACAACATTGAGCTAAAAGGAAAAGAACTCTGAGACTGTAAATGATGAAGTAAGTTTTGACAAATAGCCACAACCATGCAAGTTGACTTAAGAATGTGCCTAACGGGCAGTCATTGGTGTAAAAAAAAATGTATTTGTTATTATTAAAACCTACCTCTCTTAAGTGTATTTATTACCATACTTTACACACCACATTTTAATGTGCTAGTGTTTTCCCTTTCTTGTTGTTGCTCATTGACTCTTGAAAGCTTTTTTGTTAAAGGAAAAGGGAAGCTTATTAAATTCCTTAATCTTTATTAAATTGTTGCTTTTGAAATACTTAAACTAACCTTTAACAGTAGGTGGTGGCTTATTTGTTTTGCAATTTAGTTTTGAGCACATCTTGTTAGGATTTTGAAAGTATTTGTATTGTGGCAAATAGTATGTTACTGAAGTGCAATAAATTATGAGGAGTGTATTTATTATGACCATTACTGTTAATAATCTCAATTTACATATAAAAATCTCCCTATTTAATATAATGAAGTCACATATACTAGCAAATTATGTGGTCTCAACCCATTTTTCAGTGGTTGAAATTCTAATGGACTCGATCTCTGCTATAGGAACAGTCATTCTTGCTGTTGTAAGAGGATGCATAGTATGGTGGCTGATATCTACTTATGCGATGGTGATTGTACTTCCACTACAACTTCATTACGGAAACTGTGGTTTTTCTAACAGTTCACCGCATTATGTACCCAAATGTTGTTGATATCTGCTCTGTATTTTTCAGTTTCCCAAATCTGAAACTTTCATTATGTATAACAAAATATCCAAATATTGTGTTGTATTAGTTTTCATCATGAATTTATAATTCAAATGGAAGTTTTACAAGTTTCTAATTAGTATGGTTTTTTCCAATTTATATCTTCCTTAAAATAATAAACAAACTTTCTTTGATAGAGGTGATTCTTAAGTCCTTTCTTTTAGGGATGTTTTTAAGCAGTGGAAGTTTTAAAGTCTCTTTTCTTAAGGATGTTATATGACTGCTCAGTTTAGATAAATGAAAAGGAATCGATAAGCCAAATTGCAAGGTGTGATTCTTTTTAATTTTCATCCTTTGAAAATAAATCACTACCAGATGGAGGGGACTGTAGACACACCAATTGTTGAGGGGAACGGAGATGTGTGATAATTGGAAGGCCCAATTTTTTCTCCAGTTTTTATGGAAGATGTTCCTCCTCAAAGAGAAAGAGTTCTTCTGAGGTAGAGGTTAGTAAAGTTCTTCCCCTCTCTGCCTGTCTGTAGCAGAGGACTATAGGCATTTTCATTTTAACATTAATTTCTGCATTCATAATTTCAAGCAGTTTGGAGGATGATTGCCTGCCTGATATGATTTGGGTAACATTGGATAGAATGGGCTTCCTTCTGCAAAATATTGGTCTTGCTTTCTGTAACCACTAGCATAACCTTTTCCTCTGGAAGTTTTAAGGCTGGAAGAGATAGCGGTTCTTGGGGTGGGAGGAGTTGTACCCTCCTTGTTAGAGGGTATCTAAAGAGAGTTTCACCTACGTGGGTTAAAATGAACTCCCTAGGCTGAAGAAAGATGTGTTAGTTTGGGAGAGGAAGCCTCTGGAGGTAGGAAGGAAGGTTTTTGGGAGAGAGAATAAAACATTGACAACAAACATGATTTTGTTTAAAGTCAGATGTGTTTTTGAACTTAAACTTGGGAAGCATATTTCTATATAAAAGAAATGATGTTAGTGTTTGTATTGCTGCATATGAAGCATTAGATTTGTGCTAATGACACACAAAAGCTCATAGGTGGGCAACTGAGTATTACCATATTTACTTTAGGCAGCACCGAGAACTTAGAAGACCAACACTTATAGACATTTTCTAAAATATTCATATTTATGAATTCTGTAGAAAATGGAGACTGTTATGCCTCTGAAAGAAAATACTTGCAGAAAACTCAGGTTTATACTGGAGGTTTTTATTTGACTTTTGATTCAAAAATCAGTAGAATTTGTTGTTGTAACCAGATTAAAAATAATCTAGGCTGTCTAATAGTGATATAGAAAATTAAATCTACCAGACACATATAGCCCTGACCTTTCTCTCCTACTGAAGCTGAGAATGAGTCTGGTGTGTTCTCTTAATTGTGTTTTACCGAAGGTTAATAATCAGCCTTTCAAAACTTCTTGGCTCAAAATCCATTTAGCCCAGATGTCTCTAGCAGCTTAATTACCAATTTCTTTATAGGTGATTTAGGAGTAATAGGAATGAAAGGTTCCAGGGAGATGATGGCTAAGTCATTGCTATTGACAGGTAATGTGTAAGTTGCTGTCACATTGCCTTGAAATCACTGTTAGTAGAGAGGGAGGGAGGGAGGAATCTGCCACAGTATTCATGAAATTCTTGGTCCTGGTTTAATGTCTTTGAGATTTGGAGACCCAAAGAATAACTCCCTAAGGTTTTGATAAATGGTATTAAATGTAACTTAGCATCTCTGCAATGTATAGAACACTTGTATTTAAAACATTTTGCTGACTAAACCAAAATCTATTGGATTTTTAAATTATTATTAATGATTAATTTGCAGTATTTAGAATATAACATGTTTCTCTTTCTATTATAATGGATTGCCTGTAACTGTCAGCCTCTGATACATACTAGGAGAATCCATTAAAAATGGTTGACAGCCAGTTTTGTTAAATTTCCGTGAAAATAAGGTCTCATTTCTAAATATATATTCATAGTGATGACTTTAATATTTTAGTCTTCATATAGAATTAATTAATTCAAAAATGTCACAGTATACAAGAATAAATTGTGTGGCTTGGAATCTGAAGACCTATGCCTTGATCCTGATTCCATGAATAAATGTATAGAACCTAGCTTGGTCATCATATGTTATTTGTAAGAGAGAGAAATAAGACTAAAAATATCTATAATTACTTCCAGCCTAAAGGTTGTATGATTCATTCATTCATTGAGGCATTTAAAAATATCTACTGTGTACCAAAAATACTGAATTTACTGAGCTCAAAGAGCACACAGTCTAGAATAGGAGATTACACGCAAATATAACTGAATTCATTTATTCATAAAATATTGAGCAGCCACTGTGGCACTGAGGCCTAGCAAAATGCTGGAAATACCATGATGACTGTGCCATTCCATTCCTCAAAGAACTCAGGTCAGTGAGAAGACGTGCTTTCCCAGATCACTGCAATGTGGTATCCTTAGTGAAGAAGGACATGTGCCCATGGTACTATGGAAGCAGGTGAGTAGGACACGTTAACAACACCTTACTCATCTGAAATTGGAGAAGAGGTCAGGGAAGATTATTTTGGAGAAAGTGACTCCTGAGCTATGCCTTAAAGAACATTTGTCTGAGAGGAGGGAACAGGATTACAGGCAGGTTGTGATATTTGAGGCAGAAGCAATAGAGTGAATGAAAAATAAGAGCAGCCTTGAAGCCTGGAAAAGGCAGGTACCGCCAAATTCATCATGGAACCCATCTGCATTGTTTGTGTTTTTTGCATTTCTGGTAGTTATTCATTGCATCAATGTGAAACATTGTTTATAACGTACTGATAAAATATTGTGTCATTTAGGAAAGGGAGAAATTACTTACAAATAAGATAAATAGGAGAGATTCGTTGGAGAAGGTAGCATTCGAGAGGGGTGGTTTTACGGAGTTTATGTGAGGAGAGATGTAAGAAACATACCTTGCAAAAGGGTATTTCAGGTGATAAGAAAACCCCAAATCAAGAATGAAGTTTTTACTTGGAGCAGCAACCAGGACTGATGACCAGATCTACCCAAGGCAGTGTCCAGGCTGGAGACTTTTTGAGAACTGCAACATTTGACCATCAATATACCTTGTCTAGAATTTTTAAGAGGAATGGGCTGGAACTATGTTTACAATCACTTTTTATCTTAAAATGTATAGTTTCTGGGTAATTCACAATGGATATGAATTTGACTCCATTCTTATTTGGCAAATAATCATGAGTGTCTAACGTATTTCAGTCTCATTGCTAGGCGCTGAGGATCAAATATGAATTGGATAATCCTGCCCTCAAGAAGCTTCAGTTAGTGAGAGCTACTGGTGATCTACTCAGATCTGTTCCTTCAACTCTTGCCCTACTCAGAGGTGAAGTTATGGCTATAATGAACATTGCTGTTAGGGCCAACCTCTGTCTTTCACTAAGCTGTTTCATACTGAGGATATTATCAAAATAGGAGGGTTTAATGATCAGCTTTTGATATGCTGTTAGTCTTATAGTTCAAACAGCCAAATAAGGGATGTAACTCCCAAGTATCCTAGTCTGCTGTCTGTTACTTAGGAACATGAGTGAAGAAAACAAGAGAGGCTCAGCTATTCGTACAGATTTCGAAACAGCAATTCTTTGGGTGGCTTTCTTCTTGAAGTAGAAATACACCTAACCCTAGAGCAAGCAGTTCTCCTACATACACCCCTCTTCATATGTTTCTAACAGTAGCTTAAAAAACTACCCCTGCCAAAGAGAATGCATTGGTCTATAAATGAAACTTGCTATACACACACACACACACACACACACACACACACACACACACATATTTTGCATTCAGTATATATCTTTTCAGCGGAAGTATTTTCAGTTTCTGTTCCACTGGTGATTTTGTTCTATACCAGCTTACCTGGGAGCCCTGGTTTATAACCTTCACATATTTGATCTATAATACTTCAAAACCAGTCCTGAGGTACCTGAAATCTCATAAAATTTGTCTTCTTGTTTTCTCTCTATATACAAACAGCATTTGAACTGCAACTTTCTATTTCTGTAATATTCCATGGTTCCAAAAGGTATGCTTTTGCTATTAATGCTATTAATGATAAAACTTTGATGAATAACTTACCCCAGTTCTTTTTGATAAGCGTCTCATAAACTATGCAGAACAATTAGCCAGAAAGGTGAAATATTTTAGGATCTTTAGCAGTTTAAATTTATAATTAATGGAAGAAACTGAATCTTTTGTTGTATTTTTTCTTTTTTCCTTCCTCTTGATGTCCATTTTAGATGTGCTCTTTTTCATATAATTTTTATGTCAAGTATGGTATTTCCAGTATTTAAAAACCAAATGCACCTATTTCTGTATGGTAGCAACAAAGATCTAAAACGTGAAGTGTCAAGGGGAGAAAACATGGGAGGCAAATGTTTCCTGAAACACTACTCATGCATAGGAATTACATTTCAAATTCGAGTCTAATGCAATGTGCAGCATTTAGTATTTGATAACAAATGAATGTTATCCTTTCTGTGGGTAGTGAATTAATAGTTTATTTCTTAAGCAACCAAATATGGTTCTCACATGAAAGCAGTCTATAGGAAATTACTATTCTAGGGAAAAAAAGGTCAAATTTAAAATAGCAGTTGATTACATTTCAAACTTCATTGTGCGAAGAGTTGTCATATCTGGCAGTGTAAACTCCCCGGTCCTCCAGCCCACCCCTTTCCACACTTCCTCCCTGTTCCTGTGACCATGATTTCTTATACTCAAAACCACTGCGGTTAGCTTGAAACTCCACGAGCAGGGAGCAGATTACATGGCCACATGTTCGTCTCTCCCCGTCATTGAGTTTTTACTTCTAATTTTGTGAGTAGCTTCATAATTACTTTCATTTGAGGGCATTTTTCAATGAAGGAGCTTTTGTATTTCTAGAGACAAATTTTGCTGAGGATTTTTATCCAACCAGTGGCTACATTTTGAGAATCTCATGATTTCTTTCCATTTTAACACTTACAATGTGGCTAGCATGGATTAATATTTATTTTGCTTAGATTATTTAGGCCCTTTAAAAAAAACTTTCTTAGACTCTTCCCTCCAATAAGTGAATGCACACCAACCCACCATACCTACATATGCATTTGGATAAATAAAAATTTCCGGAGATTCTTGTCCAATCAAGATCAATGTAACATGACTTGATTGTGAATGTCAACTTTTAATTTTTTTGAGACAGAGTCTTCATTCTGTCGCCCAGGCTGGAGTACAGTGGCACGATCTTGGCTCACTACAACTTCCGCCTCCTAAGTTCAAACAATTCTCCTGCCTCAGCCCCTGAGTAGCGGGATTACAGGCACGCACTACCACATCTGGCTAATTTTTTGTATTTTTAGTAGAGATAGGGTTTCACCATGTTGGCCTGGCTGGTCTCAAACTCAAACTCCTCAAGTGATCCGCCCGCCTCCAGCTTCTCAAAGTGCTGAGATTATATGTGTGAGCTACCGTGCCCGGCCTGAATATCAACTTTTATTTTAAAAAGATTGTTGAAACACGCCTGATAGTATGTGTGTATGTATACAGATGCATCATGATTTTTGATGAGGTTACATCTTGATAAACCCATCATAATTTAAAATATTGTAAATCAAAAATGCGTTTAATATGTCAAACCCACTGAACATCATAGCTTAGCCTACCCAATTTTAAACATGCTTAGAATACTTACATTAGCTAACAGTTAGAAAAAATAATCAGGAAACACAGTACATATAGTGTATTGGTTGCTTATCCTCCAGATCATGTGGCTGACTGGCAGTTACAGCTTGGATCTGCTGTCCAGCATCACCAGAGAGTATCGTACCACATATCTCTAGCCTGGGACATCAAAATTCATAATTCAAAGTGTAGTTTCTACTCAATATGTATTGCTTTCGCACCGTCTAAAGTTTGAAAATTGTATGCCGAGGCCGGTTGCAATGCCTCACGCCTGCAATCCCAGCACTTTGGGAGGCCAAGTCAGGCAGATTCACTTGAGGTCAGGAGTTCAAGACTGGCCTGTCTGACATGGTGAAACCTGGTCTCTACTAAAAATACAAAAACTTAGAACTGAGTGTGATGGCACATGCCTGTAGTCCCAGCTACTCTGGAGGCTGAGGCACAAGAATCACTTGAACCTGGAGGGTGGAGGTTGCAATGAGCTGAGATTGTGCCACTGCGTTCCAGCCTGGGTGACAGAGGGAGGCCAAGGCGGGTGGAACACAAGGTCAGGAGTTCAAGACCAGCCTGGCCAACATGGTGAAACCCCATCTCTACTAAAAATACAAAAATTAGCCAGGTGTGGCGGCAGATGTCTATAGTCCCAACTACTCAGGAGGCTGAGGCAGGAGAATTGCTTGAACCCATGAGCAGAGGTTGCAGTGTACCAAGATTGCGCCACTGCACTCCAGCCTGGGTGACAGTGCAAGACTCTGTCTCAAAAAAAAAAAAAAAAAAAGTCTACATCAAAACTTTGTAAGTAGGAGACCATCTGTATATGCATATGTGTGTATATATGTATAGATACTTATTGAGATACAATTGATATGTGATCAACTGCACATATCTAAAACATACAGTCTGATAGTTTTGACATATGCATAGACCTGCGAAACTTCACCACACTTGTAATTCCTCCATCTTGGCTGTCTGTACTGTAGCCTCACCAATACGCTTCCCAGGCAAACAGTCATCACCCTGTCACTATATATTAATTTTTATTGTAGACTTTTATATAAATGGGATCCTACAATGTGTATACTCTTGTGCCAAGCTGACACTCAGGCTTATTATTTCTATATTCACTCATGTTGTTCAACATATCAGTAGTTTATTATTATTTATTGCCAAATGGTATTCCATTACATGGATATATCAGTTTATTTATCTACTCATCTGCCTTTTCAACAATTGGTGCTGGAAAAAGTGGGTGCCCATATGCAAAAAACACTAAGTTTGACTCATTCCTTGCACCAAATACAAAAATTAACTCACAGATCTAAATGTAAATCATAATACCATAAAACCTCTGCAAAAAAAAAAAAAAAGAAAATCTTTGCAGATTGGATTAGGAAATGTTTTTCAGCTACAACACCAAAAACATGAATCTTAATGATAACCTACATTGCATTAAAATTTTCTCCTCAAAACATATTATTGGCCAGGCACAGTGGCTCAGGCCTGTAATCCTGGCACTTTAGGAGGCCGAGGCGGGTGGATCACTTGAGCTCAGGAGTTTGAAACCAGCCTGGGCAACATGGTGAAACCCCGTATCTACAAAAAATGTAAAAATTAGCCAGGCGTGGCAGCACATGTCTGTAGTCCCACCTACTTGGAAGGCTGAGGTGGGAAGATCACTTGAACCTGGGAGTTCGAGGTTGCAGGGAGCTGAGATTGCACCACTGCACACCAGCCTGCATGACAAAATGAGACCTTGTCTCAAAAAAATAAAATAAAATAAAATAAATAAATAAATAAATTATTATGAGAAGGAAAAACCAAGCCAGGAACTGAGAAGTTTTCAAAAAATACTTAATTTTTTAATCTTAGAAAGGTGACAATATAATTAATATTGTCATATGTACTTTATAGAATATAGATTTAGCTTAAAGTTTTATGAAACTAAGTAAACTGAATAATGAGAATTGAGAGTCCAGATAATGAGTCCTCAGTACTTTTACAACAGAACTATCTTATCCACCTTATAGCTTATTGATGCCTATAGGAAATTCTGTTAATCAAAATGGGAAAATCAGAATCTGTCACTGTCACCATTTTGGATATATACCTTCATCTTCAATCTCCTCTTGCTTCAAATGTATCAGTTACATTTGTTTCCGTTTAACAGCATTTCCAATTGATATTAGGTTATTCCCAGTTTGTGGTTAAATGGTAGGTCTTTAGGAAACATCTTTTTAAACTCTAGTAGGACTATAAGTAACATTCTAGTGATGTGACATGCATTTTTTCAAGATGGATGGCATTTAAAGGAGTTATAGTTTTGCAAAGCATCTAACTTTGGCACTGGAAACATTTAGATCACTAAATATATATAAATATATATGTATATTTGGACATCTCAACCGTTACCCTTACCCTTTACAATGGTGCCAACACTGCTCCTGAATGGAAAAAAAAAAAAAATCCAAGGATCCTTTCCTAAAGACTTTATAAAAATAATGAATTCTTGAAATTTGAATTTATATATCACTGAATCACTGACGCAGGAATTTTCTGACAATTTGCAGGGTTCCAGCTGGTGATGTGCCCTCCACTCTCCACCCCCCCTCACCCCCACCTTGCTCAGCCCTGGGCCTGCTGCTGGAGGCAGTCAGCCCGCTGAGTCTCGCTTGTACACCGGCTTGGCCCATGGCTGAGCTGGGTGCACCCTAGCCCACCTGTGTTATAGTTTGTACTCACATTTGGGGGTTCCTGAGCTCTTATCCTGCGTCCAAGAAAAATGAGGGTAGGCTGACAGTTGAAGGGTGAGGATGGGCAGAGAAGAATTTTATTGAACAATGGAACAGCTCACAGTCAGGGGCAGCGGTGGGGTGGGAGGATTCCTCACCCCTTCAGTCGGGTGGTTTTTTTCTCAGTGTGGCTGGGTCTGGGGCTTTTTATGGACTCAGAATGAGGAGTATGTGCTGATTGGTATGTGAATATTCAAAAAAGATTAAAGCGAAGACACCACTCAAAGGTGGGCAGGACAGTGTAGAAAACCAATTAGGAAAGGGTAGGGATAAGTAAAATACATGAAGGGTGGGGATCAATCAGAACAAAGTGCAACAAATGGGAAGACAGGTTCTCAGTCTGGTCCAAGGATTTAATTTTTAGCTTGGCTTTCAGGCTTTAAACTGTCTTCAGTTTGGAGGTGGAGTTTAAAAGGGGATCCTGCCCCATCTGACTAGGCATTTGACTGCCTCCTTTCACTGTCATCACCATGTCTACGGAGTGTTTTTTTTTTTTTTAAAGGAATGCCTTTCTGCATCTTTATTTACACTTAGGCTAAAGAGTCCTGAGGAATTTGTCGTTTGAATCCAGCCTATAAACTGTAACCTCAAAAAGACAGATCCATTTGCCAGTAGAGATTTCCTTCTAAACACTGGATAACCCTGTTGTGAAGAACATTTTATGCTCCTTATACAGGCACAGCATGATCATTGCATCACTTTGAGAAACCACTGTTTACCTTAAAGTCTTTAAAGGGTCCTGTTTGTTTAATGGTTGGGTGTGGGAAGATAACTACAAAGGTAATTCATTCTTTCCATTGCTATGTCATCTGCAATTCATTGAATGACTTTGTTCAGCTCCTCTGCAGGGTTATATAGCTGGATACTCATCTATACATACATTTTTTTAAATTTAATTATATGTTGATTACTCTTAATATGAAAGAGCCTTGACAATGAAACAGTGTATATATGTGTGTGTGTGTGTGTGTGTGTGTGTGTGTGTATGTATTTTTTTTTAAGTTGGTACTGATCATTTGACTTGCCTCTGTCTAAATTACCTGTATTGTTTTCTTCCACTCCCCCCATTTTGCATTTGGCCTTGTTATCAACAAAGTTTTAAACTTGGTTATGGACAGATAGATCATGTTATCTCTTAAAGATTTGCATGGAGTTTAAAAATTCATCTCATTTTTATAACTTGGTTGATCAACATGTACAGATTATGATTTTTTGAATTGAGAGATTATAAACATTGTTCAAATTATAATAAACCCACAAAAAGCAGAATGATTACTTTTAAGGTTATATGAATAGAGGCAAGCTTAAAACATAATTCTTTCCTCACTAAGAAAAGAAGTAAAATCAGTTTTGGATTTACTTCTCCCTTGATGTTCTGCGATCTTACTTGCTTACTGCATATAGACTTTCCTAAGAAATTCCTCTTAATGATACAGTTGAAGATAGTAGGAATGAAATCAATACACTATTACTTTGTTGGAGATACACAAAGGTTTTCAATAAACACTATTCTGCAAATTAATGTTAATTGCTCTAGGTAGAGAGAAACACCTTATGAAGTTGGAAGCTATCCATGTACATTGATAATGTTCTTTGAGAGTCGAAATGGTGTTCTTTGAAGCTGACTTCTCATGGGCTAGTAAATTAAAGCTGTGAGAGCTAAACTGTGATGGGCTCAAGCAATCAACACAGGTGTCAGTTTGAAAGGTGATAGAGGGATTCTTTTGCAGCCCCACTTGATAGCACCTTTCTGAAAGTTGTGACTGAAGCTTAGGCATTGGGACTGTTGCCAGCATGGTTCTGTGTGCAGAAAAGGAGTGAATCTGTTGGGCTTCTCATCCTTGAGAACTGAAATTTATTACTTTGTCCTCATGATGGGAACATCCACAAAGGATGGTATTTAAGGATGATAACTTCTGGTTTCTCTATTCAGATGAAATAAGCATAAACCTAGCCCAAGAGCAGGTTTCAAAGTGATAGTGAATTGCATTAAGTAAAATTTGATTGCACATGATACAATATGAACATTTGAATTTTTAAATTGATATAGTTCATATTTGAGAGGTATATGTGATATTTCGATATCTGTATATAATGTACAATAAAATTAGGATAACTGGGATATTTATCACTGCAAACATTTCTCTTTGTGTTGGGACCATTATAGTTCATTTCCTCTAGCGCTTTTGAAATAAACAACGAATTACTGCTAAGTATAATTTTTCTACTGTACTATTGAATGCTAGAACTTATTTCTTCTAACTGAATTTTTGTTGATTTTTTCTGCATTAATTTTTTCTTTTCTGGGAAAATTAAAATATTATGTCATCTCAGTCAGAATAAAAACAATTTGGCATAAAAGAGATAGAAACAAGTAAAACTTCAGTTAGCTATTAGACTATGTAAATGTAGGCCAGGCATTCAGATTTTAAACGCAGTTGTACTTCTTGTGAATATTATTATTTTGAGTGTTTTTGTATTTACTCAATTAATTGATAAGTTCTGATGAATATATATTACCTCTAAAGGAATTTTGAAGTAAATTTTAATTTTTTTAGAATGCCAAGCACCATTTTGTGGCAATTACCATTTTATTTCAGTTCGCCATTGCATGTAAGTCAAGTCATGATTACACGTAAGATAAGGTGTCATAAAGGATGTTCACCCTATTTTGGTAACATTAATATGAACACTCACCATAAACTAAATGGATAGTGATGACAACTGACCTAAAATAATAGACATTTTTTATTAGATAACGGTTTGTACAATAGCCCAAGCCCGTTGACTGTCTGGGTTCTAGGCTTCATCTGGCCTGCCATGTAAACTGTTAATACGTTTCAGAGAGATGAAAATCTGACACATGTGAAAAGGCTGTTTCTGAGCTCTCTCCATCAGAGCAGGCCTGAAAGATGTCCAGGCTATTTCAGCTCTCTGGGAGGTGCTATATGGGGAATCCAAGGTTAGGATGTGGCACGTGGCATGGCTCTGTGAGACTTGCCTTGTTGGTACCACATCCTGAGAGGGAAGAAAGGAGGGAGAGTCTGTTACTGCTTCTTGGTGATGAATCACTATTAGGAAATAGTACAGGTGACTCAGCTCATGTTTATTCTTCCTGGCAAGGCTGAATGAAAAACATAAAGGAGAGAAGATATAGAGGAAGAAAATAAAACATCTTTAGTTGTCTCCGTTTGCATAAGGAAATAGCTAATTAATGATCCTGGAGGAAATCCTTGAGTATTCATTTAAAGTTTAAAACAGTCAAACCTAGGTAGGGAGGCAAGGCCTGCTTTGTCCGTCTCTCTGTACCTCTCATTTTTAAAAATTGTCTGACACACATCATTATTTCTATATCGGGAAAAGAATCAAAGGCTCACTTATTGTAGCAGAAATAATAGATTAATTAGTTACATAATTTTTTTTCAGGCTTCACAGTTAATAAAGCGTTCTCTAAATTTATAGTGGTGGCTTAAAGGAGACAAAAAAATTAGAGTAAACTTAAGTAAGTAGAAAATGATCTTTACTTCTATGTTTATTTCCTTGTTTCTTGATATGTATACCTACAAATTTATAAATTTATATATATACACATATATGCATATGTGTGTGTGTATATATGTGTGTGTGTGTGTGTGTGTGTGTGTGTATTTTGTTTTTCTTTTTTTTTTTTTTTTTTTTTTATTGAGAGACAGTCTCGCTCTGTCACCCAGGCTGGAATGCAGTAGCGTGATCTCGGCTCACTGCAACCTCCGCTTCCCATGTTCAAGCGATTCCCCTGCCTCAGCCTCCCCAGTAGTTGGGATTACAGGTGCCCACCACCATGCCTGGCTAATTTTTGTATTTTTAATAGAGACATGGTTTCGCCATGTTGGTCAGGCTAGTCTCGAACTCCTGACCTCAGGTGATCCGCCCACATTGGCCTCCGAAAGTGCTGGGATTACGGGGATGAGCCACCGCGCCCGGCCCAAATATATATATATATATATATATGTATTTACAAATGAAAAATAAAGAGTTTTGTTTCTAAAATAAGTTTCAAAATTGGAATGGACTAGAATAGGTATCATTTTGCTTCCAATAACAGAGCATGACATGTATTGAGTTCTTGCTGCATATCAGACACTGTGCTAGTCTTAGGCAAGCTGTTGATTTCAGGAAGTTCGCTCTCATTAGTAATGACCGTTGTCAAGACCACTGAGTAATCTTCAATGTATTCATGGCGCCAGAGTGGTTCATCTTCATCAAGGAGTAGGTTCCCCTGTACCTCGGCTAACAGAAGCAAACTGCATCACTCTGTCTGCCTCCCTTCCACTGTGGCCCTGCTCTCTGAATGGGCACTCCTTCCTCTCACTGGTCCTCCTTTACTGTATACCACAAACCACTTCCTAATAATCAATTTCAGCTACAAATTGTGCTGATATGAAACAACCAATATTGCCAATATTGTATTAATTTATATAATGGGAGAATTTAAAGATGTATGTGCATATAAGGACTATAAAGGTCAACTCGGGACCTTTTATTGGCTTGTCTTTCTAATTCATTAGGTTACTCACCTTGTACCATCAATGAAAGACATGGGTTCGATTCTGTCACCTATGCTATCTCTTTTAGCCTCCTTACCAATCCAGATGCTGTAACTTCAAATATTTTCTGCTTGGATTCTTACACTTTTTTTACCTGTCAAAATGATAAATTTGTACATTCTAAGACAGAATAAGCATATGTAACTAAGTGCATAGTGAAAGTGACCTCTTATAATATAGCAAACCCTTGTATATATGCAAGTGGACTCCTTGGATAGGAAAGAAATGTGTGGTTATATTAATTAAATGCATATTTATTCTAACAGATATATAAAGAAATATAAAATACACAAGTATGTGTACATGCAGATGTATAGTTAGCCTTTGCTAATTAAGTGCTTTTAGCACAGTATATTTTGGTGGCCTTGAATATCCTCTATATACTTTCAGCCATTTCCAAGCATTAGAAAGTCCATGATTGGCCACAGATTTTTGTTGTTGTTAGTGTATATTACACATTTAGTCACAGACTGTTAGAAAAACATTCATGGTTAAGTTTACTCTGGTGTTTTGCAACAGAATTTCAACTTTGACCCATAGTGAGTAATCAAACATGACCCAAATTAGTTATGACATATGCTCTGGACATAGTAAAGTTAAATGCTGCCTAAGAGACCAGACTTATATGCACAAAATGCCTTTAATCTGCATTTCATTGAAGAGACCTTTGAATAAATTTTTAGCTTTCTCAGTGACAGAGTAGTGTAAGAATGACAGAAGTCTTAAGCAGGGCGAGAGAGCTTGAAATTCTTGCCTTCTGTGCTGTAAAACAATGTAACAGCCCAGATGTTTTCCCAAAGGGTAGCATGCTCTTTCCAGATCCGCCAAGACACATTTTTTACATCCATCTGTCCTTGTTCCACATCAGAGAAATGAAGATGTCTTCACAGATCTGCATCTGCTCTGACCCATTTCTGTACTCCCATGCTTCCCCAAGGGTGCAATATAAAGTCCAAGATGGACCTTGACCCGTGGTCCAGTGGAATGTTTATCAGTCTTCTTATTTGTTGCCCACTTTCAGTCCATCTGCAATCTGTGCTCCAGTGCTTCCCCTACACGTGTAGACTCTCTTTCTAGATGTAGACAAAGCATCCTTCCTGTTACTTCAGATTTCATTGACATCCTCATTGTCCCTGCCTGACTATAGGAAACTGCATTCTAAGTTGTGTCTAAAATAAAAACCAGATCCCATTTTGGAGAGATGTCCAAAGGAAGATGATAGAAAGCCAGAAGGCAGCAAGGCTGATGATACTGCTGCCATTTAAAGACTGTGTTCCTCTGAGAAACTTGGATTTAGTGTTTAACATCAAATTACCCATGGGGAAATACACATGGACTCATATAAAAACCTTCTGCATTAACTCTCAGCTTCCCAAAGCTAACATGTGGTTGATTACCAAGTAAGAGTTTGTTTGCTTTTACTCCCTTTTAGTCTTTTTGGTTTTTTCTCTGTTGCCCAGGCTGGAGTGCAGTGGCGCAGTCACAGCTTACTGCAGCTTTGTCCTCCTGTGCTCGCAGGATCCTCCCACCTCAGTCTCCTGAGTAGCTGGGACCACAGGAACACACTGTCATGCTTGGCTAATTTTTAAAAGTCTTTTTATACAGACAGGGTCTTGCCATGTTGCCCAGGCTGGTCTCAAACTCCTAGGCTCAAGTGATCCTCCCAAATTGGTGTGATTACAGGCATGAGCCACCACACCTGGCCCCTTTGAGTCTTAAATATTTGAGGAGGCATCTGACTTATTCTGGGAAGTTAGTAAATTATAATAGAAGAAATGTTATTCTCTTGATATAGTAACATTTAGCAAATTAGAAGCAAGTATCTGGAGGAACAATTTTTTATATATATAGTGTATATATACATAATTGGATTTTCAATAGCTAAGTCATATATACTCATAAGTACAAAGAGACTTAAGTTTCAACTTGATGGACTCTGATCCTGGATCACCTTACTCTTCCAACACCAAAGCCCGTAAAAATGATAGAAAGCGTATAAAAACACAAATATGTTAGTGTTTTGTGGGGTTTGCAGGCTTCTGTGTGCTGCTTCATATATTTCTCTGACAGCTCTACAGTGCTTGGACCAACAGGTCAAAATAAACAAACGTGTTGGACAGTGAATGAATTCTTATCCCAGGATTAGCTTTCTGTTTTTTAGCAGAACCATTATAAAATTGTATTTCTGTTTATACCTAGCCATCTAAATTTGCTTCAATAGCCTGGCACTCAAAGTCCATTTCTTAGCCTATTAATGTGTCACAATTGGACTTAGTATGGCCTCTGTGTCAGTCAAACCACTTTTCTTCTTTTTATGGGGTGATCATATACCTCTCTGTGTTCCCAGCACATGCTACACTCCAAGTTTAAGTTCCTTGACCCAAAGGATATTTATTTATAGCTCATTTAGAGGAAAACAAGGACTTTTTCCCTACTTTTTACTTTCCCATATTTAAAATATTTCTATATTAAAATCAATTTCTGTGATATCAAAACATGAGAATAATCATTTTTTTCTATTTCTAGCAATATCAGATTTATTTCTCTTCCTCATAACTCAGAATCCTCCTTGTTAACAAAGCTTTTATTTATTTTTTAAATCCTTCCTTCCCCAACTATAATCTGTGGGTTTTGTTTTGTTTTGTTTTGTTTGAGACAGAGTCTTGCCCTGTCGTTTAGGCTGGAATGCAATGGCATGATCTTGGCTCACTGCAACCTTCGCCTCCTGGGTTCAAGTGATTCTACTGCCTCAGCCTTCCAAGTAGCTGGGATTACAGGCGTGCAATACCACGCCCGGCTAATTTTTTGTATCTTTAGTAGAGAGAGGGTTTCACCATGTTGGCCAGGCTAGTCTCGAACTCCTGACCTCGTGATCTGCCCACCTCAGCCTCCCAAAGTGCTAGGATTACAGGCGTGAGCCACCGCGCCCGGCTAATCTGTGGTCTTTTTCTCTCTGAATTTCGTAAGAGACTGGCCGCCTTCTTTTTTGTACCATACTGTAGGTGCTCCATCTCCTTAAGTTAGGATAGAATTTACAGGCAAACAACAAGGTCATAGCTTATTAAAATAGGGTTATATAGGTTCTCTGAGCATAAGAAGAAGGTTCTTATAGGGCTTTATGGTTAGAAAAAGAGAACATACATTTTAGACGCTTGATCTTAGCCAAAAGGCTGAGAAGCGATGAGAGCATACATTTTAGAATGCTGAGTCATGTACCTGTCATAAAGGTATACTCCAGTTCCCCTCTCTCATTTCTTTTCTATAGCTTTCGTATTTATTATTACTATCTCCTGGTAGATAGTGTAGTTGATTGCATAGGGTAAGTGTCCAGTAAACGACTGATAAATAAAGGATTGATTTAATTATTTTAGAGTGGAATTAATGCATTCCACTACTTCAACTTATCAGAAGATACATGAAAGCAAACCAAATTGCTCCTTGTTTTCACGCCACGCCAGGGGACTCAGGCCCACTGTTTGAGCTCTTTCAAGCTGCTTGAGGTCAGAGCAACTCCACATTGACTATTTTCTGCTTCCGTAGAGGGTTTCTACTCTGTGTTTTCCTTTTTTTCTTTCACTAATATTTCTATAAAGGCACAGTTTAACAAAAACTGTATCATAGCATTTTTAAGTTGATTTGGGATCCGAGTTTAGTTGTAATCTATAGGGTGCCATAATATACTTTGTAAAGCAGGTCACTAGTGTTTTGCTCAACTTTTGGTTATAACAAGTTTAACCCAGCAGCCATTCTAACGATTCTTCATATTCTGTGGTTCAGCTGGGCAGTTATTCTAGTCTGGGCCAGCTCAAGTGATTTATACTGTCTCTCTCTTGGGTCTGTGGTCATGTGGCAGGGTAGCTGATGGCTGGGTAATGCAGAATGTGTCTGGGATGTGGCATGCTATTGGCTCTAGCAACAGAGGCAATTGTTCTCCAGAAGTGTTTGTCACACAGCGGCAGTCGTGGGGCTCACAAGCAGCCCCAGTGCTAGTGACTTGCCAAGTATCTACTTGTGACACATTTACTAATGCCCCATTGTCAAAAGCAAGTCATATAGCCAACTCAGAATTAAATTTATGGTCATTATCAATCCACCACAGAGGGCAAAGCGAGAGTAGGTATTCTTGGGGTTGCATTTGGCTTCTTCTTTCCTCCAGCATTGCTCATGAACACCCCAGAGAAGGGTCATCATCCATATTCAGTCCCAGCCATTATGCTGCCTACCTGATCTGGTCGCTGGTTGGATTTCCTATTTGCTTGGCCTCCGTTCATCATGAATCTTCTCCTGAAGCTGCGAGAAGTCTCCCAGGGCTGCTTCTTCATCCTCTGAAGAGTGCAATGAAGGTGGTTTGGTGTGAATGCCTCTGTCCTCTTTCCATGCACCTCACTGAGGCTTCTTTATACAGTGCTCTGGGAGAAAAGTGGATACCAAATCCAAAAACACATGTCATACTCTGTCAAAAACTCTCTCACGCTGGTCCGTTCTGACACAGCAAGAAGAGAAACCTGCTAATACTTTCCCTTTTTGACAGGCACCGCCAAACCATACAATGATTTTTCCCAGAGAGAAAGAACCCTGTACTTTCCAAAGATCTGTGACTTTTCCTTTTCTCAGTTTTGTATATAAATGGGGTTTGGATTTGGGTTTTGCTAGGGTTGTGGTTATTGGTAATAGGTCAGTTCTGTCTTCTGTTAGAAACCGTGCAAGGAGGTGCCTGTGACCATCGCCTGAAAAAAGCAAGGTGATGGTCACAGGCCTCTGGTCCAGGTCATTGATAGCTTCCTTTAAAATATATGGTGGGTATGGGGGCAGTATTGCCAGAACTTTTCAACTTGGATCTTAGCTACAATTGAAGTACAGCCAGAAAAGTTGTACTCAAATCCCAACATAGATTATTTTATCTACACTTATTTGCTTAGTTCAACACATGG
The DNA here is from genome assembly GCF_000001405.40 of Homo sapiens. Lineage (NCBI taxonomy): Eukaryota > Metazoa > Chordata > Mammalia > Primates > Hominidae > Homo > Homo sapiens. The sequence continues at coordinate 8,551,908 of NC_000009.12, read as the reverse complement.
TCCATTCTTTAATTGGAACAGGATGACTGGATCACATTTCTGGTTTGATCTATTCCAGGCTTGATTCTGCTGATTATATGTTGATAAAGTCTGTGCAGGTTTATTCTAGGCAAAAAGAGGTTGATTTGGTCCTCATAGTCAACATTTTGTGGACTTTCTTCATTATGTTTGGAAAATTGAATTATTACACCTATAAACTTTGTAGAAATGTTGTTAGCAATTTCCAGTTAAAACTAATTAATGGTTCTCCTTCATGATGAAGTAATTGAAAATGATCATGCTATTTCCCACACAGGTTGTAATCTGAAGCTACTTAAAATGACTGGTACTTCAGGCTCCTGAAAAATTGTATCACTCTTGCATCCTTGTTAGTCTTCTAAAGTTAAGAACTATTAGCCTTCGTTAAAAAACAAAGAGGAAGAAAAGGAAAAGAGAAAGGAAAAGAGAAAGAAAAAAGATCTGCCATATACTCTCTTATCTATAATAATAAGGGTTTTGATTGTTGAAAACAGCAAAAATAAAATGAGATATGAAGCATATAAGGATGAGATTAAATGGGTTTAAATTATGAAAACTTTCATATTAAATGTCTGTTAATGGAGAACAATTATATAAAGCAGAACATTTCCTCAATGGCTTCTGAAATTGAAAAAAAATTTAATTACAAAATATGTTTGTGCTATGGGTCATGGGGCCCAATGCCTACGGAGGTTAAAGTCACTTAAGGAAGGGATTACCAGTTATTAGAAATGTACCCTTTGATATAATTATGAAGAAAGATAAAATACTCCAAGGGAATAAAATAGCTATTGAGCAAAAACCACCCCCAAGTGATAGTCTTATCATATGTTTTCATAGGGATTTGCCATTATGGTATCATGGGAGTGCCAGGAGTGAAATCTATTCAACCACACTGTCACTGCAGAACTGGGATGCTATTGTTGGTGATGAGTAATTGTTATGAGAGCTATAGCATAAGCTCACTGTCGAAGACAGGCCCGTGGAGAGAATATTCTTTTCATACCCAGCCTTGGTGCTGTTGCGTTCTTATTTCTCTAAAGAGCCTGACCCAGGCCTGTACAAAAGAAAGATTGAACACTGGATCTGCCTTGGGTGTTCTTGTCAGGAGTTCTCATAGTTAAAGCTGTAGACTATAGGGCCAATGGATCTATTAAGAAATCTTAGGGCTGAGCTTTTATACTATCAGTTACATTATACCATATTTCTAGGTTTCTCTTGCATATGGATTTAGATTTATTTAGGTGATTGAAAATCATGATCTCTTCTTTAATTTGTTGCTACTCTTTCCACAAATTATGTTGGAGAATGTGTGTGCACATAAGCACATACGTATCTGTTTGTGTGTATGGTAGATACATTATCCAGTAGGTCATTTAACCAACTAAGATTTTGATGGCCTTAAAATATTTCAGGGCAACTAATTATAATAAATAATGCAGAATATAGTTTTGATTTTACTGTTAATCTCATACAATCTAGTAGTAGCAGTAGTGGCAGCAGTAGTGGTAATAGTAAATTTTTAAAGTATTTACTATATGACAAATCTACTTTTGAGTGCCATACATGCATTAAATCATTTAATACTCATGACACTTCAAATTTGGGAGGTACCATATACATGTAAGGTATCTATACTAATCTTAGGAACATGACAATATTTATATTGGAATGTAGGCCTATTTAAAAGGCCAGAGCAATCATAAGCCAATAGAACATGAAAAACAACTTTTTGTTTTCCTAATAATATAAATTGGACCCTAAATTTTTCAAATTCTTGGGGAATACAGTAAAAACTAAACAAGTCTTCTATTTGTTCTTTTCAATTCTGACTGATTCCCTGTTATGGCTTTTGCTTTGAGCTTGGTTCAGTTCAAGTTAATCAGTGATGTTTGTCTTAATGTTGCACTCCTACATTAATTTTAATCTTCTTTCAGATGCTTCATGCCAGGAACTATATGAATGGAGATCTGAATATAGATACGCTAAATGAAAGAGCTTGAAATGGTACCCTTTTTGTCTGATTGCATGGCTTGAAGCAAGAGTTAAGAATAGTATCTTTCTTTTGTAATAATTTTTAAAAAATTGGCTCAATATCCTAAGCTACCATTAGAATTATTGGGTGTTTTTCCTAGATAATTTACAATTTGAATAATTTTATATTTCCTATTTAAATAATTTCCCTTGGGGTTTATATCTTGTGTTTATTTTACTTCATCTCCCCTCTCAAAGTTGCATTACTTTCTCATATGCCCCTCCTCACAAGGCAAATATTCACACATATTTTTCTCTATGTTTAAAATCTACAATGCAAAATAATATAATTGTTCTTATCCCTTTTAGTTATTTAATAGGAATATGCAAAAATGTTACTGTGTGGAAAACATACTTGGAACATTGCAAAACCCCTGTTTCCCATACTCTTCTCACTGTAAATTCTTTGCTGGGTCATCTCATCCATCTGCATGATTCCAGCTGTCATTTTCATATGAGAGAAACACAAATCTTGACCTTTCTCTGTCTCTTCTTGTGTCTTTTATATTAGTGACATCATCCCTGCCTGCTGACCTACCATCATTCACGAAGGAACTAAGAGGCTAGAAACTTGACACTGACTCTTACCCCATTTTTCCTTAAGTAAAATGAATACTCCCTAAAACTGGTGGAATGTTTCTCCAGTATGCGTCTAACTCATCTCTTCCTTTCTCTTCCAACGATCATAATTATAATTCTATGTTATATCCGCACATAGACTTTATCATCTCACATTTAAACTAATATAGTAACTACCTAACTGGGCTTTCTCTTTGTCCCCCTTCACTGCACTCCCTTGACAGAGATTGCTTTTTAGAATGTGAAGATTTTTCTTTTACTTCCTTGGTTCAAAATATCCAGCTGTGGCCCGGGCACGGTGGCTCACATCTGTAATCCCATCACTTTGTGAGGCCGAGGCAGGCGGATCACCTGAGGTCAGGAGTCCAAGACCAGCCTCAACATGGAGAAACCCCGTCTCTACTAAAAATACAAAATTAGCTGGGCATGGTGGTGCATGCCTGTAATCCCAGCTACTCGGGAGGCTGAGGCAGGAGAATTGCTTGAACCTGGGAGGCGGAGGTTGCCGTGAGCCGAGATTGCACCATTGCACTCTAGCCTGGGCAACAAGAGAGAAACTCCGTCTCAAAAAAAAAAAAAAAAAAAAAAAAAAAAAAAAAAATCCAGCTCCAGCTGGGTGCAATGGCTTACACCTCTAATCCCAGCACTTTGGGAGGACGAGGCAAGTGGATCACTTGAGGTCAGGAGTTCGAGAACAGCCTAGCCAACATGGCGAAACCCCATCTCTACTAAAAATACCAAAATTAGCCAGGTTTGGTGGTGCGTGCCTGTAGTCCCATATACTTGGGAGGCTGAAGCACAAGAATCGCTTGAACCTGGGAGGGTGAGGTTGCAGTGAGATGAGATTGTGCCACGGCAGTACAGCCTGGGTGACAGAGTGAACACCTCTCTCAAAAAAAAAACAAAATTCCAGCTGCATGCATATACAACCTAACACATGAACCCCAGATTCCTTCCAGCTTGTCACAGTTGGACCTGGCCAGCCATCTTTGCATCATCCTTCAACAGACCTTGCACACTGTCTTCCTACCCCTGTCCGCAAACAAAAGCATTCAAGCAGTGACCGCATTTCACCTTGAATCCACCTCGCACTTATTTAATCTTTCCTGGACCTTAGATTATACTTTTCCCTGTGCCTTGAAGGCCCTTTACTACATTTCTATCAAAATTATATTCATGCTCTTAGATCTACCTTCTCTGGTCTCCAGCAAAATCGTTATTCACCCCTGTGCTCCCTTAGGGTTTGATTAGTTGACACATTTTCTGTGTTCACATGCACGTTTTCACCTTACATGGTACAACTTTTAAGGGACTGTTTTTGCAGCTGTCAGGTGCTGAGCAATGTTTTACACAGAGAGTCTGAGAGGTGTTCAATAAATATTTGTTAAATTGAACAAATAATACACTGCTATTTAATGTTTGTTAAATGTGATTATAATTTTCTGCAAGTAATGTAAACATGTGCTTTGTACAAACATACATATCCACACATAATTATATATGTATTTTTGTGTGGGTATATATCTTTGTGATATTTATCATTTTTATCATGGGCTGATATTGGAATTAAATCCAATGCCTGTGACTTTTCTAAAATAGAAATAATAGTCACTCTCTTTTTTTTTTTTTTTTTTTTAAATAGGATTCCACCTCATCACGCAGGCTGGAGTGCGGTGGTGTGAACACGGCTCACTGTAGCCTCAACCTCCTGGGCCCAAGCAATTTTCTTGCCTCAGCCCCGAGAGTAGCTGGTACTACAGGCACATGCCACCACACCAGGCTAATTTTTGTATATTTTGTACAGACTGGTTTTCACCATGTTACCCAGGCTGGTCTCAAACTCCTGAGATCAGGCAATCTGCCCACCTTGGCCTCCCAAAGTGCTGGGACCATGCCTGGCCCACTATGCCTATTTAACCCTATCTTTATTTCTTTCTTCCTTTATTTTTTCCTTTAAGTTAGTGTTTACTAAATTAAGTTTTTTATATCCTTTCTGGTAAGCTCACTTTAATAAGTTTATTGTTTTTGGTTTAGCATAACTTTGGGTGACTTTAACATTTCTCAGACTGTTATGGGAAATGTGGATTCATTTGGACATGTACTGACATCTTTCAGATCATCACTTTTGTACATTATATATTTTTAAAAGGTTGTATCTACAATATTTATGCCTGTGTCTATGATAACTTTATTTCAAAGAGATAGAAGAGTTTATGGAGGAATGTTTCACATAGCAAGATAAAATGGTATGACAGTGGAGCAGGAAAATTTTGTAGTAAGACAGGTTAATGTTAGGAGTATAGTTGGAACGTGCATACGGTCCATGCCATGGACTTCTGTGCCTTTGCTAAATAAACCACAATTTTAGCTCCAAATCTACTAACATCTCTAGACGTGAGAAAGAGGGAAACTGTGACACAGATGCATCATGTCCATAACATAAATAACAAATCAGTTCTTTAGAAAAATGATAGTATGGCCAGGTGCGGTGGCTCACGCCTGGAATCCCAGGACTTTGGGAGGCTCCAGGCAGGCAGATCACTTGAGGTCAGGAGTTCAAGACCAGCCTGGCCAACGTGGTGAAACCCCATCTCTACTAAAAATACAAAAAAGTAGCGAGGCATGGTGGCGCACGCCTGTAATCCCATCTACTGGGGAGACCAAGGCAGGAGAATCTCTTGAAACTGGGAGGCAGAGGTTGCAGTGAACCAGGATTATGCCACTGCACTCCAGCCTGGACTACAGAGTGAGACTCTGTCTCACAAAAAAAAAAGAAAAAGAAAAAAGAAAGAAAAACCATAATATTCCCCTGAAACCAGGGGAAAAGTTCTCTCCCATAGTTCTTGAGAACGAGGATATAGTCAAATAGTAAATGCTATTCTCTGCATCATATGCATGTTTAATTTCACAACATTATAGGGCAGTTGCTTGCTAAAGTCCCTCAGGTTAATCTGTCGAATTATAACAAAACACATGTCAGTTTAATCTGTTCTCCAGCAGATGAGAGAAAACAGTCCTGGTTTCTAGCTCTCTCATCCTTTAGCTAACCAAAATCAGTTTTTATATTATATGGAGGAGTGGATGAAATTGCATAACTTCAGCTAATTCTCCATAAATATTACTCCTCTGGCCAAGTTGTTTTGACTGTCATTTTAAGATTGAGATCCCTGATAAGTACAGATGAAAGCAACACTATGTGGTCGGTTAAGTGAAGCATCTCAGATGTTACCACTGATCTGTGTTAAGGCTAAATAGGTACATCTTCTTATGAAAACTAAAGAGGTTGGTGATATTATGTGCTTGGATAGGCTAGCCACCTGATAAATTGAGGTGGACAAAGTGAGCACTTCTACGTTTAGCTAGAGTTTGTATAAAGTTTGTTGGATTTCTTCTTGAACAGGCTTAATGGGAAATTAAGGAATGACCAATTTATACCATAAAGTATGTCTATAATAATTCAAACTTGAAAAACTATTATGAAATTATAAACAAGTATCCATGTCATTCATTCAACTTAAAGCTAAAAGGCCCTTTTAAACACCATTTGAACTTTCAATGGTGATCAATCAGTAGAAATAATGTACTTTAATAAACTGAATGAGGTAATGTCTCTGTAGACTCAGTTATTGAAAATAGTCAAACACTTCAGAATATTTACCAAAGAGCATGACTTTGACTGTAAAACAGTTGATCTGTATAGTCCTTGCCTTCTGAAAATCACTGTGATGAAATCAGTGATAGTTGACTCTGTTCTAGGAAATGTTATACGTTTTATCAAGATACATGGTTTTCCTCGGAACTACCTCATGTCCTGCAATTCATAAATAATTTTGTTGAGAAGTTTTCCATTTGATCTGCTTTTTAGAAGAATAATCCAGAAAACAGCTTGTCTCATGAACTTAGGGATCCTGGAGTCCAGGTACCCCCGATTAACTCTGTTACAGGTTCCATTTGGAATCACGAAAAACTGAATTATCAGAAATGGGTCCCTGTATGTCTGAACAAACAATATTATCTTTGTCAAGGACAAAATATAAGTATGAAAACGAATAATATCCATGATGTTGGGAAATGAATTTGAAAATCAACAAAAATTATTTCTGGAGAGTAAAAGAGAGGTGAGAGTGGAGCAATGTGCTGTTTGTTAAATCTACCACTAGCTGCATTTTTTCCTCACAACCAAGATAAACATTTAAAAACTACGATTGTGTGTGCTAGAATATGTTTAAGTCTCTGTCATATTAAGAAGCACCAGGAAAGTGAATATCCCAGAAAGTTTTGTTCTGAAACCCTGGTCATCATGTTTTAGGAAAGTGAATTAAGCTTTGAAGAAGGCACTTTGATACAAAAGTGCCTCCTGACAATTAAAAAAAAAAAAAAAAAAAAAAGGACTGTCTTTAGTATGACCCAGCTGTTATTGTCAAAGGATTAAGTCTGTGAGAAATCATGCAACTTATGTATAAGTTGGTACAAAAGCAACCGCTGTTTTACCATTGAAAGTAATGGCGACCAGGCATGGTGGCTCATGCCTGTAATCCCAGCACTTTGGGAGGCCGACAATGGTGGGTCACTGAAGGTTCGGGAGTTCCAGATCAGCCTGTCCAGCATGGTGAAACCCTGTCTCTACTAAAAATACAAAAATTAGCTGGGCACAGTGGCTGGCGCCTGTAATCCCAGCTATTCGGGAGGCTGAGGCAAGAGGATCACTGGAACCCAGGAGGTGGAGGTTGCAGTGAACCGAGATCACGTCCCTGCACTTCAGCCTGGACAACAGATGAGACTCTGTCTCAAAAAAAAAAAAAAAAAAAAAGTTATTTTTTTTATTTTCCTGCAAGGTAATTCCTGCTCATATCAATGGCAAAAGCAACTGCTGTTTTACCATTGAAAAGTAATGGCGACCGGGTGCGTTGGCTCATGCCTGTAATCCCAGCACTTTGGGAGGCCGATACAGGCGGATTACTGAGGGTTGGGAGTTCGAGATCACTCGGGAGGCTGAGGCAGGCAAATTGCTTGAACCTGGGAGGTGGAAGTTGCAGTGAGCCAAGATGGCACCACTGCCCTCCAGACTGGGCAAAAAGCAGGACTCTGTCTCAAAAAAAAAAAAAAAAAAAAAGTAATGGCAAAACCTTACTTTTGCACCAGCCTAATGCATGTGATATACCCAATAGGTTCCCAGCAAATGGAAGTCTATGAACCTTCAACCCCCAAAAACCAGTACTATGGTGGGCTATGATATCCATGAAAATAAAACTAAATTTAAAATGTTTTGGCCAGGCATGGTGGCTCATGCCTGTAACCTCAACATTTTGGGAGGCTGAGGTGGGCAGGTCATGAAGTCAGGGGTTTGAGACCAGCCTGGCCAATATGGTGAAACCCCGTCTCTACTAAAAATAGAAAAATTAGCCGGGTGTTGTGGCACGCAGCTGTAGTCCAGCTACTCGGGAGGCTGAGGCAGAAGAATCACTTGAACCCAGGAGGCAGAGGTTGCAGTGAGCCTAGACCATGCCATTGCACTCCAGCCTGGACAACAGAGCAAGACTCTGTCTCAAAAAGAAAAAAAGGAAAAGAAAATGTCTTTTTCCCACTGGGGAAACATTCTTGATTATATTTTATCTTCTGAGTTAATTCCGGAAAAATGACAACATGTGCCCATGTAACTATAATTTGCTCACAAAACCTGTCGTGTATAATATACAAAGCTGTATTGCATAGTATTTTATCTTTATTAACAACAAACACTTAAATAGCATTGGTTATATTAGGGATCAGTGGCTGAAATACACATTCTTCCTTCCTTTAGTGAATGCACATACATTATTTATTCAGCAGCCTCATAGCCATCATCACTGAGCAATTGAAGGGGCATTAATCTTGTGGTAAACATCAAAACCATCCACTCGTGGCTGTTGGGGGATTGGTGGATTATGTCATGTTGCTATGCCAGTGAATTCAAGGCTGAGAAAACTTTTTTTGTTGTCAATTTGCTGTCACTTTGTTAAGAATTAGAGATTGTATGTTTCCCAAATTTATAACAATGTGTCAGTCTATTACAACTAAACGAAAATGAGCAGCTCTGGGTTGTTTTCAATATGTAAGAAAAAGGTTTTATTACATCGCTTCTGAGTATCATCTTATCATTGGAAACTTATATCTATTTAATTGGCATGTTGTATATTAAAATGTGACAGCCGTGAGTTATCTATAAGGAGATTCTTAATTTCATGTCTTCATAGGAACACAACTCAAATTATTCTTCCTCTTATTCAGGAGACCATTGGCTGTCATACTCTAATATTTTGTGAATTCCTTTTCTGGCTAGGGAGAAACTACCCTTGCATGCTCAACTGTCTTCAAATTGCAGGAATTGAGCTATTAGTGGAGAAAACTGATGCAAATCCATGGGTATTTACAACCCATTCTAGACTGGCTCCCAGGGAACTTCTGGTGCGTCTGTAGTGAGGATGCTGAGCTCACGTGTGTAGGCTGAAGCAGACATTTCTTGCCTTCATCCTGAGACAAAGCAGATAAGGAGGCAAACGGCTTGCTCTACGAGCCCCTTTTGCCAATTCCTGAAGGAAAAGCTGGATCAGTGTTCAACTGACAGACACTTGCTTTGTACTTAGTGCTGTGCTCCATCCAGGGGCAGCTCTATTGGTGAGAGTCCTTCATAGAGGCATACTGTTTCATGAGTGCCTCAAATACATGACATTGCTTCCCAAGGGAAGACATGACTGAAAACATATGCAAACAATCATAACATTTCAGAAAGCCATCCCTGATAATTCTCCTTCATTCCTCATCTTCAAAATATTACCAACCCTTGTAAAATTGACATTCAAATTATTCTGAACTTTTTCCACTTCTCCCTATCTCCTTACATCTTCCTAATGTAAGTTTATCTTGCCACAGGGCTATCTCGGTACTATCCTAAATAACATGCCTACATCACTTTATTCTTATTTTTTGCTTTTCCCCAATGCATTTTTCATAATGCAGTTAAAAAGCCATTTTTTAATGCCAATTTTGTGATAAGCGACATACACTCCCAGTACACATGCCCGCAAGCACCGAAGTGCCCACACACTTGTATTTACCTTCAAAACCCTTCTTTCCTTTCATTTGCTTTTGGAAAAAGATCGCAATCCTTTATGTATGCCCTCAGGTTTTGCCTGAAACCCTTTTTCTAATTTGCTGTGTTTAATCTATTGAAGAAGAAGGTCAAGGTTTTAGAATTTATGTGGATGCTTGACAACTCTTCCATCTAGTTGCAAAAGATAAGGGATTTCATTCATGTAACTTTTGGTAGTGGTTTTGGCCATTGTTTGGCAGTTTTACTTTGATTGGGTTATTTTCCAGATGTCTGAACTCCTGTTGAATAGCTTCTTAATATTTTTGATATTTGAAAGCATAGTGAATAAATTTCTATCCTGTGTTTGCTTTTATATATGATATTCTTTTGATAGAGAGGAAAGTTCAAACATTTCGAAAAGAAATAAATCATAGTTGTAAACTTCTTTGGGCAGTTTCATAAATTGATAGTCCTGTGATTTCAAAGATTTTGAAGAAAAACATACATTGACATACACACACACAAACACAAACAAACACAAAGGCTGGGCGCAGTGACGCATGCTGGTAATCCCAGCACTGGAAGGCCAGGGTGGAAGGATTACTTGAACCCAGGAGGAGTTTGAGAGCAGCCCTGGGAACATAGCAAAAACCCATCTCCACAAAAAGAATAAAAGAAAAGACGGGTATGGTGGTATGTGCTTGTGGTCCTAGCTGCTCCAGAGTGGAGGCAGGAGTGTCACTTGAACTCAGGAGTTTCAGACTAGCCTGGGCAACTTAGTGAGACCCATCTCTATGAAAAATAAAAATAATTGAGCCAGGTATTGTGACACATGCCTGTAGTCCCAGCTACCCTGGAGGCTGAGGTGGAAGGATCCCTTCAGCCTGGGAGGTTGATGCTGCAGTGAACTATGATTGCACCATTGCAGTCCAGCCTGGGTGACAGAGCAAGACCCTATCTATAAAAAGCAAAACAAAAAACCTAGTTCCATTTGGTTATTCTCTGGTGTTAAATTCAGGCTGAATTTTGCCATATAAATAGAAAACTATTTGCATTTATGGGAAATGTTTCCCCATAGATCTGTAATACATTCTGAGACATATAAGTTATCTTTAACTGCTTATTCATGTACTCCTGTAGTTTTCATTTTTTCAGTGAAACATTTTATATGTGATGTTTGATGTTTTAAGATTTTGATCTTTTCATCTTTCAAGACACCCTCTAAAGAAAACTGCCATTACCTCTGTTTTCAGAATCAATTTTCTCCTGTCAGATAAAACAAATACCTACCACAGTTTGCCTTTAAAACTATAAAAACTGTTACTGAATGTGGTAAAATAGTGAAATGCTCTTTTTAGAAAAATTATTTAGACATATCTGAGTCACTTTATTTTGTTCCTCTTGCTCCCATTGCCTTACATTATTAAAGACTAGAGGGTAACAACCATTTTCTGTAATGTGTTCTTGTTTCAGGAAGAGAGAACTGTGATGAGCTGAGGGGAAGGTGGATTGTTTCTAAAATTTTTGAAAGTTTGGCTTAAAAAAATAACATTTGGATTTCTGAAGCTATTCTAAGTTAATTATGTTTTAATTGGAAGGAAGATCCTCAAAAAGTTTGTCTTCTATCTTAAATTTTTATCAGACTTTATCATTTCTCTAAATAAAAATAATAAACGTGCATTATGTTATTAGAATATTGATTTCTCACATTTTCTTTTCATGAGCTTGCACCTTGCTCTTGAGTTATCACTCAATTTTGTTCATTGTTTGTAATTAAATACTTATGCCTTAATTTTATAGGAATTCATGTATTTTTAGAGTTAACTTTTTTCAGATATTGTCATCATTTGTGTGAAATTGGTAATAACAGTTGGAGTGTCATTTAAATAGTCATGGTATTCAAGAGGGCCTCAAATAAAGTATATATTTAAGAATGTTTGTCACAATTGGGAAAGCAATGCTTGAGTATATCTAGCTACCCAGATGCTTTGGGAATAAGTCTATATATTTCTGATAATATGAATTAATTATAACAGTTTACTTCTATATAATTTAAAATTTTGAAATGATCCCAATCTTATAGAAAAGTAGAAACTACAGTACAAAGAACTTATTATTCCTGAACTGTTAGAGAGTTAATTGCCGACATGATGCCTTGCCTGTCATTCCCAAATACTCAGATTTATACAAACAAGGCATTCTCCTACCTAACTACAATGGGACTATCGAAATCAGGAAGTAAACACTGATGCATCATAACCATCTAATTCTTAGATCCGCATTCACTTTTGATCACATTTTTCCAGTTGTTCTTACTTGTGTTTCACCAGTTATCGCCATTCAAGTTTTTATAATTTTCCACAGAGGCTCCAGTTCAGAATTGTATTTTGTACTTGTCAACCTGGAAGAGTTCCTCAGTCTTTCTTTGACATTTCTGACCATGATAGTTTTGAAGATAACGAGCCTGTTATTTAACAAAATGTTCTTGTTTGGGGTTTTGCTGATGTTTACTGGTGGTCATATTTAGGTTGTGACTCTTTTCCAGGAATATTGTGGAAGTGATGTTATATTTTTCTCAGCACAAGAATTTGAATTATCCCTTTACTGGTGTTATTAACTTTGATTTTTTAATCAAGGTTGTTTCTGTAAGCCTTCTCCAATGTAAAGTTACTAATTTTTCTTTACATATTTTATTATTATTTTAAAAATAGTTAAAATTTTTAAAATTTAAAACTTCAAAATTATTTGTCTTTAATGGTATTTTTAGGACTACTACCGTGCTTAGAATACAGCAAAATCATGTAAATGGGAGCATTATTTTCTAAATTAATATCATTGGCATCAGCAGCAGCATAAGGAGCATCATTTTTGGTTTCTAATTGCATACTGCAAATCTAGGAGATGCTTAAGACTTTCCCTATCATTTAATCTCTCACAGACTGCTTTCTTTATATTTAATAAATTTATGTAGGGAGTCCCTTTGATACTATGTAAAGATACTATTTCTCCTGAAACTTTTAATTTACTCAGTTATTTATATCAGTATGGATGCATGTCTTTATTTTATTCAGTGTGTTATAACTTGTTAATACTGTCTTTTTTAATTTTCGTGTTCAAGTTGTCCAATATTTGGTCAATAAGAGCCCCTTTAAGCTGGCTTCTGTGTACATTTAGTATATACCTTTCATTCTTTGAGTATTTTCTTATACAACAGGATAAGTTGTGTCTTCTTTGCTTGTTCTCATTCCTTGCTTGTTCCAGTCTCATTCTTTGCTTGTTCCAGTCCTAATTGGAATCAGTGATTTCTCTAAGGAGTTTTCTGAAGGGAAGCTTTCTGAAAGGAAAGTGTTTCCTTTCAACTGGAGAATGGTATTTAGAAACCAAGATCTGAATACAAGGTGTGACCATTGCTACTGGGTATTACTGCTCCCAGCCTCTCTTGGTTCAGCTAGGGAAGATGTCTTTGCTAAGTTTATATAAAGAATGTATGTTTGTGCATGCATACTCATTTACAAGTCATATATATATGTATACATATATATTTAAAATATGTATAGTATATGTATACAAATGTATATATATATGTGTGTACATATATATTTAAAACTAGGTGTTCACACCAACACTATTAGTTCCAATCCAACACTACACAATTGATTCTGATTTTCTTTTTTTTATAACATTTGATGGCTTAGAAAATTTATTCATATATACTTATATTTACCAAAATATGGTGAAGAAACCACATTGAATGTTTTCTGTAGTCCCATTTGATTGAGCTTGTTGGTTTGTAACTTTTTACAAAGCTAACAAATAATGGATGCAGGATCCAAATCCAAGTCTCTTTCCTTGTTTACTATTTTTGTCTTTGTGCCTCTTTTTCTAAAAAACAAGAATAAAAAATTATTTTCTAAAAATAATAAAATTCATTTTATGATTTAAATATACATTTCGGTAAAGTGGTTAATTATTTGAATATTCAAAGTAAGGTAAACATTTGGATGGATGTAAAGGGTGAGTATAATGACACCTGCTTGTTGATAAATATAAATTGATAGGGAATAATGAGATTTGTGAAAGTGGATGGATATTGGATTTTATCTAAATGAATCCCAAAGAAGGGAATAAATGTGTTTCCCTGATGCCTAAGTATTTAGTTAAACGTTCAGGTATTAATAGTGTTACTAGGTAGGAGGAGAAGGTACTTCTTTTTTTTCTCAATGCGTTTATTTGATTATGAATCACAAAAAGGGTAATCATTTGCTCAGGCCGAGCACTAATAACAGTATGCCTTAACTTAATGCAATGTAAACTTGGAGCTACCACATTTAGACAAATGATAATTAAATCTAACTGGGGTTTATGTTCTGCTATGTAGACATTACTTTGTAATTTGTAGGATGATTGCATGCATTGCTTCTAAACAGTTTGTTTTATTCTCTGCCCGGAGTACCTTGCAAACTCCTCAAAATGTGAGGAATATTTCATAAAATGGAGCTTTGCTCTGGAATGCTCTGTGGGTAGCTGGTTGGTATGCTGAATATTTAGTAGCTGCTAATGAGGCTCTTAGCTTAACAATGTCCAATTTTCTATTCCTGCATGGCATAATTCTATGAGAAATCTTTCGAGACTCTTGTATCCAGTGACTGCCTTTAAGAGATACCTAAATCTACTCTGAAATAAAAGCTTAGCTGATTGATTTATAGCCATATTAAGACAAGCATACTATCTGTATGTAATAACTTGCAAAGAGGACCTTGGGAAAAAAATTTTTGTATCTTGTTCATAATTACTTTTTTGGGAACAGATCTTATATTTATCGTATGTTCCATTTGGAATGTCATGTATTAACTGTCAGTTTTTTTTTCTGCTTTATATAGTTTCTTGCTGACTGGACTAGCATTTGATTTGTAATTAGAAACTATATGATTTTTTCAATTTTATTCATATGCGTAACATTTCGATAATGGCCCAAGAGCCCAACTTTGCTAGAAAACGGTGATTTAGCTTTTATTTCTTTGCTCTTTATTTTTCTGTTTTCAGTCCCTTATTCAATTCACTTACAGGAAAATTGACTTTGAATAATAATGGTCATGATGTCAACACAGTACAAATTATACCCTGCTGCCATCTGGAATGGTGAAAATAAAAGCTTTATTTACACTGTTTCCTTTAAGAAAAGAATGTTTTTTCCTCTTCTTCAAGGACTGTATTCTGGAAAGAAAATGGTGGTCCTTGTTTGTAGCCTGATACTGTGATTCATTTTGAAATGTAATGACTTGAAAACTCATTGTTCGACAAAGTAGCAAATACACTATGATAATCCTCTGCCTTCCAGCCTCTGAGACACTGATCTGTCTCCCTGTCCAGATAAAGCTTTGGAGTAGTCATTATTAGTCCCATAAACCGAAGAGGGACCTTGTGGCCCAAAGTCATAGGGTAGATATGTTAGGTCTACTTATATCTGCTTTTCTGGTCTCTGTACTGACTTTTGGTGCCTGCTCATGGCAGAAGGCCCGCCATTCTCAGCCCTTCCTAGGTAATTAAGTAGAAATTACAGAAGGGCTAAAGGTATAGGCACAGTACTAAATCTCAGCTCTCTAGGAAAATTACTTGACATTTATCAGCCTTTTCACACTCTTCCATTTCTCATCTACCTTGTACTGGCTAACAGACATGGCAGAATTCTGTCTCTTCTAGAACCAATCCTGAGGGAATGAGAAGCCTATAACATATGTATATACACACACACATATATACATTTATATACGTATATATGTGTGTGTATATGTGTGTGTGTATGTATGTATATATATGTGGATTTTTAAAATGTAGATCTATTTTTAAAGTATTATTACATCTCATGGAACTTGCGTATCTAGTCCATGCCATTTAAAAAATAAAAGTAAAGGATGACCAAGTATTCAAACTCTTTTGTTGTCCCATTCATGAGTTGACTGTGATTAAGAGTTTCATCACTACATGATGAAGATTTATTTGAAGAATAGCAATTTGCATAGAGGAAACATGACACAATAAAAAGACACCAAATCTAGAGCTGAAAGACTTTCTTTAATTTTTTACTACATGTAGGATATGAAACAAATAACAATATTACTGAGTTTTTGTTTTATAGCCACAAAAAAATGATAATGATACCATCCTTATTTACCTCAAGGAACTCTAATAAGGTTCAAATATTTGTATTTTAGAGATACTGGGCATTATAGTGCTTTGCATTAGGTAAAATTTTAAATTTGTCTAATATGATCTTCTGACTAAATTCCATTCTGTTAAAGGTGGGATTTAGTAAGAGCATCATATTAGACAAATCTCATCGAGAGATTTCCCCTCTCCAGAGCTGAACAATTAATGGAGCTATTAGAACTAGTTTATGGAGACTTTGTACAGAGGTGTTTCTTGATTTATATCATTTTCCCCAAACAGTTATTTTCAGAATGTTAAGAAACTTTTGAGATGAAAAAACAAAACTCTGACTTCTTGGCATCATCTTTTTAAAAACTATTTTCTTTAAGAAAGCCATATAGCCTTCTTAACATGACCTACTCCCCAAGATGAGGAATACTTAATGCCCCTTCCCTGAATAACTAAAAGAAAAATGCCTGCCATGATATAGGGAAAAACAGTTGGTTCCAGTGTTTTCAGTTGTTCACAACAACCTTTGACATCCCAAATATTTAGAGCTATTTTTAAAATTCATTTTTAGGAACAAATCATCTGACAATATGGATTTTATTTATTTGTACTGTTGATTAATCAAAGAGCCTAAAATCTTGTTCAAAGGGAAAAGAGGGTATTTATTGGCTTTGCAGAGGTTACTTGGCACAAACACTATGCTTTAAATTTAGTTGCGTGTCTAGATAACCCCTGTTTTTTATGATTTGCATAGAATAATTTCTCATTTGCAGTTTATTGCTGCACTACTTGTTTGATCAAGCCTTAGAGTCACATGCCTCTGATCCCTTTAGATCTATTGATGGAGCTTGGAATAAAGCAAGTACATATATGCTAGTATTTTACTAGATGCCAGACACTAGTGCCAGGCAGCACTAGGCACATTTAATGCATCATCTAATTCAATCTTCCTGTGTATGTGCTTGGTACTATTATTACTTTCAAAGAAGCTAATTATCCTGCAGATACAATTAAATCACAACAATATAGAGATTATCTAGATTACTTCATACCCAGTGCCTGGCCCAGTCCAGCACAAAGGAGGCCTTCAATAAATATTTGTAGAATGAATGATGCCATCTGTTGACTATCCGGTAGGTTTTTAGAACTAATAGTTCAAATTATCTTCTTGTTTCAATATATGGTGTAATTTTCATAAATATCTTGTTTTAAAGTATCTATTTGGCCACCTTATTTGACCACCTTAAGACCAATGTGTATTTAAATTTTCCGAGAAAGTTCGTACTTTTTCTTAAGTATAAAAATCCACTGACTTTCTGCTGCATAGAACACTACTGATTCTCTGACACGTGAAAAAGTCCATATATGTATTATATATATTAAAATGACAGTCCTAGTGTGTGTGTGTGTGTGTATATATATATACTCTAGGAATGTCATTTTAAAAATACGCTGCATATTACTCGTCTATCATTTTTCTTGTTTTCTTATGTTAATGAAAACTTTTCTCACTCAGTCTTTCCACCCGTCAAAGAAAAGAAATCACTCTTGTTCTGTGAGAGTATATGAATGACTCAAACCGTAAGATATCCAGTGACTTAGAAATCTGTATTCCTGTCAGTGAAGGAAGACCCACAGTGTTTGCCTCAACAAAAAAACTGAGTGGTTCACTCCTGGGCTTTTTTAGCCATTAGTTTCAACACCAAGAATTCCATTGTTATTCTATAGATAGAATAACAGTAGAATATAGATACGTGTTCTATTGTGTTCTTTGCAGTGTCATTGTGTTTATACATGTGGTTTTGTCATGTGGTCATGCTTCTGACACGTAGGAACTGAAAACCAATATATGAGGGAAAGCCTCCTGTAAAATGAAGGAAGCAAGGACTAAATTGTGTGCTTCTCACATAGCAACCGTGATAAATTAAAAGCATAAATTGCATATTCTCAATGGAAGGAAAATCACTTGCTGACGAAACTAAAGATTGTGAAAATAAAGTCACAAACAGCCATTTTTTAAGTCTCTAATTCTAATACTCCTTATGACACTAAAATAATGAGACTATGAGATAGCTTTGCCTCTTAATAGACTGATACTCAAGGAGGCCAAATGTGTAGTCACAAACAGTTGAAGAATGACTGTTTCAGTGAGTGGCATTGAGGAATGGTATTTCAATGAATGACATTCCAGGAGGAATTGAGAGATACCTCATGAGTGAGTGCTGAAAAAGTAATTGTCAAAGCATCATAAAAATGTCTAATTGTGAGTATTTGTTGAACATTGGGAAGGTTACGAAGAAAGTAACAAATAGCTCCTGCCCTCCTGTGAGCTTGTAAGAGTTCACACTTACATACTAACTATTATTACGGTTTATTGATAACACTATTTGGGGACTTTTAAAGAGGAGCCACTCTGAACTGTTTGAAACTTAGAAAAGTAATTCCAGGGGATGAATGCTTCATGATAACAGCTGCTTGTCTCTTCATCCATATTGTGTTTTTGTTTTATTGTACTGCCATTACTGCCAAAACCTCTGTATTGTCAATAATATCTAAGTGTTCAGGTATACTTGCCAAATTTTTAAATACTGCACTTGAAGAAGCATTGATGTAATTGATGTAATTGACACGCTTTTTCTTTATAAACATATTTGTATTAATCTTAAAAATTGGGATTTTTCCCAATACCATGGCAAACAGTTCTTTATTGAAGACTTCGTTAAATCAGTTGGGGTCAGAGTCAAAGGACTAGTCTGGTTGAATTCACGCAGCAAGAGCCCTAGCAAGATTAGGCAAGAAGAGCTACTTAGGACCACCTTGGAAGGAGCCTGTAGCCTTAGCAGGCAATTCAGATTTTCCTGGCTTCCTTACAAAGAAGAGATTCAGTGTTTGTGAAAGTGGAGTGAAAGTAAGAGCATCGTTAATATTGTTTATGCATGAACAGTGAAAACAGTTTAAGTGAACAAATCATGTAAAACCTGTTACTTGATCATTCACAGATATGTAAGGCATGACTACCTACAAAACAGTGTCAGACTATTTTCCTCATGGATTCATTCCTTTCAAGTCCTGGGTAGGTCAGGGTTGTTAATAAGTTCTACCACAATGGGAAGTTAACTCTGGAAGATGCTTACATTCATTTTTCTCTTTCCTTAATGGAACTGAAAGTTTTGTATCAGCATATTTCATTAAGATACCAACAGATTCAAAGAGGGTGCTATATTTCCAGGTCTATTATAGCTGCCATTCCAAACAAAATATGTATGACTCTATGATTCACTAAGCACAAGTATGTAGTAATCTGCCCTTTAATGGCCTCTCAAAATGACAGAACAAATGGCTTTGTGAAGGTCAAGTCTGATTTAAATGGTTGATGAATTAGTAGCTAATTCTGCATGATTGAATATTAATATGGAACAGTGATAAGTAAGGCACTTTAAAGCTTAATGAGCACATTAATGAATAGGACAAAATGTTTTTCTTTTCACCTCATGTAAAAGTTTAAAGCTACTAGCATATTGACAATTTGTTAATTTTTGCTAGCTGCTTTTTCCTGTGAAAGTTTGTGTGGTTAAGTTATTAAGGATATTGATTTGATTCCCAAGTTCCTGGTACCACACATTTGAGGAGCCGTCAAAATTGATGTTATCAAATGGCCAAGGCAGTTTTATATAAATCACTAATAAATGTGGAAGGTGAAGAAAAAAGCAATTAACGTCTTCTAAACTACACCCACGGAGATAAGCATTCCAATTAGAAATTTCATTATTTCTACAGTTTGTTTTATGTTGAATACTGAGTTTTATTGCCAAATACCTGACAGTCAAATTGGAAACAAGCCACAACTGTCAACGTGTAACAGCTCTGGCTATTTGAATCTGTTACATTGTGATGTTTCTCATGAAAATTTAACGAAGAAAGTGCATTCAAAGAGATTCTGTGCAAAGGGGGATGGATAGAATTTAATTACCCTTATTAAAAATAAGAAAGGAACGCTCTTTACATTTTCTGTCCCATTAGTATGCAAGAAAGATTATCTTTGTTGTGCACTCGTGTATATGAAAAGGGGGCTCTGGAGTGTTCTTTATGAGCCAGGAAGGAAGAGAAAGGTCATGAAAATGTATTAGACTGCTTTTCAGGAAGGTACAAGTCAATTTTGTCGGCTATCCCCAAGGTGAGGACTATATTTCTTATAAACGGTTATTAAATCTAGATTTCTTTGGTAAGAGCCTTTAGTAAGTGGCTTAACAATCTTAAGCCTTTGGCACTTGCCACTGATCAGCACTGAATATTGGCTCAGTTCTTCCGAGAGATGAACTTGTAGAAGAAAAGTAATGACTAGCAGAGCAGTATTTATGCAGGCAAATGTAACTAGTACTTAAACACCATGGGAGAGATACAGTGTCCTAGGACATACAGAAACCACTCAGGAATCGCAAGGTGATTTTTGATTAACCTAAGTTGGTTGC
Organism: Homo sapiens; assembly: GCF_000001405.40. Classification (NCBI taxonomy): domain Eukaryota; kingdom Metazoa; phylum Chordata; class Mammalia; order Primates; family Hominidae; genus Homo; species Homo sapiens. Next base: position 8,531,583 of record NC_000009.12, on the reverse strand, counting down.
TTTAAAAATGGAACATAACAACAACAAAATCTAAGAGCTTTTTCAGAAACTCATTTTTATGAAGGCGGTATAGTTGGTGTTGGAGCACTTGAGGTAAATTACTTTTATCCTTTGAAGCACTTTGTGTCAATAGCTGCCAAGTGAGATATTTAATAACATAACGTGTGTGGTATAGCAGCTATTGATCTTTCTGCTCCTTTTTCCCCCCAGCAACATCAGAACTATGTTGTAGATGTAAATATATTGGCAAAACCTTTAAAGCCATAAAGAACAGCCTGATGAAATTCATGTGGAATAGATTATTAAAACCAGCATAGCCTAATTTGCATCCCACTTTTAATTTTTAACTTTCTCTTGGAGCCTTGAAAAATCATCTTGAAATTCAATTTTTAACTACTGTTTCTGACACTTGTCTACTGTAGACCTCTGCTTGGCTGACGATGTGTAAACATTCACAAAAACAATGTATTACTGCTTCCACAAATGAGCCACATCTTTCAACTTAAGTGAAGTTCAGCTCATTGCAGTTAATTATTTTTATAAGTGTGTTTAGTACCCGGCCCTAACTACCTGGTCTGATAGGAAGGTATTATGTCATGAATCAGGTGTCAAATCAAACTTGCCTCAGCTTCTTTTGGTCCTTCACAGACTGTGTTAGTAAAAGATAGAAACTTTCTATCCTGCCCAGCGGGAGAGCCAGAGTCTACGCTTTTCCTTAATAGTCCATCAATTTTATCTTACAATAACTGCATCTGTTCAGTGAAATTTCTCTTTCTTGGGAGCTTTAATCTTTGGTAGCATCTTACATTCTTTCGCCATTCACATTCAGAATCTCTCTGGTCCCTAACTATTTAACTGGTTGCCTCTCTACCAGAAGTTCTGCATAGTAGGATATATATATTTTTTAAACAGTCACTGATATATATTCATACTTAGGCTTAGGAATCAGTGGAGTTTCTCTTAAAATCTGGAAACCCAGGCTAGCATGATTGCAAGGGAGCAGAATACAGATAAAACATGGAAGAACTCCTGGTGTGGAGGGATAAACTCATGAGTTAATAAGTACAAGACAGTGGATTTGAGTAGCCGCTGCTATGGTAGCTCTGAGGAGGAAAGAATGAAATATGTTTGAGAGAATTTGGAAAAGATTTACAAAGAAGGTGACTTTGGCTGCGTGGCTTCCTAGAAGCACGGAGTACCCAGCAAACATGATTTGTCTGGGAAGTGGTGAGAATTTCAATGTGGGCAGAAGAAAAATTTCCTATGAGAGAGTTGATCCCTAAGAGGCTGAGAAAAATGAGACCTGATTGAAAAGGACTTTGCTAGTGAGGTTTAGGAGACTGAGTTTACCCCTCGGCTCTAGAGGGAGAGAGTTGGAGAACACATGCTGTTGACTGGCAACACGGTGGAGGCATCAAAATGGAGCTTCTTCATTAGAAATTCTAACATAACCTCAGTATGATTCACCATCAACTGTGAATTCATGGATTATACTGGAGCTTGTAGGAGGCACCCAAGGAGAAGCGATATGCCAGATCTGATGATATCTAATGTTCTGCTCGCTGCTGTTTATGCTTTCGAGTAATTTTAGAATTGGTGGCTTATGAAAATTTATCAGTGGCCGTGAGGGGGTATTGATTAAATCAATGCCAGACTCAATTGGAAGTAAAAATATTTCATGATCACGAGTTAATGGGTACAGCAAATCAACATGGCACATGTGTACATATGTAACAAACCTGCACGTTGTGCATATGTACCCTAGAACTTAAAGTATAATAACAAAAATTCATGATCTTCAAACAAATGGCCATGTTCTAATTTGGATAATTGCCACCCATCTAACTAAAATTCTTTCGATGCTTAGATAGAACACACCTTTCTAATCCTGGCTAGAAGAGCTGGCAATGTCAGTTATCAGTGTGGAGCATGATTGTGGGATTTAAGTGATTTTAATTTCTCAAGAGCTGGGATCTGGAACAGTTTCGATGTGGGTAGCAAAAAGTGAATTTTGCATGAGTTGGAGATTCAAAATTTAGGAATTTCAACTTTTTAATTACTGAAAATGATGCAGATCTTTGGGATGGAGGAAAGCATTCTCTTATCCCTGTAAGGAACATGTGTTTTTGTGCCATTAATAAGGAGTTGCTTTTGCTCTTCTTTTTCAAAGCATCCTCAGACAATTTTCTGGTTAATTGAAGCTCTTACAAAGTAATCGATTTGGGTTGAACCTTATACTTGTGAGGGAAAACAGAGTTATAAGAAAAACATACCAGCTTTGAAACAGATAGCGTGACCTAGCTTCTGCTTGTTCCCCAAGTACTCTCCAAGCTGGCACTGTTGGCTTCCATGCTTCTCTCTCGGCAAAACCTTTCCTACCTCAATGCCTACACTTGTGACATTCCCGAATCTTTCTAAAATCTCCTTCTCCCCTTTTTGTGACTTGGCCGATTGTGTTCTTTCCTAAATGCCTACTTTAAATCAGAGCTTCCTCTGGGTACTCACTGATCTCAAGCACAAACCCTATAATTATTTCTCCCTCTTTGCTCTTGGAAAACTCACTGCATCCCCTCATCATAGTCGGCCCCGTCTGAGCTCTGTGTTAGTCTGTTGGCCTCTTACATAGAGTGTTTACTCTTCTGATCAGTAGCAGCATTGTGACTGTGTTCTAATTTATTAGTGCCTGGTTTGTGTTAGGTTCTCAACAAGCACTGAGTAAGGTAAAGAGAGATTTCTGGGGAATCTCTTGAATTTGGAGCATCTGACTTATTAACTGAATGTTTCTATCACCTTTTGTCTTGCAGAAGATCAAATTCCCAGGGGCTTCCCTACCATTGACATGGGCCCACAGTTGAAGGTGGTTGAGCGTACTCGCACGGCCACCATGCTTTGTGCAGCCAGTGGTAATCCGGATCCAGAAATCACTTGGTTTAAAGATTTCTTACCTGTGGACACAAGCAACAACAATGGTCGTATTAAGCAGTTACGATCAGGTAGGGTCTTGTTACTGTTTCTACTAACTCCTAGAGAATTTTTTTTTTTAATTTTTCTCTCTCCTTATTTTTAATTTTAATTTATTTTTTATTTCTAGGTACTGATTTTTCTCCCTCTTCTCTTTCTCTGTTACTTAATGGGTGGTCCATGTTTGTGATGTCATAGCCTGTTTCAGAGTCTGTCTTTCTCCTTTTCTCTGTGTGTTTTGCAGCTTCTGTTTAATCCACATTGCTCACTGCTGTGACTGTATTTTTGGTAATTTTTTAATTTACTGCTTTTTCGCAGTATTTGATGGATCCATTTTCTCCTCTTTCTTTCTTCTTTCTCTGTTTTCTTTTGAAACAAATTTATTTCAACATTGGACTTCATTCAGAACTTGCAAGGAGATCCAATGGTTGTATCCATTAAAAAATAAAATGTTCATATTAAACCCTAAAATGTTTCAATTTTATTAAAGTATGTTTTCTGCTATCTTTTCTACATTTGAACTCATCAAAGTACCAAAGTTTAGTAAGTCTGGGCACATCTGCTTTCTTTTCACTAATACATAAAAACACAGAAACGTTATCTCATGAGTAACCAGATGTATGTTTTTAAAAGTCTTTAGAAAATACCAGTAAAAGGAGGGGATTTTTATTAATACTATGATAATAACATTGTGAGTGAACATTTTCTACACATTAGCCACAGTAGTGTGCGCCCGTCAAGGTTTTTGAACCCTCCAGTGACTGGATCTACAGAAGTCTGCTTTTGGTGTAGACTCCAGCTTTTGCTGTTTTCTCTCTCTCTTTACCCTTTTCTCCTTTTCCCATTCCCATCCCAAGTTTATGCCTTTGCTCTCTTAGATTAAAAGTAGAGATAATTCTAAATTTCTTAAGTTTTAGAGCCTGTCCCTAGGTAATTTCACAGGGATATATAATAATAAGCTGTTTACTTTGACATTGGTAGTAATATTGGTATAGAATTCTAAGTTGTTTAACTGCCTGTCTTCCCAGAATTCTCAGCTTTTGACCTGTCCTGTGATGTTAAAGCGTCTTGTTAACTGCCTCTTTTGCTTGTTGTCAGCAGAATTGTGTAGATTAGCATTCTGTTATTGTAAATGAAGAATTAATTATTCACATGTAACATAGATGATTTAGTATATAAAGCTTTAACTCTGAAAAATTTGTACCAAATTATAAGGAATATAATAATATTTTTATGCTGTCTTTCTTCTCTCCGTATTTAAATCTCCAGAATCTATTGGTAAGTGCTTAGTTCTGAAGCGCACTTCAACCCCACTAATTTCCATATCCAGAATATTATTATTATTATTAATAAAATGCATGGCATGCATTTTACTAACTGTCAGTGTAGACACCAGATCTCTGTAGTGGCTCCCACACACACCTCCACAGAACTGTTATCGTAAGAACACTGTGCAGAAAAATTAAATAGTACACAAGTTATGGCACACCAATGTAGCATAGCAAGTAGTATAAGATATCCAATCAACAATGTTTGTTTCCAGTTAGTCTTTAGTGTTTCCTATCACAGTATATATATATATGCATATCTATATATATACTTAAATAGATTAGCCAGTATTTTCCTAAACTATGTCTTTAAAAATATTGTATAGTTTTTTTTTAAGAGATATGAGGCATATAAGATATAATTCTAACCCTATATGACCCCAGACCTGAAAACTCAGTTGCTTCTCTGAGAAAGGCAATGCTGCCTATTGCGGTCTTTACCCTCTGTGGTATAATGCAACTTGTTTTTTATGATCTAATAATACTATCTAATATATTCCTGTTTTACCAATATAGTAATTCAAGTTTCTTTTAAGACCTTATTTAATTCTGTAAATCTAATTTAATTCTTCTCCCCAGCCCTAGCCTCCTTCTTCTCGTACTAATGCTTCTTCTTTCTAATCTTATTTGCATTCATATTATCCACCCAGGTGGTACACCAATAAGAGGTAAGAGTGCTGAACTAACGTTCACAGAATGATCTTACTCATTCTTTCTGTCCTTTCATCCCTCTCATCTTTGTCCTGTTTTCAGCGTCATTCCAATAATGTCCATCAACTTTTTTTTTTTCTTTGTACTGTTTGGTTATGATCAGTGACTCTCATATTGTGAACTTTCCTTTCCTTTTTCTTTCTCTCTTTGTTTTGTTCATTTCTTTCTTTATGAAAATGATTATTTAAGTTGTGATATGCTTCAAAGAAAGCATATCCAGGTCTTTAGACCACAGACCAGTCACAGCGTACCATCTGTCCCTCTTTTTTTTTCCTTTTCTTCTTCTTCCTTTTTCCTTTTTCTTTTTTTTTTTCTTCTTTTTCCTTTTTTTTTGTCCAACCGGAGAAAAAAAAAGATCATTTTTTTTCTTCCTTAGCTGTTCTTGTTCTGGACCAAAGCCAAGGTGGTCTGGAGAACAGTGGCAGACATGCAGAAGACACCCTGGAGCATCTGCTTTTTGTCTTTATCTTTCAAAAGGTTTTTGCTTTTGTTCTTCAATTCTTTTTTCTCTTAATGTCTTAAAAGTCAAAGAATGACTCCCCTTTCCACCTGATCCCACTCGTCTACAATCTGACAGCAATGCTTTTTTCCCCACTTCTTTTTTTCTTGGATTACTCGTCTCCGGATTTTTGGATCTTCTGTCCTTCAGGCTATGGAAACAAAAGGTGCTCAGTATTCTTGGTGGTATGTGGTATTGCTGGTTTTTCATACTTCGACTCAGTGTGCATTTCTTTTGTAATTCTTGTTTTGTATTTTTCTTGGGGTTTTGTGACACCACACTGCTAATCCCACTGGTGGATTTTGATGGGTGTCTTAGGGGATCCATCTCAGGGTCCTCAAGCAGTGGTTGGTTGGCTCTTCCTTGTGGCACAGGCCATGCCTTTTAACTTTTTAAAAATCTTCTAATTCAACTGCTCTTTGTTTTTCAGCAAACGTAATAAATGATTGTAAGTCGTGGAAAACTGTCTTTCTTTTCTTAAAAATCTGCATGTCTTAAGGGAGTTTTGTTTCTTTAAGTGATATTTTGATAATTTATAATGACTAATTTTAATTTTTTGCTTTGTGCAGCCTTTTTGTGCTCGCTGCGTATTTTTGGCTCTCTTCAGCAGAAGACTTTCTTGAAAACCCAGCCTGGTTTTTTTTGAGCGTACCTATCTTTTGCGCCACTTTTGGTACCCAAATGAAACAAAACAAAACCAAAAATTAATCTTTTGTTTTATTTAAAAGCCATACTTCCTTGAAGCAGTCTCACCCATCTTCATTTTATTAGTCTAGGAAATAAGAGTGTTAATTATGACTAGAAGTCTTGCTTGGGAAAAGAGATATTGATTTCTAATGCTAGCATTGATGATGTAAAAAAAAAAAATAATCTCTATATGTTTTTCTCATCGCATCATTTTCTGTCTGTGCAACTTAGCAAGAGATTGAATCGACGTTGAGTGGACCTTCGCTTTGCAGGGCTTTTCATATTGTTAAGAGGTTTAGCTTTCTGAACTGAGAAAGCCTTCTCTGATCATCTCTTTGGCAATATATTTTATATCCATACAGGAGCCCTTCAGATTGAGCAGAGTGAAGAGTCTGACCAAGGAAAATATGAGTGTGTTGCCACCAACAGCGCGGGCACTCGCTATTCCGCTCCTGCCAATTTATATGTCAGAGGTAGGAATGACATAACCCTGGCATCGCTTCTTCATTCAGGCTCAGGGGGAGTTGAGACGCCGCAGGGTCCGTGTTGTTATATTAGTAGTTAACAAGCTGGTTTGGTAATAGTGACCGTAGCTGAAACATGTTAGTAAATAGAAAAGTTAAAAATTTAAAATGTGTTGTTTAACTCCAAAAGACAACTCTTGAGTATAATCTGTCCTGAGGCTTGGAGTTTGTAAGTATATTTGCATTTTTACATCTTGGTTTCTATTTTTACTGTATTGATTGAACTGTGCTTTGCATTTGTTTGAGGTTTTCTTCTTTTTCTTTCTCTTTTTTTCTGTTGTTTCTCTTCTGTTTCCTTATTAAACCCCTGAAATAATTGCTTGGTGTGCTACTAATCAGTTCTCTGTGCAATTCCAAGCATAAAGGTGTTTATGTCTTCATGACCCCTGCTGCTGAAACTGTAAGGATAAAGCTGCTAACTCTATAAAACAAGTGCTACATGCAAATAGCACAGTTGCATTTCTGTCTTCGTATACTTTCTTAATTATAAACACATAGTATTATATATACATGTGTATTCATATATGTGCACATATGTACACCTTTTTGTTTGAATTATTAAGACTTACCGAAACATTTAGTTTTTTGATTGCAATGGAAAACTGTATTTTAAATAGTAATGTGAGTTGTCCTTGAGACAAGAATGAATTATGAGGATACATTCATATGTTCTCATGAAGTAATAGAAATGATTAAACTGTGAGCTTATGAATGGCTATGCCTTTCCATTCAACTAGAAAGAAGTACTTCCTCTTCCCGAGAGTTCTCAAAGCCAGTTCCTGTAGTTTTTTTTATCCAGTGGAAGTGTTCTTATTCCTGGTCTACATATCTGTGAATAACCACAAAGGCATGGGTGGGGGTGGGATTAAAGAAAAGACTGAGAGGGCTTTAAGTTACAATAGGATGGGTTCCCTTAAGAAAATACCTAGCTTGATTTTGAAATTTTTGTTAGAGGTAATTTTGTTTCCCTGGGGATGTTTTTCTCTCCTTTCTTTTTTTATGGAGTCTGGGGTGGGGAAATATGAAGAAAGTCATTTCTTCTCTAAATTCTTCGAAAGTCCCTTGATCCTTTTTCCACAATAGTGACCTCCCTTGCTGCATGAGGCATGTGTACCTTCTTCCATGGAAAATTTCAAAATGATGCTAGCTATTGTTTCTAATACCATGTTAGTCTGTGAGATATTGCTAACTTTTCCAGCTGAGATAGGAAGGATGAACTAGAGCGAATAAAGATGTTCAAGTAGCAGTTGAAAGCCTTGATATGGCCTTTTTACTCTCTCTGTGTTTCCCTTGTTTTTCTCCTTTCCTCATTTCATTGTGTTCTGCATCAAACCCCCTACATCCCTCAGAGCTGCGAGAAGGTTGGTGTGTTTTTTACTTTTTACCCACCTTACAAAACTATTAATTAAACCAATAACAAAGAATACAAATGAAATGAATGTAGCTGCATTGTGTTCTTCTTTTGGTTAATGGTATGTTTTAGCAGAGAATGCCCTGGCCATGGCTTCTGGTGCTTGCTGGTGGTATCTAACTGTGGTGCATGGTGGGAGAGAATGTACCTGGGTGCATGGTAACTGGTAACACTTAACTCTGTAAGGTCCAGTGAACTTGGTCAGTGTTCCTGCTTTCCTTCCTGCTCCACTGTCCCCATCTCCCACCCTGCCTTTAATTTCTGTCTTATAAGGATGCCTGCTGCCCATAGAATGACTTTTTCTAGTTTCTCCCCTAATCCCAAGCATGAAGACTAAACTCTCCTCCATTTTTCTTGATATGTTCTTTGATACCTCAGAGTCTACACTGGCTCCTGCTTGCTTTGTGTAACCTCTGTGAATTGGCTGCAGGAGGCATGCTTAGCTTTCTCTTCTTCTCCTATGACTGTCATTCACCCATGAGGCCATTGCAGTGAGCCATCTCAAATAAGCGGAGGTTTATCTCGACCTTAAGAGCAGCCAAAAAGTTTTCAGACAGAATTACTTATCTTCTTCTTGGGGTTATGAGGTTACTTATCAGTTTATTTATAATTTTTAAAAAATCTTTATTAAATGTATTTAAGGTGTGCTCCCTAAAGATTACCCTCTAGATCTCAAATTCTTATGGTATGACATTTTGCCAGTAAAAGCCCCAGATGAAACCAATTTATCTTTCACTTTCTCCTTGTATCACATCCAAAACACATTTACTTAAACACACATAAACCTGCAGATTATCTGAAGCAGGAACACTGAACTGAAATTGCTTGGTAATTTTTCTGTGTTATGTTGCTTTAATATGATCTCTTCTCTTAATGTCATGTCCTGCTGTATGTTTTAGATCCAGTGTCCCTCAATTTGAATGTGGGCATAAAAAGCCTTTTAAAAGATTTTGTTGTCATTTATGTTGTTTTACCTTTGATATGAATTGAATGGAATCCTGTATGTGAAACACCCAGCTCCCTTTCTGAATTTGCAATCCTTACCTTTAACAACTTGAGCTTAATCTTCTGTCTTTCAACCCTGTCATCCCCTAAGTCCCTGTGTTTCAATCGTTATACTTTACCTCCCCCTTTCACGTTTATTTCTATTGCCCCCTTATTTCTTCTGCGGTCATTGCTGTCTTGGATTCCAGCCATTCTTTCAATATCCTTAGCACGGGCCTTGAGATTCCATCTTGTGCATGCCTTGCATGACCCAATCCAGTATCTCTACTGGTGTTAGCCTGTTTCTTCTTCTGTGACTGTAAATCAATATGTATATACATTTCTGTGTTTGTTCCAGTGTTAGTGTGAGGTCTTGAGGCTGCATCCACTATGAATCTGAAAACATAAAGTGCACTTTCAGTGTACTCTAGGTGATGTTTTCCAGGGCTGGGATGTGACAGTGTGGTCCCACACCTACATTCACATCAACTGGAAGTGCACAGCACTGAAGTTGGTTTTGATACTCAACTTAAACATGCTGGTGACCTTCCAGCCCCCTTTTCTGCATATACATGCCTGCATAGAATCATTGTTATATGCCTGCATGTATATGTTTTTGTGTTTATCTTATGCATGATGTTTGTGTATTGTTAGTTTGTAGATAGTTTTTTGTGGGGCCCTTGTAGGTCTGAATCAACTTTTGTATTAGTGTGTCTAAGATATCAATGACTAAACTAAATAAATAATTCTGTGTATACACACACCATACTTGTATGGTCTGTATTATCCACAGTTTTTCTTTATGTTTTGTTTTTGGACAATCCACAATGTTTCAATTGTTGAATCGTGTCTGTACGGTGCATGTCATGTGTTTAATAATCCACTTTTTCTTGCCTTGTATATGTTATCATTTCCCTTGTGTTTTGTTCCAGTTCGCCGTGTCCCACCAAGATTCTCTATCCCACCCACTAATCATGAAATCATGCCAGGCGGAAGCGTTAATATCACCTGTGTGGCCGTGGGGTCACCAATGCCTTATGTAAAGTGGATGTTGGGGGCAGAAGATCTGACACCTGAAGATGATATGCCAATAGGAAGAAATGTGCTAGAACTGAATGATGTAAGACAGTCAGCAAATTACACCTGTGTTGCTATGTCAACACTGGGTGTCATTGAAGCAATAGCACAGATCACTGTCAAAGGTATGCTCAATGGATTATGCTTTGAGGATCTGGGTACACTCAAGCCAAGTGACTAATGCCTCTAGAAAGCCCATCCTTGAAAATCTAAAATAATTCATTATTCAGCATTTTAAATGTGTGTATAACCTAATCATATCTGTGGTATTATATAACATGCATAAGCCTAGATAGGCGGATTTTTTCTTGGAAGTATCTGGCAGCCTATGTAGAGATAATCATCAGAATATTAAAAGACAGTCCATGGAGGCCCAGGCACTAACCAGACAGAACTAGGAATTTTACACATGGTCGACCATTATGGTGGGACTGATGTGTACAGTCTACATACTAGACCAGAACCTTGATAAGAACCCCAAGAAAAGTCAATATGAGCATTAATAAATGCTTAAAATTTCTAAATACAAAGGAAAAAGAAGAAAAAAAAAGTTGAAATCAACATAGTCTAGTAATAGATGATTTAACTTTTTGGTGAGCCCTACTATTAAAAATCAAAAGGCAAGTAAGAGTATATTCTGTTGTAGTTTTATCTTTCACCTTGCATAGATGAGTGCTCAAGGAATATTCTTTCCTTTAAAAAACAGACTAAATATAACCAAAGTACTATATTACATGAATATTTTTGAACTAAAGAGAAAGAGTACAAGCATGTAAGGGTACCGTTTTTTTTTCCCCTAGTGTTTATAGAATTCTAGAAAGTGTTTGCAAATTGAGTCAGACATAGGGCAACTTAAGTTTTCTGCAGATGGCTAGAACTATTGCAAAATGAACACAAATTATCTTCTTTTCCTAGGCAATGTTGTAGGCATTTGGAATTCAGCAGCAAGTAAGAAGTACAAGTTTGCTACTCTTGAAAAGCTGCCATTCTAGGGGGTGATCTTAGAAAATGCAATACACGTTATAATTGGTATCGCATCTCTAACCAAGCGTATATATCAAATATATGCTATATAAAACTAATGACATGAGAACAAAGGTACACATTGTCAACATTTACAATCGTGAAATAATGTTATATTGTGTAACCTTAATATAATAAGCACACATGTATTTATCCGTACATTACAGACATAAAACCTGTACTGTACAATAAATGTGACTTAGTGAAACTAATAATGTCAGCTAAATATCAGTGAGCACAGCTTTAATTAGCAATATTTGTATTTGCTTTGAAAGTTCAGAAAGACATGTAGGGGAAATCTGGAGCACACACAGCCTTGAAAAATGCCAGGTCAGAATATTTAAACAAATTTCATTTTATTATTATTTTCAGTAAATTCCCTTGACAAAATACTATCATTCTGTAGTTCTTTGAGTAGTGTGTAAATATTGAATCACCTTTTTTATAATTACCATTTCAGCTTTAAATATTTGAAGGCTTGCTGAAGACCTTTAAGAATTCAAAAGCAGGGGCCACTTTAAACTAATATTTTGTTCACCTTCTCATCTTTGTTTTCCTGACTCTTGCCACTTCCCTGTCTTTTCCACCTCAAAAATAAACAAATAAAACATAAGAGTGAATCTTAATGGCAAATTAAAATAAATCAAAACAAAAGAACAGGTTGAAGAGAATGAGGTGAATGGGTGCTGACTCATTTATTCAGTTAACTGTTTAACGATTCTCATTAAAAACCTACCGAGTGCCAGGCAGCATTCTAGGCATTCACAATTTTACAGTAAGTCAGAAGTACAAGTTTGCTGCTCTTGAAAAGCTGCCATTCTAGGGGGTGTTATACTTCTTGCCTTTATGTTGGCAAGGAAACAGGGACACTAATGGGCTGATTATATGAATGTTACCCTTTGAGATTTCTCTAAAGAGTCAACTATTAGAATGCCCCTTCCTACCCTAATAGCACTGCGTTTCAGAATCATTGTTTAGAATAAGGCACTTGAATATGAGGTCAGCAAAGCAGACAGTTTATATTTTTAATTAGTAGTATTTTGATTTGTATTCTTCTGCTAAAAAGAAAGAATTAGACCTCTAAAAAGATGGATTTTATTGCAAATATTTGTCATGTAGCTACATTGGATATTTCTGATGTGGAATATAGAATGCATATTAATATGACCATAACATACCTTAAAAAGTGATTGGTGAATGTGCCTTAATTTACTTCCTTCAGCAATTTTTAAATATTAAGAATAAAGCATTGATTTGAAATTTCTATTCTTTTGCACCTTAAAATTTTTGGTTTTTCATTTACAAGAAAATTTTTAGTAATGGTATTGTGTCTTACCAGAATATAGATGTTATTGTTTCATCGCAATTTAATTTCATTTCAATGTATTCCACATTTTGTTCTTTTCAATGTTTATCGGTATTTCAGTTATACCATTTATTTATTGGGGCAAGGGGCTAATTGGCCAAGCTTTTGGTATAATAATAGTAATAACTGCAGCTAATACTAAGGTTTTTTTGTGGGTTCCAGTTACATTCTAAGAATCTTAGTGGATTGGCTCATTAGTCTTCACAGCAAACCCATGAAATACAGTTACATACAGCTGTATAATATGACTTAAATAATAATATTTTTCCCATTTCCACATGAGGAAACTAAAGCAAAGAGAGGTTAAGAAATGCGTGCAGGATCACTTAGCTAATAAGTAGAGGATTTGGATACAAGCCTAAAAATATGCTATCAAGCCCTTCTAGGAAAGCAGGATTTGTGTCACCTATGAATGTTTTCCTGTCCTTCTTGGCCATTCAGAAAACTACTCTTTGCTATAATTTCATTTAATTAAATCTTCAGTAGATACATAATCCTGTCATTTTCATAGTAGAGTTTATAGATTTTTGAAATATTATAGGGATGATGGGTAGTCATTGTCTTTTATCTTCCCCCATCCAAGCCTTACCCAAACCTCCAGGAACTCCTGTAGTGACCGAGAGCACAGCTACAAGCATCACACTGACGTGGGACTCTGGGAACCCTGAGCCTGTTTCTTATTACATAATTCAGCATAAACCTAAAAACTCTGAGGAACTTTACAAAGAAATTGATGGGGTGGCGACCACACGCTACAGTGTCGCTGGACTAAGTCCCTACTCGGATTATGAATTCAGGGTTGTTGCTGTCAATAACATTGGGCGGGGGCCTCCCAGCGAACCTGTGCTAACACAAACCTCAGAGCAAGCACCATCCAGTGCCCCGAGGGATGTCCAGGCACGAATGTTGAGTTCGACCACCATTTTGGTACAGTGGAAGGAACCTGAAGAGCCAAATGGACAGATCCAAGGATATAGAGTTTATTATACAATGGATCCCACTCAACATGTCAACAACTGGATGAAACACAATGTAGCTGACAGCCAAATCACTACTATTGGCAACTTAGTGCCCCAGAAAACATATTCTGTCAAAGTCCTGGCTTTTACCTCAATTGGAGATGGTCCCCTTTCAAGTGACATACAAGTCATCACTCAGACAGGAGGTAAGTTTGGTTGAGGAGGGAAATAGGGCAGGAGGGAAGGGCTGGTGCAAAGAGGTGAGAAGGACAAAAACAAAGAAGGAACAAAGATGGTATGAATTTTAATTTTTGAGATTTAGGGCTTCAAAGCAACAGATGATAGATATCTGAAAAGGAACAAGCATGGACATCTGAAAAACTAATCATTTTGAGCAGAACAATGCATTAACACCCCTTCTTTTTAATTTGTATGGGAATGACTTGAAGACTTCTCTATGTGAGATAGAACAATGTCTCCCCCATGCCCAGTTTTGAGAATAGAAAAACGACACTTCTTTGTAATAGCTAGTATGGTAGAGTGGTCTCAAAAGAGTATTTAATTTGTGTAAGATTGGATGGTTCAAGACAAAGCTAAAAAATAAAACTGTTACAGGGCCTTGGGTATTTAAATGGCTTATATTTGCCAGAAGCTACTGGCTTGAAAATAAGTATTCTCTGAGTGGCTTTAATTTCTGTTTTTCTCTGTATGGCCTCAGTGGATAAAGAGAGACAGTTACCGAGATCTCAGATAGAACATTGGGCCTGATTGATTAACTTTGCTAAGAGCTACAGCAGACATTAGACTATTTTATGAAGGAAAACTTGGCCCTCCCAGTGGTTTTATTTTTCTAAGAGGTTATCAAACCTCTTTGGTCTTTGAGTCAAGGTGATCAGTTTGGCTTTGGGCTAATATAAAATAACAGGCCTCTTCTAAAGTTTATTCTTGAGCCACGCACAGTGGCTCACGCCTGTAATCCCAACACTTTTGGGAGGTAGGTGGATCACTTGAGGGTCAGGACTTTGAGACCAGCCTGGCCAATGGCAAAACCTCATCTCTATTAAAAATACAAAAATTAGCTGGGCATGGTAGCAGGCACCTGTAATTCCTGCTACTCAGGAGGCTGAGGCAGGAGAATCACTTGAACCTGGGAGATGGAGTTTGCAAGTTTGCAGTGAGCTAAGATTGTACCACTACACTCCAGCCTGGGTGACAGCAAGACTCCATCTCAAAAAAAAAAAAAAAAAAAAAAAAAGTTTATTCTTGAGCATCTGAGAGCTACTTCTTTGACTCCTTATTGTGTTGGCATCTTTTAAACCTGCATTAATCTACGAATGTTTTGGCATCATGCTGTTGGCTTGTTTTGAAATCTACATAATAATCATATTATTGGAGACAGTATAATCTGTAGACATAACTCATTGCTAATCCTGGCAATGAATTAATAAATTTTCTCAGATGCCAGTACTAGATAATGTACCTATCATCTATTTCACTGATACCTGTGAATCACTGACTTGTTTTCATGGCATGGTCTTTATATGAAGTATGTTTAACTATTTGTCCTTGCTTCTAGGAATCTCAGAGCACATTTATATTAATAGTTCGCCTGCCTTTATTTTCATACCATTATTTGGTTCTTATTGGCTTGTTCATGGATTTACTCTTTTCTCTATGACATTGTAGGAAAGCCAGCTATAAAAATATGTCTCACCACAGTTGTATTAAAAACTATCCATATATCTTCTCTGTGTGCCATTTGCAGTACTTCTGTATTTATTTGCTGTAGTAATATGCAGAAAAAAAATACTGTAGGCTGTTCTTACCAAAAAAGCTTCTCATTGGGAAATGTAGACATCCGTAAATCTTGTTTTGCTTTTTCTTGACTAAAAGTGGTTAACTATTATGAGATTGCTTTTTATTATACTGTTTTAGCAGCTACATAACAATTAAAAAATTCTAAGAAATTATATGGGAACTTACATTCCACTTTGAGCTTTTTAAATTTCTCAGCTGTGATTATTTTTTCAATCCCTGGTCTTGGAGTAACATAACCAGGGTTTGAAGCCCAAGCTTTCGTTTATTAGCTGTCACCTTAGGTGATTTATGTCATCTCTCTCTGAACTTCAGTTTTCTAGTCTATAATAATAACCACCTTATAGAGTGTAGTGGTTCTATTTGTTTTCTAGTGCTCCTGTAAAAAAGAACCACATACTAGGTGGCTTAAACAACGGGAATCTATTGTCTCACAGTTCTGGGGCCTAGGGAGTCTGAGATCAAGGTGTTGGCAGGATTGGTTCCTTTTGAAGGCTGTGAGGGAAATATACTTAATGCTGCTGCCCTAACTTCTGTTGGTTGGTTTGCTGGCAATCTTTGCTGTACCATGACATGTAGAAGCATCATCTGATCACTACCTTCATCTTTACATTATGTTCTTCCCAAAAGCATGCCTATGCCCAAATTTCCCTTTTCACTAGTACACAGTCATAACGGACTTGGGGTCACTCTTATGGCCTCATCTTAACTAATTCCATTGCAAAGATCCTATATTGAAATAAGGTTATGCTCTGAGGTACTGGGGATGAGGATGTCAACATATGGATTTTTGTGGGATGCAATAAAATTCATAACAGGGTATAGATTAGATAATGGAGGGAAACATTTTGTAACTTAATATGTAAAACATTAAATTATTAATATGTAATCATCATAATAGTAGCTAACATATGGAGGACACTATACTATGAACTTTGCATGTATTTATTCTCACAAACCAATTAGGCAGATGTGGAATTATCCCACTTGCCAATGAGTAAATTGAAGATCAAAGAGGATAAAACGTGATTCAGAAACTTGCCGTAGGTCGTAAGGTTACTAAGTGCAAAAGCAGAATTTAAATCCAGGGATTCTGGATACTTTTAACTGCTGTGTTAGTCCATTTTCACACTGCTATAAAGAGATACCCATGACTGAGTAATTTACAAAGGAAAGAGGTTTAATCGACTCACAATTTCACATGGCTAGGGAGAGTTCAGGAAACTTAGAGTCATGGCAGAAGGTGAAGGGGAAGCAAGGACCTTCTCCACATGGTGGCAGGAGAGAGAAGAGCAAAGGGGGAAGAGCCCCTTATAAAACCATTAGATCTCGTGAGAATTCACTCACTATCACGACAACGGCATAGGAGAAACCACCCCCATTGTTCAATCACCTCCCACCAGGTCCCTTCTTTGACACATGGGGATTACAGTTTGAGAAGAGATTTGGGTGGGGACGCAGAGCCTAATCATTATCAACTACCATTACCTTTTAAATTAATAATTTGCTTAATGTGATAGTTTTTGTGTTTTTATGCCAGTGTAGGTATTCAATAATGAAAAGAGGCAAGAGAGAAAAACGCAATTGTTTCATTTATTCATATATTTATCTAAGAATTATACATAACTTACTTCTGAAACACTGAGGTAGCTATTAGATTATTCCAGTGCAGAAGTACATGAAAACATTTAGAAATGGAAAAAAAAAAAAAAACTAAGTTTATCTAAAAGAAGTGGAAGGAAGAACATTTTTATGAAAGATCGTTACACTCAAGCAGTAAATCTGGCTGAAATTTAACTAAATTTAAATAAATTTGGCTCTAAGTTTTATAAGCACCAGTTTAAACATAGAAATCTATAGTGTTTCATATTTTTATTTTCTGATGGTAGGAAGATTATCTGAGAAACAAAATTTTTCCTAAACCTAATCCAACCAAAATGTGAATCTTAGACAATTGTGAGAATCCTTGTATTTAGAATGCTAAATGAAAAACCCTGATGCCTTCAGTCGTAATCTATTGAAAAATATAGAAGTAATGTTGAAGTAGACAGACCATATCTTTATTTTTTTATATGACCAGTGGACAGAATATGACATTGAATCATAACTCAGTGAAGGTAGCATTATCAGAGGGGCAACTGAGTTACTGTGAGCTGGGGACTCTACTTTCAAAAGCTCTGATTTAATTTAATGACAGAACTCAGAAAATCTAGATGAATGGGACATGGATATATTAGAATAGTTATTCCCACTCTGTTTAACTGACTTTTTTGCATGAAGATGTTTCCAAGAATCTTCCATAATAGTTTTACTTTTAATACATGTTGATTGAGAAGATATATAGTGATGTAATGACTGCCTGCCAAGCTCAATAAGCTAAGAAAACCTTCCAAAATAGCACAATGATTTGATCTGTTCTATAGGCTTAATTAAAAAGGCCAGTGGATATTAGTGGACACCTACCAAAAACAATGATGTTTGTTCTGATGTAATTAATGCCGAGCTGCTCCTTAAGAAAAAGGAGTAACAAGAAAGTTACTGACTAAAGAATTCTTAGGATGATTGCTAGGACGATAACCATTATGAGATATAAAATTTAAGGATATGATTATTTTCACTGCAATTTTTCTCCTCTAACCCTATAAAAATTTACTGATCAATAATATGTAGGAATTGAAGTACATTTTAAATACAAATACACAGAAATGTACATTTTGATGTCTTCTGTGTCTAAAAGGTACTCATTTAATTTTATTATCTTTCATTCTGTGACATTCACATTCCTGTTTTTGTTTGAAACCGGATTCCAAAAGAACAGTATTTAGGATCAAAGTGAGTTTAAGAGAGAAGTCTCACTTTTGATTTGATCTAATATGAGTCACACAGATGGACATAAGTGAAGGATTGATGTAAATTTGTGTATTTCTGGTAATACAGAAAATGAGAATATGATCTGTCTGTTTTACAGTCAGAGAGTTTTTCTCCTTGATTGTGAACATTAGTACAGTTGACCGTGTTGAGTAATCTTTAAATGGTTTTAAATATGAAAAGACTTTCATTGAGATGATTATTTTCTGAAATATGGGTCAATCTTCTCAGTTCTCCATAGCTCTAACTTCTGGCATTACAAAGTCACTTGCAACTAGTTTACCTTGAAAATATGGGGAATATATGGCCATTGACAAGGAAAGTATTTATATTAAGCTAGAAAAATATTTTCATTATTAGAAAACACATTCAGGAAGGAAAAAAGGACCTCCTATAGTTTTCTTGTAAAGGTAATTGTACCAAAAGCATAGGGTAACTATATTTTATAGAAGAAGTAGAAATAAAACTCTGACAAAGAAGTAGTAAGTTAAATCTCAAACCTAATGCATTAAATGTTGCTTGATGTTCATGCTAATTAGAGGCATTATAAATCTTAAATCCTAATATGTGTCTTTTTTCTGAACTGTATTTAGAAAGCATGTCTGACCTCTAATTACATCTATTCATTTAATAGATTCTTGAAAATCATCTGACTTATATGGATATACCTTTAACAGTATATGCCTTCAAAAGATAAAGAATTATATATATTTATCAAATACTAATGACTAGTATCAACTTTAAACATTTTAGGGATGTTAATGCTATTACAAATTCTGGGCATTGCAAAAGTGTTAAAATATAAGCTATGACATTGAGAGACAAAGTCTGTTAGGTTTCCAGAAGTTTATAAATCATTTCATTAGTGTATGTCAACAGGCCTATACAAGCAAACTAGAAAAAGACTGCTTTCTAATAACCAAAGTTATGAGTCCAATTTAAATGCTTTTTCTGAATAGATTTAGCAATGAGTAAAGGAGCACTGGATATAAATACAACTATAATAAAATTTAACTTTTTCTCATTTATATTTAATGACTGTTGAGAATAAGATTTGTGCTGATGCTTGTGTATTAAGTACTTATTTTGTCAATGATATATTTGTGGCATTTACACATCAGACTCTTTGTTTTGAATTTTGCTTTGTTTTACTACCGTTATAATTCTGGCTGTCGGTTTTATTGTCATTATCATTTATCAATATGCTAGATACACACATTTTAAAACATGTACCTTAATAAAATACTGGATATTTTAGCAATCATGGGTTTTCTAGTATCTTTGGTCATATTTCATATTTATACTATAGCAAGATGAAACTGTTGTTTAGCAGTGCAATATGTGTCAACCTTTCTTTAGAGATAATCTCTACATTTTATTCAAATATTAATCTCTTCTAATATATCAGCATCTGATAATGTGAAGGTTTCTCTTGTTAGTCTTTTTCATCCCTTGTCTTGGAGTTGCTTTCACATATTTATATAGAGTGTAATTATAGTAATACTCAAGTACTTAACATGTATCAGTAGGATTATGATCTCATTTTAGGGACTCGATAGCTCACATTTCTATTTCCTTGTGGACATTAAGTAAGTAATCAAGAGGGCGGACATACTTTTACAGTATATAATGACTTCTTAAATATAATATTAAAGAAAAATTTTTGCTTCTTTTATTTTTGCTTTCCATGTCCTATTGTAAATCTGGTTTATGGTCAATATCATATCTCTCCTTTGAATATGAAGTAACTGCTTAAAGGTCTGGATATGTTGTTTTTATTTGCCCATGATTTTCCCAGAATCTCACATTTTCTTATAAAATTTATGTTCAGTTAATCAGTGAAGGAAATGTTACAACACAGAAAAACTCTTGAATAAAATAAAAATAAAATAAGATATACATAGACAAAGGACTGGTAAGTGAAGGTTAAAAAAAAAAATACCAGTGAGAAACCGTGATGTGTAGTGATTACAAGAGCATAAAATATCTGTGTGTAAGAAGGCGAGGCACAGTGGCTCACACCCATACTCTCAGTGCTTTGAGTGGTCGAGGTGGAAGGATTTCTTGAGCCCAGGAAGTTCAGACAACCTGGTGCAACATATTGAGACCCTGTCTGTACAAAAAACATTAAAAAATTAGCCGGGTGTTATGGCACACACCTGTACTCTCAGCTACTCAGGGGGCTGAGGTGGAAGGAGCACTTGAGACCTGGAGGTCAAAGCTGTAGTGAACCATGATTGTGCCATTGCACTCCAGCCTGGGTGATAGAGTAAGACCTTGTCTCAAAACTAAATAAATATATAAATAAAATGTAGGTAAATATTTACGTTTATACATTTATATGTATAAATACATATATAGAGAGAAAACATTAATAGAAATGTGAAATGGAACCTCTGTAGACCCAATATTTGGTATAAAAATTCAATAGACAGATAATGAAAGTAGTCCCATGTCTCAAGTGTTCCAGAGAAAACAAAGTGTTTTCTTATATACATATATTATGCTCATTAGGACCAATATGTTGGGAATTTAAAAATACATTCATTTTATACCTTATTTAAAAAAATTCCTTTGTGTCCTCAGCTTCATGGTTGTGGATTCAAATATGACAAAATGCCCTGAGGAAGTGATATCGTTAGGTACACCCTCAGTTCCCGAGGAAGTGTGGGTAGTGCACTCTTAAGCCATTGATGAGCCTGGAGCCTGAGATCATGAAAGTTTATTTCATGGCCCATATGCTGAATCTAGCCTGTAGACACATTTTGCCCCATACAGTGCTTTTAAAATTCAATTAATTTTTAGTAATTAAGAATGGAAAGGTTTTACCTGGAAGGTTCATGATCAACTTCTGTGAAGGAAATCGGAAGCTGGGACAAGAGTGCGCCCACATTTCACAAGGCAGCAACCTGCTGTCACTGAGCATGGCCTGCGGTCCCTCTTCAGGTGGTGGGCACTCTCCACCGGGCCCCAGGCCCCATATGGCCTTCTCACTCATCTAAATTACCTGACACCTCTGAGCATTTGTATTCGCACCACATGTTTATTTTATATATTATTATTTATTTATTTATTTTTAGAGACAGGGTCTCACTCTGTCATCCAGGGTGGTGTGCAGTGGCTCAGTCATCGTTCACTGTAGCCTCACGCTCCTGGACTCAAGTGATCCTCTCACCTCAGCCTCCCAAGCAGCTGGGACTACAGGCATGCTCCACCATGCCCAGCTGATTTTTTTAAGTTTTATTATTTTGTAGAGACAGGGTTTTGCTATGTTGCCTGGGCTGGTCTCGAACCCCTGACTTCAAGCCATCCTCCCAACTTGGCCTCCCAAAGTGCTGGGGTTACAGATGTGAGTTACCATGCCTAAGCCTGAACCACAAGTTTAAAATCTAATAAATGAAGTTAACCTCCGAACCATTTCAAAAGAAGGATAAGGAAAGAACAGGAGAGAACCCCCTGTACATTAGATGAAGACACTTTGCATCAAGTCGTCTAGCCAACCTTTAGCTTTGTGCAAGAATAAAAAGGACAGTGTACTCTCTGAGACTTGGATGTGCCTACTTAAGTCATTATTTAGAAGGAAGGGGCTCTTAATAGAAACAAGCAGAATTAGATGATCAGACAAAGCTTGTGTCACTAAACAAGAATGAAATATTGAGACCAACCGGGAATTTACTCAAGA
Organism: Homo sapiens; assembly: GCF_000001405.40. Lineage (NCBI taxonomy): Eukaryota > Metazoa > Chordata > Mammalia > Primates > Hominidae > Homo > Homo sapiens. Next base: position 8,509,688 of record NC_000009.12, on the reverse strand, counting down.
CAAATTAAAAGCAAAAAGTAAACAGTTTAAGTAAGAAAAAGTTAATTAGGTTTCCAAGATGTTTTCAATCAATGTCAATTTATTATTAGCATTAGGCAGGGAAGAAATGCGTAACAAGCAATTATTATCCCGAGAGCAGCCCTTCAGTGTTGTCTGTGTTTCTAATTCTTGACCATACTGTAGTCCGGTTTGGTTTGAGTCAGGAGTTAACACAAACTTTCTTGTTTCCCAGGAAATTGGGAGAAAGAAAGAAGCAAATAAAACTAGGAAAAAAATCAGTGACTGCATACATAGGCATATGTGTGCATTTTTAGCCTGAGAAACCCTTTTATCATGTGAATATTAGGTTAGGTCCTATCATAATTTTCCCATCTATCTGGTCACTCTTGTTTCCATTATTGCTCCTGCCAGTGCTTTTGGTATTTCCCTTTTAGAAATAATGCATTTTCCATTTGCTTTGCAGTTTGCCTATTTGTGTTTTGTTCCCCTCTGTCCCTCTGCCTCTTGCTTCTCAATCTTTTATCTTCTTTCGCTTCCACCTTTCAATCTAAATGATTGTGTTAGGTCACCCACTGGGCAGGTACTGGGGAAAAAAATGTGATACTCTGTTCAGAAGGTAAGCTCCCAGAGGCATCAAATCAATGAGACTCTCAAGGCCTGTGATTTTTAAAAAGAGAGAGAGAAAAGATGATGAAGGCAACTAGAAATATGAAGCACTGATTATTTGTGACCTTAAGCATCAGTCCAAACATATATTCCTTTACACACACACACACACACACACACACACACACACAGACACACACACACACATATATATACACAGGCTGACTTACCAGAGGAATAAAATTATCATTAGGAATTCTACAAATCATTCTTGCAGACTGCTTTAACAAAGGGCATTTTTTAAAGCCATAGTACACAGACATAACTATAAAAGAAAAGGAAAGCAATACATTTTCTCCAAAGGCTTCTTTTGAACTACAAATTATACTGTATTATATGTATTTTTAAATATTTTTGCTGAGGTTGCCACTTTAGATGTTTTAAAGCACACTTTAGATGTTTTTTTACTCCTCTGCTATGAAGTATTATTGTTCTCTTTTTTTCTTTAAATATAAATGGAATTCTTATTTAAACTTGAGGGAATATGAACATATGTTCAGCCACAGCACATTGAGACATGCCATAATATCAAGGGTAATGATCAAAATGTTTTACAATTGGGAAAGCATAGGCACTCACCAATCAGAGCAGACAGTGGCCAAGAACAATGTACGATTAGATGTGCCAGCGACACCCTGACTCAGCCTTGTGTATAATGGATAGAGGGGAACTGATAGGCTTAGGTGTGGACTAGAAAGTTTAGGTTACTAATTATTCTAGTTCATTTGAGTAAGGTGTTTTAAACTGAATAGACTTTCCATTCTTTGTTACAGCTGATAAACAGCTCTTCCAAATTGTCTGTTGAATAGATGACATGGCTAACATGAGAATTATAGATGATCTCTTTAAGTTACCATATTTCTGATAAGTGTATCCTATAAACTTCTTAATTTTTGTAGTAGTTTAGCTTTGTGGCACTAGAGAGGATATTTTGTTTGTATTAGGTGTAGTTCTTTAAATAATTTAACATAGTTTAGAGATTAGAAGTCATTATTTGTAAGTGATAGAGTTTTGTTTTGTTTTGTTTTTCCTTTCTTACACCTCTTCTTCAAAATGTGGGCTGGTAAGAAAAAATGCTGAGTGATTCTGTTTGCCTGTTAGGTTTTGTTATTGGCGTAAAGGTAGGATTTCATAAATTTAATTGGAAATAATTTTGAATGTTACATGTAGTGCTAGAGAGTAAGTTCCTACTCAGTTGTAAATAACAATACTTTTAGGTATTTTGTACTTATTATGCTTTTGGCAATATTTCAAGTGCTTTATGTAAATTATATTATTTATTACTAACAACCATATCATGAAGTAAAGAATTTTTTCCTTAAAATTGAATTCAGAGGCCGATATACTTTATACTTATTAGTTCTACTATATCTTGTGTAGATGTTCTACTACTCCAGAGCAGGATTTATAACATTGTACTTGCCCTGTACACAAAGAGGTTAACTTGGACAAGGTAAAGGAGCTTGTTTTCCACTAAGCTGGTACATGTGTACAGATTTCGAAAGGTTTAAGCAGGTTACGCTAATGGAAGAACTTTGTGAATACTCCTGGTGATTGTGAGTTCAATCCATTGCCTCCCTGTTTTTAGTACCAGGGCAGCCACTAAACTTCAAAGCAGAACCTGAGTCTGAAACAAGTATTTTGCTCTCTTGGACACCTCCACGTTCAGATACCATTGCCAACTATGAACTGGTCTACAAAGATGGGGAGCATGGAGAGGAGGTAAGACTATAGTGCTTCTCACCTTGGGAATTATTCATTACGTGGGGCCACTTTTTTATTTTTGTGTATTTATCCACATTCTTGGTCAGAGAGCTATTGAGGACCTTGATGGAAAAGATTTACTAATTAAAAGAGGAACTTGACTCCCCCTCCCCCCCAAGAAAAACCCCAAAACAACAACAATGACAAAAAACAGTGGTTATTTGGAGGCTTTGGGGAAAAACAAAACAAAATAACTCTTGTTCCTGTTGGAATGTGCTTCTGACAGAGTTCCAAGTTCCATAGATGTATCAGGTTATGGAAGAATAAATACTCAATGAGACTTGAGGACTTTCTCTTCTTCATGAAAGTATTTAAGTCACTGTGGGGACAGGTGACTAAATTAGCTCTATATGTTAATGAAAGTCCTTGGCTAGATGAATTTTTCCACCCTGGTTTCAAAGATTCCCCAATAGCAAATGTTTGTTTGCTAAAAAGTATTTGGTATGAAGGTGAGTGTGTATAACATTTGAGTATGCTGTGCAAATGAAATAACAGATTGTAGAAGGCATGGCAATTGTTGATCGTCACTGAAAAGAGAAATGAAAATCAATATAATTAACTCATTAATGGGCACTGTTCTAAGGGTTTCACCATCAATAATGCATGTAATTTTTATAGTAGCACTGGAGCTAGCCTTTCTTATTAATCGATTTGACGTATAATAAAATGGAGGCATGGAAAAAAAGTTAAATAATTTGCTCAAAGTCTCGCACTAGTGGATGGCAGAGCTGGGATTTGAGTCTAGGCAGTCGAGTTCCAGAGTCTGTGTTGTTAACGGTTAGGGTCTACTGCTTCTTGAGTGCAGTTTGAATACATGATAGAAATCGATATTAAGATACATCTAACATTTTCAGAATGAGAATACATAATAGTAGTAAGTATGTTTCTTTTATTATTGTTAAATCCAATGGGGAACATTAGGACAAAAGGAGTTAATGGCACTGTGTTTGAGAACTTCACACATATATTCATTTTATTATGCCTCTTAGCATTTTTTATCTGAAAAAAAAATCTTCACAAAGTGAAACAGTCCCTGTGTTCTAATAAAGAATATCTTTTAAAAAACTCACATGCTAAATGAACTACTCTCAATTAACTTGTAGTACATAATTTTGGATGTTATAATAAATTAATATGTTCTTGTAAACTTCTGTTTTATTCCATCTGTTTGAATTGAGCAGAATCTCAAAAGAATAGGTTTTAAATGCAGTGGTTTTAGATTTAGCTAACAAAGCCAATATAAATCAAGCACTCAAAAAGTTATATAGTTGAAATGCAGATATGACTTAAAGTTTTCATGGTACAACTTGAGCTATTGGTGTTTTCTGTAAGGTGTAAATCAGCACTGAATTGTTTAAACCTTCATCACGACCACCAAACTAAAATACAGGCATACATAGACACAAACATACATATATACAAAGAGTAAAGGAGAATTGTGATGCTTAAATGTTGGCATAGCTACTGTGCTCCACAATTGCTTATTTAGGGAATTTCTTTATTTCTTACTTGGTGGATCTAAAATTCCTGAAAACTTTTGTATTTGTAAGTCAGAACACCCTAGGGATGGTTTCTCTAGTTTTATATTTGAATTTTTCTTCTTCTTCTTCTTCTTTTTTTTTTTTTTTTTTTTTGAGACAGAGTCTCCTCACTCTGTCGCCTAGACTGGAGTGCAGTGGCGCGATCTCTGCTCACTGCAAGCTCTGCCTCCTGGGTTCACGCCATCCTCCTGCCTCAGCCTCCCAAGTAGCTGGGACCACAGGCGCCCACCACCACACCCGGCTAATTTTTTGTATTTTTAGGAGAGATGGGATTTCACCATGTTAGCCAGGATGGTCTCGATCTCCTGACCTCATGTTCCGCCCGCCTTGGCCTCCCAAAGTGGTGGGATTACAGGCGTGAGCCACCGTGCCCGGCCTTGAATTCTTCTTAACTGATTTGTTTGTGTGAATAGCAAACACTATTTGATAAAGTGTTAAGATTACACACACCATTACTAGATTATGTATTCACTTGCATTTTAAGGTTTACTGCAGGCTGATGTTCAAGATTGATTACCCATAGACACTTATATTTTTGCTAAATGACAAATTTTAAGCACGGAAGGTGAGAGTTATAGCATTTGATTAACGAAATCGTATATCAAAAGTCCACAAACATTTGTGAATCTATTTTTTTTCTGGCTGTGGGTTCTTTATTCACAAAGAAAGTAAGGTTTTCAGTTATTTTAGATCAACCTAGGGTAGTAATGTGGTTTCAGATAAATTATTCAACTTTCTTTAGTGACTAACGTGATATTTTACCCATTAAAACTTGGCAATTTCAAATCTCTTTTATAGCAACCTCCTGTAAATTGTATACTGGTTACTGTTGCTACTTCTGGTCATGTTTTCTTTGCCTCCAATTGAGATTTCAGAAGGTCATGGGAGATGAGTAGACATCTGTTCAATTAAAATTGCACATGTTGGGCAGATTCCACTACCAGGGGCAGGTGTCATTTTCTATTGTGATCTGTGTCACAGCAACATACACACATTTAACGGCAGAACATACTCATGGGTGTTGGCCTCTCAATCTTCGTCTTATCTGATGTATTTGGCTGACTGTGTCAACATTAAAAAGATCTCTGACTTCCCTTATTCCAGTTACCTTTGTAGAAACTTGCCTTTTAAACTGATATTTTCATTATATAATTTCCTTAGTATAGCCCTGGATACTCACTATTGACTCTTTTGGTGATATTTTGATGAGATTATAATCCTGATGATAGAAATCTGATGGTCCAGACAGTATGATTAAAAAGTATTTGCATGAACCTTAATGAAGATGACCACATTCTCTTATTGCTTCCAGCAACGAATTACCATTGAGCCAGGGACATCATATAGGCTGCAAGGACTGAAACCAAACAGCTTATACTATTTCCGTCTGGCTGCACGCTCCCCTCAAGGCCTGGGTGCTTCTACTGCAGAAATATCAGCTAGAACCATGCAGTCAAGTAGGTGTCTCTCTTTGCTTACTTTCTGCCTTTTTATTTCCTCGGGGAGATGTTGCTAGCTTTCACCTTCACCAATAAGCAAACCTGCTAATATGCTTAATAGTTAGTCTCTAGGTTAGTATGCATCACACTTCACAGGTGAAAGTGTAACTGTGACTTCTTTTGGTCTCATCACTTGATCCAAATAACAGATCCCACCTTCCCACTTCCTACACTGAAAGACTTTTAAAGAAGGTAGTAGACGTCCATGGGTGAAATGTGGGTTAAAGGAGTTAGATCAAGCCCTGTTTAATGAATTACAAGTCTTTAAAGCAAAATTCACATTGAGAACCCTGTAAAATAATCATAGGAGGGCTTCGCAAATGAAAGAGGCTGCAAAAGACAAAAAAAAACTTTATTTTTTTAAGCACACAGGCTTTAGCTTTGCAATCAAACAAGTCCTTATTTCATGTATTTGTTTCTACTAAGAAAAGCTCAGCTCTGATGACTTGTTTCTTATTAACTCTGTGTGTAGTACCTGTGGAAATTTGGAACATTGACAGAAAATCTGTATGTGGACAAATTAAGAAACAATGGAATAATCGCAAACATATTTGCAATTCTAAATTGTATTTTGTTTCCTGGGGTTCAATTTCTTTTTGGAGCTGTTACCCTTAAGCATAGCTGTGTTTATCACAATGGGGGTTAATTGTTCCCAGGGCAGATTGTTTTGCATAAAGTATTATACAGGATTTTGTTTTTGGTGGAAAGTTTGGTGGCTTATTATTATTAATTGCTTTTTATTAGTATGTGTTTACAGTTCATTCATAAAAAATACTATTTACCTTGAATTGAAGAGTTTTGTTGAGTTATTTTCTTAGATTTCTTTGTGTGATATTTTGTCTTTACTTTTTGACATAGTGAATTATACAATAGATATCTGTAGTAGAAATACATTGAATTTTGTCAAGAAGATGCTCTGTTAACCTCATATTTAGACCTATCAGCAAACATGAAATTTGTGATTTAAAAGATTCATTTCCTTCCATACAAATAAGCAAGTTTTCCACCATTTCATTTTCTATAGAAACTTGAAAACTTTCAGGGTTTTTTGATAATAAAATTTATGTTTTTCCCTCTTTAAAGCATGATTATTCACATGAAAATGATTAGGATCATGTTTAATCTATTAGTGATTATCGTTTATTCCCATAAAATTTTCTTTCATTTAAAGGCGTAAGCATGTAAATTAATGCGTTCTCTGTATGTCTGCTTTGAATTCCAGGCAGGCTAATAAATAGTATTGTAGAAGATAATTTCTAAAAACCAAGCCTTTAATTAAGAGAAATGTTACATGCTTCAATATTATATTTCCCATGGTTTACAAACCTCAGTTTTTAACATATGTGTGTGTGTGTATATATATATATATACACACACACATACATATTGAATAGACTTTTTATAAGCACATCAAACACTTATCTATTCCTTATTTTATTAAAGTAAAATTTTCAAATGGTGTTGAATATATTCTCACAAAATAGGAGGTCTGAAGATAGCCCTAGTGAAAACCAAATCAGCTTTTTAAAAAGAATTACAGATGAGTCCTTGCTGTTACATGAACAACTCAATTTATTATGAATAATGATAATGCATGTAAAATAGTTTTATAATTTGAGATATAAGAACCCCTAGTCAGAATCAATAAAAATGAGATTCTAGTGGTTTTGCAAATCTTATTCCAAATTTACAAGGCTGTCCTATGAGGATTTCTTTTTTGTCAGTACAGAGAGCTTTTATTTTGATGGACTGTAATAATGAACACAAGGCACGTACATTAAGAAAGACTGATAATCCCCTGAACAATTGGATACACCTGGCACTCCGTAATGTTAAGAGTCACAAAGTCTAGGGAAATCCCCAGACTACACATTCAAATATGAAATATAGGATTGCTTTATTCAGTCTACCATATACATTGCTTTAAAAATATATGCGTGTGTGTATGGACTTGTGTTATCTTTGCCCACTTGTTTGTTTTTCTTTAGGAACATAATATTATTAAGTTTTAAATAATGATAGTAATTGTGCTGTCTTTTATTGATTTTTAATTTTTTAAAATCATAATGCTTGGTTAATTTGATGGAAAATGATTGCTCAGAAAGTGACTAGTTTAATTTAGAATGGGCAGTAAGAAAGTATGTCTTCTAATTCTAATATAAACCCTACATTGTATGAATAATTATGTACAAAATGAAAGAAATTTTGCACAGAAATTATATCTTTTCCAGTTGATACTTGGGTTTTTAAAAAAACAGTTCTTTTTAATGGCTGTGTTATTGACATTTTGTAAGGGATAAATGATTATTATTGATTTTACCAAATTTTGCTGGTGGGGTCTAATTCTTCACTAGCAATGGTGTCTCAAGAAGAGTTATAATTAAAAAGCTGAAAGCTGACGTAGGGTAAGTACAAGTTACAGTCAGAATCAACAATCCTGACATTACCCTCGGGTAGGTAAATCTTGGACTCTGCATTTTCATCCTTTATTGATTCTGCATGCTCACTGTATATGGGCTATGATCAATGTTAACATTTTTTTTATTATTAAAACTGGTCAGGCAAACTCAGTTTTTCAGATAGAGTGAACCCTCTTATGTTTGTTGTTTATTTATTTTTAATTGGAACTGGTAGAAGGGCATTAGCAGTTATTGCAACTTTTCACACTTAAGAAGCCTTTCACAAATGAGTACTGTATGTAAACCATCCTCATTCTAGAATATAGAAGTGAAAGCTTGGAAACATCTGTGAGGCATCATCAGACCCTCAAGTAAATACTAGCACTATTTGCAGCTTTTTTGAAGCTGGGTAGTCAGTATAGTGGGGGTGGGAGATACTGAGGGATTGGTTTAGAAGAATTTTTATCGCAGGTAGGTAATTTTATTTGAGGCTCCATTATCTCGAGGTCTCATTTTCACATATTCCCCCTACCCATTATTTAACAATTATTTTTGGTCATTAATTCTCTTTTTGGTTTATTCATATTACTAAGCCAAGGTACATAATTTGTCATTAGAATTTAAGTTTCAAAGCCTTATTTTCATTTTGTCCTTATTGTTCGTTTATTTATTTTTGCCTTTTCTTTTGTTTTATCATTTTTTTTTTCAACCACTCCTGTCCTTTCACTTAAATCCTCCTTTAACTCACTACCAAAATAAGAGCCGTCAGCTCCTCCTCAAGACATTAGTTGCACCAGCCCAAGTTCCACTAGTATTTTGGTAAGTTGGCAACCTCCACCAGTGGAAAAACAGAATGGCATTATCACTGAATACTCCATCAAGTACACTGCAGTGGATGGGGAAGATGACAAGCCTCACGAGATTTTGGGAATTCCTTCGGACACTACCAAATACCTTTTGGAACAGCTGGAAAAATGGACTGAATACCGGATCACTGTGACAGCCCATACAGATGTCGGCCCTGGCCCTGAGAGCTTGTCCGTGTTGATTCGAACCAATGAAGATGGTATGTTGCCTCCGCTACGTCAGTTTGCACCCTTCTGACACAGTCTTGATCTGCTGTCTTTCAATAGGCTCACAGTAATCTTTTTTCTCTGCTCATCTTTTTACCCAGCATTGCTGTTACTTTAGTATTTTTGCCAAAGACTTGTCTTTGCTACAGCCTGGCCTTTTTTTTTTTTTTTTTTTTTTTTTTTTTTTTCATTTTTTTCAATCTCAATGCAGTAATTTGCTTCTCTTTAAAAGAACTGTTGGCTCCTATGGTCTTGCAGTCCAGCCCGTCTCTGTGCCTCCATCTAAAGTCTTCTGTGTTTTTCTTGGCTTTTTGTAGTCACTTCTTTTACATTTTGAAGTTAACTTTTCAAAACTACCTTCTTACCTTTTTGTTGCCTTTTTGTCTTACATATTTCAGAGACATTGATGCTCAACATTGAATTTTTGGCATCTTTTGTATGGAATAACTTTGATATGAGAAAAAAAGAGAAGATAATACATATAATCAAGAATCTTTTTATTCTGCCGTTTAAAAAGAAACCTTTAAAAAACACACAACAATCAACAGCCAGTTTTTGTTATTATTTCAATGCTATACCTCTTTGTGCTTTAATGCTTTGAACCTCAAAGCATCTTCCTTGGCTTTTGTACATTTTTTACATGTTTTTCTATTTCTCTGATACTCTTTTTTTCTTCCATTTTTTTTTTTTTTTTTTGCATCGGTCATGTTTTTTGATCTTTTCTTAAAAGGTAGAGCAGATTGGTTAAGCATTTTCATTGGTTGAAAATGTTTGTATTCTTCAAAGAAAACATAGTGGGTTTACCCATTTTTTGAAAGAGAAACCTAAGTAAAGAAAATGCAGAAAATGCTCTGATAGGGTGGGACAAGTGCCTATAATTTCTTTTATCCAATGATGTTGTTCCAGTTCCTAGTGGTCCTCCTCGCAAAGTCGAGGTAGAGGCTGTCAACTCAACATCTGTTAAAGTCTCATGGCGCTCACCCGTGCCCAATAAACAGCATGGCCAGATAAGAGGATATCAGGTGCATTATGTGAGGATGGAAAATGGTGAGCCCAAGGGCCAGCCCATGCTGAAAGATGTCATGCTGGCTGATGCACAGGTAAGCCTCTGAAATTATGTACCTCTGTTTTTATATAATAAGTTTATCTTAGTTCATATCCTGAAATTGCTCTTATTTTAGTTTTTCGACATTTAAAAAATCCTATACAAAATTCTAGTTTTCATTTCACATTGATGTATATTGATCTTTTCAATCAGAGTTACTATCAAGTGAGGAAGGGAATTGTAATGAAATGACACTCAAGTCTGATTAAAAACATGTTACTTTTTCCTTAAAATACAGATATTCAACCCTTTACAACCATATTTGAGTTTGCCTTTCTGACTTCAAAAAATGATTGACTTAGTTGAGTCAAAGGGAAGATTTCTAAACTGCAATTTTGCTGATGGAGTCTACTTTCTTCTGTGCTAAAACAACTTGCAACTTAGTTGTTCTAATTTCTAAATGTGTGTCTTCTTCCACTGAAGAATAGACATTTTTATTCAGGGACAGGTACTCAGTATTATATTTAGTACTTCTTCATCAAATTACATATTTGATGAAACTCATTGTTTCATGTCCCAGCAAATGAAGATCGTTACAATGATATTAAAAATTAAATCAGAATTTCCTAGCAAATAAGTGGGATCCTTACGTTGAACCAAGGTTTAAAAAAAAGGTACTAAAAATGAGTAGTTGAGTATGTGAGAAATTGTATTGATCTTAGGGCAGTGGTTTGCAACTATGGTATCACAACCCGGTTTTATAATTAGTTGTTTAAAACAGAGCATTGAAAATTTCCAAAATTTTTCATAAATTAGAGGTGATTCAAAGATAGTCCCATAATAAATTCGCTTGAGTTTTACATATTTTCCTGAAAGGAAGATGAAGATTTCATCTTGTAACCACCATGCTGAAAATTGTACATGACTCATGTACTGGCTTACCTTTGCTGTGTCAAATGGTGATGAGATGTCATGGGGATAGGATATTATGATCATTGGAATACTTTCATTATCCAAGAAATTGGTGACTTGGCAGGGAAAAGGATGGAGTTTGTAAAAACATTTGAAATTTATTTCAAATGAAAATGCGTTTCTTTGTGTGAAAGTTGGAAAGGTTATGAAGCAAGTTGAAAACTGCGGCACCAGGTTGCCCAGTTCTACGTTCTCGTCTGTAAAGGCGGACGGATCCCCTGGTCAAGAGATCGAGACCATCCTGCTCAACATGGTGAAACCCCATCTCTACTAAAAATACAAAAATTAGCCAGGCGTGGCGGCACACGCCTGTGTGGTCCCAGCTACTAGGGAGGCTGAGGCAGGAGAATTACTTGAACCCAGGAGGTGGAGTTTGCAGTGAGCCAAGATCGCACCACTGCACTCCAGCCTGGCAACAGAGGAAGATTGCATCTCAAAAAATAAAATTAAAAAAATAAAAAAATAAGACAGCAATAAATATCCCTGTGCCTCTAAGGAAAGTACTTACCCCCAAAGTCTTAATACAAGTCAACTCTCAGAAGTCTTTATGTTTTCTTCAGTTTTGAAACATTCTAAGTAAAGGGATCTGGATTCATTGCTCACTTATCTACCCCGAGGCCACTTCTGTAAATGCAGTAGTGCTTCGTAATACCCCTTCAACACTGGAAAGGGGCCATTGACTTGATTTGTATAAATAATTATTATGTAGTGCCTATAAAAAGAAAGTTATCGTAGTATAAAATTAAAGCCATCATTGCTACGTTTTATCTTGTAAGTCTACAATTATGGAAAAGAAAACAATATGACCAGTGTGCTTTGGTGTTCTCCTTTGGTTCTTAGATATTTTACATTACAGAACTGTAATTCTCTCCCTAGTTCCATTGCAAAATATGGTAGTTAACGAAATTATATAATACCAAATGCATTAAATGTGAACTCTGTCTTTTTTTCTCTTCTTCTTTGGCTTTTCTTTATTAATTGCTGTTTTTCCTTGTGTATTTTCTTTCTTTCCCATCTCATTTACTTTCCTTGACTCTTCACTGAAATTTCATTACATCTCACAGGACTTCATTGAAGTTATAAGTGTCAAATATAATGAAAGATATTAATCTAAATAGTGACTTTTAATTGTGTAACTTAAGATAGAAGTCAAAATAAATACGAGTAGGATATGATTAGAAACATTAACTTTTTCTGTGCCTCATTGCTATGTTTCAGTGAACCATACATTTAAAGAATGTTAGCTGGTTTTAGTGATAACAGTAACAAAGGATATTTAATTTGACTTCCCAATCAGAGGTGGAGGTGGCAGCAAATCACACATTCTTTGGAATTTTATTGTACACACTGCTTTATTTTTTTGATTTTTTTAATCTAACAAGGGCAACACTGCCTGTATAAGGCTTTAAATTCTTTTTCTTTTTATTTTGTTTTCCTCCCAACCTTCTTATTCTCAATCAGTGGGAATTTGATGATACTACTGAACATGTGAGTAATTTTTGACTGTTTTGTCAAAAGCAGACTATATATGCTTGTTTTCTCTGACATCCTTTCACTTATTTGTGATCTGTCATCACAGTTTGCTTGGATGCATGAACTAACAAATTATTTTTAAGTTATCTTCACTGTGTGGTGCACTTTTTATTTTGGTTTTTGTTTTGTGAAATCAGCATGGTGCTATTGACTGCGTAAGAAATGTCATGGGCTTGTGATATTTGTTTTGATGGCTGCTACTAACTCTGCCTTGTGACAGTCAGAGGAGGCATGCTTTAAAACACAGGGGTGTTGTCTAATCTTTTGGCTTCTCTGGGCCACATTGGAAGAAGAATGGTCTTGGACCACACATAAAATACACTAACATTAACTACAGCTGATGAGCTAAAACAGAAAAAAATCTCATAATGTTTTAAGAAAGTTTACAAGTTTGTGTTGGGCTGCATGTTGGATAAGCCTGCTTTAAATGAAGGCATTGCAGACTGGAGATGTCAGATTGTTTGGTGTAGGCTGCTCATAATGCTCATAAATCTGACTCCAGGATCGCATATCCAGTAGATAACAAGATATAGATCTGGCACTGATTAACTCTAACTAGAAGTGGCTGTTCTTCACTTTACCCATACATATTTGAATGGTGAATGGATTATGCCAAGAAGTAGAAAGTATGTCGCTGAGGGAGGAATGTTTTTAAAATATTTGAATGAAAACTCTATGTTATTTATTGAGGGACTGTTATGTATATGCCACTGCAAGGGACACATGATGTGACACCTGCCTTTCTAGTGTTTACATTCTAAGTGGCTAGGGAAGAGTAAAGTTCTGAAAAGTTTCATAGAACGCAGCAAAATATATGGCCTACAGCAGTGGACCATGCATTAGTAAATTAGTGGACAGTGTCAATAAAAGCTATGAATTCAGAGACAGTGGTCCAAGATAGTAAAAGAAGTCCTGAAGCTTAGTTGAGAATTTAAGGGATGACTAAAGACTGAATAAGTGAAAAAGTGTGTGTGTGTGTGTGTGTTTGTGTGTGTGTGTGTGTGTGTGTGTGTGTGTGTGTGTGTTGGAGAGTTGGAGGTGGAACATACATATTTTTTAAAGTTGATCACAGCAAAACCAGTCATTGAGACAGTTGAGCATGTGGTATAGTCACGTGACAGTGAGCCTGACAATTTGATATAAATGAAGGCTTCGTGTTAAGTAACTCAGTGGTAAATAGAGCTAAGAGGTAAACTATAATATAATACTGGGAAAACCAGAAGAGTCAAGCTAAAAAGCTGGCCGGTCAGTCTTTAACTCTTCAATATTAGAGTGATATAGAAGAAATAAAAAGAAAAATGAGTTAAAGGCTGGCAAGACGGTATTCTTCCATTCACTGAATGAATATTTACTGCCAATGCACATGGCTCTTGTTGGGAATCTTGTAACTGTGTGCAAGGTATCAGTTCTCATGGGATTGCCAGTGCAGCAGCATTTTTGACCGTAAACTTCTTTGACTATAACTCACAGTAAGAAATACATTATTGTATGTCATGATTCAATGCACACCTCTGTTTAACTAAAATAAAATTTTTATAGAACCATGCTTTAAATGTATAATAAACACTAACATTAAGTATTCAAGTTTATTCCACTTCATTTTCTGTTTGTTTGTTTCTTTGTTTAAATTCTGGTCATGACTGACTAAATTGATTTCACAACCTACTAAATGGGTCATTACCTGCAGTTTAAAATCCAGTGACTTAGTGGATAGATTAGAGAGTAAAAAGGTGGCAGATAGGAAAGCAGGTAAAAAGAGTTATTTTGCTAATTTAGTCATGAAGTGATAAAAATGCAACAGAGTTGAGGCAGTAGAAATGAAAAAGTGATAGTTAGGATCAATAAAAGGAAGAATTGGCAAAAACTTGCTAAGAACTGAGGAAGAGAAAGAGGTCAAAGATAGCTCATAAGTTTTGCAGATGTGTTACCGTTCATTAAAATATGGAAGTAAGGAGGGGGAGTCTACTTCCAGGAATGATTTTTAAGTTTTAGTTCATTTGAACTTGAAGTAACACTGGGTAGTCACAGGAAAACATCTAGCAGATATTTACAATGTATATGCCACTGGAGCTCAGATTGGAAGTCACAGCTGGAAATAAATCAGGAATATGGGCAGAAATAATTATTTAAGGTTTAGAAATGAATGCAGTTTCTTTTTTAAGATTAGAGAAACAGTAGACCAGTGACTGTGACAGAACCTCAGGTATGCCAACTTTTAACAGTCAGGGACAAGAAGCAAAGTGGAGACAGGACAGGAGGAAACAAAGAGAATGAGGAATTATGGCCATAATATCAGGCACATCACCTCACAGAGCATACTGAAACAACCAAGGAAGGAAGTGCACCCACCACTTAAAGAAAGAAAATGTAATCCAAGAAAGGATATGACCGTGGCAGTTGGAGGTGTGTCCAGCCGAGATTATACCACTGCAGGGAACTTGACGCATTTCAAATTGCGTTATGTCTGTTATCCTCTAACAACCTGGGCAAGATAATGGATATGTGTGGTTAACTCCAATTTCATGATAAGAAACATATAAGTCTCAGAGTGCATAATTTCTTGCTACAAAATTTGGTGATGGAAGCAAGCCTTGCTGCTTTTTCCAGTTAGCCATGACTGCTTTTCAGCAGTACTCCAGTGGCATGTGAGGGGAACCTTGGAAACCATAATGTTGGCATTTACTCATGATAGTTTTTGGGATAGCCAGTGTGTCTGCTGTCATTTAAAATACTGCTCTTGGGTAGTTTACTTGGTTTTTCTATCCTCTGGAATGTTAGGGAAACCATTCCAAGGTCCTGGAAATACAACATTTCTCCCAAATAGTCCATTTATCTGGCAGAATAAAATTTCCAGTGACTCTTCAGGATGATATCTGAACTTCTTGAATTTCCACAGTGAGATATTCCTACTCTTTTGAGAAAGCATGTTCCCAGAAACTGTCATATTTGGGATCAGCTTCAACAATTGAGCTCTACGGTATCTGTTACAGCCTTGCTAAAAAAAAACCTACTGTATTTCACACAATATAATTCGTACTCGTCACTCACATTGTCTTTAGATTTGGAAGACAATGACATTGTGCATTTTCCTAAATTTATCCATATTCAATTTGAAAACACAGCTGTGCCAAAAATCTGAAAGGGTTTTTATATTGCTGTGTGTGTGTGTGTGTGTGTGTGTGTGTGTGTCTGTGTGTCTGTGTGTGTCTGTGTGTGTGCGCATGTGTCTGTGTACGCGCGCATGTGTACATGCAGCTCTGGTATTTGTTCTTAAAATACTAGAATAAGCTAATAGCCAGAATCTCTAAAGAATCCCATAACCTGCAGTTTAAAGGAATATATCAAAGAGCATCTGGTCTTATAACCACCACAGCTTTGGGCCCTGACTAAGAGAAAACTAAGAATTTAGGTAAATAGTATGTGATATTTAACAATTTTTAGAAAGTCAAAATAAATTGAGCACATACTAGTGATGTGGTAAAACTAAAGTCCTGTTGTATTCTTTGCTTTTATGGCTGCTTTTTAATGTGTGTGAAAATTCTCCTCAGTGGATAATGATTTCTGCTCATAGCCTATACAAATAACCAATAAAAATGATAATACAATCCATTAATAAGAGAGTCCTAAGAAAATTCTCTCTCAGGGTATCTAGGTCCAACAACAACCATTTGGCAAAATTCGTCTATAGTGATAAAACAGACTATGCTGGCATCAGCCCCATCTGTAGTCTGTGGGTTACAGTGGATATGTGTGGAGAGCTGTTGGCATAAAATAATCACTCTTTAATGGAATGCTTCCTATAAGCCAGGCATAGTTCTGTGAGTTTACCTGATATAACTCATATAATCCTATGGGGTCCTATTATAATTCCAACATTCAGATGGGAAATGGAGGCACAGATAGGTAAACATACTTGGTCTGTCCAAGCTAGTAAGGACATGCAAGTTTAAGTTTAAGAATTCAGGAAGTCTGGCTCCAGATTTCATGTCTTTGACTAATACCCTAAGATCTACCTCCCAAGATGCCTGAAGATGCCCCTTCGATATCAGCATGAAAACAGATCTCCATAGCATGAGCTCAGGCATGAAATTTCCAGGGCTTAGCATGGCTGCAAGGGATGTGCGAGCATTTGCAGAATGAAGGCAGACGGCCTTGTTTTTCCCCCAGAGCATTAGTAGCATGTTTTGAATCAGTGACATTCTATTTTGTCATTTCAGGACATGATCATTTCTGGGCTCCAGCCTGAAACTTCCTACTCCCTCACCGTCACAGCCTACACAACCAAAGGAGATGGTGCTCGCAGCAAGCCCAAACTGGTGTCCACCACTGGGGCAGGTAATCATGTCTGTGCATGTATGTGCCTTGAACAGTAATACTAACTTTTTAAATGGTATAGGTAGCTTCTAGCAGGCTTTTATTATAGTAAAATCAGAGGAAATAAATGGACTATGGTCAACTTTTGTGTTTTTAGTTCAGGGGTAAAAAAAAAAAAATAGATCAGGGAAAAAAATAGTCCAAGTGCATAATTTGTCCAAACTATTCAATCAGTCATTCAATAAGTATTTTTTTTTTTTTTTTTTTTGAGCACCTTCTGTGTGTCAGGCACTGTTACCAGCACTGGGGATGAAGCAATCAACAAAACAGAACAAGAATCTACACTCATGAAATTCACTTTCTGAATAGGACTAGATAATTAACAAGTGACAAAACGAGTATATAATAAAATGTCAGAAAGTGGTAAGGTGAAAAGTAAAAGCGTATAGGCAATTAAGGATCAGGCAGCCTCTAGGGGCTGAGAAGTTCTGGTAGAGGAAGGATTATTTAAGTCGAGACTCAAATGACGTGAAGGATCAAGTCCCATGAAGATCTGGAGGGAAGGGATCTGGGCAGGGAAGTCAAGCAACAATGTCAACTTCCCTGGAAAACAAATCCCCTTAGAAGAGCTGCCATCTTGAACTGGGTTCATGACTTACAGTTCTACCTTTTGTCATTTTGTCTTCCCCACCCCCTGCTGTGGGGATTCTAAAGAAGCCAAACTGAACAAAAGATAGAAAACAAAAAAGAAAAAGAAGAAAAGCAAGAAGGCTAAATAGTATAAAATTACTCCCCTCTAAAGAATAAGGTTTCTTCAATGCTTTTTAGGATGACTTTGGTCAGCCACAGTAGGAAAAGCCAGCATGAAGGAAAATCTGGCATTGTAGAATGAGTAAATTAAGAGATAATTGCAGAAGGATTCTCCTCAATCCTCATATATGGCAATCTCCCGTGAACATGTAAACCATGATTTGATTTACTCTGCCCGAATCACTTCTCAAATATCTTTTTAGGAACATACCTCTATGTAAAGGCATAAAGTAAAGAACAGCTGTGATGTTGAGTGCCCTCCTGCGTGCCATGCTCACTGCCAGCTTTGTCTAAATGTCATAAGATTTGCCTCGCTCGCATCCTGCCACCTGGAATTGCCTCAAACAGCAGGATTACAGATGGCAAAACTCCTTCAAGGCTGAGTCTTCTGGGCTTTTTTTTTTTTTTTTTTTTAAATACCATTGTATCAAGCTAATTTAATGCCCTGAAGAGCAGGCATGTATTCAGTGAGGGGCATGATGGCATGATGACTATCTGGCTGTGGATCCAGTCTCTGTTAGAACGTCAACAACAAAGAATTGAATCTCAAATGGAAGAAAATACATTTTATTTACCTACACTTATAAATATGTCATAATAACTCTGAAATGTTTTATATGAAGCACCACTCCCCTGTTGCCCATTAAATGGGGTCATGTTATGATGACAAGAAAGTAGTGGATTTATAGCCGAGGAATATGAATTTTAGAGAAAGGAATGATTTTGTCTATTTTAACGTCACTAAGGCTAGCTCATCCCTTTTTATTTACCATGCAGTAGACATTTTAGAATTTTGGAACTTATTCACATATAGAATTCCTTTGGAATTTTCATTCACAATTTTAGATCCTTCTTAATCAATAGAGGCTTCGGTATTGAGATAGAAAATGCTTGTAATTTAGATGCCTACACGTTTACTTTTGTAAGACCTCCCCACTGCATCTGGGAAGAAGGCAGAAGAATCCAAATTTAATTCCTTTAAGAGCGAAGCTCTAGTTTTCCTTTGCATAAGCAGCCGCTACTCATGGTTTATCCCTAGGCAATTAGTGAATATATCAATTTGTTTTGTCTACTGTATTAAAAATCCTCGTATATTTATGTGACTGTGAAGAATTACTGAGTTTATCTCACAGATGTGAGCTCCTAATAACCATAATTGTAAAGGTATTTAGTTACAGCTCCCACAAAGAATTCAGGAATTCTTGTGAAATTTTATTTTAATAGTAAACTTCCTGATTGTGGGATATTTGTTTATTATACCTTGTTTCTACAACCTGTAAAGAATCATATCTTGGAAACGAGTACTGATCATAATTTAAGTAATCTACGTAAGATTCATATAACCTCAAGGATGCTTCTGAAGAAAATGTTGGCTCTTATGTTTCAATGCTTATGAAATATTTGTATTTTCTTTGTTAATCCTCCCATTATTCTGTATTGTAATAATTAGTTTACTGTCTGAGTTCTTGAGGTTAAAGGCAAACAGAAAATTCATTGGTTTGACATTTTCTGTATATTTTTACATGAATTTCAGTACTATATTGAACAGCTATGTTTAAGGATAATCAAAAGATGACTGTGACAGGGAGAATTTGGAAATATTAGCCCAAGTCTAGTCAATTGTGATTGTTGTTGCGTTGGTACTAGTTTAAATTGGGGCTAAATTTAGAGCCACTGGGACTGAGTACCTCGGTTGATCTCCAATGATTCCAATTGCTAAAAAGTAAAGGGCAACCACACATACGTACCAATTCTGAAGTCCTAGGAAATTTTTAAAAGAATGTAAGAGAATAAGAAAATGTAAAAGGGAGAAGAGTTTATATGTCATGACGTAAGTTTTAGAGTTATTTACTTTGTAACTGGACCTTCTCTGCTTCTTCCAATGTGTTCATTAAGACCCTGCTGAAAAATGACCTTCCAACTCCCCTGAGTAATTATTTAAGACCCTTTCATCTTACCAACCCTCAAGCTCCAGTGCTGGAGTGAGCAGAACCATTGAACCAACAGCTGGCATGACTTATAAAAGTAGTCTACAGAATAACCCTAAGGCATTAGAAACCTGACTCCACAGATTGCACAATCTATTCCACCTGATTATTTTCCCAACTAGAATATGCCTGTATTAGAGAACATGGACCCTGCTGCATCCGTCTTTATTTCCTCACTCAACTACCTGTGTGCCAGTGTACAAGTATTTGCACAAAGTGAATTGTTGGTAAATGTTTGATACCTATAGTGTTTCTGGAAGCCAGGAATGCAGTGAGTTCCATTGCCAATCTGTGGAGTTTGGGAGAATTCTTTTTAACTATGTATTCAATGATGTAGAACTCTCCTCATTCCTTTTCCCTTTTTTATCCTATCCTGATTCCCTGGATAAAATACCACAACTGTCCCAAACCCTTACTCCAGCCTGTTTAAACTGCATTTACTGTTTCTATTATTCACATGCTTATGGAAATTTTAGGCATCGCTTCGTGTGACCCTTCATGTGGCCAGCCTCTCCTGAGGTGATATTGGGTGTTCTTCCCCAAGCTGCATAAGCATTCATTTCTTTACTGAGTCCTTCCTTTATGCTTTGTGGCACTTCCAGGCTGGTTGTCTCATAGTTTTCAGGCTTAGTAAAACTTCTGCCCAGGGAAGGAATGACTGTTGTGGGTTTGGCAATAGAGAGCAGACTGAGATCCTCCTGTACAGCAGGGGAAGCCAGTAGGTCAGAGCTAATGCTCTTATTTCTATATCATTACTTTGATCTCGTGATTCCTAGCCAACAAGCCTTTCTGTCCCAGGATAAGAAAGGTCATGCCAACATCAAAAACAAAAGAGATTACTCCATCCTAAGCTTTAACTCCCACAGAAGAGTAAATGTATACATCTACAAAGTCAGTGGGTTTTTTCCTAGACTTTGCCAGCCCATTAGATTTATCCAAATGTGTACCATAGCAATATTATAAAGTGAAACATCAGTTACTAAGAACATGCTCATAAATGACAAATATTAGAATGCAGTCTCTATTTGTGGTTTAGATCAAAAAATTATTTTTATTTATCCTAGCTTTACGTGCATCTCACGGAAACAGGATACACGGTGTATATATTATTATGCAGTTCGTTGGAACTAGAATTTCAAAAAATTTTAATAAATATGTTTAATCTGTTGCCTCTGGAGAATATTGAGAATTAATAGTTGTGTTTCCACCCACTCGTTTCAACGGAGTTTCATATATTGAAGGCTGTATTCTCTGTTGAAAGCTCTATTTCACCATGGATTTTTCTCAGCAGAGACTCAGGTGTTTAATCCTTGACACCATCACTGACATTTGGACAAATCATGTAAATGCTCTATACACATAAAGGGGAATTAAAGATGTCTGCCAATGTCCCTACATTAAAGTACTATTTTAAAATTAAGATAATTGTAAATATATTAAAAGCAAGTGGAATAGTTCACACAGTTTCCAACTTATGGATGGGTGGTGTTCTGAGAGTGTGTGTTGGTCGTTAAGATCTCTGGATGCATTTTTCCTGAGGAACACAATGAGTACACAATGATGTGGTTCCTGGGCCTACCTTCAACACACATGTTTTATATATACAACACAACACACATGTTTTATATATACAACACAACACACATGTTTTATATGTATAACACAGCACACATGTTGTTGAATAATTATTTATCTAAAAACTTTAGAAACTATTGTTTTCATACATTGTAGATTAGCTGAGTTATATCAGCATGTGATGAATCTTCCCAGCATGTGAAACAAAACTGTTGCTCCATTGGTTAAGGAAATAAATATCTTAATGATATTTCTTAGAGCAGAGCACATCTCCACTTGGGTTTCACTTTCTGAAATACAAAATGAAGAGGCTAATCAGTCCATCTCTGAGGTTAATATTCTATGTATTGTCTCATAATCTTTTTAGTGATTTTTTTACCTTCATCTATATCCCCATGGTATGATTTTTTATCACCTGTTTCCCATTACTGTAAGCTTTCCTCCTTTCCTACCATCTTTCTTTTTCTTCACATTCATAATTTTGAGGCACAGTTTCACTGTCACTCAGGCTGGACAGCAATGGTGTGATCATAGCTCACTGCAGCCTCAAACTCTTTGGCTCAAGCAATTCTCCCACCTCAGCCCCCTGAGTGGCTAAGACTACAGACATGTGACACCATGCCTTCCCCCCTCCCCCCGTAGAGATAAGGTCTTGCTATGTTGCCAAGCTGTTTGTTTGTTTGTTTGTTTGTTTGTTTTTGAGACGGAATTTGCTCTTGTTGCCCAGGCTGGAGTGCAGTGGCATGATCTCGGCTCACTGCAACCTCTGCCTCCCGGGTTCAAGTGATGCTCCTGCCTCAGCCTCCCGAGTAGCTGGGATTACAGGCATGCACCACCACACCTGGCTATTTTTGTGTTTTTTGTAGAGACAGGGTTTCTCCATGTTGGTCAGGCTGGTCTCAAACTCCCAACCTCAGGTGATCCACTGCTTCCCAAAGTGCTGGGATTACTGGTGTGAGCCACCACACCCAGCCGCTGGTTTTGAACTCTTGGGCTCAAGCAGTCCTCCCACCTCAGCTCCCAAAGTGCTGGGATTATAGACATGAGCCACCATACTTGGCCTTTCTTCTTCTTTCTGTTAACTTGGTTTAGTTTTTATTCTGATGATCATCCCTCAATGTCTTTCACTGTGGATTCCAATAATAATTGCTCTCCATTAAAAATAAATACAGACATAATAATACATTGAATGAGTAGATTAGACCTTTTCACATATCTAACTTAAAGGTAAATAAATTATGTATTCATTGGAAGCTAGCCTTTCACCATAAGAAGTTTAATATTCAGATTATTAATAATTATGGTTAATATTGATAGAATGCAGAACCTCATGCTAAGACTTTTACATGAATTTCCTCATTTATTATTCATAAGAACAATATAAAATAGCTCTTAATATAATTCCCATTTTACAGATGAAGAACTTGATGAATGATGTGGATAGTAAAGTTAGAAAGTGCAAATTAAATTCATAGTAAGTCAATACGATATTATTTTGTAGTTTGGTTTTTTTTTAAACTTTTAAGCAACATAGCAGCACAATTAAGCATTTAAGCAGTCGACTCCAGACAGAGGTGGGTTTGCCTTATAGATTTCTCACTTGTTACATGCTAGCCTTGGAAAGTTTTCTACCTCTCTGGGCCTCATTTTCTCATTATAGAAGATAGAGATAATAATAACTAATCCGAGAATGTAGTGAGGAGTCAGGAATGTAAACCAATTGTGAATACTATATGCAATGCACTTAGCGTGACGCCGGTACATTGCACATATTCAACGAATAAATAATCATTATAGTTATTCTTATTAGCCATATCTAATTGGCTGATCTTTGCTCAAATTAATTTATCTTTGATATGAACCTTTATGTGTGAAGGTTTAAAACGTGCAGGTGTCAAAAAAATCCCCTTAAGCTGTTGTTTCAATGATAATTTCTGTTTTGTGTCCATTATCAAATTCTAGTATCTCAGCCTACTTTAATAAAGTAAGACAAGGAGCATATTTCCACAAAGGTATGTAGGTCAAACATTGCCTGTTTTGTTTTGTTTTGGTAAGTAAGAAAATGGGAATACCAGTAGAGTGGAACTCCCTCATTTGGCAATGACTGAAATGTGAACGTTCAGATTGGTTGGTCTTACCACTCCATCCCATGTGCTCCAGTTCCAGGGAAACCTCGGCTTGTGATTAACCACACTCAGATGAATACTGCTCTTATTCAGTGGCACCCTCCGGTGGACACATTTGGACCTCTTCAGGGCTACCGTCTAAAATTTGGCCGCAAGGATATGGAGCCACTTACTACTCTTGAGTTCTCTGAAAAAGAAGATCACTTTACAGCTACAGACATCCACAAGGGAGCATCATACGTCTTCAGGCTCTCAGCCAGAAACAAAGTGGGCTTTGGGGAGGAGATGGTGAAGGAGATTTCCATTCCAGAAGAAGTACCAACTGGATTCCCTCAAAACCTTCACTCAGAAGGCACCACTTCAACCTCCGTCCAGTTATCTTGGCAACCACCTGTCCTGGCAGAGAGAAATGGCATTATCACCAAGTATACCCTTCTTTATAGGGATATCAACATCCCCCTTCTCCCGATGGAGCAGCTTATTGTTCCAGCTGACACCACTATGACACTCACTGGCTTAAAACCAGATACCACATACGATGTAAAAGTACGTGCTCATACGAGCAAAGGGCCCGGGCCATATAGTCCCAGTGTCCAGTTCAGGACACTGCCTGTGGATCAAGGTAGGATTTGTCTGCTTACGGCCTTCCTCCTTTAAAGGATTGTCAGTCTTTGGAAATCAGTATTTTGAAGCTATAATAACTGATCAGCCCATTCATATTAATAGGTTCAGCAAAAACAAAAAGGTAAAGTATGTAAAACTTACTACGTCTTGGATGCCTTAGATTTCAGTTATAGAATGTCAAGCAAGTCTGGCTGACAGCACCCCAATGTCCTCAGGTAAGGAAAACACAATAGAGTTGGCTGAATTGGAGAGAAAGGAAAGATCTCTGTGAGAATGGGGTATTAAAATGAATGCTCTAAACAGGTAGGAAAATCATACTTCTCTCTCTGATCAAAGTAGACAGCATCTAGCATAAGCCCCTATGGTCCATGGTGGAAAGGACAGGTCATCTGTTTTAAGAATAGTTTAAATACACTGTTTTTCCTTTTCCAGCAGTGTTTGCAAAAAATTTTCATGTCAAAGCAGTAATGAAGACTTCCGTGTTGCTGTCTTGGGAGATTCCAGAGAATTATAACTCCGCCATGCCTTTCAAAGTAAGTTGTTTTCTAATTTGTAAGAAATCACAGATAAAAGTAGAGGGGACAGTTTATCTGGGTAAGTTATTTGCACAGCAAGCAGACCACTTTGTTTTGGCCACGTGTCCTTGCTATTTTCATTTGTGACTTTCACATGGGAGACAGTTTGGTGCTTTGTAAGTGTGTCCTTTACACTCTGAAGAAGGAGCAGGAGCTTAAATCCAGGGCTGGCATCACTTGTAGGTTACCTACTACTTTGAACTTGAACTTTTTACATCTAAGCTAGTGCTTTTGTTTTTCAGCCAGAGAATGAAATTTACATGGTTTCTACCTATTTATATTATAATACCCTGGGAGTTTCTGAATTTGTTTGTTGGCCTGTATTCTTGGCACATTTTAAACTCTGGCTTGCCATTAAGAGATGTTAGCAAGTACATATTTATGAAATAAGAAATAGAGAAACATTTTTGAAAGTAAAAGTATATTTAGAAAGAGGAACCAAAACCTTTAGAAAATAGGCAATATTCATAATACGTTGAAACGTAGAGCTTTTCTGCACATATTCCATTAAGATCACATACAACTGACAGGTCTAATATTGATAAGTTATTTTCTATATATATATATGTATATATCTATCTTTGTGTATTTTTGATAGACTTGGAAACATTTTATCATTACACAGTAGGAAATGACAGGAAAATTGATGTGATCTCCAGAATTATGACTACTCATGGACTTAGAAATCACCTAAAATTAGAATTGACTATATATACATTTTCCAAAAGCTAGTGCACATTGGTTTAGAAAATATATTTTGCCTCTCTGATAACCAGATTTTTTTTTTATTGGTTTTATCTCTTTAGATTCTTTATGATGATGGGAAAATGGTAGAAGAAGTGGATGGCCGAGCCACACAGAAGTTAATTGTCAACCTGAAGCCTGAGAAATCATATTCATTTGTGCTGACAAATCGTGGAAACAGTGCTGGTGGGCTGCAGCACAGGGTCACGGCAAAGACTGCACCAGATGTATTACGTACCAAGCCTGCCTTCATTGGGAAGACCAACTTGGATGGCATGATTACTGTGCAACTGCCTGAAGTACCTGCAAATGAGAATATAAAGTAAGTTGATTGAAGGCTTAGGGCTGAAGGAAAGAATTATAGGTAAATAGGAACATTATATCTCAAAATTATAGAGGTCGTAAAAGAAGATACTGCTTAATGTAGTGAAAGATTCTTCTGCTCAGACTCCCAGTTTTGCTATCCGAGTTCTTTTACAACGTGTCCTAGTATTCATTGTAACACAGATTTTCATTAATTTAACAGTGAGTTTTTAATCTGTATTGCAGGGACAGTGTTATTTAGGAGAAACAGAAAAACATATAGAACATGGTTCTTACTACAAAGCTTTTTGTTTGTTTGTTTGTTTGTTTGTTTTTGTTTTTGTTTTTGTTTTTGTTTTGAGACGGAGTCTCGCCCTGTCACCCAGGCTGGAGTGCAGTGGCGCGATCTCGGCTCACTGCAACCTCCACCTCCCGGGTTCAAGAGATTCCCTTGCCTCAGCGTCACAAGTAGCTGGGATTGCCTCAGCCTCCTGAGTAGCTGGGATTACAGGCACCTGTCGCCATGTCTGGCTAATTTTTTGTATTTTTAGTAGAGACCGGGTTTCACCGTGTTAGCCTGGATGGTCTCAATCTCCTGACCTTGTGATCCACCTACCTCAGCCTCCCAAAGTGCTAGGATTATAGGCATGAGCCACCGCGCCCGGCTACTACAAAGCATTTTATGTCATAGTTTATGGAATAAGGTGAATAGGTGATTAACTCTAATATTTGGCAAAATATTTTTGTAATTATGAAGAAGTCTTACAAAGTACTAAAAGGTTGAAAAAAAGGGGGGGAAATTAGATAATGGTATATGACACTGATGTATTAAAAGTAGGAAAAATTCCAAAAAGTTAAAGTTAAAAATGACATTGGAAAAAATATAAACATTAGAAAATTCAAGTTTTCTGGTTTGAATGTAGCACAGCATAGAGGCCAACAGGCCTGAAGTGGAAAATTAAATCCAGTCAATTAAATAAGTTTGTCCAAGGACATATAGCTAGTTGGTTGAATAACTAATAGAAGAAAAAAGTATTTTCACCAAAATATATGAACTACAAGTACTGTGGTAGACTCCGGGGAATAAAAAAAGATGGATTCCTGACTTCAAAGACCTTACCATAGAGTGAGAGAGATACAGAGAAACAGACAGATGTAGTAAGCGTTAATGATAGAATTATGCTTTATCTTAAGAGCAGCTAATTCAGAATGGGTCAATAAAGTTTCTGAACTTAAATCTTAAGGGATAAATAGGAGGCATACAAATAATAAAAGAGAGACTATATGCAAAGGGAGTGGTAAGTGCATAGGCCCATTACTAAAGGCACCCAGTGGTGCCATACGGCTGGATCCCAGAGCGCCTGGCCACAAGTGGCAAGAGAAGGAAGAAGGAGGCATACAAGAGCCAAGGGTATACCCAGAAGTGAAAACTATATCCTCTAGACAATGGCAACCCATTACAGCTCTTTACACAGGAGAGTGGCATGATAACATTTCAATAATACATAATAAAATTCCATTTTAGGAAATATTTGTTGAGCATCTATTGTGCTACCTGTTTGGAATAAGAATAAATCCTTTCTCATTTCTTCTATCTCACACCCTCAAGTTTAGGTGAAACTTGCTATGCCAGGTTTGAAGGTCAAGCAGAGAGGCATTTATTCATAGTTCATGCATTGTTGGAATTTGGATAGATGGGAGCGCCATAGAGATAGTGGTAGAGAAAATTATTGGGAGGTGGTCACATAGTTGACTCTAGGCAAATAACAAGATTCTAAAGGAAGATGATGATGATGGAAGTAGGATGCAGAGGTAGACATGAGTTACACTAGAGTAGTAGTACAGCATACATTATTGGTAGCTGCTTTAATGATGAGATCAAGAGAGTAAAATATGGCTCTGAGTTCTGAGCTTGGATGACAATGAATGATGGTGTCATCCTAAAGGATAAAAAAATTCAGAAGTAAATGAGTTTAACGTTGTGTGTATTAATATGAAATATCAGTGAAATACCTAGTTAGAAGTGTGGGCTTAGAGAAGTTATTAAGATTAAAGATGGCCAGGCATGGTGGCTCATGCCTGTAATCCCAGCACTTTGGGAGGCCGAGGCGGGCAGATCACAAGGTCAGGAGTTCGAGACCAGACTGACCAAAATGGCAAAACCCCGTCTCTACTGAAAATACAACAATTAGCCGGGCATGGTGGCGCATGCCTGTAATCCCAGCTACTCAGGAGACTGAGGCGGGAGAATCGCTTGAACCTGGGAGGTGGAGATTACAGTGAGTCAAGATTGTGCCACTGCACTTCAGCCTGAGCAACAGAGGTATACTCCGTCTCAAAAAACAAAACAAAACAAAACAGATTATAGATATGCATTTAGGAGTTGTTAACAAAATAGCAATGGTTTCGTGGAAGAAGACAGAATCATTGAAGCAATGAGGGGAAAATGTGAAGCAAAAGACTAAAATAAAGGTCTCCGTTAATAGGAAGAAGAGAGCCAGTAGAGGACACAGAGAGGGATTATTAGAAATCTAACAGGAGAACTGAGCCAGAGCAGCATGGCAAAGGGATTTTCTAGAAGGAGAAAAATTCAAAAAGTGGTCAAAAACTCCCCAAACTCCAGAAAACTTAAAGCAGATGGCTGAGAAAATCAGGTATTAAAAAACAAAATCAGAAATAAGAAGTTTTAAAATAGTATAATTTGTGTAATTTAGGTATAATTAATAAATTCAGACCTGATACACATCCTAAAACAACCTTTCCTGGGTACACTTTCAATTATTGTTTATTTGATAAAATAATTGATGAATTTCAACTAGGTGACAGAATTTCAAAAAGATTATTACTAAAATCAGTGAAAAGAATTTCTGAAAGATTATTACTAAAATAAATTCAGTGAAAAGAATTTCTAAAACATTATTCCCAAAATAAATTCAGTGTAAAATAAAGTCTTCACATTTGTCTACTCTTATTTTTTTTTTTTTTTTTTTTTTTTTTTGAGACGGAGTCTAACTCTGTTGCCCAGGCCGGCGTGCAGTGGCGCCATCTCTGCTCACTGCAAGCTCCGCCTTCTGGGTTCAGGTCATTCTCCTGCCTCAGCCTCTCGAGCGGCTGTGACTACAGGAGCCCACCACCACGCCTGGCTAATCTTTTTGTATTTTTAGTAGAAATGGGATTTCACCATGTTAGCCAGGTTGGTCTCGATCTCCTGACCTCGTGATCCAACCCCTCAGCCTCCCAAAGTGCTGGGGTTACAGGCGTGAGCCACGGCGCCCGGCCCTTCTTCTATTATCTAGAAATCTGAAAATGAGAATGGAGTATTTGTGTAATTTTTATCCCAAGCAATTTCAGTATGACAGCGGGATTATATTCCTTGATTTGTGTATTCATTCTGAATGTTTATTAATTGATCTTGACAGATAAAGGATATTTATGAATTTTTAAAACCACTTTATTGAAATATAATTGATATGTAAGAAACTGTGCAGATTTAATGTATACAACTCAATGAGTTTGGGGATACGTATTTACCTATAAAACCATCAAGGCCATAGACATATCAGTTATTTCTTGATCACATACCCTAATAGTCAACGTTAATGTTTCAGGGATTCAGTAGCGACAGTGTGTCCTTTCTCATTGTTCTCATACAGCATAGTTAATTGGGCAATTTGGACAAGCAAAGAGTTCACTGAAGCAGAGTCCTATAGTAGAGAAAATTAGATAGATAAGGGAGGCTGTAGACGAGGCTCCTAACTCCGGCTTATTAGTTCAGCAGTCCTAGAGAAAGTGACAAATGAGGCTTTTTAAGCTGAGGCTTAAAAAGTGACAGGAAGTTAGCTGGGCCATGGGAGTGGGAGTGGAGAGACAGCCGTTCACTCAGAGGATAGAGCGTCTCTGATGGTGTAGAGGCAAGAGAAAGACTAGCAATTGTTGTTTGGCCACGTTGTACTTGTCTACCTCTTAAGACTTTCCTGCTGGCATCCAACAAATATATATTCTATACACACTGTTTTGTCAGGACTATTTCTGGGAATAGAAAGATGACTGAGATTAAGTCCTACCTTATAGTAAGAGAATAGATTCAGAAAATAGATAATGTGAATATAATGGGGTGAGTACTGCCAGGTATTGTGAAAACATAAATATCAAGTTTTAGCCCAATTTGGGTGTCAGGGGAGGCCTCCTGAAGGAGATCATATCTAATCTGAGTCTGATAGTGTGAGAAAGATTTAAGAAAGGTGAAAAAGTTACAAATAATGAAGGAACAGGGAAATGATAGACTATAAATTCATTCCATTAAAAAAACATGCATGTCTCTTCAGGAAAAGAGCAGTTGAAAGAGGAAAATAGTATAGTATATTCTTCAGCATTTACTATTAATTTAGTTTTCAATACTTTCTTTTATTTATATAAAAATGACCTTTTAGAGGCTGTTCACCAAATTGTGTTGCTAGAATGTGTTAGCTATTATTGGAAATTGGCACTTTTAGTCCATTGGTGGTAAACTTTAGTTTCATTTTCCAATTTCTGAAGGAGTTGAGAATATTGCAGAATGTTTTCTACCTTTGTCAGTTTTTATTTTTAGCTTGTTCAATTTTTTTTGTTTTATTTATGCACTTTCCGCTTCTATATTTGAAAAGGGAGTCAGGGAAAAGGTATAAAACTTTGACATCACAGAAATGAGACCATTACAAAGCAGAAAAAGAAAGCAAACTATTTTGGACATTTTTTGTTTTCTAGGAATGAATAAAAGATTCTCAGAAATATATTACAGCCACTTTGGGGAAGAAATGAGTGAAAGACTAAATCAGGAAAGTACTTGAGTGAGAAAAGTATCAAAGAAATGGAAAATGAAAAGCAAATCTTGTAGTGAAAAGCCTTAGATGATTTCTATTTATTGGAATTCTTAAAGGGATAATAGTGTAAGGTTACTACTCCTGTTTTCTAGACTGGTTAATGTAACACGGTCAGGTATTACAAGAAGCTCCGTGCCATGCTGTGTCACTTGCCGTGGTTGGCAAGTTTAGAAATTAGGAAAGGTTGTAGCTTTTTATTCAGTATTCTATTAGAAAAAATGTGAGGAAGAAACAGAACTCATTCCAGAACGGTGGGCAGGTTGCTAACTTTTATTTAGATGAAAGCTATCCAGAAAAATGCTTCCTATTTGTTTTCAAGCAAAATGCAGTTTTGGTGATTGACACCTGTTTTCTTGACCAACAGAAACCATGCTGTCATTTCTGGCCAAGTTAATGAGGAGGTCTTGGCCCCTACTCCTTAACTCCTCAACACCGAAAAAGTGTCTAATGATTTCTAATTAATTTAATATCTCTTTACTTTCATACTTGGTTGTTGTATTTTTTGTGTGCCACATCAGGAGAGTTCCCTCACAGAAAGGCTAAATTTCTTTTGTAACAGCCTTAAGGATACTGCAAGTTCTGGTATCAGGAATTCTGTGGTGCTTAAACCTACTATTTAAGTAGATTTGGGGAGCAGAATGCCAGTCAGATCTAGCAGTGCTACTGTTGTTCAGAAGCAAGTTGTAATGACATAGGGAACTTCTGTGACTTTATAGAGCAGAATTTTACTCTGGGTATTTAAAAAATGCACAACACAGATTATACTAGGAGAAAAAACTACCAGAAGGTACTCAATGTAAATTAATTTTATAACAACCGTTTTATGTTTATAAAAAATTGAAATAAAGAATAAGGGTATTCTATGAAATTTTCAATTTCTTTGGTCTTACTAATTTGTTCTCAACTTTTTCTTTTAAACAAGAAGATTTTTGTGGAAGCATGGCTTACAGTGTTGCTTCATAAGATTTGTGTTCCACTATTAGCAGCCTAATGAAGAGTAATTAATCATGTGTTTGTGAGTTAAATTACTTTAACTCACAAAGGCTTAAATTTGTATAGTACTTTGCAATTTACTGAGGATATTAGGTTTCATTTAAGACTCACAATAACCCTGTGAGGTAGGTATTCTTCCTCTAATTTACATATGAGTAAAATGAGGACCAATGGTACTAAGTGTCCTGGCCAAGATCATACAGCTAATACTAGTAATGGTTAATACGAACAGAGGGCATACTAGGTGCTTTGCAAAGGATGTTACACACATTAACTGATGTAATCCTCACAGGAATGGTGCTCCTTATTTTATAGCTGAGGAACACACAACATACAGTGAC
The DNA here is from genome assembly GCF_000001405.40 of Homo sapiens. Classification (NCBI taxonomy): domain Eukaryota; kingdom Metazoa; phylum Chordata; class Mammalia; order Primates; family Hominidae; genus Homo; species Homo sapiens. The sequence goes on along the minus strand of NC_000009.12, from coordinate 8,477,944 downwards.
TTGCCCCAGCTGGCAATACAAAACCAGAGAGGAAAGGCTTGAATCCAGGCAGTCTGGCTCCAGAGCCTATGTTCTGAACCACAGCCCTGCCTCTGTGCCCATAAGTTTATTGGTCAAAATAGAATTTTTTTTTTTCCTAGGTCAATTGATAACTGATTAAAACTCCAAAAGAAGTAGACATAAACAGGACTGCCCCAGACAAACCTTAGAACTAAGAGTGACCAGGCATATGTGCTTGGGTACAGATCACAGAAGTGTGTGTTTAGTGTCATGAAGCAATAAAGTCAGTGGGTTGCCATGAGAATTTAAGGAGCGGTAAAGCCAGGAGGCTTACGCAAGGAATGACATTCATCATTAAACTCCTAGACGGACTTTTCACCTCCCAGTTAAATAACATGTTTGAGAATGCTAATACACACTAACACAAAAAGCCTGACTGAATTTGAAGTGGGACTGCCACAAAAACCAGAGCTTGCCTTCTCATATAATTATGGGGAACTGGGCCCCTTGATGATAACATATTAAATGAAATCAGTAAAACTTTACTTAATATAATTAAAACTCTGAAGGTTAGATTTAACTTATCTAATTAAATCTAATATACTGGGAAAACACAGCTTACTTTATAAGTAGTCAAGGGCTTTCCAGATATATTGATTCTGAAGTTATTTATTTTTCTATTACTTTAATAGTTAAAGTCTATGTTGAAAAGCTGTTTTGAGTCTAAACTCCAGGCTTGAGGCAGACGGGCAAAGCAGAATATTGAGTTTAATTTTACCCATATATAAAGCTAGCTCCAAAAGCAATTTATTTTTTTTTTTTTCATTTCAAGCAAGTTCTTTCAGCTCATATGATTTGGTTGATATGAATTTGTAGGGCACATATTAGCTGCCCATTTCACTCCTCCAATATGAATCATCTTATCTTTCTTAATGTCCTGTGAGATTAGAACAAGGGTCACGAGTAGGCCAGTAAAGAAAAGAACGTTTGCAATAAGGAGTTATATTTTCTAGAAACTCTATTTGGGCATGCCATTGCTGGTTTGAAGAAAGGAGAAAAAGCTTGATGAGACTGAGAGTTGAAAATTCTGATGGAGAAGAACCGCCAAATATTTTTGACTGCCTGACTTAGGAGAGGCATTAATTCCTAAGAGCCACCTCTTGTACCCACTTTCTTTACAGTGGAAGAATAATTCCATGATAAAATAGCAAAGTTAAGCAAATGTTGGGGGTATTATATGTATGTCTGCTTTAGTAATGTTTTTATAAATATATAAATTTGTTGTATAAGAAAATGTATAGATTAAAAATGGTTCATAGAGACCATATAATGGGGGTAATAGGTTTAAAAAAAATCAGAGAAGATTTCACTTAGAAAATAATCAGTTAGTAGATATTTAAGGAGAGAGAATAGTTAACTAGGTGGGAGTGACAGAAAGTTCTAGGCAGGTGGAACAGAATGATCGATAGTTTAATGACAGAATGGACTGTCAGAGATCTCCAACCCCTGGGCCATGAATGGGTGCCAATTCCTAACCTTGTTAGGAACCCGACCACACAGCAGGAGGTAAGCAGTGGGGAGGGAGCATTACCACTGGAGCGAGCTCCGCCTCCTGTCAGATCAGTGGTGGCATTAGAATCTCTCAGGAACATGAACCCTATTGTGAACTGCACATGTGAGGGATTTAGGTTGCCGGCTCTTTATGAGAATCTAATGCCTGATGATCTGAGGTGGAACAGTTTCATCTCAAAACCATCCCCCCAATCCCCACCCTGTCCGTGGAAAAATTTTCTTCCATAAAATCAGTCCTTGGTGCCAAAAAGGCTCGGAACCACTGGACTAGGGTAAATGCAAGAAACTGAAAGCCTATCAAGCTGTAGCTGAGAGGGCACAGTCAGAGGGATTCAGGCAAGATCCTGCTGGCCTTCTGATACCTTTCAGTCTTTATCCTAAGAGAAATGAGGATCCATTGAAATGTTTTAAAAAGTGGAAATGGCAGAACAAATTTTGTATTGTGAATTGAAAATTTCAGAGACTGCACTAGACGGGGCTAAAGTCAATAGAGAGAGTTGAGAGAGTAAGGTCACAGTCTGGGCATAAGACATGGAATGAGGCCAGAAGAGTGGCAGTAGAGATGGAGAAAAGCACGTGCACTGGAGATAGGGTTTGGAAGTGATAGAACTTAGCAATAGATTAAGTATGACAGAGGGAGAGAATAAAGGCAGATTGTCAATGATAACACCTAGGTTTCTGGCTTGTGCACTGAAATGGATTGTAGTGCAATGTTAGGGAGGGTTTATTTTGAAAGGCATATTATTTCTTTTATTTTAACCACAGTAAATTGGGGGTACTTTTGTAACTTAAAGTCAGATAAACCAGTGGAATTCAGAAGAACATTCTTGGCTAAAGATATGAGTCTGGAAATCATTTGCATATAGCTAAGAACTGATGCCCTGAGGTGGAATGAGATCTAGGATGAAAATAGGGTCTGGATAGAAGTTCTTGGCCAGAGCCTTGAGGAGTGTCACCATTGTAGCTGGGCCGCAGATGATAAATTCTGCTAAGGAAATAAGGTTAGTGTGGAAGGAGATATACATAGAAATAACAGAAGAATATCACAGAGAAAGGGCTCAGAATGTTTCATGGAGAGTGTTAACATCTTAAAAGGTCTGCTAAGAGGGCAAGAAGGACAGAAGAGTACCAGAAACTCCCCTTTTGATGTAATGCCCTGGAGATCACTGAGCACCCTGGCAATGGCAGTGAGGTGGAGTGAGGAGGCAGGCGCTAAAGCCTAGTCAGCTGGGAAGTGAAGGGAAAGGGAGGCAGTGGGAGCAGCAGGAACACACAGCTATTTGCAGAATTTTGGCAGTCAGGAGTGGGAGAAAGAGAGGTGACTAGAGTGGGATGTGGTTTGTTTTGTTCTCTATATGACACATATTTGTACATGGTTGAAACCTAAGTGATGGGATCAAATGGGGAAGGAGAAGTTGAGATATATGAGAGAGAAGGAGTACAATGTATGGTAAACTTCCTAAGAAAGTGAGAAGATTGAAAACAATTCAAGAAATAGTTAATGGCCTTCAAAAGTAGGGCCAGCCCTTCTACTTTACCAAAAGAAAATGTGTGGTTTGTTTACAGATCTAGATAGACTTGTACTTTGGTAGACAGATGATGAGGGAATTCTTGTCTGAATCTTTGCATTTTCTCTTTATATAAGAGATGAGGCCATCTTCTAGTGGGGTGGTTTGAACGTCCAGGGTTTCAGGCTAGAGGAGAAAGTGAAAATGTTACTGTGGAAAATGGAAGGACTAGGCAATTGGAGCAGTTATTAGGAAACTAGATAGTGGTAAGATTGCCAGGCCGTGTTGAAGGCCTAACTGGGGTTGCTGATTATGAATTTATGGCATTATTCTGCCCTGTGCTTTATTTCTCAAGCTGTGTTCAGCTCCCTGGATTCTGGCACAGAGAATGGCAAGCGTAGATTTCAGCTAAGGTAGAGTGGAGGAGACGGGCTTTGGAAAGGGAGAATTGAAGAATCTGAGAGCTTCAGTGGTACGTGGGCCCGACCTATGAAGGTTGAAATCACCCAGGATGATGACAGAGTTTGGAGAAAAAAGAAGGCCATGAACCCCGCAAAAGAATCTTCCCTGAGAGAAAGGAGATGCTGGGGGAGGTACTAGATGGCAAAAATCAGCCAGAGAAGATCATAATGTAGCTGGATTGCATGAACTTCAAAAAAGAAGGGGTTTGTTACTACAAAAGCAAGAGAGTGGAAGAAAAATACCTGCAGGAAGCGATGGGAAGCCAGGAAAGAAACCCCAAACCCTGACTCTGAGGTTCATGGGCAGGGGAGGAGGGATAGATCCACAGCTGCCATATGAGAAGGCTGCAAAGGAAGCAGTACCCTCAGGGGAGAGACAGGTTGCGGGTAAGGCAAGGAAGTTGATATTTACAAAGCTATAGTTGCAGAGAGCACAGTTGAAATGTGTGGATTTAGACTGAGGTGAGGCTTTGTATGATACAGAATTTCAAATTGCCACTGCCCTATTTCTTTCAATGTGCAAGAGCTGCTTTGAAGCAAGCTTCACTTTGACTGCCCTAGATGAATGCTTTAGAGATCAGCGGAGAAAAAAGGTTGTGGATATCTTGCCGCACCGTTAATTAATTGCCGTGGGGGAGGCTGTTCAATTCTTATCCCAGCCACAAGTAAAATGAATAGTGGGGGAGTGCTGCCGAAGAAAGAATGGATTTTTTTTTTCATGTACAAGAATGGCAACTCAAAGTATGAAAGCAGAAGAAAAAATTAATGAAACTCATCAGCTTAACCTTGATTTACAAGATTCTGAAGGAGGACAATGGTAGCACTCTGATAATATGCAGTATCATTGCTTTATGTGTAGCGCTCTTCTGACTTTGAGAAGTTGGTAGTGAAAAGCAAGAGGTTCCTTGACAAGTGTGTTTATCAAGCACATCTGCAGTGTGATTTTGTACGCTCAGTTGCAGCCTCTGTCATTCTCCTCCATGCTCATTTAACATGATGGACTTGTTCGGTAAATCCTTCAGATGGTGGGAGGACAGGAGAGGGGGAAGCTTACTCTGGATCATAACATAAAAGATATTGGTCTCTGTCATACGCAGAGAAGCCTCTGCCTTCTCCTCATCCTCCTTGATCATTATGATTGTTTGTAGTAAAGAAAATGAATGGCTAGCTGGTGTAATCCTGTGTATCTGTTGATTAGTTGCTCAGGGCACCATGGAGAAAGCATTGTGGTATAGTTGTCTGGTTTGAGTTGAATTCTCCATTAGGGGAAAAGAAGTTTGACAAGCTCTTTAACCTGCAGCTCACGGAATTTCATGCAGTCTTACTGAATAAGATAGTTCAGATGCGTCTCTCCGGCCTGTGATGTTCATACTAGCCAGTAGCAGCTGGTATCTGTTTACTGCTACATGCCACACACACTGTGCTGAGCACCTCTGGTTTATTTCCCCCCATATCACAGCCTGGTATTTTTTACTCACGTATTTCAGAATATATAACAGATTCTGGGGTCTAAGCCAAAGATCAGCCCAAACTCCCAGCCAGACATATCTCCAAGTGCCATATTCTTCACCAGAATGCTCTAGAGCAGTGCCGTCCAGCAAATATAATGAAAGTCACATGTGACATTTTAAGTTTTCTAGTAGCAACAGTGAAAAAATAAAAAGCAGGTGAAATTAATTTTAATAATTTATTTTATTTAACCTAATACATCCAGATTATTTTATAATGTATCATTATTTTAAAAATTATTACTGAGATATTTCACACTCTTTTTAATGCTAAGTCTTTGAAATGCAATATGTCTTTTACATTTACAGTGCGTCCCAGTTTGGGCTAGTGACATTGGCAGTGCCCGATGGCCCCCAGGGGCTAGTGGATACCATGCTGAACAGCTCTGCTCTAGACTCTTAATGGAAACAGAGTTCTTAATCACAGAGAGTTTACTGAGTTTATTACAGGTTTTGCTTTGAGATGAATAGAAAGAGGCCTTGCTGGCCTCTGTGGTCTCTGTGATTGGTCTCTGTGATTCAGTGTGACACAGGGTTGGGAGTGTCCTTCCTCTTGTTTCTTTGTCCTGTGTGGTGGCCTCCTCTTTTAAAGGTATGGGGGTATGTTTAGGTCCGTGTGTGTGTGTTTTCATTTTCACAGTAAATCTCCACGAAGTGTATGGAGTCCTTAGAAAATACTTTATGACACATAGAGTAAATAAGAAAAAGAGACAGACCACTGCCACCATTAAGATAAATGTAGCTTTGCGTCCCATTACTATCTGTTTTAATTTGGCAATTATTTAATCTCTACAGATCTGTCTTTTTGCCTGTGACCAGTCCTTGTAGCCTTATAGGCTATACCTAGGCTTTGCTCAGAGAATTTCTCTGTAGGAGGACAAAACCAGATTATGCATTTACTATAATACCTGAGAAGTAGGAAGTGATTAATATGTTATTATTAAACAGTATGTTCAAAGTCCTTGTATAGTTACTACTAAAGATCAGTATGAGCAGAATCCCTAAACAGGAATATGAAAGCAGAGTATATACTAGACTGAAGTGACAAAACAGCTTTACAAATAACCCATACCTATTTGTGGATGGGTGCCTTTATACATTCCTTAAATTTTAGTTGACTGTTCTCAGTGTAAGTATTCAGTTACTTTTGTCTTTTCGTATAGATGTCATTATAGTGATAGCTGTTTTGAAGGCCCTTAAGTCGTGATTTTCTCCAATTTTCTGCGGTACTTACCTCGAGATTTGCAATTTGATGGGTAGAAAAAGAAGGGAATTTTTAATATCTTACTCTGTGCAATTATACCTAATTTTTGTTACTTAAAAATTTTTAATTCAAATAAAAAGCATTTTAGGTTTGTATAAACAACAGCACTACTAGGTATTTATGTGGGCTAAGAGTGAAATTTTTCATCTATATCCTCCTTTTAAAAACATCTTCTTATAAATTCATGTCATAGAAAATATTTGGTTCAGCAGCTTGTGGTGGTAGATTGCAGTATTCTAGCCTTGTATGTGTCCAGCACCAGGGCCCTAACAAACTATGCCTGCTCTGTTTATGATACCTAATAAAGAGCAGTCCACCATGATGATATTACCATACAAGATCACTGCAATCACACATAAATGTCTTCCCGTGTTGTTTTTAAAATTGAACAAACAGGTGGATATTTGTCATTGATGTAAGAAATGGACAAGTCACCCCATATCCATAATTTGCCTTCAACCTCATTGGTCTGTGGAAGGTTTAAGGGTATATCCACGTTTTCCTCCTTTCAACTAACCTAACTTTTATCTATTCATTCTTGTGCAGAGGTTACTACATAATAATTGTGCCTTTGAAGAAATCTCGCGGGAAATTTATCAAGCCATGGGAGAGTCCAGATGAAATGGAATTAGATGAGGTAACTGTGTCATTGTTGGCCATGTCTTTTATTCGTTATTTAATCTGCTGCATTTCCGCCCCCCTCCCTTGGAGGCCTTTCAGGATCTAATCTGGGTGCTGGCTTCTCCATACCTAGCTGGTTGGATGGTTCAGTGCTATGGGCATGCTAACCCCTGGGGATCCCAACAAAGATCCTTTGGCTTTAATTAAAAAACATTAAGCTGCAATAAAGCTTACAACCTGTCTAATCTTTGTTGGCCTTAACATTTTGCCCCTTGCTCCTTGTAAAACATGATGTAGAGGTGTGGAAGGTGAAGTGAATTGTCAGCAAAGACTTAATCACCATTGGTATAAATCCCAAGGTCCCCTTCATTAGTGCAACAGTTGCTGAGGCTGTCACAAACACCAAGTTGCAATTTGCAGCAGAGTTCATTTGACCTACGATATGGTCTTAACCAGTTTCTCACAGAATTCTGTTGATTATCAGATGTTTGCCTTGTTCTATATTCTGTAGGTTTTCAGAGTCAAAAATGCATTTAACTATAGAGAAAACAAATGACAAAATTGTGAGCAAAGCAGAATATATAGAATAAGAAACAACAAATACTAAATATATAACGTGGATTTCCAAAATCTTGCAACAGCAGGTGCATTATAATTGGTACTCTTCTTGTATAAGGACATTTTTGAAAGGTAATGCATAACATGAAGAACAAGACATAATTACTACATACTTCTATTTAGGCAAGAAAATATGATCCAGAAGTGTTGAGCTAGATCCCCAGAGGACCACAGCAAGTTAATGAGTAGAATTCACATTTTAAAATACAGAAGAGCCTTTGTTATTTTAACATGATGCTGTTTTCAATCAGTTCATAAGGCAAATAACCGTAACGCCCCCATTTGGCAAATATGAGATTTTAATTTATTGGGATTATTTATAGCATAGGCCACATCTTGTAGTACAATCTTTTATTTCTAGGTATTTCTTCTACCTCAAATTAGTACAAACAGAGCAAGGAAAAGAATAAATTCCCTACCTACATTACAGAGAGATGATGCTTATTTCATATCTATGTCTGCACAAAGGAGACTGTGATCTGACCAGAAAGGTTGTTAGCTTTCTTTGGCAGACGTGTGTCATCTCTAGAAGCGGGATTTATGATCACTGGCTTCATTTATCTGAATTAAATTTGATCGTGTTCAGACGAGGAGATGAGTTCAAGGTTAGGCCTATGCTTTTGTGTCACTAGTGATTAGATGATCATTGGAGCTGTGTAAAATGAGACATTATTTCAATAATGTCATCAAGTAATTTAGATATGTTATAATTTAATTGTTTTGTTTTGATGGTGAAGGAACAAAATCATTATTCTGTGATATTCAGAAAATAGTAATCCTTTAACTGAAAATGCAGAATGATCAGCTGCTCTTTTCTAAGCATTTTGAAGCCAAACATGATTTTACTTGCAACTGACTAATCAATTAATCTTGATATATTCTTTACTATTTTAATTGGTTCTCAGCTGAACTACAGAAGTGTCATCATCCTGTTTAAGTTGAAATGGAATTTAAAATGCAAAGGCAACTTGTAGAATCTATGAATTGTTCTACCTATTAAAAAAAAGTTTTTAAGGCACTGAGATCCAAGCCAGAATGACATCAAATAGTTTTAACTAATAAGCTTTCCTTAGAAGTAAAGCCGTTTGGTAGTAAGTAATAGAAAGTGATTCTCTTTTGTAGCCAGGTTTTAACCTCCAAAATGCACAGCAACACTAATGGATTAAAGTATAGGGCTATATGACTTTGAACTTTCTTGCAATTAAATTCTGTGGGTCTCCGCTGCTGATTCCCATAACAAAGGGTCATTTTAATCATCCAAGTTGTGGTGCATTAATCTGTATAATGGTTTGATAAAGAACATTTTATTAATTCAAAATTTTTGGGTCGGGATGGGTTGTTTCCCACTTTTCTTACTGATATAATTGAGACCACATTGTAGAATTAATGGTGGAAGAAATAAGATATGCATTGACTGGAAAATGAAAATTATTTCTGATAAAGAACTAAAGCCCTTGATATATCTTCTGGAATTACCTCCAGTACATCTTGTAACCATTGTGGAGGGGAACAAATGAAAGTAGGCTATGGCCTCACTTTATGCTTACTCATCCAGTTTTTGATCCCTACAGAGAGTTTTTTTTTTTTTTTTTTTCTACCATGGATAATAAAAGCACTGTAGTAATTTTATCTATAGCTTGATACTGCCAGGTTTGACAAAGCAGTGTTCCTCTCTTAAATGTATTTGATCAAGTAATTTTTCAGAAAGGCCTATAATTCAAATTGTTGGAACCATATCATTGAATAGAATGGTGGCCTAAGGGGATTTCCACACGTATACCTCATATCTAGGCCCATAAGAAATTGAAAGAGGCTTTCCAAACAGCATTACTCTCAAAATTATCTTCTGAGTTCATTTATCCTTTGTTACCGGGCTGCTCTCCACATGATACATTTATAAACTGAAACTCCTATTGTCAAGGTCAAACTGGGTAGAGCAGACATTGATAGTCAAAATGAATTTGGGGCAGAATGACTCCCAGAATGTTAGTGATATTTAATTCAGAGCAGGTCATGTAATAGATCATGAGCTTTTCACTGCATTGTACTTCAAAGGCTTGTTGTAAAATAATGTGGTCATTTGTGGTTGTAACTGCAACATGCTGGCTGACTTTGGTGTCATCTGAGCCCATTTGAACCATTTAACGTGTAACACAGGAAGCATCCTGCAGAGATTAGAGCAACCTAAAGGGGCAGAGTGATGCTCCAGGTTTGACTTTAATGAATGACTGCATTGGGTCTAAGAATACCCAAAAGCTCAAATATTTTATTGTGAATTACTTCCTATAAGTCTTCTAAAGAAACCCTAGCAGAAAGTGCTTGTGGGAATGACAATGATATGGATGAATTGCGACTATTAACTACATCTGCAGTATGAATAAAACCAAGGTAGGGTTTGATCAGTGAAGTAGAAGAGGGGACACAGTCACATAAACAACTCATGATGAATGTTTTTGATTACCCAGCTTCAAAAACTGTTCAGCACCTCTGCAGTGCATTTTCCTTCTTGGTGTAATAGGCTACTGTCCTTAACTACATATCAACAATAAGCTGTGTAATGATGCTTCAATTATAATACTTCATTAAATATTTGGTATCGGATTTTTTTTAATTAGCATATGAAAAGAATCAAGAAAAAAGAAATAATACATTCATCTGCCTTGATGTAAGCAGATACATAAAAATTATATGTATAAATACACAGAGTTAGAACAATTTAGAGTATCAGAGCTTAAACATTATATTTCCTTATGATATTGTGTAATCATTAAGTAAATTACATTATAGTTGAAAAAATCTCTAACATGGAATTTCATTTTATTTCAGTAATTGAGTCTAATTATATATTGAGACTTTCTTCTATTGTGCCTCAGTTTCCTCATTTATAAAATGAGGATAATATTAGCCATCCTTATAGGGTTATTACGAGGAGTAAATTGGAGCTAATGCATGTTTAGGATCCCTAGAACAGTGTCTGGCACTCAGTAATTGCTTAATAAATGAAAACTATTATTGTTATAATTATCAGTATTATAAGTAAAGCTAAATTTGACAACAAGATTAAAAGATAGTGCTACCTTTCTGGCCTTGTGTTTTTACTGGCCAATTGGTGCATAATTGATCAGCATAACTGAATTTATTATGGGATGGTCCAATTTTGCTAAACAAGTGATGCCCAATCTACCGTGGTTTTCCTAAAACAGCTTACATTTCATGTAATTTTAATTGCATCAATAAACTTAAATTCACAGAAAATTTTAGCACGTTATAAATTAAATATTATTGAAAAATAATGTCGGCCAAAATTTTCCTGTAACTGAAAAACTGGTTTTTTACATTTTTAGGATACAATTTTGAACCAGCTGAACACATTTACTACTCCCAGTGTAGGAGGGACTGTAACGTACGATCAAATTCCTAATGGAAGAATTCAGTGTTTATCATATATACAGTCTGAAGCCATTTTATCACAGAAGCCTAGCCTTGATCATGCCAGGCTCTCATTCTACTAAGTAGAGATCACACTTTGGTTCTTACTAGATCATTTCTATTTACAAAAACAGGGCTAGTAAATAGTTTTGCTGCACTGTTTCCATAAGTATCTTAATTTTGTTTATCAAGGTGAAGACAAGGTTCATTCCTTTTTCCAGTTTGTCCTCAAATACATAGACTTTTCTATTAATACATAGATATTAAAATAAATAAAATAAAAATTCTTCCCAAGAAAATGGCGAAAAGACTGCTGCTTACATCAACAGGCATCCCAGACTAATACAGACCTTTCCCTTGTTAAACCCTGTGAAATACCAATTTTAATTGGAGAAGTCAAAGGTAACTTTGAAATCAGTGTTCATAACCACTGTTAGTATGATTTTCTCGTAATGAAGGAGTCAATGAAAAATAATAGGTTATCCAGAAATAAACTCTATCTCTTTTCTTTAGAAATACATGAAGCATCTGTATATACATGTGCATGTGTGTTTTCTTCAGGGCAGTACTAAAATTAATTTTCATCTACCTTGCCTATATTATCTGGCAATATATACACACTCCCAAGAGAGGTCAATTCTAGAAAAAGTTGACTCCATGATAAAGTGTAAGGAAGTGCACCCTAATTGCCTAACCAGGGAGCTAAGTCAAGTCAGAAATTGGTAAATGAGTAACAATGTCTATTTAATATGTGTATATTAAAAATTGTTTATTGGATTCTGCTTCTGCTGATTTGAGGGAATTTGTATCATATGAGTTATCTCATTACTCAAAACAATCTAAAGTGGCACTAACCTCTTCTAAAATGTGGCTATATTTAAAGATTTAGATGGCTTTGTCTGAGGTTAATACTTATTTAATAAATCTCCTGCAGGGCAAGGCTTTTATGAATCAAGCTGACTTTTTTCCTTAGACAAGTTATGATGCACTTTGAGAGAATTTCATTAGTGTAGGAAATGAAATGAGCTACAGCAAAGGACCTCATTGCCCTGTGTTTATAGCCTAGACCTTGTCAGAGCAGTCCAGTATCTTACCTCTACCTTAACAGGAAGAGAAGCATTTGAAATATTGAGAGAACTGAGATTTAGTGATGCTGATGTGCTATATGAAATGTGAACAAATTGCATTTGGGTTGTTCCCAGTTCTGAATTAATTTATCTCATTAAATTATCAATAAGCTGGGTTATTATTTACAGTTCTTTTTCTGTTTCCCACTTTTTTCCTTAAGCTGCTTAAGGAGATATCTAGGAAGCGCAGAAGCATCCGTTATGGGAGAGAAGTTGAATTAAAGCCATATATTGCCGCTCACTTTGATGTCCTTCCCACTGAGTTCACCCTGGGGGATGACAAGCATTATGGTGGATTTACAAACAAGCAACTCCAAAGTGGTCAAGAATATGTCTTCTTTGTGTTAGCAGTAATGGAACATGCAGAGTCTGTAAGTTAATTATGATGGCATCTGTTTCCTATGGTACGCTTATACATTTTCACTGGAATGTGGTTATTTGGGGATTTGTGGGTATATCCATCCTCATTATTTCTCATGAACTGTTATTAAGTGTAATAACAGGCTGCCTACTCTTTGAACATTGCTCAATATACTCCTTGAGACTGCATTACAAATGAGACTATGTCTCTGATGAAGGAAATTTAGGTGGCCCTCTAGTTTATGAAGTTCCAGATCGATAGGACATGGTTCTTGATACCTTCTGATGTAACACAAATATCATGGTGTTAGAACCATCATTGCTTACAATCTCCTTCCATCATCCTTTCAAAATGACTGTTGTCCAAAAAAGGAGACTGTTGCATAATACCTGGTTGACATTAGCCCCTGTGATTGCAATGGGAACTCACAAGCTTGGCCATTCAACATGGCATATTTCTGAAAATACTGACTTTGGGGGTGATTGTATTTATTCTCCTATATCTGCCAAGTGAGACCACAGTGCCTCTACCCGGATTCATGAGGAAGGTCTATCTAGAAAGAGGCAAATACAGCAGCCTCTTTAATTGTAGAAATTTATGAGTGACTGTATCAGTGAAAAGCCAAGAAAGTTAGAAAATAATTTAATAAAAGAGAGAATTCCTAAGGTATTCTAAATAATGAGTTTTCTTCTTTTATGTAATCCATCTTGCTTATATGTCATTTTATGCTTCAGTTACTTTGAATGTTTAAAAAAAAAAAGGGGAGAGATATTGTAGATAGGCAGGGGGTGAATTTTGAAGTGGCAGTACACATGAACATTTAATATACATATTATAAACTTCGTTTTCTAATCGGTGTCTAAATATGACAGGTGTGGCAACCCAGTTGAGCCAGTCATTTCCCATATAGAAGCAGCTCACAATGTATCAAAGATTTCTCCACATCAGGTGTTAGTGTGTACAGTGGGGCCTCTCTTCAAGTGACTGAAAGAATTCCCCCGTGGAAAATCAAAACACAAAGGCAGCCTCTCTGCCTGGTTTACCTTTGTGCTCAGAATGTCATTTGAAAACAAAGTAATGGCCTTCCTGGAATTTTAATGTTCAGATATGCTTTCTCTTTCTAGTTGAAGGTTTTAAGGCAGAACATCAAGGGAATGGAATGTTAAGAAATCATCTTTTTCTTTTATTCAAAAATGACTTTTAAATATTTGAGAGGAAATTTCTTTTAATAGCTCTAGGAACATTTCAAAAAGCATACTTAGAGCATTGAGGTAGATCAGAGAATCTAGCAAAGAAGAGAAATCTCATTCGATCCTGCAGACTGAACCACTGAACTACACACTGTGGTTTCTGATGTCTTCCGCTAGTGTTTTAAATGTGTCACAACTGATAAAGAGTCTGCCCCTTTCTTTAGTATGTCATCTGTTTATTAATTACAGAATCAAGAATTTTTTCCAAATTTGTTAATGAAGTTGCCCCTTTATTCTATCATCTTTCTCAGCATTGCTTTCAAATATCTATGATATTTATTTTCTTTATATATCATAAATATTTGCAGGCCTAGGAGAGACTTGTATCCAGCTAGAGTCATTTTGCAGTAATAAAGCCTTTGTGTAAGCCTCAAATTTCCATATCAGTTTATAACAATGTTCCAAGGGTAGACTGGTAATTTGCAAAGAGAAAATACTTCTCCGTCCCTCTCAAAGACACAAGCTATCCCCTAATCCTTTGTCTCATATTAAGAATGTCAGATAACTGGTTTGGAATTATCCAAAATTTAATCTCTTATTGCCACGCACAAGAAATTATATTTTTCATTAGGCTGGTATCATTTTATGATTTTGTTTTCTTTTCATTTTCATATGTCTCTGTTTCTTGAATGGGTTGGAAATCTATGTTCTTTGGGAAAACCTGTGCTTAGACTTCCATCTCAATGGACCGTGATTATTATCTTAAAGGTTCTTGGTAAAGAATTTCAAATGAGACAGTATTGCCTAGTTCTGTCTATGAAACTGTTTTAACATCACCTACAAAATGGAGTGGGTAAAGCATAAACCAAAACAATTATATAAAAAATCATGTTTCTTAGATATATAGTTCTTTGCCAAGTCCTTTGTGTCAATCCTCATACCATACACATCTTTTTTTTTTTTTTTTTTTTTTTTTTGGCTGCCTCTGAGAAGCTTGGACATATATACTGAGTTTTTATCTTCTTGTAATGCGTTAGAAAATCTGCAAATCTAGTCAGTCTCTTTCCTGGGCACAATGACGAAAATGAGAGAGAAGAGTAGTATACAAGCATTCAGTGGAACATCTGTTCTCCTGCTTGATGGCCAAGCTCATTGTACTTAAATTCAGAATAGATGCCATAAACTAAATTTTTTAAAGATGCAGGTTAAAACATTTAAATATATGTACCAATCATGAAAAGTGAGCATATATACTGATGTCTTGACAATTTCAGCCATTTGAAAAGATGAACATTTTTTGTCTTATTCAGCCAAGATTTGCTGAGAACCCACTAAGTACAAGGTTCATTGCTAGCTGCTTTAAGCATATAAACACAAATAATATATAAATCCCTACCTTCTAGGAGTCTGTAGTTTCGCCAAAGAAAATGAAGTATATATACAAATAAAAAGCCAAAATACAGTTTGGTGAGTACCATTTAAAAAAACAAGGACTAAATAAAAATTTAGCTGTGTTATTTTTATCTTTTTTGGTTTTTTTAGTAGAGGGGAATGACCGATCACTGCCAGTCAATTAAAAAGAGGTGGTTTCATTGGAGGCAGTATTCAAGTGGGGGCCTGGAGAGTTGTTCAATTTCAGGAGCTAAATGTTGTGGAACTTGTGAGGGAGTTGAGGAACAAGAATAGAGCCTTTAGGGAGTAGTAGCAAGAAGCCCACTGTGATGGAATGTGTTGTGTGTCGTAAGCAAGTTTAAAGTAAAATTGTGGATGCCCTTGAGAACCATGCTAAGTTATCTACGTTTTATTTGGGAATCAAGAGAGAGCCTCTTGAAGGCTTTATAGTTGCAGTTTAGGATGATACCTCTAGCAGCAGTGGAGACTATGAGAGGAAGGAAGAAGCTCTTGGTATAGTTAGGAGCACATAAGTAAGGGCCTAAAGAAAAGTGGCACTCATGAGACTAGAAGAAGAGCAGATGGACCTGGGGGACACTGATTAGCTAATATCAGTGTTTCCATTCTATTCCTTTTTTCTGTAAGGTAAAATCAGTATCCATTCTTAGATACTGAGAGGATGAGAGAATTTGGGAAGTGAGGAGGAAGGGAAGAAGGATCTGGGAAAAATTAAGAAACTCATACTAATTTGAACATATATGTAGGGGTCTCTAGAAATGATTGGAAATGAAGATCTGGGATTTCATAGAGTATCTGAGTTTAGGAACATTAATGAAGAGACAGATTCTGCATGGAGGTTGATAGTTAAAGCTTGGGCTGACCTTGCCAGATAAGAGAGGACAAGAGATGCTAGTAGAGAATAGAACTTAAGAATACGGGTTCAGGGCCAGCCACAGTGGCTCATACCTATAATCTCAGAACTTTGGGAGGCCAAGGCTGGAGGATTGTTTGAGACCAGGAGTTCGAGACCAGCCTGGGAAACATGGTGAGACCCCATCTCTATAAAAAAAATTTTTTTAAAAAAAGAATGTTTGTCTATAGGATGGAGTCAGAGATAATTAACTCAGCAGGGCATGAGCAGTTGGAAAGATGAGGATGGGACTGGTTTAATTCAAAATTGAGAGAGCCAGAGATAAAAGTTTTAAAGAAGGCAAATCTGGAAAAATTGTCTAGAAAGGTAAAGAGTAAATAAAGGCAATTAGATTTGGCAAATGAAAAAAAAAAAAATAGGACCAATGGTGGTTTGGAGTGAGAAGAGATGAGGAGTGAGTGGTAGAAGCAGGGCAGTTAGTGGATATGGATTAGTTTCTGTTGGATTGGAAAGTGGAAGATAGGGCCTTGAAGGGGGCAGGTAGAGCCAAGAAGATGTTTTCCTAATATAGGCTAAAATAGGACAGAACTAAATGGGATCGGATATCATAGAAATAAAAATCATCGATATTTAGTCCATTTCTTCTCCAAGTAACTGTATTCTTAAAAAGTATATTATCAGTTGTCTATTGAGAACAAACATACCAATCTCTGAGCAATAACTGTAATAAAACTAAGTGAGAACTGCTGAATTCTTTTAAGTTCTAAAAATTCTATATTTTATAAAGCCATATCATCAATTCTGTACATCTCGCATCTGTAATTTGAACTGTGGAATTCTCTTTTGAAATTGTAGACTTTATTTGTTCATGCTTTGGCCTCCATTTCCTAACTAATATGCAGTAGTATTAAGTAGTACCAAGCACTAAGAAGCACAGTAGTACTAATGACTACCGATATTCACATTTAATTAAATACTGACTTATTTTGCATTGTAAATATGTACTTTGGTCTCCTTAACTGTATGATAATGGCTTGAGGGCTAGAACTCTAGTTTTTCTCTTGATTTTCACACAGCACCTAACGCCTTGGCACAATGTAAATGTTCATTAAACATTTTGCAACTGGTTAATTACTGGTACTTTACGCTTCATAGGATCATTTAATACACCATATAGAAAGCCCAATAAAAAGTGTCTATGAAGTAATTTGTACTATCAAAATGATTTTATTATAAAATAGTTCACTCTATAAGGAAATTTGTATTACAAAACATCTTCCATCCTTTCTTTTCTTTATTCTCCTCTCCCCTCCCCTCTGTTTTGCTAATATTGCATCACACACTTATCATTAAATCCACTATTTCCTGGATTTTTTGCTTCTTCTAATGTTAAAGGTACTTATCTAGAAAGTCATTATTTTATAACTGAAATAGACTCTGCTTTTCCTCAGAAGATGTATGCAACCAGCCCTTACTCCGACCCCGTGGTGTCAATGGATCTGGATCCGCAGCCAATCACGGATGAAGAAGAAGGCTTGATCTGGGTTGTAGGTCCTGTCCTTGCAGTGGTCTTTATCATCTGCATTGTCATTGCTATTCTTCTTTATAAAAGGTAGGTTTGCCCAATATTTCTGTTGTAATTTTGGAGGCTGCCTTATTTTTGAAGACTTGATCATTGTTCTGCTGTCCTTAGGTGGTTGATTTTAGTAGAAATACTTCAGTGCCATTTCAATTATTTTTGGAAAAGTGTTTACATTACAGTAAGATCAAAATGTAAAGACTGTACTATTTGGAATCTTATTCAGTTTTGGTATAGACTTCTGTTGTCCAACATGCATCTATTCTGGCCTCCAATCTTCTGAGCTGCTTTATGCAGATAAGCACTTTTCATAACAATTGAGGCATTAGTGCATTCACAAGCAAATAATTCCATGCAAGCTTTCATTTGATTGTTTTAGATAATTAATTGCTCGATTTCAGTGTGTTTTTTGAAACACTATCACGATTTTGCAATTTGTATACATATCATAATTCTAATTTGCGCAAGTGTTGAGATAGCTCCCTGTAGCTATTTCTCAAAATTTAGCAAAAGCAGATAAAAATTAAGGATTAAGGAAGGGGAAAAAAAAGAGAAGGATGGAGAATGAATCGTCTCCCAATTTTCTTCTAACTCTTATTCCACATCTGCACTGGTGAATTCGTGTATGTGTCCAAAAAGGGATGCCAAGGTACTATTTTCCTTTTTTAAAAAATATAATCTCAGTCTTATTATGCCCATGTGTTGATTTGAGTAGTGTCTTTGACTACAGTTAGGATGCAAATAATCTGTGTCTACCCACATTTTTCTGATATGCCACTCTTTTTCAATTTTATTTCTGCCTCTAACATCTAATCTCTAATAAGATTTTTTCCCCTAGGGCACTGGCCAGTCAGTTAGATAGAGGACATTAGTAATTGTTCTTATAAATTCTTTCTGTCTTAAGAATATAATTATAATATAAATATGAACTTATAAAGAGTAGCATATAATATACTTTCTTAAACATTTAAAATGACTAAATTCAAAATTACTTCCCTTTATATAGATTTTTATTTTTTTCCAATCCAAATTGTATTTTCACAAAACTTTAATCCATGTTCTCGTTTTCCTTGTGGTGTGTTATATTTTGAAATGCTACTGTGAAGTTGATCTCATCCTTCTACTACAAGATAGCTTCTCTCCCTGTCCCTAACCTTGGCCTTCAGAATCTAAAAAGAGTATCTTCATTTTGATTCTTGCTTACATGCTTAATCTAATAATCTCATTTCCATTCACTCTTTTTCCTACCCATCTAGCTCCCTTTTGGGGGGTTTATATTAATTATTTTCACCCTCACTCCCTTGCTCTTCTGTCCCTGGAATAACGTTTTTCCCCCATAACCTCTTATCTTGACTCTTAAAAAAAGAAACTCCTTCAAAACTCTTCTCTTTTGAAAAACTTGTTTTTAAAAGGCTCCATTTCATTTTATTCCAGCATTAAGAGAGGGTTGAGAAAATAAAGGACAAATGAAAGAAGTTCATAACCATAACCCATTAAATTGCCTATCCTATTTTAGAGTTATAAAGAATGAAAGATATATCCATCATTATTTTTTTTCATGAACACTGCCATCATTCAATTATCCGTGCTGTAAAATAGCTGAAAAAGTAAGTGTGGAAAGCCAAAATCTCCTCTCATTTGATGATTTGAATCTTCCATTCCAATCTGTATCTATAAGCATGTATCTTAAGGAACCCATTGTATTTTATTACCTCTCTCCATGTAAGAGATAAGGGCAGGAAGCATGAGGTACACACCTGCCCCGTGAGTAATCATAGACCCTGTTTGAGTCCAAGCAGGAGCTGGTGTCCTTTGCTGTCTGTACGCTGCACTTTTTTCCAGAAGAGAATTCAATAATAAAAAGCAGTGGTATAATTCTAATTGTTTTCTGGGAAATATTGATTTAGGTAGTCACATACTACTATGGGAGTAGGTCAAAAAACAAGGGATTGTTGACAGGTGTATTTCTAGACCATATGACATGACATTTTGTGATTATTTGAAATGGGAAAAATTAATGCCTTATTTTTAAGTTATGTTTTATTTGGATATACATAGCTATCATTAAATCATACCAAGCAACAGATGTATATGGTATTTGTGAATCAGTCATGTAAATTTGAAGAAATATGATTATAGCCCTAATAATTTTTAAAAGATAACTATTTTCTTCCTTCATCTGCAAGTGCTTAAAAAATCAACTCACTTATAATTTTTCCTAATCCCACAAAAAGAAGTATCATATTTAAAGGTTTTATGACTCTGTTAAAATAGAGTAGCATTTTAGTGTGGGCCTATGTAAGCATCGTCTAATGCAATTGTTGGGAAATGCACACATCCTCGAATGCTAAGTATATTTAGCTAACCATCTGAAGGCCCATGAAGCATTTCTGAAATAGAAATGCTTGCTTCAGCAGTAAAGAACATTCCTGACTTGAAATTCAAGTAGAACCAACAATGTCCTTCTTGATTATCATGAGGCAGTTCAAAAGGAAATCTTCTGTACCCAATGAATAGTGTCTTTTATAGCTTGGATTCTGAGCAAAGTTAATTACATAATAAATAGTCCATTCCCTCTTTTTAGGTGCCTTTCAGTTTATATACAGGTCATTGGTAATGACTCAGAATTGAAAGTATTATTATTATTATTATTGTCAGAATATTTTACTTCCCATATGCAAATACTGCTTTGAGAAGAGAATGAGAATAAAACGTTGTTGACTCACATTATATTGATAATCCACTTTATCATATATCTCTGCTTCTAAGATGCTAGCATTAGCAATAGGTCTGTAGCTACAGATAGTTTTATCATATAAAGAAGTATATTTTACCCAGCTGTCTGAGGAGACTTTGAGACTTATTCCTATTAGATCTATTCATGTGGAAATGGCATACTCTTTGATCTGGCATTCTGTTCATTTAACTTTTGTTTTTAATCTAGTAATCTGTATACCTATAATACATTGATAATCAGTAACAAAAAAAAATCACCAGGGCTTGGTAAGATCCCTAAAATACCCTCTGAATCATCAGAAAATTAAAATATATTTGGTATATCTTTAATGTTATAAATTTTCTTGTACTATAATTTTGAAAAAATATTATATGGCCCATGACTTAAAATACACATTCCAGAGATAAGATAGTAGCAACGTTCGGCCAAGTACTGGACTGAGGAGCCAAGAAACCCGAATCCAAGTCCCAGTTCTGTGACTAGCTGGTTGCATGGGGTAGAAATTCATGCCAACACTCTGAGCCTACATTTCTTCATTACAAAGTTAGTGGGTGGACCAGATAATTAGACCTTTTTAATCATAATGCGCTATAATCTGAAAACATTAAACACCAGATAATAGTATTGGTACTGCACGTCCATCTACTCCAACAAAAAATTCACAAGGCAATTGAAAGTTCTTATTCTGTATATCTGTTACATATGTAAGGCTTTTCAGACTTTATTCCAGAACTGTCCAAGAATTATTTATATAAAAAATAAACATTTAAAAATAAACTGTTAACCTTACCTCTATGGAAAAGCATTTCAAGATGGATAAAAAGTGTTTATTACATACTATGGAATCAAAGAAAGTGTAGATCAGGTGGTCCTAGAAGTCTGAGATGCACTTCAGGCAAAATTAACATCCTTGAATGGTAATAATCTAGCCTGCATGCACACTATTTTTCCATCCCCATCCCAGGATGTGGAAACCATGAGCTAGATGAGACTGAAATGTAGGCTTCAGTTTTTCCAGCCTTTTCCTGCTCCAACACTGGCTCTCTGCAAGCTTTGTGTCTTTAGTCTTCTCTTTCTGTATCAACCCTCCATACAGTTCCAAGCCCTCATCAAGGAAATGCAGTCCAGAATATTTTGAGATGCTATGAAGAAATATGTGGCCACACCCAACCATACTGGAAGCTGCTGGTTGACTCTGCTTTCTGGCTTCTGAGTAGGCCCTCCCTAGGTTAGGAATGCCTTTCCTGTCACTCCCCTGCCACTCCTTTTGGCTTGGATAACTCCAACTCATCCTTTGGAAGTAAGCTAGGATGCTACCTACTAAATCAAGCCTTTCTGGGTGCCTGCCTCATTTTCTGTCCTCTCTTCTCCTCCCCTCTCTAGCAGTTCGGGCTGCTTTAGGATCACTTTTCCTGAGCTCTTAAAGTACTTTCTACTTGTCTGTTGTAGAACCTACTGCGTTACTGTCAATGCCCCTTTTCTTGGCACTTTGCCTCCACTAAACTGCAGGTCAAGGACTCTGTCTTATTCATTATTGTGTTGCTACTGCCTAGTAGAGTGCCTGGCACACAAAAATATTGAATAATTAAATGTATACAAGTCAAACAGTATTAAACAAACTCAATTCCTTCTACATGTTGACTCCATCACTCAATATCAACTTTATTTTGGCTGGCAAGAGTTGCAATAAAATCCTCGGCCTATAATTTAAATTTACCAGTTGTGAAAGCTTTCAAACTTAGATATTTGTACCACATATGTACCCAGGTGTATGGTGAGGCTGACCTTTATCTGGAACTATGAATTTGTGCATATGAATACTCAAAACAGCCTTTTAATACATAGAACTGATAATTCACTAGATGGTTTTCCATCCTGAGGCATAGATTTTTCTACAACTGATTCCCTGATAAAGTCACTGATTTTAAAAAGTGAGCAAATTGGAAACATTTATATAGAATTCTTTTTAACCTGGCACACTACGTAAATCACTATAAAATTAAGAATAAGAAGAATTAACCAATGTGTTTGATATCATTTTCATCATTTACTTTGTATGTGTGTGTTTGTACCATTTAAATGTGGATTTTTTTATTTTTGAAAAGAGATGGATTGAATTATCTCACAGGGCCAGATATTCCAGCCACTTGGGTATATATTTCATTGGCATTAAGAAAAACTTAGTACCTTTATTTTGCAACTGGGAACTCACTGAAAACTTTGCAATTTGCCTCAAAGTGAAGATTTTTAGATTAATTGTTTTCAGGAAAAGGTTATACTCTGCAGAAATAATATGGTTATTTACACAATCAACATATTATCACAGGTGAAAGGATCTATAAGCATGAACTAGTTGTGTTCACAGACAGCACCACAGACTAGGAAAATACATGTTCTGTCAATGGCTGGTAATAAAATGTTTTTCTGGATTAGCCCAACTGTATAAATGGGCCATGCTCTGTAGATTTATAATGATGGGTATTATATTTTCCTAAACTGAAGATGCACTTAATCCTTCATGGGAAAAAAGATGTGGCAAGAGGTGTTTGAAGAAATCATTTCTGCCACCTTATTACCTTTTGGTGTATTATTCAATTGTGCAAATTTCTGTATAGTTCAATACAATTTGCAGATATTTTATATCATGAAAGGAATGACATACCTCTTAATTGAAGGCTTTTTATTTTAAATGAACGAATTTCTTTTATGGAATGATGCTGTATTCCCATTGAGTACATTAGTTTTCTCATAGCATGTTTTTTAAAAATCAAATTATCTCTCCACTGTCGAACACTTCCTGGGATATAATTAATTGTGGCAGTATTTTATAGGTGATGGATAAAAGTGCACGTGGCATTCACACACACACACACACACACACACACACACACACACTATGTATTCAGTGATGTAACTTCATGTCCTCTGTTTAGTTCATAATCAGAGGTCTATAAATATTTTGATTCGCTGTCGCTTCTGAATGTATGTCAGTTATGTGTCCTTGCTTGTGAACACTATTTCTTAAATCTTGGTTGTCATGGTTATCCTTGTTACCATTGGCCAACTAACATTTAGCCTTTCTTTTTCCTTTTTTTGCTGCATTAAAATGGAGCAGTAAACCCGACAGGTGAGGAATAGAGAACAAACCCCTTTAATGTTCAGTAAGAAAAAAATAAACTGGTAGACTTCAGAGTTGTTGAAGAGGGGAGGGCGGGGCTGCACACAAAAGATAATACCTGGCACGTGGAAGATGGGCAAAGCCTACATATACACAGTAACTTCATTAAGATGATTCTGGGGAAAATAAATATTTTGTTTACATTAGAAAAAAACAGATTAAAGGCGAAGTTTAAAAGATAGTACACAAACCAATATCTGAGTTTTGTTTGTGGTCAAGATTAAAATGGGCATTTGTGTGTGTTGATGTGTTTACAGAGCAGACATGTGAGGTGTCTCATAAACTGTTTTGTTTTGTTTTGTTTGTTTTTACCAAAGATTAGTTTTCAAGTTTGAGTACAGATCACCTAATGATATTAGCATTTTCACATCCTGCAAATATTGATGACAGTGCCTTAGTGAGAACTCTTCCCCAATTCAAAATTATTATCCATGTCTCCCAGTCTTGAATAATAAGAGCAATAATAATAGCTAAAATACACTATGTGATTATTGAATGATTAATCCAAACTAACCCTCTAGCTTTCTAACTCATATCTATATATTCATATACACTTATGTATAAATATACACATGTAACATATATATAAATTCCCGATTAAAATTAAACTACAAAAAACATCTTGAAGATCACCTACCTTTCTCCCAATGCCATATTCCAGTGGTTTCCATTGAGTGGCCTCTGGACCAGCAGCCATAGCGTCAGCACCACCAGGGAACTTGACGGAAATACACACCCTTGGACCCCGCCTCAGACCTACTAAATCAGAAAGTCTAGGCATTGGCCCACCAGGCTGTATTTTAACAAGCCTTCCCAGGTGATGCTGATGCATACTAAAGTTTGAGAACTATTGCTGCATTATTTACACTAAAATCACTTTATGTTGGTCAGCAAGCCTCATGTTCAATGATAAGAATCTTTAAACCTCTATGAGGGTGTCTTCTTTGTGTGGACATCTCTAGTATCCATTTGTCCAGCAGAAAAACACGTGCAAAATAGTTTGTTTTTGTTTTTTCAGCCAAAAGACAAAACACTTTAAACTCACTTAAAATACTACCTTTCATCGGCCAGGCATGGTGGCTCACGCCTGTAATCCCAGCACTCTGGGAGGCTGAGGCGGGTGGATCACAAGGTCAGGAGATCGAGACCATCCTGACTAACACGGCGAAACCACATCTCTACTAAAAAATACAAAAAATTAGCCAGGCATGGTGGCGGGCGCCTGTAATCCCAGCTACTCGGGAGGCTGAGGCAGGAGAATGGCATGAACCCGGGAGGCAGAGCTTGCAGTGAGCCGAGATCGCACCACTGCACTCCAGCCTGGGCGACAGAGTGGGACTCCGTACCTTTCATCATAACACTTTTCATATTTTACAACTTAATGCTTTCTTTTTCTATTAAAATGAGAGAGTTGAACCAAAACTTAGACATCCTCTTCTAATCTCCCTCTATTTTATACACAAATAAACTGAAAAGAAAATTTGTAGTTGACACATACCAGTAGTGGCAGAGTTGGGATTACATTCTTAATGTTAACAGAAACAAATATTTTGATTGATTTACTTGAATATTGATGGTAGATATTTCTAATAAGTATATGTTTCTTTCAAAAGCCTCTTCTCACATGTCTGTATATCTTTGTTTCAAGACCATGAATTGATCTTTCACTCAACTTCTCTTTGTTTTTTTCTTCCCCCCAGATGAGAGCCTGGTGAAAGCAAAATACCCCGTAGACCAGAGTAGCATTTGTATTGTGTATTACCCACATCCCAAACAACCACATGCTTTTATAGTATTAGCAGTTTCTGACAGATCCAAAATGTCAAGTGATCTTCCATTTCCTTTTCACCTACATAACTCCTCCACATAGTAGATAGTTCTCACTGCAAGAAATAAACTCGCACTAACATTTTATAATCTTAATAGAAAAAAAATAGAGCAAGGCAAAATTTAAAATCTGTTTCTATTCATTATTCTTTCCATTTTTCAAATCGAAAATGAGAATGATGAGACCTCTGAAATTTATCAGGAAAAAAGGTTACTAGTTACATTCATGTTGGGCCTAATTTAGACCATTATATGTCTTTTAATATTTTATGACAACGTTTTAAAACTCTTTAGTATTATTACCAATGATGACCAAACTCTTCATCTTCCACATCTTTCCTAGAAATGGTTTCTGTGTTAGAAAACAATCATTCTAGCACATCACATAATAAGTGTTTAAAAATAATGTGATAAGAATGTGGACAGCCAGAATTATCCATGTTGTGATCATCGAAAGAAAACTAAGCAAAATACATTTAAGCAGCTGGTTTTCTATTTGACTAGGATTTCAGGAGTCTGAGGTCTTGGAAATAATTTCATTTGAATAAACAGTGAAAGAGAAGTTAGTTATTAAATGTCACTACATCCCTCCCTGTTCATTCAAATTGTGAATTGTAATTTTAGTCCCATGTCTTGAGTTTTCTGAGACTCACATCTTTGCAACAAGATGTAATTCCTAACTTTCCTTGCACCAGAGAAATGGGCTAAATTACTTTAGAGAGTTTTCTTTTCTACCCTCCAGCTCAGTGTCACTCACCCCAGCCACAGGGAAAAAGAAGATAAGGAGGTTACCCTACAATACCTGTAAGAGTAAAGTAGTTTTCTTGCCCAGATAGATATTTCTAATTCTGGTTTCCATAATCTTGCAAGAATGGCAGAGCCACAATGGGAAGGGAGAAAAATCCAAATTTTAGTCGTTGGGCCTGACACATTAGTAAAGAAATGCATCCTTGCCAACTTATGCAAAATGATCAAAACATGAGAAGGGCCATTGGTATTATTTGAAGTGAGAAGACCAACCATATGTTTCACGTGGAATTGACTGGCTGGCTGCACCCAGTGACGTTTCATTAACCCATTTCGATTTTGCATCTTCAGTGGTAAAAGGAATCTCTTAGTGTGGTGAGGCGAAGACCCATAGCACAGACACAGTGACATTGCCTACTCTGAAACTGGCCATCATGTCCTCCTTTCGCATGGTCTTATGAGCCTGTCTTTTTCTTCGTCCTCATATCTTTTTCACCAGCCCTTTGTCTTTTCTTTTTCTTTTCTTCTTCCTTTCTACTCCATAGAACTGGAGCTGCCAGTACCTTGGCAGGTCGCAGAATACTGCTCACCTCTGATTGGTGGAATGGGTTGGCAGCACATTTTGTCCCAAGGCTGTATCTGACACCTTTAGGTAGAAAGAAGAAATCCTCAGACAGGTTAATCTAAGGTACCGAGAAAGCAACATGTCTAATAGGACTTAGCCATGAAAATGTATTCCATTAAGGATGTTTTGCCAAAGGCACTGCACTTGAGCAAATCATGTGCACGTCCCCTTTGTATCAATCTTCTCTTCACCCCCTGGTTAGTTTTATTTTATACAGATGAGCAGAAATGGGAAGAAAGGCTATTTAACAGGAGCCCTCTGGCTAACCATAGAACGACCTGGGTGGCATTGAATGAGACCCCATTGCCACAGCAACACTAATGAGCTGTACCACAGTCACATCGAACAGAGAAAAGGAAAGTTCCTAAACACTGTGCAGCACCTTTTCCCCCCCACAGTAAAAACGCCTTTGCTTTGAGCAGGGGTGAGATACTAGGATTGTGACTGTGGTGTAGAGATTGCAGGCGTTAGTATTTGGAAAAAAAGCACTGTTTGAAAATGGCTTCTATTGATTCAATGGGTTTTTAATCTAATTCAAACTGGAAGAAGATAGTTAGGACTCTGTGATTAATTTTTTATTGGATAAAGAAATCTTATATACAGATCTGACATTTCTTGCTTAGAAATTTGTTAAAATTACATAATGAGAGCTTAAATGGGGATATCTAATAAAGCTAGTAGATAGCTTTTAGAACAAAGTTAAAATGTATTGTGTGAAGAATCACATTTATAACAAGGCACTGTCAATGGCACCTTGAATGATTATCAGGAGCGCTGATCTACCCACCAGGTGAAATTACTTTTTCTCTGATCTTTCTGTGAACCTTTCATTAACAAAATATTAATCACAGTTAGCTTAACACTGTTAAGAGCTAACACTGTTTTTTTTCCTTCACATTTGAAAGAGAAAGGGGAGTTCTGTTTTACCTGGTCCCGATTATCCTAGGCATTAGGATAACTTGGCATCTTAAAAATGCACTTGTGTTTACCTGCCTTATGGGAAAATCTACGGCATCTACTCTCTGTAGTCACCACTTATATATACTTAGGGCTAAGGGGGACAGATTTAGCTGTTCAGCTTAAGGTCAGGTAGTTTCTCTATGGTAACAACAGTCTTAGTATTGGCAACTTAGGGGTATCCTATCCTGTTCCTCACAAATAGAACTAGTAGATAAGAGAGAATTGCTCAATAAGGGTCCATGCGTATCTCACCAAGATCCCTTTGAAACCAAAAGGCAGAGTTGCTGAATTATTTAATCCTGCAGTTGGAGGAGGACTTCGAGATCATTGACTTAAACAAAAATTTTAGACCTGAGAGAACAATTAGGCCAGGGGGGAAAAGCAACCCGAACTGGGTCACAAGTCAGCTGGGTTGAAAAGTTGTAAAACTGAAAACTTGGGAGGTGGGGGGAGTGCAGGTGCAATTCTCTGCTTTTCTATCTGTTTCAATTGATTTTTCTTTTCTTCTTAAATTTCTATTTTCCCCCTATAGGAAGAGGGCAGAGTCCGACTCTAGAAAAAGCAGCATACCGAACAATAAGGAGATCCCTTCACACCACCCAACAGACCCTGTAGAACTGAGGCGCCTTAACTTTCAAACACCGGGTAAGAAGCATCACACATCTAATCCACACACAGTCTTTCCCAGAAGTTGTACAGCTCAATTGATATTAAGAGTTGAAGGTATCACTTTATTTTGAGCCATTTTGTTCATCCTGCTCTTTTATTTTACTATTATGGAGACTTGCCCAAGCAAAAGTCTGAAAGGAAATTAAGTTCTTTCTGCAAACCGGAAATTGGGTAGGGAAGAAAAAGAAATATGGGTATCCTTCAAATTTTGGAAGAACTATAGTCTTTATAATAATATCTACCATTTTTATGGGCTTTGATTATTGTTTTTATTATTTCCAATGACACCACTCTGGAAAGAATTCAGTTTCTCATCAAGTGAATGAATGAGTAAATGGATGACTGTACACATCTTTCATCCCATGGGAAAGCATAGATTTGTTCTATATTTTCCTTTTTGTTTGTGTTTATGGTACTCTGAAAGAGGAAGGAAGAAAGGGAGGGAGGGAGGGAGGAAAATGAGGTAAATATTTTTAAATATTACCTATACTAAATTTCACTGATCACTTCAGGCTTCTTACTAGAGAGAAACATAAAGTGACTGAGGATAACAAAAAATATACTTGTTTCTTAAAATAAAGAACATTAAGTGCTTCAACAGAGGAACACTACTATTCCTACTGAGGGGCCTTCTGCACAATATTGTTTATTCATGCCTAGATCTATTTGACTTTTTCAACTAAAGCATGTTTATACCAAATGAATGGCAAATTATGAATGGCAGAGGGAGCTGAAAATATAAAACCGAGTGACCCTATCTTAATATGTTATGATAATGAACAAAGTGAAAAGCTAATCTAAGAAGTCTTTGGGATTAAAATGTGGTTGCAGTGTTGTCCCACAAATTGTAGACAAGTTTCTTTGTGCCATATGGATGTTCTGATTCACAGTATGATACACTGCAGATATATTACAGTACACATTTTACAGTGAATTATTTTGAACATGGTTTATTATGTTCAGCATATTTTCTCTTTTACATGTAGATGTAACATAGTAACTAGTAACTCTTCAATTGAAAGAAATGTTTAGCATTTTCAGTGTGGCTATACAAGCATCATAATGTCGGTATTTAAAAAAAATTCTAACTCATATGAGGTTAGACTTTAAAAAAAATTATTTCATCATGCACCGGGAACGTGTACATGATGATTGAACAAACTTGTGTCATCTTCCAGGATAGGTCGTAGCCCTCTGGATGCATCTTGTTGAGTCACCTACTCAGTACTTTATTAAGGCAACTTGATATGAATTAAGTTACTGTAGTAAATTTCATTGGGTCAGCGCTTTTTGAAATAGGTGGATACTAACTACTTCAGCCTATAGGCAACTTCTTTTTGTTTTTGGTTGTTTGTTTGATTGATGGGTTTTTTGAGACAGAGTCTCACTCGATTGTCCAGGCTGGAGTGCAGTAGCACAATGACGGCTCACTGCAGCCTCAACCTCCCGGGATCAGGTGATCCCCCTACCTCAGCTTCCCAAGTAGCTGGGACTACTGGGGCACGCCACCACATCCAGACAATTTTTTTTTTTATTTTTGTGGAGGTGGAGTTTGGCCGTGTTGCACAAGCTGGGCTCCAACTCCTGGGCTCCAGCAACTCACCTGCCTCAGCCTCCCAAAGGGCTGGGATTACAGGCATTAGCCACCACTCCTGGCCTACAGGCAACTTCTTAATAATGGACCCAGGAATTTATATTCCTTTCAATTTAGCAAACTCAATGTATAGAGGACCCAAAAGCTGAAGAAATGATCTGCTACATGATTCCTTGCATTTCTTACCTCATCACCCTGTAAAAGAGCAACATGTTGTGGAAATAGAAAAACGGATCAGATTTCTCAGTACCTTGCTGCTAGCTCTCCACTGCCCCTCCTTCCTCTGTTTTTCACATAAATGTCATTTGTGCTGGAACCAACCTTGGTCTTCCACCGGAGGCAGAAACACAGTATAAGGTTGAGCAGAAAGGCAAGGGTACCCCCAAAAGAAGGGAGCCAGTGAGAGTGCTGCTACACCTCACCTCCTCTCGCACCAACAGAAAATGTTTCCGGGAATAAACACAAAGCAAGAATGGGAACTGTGTAGAGAGAATGATTAAGAGGTGCTGGTGACTGCAGGTAAGAGAATAGGAATGTCTTCAACCAGGAGACTTCTGTCTGCAAGTACTTCTCACTTTCAGATGTAATTTTGCAAATATGGCCAAACTCAAGAATTCTATTAGCAATTTAATTTTCCCAATGTATTTGGGAATATTATATCCATTTATAGAGAGAATCTGTTAAATTTTAGGTAAGATACCAGAAAGAAGAATGAATGTTACAATTGTAACATCTCTTGTATCACCAATGACTTTACAAAATTAAAATGGGGACCTGAGTATAAAGGAAGGTGTCATTTAACTAAAGTTAGACTTATCACCTCAAATGAATAAGGGAATAAAGTAGACAAAATGAGATAAGAGAGGAGCTGTAGTAGACAAAATGAGATAAGAGAGGAGCTGTAGTAGAGGAGGAGACTAGAAAAGGAGAAATTGTCCTAAGGTCCTAGCACATCTGTTCACTCAGGAAGCAGTACATTATGCCCTTTAGCTCAGGTAAGCAATTCACTTAAGCTTGATTTGCTGAAATTGTTTATTTGCCATCCAAGCTCTATGTTGTGGCCTGCTGTCTGGAACATTTTTACCATTTTACAAAGGAAATAGACTCCGCTGTTAATATGAAATTCATAGAGATGTGACCATTTGCTTCAGCCTGCATAGATTTTAGCCAGCGGCTGTTAATTACCATAATTACTTGCCAATAGGATGAGAGCAGAATGTGGGGTTGTTAACCCAGTAACCCTTTTGTGGTTGTTCTTCTCCTCTTTTTCACGAAGAATCAAGGGTTTTCTTGGATAATGAAATAAAATAATCCTTCATTAGGTGTTGCATGACAGGTGCTATGACGCTAATTTTTAGGTTTTTAAATTATTTACATTTCACTCTCTGAAATGTGGCTTTTTAATATATCTACTATGAATGTATAATTGCTTATCCCCAAACATTATAACGCTTGAGAATATTTATTAATAATATACATAAGTAGAGAATTAGTAATCCACACCTTCTGTTCAAAAAATGTCTTTCAATGAAATAAGATGCCTGTGATTTATATAACCAGTACCTAGTACAGAATTTGTTCCCAAAGGCAAATTGATTTCTGCTTCTGATGGGTCTGTTATGAATGATAAAATAGCAAACAAACATTACGATTTGAAATTCAGTAGGCCTTTCAGAAGGTAAAGAAAGCACATTGCTTAGTTCAGTGATTCTATAAATTCTACTTTCTCAAAAAAGTCATCTTGTGAATGAAAGATTGATTTACATTCTAAGTTATTTATTCTTTTGGAGAATCGAGATTTAAGAAGTCAGATCTTTTTTCCTTAATTCTGCCCGATATTCCCCATTTCATATAAATATAGCATTCCAACAATCTAAGTACGTCAAAGAACTGTACCCTTAAATGCAGTACCACAAACATAGTTGGATCAGAAAAAGTTAGATTTCCATCCACCGTTGCTCAGCTAAGGCACAAAGAAAAGACAGAGAAACCTGCTTTTTTGTCAGTATAACCATCCTTGTGAGGTTGGAGAGTGTGGAGAGGAACATTGCTTTAGCACATTTTCAAACTTTTAGACAAGAATCAAGTCACTCTCTGACACTGCTGAGAGCCTTCCAAAGAAGTAGCTTGGACTTGAATCTGTACAGAGCACCTTAAGGAGTTGCTGTATCTTCTCATTCTGAAGTCACTGATGGTGCTGGCAGCTAGAGGTACTTCAGGGCTGAAGCCCACTAGTTCGTTAGTGGCAACAAAGTTCTTGGTCTTTTTTAGCATTAAGATGAGTGAAAAAAGAATCACCAACCCAGCCCCTTCTGAAAAACTATTTTATTTTTCTCTTATTGAGCATAATGTAATTGTGACTTAACCGATTGCTGCATCAGAGACAATATGGAATTGTTGAATAAATTTTTTTTCTCCCCCTAAATGGTAGTTTTTCTAGGAATAGGACTAGATTCAGGATAAACAGTCTGATAGGATCCCAGGATGCTGCATAGTGTTAGGACCAATCTATTACTTAAGTGATGTGTTCACATGGTAAGTCTGGACAAATATACGGGAACATTTATCATTTTTTGTGCTTGTACACTTTCATTATTAAAGTATACTTTAAAATGAAAAAAAATATCCTGTCAGTCTGTGAAACACTGTATGTAAACACCTGAACAGGTCGGGGAAGCCCATGCTTTCACAATTGAAAGCAGGCACCTCAGCTTGTAAGTATTTTGCATGATTGATTGTAAGTGTCTGTCTTATTGTGGTTCAGATGGCAGTGTATAGCCAAGTTATATTTGAGACAACATGAGCTACCTAATCATTTAAGAGAATAATGATTTAAACAATAAATCATTATTAGTGTACAAGGTCAGCCAGAATTAGTGTGAAAAAGGCAATTTAAGTAACATCAGTTGTATCACCAATAACTACCAAGTTAAAATGGGGACTTAAGTATATAGGAAGGTATCATTTAGCTAAGATTTGACTTATTAATTCTAACAGATAGTGGAATAAGATGGGCAAAATAAGTAAAAGAGAGAGGTGACGTAGTAGAGGAGTTTACTGGAATTATTAACTGCTGATCAAGTTTTACAAGTCTTTAAGATCTATGGAAGAAGGGAAGAAAATATTCACTTATAAAAGATGCATTTAAAGGAAATGTCCATTAAGCTCCATACATCTCTGTAGACAGCAGTAACTGGGTGCGCACTAGGATGGGTGAATAGATATGTTGCTTGTTAAACAAAGATGAACTGTGTTAGCCCCATTTGCAAGGAAAGTTTTCTCTTTCTTTCTTTTATAAACAATTTCCAAATTACTTTAGTCTCTCCGTCCCAGAACATCTTTTTAATTTCAAAAGCAACATGTTTATTGGGGAAATTTTGGAAAATAGAAAATAAGCTTGTTAACAATCATTGCATATAGATTGTGACCATTTAGGTGTTCATTATGTTACTCTTTAATTTTGTGTACGTTTGAAAATTTTTATAATTATATGGTGGGAAACGGTCCAACAAAAGCACTTTTAGAGAAGAAAAATTACTCTTCATTCCACCACTTTTTTTTCTTTTTTATTTGACATATTTAAAATTAAAATTAAAATATTTTGTGTCATTACTCCAATTAAGTCTCCAGAAATATCTGCCATATAGAGTTTCATATATACCTTTCCAGAATTAATTTGTGTATGTAGTTATTTAAATGATATAATATAGAGTAGGTAGGGATGTCTGTGTGTATGTCATGTATGTATACACACACAATTTGCTGTTGTGACATTTAACTATATAAAAATGGACTTTTTTCAAGTGAGTGTATTATGTCTTCTTTTTAACAGATAATGACAATGATGGTAGTCAGTTCTATAGATATCAAAATGTATTAACTCATTCCCTATTAATGGAGGCTAGGTTATTACTCATGTTTTGCTATTACAGATACTACTGTAATGAGCATTACTGAGCCCATATATTTTGACACCATCATTGCTATTTCTGCATGTCAGACACCTGGAAATATGATAGCAGGGTCCTAGGGTAGGCACATTTACCATTTTGATAGAGAGACCCAATTACAGACTTTTCAAAATACTGTAAAAATCCTTTACTGAAGGTTTGACACCCTCTGGCCCATGGCCTTTAGAATTGGGCAAAATGATGAAAATAAACATAATATTATTAAAAGATGGTGATATATAAGAAAACCAAACAAATTACTAATATGTGTTCATTTTTCTTCTTTTTCCCAGCAAAGAAAATTTAGAGGTTGAGGATCTTAGAGAAATTCACTTTCTTTTCAGTACAAAGAAAGTTGTAAGAGAAGATGCTACTGGTAGCATTGGTGGTGCACCAATCATTACCTTCCCCTCTGCCTGCATATTCAATATTAAAGTGTCTGCTGTCCCTGTTCATACCTCCTCCCTGGCCCAAAAATACCTGCAAACAAAACCAAAACTATAGTGTTTATGCTTGCACCTTTTAGGAAAAGAGATTTAAAACTCGATGATCAGATGTTACAACACAAAGACCTCATTTTCATTCAGTGGATGACCTTAATATGTTTTGCCCTAAAGCATACATGGATGGTAGGTGATTGATGGGCTGTGAAAACAGAAACAAACTCATAAAAAGTTAACGGATCAGAAATAGTGGTATCAGCAGCAGAAATGTCTGCACAGCAACTGAATAAGCTTTAAAAAGCTCTTGAGCTGTCTCTTCTGATCTATTAATACTATTAATTGGATCAATGCTAACAAGATCCATTTTTATATATACTTTCTTCATACATTCATATTTTATTTTATACAGTAAGGAATTTAGGCATATGACCTAGGTTAAGAATACCGGATGTGTCCTTTCTGTTTTATTTTCTGAAATTTCTGATATAAAGAAACAGCTTGTTCAAATTCTGTATTTTGAGAAACTCTCCATTAGAATTGAATTTTACAAAAATTTTTTAAAATGTTTTGAGGCAGGATCTTGCTCTGTTGTCCAGGCTCGAGTGCAGTGGCACAATCATAGCTTACTGTAGCCTCAACATTCCACGCTTAAGTAATCCACCCACCTCAACCTCCCAAGTAGCTGGGACCACAGGCATGTGCCACAATGCCCGGTTCATTTAAAAAAATTTTTGTTGCAGAAACGGGGTCTTCCTCTGTTGCCCAGGCTGGACAGAAACTCCTGGAATGAAGTAAAAATTTTGAATTTTAATTATGCCATTCATTGCTTACCCAGAAAAGCACTGTTGGTGACTCTTTCATTTAATGATGATCCCCAGTCACAAATTAAATCTAATTGTCATTATGGTTGTATCAGGAAGCTTACAAATCAATATTCTCTTTATCTTTAATTTATCATTAGTTTGTGATACAAATAACAAATATAGCAGAGTATTTGTATTTGATTCAGGGAATTCTAAATAGTGCATACATTATGTCAAAAATATGACAAATATTTAATGAATGAATTTTCTCTTTCTGGCTGTTAACTCATAGAAGTCTACTTTTGTTAAGACTGTGGTAATTGATTTGATGAAAAAATTAGCTTCTCTTTGGTCCATAAGCACAAACTGTTCTCCAGCCTTTATCACAATTTATCAGTAAGGAAAATCATGAAGAGACTGTTACTGAGTCATTACAAACACACGTATATAGTGACAGAAAAAAATCATGTAAAAGATGTACCACCGTTATTAATGACTTCAAAAACTCTACTTAGCAGAATAGTTATATAGTGCCTATTGGCATTTAATGCAAGGTTTAAAAATATGAAAATAGAGCAAGTGTTTGATAAATATTTTTCTATGGATAATAAAATCATTTGAAGCATTCAGTAGCCTTACTGACTTAGTAAAACAGAGCAGGACTTTTGAAAAGCAAAAATACCATAAATTAGCTTCTAAGAAATATTCTGCCAAATAGCATTCCAGTTTTTAACATTTTAAATTAATACCTTTAGTTCATGTTTTCTTGGAAACTTAGGATATTTTGGCAAGAAATAACTGGAAAATACAGACGTGTTTTTGCATCCCCTTTTCCTCTTCCCCACCACTGAAACAGATGACCTAGGTTAAGGCCCTGTATTGACACTTTTTCACAAACTGAGGATGGTTTATGATCTCTGTCTTGCTGCATAGAGAGCCCAAACAGTCTTAAAGACCCAGCTTTATGTACATGTCACCACTTGTCCAGGGGTGTTAAATGGTTGGAAAGACAGCATGGCGTCATGTGAAATGTGCTAAATGAGAGTGTACGGGGTATGGGATCAGATTCCTCATGTAGCTACAGTTCTGCTGATAATGATGACTTTGATCGAGTTCTTTAACTCCTCTGGGCTTCATTTTTCTAATTGGTAGAGATAATGGGGGATCAGGTTAGAGAGAAGGGGAGGTAGATGAACCCATAGGGGATGAACCATGCAAGAAGCATACTTCTTTATATCCCCAGCACAAAGCAGTATCTAGTCCATTGCCTTGTGGATACAAGCATGCAGTCTGTCACTCCCAACACTCCTTGATTCTAATTCACATACACACAGATTAAAGAAGGTTTTGTTCTTTTAAAACAAAGGCCATAATCTAGTTAGCCGTATGTGGTCTGCAAAAGAGCTTATCGTTTGACATGGACTGAGTTTCAACAAAATTTTGAGTCAACATTGAAAACTGAGGAAATGCCACACGATACTCTGGATTTTGAGTGGCTGTTGAAAACCTGAACAGTCTGAACCGATTGGCCTTGCATTCCCACTTGGCAGAGCAAGTCCTGGAGCTGAATAATTTCACCCTTTTCAGAAGCCCCCCAATGTGTACACTAGCCCTAAAGATGAGTGACATTGAGACTGAGCGTTAGTTGCCATTTATGTCACGCTTATGGCTGTTTTTCACATAGTAAAGAATTACTGTTCTTTCTGGAGTCTCTGTTCAAAGTAGAGACACAAAAGCCAGCCCTGGAAACCTGCTCATTGTGAGGAAATGGGAATGAGCGTATTTTCTGTGTGTGAAAATGTTGACTATATGATACTTAGCCCTCTTCAGTCATTTATCTTACCAGCCTAGCCCATTCCATCTGTGGAGACTTTGCCCCCCACTTCATTTAGAAGATCGCAAATGCCGTTCTCGGAATAGTACAGTAGAAAGATGCCCAAGCTGCATGTTGAGATGTTGTTATTTACTGTCTGGGCTTATGTAGAGAAGTCATCTAACTTTTCTGGATTTGAGTCCTCTTGTATAAAGTGAAAGTGCTGGACTAAGTCATCTCTAAGGTGCCTCTCAGGTTAAAATGCCATGATTTTAAAGTTTACTTCTTATAAGGAAGTCACCGTGACATCAGTCTCACCAATATGTACCCTATTAAAGGGAGCCATCTTGTTTTTTCCTCCAACCTAAGGCAGATTTCAGTGACCGCATCTGTCATTTTTCATGTTGACTCTATATTGTGGAGATCATAGCTTCAAAATAAAAAGTCTTAACAGATTTGATGCGTGCCTTTAAAATGCATTTATGGGTCGGGCGCAGCGGCCCACGCCTGTAATCCCAGCACTTTGGGAGCCCGAGGCAGGCGGATCATGAGGTCAGGAGTTTGAGACCAGCCTGACCAACATGGTGAAACCCCATCTCTACTAAAAATATAAAAATTAGCCGGGTGTGGTGGCGCGTCCCTGTAATCCCGCTGCTCAGGAGGCTGAGGCAGGGGAACCACTTGAACCCGGGAGGTAGAGCTTACAGTGAGCCGAGATTGCACCACTGCACTCCAGCCTGGGCAACAGAGTGAGACTACATCTCAAAAAAAAAAAAAATAATACATTTCTATTGTACATTTGTAGCTTCTAACTGATGAGGTCATGACACTGGCAAGCCCTCCCTGTTTGTTAGCTGTGCTTCAAGTTCTTTGCTGCCAATAATAGCTGAGTACTAAAGCTTGCTAATGGGGTGTTAGAGAGGATTCAAGAATATCACCAAGAGAAAGCTCATCTCATTCTCATAAATCCTGATATGATTTCTAAATGGGAAAAAAAGGAATAAATGGAGTTATAGGCCCCCCATCATGAATCCTATAGGACTAAGAGCCAGTGCTGAGGAACTTTAAAAATATCAATATATAGCTCCCACATCCACAGACCTGAATTAATTGGTCTGGTGTACAGCCTGCAAAAAAAAAAAAAAAAAAAAAAAAAAAAAAATTAAAGCACATCAAGTAATTTAAATGTGTAAAATCTGATGTAGTAAAGACTTTGGTTTATAGACTGAGCAGTGGTCAGGTTGCCAGACAAAACATTGAAAAGGTACCACAGTGAGGTCAAATTCATAGTTTTCTTAGTGTCTACCTTTTCATTCAAAATCTAACATATTTGTTTATATCATATAACATTTTTTTTCAATATTGGGCAGCGGAGATGTTTCTGCAGAATTGTGTAACAATATTTTGAAGTAGATCCTTGGTCATTGTTTTCTGATATGAGCTAAACAGTTTCAACTTAGAGGAGTTTTACTCTTGATGATTATTTTTATGCCGACATTCGGTCTTTTCTGATATATGATATAACATCATAATAGACTGTGTATACATTTTGGCTAATGAAAGAAAATAGCAACAAACTTAAATAGTTCAAAAAATAAACAATTCAACTGCATACTAGTTTTCCATTTTGTAAAAAGTAAGTACTCTCTCCCTTCAAAGAAAAGGTACGATAACTTTTAGAACCCTTACATATGCACCAATAGACCCTTCTCTGTTCAGAAGTTCTGTCTATATGTGGGAAGAATGAAAGTTATGAAGAAGAGAATGGCTCTTGAATTTATCTAGTTCTATACTCTTATTTTAACAGTTAAAGAAATCAAGGCGCTTCACAAAAGGTGATTTGTCCCTATTAGTAGATGCCAAAACCAGAAGTAGAACCCATGTCCAGTATTCTAAGCCAGGGTTCTTTCTCCTGTACCATTGGATTCACACAGATTCTCCTCCCTTTTCTGTGAAACATCCATCTGCCATTTTTACTTGTCTTAGAAATGGAGTGCAATATGGTATCCAATGATAAGTTTTATGTAGCGATTCTTTAATGCTGTGATATCTTGCATGTGATACATATATGTATATATATTCTGATGTGGAATATAATGACTCAATGTAGGTCTGCTTGAATTTTTCTTTAATAAACTTCCAATATAATACTTCCAGACCATGTGCCAGTGCATGCCACAAGTAAATATGTTGATCAC
Source organism: Homo sapiens (assembly GCF_000001405.40). NCBI lineage: Eukaryota > Metazoa > Chordata > Mammalia > Primates > Hominidae > Homo > Homo sapiens. The sequence goes on along the minus strand of NC_000009.12, from coordinate 8,438,899 downwards.
ATCTTTGGTTATTATTATGGTCTTCTACTGCTGTTATACTAATACTTTTCCCGTCTCCAACTGGCTTTACTTTTTGCAGCTTTGAGCAGTAATTCAGTCCCCTACGCCTCCCTGATTGGCTCTGTGTCCTCCCTCTCTAGCCAAACCACCACTCAGTCCATATATGATAATAACTCTCTCCCACGATCCGCTCGAAAAGGTCTAAACATCTTTGTCTCTATTATTTTCTCTGTGAAAGCACTGTAATGATGTCCACATCAGTCCATTTCCATTTCCAGATAAGCCTAAAGTCACCTATGCCTTTGCATTTCCATTCTTTTCGTTGGGGGTGCCTCATCTGGATAAGATCACGTAATTATCAGATCACTGTCACCCTCACACTTCCTCCATAGAATGTAAATTATTTCAGTTCTATCATTAATACAGAAAAGTTTCAGAAAGGGTTCCAAAATTTTGTTCCAAAGGCATTATTATATCACCAACAAAGAGTTTCTACTTGCAAGCAATTCAGTTTTATTGGCTCTCCACTAAAATTTTAGCTGACTGGAAGCAGACCTTCATAGCCATAAAAACTAAACCACCACAATTCACAACACTTGCTAAAGTGGTTGTCTTCAAAAAGCAGGGTAGCTTTTTACTTAACTTACCAGAACCATTAATAATTTGGCATTTGAGATAAAGGAACTTACTGGGTGACTTTTAACAATGGTATAATTCCTAAAATGCTCTTAAAGTAGTCACATGTCATGTTGACTCAATGGCCATCATTCTGTAGCCTTCCTCCAAAGAGCCACAGTGACAGCAGAATGTCAACACATGGCTTCCAGTTTGAGCTCCTCCCTCATTCTTTTCCTGCTTCAGTGGCTTCCCTGGGGACATGCTAGTTCAGGTTTTTGTAGCCAGCTGGAATTTATATCTGTAAGATAAGAGTCAGCAATGCTCTTTCATGATACTTCTGTAAAATTAATAGGAAAGAAATAAAAGACAAATCATATGAAAAGTGAGAAAACATCAGAAAGACACAGGAGTCACCAAAATTAATAGTGGATTATTTTTCATGGAATCTATGAAATTACTATATCTTCCGCTGGCTGAATGAACTAGAATGTGTCACCCCATCTCTGCTTTCCTTCTTTCTTCACCCTCTTTCCCTCCTGTCTTTTCACCATTTGCTCACTTCCCTGAATCCATTTCTCATTAGTGGACAAAGATGTTTACACCTGAAGTAGATTGTAGGTTTGCTGGGGGTTGAATAATGGGGACCTGGGGCAAAATATCACAGAGTTGTTAGTGTGGCCATTTATAAATGTCCAGGAGAAGGCTGCAACCCCAACCTCTACAATCTGCTACTAGTGGAAACATTTTTGAAGCTCAGTTTGGTGTCTGATTGTGCCGTCAGTGATTATCGTCAGTGAGTCGTGGTGCATGTCATTCTTTGTGTCTGTGTTTGCATGTGAATGTCAGTCACCTACAGGTTTGTGAAATATTAGCGATCTTAATGTAGTAGTCACATTGTACTAGCCACAATGTATAGTGAATTCTGTAAAAACTTGCAGCATTTTAATTAGTCCTTTTAAAAAATATATCAGGCTTTCCATTTCATTTTTTTTTGAAGAATTTGTTCTATTTTATTTTATTTACACCATCATTTCCTTTGCAGGTTCAGATGATTCCGGTTACCCTGGTAACCTTCATTCTTCAAGTTAGTTTTCCTTGATTATGCATAAGTCATTTTATGTTTACTATCAAGCTACTACTCTTTCCCTTTTAGGCCTTTCTCAGTGTCTGTTTTCTTATTTCACTTTACACCATTTAATTCCACACAATTTCCATTTCACACAGTGCAGGAGAAGGAGTTTGAAATGGCATAAAAGTCATTACTCAAAGCAGAAGTTGACATCAAGCCTGACTGTCAGTTTTTTCCACTAGCTAACCTTATTGATTCATAGCACAATAACGCTTTCTTTTACACTAGGAGTGTTAGTTTGGAGATTATGCTTGGTGACTTTTCATTTGGCTACAAAATTCATCTTCCCAGAGCATGTCCTGCTTTGAGTAACCAAACTATTTGCCTGCTTCCTCACCTAAAACATCTTTACTACTCACATATTTTCAGGCCATTTCTAACTATAGTATTCTCTATATTTTGGAATAGTTAGCATCATTTTCATTTGTTTTCAAATGTGTTTCTTCTTTGCTTTTTTCAATAGGTATGGCTAGCCATCCTCCAATACCCATCTTGGAACTTGCAGACCACATTGAAAGATTGAAAGCAAATGACAACTTGAAGTTTTCCCAGGAATATGAGGTAATTCACTGTGTTTATTCTTTACAGTAATTTCAAGAGTTACTCTTCTCTTTTTTTGACCATATTCTTGAAAATTAACTTCATCAGTGCTTTTCCCTTTAAATATGACTCAAATATGATATAAAAATGTATAATGAACCGTCAACTTAAAAGTGTCTGCACAAGCAATATAGTAATTACAGTTTGAAAAAGTTAATTTTATGTTTGTTCAATATTACTTGCTGAGATTATGAATTTTCTGTTTTTTATTTTTATTTTATTTTTAATTGGCAATAATTGTATATATTTACATATTATGCATTATTATTAATTATAGTCACCATTCTGTGCAATAGATCGCTAAAGCTTATTCCTGCCATCTAGCTAAAACTGATCAACATCTCCCCTTTTGCCAGCCCTCCATTGGTAATCACCACTCTATTATCTACTGCTATGAGTTTGACTTCTTTGGATTTCACATATAAATGAGATCATGCAGTATTTGTCTTCTGATTTTTCAGTTCCTAGAATATACTAAATTGATAAGCTTTCCAGCATACCAAATAGGTGCCAAATACACTGATTTGTGATAAGAATCCTCATCTAGAAAGAAAGATTACGAAGATTAAGTACATTTCTCAAGACTCTTGGTTTTATAAGCCATGAAAACTCTGTAATTATTGAGTATGTGTATATTATCTTATCCTTCAATCTAAATTAATGCTAGAGCTAATATTAAGATAGAAATGTATTTTCAGAGAGTTGCTTGTTTTTGAAGGAATGGTGCGCTGAATGCTATCTTAAAATTCCAGAATCCTTAAAGATTCTTTGTGAATTCTTGATGGAGGTAAATTAAAAGCCTGTGTGTATGCACGTGCGTGCGTGTGTGTGTGTGTGTGTGTGTGTGTGTGTATTTGGATATTGTGGTATATATCAATCAAAAAGTTATAAAACTGGGTATTTCTGGTATTCTCCAGCAACAAGGACCCTTAATGAAGCCAATTAATGCATTGTTGATAACTGGACGATAATTGTTTTTTCTAGACCAGTTTTAACATAAGATTAAAATGTACAACTAAAATCTTGTAGATATACCAAATAATAAAAGGTTATTGGGTACCTGGGCAGCCCAAATTTCACCATCGGGGTTTCTATTGATTTACTTACTGGGAGTCGTTAACACATCCTGTTACCTCTTGGTATCTGTTGTATCAGCCTTAATTGGGGCAGTTGCACTGGACCTACCAGCGCTAACATTCTACCCTGTCACATTCTGTAGTAACCTCTAAGAGGACCCCCAACCTCAAGTGGCTTAGAGGGGTCACAAAAATAAGAAGAAGCTCCATGTAAGAGAACATAGAGCAGTGAGGCCTGTGGCATGGCCTTCCCAAAATCTTCAAATATTCAAATGTTCATTATTTTAAGTTACTGTGCTGGAAAACCAAAACATATCTGTAGTCTCATTCACCTCCACCCTCAAGAGCCAGACCACGTTTCATTCAGTTTGCATACTGCAGCATCTTTGTCACATATTTGATAGGATGCAAAGATTTTGTTTGTTTCCTTGCCTCTTGGTGAAGTTATATCTTCCTTTATTCTGCTCCAAGCATTCAGGAGAACATTTTCAATGCTAGGAAAATTCACACCGGATTGCACGTTGTCTTCTTTTCTCAAATGGTCGCAGCTTATTTCTTTCCTGCTCTTCCTCTTGATCAGAATAGCTCCTTTAAAATTATGCAGTATCCTTTAAAACACTTTCTATAGTTTCTAATTTAGGGCTTAGGGCTCCATAGTGAGTTTAGAGAAAATAAGGCAAATCATAAATAGCACCTGGGGCACCATAAAAAACTCTTAGTTATGTCAATTTTTATGAACCAGAAATCTTTCATCACTCCAACCTACTTTTTATTGTTATATGATTCTTATTATTTTGCCATGTGATATTTTTTCATAGCCCTGCTTTAATTATTTATTTTTGATTATAAGTTATGTAATGGGTTACAAATTACGGAAATATGATAGCTCGACCTGTTAGTAAGCCGTTAATTCACTCTCCACCAATATAACTTTAAACCATGGGCAATAATATAGTCATGCACCACTTGATGACAGGGATACCTTTGGAGAAATGTGTTCTTGGGTGATTTTGTCACTGTGTAAACATCGTGGAGTATAGCAAACCTAGATAGTATAGTCTATTATACACTTAAGCTATATGGTATAGCCCATTGCTTCTAGGCTACAATCCTTTACAGCAAGTTACTATACCCAACTATTTGTGTGTTTAAACAAAGAAAAGGTAAGGTAAAAAATACTGTAAAAAAGATTTTTAGGCTGGGCGCAGTGGCTCACTTGTGTAATCCCAGCATTTTGGAGGCCAAAGCAGGTGGATCACCTGAGTTCAGGAGTTCGGGATCAGCCTGGTCAACATGGTGAAACCCCGTCTCTACTAAAAATACAAAATTAGCCAGGCGTGGTGGCGTGTGCCTGTAATCCCAGCCACTTGGGAGGCTGAGGCAGGAAAATCGCTTGAACCTGGGAGGCAGAGGTTGCAGTGAGCCAAGGGTCGCACCATTGCACTCCAGCCTGGGTGACAAGAGTGAAACAAACAAACAAACAAACAAGCAAACAAACAAATGGTGCCCCTATGTAGGACACTTAGCATGAATGGAGCTTGCAAGACTTTTAGTTGCTCTGGGTGTCAGTGAGAGTAGTGAGTGAATGTGGAGGCCTAGGACGTTACTGTATACTACTGTAGACTTTATAAACACTATAAACTTAAGCTATACCAAATTTATTTTAAAAGTTTATTTCAATAGTAGATTAACCTTAGCTTACTGTAACTACTTTATAAAATTTTTAAACTTTTTGACTCTCTTTTGATATCACTTAGCTTAAAACACAAGCACACTGTACAGCTATACAAAAACATTTTTTCTTTATATCCTTATTTTATAAGCGTTTTTCTATTTAAATTATATTAACTTTTTAGAATTTTTGATTAAAAACTAAGTTGCAAAGACATGCATTAATCTAGGCCTACACAGAGTCAGAATCATCAATATCACTGTCTTCTGCCTTCACGTTTTGTCCACTGGAATGTCTTCAGGGTGACAGCCTGGAGCTGTCATCTCCTATGATGATAATGCCTTCTTCTGGATAACTCTTGAAGGACCTACCTAAGGCTGTTTTAAAGTTCTTTTTATTTTAATAAAAGGAGTGCATTTTAAAATAACAATAAAATGTATACTGTAGTAAACACATAAACTAGTAACATATTCACTTATTAAATATTATGTACTGTACCTAATTGTATGTGCCTGACTTTTATGTGACTGGTAGCAGAATAAGTTTAATTACACCAACATCTCTGCAACCACAGGAGTAATGCACTGTGCTAGGACGTTACGACAGCTACCACATCCCTAGGTGATGGGAATTTCTTCAGATCTGTTATAGTTTTATGGATCAGTCTCTTATTTGTGGTTTGTTGTGGACTGAAATGTCATTATGCAGCACATGGCTATAAAACCATCACTCAAGCAATCTCAGTTGCATCTATTGAATGCAATAACTGGCCTCTTTTAAATGTGGAATTTTCAAGAAATGCTACATGTAAAGATACTTTAATGATCCTCATTTAGCCATTAGATCAGAAGTGCTTCTTGAAAATAGTTATGAACTGCATGCTGGCAATGCTGCTATGCACAGCTTCCCCAGTAGGCTTAGCTGTGGACCTGATAGCCCACATAGACTCTTCACTGATGTTCATGATGATGATCCATGATTAAAGCTCCCTGGGCATGAATTGACTCTACTGTGCCTTAACCGGCATGAAGGAGATGTTTAAGTGTTGTATTCAACTGTGATAATAGGATTAAGACCTCAACATAAAAATTTAGGCTCAGAGCAACATTTTGTGGGGAAAAATTGTTTATTATCTTCTACATAAATTTGAATAGATTTTTACTGGCTTTCAGCAAAGAAAATGGAGGAAAGAAAACTCACATTGCTTTCAAACACCTGATTATTTTGGCATAATCACTGTGAGTAAATGTTTACTCAGAACTTGTAAGATGCACGAAGCTAATTTTTTTTTACTCTGATTCTAAGACTAAAACAGGTTAAAGGCGTGAAAGCTGTTTGCACTGATCCTGAGGTCAGAATACGAGGAAGTAGGTTAAATTGTAGCACAGTATTATTAGATCCTATGAGACACTTCCTGTACTGTAAAGGCCGTTGAACTCCAACAGTGAATTTAGTGAAAGCTGGAAGAATGGACTTGATAAATTAGTGTAACCCCATCTCTGCAGGTCTTTATAAACACTTTAGATGTCCATTTTCTGAGATGAAACTGAAAAGTCCTGCTGGAATTTAAGTAGTCTCAATTTGAGAATGGCATCTGGAATGCAGGGAAGAAAGTCCTCCTTAAAGTTGGTATGGCTGTTAAAGTCCATATATTAGGCTGGTGAATCTTTAAATCAGAGTAATTTGTGTAGACCTTGCCAAACAAAATCTTAGGCTGGCGCCTACAGATCATTTGGTTGCCTATTTAAAATTGAAATTCCAAGGAAGAAGTCAAATCCCTGAATAGACCAATAACACGTTTTGAAATTGAGGCAGTAATTAATAGCGTACCAACCAAAAAAAGCCCAGGACCAGACAGATTCACAGCCAAATTCTACCAGAGGTGCAAAGAGAAGCTGATACCATTCCTTCTGAAACTATTACAAACAATAGAAAAAGAGGGACTCCTCCCTAACTCATTTTATGAGGCCAGCATCATCCTGATACCAAAACCTGGCAGAGACACAATAAAATTGAAATTCCTGGTCCCAGCCCCAGAAATGCTAGTTTAATAGGTCAGCTGTGGTATCCACAAATCTGCATTTTAAAAGAGCTCTTCAGGTGACTTTGATGCAGGTGCTCCAAAGACTTCAATTTGAGGAATGTCATTGGTTTAGGGTAATGTATTACAGAACATGACCCCCAGTCTTCATTTCACCATTTTCTGAGATAGCATATAGACTAGTATATTTAAAATTTAATCAGTAGGCATCATCACAGTCATATATATACAAATCTTATTTAGACTAGATAGATCGTAAGCAACTGCAGCCCCTAGAAATTCTCAAGGAAATACAGAAGAGCATTTTTGATGTATTATAGGGCCAAGGCTAACAGTAAAGGTACACATTAAGAACTATCATCTAAAACTGAAGGGCTGTGGCAATTTCCTGATATCTTCTCTGGAGCTTTCATCTTTGTGCTTTCTCTGTGGTGGCTTTATTCTTCCCCTTATACAAGCCAGCGTCTTCTTTTTTTCTCACCCACGCACAGAAAACATGGTCTGTAATCATATTTTCATTTACGTACAGGCCCCATAAAGAGACTAAGTTGTACTTGCCAGTCATGTTTTAAATGCCAGAGAGCAAACTCTGAACTCTATCTAATTGACTGTTTGTTGTGGTGACACACATTGGGACGTAACTGCTAACAGTCCACTCATACAGATCTTAGATGGGGGAGAGCGAAGTTTCTGTGTAAGGAGGCTTGTGAGCTGGGAGGAGGAACTAATAATTATCCACTACAGTACTACAGAAAAGCATTGTGCTCAGTGCTGAGAAAATATAGAAGTTGTAAGAAACCTGTACTTCTGGAGTTTGTAGTTGTCAAAGACAAGTATATACAATCAAACGAGAATTACACCAAGGAGGTAATCTTAAGTGCTGGAATGTTATTGGGATTCAGTAAAGGTCATAATGATCTGGAGAATTGAGAAAGGTATTGAAGAGAAGATGGCACTCTTAGTGGAACTAGGAAGAGGAGTGAAGTGCATTTTATCAAGGGAAAGGCACATGAGAAATGAACGTTCTGGTAGTCTCATAGTCAGTGTGGACTACAGACCAGCAGCATTGGCGTCACCTGGGAACTTGTTAGAAATGTAGAATTATAGGTACTACCCCACTGCTACTGATTCAGAATCTACATTTTAAAAGATATTGATGATGTCTTTGTGTAATAAATTGTCATCCCAGCTGGGCACAGTGGCTCACACCTGTAATCCCAGCACTTTGGGAGGACGCTGCGGGCAGATCGCTTGAGTCCAGGAGTTTGAGACCAGCCTAGGCAACATGGTGAAACTGTCTCTGCAAAACTACAAAAAAAAAAAAAATTAGCCTGTCGTGGTGGCATGCACCTGTAGTCCCAGCTACTCAGGAGGCTGAGGTGGGAGGATCACCTGACCCCCAAGGGGTTGAGTCTGCAGTGAGCTGAGATCATGTCACTGCACTGCAGCCTGGGTGACAGAGGGAGACCCTGTCTGAAAAAAAGTAAAAAAAAAATAAAAAAAATTAATGGGCATCCCAGTGGTCACTATCAAGAAAAGCTATAAAGTTAGAGAAAATGTAAAACTAGTTCCCAATGTGGTCCTCAAGGTACAGTTTTCTAATAGAAATACTGTCCCAAATCACATACTCTACTTCAGGTACATTCTAGATGTTATACATTTTGTGGTGTGGGTTGAGATAATAACCCCTTTTTAAGTAGTTACAACAACAGCATTTTTTCTGAGTTCCTGTCAGCTCACTTACAAGTCACATTTTGGACCACAGTCCATCCTGTCATGGTAGTTACACAGAGATGAACAGTCATCAGACATCTAGTTTCAAGTTAGTCAGCACTAGCTCTGTTAGTAGTATTACCTTAAAGCTATGTATTAACTCGGAGCAATCTTTCTGTTGCCATTGGAGAGGGACAAGAAACTCTGTGGTTCACAGAAGTGTTCCCTGAAGAAGGCCTCTTTGATCTGTTTTGTTCTCATCACAAAGCCCAGTCCCAACACATTTGCTGCCGTCTCTGGATGTGGACTGTCTCCAGTCTCAGTGCTCACATGTCTCCCACCATTCAGCACCCACATGTGCTGAGTTTCTTCCTGTTCTCATGGCAGCACTCTCACATCTCCTGTCTGTGATGATGATAATGACCCTTTTATATGAAATATTTCAGATATCAGAGCCCTGTCCTTCTGTTTTTATAACAATATGTATTACACCTTTGTAGAGTAAGTTAAAATCTTCCCATCACTCAGTAAGACAGATAAAGGAAAAATATATTTCCTTGATGAATAATGAAATACATCAAGACAGTGTTGAGACGTATAGAGACATTAAAAACATTGCTTAGGTCATGTTTTTTAATATTTAGAGCTGTCTAAACCACAGAGATCATGTGGTTTCACTCTCCCATCATAGAGGTAAGGAGCATAAGACTGAGAAAGAAGTGACTTACCCAAGGTCACACACCTACTATGTGTGGTAAAACCAGGTCACAAATTCATCTTGTTTTGTTCTTCTTCACTGCACCTTAACTTACCTGATATAAACACTTAAATGTTTCACACTTTATTTCTTACTATGCCCTGATGATAGAGTTCAGAAACCTTAGTATCAAACTAGATCAAAATATTGATATTTAAAATTTCTGTGAAAATGTCATAGTTACCAATTTCCATTGCATGACTATTCCTGGGAAAACCCAGTGGTTCTCTATGACATGCTAAGGACGCATTGCTTTTCTCCATAGATAATTTGTTCACTCCTGATAGTAAACATTGTATTTCTCCGCAGAGGGGACAAAAATTGTCTGTCATCTAAGCAATGACCACAAAAGAAAACATTTCTATTTTCCCTTGGAAAAGACTCTTGGTATATTTGACCACATGTGCCACAGTGTATTCACAGGCGCAGAACCATCATTAGTAAAACAGTCATCATTATTAGGTTTTGTAAACCTCTGAGCACTTATAATGCAAAACTACTGTCATATCTGCTTTCTATTAGTTTATAATTTATGTGTAAGCTCATGAGGGGGGACATGTATTCAAGAATCATACAAACAAAAACAAGAAACCAAACACACACACATACACACACACACAATTTTTTTTGGCCAACTTCGAATGCACTGGATTTTTTCTTGAAGGTGGTTCCCCCACTTTCTTGAAGGAAGGAAGTGGTGGACGACAGAGATCTGTTTTCATCTTTTATGCAAAGTGGAAGAGTGGAATAGACTCTTCCATTTCTAAGGGAAGGCCTCCATTTCTAAGTATTTTTGACATATGAGTCACAAGAGATAAAAGATTGTTTTTAAAAAAGTTGAGAACAAATTATGGTGGTTTGGTAATGGAATGAGAAAAATGAGCGATTTTGTGAAATAAAAAGCAGTAACAACATTTTTGTACCTGGGATGGATGAAATTGAGGAAGATGAATGGCTAAATTTACTATTCCAGATCAGAATCTCCTAATACACTGGGATTGGAGGTGGGTGTGGGAGAGTCTTTGCCCAATTCCTTACGAACATGGCAGTTTTTCTGCTTCTCAGATTGGGTCCAAACCTCTCTGCCTGCCACTCCGGGCTTTCTACTTGTTGAGCCAGCAGTGGGAATAAATATTATGACACAGTTGCTAAGTATACAGGCCCTTGGCTCAGGTCACCAGTTTGGCCCCTAGCTCAAACTGTGTGACCTTAAGCAAATGACTGAACCTCTCTGTATTTTAGTTTGTTCATCTCTATATAAAGAAGCAGTCATAGTACTTACTTCATACAATCATTAAAAACAAACACATACATGCTTATCAGGTTTCCTGACACCAGTACTCAGTAGTCTTAGTAACTATTACTTATTTTATCTCATCTAGGTGCCATCAATTTTAAGATACTCCATCATTGCATGTACCACTAAGGAATAAAAGATATCACCCCTATAACTGCACGATGCCATCAATTTTAAGATGCACATCAATTTCAGAGATGTTAGAATGTGGAAAGGAAATGTATGTCTTAGAATCAATGAAACCCTACCATTTCCTATCCCAGGCCAAACCCTTAGGGCTTTGCTGATGTCAGTAAAAAAAAATAATAATAATAATCATAACAATAAGAAGAAGAAGAATAAAAGACTGAAAGAAATGGAAACTTGCTAGTTTAAACCAGTGCAATTATCACTTGTTATGTTGCCCTTTCTTACTCTCCAGTCATTTGCTGTGATCAAGCCTCTCTGGGTCAGGTGTTTTGGTCAGGTGTCTGGCCTCTCGGTATGCTGTTGGCCACGTGGTAACAAGCTCACCGCTCGGCACACAGCAGGTGATTAACCAAAGTGTGTGTCTGGATCAATTTCTAACTAAATTTACAGTTCATAGAAACTCTTTGTTGTGATCAAAATTGCTAGTATCAACAACAGGAGCAAACAGAAGAAAGAGTGTCCTGCTGTAAAGAGCTGCTTTTTCCAGTCGACATCCCCACCTGATCTATCAGCAGTGAAGCCTTATTTTCAGGCTCTTTTCTCTCAGAAAATAGGCTATTACTATCTCTAGACAGTGCAGAAGTGATTACATTTTAATGCAGACCTCTCAGATTTAACTCAAAAGTACCTACTGAATAAAGTCCCTGAGCCGCTTTTATAGCAAAGATTGGCCTACCAGTCGGCCATCTGAGAACATGCTGTCTTTGTTCTGCAGTTAAGGACCAGTCTCACCAAGTAAAATGAAAAAGTACAGAGTCCCCTCCCAGTGGGCTGCTTTTGGCATCTTATAAACAAATCTAGTAGAACACAAAGACACAGCAGCTCACCTTAGAAGAAACATTGCATCCAAAACAGGGCGTATGTCTATGCGCTTATAGTCTTTTTTTCTTACTGATCTTCTATAGTTGTGAAAACTCAAAGTGCAAGTAATTTCTCAAGTTCCAAAGCTTAGTTCTACTTAGACTTTTAAAATGTTTGTTCTTTCACCCACATTAAAAAAAAAAAAAAAACCTCAGACATTTTCTTTACTAACATTAAACTTCGTATCTTTCATAGTAGAGCCTTTTGTTTTTTTCTTGTGGGAGTCCTACCCGTCTTAAGGGACTCTCACATAACTCGTTTTCTGTTTCCCAGTCCTTATTCTCATACAATTTCAACTTTCATTTTTTCTCAGTCGTTGTTCTCATACAAGTTCTCTATAACTAATTGGCCCTTGACCATCACTGGACATTCTCCAAAATGTCTTTTCACCTGCTCCCATGTGGAGCCCAAGGCTCTCAGGAAACAACTCTGTCTCTGCTTCCAAAGCAAGCTTTCAACTTCCAAGAGACCATAGCAAGGACTGAAAAAAGACACTCTTTATTGAGTTGCATTTTTATTTCAAAGTAAAATTGGGATTTTAGCACCGGAATGCTAAGTGTGTACTTAGAGGGATGCCATAGTGGATGCTGGGGAGGGCCTTGAAGTCAGGGAAAACAAGGTTCATATTTTGACTGGGCCAATTAGTAGCTACGCTGCTTGATCCTGAGCCAGTTGCTTTACCTCTCAGAACCTTGGTTCTCTTATTTAAGATGAGAAGATTAGTATCTACCCATGAGACTGTTATGAAGATGAATATATGTTAGGCACCTGGCCCATTGCCCTCTGCGCTTGGTCAACAGAAGTGGCTCTTGTTATTGTGAACTTCAATATGCATGACCTATCTGTCAGTCACTTAACATGACTTTTTTTTCTCAAGTGATTTTTATCTTCTATAACATTCTCTTCTCATTCTTCCAAAAAGGAGCTCTATGAAAGCAATTAGGGGAAGGTAAAGGGTGACAAGGATGGAGGGTAATTATGAAGAACTACAGAGTTCTTTTCATATTTTGTACATAATATCATTTCTGGAAATTATATCCACATTAAAATATCAAAAAAAGGTATTTTCACTGACGAATGGAAACTGTCCTGATGTCTCTGCTAGTTTTAATGCCCCTAGACACATTATTTAACTCTCCTGATCTCAGTTTCTTTGTTTATAAGAGGAGTAGCTTGAATGCCTTCATCTGTTTAACATTTACTGGAGAACCAAAAATAATCAAGAAATAAGCTGTCCTGAATGAGTCCATAGTCTTCTAGGAGAAACAGAAAAAAAACAAAAAAACAAAACAAAAAATAATTGTTAAGTTAATCTTGGGAGTGGGACAATATTGACGAGAGTCTTCCCAGAGTACCCATGACTTGGAGAGTCACTGAAGTTTGCCAGAAATGCAAGCCCCCAGGCTGAGGGATCTGTGCATGCAAAAGCATGGAGATGAGAAGAAGCGTGGCTTGCTCAGGGGTTCCCAACATATTCTGTGACTGTCATTGCAGCTCAGGGTCATGCTGCTGAGAGGTGAGGTGTGAAAGGTGATTACACCCTTGAAAGGTCATAACAATATAGGAAGGAGTCTGCAACCAAGTGATTTCAAAAATGTTCAGAAAAGTCATGGAAATCACTTCCTACAATTCCTCCTGAAACTCCAAGTACCTGAGGGACCAAATGAGTACGTCTATGTTTATGTCACTGCTGGGAACAGCTTTCGGGGAAAATTTTAACAATGCTGCAAGAAGAGATTGGAACAAGGCTGCCTAGAGCCTGATGTAACCCAGCATCATAGGGATGACTTTACTTATTTATGTATTTAATTGTAAAATTATAAAATGGTAGTGGCAGTATTATTTGTCATGGTTTTTCTACTGTGGCTAAACAGTTTGTCATTCTTTTTGAAAAAACAAATGTTGGGCACACCACCATGCTTTGGGAGTGTAGATGAAAGTGAAGGATGTAAGCATTAAGAGATTACATGAATTTGCAGTTTTGGCTAGGCCTTGGGAAACATTAGTCTTTCCATCGTCACAGATGCAGCAATCAGAGTATTTGGCTTTAGCTTAAAAGTTCATGCATGAAGCATAATCAGAACTTTATTATATATCACTTGCTAAAAAAATTTCCTTAACAGCAGGCACTCATCAGTCCTCTAAACTTCAACCAGTGGCTCACAGACACCCCTGATTTAATTTGTTCTTTCTCTCATGATCCCTCCTCCCTTCACTCATTCTTTTATTCCCCTTCTCTTCCTCTTTCCTTCCCTTTTCTTCCCAGTCCCCTTCTTTATTTTCTGCCAGTTTAACAGAGTATTTTTATATCATTTTTTTAGTATTAAACTGCACATTTTAATATCATAATAGTCTTTCCATAGAGTTTCAGAGTCTAGATAGTGCTTTACAAGGATGATGGTGATAGCAAACATGTGTATAGCACTTACCATGTGCCAGACATTCTTCGGAATGCATTACTGTAAACATTAACTCATTCAGTCCTTCCAGGTAGGTACTGTTAGTCTCCCCATGTTACAGAAGGTATGTTGAACCACATGAAAGTTAAGTAACTTACTCAAGGTCACACAGCTAGTAAATGGCAAAGCTAGGATATGAACCCGTGTAGTCTGAGGTCTGGGTAATGTTCTGACCACTATAAATAGTTGCCTCTGAGAGTTGATTTCCTTTCACCACAGTTTTCACCATGGAAAATTTGTTGTCATTAACTTATCTGTTAAGGTGATCACATAGTAGTCAGGTGACCCCAAGGAAGGATTATTGTCCCAAATTTCTTTTTGTTATAATTATATTTTATTTTTGCTTTTCAACATCAGAGACAGTCTATCAACAACAACAAAACGACTTAGTTTTAAATGATTTGGATAGGAACCTTTATACCCAGCCACCCGCTTCATGCTCTTGTTTAATTTTTATTAAAAATTAGCAAGTTTGAAGATGATGAAAGGATTATAGTTTATATCTGAAACAAATAGCATTCCATCCTAAGCTTGTCAAACAGAAAAATATATTTGATTAGTTGGGCTAGAAATAATTCATCAGATTGATTCTATAACTACCTATATTATAGTGACTGCCTTTGACTTCTGATCTTGATCTAGGTAAATAAAATCAAGGAAAAAAAAAGCAGATGGTTGATGGGATTTAAAGGTGTAAAGACTCAGCCTTAACTCTCACAGGGGATAGTTGGTATTGACTTGTTTCTTGTTTTGACATTGTCAGTTATAGACCAGAGTCTACCTACTTGTCTAACCCTGAAGATTAAAAAAAAGTGAGACCTATACTGGCAAGGTGCCCTTCTCACTACATATCACGAGTCAGATTCCAGTTTCATTTAGATAAGACCAATGAAGAAGGGGAAACTTGCTCACCACAATAAATTATGATTTATAAGTCTTTTAATATGATACATAGTAATATTCACCTTTAAGATTCTAAAAACACCTTTTCATATATGCAAAATCCTTTCATGTTTCTGCAACTTAATTTCATACAAAAGCTGCTAAATGATTTGAAAAGATAGGAGCTGTTACTGTACAATCAGAAGATGCTTGCCGTATTTCAAGATGGCAGGAGGATACAAAACCACTGCCTACCTACATTTATTTCCATTAGCTTAAGAATTTATTGTTATTATTGTTTTGTTTGCTTTTGCTCCAGCTTTTAGTTCTGTTAAAATGAACAGTATGTCAGGTGGCATATAACTTATTGAGCCGGATTGACGAGGCAGAAGCTCAAACATAATTTAGGTGATTGGACTGGACGATCTTTTTAGATTCTTTCTCTCTTGCTGAAATTCTGTTTCTCTGGTTATTATGAAACATGATTTAATGTAAATGTAATAACGTTCAGATTCTGATGTCAGGTTTCCCTTTTTGTTTTCTCAATGCTGTGTTTCCCCTACTCCCATCCCTGCAGGCTTAGGTCGAGTCTCTTCTATTGCCGTTCTACAACTCAGGAGTGCCTATGTGGCTGCAGTGATTGAGAAGCTATAATTAGTATAGTTAATGAACAATGAAATGCTGCCTCCCTTTTTATTAAGAGCAGTTAGGGTGCTGCATAAGGGAAGGTAGAAGATTTTACCACCCACTACCAGTAATTAATTGACCTCCTTGTCATCTGTTGAGACACAAGGAGAATAAAAATTTTCAGTCTAAGTGTTAGAGTTGGTGGATGTTGCCGTGCAACTGGGCATTGATTTCCATTTTTGTTCTTTTTCTATTCCTTCTGTATTGATCCTTGTTGTCACAGCTCAAGAAATCATCCTATTATCTTTAAAAAATCCTTCATAAAATTTTAGAGGTTTAAGTTTAAATTCAGTGTCACAAAGTTTCTACTGTGAAGTTATATTTGAGGATTTCTAGAATCTTCTAACCTCGTTCACTGCTGTTATTTTACTGTAGAGAAGACATTTTCAGGGCAGTTAAGTGACGTGGCTGAAGTCTCTGCAAGTTTACATCTAACATTATGCAATAGATGACATTTTCTAAGTAGACTCCCTAGATAAAAACAAACACATAAAAATGTTTTCTGAAAAATAAACAACCATCATATTACCTCCTAAAGTCATGTTAACTTGAAACGTTAAGGATGTTTGTTTTTCTATGTGAGAACCCAAATTATAAACATTACAAGGATTGTGATAAAGTAGGAATTTTACTTATGGGAAGAAATAAGGCAGTTTTAGGGAGAAATAAACTTGTGTGATATATTTTATATGTTTTTCTTCATCATTTTATTATTGCAATATAGTTCACATATAAAATTTACCTTTTTTTTTTTTTTTTTTTTTTTTTTTTGGAGACAGGGTCTCTCTCTTTCACCCAGGCTGAAGTGCAGTGGCACCATCAGGGTTCACGGCAGCCTCTGCCTCCACAGGCTCAGATGATCCTCCCATCTCAGCCTCCCAAGTAACTGAGATTACAAACACACACCACCCCACTGGCTAACTTTTCATTTTTTGTAGAGATGAGGTTTCGCCATGTTGCACAGGTTGGTCTCGAACTACTGGGCTCAGGCTATCCACCTGCCTTGGTCTCCCAAAGTGCTGGGATTACAGGTGTGAGCCATCACGCCCGGGCAAATTCACCATTTAAAAAAAAAAAGTTCAGTGAATGTACTTTATATTTAAATATTAAGTGGGTATATTATAAAGAATCAAGAAGACCACTGGGCTTTTTTTTCTACCTTTGGTGAATATTTGTGTTTCTTTTGTTTGTATTGCTTTTAAACATTTGATGGAGGGAAACTAAGGGCACTGAGGAGTTGTTTGAAAATGCCATTGTCAATTTGGGCCAAACTCCAGCTTGAGGCTTGAGTACAAGGCCAAGATTAGGGTGATACAGGTGCCTGTCACTGTGTATATGGCAGATTTGATTCGCTGTTTGCTGTGTTGAATCCATGGCATTGCAAGGGATTACAGGGTCTTCAGTTTTACTTTTGTGTCTTCTGCTATTATGAAAGCTTCTTCATGGTGTCTCGTTTATCAGGATATTCCTGTGACTAGCATGGTAAAATTTTCTGGAATTAATACATGCATAAGTTGAGAGAAAGAAAGAAAGAGAGAGAGAGAGAGAAGAGAAGAGAAGAGAGAAGAAGAAAGAAAAGAAAAAGAAAAGGAAAGAAAGAAGGAAGAGAAAAGCCAGAAAGAAGAGAGAGGGAGAGAAGGAAGGAATGAGAGAAAGAGGGAGGAGGTTGGTTTTCTCTGCATCTCCTGCAAAAGAGAGAAAGAAGGAGGAGTCTAGTTTGCTCTTTGCATCTCCCACTTTCCAAGCATAGTCACATGATATATAGAGAGATATCATTTATCAAGTCATGAATAAGCATGCTTCATTAGGTTATAACTCTTAACTACTACTGTGCTGCAGCAGAAGTCTTTTGGAGACGGAGGAACAGCAACTTTATGGGCATGGTCCTCTTTCTAGGTGGAGAATTCACCTTTGGCTTTCCTTGGTGGACCTCCCTTGGGCAACATATTGCCAGGACAGTGCAGGACATCAAGCTCCCTGACAGTGATCCTGTACACAGATGAGGAAGACATTCTTCTGCCTGAAATAAAACAACAGGGGAATACTGATCACAGAACTCACTTTTCCTACGCTCTCAGTGTCTTTATATTTTCTTTTTTTAAAAAAAAAAAAAAAGAAAAATGATCTGTAGTATTCATGTCTCAAAGCTAACTCTGAGGGCAAAGGGAGCTGTCTTTCCCCAAAGCTAAAAATCTGCCTATAAATTTCATAAAGACTACCAGCTTCAGTATTTATCTCTCCACAGTTGTATTGTAAAAATATTTGCATGAAAAGAACATCTTTGTTTCCTTAAGTCTTCATCTGCTCTTGGTACTCATTTGCTCTTGAAAAGGGATATAATCGTTTTGTTTTTGATCTATAATCATTCCCACAGCAACCAATTGTGATGCCACAGACCAAGGATTATAATTTTCGCTGGAGAATAAACAGATGAACTTTGAAACAAAGCTGCTCATTTCTCCCAAATGGCCTTGAGAACAAGAAGACCAATTCTAAAAATTTTAGCTACAAAAAATTTAAAAATAAATAAAAATAAAAATTTTAGCTACCTAAGAAACAATTTTCAAGATCATGAATGCTCCTTCTTTAAAAGTCTATATAATTTTCCAGCTTTATATTCAGCTCATCTCATAAAACAGATATTTACTAAGCTCTTACAATGTGCCAGGTACTTTGCTAGACTCTGCAGTACAAAAATAAATGATGCATAAATTTTGCCCTTGAATTCTGAGTCCAAGGGTTCCTTTAGTGTTTTTATCCAAACTTAACCAAAGCCACAATAACTAGAATTTGTCAGGATTTTGGTATGCAGCTATGAGTTTTACTCCATGGTTAATGGGACTGGCATTTTTGTCTACGTTTGTTACATGTACCATGTGAGGGGTGATGGGATTTCTTCTTTTTCTGACACTCAATACATACAAAGATGTGGAAATTCAGTAGGTCAGGGCAGTTAGTGTCTTAGCAACTGTCTAAAATGTGTGTTTCAAAGTATTTCCTAATTTTTTAAACAGAAAAATCAATCCTTCAGACTCTCAGATTTTTGGACCCGCTGTAGGGAAAACTCATGTTTCTCTTTCTCATATTCTGTTACTTGAATGTATGTGAAATAAGATTAGGGAACAGCATTTGTTCTCTATTATGCTTCCCTGGCAGAACTTCTTAGGGTTTCTCTAAGCTGTGGGAGCAGTTAACAGGCATAGTATTTTGTTTTATAATTTCATCCAAAATTCCCCTAGCTGGATGAAATATATGCCCCCCCGAGAAAGAAATATGAGATGCCAAAGAATCATATAGATATTTTTCTTTTCTTCCCTTATTGTAAATCATTGGTTAAGATGACCTGCTTATATTTTAATATTTATATTGGTAAAAGAGGCTCTATCTTGTAGAGCGTGCCATTTATGTTTGTTACTTTACCCATATTGTTATTTATGAAATTGTTTAGGCTTTTTGTTTTTTGTTCGCTATATTGTTTGGTTTTCAAAGCATACCCTTGAAATGGAGTAAATAAGACTCACTCTGTGTAAAGACTGAATCTATCACTTAATAAGTTTTCTTAATAAACAATAGGTGTTTTAAATGACCTCAAACATATTGTCTTTTTCAGAATAAAATTCTGTTTACTTTTATTGAATAGCTTGATTAATAATATTGTTTTTCTTTTCTTTTTTTTTTTTTTTTAATTTTTTGGAGAGTGGGTCATGCTTTGTCTCCCAGACTGGAGTGCAGTGAGATGATCTCATCTCAGCTCACTGCGACATTGAACTCCTGGGCTCAAACTATTCTCCTGCCTCAGGCTCCCAAGTAGCTGGGACTACAGGTGTGCATTACCATCTTTTGTGATGAGTTTTTAAAATTTTTTAGAAACGATGTCTCACTATGTTGCTGAGGCCAGTCTCGAACTCCTGCCTCAAGTGATAATGCTTTTGATTTTGAATGAAGGAGCCATTTTTACAAGGACATTATCACCAGACAGACATATATAAATCTCCTAGCATGGGTATATTTACTCAAATTTGCCTACTATTGGATCTGAGAAGGTATTTTTATTCTTCCAGTATACTCTAGGCCTTGTTCAAGTTGTACAACTTGAATGGTTCATAGCTTAGCCAATGGGTTATTTTCAGTAATTTTGATAATCAGTATAATTGCTGTAAAGTCTATGAATTTACAGCTATCAGCATTGATAGAACATACTCGAAGAATGCATCAGTCTGTTATCCTCAGGTTTGTGATCCTGGTATATATAAGACTACGTGTAATTCCGAAAGAAATAAGTTTCCCAACCTTGAAAGACTTTCACAGAAATTGAGACAAGAAATGATTAAAATTACAAAAAAAAAAAAATGTATTTTACATACATTTTACATGCACTGGGCTAGCCATTTTCTAGACTACACAGATATATACCAGACAGTATTTCCATTGAGAAACTTACTATAGAGTTGGGGAAATAAAGAATTGTCAAATGAAAAGATAAGTTATGGTAATGAATTCAAACAACTTTACAAGAAGAAATGCTACAAGGCTAAACGTAGCTAGTTGCCAAATGGATGCTCCAGTCTGTAACACATGATAGTGGCACACATGGAAGCATGTAAGAGAAAGCTCCAGGCAGTAATGAATTGGGAGAGTGGGATTTAAGCTGAACCTTGTTGAAAGGAAGGTAGAATTTAGAAGCAAAAAAAAAAGAAAAGGATAAGAAAGTGCTCTCCAAGCAAGAAATATTCCAGTGCAAAAAAGTCAGAAATGAGAACCTCAGACATGGACAGAGGAAAACAGAGCCAAAGGCTGGAATTTAAAATTATTCACTAGGACTGATTATAGCCAATCCAATATTTATATTGAGTTGGTATGTACCCTGAGCACCACAACATGGCAATTCCTGACTTTAAAGAACATTAAATCAGTACAGGAAGCAACATAATACAAAATAAGTCAAATGTAGACACAGAGTGCAATAGGCATTCAAAAACAAATCACCCCAAAACATTTAATACTCTTTCAAAGAGAACTAAAGCTAGTTTTTGAAATTTCATTGTTAGTATATCTGTGTATTTGGATTACAGTTACTGTTTCAGCTTTTTCTTTGGACACAAGCTATAATTGTGAGCTTTCTGTTGTATTTTATTTAATGTCTACTGCATCCCCTTAGTATAAATATGCCTCTTTCACTGGCAGCCTACATTTTGATCTTGTAGCTGTCTCTCTCACAGTAGTTAATAGAATACTTGAAAAGGTGATGGTAATACAGGATGACAACTGCTATACTTTTTCTGTGTTCAGACTCAGTAAACTATGGTTATGTAGTTAAGCAATGCAGTTCTTTGTTAATGACAGATTTATTGAAGACAAGCTTTCAGAAGCTTTCAGATTCTACTAGAAATCCTATTAAAGTGCTATCCATTAAACCATTAGAATAGTCATTAAAACTGTTAGTGTAGACTTGTTTTTCATGAGTTATTGGTCTCTCACCATTCTTAGTAGTTTCTGCCAATACAGCTCTACCCTTTGCTGCATTATGGCTATTCAGTTCTAAGGAATGAATGTGCATCAGCTTTCTCTCTTTTCCCGCAGAATTTATGGTGTGTGAGGGTTTTGGGGCAGCACTGTTGGGTGTGTAGAAACCAGGGAGAACTTGAGATGTGTCTTTTTGTTCCCAATTATTAAAGTAAAGATTATACTTAACTTCCCACTCTTTTGGATTTGATAGGAGTCATGTTAGAATCTAACGATATATTATAGAAAGCTGTGGCTTGTCTTTCATTATCAAAAAATTTTGGCAATAACAACTGTGGGATGAATGCATCATTAAGCCAAAATTGGCAGAGGTATCTGGTGTTTAATCTATTTTCCTTACTGTCCACAGTTTTTAAATAAGGAATTATGCTCCATGATAATAAATTTATAATTTACGTATCTATTAGAGTGTAGTAGTTAAGAGCTCTGTCTTCAAAGTCAGGAATCTCTGCATTTACATCCCAGTTCTCCTAATTTATGGACCACCAAGAGTGACTCATGGAAAGTATCTTAACCCTTCTATGCCTCAATTTCTTTATCTGTAATATGGAGATAACAATATCTAAGATACCTCTAAATTTGTTTTAAGAATTACATGAGATTCTGTAAGTAGTGATAATCCACCCCTCATTGTCATCATAATCCTCAAAATCAGAAGTAATTTAACCTGATTATTTCTCACTACCATCCTTTGGTGAGTTTAGAGTAAGACAGTCTAGTCTTGTGTTGGCCCTTCAGTATTCTTTCCTGGTCATAAATCTACACTGAAGTTACCTTCATGGACCCCAAAAGCCAGCTGAAAAATTTTCTATGGATTTCACAAAATCCCCTCCAGAGTGTTGAGTCCTACAGTCTGCTCCTTCTGCCTCTGACATGACAAGAGGAAGTCACATGTGCAGTTGTGAAAAGTATTCTGCAACTCTCTTTTTTCCCTCTTCCTGGAAAGTAGTTCAATGTTCATAAATGGAAAAATTAAAGAACATGGATAGTAAACATAAGGAAATAAAATAATTGTCATTTATCACAGCTCAGAGATAACTGCTGATAGCATTGGTGTATAACATTCTAGGTTTTTATATGTGTGTGTATTCATGTATGTATGCAGTGCATGTGTATACATATGTATATATTTTAACAAAAGTACTGTTTCATGTTTTTTCTTTAACAGTAAAAGTTTATCTTTCCACGTCACTAGATGCATAACAATTTTAATAGCTTCACACTTTTTCATATAATCTACTATTATATTAAGGCTATTTCCAAGCTTTTCAAAGTTATTTTAAATGATTGTATACATGTGTTCAGGGGAAATATTTTTTTTCACTTTTAAGGCTTTCTGACAGAGTTTAGTATCTGAAGTCTAACACCAGGAAATGGATGAATCAAAGACTGACTTCACAGTGGGGTGAATTGAGCCAGGTAGAGAAGGCAAAGTGATCCCAAGACAGGCTTCCAGACCTTGAGAATACCTTGATATGGTCACTTTACAACTTGCTTCTTAGTTCTAAAACTTGAGAGAGATCTGTTTTCTGGAAACCTCACTTGCATTAGTTGTGTGGTCTTGGTGGCCATGTAATGAAGCTGTGACGTCTAAATGCTACCGTCATTCTGAGAGGACCAGATTTTCATGGTCATCGTCCTCCCTGGCCCTCCATTGTCTGCATGTCTGTGGCTTGCTTTCTCTCCTACTAACTGACACAGCATTTTTTTAGATATGTTAATACACAGATTTTTAAAGGACATGTTAATTTATGTTTTACTGTTTAGATTATATTACATTTGGAGACACGTATCATGGTTGAATTGTGTAATACTCAAACAATAGGTCTATGGTTTTACTTCCAAAGCATTAAAAATTAAAAAAGAAATTATGACATAATTACATTTAATATTCCAATCACAGCCTTAAATATTATAAAATATTATAGGTGATATACAAGATTAAAAATCATGTCTATAGAATGAATTATCAGTTTGTAAAATTAGTTCGTTTACTTTGATCATAATTGAATACATATCCAATCACAATTGAATACATATCCAGCCAGCTTATGTACTGCACATTCCTTCCATCTCCAATGCTGTCTTAGAAGGAGGAAAAAGCAATTATCAGAAAGGGCTAAATTGTTGGTTTGTTAGAGAGCACAGTAAATGTGTGCTGAGAAACACATTCTCTGCTTTCTTCCTTTTTCTCTCTTGTGTGCAGCACCATAGTTAAGGTGAACAAGGGTGAATCATGGTAAGGTCAGCTACCTTCTCTCATTCTGGATTCAGTATCTCATTGCTGCATCAATAGTGTTAGATAATTGGAGATAGGTATTGCACTGCAGAAATTTCTCTTTACTTTTTCCCACCCACCTATCCATGTGATAGTTTGTAAGTGTACTTACTTTTTAGCAGAGACTGCCCCCTGTCTGTCTGTCTCTCTCTCTCTCTCTCTCTCTCTCTCTCTCTCTCTCTCTCTCCCCCTCCCTCTCTCTCCCCCTCCCTCCCCATCCCTCTCTCCCTCCCTCCCTCCCTCTCTCCTGCTCCCCTGCACGCCTTCCCTCCCCGTACATGTACATGCCTGACTGATGGTTATGACACTGTCATGAAGCTTGCCTAGATATAGATGTGAATATGAGGAAGTTAGGTAGAACCAGCTCTACCTTGGGGTGGCCATGTAATTTCTTGCCTAAACTGGGATACTTTGAGAGTGAGAAAGGGTCCTATTAATAACTACGCTGGGACAGTAGGTGTAAACTGGGATGTAGGGACTACCTAACTCAAACTCAGCCTATTGTAGAGCTCCATTCTGGAATATTTATCCTTCCATCTGATCACATTCCTTCCATTCTCCCTATAACTCCCAACATAAGTGGCCTTGAGATCTTTGGGGAGCACAACTGTTCAAACAAACCAAAAAAATGAAAAAAACTATTGTATTAAAATAGCCAACTAATTGTATAAACCCATACTGCTGTGCAGAAAATTGGGTAATACAGTTTATACAGAACTGTCATTGGCAAGTAGCCATTATGTGTTACTTCCAAATATTAAGTACATATGTAAAAATTGGAAAACACAGTACAAAAGGCTGTCACAGGTGATAGCTTAGAATGAATTTCAGATGCACAAAAAGTCAAAGATGGCTTTTATGAATTGGGTTGTAGCCACTTGTGAGCTGGGAGCCATTCTGTTTATTTAAATTTTTTTTTTTATATCTCTGGTCTATTCCAATATATATTTGTTTCATCATCACACCTTTGGCTGAGAAATTTATTTAACTAGTTCTAAGGTACTAGGGTAAAAGTAATTGTTGCTGTGTATCCTACCTGTAATGTATCTTAGCTATTCATTCCACAAATACATTTTAAAATTCACTGTATGCTAAATACAAAATATACAACATCAGATAAATCACAACCCCATAGCAGTGTTCTCAAGTGATTCCATTTTTTCCAGAGGTCTAATACATAAGATCATCAATGTACTGATTTTTTTTCTAATATTTAACTTAGAAGAGTCCCTAATTTTACAATGTAAAACTAATATACATTTAAAAATACTAATCTTTGAGAGTAATCTTTTAGTTTAGAAAGATACTAAACTCTAAAATTCTAGATTGTGTTAATTTGTTCTAGCCTTTCTAGTTTTATCACATGTAAGAGACAAATATACTGACACTTTAGATTGTAAATACTTTCTAAGACACCTGAGCACCATGGATATAAGTATTAATGATCATCCTGTGTGACTTCTTTGATTAGAAGCCTATATTTAGTATGGTGTATTGCTACCTTACCTGCAAGCACTAATGGTATTAATGGCAAGGGGTTGTTGGTATATATACTGTGCCCAAAAGGCACATGTGGATAGTCATGTTTTTTAGTGAGATAGTTGTACTAAATACATTTGGTATGAAATGGGGTACAAGAGTTTTTTAAGTGATTATTTGGGATTTTCTGAGTTCCGACAAAGACTGGGAGAAAACATTACTCTTTCTTATTTCATTTTGGATGTAGAATTTTTATCTCTTTCTGAATCAGAAAATGAGATTTGAAATGCATTGACTGAACATTAACAAAAGTTAATTTATGTTTCAATTTAGAAATTCATCTGTTCCCTCCACCTGCATCTGAAACTAAATATGGAAAAAGAAACAAAGACTTAATAAAGAAACTTTCTGTTAAATGACAAGCAAAGCAATGATGAAAGCCTAAAATACATCTATGTTTAGGATGCAAAGTAAAAATAATAGGAAGAAAAATCGTATGTTTAAAATTAGGCTAGACATTTTCATATTTGATTAAAAGAATTACTGTTATCACTTAAGCTCAACTAATCCGACTTTTAAAAATGAAGATGATTTATCTTAACAATTTTCCTTATAGTGTTTCTTAAATGATGTTGTAATATCAGTCGCACAACAATTGTGAAACCAAGCTATTCATTCATAATTTGTTTTTTCTTTTGAATCTACTTATGTACTGAGTTTTCTGAGTGGTCAAGTTTCTATTATATGAAATGCAAAAAGTGAGAACCATATGCAGCTGTGCTCTTTTTTGTTGTCTCTGCCGGAAAAGTAAATCAGTTTGCAAATTACATAGATGGGCATGTTATATAGTAAGTAGGAGAGCAGAAATAGATTTATTTGTTAAATTGAGCAGTTGCCTCAGTTTTATACTTCAGTATCAAAAAAGGCACCGTTAGCATCAAGGAGAATGCAGATATTCCTTGGAGGCTAAGATAGTCTTCTATCAGGGATGTTCTTATACAAGTCACAGGGTAGAGGCAAGAGAAGGCAAAACATCTAGCATTCTTTTAGTAATAACTGTGCATCAGGTACTTTTCGCTTAATACTTTGGGATCTATACAGATGTGTCAGCATTTTCAAAGAGCAGTGAGGAATTAATGCATTCATCTAGTTAATTTGGTGGCAAAAACTGGGACCTTGTTATCCATGGAAAAGAAAGGATGCAGCTGTGAATTAATTCTTCCTAATTTACTAAAACACTAATTTACTAACACCGTAAATTAGTGTTTAATGCTGCACATTGATTGTATTTGCTAGATAATTTTGTCTGTTACCTATACTCAATAATATTCTCTTTAATGTTGCCATACTCTTTAATGTTTCTAGGTGTGCATAACCTATTTTAATATTTTGTTTAATGAGATTGGGTCTTGCTGTGTTGCCCAGGCTGGACTCAAACTCCAGGGCTCAAGAAGTCTTCCTGCCTCAGCATCCTGAGTAGAGTAGGTGGGATTACAGGCACATGCCACCTCACCAGGATCCTCTTTAATTATTAAATATCATACTTTATAAGTGATTTGCAGATCAAGTGACTTCTTCTTATAAGTCATCGTAATTACATTTTACCAATTCAGTCAACATTGTCTATTTAAACAAAGCAGTTTAATAACTTTCTAATACATTTGCTTGCCCCAAACTGCCTGGAAATTCTTTAATACTCTTTGCTTTTTCAAATAACATCAGAAATTCTAATCTGTGAATTGTATTTGTAAAGTGATTTCCAATGACACATTCTATTCTTAAGAACATCAACTATATAGAATTCAAAGATGTGAAGAAATAAAAAAAGAACATCACCTATAAATCTGTCCATCTCTTTCTTATTATTCACCTTATCTGATGTAGGAGATAAATAGCTAAAAATGAAAACATTAGGATTAACACATATCGCTGATCTTATTCCTCTAGCACATTGTCTTTGGAAACTAGAAATGTCTTTCTTCTGCATTTAGTAATATTCAGGAAAATGTTTGGCATATTAAAAAGCCATGTATAGTGTTGGGTGTAGTGACTCACGCCTGTAACCTCAACACTTTGGGAAGCCAAGGCAGGTGGATCACTTAAGGTCATGAGTTCGAGACTAGCCTGGCCAACATGGCGAAACCCTGCCTCTACTAAAAATACAAAAGTTAGCCAGGCATGGTGACACATGCCTGTAATCCCAGCTACTTGGGAGGCTGAGGCAGGAGAATTGCTTGAACCCGGGAGGCAGAGGTTGCAGTGAGCCAAGATCACGCCATTGCACTTCAGCCTGGACAGGCATGACCCTGCCACAAAAAAAATAAAAATAAAAATAAAAGATAAATAAAAAATTTTAAAAAAGTATATAGTAAAAAATCTAGTTATTTAAATCTTTAATCTTAAAGTTGTATGTTCTTTTTTGGATTCTTATTTGGAACGATCTCTCAAAAATAATCTTTTCTACAGTCACACACTAAAATAGTAAAACACTTTATCTGAATTCTAGAGAGTACCTCATGTTGGCCTACTGAGTTAAAAAAAAGAATTAAGTATTTTTGGTTTTGTTGTTGTTTTTCATCATTTTTAATCCACGTTAGATTAAGATAATTCTAATATACTTCTGGGAATCAATGGTTTCCTCAGTGAAATAAACTAATTCATCTTTAGTACTATGATATAATTTAGAATAAATTGTTTATCAAAAGTTTACCTCAGATATTTACTCACTTGCCATGGATGAATGATTTACTATGAGCATAGTTTATCCTTTTTGTTCCCTGCATGTCAGTTCTAATAATATATATTATTACTTTAAGTAATTTTCTATACGTATTTGTTATATAGTATGTTAGAGTCAAAATTTCAAATGCAACCATTAGACAACAGGTAAAGCTGATGCATTTTATCACTTATCTGAAGCCAGAATTTTAACTGTGTACAAAAATATGTGACTGAAACACTTTTTGATGACTTCAATGAGTGTGGTATATTTATACATTTTCTATGCCTTTTCTACTACTAAAGGTGGGGCACTCCCACATCCATTCATTTGTTAATACTGAGAGTCTTGAAAAATCTTTATTTCAATCCTTCACACTCTAATGTTGGCCTGGATCAGAGGTGCTCTTACAGAGAGAGACTCAGTAAGATTTGATAACTAATTGGACAAAGAGAGATAAGAGAAAATGAGGACACACACCTGACACTAGGTTGACATTAAGAGGAAAAGGGAACACAGAGCAAACAGACCCAAGTTACCTGACCGGCCAGAGCTAACCAGGGGCAGCCAGAAAGCTAACACCCTGTTCTCTGACTTCCAGATTTTGTTCACCACTGGACTTTCCACTCCTTCCTCACATTTCAGTTTCTAAAACATCATAGGATTCAACTGAACTCATGCTCTTCTCTTTGAAGAAAGTATTCATTATGCCAATTGCAGGCTTTTACTAATTGTGCAAAATATAGCCCTTCCCATCTATGCAAACGTGGTCTTTTCCAAATGGGCATATATTAATTTACCATTTTCAAACAGAGAAGAGAGAGACAATGAATGAGAATTTTAAAAGGCATAATTGCAGAATACACAGTGAATGGTAGATTGCTCTTCTAAACCTCAGAAAGGACTTGAGAATATCTCAGAGCCAACCACACTAAGAACCAAATGAGCCTACTGAAGGGGAGATATGTGAAAAGATACTGTTTCTTTGGAAGTTAAGGTCATTGAAAGTTCAATTCCCTGTAAAAAGAATGGTTAGTCTGACCCATGGTTTGACGAGTGAAGTAACTGGTCTATTCCTTCTATATAATTAAATTTTTGTTAGTTGTTTTAAAAACACACAAAAACAGGATGATCTTTTTTTGTGGTTTCTCTTTGATGAGTTTCTAAAGGGAATATTTTGAGGTTTTTCTCTTGGCGGGATGAGGGAAAGTGAAACACAGAGCAACTAGTATTGTATGGTGTTTTGCACATTTGAATTATATTTTTCTTCTGGGTAAAAAGGTTGAATTTTGCAGAATGATTAAAGGACTTTGCTTTAAGATAATGACTTCAGCATTATTGAAAAAGGTTACTCCCATATCAGGATATAATTTTACTTGGTGACTGTAATCTGATGTGCAAATTGATGATCACTCTCTTGTTTGGAGTTTAGAATTACAAATAGAGTTCAGCAGTACTACACAGATTGTTCCCAACCTTCTGTGCGTTGTGTTTCAAGAGAATAGTTGAAAGGCAAGTGTGAAACCTTCAAGGAATCTTCTCCAGCTTAACTAGAGAGAAAGCATCTTATGGTGGCTGGGCCCTCAGCCTCCAGGGCCAGAATATGTGGACCCCCAGCCTGGCCTCTCTCCCTGCTAGCTGTTTGACCCTGAGAAAGTTATTTGTCTTATCTATACCTCAGTTTCCTCATCTACATAACTGTAATCATAATGGCAACTACTTCTAGGGTCTTTGTGAAGATAAATGAGTTAGTATGTACAAAGCACAAAGAAAACATAGTAAATGTTATCTAAGTATTAGTTACAACTATTGGATATATTTATATTTTAATTCTGAGTTTTTGTCGAGAATACAATGCAAACCTCTAATCCATCTGCTATAGCTTATTTTTTCAGTTACCTAGTTTGAGATAAACTTCTAGTTGATCAAATAAAAAGGATTAGAACTTTCAGACCATCAAGTTAAAGACTAAATAAATGCAAAGTGTTTTATATTAGCAAGTATCTGCTTGAGACTTTCCCGTTGTTCTTTAAATCACTCACAATAGGATTTTTTCTTCTATTGGGTCATTTTTTCTGAGTAAGCAAAGCCTTTGAGTTGAAGATCTGTTGTTAGCGTTAGAAAGGTTTAGTCAAAAGCTGCGGTGGGGAGGAGGAGTCAAGTGCCCAGTGTGCAGGCAGGGAAGCAATGTAAAATGGTGCGGCATCTTGGTAAAACTTTAGACGCTATATGGGGTTCATCCAATATCTGTCTTTCAAGAGGCTTTTTGATTGGCTGGAGACACAAAAAATACGACGAAGTAGCATTTTTGTGAATTCTGTGATAATTTATGTATTTCGTATCATGTATAAAAGTGTATTAATCAACTTTTACTTAAATAAATCTAGCTTGCTTTATTTCTAACTTGCAAAATTCTCCACAACGGAGACTGAAGAAAGCCTGGCCAGGATTTCAGCTTGGGAAGGTAAAACTTCAGATTGAGTGCTGGGAAGGCAAGGGTATCCCATGGAAGATTATTTGGGTGGACAGAGTTGAGTAGACATATCTAGGAGTCAAGCTCAGGAAAACCAAACACTAACAGCAGCAGACCCAAAAGAAGGAATTGAGTCCATTAAGAACAAAGGTGCTTATTTCAAATTGTTTTGAATAATTAATATTTGGGTAACCTCAGCTTAGCTTTATAGTAAAAAAGATGCATGGTCAGGGTGGACTGACCGAAAATACAGGGTTGAAGTGAAAGTCAACTTTTACATTCCTCAGGGTCTACATTGCTCTTTCTTCATTTTGGCCATCTCACTCTTCCTTAAGAGGACAGCAGCAAGAGAAGCCTGAGAACAGAGAGGCAAAGCAACTGTGTCTGTCACCAGCAATTAGGGTCTTACTCATTCATGATCTCTTTGTCTTAGTAATATGGATAACTGAAATTTGATTTTCCTCAACCAGTTTTATGTATTTTTTGAAATATGAAAGATCTTAGTATACCTCACCAACTTTCAGTTGTTATTCTTTACTGAGTTTACTGCTGTCAGCATTCTGACAAGCTCCAAAAATAATGACCCGTGTTGTGTTTTGTTAAACGTTCAGTCAGACAGATAGATACAGATGGATGAGTGCTGTGTTGCACAAAGACAAGTCAGCATTATTTAATCAATGTTTGTTTGATCCGTGTAAAACGAGTATAAACGTAAGCTGCATCCCATCTGTTTTATCATCCATGTGAAGCCAACCTCATTTTTAAAACTTGATTTCTTATGTAATTGCCCCAGAATGACACAGGCTGATAAGTTGGGAAGAAATATCATTTGGATTGGTGAAATAAAGGATAGTGATGTGTAGGTGTGTTTCTTAAGTTGGGCTTCTTCCTTTTGCAGTGGCATTCTGGATAGTTAAGTAGTATCATGGCTTAGTCGTTACCAGCTGTTAATTATCAGTTGAGCTTTGGAATCACACAGACCTGGTTTGAGGGTAACTGTATGAATCTAGCTGTGTGAGCTTAGCCAAATTACTTAAGTACCAAGTAGCACAGAGCCTGTCACGAAGTAGGCCCTCAGTAAGAATAATTAAATTAATCTTTCTTTACTTCAGTTTTCTCACCTGCCAAATGGAAAAAAACAATACCTACCTTGTAACAATTGTGAAAATCAAGCATAATTCTTCATATAAAGCATAATGACCTAGCACGTATTTTTATAATTATCCTGTTATTTGTTGGTCTTCATCTCATGGGCCACACTTTGAACCTAAGCGTATTATCTAACATAGGTGGCACACAACTCATGTTTCTGTTACTCGTTTTTAAAGTCTTCAATGTAGGTATCAAGTAAGTCCTACAGAAGGCTGAAAACATGTGGCAAGAGTGGAAATGGACATGAGTTAACAGTTTGTTTCAGTTAATAGATGCAATTTCATTGCTATAAGTAAATGCATGCCATCTTATACATCTGTGGGTGATCTTAGTCTAAGTAAAACAAGGATATCAGAGGGAGCACTGTACGTATACCAGTGAGCTTAGTAGCTTCTTGGGATGTTTAAATGATGTGTAAGAAGCTTATGTATCCAATAATGTTCATCAGTATAAAGTGGAATAGCAGTGGTAGTTATAATTCCATGATCACATACTTAATCACTAAGCCATATGATAATGGGTGTTAAGTATGATAATTGTGGTATACTGTACAATGAAGTTTCCATAATTTGTTCTCTAACTCTCATGTTATATAGAGGAATTACTCTATGATTTCTCTTTATGAACTTTTCTCAAAAACATTTATTCATCAATTCTGTTCATTTGCTTAAATAACATCTGTTGGACCATTTACTGAGCCAGGTGTAGTGTAGATGCAAAGATGACGAAAGCTGCATAGGTAGGAATTTAGAATTTAGGCTGTAGGTCACACAGAGCCAGTGGAAGTTATTAAACAGGCAGCCAACCTGTCCAGAGCTATGCTTTAGAAAGACAACTTTGGCAGCAGTATGAAGAGTGGATTGGAATAAGAGATTAGAGAAGGGATTTCAATCAGACAACAGATACCAATGTTCCGGATGTAGGAAGTAGCAATGAGATTGCAAATTTGAGAGATTTTTAAGGCAGGCCCTCATCACTGAGTGGAGCTGTTCTGTGTGGACATGGTTCAAGGTTGACTTGAAGGCTTCCACCAGGACATCTGAATGCTTCAATACCTTCGGCTCATAGCATGCTTGGAGATAATTAATTTCTGCAAGGGAGATGAAAAATTTCCCTGGAAGAGCAAACTAGAAAGTCCCTTAATTATATTAGTTTTCAGACTCTAAGGTATGGATAATTATTAATATTTTCCTGAATACTGCTCATTGATTGACTATTTTGTATATAGATTAACACAGGCTAAGAAAGGAAAACAGTTTAATAATCCTTAGTAAATTAGAGGCTGGAATCTGTACTGCTGAGAATTTTAGAATGCTTGGAGGCTATTCAAGACTACTAACAGACTTGACTTTTGACACTTGTGAGTTTTACTGTTGTGATAAATTCTGTGCCTTTTGACAGAAAGTGTGCACATCTTTAGTATTTTGATGCTGTTGGGGGTAT
Source organism: Homo sapiens (assembly GCF_000001405.40). Taxonomy (NCBI): domain Eukaryota; kingdom Metazoa; phylum Chordata; class Mammalia; order Primates; family Hominidae; genus Homo; species Homo sapiens. Next base: position 8,405,851 of record NC_000009.12, on the reverse strand, counting down.
GTTTTACTCCCAACTTCTACATATACACATAAAGGCATGAAAAATACCCGGCATCAAAAATAACTGCTAAAAATTATGTTAACATAATAGAGTATATTTTAAAAAAATTACCTGGGTATAAACCTGTTTTATCATTCTTGAAAACTTGATTTTGATCGTTTAAAATCATGTTTGTGTCATTAATGAACTTGTGTTTCCATATAACAATGAAATTATAAATCTTAAATGTTATCAGTAGCCTATGATGAAAGAAAAAGTATTTTGATTTCCATAACGTTTCAGGAAATGAAGTCCCCTAGAGTTTTATGATCAAACCTGAATTTGGTCTTGAAATGATGATTCTACTTAAATATTTTTAAATTACATACTTTATATACCTGTTTGATGTTTATTTTAGATTGTTGAATAATTTGGTTGAAATGTACCATCAAAGAAAGGGATAAAATCAGAAAAAAAAACTAATGTTAAAATCAAGAATAAAAAGCAAACTATAAACATAATAACACATAATAATAAATAGAAAATATATAATGATAAATAGAAAAACAATTTATATGCATTGGGTTGTATCTTATTCATCTGAGTATTAAATTAACTGACCTCCCTTCTTTACTGTTCGTGTTAACTATTTAAATTGTACAATTTGCCTTGTAATATTGGTCTTAGTGTGTTACAGAGAAACAGACAAAACCTTAAGTTGCCATTAAGTTGTGAACATGTAGATAAAGAATGAACAGTAAAGCCTGTGTCCATTGAAGCCAGTGAAAGACCAGTTAACTTAAAGACTCAGCTTAGGTCCAGATAGGAAAGAATAGGGAAGAATAATCAATATAAAATAAGGTTTACAGAACCGGAAGGAATATTGAACCAAGATGACTTGTAAACTACAGCAGCAGAGAGGGAAATGGAAAAGTAAAATTAAGAACCTGCCTTTCCAATATTAACAGAACATCTGTATTGATTTCTTTTTTCATTTGAATCAATGTTGGTGACTATCACTGTTTCTGCAGTGATTAACCATTTTTTGTTATGCTGGTTACATTAGTGTTCAGCTTCACAGTTAGGATCATCTTGATGAAGTATGGCTTCAGAATTTTCCTTTTAAATCATGTTTATTACATGTGATAAATGCCTATAATCTGGTGGTTTTCAGTATTGATTTTGTGTATATGTGTTGTTTTCCTTTTAAAGTCAATTGACCCTGGCCAGCAGTTCACTTGGGAACATTCAAACTTGGAAGTAAACAAACCAAAGAATAGATACGCGAATGTAATCGCATATGATCATTCCCGGGTTCTCCTATCAGCTATAGAAGGTAAGGAAATGCAGACATCACTGATACCTTTATTTTCATGGATTTGAGTATGTGCATGAGAATATTGTTTTAGTGAGGTTATTAACCATCTCTGAAAGTAATTAAGATGGCTGTGCATGGTGGCTCACGCCTGTAATCCCAGCACTTTGGGAGGCTGAGGCGGGTGGATCGCCTGAGGTCAGGAGTTCGAGACCAGCCTGGCCAACATGCTGAAAACCCATCTCTACTGAGAATACAAAAACTAGCCGGGCATGGTGGTGGGCGCCTGTAATCCCAGCTACTCAGGACGCTGAGGCAGGAGAATCACTTGAACCCAGGAGGCGGGAGTTGCAGTGAGCCGAGATCGTGTCACTGTACTCCAGCCCCAGCCTGGGCAACAGAGTGAGACTCCATCTCAAAGAAAAAAAGAAAGTAATTAAGATTCAAACATAGCTTTTTCCTACTTTTTCTTTCTCACACAAATAAATTATACATAGGCCACAATATCCCTGACACCATATGACAGAAGTGCATCTCTCATTACCTTCTTGCCTTTACCCTAAAGATTTGATAATGTAGTTGATGTTTTATATGGGAAGCGAATTGAGGTTGCCCATTTTAGTGATGGGTTTTGGTTGTTATGAATGAACAGGTGATTGTCAGAAGAGGCCCATAAACTAAATGGTTATTTTAAAAGGGGAGAGGGGATTGTTTGCTTGTAAATAAATCTGGATATCCACTGGGGACTGTCTAAAATTTCAAAGTTGATAATGTGGTGGTTAATATAAATTAAGTATGTTGGAAATGTCTAATTTATCTAATTTGTGGACTGCTTGGTAATCTGCCTCTTAGAATTGCAGTAAGGAGTGTGTTCCAGAGGGCATGATTGTTCCTAAAAGATGAGGGTTGCTCCTCAACTCTATCCAGCTTCATTAAGGATTCATGACGGATCATTTTTCCAATGATAAATCCCTTTTGTGTGGCATATTAAAACAACTAGAAGTTCATCTTCAACACACAGTATTTCATTAGTTACTCTGGCTACAGGAGCACATTGGATTGGAAAGTCCTTAGAAAATAGTTTAGGAGGCCACTTAAATCTGTGCCTCTAACAGTCAACCTGGGTCACCCTTGGCACATGCCATGTTCACCCTCATTAGTGCCCAGAAGAGTTTTATGGCCTCTTCATACTTGAAGGTTCACTGTTTACATTCTTGAAGATATTTTAGAAAACAAATAAATTATAGTAGCTTCAGACCCAGTTATTTTAAGGACTTTATAGTTGAAAGATGTTCATCTGTAGTTGTTCGAGTACCTGTCCCTGTTTTCTGCTTCCAAAATCTCTGCTGACCACCGCTTTATTTTATAACTCTGACCACATCTCCTACCTGCTTCCTCAACGTCCAAAATTTATTTGAAAGTGAAACTGTTTAAAAGCTTTCTCAGTAGGCACCATAGGCCATTAATACATTTGTTTCCAGTTTTTTTGGGAAGAAAAACTATCTTTCAGCATTTGAACAATCCTATACCTGTGGCCCTCCTTACCTCAACATGGCATTGTTTTGCATAGATATATTTTGTAAAATTCTCATAATAAATTTACTTTGGATGGTGGAAAATACTATAATCCCTTTTCTAGGCACCCACAGATACTAAGTGTTCAAGAGTTAGCCTTTTTCCACACTGAAAACAATTATTTAAATTTATTAAAATTTTACCAATACTAGATCAGGCATAATAATGTCAAATGGGTAATCGCTTCTTTTCAAATTCTGTTTAAAAACTGTAATTAACATATGTGGATGATTACCTTACATTTATCTCTATGTTTTCCATTTTAAAGTGTGAAAAAATACAGGTTTTTTTGTGGGGGGTCTCAAGTCTCTTAAATCATCTCCATAATAAATGAAAAACTAAACTGAGTCACAAATAGCAGAGAGAAATCTTTTTTCCATTAGCAAAAGCAAGGTAAATTATTGAAATAAAATAAATGAATGTAAGTTGAGAATCTATTTGGCATGGTCTCGCCTGGGGAACTTGTCAGTCTGCCTCTGCTCTATTGTAGCATTGTTTCCACTAAGAATTAGGTCATTCAATAACTACCACTTCGCTGTACTTTTGCTCACTTTGTCATTATTTTTCTTAACCTGTTATTTTCCACATCTTTAAAGTATGTTGAGGGATAAAAACTATACCTCCTTGTATCTTTATTCTGATGGTTGAAAACTATGCACATTTCGTTCCTATGCTGGTTTTATATTATAAAAGCAAAAGCACTTGAATCACACGAAAACCTGTCTTTTTATAGTGCTGTGTTCACAAATACACCCTAAATCTAGAGCTGACCTAACATGTTAAGTGTTATGCAAAAGGTTAGAAGCATTTAATTGAAGTTCATGAGCTATAGAGAGCTTTCATCTAAATTACAACCGTGAACAGCATTTTATCTTAAACTAAGCGCTAACCAGCAGGTATTCTTGAGGGCAGTCAATCATCCTGTATCTTAAACACAGAAGAGAAAATACTGGCAACTGGAACCACAGAACCACTAACTGAGGCTTCTCCTCTAAAGACAGCTTTGATAATACAGGGCCAGCTTTTAGTATACTGAAATATTAAGTGACTTCATGCACAATTTATAAAACTTAATGTGCTTGTTTTGTGTTCCAACCAATGTTACTAACTTAAGTGACTTTGGTTGAGAGTTTTAATTTGGGTGTTTTTGTTCTATTCTCTCAGTGGTGCTAGTTACTCCTTACATTATTTTGCAAAGTGATCTGACAGACATTAGAACAACAAAAACTGGAAGTGGCCGCAGTGATTGATGTTGTCTTTATATTTGTTTAGTAGAGCAAGTGTATATCCTACTTCCACTGAGAGAATAACAGGGAAAAATTAAAAGAATCAGGAATTGTGTGTGGGCAGTAATGTGCTTATTGAACTTTTTGAAAATAGTGACACTTGGTGACATCTTTCCAAATCACAGTCATTTTATTTAGGCTAGGAAAAATGCAGAATAAATTCAAAAGAGTCCTAATTACAAAATGGTTTCAATTGTTTAATTATAGGGTAAGCAGTATGGAAACAGAATTGAATTTTTGACAAATCCAATTACCATTGGCATCCCCTCTATGTTTAAGCAGTTCTTAAGAGAAAATAGTAATTCCTGAAGAAGAGGGCAATAGGATTTATTGTAATGAGTTAAGATAAATATTTTCTACAAAAAACTCGCTAGTATGATGGTACGTGCCTGTAGTCCCAGCTACTCAGGAGGCTGAGGTGGGAGGGTTGCTTGAGCCTGGGAGGTGGAGTTTGCAGTGAGCTGAGATTGTCCCACTGCACTCCAGCTTGGGCAACAGAACCAGACCCCATCTGGAAAAAAAAAAAAAGAAAAGGTAAATATTTTCAAATAAAGACCAAATGGAAGCTAATACTTGGATATTGGAAGCTAATACTTGGATGTGCATAAACAGAATATATAATATTATGCCTAAACTTGTAGAATCCAAAGTTGTTCAGAAAGTATGTTTTTATGAGGAAAAGAAAATGGACAAACCAAAAGATGAAGAACAAGGAAATCTGAGGTTGGGTCACTAACTAGCTAGGTGACCTTGACTTCTCTGAATATCAGTTTTCTTAGTGGTAATCTCTTTCATTTCTGACTTCTAAGAGTTATCTCTATGTAGTTTCCTTATCCGTTGTTTTATTGGCTGTACACAACAGTCTAGTGAAGCGGCAGTGTGAGTATTTTACTAGATATATAGGTATTCACATTTATAGATGAGAAAACTGAAGCTCAGACAGGATTGGCCCAGAGTCACACAGTCACACAGAATATAAATAATATAACTTGCTAGAATCCAGCTCTTCTGATTCCTGGTCTGGGTCTTCCACTTTCCCACATCACTCATAACACTTTCCTACCGGTGCAGGATGTGACAGTGTCTGAAGTCACTTAGCATGGGTGGAAAAGCTCAGTCTTATCTTTTTGCCTAAAAATCTATTTTATCTTTTGGCATTAGCCTTATGGATAACATAAATATTAGGTTTTAGAACTTCATTTCCTATTTCCTATCTCATTTCCTATTTTATGGCATGACTAACCTGAGGCAAGGACACAATATGGGAATCATCAAATGCATCATTCAGGTGGACCAGAGTCATAAGATTGCAGAACAAATGTCAAGTACATGTAAACCTAATGATAATACAGGTGATCTGCTTACCTTAAATATTGTTGTATGTATCTTTAATTTCTTGTTGACCAAGGGGTATCAATTAGTGGCAGGTTATTTATTATAATGCCTTCTAATTAGCAAAAATTAATTATTGCAGTTGTGGATAAAAAAGAGGTTGTTGTTCTAAAGTATAATTAATCTTCACTGCTGCCAGTACTGTTTCCATTAGTAGGATTATAATTAACATTTTGTTTTAAAAGCCCTATTGACATGGATTTTTAGAAAAGTGTTAGCCAAGTCTAAATATAAAGCAAAATTAAAATTCTGCTTTTCAATTCAACAACAAAGACAAGACATTATAATAGATATGATTATCTGGTTATCTATTACATGCCGAGCACCATGTTATGGAGGCCCAACCCCAAAAGCTAGTTGTCATGATCTGAATTTACAGATGAGGAAATGGAAGCATTTAAAAAGTCAGCAAACTTAAGTATGATCAATAGCTAATAAGTGACAAATTCAAAATACTAATATATGTCAGTCTCAAGGCAGCTGTTCTTCCCATTAGTCTACGCAGGCCCAGAGCGGCTTTTGAAATCATAATAGCCCTGCCTGTGTACATCAAACCTAATTCAAAACTGATGCCTTTTTGGCTGGGAAGATTGTGTAAGAATTTTCAAATACACATTTTGAAACACTTAGGATAGAAATCTTAGAACTAGAGATCTTCAGTTGTGTTCTTAGACTCCAAGTCAAAATGAATTTTTCCAAAGAATAAATGACACAGAAATGATTTTCAGGTGTGTTTTTTTGTTTGTTTAATCTCACGTTTTAAGGTATATTGGGAAATATACTGAATAAAGAGACAGAAAACTGAAAACTAAATTTCAGTTTAAACAACAATGTGACCTTGAGCATTTCACTTAATGCAGTTAACATTCACTCTTTGGGGAAGCTGGATCCTTTTGATAATTTCACGAACATTTAAACCCCACTTGAAAACATAGAGCACTTACATACTTTATTTGTACACTAATTTCAGAAAGTTCATGCATATACAATCTCTTTGCAAGCCCATTCTCCAGTTTAGGAAGAACCTATGACTTAGAGTCTTTCGTTGTTTTCTTATAAAACAAGGATGTGTAAGACCATCTCTACCATCTCCAGAATTCTGAACATTGATTCTAAATCCTGAGATCAAAAGATAAGTAGGCAAATAAATATTAAATCTTAGACAGTATGAGATGATTAGCTTCTTCAAGGAAAAAAAAAAAAAAAAAGCTTAGTGGGCTTATTCTAAATAGGATTATTGGCTACTATGTGACTCTCACCAAAACAGATTTAAATGGTTTTATCCATGAGAGGGTTAGAAGTGATGAAGAATAAACCTAGTATGTAATATGCATTCTTTAACACTAGTGCTTATTAATCTGATTTTTTTTAAAAAGCTTAGTAAAATAGGGATCCATGTCTTAGTCCATTTGTGCTGCTATAACAAAATACCACAGACTGGGTAATTTATAAACCATACAAATTTATTCCTCGTAGTTCTAGAGTCTGGGAAGTCTAAGATCAAGGTGCCAGCAGCCTTGCTTTCTGGTGAGGGCCCAGTCTGTCCACTTCCAAGATGGTGCTCTGTTTTGCTGCATCCCCTGAGGGAAAGAATGCTGTGTCCTTACATGGCCAAAACGATAGAAAAAGGGCAAACTTAATCTTTCAAGCTTTTTTATAAGGATCCTAATCCCACCCATGAGGGCTCTGCCCTGATGACTTAAGCATTTCCTAAGACCTCACCTCTCAGTACTATCACAGTGGTGATTAGGTTTAACATATGAATTTACGGGAACACATTCTGATCAGAGCAGTGTGTTATTTTTTTCTTACAGAAAGGGTCATATATTTAAAGTTCCAAAACATAAATATATTTATTCACTTCATCTCTTTAATAAGTAAAAGTAAGTACCTTCTTAGGAGGGCCTATATGCTGCTCAGGAACCTCTTTCCTGATAACGCATCCGAAGCTCTGCTTGCTTCTGCAGAGCTTGCTCGGACAAGTTGCTGAGCCTTGCTTTCCTCATCTGTATAATGGGATTATTAATAGTACCTACTTCCTACAATTACTAGGAGGATTAAATAAACTAACATATGTAAAGCACCTAGAAGAGTGCCTGGCACCAAGAAAATACATAATAAATATTGGGAATTGTTAAGATTATCTTTAGTGTTATGCATTTTATTACTACTACAGATAGGCCCTTTTAAGTGCAGACAAAATTTCTTTGATATGTGATCTATGGAAAAACTAATATCCAAATGAGAAAGCTGCATATATTTGAAGTACTCTGTAATGCAAAAGAAAACACTGGTGCTTGATAAATGGAAACCAGACCCATAAGAGCATTACAGATTTCAACAGGGGCAAGAATCTATTCTTTTAAATGGAAATTCAAATATATATCATCTGCTGTTTGATTTGCAAAACAGGAGCAATTCAAAAAAATCCAAGCATAAATAATATAGATGATGTTACAATAACTTGATTATTTGTGAGATGGGCAATTTAGCACCTTTAAGATGAGAAAGCTGCTCACATGGAATCACCACCTCTAAGATAAATCCAGTTAAAAATAAATAAATAAAGACAAGAAACTACTGCTATTCCTTCTGTAATGTTATCCACCATTTGCCACCACACTAGTGCTCTAGGTTTCAGTTGTGTCTTAGCCTCTCTTCTGCAGAGTGTTCTGTGGGTAAGTCTATAGCAATTCATTTGAAACAGCTGTGAGCACATGCTAACGTATTCTCCAATTTCACATTGTACCCATGCTGTAAAATATCTTTTTCTTTTCTTTTTTTGGGCAAGGGGCATATCTGGTAACTGGATGTATTTTCAATAAGTAAAACAAAACCAAAAAAACCTAGGAAAATATGTTAATACAGTCTATCCAACATTTTCTAATGGAATGTTAGTTATAGTGAATATAAATGTTCCATGTGAAGTTCTAACATCAAAACAATTACAATTATTTCACCCAATAAAGAAGTCCTTTGATAGTTGCTGTGTGCTCCTTCCCATATTACCTCAATAAATATGATCCCTTTTTCTCCCTCCGGATTTCTCTCCCTCTCTTTCCCAGTCACTAGTGAATAGTTTGTTGGCACCTCATGTTTGTTTTACCTTGCTCTTGAAATTCTATTTAAGGTACTAAAGGAAATTTGTTAGAATGTATATCCCATCCCTTAAAAAACTCATTTAAAAACAATAAATCCTGTCCAATTATTTGTTGAGTTCATTTTTCTCACACTCTTCAGAGCATAAATCATTGATTTAGGCTGATAACATGGTTTCTGCAGCATTTTCAGTTTTTCTATTTTCAAGTTAATCGTTTGCAACTGTGATGAAGTTTAATCATTTTATTTCGTGGTACTTTTTAAAAAAATACATAAAAGCACTTCCTTTTTTTGAGTAGCAGTGAATAGACAAATTTTTATAGCTTAATTTCTTTTAAATAGAAAGGTAGATAGCACTTAGCCTGGGAAACCTGGAGCAGTTTCACAGGTTGCTTGCAGTCTTTCTAAGAGCTGTCTAATTAGAGCTGTGTAAATGGCATCTTTCTCTTACATGTAGCCAAGCAAGTGCTGTTATATCTGTTATTCCCTAGCTCCTACCTTAGACTATACCTGCTGATGTTTCTTACCCGGAAAAGAGAAAAAGCATTTTTAAGGGCTGGCTGGCTGTGTTGTTTTTTGCTTTACTCTTGTTCTCAGAAAGCTAATCGAAGAGTAAAATCAGAAAGCTCTGGGAGTGAGTTTATTTTTATCTCTATTGTCTTCAGTTCATTGGAGCTTTTTTGTTTTTTTTAATTGTACATCTATGCAGCTTACTCTAATGAATCTACACTTCATTACTCTGAGGCCGTAGATAAACCTACATCATCTATGGTTCTGTTTTTAGAATATAGATACAGGTAGCAGATTGCTGGGAAATTGTAAAAGAATTATTTTTATCCTGTCTGATAGTTTTTCTTAAAGTAGAAGCTAGAAAGGGGCCTTCCAGATTTGGAATTACTTTTTATCAGGAGGGCATTAAGAATAAGCAGACTTTTTCCATTTTTACGTCAATCATAATAGTAACTAAAATCCATATGACATTTTGGAAATTTCAGATGTATTGATTCATTTAATTCTCACAGAGGTGTTGGTTCCAGGACTTTTTGATTATGATATTCATATTAGTGATGAGGAGACTGAGCATCTGAGTGTTTCCTACACATAGAGCTTCTGTAGTCATGTCTCATGCTTGATTGTTGACTACTTCATTGCTTGATGAACCTCTATAATAATTGCCTCCTTATTAGTATAAAGCTAATTGGACCACAACTCCATGATGTGGCTGAAAGTTAAGCTTCAGTGGCCTAAGGTCTACTGTATTTTAAGGCAAGTTGCTGTCTAACCAAAAAGCACGCCCCTCTATCACAGGTGCTGGTAATTCCCCAACTCATGTTGCTGATCTTGCAATGTATTCAAAGATAGTTCAATCAGCCGTCTACTTTCCTGTGTCCATTCTCAAAACTCAGCCTCCTCAGCAGTGTGGGGGTATGGAAAATCAAGTAGAGGAAGACATACATTAATGAGGAGTTGCAGGTTGGGTTCAAATACTCTGAATATCATCTGTTTCTCCATTAGCTCACTGTGGGGTTGAGCTACGATGCCCACAGAACAGGCATGCTTTTAAAAAAAAAAATTCTATGTGTTTTGTAGAAACTTGGAAAGACTGCAGCTATACCAGGGGATACCCTGGCAAACAATAGACTGTGTCTTTGCAATAAATGTTTGCTTTATTTGGTATGTTGCAGAAAGAATCCTTCATGTCACCAGGTCTGATGCAGCCACGTGTGGCTGTCATTGAACAGGTGAAGGGTCGGGGGAAAGGCCTGTGTCCTTTAGAATTTAATCAATTTGCTTGTAAATGTTTATTAGATTTTGCTTTCCTATTTCCTGTTTTCTAGTTTTTCTGGAGACTGCAAAGTAAACATTTTTGCCACATTGTTGTAAAATTGCAATCTAGGTCTTAACCTATATTAACAGCAATATAGTGTTATGCTTTTTCGTTTGTGCGTTGGAGTAGAGGAGGGGACATTAACAAATGAAAGGTAGCTTTTGTGCTCTGTCGGGTCTTGAGTACTTCTGTCTTACAACAAAGAACAAACTTGTTTGCCAAAAAGCAATTTCTTTTTGACACAGTCCTTACTTCATTAGGGATTTATAGAACTTAAAGAAAATAAAAGTACCTGGGATTTGAAGCCAAATTGTGAGTTGGAGCAGGGTAAGACGCTCAGCTGAACATCCATCTCCATCTCTGTAGTGCAGCCGCATCCACTGGAGCCACGGTGGGATTCTGCCTTCCCTCCAAGACTGCCTCTTAGTTATTATCACCCGCTAAAGTCCAAGGAGAGCTTCTTTCCATGGACAGACCACCTAGTACCACTACTTCCTCTTGCTTTTTGTTTATTTTTTGCCCCATCAGGTTCCAATCAAGATGTGAAGTAGCAGCCTCAGTGAAAAATCTCATCTCAGCACATCAAAGGTAGAAGCAATAGGAATCAGCTTGAAAGAGCATCAGAGTGCGTTCCTACCTAATCTGAGAGACACAAAGCCTCTATTTATCTTAAAATAACTTCACAGAGATGTCTGAGTCCAAGAAGGTTAAGAATAGCACAGACAGACACCTTATTTTAGAACTCAAAAGAACTGGAGGGCATCAGTTTGTCCAACACATCTTGTTTAGCAAATAAACAATTACAGTTCTGGGCAAGTTGAGTAACTGGCCAAAGATCACAGAGTAAACTACCAGCAGCCCTAGACAGGAGTCCAGGTTTCCTGGTCAGTTTCTCTAAATTCTTAGCAAGTGCTTGCTATTGTCCCAAGACTTTAAAATGCACACGTGACTTTACCTACAGTGTAATGTGATGCAAAATTATGATCCTTCCCCTTAGGATTACTTGATTTCACAAAATAATTCATGTATTATTTTGCATCCTGCTTTTTCACTTAATATCAGGACTTAAGGCTTTATTATAAACCCCTCATCATTGTAAACACCCCTTCAACAAGAGACATCTTTTCAAATCGAATTATCTTCTGGCCCCAAAAATCAAATCCATAGCAAGTTGGGTGTTTGTTTGCTTTTTTTTTTCTTCTTGGTGGTTTTAAAAAATCCACATGACCCCATTATTCAAAGTCTGTATCCAGGCTCATTTTTCCACTGAAAACTGTAACTAGCAATCAACAGCAAATAAAATGAGAGCCTAAAACGTGCCTAATTCTGTTCAAATAGCTGTTTGCTATGGCTTGTTGTGCATGAAAAACAACAGAAGCACAGCTCTACCAATCATTCACCTCATCACAATCTCTGTCGGCTTTACAGGCTTGCATTAACAGCCAGGTTTAGTTAGCCCAGAACACAAAGACCCAGTATAAAGCATGTAAGTAATATTTTTAAATGCCACAAGAAAGAACAGTTCATTAACTGAGGAAATACACTTTAACCCAGGAATGGAGCATATTGGTATAATATGAAGTTAGAGGGTCTAGCCTTAGGTTTCTCATGTGTAAGATTAGAAGGCTAAACAATTATTTATGGGGTTACAACTATTGACATCACTGTTATTAATTAGAGAATGCACATGAAACAATGCATGAGAAATCATGAAAACCCACTCAGTTTTATAAATGCAGTAGAGCCATGGACTCCTAGGAAAGAACCAGTCTTAGAGGTAAGCTGTTCTTGAACAAAGACACTAAGACCAACTGACTCCAAGAGAGTTCCTGCAGCAGGGCCAATGTGTTCTAAAATTTTGCTTATGAGGAGCAGAAGGCAAACATCTTTGTCATGTTCCTCCTGTTTTAATAGCTCCTTCGCCAACCAAAAAACAAACAAACAGGAAACCCAAAAAACAAATCAAGCACTGTTATTCTAGTATTGGAGGAAGGTCTCCTTGACTCCAAGAATGAAAAGCAATCACCTAATTTATAGTAATTCTATACTCTTTCAGTACTACATTTCAAGTTACATTTCCATCCTTCATAACCCCAAAGGAATTAAGTTAATTCTCACACACTTCTCTTGGATTAGAAGTGCACTCTGATTAATGTTGCATTAGCAGAAGCAAATCATTTTTTGGAAAAGGCAGGGAATTGAAAATTAAATAAATATGCACTACTTAGAGAAAGTCACCCCCCAAAAAGTGGAAGAATGTTAGATCCAGCCTCCCAGCAGAAACATCCTAATCAAGAACTACTGAAGAAGCATTTCATGGCACCAAAACATTTGGAAAGCAGCATATTGTTTATTTTCACAGTGTTGGTTGAAAAGTCTTTCTAAATATGTCACATTAAAAACCAGAGTCTCATCTACTTGAAATGGACTGCTGATTAACTTTAGCTTCCAATCTGGGGTTAATATTTTTAGGACACACCACCATCCTTTCTAAAATTTTTTCTCCTTCATCTTTCTGCACAGTGTGTTATATTGGGTTTTATGAATACAGGACTCATTAGATCTTAGAGCTTCTGGAGAACATAGCCATCTCTCTTATCTCCACATTTGCAGAGGATCTGTGAGAGAGAACTTACCTGAAATGTCTTTTCACCAGAGCGCGTAAAGAGATTTGCCAGAAGGAGGCTTTCATTCCATGTACTACCTTCTTACAAATAGGTATCAAACTATAAGAGGAATCTTAGCATTATTTTCAGGACATAAAGCATTGGCTTAATAATTTGCTCTACCAGGTATTCCATTTTGTTTTCAATTACGTATTTTTCAGAATATTAATTATTTATCTTTTATTGAGACAGAGTCTTGCTCTGTCGCCCAGGAATGAAGTGTGGTGGTGCAATTATGGCTCACTGCAGCCTTGACTTCCTGGACTCAAATGATCCTCCTACCTCAGGCTCCCAGGTAGCTGGGACTACAGGCGTGCATGACCATATCCAGCCAAGTTTTTAGTGTTTTGTAGAGACAGGGTCTCTTTGCCATGTTGCCCAGACTTGTCATGTGCTATTCTCAATAAATCTTCCTGCCTCAGCCTCCCCAAAGTGTCGGAATTACAGGCATGAGCCACCATGCCAGCCTAATTTTTTATTTTTATTTTTTTGTAGAGACAGGGTCTCACCATGTTGCTCAGACTGGCTCAGACTCCTGGGCTCAAGTGATCCTCCTGCCTCAGCCTCTCAAAATGTTGGGATTATAGGCATGAATTACTACACTTTGCCCAATTCCTAAATTCTTAAAGCATTTAGTGATAGTATTGATTCCTGGTGCCTAGTAGTCTTCAGGCAACATTTTTGTATTCTTATCCTGGGAAGTGCAATCATTATTCAGTAGCAGCCTACCCCCTCCTTGTTAAACAAAAAGAATTTATTATTCAAACTTGGGCAGTATGCAAAAAACCCCAATTCATTACATAATAACTGATTAACATTTTTACCCAAAGAGGGTTGGATGGGTCTGATTCCCTGTCTTTAGGAATGATTCTCCTGTGCATCTCCTCCATCCTCAGATGCATTGTTCAGACACATTTGCTTTCCTTGATAAGGGGGGAGGTGGCACAGGGCCCAGGTGATGAATCTTCTGAGTCATTTAGCCCAGATTTCTCCATTCTGAGTTTTCTTAGAAAAAAGTTTTCTGTATATTGGCAGCTGAGTGAGGCCCTTAGCCAGAATCCTTTTTATCAATTCTTTAATGTTGCTAACTGCTAAATTAAAGTTTTGAAAGTAGGTTTTTCCTGTTAGATGGATTCATTCTTGACTCAGAACCAAATCCTATGGATATGTAAGATGTGTGCACGTCCCAGTGTTTGTAACCTGAGAATTTTATTTAAACCGTCATTTGAATCTACAGTAATCTGGTGTTGGGGAGGAATAGGATCTTTATCAACAAAGAGCTGCCAAAACCCCAACTGCTTCTTGAGTAGCTGTAATAGATGAATAATGTTACAGCCAACCATGCATTTCAAGTTTTGCTCAAAAGGCTTTTCAACTAATGCTGGTGGTATTCCATATCCGTGTGTTCATCTCAGAGTGCAGTAGTTTCCATCTGATTTTCATTACCTTTCTTGAGAGGATCAACTTTACAACCGGAATCAGAAAAGCAGTCAAAGTCATTGCAAGTGGCAATCAGTGAAATATAACAATTTGAGCTTGGGAACATATGTTTCATTATAAAGAAAAAAAAAATGGTTACCCCGTAATTCCAAGATTCATATTTCCCAGGGTAGAAGGGATCATGCACAAGTTCTAGTGTACCTTCCCATATCATGCTGACATTCCTATAAAGTGCTTGTTCTCCCCTACAGATAGCCAACTCATGACCTTCCAAGGAAACTTAACTCCCTTTTTGATTCTGACCATTTGAAAATGCTTTATTGTATTTGAGATGAAATTCATGTTTCTGTAGTTAAATCTTTCAGAATTTAAAACTTGGAACTCAACAGAGTAAATCTAAACCTCTCTTCTTCTCACAGGCAGCTCTTATCCCAATTCCTACCATTTCCTTTGCTAGGCTATAATATGCATTCTTTCTCTTATGGAGTAGCTTTCATTCCCTTAATCACTGTGGCTCCTCTTCTTGGAAGAAGCTCAAATTTGCCTCTGTCTCTCTTAAAGGCATGTGCTGATGGAAAACTAGGCTTTAAATCACAATATCTACATTAAATTACATCTCTGCTACTGATTACATGTTGGAACTGGGGAAAATTATTTACTCTTTTGTCATTAGGGTAGCAAAGGTGAATAAAAGAGACATGGTCAAAATAGGCAATAAAGCAACTTAACAGACAAGTAAATATATAATTACAACCTTAATCAGTAGTATAAAGGGCTGTCAAGGGAGTTCTGATGTCTCAGGGTACTCCAGGGCAGGCCTTCTGGGATGGCGGCTGGGTGTTTTATGATGGGAAGGAGACAGAGTATATTCTAGGATGTGGATTGAGCTAAGGAGGGAAATAAATGTTTTCTAATAATTGAAGCAGACCAGTGTCTAGAGTTTTAAAGGCAAGGAGGTGAGTGGAATGAGATGAGTTTGGGAAGTTGCAGAGCTTTGTAAGCGATGTTCAGAGTTTGGATTTTATTTGAAGTATAAGGGGAAGCCATTGTTGGGTTTGAAGAAGTTACAGTGTCTGAAATAAATTTCTTAAAACTGCTCTCATGTTAGATGGAGAACAAACTGGAGAGGACAAAAGTAGAAGATGGACATCCAATTAGGGGGCAGCTGTCCTAATCCAGGAGGTTCATGTGCTGCTTACAACAAATCACGAGTTTTAAATGAGAAGCAATACTTTACAGAGGTCAAGACACATACGAGTAGCCTAGGATTAAACCTGATTCCACCAACTTGAGCAACTTGCTCAAGTTTCTTTAACTTCTTTGCACCTCAGTTTTCTCCTGACAGGACTCATAACAGGACTTACTGCAGAGTTGTTGTAAATATTAAATGAGTTTATATATGAGTTTCCTGTTAACTAAATCTACAAAGAATTTTTCATTATTATGGTGTGTTCCACTCTATTTTGTATTTTCAGACTCAGGCATTCTTTTATCTAGTTTTTGCCTGGGAAGCACATGGGTGAGGAATGTTACCAGATTGTTTATTGTTCTTTGGAAACTATTTTTTTTGCCAGTGCAACAGAGAAAACCAACAACCAGTGAAGGAAAAGGCATTCTATGGACCATCTATTGTATTTTTTCTTTGTCGTATTATAAAGACCTGACACTTTTTTGCATACTTTTTTTTAACATGACGGTTCTAATAGGACCTGTTTTTAATCTTGCTTGAAACCCGACCTTCAATATATTGTGACTTCTCTAGTGTGAGGTGGAACAGTAAGATAGCACTGCCATTAGGTCATGTCCCAGGCTGTTTCCTCTTGTGATGTGCTCACCTGGTTGAATAACACTCCTTGTTTTCCAGGGATCCCAGGAAGTGACTATGTGAATGCCAACTACATAGATGGGTATAGGAAGCAAAATGCCTATATTGCAACACAGGGATCTCTCCCCGAAACATTTGGGGACTTTTGGAGAATGATATGGGAACAACGGAGTGCCACAGTTGTCATGATGACAAAACTAGAAGAAAGATCAAGGGTAAGAATAAGTATCCACCTCTTTCCTTTTAAAAATTTTCCCTCAGAGTCCCTATGTTGCATATTTTATTCTGTTCAGAATCTAACCTTTCCCTAAGGCTTATCTTTCTAACAGATACTAATTATGAATGGGCATCAACAACTCTAATTAAACCATTCTTTAAAACTCCTCTGGGTGTTTTCACAAAAGAAATTCTCCCATGTTATGATGTGTGTGGTTGCTAAAAAGTAAAAAAAAAAAAAAAAAAAAGGAATATTCACAGGAATAGACAACTTGATTAGAGAAAATAAATATTTGCTTGAACCTCTTTCAAAAACACCATTGAACAAGAACCTACGGGCTTTGGGGAGAATCCCACCAATATGTACTTCCACTATTTTCAACTTTTTCTTTCTTAAAATCTGCAGCATAAGACTTAAGTTCTGTGAAAGAGGCTTTTGCTTAAATTATTCACATTAGTATAAATTAAGTCAGGGCAGCTGGAAAAATGATGTGGCTGAATACACGGCTGAGAAAACATAAATGCATAGAGGGCGTTTTGCTAGTTTAAACTTCTCCAAAATGAGTAGATTTTAATAATGGAGTCATAGCTTGGTAAGGTCCAAGAAAAGAGTTTTATTCATCGTATGGGTCCAATATTATGGTGCATGGCACATTAGTTAAATGCTGTTGGTTTGAAGGACTAAAAAATAATGGGTAAGCAGTATACCATATTCCTGAGTACATGTGTACATTTTGTAGCATCTGAAGAAAATCAACCTTTAACCTTGAGAAATTAATGATGGGATCTCTGAAACTTCATTGAAGACAGCAGATACTTTCATTGAAGAATAGGGACATTCAAGACAGAATTTGAAACCACAAGTGAGAGGCCTCTTTTACTGTGGTTATAGTAGTCTCAAAAAGGATATTTAGAAGGAAGAAAGCCTGATTCCCCATTTACTGTGTGAAAGTTGAGGTTCTGTAAATGTTCTTCTAAGCTCAACACATGGAAGTTTCTCTAAGCCTGGGCGTGTATATGAGGGACAATTTAAAAGCTGCCCAAGAGATTTATAAGGGAAAAGCTCAGACAGAAACATATTAAAAAGCCACAACTGTAACCTCAAAGGTGGGAAATCAAAAGCAGTGATAAATGGTTGGTTTAGCAAAACTAAAAAGCAATTAGATCTTTTCAAAACATCTGAATTGTATAGAGATGTTGAAATATTGTCTAAAATGGGAATTAAGATAAAAATGACACTGAAGACAAATATCTGCCATACTTTACATGCAAACCCAATTCAAAAGATGTAAATGGATTTGTTACTGATTTGTACTTAAGGTAACTCCTATATATCAAGCAGTTTCTTTAAAAACAACTCCCCTCCCAAGTGATCTTGGATATAATAGTTCATAACTATAATAATGTCTAACATATTAGGTGCATTGATATTTCATAACAGCCCTTTACAAGAAACACTACTGTGACCTCCAGTTTACATATGAGTATACTGGGGCCCAGAACATTACAGAAGCTTTGCCCAAGGTCATTCAGCTACCAAGGTCAGGGATAGGAATTGAAGACAGACAGTCTGGCTCCAGAACACACGTGCTTCACCATCAAGCCATACTGCCTGTTGACACTTCTGTGAAACTGAGACAGCTGAACTATTATATTACGGCATGCATGTAAATCCAACCTACCCAGTCTGTTCTGCCTGGAGATAACTGCTGGTAACAAGCAGTCATTTGCAAAAGCTGTTTTCAGTAAAACACACATTTTATCTTGACACTGCAGGCCTTCATTAAACTGTGCACAGAAACTTGTTTTGAAATAACCAAATGAAATTCTGCCCCTTTTCTCCCTAATTGCTTCTAATAATAAAGTTAGTTCTAACTGGCCCCACTGCCACTGCAACATCTGATGGTAATGAGCAGTTCTTGGCGGAAGGCATTGTGACTTAAATACCTACAGTTTATCTTTCTGTTGCAGGCTACCTTCTCCCCCAACTCCCCTCAGCCAGAGGAACTTATTTGGAAGTTACTAAATGAACCTCTGTTTGCTCCCTTCATTAATTACTCTTTGCTCTTGCAAGTTAGCTTTCTCCTTTGTTAAATGGCCTAAGGAAGCCAATTAAAATGCTGTCTTGTGATTTTTATTCTGTGGTGGTTCAGCCTGTACCCAGATTTGTGATGACCTGCATAAGCCAATAGGCATTTGGGGAGTCTCAGCCACCACCAATCTGACAATACACATGAGCCCTGGACCCCAAGGCCCAAAAGTCCTTTGTTCTCCAGTCCAGAACACTTGGGACTAAATGACCACATGTCCTGGAGAGATTTAACAAAGCACTGGAGCCTCATATTATTTCATCTGCTCTTCCGTCTTCCTCCCTCCCATCATTCCCATCTCACCCTTTCCCTATCCAGTTGCTCTTTTACCTAAAGTAGCGGGAAGAAAGGAGAAGGCATTCCTGGATTCCCAAACAAGAGCTGGAATTGGCTTTCACTATAAAAACAATGTTATAACTAGGGGTGAGTTGTTAGTGAAATCTATAGCTCCAGACTTCAGGAACGTGGTGGGTTCTGTGGGCTGACCTTGGGACTCAGTGAATTTTCAATTCCCAGCAGCCAACTTCAAAGCAGACATTGGAACTAGCCTGGCCCTATGAAGGGAAGTGGCACCAGTCTTCCTCATAAAGGGAGGTAGTCCAGGTAACGTAAACAAATTACCTCTCCAAGAGCTGAAGCTTGAAATGTCATTATTTAGATTAAGGCTCAGGTTCTTAAAATAATATTCATTCCTATGGTACATGAAGAAAATATGTGTGCGTCTTGTAAATGCTGCTGTGAATTAGAAGTATGCTAGACTGCCACTGACCATAGATTTGCAGCAGGGAAGAGGGGAGAAAAGGAAAGAGAAGAGAAGATAGCTTGATATTACGCAGGACTGCATGGGGATACCACCATGAGAGAGGACAGCTATGGGACAGTTCCAAGTAGGGCACTTTGCAGTCAGATGTCTGAGTTCAAATACCAACTCTAGCCTCTACTAGCTGTGTGACAATGAGCAAGTTTACTTGACTCCTCAAATTCTCATTTTTCCTTTTTTGGATTATGCGGAAGGGTTATTGTGGGTATTGACTGAGATAAAGGATGTGGCAAGGTGGCTCAGTGAGTCTCAAATGGTATTGTTTGGTAAAGAAGTTGGGGGCTTTACAGTGACAACTTCAGTTTCCCCAAAAGATAGCCTCCAAATAATTCACTCTGTGTTCCCAAATGAAAAGAGTTTATTTCTCTATGGTTGACGATGAATCCTGACCAACCTCTCCATGTCCCTGAACATGGTTAATTATGCCCACGTTTCCCAGTGTGGCACACCCATGCATTTTATTCAAGAGGAGAGAGGAGCTCAGACCATGGGATTCTTTCCTACTTGCTCTCCCCCAGGACAGGATCTCCAGAATAGAGATCAGCCGGGGAACAGACCAAAATAGAACATTCCGGCTGCTACATTGACTATAATACAACATGAAAATCATAAGTGATATAGACATGGGTTACATGTAGTGATAAGTGCCACTGAAGATACGTTTCCTTATTGTTCAGTTTTACATCCCCTCTCCCCTTTTTTGGTTATTTTATGGTGCTACGAAATTGTCCTGCCTTAGAGCCCATCTCTCTTTTCAAGCGTTCTGTTTTGCCACAGCCTGGTTCACTCGTTTTTGTTTTTCTTTTAGAGACAGAGTCTTACTCTGTTGTCCAGGCTGCAGTGCAGTGGTGTGGTCATAGTTCACTGTAATCTAACATTTCTGGGCTCAAGCAATCCTGCCTGAACAGCAGGGACTACAGGTGCACAGCACCCACCCCCAGCTAATTTTTAGATTTTGTAGAGACAGAGTCTCACTTTTTTGCCCAGGCTGGTCTCAAACTCCTGGCCTGAAGCAGTCCTTCCACCTTGGCCCCCCAAAGTGTTTGGACTGCAGGCTTGAGCCAGCCCGTGCCTGGCTGGCTCACTCTTAAGCTGTCGCTCAGGTCTGAGGTTTATCAACAGCGCTTGTATTAATACCTTTGGTGAGTTAGAACAGCTCACTGAGACAAAAGGCTTCTGGATTCCTTAGCAGGTATTAGAAGTTTCACTAGCATCTGTTTTGAGAACTGATCATTCTTAGTGTTTGCATGGCTAAAGAAACCCTTATAAGTGTGAACTATGACTTAGGACTTAAGTTGATTATTTGAAAACATGAGTTCTTTGATTTTCAAATGCTATTACTTCCCTTCAAATGTGGCCTTTAAAGAATTCCAATCTTAACTGAGAAGACTCTTTGCCTGGTGTATACATTCAGCTATCAACCCTGAAGGAAAAGTATAAGTTGAATATTTCATATGAGTTTCATTAGGGTATATAAAGAAATACAAAGACAACGGGCCAGGTGCGGTGGCTCACGCCTGTAATCTCAGCGTTTTGAGAGGCCAAGGCGGGCAGATCACCTGAGGTCAGGAGTTCGAGACCAGCGTGACCAACAAGGAAAAACCCCATCTCTACTAAAAATACAAAATTGGCCAGGTATAATGGCACACGCCTGTAATCCCAGCTACTCAGGAGGCGGAGGCAGGAGAATCGCTTGACCCGGGAGACAGAGGTTGTGGTGGGCCAAGATTGCACCATTGTACTCCAGCCTGGGCAACAAGAGTGAAACTCCATCTCAAAACAAAAACAAAAAAACAATGATAGAAGCTGGAGATTTTGAAGGGAAAGCATGAGTTCTGCTGAAACACACAGATCAGTTTAAAGCTGTTGTAGAATGTACTGTGTAATATGAAATACTGTTAGTGGTTTTTTTTCCCTAGTTTCCATCTTTATTGCCAAATCCTCTCAAGTTTTGCGTAGTTCATTGATTCTGTAGCAAGTCATTCTAGTTCCCTAGAATGTGGTTTCTAATTGTTTCCATGTTTCATAACATGCCAATAAGCACACGAATTGGTCTGGGCAACCACATGGAAGGAGGAAACTGTTTGGAAAAAATGAAGCATTTTGTAGGGAAAGTAAAATGTATACAGCTGGGATTTCCACTCCAAGGATATTATTTTTGATGACTGGGGCACATGATTGGCAGCCTTGCTTGCAGAATTGGCATCTCCGAGGTAGGATTCATCTGCTTTTTTAAGTAAGTGTATATTAAATTATTATTTAGTGTGTGAGTGTTCACCTTTTTCCCTTCATCTATCTTCTCTTGACTGTTTCTCTCCTACTCTGTCTCCCATCTTGAAATACAGAACACAGAGAGAATGCATCAACCTCATGCTTAGAAAATTCTTGAGTAACCCTGATTAGTATTAGCAGTTGAAAGGCTTAGTCAGGGTTAGAATATATCTGACTTTTACTTCACCTCACCAGCTTGCCTTCATTCCTTGCCCATAGTAGAGACTCAATGTTTATCTTGTCTTGCAAGCTTTATAGTGGGGGTTGATTCACTTAAAGAGCTGTTTGTAAATGTACTTAGCGTTATAAATGTTGGAGATGGGGAGTGAAATTTTGACACTTAACAAATCAGTCATGATTTTTATTGTAATCCAATGTGGGCTGTGCCAATTAGTAGTGAAAATATAGGGCTAGAAATGAAGAATCCTAATTCTTGGTTTCCAAGCTATCTTAAGTCCCATTTTCTGTTTCCAAATAGGGAATCATACAAACCAGATGATGCCATATATTAGTAAAGCAGATCAAATGTTTTGTGCATCGTGACTTGAGTTCTATCTTAGGCCAAAGAATGGGAAAATTCCTGCCCTACTAAATTTTGTGGTTTGTGCTAATGAATGCAGGTTAGATGCTGTCAGGGCCAAAGAGACTGGGCTGGTGTTAACTTCACTTTGTTAACAGTTTAGGGAACTTGACATTTGGCTGGTGGAACACTTCTGACCTAATGACCACTCACTCCTCCTCCTATGTCTTCCCCAGTCCTTGAATGTCACCTTAGTAAACTTACCCTAGCACAAAGTGAAGGTGAGGTGGAGACATTCACATTTTGTTCTATGGCTAAAAGGGCAATTCTGAGCATGAAGCAGTAGAAAAAGAGATTGTGCTCAAACATTTTCTTCTTTTCCTATAAAACAAAGCTTGAGATTCTTTTCAGATTGTGAGATCCTTTTGGGTTAAAATTTGACAGAATCCCATTGAAGATTATAAATGGCAGTGCTATTGTTTTCATTGCTGTTATCAGTTTTGGAAAGTCCAGCCTTGGCCAGTGGCAGACTAATTCTTGGCCCTTCTGGTTTGTCAAGGTTCGGTAAGTTTAATGGAGAGCAAATGCTTTCCAAATGCCAGGTTTGTGTCCTTTTCCAAATGGAACTGGAAGCGCCAAAGGCCGTGAACATTTAATTTCTCAAACTGCAGCCTAAAGTGCTGCCTATCTAGGGCAACAGAAACTGCTTTTTTCCTTAAGCAACTTTAGGACCAGCAGCACAAACATTGCCTTTGGAGTCTGCATGATGTATGGGATTGTTTTTGAAAGTGGTGGATACTTAATGTAAATAGGACGCTGGCAACAAAAAGAATGATGCTCATGTTGGCAATCTAAAGGATGTTGGGGTCCTTATCTAGAAAGTTCTACACTTTTGGTTTTCTCTTGTCAGCAGACACAGCGTCAGATAAAAGAGAAAGAATCCCACCAATTTCTTGCTGTTTGTTAGCTTTCTGGATTATCTACCTTCTTTCCCCACCCCACCTGCTCTACTTAGAAAGGCAGCTGACAGATTCTGGCTCAAAGCATTCCTCTTAAAGCCAGTTAGAGTCCTGATGACCTGAGTAAAGAGCTGGAATGGGAGGAGGAGATGCAACTTTGCTCCTGATGACTTTGTACAAAGCCTCTCTCATTCTCTGCATTCATGTCTGTGGTTCTCCTGTGCTGGATTAGGTCTCATTTCTAAAGTTTTCAGAAGTATGTGTTAATCTCTGTTTACTAGTGTTTAGGGTCCAATGTTTGGTTTTTCTCTGTTCTTTATCAGCAGAATGTCTGGAAAGGCTGATGTTCAACTGGTAAATACCCAACATAGTTGTACTGGTTGTTAAAATATTGAACTGCATTGATGCTGGCTGGTACCTATAAATTATATTTTTATTGAAACATTGAGTCATCTAATGATACTGTTTGGAAGAGGTGACACTGGAGTCAAAGGCAACTGCTGGGCAGACCAAGGCAGAAGCAGAGGTGGCTGTAGGGCTATGTGGGGCACCCAGGTGATCCTCAGGAGTGATTAGGTCTGAGGTGGATACTCTGAGGACCCACCTCATGTGGGAAGAGCTGATATCAAAGTGCTACTTGGCCACGAGAAAGAGGCACCTCACACAGTTCTGCTCTGGTTAGGACAAAGTGCCAGAAACTTGAGACTTAATGACTTTCAGTTTAATGGGGGAAGTCATTGGAAAAGTTTACGGCAGCTCCCTATGTCAACTTCTGGCAGACACATCAAACAAAAGGGAATAACTTTTTTAAAGTTAATAAGCAGTTTAGAAAGTGTGCGAATGGTTCAATGAACTGGTAGGCAATTTTATGACATGTAATTTGGTTTATTTTGAGAATAATATTTTTCAACTTTATGGCTGTATATATGAAAAGCTGCACTGGTGGTCAAATGCTTTAATATCACTCTCATTTCAAATATTGTAGTGCCTCTTTGTCCTCCACTAAATAGTGATTAGTAAAGATATAATAAAATGGGGGAATACACAAACCAGACTGACTGCCAGTTGGGAATAGATATAGCCAAATATTGATTGAGTGCAGAGAACTACACTGTTGTTAAAAGAGAATCACTGAGATGCTCTCTGTCCTTATCGTGGAAAATCAAGTATTCAATCTGGTCTTAAAAATTTCCAGAATAGTTACTATAACCTGTAGAAATAAATAGTTCAGCATTTATTTTTTCTGCCCACTAAAATTAATGAAATTTATCTAAAACTTTCCTTTATTATAGTCTCCCTCATTAAATGGGTATTGACAAAAGGGTACCAACATTTCCTTACTCCCAAAAATAACTGTGACTTGTGTTATCTAATGTTAGCCTGTTTGTCCATTCCTTACAGGATACTAATGCTTGAACAACCACTCTGCCCAAACTTACTAGGTACGAATTTAGAGTCACTTTTAGCAATAGTTATGGTATCCCACGTATCATTTATTGCCTCTTCTAAGTCCTTCTTTGGCTAAATAATCTCGTGGCAAATACGTTTTGGATTAGCAATGCTAGAACCCTTTCAAGGTATCAGTTTGTTACAGTTGGAATTCTGATGCCTTGCCATGTTGCCATGCTCAGTAAGTCTTTATTAAATTGAGATGAGGAGGTTTTGTTTTCAGAAAGTGGTAGACAATTTAAAAATAAGCCAATCTAGTTAATTGATTATAAAGTTGGCTACCGCTCATTAAGTGCCTACAATATGCTGAGCACTCCCAAGGTAAGCCATATGGGAGTAAAAATAGCCTAGAACGAGAGCCCTTCTCCCAAAGCATGTTCAGCAGACCTAATGGATCAGCTCCTACCAGATATTTGCAATGACAAGAGTTTTAAAAATAAATTTAAATATGTTTTATTATTCCATCAACTTGATTTTGATAGTTTGTCATGAAAAAGGTAAAATAAATTAATTCCATTGCATAAATTTAGCAATGGTCACCCTGTTCTTTCCGTAATTATAGAAAAATGAAAGCTCCACTTAAGGGTAATAACTTTGTGATAATGAAAAGAAATGCCTCCCGCAAATTTAGCCAAAAATCTG
This sequence comes from Homo sapiens, assembly GCF_000001405.40. Classification (NCBI taxonomy): domain Eukaryota; kingdom Metazoa; phylum Chordata; class Mammalia; order Primates; family Hominidae; genus Homo; species Homo sapiens. The sequence continues at coordinate 8,380,479 of NC_000009.12, read as the reverse complement.
AACTGTCTCAGTTTAAGCTTCAAGTAAAGTTACTGGGTGATGTTTCTAAACCACAGCCTGAGTGACAAGTTCTGCTGTTCTTCTTTTCCACCTCTGAGTTGAACACATACTCTTTTCAGAAGACATTGGGGCCCACATAGATGAAGAGAATTGTTTGGAATCTCAGAACCACCTATTTGAAGAACAAGGAGGTTTAGAAACACCCCACTTAGTCAGTAAGGCTAATGGATTGAGGGCAGGGACTGGGTCTTATGTCACCTTGATGCCCCACAACTGCTAACACCTTGCTTTGCACCTAGAAAATCCTAAATCAGTATCTGCTGAAATTAATAACATGTTCTTTTTTTTCACATTTAGACTGATTTAGGTAATTTATAACAACAACCCCCCACACACAAAAATCCAGAATGTCATCAAACTGATAACCAATGATAGCTAGTGTTTGTTGAATGCCTGTTTGTGCCAGCCATTTGGGTTAAGTGTTTTAGGGGCATCACTTCAATCCCCACAATAGCTCTGTAATGCTGGAGACACTGTTCCCATTTCACAGATGAGGCGGCCAGACTTTGGTCCTGGAAACAGAGAAACAATTTTCCAGGCATCCAGGGAGACTCTGCCTGACCTTCCATGAATCAGTCCTAGAGGCCGCTTGTATCCATTCTAAATCAAATAGAAAAAGGCAAAAAACCGTATTCGTATTCAGTAGCTCCTGCCTTCTAGTTCTTATGTACTCAAAGGGAGCTGCCTTCATTTCTCATCTCACAATCAGCTTTATGTGTGAAGCCTAACAAATAGTAACTCTCTCTAGAAATACCTTATGATATTTTCTCTTAAGAAGACCGAGTAGGGGAAGGAAAGTTGTCAAAGGAAAACATTTTAAGAGAGGAAAATGGAGATAGTTCATTTATACTGGCTAATGAGGAAAGAAAAAATATCTCTATTGTTCTCCTTTTTCTTTCTCACTACATTTCATACTTGCTCCCTAATGCTGAAATCAGAAATCATATGTTTAGCATATGGCAAAAAAGGAGACTTAAAATAATATTTGTCAGTAACTCTAAGCCCTTAAATTCAGCCCTCCAAAATCAGATGAAGGTGTGCAGGCTACTCAGAGAATGAGATCGAGAAAGGAAGTACTGAGGTGCTTACCAGCAAAGGGAAAAATGTATTGCTGTCACTATTCAGATAAGCTCAGGAAAAGCTTCTAATCCCACTGCTGAGGCCATGTGTGTGCATTTCCACATACGTTAGGATATTTATTTTTCATAAGGTCCTTTTGAGAAATATTTCCTGAGAGAAAATGGTAATATTTAGACATATCCGCTTTAAAAAATTGCCTCTGATTTTTGCAGTTGAGTTTGAAATGTTTATTTTTCTTTTGGTAAATACTAAAAATGCATTGTTCAAAAGCAACTTTTTTCTTCTTTTAGCTAGAAATTTTCACAGCGTTTACTCCTTACAGTAATGCTTCCTGGTATTTTTTTTCTAAAGGGGTCAGAGTCTAAGCCAATAATAGTTGCAGTTTGAAACTTATTACTAGAAATGTAAGGATTAGTATAATTTTAGTTCTTCCTGCATCTTAGGAATGGAGAAGATTTGTAGATGGAGAGTCATTTTTCCAAAAGTTGTATGAAGGTTGCCTTCTCATTCTTTCCTTCATCTCCTTTTCTTACCTCACTAGAAGGTCTAAATGTAATCGAGTCCCAGTTTTAAAATATAATTATATTGAATTTGGTTCAGTGCATTGAACTGGCTGTATAGATCATTTTGTTGCATTAATGTGCTGTTTTTGTGCATATCATAGTGATATTTGTCCTTAGGGATTTCATTAGTTTATTTTAAACCGAAAGGGTTGCTCTCCAGCTGAGACTGTTAAATGATGAATTTGAGTTTCTCTCTTGAATCTTCAACTCAACCCATTGTTGGCATCTTCTTGAATATTACAATATGAGGCCTCCAGAGTTCCTCTTGTCCTCTGCTGGGAGACATCCACCTGACATCTATTTCATGGTTTAAAACAAAGCCTTTGGCATAATTTTTGTTAATTTTTTTTTTCTCATCTATATCATGACTGCTGAAGTAGTGTTGGTTCTATTCAGATGGTAGCTTTTGCTAAATATGTCATCTGTGACCTGGGTTTTAGCTTATGGTGAAAGAACATATAGAGATGCCCATGCCTGGTCACTCTACGTCAGTATTCTCCTTCAAGAATTATCATTTCCCTATGTTGTTATCTCTTTGAGTCAGGGCAAATGATAGAAATAAAAAACACAGAAGGCTATTTTGTACAACTAGGAAACACACAAAATATTCTTTACATCTTATTAAGGCAAAATTTTTGTCTTACTGTGGACAATTTTTGTTTGTTTTCATCAAAAAGATGATGTTTGTGTGGTCTCAAAGTTGAAATCAAGGCATAGGAATCAAACCTTGTGAATTTAATATCTAGCTTACTGTATAGCTATAAAGTGCTTTTCTTTTTTGTCTTGTCTGGGAAATTCTGTACAGGATAAAACTTCTCCCTTTCTTAGAAGGGCCAATAGTTTCATGGAAAGAGCCTGAATTCTCAGAGGAGCAAATGCTATCTCTGTGAAAGAGAAAATTACAGTATTATTCACAGAATGTTACAAATACTCATATTAAACATAAAAGCAAATCATTATGTAATAATTCTATTTGCTGGACCCAAAAAATTCTAGTGTCTCTAATAATAATGCTTTATTGCCTTTGTTTAAATCCAAAGATTGTGATTTTCTGTTCTTTTTCAAATAGAAAGGTGTATTCCCTATTGTAAAATACTGCTAGGAGCTTTCTTTACCTAGAGAAATGTATTTCAGTTGGGTTCTCTTAAGAATTAGTCCCATTAAAAAAAAGTCTGAGATAGAAAGGGTAAATATAGTCAGATCTATGGCCTTACTCCAAAAATATTGTGCTGTGTTTGTTACTTTTCATTATACTTTTTAATGCCCAACAGACTCATTCAGTGAATTTGAGGTTTACTGCAGACTTGGAATTATTCTTTGTTGTGTGTTAAACTAATTAGGCTGAAAACTTTTTATGTGCTTTTGTTCCACTTCACATAGAAATTGTAGATTATTCATCTTGGATGAATTTTAAATTATTTAAACTTTGCACTGTTAGTGTGTGACCCTCTGAGACTCTTTTTAAGGAACAGACAACTCTTTTTCCTGCAGACATTATAGGTTTAATTTGCTTTGGATACAAATAACATTTATCTTGTGTTCAAAAAAAAAGCACATGCTTATGTTGTTTATTATACTTTGATAGATTTTCCAATTATTTCTACTTTTCTTTAAACAAGCATATTTGGAAGTTGTGCTTTTTAAATCTTGATGAAGTAACACTATCTTACCATGTAGTTTAAATGACAAAGTGTCATCCTCCCGATGTGATTCATAACGTCTATCCCAGGACAAATTTGTTTTCTCTTCAAGCTCACTGAAGTTTCAAATCCCTCTCTCTGTATTTTACCCAGCAACAATCTGCAACTTATTTTTCTCCAGGAAAATTGAATCTGTTACTGTTTAGTATTCCTACCAGTTTGAAAAATGTGGTTTATATTGGCATCAGAGCAGTAATTTACATATATTGGGATAACAAAAATGCATGCCAGAAAAAGATCAACATAAAATGAAGTGCAGAAAAGCTGTTTTCCTTCAACAGCAACTCAAAGCAAAGTTAATAGAGAAATTGATGAGCATTTGCCCTGAATGTGTCACTTGTTTCTTGTAGGTGAAGTGTGACCAGTATTGGCCTAGCAGAGGCACAGAAACCCACGGACTCGTTCAAGTAACGCTGCTTGATACTGTGGAGCTGGCCACATATTGTGTTCGAACATTTGCACTTTACAAGGTTTGCTTTTCATCTTTTTCTCCTCCCTTTCCCTTCTCTATTGTTTAAAGAAAGCTTCTTTTGAGAAATGAAATCTCTTAAGGCTTTACTTAAATCTTGATCTCAATGGCAACAGTGAAGAATGAAATAGATCTTCCATTATCACTCAGCCATTTTTCTTCTTGTCTGGCGATTTATCAGTAAATATAAAACTCTTGCTCCAAATGAAAGTTTCAGCCAATGAAGAGTAGATGAAGAAGAACTAGCTCTTCCTGTAAAATGTGATAGGAGCTCTCCTGGTAGTTAAACCTGAAAAATATAATGCTTCTCACCTAAGAATTTTGTCTTCCTGCGCAAATATTTGTCATTTACAAATAGCTTGGGGTTTCTATTTCCAAAGAGTGTGTCTTCCCAAAGGCTACAGGGTGGTAGAAAGGAATTAAAATAGCACATTTTAGCATTACCTCTTCCCTGTTATTCATCATTACCACCTGAGGCTTGGAAAACAGAATTTCAGCTGATATTCCTATTTCACAGAATGGTTCAAGTGAGAAGAGAGAAGTGAGACAATTCCAGTTCACCGCCTGGCCTGATCATGGTGTTCCAGAACACCCTACACCTTTTCTAGCTTTCTTACGTAGAGTCAAAACCTGTAACCCTCCCGATGCTGGTCCGATGGTTGTGCACTGCAGGTAAGAAGCGTTTGTTCACTTGCAGTCAGGAAACAGAAAGCTAAATTGACTCTCATTGGATGTTTCTGCAACTTCTTGACATTCTGGAATAGTAAATGTCTTCATAAATAATACAGCTCTCTTTTGGTCAAATGAGGCCTATGCTAACATCAATAGGATGGATTTGACATAGATGCATATTTCCCCTGGAGATAGTAGGTAGCTATGGTCCACTGCTATTGTCTTTTCCCAGTGAAGAGAAATAAATAAACACAAAATTAAGTGGGCACATGGCTATAAATATGTAAAACAAAAAATAATATGTGGGGGAATATTCTTAAAAACAAATTTGTATTGTTTGACAAGTTCTTGTGGGCTGGACTGATACAACCTTTTTACTATTTATAGGGGAAAAAAATTACTGAACAAAATAATAATATATCATACAAGCTTTAGGGAGACTATCTTATTGCTTAAAGATGCCTTCTGTACATTAGTAATATCAAGTCTCATGACAAATCACTAATTTGATTTTTAAAAATGTATTTAATAGAATATATACAAGTTCTATAATTTGGAAGAAGTCGTTTTATGTACTCAAAGGTAATAAGTTGTATTTCTCTCGAAATGTATAGTTTGTATTTTTTGCTTAACTCTAACAGCTACATCACCACTCAGATTGCGATATATATAAATGTTTATAGATTTTTAAATATTAAGCTGATTTCTTCCAGTTGTTTGAGTGCCTCTTAAGTATCATTATTAGCAGACTACTCAAGCTATCTGGTCAGAGTCTATTTATTACTATATAAATGTATAGTGCATATAATTTCATGATAGTTCTTTATAACCTGAGAAATTCAAATATGAGAAAATATTGCTTCTTCCACAGATAAGTAAAATAGAAGTCTGGGAGTATAGGAAAAACCCAAGAAAGCATCTATCGTAAATCACTTCTATCGTGACTTAATACCATCACTCTCTTTCATACCCCATATTATACTATAATATAAATATAATACAGTAGACCCTAGAAAAGGAGCTAGTTTTTTAGAAATGGGGTCAACGGGCTGATCAGAATAAAAGCAGTGAAATTCACCTAGCCAAACCATGCTACAATGCTCATTGTTAAACAATGAGCTGGCAAGTTCCAAACAGGATAAAGTTTCTCTTTTCCAGCAAATGTTTTCCTAGATAAAAACTAGTAATAACATTACCTTGTATTTATGGAGAGTATTTTACTAATTTCAAAGCACTCCCCTATGCTTTATTTTGTTTGATGTTCATAACAACAGTATGTTGGGTTAAGAGAATTATGTCGTGTCAAGAGAAGTGAGAGGCTACAAAGTTTGCTTCAAGTACTGATAACTAAGAAGGTGATGGCGTAATCGGCCTCAAGTCTTATCTAGATTCTTGTTTCCCTACATCCAAGACAGGGTCCTTTGAGGACTGGCCACTCCAGTTGCAGTTTTCTGCATGATTGTAAAACATTAAAAATTATTTTTAATTTGAGCAAGTGGTTTTACATCATGAAAGTAGACTTCTGGTTCTCCTGCCTTTTGGTTTTAATTCAGGTGCTAGTTTGATCAGTCTGTATGCTCACAGTTCTTTGCAGGCCTCAAAGAGCCAATGTACCTGATTATATGGTGCCTCTGCTTGGTCAGATCTGACCTTGATTATAAAAATCACACATGAAACACATGAATTGTTTTCAGATAGAGTTTGGCCAAAGGATAGAGAAACAGAAAATTTGGTCTAGCAGAAGAAATGTTGCCCTTATATGCCTAATGGCAAAAATACGGTACACACACACACACACACACACACACACACACACACACAGACACGTGTGTAATTATATGTTTAAAATAATGGGAACAAAAATTAGAGACACATAATTTGGGAGTTTTCACTGAAAAACAGCATGATGATTTTTTTCACATTGCATTTCAAAATACAGAATCTGTGCTTTCTCCAAATGTTCTTCCCATTTCCGTAAATTAAAGTGGAGGCACTAGAAAACTGAGATAGGTAGGTAGGTAGATAGATAGATAGATAGATAGATAGATAGATAGATAGATAGATAGATAGACAGACAGACACATACACATACATACATACATACATACATACATACATACATACATACATAATTTTTAAAATGCATTTCACCCTCTGTAGATTATAAGCAAGGTATGGGTTTCATGCTAGGCACCGTGACAGATACAAAAATGTTTGCAAGCAAATAGCAAATATGAGAGATAAGATTAAATAGCTGTAATGCCTTATTTTGAGAAAATACACACACACACACACACACACACACACACACACACACACACACCCGCATCCATGTTATGTTAAGCCACCTGGACTCACCTCTGAGAGAGACAGGCTACTCAGGAGAAATAAGGAAACAAAGATGAATGTGCTGAGCTAATAGCTGCTGACATTTGGAAGTGCTGTGCCTGAGGCTCTGGAGAAGCTGCTTATTGAAACAAACAACAGAAGAGTAGGTATATTGGTGGAAGAAATTTGTTAGCAACTTCGAAACAATGAGGGAAAGGAACTGCATAAACTGAGCTCTGTGAAATAATTACCCATAGGTAATTTTACATGTCTGGTAAGAAGTTTTGGCCTCTTTATTTAGGAGGGTCATGTCAACATCGTCAACATCCATGTTATCTTGAATCCTTGAGTTGAATACAAGCCAAGTTAAAACTTGACAGTATAATGTTTTGTGACAAAGCAGCAGATTAAAGTCATTCTTAAATGACAGTTATCCGTGTAGCATCCCAGAAATGCTAGTTTAGAAACCATTTCTGAGCAGAAAGAAACTATGCAAAAAGCCACAATAGCCATGTTACAAAGGGATACTGATCACGGTTAATCATGATCATGTTACACATAATCACAAAAAATAGTCTGGAAGGTGAATACTGTATTTTGTGTTGTGATTTCTTTTATTATGTACTAAACTTTTTTTCTATATTAAAGAAGTAGTGACAAAGTAGATCCAAGCCTTCTGCCCAATATATCCTGTGAGAATGGAGGAGGTTTCAAAGAAGTCAGGTAGTAGCCCAAAAAAGGTCAGGCTGGCGGTGCAGTACAGAAAAAGGAAATTATGGTCCTCCAATGATTCTGTGCTGTAATTGGACTAAGACAAAAATGAGCCATTAAGTAAAAGAAATTCTAACAATCAACAACAAAAAAGAATTTTAGGGATAGCCTAGTGCAACAAGCGCAGACAAGGCCTTGGAAGGTCAAGGAGGACAGAGTCTACCAGATTTCTAAAAGAAAGAAGGTCTAGTTCAAACAGGCAAGCAAGGAAAGGCCAACTCTAGTTATCTATCAGTTCATACAGAGCATAGAATCTCAACATTGAGAGTACACACTCTGGAGAGATAGACTGCCTAAGTAAAATGTCAGCTTGTTTACTTACTGGCTGTATGCCTTTGGACAAATTATTTAATCTCTGTTTCTTCACCTGTAAAATGGGATAACGCTATAGCAATGAGAATTTTATAAAAATTAAGTAAGATGACATAAAATAGATACATATAAAGCACTTGAGACAGTGCATGGCATATAGAAGTATGCAGTAATTTTAAATTATTAATAATTATTCATTACTGAGTACCTTTTAAAAGCTGTGTGTATATTTAGAACTCTGAGAAGAAAAATTCAACATGAATTTGGATATCATCTACGTAACCTGAGCCATCCATTTTATTAAATAACAGATGTTTATAAACATCCAAATCATTAAATGAATGGATTTTTTCAAATGTACATATTTTCTACTATGGCAATCCCATGAGACTTTTCTCAGTGAGAGAGAACATGTTGATGCTATGTGTTAGAGAGGATCATTTATAATAATACATCTGTTTGTATAAAGACCTGAGAAACCTTTCAACTCTTAAAATGATGCTGTTAAAGGAACTTAATGCCATTGTCCTTGATGCCTTCAAGATGAGGTGTGAACTGCTTATCATTGCATTCATGCCCCTTTGTAATTTAGGCTGATCTCACCCTTCGCACCTCATTGTTGACTCCTTGGGCCATCTTCTGATAGCTACACATTCCAAATATCTTCATCTCTGGATCTCAGCCAAAGATATTTATCTGGTCTAGAATTTCAACAATTCCCCTTCTCTACCTGATGGTGTTCAACCTTGATGCATAATCCAACTTAAATAGCATTTTCTATTTGTATTGCAGAGGTTGCAAACTGGCTTCAGATAGTTTTGTTGATATACACGATAATTTTTTTAAAATTTGAGCATGAATTTCTTTAAGCTGGAATGCACTATCCAGTTTTGCAAACCCTTCCCACTCCCTATTGTTTTACACACATTTATGACATTGCTTTATCTTGTAGACATTTGAGTTGTAACTCTGGAGAAACATTTTAAGCTTATTCCCCATTTATCTTCCCACAGGAAGAATTAAATATTCTGTAAATTCTCATAGAATAGGTTCACACTGTGCAAGTTTAGCTATATGTGTGCAGATCATACGTACCTTGAGATCTCAGAAGGCATGAGTCATGGCTTATGTACATTTTTACCCCCAGCTCTTACACCTTAGTAAGCACTCAATAATTGCTTGTCCAAGTTTGTTGAATTACATATGGCATTTTAGTAATTTTTACAAAAATAGTAAGAGTTTCAAGGCTGGACTGATTTTTTTGGTTTGTGTTTTCACCTTAGAGACTATATTTTTTTCCCTTTATATTGGGGTATTTCTTTATGAGAGCTTACTTTTTAAATTGCCTTTGCCTTACTTATAACTATTTCTGAGTTCCTTTTTCTACCACTCTACATTTCATGTTCTTTCCCACATACCATCTATTCCATGATTAAATTTAGACATAGCTCCCCATTTTGTAGCAATACTAATAGTTCAGGATAGTTGAGCACTTATTCAACATCAAATAATCTTTCTTGCCAACTGAAGAGGCCCTGTCATAAGTGCTTTATATGTGTTACTGCTTTTCGCTTCCCGTGGTAATTTACAAGGAGTAATTTTAGTCTCCCATTTCACAGAAGAAAAAACAGCAGAGGCCAGGTAAGATCAGCTTGCTTGCCTGAGCTCATACTACTAGTGGTGGCAAGGCCATTATGTTCCCCATGTTGCATGGCCCTATAAATCAGGCAGATTCTCCAGACTTTAGGTCCCATGATGGTTTTTAGCTCCCCTTTCTGCTGTCCCTTTGGGGGCATTTCTCTGATTTCTCTGTCAAGCCTTCCCTGGTGACCTGGTCAGAATGAGCCACTCCTTCCTTTCTGATTCCATACCACATTGCTATATTCTGGCCTTTCTTTCACTCTTTCTAAATCAAAGGCAATTGCTAGCATGTGAGTCTTTTCCATTCTTTAATCACTGGAACATAAATAATCACAATAGCTACCAATCATGGAGCCATTACTGTTTTCCAAGTATTACTGAGCAGTCATTTAATCCAGAAAATAGTATATTTTGCTTGCAAAGAGCATTCCGCACAGGGAGGTAATAAGTGATTTGTTCAAGGTCATACAGCATATACATTTCATCCTGATTTCAAAGTCCATGGCCTGTTTACCCATCATTATATCCAGTTCTTACTCTTCGTATTGCAGAGACCACCTAGTCCCTTATACTTAGCTCTTTACTGCACATGTGTAAAGGTTGTCAGATATTTGCCATTATCTCTTCACAGCACATATATATATATGTGTGTGTGTGTGTGTGTGTGTGTGTGTGTATATATATATGTGCAGTGCATGAATAGAGACATATAGTATTGTTTTTATCTTATTTATAAAATGTGATTTTGGGGCAGAACTTTCTATTTATTAAACTGAGATTTTCTTAAGAGGTCATGGATTACATTTTCCTATATCGTCTTAGTCTTCCACTTAGAAACTAAGGCCGTTTTGTTCCACTTTTGAGCCTTGTTCCTTATGTTGTTTTATAGAATAATTTGTGGCTTTATTCTAAACCACATATTCTATAAAGACTATATTCTAGTACCAGAGGGACATGACAACTGATTTGCTCTAAGTATTTGCATTTGTTAGGAATGAATACATTGGGAAAAAGCTGTAATTTCAGTGAATCAGTTATAAAACCTTGACCCATGATACTAGAATGAATACATTGGGAAAAAGCTGTAATTTCAGTGAATCAGTTATAAAACCTTGACCCATGATACTAAATCTTATGTCACATTAACTCTTTTTAAGACAAAAGGAAGACTTTCTATTCATAAGAGAAACATTTATTTATGAAAAAAATTGAAAAGGGGATAGATCACAACTCCTGAATTGATCTTCTAAGTGAAACAGTCTCAAGGAAAATAAAATAAGCTTCCTGAGTATCACTTAAATCTATCACAATCATAGAATCAAACCACTCTTCAGAACTGGAAGGAATAGGGACTGCATACCACATAGAGAGCAATAAGGTCCTAGAAGCACCAACAGGCCACTAAAATGGCCCAGTAAAAAATCAGATGCCAGTTTGGGGTTGTAAAAACTCCTAAGTTCCAATCTTCATAATACTTTTTGACTTTGCATATGGAAGCACAACCAGGAAACTATGTAGGCCATATTCATAGCATAACCATGTACCCCTAAGCCCAACCCAATAGTGATGAAAATGGCCTTTTCAAAGTCAAAAGAAAGATTTTGGAAAGCATTGCATAAGAGCATAAAAACAAAAGACCTTGTGATCCAAAGAAGCTAAGAGTGCTGTGGAAAATTGTTTAATACATTTTTAACCATTCATTCTAAATTCCATTTTTATTTCTTCTAATGTTCCATTCAAATGTCTCTTCAGATCAAAGACCACAAGTATTGCCAAAGCATGTGATAGTTTTGAGATGCTGACAAACGTGAACCATAGACCCATGTTTTCCTTAAACCTGGGGTTTATCTTTATGTGTAAATTACGGAATAGGAGATGCTAGCCTTCTGTAGATGAAAGGTAGGATTGTTAAAAATGCCAACATCTCGATAAGAATGGGTGGAGTGTACAAATTATGTCCTTATTTATGGAAACATTTTAAGGTAAGGAAAAATAATTATGCCATGTGGAACCCATTATGCCAGATTCTGTTTTCATACACCAATAATTCTGTATAAGAAGCAAATGCGTAGTTTATGAAACAACATAGTGTTAAAAACAGGAGGCTGGGTCTTCAGTCTGTTGATGGCACAGTCCTATGATAGAAAAATATCTTCCTTCTGCCAAAATAGTTTAAAAGTAATGGAACCAAAAAAAAAAAAAAAAAAGCATTAAAAGGAATTGCATAGTGTCCCCAGTAGGTATAAAGTGTAAAACTCAAAATGGAGAAGTTGAGGTGCTAGGAAGAGCATTCTGGCTGCCTGATGAAATGCAGAATTTATTTGAAAAGAAGCATAATAGATATAAATGCAGTGGAAGAGAGGTGAGGCCAATAGTAATACAATACTATCTAACTTCAAAATCATATATCAGGTCTATTTGATGAAGGTTCCTTCAAGGGCAACTGAGAACCTATCACCAATCCTGTTCCCATTTCGTGCCTAAGAATAGCAACCAACTCACTTTTGTGTTGTAAGTGACTGTTTACAGAGCATCTCCCCATCACTTATTTTATTTGATGTTTATGATAAGAGTGGCAGATGTGCATTATTACTTTCCTCACTCGCCAGCTAAGGAAATTGAGACCCTGAGAAGTTAAGTGATTTGCTGAAGAAAACGTACTTAACTAGTAAGCGGAATCAGAAGGAGAACCCCCTTTCTGATCTATGTGTATATTATACTGCCATTTTCCATTTTGCTCAATGTGTATCCTACAAATGGGGGTAGAACTGTCCCTAACCTACAAATGAGATGGCTCCTAGCACATAGAGCTGCTCTTAGGGGCCAGCATTGTATGGTAGTGAAAACTCTGCAATTGAAATTGTTCTAACAAACAGAGTTCAAATCTTAGCTGTACTATTTACTGCATCTGTGACCTCGAGCACATTAAACAATCTTTCTAAGACTCAATTTCCTGATCAGTAACGTGGGGATAATAGTGGTATTTCTTTCATAGTATTGGTTTTAAAGATTAAATAAGAGCCGTGTAAAGTGATTCATTAGCCTGTTACATAGAAAGAAGTCAACAAATGTTTACAGTTACTGACTTTTAAAAATTATTGTTTTACCTCACAGTTATTTAAATTGACTCTGTTAATGTCCACAAAGAATACTATTATATTTTCTGGACTGTGAGTTTGAGTTCTACGTAATTGTTGATTCAGAAGAGTAGAAAACATGTGCATGTATACATTAACATAGAAGATGGGTGGCAACTGGAATATTTAACACGGAAAAATGTGTTAAGTACTGTTATAATTATATCATTGCACTAAAATAAATGCTTTGCTTATTAGAACCAATTGTTTCTATAAGCAGGGTTTCTTAACCTCAGCAGTTTGGACATTTTAGATCGTAGAATTTTGGCTATGAGAGCCGTCCTATACATTATAGGATGCTTAGCAGCGTCCTTGGGCTTTGCTCACCACCCTCACCTCCCTTCCCCCACATTGTTACAATAAAAACATGTCCTAGGCATAGCCAAATGTCCCCTTGGATATAAAATCGCCCCTACATGAAAACCACTGCTTATGGTAATAAAACTAATTTTTAATTTTGGCAGAATTATTGGGTCCAAACGATAACCCACCTCAAAGCTTCTAACTTAAAAAAAAAATGCTTATTTGAATGCAACTCTTATTTTAAATATTTGGAGAACTTCTTTGTGAGACTTACTTTAATTATAACCTTTTAAAGCATACAGAGAACTAGGCTCATTACTTGAAAAGAAATCTAATAGTGTTTCTTACCTTGGTCACCAACCATACAAACCATACGCTTGGCTCCAGGTATCTCTTGGCACTAGAAAAATAAATAAATAAATCCACTTTCAAGGACAAAGATGTGCCACCATTACTGGATTCAAAAGAACAGGCCGTAGGCGTTTAACTCTACTGCCAAGAAGGAGTTCCAAAAATATTTTTGCACCATGGCAGCGTTGCATTAAATCTTTGTCCTCTCAAAGTGGCTAGTTTTAAGGGCCATGCTCTTTGGAGTTGATAAATGCTAGTCTTTTGTGCTATGATATTAGTCACATTGCTTCGTATTCACACTTGGTATGACGTCCAGCATTTTGGCAGTTCCAAACAATAAGCCCCAGGAGTGCCCTCAAGTGGCATATGACTTAGTGACTGTCCCTTTCTCATTGTTTAATGGAGGCCAAAGATAACAGATGAGATGAATGGAAAGAAAGTGAGTCATAATGTCAGACTGCCTCCTCAAGCTTGCAGGTTCCTGAAATTCTTTGCCCTTTGATTTTTGAGGGTTCAGATTTCTGGGACAGCACACTTATTTTTAAATCACAGAAATTTACCAAAGATGAGTTGCTTATGAAAAACTTAAATATTTTTCATTTTTTGTTTTTGTCTACTTTCTTCCAAGGGACATGAGCAGTCTTGCTTTTTCTGTCTCTTCCCATCTCACCTCCCTCAATACCTCTTCCACTTCCCCCCAAAATTCTTCTCTACATTGCAGTTCATCAAGGGAGAGGCAGCAGTTAAGTGTTTCACCAGTGCACAGTGGTGCTTGCTGAGTGTATGGTTTGTCATATCTCTAGTATATTAAAAAAAGAACTAGATAAAATGAGTCAGGATTAACTGTGGCTCTTCCATTCCAATGGTAAACAGCCACTTGCTCTTGCTCAAATTTCATTTAATGTCTGAAAGGGAGAGGATGATGAGAATTATGATTATTTTGAGAATATTTCTTTTCTCTCTGTTTTTGTTCATTTGTTTTGGTGTTGAGCATTGAATCATATTTTAAAATACTATAACCGTATTTCTGTTTCTGGTACACCTGTGTGCCACAGGAGTTGGCAGAACGGAGGGTATGTCTGTCAGTTAGCATTGCTACCTACAAATACCAACCCAAAACACTGTGGCTTAAAACCACAGTAATTTGTTTTTTCTCGCAAGTCTGTGGGTTGACTTGGGGCAGGACATGGATCTTCTGCCTATCTCTCCTGAGCTCTTTTTCTCAGTCAGCTTGAAGGGCTGGGAAAGCCAAATGGGGTCTCTCTTTCTCCCCAAGGCTTTTCATCCTGGTCCAGTGGGCTCAGGGTTCTGAGGACATCAAAGGGGAAGCTACAAGGCCTTTTGAGACAATTGCTTTTGCTGCATTCCTTGGTTTAAAACAAGTCAGGGGCCATTCCAGATTCAAGGAATGGGGAAGCATACTCCACCTTTGGATGGGAAAACAACAACTCATTTATGACCTCATTTATTCTACCTCTGAGTGCCACATTGCTGAACCTTATTTACTGGATTGGTGGAACTCTGCTCTCCATGCTCATCAGCCTGGCTAAATACAATGTGAATTTCCCTCCCCAGGCTCGATGAGAGGAGCCAAGCCCCCTAAGCTGACCCCAAAATACAGGGTTTATGAATAGTATGTGAAATAGGTAAGAAAGTAGGAAAAAAGTCCATTCTCAAAAATGCATTTCATAACTGCTACCTGATTACTTCTGGTAAAATATTAGCTTGTGGGTAGGAGAAACTTGTGCTCTTAACTCTCCTTACATCCTAACTCAAAAATATTTTCTTTACATCTTCCTGTAATTCAAGATTTACTGGGGCTAGTGGGCCTCTTTTTGAACTCAGAAACAGGACTATGATTCATTCACAGTGAATCATAGCCGTGGAAGGGACATTTCCAGACTCTCAGACCACTTCCCCTCCTGCAGCCTTCTCTTTTTTTAATTTTTTTTTTAAATTTCAGAGTTGAGTTGAGAAAACAAAATTAGGCCAATGAGGTTGACAGCTTTCCCATAGGCTTCTGCTGGACTCAAGTCTTCAGACTGCGGGTCTAGTATGTTTTCCACTGCAGTATGGTCCTTAAAATTTTGTTCAAATCAATTTGATTAAAGGGTCCCTTAACATTTTCTAGATGCATTAGGAAAATAACCAGAAAGCACCTGTATATTGAGAGGAAGTGTTATGTTTGACACCAAGATGATTGGAGTAGGTAATTTTGACACATTAGACCCAATTAAGCATCCCAGATCTTCAAGCCCATGAATAATGGGAAGAAAGGCTGATGGGTAGCCAGGGAGCACCCTGAATGCACTGGGTACCAATTTGGTCAGTGAGGCTACCGCAGCAGAAAATCGTAGAGCGATGCCAAAGGGAGATGGAGAAGATGTCAGAGATAGATAAACTTGTCCTGCCTTGCGGCAGTGCCTGGAGCTGTGATGGTGGAAACCACTTCAGGCCACTAAAAATTACTTGACATGCTGTCTTGGCAGGCCCTGCTCTGGTTCACAGTGGCTGCCTTGTGTATCTGCCGCTCCCGTTGGAGTGCTAGCCTGGCTGTGCCGTGGCTGTAGCATGAGCTTTTTAGTGTCGATATGCTTGGGAGGCCCATCAGCTACAATTTCCTCATCTCAGGCTCCAGCCAGCTGCAGCAGATGCTATTGTTACCTCTTCTATTCGATAAAGTAGGAAGCAAAGAGAGAAAGAAATTTGTCAATATTGTTTTTCTGCTGGAACCGAAATAAAAACTGTGTGTGGTACACTGTCCAATGATAACCCATGTGCCAAATCTCCATTTTGTGTAACACGCTTATATAAGACTCTGCTTCTGTATTTCTTAACGTAATGTAAATGACCTTCTTGATTCCATTGTAGATGTGTTACAATTACAGCCATTCAGATTTCTCAATTTGGATTTGTGCTATTTCTTGCACTTGCAAACCCTTTGCTTCTGACCATGCCATCTGCTGGAATCATTTATATTTCTTTCACACACTCACAGTGTTTGTTATATGCCAGTATTTAGCTGTGTAAAACTCTGAAATATTGTATATAAATAAACAAATGTTTAGCAAGTATTTTCAAACCCTTTGCCTTGATAACTGGCATTAATAAGGTACATTTGTGTTTCTAACATAAGTACAGCTGCCGAGAGAATTTCTTGTTACAGAAATGTATAAAGTGACACCAAAATCAGAAGAGAATCCCTTTTGAAATAAAAGCTTGCATATGCAAGCAGTCTCTGTGCTGAGGACAAAGTAAATGATGATGAATTCAGCTAGCAAAAATTTCTTTTTGGATACAAAACATAGCTGGGGGTGGGGGCTGTCTGTCTTCAAACTCTCCTAAGTTGCTGGACCTTCCAAGTTATCCCATCAAACTTTTGAGCCCCAATAGGACATTGGTCAGCCTGCAAAGGCTTATTAATTTCTTTCTCACTGCTCTATTCTGATCACCCAGTTAAGTGCAATGTGAATTTCCTTCACAGGACTGGATGAGAAGAGCAAAACCCCCAAGTACAACCCAAACTGAGGGTTTTTTGGTCAATCTATAAAATAGGTAAGAGAGGAGGAAAAAGGGCCTTTTAATTTTTTTCAGAACAGCCACCTGATCTTTTTTGTTGTTGTTGCCATTTTCACCTGGTTGATTTGCTTTTTCCTCTTGAATCCCTAACTACCCCTAGATGTGTATAGAAGAGTTGTGAATTGGAGTGCCTTTTTCTGTGATTTTTCCCTTCACTGCGGTAAGGCTCCTCCTTGTCACTGAAGCAGAGCTTATATTGAGATTTGACCTATGTGTTGTCTAAATACAGATTATTTGAAGATGCTGGGTTTTTTAAATTATACTGTCCTCCAAGCTAAGAGTGAATACTGTAAATGAATGCAGAAGATAAATGTATATAAGATGCAACCTCAAATGGTCACAATGGTAAGCCTCCAAATTTTATCAAGAGCTAGGGTTGTTGGATTTTTGTATGGACAAACAGAGACCACGAATGGTCTCCAGATATAATCTATGTTTTACACATGCTCAAAAACCCTAGTAAAAATCAAATACTTCCTAAAGCAGTAGGCAATTGCATATATAGTAGGCAATTTTAAAATGTTAAACTGATAAATCAAGCTCCTGGATCTTTAAATCTTCATTTTAAGTGTGTCTTAATAAAAACAACTCTGAATTCCATGACTTTCACTACATACTTAGCTTTCAGGATCAAAAAAATGATAATTGTAGAAATGTAGAAAAATAAGAGATATTGGATAAAACTGTATGATCTTGTGCAAGTCACTCACTTGACTGAAGTTATAGCTCTGTAGAAAGGTAGAGAACAGTCTGGTCATTTGCCAATGGCATCTTCTCAGAGGAAAACTGGATAAAATCAGATAGATTAAATGCTTGTTTACTCTGATGATGATTATGATGATGGTGATTGGTTTTCTAGAAATCTGTTTCTTTGAAGAAACAACTTCAGTCCAAATTTTGGTTTATAGGTGGTCAGTCATTCTTCACATCCTAAACTCTCACTTTGTCAACCTGAACCAACTCCAATTCTAATCAATTGGGCAGAGGCTTTCTCAGTCTGGACTCATGCTTGCTACTTAGATTTGAAAAACCATAACCAATCATGTTACAAACCACAAAAATCCTCCTCTACAATCTATGGTTAATATTTCATCCCTCTTTCGTGTGTCTGAAAATGATTGACCTGGTTTCAGACTATTTTCTCTGAGGTACTATAGTCTGAAATCCATTTGCTATCTTGGTTCAATTAAACTCAAACTTATTGGTTTGTAGGGTACAATAGTAAAGCTACAAGCTTAGCAAAACCTCTTCCAGAATTTAGTAAGGAGCTCTGTGAATGTAGTCCAGTTACAAGAGATAGGTATGTATGCCTTTGTTGTTGTGTTTATATTTTCTAAAGGCTTAGGAATAAACACATCTTTAAAATCTGAGATAATAATTCTACATGTAAGTCATTTTTAGAGTGAAGCTTTGTGGCCTGCATACTGTACAAAGGTACAAATTCCCAAGGTGGTCTACATACCTCTTGCTGAATTCTTTGCCTGCATTTCTGCATGGGCAATCTCATCAAGTCACATGGTTTTCTGCTAAAGCTTCACCATATCACAGTTTGGCTATGGCTTAAGAAACCAATAGTCCAGTCCTAGCTATTGGAAGAAGGTGAGTGGGTCTGAACACGATCCTCTTTGTTATTTCTGCCCTGTGGGGGACTTCTGTACACTTAGAAAGTGCTTTACCTTAAGCGGGAACAAAGGAGGCTGTTTTTTCAGAATTTTTTTTAGTTTGGTCATTTTCAAACATACCCCAAAGTGGAGAGAATGTATAATGAACCCCCAAGCACGCATCACACAGCTTCAATTATCAACATTCCAGGCAGTGTTTGTTAAATGGCAATTCATTTTCTGTTTTTCAAAGAAACTCATTACATAACTGCCATTCAACATCTGAGATTTTAATAGCCTGGGCAACCTTATCTCAGGTAAATATTCAATTTCCATGGACAGAGGTAGTGTAAAGGGCATTTATTACTGCTTTCTCGACTCCAGGTTGAGTGCTCCTAGACTAGGTGTCCTATGCTGTTATAATCTGATACCTAGACTGCTTTTCTACATCTGAAGTCTTTTATAGCATGAAGTTTCAAAATGATTACAGAGTATTAAAACCACCTCCCTCTTTGGAAAGCTTGTACCCCAAATTGTCCTTAGCAACATTTGGCTTGCAGTCTTTTAAAATTTTCACTCAGCACCTTTACTTTTAATTAGGCTCAGTTCATCAAAGCCTCCACCACTGCCTGTTATTTGACATTCTAAGTTTCACATTCCCCTGCTAAAATTTTTCTTTTAATCTGTGAAAGCAGAGCTAGATTTAAAATGTTCTGCTACTTCATTGAGAAGAAAGAAGAAAATAGAAAAAAATAGCAGTTTTACCAATCTAAGTTTTACAAATCCGTATGTTGACCATTTAATCTGACGCATTCATAATTGGCATACATAATTCACACCTATTCTGGGTTATAAGAAGTATGAGAAAATCTACAGAAACAGAAAAAAAGGTTTGAACATAAGAATGAAAATCACTTAGAAAATTTGGGATACCTCATCAATATATGTGCACATTGAATCATGGATTATTAATTGATGCAGGGGGGTGAATTTCTGTAGTCAAATAAGTATGGGTAAAAGTAAGTTTAACTGGTTTCTTTACAGCAGGGTTTCTCAGCCTAATGCATTGTGAGCCTTCAAGAGGAAATTTATAGAACTATTTGTCCCCCCTTGGAATTTCTCTAAGGACTCCAGGAAGTGCTATCATAAAAGAAATGTTTCATAGCCTGGATAATTTGGCTCACAGTAATAAAACGAGATGATGAACTACTAAGTGTAATTGGCTAATCAATTAGCAACATTCAATAAAATGTATATATAAATATAACCAGTAAATATTTATTACAACTTCACTGTGCAAAACTGTGGGTTATAGAGTATGGTATCTCCTTCAAAAAGCTTAATCATCATATATGAAGAGATCTAAAGCAATCAAGACCATTCAGAAGGAACCTTGATCTATATGTTCAGTTTAGACTTGATCATTTAGACAAAACCTCAAGTGAAGCAAAGAACCCTAAAATGTATGTATACAGTTGACATTAACCTCAAATGCATAACTGTATATTAGATTCACCAGTTTTTAAAATTTGGGACTAAGAACTCTTATTTGAGTATGACCAATGATTAGCAGATTTAGTGTTTTTAATATCAACAGCAAACAGTAGTTTGTTTCTAAAGTTAAGCAACTTTAGAATCCATCTAGATGTTTATAAATATTTTTCCATTTACCTGCAGTTGTGTCACCCTTACCTAATTCAATGGTACTTTATTGGCTATGACGGGACACAAATTACTTTTACGTCTATCTTTCCAAAGTAATTAACTTGGTTTTTACAGAAACAACTCATTTATTTTGTAACTATATCTCGTCATTTTATCTAAGAATTACATTACTTAAATGAAATGACTGATTATTTTTGGAATAAACATGATGACACCACAAACATTCTAGAGCCACAGACAACCTGGAGAGTAGCCTCCTAACAAACATTGAGCTGACCTAGTGCAGTAAGCAATGGGAGGAGCTTTTTGGAGGAAAAGGAAAGCTTGAGTTAAATTGGTTAAATGGAAGTCAGATAAGACCATGCATATTGATAGCCATATGCCTAAGGAAAGGAAGAAATGATGGAACAAACACTAAGTGGTACTTGAGATAAGGGGAGGAAAACAGAACTTTGACACAAACAAAGCAATGCAACTGAAATACAGAGATTTTATTTTAGTCTCTGTTCCTGAGTCTCTCCACCTGTAAAATGCAAGAGAATGGCTTGATGGGTGGCTCAGAAACTTTAGCAAGCACCAGAATCACCTAGGGGCTTTTAAAAATTCAAATAGCTGGCCGGGTGGGGTGGCTCACGCCTATAATCCTGGCACTTTGGGAGGCTGAGGCAGGTGGAGTACTTGAGACCAGGAATTCCAGACCAGCCTGGGCAATACAGTGAAACCCTGTCTCTACTAAAACTATAAAATTTATAATTATTTTATAAATTTGCTGGCATATGTCTGTAATTCCAGCTACTCGGGAGCCTGAAGCAAGAGAATTGCTTGAACCTGGGAGGTGGAAGTTGCAGTGAGCTGAGATTGTACCACTGCACTCCAGCCTGGGCAACAGAGCGAGGCTCAGTCTCAAAAATAATGAAATAATAAAATTCAAACTGCTTGACCCCACCCCTTGAGTTTCTGATTCTCTAGGTTGGGGTGGGGCCTGAAAAATTGCATTTCTAACAGTTTCCTACATGCTGCTGATGCTGCTGGTCATGGGGCCGCACTTTGAGAACCACCAGATCTCTAAGATCCCTGCCGAATCTAAAATCTGATTCAATTTTTTTTTGTTTTTTTTTTTTTTTGTTTTTTTTTTTTTTTGAGACGGAGTCTCGCTCTGTGGCCCAGGTGGGAGTGCAGTGGTGCAATCTCGGCTCACTGCAAGCTCCGCCTCCCAGGTTCACGCCATTCTCCTGCCTCAGCCTCCCGAGTAGCTGGGACTACAGGCGCCCGCCACCACGCCCGGCTAATTTTTTTGTATTTTTAGTAGAGACGGGGTTTCACCGTGTTAGCCAGGATGGTCTCGATCTCCTGACCTCGTGATCCGCCCGCCTCGGCCTCCCAAAGTGCTGGGATTACAAGAAATCTGATTCAATTTTATATTACATTTTTTTTTCCTGAGAGGATTTAAACCAGAAAATAAAGTTAAATATTGGTTTCATAAAATTTATTAGTAGAAGTCTAATAAACTATGCAAGAATAGGAAGGTTGCATATCTACTCTGTGGTTAGGCTAACTGAATTAAAATATTCAATTCTAGGTCCTCAATTCATAGAAAAAAGAGTACTGAAATTAACATTGATCAAGAAGCTATTATTTAAAATGTATTTTGCTGACAGTATCATAGAAAACTTAGGAAATAGGTTTACATTTTACAGGTGAGAAAACAGAGGCTCTGGAAGAATAAATAAATGATGTATTTAAGATACAAGCTGCAGGTGGAAGAGCCAGAGTTAGTATCTCTAAATTCCATAAAATTTTTGTTTGCCAGCCTGGTTCTTTCATAAAATGAGTACATCACATCAAAGACCATTTGCTCTGTTATGCTTAATTGAAAACAAAATAGTCAGTATCATCAACTCAGTCAGGACTTTAAATTATGTTTAAACTATTTTAACCAGTAAGAAGTGAACCTTCAAGAAAAAAAAAAATGATGGGGGGAATTTTAAAGTGTAGTAAGTCTTTAATTCCATGAGCCAAAACTGAATTTCTTCCCCAGGCTGTAACTTTCAACCGTTAGAGATACGTGGTTGGAGATGGTGTCTATGAGGTCACATTGCATCCTCCCTTAGAACTATGCCATGTGTGAAACAGACACTAAATAAAGTGAGCATTAGAGTAGAAGTGTCACAATCCAAAACGATGCCAGGAGTCATACCATGCAAGAATCTGAAGGGTATAATGATCTGTATGTATAGACTAAAAAATACGGGACTTAGTAGAATTACTCTCAAAGACCAAGAAGTATTGGTTTCCTTTGTTACTTAGGGGAAAGGGAGGGACTGGGAGTAGGCTATTGACCAGATTTTGTGGATACCAAACCCTGTAGGATACTTACATTCATTTTGTCAGGGTTTGTAAATGTTGAGTGTGGGGCTTGCATTGTAATTAGCATTATGCCTAGTATTAATGGAAATGTATGCTGCATCCCTGAGAATTATCAGGGTAATAAGCATCCTATTCCCAATATCTTCCTCCCTATATGAGGTAGATTAAGTCTGCAAAGAGAAGCATTTATTGGCCCCGAAAAGGGATGCACCATATAGCGTCCCTAGTATTAAGAAAAAAACTTCATTTTCCTTGAGTGGGTTCCTTACTAAGGAGCAGTTTGTTCTTCCCTGCTCACCACATTCTCTCCATTTCCAAAACAGACAGAGCCAATAAAAGGAACTATTGCTTGTCTCAAATGCAGTATATTTGCTGCTTATATGTTCTTTGATGAATTCAGCCCTCGGTTTATCCCTCTTCAGGGGTTCCAGTCCAGTAAGGAAGGCAGCTTGGGGTCTCCAAATAGGCCTAGACTCCATGAGTGAGGCTGCCAAGGCATTTGATAGAATGAAAATTGCCAAGCTATTCCTGCATCTCTTGGTGAGCTGCTAAAATGAGGCATTGTCTTCAAACAGAGGGAATAGCTTTAACTTCAAAGAATTTGTATTCATTTTCTGGTAAAGTTAGGAAAAGCAGCTCATCCACAGCAGTGACTGGAGAATGAGGAAAAGAGTTGGTGTGTCCCCAGAAACTCTGCCCTTCGAAGAAGAATTGTTGGCATTGCAGTGTGATCCCACAGCATGCTGGGTTCCTCATGACTTTGTCAGTTATGGAAGGCATCTCAGGTTCTTTGTAGCGTATAGCTTATGTAAAATAGATATCCATGAGTTAATCCGTCAGCAGAATAAATACCCTTCCAGTTACTCAAATATAGTAATTTTATAAATTTCTTTGATAAAAGTAGATTTTCAGATGCTGCCACTCATCATCTATATATTTTAGTGCTTTTGAGTATTTCTATATAATTATATTTAATACTGTAAACTATAAGTGCTGTAATTTCCTTTGACCTATGTTGCAGTTGGATACATTACTTGATCAGAGCTCTCAATGAATCATTTTATGCACACGTATTTAGTTAATTGGTTATTTTTTTCCTGCCTGTGTTTATATGTAATATACTCTATAAGGAAAGGAAATCAGCCTGCCTGCAGCTGAGTCTGGTAGAAGAGCAATTAAGTTCTATCAGAACAAACAGCTGTCAATAATGAGGTCTGAATTAAAATTACTACCAAAGAAAGGAATCTAGACATCTGCAGGAAATGTGAAAATATTTTTATAACCTAATAGCTGAGATCTGGACAGGGGTATCACTGAGTTTTCCCAGCTGTACCTGCAATGTATTTTGAAATGTTCCCAGACTGAAAGAACACTGAAACTTATTGCATGAACTAGACTGCATTTAAAAAATAATAATGTTGGCTGCCTTTGAACAGTGTGTATTTTGATTTCATGTAATCAGCATGAAAACTTTCTATTTCAAACTATTTTGCTGTGCCCCTTGGTCATAAAATGAGGCTTAAAAATAGTTCTGTTATCTTTGTTTGGTGTCTTTCCAATCTGGGTTCTATTGCTTAGATATTTTTCTTTCTGTCTTTGGAAAAATACTTTTAGGTCTTATTACATGGTATCTGATTTGCTCGCATTTGGGGTTGTTTCTTGCAAAGAAAACTCAAAAGGTGGGCTTTGGGCATCTGAGTTTTATTACAAGATAATTCCATATATTTTCAGGTATCTGGAGATAGTAAAGTATTTGGTCTTAAAAAAAATGAAAAGCAAACTTTGCGTTTTTGAAAGCAGCCCTTTGCGGTCTCTCCTTTCCATTGAACTTTACATTGCTAAGGACAAAAAATCCTTATGAATGAGAGATTTTGATTTTTTTAAATTTATGTGTATGTATGTAAACACACACATATGTACATTATTATGAGTGTATTCTGTGCACCTTTTTGTCTGTATTTACATATAAAAATGTTAGCAATGTGCCTGTATCCTCATTACCCAAAGTGTGGCCCAGCGACCAGCCATATCAGCATGGCTTTAGAACTTGTTGGAAATGCACAATCTTTGGTCCCACCCCAGACTTACTGAATAAGAACCTCTGGGACAGAGCCCAGGTCTCCGTGCTCTCACAGTCCCTAGCAGCATGTTCAGACTACTTGAACATATAATGTATATATGCCTGGGGTACACTGCATGGCGATTGATACATAGAAGAGGAATCTCCCATTTTGCATCCATTGAGTTGAATTATTGAATATTAACCTTCAGCTCTTTGGTGTCACAGTCTCTTAACTGTTTCCCATCTTCTAGTATTATTCTGCATGAGAGGCAAACCCTGTCCTCTCTACTGTCATCCTTAAACATGACCAGTAGGTTATTCTAAATACACTTAATACTAGCTCTTATTTATTCGTCAGTATGTATGCATACCACTCGAACTAAAAGGTCAACCATAGACCAAAATATTCTAAAAGAGATAGAGCTGACATAAATGTAACTAGCTGATACATAACCAGGTATGTTAGTCTGAAGAAAAGAGGTTTATTTGGCCTACAACCTGTTCTGGCAGGCAGTACAGCAAGCGTGATACTGGCATTTGCTTCTGTTGAGGGCCCCAGGAAGTTTGGTGGAAGGCAAAAGGGGAGCCAGTGTATCAGATGGCAAAAGGGAGCAAGAGAGAGACAGGAGAGGTGCCGCACTATTTTAAACAATCAGTTCTCATGTAAACTCAATATCCCTCATTACCACCGTGAGGGCACCAAGCCTTCATGAACGATCCACCTCCCATGCTCCAAACACTTCCCACCAGGCTCCACTTCCACCATTGAGGATCATATCTCAACATGAGATTTGGAGGGTACACATATCCAAACTATATCACCAGGTTCACAAAGACCTATTTTGGCAGTGCTTTAAAAACCACTTAATTCATTTATTTTTCAGTAGTGCAGTAGAGTGGGAGAGCTAATGTTTCATGAATAAAAGACAATTACAGGAACAGCATTTCTCTCTTGGACCAACATTCTTACAGCCTAAATTGATTGATAGAATCGTGGACCTTGGGTCCATCTGGGGAGCTCCAAGGAAAACTGTCATCTGTTCATAGTAAAACTCCCATTGGTGGAAGTGAGAGTCTGGTGGAAGGGGAGACGTGGACCCAAGTCTTAGCTCCCTAGTGACAGCCACGTGATCTTCATCAAATTCTTAAGCCTGTAAATATATGCAACTACTTGAGTCAAACCAACCAACAAACAGGAAAACCTTAGTATTTTAACAGTACCTTTATTCAAGGAGTTCAAAGGCCCAGATGCTCCAAAATTTATTAGAAACTGAGGTTCAATGATTAGTACAGGAAAGAAAAAGAAAATTCTTTAAGTCTTGAAGCAGATTAGAAGAAAATTCAGTTATGTGGATAGCCATTTATAATTGAAAAGTAGAAACATTACTATTATTTAAATTTTTCGTATTGGTGTTATTTCATGAAATTTTCGTCCATCTTGTAGGACAACCATTACCAGTCATGGTAGATAGTTATTTCATTGGATGAATGTGTTACATAAAGTTTTTCTGTTTATTTTGCTGTTACTTCTTGTGTTTGACTTTGTGGAAGTGAATCCCATTTTACATTTTGCATTGATGAACTATGGATTCTAGCACCTTATAATTACAATAGAAAAGTTATGAAAAAGTGAAAAAAAGAATAAGGAGTACTTAGCAATGATCTTAAACTTCTAAGTTTTGGATAAATATAAATAAGGTATTAAAAATTTCAATTTATTATGTAATAAATAAAAGACATATTTAAAAAATATGATTGCTTGAACCTGGGAGGTGGAGGTTGCAGTGAGCTGAGATCGCACCACTGCACTCCAGCCTGGCAACAGAGTGAGACTCCTTCTCAAAAAAAAAAAAACATATATATATATATATATATATATATGTACACACACATATATATACATATATACACATATATACATATATACATATATACACATATATACATATATACATATATACACATATATACATATATACATATATACATATATACATATATTTTTTTTTGAGAAGGAGTCTCAAATTTGTATATGTATACGAATGTGAGTAGGCAAAAGGGTTAGAAGAGGCAATGGGCAGTACTGGCTGGGTGCAGTGGCTCATGCCTGTAATCCCACCACTTTGGGGGGCTGAGGCGGGCAGATCACCTGAAGTCAGGAGTTCGAGACCAGCCTGGCCAACATAGTGAAACCCCATCTCTACTAAATATAAGGAAAATGAGCCGGGTGTAGTGGCGTGTGCCAGTAATCCCAGCTACTCAGGAGGCTGAGGCAGGAGAATCACTTGAACCCAGGAAACGGAGTTTACGATGAGCCGAGATCACACCAGCACACTCCAGCCTCCTGGGCAGCAGAGTGAGACTCCATCTCATTCATTCATTCATTCATTCATACATTCATAAATAAATAAATAAATAGGCATACTGATTCATAATTCAGAAACCCATGAGTTTAAGAAGCCGGATCAGAAGCCATAACAGGCCTCTACAAAACCAACACAAAGGCCTGCTGGAGGTTGCTAGGGTGTTGCAAACAATCATAAACTGATTGTATTGAGAGTGAGATTCTCACTGCCTTATAAAAGCTTGCAGGAGTCAAACAAAAGGACAAAATGAAACAAGGAACCACAGATTTAGAGCCTTCCAAACTATTGGACAATACCATTTAAATAACGATAATAGCCTTTTTCTTTTATTTATTTATTTTTTGAGACGGAGTCTTGTTCTGTCGCCAGGCTGGAGTGCAGTGGTGTGATCTCGGCTCACTGCAGCCTCCACCTTCTGGGTTCAAGCGATTCTCCTGTCTCAGCCTCCCTAGTAGCTGGGACTGCAGGCATGTGCCACCACGCCCAGCTAATTTTTGTAGTTTTAGTAGAGACGGGGTTTCACCATGTTGGCCAGGATGGTCTCAATCTCTTAACTTCGTGATCCGTCCGCCTCAGCCTCCCAAAGCGCTGGGATTACAGGCATGAGCCACCATGCCTGGGCAATAATAGCATTTTTTAAAAAGAAAAACCAAAAAACTCCTGGCATTTGTGTACATAGTAAAATCTTGTCTGTGTGGGAAAATGATATGCCTTACAAACTAATCAAAGTTGCTAAAGTTCAAATGCCCTCCAAGTACCTTCCAGTGGCTCCTCTCTTTGAATCTTGCTTAACCTGAATCAGGAGTAATAGCATTTATATTTCTAATGACAAGCCTGCTGTGTGGACTGAGCAGGTTGCACACGTTGTACGTAGTCCATGTGATTGTAACTTCCTTTGGGTTGAGCAGTATACAACCCACGCAGCTTTACTTGGCAGGCCTGGTAAATGGTTGTCTCCTCTTTCAAAAAGTGGGCAATTTTGTATCACTCTAAACAGAATTTAGAATACGGAGTGAGCTGGTATGGTTTACAAGGAAAATCTCTGTGTGAATGATATAGTTCTCTAAACTTCCGTAGCATCATTTGATTGACCTCTATTCAGATTCAAGTCAACTACCAATTATCAGAGCCAGCTGAGTCTGCTCTATCCATGCCTAATGGCCTGTTCTATCCATCTGTAAAATGAGACCTGCTGCGGCATATTCAGGTGTTCTTTACGCGAACACATTAGCCTTCTAATTTATCATGAGAATCACATTTTAAGAATAATAGGGAGTGTGTTCAGCAGATAATATTGGGACAAAGCCAAGATCATGCAGAAGTCTTTGGAAGATTTTAGTTTGAGTCTACATATTTGAAAAAAAAAAAATCAGATTAGGCCCATGTGGATTTTTTTTTTCTTTCTCGAGACGGAGTTTTGGTTTTTTAGGAAATTACCTTTTCACCCAGCATGGAAAAATAAAACACCCAAAGGGATATAACCTGGTAGCTCATCCCTGATCTTTCAGTATTCTATACAAGGATCCTTATCAGGCAGTTTGGGAACTTTGTGCTTAGTTTCTGCCCCTTCTCTGTTGATGAAATGTGAACTTCCTTTATCCTCAGAAGACACCACTCAAGTGTACTACATTTTACCTTTCTGGAGTGATCATGGCTCTGGGTCATCTCCCTAACTCTAGATTTTTTTTTTTTTTTTTTTTTTTTTTTTTTACTCTTTGCCAAGCAGTCTCCTCTCTACAATGACTCCTATATCCCCTTACTTTCTGATATCCACTCTTTAAAAGCCAGCACCAGATGGCAGGACTAAGTCTGGGCTACACAGGAGCTGCCAACATCACCCAGACTTCTGACAGTCCATCACTGAGCAAGGCAGTATTCCTGAGCTAGAGTTAATTAGGTTCCATCTTTTCTCTCTGTGTCTTTGGAGCCTCAACTCTTTATTGAACTGTAATTATGATATTTATTATAGTAACTTTTTACCCATTGCTTTATATTTCTTCTTAATTCCATTATTAGATTATTATGTTATCCTTGTTAAAAAAAAAAGCTACAAAAAAATACTTCAACTAAAGTGAAAGTTTATCTGTACTGCCACCATTACCGATCCTTCTCAGAACTATTCTGATTTGTGTATCTTTTCAGACCATGTTTTGTGCATTAACATGTGTACAAATAGAGATATGTAATCCTGAATGGACTTTTAAAACAATGTAAGTGGTGTTATGTTATATATATTGTTCTGCAATATATTTAAGTGGGCTTGACAATGTCTTAGATGCTATTTTGGAGAGGGTCAATACATGGATTCGCTTCATTCTTTTTAACTGCTACATCACATCCATGGTATTGATATACCATAGTTTATTCAACTAGTTCCCTAGCCATGATTGTTTTACTAAGTTAACTTGCTACATCAACAATGCTACAATAAAATCTCTTTCTACTCTCTTTGTGCATATGTGTAGATAGACCTCCGTGCTAGATTTCTAGAGTTGGAGGTGCTGGGTCAAAGAGTATGTGCATTTGAAATTTTAATGAAGATTGCAAAACTACCCCTTAAAACTGCTATAACTACTATATATTAATTAGTATAGGGATATAGTGTATGTTGAATAGCATGGACAAATTTGACTGCGTATCAATGACAATTTGTTCAATTTTTTTTCATTTTAATTTTGTAATATATAAAAGTTAGACAGCTGAATATTTTGTCAAAGAAATTAATATAATTTCTCTAGTTATCCTAGGTAAAAGAGATGCTAGAAGAAACTAACCTATCTGTGGGTCTGTTTTTTGTAGTGAACCCCAAATATCGTAGAGATGCCCAGTATCTGCTTATAAAGTTAAATGTTGATTTTTATCAAAGAATGAAAGAAGGTTTTCACAATGGCAGCCTCATCAGAGTCACATCACAGTTTTATTAAAAGAGTCACCTAATTAATCTTATAAACCTGAGTCGTAAAACTCAATCTTTTCTCATAGATGTCAAATACTTGTAGTTCATATACCATTATGATAGGTGAACTATATCCAATCAAATTATAAGCTGACATATGTACAAAATGCTCACAATGATTTTTTTAGTCCATATTTTACTGTCTTGGCACCCAACTAAATGATGTGTGAAATATCCTAATTCTATTGTCTTTCTTTGCCAGATCAGTGAAGTACCAGGAAAGGGTCAGCATTAAAACTCCACCACATTAATCAGAAAAGCCAACTTTTAAACACATCTCCAGAATGACTTTAGCATAAAACAGTCCCTGTATGCCTCTTAATTTTTTCTTTTTGCACATTACTACTGTATCACATCACGGGACATTAAGCCCGTTTCAACTCGTGGGACTAACTCAATCATGTTTTTAGAAATTGAAAACAAATGTTGTAACTGGATGAATGATAATATTGAAGTAATAACAATTTCCTAGTAGGCATACTTGTTTAATGGATTGCATAGTCTTTCAGCTTGTAAACACTGGAACGTCTATCACTTACTGAAATTTAAAAAAAAAAAAAAAACCACTAAAGTTTAGCAATAATTTGGTTTGCTGCTGAAGTCAAACAAATATAGAGTTTGTGTTCTGATTCTCATTAGTGGAATAGTTGTCCTCACCGGAAAATAAAAAGTTGATTTTACTTTAGGGATAACAGAGACCAACATAATGCTAGACTCCATTTAAACTTGCCGTTCTCTTTTTGCTGGAATTTTCTGTAACATAACATAATAAATGTACTAAATTGTGCTGGCCTCAGCCTGAAGCACAGGGTTATGCACTCCTTTTTTAAAAAGATATTTAGAAAAATCTGTCTCAGTGCTTGGCAACTACTCTGACAGAAAACAGATAAAAATAAGGGTGGTTTATCAGTTTTGCTGTTCTTATCATGTTTCAAGTTGAAGGCTGTTGAAATGATGAAAAACAAACAGCACTAAATAGGGTTCCGTCATTATCACTGCAATGGAGAGCTGAGTTTTTCAGGATCAAAGAAAAATGCATTTGCTTTTAGAAGTACAATCCTTCATTTTGAGAGGTGCACTGCACTCAGATACTGATGGGTGAACAAAAAAAGAGTAAATTGGAGAAGGAAACAAAATAAATATATGCTGCTGTGGGAACTTGGAAATTCAAACAAAAGTAGGCTGGGATACTTTTAAAAGCTCTGAATTTTCAACATTCAATTTCTTAAGGAAAAATAAGTGCCGGAGGTTTGTTATTTCTCAGCAATTGGAGTGAAGCATAAGCACAGGTTGTTTGCATCTCATCAAATTATAAGCATTACTTTATCTTTGTAAACATGTATCAAAGGAATTTTCCCATGCTGGGGGCTTCGGGGAAATGTTCCCCTATGTGTTATTGATCTGGGAGAGGGCTTCCTATTTTTAAAGTTTTTTAAATTTTTTTTTTTTATAAATTTTGTCACTCGAGTTGAGCACCTTCAATTTCCCTGGCATGGAAATTGCCAAACAGTAGAGACAACGAAGCTGTTGTCTTTTCCCTGGAGGAGAGCGCCAACTGGCATAAGGATAATAACCAGAAAACAAAACTAAAGTAAGGCAGTTGCTGAAAAAATAGTTATAAATTGTCAAAAGAGTCCAAGGAGGAATAAATCAAAAGGAAATGTTGATTCAGGGTGCAGCAGTTGAGGTGAATCTTGAAGGAAAGTACATGTCAACAGATGAGAAGGAGGTAGAAGGTCCAGCGTCACAAACGCCCAGAGGTGGGAAAGCATAAAACATGTTTAATTTGAACTAGTGCTGAGGAACAGCCAAGAATCTTGTAATGAAAATATTACCTGAGGGCCCTGCGGTTTTAACAGTGAGATCAATGCCTAAAGCATATCTAGATGAAATTTTTGAACCTCCAAGTTAAAGAAACAACCCCCAATTACTTGGGGCAAAAATTACTATTAAAAGACCAGAAACCAGACTGGCCTATGACTTTGTCAAAGGACAACAAAGACCGTGAAGCAATGTATTTAGAGTTTGAAGAGATAATATTGGAGCCCAGTAATCCTGCACAAAACCAAGTTGTTGGTCATATGTAAAGAAAAAAAGAAACCCACAAAGGGTTTCTCAGATATATAAGGCATCAGAAAAAGTGGCATCCATGCATATCTTATATAAAGCATTATTCAAAGACATATTCCAGCCAACCAATAGATGCATCAAAATAAACTCAAGAATAGATGAGCCATGTCAGAAAGATAAACTGTGAAACATGTGAGGCAGAATTATTCTAAATAAATGCTGCTGATGTGGTTATAAGTTTAATAAAAATGTTATAGCCAGTCCCTAAAATGGAAAATAACTATGTGGAACATGCCCTCTTTTTCCCTCACTGCCTTTCAGCCGATGGCTTTCTGTTAGTTATTCAAATGTGCTATGTTGTCTATTCTAGCACTTTTTTTTAGGATATCTTTTCAAAAGCTTTTCCACCCTCTTTATTTAGCAAACAGTTACTTGACCTTTAGGTATTGCGTTAGTCTGCTGGGGCTTCCATAACAAAATACTCCGAACTGAGTGGCTCAAACAACAGAAACTTACTTTCTCACCATTCAGGATGCTGGAAGTCCAAGATGAAGGTGCTGGCAGAGTTGGTTTCAGGAGAGGCCTCTCTTCCTGGCTTTTAGATGACTACTTTCTCACTGTGCCGTCACACGGCCTTTCCTCTGTGTATGCATAGAGAAAAAGATCTCTGGTGTCTCTTCCTCTTACAAGGACATCCATCCTATCTGATTAAAGCTCCCACCTTGTGACTTCATGTAACCTTAATTACCTCCCTAAAGGCCCTGTGTCCAATACAGTCACACTGGGGGTTAGCGTTTCAACATATGAATTTTGAGAAGAAAAACACAATTCAGCCCATAACAGATTTCAGTTTCAATGGCACTTCCTCAAAGGTGCTCTACCAGCATCCTTCACATTTGCCTCACAGCGCCGCTTGAGATTTGTAATTAGATGTTTATTCATGTGATTATTTAATGTCAGATTCCCCCACTAAACTGTAAGCTCCGACAGGAAAGATCACGTTTGTTCTGCTCATTCCTTCTTCGATGTCTCAGCACATGGTAGGCACTCAGTAAATGTTTGTGGAATAGTAGGCGACAGAGTCATGAAAATACAACAAATATGGATGGAAGAACAAAGTTAGGAACTCTTCCTCTTTGTCCCTGGATGGTGGGAATGGATGCTTTAGCATAGTCATATGTGCTGGTAAATATGTAAAAACCTGCTCTCTGGGGAGAAAAAAAGTAGTATTTCCTGATTTCTTTGGTGTAAATATTCCCATGGATGATTTCAAGCTACAAACATGAGGTCACTAGAGAGAGACGATCACCAGCACATTATTAGTGTAGTCCCCCTCTATCCGCAGGGGATATGATCCAACATCCCCAGTGGATGCCTGAGTCCCCAGAGAGTACCAAGCTCACTTGCCATCAGTCATGGCATGTTTCTGTTCATGTATTTCACCCAAAATTTAATGCCTTTTTCATCTTAACTAAGTGCTTATCACATACTGTGGCCGTAGCTTTTGCAGTTTGAGGTGCAACAGCAGAACAATCATGAATTTCTTTTTCCTTCTTCACAATTGTACATATAGAGGATTGATTCTTACCATAGATCTTAGCAACCTCAGCATACGATTTCTCTTTCTTTCCTTATTGAAAACTTTCACCTTTTCACTTAAAGGAAGCACTTTGCAGCTGCTTTTTGGCATATCCAAATTGCCCAGATCACTACTCTTGCACTTTGGGGCCATCAAGTAAAATAAGGGTTAGTTGAAGACAAACACTACAATACCAGGGCAGTCCATCGGATAACCGAGATGGCTACTAAGTGACTAACAGGCAGGCAGCCTGTATAGCATGGATACACTGGACAAAGGGATTGATTCACACCCTGGGCTGGATGGAAAGGGAGGGCTTGAGATTTCACCACACTTTTCAGAAAAGTATGTCATTGAAAACTTATTTCTGGAATTTTCCATTTAATATTTTCAGACCGTGGTTAACCGCAAATAACTGAGATTGCAGAAAGTCAAAACCACAGATAAAAGGGGACTACTCTATATGATGTTTTCACCTCAAGAGCATAAAATAATTTGAAACAATTAAGAAACAATGAGTTTTATATATTACCTTTATTTTTAATATATTTATTTCAGCAAATAATCCCTGAAAATGTAAGGATTGGCTTTTGCTAGCTCTAGCACACCACTGATGGGGAGTTGAAGATAATCGTGGAGTTTGAATACATAACAATTTATAATTTATTATTTTGCAGGGTAAGAGGCAAAAAGAGTCTAAGATGATTTTTCAGTTTTAAACCTGAGTGTCAAGGAGAGCCTGAGAGTGGGAGGAGCAGATTTGAAAGGAGAAGATACTGATTAAGCTTAGAATCTTTATTTTTGATAAACTTGAAGACAGTTTGAAATATAGATCTCCACTTGTGCTGAAAAAGAAAGGCATCACTTTAGGAATCCTTTGGAGACTACTACTGAGAGAAAGAAGGACAGAACTTTTGGAGCATTATCTACATTTTGGGGACTGGCAGAGATATGTAATCCGTGAAATTGATACAGATGGAAGAATCCAGAGAGGCAGGTAGAGAATTAGCACTGGAGTCAAATAAAAAAAACAAAACGAAACATACTGAGGCACAGTCTGAACGGATGCCAGTAGATTTCTGAAGATGACATTTAGAGTTCATCTTTGATTTCGATTTCAAACGTGGTAGGAATTCTACCCTGTTACAGAATCAATGGAACCGTGATACAGGATCATGATACAATTATTTTGGGCTGATTTCGTGTACTACCTGTTTTGGATTATTTTGTGTCTGGAGTAATGACACAATCTCCACCCTTGCT
Source organism: Homo sapiens (assembly GCF_000001405.40). Taxonomy (NCBI): domain Eukaryota; kingdom Metazoa; phylum Chordata; class Mammalia; order Primates; family Hominidae; genus Homo; species Homo sapiens. The sequence goes on along the minus strand of NC_000009.12, from coordinate 8,345,584 downwards.
ACCATTAACCCCAAGGGAGTATCTGATGTTTCCCATACTCCCTTGACTAGTGTCCTTAAAACCAAGGATAGAAAGCTTTTCTAGGAACCTGCATTAGGGATAGTCAAATGCTGCCAATGAAATATCACAGACGAGCGCTCTACAGGAAAGTCACCATATTTGGCAATGACTGCTGACCTAAATGGTGGAAAGCATTGTGAAGCACTGGGGGTGCTGGGAACAGGGTGCTAAATTTTAACACCTCAGAACCTGCATTTGAGTCTTCTCTGCTATCCAGGTATGGCGTGCATGACTGTAGGACTTCAGGGCAGTTCCCAAGTGTTGTCAGAGAAGGGGAAAGGAAACCAACATTTACTGAATGCTTCTTAGGTGTCAAGCACTGTGGTAGGAAGGCCCTTGCCTGCCATCTCATTTGCCACGATGATAAATGTGAACGCAGAAAGCTCCTCAGGTATAAGGCACATTTATTGGAAAGAAGGCAGAGGAAAGGAAGAGCAGCTTGAGAGAGTAGACGAAAGCAAGATTTTAAAAGCCAAATCTCAAATGTTTCTAAAGTAATTCTGTCATAATTTTCCCAGCATTACATTGCTTGTTTCTCATTGTCAGCTTTAGAGACTGAATGTTAAAATGGAGTTTGTACCTAGAAAGTAACTGCCTTTTCCATTATGTTTGCAAAACACTTGGTATTTTTAATTTAGCCTTAAGACTTACTGGATAATTAGACTCACTAGAAAATTAACGTTAATAAGAGTTAACTGTCACTATCATTTAAGAAATATGGGAATATAAGGAAGGGGTTAAAATGTCTTTCTCAAGGACACACAGCCATTGATGTCTGAAGAGGTACCTTAAGCCTCAAGGTCTTGCTTCAAGCGAAAACACTTATTTAATGTTTAAATCCCTCAAGAATTCTTCATCCTAGAAGAAGGTAACACATTAAGTTCCAAACGTCAGCTCCTTCCCTATCTTCCATATGAATAGCAGGATTGGGCAGTTAACAATATTTTGAATTGTGGGGGAAAAAATAGGTTTTGTTCAAGTCATAGCCTCTGTTATTTCTTTTCATCCCACAATTCATGATTTGGACTCACACGTATTTGATTTTTTTCCCTTATTTTTTGGAAAAAAAAAATCACCATTATGAAAAGGTTGATACTGTTTAGAGTTGGAGTTATTCCTACCAATTTTGCAAGATTCTGTAGTATCTTTCTGCCAGAATATAGAACCATGCATCATCCAGACATTTGAATGGTCCCTGATGCATATTTTGAGAAAATAGTCCTGCCATTATCTAGAATTGACTTGATGTATAGGGCTCAGTTCTAAGGTTTACAGTGTGGTTTCCACTGGGAAGAACTGCATAAAACTGTGTCCATGAGAAACGATTCACAGCTGCAATGAAGACAATTTAGAAAGACAACACAGAAAGAACGAAAGATGTTACTTGGAGTCTCAGGACCTGCCAAACATGGAGTTTGAAAGAAACCCAGAAAGACAAATCTTTTCCAGGTTGAGTCTGACTTAGGTTCCTTTAACTGCAATCTGATGGCATATCAGGAGACCAGCAAAGAGACTACTTAAAGTGATTTTCCTGTCTCTTTATTCCTGATCAAACACTATGCAGAGGAGTCCTCGGGTACTCCTTACATAATTCCAAACCCTTGTCAAATGTAGGATTTTGCATGGTCTGAAGAGTCCTGCTTCCTAAGTAGGCTTACCTTACCGGGACGGGCTGCTCATTACTGCAGGCATCTCAAGCCAGTCACTAATTTGTTTACTTATTTCACAAACACTGTTGAGCACTTACTGCATGCTTTGTGTAGGGCACACAAATATTTTTTTTAATGCAGTTCCTGCTCTCAAGATGTATGCTGTTGTTTATGGATGGCTGCCCTAAATTAATAATATAATTTGGTTAGAATTGTAGTAAAGGGGTATTTGAGGGCAACCAGGGATCTGAGGCAGAGGATGATTAAAACCACCTGGGAGGGTAGGAATGGGGAATGTCAGGGAAAACTCGCCATCTAACAGGTTTCTTTAGAACCAACTAAATAAAATGAGACTTCATGGATCTCAAGGAACTGGAACCACCAGGCCGACTTTGCTCTATATTAATGTTTGCATCAGGTTGCCAATTGGTCTGTGCTAAGGTATGTGCTATCATTTGTAGGACTCTCTGTCTCAGAAGGCTTTTGCATGATATATCAATGTCATGTCAATTTGTGGGTTTATACTTGGGATTGGATTCTTGGCATCAGTATTCAGGAGCCCTCTGGCATAGGACATAAAAAAGTAACCTATTTTAAAGTAGTGGTTATATCAAATTCCCAGCTAGTTAGCCCAGTCTGTAAACCACAGAGCTCCTGTATGCAAGCTAGCTTTGATATACACTGTTCAGCAGTTAAATAAAGGTATTATTTTGTTTAAAAAAAAAATGATCTCTTACTGCCTTGCAGCCACTATGATACCAAACAGAAACTGCCATTTCAGTTGAGACAGGCACCCTGGTGAGCATTAACTCATTTGTTTTGGAGTTCTGGTATCTTCGTTGCAAAGGTGCCTTGCCAGACCTATGAAAATTTCACATGTAGCTCCCAGAGCCAGCAGTGTGATTACCAAAGCCATCCGTCCTTTGTTCATACTACAACATCTTTAATTCCTCATCCTTCCTGTCCTTCAAGTCCTACTTCAAATGCCACATCATATACAAAACTAATACATCCTTTTTCTTTCTTGTTTAGAAATAGCTGTGTATAAAGTATTATGTCCCTTCGATACACTCTGAGCTCTTTAGAGATAGCATCTAAGTCATCTTTATGTCGTATCCCCTATTTCACTTAGCAGAGTACTTCATTGTTTATTGAATGAAGAAATGGACAGATCAATGAGGGATGGACAATAAATGAACACATAGATACACAGATGACAGGAAACATAGCATGTAGCAAATGAAGGAGGCTGTCTGTTGCCTGTTACCTAAGATGGTAATATACACCTATTATATACCTATTCCTGTTGATGACATGTTTACCAGCCTGATAAACCCGCATGATCAGGAAGAGAAAGTATTTTGGATTGAACCATACTTGACACATAAATGTCCTCAGCCTGAAGGGTTTGATAAATAGGAAGCATGCGAGGTTTAGCTTGAGACTGTAAAAACAATCTTTATGTTTTGTACATGGGACGAAAACAGATTGAGAGAGTTTGCAAGAACTATAGCCTAGCCAGATCTGGACCAATATATAAAACTATCTTCTAAATATGGACAGACTAAATGTTTGTATTTTTTTCATAATGACTTCAAAAGTTTTCGAAATAATGTTCACTTTGTATTGCATGATCAAGGAACATAGTGATTATGGATTTAATATTTTTTACATTTTAAAACTAAACTAATTTTACTCAGTCTTTTGTTCCCTGTCCTCTGATTATGGTGCCTAGATAATACTTTTGACTTTAGAGTATTACAAAGTCATCCCAATAGCTATTTGAGTAGAAGTAATGGATGTAAGGTCTAGTTAATAAGAATAATAAAAATACTTTTATTATGTATTGATTTTCTGATAGGTTTATTTGGGCTTTTCTTCTCTATTTTCCTCATAGTGCGGGAGTTGGCCGGACTGGTTGCTTCATCGTCATAGATGCCATGTTAGAAAGAATAAAGCATGAAAAAACTGTAGATATTTATGGCCATGTAACTTTAATGAGAGCCCAGAGGAACTATATGGTTCAAACAGAAGACCAATACATCTTTATCCATGATGCACTGTTAGAAGCAGTGACTTGTGGAAATACCGAAGTGCCAGCTAGAAACTTGTATGCCTACATTCAGAAGCTGACACAAATAGAAACGGGAGAGAATGTCACAGGAATGGAGCTCGAATTTAAGGTATGGTATTGGATGTGATGTGGTTATTCAGGAGCAAGTCATTCTGGGTTTGTCTTTGAGTCGTGGCTTTACTTTAACCTTTCAAATTTGTGAAGTACAAGATTCATTTGACCTTTCCCTCAGGTGTATGATTATAAAATGTATTCCTCCCCTTTTCCTCTTCTATTCTTTGCTTCCTAACAATATCTTGAGCCCTTATGTCTCCTAACTTGAGAGACTATACTTTCAGAAAATATATAGAAATCCAATAGGCTATAGAGAGTGATTAGGTAGATGTGAAAAGCAGTACAATTTGAATAGTCATTTACTTTAAGTAAACAAAAGATTTATATCTAAAAGGGAAATCTGGGGTACACTGCATTCAAACTGTAGGTGAAAATGATCTTTGTTGGGTTTTTCCTTTTTTTTTTTTCCTATTCAACAGCGTCTAGCCAGCTCAAAAGCTCACACCTCAAGGTTTATCAGTGCCAATCTTCCATGTAATAAATTCAAAAATCGCCTTGTTAATATTATGCCATATGAATCCACAAGGGTATGCCTGCAGCCTATCCGTGGAGTAGAAGGATCTGATTACATCAATGCCAGTTTTATTGATGGATACAGGTATCTACTTTTGCTCCCCTGACTATCCAAAGCCTTGATATTTACATGTGCCCTAGTTTAATAACCAGAATAAATTTCATCTCCATTCAAAGACATTTTCTTTCTGCATAGGTCATCATTTAGTCCCTTGGTATTTGTTTTTTTGTTATTTTGGATAGGAGTTAGGAGTAGTAGTTATGAAGTGTTTAATCTGGCCTTCTGCACTCTTCTTTCATAAGCCAATTGGATATGTAAGTAGTTAATAAAGAATCTGTTTTGTACCATATTTCATAAATTTAATAGATTGTGTGAGAATAATTTCTAGAAAATGAAGCTGCACATCTAAGTGTTTCTTAAGTAATTTGTATGACAATGAAATTGAGCTATTAGCATTGCGCTAAAATTCAAATAATAATGATAAAGACATACATCATAATATTAACAAGCAATTTAGTTTGCGAAGTCCCCAAAATGTATTAAATGCTCTTATTTGATTATTTAATCTTAGCAGGAATTTACCTCAATTGCATTAATAATATGTTTTCGTTTTTTATTAGCAGGTTGATGTTTATGTATCCAGTGTGAGCTTTTGCATGTTCTCTAAATACTTTAACACATTCTTTTCATTCTCTGTAATTCAGACAACAGAAAGCCTACATCGCTACCCAGGGGCCCTTGGCAGAGACCACTGAAGACTTCTGGCGGATGCTCTGGGAACACAATTCCACCATAGTTGTGATGCTCACCAAGCTGCGTGAAATGGGCAGAGTAAGTGTGTGGCCCTTGTGTGTCTCCTCATAAGACATTTACTCTGTGGAGAAATGAAGACTTTGTTTCAATAACTCTTGTGCTAGATCATTTTTTTTGAAATGCAGTGCACTCTGGACATAATCCGGACCATCATTCCTTGTTAGTTTCTAAATTTGTAAAGCCACATCAAGTGTTTAAATTTATGTGTTTTAAAGAAAGATCTAGTGATTTGTTTCCAGTGAAGCACAAGCATGGAGACAAATGAGTAGCAGGTGTCCCCGTTTGACTTATGTCGGACTTCTTTTAGCATATTCTTACTGCCTTTTGTTCTGGACAGGCTAGAGTTTGATGTGCCATCATTTCTACTTATGAAGGAACTTGACTTTCTTTTCTTCCTGAGGCAAATTCTTACTTGCCTACCTTTCACTCCCATTGAATAAAGTGTTGGAAAGCAACATAGTTTTTCTAAGGATATAACCTGGTAATCCCAGATCCACTTTTGAAAAAAGTGGTTTGTTTTTTTTTGAAATACACATAAAATAGTATTAGAAATACTTAAGGTTTCTACTATTAATACTGCTCTACCACTATGACCTAATATTATTTAGAGATACCTCTTAGATTGACTTGATGTAAGCATTATTTCGTATTTGCTTCAGATATTTTCTTTCTGTCTTCTTTGTGTAAATTAAATAGAAGTGCAGCTAAAGCCCAACTTGTAGAGCCCCCGGAGAGAACAAAAAGAATATCAGACGAGGAAAGTAACTGACTTACTCTGATTTGGCCAATGACTCTGCAGGGTTTAGCCAAGTCATTAAAATGGACTGGGCCCCTCGTTTCCTTGACAAGTAAGATTGGAACAAATCAATTCGGAGGTTTCTTTCTATGTCCATACTGATGGTTCTCTTCATTCCAAACCATAGTGGTGCAAGTATGCTGTGGTGGTGCAATGTGTTATTGTCATGGCCAGCATTGTCCAAGGACTGATGTAATTATTTGGATAACTTGTAGGTATGAAGATGCTTACCCTATGAAAGTATTCAATTCTCAATTCAACTCGTGTATATTAAGCAGCTACTATCTGCCAGAGACCGTGCTGGATGCCATAGGCAAATACTGAACCAAAGGGTTTCCCTATGAAGGGAGCTCATGGTTTCTAAGAGGAAATGAGTCATATGCAATTGGAATTGCCTTGAATTTTGAAATTTTATTAATGGGATAAGGAAATTAGATAGATTAGATAGATAGATAGATAATATACAGAATGTTCTTTATACTTTGCATAGTTTAACATTAATCTTCTCTCCTTTTAGGAGAAATGTCACCAATACTGGCCAGCAGAACGGTCTGCAAGATACCAGTACTTTGTTGTAGATCCCATGGCTGAGTACAACATGCCACAGTATATCCTAAGGGAATTCAAGGTCACAGATGCCAGGGTAAGTTGGCACAGTCTTCAACTCTTAACCATTAGCTGAAAAGTAGTCTAAGATACCTCTCTCTCTCTCTCTCTGGGAGAAGCACTTGCCACTTGACTGTTGTCCCAAAGAGAAATCATTCATTCTGGAGAACGTTTTTTTTTATGTTTAATATGTAAGAGTAACTTTTCCTCTGTCTGGCAAGCTTTCTCACAAACCTTAGTTTGGCTTTCATTCAAACATAACATCTGGCAGCTCAACCTTGGGGATGCACTTGGTGAGTGTTCGTGCTGGGAAGTGTTTACTGATTGGTTGGCTGTGCTTACATTCACCTTCTCAGCTCATGCTCTTTGGAGCTTTTTTGACTTCTTCATTACTTGAGGCTCTAAATATGTTGTTGTTTTGCAAAGCCCTTTAGGTCATATGGACCCAGAGGTTAATTTGGTATGATTTTAAAACCGCAGAGCAAATGGCATTCTTTAGAAAAATCTGACAAGCTTTGCACATTCTAATTTGATTCCTGGCATGGCTTATTCCTCAGTGTGCTAATGTGTCTGTCCATGAGAGCTGTGCTCCCATGACCCTTGTTGGCTAATTTTCATCCTGCATTTCTTATCTGGATTGTTGAGTCCAAGGTTCAGCCCTGATGTAAGATGTTCTATGCATAAACTCTGATATCTTCGCCTTTGGCCACTTTCAACCCATGATTACAAACACATCTTAAGGGAGACCAGGTCAGTTCAAAGACCTGCCTTGTGTTTGGAACTGTCACAGTGGGTGGGTTGAATAAAACTCCAGGGTAAAGCTATTTAGTTGATCCATTGTTTTTTCTGGAAAGCAGCTTTCTCCAAACTTAGGTTTGGAGATTGTCTGCTAATCCCCAAAGCCTGGCCCTGGCTGTTGACCTTAAGTGAAAGAGAAATTGGTTAGCAGGAGGGTTGGCCTAGGTGACAGACCTGTTAATCCCAGAAAGTTATATTAACTATTCTGAAGGTGACAGTATTCAAGGCAGCAGTTAAATCTCTAGGTCTTGAGTGTAACCTGCCCCACCGTTTAAAAAAAAAAAAAATAGTGCTCTTTCAGAATTTGAAGCTAGGTATGTGAGTGAAAATAGAAAGTGCATTTTGAGTAAACTCACCAACTATTCCTGGTGATAAAGAAAAGGCACCAGGCCCCACCAATGGCAGAGACACCTTTCCTATTCCACACATGCACAACTTAAATCTGATCACAATAAACAAAAGAAGATTGAAACCGGAAGTTGCTCACCTTTTTTTTTTTAAAGTCTCCCTGTGATTGTATAATTTTCTTAGCTACTACATTTGCTGTTTGTCTGTGCTCCTGGAGTGTAAGTCCTGAATACATGTGCAGAACATGCAGGTTTGTTACATAATTTAATTATACATGTGCCACGGTGGTTTGGTGCAACATCAACCCATCATCTACATTAGGTATTTCTCCTAATGCTATCGTTCCCCTAGACTCCAAACCCGCAACAGGCCCCAGTGTGTGATGTTCCCCTCCGTGTGTCCGTGTGTTCTCATTGTTCAACTCCCACTTTTGAGTGCAGTGTTTGGTTTTCTGTTCCTGTGTTAGTTTGCTGAGAATGATGGTTTCCAGCTTCATCCATGTCCCTGCAAAGGACATGAACTCATCCTTTTTTATGGAATACTCACTCACCATAATATTCCATAGTGTATATGTGCCACATTTTCTTTATCCAATCTATCATTGATGGACATTTGGGTTGGTTACAAGTCTTTGCTATTGTGAATAGTGCCACAATAAACATACGTGTGCATGTGTCTTTATAGTAGAATGATTTATAATCCTTTGGGTATACACTCAGTAATGGGATTGCTGGGTCAAATGGTATTTCTGGTTCTAGATCCTTGAGGAATCACCAAACTGTCTTCCACAGTGGTTTAACTAATTTACACACCCACCAACAGTGTAAAAGCATTCCTATTTCTCCACATCCTCCCCAGCATCTGTTGTTTCCTGACTTTTTAATGATCGCCATTCTAACTGGTGTAAGATGGTATCTCATTGTGGTTTTGATTTGCATTTCTCTAATGACCAGTGATAGCATTTTTTCATATGTTTGTCTGCCGCATCGGTGTCTTCTTCTGAGAAGTGTCTGTTCATATCCTTTGCCCACTTTTTGATGAGGTTGTTGTTTTCCTGTAAATTCGTTTAAGTTCTTTGTAGATTCTGGATATTAGCCCTTTGTCAGGTGGATAGATAGCAAAAATTTCCTCCCATTCTGTAGGTTGCCTGTTCACTCTGATGGTAGTTTTTTTTTTTTTTTTTTGCTCTGCAGAAGCTCTTTAGTTTAATTAGATCCCATTTGTCACTTTTGGCTTTAGTTGCCATTGCTTTTGGTGTTTTAGTCCTGAAGTCTTTGTGTATACCTATGTCCTGAATGGTATTGCCTAGGTTTTCTTCTAGGGGTTTTCATCATTTTACATCTTAGGTTTAAGTCTTTAATCCATCTTGAGTTAATTTTTGTATAAGGAAGGGATCCAGTCTCAGTTTTCTGCATATGGCCAGCCAGTTTTCCCAACACCATTTATTAAATAGAGGAGCCTTTCCCCATTCTTGTTTTCCCTCAGGTTTGTCAAAGATAAGATGTTTGCAGATGTGTGGCGTTACTTCTGAGGCCTCTGTTCTGTTCCATTGGTCTATATCTCTGTTTTGGTACCAGTACCATGCTGTTTTGGTTACTGTAGCCTTGTTTGAAGTCAGGTAGCATGATCTCTCAAGCCTTGTTCTTTTTGCTTAGGATTGTCTTGGCTTTGTGGGCTCTTTTTTGGTTCCATGTCAAATTTAAAGTAGTTTTTTCCCATTCTGTGAAGAAAGTCATTGGTAGCTTGATGGGGATGGCATTGAATCTATAAATTACCTTGGGCAGTATGGCCATTTTCACGATATTGATTCTTCCTATCCGTGAGCATGGAATGTTCTTCCATTTGTGTCCTCTCTTATTTCCTTGAGCAGTGGTTTGCAGTTCTCCTTGAAGAGGTCCTTCACATGCCTAGGTATTTTATTCTCTTTGAAGCAATTGTGAATGGGAGTTCACTCATGATTTGGCTGTTATTGGTATATAGGAGTGCTTGTGACTTTTGCACATTAATTCTTTATCCTGAGATTTTGCTGAAGTTTCTTATCAGCTTGAGATTTGGGGCTGAGACAATGGGGTCTTCTAAATATACAATCATGTCATCTGCAAACAGAGACAATTTCACTTCCTCTTTTCCTAATTGAATACCCGTTACTTCTTTCTCTTGCCTGATTGCCCTGGCCAGAACTTCCAATACTGTGTTGAATAGGAGTGGTGAGAGAGGGCATCCCTGTCTTGTGCCAGTTTTCAAAGGGAATGCTTCCAGTTTTTGCCCATTCGTTATGACAGTGGCTGTGCGTTTATCATAAATAGCTCTTCTTATTTTGAGATACGTTCCATCAGTACCTAGTTTATTGAGAGTTGTTAGCACAAAGTGGTGTTGAATTTTGCCAAAGGCCTTTTCTGCATCTATTGAGATAATCATGTGGTTTTTGTCATTGGTTCTGTGTATGTGATGGATTATGTTTATTGATTTGTGTATGTTGAACAAGCCTTGCATCCCAGGGATGAAGCCGACTTGATCGTGGTGGATAAGCTTTTTGATGTGCTGCTGGATTCGGTTTGCCAGTACTGAGGATTTTGGCATCGATGTTCATCAGGGATATTGGCCTGGAATTTTCTTTTTTGTTGTGTCTCTGCCAGGTTTTGGTATCAGGATGATGCTGGCCTCATAAAATGAGTTAGGAAGGAGTCCCTCTTTTTGTATTGTTTGGAATAGTTTCAGAAGGAATGGTACCAACTCCTCTTTGTACCTCTGGTAGAATTCATCTGGTCCTGGACTTTTTTGGTTGCTAGGCTATTAATTACTGCCTCAATTTCAGAACTTGTTATTGGTCTATGCAGAGATTCAACTTCTTCCTGGTTTAGTCTTGGGAGGGTGTACGTCTCCAGGAATTTATCCATTTCTTCTAGATTTTCTAGTTTATTTGCATAGAGGTGTTGATAGTATTCTCTGATGGTAGTTTGTATTTGTGTGGGATCAGTGGTGATTTCCCCTTTGTCCTTTTTTATTGTGTCTGTTTGAGTCTTCTGTCTTTTCTATCTATTTTGTTGATCTTTTCCAAAAGCCAGCTCCTGGATTCATTGATTTTTTGAAGGGTTTTTCGTGTGTCTATCTCCTTCAGTTCTGTAGTGTTCTTAGTTATTTCTTGTCTTCTGTTAGCTTTTGAATTTGTTTGCTCTTGTTACTCTAGTTCAATTGTGATGTTAGGGTGTCGATTTTAGATCTTTCCTGCTTTCTCTTGTGGGCATTTAGTGCTATAAATTTCTCTCTACACACTGCTTTAAATGTGTCCCAGAGATTCTGGTACATTGTGTCTTTGTTCTCATTGGCTTCAAAGAACATCTTTATTTCTGCCTTCATTCTGTTATTTACCCAGTAGTCATTCAGGAGCAGGTGGTTCAGCTTCCATGTAGTTGTGTGGTTTTGAGTGGTTTTTTTTTTAATCTTGAGTTCTAATTTGATTGCACTGTGGTCTGAGAGACCGTTTGTTATGATTTCCATTCTTTCTTTTGCATTTGCTGAGGAGTGTTTTACTTCCAATTATGTGGTCAATGTTAGAATAAGTGCAATGTGGTGTTGAGAATATATATTCTCTTGATTTGGGGTGGAGAGTTCTGTAGATGTCTATTAGGTCTGCTTAGTCCAGAGCTGACTTCAAGTCCTGAATGTCCTTGCTAATATTCTGTGTCATTGATCTAATATTGACAGTGGGGTGTTAAAGTCTCCTATTATTATTGTGTGGGAGTCTAAGTCTCTTTGTAGGTATCTAAGAACTTGCTTTATTTTATGAATCTGGGTGCTCCTGTATTGGGGTCACATATATTTAGGATAGTTAACTCTTCTTCGTTCATTGATCCCTTTGCCATTATGTAATGGCCTTCTTTGTCTCTTTTGATCTTTGTTGGTTTAAAGTCATCAGTTTTATCAGAGACTAGGATTGCAACCCCTGCTCTTTTTTTTTGCCTTCCATTTGCTTGGTAGATCTTCCTCCATCCCTTTATGTTGAGCCTATGTGTATCTCTGCGTGTGAGATGGGTCTTTACTCTTTATCCAATTGGCCAGTCCGTGTCTTTTAATTGGGGCATTTAGTCCATGTACATTTAAGGTTAATATTGTTATATGCAAATTTGATTCTGTCATTATGATGCTGGCTGGTTATTTTGCCCATTAATTATGCAGCTTCTTCATAGCGTTGATGGTCTTTACAATTTGGTATGTTTTTGCAGTGGCTGGTACCAGTTGTTCCTTTCCATGTTTAGTGCTTCCTTCAGGAGCTCTTGTAAGGCAGGCCTGGTGGTGACATAATCTCTCAGCATTTGCTTTTCTGTAAAGGATTTTATTTCTCCTTTGCTTATGAAGCTTAATTTGGCTGGATATGCAATTCTGGGTTGAAAATTACAGTATTGTTAAACAGGTAACCTTTAAATGAAGTCAGGCAGTCTCTCCTCCAAATAGAAGGTATTTGCACACATGACCTCTTCTTGCTATTGAAAGCAACTGTGGTCAGAAATGAAATCCCCAGGACATTCAGAGGAGAATAAATCTGTATTACCTAGCTTCTGGGTCTCCTTCCTGTGCTTTCCAAATCTTTTCCAGAAACAGAGGGAAGTAAATCATGCTTCCATGGTAACCATCCATAAAGTACTTATGGGGCCAAATAGTTTTCTCTATTTCTCAGTATTCCCACACACTTGGTGTCATCTTCCTGTTTATCTCCATCCCCAAATAACATCAGTCAGGAATCTGGCATGTCCCTGTGAAAACCACCAGGCGAGGTGATGAGTGCTCATCTCACACTGAGATCCTCTCTCTTCTCAATATGAGTGAATGATAAAGGATTGAGTCCCTGTTCACTTACCCAGAACCTTGGGAACATGCACACGTGTATCTAAAAAAAGTTTGATGAGGAAATAATGTGTTAACAGAAACAATGGAGGAACAAGTTGAAGGCTCTTTAATGAGAAGAGACCATTTAGGAGTAGGACCTCTTCAAATGAGAAATGAGATCGGTCTCTCTAAGCTTGGATTATTTCTCTCTGCTGATGAGTCAGGGGAGAAGGTTGATGGGCAATGTATTATTTCTGCTTCTATAAACAGAGGCTCCCTTCCACTTTTCTTGTACTTCTAGAAACACCTTAAATTTCCACAAGGGATCAGAAGATCAGAAATGCCTTAGTGTCTTCTTTTCAACCCAGATATACTTCGTGAGTCAGAGCAGTTTTACCTAATCACTCTAAAAAAGAAAGACTGCTCTTCAATCTGGCTTTTTTTTCTACCTTTTGGTTTATCTATGTTAAAGCTCTCCACAGACTGTTAATTCCTGTGGTCAGCCAGGGAGAGCTCTTTTTCAGAAAAGGGCATTTGTTTGCTAATAGTCGTTGGTATCCTTGAGGGATGCTTTACTTCCCACTTAACAGCACAGTCATATGGTTCATGCTATGTCCCCTGCCATGGCTAGAAATGGTATTCCTCTGAGACATGGGGGGCATCCAGGTTAACAGCAACTACCGGGTTTGTGTCAGATACTTTAAATTTCACCATTTGTCATTTGACAACGGTAGAAATACGCAAGCACAGCAGATGTGAAGTTATTGCGACAACTGCAAAAGCTCTGGTCTGGATGACATGCCTAGGTGCTTGTTTCAATATTTATTACAAAGTAATTAGTTTCTGAAATTTTTGAAATGGAATATATATGTTCCATTTTATATGTTCCATTTTGGAAGGAATGCAGACATGATGAATGGTTACGAACCCCCACTTTGGGTCTCAGAAACATTTGTTAATGGGGGAACTATGTGGATGGCTACTAACGAGAACCAGGTTTTTAACTGGGCACTGCAAGAGTAAATAAATTTAGGATTTCAAGAGTAAATAAATTTAGGATTTAAAGGTATGTGAGTGTGGACAATATTTATAGCAGATAAACCATAACTAAGTTTCTATTTAAACATGTTCCTAACTTTTTCTACCCTTTTTGTTTTCGGGAAATGAAAATGATTGTTCTTGTGGTCCGTATGCTTGCTGAATCCTCCTGGCGTCTTCCTTTGCGGCCGGGTATGTGGCTTTCCTTCTAAAGGACGGCCAGTCCCGAACAGTAAGGCAGTTCCAGTTCACTGACTGGCCAGAGCAAGGAGTGCCAAAGTCCGGAGAAGGATTTATTGACTTCATCGGCCAAGTCCATAAAACAAAAGAACAGTTTGGCCAAGATGGACCCATTTCAGTCCATTGCAGGTAAGTTTCCATTTGTGAATAAAGCAGTGATAAGTGGTGGTGTTTCTTCATTGTCTGTATACACTTTTTGTAGTAAGTTTGCTTATTTGAAATTTTATTCTTGGCAATGTATTACAAAACTTAAAGCAGGATTGATTTCTCTTTCTTTTCATAAAGTGAAAATAAGTGAAAATAATCAGAGGAAAATGTTTAGCCCCAAAAAAATGTTTATCCCCCAAAAAATTTGCTTCCTATTAGACAAACCAAATTACCAATTTTACCTTAATGGGAATTGTTGGTACCTCCCCTAGTAATAATTCGTTGTTAATCATTTCATATTTGCTTTTGCTTTCATAGCAATGCACTGATAACTGTCTTTCTTCTGTTTGTGAAAACCTCATGAATAGCTATCAAATAAATCCTAATGACAATATTAAGTTCTGCCAGTCAATAAGTGCTTAGTATGGTACCTCAGTTAAAAAATGCAATTTGCTTGAAAATTGTTGCTATATCAGAAAATGAAGCACCTTCAAGTTAATTATTTTCAATAGTTTCTAGAGCATTTTATAACTCAAGTCATTGAAGTTAATAGAAATAAATAGCAAGTAAATAGTTCAGACATTCACCATAAATTTAGTGTTTTTGGAAGTTGCTATGCAAAAACCTTCTAACAAAAGCAATTCATCTAATTTTATTTAAACTAATATATTTTAGGGTTCTGGCAACTTGACATCTAATCTTTTTATGGTGAAACTCTTGAGAGAGTTTATTAAAAAATATATTTTGCTTCAGCACATCAAAGAAAACTATAGTTCTTTACGACATAGAAGGCAGGATCTCAAAATAGGACAAATATTAGACTTGGGCTAAGATAGCTGTGTTCTAATCTCAATTCTATTATTTGGCTCTATGATAATGAAGTTTCTCTGGACTTCAGTTATCTTAGCTGAGGTTTAAAGTCCCTTCTAGCATCCTTTGTTTCTCAGGCATGTTATAAGAAGCAAACCTTTATCTATGTACATTTGCTTTCTACTTTCTATTGAGTTATTAAACATCCTTTGCAAACCAACCAAAGAGCTTGTAGGAAATGACACATGGAATCAAATACAGGCATACCTCAGAGACGTTATGGGAGTTTAGTTCCAGATTACCACAATAAAGGGAGTCACACATACTTTTTGGTTTCCCAGTGCATATAAAAGTTGTGTTTACTTTATACTATAGTCTATTTAGTGTGCAATAGCATTAGGTCTAAACAAACAACAATGTACTTACAAGAGCTGGAAAGATGGCTGAATAGGAATAGCTCTGGTCTGCTGTTCCCAGTGAGATTGACACAGAAGGCAGGGGATTTCTGCGTTTCCCATTTCATCTCATTGGGACTGGTTGGACAGTGGGTGCAGCCCACAAAGGGTGAGCTAAAGCAGGGTGTGGCGTTGCCTCACCCAGGAAGCACAAGGGGTCAGGGGATTTCCCTTTCCTAGCCAAGGGAAGCCGTGAGAGACTGTACCACGAGGAACAGTACACTCTGGCCCAGATACTGCACTTCTCCCGCAGTCTTCACAACTGGTAAACCAGGAGATTCCCTCCAGTGCCTGGCTTGGTGTGTCCCACCCCCACAGAGCCCAGCAAGATACGATCCACTCCCACAGAGCCCAGCAAGATACGATCCACTGGCTTGAAAATCTCACTGCGAGTACAGCTGTCTGAGGTCCACCTGGGCCATTCGAGCTTCGTGAGGGGAGAGGCATCTGCCATTGCTGAGGCTAGAGTAGGCTGTTTGTTTTACCCTCACAGTGTAAACAAAGCCAGCAGGAAGTTCAAACAGGGCTGAGTCCACTGCAGCTCAGCAAGGCCAACTGCTTCTCTGGATTACTCCTCCCTGGGCAGGGCATCTCTGAAAGAAAGACAGCAGCCCCAATCACAGACTTACTTACAGATAAAACCCCCATCTCACTGGGACAAAGCACCTGGCGGAAGGGGCAGCTGTGGGCACAGCTTCAGCAGACGTAAACATCCCCACCTGGCAGCTCTGATGAGCGCAGCATTTCTCCCAGTGCAGTGTTCGAGCTCTGATAAGGGACAGACTCTCTCCTCAAGTGGGTCCCTGACCCCCATGTATCCTGACTGGGTGACACCTCACAGTAGGGGCTGACAGATACCTCATACAGGAGAACACTGGCTGGCATCTGGCAGGTGCTCCTCTGGGATGAAGCTTCCAGAGGAAGGAATAGGCAGCAATCTTTGCTGTTCTGAAGCCTCTGCTGATAATACCCAGGCAAACAGCGTCTGGAATAGACCTCCAGCAAACCTACAGCAGAGAGGCCTGGGTGTTTGTTAGAAGGAAAATAACAAACAGACAGACAGAAAGGAATAGCACGTCCACCCAGAGACCCCATCTGAAGGTCACCATCATCAAAGGTCAAAGGTAGATAAATCCACGAAGATGGGGAGAAACCAGCACAAAAAGGCTGAACATTCCAAAAACCAGCACGCCTCTTCTCCTCCAAAGGATCACAACTCCTCGCCAGCAAGGGAACAAAACAGGACAGAGAATGAGTTTGATAAATTGACAGATGTCAGCTTCAGAACGTGGGTAATAACAAACTCCTCCGAGCTAAGGGACCATGTTACTAATTTAATGCAAGGAAGCTAAGTACCTGGAAAAAAGGTTAGAGGAATTGCTAACTAGAATAAGCAGTTTAGAGAAAAACATAAATGACCTGATGGAGCTGAAAAACACAGCACAAGATCTTCGTGAAGCATACGCAAGTATCAATAGCCAAATCAATCAAGTGGAAGAACGGATGTCCGAGATTGAAGATCAACTCAATGAAATAAAGCATGAAGACAAGATTAGAGAAAAGAGTAAAAAGAAATGAACAAAGCCTCCGAGAAATATGGGACTATATGAAAACACCAAATTTACTTTGATTGGTTTACCTGAAAGTGAAGGGGAGAATGGAACCAAGTTGGAGAAAACTCTTCAGGATATCAGGATATTATCCAGAAGAACTTCCCCAACCTAGCAAGACAGGCCAACATTCAAATTCAGGAAATACTGAGAACACCACTAAGATATTCTTCGAGAAGAGCAACCCCAAGACACACAATGAATCATCAGATTCACCAAGCTTGAAACGAAGGAAAAAATGTTAAGGGCAGCCAGAGACAAATGTCGGCGTGCCCACAAAGGGAAGCACATCAGACTAACAGCAGGTCTCTCGACAGCAACCCTACAAGCCAGAAGACAGTGGGGCCAATATTCAACATTCCTAAAGAAAAGACTTTTCAACCCAGAATTTCATATCCAGCCAAACTAAGCTTCATAAGTGAAGGAGAAATAAAATCCTTTTCAGACAAGCAAATGCTGAGAGATTTTGTCACCACCAGGCCTGCCTTACAAGAGCTCCTGAAGGAAGCACTAAACATGGAAAGGAACAACTGGTACCAGCCACTGCAAAAACACACCAAATTGTAAAGACCATCGATGCTGGGAAGAAACTGCATCAATTAATAGTCAAATAACCAGCAAACATCATAATGACAGGATCAAATTCACACATAACCTTATTAACCTTAAATGTAAATAGGCTAAATGCCCCCAATTAAAAGACACACACTGGCCAATTGGATAAAGAGGAGTGAAGACCCATCAGTGTGCTGTATTCAGGAGACCCATCTCACATGCAAAGACACACATAGGCTCAAAATAAAGGGATGGAGGAATATTTACCAAGCAAATGGAAAGCAAAACAAAGCAGGGGATACAATCCTAGTCTCTGATAAAACGGACTTTAAACCAACAAAGAAGGGCATTACGTACAGAGGTCAATGCAATAAGAAGAGCTAAGTATCCTAAATATATATGAACCCTCTACAGGAGCATGCAGATTCATAAAGCAAGTTCTTAGAGACCTACAAAGAGACTTAGACTCCCACACAATAATAGTGGGAGACTTTAACACCCCACTGTCAATATTAGACAGATCAATGAGATAGAACATTAGCAAGGACATTCAGGACTTGAACACAGCTCTGGACCAAGCAGACCTAATAATACACATCTACAGAACTCTCCACCCAAATCAACAGAATTATACATTCTTCTCAGCACCAAATTGCACTTATTCTAACATTGACCACATATTGGAAGTAAAACACTCCTCAGCAAATGCAAAAGAACAGAAATCATAACAAACAGTCTCTCAGACCACAGTGCAATCAAATTAGAACTCAAGATTTAAAAAAAAAAACCACTCAAAACCACACAACTACATGGAAGCTGAACAACCTGCTCCTGAATGACTACTGGGTAAATAACAGAATGAAGGCAGAAATAAAGATGTTCTTTGAAGCCAATGAGAACAAAGACACAATGTACCAGAATCTCTGGGACACATTTAAAGCAGTGTGTAGAGAGAAATTTATAGCACTAAATGCCCACAAGAGAAAGCAGGAAAGATCTAAAATCGACACCCTAACATCACAATTGAACTAGAGTAACAAGAGCAAACAAATTCAAAAGCTAACAGAAGACAAGAAATAACTAAGAACACTACAGAACTGAAGGAGATAGAGACACGAAAAACCCTTCAAAAAATCAATGAATCCAGGAGCTGGCTTTTGGAAAAGATCAACAAAATAGATAGAAAAGACAGAAGACTCAAACAGACACAATAAAAAAGGACAAAGGGGAAATCACCACTGATCCCACACAAATACAAACTACCATCAGAGAATACTATCAACACCTCTATGCAAATAAACTAGAAAATCTAGAAGAAATGGATAAATTCCTGGAGACGTACACCCTCCCAAGACTAAACCAGGAAGAAGTTGAATCTCTGCATAGACCAATAACAAGTTCTGAAATTGAGGCAGTAATTAATAGCCTAGCAACCAAAAAAAGTCCAGGACCAGACGAATTCTACCAGAGGTACAAAGAGGAATTGGTACCATTCCTTCTGAAACTATTGCAAACAATACAAAAAGAGGGACTCCTTCCTAACTCATTTTATGAGGCCAGCATCATCCTGATACCAAAACCTGGCAGAGACACAACAAAAAAGAAAATTCCAGGCCAATATCCCTGATGAACATCGATGCCAAAATCCTCAATAAAATACTGGCAAACCGAATCCAGCAGCACATCAAAAAGCTTATCCACCACGATCAAGTCGGCTTCATCCCTGGGATGCAAGGCTTGTTCAACATACACAAATCAATGAACGTAATCCATCACATACACAGAGCCAATGACAAAAACCACATGATTATCTCAATAGATGCAGAAAAGGCCTTTGGCAAAATTCATGAGCCCTTTATGCTAACAACTCTCAAAAAACTAGGTACTGATGGAACGTATCTCAAAAGAAGAAGAGCTATTTATGACAAACGCACAGCCACTATCCTACAGAATGGGCAAAAACTGGAAGCACTCCCTTTGAAAAGTAGCACAAGAGAGGGATGCCCTCTCTCACTGCTCCTATTCAACACAGTATTGGAAGTTCTGGCCAAGGCAGTCAGGCAACAGAAAGAAATAAATGTTATTCAATTAGAAAAAGTGGAAGTCAAATTGTCTCTGTTTGCACATGACAACATTGTATATTTAGAAAACCCCATCATCTCATCCCAAAATCTCCTTAAGCTGATAAGCAACTTCAGGAAAGTCTCAGGATACAAAATCAATGTGCAAAAATCACAAGCATTCCTATACACCAATAATAGCCAAATCACGAGTGAACTCCCATTCACAATTGCTTCAAAAAAGATAAAATACCTAGGAGTCCAACTTAACAAGGAATGTGAAGGACCTCTTCAAGGAGAACTACAAACCACTGTTCAATGAAACAAGAGAGGACACAAATGGAAGAACATTCCATGCTCACGGATAGGAAGAATCAATATCGTGAAAATGGCCATACTGCCCAAGGTAATTTATAGATTCAATGCCATCCCCATCAAGCTACCAATGACTTTCTTCACAGAATGGGAAAAAACTACTTTAAATTTGACATGGAACCAAAAAAGAGCCCACAAAGCCAAGACAATCCTAAGCAAAAAGAACAAGGCTTGAGAGATCATGCTACCTGACTTCAAACAAGGCTACAGTAACCAAAACAGCATGGTACTGGTACCAAAACAGAGATATAGACCAATGGAACAGAACAGAGGCCTCAGAAGTAACACCACACATCTGCAAACATCTTATCTTTGACAAACCTGAGGGAAAACAAGAATGGGGAAAGGCTCCTCTATTTAATAAATGGTGTTGGGAAAACTGGCTGGCCATATGCAGAAAACTGAGACTGGATCCCTTCCTTATACAAAAATTAACTCAAGATGGATTAAAGACTTAAACCTAAGATGTAAAATGATGAAAACCCCTAGAAGAAAACCTAGGCAATACCATTCAGGACATAGGTATACACAAAGACTTCAGGACTAAAACACCAAAAGCAATGGCAACTAAAGCCAAAAGTGGCAAATGGGATCTAATTAAACTAAAGAGCTTCTGCACAGCATAAAAAACTACCATCAGAGTGAACAGGCAACCTACAGAATGGGAGGAAATTTTTGCTATCTATCCATCTGACAAAGGGCTAATATCCAGAATCTACAAAGAACTTAAACAAATTTACAGGAAAACAACAACCTCATCAAAAAGTGGGCGAAGGATATGAACAGACACTTCTCAAAAGAAGACACTGATGCGGCAGACAAACATATGAAAAAATGCTCACTATCACTGGTCATTAGAGAAATGCAAATCAAAACCACAATGAGATACCATCTTACACCAATTAGAATGTCGATCATTAAAAAGTCAGGAAACAACAGATGCTGGGGAGGATGTGGAGAAATAGGAATGCTTTTACACTGTTGGTGGGTGTGTAAATTAGTTAAACCAGTGTGGAAGACAGTTTGGTGATTCCTCAAGGATCTAGAACCAGAAATACCATTTGACCCAGCAATCCCATTACTGAGTGTATACCCAAAGGATTGTAAATCATTCTACTACAAAGACACATGCACACATATGTTTATTGTGGCACTATTCACAATAGCAAAGACTTGTAAGCAACCCAAATGTCCATCAATGATAGATTGGATAAAGAAAATGCGGCACATATACACCATGGAATACTGTGCAGCCATAAAAAAGGATGAGTTCATGTCCTTTGCAGGGACATGGATGAAGCTGGAAACCATCATTCTCAGCAAACTAACACAGGAACAGAAAATCAAACGCCGCATATTCTCACTTATAAGTGGGAGTGGAATAGTGAGAACACGTGGACGCAGGGAAGCGAACATCACACACCAGGGCCTGCCAGGGGGTGGGGGCCTGGGGGAGGGATAGCATCAGGAGATATACCTAATGTAGATGATGGGTTGATGGGTGCAGTAAACCACCCTGGTGCATTTATACCTATGTAACAAACCAGCACTTTTTTCTCATCTACCCCAGAACTTAAAGTTTAAAAAAAAAAAAAAATGCTAATCATCATCTGAGCCTCCGGTAAGTTTTAATCTTTTTGCTGGTTGAGGGTCTTGCCTCTATTTTGATGGCTGCTGACTAATCGATGGGCGGTGGTTTCTGAAGGGTGAGGTGGCTGTAGCAATTTCTTAAAAGAAAATAATAATGAAGTTTGCCACATCAAGTGACTAAGTGACAAAGTCAAGAGCCTTCTCTGCACCATGCAATGTTGTTTGATAGCATTTTACTCACAGTAGAACTTCTTTCAAAATTGGAGTCATTCCTCTGCAACCCTGCTGCTTTTCTATTAACTTTGTTTATGTACTATTCTAAATCCTTTGTTGTCATTTCCACAGTGTTCACAGCATCTTCATGAGTATATTCCATCTTGAGAAGCCACTTTCTTTGCTCATCCGTAAGGAACAACTCCTCATGTATTCAGGTTTTATCATGAGATTGCAGCAGTTCAGTCCCATCTCCTGGCTCCACTTCTAGTTCTAGTTATCTTGCTATTCCACCATTTTTGCAATTTCTTCCTCTACTGAAGTCTTGAACCCCTCAAAGTCATCCATGAAGATTGGAATCAACTTCTTCCAAACTCCTGTTACTGTTGATAATTTGATCTTCTCCCGTGAATCACAAATGTTTTTAATGGCATATAGAATGGTGAATTACTTCCAGTAAATTTTCAATTTACTTTGCCCAGACCTATCAGAGAAATCACTATCTATCTATAGAATGTATAGCCTTATAAAATGTAGTTCTTAAATAACAAAACTTTAAAGTTGAAATTCCTCCTTGATCCATTGGGCTGCAGAATCAATATTGTGTTCACAGGCATGAGAACATTAATCTCCTTGTACATTCCACCAGAGCTCTTGGGTAACAAGGTATGTTGTCAATGAGCAGTATTATCTTGAAAAGAATCTTTTATTCTAAGCAGTAGGTCTCAAGAGTGGCCTTAAAATGTTCAGTCAACCATGCTATAAACGGATGTCTTATCATCCATTCTTTCTTGTTCCATTTATAGAACTGGGCTATTTGGTACAAGAGGTCGAGCTTTCAGCCTGTCTTGATGTTCAACGTGCCTTCCTTACTAAAACTTAATTTTTTCAAGCTTTTGACTTAAAATGAGAGATGTATAACTCTTCCTTTCACTTGAGTATATTTAGTGTAATTCTTGAGAGCCCTAGGATTTTCAAATGGTAAATGAGCTTTGGCTTCAGCTTAATGTCACCAGCTGCATGAGCCCCTAACAAGAGAGTCAGCCTGTTCTTTGAAGTTCTGAAGTCAGGCATTGACTCCTCCTCTGTAGCTATCAAAGTCTTAGATGACAACTTCTTCCAATATAATGATGTTTGTCTACATTGAAGATCTCTTTTTTAATGTAGCCACCTTCATCAATGATCTTAGCTAGATATTCTGGATAACTTGCTACAGCTTCTGTAACAGCACTTATTGCTTCACCTTGCACTTTTATGTTATGGGGTTGGCTTCCTTCCTTAAACCTCATAAGCCAACCTGTGCTAACTTCAAACTTTTCTTCTGCAGCCTCCTCACCTCCCAGCCTTCATAGAATTGAAGAGAGTTAGGGCCTTGCTCTGGCCTA
This sequence comes from Homo sapiens, assembly GCF_000001405.40. Classification (NCBI taxonomy): domain Eukaryota; kingdom Metazoa; phylum Chordata; class Mammalia; order Primates; family Hominidae; genus Homo; species Homo sapiens. The sequence goes on along the minus strand of NC_000009.12, from coordinate 8,322,510 downwards.
GGCTTTGATTTAAGGGAATGTTGTAAATGATTTGATCTTCTATGCAGGCCTTTAAAACTTTCTTCATATCAGCAGTAAAGCTGTTCTACTTCCTTATCATTCATGTGTTCACTGGAGTAGCACTTTTAATTTCCTTCAGGAACTTTGCATTCACAACTAGGCTGTTTGGTGCGAGAGGCCTAGCTTTCAGCACATCTGGGCTTTAAGCTTAATTATTTCTAGTTTGTGATTTAAAGTTAGTTAGATACACGCGACTCTCCCTTTCACTTGAACACTTAGAGGCCATTGTAGGGTTATTAACTGGCCTAATTTCGATATTGTTGTGTCTCAAGGAATAGGGAGGCCTGAGGAGAAAAAGACAGATGGGGAAACTGCTGGTTGGTGAAGCAGTCATAACACACACATTTGTCAATTAAGTGTTTGTTGTCTTATGGTCATGGTTCATGGCACCCCAAACCAATTGCAGTAGTAACATCAAAGATCAGTGATCACAGATCACTTTAACAGATGTAATAGTATGAAAAAATTTGAAATATTACAAGAATTACCAAACTGCTACACAGAGACACAAACCAAGTATGTGCTGGTGGAAAAATGGCACCAATATACTTGTTCAATGCAAGATTGACACAGACGTTCAATTTGTGAAAAACACAGTATCTGCAAAACTCCATAAAGTATAGCACAATAAAACAGTGTATACCCATATTCAGACAAAGTAGATGGTATATATTGGGATTGAATTACCTGGATATTTCTTTTATCTTTACTCATAATTTGCCCAAATGCTAATTTAAACTTTTCTAAAATAATCTCTAAGGAAAAGAGTATCTTTAATTTAATACATCTTCTTAACTTTAGGCATCCTTATATGTATAGGTACATAAATGTGTTATGTGTGCCTGTTCTCATTGTTTTTGTCATAAAATAATTTTAATATTCCTTTAGTATAATGCTAAAGGAATTGCGATGCATATACCTTTTATATATATATATATATATATATATATATATATATATATACACACACACACACACACACACACACAAAGAAGACTTCTATATATTTCCTCTTATTTAGGAATGTTCTGAAAATACCACTTTTCTTATTTATAACTTATTAAAGTAAGATGATAAAACCAGTAAATTGAAAAGTTGTGAGTCCAATGTCTGTTCTTTTTTTGAAAATACTTAGTAGAAAGTAACCCAATGTTTTTGTTGCATTCGAGCTATCAAATCAAGGTAAGATAGACTCTGGCAAGGTAAGATAGACTCTGGAGTACCTAGATCATTCAACAAAAAGATAATAAATCTCAGTTTCTCACAACTAAGAGAGACTTTCAAGGTTAAAAGGGACCTTCAAGGTCATCTGCTTCATCTTAACAGAAGGTTTCACTGCCGCTAGACATCTTCAATCACTTCTTAAAGACTGACTCCGCTTGGATTTTCAAACCTCACTTAACATTTCTGTTTAGACTGTAGAAACCCCATTTATAAAGGGACACACTATTTATATATGCCTGTCAGCTACACCCTCCAGTAAATGAATCCATCTATTTTCTACAGCCCGTGCCCAAGTGTTACACATGCTGTTTAATTAGGATCCAAAAATGCAGGGATTTTTCAGATTATTCACTGTTTCCCTCATTATCTGAACTTCCCATTGCTTTCCTCCTTAAGTGCACAAGAGCTATGAATTAATTTTCTTTCTTGCTACCGTGAAGATTCTGGAGTTATCTTAAAACAATGAAGACAACAGAGAGAAACTCAAAACCTTTCTAATGTGGTTTTAGTTGCTGATCATGTAAAAATGGTAGCTAAGTTCAGAGATCAATGGCTCTTAACCATTTTTTTTTAAGATTAGAGACCCCTGTGAGAATCTGTTGAAAGTTCTAAGTCTCAAGAAATAAGAAAACAACATAGTATTTACTTCATGTGTACGTACACTTACAGGATAGTCATAAACCCTCCTGAAGACTAAGTGAAAATCACGTATATACCCTGTTATACCATCTCTTTTCTCATAATAAAACCAGTGTAAACATTTGACTAGTTATAGGCAAATACATTTAGGTTATGGGCATCGCATATGTATTTTAAGTAACTGCAAAATGTGAACAGTGTGATAGAAAAGTTGAAGATGCCAAATTCACTTCACCTTATTCTGAATTATTTCATACTTTAAAAATATTAAGTAGGCAGGTTGTAAATTTCAGAATCTCCATGAATATTATAAACCTATATGTTATTTACCCTTTCTTTTCATTTGTTATGTTTCCTTGGTCTTTCTAAAATGGTATAAATCCCCATTGAAAAGACCTTTTATTAGACTTACTCCTAATTACTTCATCCTCATTATCACATGCTGTTACAACTCAGTATCCCAAGAGTAATCATTTGATGAATGTGATACCATGTTTTCCTGAATATGGCTATAAAGAGATACGGAGTGTGGAAGCTGGTAGAAGTATGTCCACACCCAAGCAAATGTGGCCAAGACTGTGAACATCTCACCCAGTAACATCGCCTTTGTTATTGTGGCAGCGCGGGCGTTGGAAGAACTGGAGTCTTCATAACGCTAAGCATTGTTTTGGAAAGAATGAGATATGAAGGAGTTGTAGATATCTTCCAGACTGTCAAAATGTTAAGAACACAACGACCAGCTATGGTACAGACAGAGGTGAGAAAATCCATTGCATTTTTCGCATCTCAAGAGCCTACGTTTTGCTAGCCTGGACCTCCCGGACTCCATACTCTCTCAACACCAGACACAAAATACTGTGGGGAAAGCATCAAACTGTTTAATAATTTTGAACCTCATTTTCCCCCTTTTTAAATGGGATGAGATTATTAGTGTCTTAGTGTTGCTATAGAAATTATGTGAGATTATATGTTAGATTGAGCTATGTTAAATTTTACTACTGGACCATTTTTGACCAATAAAATGGCAATTTCATAAAATTCGTTATATTCATAGTCCTATAATATAAATATATAAATATATAGAAAGCATAATATTTAGTACATAATATAATCTCAGCCCATTTAACTTCTCCATTCTCCCTCTGTATGCCTACAGAGGTATCAGCTCTTCTATATTTCATGTCTTAACAATGGCCATTCAAAACATTTTGATTCTGGATAAGCCTAGAGATATTAATATTAGCCCCTCATTTCCTATTCCAATAATTAATATGGAAATTTGGATATTTCTCGTAATAATAAGAGTTTATGATATAGCCAGTCTGGTCTATTGAGCATTCATTTCTAAAGATAATATTACTGATAGAGTTTATGTTCTGCAAAAGGCCACCAAATTATACAACTTATATGTGTTCCTCAATTCATCATCCACAGTATCTTTCAGACGGATTTCAAAGTAGTGCAAGTGTTTGGCTTGCAATAGTCAAAACATTATGCCAGCTTGACAAACTTAATGGGTCTTAGGGGTTACAGAGGGAAATTGGACATTTAAAAAGCCTTAACACTCAGCCAAGCAACTTACTGTGACAAGATAGGAAAGTAAACACCATTTATTTTGCATTACCAACCATTTTTATTACAGAAAAATGCACATTTAAGCAAAATAGAAACTATCTGTCTACTTTCAGCCCGATTGGCCACTGAAAATAGGTTTCTTTTATGGGGAAAATCCTTTTCCTCATCCCTATAGAGAGCTGTAAATTGTGATTTTTCCATCTCTCCAACAATGCTTCAATTTATTCCAATATGATAGTGTTCTTCGTTGTCTGAAAAAGGCCATGCTTCATACTGCTTTTTTTTAGTGTGTGCCTCTCTAAAACAGACAACTAGCAATCACACAGAATTGGGCTGAATTTACAGGTATTTTTTGATGTGGGCAGCCAGTCCTGTGAAGCCATTTTCAGGGATGGAAAGCTTGGAAGTCCAGTGCCCTGTGTAAATGGATTTGTGTGCCTGGTGTGCCGCACCAGCTACCTTCTGGCTGTATATGAACATCATATGTAAGTGAGAGAGACAGCCAAAGGGTAGCTGAAATGACTGTGAGTGATTCTCACTGCAAGCTCTACTGTCCAAACATAATTTTTTAAAAATTCAAATTCTGTTGGCAGTAGTTCAGAAGATAAGTAAATTCAGATTTTTCTCAGGACAGTTTGTGTCTGTATCAGCCTCTCTTAAATATTTAAACTGAGAATTAGTTATCTTGAATAAGCAGATAATTGTAAAGGATGATTTTCATCATTATCTGCTTATAAGGCATGTAAGAAGTTTATGTGTTCAATTGGTGGTAATGGTTTGATACTACTTGGAAAACACTTGTCTGGGAAGGTAATGTTCACTCGACCTGCCACTGCTTGGAATTGGGAGATCGTTTTAGTCAAATTGATTGGCAAAGTTAATCAACACCCCATGTGGCTTTTTCTTTGTTCACTATAAACAATTGGTCATTGGATTAGACCAGTTGACGAAAGTAGTGATTTTGCCCCTATATAGATGTTATTTTGTTATGCAATATTGATTTTTATTTTTCTATTAAAATATGCTCATGGTCCCTTCTTTTGCTTCTCCCCATTCATTGTCTCCTGCAGGATCAATATCAGTTTTCCTATCGTGCCGCACTAGAGTACCTGGGCAGCTTTGACCACTATGCAACGTAGAAACCCCTGACCCATTCTGGATTTTTACTACAGGCCCTTCAATATCCATGGAGTCTCTTCTGAGCCATACAGGGCACTTGAGAAGTCCTTCTTAACTTCTAGCTAACAACTACTTAGTGGGACTATTACACACAAAACAAATTAAAAACAAATTATTCCAGGTGGACCAAGAATTCACAGTTTAATAATCTAACCTGAAAAATAATGAAGAGAATCCTGACTGATGAGGCATCTGAAGGATTTTATTTACAGATACCTCAAGGATTCAAAATCAAGGGAAGAAGAAATCACAGCAAAGAACCACCATCTTATTCAGGATTGCTTGAAAGGTGCAAGGAGAAATTGCCAGAATGCTGCAGTTCAGCACAAGATATGTGCTGGTGTGGCTTCTCACAATGAAACGGACTCTGCTTTGACATCGCCCCTTCCCACCATACTGCTCATAATAACATTTTAGGGGGAAAGGGGAGGGAATGTTTAAAAAGAAAGTCCTTGATTTAGTTTTTTAGTATTGTAAAGATACTGCTGACCTGTGCTTCATTTCTAACTGTGTAAACTTTTTTTTAACAAAATGTATCATTCGATAAAGTGAATTTTAAAAAAGTTACATAACTCTTCATTTTTTTATTTCCAAATCGTAGGTTTTTTTAAGCTGTAGAACTGTTATCTGTAATATCTTGCTGTAGAAATATCAAATCATTTGAAAATTTGCACATTTTTGTGCAAAACTCAATCTACAGTATCAGTCTCGTCAGATATATTAATTTTACACTTCAGTTTTGATTGGTGAGAAAGTACCCATTCTCTTCAAATAATCAAAGATAATTATTATTTTGTTTTGTTTTTGGAATCAACAGGGAGGCGCAAAGTATAAAGTTGCTGCTAACATATATACATATATATCCATATTTTATAAGGGTGTCTATGTATATATAGACAGTGTGTCCACACAAAAAATAGATACAGTTATCAGTCAGTCAGTTCTTCCATGATTTAGTTTTTTTAAACGTAGAAAAGCTATTGTAAACATCTCTTTCCATTTATTCTTAATTTTTTGACATATTGGTATTTCTTTAAAGGGAAATGAGGAATGCACATCAGTGATTGATTGTCAAACCTCACCCCCTGATTTCCTACCTAATCTACCCCCACCTAACCAATCAATCACATCCACAAATTGTTTTGTTTGTTTGTTAGTCAGGCTTCCAACAAAGTTCAATATTTCTAACACTCTAGTGCAATAAAAATTATTATTAAATAGCTAAGAGGTGTGCATGTGGGAAAGGTCAGTGCATATCCCTTTAGGAGGGGAGAATGTTGTAATATATCAGCTATCGAGTTGTTTAAAAAAAGTGTATTCAATCGTATATTGTCTATAGTATGTGCTATGAAATTTGCATTTATGATATGTAACAGGGGCAAAGCCAAATTCATGTTACTCTGTTCAGTCAGAAACATTTTGTGGCATACAGCATTCCTGGGAAGTGCTGTACTTTGTTTCGTTTTGGTTTTAGTTTTGCATTTAGAGTGCCTTATAATTGATGCCTATTTTAATAGCATTTCTTTTTAGCTTTTGGTTCGTATTTCCATTCACTGTTCGTATCTGTTACTTTCTATTAAAGCATTATCTGTTTACCACATGTACAAAAACTCTTTGAATAATATGCATTCCTAGTTTTCAGCCAAGTCGGGGATGTTAGTGATTGTACCAGCCCAAAGCACTTGGATAATCAGGGCCCTTCTTCCTTTTATAATCAATCATCAACATCAGAAAAAGCTACTTGTTTTATTTATATTCCCTTCCAAATCCGCTCTGGAACATGCAGTAACTGCACCAAACTTATTTTAGTAACAAATATCATTGGCAACTTTGGAATATATTTGATATTCCATTAGGATTTTTCTAAAAGGGGAAATAAACTATATATATATATGTATCTTACCCCCAATTCTTCCAACAGAATTTCTATAGGAAGCCATGGATGATGGCATAAGTTTGCCACATATTACATGATTTTAAATAATCCTCAAAATACCCAAGGAACTCTTAAAGAGTTTTGGTATGAGTATACTACTTTGGTTTAATTTTAGCTTCATGGATGTTCTGCATGGAAGGATTTTTGTTTTCCACATTTTCCCATTGCTAGCAGAGTGAAATCCAAGAGACCAAACATTTGCAAGCATTGTATTTGAGCACTTTTGTAAAAAACAAAGAAAAAGAAAAAAAAGAAAATATATATAATACTAAAAAAAAGTATCTAGAAGGCTACCTCAGAATGAGACTCTCTAACCTACATCAGAACCAGAGAAGAATGTGCACTATGTGGGTCTGTTATCATTATTTTCTTTTAGTTTGTATCTTTTTGGAGATTTATCCAAGTGCCAGATTACTCAGTGCTATAATTTTCTTTTAGTTAAACAAAGGGGGTCAGACAGACATTGCATCATCCAGACATGCCTTGTTGGACATGTAGAATCCGATGGAGCACTGCACACCAGAATGATTGGCCAATGAGCAGCTTCTCTCCCTGAAACAATAACTGCCCATTTGGCAAAGGGAAAGATGACAATAATCAGAAGAAGAAAATGAATGGGATGCATACCATAGACGAACGAGGCGGAGACTATTGCGGGAATCTTACTGTTCAGGAGCTGTTCCTAGAACTAACTCCCTTACTGTCATTGATGTGCATTCCACTCTGTGCTTTTCTGTACAACCATTCAAGTTTTAATTTCCCAGGTGAACCATCTTTATCTGCCATTACCACAAGCTTTCAAGTTTCCAGTTATTTTCATCATCATAACCAGTACGGTGCTATTATTTACCTATGTACGTGTAGTTATGTATAATTTTGTAATTAGTTACAATGGTAAAAAAAATCAAAATATATAAAAAGTGATTTGTACAGAACTTTATTTTAGCTCTTTTTTAAAAATGATTTGCATGGTTAGAAAACGGCGAGGACAGCCAGGGGAGGGAAGGGCCTCTAGGGAACTTTGCACTTTCTATACCTTTGTACTATGCACTGCCCTATTGATTCTACACCCAATAATGATATTACTTGAACCCATCTGTAAGAAACTGCTTCGGAAATTCATTTGTGTGTATGTAAATAACACAACATAGAAACAGGAAGGGAAAAAAGTCTGCAGTAATGCACGTATTTTTTTTCTTTCCTGTTTATTTTCGGTTTTGCTTTAAGTCCTTTTATTTTTAATTCCCTTTTTGTTTTTCTTTTTGGGTTTTGGTTCCTTTTGGGTTTATGGGTGCCCTGATACTCCAGCAGAGATCAGAAGGCTACAGATCCATTCTATCCATCCGTTATGTGGCTTTGCCATCCCAGCTTGGAGTGTCTTTACAAAGATAATAACAGTTGTGTTCTTTGCTCTCGTTTTGGATGCATAGACTGAAAAATTAAAACAAATAACTTGTAAAATGGCTTGTTAAAAAATACAATTACCTCTAATTAGTAGTACGCGTAAATGTTTTACAGAATGAAAGGCGTGCTTTTTATTTTCTTACTTCGTTACATTGGTGGCGAAAGAAGTCTGTATGAAAATCAGTTCTTTGCTGACACAAGTTCCATTTGTTACAAATGAATTCTAATAAAAATGTCAGTGTTATGCAGCCCTGGCCTTTGCTTTTGTCCATGCAAACACTTTGGTTTTGAACTGACTATTTGTTCTCTCTTCTCTTCTGGTTATCTAGTTAGTTCCTTGTACTAGTAAGAATTCTGTTTACCGAGAGACTACTGTTTACAAATATCTACCTTGAGGTAAGCACTTTTCACTGGTAAGCAAACAGAGACTCAGAGAAATAGTTTTTCCAAGTTCACAGAACAAAGAGGCATTGCTTTCATTCATATCAGAGATCACAGGCAATCTTTGATTCTGTGGAAGATTACTATATAGAAATTTAAGTGCACAACTGTATATATACATCTATATGTATGTATGTATTTTCATCTCGAAACAACTTTCATGCACATAAAAATAGCTCCATAGTGTTAATTTATTCATACCTTTGGGAACATGGCTAAGAAAATACTTGGTTTGCGTTATTTATTCAGTAATTCAATATGATCAAGTACCAATAATGGGTCAGAATTGTTCTAGGTATTGGAAATGCAGCTCTGAACAAATGAGATACTGCTGCTGTTTGCATACAGACTACAGTCTACTGAGAGAGGTTGGCACTGAAGTAATAGTAACATCACATGGGACCAGTGCTATGAAGGAAAGTGTAGGATCCTTGAAGTTAGGACTTTCAATTGTGAGTGACAGAAAGTCTGACTCAAATTGGTCTACAGGAAAAGAAAGGCGTTTACTGACTCATGTACTAAAAGATTAGGAATGGACTCATTTACTAGAAGAGTAGGAATACATCATCTTCAGGCATAACTTGATTCAGGGCTCAGTGATGCCTTCAGGACGTGATGTCTCTTCCCATCATCCAGCCTGATTCTACTTTCACAGTTTCAATTTTAAACTCCCTTTTTGTAGTCCCTGGAAGCTTTGGGATCATAACACCACAGAGCAGACAAGTGGAAGAGTTTACTTCCCCCAACAACACAACCAAAAGTCCTAGAATGGAGTGAATTCTTCTTGATCCTAATTGAACCTGTCTTGGGGTAAGCGATGATCTCAGGAACACAAGTATGGACAGAAGGCGAGAATGTGTGCATTGAGTTATCAAATCCAGAAGGGTTTAAGGTGGCTGTCCCTTTGCCAAACCCCAGTGAATATTGTGGGACCAACAACTGGCTGCTGATCAGCCTAATTTGTTAACATAAGGCAAAGCACAGGTATGCTTGGTAATGTTAAAACTACTTGTTAGAAATGATGACAGAATAAAACAATTCCATTATCCAAACATTATTTTGGAAATCCTGTTATTGAATGAACAACCAGACTCCTCTTTTTCCACTTCACCTAATTGGCTTTTACTTTTGCAGATATGACCACCCTATTGATTGATTGTGTAAAAACAGGACAGAGACTTCGAAGTGTATCAGATTTGATATTTTGTTCCTTGTGATTCATAACTTTAAACAGATATCTGATAGAATACCAAGAATAACAAATATGATCTGATTGTATACATGTACACACACACACAGAATTAATAGTTAATAATAACTATAAGCTTGGGACTTTCACTTAATTGTATCCATAATTAAACTTTATGAGAATTTTAATTACAATAATTGGTAAAATTATGAATCTGAGAAATATTTAACTTTATAATGTTTAAAATAATTTCTGCAAATTCTGAGGAAATAGGCAAAGACCTGTGAAATCTTGTGTTTAATAATACAAAAAGACTTAAAATATGTAAAATTGTGTATGTGTAAAAATGTTTTACAGTTATATATACAATACATATATGTAATGTATATATTACATGTAATTTTACATATATTATTTTACATACACACCATAATGCCATTTATAATGCATTAGCATTTCACTATTAAATAGTGTTTTGGAAAAAAGATAGCTACATTAAAAATTATTATAATATACTTTTCAAGAAGGGATATAAAATTATGTACACATCTTAAAGCAAAGAAGTGACTGGAAAGAAATATAATTATTAAATGATACTGTGTGATAAAATTTTGTTGCTGCACTTCGTACATTTTCTAAAATTTTTACAATAAGTATTTCAAAATAGCAAATTGTGGGTGCTTTGAAATATGTGAGAAGATAGAATAATTTTTAAAAAATCAATTTACAAGGCAAGAATGAAGAGAAAAGAGAATCTAGGACAGGAGGGGGCAAATAGAAAGTAATATGGGAGATTTAAAATTTAAAACAGTAATTACTTCAAATGTAAATAAAGTATATTCAACTTAAAGATGCAGATTTTTAGCCTAGCTATATAATGCTTGTAAGAACATGAGGCTACTCAAAGTAAAAGGATGCAAAAGATATACCATGGAAACATAGCCAAAAGAAAGCTATACTGAGTTATATTAATATCAGCCATACCATTACCAAATAATAAAAGGGTCAGTTTCCGATGAAAAACTTCAATGCACCAGGAAGATGTGACAATTATATGTGTGTATGAACCTCATAACATGGCCTCAAAATGTAGACAACAAAAATAGAACTTAAAGGAGTTACATACATATCTACAGCTATCATGGGAGATTTTAAACGCTTCTCTTATTAACGTATAAAATGAACAAACCAAATAAAACTTCAGTAAGGGTATAAAAGATATGAACAAGCTGATTAACAAAATTTACCTAAGTGAGCTATGTAGACGACTAAATTCAATAACTTAAAAATATACATTATTTATAAAAGCATTTAAAACATTTACCTAAATTAACTAGAAATTGGACCATAAAGCAAGTCTCAACATATTTGAAGAGTTGTAATAATGTGAAATATGTTCTTTGGCCACAGTAATAGTTAAACTAGACATCAATAACAAAGATAGTTAGAAAAGCCCTCTATGTAGTAATTAAGAAATAACTTTTAAAAGCCAATAGCTCACAGAAAAAAAATCCCAATGGAAATAATAAATTATGATAAAATTATGAAATTATATCAAAATTTATGGGTTTTACAGTGAAATTTATAGCTTTCAATGCATATGTTAGAAAATGAGAAAGGCTAAAAGCTAATGATCTTATTTTTTACAAATTAAAAAAACAACAGCTAATTGCCCCTCAAGAAAGAAGGAAATAAAAAAGACAAGAGAAAAAAATTAATTGCAAACAATTATTCAATAGAGGATAGCAACAAAGATTAAAGTTAAAAGTTGATTATTTGAAAGGCAATGAAATTGATAAACCCTAGCAAAATGATTTAAACAAAAGCAATGGACAAATCATTCACATCAGAAACTTGAAAGGAGTATAGTGCTTCAGCTCTTACCAATATTAACCATTATAACAAAGGTTCCATGTCACATAAATCAATTAAAAAAAACCAGAATATCCAATGTAATTAGGCATTAGGCCTAAAAAGATACTTCACAGAAAAAGGATAGCTAAATTGCTCAAAAATATGTGAAGAAGTACTCAGTTTTACAAGTAATCAAGGAAATGCAAATTAAAGCTACAATGTGGCACAGCTACATGCTCACAAGAACAGCTAATATTAAAAAGACTAGCAATACCAAGTGTTGGTGAGAATGTGGAGTAATACATCTGTCACACAATGCTTGCTAGAGTGCAATTTTACAAGCACTCTGAAATATTATTGAGTATTACATATTAAAGTAGGATATAAGCACATTTTATTCAGTAGCTATACCAATTGTAGCTATGTAACAAGTAGAAATGCATGCACGTGTGAATGAGAGACATAAATAATAGTTTGTCCATTTCAACATTACTCATAGAGCCAAGAACTCTAACATAAGTTTCTGTCAACAATGAAATGGATAAATACATGGTGGTATAATGACACAATGAAACACTATACAGCAGTGAATGAGTTTGGCAAACACAACATTGAGCAAAAAATGCCATACACAAAAAATGTATACTGTATACCTGGTAGTTTTGGGGAGCAGAAAGGTAGGTACTGATTAGGAGAACAAAAAGCACATTTCCGTTGTGCTAGTAATTTTTTTTTTAATTAGATTTCATTTCAAAAGTGTTTGCTTTTTAGTAGTAAAACTACTTTTCAGTAAAAAAAAGTAAAGGAGCTGTACCTTTACTTTTGTGCATTTTTCCTATTTTTATATGTCAATAAAGTTTAATTAATGACTCTTACCTATGCATATATATACACATGGCTAAAATAAGTTAGTATTAAAAATATGAAAGCCTGCCATACTTTGGATGGTGAACATCTGTTCTGTATCATTACTGAAAATGAAAAAAAAAAAACTATGTTTAAAATTCCACTTATAGATCTTGAAATTGAAATGTAGAAGTATGTCCAGTTGATGATAAGTATCATTGTGAAGAATTGCTAACAAGGCTATAGACCACTTATTTTGGGGGGCAGGTGGCAAGCATGTAATCATAGGGTTAGACTGAAAATTATTGATGAAAATGTAAAAAAAAAAAAAAAAAAAAAAGCAAGCATTCAGCTGTGTTTGTCAATATACAGGATCCAGCTCACTGTCAGACCTCAGAGGATCTTGGGAATGACATGCAATTACATATAATGTTTATGTGGTAGTGACTACTCAATCATAGCTGGGTGAGCTATTAAATGATGCTACCATTTGTTAAATAAATTTTTCTTGTTAAATTTTGGGGCAACCAAAATAATTTTTGTCTCTCAATTTATTTATTATAAACATTGTCTTTCTACTGATAATTGGAAATAAAGGAGATAGATGAGACATAGGGACTTTTTCACTCTGGGTTAGATCATGAAAGTTAAAGTATTGGGTTTGAACTGCATAAAAAAACAAACAAAATGTGTGTGTCATGATTCTAGATTGTCCTAACCTATCCAGCAAGTTCAAAACTGTGAACTATTGGCTAACAGACAAGCATGAGAGTATGGCTGGATAAATGCTAGATTTATATCATTTGAGAGAAAATTAACTAAAAGTACAAAGTCTATTGACTATGAAAATATCATGTAGAAGGAAAAAAAACAAAAATCCTAAAAGGGGTTCTGGGAAGGTGGTGGAATAGGAAGCCCTAGTAATTTCCCTATCTAGAAAAAAATTGCACTGACAGAATATGATGTAACTATTTTGAAATTCTGGAGTCTATCGAAGGCTTGCAACTTCAAAGAGAAGGCTTGGATAGTAAACTGTAATTAGTTTTAGCCCATTTCAGCTCTTTGCACAGTAGCAGCCACCTATCCCCCACCCTCAGCCCCATGGCAGCTGTGCATGTGTTCCTGGAGCAACCTGCACACAGCTTGTAGGAGTCAGGATGAGCAAAAAAAATACCCTATTCTCCAAATAGCAGGCATCTGTGTTCTGACCACCAATTGCTGCATTTAGTTAGAGAGGTGTAGAAAAACAGGCCAGCGGCTGTTGTTGTTTGTCCTATGTTTGTGAGCCTCTCTCTCTCCAGCTGAAGTGAACTCAAAGACATGTAGAGGGCCAGTGCTCTTTTTACTCTTATTTTTCCCTTTTGTGAGTCAGATATTAAAAAACATTAAAAAACAACTGTACATACAGGAAAAATTAGAAAGTGACCATACATACCCAGGAAAAAGCACAGGATCAGAAAATATCCAAAAAGACCTTAAGTTTATACCTCACTCTGATGACTGGCACCGAGAACATACGACAATCGAAACAAAAACCATAAAAAGTAATAACAAAAAGCAGCAAGCCCTGGAGAAGAGGGAGAATCTGATTTCCAGAGTTAAAGAAAAGTACAAGGCATACAAGCATCTACTAGACAAAATATTTAAAATAATTTTCTTAAAGATAGTCAAATAACTAAAGAAGATGTGGAGAAGGTAAAACAGAACAAAACAATGTATGAACAAAATGGAAATACTAATAAAGAGACTGACAACCTAAAAAAAGAAATTCTGGAGCTAAGAAGTACAATAATTGAAATGAAAGATTCACTAGAGGAGTTCAAAGGATGATGTGAGCAAGTGGAAGAAAAAAATCAGCAAAATTGAAGATAGAACAATGGAAATTATTGAGTATAGGAATTAAAAGAAAAAAAGTGAACAGAGTCTAAGGGACCTATGTTACTCCATCAAGCAGAGAAACATTAACATTATGGAAGCCTCAGAAAGAGAAGAGAGAGATGGAATATTTGGGGTACAGAATGTACTTGAGAAAATAATGGTTGAAAACTTCCCAACATTGGTATTTTAAATTATGTCTTTATTTATTTTAGGGGTAGGGTCTTGCTCTGTCACCCATGCTAGAGTGCAGTGTGCAATCATATTTCACTGTAACCTCAAACTCAAGTGATCTTCCCACCTCAGCCTCCCAAAGTGCTGGGACTACAAGGATGTACCACCACACCTGGCTAATATTTTTTTAATGTTTTTGTTAGGGACAGGGTTTTGGGTTGTTGTCCAGGATGGTTGTGACCAATTTGCATAACATACATAAATATAGACATCAAATAAATTCCAAGTAAGACAAAAAAGAGAACCACATCAAGACACATTATAATCAAGCTTTCAAAAGACAAAAAAAGAAACCTGAAAACAACAAGAGGGAAGCAACTTGTCTCGTACAAGGATCCAGATTTCTCAATAAGATTATCCAGATTTCTCAAAAGAAGCGAAGCCCTGAAGGCAATGGGCCAATATATTCAAAGTGCCAAAAGAAAAACAAAACAAAACAAAAATCAAAAAATCCAAGGAAAAAACTGTCCTTCAAAGGTGAGGAAGAAATTAAGATATTCGCAGGTAAAAAAAAGCTAAAGGAGTTTGTTACCATTAGATTTGCCTTGCAAGAAATACCAAAGAGGTCATGAAGGGTGAAATGAAAGGGCACTAAAAAAGTAACTTGAAGCTGTAGAAAGATCTCATTAAAGTTAGATACATGGGCAATTATAAAATCTTGTATTATTTGCAAAAATAGTTTGTAACTCCACTTTTTGGTTTCTGCATAATTTAAGAGACTAATACATTTTAAAAACAATTATTACTCTGCAAGCTAGCATTATTGTAACTTTAGTTTGTAAAACAATATTTCATACATAATTTAAGAGACTAATGCATTTAGAATAATTATTAGTTTGTGTTTTGGAGCACACAATGTATAAAGATACAATTTTGTGACACGAACAACTGAAAGCAGTGAGGATGGAGCTCTTAAGGGAGTAAAGTTTTTACATGTTATTCAAGTTAAGACGTCATAAGTTTAAATTAGAGTCTATAATTTTAGGATATTAAATGTAATCTTCATGGTAAGTAAAAGAAAATAGCTATAGAATATTAACAAAATGAAATGAGAAAGGAATTTAAACCTTTCAGTACAAAATAATCAACTAAACACAAAAGACAGTAATGCAGAAAACGAGGGACAAAAAAGCTGCAAGACATATAGAAAACAAATAACAAAATGACAGAAGGAAGTATTTATTAGTAATTATTTAAAATGTAAATGAACTAAATTCTCCAATCAAAAGACAGACATTTGCAGACTGGACTTAAAAAACATAATCCAATTATGTGTTGTCTGTAAGACTCACTTGAGATTTAAGGAGCCAAAAGGATTAAAAGTAAAAGGACAGAAAATGATATTTCACATAAATATTAACCAAAAGACAGCAGAATAGGCAATGCTAACTTCTCGCAAAATTACTTCAAATCAAAAAAGGTATGAGAAACAAAAACACATATTAATAAATGGTTCAATACAGCAAGAAGATACAACAAATAACAATTATAAATATGCACCTAATAACAGACAATCAAAATATATAAAGTAAAACAAAAAAATTGAAGAGAGAAGTAGATAATTCTACATTAATAGTTGGAGATGTCAGTAATCCAATAATGAATAGAACAACCAGAGAGAGGATAATTAAGAAAATAGAAGACTTGACACAGTAAATCAACTAGATCTAACAAACATATACATAACACTATCCAAACATACCACACGCACATTTATCAAAAGTATACATTAGCTATTTTCCAGGATAGATGATATGTTAGGCCATAAATTAAGTCTCAGTAAATTTTAAATGACATAAATTGTACAAGATACCTTCTCTAACTACAATAGGATAAAGTTAGAAATCAGCAGAAGTAAAAGAAATAAAACTGAAAAAATTTACAAAATTGTGAAAATTAAATAACACTCTCTTAAGCTACCAATATATAAGAGAAGAAATCACAAGAAAAAAACACTAGAAAATACTTAGGGATACATGAAAACCAAAATACAACATACTAGAACTTATAGGACACAGGGAAAGCAGCGCTAAGGGAGAAATTTATGACTATAAACACATTAAAAAATGAACTAGAACAAGAGCAAACTGAACCAAAGGCTAGAAGGAAAGAAACAATAAAGAGCAGAGATAAATGAAATAAAAAATAGGAAAATAGGCTGGGAGATGTGGCTCATGTCTGTAATCCTAGCACTTTGGGAGGCCAAGGTAGGTGGATCACTTGAGGTCAGGAGTTTGAGACTGGCCTGGCCAACATGGTGAAAACCCATCTCTACTAAAAATACAAAAATTTAGCCAGGCATGGTGGTGCATGCCTGTAATCCCAGTGACCCAGGCAGCTGAGGCATGAGAATCTCTTGAACCTGGGAGACGGAGGTTGCAGTGAGCTGAGATCACGCTGCTGGAACTATTAACAATTTTATGCCAATAAATGGAATAACCCGGGATGAAATGAACAAATTTCTGGAAACACAAAACCTAACCAGACTACATTGTAGACCTATGTAACTTGTAAGCAGATTGAATCAGTAGGAAAAAAAAAATCCCAACAAAGAAAATCCCTAGACCTATTGTCTTCATGAGTGAATGAAGAACATTAATCCTTCTCAAATATTTTCAAAAAAATTGATGAGGGGACACTTTCTGATTCTATGACATTAACATTACCCTGATACCAAACCCAGACAAAGACACTACAAGAAAACTACAGACCAATATTCCCTATCAATATTAATCCAAAAATTCTCAACCAAATGCTAGCAAACTGAATTCAGAAGTGTATTAAAAAAATTATATACCATGACAAAGTGGCATTCATTCTTTGAATGCAAGAATACTTCGACATATGAAAGTTTATGAATGTAATACCTCACATTAACAAAATGAAAGGAAAAAGCCACATGATCTGTTCAATTGATGCAGAAACAGCTTTTAACAAAATTCGACATTCTTTCAAATAAAAAATACTCAACAAACTAGGAATAGAAGAAACCACTTCAACATAATAAAAGCCATATATGAAAACCCCATAATTAACATAATTTTCAATGGTGAAAGACCTAAAGCTTAAGAAAGAATGCCTGTTCTTGGTACTTCTGTTTGGCAAAGCATTGGAAATTCTAGCCAGAGCAAACAGGTAAGAAAAATAAATAAAAGGCATCCAACTTCAAAAGGAAAAACTAATATTATCTTTATTTGCAGATGATATGCTCTTATATGCAGAAAAACCCTGAAGATTCCACACAAACACAAAATATTTGAACTAAGAAATGAAATCAGCAAAATAGCAGGATACAAAACGAACACAAAAAAATCAGTTGCATTCCTATATGCTAATAATAAAGAACGTGAAAAGGAAATTATAGAAATAAAGCCATTTACAATAGCATCGAAAAGGATAAAATATTTAGGAATTAACTAAGGTTGTGAAAGACTGGTACAATGAAAACTATAAAACATTGCTGAGGCCGGGCATGGTGGCTCATGCCTGTAATCTTGGCACTTTGGGAGGCTGAGGCAGGTGGATCACAAGGTCAAGAGATTGAGATCTTCCTGGCCAACATGGTGAAATCCCATCTCTACTAAAAATACAAAAATTAGCTGGGTGTGGTGGCACATGCCTGTAATCCCAGCTTCTCGGGAGGCTGAGGCAGGAGAATCACTTGAACCCAGGGCGTGAAGATTGCAGTGAGCTGAGATTGCACCACTGCACTCCAGCCTGGTGCCACAGTGAGACTCCATCTCAAAACAAACAAACAAACAAACAAAAAACCAAAAGAAAACATTACTGAAAGAAATTCAAGAAATAAATACATTCCATGTTTACAGACTGGAAGGCTGTATTGTTAAGATATCAAAACTACTCAAAGCAGTCTATAGATTTAATCCAATCTTTATTAAATTTCCAATAATGTTTTTGCAGAACTAGAAAAACTCATCTTAACATTTATATGGAATCTCAAGGGACTCAGAACGACAAAAACAATCTTGGAAAAAATAGCAAACTTGAAGACAAAAGAGAAAAAGAGCATAGCTAGAGAACTCATCCTTCCTCATTTGAAAATATACTACAAAGCTACAATCATCAAAACAATATAGTACTGGCATAAAAAACATATATGACAATAGAACAGAACAAAGAGCCCAGAAATAAACCCTCACATATATGGTCTAATGATTTTTTACAAAGGTGCCAAGACCATTCAGTGGGGAAAGAATAGTCTTCAACAAATGGTGCTGGGAAAACTGGATATCTACATACAAAAGAAAAAAATTGGACTCTGATGTAACACAATGAACAAAAATTAACTCAAAATTAATTGAAGACCTAAACATAAGACCTAAAATTATAAAACTCTTAGAAAAACAAGGCAAAATGTCTACAACAGATTTGGCAATAATTTATTGGATATGACAGTAAACGCATTGGCAAAAACAACAAAGATGGACAATTTGGACTTCATTAAAATAAAAAAAGTGTCCATCAAAGGACAATATCAACATAGTTAAAAAGGCAACCCATGGAGTAGAAGAACAAATTTACAAATTATATACTGATAAGTAATTAATATCTAGAATATATAAAGAATTTTTAAAACTTAACTACCAAAAAAACTGATTCAAAAAGGTACAAAGGACTTAAACATTTCTCCAAATAACATGTATAAAAATGGCCAATAAGCCCTTGAAAAGATGATCAACATTAATAATTATTAGGGTGAAAGTCAAAACTACAACAAGATACCATCTCACACCCATTAAGATGACAACTATCAAAATAACAGAAAATAAGAAGTGTTAGCAAGGATGCAGATAAATTAAAAACTTTTGCACTATTAGTGGGAAAATAAAGTGGTACTCCTGCTTTGGAAAAGAGGATAAAAGTTCCTCAAAAAATTAAAAAATAGAATTACTATACAATCTAGCAGTTTCACTTCTGGGTATATACCCAGAAGAACTAAAAGCAGGACCTTGAAAAGCATATGTATACCCAATTTCATACAAGCATTACTCACAACAGCTGAAGTGTAGAAGCAACCTGTCTTAGTCTGTTTTGTGGTGTAATAAAGGAATACCTGAGGCTAAGTAATTTACAAAGAAAATAGGTTTATTTGGCTCACGATTTAGCTGGCTGTACAAAAAGCATGGTGCCAGCATCTGTGTCTGGTAAAGGCCTCAGGTTGCTTCTACTCATGGCAGAAGGTGAAGGGTAGCCAGTAAGTGCAGAGATGCCATGGCAAGAGAGGAAGCAAGAGGGAGATGAAGGAGGTGCCAGGCTCTTTTCAACAACCAGTTATCCCAGGAGCCAACAGAGAACTCACTCACCTGCTTACAGTGGAGAGCATTAATCTATTTTTAGGGGATCTGCACCAATGAACAGAACACGTCCCAGTGGGCCCCATCTCCAACACAGGGGATCAGATTTCAACCTGAGGTTTGGGACGACAAACACCCAAACTATAGTACAACCCAAATGTCCACCTATTCATCCAGTGAATGAATAGGTAAGCAAAATGTGGTATATAGATACAATAGGTTATCAGTCAGCCTAAAAAAGAAATGAAATTCTGACATGCACTACAATATGGATGATTCTTGAAGATATTTTTCTAACTGAGCTAATCCAGTAACAAAAAGGCAAATACTGTGATTCCACCTATATTAGGTCCTTAGATTAGTTAATACCATAGAAACAGAAAGTAGAATAGGGATTGATGGTATGGAAGACAGGGGAAAGGGAAGTTTTTGTTTAATAGCATAGCGTTTCAGTTTTACAAGATGAAGAGAGTTCTGGATATGGATATTGGTAATGGTGGCATAACATTATGAGTGTACTTAATATCACTGAAGTGAACACTTAAAAATGGTTAAGATGGTAAATTGTATGTTATATGTATTTACAACAGTTAAAAATTTGGAGAAAAAATCCTTGGAATATAGTAGATACAGGTTGAAATCCTGCCTTCAGCATTTATTAGCTGAATTGATGCTAATAAAGTTACTTAATCTGAGCCGTGATTCTTTCATCTATAAAATGGGGATAAAATAACCTTTGCTGTGCGTTTATTTTATAATAAAAATGCAGTTGGCCCTTCATATCCACAGCTTCCGTGTTTGAGAATTCAACAAACTGCAGATCAAAAGTATTTTTTCAAAAAATAAAAATAACATTAAAAATAAAGCAAATAGAAAAATAATACAGTACAACAAAAATTTATATAACATTGATATAGTATTAGGTATTATAAGTAATACAGGGATTATTTAAAGTATATAGGAGGTATTTGCATAGCTTATATGCAAATACTATACCATTTTATATAAGGGACTTGAGAACTCACACATTTTGATATCTGCAGGGTCCTAAAACCAATTCCCTGTGCATACCAAGGAATAACTTAAATTTATGCGATATGCATAATAGTTACTATTCATGGAGGATTTATGCTCATGGTTGATAAATATCAGCACTTCCTTCCCATTGAAAAGGCACATGCTTTAAAAAACAATATTTAAGAAGAAAAACAATATTCATCTACAAAACATCTTGTGATAAATTCGCAAGCACAGTTTGATTCTCTTTTCTGGCTGTCGGCCACTTTCTTAAGATACAGAGACAATAGGCATTTCTGCCAAGTCATGTAGGAATTGCTCTACTGATTTCTTCCTTATTGGATATAAAGTTAATTACTGTGAAATAGATTTGGTTGTGCCATGTTGGTGTTTGTATACTGCTGCATATTGCAGAATGTTTTATAGCTATTAATTATTGTCCTCACAATATCCCTGAGAAGTGGACCACTGCAACCTTCTTGGTGCACTAATTAGAACTCTGGCACAAAAAGATCATATAACTTGCTGAAGGACATTCACTAAAGGTGGCAGTGAAGACTGCACAGTAATGGGGGACCTAGTTTGCTGAAATGGTAAGATCTACAAAATATAAACCCAGAGGTCTAGGATCTAATCTCAGTTCTGCCACTCGCTTTGTAATCTGGGAAGGTCACATAATTTCTCAGCCTCATTTTCTCATGTGAAAAAGATCAGAAGGACTCAAAGAGATCATTGATATCTAGATTCTAGGACTATGATAGCTCAAAGTTTCAAATGGGAACATAAAAAGTTTTATCATTAAAATATATACCTTTGTCGTTAATAAGTTGAGACAACACCCATCTGAAACACGTTGGGCTCAGTTCACCAAACAGGAACAAAATTCAAAGTTAAGTTAAACAAGGCCAGGTGGAACTCTATGAAACTGTTTAACCTTCAAAAGATAGTTCTGTCTAGGGGACATGGGATTTAGAGTAGAGCAATCAGGATGTATATCTCGGCTCCTCAACTTAATAACTACATACTTGAGCAATTGTCTTAACCTTTCAAAGCCTGTCAAAAGGGCAAACATTGCCACATTCAAATACTCAGATTATCTTCTGTAAAAAGCACCCAGAGATGTGTCTCAAAAAGCCCAGTAAGTCTGACAATTGATACCAATTGGGTGGGTCCCATATACCAGACATTTTTGCTTGGCTGAGGATGAAAAGATGAGTTAGATACAGTACTTGCCTTAAAATAACTTCGTAATAAGAGAGAAATAACTAATACACAGCTGAATATGACAAGAACCTTAAGAGAGATGCAATCAGAATATGATATGGTATTGGGAATACATAGAGTGAGGTGAGAACGGTTCTTTTGACATACTAAATATCCAACTTCAGGATTTGAATCTCTCAAGGAAAATGTTTCTCTTGTGCACAAATGACCTCTATTCCAGATTACTATGAACCACAAAGAAAGGAGAGCATTTCAACAGACAAAAATCTAGGAAGAGGGAATTCTAGTGGAGGAAGTAAGGACAAAGGTTTGAAGGCAGGAACAAGTCATCAATCCTCATAGCCAGAAGCATCAAGCCCCAGTATAGATGTCACCTCTCTGTCTCCTCTCAGTCCACCCTCACTTCGTCACCAGGTTCTCAATATCTAATTCTCCTATCTCCAACAGGCCAGCGTACCACCATGCATTTTCCAGTTTGCATCTAGATGATACGTTATAAATTGTCTTCTTTGCTTTTTACCTCTCTTGGTCTTCAAGAATAGATTCCAACACCAAATAAATACTTGTTAGGCCTTTTCTCTCAAGTTCTTCCTTTCTCTTACCAGATCACTGGAAGGTGTACAAAATGAAAGATTCCTGCAAAATGTATTTTCTACAAGCTTCCAGAATAATGTCTCCTTAGAGAAATCAAATAAAATCAAGGAAATAACAAATCATGGATTGTTCTTAAAACACTTTATTTAGAAGTGCACCTGTGATAAATATCAAGTTCTAATGTTAAGATGAGAGTCTGTAATAAAACAAGGAGGCTTTGACCTGTAAAAACTCCTCTGGGTGGACCCACAGCCTACCTGGTTTCTGTGTGTCGATTCAATGTCAGCTCCATTCTTTATGGACTAAGAAGGACTTTTATTTAAACTCATACGATATTTTCCAACCTATCCTCAGAAGATACCCAGAAACTAGACAGCCTTAAGACTTCCCTTTCCTGTGTCAGCCAGGAATGCCCCATGCATACATCTGTGCCTGCCTTCACAGACACAGAATGATAACCTGCAAATCCAGCATTGTAATGAATAGACATCATTTGACAATGGGGCTATAAATAGGGTGCTTTAGAACCCAAAGCACATTCAGACGCTTTTTTCAGCAGAGAGTAAGAAAGGAGGCTTTATTACTATAGAAGAAGCAAGTAAACTGGCTTTCCTTGCCAGTAAAGGCAGCACATAATATACTCAACATGCTTATTGGAGCTGGAGCATAAATCACATGATCAGTTCTTAATGGCACAGAAAGGGCTTTCCCTTATCACAATCATTATGGCTAAAGAGCACACATGGACAGCTCATCACGGGGAAGAAATATTTGGTCATCTATGTATTCGTTTGATGCTTTTAGTCAGTGGGCAGGATGGATGCAGACGTGTCTTTACAGTCTTCAGTTGATATTTCTGGGCAAAGGGGAGGGCATAGGTGAGCAGACAAGATACTGGATAATTCAAAGCAGGGCTTCTGAATATAAAAAGATATATTGGGCTGTTCTGGGTGACCCAAAAAGAATTGGGAGCTCAAGTGAAGCAAAAATGGAAGGATTTCCTATAAGCCAGATGCATCCAAAGAAGAACTAACCTTCACTGGAGATGTACCAGTAGAAGTTGGTTGGTTACTTCATCAAGAATGCTAGATTGGCCAAGGCTGTTACAAGGGGAGTTGGGGTAAGAATGGGTGGACTAGATGTTCACTTAAGGCCCCTTCCATCTTCACATGCTCTAAATCATTTCATTCAGAGTATAAGTTAAATTACAATTCACACGAAGAGCTCATTCCTATTCATTCAGGAAAATAAGCCTCAGATAGCTTCAAAACTCTCTCATCTATCCATCAGGCAAAGCTGGGCACTTAGGCTCCTCTCACACTCAAAAACTTGGAATATTTTCTTTCTTTTCTGTATTTCTCTCTCTTTCTGTTTCTTTTTCTCTTTTTCTTATCTCTTTATTTCTTATGGGTGTATATTTTAATAAAACTCAGTACATTTTTACAAAATAAATAGGAAAAGAAAGCAAGAAAAATAGATATTACAGCTCACTAAAAAGTGAAACTGAACACTGTGGGCTGGAGGTGGGATGCCCACCCGGCAGCACACCCACGATGATATGGCATCTGAGGACCTGGAGAAAGAATGGCAAGGAAACAGCAGGCTCAGCCCAGCAATCACCCCTGTCTTCCTCCTCAGAGGTTCATTGTACATAGTTTGATTCTGGCATTAAACCCTTCTTGTCTTCTCCCTGGTAAGGAAGGTGGTTGGGTACAGTGGGTGGTGCCGGGGTGGGGAGAAGAGGGAGTTATAGAGCAGGATGGAAGGAGTAGGAAGGGATCATGAAGGGTAAACTAAAGTAAGTGACTGGGACATTGAGCAGGAGCAAGGAGCTTTTCTTTGTAATCCCAGTATCTAGCAGGGGTAGGAGAAGGAGGAAATAGGAGAGGAAAGACAGAAAAGGCTGAGGAGGGGATGTGGCTTGTTGACCTTGGAGTTGCCTTTACTTCCATCATGCAGAGAATTAAGTTCTGGAAAGTCTGTTGGAATTGTAGATCATGTTTTGAATGCATTAAGGATGCTTATTATTTAAAGGAATCCTGTGAAAAATTCATCAGAATTTTAGGAAGTCACTCTAATATACCATATTTTGAATCCATGTTATGGTCATCTGTAGAGGCAGAAGGACCTTCACCCAGGTTTTGTTCAGATGTTGTGACTGATGATACCACACACACCCCAAGAGAGTATTAAAAGGTTTATTACTTACATAATTGAGGTCTGTGGGAGAGCACGGCATTACTCTCAAGCAGGTCTGAGATGGCTTAAGTGAGCAAGGAAAAGTGACTGCCTGGGTTTTTATTATAGTTAGAAGGTAGCGCTGAGGTGAGAGTTTTTCATGGCAGGGGCTTCATGGTTTGAATCAAAGGCAGGAGCACCCAGGCTTTCTTATCTGCTTGTCCAAATGTAGGGCACAAAGGGACAATGAAGGGATGAAGCTTCAAAGCTGTCAGTAGTCAGGCATCAAAAATTGAGTCGGACTCCACATTACAATGCATTATAGTGACCATTTGCTGTCTTTGCTTTTAGTTAACCCACCATTGAGCCTCTTAGGTTTGGCAGATAGGTACTTGCCTTCCAAAGGCCAGGAGTCAAAAAGCCTAGACACGGGCTCTTCCTGGACCCTGGAAGCTTGCCTGTGGTTAGATAACCTTAACTAAGTCAAGCAGGATATAGATTTTCTGCTGTGTACATCCAACATGATCAATGCCCAGTGTCACAGGAGCAAAAATAGAAGTAGTGGCAAACAGCAGTAGTGGCTCTGGTGCCCTAACCACACTTTTCTTACTTTATGATCTTGGTTATAGGCCCAGGAACCTGCCTCCCTTAATCTCGGCCTCTTTGGTAAGTTGGGTTCCCCAGGCTTTTCATCTGTCTGAGAGCCAAATGACATGTCCCCACAAATTATTTTTCTGCTTAAGTTACCCAAAGTTAATTTCTATAGCTTGCAATGAAGAGTCCTAACTAGTTTACTAGCCAAGACATGCACACATTTTCACTCACACATACATGAACCCTGCGCATACACTCTGAGCAGGGTTAACACATTTGTAGAGTACACATAAGGATAGGTGAAGGCAATAAATAGCCTAACTTTGGCTTTTTGACAAGTTTCTAGCATGTTGCTCAATAATTGAAGTAGCTACACCTTTGGGATATTTTCTAAAAAGAAAGTATGAAAATAGAAAATTATAAGCCCCTAATTTTGTATTCAGCAATTATAAAAAACCATTTGTATTGATATCATTGACCAGAAATCGTAATTGCAGTTAGTGAGAAATCTTTAGAGAATAAGAAGATGGATGACACAAGTACCTTTGAGAATGCAAAGCACTGGCTGAGGGAATATCCTGATAAAGGTACATCTAAACATAATCTATATCTGGACAATGTGACATTGAGTTTATAGGCAGTTTATTTGCCAAAAATGACCAGACTTCTTAACATTCTCCTCTTTAAGTATAATGTTTTATTGTTATTTCCTATAGAATAGAATCCTTAACCTTGAGGCTACAATTACTGCAAAAACGTTTTATATATTTGTTATTGGATATTGTATTGACTCTCTGTATGTTTTTATAAGAAATTGTATTTGTTAGAATATGTTTGTTGTAGCAAATTGAATTTAGTCATCTAAGTTGTAATGTACACATCAGTTCTGTGATGATTTTGTTATAAATGATTGTGCTAACTTTATGTTCTATGCACACATAAATGCCTTGAAGTTACTCCCTAGTCAAAGAGCATTATGACCCTTGTCTCTGCTTTATTCCTGCATCCCAGTTTCAGAAGAATAAGCTTGTAGTTCTAAAAGACTTATTTATAAAGGGAATGAAAAGCTTCTTTCATCCACAGAAGAAAACAGAAGTTACTTCCTTCTAATTATAAGTAGTAAAAAGTTAGGCTTATTTATACATATAGATATACTTATGATGGCGTTACCTAAAATTGGATATCACTATTTCTAAAAACTGACATATTTTTATTATTCTAGAGACAAAAGCAAAATGTACCTTTAGGGCAGATGTTTTTTAAAGAGGTATTCTGTTTGGCTCTCAGGTGACCAAATATAAAGTTCCTATTCCATAATGGATGATAAATATAATCCTGTAAAAGGATCGCTTTCTTTGTAAGGAGATTTATTATCTTTGATTTATTGTGTTATCTGATAGCGACAGCTTAATGGAGAAGAGATCAACTGGTTTTTCCCTTTGAAACTGGTTAAGCTAGGTCCACCAAGTCTATTTTCTCTTGTTCCTGGGCGTGCACTTAAGCTACATTTCCCAAATTCCCTTGCAACTAGGTATGGTCATGTGACTGAATTCTAGCCAGTGGAAGATGAAAAAGAGTAATGTTCCAGGCCCAATTCATAAAGATCTCCCAAATATGACCCTCTGTGCTCCTTCATTATCCTATGGCTTGATGCAGATGAGCACAGTCTCCTTGGAAACAATCTTTTGAAGATGGCAGAGTCTGGATCCCTGAATTGCTGCATGAAGATCTACTTTCCAAGTATAAAAATCCACCTTGAACTTTATGTGAGTGGTAAATAAAAGTCCATCACATTTGAGCCATTATACATTTCTAGCTCAGCTTGCAGAATAGAGTAGCTTTTGAAATATATTGTATGGTAGAGACTGGGGTGACACATCGTCTATAGAATGATGGTGTGGAGGAGCATGGCTTGAGGATTTGGGGTACAATGATCTATAGTGTTCAGTTTAAAATGTTCTTTTCTTCTTTGTAATTACCTTCTGTATTGTTAATATTATAAGCTGGTCTTAGATATATTTTGGGGAAATAGCAAGGGAACTGTTTCAACTTTGTTTCAACAATTGGGGTAGATAGCAGAAGGAAATTTCAAAAAACAGTAGCAGTCCAGAGTAAGATGCTGTCTATGGAAATAAAAAATATTTGTGACAATTGAAAATATTCCCTGGGAAGTTCTCATAAATGCATAGGCATAATCACATGATAAAGTCTATAGCCACCTGTCTTGGTCCTCAATTATTTAATTTAAAGGAGAGTAGCTCCTGAAGGTTGGCAAAATTAGGATCTCTGAGTTATTGTATTAGTCTGTTCTCAGACTATTGTATTAGTCTGTTCTCTGGCTGCTATAAAGAAATACTTGAGATTGGGTAATTTATAAAGAAAAAAGGTTTAATTGGCTCTTGGTTCCACAGGCTGTACAGGAAGCATAATGGCTTCTGCGGAGGCCTCAGAAAACTTTCAATCATGGTGGAAGGTGAAGGGGAAGCAGGCATGTCTTACATGGCTAGAGCAGGAGGAAGAAGGAGAGAGTAGGGAGGTGCCACACACTTTTAAACAACTGGATCTCGTAAGAACTTTATGATGAGAACAGCACCAAATGGGGTAATCTGCTCCCATGATCCCATCACCTCCTACCAGGCCCCACCTCCAACACTGAGATTGCAGTTAGACATGCGATTTGGGCAAGGACACAATTCCAAACGATATCATTCTGCCCCGGCCCCTCCCAAATCTCATGTCCTTCTCACATTTCAAAATGCAATCACACCTTCCCAGCAGTCTCCCAAAATCATAACTCATTCCAGCATTAACTCAAAAGTCCCAAGTCCCAAGTCTCATCTGTGATCACGCTAGTCCCTTCTGCCTTTAAGTCTGTAAAATCAAAAACAAGTTAGTTACTTCCAAGATGCAATGGGAGTATAGGCATTGAGTAAATGCTCCTTTCCAGAAGGGGGAAATTGGCCAAAAGCAAGGGGCTACAGGCCCCATGAAAGTCTGAGCCCTCCAAACTGTTCCAACTTCTGCCCATTACTAAGTTCCAAAGTTGCTTTCAGATTTTCAGGTCTCTTTATAGCAATGATCGACTCCTAGTGCCATTTTTCTGTGTTAGTCTGTTTTCATACTGCTACAAAGAAATACTTGAGACTGGGTAATTTATAAAGAGAAGAGGTTTAATTCATTCATGGTTCTGAAGGCTGTACAAGAAGCATGATGGCTTCTGGGGAGACCTCAGAAAACTTTCAAACATGGTGGAAGGTGAAGGGGAAGTAGGCATGTCTTACATGGCCAGGATAAGAGGAAGAGGGAGAGAGAGTAAGAAGGTGCCACACACTTTTAAACAACCAGATCTTGGAAGAACTCTATCATGAGAACAGCATCAAGTGGGGGAATCTGCTCCCATGATCCCACTAGGCTCCACCTCCAACAATGGGGATTACAATTTGACATGAGATTTGGGCAGGGACACTATATAACTGTATCAATTTATAGTTATACACATGAGGCAAAATACTATTTCAAAGTATGCATTGGCAGGGTAATTTGGTCTGACTCATCATAGCTGCAGACCCCTGGTCACATAGTATATAAACAAAGGGGCATGTGCAGTATAGACAACCCCCACGGAAATGCCACATTCTAAGCATATAAATTCAAAAAGAACCAACATAGTACGGGTCAAAAGTGATTTTTTCCAGAGATGCTAACAAGAAAATATCACTTTATTTCTGACCCAGAGGAGCTCATAGAGGAAGAAGCTGTACAGGAATGAGTCTTGCTCATTTTTCATACAAGTAAAATAAATTGAGAAGAATGGTAGATAATAACCAAGAAATGTGAGTGCCTCTAGAGTAAACAGATTGGTGCCCTGCTTCCCTTATGAAATGTTGGAACTTTTGTGTGTGTGTTTTTTTAAAGAGTTGAAGTTGGCAAATATGCCTTGGTGATGACAGAGATCAACAGAGATGGTGACAGGCATATCTTGGCATCAGAGGAGGCTAAGACCACCATGAGAAAAGGCTTTTGTTGAGAGAGAGCCTGAGGGCCTTCTTGGGGATTACCTTGGCTGGGCCAGGAAGGACTCTACATCAGAACATATGAGTAGACTGCCAATCTGGGGACTGAAGGAGGACATATCTGCAGTTTACCAAAGATTACCAATATCAAGGAGTTAAGGGAGTACCGAAGGAACAACGACAACCAGTCACTACCTTCTGGAGCAAGCACTGGGCATTCCAAGGGGCAAAAACCATGTTGCATCAGTGACCTCCGGGAAGTGGACCAATCCCTCTCTGGCATCATTTCTGGGCTGCTGCCAAAGGCTTTTAGGAATCTGGATGAGAATCTGGATGAGGACACTCTGAGGAGGAACTGGGTTTGGAAGGACTGATTCGAACTAAATCATAAGCTGGAAATAACTGAGTTATTATTGAATAGTCTTAAAGAAACCCTAAAATAAATTAATATTTTTTACCATTAAAGAAATAGGGATTGGCCAAATGCTGTTTTTGTTTGTTTGTATCCTGGCCTTACGATGCAAGGATCAGACCTTCTGTTTAAAGTTAGAGAGCTGAGTTAGATAACAAAAGGGTGACTTAAAAAAAAAAAAAACAGGGAATTTTCTAGAAGTTTGGGTAAAAGCTAGAATATAAATGAGGGCTGTGTGTATGTGGGGATGAGAGAATAAAGATCTGCAAAAGGACAGGCTAGAGAGAAGAGAGACCTCTCAGACTGAGGCAGTAAAGATTGCCCATTCCTGGAGTGGGTAAGCATATGAGAAAGTCAAATTTTTAATCTCCTTTCCTTTCTCTCCTTCTCGATTATCTTCCTTTCCCCCCTGTATCTATGTTTTCCAACAGAATAGACATCTTAAGATCTGCACTCCAATAGTTGAACTAGATGACCTCATCTCTTTCTTGCTTTCTCATGTAGCTGACTTCAACCTCTCAGATTGCTTGCAATCTTCCTCTTTGTCGTTTCATCCTCAAGAACACTAGTAGCAATGTCACCAATTTCCCAATTAACCTAGCAAAGCCATAAAAAGCTCCACTTGAATGAATTTCCCCATTTAAAAACTCTATCAATAGAAAACACACCATTCCTCAGCTCAGGTGGAACTCTTACTAAGCAATCCTGAGAAGTTACTGCTTGGAGATATAACTGGCAGTGACAAAGGAAGCATTTCAAACTCTCAGGCATTAACTCCCAGAACCTGGGAGTCATTTTAGAGAAATCTCGGAACTGCACAGCAGTGCTGAGGTGGAGGGGGAAATGGGGTGCCTCTCCTCAGGCTCTTCACCCGAAGAAATGACAAGGAAAGATACAGAGACAATGCCAGTTTTCAAAAGAGGCCTGTGGCCATAGAATATGACAGCAAGGACAACATACTCTGCCCAAATAAAAAGGCCTGTTCTCAACAACAATCCTTTCTGTCCCCTTAAGGCTCATCTTAGATGCCACCATAAAGCCAAGCTGAGTCTCCATTTAAATATTTCCTAATCAGAATTCTTTTCTGCTGGATATCTTAAAATTTTTAACGTGTTAATAGGTTATCTCTCAACATCCTGAAAAATGCTGAGACACCAAAAACTGATTAAAAATCTATTGGAAAGGGCAGAGGAGGGAGTAAATATGCAGCTTTTCTTAATCCCAAATTTATTTGACCTGAGAATCCATATAGAACTGTGATTAATATCTTGTAGAAGTCTAGTGCTCCAAGGCATATAGCTTGGGAAATAATTGATAAATATAAAACTCTCAAGGGAAAGAATACATCCAAAAGCTTGATTGCAGCATTTCCCAAAGAATGCCTCTTGAAATCTTATCTGTGCATACTGCTCCTCTGTAAAATGATTCTATGCTTATAGAGGTTTGGGTTAAACTGCCCTATTTGAAGTTATTTGGCCTTTTTTTTTTTTTTTTTTTTTTTTTTTTTTTGAGACGGAGTCTCGCTCTGTCGCCCAGGCGGGACTGCGGACTGCAGTGGCGCAATCTCGGCTCACTGCAAGCTCCGCTTCCCGGGTTCACGCCATTCTCCTGCCTCAGCCTCCCGAGTAGCTGGGACTACAGGCGCCCGCCACCGCGCCCGGCTAATTTTTTTTGTATTTTTAGTAGAGACGGGGTTTCACCTTGTTAGCCAGGATGGTCTCGATCTCCTGACCTCATGATCCACCCGCCTCGGCCTCCCAAAGTGCTGGGATTACAGGCGTGAGCCACCGCGCCCGGCCTTTTTTGTCCCCCTAAATTCTTATGGATTAATCTATATCTTTTTTCTTGCCACATTATCTGTGCAATGTAATAACTTGGTGTTTCTGCCAGCAGTAGAAGTTTTACATATAATTCCTCCCTGTAGCCTCCTTTCTCTCAGTAACACCTTGCACACAGTAGGTGCTCAATAAATGTTTGTTGAATGAAAGAATAGAAGATAAAGTGGGAGCTACTAGTTGGCAACAAAATACAGTCCTCAATAGAGGAGAGACTGGACTGCTATACCTACCCTGATGACAGCTACATAGTAGTCAAGAGAACCTTGCCATTCATGGCAGTACCCAAACTCTTTTAAAAGCCACAATCTGTTCTGTCACTTCCTCTGAGGTGTGCATTCTGCATATACCTGGGGACAAAGAGCAAAACCCTTTGACTGAGATTAAATGATGTCCAGAGGGTAAAATCAAGCTTCTGGGATGTTGTCCAAGACTGGCCTCACATGCAGGGTTTTGCCTTGAGGACTGGCAGCAATATCTCCTCTATAGAGATAATTGATCCTTGGCCCAGTGAGCAGATGTTACTGGAAAGATGATGTGTGTAGCAAAGGAGTGCCCCCAGCCCTTGATAGCTTCTATGATGATTTCAACAGCCAAACTAAAGAAGCCGGCACTAGCAGGCAGCCATTTTCTGCTTGTCTGCGTCACCCTTATGCTGAGAAAGCTATCTCACTTAACATGGTAAAACTTTAAATAGGAAAACATTATTACTTTACCTTGGTGTAGGCTTGTTATTTCACTGTTCAACTTGTGGCTGTGAAAGGGATAAAGAGCACTTAGCCTGATTGGTGATTACTTTGTCCAGGAGTCAGAATTGTCCTAGACATCCTGACTCTTGTTATTTCCAACTATCAAGTTTTTGTGAAGAGAAGAGAAGGCCAGTATTGATGAATTCATTCATAAATGCATTCTTTAGTTTATTCAGCAACATTTAATGGATATGTACTATGTCATAAGAATTGCCAAATTGACTTGCACAAGCCTCAGAGCCATAAAAAGCCTTGACGAGCATTTGCACTTCACCTCTGGACATTATATATTTCTGCCTATCACTTTCTCTGCTATTCTTTATTCCTTAACTTTCCAGTTTCTCGTGCCCACTTTGGCTGCATACCTCAGCTTCTACTCTAACTAGTTGGTTTGTATATTCAGTCAGAGTTTCAGAGAAATAGAGCCAAGAAGGTGTGTGTGTGTGTGTGTGTGTGTGTGTGTGTGTGTGTGTGTGTGTGTTTACATAAAGAGATTTACTTTAAGGAATTGGCTCACGTGATTATAGGGGCTGAAAATTCTGCAATCTGTAGAGCAAAGAGGGAGGCTGGAAACTCAAGCAGGAACTGATTTTGAAGTCTTGAGTGTGAAATTTGTAGAGCAGCCCAGCAAGCTGGAAACTGAGAATTCTATGTTACTGTCTGAAAGTAGAATTTTTTCTTCTCCAGTAAATCTCAATTTTTGCTCTTCAAGCTTTCACTTTTGGATGAGTTGCACCCACATTATCGAAGGTAATCTCTTTTACTCAAAGTCACTGATTGTAGATGTTCATCATCACCATAAAATACCTCTATAGCAATATCTAGGCTAGTGTTTGACCAAACAATTGGGTACCATAGCCTAGCCAAATTTACATATAAAATTTAACCTCAAGATGAAATAAATTTCATCTTATTTTACCTTGGGGATAATTTAGGATACGACTTTCAGGTCCTGCCACTGGTTCCACATCTTTAAGCTATCACCCTAATGTCATGTTTGGGAGTGGGGAGACAATCTGAAATTGGCATTGTGTATCTGAAAGGGATTTGGACCCAGTCCTGAAGGAACTTCTGATTTAGGTTAAAAAAAAAAACCATCACGTTGAATAAATTTATTTGATTATAAGTCTAAGTCTTTATAATGGGTAGGTCTATGCAAAATGCTAGAATGGCATTAGTAGGAGGAGGAGGTATTAATTCCATCTGTTGGAAGGTGAAAGAAAGAAAATTTGAGTCGAAATTATGCTGTATCTTGAAGAATACAATAAGTTCTCAACATCATCAATAGGTTCTTGGAAATTGCGACTTTAAGCTAAACAAAATATAAGAAAACCAATTTTTAAAAATCAACCTTATAATGAAACAACCTTGAATGAAATGATATTATTCAAGAACTTACGGTATGTTGTTTTGCTTAAAGTCCAAGTTTCTACGAACCTATGTTAAGTGAGGACTTCACTGTACAATGATGAATTCATTGGTGGATGAGGTAGAGAAACAGCAAGATAATATTCTGGGTAGAGGAAATTGCAAGAATAATGGCATGGGTGGAATACTACGGAGTCCAGTCGCTTGCCTATCTGAAGAGAAGGAGCAAGTAAAGTCGTCAGAGAGAAGATGCGAAAAGAGGGTTGGGAACCATCTGAGAAGGGCTTTAGATACCATAACTACTGGAAGTCACATTACCCTATAGGCAATAAAAAGGCAAAAGGCTTCATGCAAGTTGGGAACAGATTGTGAAGGCCTCTGAAATATAGGGTGTGAGAAGTTGTAGCTGACATTCTTAGAAAGACAATGTAGCAAAGAAGAAGGAGGCAGCCTTCCCAGAGGGCTGCTCCATCTGATTTTCTTGGGTTGAACTTCATTATCACATTATTGTAAGCAAACGTGAGGATCAGCTAGCACCTTCTCCCAGCAACCCTGTTCTCCTTCACCAGGGGGCCAAAAGCAGCTCAGCCTAATTTGTAATTTGTCACCTGTTGAGATTTGTAGATTCACCTGATCCACTTCCTCATTAACATTAAACACAAATGCCTTGGGATTTTTATGGCTGGTGTAAACTTTGTGACTGCCCAGGAGACGAGCTTGAGTTTTTGAGTTGCCCCCAACTTGCCCACACCTATGAAACCTTGAGGTAATCAACTCAGTTTATAGAAAAGAAACTGACTCTTTCTTTTCAATAAAAAAGTCTTTATTTAATTTACTTTCTGTGCTGATGCAGCACAGACAGAAATTAATTCTAACTTTCTCAGATATGTGTGGTTACATAACACAGGTAAATATTGAAACACTTTTCTCCCCCAAGATAAAGTACCTGGAGGCTAGAATCAATACTAACGCCAAGTGAGGTTGTATTGTGCCTACTTAAGGTGTTAACACAGAACATTTCTGATAGTGTGAACTTCAGGAAATGGACCCTGGGGGCTAAGTACATGTGAAGCAGTGTAAATGAGGAAAGAAGTAATTACTTGTCTAACCTGCTCCCTTTGTTCTGATAATCTAGAATATGGACTCAGTGCGTTGTCCATAAATTTCTGAACTTTGGATGGAAGAGTATGAGTCATTGAAATGCTTCAAGATACAACACTGTTTCTCAACTTTCTTCAAAAGACCTCAGAGTGGAGGAATTGTCATTTTTCTCTTACCCAGCACAGGATCAATGAACCTCTCTCTTTTCATTTGCTTTGGGCCTCAATAAAAAAATTAAAAATATACAAACGAGTACTTCACAATCTACAGAACACTCTGTATGATCCCCTCAATGTTACTGATGGCCATAGTACATAATTCAACTGGAGATCCCACATTGTTAAAATGGAGTTCAAGAGGACAGGTAAGAAAATCCAGACTCATCACTAAATTTTCTTACTGCACAGTCCACCTATTTTTATGTAACATCCCCCGATTAGAAGGATAGTGGTTTTAGAAAAAGGGATCTATTGCAATTGCTCTAAATAGTGGCTTACTTTCAATTCCTCAAGCAACATAATGAATGCTAAGACCAGTTTTAAAAGATGAAGAAGTACTGTGAGACCAAGACTATGTAATTCATAGGAAAGGTCCCAAAAAAGGAACACTTTTTTAAATGTGCTCAATTTCCTACCGAACAGCAACACAAGGCCCTCCCTATTCCTCCCACCTTTACTTCCACTAACAGTAGAACTTAGCTACACTTCTGTCCACTGTCTTTTTGTGGGATAGCCTCACAGGTGATTTGCTGAATGAAGGATTGCCCACAGAGCATGGTTCATATTGAAAAAAACACCAATTAACTCAGCATTACCAAAGCTTCAGTTTGTCCTCCTTTCTCTATTTTGTTCCCAAAGATTAAAGAAGACTTAGAAATACCAGCCCTACCTCCAGAGAGATATTTCAATGAGCCACTTAGATACAAATACAGTTTCTTTTCTAAAAATTACTTCTACTTATGATAATTTCCAGAACAATCTTTGTCATTTCCGTGTATCTATTTGCATGTGGTTTTTCTCCAGAAGACAGGACATAAAATTACCTCTCTATAAATTACAGTTTTTGGGAAATGCAGGTAACTTTCTTGGTAGTAGCTGCAGTAGATGTTTATACTGATGATGGCCAGTGAATCACTTTTGAGTATCCACAACCTTGTGTAATCCCCTCCACCATAGACTCTGGTCTTGGCTGGGTGGCTAATTTGACATCCGCAAATGTGATACTTCGAACATTACCATTACCTTATGAAGAAACTGTCTAGTACCCAAGGATCAAAGATCACACAAAGAGAAAGTCCTGACATTAATTCACTTCTTCAAAGAAGCAGATGCCAAGATGGGATCAGATGTGCATGGCTTTTGTTGGGGAAGGAGGGAATAAGGGGAGGGAACCAGAAGAGACAGTGAGAGGTACCACACTGTGAGCACACCTGACCCCTGTGAAGGGGAGGAGGAAGGAAGGAATGTTGGATGGGTAGAGTTTGGGCTGCATGCTATTCTAAGAAAGTTTCAGCTGTGCTTGTGGGGAGTCCTGGAGCCAAAGTTGCCTGTCTCACAGATAGTCTGTCTTCCCTCTCATGCTGCGCCCAGTCACAGGCTGAGAGCAGTGTGGCCTCCATGTGAACAGACAGTGGACACATAGTCAGCACTGGGGCTCTAGGTCAGGTTCATTACACTCCCCTAAGCAGAGATCTGAGTGGCCTATTCTCATGGCTACCACAGTTACCAACAGCTCTCAAACATCCACATTCCTCAGTTCCTACTACCAGAGAAAGACTGATGTTTTCCCCTTACTTTTAGTGGAAATAATCCAGTATTAGTATCTAAATGGCCCAGCTTCATTTGGTGCCAATGCCTGGTCTAATCAGCTATGTCCAGAGAGGCAGTGCCATATGTGGTCACAGAGGCATGGCAAGTGGAGTCCACTGTATGTGTTGGGGAGACTGTTCCTAGAGGAGAGGGACTTATTGTGAACCAGGCGGTCACTGTTAATGAGAGGAAAAGGAATAAACAGATGTAGCAGAAGGACTCCTGCCCGAACCACCTGTGTACGTGCCTCAGCTATCGAGAGATCGCTAATATCAGATTTGGAAATATGGTCCAGTCAGGATATGAGCTTCTAGCTATGACAATAGTACTTGAAGCCCTTCTAAGCTCCTACTTCAGGATAAACCATTTCTTCTCTAAATGAATAGTGTTTTCCACTGGTTCCACTATCCTTTATATGAGGATTAAATGAGTTAATACATTTAAGGAGCTTAGAATAGAGCTGGACCTAGGGAAAGTAATTGCTTAATAAATGTTAGCTAAAATGATCACTGTTACTATTATTAAAGTTAGTGGTATGCATACCAGCCTCCTTCACTAGATTGCCTGTCCCTTATAATCAGACACTGTTTCCTGGACATTTAACACACTGCAGAGTAAGTCAGTCTCACAATGAATGCCAGGCAAATTGAATGGAATCTACCTTTCAAGATGGCTCTGCGGATAAAGTGTTTGAAACGCTGGAGAGCCCCCAGTCTACAACAACGTTCAAGCTTTTGTTCTGCAGTCAGATCTTAATTATCCATGTGAGGAGTTTCCACTTCTTGAATTAGCCGCAGCACGTTTTAATCCCTTGTCAGCAAAATGCTTCTGAGACTCTGCCCTGAATTGGGATCAGTTGGGAAAGGAAAAGCAATTTTAGTCATTAGCCCACGCAGAACATGATCAAAAAGGTTAATTTTCTACTCCCAAAAGCACGCAATGCAGACAGAAATGATTTTTAGATTCTCCACCCTTTTCTCTCCCTTGCATTGATATGAACGATTGAAAGTTTCCTATACAAATCACAATTATTGTTTAATTGATGAAAATGTGGGAAGTGATGATCTCTAGGTGGTAGGATTAGAGATAATTTTTGTTTTTCAATGGTGTTGATATATATTTTTAAATGATAATATTCTCTTTGTAGACCAAGAAAACTCCCTCTTTTCCCTCTACCTAATCACTGTTTAATATAGGGTAAATTTCATGGTGTTCATAAAAATTCCAGAATAGATTATTTAAAATTAAATAAACCAGTCTATGACCTTGGTTAAGTTGTTTAGCTCTTCAGAGTCTCAATTTTTCTCATATGTAGCGTGGAAACAAAATAACTTAAAAGTCTGCTGTGAGAAATCAATGGCACATAGCACAGCATATAGTTCATGTTCTTTAAATGCTTTAATTTCCTTTTTTAAAAATACTGAGTGACTGTGAAAAGCGTACACCTCTTCAGAGAAAACTCGTGTGTCAGCCATGAAACTGATAAAAAAGATCATATGAGATGCACAAACTTTAGGTTTTTATACAGCCTTCACTGAGGTGTTTTTGTAAATGTAGTGTCTGCCGTGTGTGATACTTGTGACTCAGGGTTATTGTTAAAGGTTCTTATTCTTAAATAAAGAATGTGTCCTAGAGGCAATTGCCAAGAGAAAAATAGGTTTCTCCCACGCCTACTCTGCCTCATCCTGT
Source organism: Homo sapiens (assembly GCF_000001405.40). NCBI lineage: Eukaryota > Metazoa > Chordata > Mammalia > Primates > Hominidae > Homo > Homo sapiens. The sequence continues at coordinate 8,284,157 of NC_000009.12, read as the reverse complement.
GTCTTCTGAGGGGAATGGAAAGTGGCTCTCCCAGCCCTATAAATTTAGAGTGTTGTGGAAAACATCGATTTTACCTCTATGGCGACTAATAACAAAATAAAGACTGGTGAGAAAATACCCCACAACAGAGAAATTATTTTATATACTGAAAGAATGCTGAGGCCGTCAATGAAAGTGAATCAGATAATGTTAGAAGATGAGAACAGCAGGTTCCAACACTAACAATAATATGATCAACCTCCCACCTGAGCAATTGTTGAATGATTACCATGAGCCATGCACTAAACCAAGAATTTTATATGAATGATTTTGTAAGAGCCCAACAAAGTGTCTACTATTGCAGTGGAATGAATGTTTGTGTCCCCCAAATTCATATGTTGAAACCCTAATCCCAATGTGATAATATTAGGAGGTGGGGCTTTCAAGGGGGTAATTAGGTCATGAGGGTGGAACTCTCATAAATGGGATTAGTGTCCTTATAAGAGGTTGAGAACTAGCTACCTCTCTTCCACCAAGGAGGACACAGCAATAAGACTGTGTCTGCAACCTGGAAGAGGACTCTCACTAGAACAGACCATGCTGATGCTCTGCTCAGACTTCCCAGCCTTCAGAACTGTGAGAAATAAATTTATGTTGTTATTAAGCCACTCAATCTATGGTACTCAGCTCAAACTGACTAAGACAACTATCATGCCCTTTGCAGATGAGAAAACTTAAGTTTTGAAAAGATAAATGACAACCCTAAGATTATGCAACTAGTAAATATCAGGGTTACATTTGTCTGGTTTGGGAGCCTGAACACATATCACAACTAGTGGTATGTGTAGTATCACTACAGTAGAGGAACTGCATAGACCTTGGATGCCTAATAAAAGGCACTAGCTTAGGATACAAGAATGACCCCATAGGGAAGAGATAGAGTGTCCCAAGTTGGAGGAGGAATATAGCTTTTGTTCAGAGCCATGCAATATGCCTCTAGTAACTAGGCATGATCTGGGTAGCTATTTCTGGAGGTAATTAAAAAGATAGTGAAAGTCTCTTATAGGAGAGTATTATGGCAGGTGGGTCTGGGGTTAGGCAGCAATCTGATTGGACCTGAGATGTAATGTATTAGTTTGGAAGCTACATTTGCAAAATCTGTTCATGCTTGGTTTATTTATTGGAGGTGGATTAAAGTGGCCTGTAATCATTCTCCAAGCTTGACATTAGCAAAAACTGAGTGGTGTAAACAAAAAGAAATTTATTTCCCTACACTGCTGGAGGTTGGAGGTCCAAAATCAACATGCTAGTAGAATTGTTTTTTTCTGAGTGCCGTAATGGCAGGATCTGTTTCAGGCCTGTGGCCTTGGTTTGTAAATGGCAGGCTTCTCACTGCATTGTTCTCACAAAGGCATTTCTGTGCACATGTGCCCCTGCTGTTTCACTCTCTTCTTACAAGGACACCAGTCACATTGAATTAGGACTCCATCTTAACGGCCTCATTTTAACTCAAACACATATTTAAAGACCCTGTCTCTAAAGACAATCACACTTTGAGATACTGAGAGTTGGGGCATCAACATATGCATTCTGAGGGGCTTCAATTCAGTCCATAACATTGTCTGACAGAAATAATTAGGGAAAGGGGCACTAAGTATGTGTAAGTTGTGCCCTGTGTCATTCCAGTTATATAATGCTGCAGCCATTGGGAGCACCATCCCTTGGGGCTGCTTCACAACTGTTTCCCTCTCAGATCCCATCTGTGCACTGAAAACCTACAGGAATGAGAGGATGTACTAGAAGCCAATTTATTCCAGAGTCTACTAAAAGCCCCCCAAAAGCCATCATGAAGAAAAAAAACTGTGATATATTGAGGCAGACTCAATAATCTAGCAGTGGCTTGAGGCCAGTAGTGTTCCAGGTAATACAGAACTTGAATCCAGCCCAATACCATCACCTGGATGGTGTTTGTGTGCTCGGGCAAAAAATTGGCTAAGTGTGTGTAATTTAGAAGAATGATTTCAGTAAACTCTAAAATACTAAGCAACTATGCATGACCGAGCATAACCTAGAGGTTGCAACCTCCCTCTTTTTGAATAACCCCCGACTGCCTCTGCACTATGAAAAATTAGGGCCAGTGACTAGAGTAATTAGTGAGAATCTATACTCAGGGATGCCACCTGAACCTGCCAAAGACAAACTCAGTGCTGGCTGTAGCACAATTTTACTTGTCCACATAGACCCTTCTGTGGCAGGTGTAGAGACTGTGAGGACTTAAATATCCTGGGGCACTTTGTAAGCGATCATTACGTTCAGGCTTCAAGCTAGCAAAATCCAGGTGTAATATTTATGTGATAACATCTCTCATCACATGCTAGTAAAGCCTGGGCATATCAAGATTATAATTAGCAAAGGTGAAGTTTCTTTCAGTTTCATTCACGGTTTCCTTTAGGAGAAAAGATTTCTCCTTTCTAAAATGTTCTTGTGTTCCATCAGAAATCAACTTTCCTTTTGTTGCTAAACCTTAAGTCCAGGATATTCAACTTAGGCAGTTAGGACAGGATTATTGCAAAATAAGTATCATGGCAAAGAGTAAAGAAGAACCCTGGGTCTAGGAACCCTGGGCCCTTTGGAGGACTCCTAAGAATCTGGTAAATGGAAAGAATAAAATACTGTAATCTAATACTTCATAGGTGCTGAGCAAGTGCTCAGAATAAGAAAAGTACAGCATGAATGTTAGTTTTGTGATACCATGTACCCATCTCTTCATCCTGCCTTTTCAACCACCACAGGACCTCAAGACCTAGGATTTTACCAGTTGGTAATAAGATACATGAAACTAAACTTCTACAGTGAAGCTTCCCATATACTGGCTGGTGGAGAAATTGGGATTTGAACCTAGGCATGTGATGCTGAAATTCACACAGTTGATATCCTACACTGACTGTCCAGCTTAGTTAGCTTCCTTGTATCCCAGCTTCTTGTATTTTTTTTTCTATTTCCTCAGCCTGGGTCCTGAATGGAGGTCCACCCTTTTGGAACTCAGCCAGTAAAAAGGAGAATATATTAAGTGGCAAAAAAATGGTACAGACAAGTTCCTCTGAAAGCAAAGGAAATGTGTTTTTTAAGGCCGCAGCTTTGTTTTGTTTTGTTTTGTTTCCTGCAGGGTCTCAAAAATGAGCTCTCAGCTCCTCAGGTCTGCAAGAGATGTCTTTCATTCCTAAACTTTCCATAGACTTCTGATTTATTATGTGTGTTCTCTGCAGATTGTCACAGAACAAGAAACTTGCCTAATCAAACATAATGGAGGCACCAGACCTCAGCTGACATTACTGGGGAGCATCGGCTTGCCTGCTATGGAGTGTGGACAGTCATCCAGAAAAGAAAAACTTATAAAGGAGGGGGGAAGCAGCCTCCAAAGAGAGGAGCAATCTGGATGGAATTGCAGTTCTGAGAACGATTTCCTTCCCAGGTTTGTCTGTGCTCTGGTTTGTACGTAGCAGGACCAAGACGATAAGAGGGTATCAGTGCAGGATTGGAAGCAAGTGGGATTGGAGTCTAATCCTGTTTCTTTTATTAATTAGTTTTATGACTGTGAGCAAGACCCTGGCCTTCTGTAAGACTCAATTTCTTCACTTCTCAAATGGATATGGTAATGTCTGATCAAAAGATGAAAAATATGCAAGACTTACAATTCATTCATGTATTCCACAAACATGTATTGAGCTCCAAATAAGAGTCCATCTCTGTGGTCTATGATTGTAGGGAAGGCCCATATTCCAGGACCTGAGCAAGTCATTGACTCTTGCTCTCTTACATTCAGATGTCTAACATAAACCCAACAATGTCAGTCCTGACATTCATAATCAAAGTATTTTAAATTTAAGAAAGAAAAAAGTGAAAAAAGGAAAGCTGTTTGTAAGGATGTAAGAAATTACTATTCTTTTATCCATATTAGTATATAGTTGAAACCTCTTCTGAAGAATCTGATGGTCTTATTAATAGTACAATCTCTGGAGAGAGACTACCTCAGTTGAAATCTTGCTATGTATCGGCTATGTAACCTTGGACAAGTTACTTAGCTCCCCTAAACATCCTTCCGCCACTTATTAAAAAAAAAAAGAGAATGATAATTTCTGTATCATAGAGTTGTTCTAAGGGTTGTACATATATATTAATAAGCAAAGACAGGGAAAGAAAAAACAAAATTCAATGACTTGCTCAAAATCTGGGGCAGAATAGGACCTAGCTAAATGACTAAAAAATTACACATATTTGCGGTATCTATATTCACAATTACATATATACATATAATATACATATAACACATCAGTCATGTAATGAAACCATTAAAGGTATGTGGATTATACTCCAAAGAAGTCTAACTCCAACTTAAAAATCATGACGGTGATAGTAATATTTTGAACATTATGTGCTGTCCTGAGTACTTTACATACATTGTCACCTATAATCTTTTAAAAAAATCAGTAAATGTGATTATTATCATCAATTTATAGATGAGAAAGTGAAGGCATAGAGAATTTAAATACCCTTCTAAATGTCTTACAAATAGCAAGTAGTAGAGTCGGGCTTTGAGCTCATGTGGTCTGAATTCTGAACCACTGTGTAGGCTGAAAAAAAAAAAGACTTCTTGAGCCTCTGCCCCTTGTGGCCTGGCATCCCCTTCATTTTTTGAGCAGAATGGCACCACTCGATCAGTTCTGGGACAAGGGGTTGCCCAGCTTTCTCAATGAAGTATCCTATGCTGGATTCAGGCTACTGCCAAGGGAGTGTGAGGATACATCTTGAATCCCATTCCTAGGCAGGGAAGAGCAATGTGGGCAGGGGCAGCAGTGCTGAGGGTGTAGGGGTTATGAGAGGGGCAGCACCACAGCTTCACTTTGGAATCATCTCCTAGAATAGAGTATATTCTAGGATGGCCCAGTGGATTATTCAGCAATACAGCAGAGCCCTCAGGAGCAGAGAGTTCCCCTTGCTAGGGTCTTAGTAAGAGGTCCTCCAAATATTTGAAGAACAAGGTGGTCTAATTCTTAAAAGTAGTTACACTTCATGGAAAATGATCACTTTTGTCCTAGGCAGACAGATAAAACAAGAGTGAATAAGGTTAGAATGAACTAAAAGTCAAAAAGTCAATAGGTTAACTGGTTAGATAACAAAATGAGAACCAGGATTATAAAATTTACTATTATTTACTGTGGACATGAGATTTAATAAAAAAGAGAGGGAAATAACAGGGGCAGACAGGGAGTGAGCATCATTTAGGAAGTTGAGGGAACTCCCCTAGCTTTCCCCTTAATCAGACTTCGTTCTTTGTTGGCAAGGAGGCAAGAGAACAGGTAGACATGTATTACTCTTTTCCTCTTCTGCCTTTAGCCTCTGTCACTGTTTCTTATGTCCACTGATTGGAGTCCTTCAGATTCACTTCAGAAGCAAGGAAGAGAGAGAACACTTCAGAACACAGAATATTTACTGACCATCTTTGCCGCTCGTAACGACTGTTCACAGAAACTTTCTCTGACCTGGCCAGCATCCAGCTAACCACAGTTGTTCTAGCTTCATCCTCTCACCAATCTTTGGGTTTCTTACATTGAAAATGGATGATATTTTACAGTCAAATATAATATAATAAATAGCATTTGACAGTTGGACGACCATATAATTTATTGCCTAACCCATGATGCTCTGACAGTGAAAAAGTATGCCACAATAGGCATAAACCACAATAGCACTGGACATACACAGGGCATAGGATCACTCTGTTTGCTGCTGAGCATTTATTTGGTGTTTGACACTGGGTTAAGGGCTTTAGAGGCTTTATCTCATTTACGTCTTCTAACAATTCTATAAGGGAAGTGCTATTATGACCCTCATTTTATTGGTGAGGAAACAGATTTGGAAGCTTGCCCAAGGCTGTCATTCAAATTCAAGCAGAAGTACAGCACAGAGTATGCATCATAACTAGGAGACTCCCCAGCCTGGGGCTCAGTGGAACTGTTTGATCAGTCAGCCTTCCCATCAGGCTGCCTGTCCATTTTTCAGCCTTGAGCCGGGGTTCCCCTTTCCATCAGGAATCCACCCCCAAACCCTATCACCTGTACCATGTTCATACGAAGCCATGAGAGACAACTTGATGGACCAAAAATGATCTTGTACAGAGCTTTGCAGCCACCTGATTAATAATCGCTGTTATTCCTCTAATAGGTATTGAAACTCTTGAAATATGTCCCCCCTTTCTCCTGGAAAGTGAGGGAGAACTTTTCAGAAATGGTTATGCTGTATTCCAAGAGACAGAAAATAGATGGAATGAAAGAGGTGTGGTTCAAAGGACAGCCACATTCTCTCTTGGAAAATTATAAACATGAATTAATCCAGGTACACATGGACATAAAAATGGAAACCATAGATACTGGGGACTCTAGAAGGGGATGGGGTAGAAGAGGAGAAGGGGTTGAAAAACTACTTATTGGGTACTATGTTTTCTATTTGGGTGATGGGTTCCACAGAAGCCCAAACACCAAGACTGTATAATATACTCATGCAACAAACCTGAATGAATCCAAAACAATTAAAACAATACAAAACAAAAACAAAGAAGGCTTTCACCTGCTGAAGAAATGGCATCATTGTGGTAACTTCAGAAGGCAGAATGGTAAAGGTGCTGTTAAACGGGAAAAAAGGGAAAAACACTAAAATTTCTTTTCTTCATTCATACACTGAAGAAAAGCATATGGCTCAGCTTTTAGCAGCTTTGTATGCATGGGCACATTAATCTAATTCTCTGAAATTCAATTTCCTCCACTGTATAAAAGGGGAAATAATATCTACTTTACAATATAGTAGACATTATTATCTTCTGTAATAGGGTTCAAGGACATAATCTAGATAGAGTACCTTACTCAATAGACTGTAGCTATAAGTGTTCCTCATACAAAGAGAGGAAGAGACTCTATGTTTTAGGGTAAGCACCTGTGTGTGGCCTCCCAGAACACAGACATCAGAAATACTGATGCATGTTGCCATGTGAAATGGATGGTACCATTTAGGCCTACTTACTATAGAAACTGAAGCAGGCCTTTGCACATCTGAAAAGCACAAAATGCCCAAGGAAATTAGAATAAACAACCTGATATGGTTTGGCTGTGTCCCCACCCAAATCTCAGCTTGAATTCTCACGTGTTGTGGGAGGGACCCGGTAGGAGGTAATTGAATAGGTCTTTCCCATGCTGTTCTTGTGTTAGTGAATAAGCCTCATGAGATCTCATTGTTTTAAAAAGTGAACTTTCCCTGCACAAGCTCTCTTCTCTTGTCTGCTGCCATGTGAGATGTGCCTTTCACCTTCTGCCATGATTGTGAGGCCTCCCCAGCCATGTGGAACTGTAAGTCCAATAAAACTCTTTCTTTTGTAAATTGTCCAGTCAGGTATTTCTTTATCAGCAGCGTGAGAACAGACTAACACAGTAAATTAGTACTGGGAGTGGGGCACTGCTGAAAAGATACCTAGAAATGTGTAAGTGACTTTGGAACTGGGTAACAGGCAGAAGTTGAAAGAGTTTGGAGGGCTCAGAAAAAGACAGAAAAACGTGGGAAAGTTTGAAACTTCCTAGAGACTTGTTGAATGACTTTGACAAAAATGCTGATAATAATATGAACAATAAGGTCCAGGCTGAGGTGGTCTCAGATGGAAATGAAGAACTTGCTGGGAACTGGAGCAAAGGTGACTCTTGTTATGTTTTAGCAAAGAGACTGGCGGCATTTTGCCTCTGCCCTAGAGATCTGTGGAACTTTGAACTTGAGAGAGATGATTTAGGGTATCTGGCCAAAGAAATTTCTAAGCAGCAAAGCATTCAAGAGGTGACTTGGGTGCTGTTAAAGGCATTCAGTTTTATAAGGGAAGCAGAGCAGAAAAGTTTAGAAACTGCAGCCTAACAATGCATTAGAAAAGAAAATCCCATTTTCTGAGAAGAAATTCAAGCTGGCTGCAGAAATTTGCATAAGTAACAAGGAGCTGAAAGTTAATCCCCAAGACAATGGGGAAAATGTCTCCAGGGCATCTCAGAAGTCTTCATGGCAGCCCCTCCCATCACAGGGCCCAGAGGTCTAAGAGGAAAAAATGGTTTTGTGGGCCAGGCCCAGGATCCCCATGCTGTGCACAGCCTAGGGACTTGGTGCCCTGCATCCTAGCCACTCCAGCCAGGCTGAAAGGAGCCAAGGTAGAGTTCAGGCTTTTGCTTCAGAGGGTGGAAGCCCCACTCCTTGGCATCTTCCATGTGGCATTGAGCCTATGAGTGCACAGCAGTCAAGGATTGGAGTTTGAAAACCTCTGCCTAGATTTCAGAGGCTGTATGGAAACACCTGAAAGCCCCCAGGAAGAAGTTTGCTACAGGGGCAGGGTCCTCATGGAAAACCTCTGGTAGGGTGGTGTGGAAGGGAAATGTGGGGTTGGAGCCCTCACACAGTGTCCCTACTGGGGCACCATCTAGTGGAGCCATGAGAAGAGGGCCACCATCCTCCAGACACCAGAATGTAGATCCACCAATATCTCGCTCCGTCTGCCTGGAAAGCTACAGACTCTCAATATCAGGCTGTGAAAGCAGCTGGGAGGGAGGCTGTACACTGCAAAGCCTCAGGGGTGGAGCTGCCCAAGACCATGGAGACCCACCTTTTGCATCAGCACTACCTGAATGTGAGACATGGAGTCAAAGGGGTTCATTTTGGAGCTTTAAAATTTGACAGCCCCGCTGGATTTCAGACTTGCATGGGGCCTGTAGCCCCTTTGTTTCAGCCAATTTCTCCCATTTGGAAGGGCTGTATTTTCCCAATGCCTGTAATCCCATTGTATCTAGGAAATAACTAACTTGCTTTTGATTTTACAGGCTCATAGGTGGAAGGAACTTGCTTTTCTCAGATTAGACTTTGGACTGTGGACTTTTGAGTTAACACTGAAATGAGTTATGACTTTGGGGTACTGTTGGGAAGGCATGATTTGTTTTGAAATGTGAGAACATGAGATTTGGGGGGAGTCAGGGGCTGAATGATACGGTTTGGCTGTGTCTCCACCCAAATCTCATCTTGAATTCTCATGTGTTGTGGGAGGGACCCAATGGGAGGTAACTGAATCATGGGGGCAAGTCTTTCCTGTGCTGTTCTCTTGATAGCGGATTAGTCTAATGAGATTTATGGTTTTAAATAAGAGAATTTCCGTGCACAAGCTCTCTTGTCCACCGCCACATGAGACATGGCTTTCACCTTCCGCCACGATTGTGAGGCCTCCAAAGCCACATGGAACTGTAAATCCAATAAACCTCTTTATTTTGTAAATTGCCTAGTCTTAGATATGTCTGTATCATCAGTGTGAGACCAGACTAATACACAAACCATCAACCCACCAAAAGAGATGGAGATGCATTTTGGAAAATATTTTAGAATCACATAAATAGGGTTTTGAATTCAACCGAATTCATCTACTTATTAGCTATGTTTTTCTGAGCAAACTTCCCAGACCTTACTTTTCCCGTAAGTAAATGAGATAACATAATCAATAGGACGTTAAGAAGACAAGAGACAATGTGTATAAAGTCTCTCTAGCTAAAGTATTCAGTCAATTAAGAGCACATTTCTACTACATATTTGCACACAAGGGGAAAAATATTCCTCTTGGGACAATTTGAATATTGTCTTGTAGTAGTAACATGTTATACGACAAGGGAATAGTTACACACTCACTGTTAAGCAAGATGTAAAGAGACAAAAATATTTTGTTAACAGTCATTAGGCTTTAACAACAGAGTGTCAAAATATGTGAGGCAAAATTGATATAGCTGCAAAGAAAAATACGTGAAACCACTATTATAGTTAGAGACTTCAGCACTCTTTTATCAGGAATGGACAAATCCAGTGGGCAGAAAATCAGTAAGAATATAGTTGAATTTAACAACATCAACCAACTGGATATAATGAACATCTATACACTACTTTATCCAACAACAGCAAAATACACATTCTTCTCAAGCTCACACAAAATATTCAACAAGATAGAGCACATTTTGGGCCATAAACACACCTTAACAAATTTGAAATATTATAAATTACACAGCATCTACTCTTAGACTACAATAAGATTAAACTAGAAATCAGTAACAGAAAGACAGCTGGAAAATCCCAAAATGCTTAGAGATTAAACAGCACAGTTCTAAATAACACACGAGCAAAATACAAAATCTCAAGAAAAATTAAAAAGTATTTTGGTCTAAATGAAATTTAAAAACTTGTCAAAATTTGTGGAAAGCAGCAAAATCAGTGCTTAGAAATTTACAGCGTTGAATGCATATATCATAAAAGAAAAAAGATCTAAAATCAATCATCTAAGCTTCCATGTTAGAAAACTAGGAAAAGAAAAGTAAACTAAACCTAAAGCAAGTAGAAGAAGATAAATAATAAAAATTAGAGCGGAAATCAATGAAATTGAAGACAGGAAGTCAATAGGGAAAATGAATGAAAACAAAAGCTGGTTCTTGGAAAAGATTAATAATACTGATAGGCCTGTAGCCAGGCTAAGAAAAAAATTGGAGAAGACACAAAATACTAATATCAGAAATTAAAGAGGGGACTTCACTAGAGACCCCATAAATATTAAAAGGATAATAAAAGAATACTATGAATAACTCTACACCCACACATTTGAAACTACAGGAAATAGACTGATTTCTTTAAAGACACAATCTGTCAAAACTCACACAGGAAGAAATAGGCCTATATTTTAAAAATTGAATCAATAATCAATACCTTCCAAAACAGAAAGCACCAGGCCCAGAAGTGGGTTTTGAATGTTCTTTGTATATTTTGGTTAATGGTATTTTATAGAATAAGTTTTTTGAAAATATTTTCCCCTAGTCTGTGCCTTTAAAAAGAAATTATTGCAATGGCAGACAATGCCATCACAAGGAAAGAAAACTATACACCAATATCTCTCATGAGACAGGTGCAAACACCCTCAATGAAATATTAGCAAATCAAATCGAACAATGTATAAGGAGAATTATATACCACAGCCAAGTGGAATTTATCCCAGTATGCAAACCTGGCTCAGCATTTGAAAATAAATTAATGTAACTTACATCAACATGTTAAAGAGGAAATACCACATGATTGTATCAATAGATGTAGAAAAAGCATTTAACAAAACCAAACACCTCTTCATAGTAAAAACTCTCAGTAAACAGGAATAAAGGCCAACTTCCTCAACCTGATAAAGAATATCTACAAAAAACCCACAGCTAACATCATGCTATACACTAACATTTTCACTATTAGTGAAAAACTTGAAACTTTCCCAGTAAGATCAGGGAAAAGGCAAGAATATTTCTTCTCACTGCTTTTCAATATAGTACTGGTAATCTAAGCTAATGCAATAAGAAATGAAATAAATGAGATACCAACTGGGAAGAAAAAAATTAAGATTATTTATTTACAGACGACATAACTGTATATGTAGAAAATCTAAAAAAATTAACAAGAAAACTCCTAGAACTAATAAGCAGTTATAACAATCTTGTAGAATATTCAAGGTTAATATACAAAAGTCAATTGCTTTCCAATATAACAGCAATGAACAAGAGGAATTTGAAATTTAAAGCACTATACTATTTACATTAGCAACCAAAAATTTGAAGTCCTCTCATATAAGTCTAATAAAATATGCACAAGGTCTATATGAGGAAAACTACAAAACTCTGATGAAAGAAATTTAAGAATAAATGGAGATATGTCCCATGTTCATGGATAAGAAGACTCAATTTTTGTTGTTGTTGTTGTTGTTTTGTTTTTTGTTTTTTGAGATGGAGTCTCACTCTGTCGCCAGGCTGGAGTGCAGTGGCAAGATCTCAGCTCACTGCAACCTCTGCCTCCTGGGTTCAAGCAATTCTCCTGCCTCAGCCTCCCGAGTAGCTGGGACTACAGGCACACACCACCACGCCCGGCTAATTTTTGTATTTTTAGTAGAGACAGGGTTTCACCATGTTGGCCAGGATGGTCTCGATCTCTTGATCTCGTGATCCACCCACCTCGGCCTCCCAAAGTGCTAGGATTACAGGCGTGAGCCACCTCGCCCGGCCAGAAGACTCAATATTTTTAAGATGTCGGTTCTTCCCAACTTGATCTGTAGACTCAATGCAATCCCAATTAAAATCCCAGAAAGTTATTTTGTGAATATTGACACACTGATTCCAAAGTTTATTTGTAGAAGCAAAAGTTCAAGAATAGCCAACACAATACTAAAGGAGAAGAACAAAGTTGGAAAAGTGACACAAGTAGACTTCAAAGCTTACTATAAACCCATAATAATCAAGATGGTATGGTATTGGTATAAGAATAGACAAATAGATTGATGGAACAGAATAGAGAGCTCAGCAACAGACCCATATAAATGTAGTCAACTGATCTTTGGCAAAGGAATAAAGGTAATACAGTGAAGAAAATACAGTCTCTTCACCAAATGGTGCTGGAACAATTGGGTATTTACGTGCAAATAAAAACAACATTAAAAAAATCCATTTAGATACAGATCTTACACCCTTCACAAAAATTAACTAAAAATGAATCATAGACCAGAATGTAAATGATAAAAAACTGTAAAATTCCAAGAAGAAAACCTAGGAGAAAATCTAGATGACCTTAGGTTTGGCAATGACTTTGTAGATAAGACTCCAAAGGTATGGACTGTGAAAGAAAAAATTGATAAACTGGACTTTATTAAAATTTTCTACTCTGTGAAAGACATTGTCAAGATAATTTCTTTTTAAAGGCGCAGACTGGGGGAAAATATTTTCAAAAAACATTCTATAAAAGACCATTAACCAAAATGTACAAAGAACCTTCAAAAATCAACAGTAAAACAGAATAAAACAAACAACGGATAATAAAAATTAGCCAAAGACCTTAACATACAGCTCACCAAAGAATATAAAAGATGGCAAATAAGTATATGAAAATATGCTTTTCATTATATGTCACCAGGGCAAATAAAAACAATGAGATGCTGCTACACACCTATTAGAATGACCGAAGTGCAGAACACTGAAAACACCAAATGATGGTGAGCATGCATGTAGAACAACAGGAACTCTCATTCATTGCTGGTAGGAATCCAAAATGATACTGACACTTTAGAGGACAGTTTAATGGTTTCTTACAAAACTAAATATACTCTTACCATAAGATCAAGTAATCACATTTCCTGGTATTTACTCCAAGGAGTTGAAAACATATGTCTACAGGAAAACCTGTACACAGATATTTACAGCAGCTTTAATCATAATTGCCAAAACATGGACGCAACTAAGATGTCTCCCAGTAGGTGAATAGATGGTGGTACATCCAGACAATAGAATATTATTTAGTGCTAAAAAGAAATGAGCTATCAAACCATGAGAAGACATAGAGAACCTATAAACACATATTACTAAGTTAAAGAAGCCAATCTAAAAAGGCTACATACTGTATGATTCCAACTATACGAAATTCTGGAAAAGGCAAAAATATGAAGACAGTTAGTAATGGTTGGGCTAAGGGAGAGGGAAAGATGGCTTGGCAGGCACAGAAGACTTTTAGGGCACTGAAACAATTCTGTGTGATACTACAAAGGTAAATACATGTCATTATGCATTTGTCCAACCCACAGAATGTACAACACCAGGAGTGAACACTAATGTAAACATGGACTTTGGGTAATAATGTGTCAATGTACCTTTGTCAACTATGACAAACATACCACTCTGGTCAGAGATATTGATAATGGGGGAGGCTGTGCATGTGTAGGGTCAGGGAGTATATGGGAAATCTCTGTATCTTTCCCTCAGTTTTGCTGTGAACCTAAAACTGTTCTGAAAAATAACATCTTTCAAAAAAAGTCACTAGAGTCTTAACTGATGGGCAGCTGACAGTCAACTGGGTAGACAACTGATTACCCTTAAAGCACATGAGAAAATTCCTTAAACATTTTATTGGGAATAAAATTTTCCTCCCAGAGAACACTGTGAATTAAATTATGCAAAAAGTTTCTGATGAAGTTGCGAACAACTTTTCTTCTAACCTGCCTACCATAGTACCTGATGTATGGAGATAGTCAACACACAGAAGCTATTTCTATGGCAACTAAGCATGTGACTGGGGGACCATTGTTATGCACTTAAGCCTCCAAAATAAAATAGTCTTTTAAATATGTGTTAGCAGAGAAGAGCTGAAGTATATATAATATAAAGCAGGAGGAAACTAAAAGAAAAAACAAATCAGAAAAAAGTTGAATAATTGTTTTTGCAGCAGAATTAAATTATTAAATCTGTCAGATTCAGCCAATTAATGACTGCTGTCTGTGTATATACCAATTTATGGTGAAGAGCAGAAGGAAGTGGTCTTGGTTTTCACATTTTCCCTATCTTTCAAATAGAAAAGTAATCAATATTGCCTGCACCATCAGAATGCCTGAGAAGACCATAGGGCCACTCCTTTGATGCCCTGCCAACAGGACTGTGAAGAATTAGATACTGAACAAACAAGCATATTGTAGGAGTGAATTTTTCCCCAAAAGTCTTTAACCTTACAAAAACTTTTGATTTTTTTTTTCTCCTAAACCTAACTGCTAACTGCAATATCATTATACCATTCTCCTTGTTGAACCAACTATGCCTTGTTTCACTTGGGAAACTTTTGGAATTGAAAATATGATCAAAGCAGCAAATGGAATTTTCTGCCCCTAAGCCTTTCAGAATGATGAATTGCAATGGTTAAGATCTTTTTAGTTCACATTATTGGACCTGAGCCCAAACTGGACAGGATATCTGAGGACATCACAGCCATGCCCACTTTTGATTCCATTGCAGGTATTTTAATTCATTCGTGTATATTAACAAACATACATGCAGACTTTCATTAAACAAAGATGTATTTAATAATCAATGATTTTTCTGTCTATATGCTTACTCAGGGGGTGGATTTTACTACATTAAACCCATCAGAGACCTGATGTGACCTCACTGGTTGTTGGCTTACTCAGCTTTTGGCTGTGGCTCAGCTCTCAGTTTTGGCTCTCCTGTTTTCCTCTGTAGTTCCAGGGGATAGCACAGTGCCTGGTAGTTAATATACACTAAATAAATAGTTGAATAATGGATGTGCTGAGTAACATCTAGCTATTTTGAGCATGGGCACCAGAATGAACACTATGTCCTAAAGACTTGTGCTTATCCAGTCCTACTCTTTAAATGATGGCATTTGCTTGAAGCATGTAGGTACAACCTTCCCCAAGGTTGCAATGTACACCTCCATGTTCCACTCTGGAATAATAGGATGCACCAACAATCAATCCTTCTGGCTAAGCCTGATTCCTTCTCAGAATCCTTCTCAAAACAGGGCTTCAGAGAACCACTTACCAATCAGTTGGCACGTGAGATAAAGCTTACTTGCTAGAGCTACTTGAGAAGGAACTTCACATTTTCACCACTGTCTAGAGCAAAAGAGCCAGAAGGCTTTCCAATAAAAAAAACTTTAGCTCCAAAGTTAAATAATGTGTACTTTAAATTTCTGTATCCCTGTCATCCCCCTCACCCTGGATGCATGTGGATATGAACATGTGTGCTTGTATTCACACACACATGCACACTCACACAGGACATGTGGCCTCATATTCTACACACCTTCCTCCTGAAGTGAACTGTGAGGCAAGAGAGATCAATCCTGTGGGAAGTCAACAGCTGCATTTGATGGCTTGGCCCAACTTTGCTCAGCCAGCTCATCATGGGCGATTATGTTCTCATTTCCACCCTCAGACTGCAAAAGGAGAAAGGTCAGCTAGTCTGGGATCCCTGACACAGCTGTTACAGATGTTTATGGAAGAATTTGATATACCAAAATCTTTCCCAAAAGTTTTTTAAAAAGACTTGTGAATGGGATATTGAAAGCTCTAAATTAGTGGCAGTGAGAGAACAGATTTCTTTGTCAACTGACCCAGAACATTAAATTGATTATGTAATTTAACACCACTGTTCTATTTGATAGCTGCCTATTAATACTGCACCCTCCTACCTTATAGCCAATTTAAAACTCTAGAAATGGAAGAATATATTTATTTTGCTTGGAATTTGCAATTTTCTGCCATATGATCTATTAGTAATTTGTAATTTCTTTCTCCAAGGGGAGCCTGTTACCCCAGGAGAAATGATGATCACCCATGTTTGAAACATGCAGTCTTTAGTTGCTCTCTCTTCTTTTCTCATTCCTTGCGGCAAATGAATATGAGACTTAACGAGCCTGAAAATGTACTCATGGCAGGCTGTGCTTTCCTATTCAGACTCCCTGTTCTCCATCACAGGGAAAGTCAGATGCCAGAAAAGAGGAATTTATAATGTAAACACCATGAGCTTCCAAATAGAGGGCAAGGAACTGCAAAGAAGGAGCAGATTCACTTAGTGTGCTTGTTAAAAATTCAAGTTCCTGGACCCAACTCTACATCAACTGAGTCAGAATCTTTGAGGTTTATATTGAGTTCTGCAGATGACACTTATGCACACTGAATTTGAAAAATGGCACTCATCTAGAGATGTGATGCTTAGAGAAGGACATAGAAAGTAGGGAATAAGAAGAATTTTAATCAGTAAGGAGATTTTTCAGGTAAACTGATCCTTTGATAGAATGTCCTCCTTAGCAGATTCCTACTCCAGGTAATCTCACCCTTGCTATGACTTTTCAATCAAAGACCCAAGATGGTGTGCTGTTCTCCATCCTGACATACCTTCGTTTTCCTTGAGATCCCTCTAAATTAAACACAAAAATTAAATAACATCTATGCATTTCCAAGGATGGCCTTTCTCTAGCTGATTATGTGCTGTGTGGGCTGAGTCCATAAAGTTATTATTTCTTGCTTTTACTTATTCTCAAAGAAAAAAAAAAAGCTAAAACCTGTCATGAAAGTCCCTGATGATATTTTTCACTGTGGGTATTATCCTTTCACATTCTGTTTCAGCCAGTGATGATGGCTGGGACCTGACCCTAGGCAGAGCTCTACAACAAACATACCAGCCAAATTATGTTTCCAAAATTTCCAAAAACAGTTGAAAAGAGCCAAAGAGGCCAGGTGCTGGGCAGGAGGATATTTTAGGCTTGGCTGATGGTCCAAATTGGATACTTCCTCTGCCTACCAGAACTATCCATTAAACAAGAGAGCATGTTCCCCTCCGCCTTCCCATCTCTGCTTTCCCTATTCTGTATGCCCACCACCCATTTTTATGTGAGCTATGTAAAATTAATTTTGTACCACGTAAAATCACTGCATGTAAGTAATCATTTAACTCACATTGTGAAGTATCCAAGTGTCAGGAGAAGAAACTGGTGGCCTGTTTCTCTAATGATGCTTTCTTTTCTCTGGCAAAGACTATAAACTCGGTTGAACACTAGGGATGAGAGGCATTGCTGGGTTACACACAGATCAAAGAACTGAAAGTAGGTTCTTTATCAAGCTCAGGTGTTAAGGACAGAACATTCAAATACCTTAATTATTACTGAGGGTCATCCAGTATAGGGAAAGCTAAACTCCATTCTCCTTGTGCTGAAAGCTTTTCCAGAGAGTGCAAGAATTCTCTTATCTTCTTCATTCTACCACATTCCTGAGCCCTGCCAATTTATTCCAAAAATATACTTTCAATTGCTCTCTTCCTCTTCATCCCCACAATCACAATTTCAGCTCAGATCCTCATTAATTCTTAGATGATTTATTTTTTACTTGCAGAATGAGAGCCTCTACACTATGCTAGCCTCTCTGCCTCTGATACAATCCCATTCCATCCATGCTGCTACCAGTGTGATTTATTGTAATACAGTTCTTATCAAGTTCAGCCTTAACACCTTGGATGGCTCTTCCATTGCTCAGAGGAAAAAGTCTAAACTCCTAAGACCTTCATCAAGTTCCAAAATATCTTTTCAAATTTATCTCCTAGGGTCCTTCTGCACAACCTGTGTTTCTGTATATTTAACGCCTTAGCCCTCCCCCAAAAGGTATTTTCTTTCATACTTTTACAGCTCTCTCTTGAATTACCTTCTCACCCCTCTGAGCATTTTGAAATGTATTTACTCCTTAAAGCTGAATTGAAAAAAAAATCACTTCTTTTAAGTTTCCCTGATTTTCTTGGTAATAATGAAATATTTGGTTATTCCCTGCTCTGTATTACTGTATCTATTTTCCTATCTACTTCAATTTATGTCTTGTACTATAGTTAGTTGGTCATCTGTCTATCTGCTGGACTGGAAGCTCCTACAGGTTAGGGGTGGGCTTACTCATCCTTGCACATGTAACAGTGTCCAACATAGGACTTGTCCATAGAATAGCTCAATATATGTTGGTTTGTAATAAATGAATTATCCTGGTTCATAGCACGCAGCTACTCTCTACTGCTTGCATAAATGAGTAGCAATTTTCACTTCTACCAAGCCTGTAGGATAGAAAAGAAAAAGCAAGCCCTGGGTAGAATTTTTTGAAAGACACCGGCCCTTCAAGGCCTGACTTCATTACTCCCCATAAGACCTACACATTGACCCTTTTTTGTTGTCTCTCTAACCTCCTTCCAGCTTCTGGACTTCTTTCATAGTCTTATCTCAGTTGCACATGGCTTCTTGGAAATCACTTAATTAAAATGTATTTGAGGCAGTTGCTGGTCCATTAGCACCCTCTTGCATCCAGCTGTGTCAGATAAGCATTGAGAAACCTTTTTTTCCCCTCAATTAAGAAAAGTTTAGCTCCAAAGACAACTGAGAGGCTTTTCGGTCTACCCAGGATGCAGTAACAGCATGACAAAAATGACACAGTATAGCTTGCTGGCATAGCAACTAAATCCCTCTGGCAGATTCCTATTCCAGGTAATCTCACCCTTGCTATGACTTTTCAATTAAAGACCCAAGATGGTGTGCAGTTCTCCATCCTGGCAGGTTCTAGGTCTTGAAGATCAATAAGAGGACTTGCATTTAAAGCAGAAATAAAAGAGCAAGAAGTTGAAAGATGCAGGAGCAAACTTACTGCAATACACAAATGTTGCTGTTATAATCTTGACTGCCCTCTAGGAGAAGGGTTACATTAAGGACAGGACTCTTGCTGCTTCTGTGGGTCTTGAGGGAGTGGGTACTAAAGCTTGGTGCAGGAACAAGGCAAACCTCCAATAACTGAATAGAGAGGAAAAAAATAAGAATTCCAAGACAGCAATTCATATAGAGAAAAAGAGATGAAGGGAGTTAGCAGGTGGTGGAAGATTATGTTTCCTGTTATGTGAAAAAATTTCTTATGGAAATTTATGAATGATCTACATTTCTTACCCCAGGTTGAAAATGAAAGAATTAGAGATAACATGGACAGATACCAAAACCAAAGACAGAGAAGCCAAGGGCCTGAAGAAACCTTGCCTCAAAGTCCATAGCCATGAACCTCAGCTATATAAAAACCCTTTCTTAATCTGAAAAAATATGACGGACTTCATAAATCATTGCTAGTGTTTTTGAAGCTTAGAACAGTACAGTAACTTATGTAGCTTACAACAAAGGAAAAGAAGAAAAACACAAGATATTCCATGAGTTTATTTTAAAAAATCTTTTCCTTTGTCCTGGAGTATTATTTGTGTTGATTATTTTGTAATATTTCTGTTAAAAAATATGAAGTCAACATTTCAGAGACACAGATAGCAAGGAAAGATTATAATTGGATGTCACTCCTGTTAATCATCTTGACTCTTAAAAAATGGAGTCTGCTCACCTTGGAAGCAGACCATTTTGTCTAAAGCTTTGACTGTATATTGCACTGTCGGCTTTGATGTCGACTAACTCCTTTTTGTCTGTATTGCTGGCCAGTGATTGCAATTTGCTGTATTTTCTCTTATTCTACCGCAATGGCCTCTTCTTCATGCTCCTGTTAATACTGCACCCTCCTGATACAGGAGAGATAAGCCTCCACTGTTTGAATTTCTAAAGCAAAGACAGAAGCCTCCCTAGCAGAGGCTTGACAAATCAGGATAGGAAATATCTTATTACTTGATATTCTCTTGAGTGAAAAATAAGAGAAACGCTGTTGGAAAAACTCCTTTGATCAAGTCTGTACGTTAGAGATCTGAAACATTTTCTCACACCTTTAAGAGCCAACTAATTATTTTATGGCCTGGCAAGAAGAGATGTTTATTTTATTATTATTATTATTATTTTTACCATGAATGCTCTTCAGTGGGGGCACTTGCCCTCAGGACTCACTAGACACCCATGGGAGGACTTTGGATTCTGTTACATAATGGGATGGAATCAAGGAGGTCTAGAAATCTAGGGGGAAAGGGCCCCAGCTGACATGTAAATCTTTTTTACATAAAAAAAGATTAACGGGCATGAAGAAGACGCCACTGAGGTAGACTGAGAGAAAATAGGGCAAATTGCAATCATCGGCCAGCAATACAGATAATTTAATGTAATACAGCAATACAGACAATTTAATGTAATACTACTATGTGACAGATAAAAAGGAGCTTCAGAAATAGAAGATAATAAAATTTGGGAGGGGATTTGAAGGTCAGAAGTAAGATTTTGACATGCATCCCTTGTTTCTCCAGACCTCTCTGGCCTTTGGGACATTTGAGTAATTGTGTGCCAAACCCCTTCCCAATTTGATTGCAAAGTCGGGCTCCCTCTCTTTGTTCGTGTGAGCCTTAGATACTGACACCTCCTGGGCAGTTTTATTCAACCTTCCTCCAAAGTGAAAGGAACACTTCCTGACTCTTCTGATCAAACTTGCCTAGGAAGGGCTTTGCAGCAACTGTAACTTGTCAGACCTTCATTCTTCCCGGGCAGTAAACACCCTGGGGAGGGATAACTGGAAAATTCCTCAGCATGGCTGTAGAAGAGGTGCTGCTTCTGGCCCACAGTCTGCCCTCTTCCTGGTTCAGCTGTGAGCAGCAGACAGCATTCCCTATCCAGTTGCTGACACAGTTCTGAACAGCTTGACTTTGTCACATTTTTTGTTGTTTGAAGCTGGACTTAAGTCACACATAAGCACACATGCATACACCATGTGACTTGCACAAATGAGAGAGCGTTCTATGCTCCACACAGGGCAATGGCTGTGGGGTCTCCTTGCCTGCATTCTGCATATACTGTTCTGTTCCAATATCTAGCAGTTTCTTTGCCTTCATCTCCTGTTCTAGATACCTTCTTCTTCTACCACTTTCCTTTGCTCTCTTGGACTCAATGACTGCTTTGGCTACTAGGCTATGAGTCCTCAACACTCACAGGACATATTTGACATTTTCCCTCTGGCTCCTTACACTTCTGGCCACCGGACAAATATCCTTTCCAAACCTCAGCATGGACCACCTTGCCAGCACTCCTGCTAGGGCTCAAAGTCAGTTAGGGCCCCGGAGGGTATTAGATAACTGGACAGATGGAAAAACTTTGCACTTGGAAGGGTGGTATTACCACTATAAATAAAAAGGACACTATCTGAAAACATTCATAAAATTGAATCACAACATAGGGGAAGAATTTTAAAAAATAAAAGCTCTACCATGTTGTCAACAGATTACACAGACTCTACCATCAGTTTCTTGTGACCAAGCTCAGAAGATGTTTTTGTAATCTTTTTTAAGACAGCACTTGGGGGCTTTTGAATTTCTCTTTTTGCATTTTAAATATCGCTTCAAAACCACTTCAGGAACCACAAAATAGGTTAGAACTCTACAGAATGCTGAGATCCAGTGACAAAAGCAATCTGAGACAAAGATGCTGTGCGTGACGCTGACAGAGAAGGGAGGCGGACGTGGTCTGGGTAGAACACTGAGGGGATATTGGCAGGATTTCTTGGCCTCAGAAAACCCAGCCATCACAACAGGCAGTGCTGCGAGCCTGGGGATAGCTTGACTGAGAGTCAGGCCCCCTGTCTAGGGTCCTGACTCTGCCACTGATCAGCTGCATGACCTGGGGCAAGTGACTCAGCCTCTATCTCAATGTCCTCATCTGCAAACTGGGTATAATAATAAGGGCAGCCTCCCAGGATTAACATAGGAGCAGGTGAGTTAATGTACATAACATGCTTGACACACTTCTTGGCCCACAAAGTAAATGTGAACCGGTAAACACACAAGGGGTGGAAGTTGGAGGCCGAGGCAGAGACCCTTCAGTGATGGCTAGATAAAGAGGAAGTGTCCCCAGGCCTCAAGCCTTCCATTTCCTCTTTCTTGCTTCCTAACTCCCTCCTCTCTACTCCTAATTACTACTACCACCCCACTGCCTCCACAGAGAAAGCTAGTTACCGGAGACAGGTTTAACCAGCTGGCAGCTCTCCCTTAGAAACTTAGAAATGTGTCTTATTTCCTCAAACTCCTCTCTGCCATTCTGTCCAGTACAGTGGGGAGCTGCCTCTCCTCACACAGAATTAGACAACGCCTAACCGGTCAGTACCTTCAGGTGACAGAAACCCCCAGCAAACTCCTATTAGGGAACATAGGCCTGCTAGGAAGCCCATTCCAAGTAGGAGCATGAGACAGGACAGCTGAGCAACTGGCCCTGAGTGCTGAGAACTTCAGGGTTCAGAAAGAGGAGATGCTTATGTAGAACAGCAGAAAGCTTCCAATGAGTGCCTGAGGCTGCCTTGCCATAAGCAGACAGCCAGATGCACACAGGCCACACCGCACAGCAGTAAGATCATAGGTTTCCACGCCAGACAAACCTGCGTTGGAATTCATGCTCTGCTTTTTATTTTTGCACTGAGAAAAGTTCCTCTGCATCTCAAAAGCATTAGTTTCCTCATCAAATAGGCATATCTACCACACAGAGCTGATAAAAGGATTAAGTGAGATCACATTAGAGAAAGCCCTAGTTCTGCATCTGGCATTGTTTTATCATTTCCTCATCTTCAAAATTCAGCACAGCCCCCTCCACCTCCCTGCCCATCCTAGCCCCCTTCACCACCCATCCTTGCCTTGGCTCCATCTCTTCTGAGTTAGCTTGCAAACTCAACAACTCTTTTCAGACCCTGCATAGGGCACCAGAATAAAGTGGACTTTGGCTTTTGAAAGCCAGTTCCCAGTAAAGTTATCCATCGAGACTTGGTTGAACTCTGGCTCAATGAAAAGAGACGTTAACTGCCTGCATCTTTCCACAGCCCCAGACAGTGTTGTAGTAAAAAGGTTACATGAGCCCTCCTGCTGCAGGGTTTGTGGCAGCCATTTGCATAGTGAAGTGAGCCCATTTCTTTTCCCCTGTATTAAATACCCACAGGCAATAATCCTCATTATGGGCCAATGGCTTGGAAAATGTTATTATTAAATCAAAGCCATTTGCAATAAGAGAAAAAATTCATCTGCAACTATAAACTCTGTTGCTTATAGCTGGGCATTAAGGAAACAAATGGTTGCCAAGTCCCTTCAAGCCCAGCACTTCCAGGCTTAATCACAAGGCAGGTCCTTCTGGGCCGTGCTTGAAGACAGGGAGAGCTGGCCCACAAGGAAAATTCCAGGTATGTGGATTTCTTTGTGAGAGATCTGACTTGACTTTGAGTTTCAGAGGCAGTGGCCCTGGCATGCATGCTTGAAGGCCCAGCTGTGACTCAGAAGATCCTATTGGTTACCAGTTAGTTTTCTAAAAAGATATTAGGAAGGTTTAGCTTGTATATAGCTCAGTCTTTAATAAAAGACTAAGCACAGCCTTTAGGGTCAGACATACCTGGTTGGTGGTTCCAGTTGTATCACTTAGTAGAATAAATTTGAACAAATAAAATGACGAAGCCTCCATTTTCACCCCTCAGGGTTGTGATGAAGTTGTAGAGATTGCTGGATCAGAATATGTTTTAGTGGAGTTGAAGCCACACCTCAGGTTAAGGATCTTGGATCTCAGAGAGTCCGTACCTTTTCTTGGCTGCGCCGAGGTTACTCCGGCGTGTGCTCGCTCATGGGGTCTGAGTGTATGGTGAAGGCTGAGGAGACTCACCTGAGACCCATTGTGCTTCTTCCATTGCCCCGTGGCTCAGACACCGCAGCAGAGACCGAGGTCTGCTAAGTCTTGAGGGTCTTAACCATGGCTCTAATTAGAATCCAGGGAACTAATGGAAACACTATGGCCTTTCCTCAAATCAATTAATTAAAGATCTCTGGAAATGGAGCCCAGCCAGCTGTAAAGTTGTAAAAACTTTCTTACTTACCCTTTGGGGTTTTTCCAGAGGATTTGTAACCTGACCCCCAAGGTCAATGGTCTGACAAAGCCGATACCTTTATCTGTGGAAGGTTAACCAAATGATGAGATGCCCTTCCAGTGTGCAAGTTCCTTAATATACTGGAATAATTTTATTTAACTAAGTTTCCACTAGAAAAATGGGAAAGATGCTGGTCATTTTTCCAGGCAAAGGGAACTGAGGAGCTGGAGTGATACTGGGGGGTCTCGGATTCTGGTGAGCAAGGAAGAAGAGGGGAGTCACAAAGCATGAAGGCTGATGCCTTTCCATATGCCACAAATCATTGCTTTCTCCCTAATATGTGCTGGGTGCTAGAAATCCTACGGTAAACAAGACAAGTTTTCCTGCAGTCAAGGAATTTTTAATCTGGTTGGTGGAGAGATGATACATATAAAAATAAACACATCCATTTGATCTGATAGGAGCTGACCCGAGAGATTGTGCCAGTGGGAGCAAGGTGGGCAGTTCAGGTGAGGTGTAACTCGAAGAAGGGGAGCCAGGGGCAGAAACTTGGTTTGGGGCCACTGAGCCAAAGTATTGAGGATGAGAAGGATGGAGGGAATATGCATTCTGCCAGACCCTGTTTTAAAGGCCTGCATCAGGGTGGGACCCATGGAGGTAGAGACCTCTCTCCCGCACAGTGTCACAGGACAGTCAACATTCCTCACACTGATCATAGGGCAGTGAAAAGGCAGAGCACCCAGCTGAGCTGGGAGGAATGTGGGCCAGCGCTTCCCCCATGCCTGCTTGTCTGGGTGTTCTGTCTGTTCCCAGCCTCTGGGACATTTTCTTTATATCCTATCCCTCTGGGACTGTCCTAAGGAAACAGAGCCATGCAATGTAGCATCTCCATCCTTGCCCCTTTAAGTGAACGCAGCTGTTAGCAGGCTGCGTGCTGGGAAGGCCTAATGCCTGCTGCAAGCCTCTCCATTGGTACCAACTGTGTTCTCCTGCTCCTTTCTGTACTCTCTCCTAGCCTAGTTCCCATTTCTCTCCCAGTACACTGATCATTGTTTTTCTGCAATGCTCTCACATGCCTTCCATTGACTAATTATTGAATTAGCCCTTTCCTTCCCAAGGAGGTGTTTGGTGTTAGTCCTCTGGCATCTGTTCTCGGAACACCTCCTTGCCTCAGTTCCTACCTTAGCCCCAGGGTCTAACTACCTCTAGGCCTGTTTTTTTTGTTTTTGTTTTTTGTTTTTTGTTTTTGTTTTTTTGCCATGGAACCACATAAATGGTAGAAGCCCTGCAGAGAGAAGGTAGAAGCTTCTCATCAGGAACCAGGAAGAGGCTCCTCCCTGGAATTAATAAAATGACAAATAGTGGGATCATGAGCAATGACCTGTAAAATGTATAGTAAAGAATATAAAGCTTAGCGCTAACTCCTAGAGTTCATGATCCTCTAATAGTTTTCTCATTCTGTAAAGGCGATCACTGCAGCCAAGAAAAGTTATTTAATCACGGTTGCACAGTTTGTTAAAAACTGTTCTCCCATACACAGCCCAGTATTCTTTTAGCTAAAATCAAAATCTTTCAGGACCTAAATTATCACTTCCACCTTCCTAAAACAAAAGGATTACAACTGTTAACACCCATTTGTGGTAACTTCACGGGGCACCAGTTACAAGGTAAGTATTCAAAGTCCCTTTTACACAGAGAATCATGAAATGGTTCTCCCTGCCATTGTACAATAAGAGGTCCTGTTTGAGTGGAAACTAGGCATCAAGATTGGAGGGTCTTCGGGAGCCTTTGCTTTGGTGATACCACCAATTGTCTAGGTAGGGTCTGCCTTCAGACATCCACTCAGAAAGTGCTTCTTGACTTAAGAAGGCTAACTCACACTAATTCACTTACATAGGGCTGGAATATATAAATCACAGTGCCATTTCCTCCCCCATTTGTTATCAGAAGCAGAACTATCAAGCTGTTAAAATTGGCTCCCTGGTTTAGCTAGAGGAATTACAGACAAGGGGAAATATAGGCTACTTTGATTGTGATCTTTTCAGGCCATACTCACTAAAATGAGTATGATATTCTACTCATAAGTCTTTCAAAATAAAACAAATGTCTTACTTTTCCTACAAAGAAGATATTAATACTTTTTTCTGTAAATATCAAGTTATTTTCAAAAATCTTTTTCTTGTTGCTCCTATAATACTGGTGCCAGGACTGATCATTAAGGAATACTACTGGGCAATACTGGGAACGTAGTAGTAAACGCTTCTCATCTCAGTCCTTCTATACTCACATGCAGGAATCAATGGGATTGACCAGTCTTAGCATTAGACTTTTAAAAATGAAACAAACATATGTATTTGGGTCCAATGGACAAAGAGAGAAGAAATAGTACACAGTGCCCCTGTCTCCTCAACCCCCTACCTTTGACAGCAGAAGAGTCTACTGGGCCATTCTGTCTCAGCAGAGGTGGCTGAGGTTGTCATCAGTGTCCTGTTCTAAGCCATTACATTGCATATCAAAGGTGGAGGGGGGCAGCTAAGGGCCAGCTAGGGTCTCAGCATCTCATTCTGTCAAACAGGATACAGACCAGAGCAGTGGCAGGACTTAAACAGGGTTCAGTCTTACTCATGTCATAAGGAGCAAGAAAGACTATTCCTTATTGGGGCAGCCCTCCAATATTATTACATTACACATTAAGCTTTCTTATTTAGTTACATACAACAAATAGCCAACTTTATTTTCCTGCATCCAAATTAACTGAGAAATAAGGCATACGAAAATGATAAGTGGGCATCAGAATGTCAGTTTTCAGTTTGGATAAGCTGATTGGAGATCACAGCTTTAAATCTGTGACCAAAAGAGCTTCTTACTATTCCTTGCCCAATTCTTTGGCTCCCGGTCAAGTCCTAGGGACAGCTCACCTGTAGGAAAGTTTGATTCCAAAAAGCAGATGAAGCCAAGATTACTGTCTCAAACTGGGTTAGGATGTTTAGAATTCTCAGCTTCTCCATGGCACCATTTTTTGGGGGGAATTTTTAAATGTTAATAAATTTTGCTTTTCTTTTTCTAATTTTTTGATATAATATTTTCTCTGTGTGTTTATATATATATGTGTGTGTGTATATATATATACACACATACATATTTAGTTTGGAGAGATGTATATACATATGTATTTGTCTTTGAATGAGTTTGCTTTCCCAGACCAGTAATTTGCAGGAATGTGGAAGAACCACGGCAGCTTTGCAGCTTTCCAGGCTAGTAGGTTTTTCTAACAAAAGGCTCTCACATTCTCAGTTATCAGCGAGATAGTTTGATTCCTTCAAAATAGGATTTTTCTGTGACACTTCAGATAGTCCTGCCTCCCCTGCCTCTCTTTAAAAAATGGGCTGAGGTCTGGCCGGGCGTGGTGGCTCACGCCTGTAATCCCAGCACTTTGGGAGGCCGAGGTGGGCAGATCACGAGGTCAGGAGATCGAGAACATCTTGGCCAACATGGTGAAACCCCATCTCTAATAAAAATACAAAAAATTAGCCGGGCGCGGTGGCGGGCGCCTGTAGTCCCAGCTACTCGAGAGGCTGAGGCAGGAGAGTGGCGTGAACCCGGGAGGCAGAGCTTGCAGTGAGCCGAGATTGCGCCACTGCACTCGGCCTGGGCAACAGAGCGAGACTCCGTCTCAAAAAAAAAAAAAAAAAAAAAAAAAAAAGGGCTGAGGAGGGAGGATCCTGTTCTTATCTTGCTCATCCCAACTTCCAGACCCTCTGGAAATCAAGGAATATAGTTTTGGCCCCTCAGCATGTTCTGCTTACCATCAGGAGATAATATTTTCTGTGGCCAGTTCTTAGGACCTATTTTGGTGGATTTGCTTTCCACTGAAATTTCTCCTCTGCTTGTTTCTACTTATCTTTAGGAGGTTTTAGTGCAAAGTCAGCTATTTTGGCTGCCTTTGAAAATATTTTGGAGTCTGCTGCCTAATTTTACAAAAAATTTCAATATTTTGAAATTTGTTGTTTTCAATATTTCCTGTTCTTTTTGTTATTTTTGGATGATTTCCAGAAGCATGGGAAAATACTATATCTCTGCAGCCATTCTTTACTGTTAATGTGAACAAATAGCCAAGGATCAGCAGACCTTTGAAGAAAGTGCCTAACACTAAAGAGTTGAAAACCAAGGAGAAAAACATAAGCAGCCTTGAAGAAGCAGAGACAAAGAGTAGAAGAAAGCTGGAAAAAAATTCCTCAGAGATAAGAGAAAATGTTTCATCCATGAAGGAATACCAGGATGCTATATGTAGAAATACCCAGAGAACTATAAAAATATATTGAAAATTAAAAATTAATAAGGGAACATTTAAAATTCAAAAGTAAGAGCGTGTTTACTATACAAATCTTACAACTTTCCTAAAAAATTAAAAATATGGGGAAAATTCAATATAAAAGGTGAAATATAAAGTTGAGAAAATTTCCCAAAAAGAGAACAAAGAAGGAAGAAAGAGAGAGACAATGAATTTGAGGAATCAACTCAGGAGAACCAATGGCTGACAAATAAGCATTCTAGAAAGAGAGACAAAACAAAACAAAACAGAAGAGGGGAAACATCATACAAGGGAAATGTTGCAGAATTGGACCTGAATTTCAGATTTTGAGTACCTAGGACCTGGTGATGACGTATTTACATCCAGGCACCCTGTTCCAACATTGCAGAACCAGTGATAAGGAAACCATCTTAAAAGTCTTAGTGAAGAAAAAAAAAAAAAGTCTGCACGGAAAAGATTAAAAATTCAAAATGGCATTTGACTTCTCAAGCGCAACATTAGAAGCTAGAAGATAACAGAGCAATGTCTCCAAAATTCTAAAGAAGAATATTTTTCAATTTAAGATACTTCACCCACAGAAATTAACGCTCAAGTGTGAAGGTAGAATAAAGATGTTTTCAAGCAAAATATGCAGAATAAAATTGCCACCCATGCACCTTTTCTTAGGAAACTGCTGGAGGAGATGTGTCCCATCAAAGGGAGGGACTAAACTAAGAGAGGAAGATGAGATAAAGAAAGAGGGGATCTGGCACATGAGAGAGGCAAAAAGATTTCTCAAGATGATGATGGAGGAAAGCGGCAAAATGACAATCTGGGCGAGCAGGAGGCAACATGTGGAACTGGTAGGTTTCTTGCTTGCTGGGTCCTTGTGAGAAGTGTTTTTATACCCTGGAAGAGACTCTGCTGATGATTCAGTAATAGAAAGAGAGGCAAACCAACGCCCCACCCAACTCTCTTGCCAAGGCAAGGATTAATTCCAAAGAAAACAAAAATTGTACAAGAAATGTAGTCATCATGCATATGGCTCAGTGTAAAATAAATCTACAGTCAAAATAATTTAAACATTGAAATTTGATTTAAACAAAAATTATCCTACCGAAACCATCACTTTCTGTCTGCCATTCTGTATCCCCTTACCCTGCCTTTTTCACCCTAGCTGTTATCTGTCTGATAGTATACGTTTGTTTGTTTTTGTCTGTCTCTCTCATTAAAATATAAGCTTCATGAGGATAAGAACTTGGTCTATTATGGCCACCACTGTATTCCCAAATTGCCTATGGTAGTGCTGAGTATATGATACGTCTCAAAAATTTATCTTAATGAATTAATATTTAAATATAGAGGTAGATAAAGCGTGTGCATGTATGTGTGGTGTTGGCAACCTAAATTTTTATTCACAATCTTCTCAATAAATAATGTTCTAAAATAAAATAAATCAAAAATAGAGCAGTAAACCATGCTATGTAGCAATATTACAGTGAGTAGCAGAAAATCTAAAAGAGGTAGAAGTGCTTCCTATGGAGAGCAGAAGTGAAGTTTGGAAGAGGGGAAGCTTTTTTTTTTTAAGCATTACTTGACATTAAACTTGGTACATGCATTCCTTTGATAAAAAACACAAATTAAACAAACAAACAAACAACAACTAGGGATGACCTAATGCTTTTCTTTCTTTTTTTGTTTTTAGGACGGACTCTTGCTGTGTCACCTAGGCTGGAGTGCAGTGGCGCAATCTCAGCTCACTGCAACCTCTGCCTCCCGGGTTCAAGTGATTCTCCTGCCTCAGCCTCCTGACTAGTTGGGACTACAGGCACATGCCACCATGCCCAGCTAAGTTTTGTATTTTTAGTAGAGATGGCGTTTCGCCATATTGGACAGACTCCTGACCTTATGATCTGCCCTCCTCGGCCTCCCAAAGTGCTGGGATTACAGGCGTAAGCCACTGTGCCCGGCCATGCATTCATTTCTTACACGTATCATTGTTGTTTTAAAAGTGAAAAGCCTAAGAAGAGATGTTAGGTTTGCTTGTTAGGGTAGGATTAATTTCTAGGTACACCAAGCCAAATTTCCAGTCCTGCTGTTAACACCCAACTTCTTGTGAACCCTTCTTTTCTAAAGAAATAAGAACATCTGTTTACATTAGATATCGTTGAAGTTTTCTTCCATACTTTCGAAAATCAAGTTGAAGAACAACGGAAACACAAGGCTGTGAATCTCTGACTTTACACCTCTAGTTTTCTAAGGTGTGAGCTTTAACAAGCCACTTTAACCTCCCTGAATGCTTTCAATTTCTTTATTTGTGAAATGGAGATGAGAATATGAACCACACTGGATTCCAGCATTTATTAAATTAGATATCTCTGTGTGATCCCAGGATAAGGTAGATATTTGATGTCTGCTAACTTTTATTCCTGCCTTCCTTCTTCCCTAAAACTGATTGGAGTCACAGTTGAATTCGTGAATCAGAAAGGAATTTATTTGCTACACAAGTGACAGGACTTAAGCTTATGCAAGTCTATAGTATTTGAGGGAAATGTACACTTCTTTCCAGATTATTAGATATTTCCATGGGAATGCATGGTCTATATATTTTAGTGTCCGAGAAGGAACAGTTCTTTCACAGTATTGGTATTTATCATGAGGCCTGTCATAGGAGATCGAGGGTACTCCTGCCAGCCATTGTTCATCAGTGCATTCCCCAAAGCACCTAATGCTTTACTGAAGTACTCAGTCGGTGTCCCTGAATGTGGCTTGTCAGTTGAGACTGGCCAATCCATATTGTATTGTGACCAGTTTGTAGACCCTCTGTTATTCCTGTCCACGTGTCACTTGGGACAGGGGCAGGTTCAATTAAACTACAATTGTGAGAAGATCTATTAACACCTCAAATATTGAATTAAGTCACTTTGTTTGCCTAAGAGATTATATACAGACCCCTTCTCTAGCCAGTCCCTGCATAATGAATTCTCTAATAGACCTGTGAGCTCCTCTACAAAAGGTTAATGTCATTCTTCACTACAAAGCATTGTGAATGGTCCCCAGGGCTGTCTTTGGTAAAGGAAGAGAAGGTCTTGTTAAGTATTAATGATCACAGTGGCAAGTTCACAATATCACCTCCTCCCTGGGAAGGAAAACATCACTTCATTGATATTTATCAAGGGACTTCCACTGGGGACAAAGAGGACGGCCATCATTACGCTCGCTATGGGCACAGTAGAAAAGTGTACTTCTCTCCCACCTGGTATTTGCTACAATTTCCTGGCCCAGAAACAAATGAGGCTACAAATATATAATAGGGATGGCAAGAAGAGAGAACCAGGATTTTAATTTAAAGAGGGATTATTCTAATTCTACTCCTATATTTACAATAATATATCTGCTGGTAAAACTGGAGGTGATACTTTTTCTTATTTCCCATATCTTTGCATAGAAAAGCTTTTTTGAAGTCTAGGAGAGTTAAACTGTCAATCTCATGTTAAATTTGTTATTTCCCAGTCAGGGCAAATAGGCAACCACATCCCTTCTACATGGAGCACTGAGTAACAGACATTTTAGAATGTGACAGAATAAACTGAAGATTATCCCTGTCCCTGCTCCTCACCAATCAGAAAAGGAATATGAAATTCTGAAAGAATTTCTAAGAATTTATTTGGTAAGGATCATCTCTAGCAAGGAGTTTTTTCCCTTAAATAGTGTAGGATGGATCTTTTTGACCCCTTAATATATTTTCCTACAGATCCATAAAAAGGAAAGAGGTTATTATGTTCTCAGCTGGGCTCCAGCCTCTCCACACTCTCCCCATGCCTCTCACCCAGTCTGCCACAGAAAATGCTGGGGGATGGGACTGGCTTTGGGGTGGCTCTCCACCTCCTCTCCCAGATGGTCTGGACAGCAGGACTTCCCACAGTTCTCCCCAGGTCATCTCCCAGTTTCTAATCCACTCCCCACTCTGCACACAGGTGTAAAGGCCTCCTGACCACTGTTGTCTAGTGATTCTCTCTGAGCTTGTCTAGTGAAGGCCTGACATGGGAGAGTAGCTGAGGGGCTAGAAGGACAAAAGAATCACATTTTCTACATTGGCCTCCATGCTGGGCTGCTTTGTCGTCTACTCTCTACTTGCACTACTTCGTGGCAAATCATAACTTAAGCATCTTTTTTTTTTGGTAATCTGTGTCATTGAGAAATTAATTGGGCTTGCACATATAAAATGTTCAGCTACGTCTGGCAGAAAGTAAGCACTGAATAAAAAGAAGCAGTTATTTCCCTCTTCTATATATGATGTGTTTTAGAATATTTTTCTAAGATATATCTAAGTATGGCTTTCACTCTTAAAAATAGACAGGCAAATAATATTTACTGGCCCCTTATAAACTGAACATACACTTTTGAAATTTTGGAAAACATCAAAGCATATCAAAGTCTCTCTCTCTCTCTCTCTGTGTGTGTGTGTGTGTGTGTGTGTGTGTTTGTGTGTGTTTAATGTATGATATGTTCTATACCACCTGGTTTTATAATTGACATCCAACAATCCATACCCATGTAATTTATTTTCATTGTTTCAAATACCCTCTTTGCCAAAACACATTTTTGAGGTGAGTATTTTAATTGATCCCATGAAGGAAACACTTGCAATGGTGGCACAGTGAGGAGACAGAAAGGTAATTAAAGCTCAAAAGAATTGTGCTTTATAGGCATTTGGATGGTAGCATGGGTGAGCAGTACTTGCATAGGGTGAGCAGTGCTACGGGATCTTTCTTTTACCCAAAACAAGCCCTCTCTTCTGCATTCTATATTTCTGTAATTATTTTAAGCCTATCACCCTAAGTAAGCAAGCCCATTGAGGATACTGGAGAAATTTCTACTTTTTTTTTTTTTTTTTTTTTTTTTTTTTTTGAGACGGCGTCTTGCTCTGTTGCCAGACTGGAGTGCAGTGGTACCATCTCAGCTCACTGCAACCTCCGCCTCCTGGGTTCAAGCGATTCTCCTGCCTCAGCCTCCTGAGTAGCTGGGACTACAGGTGTGCACCACCATGCCCAGCTAATTTTTGTATTTTTAGTAGAGACAGGGTTTCACCATGTTGGCCAGGATGGTCTCCATCTCTTGAACTCGTAATCTGCCCACCTTGGCCTCCCAAAGGGCTGGGATTTCAGAGGTGAGCCACCGTGCCTGGCCAATTTCTACTTCTTAATAACCCTAAAATTATTTGTACCCAGTGCTTAGATTGTACTTGGCACACATTAAGTGTGCATGCATTAATACAATCATTCAAGAATTGATTTACTGAGCACTAAACATGATGAGAGAGTGGAGGAAGGTGGAAGAAGAGAAGCTATGCATTGCCATTGGCTAGTGCACTCGCTGGATATCATGTTTTTTCTTCTCCCTTAACTGTTGTAGACAACTGTCTATTTGCATTAAGGATACTCAGCATTCCCCAGAAAACCAGGAACATATATACCCCAGGTATACATAGGCTCTCCTACCTGCACTCAGTTTTTTATACTCCATAGTCTCTGGGACATAGTAGGTGCTCAGTTTATTTAGGTTGATATAACACATCCAACCATGTCTTCCATCTTCCGAGCTCTGCTTTTCAACATTATACCCATTCCTAAAACATGGCTCAAATGTCAACTTCTCCATGACCACTTTCTTGAATCCCCTCACCTTGATTTTCATTAAATCCTAAGCTTGAGTCATTACTCTTAGACAGAATTGTTTATTTTTGTATGTTTCCCTCCTTAAATATAATTTAAGGTAATGTGACCGAAGGAAAGTGAGTATGGGGGAAGAAATGTTAGGAGATGAGGTTTGAGAGGACTAAAAACTACACAGCACCTCAGGCTTACTCTTGAGAGTAAGGACTTTGGTGATTTTTCTAAATGTGATGAGGATTTTGAGTAGTAATAAAATCATTATATTTTCAAAAGATTACTTTCACTGATGCATGGAAAATACACTATAGAGATACAGGAATGGGAGCAGAAAAGCAAGTTAAGAAGCTTCTATACTGATCAGTGTGAAGAGTGATGGTGTTTTAAATTTGGTGGTAGCAGTGGAGTTGATAAGAAAAGGTTGGATTCTGGATATCTGTTGCTGTTAGAGCCAACAGATATTAATGGATTGGATATAGGGTTTGCAAAAAGAGGAGTCAGAAATGACTCCAAATTTTTGGCCTCAGCAGTTGGTTACATTTTTTAAGATGTAGAAAGAGGGAGTCTAGAAGGTAAGAACCAAGAGTTCTGTTTTGTTCATGTACATTTGAATACCTATTACACTTTTTTTTTTTTTTTTTTTTTGAGATGGAGTCTTGCTCCATCACCCAGGCTGGAGTGCAGTGGCGTGATCTCGGTGCACTGAAACCTCTGCCTCCCGGGTTCAAGCAATTCTCCTGCCTCAGCCTCCGAGTAGCTGGGATTACAGGCGCGTGCCACCATGCCCAGCTAATTTTTTGTATTTTTAGTAGAGATGGGTTTCACCATGTTGGCCAAGCTGGTCTCGAACTCCTGACCTCGTGATCTGCCCACCTCAGGTCCCAAAGTGCTGGGATTACAGGGGTGAGCCACCACGCCTGGCTGAATACCTATTATACTTCTAAGAGAGATATCATGGAATTGTATATATAAGCCTAGCATTCAGAGGGGAAAATTCTGGAGCTATAAATTTGGAGTCTTCGGTGTGTACATGGTATTTACATAAATACATCTTACAGACCTGGATGAGAGAATGTGTAGACAGAGAAGAGAGAAAGCCCTATGAACTCTAATGGTTAGACATTAGGGTTTTGAAAAGAAAAGGCAAAGGAAACTGAGAAAAAGTGGCCCATATGATGGAAAACAAAACATAACAAAATGGAAAAGTATGATGAGATGAAAGCCAAATTAATATGTTATTCAAGGAGGAGGGTGAACATTTCTGATAGTCCAACTATAATAAAAATTAGGAATTGACCATCAATTGGAGTTAGCTATGGAAAGTCAGTCATGAACTTGACAAGAACAATTTCCATAGAGTAGTGGAGGCCAACGTGCAATAAAAGTGTATTACAGATAGAATGAAATAAATGAATGGACAACAGCAAATATGGACACTTCTATCTGGGAGTTTGCTGCAAAGAGTAACAGAGTGGGGCAGTAGTGAGAGGGCACTACCTGGAGGGAGAAGTGGTGGCAAGGTGTGAAAGTATCGGACTGTGTGTTTTTAAGATGAGAGAAAGCAGCATGTCTGTATGCTGTTGAAAATAATGTGGTAAAATGAGTAAGATTTCTGATGTGCTTTTGGAGCAAAGCTTTTAAGAAACCGAGAGAAGCTGGATATCGTAGACAACAAGAAGAATTGGCCTTAGATAGAAGCAAGAAAACTTGTTCCTTGCTTGAATAGATTAACTGGTTGATTTAACTAATTATTTTAACTAAAAGACTGTTTTAAAAGACGATTATATACACGTCAGATTGCATTTATAATGGTCATTTACTATGTTTTTTTGGAAGTTTTTTTTTTTTTTTTTTTTTTTGAGTGTTGCCTCCTTGTAAAAGCCAGACAACTCATTTCCCAGCCTCCTCTCCCAGCTGGGGTGTGGTTAGGTAACTTGGTTCCTCCAATCAGACACACATCCATGAGACTTAAAATTAGAAGTGACGTCTCTACTAAAAATACAAAAATTAGCCGGGTGTGGTGACACACACCTGTAATCCCAGCTACTCGGGAAGCTGAGGCAGGAGAATTGCTTGAGCCCGGGAGGCAGAGATTGCAGTGAGCTGAGATCATGCCACTGCACTCCACCCTGGCCGACAGAGCAAGACTCTGTCTCAAAAAGAAAAATAAATAAAAAATAAAAATTAGAAGTGACTAGCATATTGGGTAGAACTCATTTCCTGGCAAGGATAGCATCACCTGTGACTTCCTTGCTTATCAAACTGATGCCCTGTATAGAACTTTGGCGTTGGAGTGGCAGACAATGTGGTTGCAGTAAAGTTGAGTTCCTGGTGTTCAAGAAGCAGAGACACAAATTGTAGCATCTGGAGCTTGATGGAGGCAGGGTTTTTGTTTTGTTTTGTTTTTATCAGACTGCTTCTGTAGAGTGATTAAGGAGGTTATTCCTGGAAACAGGACTAAGGTAAATTCTCTGGCCCTCCCAATGACTCTGGGGGTGGGGGGGGGGAAGAGCTGTACATATTTTAATATCAGCTTTTTTTCACTTAATCTGCCAGACTTGGTTTCTGTAGCTCTGGAGTTCTACTTGCAAGCAACAGTAACTGAAACTGAGTCTAGTTCATTAGGAAACTGATAAACTGCTGAACTATTCTCCTTATGTTATTTTTGTTTAAACAGATACTGTTTAAGAAAAAGGAAATAAACTATGATATTGAGAAATGAGTTTTCAACATAAGCAAAAATCTGTTAATTCACAGACCGCTTGAGGAGAGTAGCCATATGATATCTGTGATATCACATTTGAGAGTTATATGAAATTATAACTGTTGAAGAGAAAATTATGTTAAATAATCTAACAATGATATGAGGATTAATAGAGACATTGGGATAGAATCTTTGAAATGGATACTTTACTAGAATATTTAGGACTTCAATACCCAAGCGTGTATGTGCATGTATGGGGTCTGAAAACAAAGATAACTTGTAAACAACTACCCCTACCCTAGCTGTAACCATAGCAGCAAAAACTATTCATTTTCTGTCTCACATAATGTGTTCAGGTCTATCTCACTAACAATTCAGAAGGGGACATTGACAAATGATCACTATATTCACCCAGCCATTTTAAATAGGAAGGCATTTGGCTGAATTCTAATTTGACCAATGAATATTTAACTGATAAAGCTGCCAGATAAGATACTGGCCAAAAGAGAAAAAAGAGAAATGAAGCTGGAGTTGCTATCATGCAAAAATCCTTTAATGAAGGACATGAAAGGAACATTGTGAATTCTGGGCTGAAAATCTGTTCTGTATTGGGAGATGGAAGAGCAGAGCAGCTGGCCCACAATTGAGAAACTTTGAAGATTCTGTGACCTCTAGAATGTCTAAGCCATGGAGGGTATTTTTCTTCCTTTGTTCAATGTTTTGCATTTTCAAAAGAGTAAGGGAAGAAAAATGCCTTAAAATGTTTTAACTTCAAAGCAACAGAAACAAAATGAAGTATTGGAGTCATGGAAAATTCAAAGACTGCCCAAATGCTAAACTTGTCAACATTTTCCTCTTCATTGAGTGTACTGTATGATAACATCCTAGACAAAGTTTTTGCTTTCTTCAGATCTGGCCCCAAAAATGTTGCTTAGTATTAAGGCTCAAGGAGATCCAATTTCAGGTTAATTTTTCAAGCTGATTTCAAAATAATGATTAATATTTATTAACTATTCATTATTGTCTGGTACTTTATTTTTCATAAAAATTATCTGAACTAGATTCTATGTTTAGTTCTATTTTATAAATAATGAAAGCAAAGTTCAGTGGTGTTTAATAAGTTGCCCCAGGTTGTACTGCAATTTAATAGAGAAGGATCTGGTAGTGGAACCTTGGAATCTCTCTCTAGAAATCTAATGCTAAGCCATTATACTCCACCATCTCTATTTTTCTCATTCTCTAATCTTTACCTCTGCTCTTTCTTTTTTTTTCCCTTTAGTCAATTATTTTTATA
Organism: Homo sapiens; assembly: GCF_000001405.40. Classification (NCBI taxonomy): domain Eukaryota; kingdom Metazoa; phylum Chordata; class Mammalia; order Primates; family Hominidae; genus Homo; species Homo sapiens. Next base: position 8,246,009 of record NC_000009.12, on the reverse strand, counting down.
AAGCACAATGACATATAGAGGGAGATAATAAAGTCGTGCCTGACATAGTTACCATTCAATAAATTTTATAGATAGTAATGCTTATATGCACACACATTTATTATACACAGTACCATATTTAATTGCTCAGCACATTTCATTCGTGTAGGAAAGATTTTGAATGGTCAAGTTACAACCAGGGGGTTGTTTGGAAAACATTAAATAGAAGCAAGATCGTTTAGTAGAAAATCATAATGGCTATAGTCATCAACCGAAGAGAAAGGAGGGCACCCATCCAGGGCTATTCTGTCTGTTGCATCCAGCAGATAGAATGCCTGGGGCTAGAACCTTCTCAAGGTCTTACTAAGATGATCAAATCCTAAAAAGAAAATGTCTCCAAATACAAAAACAAAATTGCAAAATCAAAATTCTTACATGTACATTTACGTGTTTACAAAATGAAACATTATGACAACCTTACTCATTATTATATTTTGTTATGGTTGGAAATAATTTTCAAGTCCTCCAGAGAATGTAGGATGATTTCTGAGACATTATAATCAATGACAAATTAAATGAGTGACCTGTGGCCACATATTTTTGAAAGCAAAATTATAAATAAATTTCTTTTTAAAAATGTTTACCTTCAGAGTACATATTTAATGAGAATGTGGATATGTTTGAAATGATGAAGGTGTAGGATCTATGAAGTCTAAAAGTGCCCTTGCACTCATCCTCCATATTGGGATATTCCTGCTGCTGAGTGAAAAAGAATTCTGGAATCAGCTGTTTAAGAATTCCTCTTCTTTGGATAGTTAAGGAGACATGCTGAGTGTATAATTTTCTTGAAGAGGAGTTTATTTCCTTACAAGATTGGTGGGTAACTCTTGATGCTCAAATGCTGCCATCTCCCTTTCCCCAAAGTCTACCTCCCACACTAATTATCTTTTCTTAGTCCACTGTGCGCTTAAGGTTGGGTTAGTTGCCAAGTAGATTGATGGCTTTTGCACTCCAGCAAATATTATTAATTGGTTTATAGAATGCAGCTCGCACACATCTTAGCATTCTATAAAGTCCCCTCAGTAGTAACAGAGGCTACATTAGCATAGCAATAACAGGCTGCATTAAACTGCCCAGGAAAGAAATCGTCAGTTTAGTTTCAGAGGCAGATTTCTCTCTAGAAACTCTCCATAGGCAGACTTACTGAGGGACATTCAGGCAAAACATTGGTCAGTCTGGCTCACTGAAAAGCAATTCATGGGCAACCAAGACGCTGTTATTTCTAAAAGCAGTGCTCAAAATGGGACCTTTGTTGTCTTCGAGTTATTTAGTGCTCTCAACATATGTGGTCTGTTCTTGTGCCCCTAAATCTCCTTAAGAAACAATTCCTTAAAGGTTCTCAGTGCTTGGGATTCAGACCCGCCCACTATTCATCTCCAAGGGATATAGGAATATGGGGATTACAAATTCGCACTTCAGGATAGAAGGGAATTGAACCAGGGTTATCCTAAGATTGACAAACCCGAACTGAACGAGGCTTCTAAATGAGGAAAGTTTACGTTAAAAATCTTAGAAGACAGGCCTAAAAGGAAGGAAAAATAAGCCAGAAGTCCAAGTTAAGAAATGTAAAGGGAATCTGTTTCATTATAACAATAGGGTTCTCACAGTGGAGCTGTGATAGTGGGTAGGTTTGTAAGACTTCTTCGGGCACAATTACTGTGCCCAAATTTGACACAGTTACTGACATTAAATATGTTGAAAGTTGTCCCCCTCCCCAGATACAGACGCCTAGAGAGCTTAGCATAAATTTTAGGATCAGGAGGCCTTGGCTTACAATTTCAGAATGATCTCTCTGTAAAATGGGGATAATAACATCTCTTAGCAGGATGTTTGTACGATAGTGGATGTAAAGCACTAGTAAAGTGTTTAAGGCCTGTTAAATCATCTATAAATGGTAGGTAGATTTGAATTAGTGAACAAAAGAATATAAAACATAAATAGAGAATATTGAAAGCAGAACTTTTCCTGTTCTCCAAATTTTTCCTGCCCTTTCTTCTTATCTTTTTTATTGAGAGAGACACACACAGAGAAGTTTTGCTGAAGTAGACTTGTTTTACTTAAATAATTCAGCAAGCATTTATTATTACACTCTTACTATGTGTGAGGCATGATCTTAGACCTACCCACAGACCAAGCAGGGCTAGTATTGAATTAGATCAAATATTTAAAGTCCCCTAATTGACTTAAGTGGAATATTACGAAGAGCACAGCTGCAGGACATGGAAATTATTGCCCTAGAAAGCCATGAATTTGGTGGCAGTAAAAGCCAGCCATCCAAGCTTTTAGAATGACTGCTGTAGCACCTAACCCTTGTGTGGTTTACTGCATTTGTTGTGTCTTGATGACTCTCTTAGAAACCATGAGGCTGATGATGAATTACAACAGGGAGAAGGTAAAATATTTACCTTTACCGAAATCTTCTCTCTTCTGCCCAAATAAAAACTATCTACCCATCTTCCTGTACCTGCTCCTTCTTGAATACTTATTGCACTTATATTACCATGCAGTTTGGTGCTTCATTGGGTAATATAGGCTATTATTTTATATTTGGTTAATATGTATTATAGTTGCCCCATCACCCTAAATGTATTGTCAGCCTCCTGAAGTCAGGAGATTAGACCTTATACTTCTTTTTCCTTTGGCACCCTTAGTAACAAATAATAGTTAGAAAAATGAAGAGTAAGGGCAAATTAAATAGCACTTGATTGATGGATTACACATGGCTGCTCTCAGCATGATGCACCTTTGCTTTATAGCACTTTCCCAGTTGAACTTTTATATTTCTTGTGTGATTACTTGGTTAATATCTATCTCCCCAACTGGACTATAAGCTCCGTGAGGGCAGGGACCAGCTCAGTTTAGGTTCATTATTTGTTGTGGGTTGAATAGTGTCATCTCCCTGCCACCATCCAAATTCATCTCCACCTGGAACCTCAGTATGTGATGTTATTTGGAAATAGAGTCTTTGCAGATGTATTTAAAGTAAGAATTAATATGAGATCATACTGGATAAGAGTTGGCACTAAATCCAATGTGAATATCTTTATAAGATACAGAAAAGGACATACAGAGACACAGAGAAGGTGAAGTAAAGACGGAGGCAGAACCTGGTAGAGTGCATCTATAAGCCAAAGAACACAATGGATTCCTAGTGACCACCAGAAGCAAGGGGAGAGGCATGAAACAGTTTCTCCGTTAGAGCCTCCAGAAAGAACCGACACTGCCAACACCTTGATTTTGGACCTCTGGCCTCCCAAACTCTGAAAGAATGAATTTCAGTTGTTTCTAGCCATTCAGTTTGTGATAATTTGTTACATCAGCCCCAGGAAACTAATATACCATTGTATCCCTGTTATGTAGCAAAGTATTTGGGCATAGCAACGGTTCAATAAATAGCTGTGGAAGTGACTTTTCCATGTAACCAAAAACCACCTGTTCTCCAAAAATGATTGAAATAAAAATTAAAAGAAAATATCTGTGGGGGGAAGGAAGGTAGGTCAGTTCTTCCCCCCTTTTTTATATCTTTTGCTAATTCAGTGGTTCTCTAAGTGTAATTCTTGGAGCACATGCTTTCAGAATCACCTGGGTGCTCATTGAAAATTCAGATTCCCAAATCAGCTGAATAAAAATCTCAGGGGCTGAGAGTATGTTTCTTTAATAAGCTCCCATGGCAGGGCTTAGGCTCATGAAAATTTCTCAACTGGGGCTCGGCTTTTTTATTATAAATCTTAAGGCTTTTTGAATTCTATCAAAGACATTTCTCTAGCCGGCATGGACAATGCACCTGATGGGAGGAAGCCTGCCTTCTTACAGCAGGTGTGAGGCTGACCGCCTCATTAACGCTGCTGGGAATTTCTGAAGCAGAGTGCTCCAGCTGTCTGTTCCTTTTTTCCTTGAGGATACACCTGGCTGCTTGACATGACCCCAAATCTTGTCTAGAGGTGAGGTTTTCGTTTCCAGAGCAGTTTCCTCAAGAAAAGAATCAAAGTCAGAATAAGATGGATGTAGAATCCCTCCATCCTTAGGACTATTTTTTTTCCCAAACAGTAATGTCCCCATAGCATTACTTTCAAACTTCTGCAAATTTCAAACTTCGGCAAATTTCAAACTTCCAACTTCAGCCACGTTTCACCTCTCAAAACATGTGTCTCTCAAAAGACAGGTGATAGTTTATTACAAACAGGATATTTGTGTTTCATATTCATCACCCATTTATGGCTTTCTCATCCAATTTGCTGAGTCCTGAAATCAAAACACATATCAGGCTGCAAGCTCAAATTGGCATCTGCAGGATCAAGCTGCGAGCTTTCTGCTGTGCGGTTCCCTCCAGGAACTCTCCGAAACTTGCAGTTGTCATTCACGTGGGTGTGAACAGCTCTCCGGGTCCTGTGGCAGGGCCAACTACCCTTCCAGGAGTCTTTCTCTAAGATTTTTAATCCTGTTGTTAGGATGCCTTCTTTCTGCACACCTGAAATAACAACCCAAACGTCAAAACAAGAACTGGGGAAGTTAGTTCAGCTCCATGACTTTGCACTAAGTCTGGGAGGATTTGTGGGCTTGTCAGGAGGGATTTGTTGCAAAACCCAAGTGAATCATGGAGTGGAGGTGCATATTAAGTCAAAGAGGCAGAGAAGGATGAAAAAGAAGCGTCACGGAACTTTGAGCTAGGCGGTGTGTCCAGACTTCTGTGCAATACCAAACCTTTGGCTTTAACTAATAAACTGTGTTGCCCCTTTAGAACAGAATAAACCAGAGATACCAGAGTTTACAGTGGATTCGAAGCCACATTTCTACCACCAGAAAAACAAAGCTTAGCCAACTCTTGCTTTTTTTTTTTTTTTTTTTTTTTTGGCTGCACATTAAACACCATCCATCTTTGTCACACACGCTGCCTTGAAATCTCAAAGTTACCTTTAGCTTACCCTCACTCTCTGTCACCCCTTCCCATATCATGTCTGTCACAAATTACCATCCGTTTTTTCTATGAAACACGGGTCCCATATATCCCTTTCCTAAAGCTGGCCCAAATGCTCTAGGTCAGCCACGTGGCTCTGCTAATTCTTTGAAGTTTTTTTTTTCACATTTGTTGCCTTCACTATTCTTTTGAAAATTTAGTTACCTCCTGCTTATCGCTGATACAGGCTGGGAACTTGGGGTTGTCTTTGGATTACTCCTTTGCTCTTCCTTCTTTTGACTTAAATTACCAAAGCCCTTCTTTTTGTTGTTGTTGTTCTTTTTTTTTTTTTTTTTTTTTTTTTGGAGACGGGAGACGGAGTCTTGCTCTGTCGCCCAGGCTGGAGTGCTGTGGCATGATCTCAGCTCACTGCAAGCTCCGCCTCCTGAGTTCACGCCATTCTCCTGCCTCAACCTACCTGTTTCTGTTTCTGTTTTGTTTTTAGATAGAGTCTCACTCTGTTGCCCAGGCTGGAATGCAGTGGCACAGTCTCTGCTCACTGGAGCCTCCACCTCCCAAGTTCAAGCAATTCTCCCACCTCAGGCCTCCCAAGTAGCTGGGATTACAGGCACCCACCACCAGGTCTGGCTAATTTTTGCCTTTTTAGTAGAGTCGAGGTTTCAACATGTTGGCCAGGCTGGTCTTGAATTCCTGACCTCAAGTGATCTACCCACCTCAGCCTCCCAAAGTGCTGGGATTACAGGGGTGAGCCACCATGCCCAGCCCTTTTGTTCTTCATTACTATCATCATCATTCTCATCTGAGCCTTTACACCTGGGTTTCTGCTAAAGTGGCCTTGATATTGCCTTTGGCAACTAAGGGAAATCTTGCCTTTGTTTCCTTTGCATTCTTCTTTTTTTTATTAAAGAAATACAAAATAGTTTGATCATTCTACCTGTTAATAATAGAAATAGCTGCTATTTATTGAGCACCTAATATGCTCCAGACACTTTACTAACTCTGCACAGAAACCAGTTCAGCAGATCTGATGTACAGACTAGAAATCGGCATTTTCAGCAAGCATCCCAGTGTGGATCACTCTTCTAGAAAGATTGCTATATACTGTGGAAAGATAAAAAGTACTCTAAATCCATGATTTTATCTATTTGATGGGGGACAAGAAACTTATTTTTTGCATTATTCATGTCGTTCTGGCCTAGTTGTTTGTTCCAATAAGAAAACATTTTATGTTTTGATTTTTAAAACTCTTTACCTTTATACTCCAGGATTGTTTTTTCAATATTCTTTCTTCCTTACTCATCACTATTCAAAAATAAGAGTGGACCCCAGTGGTCATTCTGTAGATAAACAAGCGGCTACCTAATGGCCTAAAACACACAATGGAAAAGATTTAGAATTGCACTATTTTAGGGCTGGAAAGCCTTTAAAGATTATATGGTCTTAATTTTAGAGTCAGAGGGACAGTATTCATCAAAGCTTACCATTTCAGAAAAGCTGGTCAAAAGTGATATATGATATAAACATGGTGAGCAGCCAAGGGAAGAGCCATTAAGGCACTAAGTTGTTAATAACTACAAAGAAGGCAAAGAGGGGTAATGTGTCTGGATATAATTGAAGTTAAATATAAAAATGTGACTTGCTTTGACCAATGAAATGTGAACAGAAGGAATTTATGTCACTTTTGGTTAGAAACTTTAAGTATCAAGTGTAATTCTCTGTGTCCTCTTTTTCTGGCTCAGCAATTATGGGAGCACATGAAAAAAAATGGGGCTCCATCAGCCTGGGCCCCTGAGCAACTAAGATGAGAAGACTTTCTCTGCTGCAGCATGCACGCCTAAACCACTAAAATTGGGAAGTTGTTACCATAGGAAAATTGTGGCCTATCCTGACCAATATTCTACTCTTCCCCTAGTTCTTTAAGCTGAGTGGGTTCACTAATAGTGATGATGATGATGATAACAATAACATTTATCAAGAGTTTACCACATTTACCTGCTATGTGCTTTATAGGTTTTATGTCATTTAATACTTAAAGGGTCATTATGAGATAAATGCTGTCATAAGCCTTGTTTTATAAAAGAGAAAACTGAAGTATAGAAGATCAAGATCATATCAAAATAAAGTGGGAAAACAGGCTCGTATTCAGGCATTCTGATTCCACAGCTTGCTTTCTTAATCATTAAATTGCTTCAGCTAGATCATAAGTCAAAGATGCTAATTCCTCCAAGTGTATTCTACAAAATGCTAGTTTTATGGAATATTAACTAGCATTACTTTAAAAATGCATTTAAATCTTCTTCTTAAATATGTTTATGAAACACCAAGTTAAATAAAATAAAATAGATTTAAAAAAAAATCTCAGAACTTCTAGATGTCTTTAGGATCTGCTTGATCCTTTAGAATCTCTGCTTGAACTTGATCTCATTGTCATCTTTCTGGCCCCAGGTTTCTTGTTCCACCTCTACATCCCTCTTTCTGGCCCTACAAGTAGTAATATTCTCCATCCCTCTGTTGTTGATTTGAACTTCAACGTCCCTGTATGATCTTCTGTTTTGCTGGCTCCTTGGATATCTGTATCTCCTGTTTGGGTTGAGAATTCTCCAGAACAGTTTTCTGCTTCACAATTTCTAGGTCCCTTTTTTATTACGCTGGTGAATAGATAGATATCTAATGCACAAAAAGGGAGAACATTTCTTGATCTTCTTTTCAATTATTTTTCTTTATATATTTTCAGAAGCTTTTCTTATTGCTGTTCTTCTTGTGGCTTATTTAATTGAGATCACTCAGAGTTTCCAAGTTTCTATCACTTTCTTCTCCATATTCCATTTGAAACCCTCTAAAGCACGTCTTCTCATATTAATGGACTATGTTTTCCCTCTTTTCAAAAGCTAACGGCGTTCAAAAAATTTGATGGTGGTAGTGGGAATTTTAGAAATGGACTTTATGTAATCTGGGATCATTCAGTAATTTTCTAGTAAAAAAGACTAAAGATTTCTTTAATCTTTAGAAAGTTGATAGTCTTTAGGAATAACATTATTACCTGTTTTGATATATCACGGGACTTTGAAATAGCCCAGGTAGGAGACACAACTTCCAAAGTCTTGGATGTGGAACTCAGAGAGCTAGAAGAAATTTGCCTGAAGAAAAACCTTAGCAAAGTCTAGCAAAGTTGGACAGTTCAAATTTTTATATGACTTTGAGAATTTGGTGAATATTATCAAACCTTTCTTCATAAAACTACTGTTCTCTCCATCCATGTCAAATGTTCGTTCTCTTAGACCCCCAAGGTTTGTTCTCTGGTCCCTTAAGTGAACAATGCTTAATAAGGGAGGGAATTATCATGTAAATTGTGTTATAAAGAAATGTGAATACCATCAGTATGTTGTACTCCTGAAATGCTGCACTGAGGCCAGACTATATCACCTTACATTGAAAAGGATTGAAAATCTTGTGCTACTTCCATTCTGTGTGTGGAATCAACATTTCCAGCCATATTGGAGAACATGAAAGAATTAAGTCAATGTCTGAGGGTTATCTTATTCTTAAGGTAGCACTTTAAAAAGTAATTTGGTAAAACCATGCAAGTATTGCTGTGTTTTTACAATTCTGAATCATGTACTCGACTAATCTGAAATATTAAAAACAACTGTTAGTTCTCTTCTCTCCCATTGAATTTTGTTCTTTATAAATACCATCAAGAGAAAATACATCTGGGTTAAATGTAAACATCACAATGCTTTGCTAGTGTTGCAATTTGGAATAGCCCCTTTTCTTGCATTGAAAATCACTGATTATTCAGAGCTAGTTATAGAGAGCAAAATATCCATGTGATTGCATGGTTTCGATTACCATCATCATAATGCTATGTACAAAGGCTGATTGCCTTCTATTTTGTACTTCTTGTTAAAACTGGGTTAATAAGAGACTTTGCAAAGATATTCTCCTCTTCACATGAAATTGTTCAGAGAAATGCAATGCAGAAACTAAAATTATTTTATTGTTAAAGAAAGAATTGGCCTATTCTACAATTTTTGTAGTGGTTGAAAATATCTCATCATTAATGTATTTATTGATTAAAATGATTGTTTTATATCAAGCAAATTTTGGTTTCTTACATACGTATAATGCTGGTCTCCGTAAGACTTGCGACCAACGATTTAGAGCTACATTCAATTTAAGATTAATAGACTCACAGTGATCCTTTTCTGCCTATATATTTTATCAGTGGTAATAAATTAGAACTATTTCATTACAAATGTCAGGAACATGAGTTATTTGGGGTAGTCTTTCTGGGATTAGTAATTTCCTTATGAAAAAAATATGATGATTTATGAAAAATAAAATGAAAAATATGATGATTTTTTTCATAAGTGTTTATATTAGTCCATTTTCACACTGCTGATAAAATCATACCTGAGACTGGGTAAATTACAAAGAAGAAGAGGTTTAATGGACTCACAGTTCCACGTGGCTGGGGAGGCCTCACGAACATGGCGGAGGGCGAAAGACACATCTGACATGGCAGCAGGCACGAGAGAGAATGAGAGCCAAGTGAAAGGGGTCTTTCCTTATAAAACCATCAGATCTTGTGAAACTTATTTACTGTCACAAGAATAGTATGGGGGAAGCCACCCTCGTGATTCAATTATCTTCCACCAGGTCCCTTCCACAACACATGGGAATTATGGGAGCTACAATTTGAGATGAGATTTGGGTGAGGACACAGCCAAACCATAACAGCATTCAACAGGCAAAAAATGGTGTAAGGAGAAAGAAACGTAGTTGATATCAGTAACATGTTTCTTTATGGATAGGGAAGCAGAAGAGAGTGGGTTGGGAAATCAAAGGTAAATTTTTAATTTCTAATCCTGGATTCATTAAGTTCCTTCCCTTAGCTAGGCCATATCCCCCTGTATGTAAAAGGAGAGATTAAGCCTTGTTGATATGAAAACTCAGCAGCTCTATAACACACTACAAAGGAGCTAGAACCTCAGAATTTAAAAGTTACAAAAATGGAAGAGAGAAAAAAGGAAATTTTCATGTTTTTTAATAACATATAAGCCAAATCATTACAGGCTATTGATGTTGAAGGATATGATTAAACTACTTACTAGTGGGAAGTGATGTGAAGGAATTGAGATTTAGTAAAAGGTAGAAATCTGTTTACATTTGTTTTAAAAAATGTTGCTTATTGTGGTTTGACTTGTGAAATTACTGTTATACTTAGAAGCAAAAAGAAATCTTTAGGTGGTTAAGAAACTTTTGAAAGTTATAATGCATTGATATGATCTATTTATTCTGCTTCTCTGTTATCTATATAATGCTTATTTACAGGTACCTGCAAAGCATTCTGTTCACCTAGTGGCTGCTAACTGCAGGTGTGGCACTGGTGTTATTGTTGACCTATTACATGCTTTCCTGTTGTGCATTTGACATCAACCCTTCAGTCCCCCAACAATGAACTGCATTTCTATTGAATAATTTGTTGCTGCTGGGGGCAGAAATGTCATTTTTCACTATACAAACCTAGTGGTTTTAGGCATATACTCAAGTGATACAGACTACAAGCTATATCCCTATTTCGCTTTTCAGGGGCAAAGATACCTAGAACTTTGTAAACCTAAGTGATGTTATTCTACACTATGCCAGGAAGAAAAGGATGGAAGAGGGGTGATGTATTCTTGAATGAAAATGAACAAAGTATTTTATTTCTAATGGCATGTAGAAGTTTTTCAGGATTAAATATCTATTTAATGTGTCAATAGACTAAAGTATGCATGTGTATTTACTCCATCAGTCTACTAGTATGAATCTGTCCTAATCTGAAACACCCAAAAAGCTTTACATTTAGATGTTCATAGTACCATTATTTATAATAGTGAAACATTGGAAACAGCAAAACTATAGGTAAATAGATGTGTTAGGAATTGTATATATTTGATGTATTATTCATAATTTTAGTAATACAAATCACAGAAATAATGGAGGAAATGCTTACAAAATAGCATTAGGTTAAAGCCACAAAATTGCAATATACAAATAGCATCATCACCATTTTGTAATGCAAACCCTGGCATAGAAAAGCAATAGAAGACATGCACCTTATCGTTGGTAGTGGCCATGTTTAGGAGGTAGGATGAAGGAGGGTTACATGGTGAGACTAGTGTTCGCATCTTTCTAATTTTCTGCATTTCTCGCATTTCCTCTAACAAGCATTCATTTCACAATTAAGTTGAAAAATACAAACATTTCATTTAGACTTTTATTTGAATCCCTCCAGTTCTCAGGTAGCAACGGAAGGCACTTGTAAAGCTCAAGCTGCCCTGCAGAGGTTCCTTCCCAGAGTCCAAATCCTCACTAACATCCTCCTTAAGCAGCTTAGCATAAAGCCGGCTCTGAGAGTGTTCCTCCCACCCCTAGCCTTTCTACTCAGCAGTGCCTGCCTCCCCTTCATCTCAGATCTGGAATTACATTAGAATCCCTTCTCCCTCAGCCTGTGCCCTTCTCCCCAGAGCCCCAGCAGGGCCTTTCTTCTCTTCTTTCTTGATTTCCCTTCCGAATCTTCCTGGCATTCTCATTCCAAGGCCAGATGGCTGATTTTCTGAAGCATTAACACTTCCCCTCTGCTGACTTAGAACTGTTTAAAACCCATCACCCACACCTCCCTGGTAAGCAGGTTTCTACCACAGCAGGCTGCATGGTGGGATTTGGCGAGTGTGGGGAGAGTGGAGATGGAGAAACTGTCCAAAAAGAAATTGGCCACTACGCTAGTTTGGTTTTACTGCATTCATTTGGAACACTTGGAAAGCATGGAGAGTGCTTGATGAAGACCCATTAAAGGGAAAGCTGGATTGTTTAAAGAGCCATCAATTGTGTTAAGCCTGGTTCAGCAATTCAGAATTTTATACATAGATTTTCAGTTTTGCCTCAAAAATCGCCATCGCCATTGCTTACGTCCAAAAAAAAAAAAAAAAAAAAAGCACAACAACGTACAGATAAAAGACTTCACTGACATCTACTTTACATGGGCTTAGGCAGGATTGGAGTTGCTAATTTGTTTTCACTACTGGTGAATCTGAAAATGTGAAAGGAAACCTCAAGTCCTTCCAAATAGTGGAGAAAGGAAAGTGTGCATCATGCCTCTGGTTTGGTTTCAAAATATCCATGAATAAATTGCCCCTGCTCTGGGCAGGTCACTGTGCAAGGAATGGTGAATAATAAATATGAATAAATACAGAGTCTAAGTCCTCAAGAAGATTACAGTGTAATAGTGGAGACTGCACCCCAGCCTACCCCAATAATGGGAAGAGCAGAGAGAGACTGGAATGGGGCTGAGTTCAGCAGAAAGTGTCTAAGTTGCATAATTCAGCAATTCAGTAACATCATCAAGGACAAATGTCCTTTAGTCTTTCCTCTCTGCCATCCTCCGGGATGTATGCCTTTTTTTTTTTCCTTAGGTTGGATTCCTTAAACACTTCATAGTGGCTAAATGTTGAAGACACCATTCAAAGGCAGAAGAGAGAAATGTCCCTTTCTTATGTTTCTTTTAAAAAGTCTGATAAACTCTCAGCTGACTTCCTCTCCCATGTCATTGTCTTGAAAACGTTATATAAATTTTCTAAAACCAATTACTGGGAAGGGTTAAAAATGAGTCCCAGAATTATCCAATGAATAGCAATTGTATAGCACCATATTATCTTGTGGTAAAAAGATTAATTTATTAAATGTGAACTTTAAAAATACACTCCAACTTTGTGTAGTTCTGTTTTACATTTTTTCATTTGTTTTATTGTTCATACATTAACATTATGTCACCGTATACTAAAAAAGTAGAAATAGCCCAGCCTCTCTCAAGCTCTGAGAAGCTCTGTGGGGAGACTGGACTAGCCACAGGAGACTCATGGAAAAGCAGTATGACTGGGAATCTCTCAAGCTACTTTGGCCAATCATATGATTTAATACTTAAGAAATAGAATAAATTTACCACTCTAGCACCAAGCAGGCCCAAAGATTCTCTGGAAATTATGAAATGCCTTTAATGGTTTGGTGGCCCACACTGAGTTCTGGTGTCATTTTGGCAAAATGAATAAGAAGGAATCACAGGGTGAGCTCTTCATGCCAATAATGAACGTAACGGAAATTGACTTCTTTCCATTCCAGCTGCAGCAGCAGGAGTAGTATTGCTGCCAACAGAAAACTCCATCATGGTTTACAGTTGAAATACTGGTCAAATTGAAGGGCAGGGGTAGCATTCAGCACAGATGCTACATGCCAAATTGCCAATCTCATGCCCAAAGCTTTGCTTCTGGTGTCACAAACACCTCCTTTGAGATTGTTTATCCTGTTCTAGCCTTTTGACTAATGAACTATTCATTAACATTCATTAGTAATAACAACTGTCATCTGTACATTTTTTGTAAAGTGCTTTTCCTTTTATGTTATCTTATTTAATCTCTGCAGCCACTCAGTGAGCTAGCTATTATTATTATCATCTCCTTTTTACCTGCGCAGAAATCAAACTCAGAGATGTAACATGTGTAACTTGCCCTAGGTAAAATGTATAAGCTTTGAAAACGAGAGTTGAGCCTATTAAAAACCCAACATTGGGAAGCTGGGCAACATACAACTCTGGCCTTGGGAGAACTTATTTTGTTGCTGGAAAAATGAGGAATGCAGATAAAGAATATCCGGTAAGTTGTTGGAGGCACTAAATGAGAGGCACACAAGAAAAGTACAATGCAGGGGAGAGGAAGCAAAGTCCATCATTTATTGGAGTAGTCCAGACTATTTATTTGTTTCTTTTCAAGGTGGAGGTAAATTAATGTTTTTGATATCTTTCAGTGCTGACATGTTGGGTTTTGATATTCTATTAGCCTCTAGGTGACATCATAAGATCTTACGCATGGTCTACACCCAACGGCAGAATAAGGAGATCAGCTCAACTTTCCAGTTCAGGTATCAGCAATAAATACTGTGACCTCAGATAAACCTTAACTCTTAGGGTAATTAAATTCATATTTTTTTTCCCAGTGACTGCCATGAGGGAGAATTGAGAAAAGTCATGATAGTTTAGTAACTTACAGGGGAAACAAAAATAGCCAGGAAACACATCGGATAGAAACATAGAAATTCAGAACCTAACTTTTAGAATCTTTTCTCTTTTGAACTGGAATGACCTTCTTCATGCTTGTCACTTATTATGATGGGTATTTCTATTTGTAGAAACCAACCACTTGATACATTAAAGGAGCCTTTCAGAGGATGTTTTTCACTTCTACTAATTTCGGGCTTAGAATTCATCACTGAAGGTATGAAACTCTCTTCTGTGGAACCAACCCACACATGATCTTTTTATTCTGGTATCAACTCCTGGATTTTTTGTTTTATCATTGAAATTATCTGTATAAAATTTAGTATCAAACCGATTATTTAAGCTGTCCACTGATAATCGAACAACCAGCAGGTATGAGTCTCTTAGCGTAGGAAAATTTGATAAAACTATCCCGAAAGGTCCTTGTGATATTGAAGAAAAGAATTTTTGTGGCTGTCTGAACTCAAATCTATCACAAGTATCCAACCCTTTGAGAAAACACCAACTCACTTCTAGAAGTATTGCTCCTTGAAATGTGGCTTTCTGAATGTCTTCTATGTCTATTGTTCAACAAAGATCCCCTCCACCGTGTTGTCTTCTGTTCTGAAGCCACTTATCTGCAATTCTGAAGCCAAAGTGCTCAACATACATAAGACTTTAAGGATAAGACTTCACCAACAGTACCAATGGAGTAGATAAGGGAATGAAAAAATTTGAAAGAAAAAGCTTGCCAGTGCAAAATTGTCTTTAGCCATGGCTACACAGCTTACAAAAATGCTACCATGGAAACCTTCTAAATTTCTCTAAGTTGTATGTATTTTTTAAAGAAAACATAACAAAGTCCTCAGTTGGTTAGAAAAATAACTGAAGATATTTTGTAGTTGTATCAGAGCTTTGATTTCAGGAATGGTTGGCGATGTATGAAGGCACTTTCAACTCTGTAAATATTATGGATTTGTACTTTGAAAATAGCAAATTAAGGAATGATGGCAAATAATTGAATGGTCATGACAGTACTATTTTTTTCTTTGCATATTTTCAAAGCCAAAGAAGAAAAACTTCAAATTGAATTTCATCTTGAGCTAAATTAATTCCCAGGGTATTCCTTTCAAGAGCCTTAGTAAATCAGCACACTGTGAGTTTTTCCTGGTACTCAGATATGTAAACTTGGTGTCCCTTTTATCCCTGGTGCCTTGAGGTTAAGGCCAACAGATGGCCCGTGACTTATTTAAAAGTTTTCTGTACCAACAAAATAAAGCAGAAAAAGTGCAGAACAATTGCCTAAGCCTAGCTTGCATTTGATGTTGCTTGTACACATTTTAGTATATCTTATTATTTAAATTTGATTTAAGAGTTTGGAGGAAGGAGGGAGGCAGAGGTACCTGTAGAGTGATCATATCCTATAAAAAGTTGCAGGCCTGGGAAGCCTTGAGATCCCTCTCCCCTGTGACAGGCAGTAGTCAATCTCTCAGTGGTACAAAGTAAAGGATTAGGTTGGTGCAAAAGTAATTGCGGTTTTTGCCATTACTTTCAATTATTTTAATAGGTGAAGGGCAAGAAACAGAATTGTGGTAAACAGTTCTAGGACAGCAGAAGATTCTAATTGTCAGCATGGGGTTCATTTCTCCTTCAGCCAACATCCAAACCACTGCTTAAGTATACAAGGGAAGGCTTCAGGATATCAATAGCATCTTAATGTTCAAAATTCACAGTGATAATCAGTGACTGCAGAATCACTTATATCTTCCTTACACACTAGAGTTATCTGAAATTAGTGTTGGTAGTTGATAAGAAATAATGAGAACACTGTAAATGCCTTCACTCAATCCAATACTGTGTTAATCTTTTTTAAATGTTTTATTGAAATCCAAAAAGGATAGAGAGGCTGAAAGAATTTCTGACTCAGCCTGTAGTTCTTCAAGATCAATTACTGTCCTCATTACAAGATACTTACATTTACAGATAGGAAAGGTATTCCCCCTCCAAGTCTCCCCTTCTCAGTTTTTATCAGAATTTGATTTTGCAAAGACAATAAATGACAGCAAAATGTGGTTGCAATAAAATAATAATCACAAAACAAGCTGATTTTGGCATAAAAATAACAAATTCCTGTGAAGAGGTTCACATTTGTGGGGCTCAAATAAAATGTTAATGTGATCTTGTATAATAAAAGGTGACAGGGGAAGAAATTTAAGACAAATTGTCATAAATATGGTGAGGAAAATTTACAACTTAGTGATGTTACAGTTCCGCTCACATCAACACTCTGTGTTCAGTTGTTGGTGGATGGTCTAATTAGTTCTTTCTGTTGTACTATATTAAGGGCAACCATTTCTCTTCAGCAAAATGGAAATGAAGAAAAGACTGAAATTTCACTTTGCAGTATCTCTTTCTCAGATTTCTCATTCTATGGGTTCTTCTTTCATACCATTCCTTTCCCCATTTGTTTTCATTTTCTTTGCTAGGAACTTTTATTGTCCTAACGTTTAAATTCCTGAATTTTCACCACATCTTGGACGCTGGCTTTAATTAAGTGTTGGTCGTTCATCACACAAATATGTTTTTGATTAGAACAAGCTTGTCCAACCTATGGCCCAAGGACCTCATGTAGCCCAGGACAGCTTTGAATGTGGCCCAACATATGTTTATAAGCTTTCTTAAAACATTATGAGAATTTTGTGCGTAATTTCTTTTTTTTTAAGCTCATCAGCTATTGTTAGTGTTAGTATATTTTATGTGTGGCCCAAGACAATTCTTCCAATGTGGCCCAGGAAAGCTAAAAGATTGGACACCCTGGTTTAGATCATGGTATGTATTGACTGTTGTTCTTAATGTCTCATCTCAGCCCTCACATTTTCAGATAAGCCCTTACTAACTTCCTGATTTAGGTCAAAGCCCCATTATCTGTATAATGTATCTTTCTTTTATATCACCTTTCACAGTTGTAACTTTCCTTTTATTTGTTTGACTTCATTTAATTGTAGACTTCTGACTAGCCCTTAGCTCAAAGTGTGGTAGAGTGCATGTCTATTTTTGCTTTCCACTGTATGCTCCATGTCTAGCCCATAGTATGTGCTCAACCAATATTTAATAAATGAATAAACTAGAAAAGTCTTGCTGCGCATAACATTTGCTGACTAACAAGCATCCTAAGCATAACAAATCCAAAACTGAGGTCTCAGTCCTTCCAAACTCTTTTGTCCTGTAGTCTTCTCCATTCTGATAAATGGAGGAAAACTTAGTTTTCCTGCTTCTTAGCCCCAAATTCTTTGCGTGATCTTTGACTCCTCGCTCTTTTTCTCACACTACAACTTCATTTCATCAGTAAAGCCACTTGGCTCTATCTTCAAAATTCTGTTTATGCAGAATTCAACCACATTGCCCCATGTCCACTGTACACCTTCTAGTCTAATTCACTATCCTGTTTGGCTGGATTAGTGCAATGGCCTCCTAACTGGTCTCCCTTTTTGCTTCTTCACCTCATTATATTTATTTCTGACACAGCAGAGTATTCTTTTGAAAACATAAATCAAATTATGTTACTCCTCTCTCAAACTCTCCAATGGCTGTCTACCTCCTCCCTGGTAAAAGTCCCTATGGTGACTTACAAAACCCTGCACAACCATGACAATAGGCACTTTGCTGTTATGTTACCTGCTATATCTGCAGTGCATAGGAAAGTCAGCAGCACAAAGTAGACACTCAATATTTGTTGAATAAATTTCTGCACCTACTAGTCAGAGGCTATGTTATTTAAAAAAGTATTCTCTGACTCTTAAAAAAATAGACCCTTCTAATCGGTTCCAATGGATACAATTACCTGTTAGTTAACTCATACTAATAGTGTTCAATACATAGCATGACATTGTGAACCTTTGTTCCAAGTCCTACTCCGGAAAAACATGCATAACTATACTTGTATTGTGAAGTCAATTTTGACTCGTTAGGAAAATCATTATTGCAATCAATATTAGCTCAAAGAATCATTCAAGGGCGTACTATGTCACAGGCTGCCTATTGTGGTTGCCTGAACTTAGAATTAGGAAAAAAAGAATTCTACTTGGTAATTTAGTCTGTTTTTGTGCACTAGAACAACTGCTCAGTTTGGTGGTGATTTTGTGACATTTTTCAGGTAGCGGAAATCATAATCTTGGAATATTTTTGGTGAGGATTTTTCATTTGCATTTTGACAACTGGCAAATCACTAAATCTACAATTCTACACCAAATCATATGCCAATATCATTAGTGTTTGCTTCTGTAACCTGCTTGTGATATAAAGATTTAGCATGGTACAATTTAAGATCTTAAAGGGAAAATAAGGTAAGGGGGATGTAGTCATAGTAAGCCTCTGAAAGCAATTTATAGGATTTTCCCCCCTGTACATACTAGCATATGCAACTAAAGTGAATAGTGAATATGTTAAATTGAGAAGATAGTGGTGACATTTCATATAATTTAAATGAAAATTAATGGCTAATGTACTATGAATTTCTACCTGTCCTTGATCCTAAGATGGCTTTCTGAGATGATTTTGATGTTAAAATTGAAATGAGGAATGATGAAAGGAGTAGAGGAAAGGTGGTGATGTTAAAAGGTGATTATTAAAAGATTGGCTTCTGAGCTGTTCATCCTTCCTCAAACCCCTTCATTTCTATACTTTGAAGTGCATCTAAGGGTGTTTCAAAAATTCAGTTTTGTTCTTGTGGTTGGAGAAGCTTTATAATTTTGTTAACTACATCTCATTAATTCAACAAATATTTATTGAGCACCTACTTAGAAAAGCCGGATGCTTTTCTAAGCTCTGGATTTGAATGCTATTGCATGCATTTCAGTAGAGAGCCATCACATGTCATTCAGAACTGTCTGGAAGGAAGATTTGTCTGATGAAAAGACTCAACAAAATTAGAAGCAAAAAAGAATAATTTATCTTATTTGGATAAATATATATATATATATATTTCAACCATTTAATATAATAACAATTATCTTGAATAAAATAAATGGGGATTTATTGAAGAATCAGGTCATTTTATATGCAAAACTTTTTTACAAGTTATTTTAATGATTGATTTTCAGGTGATTGATTTGTTATTGACATAGACAATCTGAGATTAACATTAAGATTGCTAAAATATGAACAAAAAACCAGAACAATAAACAGTGGATTAGCTTCTCTTTATAAGGGACTTTTGCCATGTAGACATGGAAAAGTGTACAATAAATCAGTAGATTTAAGTGCTGCAATTTACTGGAACTGAGTCCAACCCGGGAGAGTAAACCCAAGGTCCTCTTTGCTTTTTCATTTGTTATCAAAGCAGTTATTGCAGCAGGAAATTCAAAGAAATGACATTCATTTAAGGGTAGGAGAGAAAGTCACACAAAAGCAAAGAACAAAAAACAAACAAACGAAAGTAAAAGAATCAAGTTTCATAGCTATTGGAAAAAGATACACTATGAACCTTCTAAAATCTAGGGCTCACAGAAACATACCACATCCATATTCAACATTCCGATAAACACATTAGATCCTTAGGCATCCTTTAAAGACCCATATGTTTGGTGCAATTGCATCAAACATAGATAAATTTCCAAGGCCTGAGAATGTTTCACTTATTTTATTTAAGGAAGTAACCTGCTTAAGCAATAAGACCCTCTTCAAAAACCCCCTTCTAACCAAGAATGGCCTGGAGCTCATGCTGCCCACCCATAGCAAATGCGTCGTAAATGAATGGAAGCTGTTACACTGTAGAAGACTGACTCTAAAATAATAAAAATTACTTATCCTTAAAGAGGATTAAACATATCCTCAAACTAGAAAACTTAAGACAGCTGAAATTCTGTACATTTGCATGCACACATTTAAGCAATGACAGTTAACCAAAATGCAAACTATCAGAAACACATCACTGAGCAACCTAGGGATTTCACTGTCAGCTACAATGCTGCAGTGGGAACCTTATATTACATGCCACCCTGTCTTGACTCTGCTTCTCCTAAGTCCTTCACCAGGCAGTAGCAATTCCCCAGGAGAGTGCTAGCTGTTTTCTTTTGGAAATACACAATAATGATGCATGATTATAGGTTAGACTTACATTCTTGAGATGCCCCTCCCCACATATATATCATAATGAGTTTGAATTATTCTTCAAAATATATAATCAAACAAGTCCCTCTGTATGCAAGGTTTGTATCACCAACTTTACAACTATATGAATTACAATGAAATGAGTAACAGTAGGTGGGGAAGGGTACTGGGTTCTAACCCATTTTCTTAATCTGTGGGTTAATCATCATAGCTAGGGTAATTCTAGCTAATCTTAAAAAGGTCTAAGTTTAAATGACTGCATCGTTGAGGTGTTGAGCACGGGTGGCCATTGTAGTCTATGTGCCCGTGGTGTTTTGCTTGAGGACCCTTGGTTTGCTGAAGGAGGAAGATGGAATGGGAGCTAGGACATTTGGAGGGGCTAGATAGAAGCAGGGACTTGGTATGGGACAAAGCAGCATCTTTTCTCTCAGGCCTCATGGACTGTGGAGTTTTCATTTCTTGTAAGCATTTGCCCTGATGGGAGCATGCGCTTTAGCTCTGACATCATTTTCAAGAAAGAGAAGGGCAAACTGGCACCAAATAGCTACAGAAAAAGGGAGGGGAATCTGTCCTTTTTTTTTTTTTTTTTTGAGCCTGTCACCCAGGCTGGAGTACAGTGTCGTGATTTTGGCTCACTGCAACCTCTGCCTCCCGGGTTCAAGCGATTCTCCTGCCTCAGCCTCCCAAGTAGCTGGGACTACAGGTGTGTGCCACTACGCCTGGCTAATTTTTTGTATTTTTAGTAGAGACAGAGTTTCACCATGTTAGCCAGGATGCTGTTGATCTCCTGACCTCGTGATCCTCCCGCCTTGGCCTCCCAAAGTGCTGGGATTACAGGTGTGAGCCACTGTGCCTGGCCGAGTCTGTCCTTTTAAGTATAGAACAGAACAGGACACCACTTTGGGGCTCCAAGGACTGGTGGCTTCCTATTGCTTTTCCTTCTCAGAGAGTGAGAAAGATGTAACCATTTGACATTGTGGTAATTAATGTTTGGAGTCTTAGCCTGCCTTCCCAAGGCCCAATGAGGTGGAGTGTTATTTCTGCCCCTTAATTGGGAGGCAGGAGGAGGCCCCATGGACATATGTTTTGTTCATGCCCGTGGCCTCACCAGAAGTCTCCTGGCTGACAGCCACAGGACACAGTTCACCATGCATCAAGCATGAGTCTTTTCACAGGTTGGCAGGAGAGCAAGCTAGAGCTGCATTTCCTGGCCTCAGAAATTCCTCCTAGTACATATTTAAGTTTCCTTGATTTATTCCCCATATGGTCCATGTGGTTAACCACGGTTTTATTTTTTCTTAATAGCAGTAAAGAGAGACTCATCATGACCCTTCCTCAGGCTCATCACTCGCTCAGACCTATAATTTATTAGGAACATCCTCTGTGGGGAAGAACAGCTCAGCTATTTGGTAACAGGATATGGAGCATATGCACAGTGTGCGCTGTGCTGTTTAGGGCCAGATGACAGCTCAGGTAAGTCAGTGAGGCAAGTGAGAATCTGTCTTCCATCCTGATCCACTAAACAGGCCAGGTAGGGCCCAGGCTAGGTCAAGAGGGGGCCAAGTCCTCCTTCTTTGCATACCTTCAGTGCTGTCTGGAGGGCCTCATGGAAATGGCATAGACATTTAAGCAAGGTGGACTTCTGTCTGATTTCAGGACTCTACTGCAGTGGTTCCCGACTAGGGTCTTTTGGTCCCCCAGGAAACATTTGGCATTGTCTAGAGACATGTGTGATTGTTATGATCTGGGAGGTGCTACTGGGAGGAGGCCAAAGAGCATTAAACCTCCTGCAATGCACAGGACAGCCCTTCTCCCCTTGCAACAAAGAATTATCTGTCTCAGAAGGTCAGGACTGCTGAAGTTGGGAAATCCCATCTTGCTGGTTGATACTAGTTTCTTTGTCTCTTCTAAGAGAAGAGCTAAGTATTGATCCTAGTTATAGGATTGTCATAAAGATAAAGTAAAAAGAAATGAGTACAAAATATCTGTACTAGGTACAGTACTAAGATAATTCCTGTCCCCTTCCCCCTTCCTCTTCTCCTGGTATCCTAGTGTCTACATGCTCTCTACTTGCACTTGCCCTCTGCTCCCCAGTACAAATCTGTTTTCAACTCAGTTTAGGCTAAGTTATGTTAAGTTATTCTAAATTATTCCAAGGTAACAAAAAACAAAACCCCAAATCTCAGGGGCTTGTACCAACCAATGTTGGTTTCTCACTTCTGTGACTGCCTCTCAGGGTTGGCTCCAGCTCTTCAATCAGGCTCAGGCTAAAACAGTACCCTTTGTCTGGGACATTGTGATGTCAGATGAAAAAAGAGAGGGGCAAAACTACATGCCGGTTTTTAAAACTTTTACACAAATGTGTCCTGTGGTGTCTCACACCTGTAATCCCAGCACTGTGGGAGGCTGAGGTGGGTGGATCACTTGAGGTCCAGAGTTCGAGACCAGCCTGGCCAACATGGTGAAACCCTGTCTCTACCAAAAAAAAAAAAAAAAACACAAAAATTAGCTGGGCGTGGCAGTGCATGCCTGTAATTCCAGCTTCTCAGGAGGCTGAGGCAGGAGAATCGCTTGGACTGGGAGGCAGAGGTTGCAGTGAGCCAAGATCACACAACTGCACTCCAGTCTGGGCAACAGAGTGAGACTCTGTCTCAAAAAAAAAAAAAAAAAAAAAAAAAAAAAGGCCAGGCTCGGTGGTTCATGCCTGTAATCCCAGCACTTTGGGAGGCCGAGGTGGGTGGATCATGAGATCAGGAGATCGAGACCATCCTGGCTAACATGGTGAAACCCCGTCTCTACTAAAAACATACAAAAAAATTAGCCGGGTGTGGTGGCGGGTGCCTGTAGTCCCAGCTACTCGGGAGGCTGAGACAGGAGAATGGCGTGAACCCGGGAGGCAGAGCTTGCATTGAGTGGAGTTGGCACCACTGTACTCCAGCCTGGGTGACAGTGCAAGATTCCATCTCAAAAAAAAAAGTGTCCTGCATTACTGTTTTCATGGCTTCCTATTCACCTCATTTTTTCTTTCTTTCTCTTTCTTTCTCTCTCTTTCTCTCTCCTTCCTTCCTTCCTTTTTTCTTTTCTTCTTTCTTTCCTTCTTTCTTTTTCTCTTTTTTTCTTTCTCCTTTCCTTTCCTCCCCTCCTCCCTTTCTCTCTCTCTCTCTCTCTCTCTTCTTTCTTTCTTGCTTGCTTGCAGTTTTGCCCTTGTCACCCAGGCTGGAGTGCAATGGGTGATTTCGGCTCACTGCAACCTCCTCCTCCCGGGTTCAAGGTTTTATCCTGCCTAAGCCTCCAAATAAGCCTCCCAAATAGCTGGGATTACAGGCCCCCACCACCACAACCGGCTAATTTTTATATTTTTAGTTGAGATGGGGTTTCACCATGTTGGCCAGGCTGGTCTCAAATTCTCGATCTCAGGTGATCCACTTACCTGGGCCTCCCAAAGTGCTGGGATTACAGGTGTGAGCCACCATGCCCAGCCCACCTCATTTTCATCTTCCCTCCCTAGGGTCATGGAGATGGCAGGATACACAACACCTGACACTGGACAGATGAGATTGACAGCAGTTTGTTGGTTATACTCACAGCCTGGAGTAGAGGACACTGCACATGATGGAGGGCCACCTGGGGGTTGTACTTGGGAATGGAGTGGATAAGCAAAGGCAGGGAGAGGCAGATAGTGTAGTGTCCAGAGGATGAGGTGCCCCTTCATTCACACAGGAGGAAGTGATTGACTTGTTTGAATAATTTCACAGGGTAGCAAGCAATGAAACCTGTTATTCAGGGAAACACAGGTCTGTCTGTGTTCCCTTTGATAAGAAGTGTTGTTTGGTTTGAGCACCTTATCTGTGGGAGCAGAGAGGGGAGAGGAGCTGGGGATTAAGCCTTTTGAAGCCCTACTGATTTTACCAGATGTCAGGACAGTGCATAATACTGAGTCTTAATTTTAGACCCTAAACCCCAATCACTTCTGCTTACATTTTCTCAGCCCACATTAGTCACATGGAAAATTGAATTCAGTGACAGAGAGTAACTTAAAGATCATTTATCATTTTAAGCCAGTGGTTTCCAAACTTCCATTTCTGCTCACGGACACTTTTGTTCAGTAGGATTTTATCTAAACATCATTGTTAACAACAACAACGATGGTATCAACAAAATCGGATCTACAAGGCTTGAAGCAGGATTAGTGTCTGGGCATCCTGCTGTCATCTCATCCACTGATATAACCTGACTGCATGTTTCACACATGAGAAAATTGAGGCCCAGAGAGCAGCAAGTGACTTAATGAGTTATACAGTAGAATTCAAATCTTCTCTTGTGACTGTATATTTCTAAGCCAGAAATAACACATCCCGTGGTGAAAAAATATAGGATAAAAAAAAGAGGGCAATGGATTCTAAAAGAGCATCTAATATAGCAGAGGAGGGGGCAAAGGAAGAGAGTTGGGAGGAAGTAGAAGAGGGAAGGTGGGAGTAGTTATGAAGAGGAGAGGAAAGGAAGCGGAAAAGGCAAGCTGGAGCCGCAAGGCCAGTCCAAGTGTATGTTATGCTGATCACTCCCACATCCCTTTGTCCAGCCAGAGCCCTGAGCTTCAGACTTGTAAATCCAACTCCTCAGTCAGCATCTGTACTTGAAGTCTGATAGGCTTTCCATTCCAGGACAGAACTCTTGATTTTCTACCCTCCCCCACCCTGCTTCTCCTTAGTCTTCCTGACCTCGTTAGGTAGGTTGTACCATCAACCCAGGGTCTCCAACCAAATGTATGTGTTAATCATTGACTCTTCTCTTTCTCTTACTTCCTAGAGCCACTCCATTAGCAAGACTCATTGTTTCACCTTTGACTATTTCCAGAATCTGAGCCATTTTCTCCAAGTCTACAACCTCCACCCTGTTCTAAAGCCTGGCAATGTCCTCTTGTCTCATCTCTCTGCTTTCCATTTTCCTCGCAGCAACCTGAGTAATCATTATAGAACATAAACATATCATATCATATGAACATAAACATATAGAACATAAACATATCATATCATAGAACATAAACATATCATAAACATATCACTTATCTGACTGAAACTCTCTAAATCCCCATCTGTACATAGAATAAAGTCTCAACTCTTTATCAAGACCTCCAGGCCCCACTTTGTTGGGCCCCCGCCCATCTCTCCTAGTCGATGCTGTTCCTAGACAGTGCTATTCCTAGAACATCCCAAGATTGTATTATTGTATAGGCTCAGCCCATAGATTCTTATGAGGCCTTACTCTTGTCATTCATTCATTCATTCAACTAATATTTACTCAGGTTCAAAAAATATAGCAGACAGTATCTTCAGCACTGGAATTGTCATATAAAATGTCTCCTCCTCAGAAAGGCCTTTCCTGAAACTTGTCATCATTTATCTTTCTTACTTTTTTTCCCTTATCTTGTTTTTAAAAACTTATTGTTATTATTGAACTTATTATTACATAAAATTGCATCACTTTTTAAAAACTTTTTTTTCAATAGAATGTATATTCTTCAACTATAAAATATGCTCCAGGAGCATAAAATAATCCAATCTTGAGCAACTCACCAACAGGGAAGAGAAGGGTTTCAATATTTTAATTATGTTCAAATATGTCACTATTAGCAGATGAAATGTGTAGGTTTGAGATATCAGAAAATAATGGTGATATTGTTGATTATTAAGGAGTAGGGAACAGGAGTTAATTTATTGAGGTAGGCAATTTATTACTTGCCATACTCTATTTCTTGTGCAGGCTCATAAAAGGAATTAAGTAATCAAAATTTAAGGAAATACAAAAAAAGACATTGAAGTAACTCCTCAGTGTCCTTGGACCAGTAGCTGGGGAATGGTGGTTTACTCCACTGGTCTTTAGACCTAGCTGCAAATCAGAATCTTTTGAGGATGAAATTCACTGGCCCCATCCCTGGAGATTCTGATTCTCTAAGGCTGGGATGGACCTTAGGAATCTCAGTGTTTTAAAGAAACTTTGCCAGGGCATTCTGATGGTCAGCCTCACCTGGAAACCACTGAGCAAGTAACTTGGACATCCTATATGTTTTTACTAGGCTAACAAAGTATTTGAATAAAGTGGCCAAATGGGTTGCTTTGGCTTGGAGGTTGAACATTGTTGATGTGGAACTTCCATTTCTTTCCCCATGGCCACATACTAAACCTTGAATTCAGTGCTACAAAGAATCCCTAGGTTAGTTAGATTCATGAAGAAAAAGTGAAATCTTTGATTATATCTATCTTGTGAACGTTTGCCTTTTTTTCAGAATAACTTTAGAAGCTGGAACACTGGTTCATTTGATTATACTCAGAGATGTTCCAGGAACAATTGCCATGATTAAATACATCTAATGGATTTAAGAATCCTATGAGGAAATAAGACAAAACTCTCATGCTAGTCTTTTTTAACTGGGAGTTTATTCTCCACTGGGAGGAAAGACAAATGCAAGACAGAATTCTTTAGCCTACAGCATGCTAGTTTTTGTTGTCCTAAACTCTTTCATCCCCCAGTAGCATTTGCTGATTATATTTATAAGGTACAAGTAATTTTGAACTCACAGCACATTTGAGAAGTAAACCTAATGAGCATGTAAACAGCCAATTGCAGTGTCAGGGAAACTTACTCAATACATTTCCAATCCTTAAAACTAAAGTTTTCTGAACTATGGATTGGCAAAACAGTATAAGGATTTAGTTTTAAGGGGCTGGATGAAAAGTTTATATTACTGTAAAATGGACAGAAATAAAAATTTTTCTAAAGTTACCTAGACATTTTATTTGAAGCCATGTTATTCAAAAGCTGCACTTATAAATCCAGAACATGACCACGAATCTAGGTGCAATGGGGTGGGAGTTTAATTACAAAAAGTCCTCTTTGACAATGTATTGATATACTAAGCTGTCAGTAATAATGACCAGCTGAAGGAGTTTCTGTAGGCCTGATGGTTAATCGGAAATGCAAATGTCACCACTAGACAGCCTGATTTTCTATAAATTCATTTTAGTTGGGAAGAAGCGTTGTTAGAAGCTGGAATTCTCCTGCTTCTATCTAATATATGCAAATACTTTAAACTCATTCCTCAGTTCAGAAGGCAGCAAATGAAAACCACGCTTGTGATTCCTCATTCTAGTCTTCAAGGGGAACTGTTTTTCCCTCCTAGTCCTACGTCCCTCTTTGATATTCCATCATTCACCTCAAGAAAACCTCAACAGGATTCCTCAAGACAAAAATAGCAGCTTCGCAAAGAAAATTTAACTGGCTCACCCACTGTTGCTTTTTATAGGTTAAAACATGAGACTAATTTACATACTACTGAATAATTAATAAAAGGTATAGCAGAACAACTGACAGAAAATATGAATAAATACATGAAATCACACAAGATAGCCCTTCACAGACTAAACATAAATGAACTGTCAATAAAAGAACATTAGAAGCAACAGGCTAATTTTGGCCAAAATAAAGTCCCTTAGCTAATATTTCAATTTTTGGAAATGAGGAGTCATAAATGGGATAAAACAGACTACAAAGAACTATAATACAAAGTGGCAAATACTTTATTGCAATAAAGTATGGGGAAGTTCAAAGATGAGAAAGATCACCCCTCAACCGCCAACCCCAAACCCCACTCTCTGTGAATGTTTCCTGACAGAAGTAGAATTTAAGACGAACCTGAGGTGTAGCCAAGTTTTAGCTATATAGAGTCAAAGGTGGGAAAGGCACTTCAAGCTAACAGAACATGGTCAAAGGCATAAAATGAAGAAAGTGAGGAAAATGTGTAAAGAATAGTAAATAGTAGTAGTTCCTTTGTTTTGTTTTTGATTTTGGCCTTAGAAAATGTGTCTAGAAGTATATAAGCTTAGATTAAGCTTTTGAGAAAGTAAATTACAGGCAGGTTGCTGGGGAATTTGAACAGCAGATTAAGAACTAAGGAGACAAAAAAGAATCATTAAAAAAAAAAAAACCTTGGATACAAAGAAGTGATGTAATTAGCACTTATTTTGGGAAGAGTCACCTAGCAGCAATATAGGCTGGGATGGAGATGAGAATTAACATAAGGACCTTGTTTAATGTGTCTTGATATTTTTCAGGGAGATTAATAGAAATTTCTGCTTAAAAACTATCTAGAATAAGATAAAGACAAGTTTCTGAATTTAATTATTCACTAAGAAATCTTGGGCATTTGACCATTTAAACCTCAGCTTTTCCATTTGAAAATGGGAGCAACAATGTCTTTCTCTAACCTCTAAAATCTTATTTGTGTGAAACTATAAAGGGCCCCAAATGGCCAAAGCAATCTTGAGCAAAAAGAGCAAAGCCTGAGGCACCACATTATGTGACTTCAAGTCTACTACAAAGCTATAATAATTAAAACAGCACAACACTGGCATAAAAACACATAGACCAATGGTACAGAATGGAGAGCCCAGAAATAAATTCGCACATTTACAGTCAACTGATTTTTGACAAGGATGTCGAGAACACACGTTGGAAAAAGGACAGTTTCTTCAATAAAAGGTGGAAAAACTGTATGTTTACATGCACAAGGACGAAATGAGACCCTTACCTCACACCATATGCAAAAATCAACTCAAAATGGAGTAAATACTTAAGCATAAGATGTGAAACTGTATAAGTAGTAGAAGAAAACAAAGTAAAAATGCTCCATGACATTGGTCTGGGAAATAATTTTTAAAAAGTATGGTCCCCAAAGCACAGGCGACAAAAGCAAAAATAGACAAGTGGGATTACATCAAACTAAAAAGCTTCTACAGAGCAAAGCAAACAATCAACAGAGTAAAGAGACAAGTCATGGAATGGAAGAAAATATTTGCAAGCCATACATCCAATAAGGGGTTAATATTTAAAATATATAAGGAACTCAACTCAATAGCAAGAAAACAACCCAATTAAAAAAGGAGCAGATGACCTGAGTGGACATTCCTCAAATGAAGACACAAAAATGGCCAAGAGTTCTATGAAAATACACTCAACATCACTAATCACCAGATGAGAGCAAATTAATACCAGAAAGAGACATTATGTCAGATCTGTTAGAATTGCTATTATCAAAAACACAAGAGATAACAAGTCTTAGTGAGGATTTGAAGAAAAAGAAACCCTTGTAAGCCGTTGGTGGGAATATAAATTAGCATGAACATGATCAAAACCAGTATGGAGGTTCCTCAGAAAATTATAAATAGAACTACCATATGATCCAGTAATTCCACTACTGGGTACATATCTAGAGAAAATGAAATCAGTATATTGAAGAGATATCTGCACTCCCACATTTTTTGCAGCATTATTTTTACTAGTCAAGATATGGAAACAACCTACGTGTTTATTGACAGATGAAAGAATAAAGAAAACGTGGTGTGCATACACAATGGAATACTATTTATCCTTAAAAAAGAATAAGCATAATGTTTTCAAAGTTCACATGTTGTAGAATGTATCAGTAACTTATTCATTTACCCAATAATATTCTATTGAATGAATGTGCCACATTTTATTTAGTTATTATCAATTATTGGTGTTTGAGTTTTTTCTACTTCTTGGCTGTTGTAAACAATGCTGTTATGAATATTCACGTGTATGTTTTAATCTAAATTTTCATTCCCAAGAGTAGAATTGCTAGGTCATATGGTAACTCTACATTTAAACTTTTCACAAGCTCCTGGTGTTAAGCAATCCTCCCACCTTGGCCTCCTAAAGTGCTGGGACTACATGTATGAGCCATCACACCCCACCCTATGTTTCAACTTTTGAGTAGCTGCCAGACTATTTTCCAAAGCAGCAGCACCAACTTCCATTCCCACCAGCATCATTTGAAGATTCTACTTTTTCTACATTCTTGCCATTTGTTGTTTCCAATTTTTTTTTACTATAGCTATTCTAGTGGATATGAATTGGTATCTCACTGTAGTTTTGATCTGCATTTCAGTAATGACTAACAATGAGCATCTATTTATGGGCTTGTTGACCATTTGTATATCTTCTTTGGAAAAATGTCTATTCAGATCCTTTGACTACTTTTCAAATTGGTTGTCTTTTTATTGTTGAGTTTCAAGAGTTCTTTATATATGATGGATATAAGTCCCTTAGCAGATACATGATTTGTAAATATTTTCTCTCATGTTGTGGGTTTTTTGCTTTCTTGATGGTATCATTTGAATCACAAATATTTTAATTTTAAAAAACTCCAATTTATCTTTTTTTTCTATTTTTTCTTTTGTGCTTTTGGTGTTGTGTCTAAAAAGACTATGCCTAGCCCAGGTTCATCATAATTTACTCTTATGTTGTCTTCTAA
Organism: Homo sapiens; assembly: GCF_000001405.40. Lineage (NCBI taxonomy): Eukaryota > Metazoa > Chordata > Mammalia > Primates > Hominidae > Homo > Homo sapiens. The sequence goes on along the minus strand of NC_000009.12, from coordinate 8,215,547 downwards.
GACTTTTATAGTTTTAGCTCTTACATTTATATTTATAATCCATTTTAAGTTAATTTTTGTGTATGGTGTGGTCCAACATTATTATTTTATATGTAGATATCAGTTGTCCTAAAGCCATTTGTTGAAAAGACTATCTTTTTTCTTCATGGAATAACGTTGGCAGCCTTGTTGAAATCAATTTACCACAAATAGTGTTATATCTGGACTCTCAAGTTTGTTCCATTGTGGCACCTCATTCTGGTGCCATAACGTCTTTTTTTTTTTTTTTTTAACAACCACAAGAGCTAACATTTATTGAGTGTTTACTACATGCCAGGTACTATTCTGAGCTCTTTACACATTTTAAGACATTTAATCATGACTCTCTGTGGCAGATATGATTTTTAATTCTCCTTTGCAGGAGGAAACTGGAGCACGGAAAGGTCAAGTCACCTGCTTACAATAGCACAGGTATCGTAACACAGGTGATAAGCTGAGACATGGTTTACACAATATGGCTCCAGAGCCCACATTCATAGTCACCATGCTTCACAACCATCCAGCACCAAAGAACGCCCTCACCCATTAATATGCATTCCCCCAGAAATCTCTTACTATGAATGTATCTTTTCCTTTACTGTGGAGTTCCATCTACTAATTTTCCGAATATTCATCCTTTTGGTACCATGAGCAAGGTTGTTTTGGAAGTTCTTCCCAGCCATGTTTCCCTTGTATAAAAGTGTGTCTAGAAAGTGAAATGGGCACAGATATGATTTTTCATGGACCCTGCATCCTATTAAGAAGACTCTGGTCAACAGTCTTCTTAACAGGAATAAATACAATGGCATGCACCAAACAATATAAAACTTTAGATGTAATAAGGATAGGATAAGGAAAATAGCTTTAATGAAACTTTGTGAGGAGAATGTGATTACTACACTACAGAATCCAGCCTGAAACTTTATTTATTTATCTATCTACCTATTTATTTATTTATATGGAGTCTCACTCTGTCACCCGGGCTGGAGTGCAGTGGTGCAATCTCGGCTCACTGGAAACTCCGCCTCCCAGGTTCAAGCGATTCTCCTGCCTCTGCCTCCTGAGTAGCTTGGACTACAGGTACCTGTCACCACACGGGGCTAATTTTTATATGTTTAGTAGAGACAGGGTTTCACCATGTTGGCCAGGCTGGTCTTGAACTCCTGACCTCAAGTGATCCACATGCCTCAGCTTCCCAAAGTGCTGAGATTACAGGTGTGAGCCACTGGGCCTGGCCTGAAACTTTGCTTTAAAAGAGTACCAATAGTCTTCTCTATGCTATAGAAAATAAATCAAAAGCAAAAGTATTTCTGTTAGTTCAACTTGTCAGTTTTATTTTGGGGCTCAGGTAGGAAGAAAAAAGAGTATTAGATCTCCAATTATGACTCCCTCCCCACCCACACACACATACGCCTTTCTCAAGCAAGTAGTACTAGTCTCCAGACAAATCCAAAAATATGAGTATCATCTATAAATGACACCTTTCCAGTTTTTCTTAAAGCATTAAAAAAAGAAAATACAACTTCCTTTATTCCTAGACAAAACATGAAGGTAAATAGTAAAGCCACTGGGCTTCCTAAAAAGCAATGCACTGAGCCTCATCAACCTGAGAATGGAAAGCGTATGAAGCAGATATTACAGGCAGCACCTTTCCTGGATAAAGTTGCTTAATCACCATGCAAAATTCAAGCCTATCATTCTTAGATAGAAAATTCTATAACCTCAGCAGGGCCCGACATCATGAGTGACCTTGAAACAGAACCCACACTCTTGAAATGATTTCCCCCCATATTGTCTGAACAGAGCACAAGCCTCAGTGCTGATGGGTAATTTTAAGGCATCACAATGACAAGTCTGCCAAGGCAAATGTTTTGAACTGCTTCACTTAGCTGATTGCTTTAGCTTTAGAGTAAGTCTTGAAATTGAGAAGTGTGTCTTCCTACTTTGTTCTTCTTTTTCAAAATTGTTTGTCTTTTCTTGGTCCCTTACATTTCCATATGAATTTTAGATCAGCTTGTTAATTTCTACAAAATGCCCAGCTGAAATTTTGAAAAGAATTGCATTGAATTTGCAGATGACATTGGGTAGTATTCCTATCTTAATATTATTTCTGCTAATTCACAAACATGGGTTGTCTTTCCAATTGTTTGCACTCGTTTCAAAAATGTTTTGTAGTTTTCAGAATTCCAGTTTTATATGTCTTCTGTTAAATTCATATCTAAGTATTTTATTCTTTTTCATATGATTGTAAATGGAATTGTTTTCTTAATTTGACATTCAGATTATTTCTAGTGTATACAAACATAAATGACTTTTTAATATTTGTATCCTAAAATCTTGCTGAATTTGCTTATAAGTTCTAATAGTACTTTAGTGGATTATTTAAGATTATCTATATACAAGATCATGTTATCTACAAATAGAGTTAGGTTTACCTTTTCATTTCTTATCTGGATGCCTTTTATAGCATTTTCATGCCTTTTTTTTTTTGGCTAGAACCTGTAGAATAATGTTTAATAGAAACAGCAACAAGAGTGTCTTGTTCCTGTTCTTAGGAGGAAAGCATTCGATCTTTTACCATTAAGCGTGATCTTGGCTGCTGTGGATTTTTAATAGATGTCCTTTATTACGTTGAGAAATTTCTAGCACATGTTGTTTTAGTAAGCAAAATTACTTAAACAATAAGCATGCAAATGAATAAATATTTGATGAATAAATTGGACTTCATGGCTTTATTATCAAAGCAGATCTGATACCACCCTGAACCCCCAAAAAGAAATCAGTTGAATTCGGATTCTCAAGAAAGTAAATTGAAAACTTGAAGCCTTCCATTTTACCCAATTTTGTATGATTCCTTCTAATCAACCCTGCTACCTCTTTTGTCTGTTATCCTGATGTTCATTATAGCTGCAGTAACTTTTAATGATATAATTCCTGTCTCTAATGACTGCTCTAATGCTAATGCCTAGCAGTTTCTTTCACATCTTTCATTATTGAAGCCTGATAAGGTCCAGGTGAAGACCCAGGGCAGTTTCTTTAGAAAGTAGAAGTAGTAGCCATTAATGAGGCTTAGCCATTTCAGGAAATGATAAAAACCTGATCAAATGGAAACCCCAAGGAGACTATCTTCCAGTAGTTTGTAACAGTCTCCACTAACAATGAGAATTCAATTACTGGAAAAGTTACACCTGTGGATATCATTAAACCATCAGACAGCTCATTTTAAATAAACCCTGTTACTAAAAATATATCCACTTATGTAAAGAATGGGGGCTGAGAAAGTTGCTGTATCGACAAGATTGCCCAAGGTCAATTGGGTAATCCATCTCTCTCTCTCTCTCTCTCTCTCTCTCTCTCTCTCTATATATATATATATATATATATATATATATATACACATACACACACACACACATATATTAACATATATATATATATTTTCTATATACACTTGTAGCTCATAACCTTTTCCACAATTCTATTCATTTACCTGGTGCTATTCAATAAATAGAGGCCACTATTTTTTTGTATATCAAATCCTATTTGAAATGAGAAGATATAAATATTTTGCAAAATTCATTGGAATGAGTCAAAACAAAGGTCCTAAATGAAACACTATGGCCACAGGAATTTGGAGAGGAGGGCAAGCGGCAGCTATCTTCTTAAACATGTTTTCTTCTTCTTAAACATAATATAGAGTTTTGTGAGACAGCTCTACTAAGTCATAAAATAAAATGTTTTCTTGTTCTCTGGATTGTTTATTAAGTGTAAAGTAAAGCCTTAAGTGATTTTTAGAAAATTACATTTGAGGTTTGGACCAAGAAAATAGGAATTGAGATTGTTGGGATAGGCATTCTAGCAGTTAACAAATTTCACCTTCTTAATGCTGTCCTAGCTAAGATTAGTAATACCACCTAGCCAAAGAGTTTATTTCCAAGCAGGAGTCATGCAACCTTTCAATTGCTAGATGATAGAGAAAAAGCAAATAATTTTGAAATATTGGAATTACCCTCCCTGAATAACAACAAAAAGTTCTTTCTAGTAGCTGTCTAGAAAATCCCCAGCCAACATTACAATTAGTTAAGACAAAGTAACTAGGAGGAGATTTCTAAACATAAATGATCAAGATTAGAGATGGCAGCAGTCCTAATTTACATTTGCTATAATACACATTTGTGGCTCTAATGCTCTATGTGCAAGCCCAATCAGTAAAACACAAAAGGTTGCCTTCAAGGTGGATTAGAATATTACTTTTTAAAAAGGTAAGAACTGGGCTTCCTAAGCAAGTGATCTTTAGATAGGGTTCGGAGGGCCTATGAGATTGGATAAAAAAGCCATTACATTATTAGTTCACCAATTATAACTGAAATTAACTATTTTCTTCAATTATGAATTCAGGACAATAATCCACGAAGTATTAACAAGATCTTTGACTATGGTCAATAGAAACTGCAGATTATTTTACATCATTTTATATTTGTGAATATCTCAAAATAATTTCATTTACTACTTTAAAATAATAGTGGTCTTTAGACATAGAATAGACTTTTATGTAAAACAGAGAAAGAACACATTTAATATATACCACAAATTTAGTTTTTTAAACATTTTGATAGCTATTACAATATAATTTTTGCAATTATATATACGTTTTCTTTTACTAATTTAAAATTATTTATCTAAAAAGTGATCTTTGGGTATCATCAGACTGCCAAGGTGTGGAGAACACACATAAGAACCTCTGGAGTGGAGAGAAAAGGAAAGGAGGCTGTTTATGCATACTCCTTGCCTACACAAAAGGGATGTGCCACACACTGCACCTTAGGTCATCTAGTATACATCTGCATGGCTTTCTTATCTCTTTGCATCTCTCTTCGTTACTTCCAGGTGATGGTAACTGAGGATTACCTTCCACTAATTAAGGATCAAATCCAACATCCTGAGTCTGTTTTTATCAGAGAAGATGCTCTCAAAATTTCAAGAAACTTAACATTTACTCCAGCTTAAACAGAAAGGAAAATGAGCAGCTCACATGACAAGTCCAGAGGTGGAGCAGCTTCAAAAGGGAGATGAGCGAGCTTTGGTTCTGCTCCTCCAATCCTCCGAGCTCTTCCTTCTTTCCTGTGTGTGCTTCAACCTCAGGGACAGCAAGAGGCCTCCAGTGATTCTGGCCATCATGTGCAGCTACTACAATATCAGAGAGGGAAAAGGGGAGCATCTCTCCCCATATTTACCAGTTAGAAGCAAGAAAATGTTTCTGAGAGCCTCCTGTGGAGACTTCATGTCTTACTGGCCAAGACTAGATAATATCCTTATATCTAAACCAATTGTTGGCAAGGAGACTCTGAGCCACATGATTGCCTTGGACTAATCTTTGAGGACAGAATGTACATCGTAGACTCAATCTCAATGATCCAATAACTTTCTTCTAGAAGCACAGTCTAACAGTGCTTTTATGAAGGTGCTGATACTAAAAATTACACAAATAAATACAAGATATTTCCACTTTTCTCCCATTGGATTATATTTGTTTATCTTTGAGAAAATACCTCAGGCTTTAAGTCACAAGCTTCTAGATGAGAATCATAGCATGAACCCATTGGTGACCTTATGAGGTGCTCTAAAGGTGAATGCCATGCTGTGAAAAAAAGGCCAACTCCTCTGATGCTCCCAGACCTCTTTCACTGTTCTCCCTGACATACAAATCTTGCTGATAGAGAAGCTGCCAAAATCTGCCAGCCCAACTCTAAGACTTATCAGGCAATGTTGGGTTGAATTCTCAGGTTTTCAACACCATGGAGTATCTCTAATTTTCTCACTGTCAAAAAATTCTGCAAAGTGAGGGGATCTTAATACACTTTAATTAATACTAAATGTCTCAGCACTCCTAAGGGTAAAAAGGAGTATCTAAATCTAACTTAAAAAGCTGAGTTATATGACTCCAAATCATTTGGAATTTTAAATTTTAAAATGAAGACCAGGATGTTTATAAAGTTCTGGCCCATCCTGGTCTTGAAACCTCTTATCTCAGAATGTAAAATTTGAAAATGAATGAGAAATATGGTCTAGTGTGCATACTACCTGAACATTTAAATAAAGATGATAAATGAGTGATCTGTTCTTAGGAGTAAAGAGAGAAACAAAGAGGAACTGGAATGGGCAAATGGAAAAGCATAGCTTGTACTGTGTGAAGGTATCCTGTAGAAGATTCAGTGAAGGGAGGAAAGAGCACTAAAATGTTTCAGGGCCTCCTTTGAAGCTGGGATATGGATGCACATGTACCTAAGGTGAGGACCGTACATTGTCTGAAGTGGGGGTAAAGGGTGAACTTTGAGGAAGGAAATTGCACTCTCTTCTCTGGACCTTTTCAATAATGCTAAGTCCAGACTATTAGATCTGGCTTGGGCCTGATCTGTTGGTGACAGTGGGAGACTACAATATAATGCTTATTCTGACAAGCTGATCCTGAATCTGGGAACCCCTCACACTCCCAGGTAAGCTCTTGCACCATTTATGTTTCTCCATTGCTGGCCAATAGGAGAACCAAGAGGAAAGGAACTTATGTTTTGGAGATGTGTGGTGATTGTTTCAAGTTCTGTGTCCTTAATATACTTCCTTCAGCCTCACTCTCCAGTAAGTCCCAGTTCCCTCACTGGCTATCTTTTCCCAGATAAACTCCTAACTCTTTGCCATGCTAGGTTGAGCAATGCTTTTTGGGGTCTCATAACACTCTCCCTGTACTTGTTCAGAATTTATCTGGTATGTGTCTCTCTCATGCCAGAATGTGAGCTCTTCCAGGGCAAGCAACCAACCTTATTCATTTATGTATCCAGCTCCTAACAGAGTACTCAGTACATATTAAGCGCCCAAATAATGTTTGATTCATTGAACAGGAATTGCTCAAGCAATAAAATGAAGTTGCATCACTTTCCCAGGAATGTCCAGAGTGCCTTTCCAACCTATACCCCTGACCTCTTGCATTCTACAGGGAACATTAAGATGTTTTGGTGACATGTTTTAGTGGTCTGTCATAGGTATCTCTATGGAGCTTTTCCGTAATAGTTCAGGAAAATGAAAAGAAAAATCCCTAACATTTCAGTTCCAAATGCGTCCTCAAATCTACCAGGTTATTAATATGCAGCTTGCATGATGATCAGGCTTTAGTATTAAATATCATAATAATTTTTGTTCATTCTAAGGTCACCAGTATCAATCTCCCAATAAATCAAGTCAAATTTAATATATATCAAAGAACATGATTAATAGTAATAAGGCACTATCAACTAATAAGGGTTCCAAATGTGAGTTTGAGGTAATCTGTGACTGAGAAAATCCAATGAGAAGAAAATTATTTGAAAGTTATTTTTAACCTGATGGAAAAAAGAAGTGAGCTAAAATTACACCATCTATTATAAGATTTCAAACTCAAACATCTGAGTTCCTTTTGAAAGAAGGAAACTCAAAATGCATCCATCCTCTTAAAGAGTGAAAGGCATGAGATCTTCTAATCCTTCCCTGTCACTTAGTCGCCTCCACTCCTCCACAGAAGGCGGGACATGGAGCCATTAGGAACTGTTGTGGTGGTTTTAGGAAGGTGAGGGCTAAAGGCTTTGATGTGAGAAGTCAGGATTTCCTTGAAGCCATATTGGCTATTTTCTAGAAGGGAGGCATGCAGAGAAATCATGTGGCTTCACTGACAGGGAAGGACTGAGCTCTGGCAAGACACAGATGTTTGATAATCTTCCTCAACATGTGGGCTTTCTATGCTTCTGCATTTATACCCTCTTATCTGAGAGCCAAGGGACAAAAGCCACCCAGGGTTCCCTGATACAGTAATCAGGCCCTCAAACCTGTGCTCTTTGGCTTTGGATATTTTGAATTCAGATATCTGAGATAAATCTCCCTTTTTCAGGGGCTGCTTTTAGCTGGCAAAACAAATTCATGAAGATGGTTTAATAGCTTAACCTTTTACCTGTCCAAGGAGTCATGTTTACATGAGCCATAGATTTCAATACCCTCTTAACTCAGTGATATGGTTAATGGTAGAACTGTCTAGAAACCCAGAGGAAGTGCTCTAATTGAGCAAAAAGGGATCCTTTACACCAGGGGACAATAAGTTAAAGTACATTCATCCAGGGGGTTGCTCAAAGTGTTCCATTGGGAAGAAAATGTAGGCATTTATATATATTTGTATTTTTGTTATCCTTTTAAATTTATTTGATAGTACATAATTTACTGGTTTAGTAGGGCACATATAAGATTTAGAGATAAATTTATACATATTGATGTTGTGTGCACTATGGTTTTTTCTTTCTGATAATGATGTACCTTGTTCCATTCAAACCTTGCTATTCTGATGACTTTCTACATTATTTCAGACTTCAAAAGGTTTTTGCATTCTGATTTGACTGCTCTAAATGTCCTGGGCCTGGCTGTTTCCATTCCATTTCAGTAAATGTTTAAGGCATTGGACATGCAGCTATAAGGGCTGCTTTCTTTACTGCTTAGAAAGAACACATGGCTGACTGAGCTAGGATATCTCCATTCTCAATGTGTTATAAGCCCAGCAATATTGATCTGTATAGAGATTCTGCACCAACTTACAGATTGAGCAATGCGGAAGTGGTTATGGTTTTTAGATGCATTGCCTACCAGTGCATGGTGCATTTCCTTCTTATGATGATTATTTTTTTTTCTTACTCACTTAAAGTCATCAGGTTGAAATGATCATGTTCTTTCCCTGGTAAAGAACTCCTGCCCCGTCTGTCTGCTTAGGGAATACAGTTAAAACCATTCAAAACAGAACTTCAATAGAATAAGAACACACATGTAAAATGTTTTAGAAAATTCTTAGATACCAATTACAAAAGTACAGCATGGAGATGAATTGAATCGAACATCTAAAGGGCACAAATGCATCCTGACAAAGCAAGAGAAAGGCTTCCTGACTATTGAAAATAGAACACGCCAGGATGTTGAAATAGTTTTCAATTTCAAGTCCTGTGCTGCCAAGGTTTTATAAAATATTTTCTAAAAAATACATTACAAGCTACTTAAGCTATTCACTTTCTCCAGTAGCTTTGGGTTTATGAGAAGGCCAGAATAACTTAGAAAAAGGAAAAGACTCATCTGGGTCAAAGACTAACTATCCAGCTGAACAACGAAACAAAAGACGTGGGCATCTCTAGCAAAGCTCCAAAGGAATAACATGGATTAGACTTACATACAGAGAAGAAAAAAAAATAAAATTCTCTTCTCCTTGTATTTCTTTTAGTGACAGAGAATGGAGTAAACCTTGTATTTCCAAGAGAGAGAGGAGAAATCAGCCTGCCACTATAATTTTCCATTTTATTTACAGATGATTATCTTGGGAGATCCCGTTGCGTGTGCTTCTTTTATCTTGTTTAACATCTAAGGGAATTCTGCCTGGATTCTTCCCTATGTCCAGCTTCAAAAAATTATATAAATTTAGAAACTTGATAGATATTACTAACATTGGTATGACTGGGTCTTACCAGACTTGAAACTCAAATATGATCGCAGCACACTTACTGTTCCCAGAGTCCTAAAGGGTTTCTAGCCTCTTTTACTCCATGTGAATTCAAATCCCTTCCTCCCAAGAAATTCCCCCACTCTAATTGAAAAGTTTTAACCACTGACAACAGTTTGGAGCCTTTCTCAGTTACTGATGGTTGGATACAAGGATAAATAAAAGGGTGGAGGGATATCATCATATCTGTGGCTTTGTGGTTTTCAGAGACTGGAAACAATCTCTGATTTCTTTCCTGGAGCAAGGCCTGAGGCCTGAGATAACTAACTCTGCTAAGGGGTTCATGTGAATTAAGAGTAAACAAAATTGTTCTTTAACCTCTGCAGTGAATCTAACCATTTCAAACTCAAATTGGCTGCAAATATTAAAAGGAGACAAATGAAACAAGAGAATCAGAGAAACAAAGACATGGTCATCTAATGCAGGTCCTTAAGGATGCAACCTGCAGTTGCCTGTGAGGCTTATGGGAGGTAGAGAGGCTTGTACTGAAAATCCAAGACCAAAATATTAATATCTATGCATTACACAGTCCATTCTAATGCAGTTTGAGACATAATTTCATGTCATACCTGAAACAGTCAATGGAGTAAAGGTGGGGCAGACTTGGGTGGAGGATAAGACTGGACACATTTTTTGCAGCCTTTTTACTATATTTCCAAGGACATCCTTTCCTGTCCTAAGTCATTCAACCATTGAAACATCTTAGGCTGATACACATTATTAATCTCTTTAGAATCAGTTTTCATACTGGTAGCATTGTGTGCCTATGTGTTTTCATCTAGACAGACCTATTTTAAAATCTTGAAAACCGTCATTTACTAGGTACCATATTAGTTATTTAATCCCTCTTTATTTTTAAAACAGAAGCAAAAATATGCCCCTCAAAGTGTGCTAGGAAGGTTAATTTGGAGAATGTTTATAAAGTAATTTATTATTGGACATTACTTTCAATGCCCCAAACAGCAATTACTTTTGCACCAACGTAGTAACTCACACTAAACACTCAGGAAATCTTTGTTCTTCCCCATCCTACCCTTTAACACTTCACAGATCCACAGGACCTCAGCACCTATCCCCACATACCCACCCCAATTAATTCTTCGAAACATAAATTCAAAAACTGAGCAGTCTTCTTTCTATCAGTGAAGTCCTATGACAGGAAAATGGATGAAGAGAAACCTAGAAAAAGAAAATAAAGTGGGGGGGGGGGGCAAAAGAAAACAAACAAAAAACAACGTGGGTTCTATTACTCTGGATCCAAAACAACCAGGCAATTGGATCAGTTTAGCCAAGCATTACATCAAGTCAATAAAAAATAATTAACCAAGCAATTTGCCTAATGATTGATTGAGATAATGGCATCAAAAGAATTTCAAGCAGGGAAGGAGGAGCCAAGATGGCCGAATAGGAACAGCTCCAGTCTACAGCTCCCAGCGTGAGCGACACAGAAGATGGGTGATTTCTGCATTTCCAACTGAGCTTTGAAGAGAGTAGTGGTTCTCCTAGCATGCAGCTTGAGATCTGAGAAAGGGCAGACTGCCTTCTCAAGTGGGTCCCTGACCCCCAAGTAGCCTAATTGGGAGGCACCCCCCAGTAGGGGTGGACTGACACCTCACATGGCCGGGTACTCCTCTGAGACAAAACTTCCAGAGGAACAGTCAGGCAGCAGCATTTGAAGTTCACCAATATCCACTGTTCTGCAGCCACTGCTGCTGATACCCAGGCAAACAGGGTCTGGAGTGGACCTCTAGCAAACTCCAACAGACCTGCAGCTGAGGGTCATGTCTGTTAGAAGGAAAACTAACAAGCAGAAAGGACATCCACACCAAAAACCCATCTGTACATCACCATCATCAAAGACCAAAGGTAGATAAAACCACAAAGATGGGAAAAAAACAGAGCAGAAAAACTGGAAACTCTAAAACTCAGAGCGCCTCTCCTCCTCCAATGGAACGCAGCTCCTCACCAGCAACGGAACAAAGCTGGATGGAGAATGACTTTGACAAGCTGAGAGAAGAAGGCTTCAGATGATCAAACTACTCCGAGCTACAGGAGGAAATTTGAACCAATGGCAAAGAAGTTAAAAGGTTTGAAAAAAAATTAGACGAATGGATAACTAGAATAACCAACGCAGAGAAGTCCTTAAAGGACCTGATGGAGCTGAAAACCAAGGCATGAGAGCTACGTGACGAATGCAGAAGCCTCAGTAGCCAATGTGATCAACTAGAAGAAAGGGTGTCAGTGATGGAAGACGAAATGAATGAAATGAAGCGAGAAGAGAAGTTTAGAGAAAAAAGAATAAAAAGAAATGAACAAAGCCTCCAAGAAACACGGGACTAGGTGAAAAGACCAAATCTATGTCTGATTGGCATACCTGAAAGTGACAGGGAGAATGGAACCAAGTTGGAAAGCACTCTGCAGGATATTATCCAGGAGAACTTCCCCAATCTAGTAAGGCAGGCCAAAATTCAGATTCAGGAAATACGGAGAACGCCACAAAGATACGCCTCGAGAAGAGCAACTCCAAGATACATAATTGTCAGATTCACCAAAGTTGAAATGAAGGAAAAAATGTTAAGGACAGCCAGAGAGAAAGGTCGGGTTGCCCACAAAGGGAAGCCCATCAAACTAACAGGTGCTCTCTCGGCAGAAACTCTACAAGCCAGAAGAGAGTGGGGACCAATATTCAACATTCTTAAAGAAAAGAATTTTCAACCCAGAATTTCATATCCAGCCAAACTAAGCTTCATAAGTGAAGGAGAAATAAAATACTTTACAGACAAGCAAATGCTGAGAGATTTTGTCACCACCAGGCCTGCCCTAAAACAGCTCCTGAAGGAAGCACTAAACATGGAAAGGAAAAACCGGTACCAGCCAGTGCAAAAACATGCCAAATTGTAAAGACCATCAAGGCTAGGAAGAAACTGCATCAACTAACGAGCAAAATAACCAGCTAACATCATAATGACAGGATCAAATTCATACATAACAATACTAACCTTAAATGTAAATGGGCTACATGCTCCAATTAAAAGACACAGACTGGCAAATTGGATAAAGAGTCAAGACCCATCAGTGTGCTGTATTCAGGAAACACATCTCATGTGCAGAGACACACATAGGCTCAAAATTAAGGGGTGGAGGAAGATCTACCAATTAAATGGAAAACAAAAAAAGGCAGGGGTTGCAATCCTAGTCTTGGATAAAACAGACTTTAAACCAACAAAGATCAAAAGAGAAAAAGAAGGCCATTACATAATGGTAAAGGGATCAATTCAACAAGAAGAGCTAACTATCCTAAATATATATGCACCCAATACAGGAGCACCCAGATTCATAAAGCAAGTCCTTAGAGACCTACAAAGAGACTTAGACTCCCACACAATAATAATGGGAGACTTTAACACCCCACTGTCAACATTAGACAGATCAACGAGACAGAAAGTTAACAAGAATACCCATGAATTGAACTCAGCTCTGCACCAAGTGGACCTAATAGACATCTACAGAACTCTCCAACCCAAATCAACAGAATATACACTCTTTTCAGCACCACACCACACCTACTCCAAAATTGACCACATACCTGGAAGTAAAGCACTCCTCAGCAAATGTAAAAGAACAGAAATTATAACAAACTGTCTCTCAGACCACAGTGCAATCAAACTAGAACTCAGGATTAAGAAACTCACTCAAAACCGCTCAACTACATGGAAACTGAACAACCTGCTCCTCAATGACTACTGGGTACATAATGAAATGAAGGCAGAAATAAAGATGTTCTTTGAAACCAACGAGAACAAAGACACAACATACCAGAATCTCTGGGACACATTCAAAGCAGTGTATAGAGGGGAATTTATAGCACTAAATGCTCACAAGAGAAAGCAGGAAAGATCTAAAATTGACACCCTAACATCACAATTAAAAGAACTGGAAAACCAACAGCAAACACATTCAAAAGCTAGCAGAAGGCAGGAAATAACTAAGATCAGAGAAGAACTAAAGGAAATAGAGACACAAAAAACCCTTCAAAAAATTACTGAATCCAGGAGCTGGTTTATTGAAAAGATCAACAAAATTGATAGACTGCTAGCAAGATTAATAAAGAAGAAAAGAGAGAAGAATCAACTAGACGTGATAAAAAATGATAAGGGGAATATCACCACCAATCCCACAGAAATACAAACTACCATCAGAGAATATTATAAACACCTCTACGCAAATAAACTAGAAAATCTAGAAGAAATGGATAAATTACTCAACACATACATCCTCCCAAGACTAAACCAGGAAGAAGTTGAATCTCTGAATAGACCAATAACAGACTCTGAAATTGAGGCAATAATCAATAGCTTACCAACCAAAAAAAGTCCAGGACCAGATGGATTCACAGCCGAATTCTACCAGAGGTACAAAGAGGAGCTGGTACCATTCCTTGTGAAACTATTCCAATCAATAGAAAAAGAGGGAATCCTCCCTAACTCATTTTATGAGGCCAGCATCATCCTGATACCAAAGCCTGGTAGAGACACAACCAAAAAAGAGAACTTTAGACCAATATCCTTGATGAACCTTGATGCAAAAATCCTCAATAAAATACTGGCAACCGAATCCAGCAGCACATCAAAAAGCATATCCACCATGATCAAGTGGGCTTCATCCCTGGGATGCAAGGCTGGTTCAACATATGAAGATCAGTAAGTGTAATCCAGCATATAAACAGAACCAAAGACAAAAACCACATGATTATCTCAATAAAAGCAGAAAAGGCCTTTGACAAAATTCAACAACCCTTCATACTAAAAAGTCTCAATAAATTAGGTATTGAAGGGACATATCTCAAAATAATAAGAGCTATCTATGACAAACCCACAGCCAATATCATACTGAATGGGCAAAAACTGGAAGCATTCCCTTTGAAAACTGGCACAAGACAGGAATGCCCTCTCTCACCACCTATTCAACATAGTGTTGGAAGTTCTGGCCAGGGCAATCAGGCACAAGAAGGAAATAAAGGGTGTTCAATTAGGAAAAGAGGAAGTCAAATTGTCCCTGTTTGCAGATGACATGATTGTATATCTAGAAAACCCCATCGTCTCAGCCCAAAATCTCCTCAAGCTGATAAGCAACTTCAGCAAAGTCTCAGGATACAAAATCAATGTACAAAAATCACAAGCATTCTTATACACCAATAACAGACAAATCATGAGTGAACTCCCATTCACAATTGCCTCAAAGAGAATAAAATACCTAGGAATCCAACTTACAAGGGATGTGAAGGACCTCTTCAAGGAGAACTACAAACCACTGCTCAAGGAAATAAAAGAAGATACAAACAAATGGAAGAACATTCCATGCTCATGGGTAGGAAAAATCAATATCGTGAAAATGGCCATACTGCCCAAGGTCATTTATAGATTCAATGCCATCCCCATCAAGCTACCAATGACTTTCTTCACAGAATTGGAAAAAACTACTTTAAAGTTCATATGGAACCAAAAAGAGCCCACATCGCCAAGTCAATCCGAAGCCAAAAGAACAAAGCTGGAGGCATCATGCTACCTGACTTCAAACTATACTACAAGGCGACAGTAACCAAAACAGCATGGTACTGGTACCAAAACAGAGATATAGACCAATGGAACAGAACAGAGCCCTCAGAAGTAGTGCTGCATATCTACAACTATCTGATCTTTGACAAACCTGAGAAAAACAAGCAATGGGGAAAGGATTCCCTATTTAATAAATGGTGCTGGGAAAATTGGCTAGCCATATGTAGAAAGCTGAAACTGGATCCCTGCCTTACACCTTATACAAAAATTACTTCAAGATGGATTACAGACTTACACGTTAGACCTAAAACCATAAAAACCCTAGAAGAAAACCTAGGCAATACCATTCAGGACATAGGTATGGACAAGGACTTCATGTCTAAAACACGAAAAGCAATGGCAACAAAAGCCAAAATTGACAAATGGGATCTAATTAAACTAAAGAGCTTCTGCACAGCAAAAGAAACTACCATCAGAGTGAACAGGCAACCTACAAAATGGGAGAAAATGTTTGCAACCTACTCATCTGACAAACGGCTAATATCCAGAATCTACAATGAACTCAAACAAATTTACAAGAAATAAACAAACAACCCCATCAACAAGTGGGCAAAAGATATGAACAGACACTTCTCAAAAGAAGACACTTATGCAGCCAAAAAACACATGAGAAAATGCTCACCGTCACTAGCCATCAGAGAAATGCAAATCAAAACCACAATGAGATACCATCTCATACCAGTTAGAATGGCGATCATTAAATAGGACACAACAGGTGCTGGAGAGGATGTGGAGAAATAGGAACACTTTTACACTGTTGGTGGGACTGTAAACTAGTTCAACCATTGTGGAAGTCAGTGTGGCGATTCCTCAGGGATCTAGAACTAGAAATACCATTTGACCCAGCCATCCCATTACTGGGTATATACCCAAAGGATTATAAATCATGCTGCTATAAAGACACTTGCACCCGTATGTTTATAGCGGCACTATTCACAATAGCAAAGACTTGGAACCAACCTAAATGTCCAACAATGATAGACTGGATAGACATATACACCATGGAATACTATGCAGCCACAAAAAATGATGAGTTCATGTCCTTTGTAGGGACATGGATGAAACTGGAAACCATCATTCTCAGCAAACTCTCACAAGGACAAAAAACCAAACACCGCATGTTCTCACTCATTGGTGGGAATTGAACAATGAGAACACATGGACACAGGAAGGGGAACATCACACACCAGGGCCTGTTGTGGGGTGGGGGGAGGGGGGAGGGATAGCATTAGGAGATATACCTAATGCTAAATCATGAGTTAATGGGTACAGCACACCAACATGGCACATGTATACATATGTAACAAACCTGCACATTGTGCACATGTACCCTAAAATTTAAAGTATATTAATAATGCAATTTTAAAAAAAAGAATTTCAAGCAGAAGGTTTTTGTGAATATCTCACCTTGATCCTTCCTGCTTCTCCTTCCTATTCCATTTGTCTGTTGTGGTTTTCCTGGGGGGAGACTTAAAATACAAAATAATATAAGCTCGGCCAGGTGCGCTGGCTCACGCCTGTAATCCCAGCACTTTGGGAGGCCAAGGCGGGCAGATCACGAGGTCAGGAGACCAAGACCATCCTGGCTAACACGGTGAAACCCCGTCTCTAATAAAAATACAAAAAAAACAAAATTAGCCGGGCATGGTGGCGGGCACCTGTAGTCCCAGCTACTCGGGAGGCTGAGGCAGGAGAATGGTGTGAACCTGGGAGCCGGAGCTTGCAGTGAGCCAAGAATGCACCACTGCACTCCAGCCTGGGCAACAGCGAGACTCTGTCTCAAAAAAAAAAAATAGACAGAAATTTCATTTTTCACTTTATATATTTTTGTTTTGTTTTCACAATGAGCTTATATTTTATATATATATATACACATATATATATTCCATCATACTCCTTTGAGAAAGCTATAATAATATTTTGGTATATTTCCACTGCACTTAGTATTCTTCAATCTACCTCTTCATTTAGCAAGTTATTTTGATCATCTTTGCAAAAGTGTGTAAAGAGCCTCTCATTCATTTTAACTGCAATGAGTATGACATTTAAAAATGTACCCTAACATATTTAATCAATCTCCTGATCAAGGGACATTTTCCTGCTCTTCTTTGATGAAGTTCTACTGAATCATTTATTTCATGGGTTTCTGTGTCAGAGGAAAAGTTGGAATATCTTTGCCAAAGGTACATCTTTGGATCCTTGAGAACTAGGAGGTCCCAGGGATAGATATTACAACCATTTATTTTATTTTATTTATTTTTTGTTATACTTTAAGTTCTGGGATACATGTGCAGAACATGCAGGTTTGTTACATAAGTATTCACGTGCCATGGTGGTTTCCTGCACCCATCAACCTGTCATCTACATTAGGTATTTCTTCTAATGCTATCCCTCCCCTTTCCCCCCAGCTCCCAACAGGCCCCAGTGTGTGATGTTCCCCTCCCTGTGTCCATGTGTTCTCATTGTTCGACTCCCACTTATGAGTGAGAACATGCAGTGTTTGGTTTTCTGTTCCTGTGTTAGTTTGCTGAGAATGATGGTTTCCAGCTTCATCCATGTCCCTGCAAAGGACATGAACTCATCCATTTTTATGGCTGCATAGTGTTCTGTGGTGTATATGTGCCATATTTTCTTTACCCAGTCTATTGCTGACGGACATTTGGGTTGGTTCCGAGTCTTTGCTATTGTAAATAGTGCCATAATAAACATACACTTGCATGTGTCTTTATAGTAGCATGATTTATAATCCTTTGGGTATACACCCAGTAATGGGATTACTGGGTCAAATGGTATTTCTGGTTCTGGATCCTTGAGGAATCACCACACTGTCTTGTACAATGGTTGAACTAATTTACACTCCCACCAACAATGTAAAAGTGTTTCTATTTCTCCACATCCTCTCCAGCATCTGTAGTTTCCTGACTTTTTAATGATTGCCATTTTAACTGGTGTGATGATATTACAACCATTTTTCTAAGTAGTTAAATGGTGAATGAGAAAAGTCTCATTCAGCGATGTGATTTTAACGAAGGTACATTTTTTGTGGGTTAACTAGCATTTCTGTGTGCTTGATAATTTTTGGAAACACTTTAAAATTGTTAGATTTATTATATCTTATCTTTAGCTCTCACAGTACTATGGTTTGTGATCTGGTTCCTGTCCAGCCTCAATTGTCACTCTTTCCCCACCTGCTTACCAAGCTGCAGTCACTTGGTTTCTAAGCATGGAGGCTCACACTTCATCCCACCTTACCTCTATTGTGGTGTGGTCTGTGCCATGAATCCTGCCTTCTGCTTATCTTTCTAGTGAATGTTGCATGCTCAGAAACTTTACTTATTGCTTCCCCTGTAAATCTCTTCCTCTTCCTCATCTCATCTCATTCCACTAAACATAGCTGTTTTCTCCTTCCCACTTCCATTGCACTGTGTCTACAGTAATAAAGTGTTTAAAGTCTGACTTTTTCTCTAGGGAATAGGATTCATGAGGGCAGGTACTACATTGTGAGTGTTTGGGCTAGTCTGCAGCCCAGGGAAGCTGATGCCTAGATATCTGGTGATTTTGTGACTCTAACCCACTTGACTCAAAGGGAAGCTACCTAGAGATCCACTTTTCTTTTTTGGTGGGGAGGAGAGGTTAATATTTTATTATTGTTATTATTATTAAATTCCAAATTTTATTTTAGATTCTGGAGTACATGGGCAGGTTTGCTACATGGGTATATTGCGTGATACTGGGGTTTGGGGTACAATTTATCCCATCACCCAGGTAGTAACATAGTATCCAATAGTTTTTCAATCCTTGCCCCCTTCTCCTACTTCCACCAATAGGGTTCCCAGTGTCTATTGCTGCTGTTCTTATGTCCATGAGTGCCCAATATTTACCTCCTATTTTTGAGTAAAAATATGCAGTATTTGGCTCTCTATTCCTGTATTAATTCACTTAGGATAATGGCCTCCAGCCACTCCATGTGGCTGCAGAGGACATGATTTTGTTTTTTTTTATGACTGCATAGTATTCCATGGTATATGCATACTACCATTGATGGGCATCCAGGTTGATTCCATGTCTTTGCTATTGTGAATAGTGCTACAGTGAAGACATAAGTGTATGTGTCTTTTTCGTCGAAAAACTTATTTTCTGTTGGATATATACCTAGTAATGAGATTGCTGTGTTGAATGGTAGTTTTAAGTTCTTTGAGAAATCTCCAAACTGCTTTCCACAGTGGTTGAACTAATTTACATTCCCATCGACAGCCATAAGCATTCCCTTTTCTGCACAGCCTCACCAACATCTGTTGATTTTTGAGTTTTTAATAATAGCCCTTCTGACTGGTGTGAGATGGTATCTCAGTGTGTTTTGATTTGCATTCTCAGATGATTAGTGATGTTGAGCATTTTTTCCTGTTTGTTGGCCCCTTGTATATCCTCTTTTGAGATGAGTTTTCTCATGTCTTTTGCTCACTTTTTAATAGGATTATTTGTTTTTTGCTTGTTCAATTGTTTAAGCTCCTTAGATACTCTGGATATCAGACTTTTGTTTGATGCATAGTTTATGAATATTTTATACCATTCTGTAGGTTATCTATTTACTTTGCTAACAGTTTCTTTTGCCGTGCAGAAGTTCTTTAGTTTAAGTCCTACTGGTCAATATTTATTTTTGTTGCAGTTTTTTTTTTGAGAACTTGGTTATGAATTCTTTCCTAAGACCAGTGTCCAGAATTGTGTTCCTGCCTATGTTTTCTTCTAGGATTCCTATAGTTTGAAGTCTTAAATTTAAATCTTTAATCTACTTTGAGTTAATTCTTGTATATGGTTAAGAGTAAGGATCCAGTTTCATTCCTCTGCAGCATTTATTGAATAGAGGGTTCTTTCCCCATTGCTCATTTTTGTTGACTTGTGGAAGATCAGATAGATGTAGGTGTGTGACTTTATTTCTCAGTTTTCTATTCTGTTCCATTTTTCTATGTGTCTGTTTTTGTACCAGTATCATGCTCTTTTGGTTACTATAGTATTAGAGTATAGTTTGAAGTCGGGTAACGTGATGTTTCCAGCTTTGTCCTTTTTGCTTAGGGTTGCTTTGGCTATTTGTCTATTTTTGTTCCATATGAATTTTAGAATAGTTTTTTCTAGCTCTGTGAAAAATGACATTGGTAGTTTGATAGGAATCTATAGAATGATTTGGGTGGTATGATAATTTTATCAATGTTGATTATCCAATCAATACACATGGAATGTCTTTCCATTTGTTTTGTCATCCATGATTTTTTCCAGCAGATCTCTCCTTGTAGAGATCTTTCATCTCCTTGGTTGGTTGTATTCCTAGACATTACATACATTTTTGGCTATTGTAAATGGGACTGCATTTTAAACTTTATTCTTATCTTGAATATTATTGGTGTATAGAAATACTAGTTATTTTTGTATATTGATTTTATATCCTGAAACTTTACTAAAGTCATTTATCAGTTCCAGGATCATTTTGGTGGATTTTCTAAATGGGTTTTCTAGGTATGGAATCATATCATCAGTTAAGAGAGATAGTTCGACTTTTTCTTTTCTTATTTAGATGTATTTTATTTCTTTTTATTCCCCAATTGCTTTGACTAGGACTTCCAGTACCATGTTGAATAGGAGTGGTGAGAGTGAACATTCTTGTCTTATTGCAGTTCTCATGGGGAATCATTCCAGCTTTGCCCCATTCAGTATGATGTTAACTGTGGGTTTGTCATAGATAGCTTTTAATATTGTAGAGAATTTTCCTCTGATGCCTAGTTGGTTGAGCTTTTTATTCTGAAGGGATGTTGAATTTTATTGAAACCCTTTTCTCTGTCTATTGGCATAATTATATGATTTTGTTCTTAATTCTGTTTATGTGGTGAATCACATTTATTGATTTGCGTATGTTGAACCAACCTTGGATCTCAAGAATGGAGCTTGCTTGATTGTGATGGATTAACTTTTTGATGTGCTGCTGCTTGTTTGGTTTGCTAATGTTTTGTTCAGACTTTTTGCATCTATCTTCACCAAGGATATTGGCTTGTAGTTTTCCTTTTTTTGTGTGTCTTTTCTAGGTTTTATTGGCAGGGTGATGCTGGCTTAGTAGAATGAGTTAGTGAGGAGCTCCTCTCTTTCATTTTTTGAAATTGTTTCAGAATTGGTACAAGTTCCTTTTTGTATATCTGGTAAAATTCAGCTGTAAATCTATCTGGACTGGGGCTTTTTGTGGCTGGCAGTTTTCTGTTACTGATTCAATTTCAGAACTCAATATTGGTCTGTTCAAGGCTTCAATTTCTTCCTGATTCAATCATGGGAGATGGTGTGTTTTCAGGAATTTATCCATTCCCTTTGGATTTTCTAGTTTGTGTCAATGGAAGCATTTACAATAGTTTCCGAGGATCTTTTGTATTTCTGTGGGATCAATTGTAATGTCTCCAACATTTCTCATTGTAGTTATTTGGGTCTTCTTTTTGTTGTTGTTGTTAATCTAGCTAACAGTCTATATACCTTGTTTATCATTTCAAATAATCAACTTTTGGTTTTGTCAGTTCTTTGTATGGATTTTGGGGTCTCATTTTGTTTAGTGCTGCTGCGATTTTAGTTATTATCTTCTGCTAGCTTTGGAGCTGGTTTGTTCTGTTTTTTTCTAGTTCCTGTAGGTGTGATAATAGATTATTCATAAGAGGTCTTTCTAACTTTTTGAGGTAGACATTTATCACTGTGAGCATTAGTCTTAACACTGATTTTTTTGCATCCCGGAGATTTCACTATGTAGAGTCCCTGTTTTCAATTATTTCAATTTTTTTTCTTTGCTTTCTGCTTTAATTTCATTGTTTACCCAAAGGTCATTCAGGTATAAATTGTTTAAATTCATGTAATTGTGGGTTTCGGGATAACTTCTTGGTATTGATTTCTATACTTCTATGGTCTGAGAGTATTATTGCTATGATTTTGCTTTTGTTAAAAAAATTATTAAGACTTGCTTTATGGCAAAGAATGAGGTTGATCTTGGAGTATGTTCTGTGCGCAGGTGAGAATAATGTATATTTTGTGGTTGATGGGTGGTGTATTCTGTAAATATCTATTTGGTCCAATTGGTCGTGTCAAAATTTAGAATTTTTTGCTAGTTTTCTGCCTCAATGTCCTAACACAATAAGTAGGGGGTTGAAGCCCCCCACTATTATTGTATAGTTGTCTCAGCCTTTTCATAGGTCTGGAAGTACTTGCTTTATTAATTTTCTCCAATGTTGGGTGTATATATACTTAGGATAGTTAAGTCTTCTTGTTGTGTAATGTTCTTTTTTGTCCTTTGGTACTGTTGTTGGTTTAAAGTTCGTTTTATCTGATGTAAGAATAGAAGCCCCAGTTCTTTTTTGTATTCCATTTGAGTGATCTTCTCTGATCCTTTGCTTTGAGCCTATGGGGGTTGCTACGTGTGAGAGGGTTCTCTTGAAGACCCGTATTGGATGGGTCTTTTTTTTTTTAATAATTCTATTTGCTAAGTTGCCACTTTGTGCTTTTAAGTGGTGGCATTTAGCTCATTTATAGTTGAGTTTAATATTGATATGTGAGGTTTTAATCTCATCATGAAGTTAACTCATTGCTTTATAGTTTCTATTGTTTGGTGGCTTTATAGGGTCTGCGGGTTATTATGTACTGAAGTATGCTTTTATGGTAGCTGGTATCATTCTTTCATTTTCATGTTTAGAACTTCCTTAATAATCTCTTGTAAGGCTGGTCAAGTGGTAACAAATTCTCTTAGTACTTGCTTGTCTGGAAAAGATTTCATTTCTCCTTCTCCTCTGAAGCTTAGTTTGGCAGGATATGAGAGTCTTGATTATAAATTATTTTCTTGCAGAATGCTGAAAATAGACCCCTAATCTCTCCTGCCTCACAAGGTTTCTGCTGTGAGATCCACTGTTAGCCTGATGAGGTATCCTGTGTACATGATTTGACTTTTTTCTCTAGCTGCCTTTAAGGCTTTTTCTTTAGTGTTGACTTTGGAAAGTCTGGTAACCATATGCATTGGTGATGTGTATTTTGTATAGTATCTGGCAGGTGGTATCTGGATGTCTTGTATCTGGATGTCTACCTCTCCAGCAAGGTAAAGGAAATTTTCCTGAATTATTCCTTCAGAAGTCTTTGCCATGTTGTTTACATTTTCTTCTTCTCTCTCAGGAATGCCAACAATTTGTAGGTTTGGTTTCTCTACATAATCCCATATTTCTTAAAGGCTGTTCATTTGTTGAATTTTTTTTTCATTTTTATCTGACTACATTAGTTTGAAAGACCCATCTTCAAGCTCTGAAATTCTTTATTTTGCTTGGTCCAGTCTACTGATAAATCTTTCTACTGTATTTTGAAATTCCTTAAGTACATTTTTCAATTCGAGAAGCTCCTATTGATTTATTTTTAAGATGTTTATATCGTCTTTCATTCCCCACATTGCTTTAGAAGTTTCTTTGTGTTGATTTTAACCTTGTCTTGGATCTCATTGAGCTTTCTTACAGTCCATGCTTTCAATTCTTTTTCTGTCATTTCTTAGTTTTCATTTTGGTTATGAACCATTCTGGAGAGCTGGTGTGATTCTTTGGTGGTGTCACTGTATTCAGATTTATCATGGTGCCAGAATTCTTGGACTTGTTCCTTCTCATCTGGAGATGCTGGCCCTTCTAATTTTTGTACTTATTTTCATGTAGGTAGGATTTTTTTCTCTCTTTCTCTGTATTATTATTTCTTTTGTTCTCCTTTTCTTTACCCCCTACCTAGGAGGTGTGACTGTAGAGAATGTTGGGTAGGGTCTTTTGGCTTTGCTTCTATAGCTCTATGCACTTCTATCAGCATATTTTATATTGGGATGTGAGATGTGACCCACAAGCCAGTAGATGACACTTACGAGTAAAAACCTTCTACTCATAAGTATACGGCACTGGGTATACACTTGATCACTGTTTACTGGGAGAAGCTCTCTGTTGCTGCATGCAATGGCCTGATCCATGGAGTACAGAGGGGTATGAGCTCACTGCTCAGCCTGGGTGAGGGGGCAAGATGGGAAGGGCCATGTGAGGTAGGCCCACTTACAGGTCCCCCAGTGGCAGGTACAAGCACCAATGCCAAGGAAGAATTAGTGAGTGACCACCAAGTGCCCAGATGTATGCCTAGGCATGGAGCTGGGAAACCTCCTCAATCCCAAGTTCTCTGCACAGGGAAGGGGGCAGCCTAAGCTCCTAATGCAGGAGAGTGTGTGCCCCAGAAGCCTGGAGATCTACTTGGGAGTGGAGCTGATAGGTCCCCACTGCACTACAATCTCTGCACAGGAAGGGAGGGACAGCTCAGGCAGCTGGTTCAGGTGAGCAGGGTGTTCTGAATGCCTGGAGATCAGTACGGGTTGGAGCAGAGTGGGTCCCACAGTACCATGATCTACACCCAGGAAGGTGAGACAGCTTAGGTTGCTCAACCAGGTGTGCAGGTACTCCAAATGCCTAAGGATCTGCCTGAGCATAAAGTGGAGTGGGCCCCCCTGTACCAGAATCTCTTCTCAGGAAGAGTGGGGTGAGGTGAGCCAGGGGCAGAGGGGTCCCCTGCACCAGAATCTATTATCAGGAAAAGGGAGGTGAGGTGATCCAGGTGAGCAGGTGCTCTGAATGCCTAGAGATCTGCCTGGGCATGAAGCAGAGAAGACCCTGCTCCACCATGATCTCTGCACAGGAAGAGTGAGACAACTCAGGCTGACAATCCAGACAAGCAGTTGCTTTGGATACAGGGAGCTCTTCCTGGGCATGTAGTGTAGAGGGCTACGCTATACCACAATCTATGTCCAGGAAGGGTGGGATGTCTCAGGCTGCTGAAGCAGGTAAGCAGGTGCTCTGGATGCCTGAGGATCCGCCTGAGCTTGAAGTGGGGAAGGCCCCTCTGCATGCGGATCTCTGCACAGAAAGGGTGGAGTGGAGCAGCTCAGGTTGCTAGTTCATGGGAGCGGGTGCTCTGAACGCCTGGGATTCTGCCTGGGCATGGAGCAGAAAGGACCCTGCTGCAGCACAATCTAAGGGGAGCAGATTGGGACACCCAGCAATGATATATGCAGACCGATTCCAGGTTGCCAAGCTGGCTTGGCTGCAAGTTTCATCATCCAGGAAAAACTGTGTCTGTACCAGCTCGTCTCCTGTCCCAGACTGGTGATGGAGGAAAGCACAATTCCAGTGCCTACTGCTGAAGTGTTTTTCACAATTCTGGCTGTGGAGGCCCCTCTCTCACTCCAGAGAAAGTACTCCAATCTCTGGCCCAAAACTAAAATGCTTACACAGCTATGCTGCCAGGTTGACAAGGAATGACTGACTTTGTATGTGCCCAGATTAAAAATGGCATCCTGTTCTCAATCCTAGGTCTGGGAAAATGCCTGCAACTTTTCCTGGTGTCTTTCTCTCATGGCTTCTCTAAGCCTCTTCCCAAATTAGCTCCAGGGCTTGGGAGAAACAAAGTGGTTTCATTTGGCCTGGGTTGTTGAGATCTCCAGTGGGAAGGTGAGTCACAGAGGGAGGCTCTCTGCCTCTCTCATGCATTAGGGCTTCACTCATTTTTGTCATCCAGACACTGTCATGGGTGCTGTTTGCTTACATTCTCCTCCCCAGGATCTGGGGAGGCTTTCATGATTATAGTGGATTTCCATTTTCCTTCTTAAATTAAAGCTCACAGAGTTAATCGTTATGTACTATCTTGCTATTTCCAAGTGGCAGAGACACACTAAAAGCCTCTAATCCACCATTTTGGAGAATAAATGCCTTTTTTTTTTCTTTCGAGTCGGGGTCCTGCTCTGTCACTCAGGCTCTAGAGTGCAATGGTGTGATCATTGTTCACTGCAGTCTCAAACTTCTGGGCTCAAACCATTCTCCCACTTCAGCCTCTCAAGTAGCTGAAACTACAGAGGTGTGCCACTATGCCCAGCTAATTAAAAAAAAAAAATTTTTTTGAGATGGGGGTCTCACTTTGTTGCCCAGGCTGGTTCTGAACTCCTGACCTCAAGTGATCTTCTCCCCTGGGTCTTCCAAAGTGCTAGGATTACAAGCATGAGCCACTACACCCAGCCATGATCCTCTTTTCATCTAACGTAGGCTCTAGATGAGAGAAACTGACAGTTACTACTATAGTCTGAAAGTACATGTGGACAGTTTTATATGATGGTTGTTTCAGAAGTTGCCTTTTGTGCCTAAACTGCCATCACACTGAGAGTTATGTCATCCCTCCTATACAGTATACTTCTCCCACTGCTAAGTAATGCTCCACAATGCATTGTAGCATCCAGTACAATAGCAGTTTCCATATGGCTCCTCACACATTTACTTCTATGCGCATTGGCAATTTAGAATGGCATTGTTCATTATATTTCAGATGTCAGCCTGGCTGGAGCCTATCCAACGATGTGTACTTAAACTGTCAGAAACTGAAAGGCTGACATTGGGCATGACTCATTACCGTGCAATAGATGTGAGAGAGCATTTCAGGGGAAAATCAGCTTTAATCAGTGTCAGTAGATGCCATGTGATTTTCCCCAGCACTGATAATGATGCATCAGTTCAGAAATGACAGCTGCTGGACACCCGCTGTTGCGTCATTTATGCTCCTCCATGCCACCAGGTTGCAAACTCCAGTCACTGATCTAATTCGCTCCTGTTTTTAGAGGATCAACAGCAGTAACAACAAAGACATAAATAAGCATCCTTTCTAAATAAATTAGGTATGTAACCAGAATGATTATCATGACTGTAACTAAATACTGGCCTTTATGTTCACAGAGAAGTTTCTTTGCTTACCTACTGCTTGCGTGGAAAAGTAAGATTTCCGGATTTTTGGAGATATTCCTAAAGGTAGCATCTCATGTGCTTTCTAATAGCTTATTTAAGTTTGGCACAATCCCTGTAAAGTAGATTGATAGCATCATCTCTATTTTGCAGCTGAGAAATCTGAGGTTCAATAAAGTTAATAATTAAATCATTTGTCCCACTGAGAATCATTAAAAGTCAGGAAGGCTCAAACTAAAATGTTCTGCCTCTATGGCTTTCTAGAGGAGAACTGATGCCAAAAAAGTTCTGGACCAAATCAATCAATAATCCAAATTGTAAATACTCCAAAGAGCTCTAGACAAGAACAGCCATCAAAATGAAGAAGCCGAAAGAAAAAATCTTTTACCAAAGGTTTTCCATTCTCCTATTATTGGCCCAAGAAATGGAAGCCATCTCCAGCTTTACACAAGTTACCGCAGAAGCACCTTGACAAAGTCTCAAGAGCTGTATATTTTTCCATTTTGTCACTACCATGGAAATACTGCCTGTTCAATTATTATCACATTAGTTCCATTGGTAGTTTCCCAGAAGGAAAGGGGCAGATATAACTCTGTTTATAATAGAGCTTTGTAAACAGATAATCAAACATTTCTTCTGATGGTGAGCAAAGCTGTTGTCTCCTCAAGACCCTCTGAGGATGCCACTAGGTAGACAAAAACCTGAGGAATTATGATGTTATACTATCACGTCCTTGCCCCTAGGATAGTTAGTATGAAATCCTTTTTCCTCCTTTCACTATAACTTACTTTTTTTCTCTCGCTATGCCTTAGTAACTCTGAGAAATGGAAAATCTGAATGCCATGGCTGTTCCCATTTACTGGGGGTTTTAAAGATAGTTTCAGGAGGCTCCCAAAGGTCTTCAACTGTGTGTCTGATGGACTCTAGGACCTCTCAGACTTGTAAAGCTCCTTTCTTTCTATAGGCATATTTGGAAAGCAATAAATAATTTCTGAACACTTTGGCAAAGACTTAATTCTCACTAGGAAACAGCATAGGTACAAACCCACTCACTAAACCACAGAAGCCTGGCACACATTTGGTTTCTTTTTTTGTAAAAAAAAAAAAAAAAAAAAAAAAGAAAGAAAGAAAATTGGACTATGAGTAAAGCAATCAAGATAAGTTTATATATACAGTTGCTTCCCTTCAGCAGAAACATTTGGCAAAGTAGATATCCTTGACATCTTTGGGATGATATAGAAAATTATCAATTGCATGAAAATATAGTGTATGTATAGATTGTTAAATTGTTTTAGCAAATATTTTGATCATGATATTAGAGGAAACCTTAGTGTATATTATATATCTCCAGGCTATATTAGAATATTCTTGTTTCTTCTTTCTTTCTTTTAAAAAATAAAACCTTTTGTTTCTGGCAAGAAACAGATACCTTACAGGTAGATTTTTAGGAAGTCATTTTTGTTATATTGACAAATATTATCAAGTTATTTTGAAATAATACATTGTGTATTGGTGAGAATTGACTAACGATAATAGGTTAATAATTACAAAAAGGGGTAAAAATCAGTGGGTGCTGGGTAGATGGTTGATATACTTTTCAGTTGAAGCTCTTTAATTTTTTAAAGTATTTGAATTGGTTCTCAGAGAGTGTGCTTAAAATATATAAAAATGACTGGACCCCTCTGTAGCTCATGGCACCACTGGCAAGGCTTGCAGCTGACATAAGACACCAAATCTTGGGCTTTCCCTTTCAGAGAACAGGGAAACAGCTGACGAATAAGGGAGTACCGCATGGTCACATGACTAATTTTATCGAATGGGATGTGAGCAGAAGTAATATGTTTCACTTCCTGGACAGAGGGGTTAAGAAATGAGTGTTCTTTCTTCATGTTTTCTTTCTGCTTCCACCAGTTGGTGAACGTGAGTATGAAGAACTTGGAAACCATATAATCACTATGAATGGAACCAGAATATGAATGGGACCTGGGCATTTGAGTCACTAGGTAAAGAACTGCACATTGACCTGGAACTGTTATCAGATTGTTATGTGAGTTTATAAATTTCCGTTATATAGAGACACTGAAATTTGATTTTGTTTTGTTTTCATTAGAGCTGGTGTTACTCTAAGTAACACAGGTCAAAGCTCTGAGAAGTCATTGGTTTGCCCATTAAAATGAGTCAGGCAATCTGACAGCACTATGAGTTTTAGACTTAATGGTCTCTTGGTGATAAGCTCTGGCTGGCTGCAATTCTTCTCTCACCCACTAGAAAAATAGAAGACCTGGTGTCTGGAAGGTTAAAATGGCTAGGACAACCCTTCTTTAATTTTGCCAGCTTCAAGAATATCAGGAGAGTAAACACATTTCCTGTTTTCTGTTCTGCTAAAATTTTCAATACTGACTTAGAAAGTTTGGGATGATAGCTTCTCAAAATATAGGTTATTAAATGTTTGAATGTCACTTTGTCCCATATGAATCATTTTCTTACCATATCATGACATACAAGAGCATTAAAACAGCATAGGCAAATATGAAATATTTCATCAATAACTTGAATAATAAGTATATATTAATCAGGGCTCTCCAGAGAACAGAACCTACAGGCTATATAGGGATATATAAGAGAGGGTTTATTATGGGAATTGCCTGATATATTATGGAGGCTGAAACATCCCACAAAAATGTCTGCAAATTGGAAAAGCAGGAAAGCTGGTGGTGCAATTCAGCTGGAGTCTGAAGGCCTGAGAAGCCAAGGGAGCCAATGGTGTGACTCCCAATCTGAAACTGAAGGCCTGACAACTGGAGGATGGGGGAGGAGGGACTGCTGGTGCAAGTCCTGGAGTCCACGGGCCAGAGAATCTGGAATTCTGATGTTCTAGGCAGGAGAAGATGGATGTCACAGTTCCAGAAGAGAGAATAAATTTGCTCTTTCTCTACCCGTTTGCTCCATTTGGGTTCTCGATGGACTGGATGATGCCCTCCCACATTGGTGAGGGTAATCTTTTTAGTCTACTCATTAAAATACTAAACTCTTCTGGAAACACCCACACAGACATACTCAGAAATAATGTTTCCTAGCTATCTGGATATCCGTTAACCCAATCAAGTTAACAACTAAAATGAACTATCACAGAGTGCATGTTTTTCAAAGTTGCTACAGAGACCAAGACGAAAGGGACAGGTAATACAACAGATGAGAGAATATTTCTTTTGCTCTCATGCTTCCAAGCTATTTCCTATGTCATATTTGACCTAAAATATCCTTGTCCTTTTTTTTTCTTCTAGTTAACTCCTATAGGTCTTTCAAAATTCTCACTTCCTCCAGGAAGTCTTCTCTTCTTCCACCTGTAGTTGATTTATATTTATTTTCTCAGTACTTTCTTAGTGTCTGGGTATGTCTCTATTTTTGTACTCACATATAGCCCCATATTTTGATTACATTTATGGTTTTTTTTTTGGTCTGTTAGTCTATAATTTTTTTCTTATGGCAGACACTTTATCTTATTCAATGCTGTATCTTTAAAGTCCAGAATTTTGATTATTTTATTTATATCCTGTCTTTTTCTATTTATTTATTTATTTGAGATGGAGTCTCACCCTGTCTCCAGGCCGGAGGGCAGTGGCGTGATCTCGGCTCACTGCAACCTCTGCCTTCCAGGTTCAAGTGATTCTCCTGCCTCAGCCTTCTGAGTAAGTGGGACTACAGGCACAGCTAATTTTTGCATTTTTTAGTAGAGACAGAGTTTCACCATGTTGGCCAGGATGGTCTCGATCTCTTGACCTTGTGATCTACCTACCTTGGCCTCCCAAAGAGCTGGGATTACAGGCATGGGCCACCGCGCCCGGCTATATCCTGTCCTTTTCTAAGACTAATTTATGTTGATTGGTATCCTCAATGAACAAAAGACCAAATCAGTACATTTAAAAAAAATCAATAATCACAAATGATAAACTCAAATAAGCAACGTAAAATAAAAGTGGTATCAAGGTAAATTTTCTACTTTTTAAAAAATAATGAACACAAACAAAACGGAAACAAAAACAAAAATATGCTCTGTTGCAAATAAAAATATAGGATTCATGGGTTTTCAAAAATTAATGTAAAAAATATCTTATGTTTTAGAGGACCACAAGTTTGGAAGGAACCGAAGAAGAGATGCTGCACAAATACAAGCAGAGGGGCCTGATTAGAACAGAGGATAGTGCCATATGCTCTCTAGGGTGAGGGTACATATACAGTATTCTTTATAATGACAGGTGCCAATACTCAAGAGGAACCAGAGGATGCCCAAAAGACAATGACCAAGCCAGTGATGAAGATAGATGTAGGAAGACCTTTCAAATACCCAAAGGCTCTCATGCATAAAAAGAAGTTACTCTGATGAATGATACATGTACAAACTGAGGCAAATGCATATAAGTTGCAGAAGATCGGTTGTGCCGTTTTGGAGATACATGTTCCAATAATAAAGAATTATCAAAAATATTAAGGGCTACTTTGGGAAGTTTGTGGACTTTGGACAAAGGCTGAATTATTTTTCATCAGCGTTGTGATAGAAGACATTCCTGCCTTAGGAAGAAGGTAAATACTACAGACAGAATGTCCCCTCTTCCTAAATTCGTATGTTGAAACCTAATCCTCAATATTACTGCATTTGGAGGTGAAATTTCTGGGAGGTGATTAGGTAATGAGAGTGGAGCCCTTATGAATGAGATTAGTACCCTGAATAAAAGAGACCCTTGATGGCGCTCTTACCCCTTCCCCTATGTGAGATCACAGTAAGAAGAAAATCCATCTGTGAACAAGGAAGCAGGCCCTCATCAGATACCGAGTCTACTGGCATCCTGATCTTGGACTCAACAGCTTTCAGAACTGTCAGAAATACATTTCTGTTCTTTATAAGCCACCTAGTCAATGGTGTTTGGTTATAGCAGCCTAAACAGACTAAGAAAGTAAACCATAAAAATGTGTCATCCTCTAAAACCTGAATATTCCAGATTGTCTACATTGAATCAGACTAATCATATCTTACTCCAATGTGTGCATGAAACTATCCTATTTTACCTGTATCTCTTTGCTTCTTCTCCTTCCTTCTCTTCCACTTTTGCCTCCTTCTTTTGTCTTTCATCTTTTCCTTCTTCTTCCTTCTCACTAACAATCACCTAGCAGCTACCATAGGTCAGGAAACGTTGTAATTACTCTGAGTTCAGTAATGAGCAAGTTAGACAAGGTTGCTGCCTTTACAGAGTTTGCCATCTAATAAGAAATATAGACAAGTAAACAGGTAAATACAATGCATATTGTAAAAGGTGATGAAAGGGGATTTAGAGAGTGCTTATTAACCCAGGGCATAGAGTGTTTGAGGGAAGCAACTTCAAGTCTGTAGACCTCTTGGAGCAAGCCCAGCAATGCAGGCATTGGTGGCATTGACACAGCAGACCCATTGTAAGCTGCATTCATCTGGTTCTTTCTATTGATATTTTTCCCAATATTCTTCAAGCACTTTCCAAATTTACTTTTCAATCATCAAATGTCCCTG
This sequence comes from Homo sapiens, assembly GCF_000001405.40. Lineage (NCBI taxonomy): Eukaryota > Metazoa > Chordata > Mammalia > Primates > Hominidae > Homo > Homo sapiens. Next base: position 8,183,033 of record NC_000009.12, on the reverse strand, counting down.
TGAGAGAGAGAAATATCATATCCTTTTATATCCATCTGATAACTGTCAGTGCTCGACAGGTGAGTTAGGAGGTGGTGGGGGATAGAGAGACAAAGAGAAAGAGAGAGAGAGAGAGGAAAATTACATAAGTTTCCCAGGAGATATTGTCTCTTGTGACAAGTTGGATTTTAATTTCAGGGCTGGGTATAAGCTAGCCTTGAATGCATAATGGCTAACATGATTGCTTACTGAGCCACCGTCAATCCAGATTTGAAACTCATAGTAAATTGCTTTGGGATACCTTGAGCATGAAAAATGCAATAAAAAAATATATTTTGCAAAGAAGGTGGTAAAACTATAAAGACATTTTTAGAGCTTGCCTCATGGAAGTGAGATGCCAAAAACAATACAGGGGACCCTGACTCTGCCCATGGAGAGCAGTAGTATCTGTTGAAAAGAAGAGATAAAAGATTAAAATAGCTTACTGTGGTCTCTGAGGAACAACAAGGGACTAATTAACTGAACTGGTCTCAATACACCAACCTTTATTGCTTATTGTCTATTAAGATGACTCTACCAGAAGCCAGTGATGACAAATGCTAATTACATGCTATTTGTGTTGACTATCATGCTCTCCATAATGATCATTTGTTTCTACAAAATTTGCTACATGTCAACACTTCAACCAAAGAGTCCGGTTAAGGCACAAGTGACCTCTACTAGGCATAATTTGGGTTGGTTTTCATTCTTTGTCAGTCTGTCAAGGAAAGGCAAAGAATCTGGCCAGCATAACTTGGAATGACATTAATTTAGTACTAAAAATGTATTACAGATTTTCTCCTCCTTATTCTAGCTGAATGGCATTCCTACCTTACTGCAAGAAGACTCTCACTAAAATAATTTTTGAAGCATTTATTTTAATTGGTCATGAGAGAGAGATGTTGCGTTTTTTGGGAATAAAATCTCTACTAGGATCTATGATTGGCCTAGGATCATTTCAATCCAGAATGAATAACTTCACCTAAAAGCATGATATTTGTTGTTGAAGAAAGAAGTAGGTAAGAGTTCAAGGGTACTGGATTTCAGTTCCAACTCTAACTAGTTGAGAGATCTTGAGTAAGTCATTCTCTTTGATTTGATCTTTCCTCATCTAAAAAATTTGGAAAATCTGTTTGCAGGCTTCATATTTCTTTATCTCATAATTTCAGGGCTGTTTGAGTTTTTTCTTTATAGCACTTATGGTTGTATTTGTACTATTATTGTGTGATTCTTTGATTCGTAACTTTTTCCCCCATTGATGCACCATGACAGCAGGAATCGTGTTTAATTTTCCTCAATGTTTCAGCTCCAGCTTCTTGTATAAGTTTCTTGTACAAAATAGGTACTCAATGAATACTTCTTGAATCGATGAATAGATAAACAACAGTTTAGGCTAGATTCTATTGTTTCGAGTCTTAGAAATGGCATTCCCTCAAAACTTACTGAATAACCCAATCTACACATGACATCTCTAAATTTCCAGGGCAACTCATCTATGTTTGTTTTAGAGAGCTTAAACTCTTAAACTCTTCCATCTTCCATTATAATTATTTATGTAAATGCTAAGCCTCCTATCTAGGGCTCTGAGAGATGCCCTGAGCGACTGCATTTTGTCTTATATATAATAGGAATTCGATAAATATGTGTTGAATCTAAGAGAGTGTCTGTGCTTTATTTATCTTTATATCTAAAGGCAATAGATGTTTTAAAGTGTTTATTAAAGTTGGTGATATTTCACTTTTTTGTCAGGGATCTTTAGACTATAAATAACAAAGTTCAACTCAAACTGGCTTAGCCAATAAGATTGTAACTTATGACTCACGTAACTGGAACGTCCAGGTAGACTTCAGAAGGGTTAATGCTATCACTGAAGTCCCAACTTTCTCTCACTTCTCTCTCCCTTCCATAAGTTGTGCACCTTCCTAAGAGTGTCTGCTCTTAAGATGACTGCTAGCAGCTTCCTAGAAGTATATTTATTTATTTTTAATAGTCCTCACAGTGTGCCAGGTGCTGTTTTCAGTGATTAATAAGTATTAATTATTATTAATACCACAAACAAATGCCACAGGTAAGAATTATTATTATCCCTATTTTGCATATGATATTAATAACACTGAGGACCAGAGAAATTAAATAATTTGCTAAGATCATACAGAGTAATCATGATTTAAACGCAGGTACTTTTTGTCTTCAAAGTTCCTGCTCCTAACCACTATACTTCCTCATTTAATACAACAGAGATAAAGCTTCTTTATTATTAAATACCAAAAAATAAAGCAGAAAAAGCCTTCCCAAAAGAACCAAGCAAATATCTCTTTGCACTTTATTGCCCTGGTTAGATTAACTGCTCATTCCAGTCACCTTGCAGCGAGTGGTAGCAATGTTAGGATTGACTTAAATGTATTAGGACTAAATTCTGGAGCGGAGTGATGTGAAAATCTTACGGTGAGTAGAACAGGGTAGATATCCAAGAATAATTATTGATACTGTTATCATAGGTATGAGTGAGGATTTATTCGGTAGATAAACAAGAGCAAATGGACACCGAGACAAGTAAACCTCAAAAGATATTTTAAGACCAGCTAAATGTCAAATTTTCTGTGACTTCAAAGAATAAATGTAATCCTAGATCAGTTCACTAGGAAATGCACATTTTAGTTTGTGTACAACAGCTCTTGAATAATTTCATAACCCTGATTAGAGGAAGTCTATCTACATGGTAGCTAAAATTCATTGATTATTGACTACACTGGCTATATAGACCAAGGGACTTACTTGATTGAACTTTAGAATTGGAATTGTTATATAACTCTCCTATAATTGAGCTTGTAGAAATAACTGGTCCTTGGTTTAAGAAAATTCAAAGGGTATATTTGCTAATCTTTGGTCTGTAATAATATGGTGGGTAAACATTTGAATAAAACTAGCGGCTACCTAGTTGTAGTTTGAGAAAACTGAAGAGGAGTAGATTATTGAGTAACTAAATCAACATAAATCAGCAATTAAAAAAAAAAAGATGATGTCCCAACCAATTTCTGGACTTCTGCCTGCAAATTGGCTCCTCTGCACACAATCTAGAATGTATCCAAACCTCCAAAATGCTTAACTGAAAAGATAAGGGATCTGGATTAGAAAATAGCTGACCTGTGCTGAAAACCAGATGCCTGCAACTCAGCTGCAATTTCTGGGATAAATAAATAATGGACAAAAACAACGTTTTAGAAACTCTGGTGTCAGTGAGCTAATGGACAGCTCCAGACAAAGACTGGAGAAGAAAAGCATTGTTATTTGAGGATGGTAATAGAAGTAATTATCTTTGTGCCAGAAAAAAATAGCACATAAAGGCTATGATGAGTCTATACAATCAGTCAACAAAAGACATTTTCTAGAATTATTTGACCTAATTACAACAGAGAATTTGCTCGCTGTTTTTGTAAATATCTTAGGGATGTAGCACTCACCACACAATGATCTGATATCATTAATAGGTTGTGCAGTGTAAATCCCAGAGCCAAAAACAGCCTAGGGACTCTGGACAAAGAACAAACAAAGCACTGGGAATGAAATGAGCAAATCAGGCACACGGAATTATAACACATTGGAGGGAATAGAAATAAAAAGAAAATCTGAGGCTCTGACTTTGCAAAACTAAAATACAATAAAACAAATGCAGAACCAAAGGTGAGTAATGAGTGAAAGGACCTTCTAACTCTAAATTCAGTTTAGATCATCAGCTTCGTCATTCAATTATCTCTGGTTTATTTAGCATCTATGCAGATACAAAAAGAAAAAAAGGATAGAAGCATCTTGATAAAAAGTAATTAGCAAGAGATATTATTACTGATCCTACAGCGTTATTTTAAATTAATCAACAGTCTTTTTAAGAGTCTAGATATTTGGGAGTACATAACTACTTTTAAGATATGACTTATGGCAAGGACAACTATTCCAAACATATTTTAATCCATGTGCTTACCAGAATCTTCTGGTAAGCACTCCCTTATTCTGGCAATCATAAATGTCTGTTTTCTCTGATACTGTTCTTGGGTTGCTGAGTGTTACCTGATAAAATCATATTACCATTTAAGTCAATTTTCCCCCAAAATTTGTAATTTTGATATTTAACCTGTTCTTTAGTGATGTTTAACAATTATTTACATACTTCTCTTTTCCAATCCCAACCTTTTACTGCTTAAATTTTACTACCCTCCATAAGGTCTGTTTTATTGATCATTTTCTGTATTTTCACCCTTCTGCATGATGAATTAGCCTCTTACTTCCCAGGCATAAACCCCCCCTAATACTCCTTTATATGCCTTTTATCCATAGCCATAGTTTTCCTTGTTGTTTGTCCTCCTTTCTATTTTAGAAGAGGTAGGAGAGCGGTGGAAATCCTTTTTGCTGTCCAAGTTTTATCCCTCAATTATGCTCTGGAATATAATATTCTCTTTAGTCTCCATGAAACATTACTCGGCGAACTATCCTTTATTTATTTTTTCTTTTTCCCTACCTTATCCTTCCTCTTTTTCTTATGCTCAAATGTCCTCTTTGTAAAACCATGAGATTTTTCCTCCATAGCAAGCCACCATCCTCTTTCTTTTCTCCTCTTCATAGCTAGATTTTGTCTTTATCTAAAGTAGGATTTCTCAGTCTTGGCACTATTGACATTTTGGGCCAGATAATGTTCTGCTGTGGGAGCTGTCTTATGTCTTGTATAATGTTTAGCAGCATGTGTAGTCTCTGCCTACTAGATGTTAGTAGCACTTCCCCAGTTGTGACAATCCAAAATGCCTCTAGATATTGCCAAATGTTCCCCGGAGGGCAAAACCATTCCTGGTTGAGAACCACCGTCTCCATTTGTTTACATCCCAATTGCTATTCAGTTCAGTGCAATACAACTGCTCTGGACAACTCTGTGCAAACTGCTTAATTACAGAGCACTAATATTCTAATGGCTAAATCCAGTGGTCTAGTTTCAGTCTCGCCTTTTTGACAATTAACTTTGTCAGTGGTTTCCTCTCTTTGAAATCCCATTCTTCAATGGCTTACAAGGACTGCTCTTCAAGTCCTTCTTTAGTCTCTTTTGCTGATTCTTCTTCTTCTACCCTATACCTAAACCCCACATGCTTATGCTTATCTCTCCTTAAGGCCTATGTCTACCTTCATGACTCTAACTAATCAACTACAAATAGGCCAGTGACTCCACAAACTTAACTCCACCCGAGACTGCTTTTCTGAATTCCAGACACACGTTTATAACTATGAAGAAACTTGTTTCTAGTTGATATCTCAAATGTACTTCAAAACTCAACATGTCCAACTGGAGCTCTCATATACATATTCTAAAAATCAAACAGTTTCATGTTCACTATCTCTGCTTACTAAAACAGCATCCATCAGTCAGCAGTCAGCTAAGCTAACACTTTATAGTCAGTATAAACTCCTCCTAATTCTGAATTTCTAGATTTGTCAGTCACCAAGTCCCTTGAACACTAGCTCTAAAATCTCAGCTGTTCTTTCCATTTCATTTTTGTGGACATTGCCCCAGTTCAAACAATATTCCACTTTTACCTAGACTCATGCCTGTAAAGTTTCTCATTCAACCTATTCGTTGTCCGTTATTTTTCTAAACTACATATCTGGTTTGCCCACATCCATGCTCATAATGCTTTTGGTGGTTCTCATTGTTTAAAACTGTGTTTCCCAAACTATGATACTAATAACTTTTGGTGACGCAGAATATGATTTTGGTGATGTGTACTTTTTTTAATTTAAAAAGTTTTGCATATAATTTATATTAGGAAAAAATATAGCTAGCACATCAAATCTTTGATTTCACAGACATATTGCTGAGAATGAGCAATATGTTATTGCTCAAGTATAAACAGTCCAATTAAAAGTACTCTAAGAAAAAATATCAAGTACGTAAATAATAGTTTATAATGGTGACAAAATTTGTGTCAGTGGTATATAGATGTTTGAAGTTTGGTAGCTGTCAGCCTTCTAGATAAAATCTAAAGTCCTTAGTAGGTCATAAAGTTGTTCTCATAATCTCATCAAACCTCTACATAGTAACTTATCCCATAGTTCCCCAATAACCACTTGATATTCAAGCCAGCCAAGAAGTTCTTTTGTTACTGAACATGGTATGTAACTTCCTGACTTTCTGTCTTTGTTCTTACTGTTTTCTCTGCCTGGAATGGTACTGTGGCACTTCCAGTGGATTGCTTCTCTCCATGTCTGTTCCAAAATTTTTCCAATGTGGCTTCTTGTGTGGCTAGTCTAGAGGATTTCCCAGACTCCCTTGCACGTGAAGGTCTGGATCTGTCTGGCTCAAGACCGGCTAATCAGAAACACATGGCTGAGATTTATTAGTCAGAAAACGATTCTTATAAGGCTGATCTTCTGTTGCTTCTGCCCTTTCTGTAGCAAGTACAGCCATGGAGATGTTTGGTTTTCTAAGGAAGCAGGATACAGGATAGCCCAGGAGTTGACCCGCAAGGCAGAATTCAGGCATTTGTGGGAGATTTATTGTAGCAGATTATAGCAGAGGTGGACTGGTCCCAGAGGCAAGAGATGGTGGGGGATTTCACTCTTTGGCTTCTGGATCAGCTTTTAGATTCTTAATGGTGACAGAGATATTTGCTATTCTGTTGGCCAGTTCCATAGTATTATTCCGGAAGCTGATTCTGGAAATTCAGCCTTAAGCCTATTCCTTTAAGCTCTCCAAGGTTTCTGTGAACACCTAATTCCTTATGTTGAATGGATTCCTGCTTAAACTAGCTAGAGAACTTTGATCATCTGATGCTGAATGCTGACTAAAAAAGGTTTTTGCTTCTACTCTTTCCAATTTGATTTTTATTCCACTTTTTTGCACTTTTAATAATGAATGTCTTATTACTTTGATAAATAACAAATTTTTTGCATGTGTTATTTGTAAATATTCACACATATATATTGGGTAAATATAAATATGTATGTATATATGATGTATACATCAGCATATTCAGAAACAAAATAAATGTTCTTGCAGAAGAACCCAAAAATTTTCACAGTAAAAAAGGCCAAATGCCTGTGTTTCTCCCACCATGTCCTGCACCAAAATTGCAACTTGATTTTTCTTTTTTCTTTTCTTCTTCTTCTTCTTTTTTTTTGATCTCTGCTGCAACCCTATAACAGAGTTCTAGTTATTTAAAATCCATAATTCATTTAGTCAGTGGCAGGTCTGTTATCTCCAATATACTACCAAAATGTTGATGAGAATTTTCACCCTTTCAAAATAAATAAGTTGCCTAAGAATCTAAAACCCCAGATGACAGTCCCTGTCCCCCTCCCAAATTAAAGAGGAGCCCTTATTGCCACAGTGTGATGATATTTGCATCCAGAGTGAGCAGAGACTGAATTTCTATCTTTCTTGGCACATTGTGCTACTTATTTCAAAGTCTTTAAAGGGAGATGTTCTTATTTATTTATGTTAGGTTTTCAGCACAGTTCCACCAGGCACTGCCTGTTTGAGTTCTTCCTGTTTCTTGATGTTCTAATTCACTGCGAGCAGAGATGCGTTTCTAGCAGCATGCAGGTTGAAAGGCTGACATCAGCGTGGATGCTGCTACTAATCAGGCTCCCTGGTTTGGTCCAGCATTTTAATTTATTTAATTTATTTATGTATATGTTTGTTTATGTTTTCCCCTGCTTAAAAGTCAACTATGGCCGTGTCTATCTATCTCCACAACTTAATAAATAAAGACACAAGGAACAAATGCCTCTCTGTACACATACAGTAGACAACTCTTTTGACTGCATTCCCCCCTGCCCAGAGTCTTCTTTATTGTTTGGGATTCATTTAGGCATCTTATTACTCTAAGGCAAATAAACTATAATATTAGTAGCTAACATTAATTGAATATTTAATAAGTTCTAAATGAATTACATGCAAAAATCATTTAATTCTCACAAAAGTCCTATGAGTTAGATCCTAATTTCACAGTTGAAGAAACTGAGACTTAAGAAAGCTAAATAAAGTTTCAAATGAATATAAAAGAATCCCAGGTGCATATCTATGAAAGACATTGCTATTTCTTGGGCTACATCACTCTGGGGGTAAACTAGTCCCCTCACAGCCTCAGAAAAACAATTTATCTCTAATTTTGATGATATTCTTGGAATTGCAGGCACTTCAGACTCAAGCGAAGCACTAACCACCAGTTCTCCTGTGCTCATTGTCCTCTGGGATACCAGATGGTCTTTCCATTTCATTTCTCTCTTGCTTCTCTGCCTAAAATGCTTGCTGTTATTTCTTTCTAGCCTCTGTTGCAGAGTCTGGGTACTCTGTCTAGGAGTATCTCTGCTGGCAGTAGTCTGTGTTAGAACTTGAGAACTGAGAAGTAAAATCCCTGAGTAGTACCAGTTTAGAACCAGGGGTATAAAGCGAGTACCAGTGGTATCAGAACCAGTGGTATAAAGCGGGTCAAACCCAAATGGAAAATCTAGTGGATGACTAAAAGATGGAATCCAAACTGATGTATGATTGGTAGGATCAAAACTAGCAAAAAAAAAAAAAAATTAGCTGGAGGAACTGCAGTGAAAGACCATGGAATCAAAACCAGGTTGTGGAAAAACTCCTCTATCTCTAATGCCCTATGCAAGTGCTCATTTCCCAGCCAGAAGAACCTCAGTGTCAACTCAAATGATGTCCACAGACAACCAGTTTAAAACAGAAAAAAGCTGCTTATGCTTCTCTTTTTGATGGAGTGGTGCCTGATACATAGTAGACCTCAATAAATACTGTTTGGGAAAAAGTGCATGCATCCTGGGATGGAAATGCTTATTGATTAAAATCAAAGGTTGTTAAGTCAGACCAACGCTGTGGATTGCCCAAAACAGGCTCCCTTGATTTTCAACCATACTGAGTTTTGAGTTGTTTCTTCTGTCTTTTGGACACTTGATTGCTATTTATGGCTGGCTAGAAAAGATTTATTGGTTTAGAAGGAGAAGATATGCACACCTCCACACACACAAACACGTAGGGCTTCCCCAGACGTCAAATAACTCTAATGAAGGTTTGATGAGTTAAGGGTAAGTGAATCAGAAATTTATTGATTCAATTTCCTCTGTAATACACAAGGGTTTAAAGATTCAGAGAAGAGCTCAATTTGAAGATATCGGGTTTAAAATATCAAAAGCAAAACTTTGCCAAACCATAGTAGAATGATTTTCTCCCAGGCTAAGCTGAGAATGTCTATAAAATGCATGGACAATACATTTATTTTAAGTCTGGTTTAATAGAAAAATGGTTGAACCTGGGTTACTAACCCTGGGCTTCAGTACCTGCTTTCATAAAATGAATGATAAAAGTAATAATAGCTAATATTTATTCAGGACATAGTATGGGTCTGGCACTATTCTAAGTGCTTTACATAGATTTCCGCATTGAATTATCACAACAGTCCTATGGAGTAGGTACTACTATTATCAACATTTTATAGATTAGACTGAGGCACCCGGAGATAAAGGAATTTGTCTCAGGTCAAACAGCTGGTAACTGAAAAACCTAAGATTCAAACCCAAGCAGTCTAACTGTAGATCCATGTACTTTTAGTTCTTTGATCTGGATGTCCTCCTCTACAGTCTTTTCCAGTCTTATATCCTTTGACCAGTTGTCTGTTATCTTCCATGGTACTGTTAGAGGCATTGGAATACTGACACTATGTCTCTACCCTTGGAAGACTCAGAAGAGGGAAACAAGGCACTTAACTTCAACAGCTTTGATTCATATTCAGAAAGCCAAAATGAAGGATCCAGGGATTCATACATGGGACACATGCCATTTTTCAAACTGAGTCTGGGAAATCTGAACTGAAATATGAATGATAACTTCCAGGTCCTGCCAGAACCCCACGGTTACAGCATGGCCTACTGATGTATACTGCTAGTTTCTCAAAATGGTTCAAAGTAAAGGTTTAATGCCGCTTTAACTTGCCTTGTCTGGGATGATGTGATACCCCTTATTCAAAATGCTTTGACCTCTGTAGAGTACCAATCATTTCCAGTGACTGCAACTTTGAATTCTGTAATGCAGGCACATAGATTATAAATAAATAAAACTATATTTAATTTGCAGTCTTCATCTGGGAATGTGATATTCAGTGTTAAGAGGAATAAAGTAATTAAGGATAATTAAAAATTATGGGAAATGACCAAAAATAAATAAATTCTGATAGAGTCATGAAATGGAATATTCTTAACACATTAATAATGTTGATAATCCTGTGTTTCTCAAAACACGAGTGCTCAAAATAAAATACAAGAAAGGAGAATAATATACTGAATACAAGTATAACCATAATATGTGAACCCGGGAGGTGGAGCTTGCAGTGAGCCAAGATCGTGCCACTGCACTCCAGCCTGGGTGACAGAGCAAGACTCAGTCTCAAAGAAAAAAAAAAAAAACAACAAGTATAACCATAATAATGTAATATAAACAAACAAAAATCAAGCATGGAAATAAGACTGGAAGGAAATTCATCAAAATATTAATAGCTTTTGTTATTAGGTGGTTGAATTATGCTTTAATTTTTGTCAGGACTTTTGTTTTCCAAACTTTTAATAATGAGCATGTATTTTTATTGTCATGAAATAGAACCCTAATGATAAAATATATAAATATTGTTTAAAAGGCTCTCTGAAATTTTTAATAAAATCCTTACTAATACATGCAATTTTTGTGAATGCCCTAATGATGGCATGACATACAGCAAAAGAAATACGTAAGTGGAAGTATGAGAAAAAACATACAGAAAGAATAGTACATTATGAATCAGCTAATGTGGTTTCTTGGATTTGCTATTCACTAGCTCTGTAACCTTGAAAAATCATTTAACCTCTCTAAGCCTCAATTTCTTCATCAGTAAAGTAGAGATAATAATATTTGCCCTGTATACCACAGAGAATTGTTGAGAAGATGAAATATGTACAGAAATGCTTTGGAAAGTTTAAAGTTACATACGATAATAAACCCTATTCCTATTAAAGGGTGATAGTTAACTCTTTCAATCTCTGAGACTAATATAAGAATTTCTAAGTTACATGTTTTTTAACTTTATTTGCTTTTAAAAATTGCCTTGACTGTGAGTGAATAGTCTTACTTTGAGTGCTACAAATAAAGGCTAGAATTTACCTAGTTATAATATGTTTGGTGAAAAGGTGGGGCACGGAGTACAGGTGATGAATGATTGCAGGAACATCACCGTACCCAGCATACCTACTAGAATTTCTGGTGGGAATAATGGGGGGAAACTTTAAACACCATTGAGAAAAGCAGACATAAAAGATCCTAAGAGGCAGAACGTGCCTATGTAAGACACGATGTCAGGAAGAAAGGATCATTAAATTAGAGAACAAATGCCTTCTTTCCTGTCTTATACAAACATGCTTTTACAACCACTTTGAAACAAATCATTACAACACAATATGCTTAGTGCTATCATGGCAAGAGCAAAGTGCTTTAGGATCATGCAAAAGGATGTGGCTAACCCTGCTACAAGCTGAAAAAGCCTTCATAAGGCAGGCGATGATGGAGCTGGATTATGAAGATTGTTATATGGGAATGAGAGGGAGAGCATTTCAGGAAGAGGAAGAGGAAAAGGAGGTATAACATCAGGGAAGCACCAAAGAGCGTGACCTGTTCATGGGACTAGATCCTCTGTGCCTGGAGCTGAGAGTTAATTAGGGAAGAAGTGGGAGATGAGCCAGATAATAATTGGGGCTAGTGTGAAGTGTCTCATACGCTCTTACAAAAAGTCCACGTTAGTCTAAAGTATGCTAATACAAATAATGTTTTAAAGCCATGGAATTGTATGGCCACATTAGACTTTTAGAAAGATAACATTGGCAGCCAGACTGTGAATGTTAAGATGAGAATTTATCTAGTGGGCAGAGGCCAGATAGGAAGTCACATTTTGCTGAGAGATTATCAAAACCAGACATCAGAGAGGACACAGAAACAGAGTGGATGCAACATTTAAAAAACAATAAAAAAATAAAATTAGTTCACATTCATAGAGCATTACTACATGTAAGGCACTGTGAGATGTACCTCACTTGGGGTATCTTACTTTATTCCTAAAACCCCTTGAGGGAGGTATCATGCTGATGGCTATTTCACAGATGAGAAAAACAAAGCTAGGGATTTTATGTCACTTGTCAGAGGTCACAGAGTGGTGAAGGCTGCCTAATTTTATATTCTGAGTGTGGAGACTGCCTGCTTGTGAAAGATTGTGAAGAAAGGTGAAAGGCCCAAGTGATCTCCCACAGTTGCAAATTGGGACTGTGGGTGGAGAGAAAATAAATGATAGAGAATAGAAGAGAGGGGGATATTGAAGAGGCTGAGAATACAACCCACACTGGAATTGTTGAATGTCAGATATCTGAGTAGAGTCCAAGAGGTATGTGGAATACTACTTTAACATCAAGGTGAGAGATCTGGATTGGAGATAAATGTTTGATTAATTTATTGGGCATTTAAACCATGACTAAAAGAAAATGCTGATTAAAATCAGCTATATTAACTGAGAGAAAGAAAAAAAGAAGAAAGAAAAAGAGGTTGAGAGAGATGAAGGAAGGAAGGAAGGAAGGAAGGAAGGAAGGAAGGAAGGGAGAGAGAGAGGAAGGGAAAGAGAGAGGAAGACAGGGAGAGAGGGAGGGAAGGAGGGGAGGAAAAAAATCTGTGGGAAGGGTGCCAGACCACCAACCTCAGAGAAGCAGAACTCCTGGCTAGAATGCACTTTTTAAGCTACATTGAGGGCTACCGCGCCCGTGGGACACATTTTCTTTCTTTCTTTCTTTTCTTTTTTCTTTTTTTTTTTTTTTTTTGAGTCAGAAAGGAAGCCTAATAAAATGCAGGCTCCATTGTGATCACGCCAGTGTGATCTGAGGTTGACAAAGAAAATGTCTTGCTAACCTCTGTGCTTAGGGTATCCTCCAAAACCCTGAAATATTGTTGCAATCCATTATTTTTCCCCACACAAAAGAACACTGCTGTTCCATTTGAACTCTGTATTTGATCAGTTAATGAAGAAACCCAGTGTTTATTCTGAGACGCAGCTAAAGTCACATCTTGACTTATTGACTGTTCTGGCTTTGATGGAGCAAATTACATACCATCATGGAACAGTCAGATATGCTTCTCTGAGTACAGTTACCTCCCTTACTCCCAAGTACTTTTCTATTGATTCTGTAAAAAACACAATATCTAAAATAAAACAATGAAACCTATCCTCGTTTACATGGGAGAAGTATTCTAAACTCTTTGCACTCTTTCTCAGTAATATTATGCAACATGAAAGCTATTCATCCTTTTTGAATTTTAACAAACCCCAAAAGCCTCTCCATCAATTTCATGTGAGAATGGCTGGTGTGGGACGCTCTCCACAAACTTTAATTTGATAGTAGAGTTCTTCAGTTCAAATGGGCTTTTGACCTAGCTAATTTAATTGTCTTTGTTATTGATAGCTCCAGAGCTGTAAATAAACCTCATCTGAGAATGTGCTTGTGAAGTTTACTTTCCAAACAGCATTTTGGATGACCCTCAAAGTGGCAACATTTCCCTTTGTTTCTACAAGGGTATACTGTTTTTCATCATAGCCAACATAAAAGGGTGATGTGAAGTGTTTATTATGGCAGAATATGGGGCATCAAAGTGCTTTCCTCCCCCAGAACCATGCTCCCTCTGGGATCAGCCAGGGCTGGCTCCATGACCACTTTGCCAGGGGAAAACACACATAGTTTAAAGCATCCAGTTTGCTGCACCCTTCTGCTCCATCTGACTCATTCCTTCCCTAAATAAAGGAGGAGGGTGGATAAGAAATGGCCCGGAGAACCGTTTTTGCAAAGGCAGGATTAAAGGAGAGCATCTGTGAAATGTAAGGTCCCTTCCTCCCTGTCATCAGTTAGAAGGTTGGTTGAGCTGTTGGAGCTTCTGGAGGATTGGAGTAAACTTAGGGGAAAATGGCTAAGAATAGCCTAAGGGAAGGAGCAAAAGCCAATACCCAAGATCTTGGCATGTCTTGAGGGCTGTTTTTTTTTTTTTTTTTTTTTTTTTTTTTTTTTTTTTTTTTTTTTTTTTTTGCATTGTGTTGATCTGGACTTTCCTAGAGAGAGTTGAAGAAATCATGCATATGGTCATCCTCGTCCGTGCAAGGTCCCTGGCTGTTTTTCCCTGTCTCCCTCCGTTTTCTTCCCTCCCTTCTTTCCTTCATTTCTTGTTCCCAAATCCTTGCTCCCATCTCCTACCTCATCAACAAACGGGCAGCCATTCTAGCATGTTTGATATTGTATTCTTTCATTTATATATATTCTTATAAAATATAAACTATATGCATTTAAATGCATACACAAATGTAAGTATGTTCTAAATCTTATTTTTATTTCCTTGATTCAGCACTGATTTTTAAGATGTATGTCGCTGTATATAATTTAGTTGGTTGCTTCTAAGTGCTCCATAATATTCCAAAGGGTGAATCTACCATATTGACTTATCCAGTCCTCCAACTGGATAACTCAATTGCCTCCAACTCCCCACTATCTAAAAATATGCTGCATTTAAAATTCTTTGTATACATTTGTCTGCTTTTCCTCTTTGATATATATCTAGGAGGTAGGTTGTTAGTTCCTAAGGCATACTTCATGGCATTTGATTCATTTTGGCTAGAGAAGTTTCCAGGAGGACTTCCTCAGGCTGTAGCCCACCAACAGTAAACGATGGTTTCGTACTCGCGCAGCCCCACCAATGCTTACCATTGTCTGGAATAGAAAACTTAGTAAATCTAATTACTGAAGAATTTAATTATCCCTTCTTTTACTTGCTAGCCTTTCTCTCTTGTGAATGACCTGTTTATATCTTTTGCACATTTGTCTATTTGGTTCTTATTTTTCTCTTGTTAACTTTTAGTTTTTTGTATATGGCATATGTAAGTTTCTTGTAAACTTTTGACATTACAAATAGCTTCTCCAAATTGGTTACTTGTATGTTAATTTTGTCTCTAATATCCTTCATTGAACAAACATCTTTCATTTTAATAACATAAAATAATTTATTTTGCTTTTAACATCATCCTACATTATCTTCTATAATATTTATATTATCTTTCACATTTAGATCTTAATCCTGAATAAGTGAGGGAGTTGGGGAGACAGTTTTCTGAAAAGTCCATCTTTCCCCATGGGTTTGTGATGCCATGAAAATATGTGTCATATTTCTCTATATATAAATGTGATTTTATCACTAAGCTCTTATTCTGTTCCAGATATCTGTCTGTCCTTATACTAGGGCATGAATGATTTTTACTACTAATATTTCATAACATATTTCAGCAATTGATAGGTCAAATTTCCCCTTTGCCAACTGTTCTCCCTTTCATACACATTTAGAAGACTTTATTAGATTGCTCAAAAAATATCAAGCTTAATTTGTTTGGAATTATATGTAACTTACAGATTCATTTGAATATCTGACATCAGGTTGTCCTATTCAGGGGTATGCAATTTCTCCTTTTAATCAATACCTTTGTTTTTAAAAAATAAAAGTACATTTTTATTTCCACACAGAGTTTCTTTTCTCTTTAATCCTTATAACTTTAAAATATTTTGTCCTCATTTTAAATAATATCCTATTTTTGGCTATATTTTCCATTTGTGTTGATTTGGTTGTTGCCCCTAGGGCTGGTATTTTCTTTATCTGGTGGATCTAAAATACACTGAAATCTGAATTCTGGTGGAAGTTGAAACTTTTATACCTGTGTCATGTCTGGGATTTATTACAGTGATGTTTTTATTACTAGAGAGATTCGAACTTTCTTCTAAAAAGCCTAAAATACTTTGCAAATATCATTCTCTAAAATTCCCTCAGCACTTCTAAGAGATAAGAATGTAAGAGGCATGGGCAAGATACTCTTACCTCAGTTATCTGAGGCATCTTGGTGTCATTTGATGTACTAATCAGTGAGACTCAAGGGCAAGACAAGGCTTTCAACAATGAAGACAACTCCCTAACTAGTGCAGTCAACTTACACACATGCTTTGTGATGGGCTTAGCATATAGGAACTAGTGACTGAAGACAGACCAAGTTTTCTCTGAGGAAAAGCTTTGCTTTGCCTGTATTTGTTTCAACTTTTGCTCATACTGTTTTTCCAGCCAACTCATTCTCCTTTTTTCTCTTTTCCAATTCCAGATATAGAAAAACGAAAAGTTAATCCAAAGTAAACTTTCAAATATATTTTATAGGCTTCAATGTACCACTTAAAATGCCAGACTATTAAACACCAGACACAGAGTGTGTTCTCAGGGGCAATGACTGTGGGAGTAATGTTTTCACTAGTTTTTAGCTGACAACTTGTGATTTCATTGCTTCCAAGTATTATTTACTCTCTCTCCAAAAAAAGGTCTTTGTGTCATTGTTTTCTTTCTCCTCTGGTTCTTCTTCTTCTTTTACTTCTATTTTTCCTCCTCTTTCTCCTTCTCCTTCTTCTTCCTTTCTTCCTTTCCTTCTCCTCCTTCCCTTCTTTCTCCCCTCCCACTTCCACTTCTTTTTCTCTCTTACCCTCCTCTTCCTTGTTCATGTTGCATCTTTTTAAAATCAAACAATATAGGCAGATGAATTTTGTAAAAGCATAAACATATTATAATGATTTTATTTTATCAATAATATGAAAAGATATTGAAGGAAAAAATGAAGGAAAATATATCTTCAATTTTTTTTCCAGCTAAAATTGGGAAAAATTTAAGAAAATATAAAATAAAATGGATATGTTATATTTTTAGGAGTTAAGTCAATACAGAGATTTGAGATAAATTCAAATTAAAAAAATTATTTTCACAGGTGCTTCTGTGATCTTTTCTCTGTATGATAAAGACAAATGTGCACCACAAAAAGTAAGTATGTGAGGTAATTAAGATGTTAAATTGCTTGATTTGTCCATTCCACAATGTATACATATTTCAAAACATCATGCTTTATATAATAAATACAATTTTTATTTGTCTTGCCAATTGAAAATAAATTTTAAAATAATGAAGATAAATGTATTCCAATTACTTCAATCAAAAATCTAAGTATAAGGGTAATAATTCTTCTCCATACAAGATTGCTACTCATACCACATTTTAGTATACACATAAATTTACTTTGTAGCTTTCTCAGATTTGTAACAATTTAGCTTTGCTTATCTTCTAATCTCAAACCACTCAATTTGGGGATGACTAGAAGGAAAAGAGCATGACAAAGTAGAAGGTGAGGTTTCTGTAATACAGACTTGGAAAATATGAAAGCATTGAGAATGATTTTGCATTTAGAACTCATTCCAGCTGCCTGCTTTTATAGTGGGGACTGGACCTTATAAAGAAAAGGTAGATGGACAATTAGCCCAATTCAGCAAAGTTTCAGTGTGTTCTGGCTTGAAGTTATAAGGAACAGGGCAGATACTATAAGTAACCCTGTCCATGAGGACAGCATCTGAGAAATAAAAGTAAACATATTAAATAAAGATGGCATCAATCTCTTTACATCTTAGGTGCATAAGTTACTTTGTGCCCTTGGGATGGGTTACAGAACTACAGAGCAGAAAGTCAATTTCAAATCGTAAATTAGAAAGGTATCAAAACTGGAGAAAAATGACACCAATATATTTTAGTATATGTGCGTATCAGAGTTCAATTCCAGATAAGGTTTAATTCACGGAATTAGTTGCTTTAAACAATATGGAAGATCTGGAGGAGTAAGCTCTAGGCAGAACTTCCAAGAGTAAATCTAAAAGCAACACTGCAGAACTAACCCACAAAGAAGTGGCTGCCTCAGCCACAATAAGGAAAGTGAGGGATGACTAGGAAGCCACTGGCTTAATTCTGGACTCTGGACCACACTCCTTCTACCACCATATGAGGATCAAAAAGCTGCAGCTGCTAAAACAACTGGCACCAGAAACACACCACCACAGCCACAAGCCATCTCAACAAAATGAATATTCCTCTAAACTCTCAATACCCACAAGATAGTAGACTGGTTACTAGGCCCCTGCTTCTGCTGTTGCTGAAAAGCCGACTGCTTCCATGGCTAGGCCCACTAGCAAAAGTCTCCCATCTCACTTTTGCCTGCCAGTTCTTAAATAAATGCATCTGCTTGGTAGGAACCAAATACTTGCAAAATCCAAGCTATAAAGCAGCCGTGCAATAAGGCATATCACAAGGGGATTAGAACAGAGTTGAATGAATCAATATCTACCATATGCCACAGGATGCATACTATCTGCAACCAAGCAACACAAATTTATAAGCAACTCATAGAACCTGTTGTGGAGGGAAGATCCTGTAAAGTTACAAGTGAACAAAAATCAAAGCAGAAAAATAGTTGGAGTCTCAATTTTATTAATTTTAGATGTGTAAAATATTACTGCACGATTCTTTATTTTATATGTATGATTTAATCAAGGTTAAAATATTTTCAAAGGCTTCCATGGCTTCGCCTACCACCTCAGTCCCCTTTGCCTTATTTTTCTCATAAGTTCTCTAATTTATCACCTGTAATTCCCCTATCATGAGAGTTTTCAGGAACCCAGCTTTCAAAGATGGAGAAGACATATGCAATAAGATGTATTTTTATTAGTCTAGAACTTTACCCTTCCGGAAGGATAAGGTCTTGACATCTGCAGCTTTATGCTTCTCTTTTTTTCTATGACATTTTATAGGACTTTTTTCCTCATCAGTTAGGAAGACATTTTATGGGACTTTTTTCCTCATCCAGTGTATTAGTCAGTTCTCACACTGCTAATAAAGACATTATAAAATACCTGAGACTGGGTAATTTATAAAGGAAAGAGGTTTAATTGACTCGCAGCTCCTCAGGTTTGGGGAGGCCTCAGGAAACTTCCACTCACGGCAGAAGGGGAAGCAAACACATCCTTCTTCCCATGGTGGTAGCAAGAAGTTCTCAGCAAAGGAGGGAAAAGCCCCTTATAAAACCATCAGATCTTGTGAGAACTCACTCACTATCACAAGAACAGCACAAGGGTAACTGCCCCCATGATTTGGTTATCTCCTATCAGGTCCCTCCCATGACATGTGGGGATTGTAGGAACTACAATTCAAGATAAGATTTGGGTGGGGACACAGAGCCAAATCATATCATCCAGGTTGTTTCAAAACATATTTTTTAAAATGAAAGTGAAGGTCTAATTATGGAAAGACACACAGACCACCCACCCATGGATTTAGGGCCTAAAGCTGGGTAACCTGGGCTGGCAAATAAGGAGGATGGAGCATGAGCTTCAGTGGAATCTGGCCTGATAGGGGTAAGGGTGAGATATTTGGTGAGAAGTAAGGTCTACCTGGTTCAGCCCCCAGTGTGGCCTGTGCAGAAAACTGACTGGAAACTCAGCCCAAAAATGTAAGCCCCTCTAATGTCTGCAGAACTTATCACCGTCCAGATAGTCTCACTCATTACCTGTGCAGCACTTTGTGTGGTCACTGAGGTGAGGGCCTTCTTCCAGGTCATGAGGAAAAAGTTCCTCCATGTCCAAGACTTTATTAAGCTCTGTGTCAACTGAGTTTTGAGAAAACTTTGCTTATTTTAAATAGCCTGGTACACTTACAATCCCTGAATAATAGCTTGTGGGTGGACTTCGTGGCTGGAAGAGGTTGTATGCAAGGAAAACTGTAGCACTTGTACCTGGGTGGCCCTGGACATCAGTAACACACTCGTTGCACAGAATGCAAAGGGTGTTCATATACATGATCTCCTTTAACCCTCACAATATCCGAAAACAGAGAGCACCGAACTTATTATCTTCATCTGACTGATAAAGAAACAAAGCTCAGAGAGGTTCTGCAACTAATCAAAAGTCGCACCACTCATAAGTGACAGAACACAGAATGGAATCATTTTTTTCTGACTCTGAGACCTTTGTATAGCAAAGAATACTATACCACACAGTTGAATTTAATCAAAAGCATTATGATAACTATTGCAATGGATTGAATTCAGTAAGAAAATTACCTTATTAAAAGCAAGAGGATTTTTTAAACCTGAATTCAATTTGTTTGAATAGGACTATCCTGAAGCTTTGTTACCATAAGAAAACAAATTTTTAGAAAAACATCAGTTATTCTAAAAAGCAATGGCTAATTTGGTCAATTCAATTAAATTACCAGTTAGTTACATCAGAAAAAAGTTTAAAACTGAGAAAAGGTGCAGGCAAGGTAGTTATTTGAAGTTGTGAAATCAGATCAACAATCATCACATTTTCTTTTTTCACTTTTCAAATAATGGTGTTGGCACAGAGTAAGAAAATTAACTCTGGACTTCTAGAATTTGATAATAATGTTTCTCAGTACAGCATGTACCATTTATTAAGCTCTATAGGTTTCTATCCAAGACTGAATTACAAATCCTGATTTTACTACTTTCCTCTCTACCTCCTGTGCCGGAAGATTAATTTGGATAATAAATATAATATTCATTATTTTATTCATTCATTCCACACGCTTTTAAGCACTTACTAGGTGATGGGTACCGAATGATTGTTATAATAAAGATCTAGGCCAGGCGCAGTGGCTCATGCCTGTAATCCCAGCACTTTGGGAGGCTGAGGTGGGCGGATCACGAGGTCAGGAGATCGAGACCATCCTGGCTAACACGCTGAAACCCTGTCTCTACTAAAAATACAAAAAATTAGCCGGGCGTGGTGGCAGGTGCCTGTAGTCCCAGCTACTCAGGAGGCTGAGGCAGGAGAAGGGTGTGAACCTGGGAGGCGGAGCTTGCAGTGAGCCGAGATTGGGCCACTGCACTCCAGCCTGGGTGACAAAGCGAGACTCCATCTCAAAAAAGAAAAAAAAGAAATCTAATGGCATTGTCTCATGAGAGAAAACCTGACTCTATGGAACTATGTTGAGCCAGAGAAGATTTGGTGCTTCTTTCTAGCTCTAGGCAAAAGATCTCAGGGAACCCAAAAGAGAACACTAAAACCAAAATATAATTGGGAACACTGGCTATGTTAATTAGAAAAAATTTCTGACTGAGTGATAGCAGGATTTTATCATGGTTAAAATATTGGGATCAAAAACACTGGAAACAACCCAAATGTCCTCCTATGTATGAATGGATAAACATGCTATAGTACATCCATAGAATAAAGTAGTACTTGGCAATAAAAAGACATGAACTACCGATGCCTACAATAACATCAATGAATCTCTGTGAAGAATGTTAAGTGAAAGGAGCCAGTCTCAAAAGGCCAAATGCTGTTGACTTCATTTATATGAAATTTTGGAAAAGCGAAATTATAAAGAAAGGGGACAGGTTAGTGATTGCTAGGTCTGATGACGGAGACAGACTTTGACAATCAAGCAAAGGAGCATGAGGGAATTTGGGGAGGTGATGAAATTGTTCTATATCTTCCGCATGGTGGTGGTCACATGATTGTATATGTGTGTTAAAGCTCAGAACTGTGCACCAAAAAGGATGACTTTTACTGCATATAAATTATACCTAAAAATGATTTTTGGTTTTGAAATTTGATTTGTTATGCTCAAGTCAAATCTCACCTTTGCTACTTCTTATTTGTGTACCTTGGGCAAATTATTTTGCTTATTCAGGCTTATTTTAGAGTCATTGTTTATAATATAAGTATTGCAATAATATTTACCTCACTGAGTTGTCATGAAGATTAGGTGAAGTAATCTATGTGAATTGCCTAACACAATGCCTGACATAGACTTACTTTCAGGAAAGAAGAAAAAAATCACAAATTCTTGCAAGAATAACAACATATTTACCACTGCTGGTGCTTTTGTTATGTCAGTGATCCTTCCAGTCTTCCCTCACATCCATGCACATTTTCCCAGAACCAAAATTCATGTCTGGGGCTTTCTGATTTGCCAACCAGGGTCAGTATGGCTACTGTGGGTGGACCATCATCCCATCATCTCATTCTTCTACTTTTGCCACTCACTGGTGCTTAGTTTAGCCGGTTCCATGACAAGGTAATAGCAGCCACATACTGTGCTTATCAAGGCCAGAAAGACAGAGATGACAGCACACAATTCAATCATCTCTCACTGTTGATTTATTCATGATGCCTGACTTTTTCTATTCCTTTCCTCATCCAAAATATCAAAGAATGTCATCTACAAACAAAAATAAGTAATATGTGGAATAATATATGCAACTCCTTCTTTGTAATTTATTTCAAAGCACTATATTATTAAGTCCTGAAAACTCTAAACAGCATTGTTTGGTAGCGCAGAGTTCAGTTACTTTGGAGGTCAAAAAAACCTAAAATTACTTTCTTCCAATATCAGGGCTAATGATAAGGAGCCATGGCTCGGATTTTCTAAAACAATGGATAGCGCCCAGATTCTCTACATGCTACAGTTCTTCATTTTGGATGGAATTATCTTTTTTTTTCCCCCGCTGAAATATTGCTTTTCTAATTATATTTTTCTCATGTCAATGCCATTACTTTGCATTCTCTGAGAACTTAACAAAGAACAGTGGTGGTAAGACACAGCAAAATGACCTAGAAATATACTGGATTTATCTTCTGAAAGTCATAAACCCCAACGCATAAGTTTACTTCTGCAACTTGCTTAATGATACCCAAACACAAAAGAAATGCATTCACATTGTAAGTATTGGTTTTTTGTTAAAATGCAAATGATTCTGGAGAGAACATACTCATTCTTATCAGTCATTTACACTGTAGTGAGAACAAGTTCCTAAGATGATTATTGATGGGGACGTGATGGGGAAAAGGAACAAACAAGAGTTTTGGGCAACTGTAGGGGAAAACACATAGATATCAATGTGCTTTGGTCACCACACACCTCAATTTCACTTCAATCACGTGTCAAGGTCCTCTCTTCTTGGAAGAAGACAGTTTTCTGGCAAAGCATTTTTATAGCTTGCAATTTTTACTCCTATGTTCACGCATTTTACTGTATCTATGAAGAGTAATATTTCCCCTGCCTCTTGAATCTAGATGGGAAAGCTGACTTGTGTGACTGAAAGAGTGTGGCAAAAGTAATATTTGGGACTCCTGAGGCCAGACCTTAAGAAGACTGACAGAACATGCTTCCTTTTTCCTGGAAGCCAGGCACCATGTAAAGGTCCAGGCCACTATGTAAGAGATCACCTTGCTGTGAGTAGCACATGGACAGACCAGATGCAGAAGCACCAAGGACCATACCTGTGAACGAATACTAGTAAGTCACTCTAGGTGATCCCATGTTGAGCAGAAGAACCACGTGGCTGAACCTATTCAACTCACAAAATCAATAGTAAATTTTTGTGGCTTTAGCCATTATGTTTTGGAGTGGCTTGTTATGCAGCAACATATAGTTGAAACATTTTCCTTCCCCACTCATTTCACATATGTCACTTCCAAGGATTAAAAAGAAATTCAAATAAACATGCATGCCAATAATTAAGAATGCATATGGGCTGGGCACGGTGACTCATGCCTGTAATCCCAGAATTTTGGGATGCAGAGGCAGGCGGATCACGAGGTCTAGAGATTGAGACAATTCTGGCCAACATGGTAAAACCCCATCTCTACTGAACATACAAAAATTATCTGGCTGTGGTGGTGTGCACCTGTAGTCCCAGCTACTTGGGAGGCTGAGGCAGGAGAAATGCTTGAACCTGGGAGGCGGAGGTTCCGGTGAGCTGAGATCGCCCCACTGCACTCCAGCCTGGCAACAGAGCGAGACTCCATCTCACACACACAAAAAATAAATAAATAAAATAATTCATACATATTTATAAGTAATACTTTTTATTGTCAAGACCCAAGTAACCAATTTTTTTCAATTTAATCTTTCAGTTTAAATTAAACCATCATGATTTATAATTTTTATAGTAAGAAATCAGCCTCTACATTTACTAGGTTTGGAAGATCCCCTTGCTATGTGGTATCTCATTCTTCTAATTTAAGCTGAAGGCAGCAATAAAACCAGAAATGCATGTAATTGAAAAGTACATTCATCTATTCATTCATGTTGTTTTCTCTGATCCACATTTCAAAAAATTTATGAGCTCATTTGGAAAATGTGAAAGAAAAAAAGTCAATAGAGTAACCATGATTTATAAAGGTGAAACCATCATGTCATGAATATTTCATCAGGGAAATGTGGAAGCCATCCGATTTTATCTAAGCATATTCCTCAATCTGATGTGATTAATTCATAAATGAACTGACATCCATTATTATAGATGATCACTGGGTACACAGGAATAGCACAAGGGCTACAAAACAAACACCTGTTTCAGGAAGCTTTCAAGAGTTCTGGAAATAATCTGGGACAAATGTGATTAGAAGCCATTGGTAAGGAAAGGACAACAAGAAGAGACCATGATTTTCTGCATGTCTAGCAGAGGAACATCAAAGCGAGTCAAATTTCATAGTCTGCAGGAGAATTAGAACAAACCCTCCTTCTTTTTCCTAGGGATGGCTCAGCTGCCTCTCTCAGAAGCCTTCAGTGGGGAACCCAGTCACCAATATTTGTCCTGACTGTAGTTCAAATTTCCCCAGGTATCCAACGGTTTTTAAGCTCCCCCACTCAGTTCTGAGGGCTCTGGAGAAATTAATATATGAAAGCAAATGGCATTTTGTAGAGAAGAAATAAACCAACCACATTCAAGAGGCTCATAGTCAAGCAATTAGTGATACAACCAGTGGCACAATAAACATCCATCGATTCCCAGTAGAGCAGGAGGCAGCACAAAGAACAGGGTAAATTAGAAGCAGATCAAAGGAGAAGCATATTCAATAAAGAACTCAGGCAGAATGCTGCCAAGGCCAGCTCAGCACTGAGGTTTCAAATGGCATAGTCATCAGGGGCTGGATTGTCCAAGCTGTGCACTGCCCTCAATAGAGTTTTCAAAGGTGGCCCATGGTGATGTGATTTCATTCTCAAGCTATTGATTTCATTGAAGAAATCTGAAACATTCCAAGAGTCATCAGCAAGGACATAGAAGGGTCAGAATTTAATTTAGCAGCAGGGGCACTCACTGAGTCTAACAGGTTTCATTGCAGAGGAAATTAATCATGGACTTGAAGGCAGTCTTTTCATGGCTCTGAAAAGCAAAGTCTGTACAGGTATTAGCGCCTCCATTAGTGAACTCCTCAACCAGGAGCTGAAAGCAGTTTACATGCATTGACATCAGATCAGCACAAAGCTGCAAGGAGTGTGGGGAAATAGATTCAATTATAGTGAAAGAGACAAAGGACATAATGAAGAAGTACAAAAGCGAGGAAGAAGCACATATATGATATGTACCAGCCTTCTTAATGCTAATGGGCTGGTGTTTGTTGGAGGGAAGAATGGTGGTTTTCCTAATCTAAGAGTCCCACCCCAGGACACAGCATGCACATTCAAGAGTCAGGTGTGGATAGTAGAGACAATTTAAAACCTTCTAGCATGCAAAAATGTTCCATAGCCTTTCACTTACTATGAGGTCAGATTATATTCATTACATATATGTTTATGTAAACAATTATAAGTATTTGTTAATGAACTCTACATGGGGAAAGTGGAGTCTGATTTATCCACTCCTCTATCCCTAGTACCTAGCAAATAGGTCCTCAATAAATGTTTATTAAATAAATGAAATAATTGAATCAAGCTCTTGAAAGTCTTCCAGAAATACAAGGCATGTTCATATTTTTACTTAGTCTTCTTCCTTTGATTGCAATAACGAATATATTCTTGTATACGAGAATGAATTCACTTAGAGCCAGAGTGGTGCATAAATAAATAAATAAATAAATAAATAAATAAATAAAGCAAAGCAAAACAGAAAACAATAAGCTGGGCAGATAGGGATTTATGTTCTTATTTCCGGAGTTTCACTAACATTCTGGGGCCTTGAGAATTTTACCCCTCTGGATTTTAGCCCTCCTGAGCATAAAAGCTAGGAAAACAGGTAAAGGGAGTGCTATTATGTTCAAACTGCTTTCCAGAGACAATATTCTATAATTCCATTGACAAGGTGTATTTTTAGAGCATGATATAGGACTTACTTCATGAGATGAAAGAATTATAAGGTATGGGGGCTAAGGAATAATTTCAATTCAGAAAATAGAACAGAAAGAAAATATTTTAAAGTATCTGGTCTAACACCATACCTTCAGGAAGATAAATGATGAAAATATGCAGGGTTATTAATGTTTCCATCTTCAATGTTTCCAGTTATGCCTTTTTATTTACTAAAGAGTGAATCTAGGATTGCTTAACTGATAGGTATGAATTTGATAGCTCCAATGGTATCCTTCTCTTTCTGCATGTCTGTAAGTCTCTCTCTTTCACACACATACACACACATACATATGAACACACACACACTTGTGCCCACACACAAACATGCACACACATACAAACCACCACAAAAATATCCTCAGGGCCAACCTTCAAACAATAGAGGAATTGAAAGCAGTACAGGGCCTCTGAGTTGCTTTCCGGCCCAGTTGCTAACCAACAGGACCAAAGAATGATATCTTCCTTTCTCTCACAATCTGTTCATTCAGCAATTGTTATTCTGATTTTATTCTAATGTAAAGGAATTTGTGTATAAAAAATGCATCTTTCTGTGTGTTAATAATCTCGTGTTTTTGTTATACACATGCTATTCTCTAATTTTCCATACTGCAATCTGCTAATTGGAAGATAACTTGAAGCTAAAGTTATGAATGAATCCAAAATGGACTAAATAAAAACAAAGCCTAATTCATTTAACGTTACCTATTTCCTCACCCTCATCCTTCCATCAATATCTGGCTGCTAAAATGGCTCAAATTGTAAACCTGGATGAAAAGTGAGCAAAATGTTTTTCAAAAAAAGATATTGGCAGTTTAGAATATGTCATTTTAGATTTATGGCCTAACGTTTGATTCACCTATCACAAAGGAAAGATCCATGCTAGTTTTTTCCCTTCATTAGTAAAATCCATTTTAAGGTCTCCAGGAGGTAAATTATTTTTAGAATTAGTTTTTATTTTATTAATCAGGTTGCAGAGTGTCAAAATTGCACTGAAGCCAGTGGCACTTCACTGAGCTTATTAATATTGATACGATCACTCTGTGTTCTGTGCTGAGTGACATTGCTAACCTTCTGGGAAGACGAGGATTCTTCTTAAAGAGACCGCACAATTTTTAACAGATCTGCAGATCTTTTCTTCTGGTATATGTAAAAATGAGCAAGTAGAATGTCTACGTCAGTGCTCTGTGTTTCAATTCATTCAACCTATATTACCTAAGTACCAAATTTGGGTTAACACAAGATGCAAGATGCTGAGGCTGCAAAAGAACTCCAAACTGTGACGCTCCCCTTCAAGAAGCTCAGTCTATTCAGTAAAGATTTTTCTAGCACCTATATTATGTGCCAGGCCCTGTGCTGGGGGGCTGCAAAAGATTTTAAATGGTTATAGTATTGTCTCCATAGTCAAGGGACTTACTAAATAATAGAGGGGATGAAAGAATTATTGCATTATAAACAGCACCGAAGAACAAGTGAAGTGAGAGATTATGTCCATAGGGAGTTAGCTGATAACTCCATAGAGTACAGATGATATCTGAACAGGGCTTGGAAGGACGGGTGGATTCTAAGAGATGGATTTCAGTAGCATAGGCAGGGAGTAAAGGATGCAGATGTTCAGAAGAAGTAGTTTGAGCAAAGACAAGCAAATCAAACTGGAATGCACTTAAAGAATGGCAAGTAGCTCTGTTTAAACAGAAAGGCTGGGAATACAGTAGGTAATAGGGGAAATTTGGTTGTGGCCATGTTGTGGAAGTGGGAAGGGCAGCTGAAGCAGTCTACACTGAATTTCCACAGAGAGTGAATAGCAAGTTTCCAAGCCAGGAATCAAATCTGTTGCTTATAATAAAAATTTTAAATACAAGGTTGGATTAATCCTTCCATAGGCAGGCAAACATATTTGGGATAGTATCTGCTAAAAAATTCTGTTTTTATTTTTATTTTTATTTATTTATTTATTTATTTTAGGGTAACTGGAAACAAGATTGTCATTTCTGGTGTAACCTGTAAATCAAATAGTGTGCAGTAATTATGGAAGGTAAGAGTGAACATTCCATAACCATAGAGGATAAGAGGGCATTTTGCAATCCATATAAAATATGTAAACAGAAACTTCTTAAAATGTAACTTCTTTCAGTCACATCCTCAATTATTGTTGACAGCACATTTGATATCTACAACTGAGATTCAGAAAGAAAGTTCTGAAAACTTATTTCATGGCATGGGAGAAGAAAATCTGAAGTCACTCTGTAATGAGTTGCTCAGGAATGCAGACTGGACCCAAAAAGGGACTTAGGAAACCTAATCTCCAATTACAGATTTTCCAATCATTGTGTTAAATGCAAAATGCATGCAAAAGATTACAGGCTTTTTGTTTTTCCAAAACTTTTTTTTAGAAAACAGAATGAAACACTTCAAGCATTCAGAACAGACATCATAGGAATTAACTGAACCGAATTTGATATAACAAATATTAGAAAAAAAATTTCTTTACCTTGTAAAGCTTAATACTTCATAAAGAAATGTTGACAGTTGACTCAGTTCTCATTCTTTCCTAAATACTAATAATTTACCTACAGCATTGATATTGATTTTTTTAACATGATTTTTCCTATCAGCTGATGTTCCAGGAAACCATTCCTACTTCCATTTTCTTTGCTTGGGTCAGTGCTTAAAATAATAGCAGCAAAAGCATGGCGAGGAAGGTCGCAGATAACTGGGAAGGAAGGGTAGATACAATGAATGTTTTATCTTAACTGACCTCCAAAATAAGCCATGACTATCTTTCCTTTTGGGGAGCCTGCCCGCCTATCCTTTCTCCAAATTAAAAGTCAACAAACAAGCATTGATTGCACCTAATTTCATATGATACATCTTGTTTATCACTGATAGAAAAATATCTTCCTCACAGGAAGTGGGTGAAGATGCTAAACATGCTCCAATAGAGGAGACTGGAATGGGAAATGCTCTTGACCATGGCAAAGTACATAGGGGCAAGTGACAGAACAAGTGATGAAATAATGTACACAGCACAATTCCATTTTTGCCTGGATGGTAGGATCACATTGCCAAGTAGTCTTTTCTATGTTTTTCCTGCATAGTTCTCCTTTTTTTTTTCTAACTTTTATTTTAGGTTTGGGGGTACATGTGCAGGCTTGTTACATGGGTAAACTGTGTGTCACTGGGGTTTGGTGTACACATGATTTTGTCACTCAGGTAGTGAGCATAGACCCAATACGTAGTTTTTCAATCCTCCTTCTCCTCCCACCCTGCACCATCGATTATGTCTTGGTGTCTATTGTTCCCCTCTTTGTCTCCATGTGTATTCATTGCTTAGCACCCACTTATAAGTAAGAACATGTGGTATTTGGTTTTCTGCTCCTGTGTTAATTTGCTTAGGATAATGGCCTCCAGCTGCATCGGTGTTGCTGACGAGGACAGGATCTCATTCTTTTTTTGTGGCTGCGTAGTATTCCATGGTATATATGTGCCACCTTTATCCAGTCCACCATTGATGGGCATCGAGGTTGATTCCAAACCTTTGCTATTGTGAAAAGTGCTATGATGAGCATATGCATGTATATGTCTTTATGGTAGAATGATTTGTATTCCTTTGAGCACGTACCCAGTAATGGGATTGCTGGGTTGAATGGTAGCTCTGTTTTAAGTTATTTGAGAAATCTCCAAACTGCTTTCCACAGTGGCTGAACTAACTTGTATTTCCACTAGAAGTGTGTATGTGTTCCCTTTCCAAAGCCTCACCAAAATCTGTTATTTTCTTGACTATTTAATAATAGCCATTCTGACTGGTATGAGATGGTGTCTTATTGTGGTTTTGTTTTGCATTTCTCTAATGATTAGTGATGCTGAGAATCTTTTCAAATGCTTGTTGGCTGTATGTATGTCTTCTTTGAAAAAGTATCTTTTCATGTTATTGGCTCATTTTTAAAAATGGGGTTGTTTTTTGCTTATTAAGTTCCTTATAAATTCTGAATGTTAGACCTTTGTCAGACGCATAGCTTGGAAATATTTTCTTCCATTCTGCGGGTTGTCTGTTGTTTCCATTGATAGTGTCTTTTGCTGTGCAGTGGCCATTTAGTTTAATTAGGTCCCACTTGTCAAGTTTTATTTTTGTGGCAATTCTTTTTAGGATTTAGTGATAAATTTTTTCCCAAGTCCAGTGTCTACAATGGTGTTTTCTACATTTTCTTTCCAGGATTCATATTGTTTGAGTTCTACTATTTAAATCCTTAATCTATTTTGAGTTAATTTTTGCATATAGTAAAATGTTGGGGTCAAATTTCAGTCTTCTACATATGGCTTTCCTGTTACCCCAGCACTATTTATTGAATAGGGAATCCTTCTCCCATTGTTTGTCATCATTAATGTCGTTGAAGATCTGATGGTTATAAGTATGTGGCTTTAATTCTGGGTTCTCTAATCTGCTTCATTAGTCTATGTAACTGTTTTTTGTAGCAATACCATGCTGCTTTGGTTACTGTAGCCTTGTAGTATAGTTTGAAGTCAGATAGGGTGATGCCTCCAGCTTTGTTCTTTTTGCTTAGGATTACTTTTGCTCTTCAGGCTATTTTTTGGTTCCATATGAATTTTAGAATATTTATAATTCTGTGAAAAATGACATTGGTGGTTTGACAAGAATAGTGTTTAATCTGTAGATTGCTTTGGGCAGTATGGCCATTTTAACAATATTGGTTCTTCCATCCATAAGCATGGAATGTATTTTAATTTATTTGTAATATCTCTGATTTATTTCAGCAGTTTTTAGTTCTCCTTGTAGAGATCTTTGTAGAGACCTGCTTGTTTAGCTATATTCCTAATTACTTCATTTTTTTTGTGTTTATTGAAAATGGGATTGTGTTCTTGATTTGATTCACAGCTAGAATGTTGTTGGTGTATAGAAATGCTACTGAGTTTTGTACGTTGATTTTGTATCCTGAAACTTTACTGATGTCATTTATCAGTTCTAGGAGCCTGTTGGTAGAGTCTTTGGGGTTTTCTATGTATATGATTATATTACCAACAAAGAGAGATAGTTTGACTTCTTCTTTTCCTATTTGGAGCATTTTATTATTTTTCCTGCCTGATTGCTCTGGTTAGGACTTCCAGTACTACGTTAAATAGCAGTGGTGAAAGTGGGTATCCTTGTCTTTTTTCAGTTCTTAAAGGCAATGCTTCCAGCATTTGCCCATTCAGTATAATGTTGGCTGTGGGTTTGTCATAGATGGCCGTTATTATTTTGAGGTATGTTGCTGTGATGCATAATTTGTTGAAGGTTTTTAACATGAAGGGATATTGAATTTTGTTGAAAGCCTTTTCTGCATTTATTGAGATAATCATATGGCTTTTGTTTTTAGTTCGGTTTATGTGATCAATCACATTTATTGATTTGCATATGTTCAACCAACCTTGGATTCCTGGAAAAAAAGCCTACTTGACCATGTTTGATTAGTTTTTTGATGTGCTGCTGGATTTGATTTGCTACTATTTTGTTGAGGATTTTTATTTCTATGTTCATAAGGGATATTGGCCTGTAGTTTTCTTTTTTTGTGTGTCTCTGCCAAGTTTTGGTATCAGAATAATGCTGGCCTCATATAATGAGTTAGCAAAGAGTTCCTCCTCTTCAATATTTTGGAACAGTTTCAGTAGGATTGGTACCATGTCTTTATATACCTGGGAGAATTTGTCTGTGAATCCATTTGTTTCAGTTTGTTGGTAGGTTTTAAGAATTACTGATTCTATTTTGGAAATCATTATTGGTCTGTTCAGGTATTGAATTTCTCCCTGGTTCAACTTTGGCAGATTGTACATTTCCAGGAATTTATTCATTTCTTCTGGGTTTTCCAGTTTGTGTGCATTGAGGTATTCATAACAGTCTCTGAGGGTTTTTTTTTTTTTTTTTTGGTGCATTTCGGTAGGGTTTGTGGTAATGTCTCCTTTGTTATTTCTGATTGTGTTTATTTGGATCTTCTCTCCTTTTTCTTTATTGGTCTAGCTAGTAGTCTAACAGTCTTCTTTATTGTTTTAGCAACCAACTGTATTAGTTCATTCTCATGCATCTAATAAAGACATACTTGAGATTGGGCAATTTATAAAGGAAAGAGGTTTAATTGACTCACAGTCACACAGGGCAGTGAGGCCTCAGGAAACTTACAATCGTGGTGGAAAGGGAAGCAAACGTGTCCTTCTTCACATGATGGCAGCAAAGAGAAGTGCCGAGCAAAAGGGGCAAATCACTTTATAAAACCATCAGATCTCATGAGAACTCTCTTTCACAAGAACAGCAGCATGGTGATAACCACCCCCATGATTCAATTACCTTCCACCTTGTCCCCCCCCATAACATGTGAGGATTATGGGAACTACAATTCAAGATGAGATTTGGGTCGTGACACAGCCAAACCATATCATCAACTTTGTTTTGTTGATCTTTTGTATGCATTTCCACATCTCAATTTCATTCATTTCCACTTTGATTTTCCTTCTTTCTTTTCTTCTGCTAGCTTTGGGATTGGTTTGAATTCCTTTCTTTTGAATTCCTGAAAGTGTGATGTTAGATTGTTAATTTGAGACCTTTCTGACTTTTTGATGTAGTTGTTTAGGGCTATAAACTTTCCTCTTAACACTTCTTTAGCTGTGTCCCAGTGATTCTTGTATGTTGTATCTTTGTTGTCATCTGTTTCAAATAATTTCTTGATTTTTGACTTAGTTTCATTTTTTACTCCAAAGTCATTCAAAAGCAGGTTGTTTAATTTCCATGTAATTGTATGGTTTTGAGATATCTTCTTGGTAACAATTTCTATTTTTACTGTGTGGTGGTCCAAGAGTGTGGTTGGCATATATACATTTAAATTTGTTGAGAATTTCTTTATGGCCGAGCATATGGTTGATCTTAGATTATGTGCCATGTGCAGATGAGAAGAATTGCATTCTTTTATGGAGTGGAGTGTTCTGTTGTTGTCTATTGGGTCTATTTGGTCAAGTGTTTTTTAGTTACTAAATATTTTTGTCAGTTTACTGCCTCAATGATCTGACACTGTCAGTGGGGTGTTGAAGTCTTTCACTATTATTATGTGGTTATCTACTTCTCTTCATAAGTATCTAAGAACTTGTTTTATGAATCTTAGTGCTCCACTGTTGTGTGCATATACATATTTAGGATAGTTAAGTTTTCTTGTTGAACTGAACCCTTTATCATTATGTAATGCCCTTCTTTGTCCTTTTTGATCATTGTTCATTTAAAGTCTGTTTTATCTGAAATAAGAATAGCACCTCCTGCTCTCTTTTGCTTTCCATTTGCATGATAGATCTATCACTATCCCTTTAGTTTAGCCTATTGGTGTCATTGCATGTGAGATGGATCTCTTAAAGACAGCATTCAGTGGAGTCTTGCTTCTTTATCCAACCTGCCACTCTATGTCTTTTAAATGGGGCATTTAGCTTATTTATATTCAAGGTTAATATTGATATATCAGGATTTTATCTTGTCATCTTGTTAGCTGATTGTTATATAGACTTAATTGTATAGTTGCTTTATAGCATCAGTGGGCTATGTACTTAAGTACGTAGTGTGAAAAATATGTTTTTGTTCTGGCAGATAAGGTTCTTTTGTTTCCATGTGTAGCACTCCCTTAAGGATCTCTTGTAAGGCAGGTCTGGTGCTAATGAATTCCCTTAGCCTTTGCTTTCCTGAAAAGAATTTTATTTGTCATTTGTTATGAAGCTGAGTTTGGCTGGAAAAGAAATTCTTGGTTGGAATTTCTTTTTTCTAAGGATGCTGAATGTAGGTCTCTGATGTCTTCTGGCTTTTAAGGTTTCTGCTGAAATGTTCACTCTTAGCCTGATGAGTTTCCCTTTGTACATGACCTGGCCCTTCTCTCTAACTGACTTTAATATTGTTTCTTTCACACTGACCTTGGAAAATCTTACGACTGTATGTCTTGGAGATGGTTGTCTTATATAGTGTTTTACTGGGGTTCTCTGGATTTCCTGAATTTGCATTTTGACTACTCTAGCAATGTTGGGGAAATTTTTGTGGACAATATCCTCAAATTATGTTTTCCAAGTCGCTTTCTGTCTCTTCTTCTCTTTCTGGGATGCCAATGAGTTGTAGGTTTGGTCTAATCCCATATATATCAGAGGTTTTTTCATTTTATAAAATTCTTTTTTCTTTACTTTTGTCTAATTGAGTTGATTTGAAGAACTGGTCTTTGAGCTCTAAGATGCTTTCCTCATTTTACTCTATTCTGCTGTTAACATACTTCTAATTGTGTTATGAAATTCCTGTCATGAGTTTTTGAGTTCTCAACCAGTTTGTTTCTTTCTTAAAAGGGCTATTTGGTCTTTCAGCTGTTGTATCGTTTTATTGGATTCCTTAGATTCCTTGGGTTTCAAATCTTCCTGGATCTTAATGATCCTTGTGGCCATCCAGATTCTGAATTCTGTGTCTGCCATTTCAGTCCAGTTAAGAACCATTGCTGGGAAGCTAGTGTGGTTGCTTTGAGGTAAGGGAAGACTGTGGCTTTTAGAGTTACTAGAGTTCTTGTTCTGTTTGTTTGTTTGTTTATCTGTGTGCTCTACTGTTCCTTTAATCTTTGAAGTTGCTATCTTTGGATGAAGCTTTTTCCTTTTATATTCTTTGATGCCTTTGAGGATTTGACTGTGGTATATAATATTCGGTTTAGTCAACTGGCTTTGTTTCTGGATGATTTCAGGGGGCCAAACACTCAGCTCAGCACTCCTAGACTTTGTGCTCTCACCCTGGAGGGCTAGGACTAGACCTGCAGCTTTTTTCTCTGGCCCCTCAAGGTTAATCATCTATTGTGCTTGAGGGGCTGAGGTGTTCCCTATCTGCTGACAACAACATTCAGATGAGGAATCTGGTTAAATCACTTCCGTGGGAAGGAGGTAGGCGGTGGAGGGCCCCAGGTGACCACTGCTAAGTCACACAGGTGTGTGTGTGCACCTGTGGCAGTGACTGGCAGTTTCCGCATGCACTGGCAAAACAGGATGGGAGACTGAATGAGTGCACACTGGCAGGAGAGGGCTGTAAGTGGGTGCTTGCCAGTCAGGGCCCATCTCCAGAAGTTCTCCAATTGTTAGATGGAGCTTGCCAGTGAAAGAACTCTCATGGTGGCTGTTGGCAAGCACCTTGGCTGGTCAGCTGAGCCTGTGCTGCAAGTGGGTGGGACCAGGCAGGGACTGGAGATGGGCTGGCAGACAGGAGGGTACTCACATCAGACTGGCTGCATCCCACAGGCCAAGATGGCCCTGTTCTGTCCAGGTATAGCAGCCAAGAAAGGCTAAAGCTTCCTACAGGATCATGGCAGTCCTTGGGGGATGGGCACCTATGGCTGTGCTCCACTTAAGCAGTTCCCATGCCAAATCCTGTAGGCTTCGTGCTGGCTGGAGTTCTGTGTCTTTCTGCTTTCTGGGAAGTTCTCACTGACAGCTCAAATATCCATGTGGGTCGTGGGGTCTCCTACAACTAGGATTCCAGAGGGTCACGGTGAGAGTGAGCCACTTTACCCGTTTCATTTATACCTTCGTTAGGGCTGCATGGGGCCAGAAATGTGCCCTGGTTCTGGGCAACCCCATGCTTCCTTCCTTGGCAACCCCATGCTTCCTTCCCTTTCAGTCAAGTTTCTGCACCCTCCCTCTGTCCATTCTCAATGACTTCTTTCCAAAAGATATGTTCATAATGTGCCAATTTACTTAATGGCCTGGCCTCTCTCAGTGGAAGAAGCTCTTCTTGGCTGCATCTAGTTGGCTATCTTGGTTCAAGTCACCTTTTTTGTCTTTCTTAGTTGGACACTCAGAGCAATTTTTCCACCCCAAAAGCCAATTCCACTTTCCCAAGTTCACGAGGAAGCAGGAACAACAAATCAAAAAAAACTATATTCGTAATACACAGATTCTTTGGAGGCATACCTTCAAGGTCAGTTTCTCTTTTCCAAGACGCTAGACAAGACAGATGTGCAGGAAGAAGAGAAGTAGGAAGGGCAGACAAAAAACTGAGTGAAAGGTTGGGGTGAGCTAGTGGGGTAATTACAGAGGAACAAGGGCCACAGAGGAGGAAGCTCAAAACTGTTTCCAATAGCCACTCTTCTCCCTCTCGTCACCAATTCATTATCTGCCTTTCACAGACCTGGGCACTAAAAAGTACTCTGAACAGAGGGTTCTAAATGTGTGCAACTTGTGTTTGGATGGAGACAAGATATAGTTCCAGGTGGAACTGAACTGAATCCATGTGGGAAATATCCTGGGAGCAGGTACAGAAGTGGATCGGCCATCACCATTACCACATTCCTCAAAAAGTTTAGGACAAAAAGACCTGTGAAAGGAGCTATGTGGGTAAAAATGTTTATTTTGTTAAACGAAAGACTGAGAAGATAAATGTGTTTACACTGACATGTTAACGGAGATTGTCTCTAGAAGATGAGGTAATTATAGATTTAAATAATTAATACTTTTATTCATTGCCTTAATTTTAAGTAAATTAACATTCATTATTTGTACAAGGGAAAAACACAGTGTGTGTTTGTGGGTTTTGAACTGTTGTCCACCACTTTTAACTTTCAGTTTCCTTTTAATATCATACTTTGTGATGGATATTCATATCCAAACTACCCTGTGATGTCCCTTACAGTGGGAAGATTACACATCTCATCCATGATAAATTTAAGAGTGGCCATGTGACTTGCTTTGACCAATGAAATGTAGACAGAAATGATTTATGTCACCTCAATATAAAAGCTTTGAGAATAGGCTTGATTCCCTTTGAGTCCTCTTTGTGTGACACACTCTTGTAGAGGTTTAACGAAAGACTTGTTTCTGGTGACAATTATGTAAAACACCAACAAAGAGTTGGAAGGTGCTAAGTGCTTCAAATGGCAGATGGGAGAACTTCTAATTGAAAGAAGCCAGGAGACTTTACTTTAGCTGTAGATTAGAGTGATGGCTCACCATGTCCTTTATCCTTCTCCTTCTGGAAAAGCAGAAAAAGACTGCTGTACCAGTCTAGACTCCATGGTGACCTCAAATGGCTAGGAGGAATGAATGAGAAATAATCTAAAAATATGGCAAACTACAGAAATTGTGGGTTTTCTGCCAGTGCAGTATAATCTGCTTATCCTGACTGATACATTTCTCTTTATGTTCCTCTATTGGCTCCCCTGCTGAAATTTCCAGAGCTCTGTCTTCTAATTGAGTCTCTGTATTATTGCTTTCCCTTTTACAATAAACCCTGGAAGTATATAAGTAGTAAGCTTTCTGAAGCAAAGAAAGGCAAAGGACCGAGGCTTATAATTTTTAATCAATAAAATTTAATTAAGATATTCATCCAACATATACTCTGGAAAGAGATGGAAACATGAATAAAATTTAGTCCCAGATTATTGGTCTTCTAGGGCAGCCATCACAAAGTACCACAAACTGGGTGGCTTAAACAGCAAAAATGTCTTTTCTCTTAGTTCTGGAGGCCAGAAGTCTGAGATCAGAAAGTTGGCAGGATTGGTTTCTTCTGAGGCCTCTTTCCTTGGCTTGAGGATCACCCTCTTCTCTCTGCATCTCCACATAGTCTTTTCTTTGTTCATGCCTATGTCCTTACCTCCTTTTCTTACGAAGACACCACTCACGTTGGATTAAGGCCCACCCCAATGACTCATATAACCTTAATTTCCTGTTTTAAAGACCGTATCTTCAAATGTAGTCTGAGGTACTGGAGAGAGGATTTTATCATATAAATTTTGGCGGGAGACTCGTTTCAGCCCATAATTCTGACCTATTGGTCTCCCTCGTCTATTTGGAAACAGACATGTGAAAAAATCATAATGAGATAATAAATGGTATAGAATATATATATATATATATATATATATATATATATATATATATATATATATACATATGGCAATATTGGAAGACAGATGAAGAATCAACTAAACTGCGGCTTGTCTGATTGACAGGATACTCAATATATCTCTAAGATGCTCTTCTTTCCTGAGTGATTAATTAAGGATAATTAATGAAAACAATGCTAACAATTTTTACTCTGGTGTAAAAGCCAGCACACAAGCCAACATTCTCTAGCCTCATTTGCTTGAGTGGTATTGCTCTTATCTACAGCAAAAGGGAAGTCTTCTGGCTTCCTTGAACTGGAAGTTCTCCTGTCTGCCATCTGAAGCACTTAGCACTCTCCAATTCTGTATTGGTGTTTTATATCATCAGCACCAGAAACAAATCTTCCATTAAACCTCTATGTGAGTGTGTCACCGTGGTGACACTACACAAAGGGAACTCAAAGTACTCTAAATTTGAATAAACCAGATAGGCAAAGACAAACAGATACTGGTAATTATAAAAATTGAAGAACTGCATCCTGGACAAAGCTAAGCAAAGGAAATGGTCAAGAAAATGGGATCCCAGAGCAAAGCTGCAAGGGGACATGATTTTCAGGGAATTCCACACATCACTCAATCTCCACGGCCTAAGGTGAGAGAAAGCTTGGGGGTAGGCAGGTAGATGGGTTGGTCTATCCACTATTTTCCTCTTCTTTTCTCTTTCTTTACTCTCCTCTTATGGCTTTTCTTCTAATAAAAACACAGATCAATCCAATCAGCTTCAAAATGAAAATACATATTTTATATATTTTTTCTATTCTCAGTTGTATCATTTATATTTCTAAAGTGAGCTAAAAATTGACTATTATTGTAGCACGTGCAAAATTTGACACTTTGTGACTTTTAACTCATCTCCACTCTGATAAAAGTTGTGAAGGCCCAACTCAGAGAGAGATTAAACCCCACAGGACTAATGATAGTGGAAGGTAAGTGATACTGATCAATAAGACAATTATAAAATAAAATAGTATGAGAAAATTCCTTTCTCCTTTGCAAACATGTAATTATTTCAGATTTTCTTAACTGAGGAAGTACTGTGTTTGTCCCTGATTTGTCAGAATGAAGCAAATATTAATACTGTAAAACAGATGCCAAATAGTGTGGATTAAAAAGCTTTGACATGAGTTGATATAATGTAGATCTTATATTTATGACGTAATTGTGAATTATGTACTTTATTCATTGGTAATTAGAGAGCAGAACAGATGGAGAAGGTTTAGCTTAAAATGATGCGTCCATTAAAATAACCTGCACTGCCAAGTGTCTATTCATGTTCATGAGTACGGCAAATTTGTTCTATTAAAATATGATTGGAAGATAAGGACTTATTGTCATTGTGTTGGAGTCATCCATCTAATGATGAAAGCTAAAATCCTCTGTAAATGTCAAATCCACCTATTATCCTGTTTTGCTTTGCAGAGGGTCTTAACTAGACATTTTGGCTGTGGCAGAAATTCTAATATTGGCAATTCTATCTGTTTTCCCATTATTTAGACATTACCATAAAGAAAATCAAACTAGCCATCAAATGAAAATAACAATGTTGACTATTACTTTAAGTGTACATCTTTTAGTTTATTGTTGAAAGGACAGATGGCAACTACTTTTTTAATGTGAATATTGTATTTTTCTATTTTCACTAGACATGCTTGCTTCTACCCTCACATATTTTCCCAGCCTTTTTGGATGGCATCTAGAGGCTGCTTTTCCTTTCAGTTTTAATCTGCCTTCACTGGGATGAGAAAAATTACGTAGTGCAGATTTCCCATGTGCTCTACTTGAAGATAATGCTACATCGAATGAACCACAATTGAGGGCAGAGTGGGGCAGGTCCTCTCCTGTGTTGCTGGTGGGGCTGTAAACAGTGTGCTCTTCTTGGAAGGAATTTGGCAATATATATCAGAAGCCTTAAATAATTCATCACAAGAAATTCCAATCCTGTGCATCTATCCTATGGAAATATTCAAAATAGGGTCAAATATACATAGGCCCAAGTATAGCCCCCCAAGCACAAAACTTTTTACCTAAAAATGATCATGTTATTCCATATATAATAACTAATAATAGGAATAAATTAAAAGTCATATAGGGGAGATGGTTAAGAAAATTGTGGTATAGCTACATCTTACTCCTGGGTAGAAATCTAAATTATAAATGTGAAGACTGTGAAATAATACAGGAAAACGTTTATATTATAAAGTGGAGTAGAAAAATAAAACATTAAAATACTAGAAAATGAAAGTCAATAATGCTGAGTGTCTTTTTTAATATACCAGGTACTGTTTTAAGCACTTTATAAAAAAGATACTATAAAATATATAAGCCATTGAGGTAAGTAGTTGTAGAGCTGGGAGGAGCTGGGATTTGAACTCAAGTACTCTGATTTCAGAGAACCTGCTTTTAATTTTTATGCGATACTACCTCTTCAGTAAGATAGCAACTATTTAAAAACAATACGAAAGCACACCCACATGCACAGCAGTGAAAAAAAACCCATCATGCAGTGTTTTCATCAAGAGCTGCAGTCTATTTCCCCACCCCAAAATCCAAGGTGGCCTTGTGACTTGCTTTGAAAATGAAATGCAGTGGAAGGAATTTTGTGTGACTTTCCAGACTAGGCTGCAAGAGGCTTTGCAGATTCCCCTTCCACATTCTTGGAATGCTGCCCTGAGATAGCCATGCAAGGAAGATGGTCTACTCTACCAGGGGATGAGAGACCCTGTGGAGGAGAATTAAGGTACCCTTACCCCAGCCAGAAGCAACAGCCAGACATGTGAGTGGGGCTATCCTGGGCCTTCTCCATTTCAACCAACCCAGCGGCTGAATGTAGTCACATGAGTGAGTCCAGGTGAAATGAACATACAAAATGCCAACCCAACCCATGTAATCATGAAAACTAATAATTCATTATTATTTTACTTCTTTTAGACTTTAGATCCTGACATTTGACATTCCTCTGGAATAAACTGGACAGTTTCCTCAGGTTTCTAAGACCAAGGTAAAAGTCTTCCTAAAAGAACTGATCCTTTTGAGACACTGCCAGTGTGCCATTCCATGGTCACTTAAACTTTCCTGGATTGGGCACAGTGTGAATGACACAGAATTTTGTGAGCAGCTGTTGGGCGGTTAAATGGTAAGATGAAGAACCTGCAGTCTGGGCAACTGAAAAAATGCTATGAATATTTCTCCCCACCAGCAGTAAGAAGTGCTGAGTCAACTCTCAGGATAAACACAAAGCTGGGGACCATTTCACATAGGACCATGTCTCTAATTACTAACCCTGTAATTTTATTGTTGGTGCCTCTTGCATATGAGAAGGAAGCTGCAATTCCACTAGTATCTGCTTATGCTCTGGCAATTCTGCCTCGCTTATTGAGCCATGGAACAGTTGAAATTATAATCAGGGTGAGGCAAGGCAACTGTCAACAATCAAATTAGGAAGCAGGTATTTTACTAGAGAATTATGATGAGGATTAAAATGCCAAGCTGAAAGTCAATTGCAGCCAAGTGACTTTTGTTCTGTTGATCACTTTCTTCTCCTGGAAAGCTCCTTTGGCTTCCATAAGCATTTCTCATTACTTTCTTCTTCCTCTCTTGCCCTTCTAAGTACCTATCAATAATGTTTTTAATGATCATTCCAGAATTTTGGTTTGTATTCGTCTTACTCTTCATACTCTCCTTGAGTGATATAACCAATTTCCGTGGTTTTAATTACTGATAAGTTCCCAGCTTGCATCTTTGGCTCCTGAATTATATTCAACTGTCCACCAGGTATCTTCATCTGGGTATTTCCCAAGCACCACAATCTTGTCATGACCAAAAAAAATTTATTTATTTTTCTCCAAGATCCTCTTCTCCACCATTATCATCACTTAGCTTCTTAGCTTCTTTCCAAACTTTTACCTTCACATCTAATCAAGTTTTGTCCATGTGTTTGCCTGAATATTCCTGAGATCAGCATCAAGTCCATTCCCTGTAGCACAGCACACATGGCTATTCAGGGTCTGGTCCCTACATACCTTTTCAGCTTTCCTCTTGTCTCTGTTGTATCCTGAGCTATTCTTATATCCAGTGAATTTAAGACTGCAGTGTGCCTCACACATTTCTGCATTGCTACGTATATCACCCCCTATGAAGAATGCTCTTTCTTTCTGCCTTCCTCCAGCAAACACCTTCTCATCTTACAAAACTCAGTTCAGAGCGACTTGTTTGAAGAGGTTTCTCTGACCTCCCTTCCCTCCAGCTGTGTAAATTAGGTGTTTCTCATCCCATAGTGCTTTATGCATGACTCTACCATTACATTTATTATACTGATTGCAATAGACTCTTTGCTTCTCTGCCTTGCCTAGAAGACCTGCCTATTTCCTGATAGCAGGCACTGTGTGTTTTTATCTATGTGCTCTATTATTTCATTTAATACTTGGCTGCTAGTAAATGCACATAGCAGACATTGTGGAATGGGTGAATGTGATGTAACCAATCTACAGGGCTCTCCCCATTAGTGATTCAACAGAGAGGGGTAGTAGCTCAGTGTGAGAGGATAGGGTGTGATAGATAAATCATAGAGAGTTCAAATATAAGACTGGGTGACTCAAGATGCTCAAATTTGGGGCTGGCCATATTTCAGCATAGGTTAATAGTTTGTGTCCAAACCAGGATGCTTAGCCAGTCAACTACATGCCTATGATCTTGTCAGTCACATGCCCAGATAGAGCAAAGGGATCCTACCTTAGCTCCTGGTTATAGGGTCAGGTGTCTCACTCCTTGAAACTTGCTGGTCTTGCAACCCCCAGGCAGTACCTACCACTTGCCACACAGACTGTTATAATTTCAAACCAACAGAACTATCTCCTCCCTGGGCTCTGGCAGTCATCATTTGAATCTGAGGGAACCTACTGGTCTCTACTCTCTCTGAGATCTCAGAATTCCCAGATTTATATTCTATGAGAAAAATACACATATAAAATTATTCCTTTAAGGCATACTAAATCCTTTCATATGTGGTATTTGCCTCTTCACATTACAAACCTCCCTTCTGCCAGAGTTCTGGCAAAAGCCATTCAAGCTGCAGAGTTTATCTTCTCTCAGCTGTCTGTGCCATGTCATGGCCACACTTACTAACAAAAAAAGGAATACATATGTTTGCAGGCTGCATCTATCTCTAGAACATAGCTCTGTTTTTTTGCCAAAGCCATTTACATTGATTTAAATCACCAAACCATCAGTCTATATTGCCTGGGCAGCTGCGATCCATCAGTACTAACATAGGTGGTAGAAGGTTTGAACACAAGTAAATAAGACACATAATCCTGATGGAATTTGGCATCTCCATAAGGATAAAGAACACACTAAATATACAGTAAGTAACAGAGTAAGAGAGGATATGATATATTGCTTGAGTGTTTATGGGTCAGGCCCTTACCCATGACACGTTTGATTTAATCCTTGTAACCACTCTGTGAGGTAAAGTATCATTAGACTAGAATGATAGGTGAGGAAATCAAGAATCAGAGGGGAGAGGTAAGCTTCCCAACATCATGCAGCTAGAACTCAGGCCTATGCCGTGATTTAATCACAATGATGTTTTTCCTCCTAGAGCCATAGGAGTTTGGAAGAGGATGCAATTGCTTTGTCTTGTAGTGCTTGCACAAGTCTTCACAGAGGTGGTGAAATAAAATCTAGGCCTTAAAAAATAACCGGGATTTAGAGAAGTGGAAAGGCAAAATAAGACATTTGGGGCAGCAAATATCTTCAATTGCATCCTATTGTAAAACAAAGGATGGTGATTAAGCTAAGGATTCTTTGGCCATCCAGAGAGCCCTAAGAATTTCCTCTTCCAAAATAAAATTCCTCCAACCTGTAGCTCAACTAACTTGCTTGAGTATTTTTCAATCCACTGTAACACCAGGGTCACCTGGCAGCTCTGGGGACTATAAACTGAGAGAATATTTGCAACGTTACTCTGCTCTGATAACTCTGCTTGTTCTCTGAGTCTGTCAATTTGATATCCTCCACTAACACTGAACAGGATTTAAAATAAATGTGTCAAATAGCCATTGCCTGCAGTTTATGCAATATAAAAATGAAATCCTCTTGAAATAAAACTAGCTGAAGAGACCAGCCATTAAATAAATACAGGTACTTTTTTCGTGGTCAACAAGCATGGCATTGAGCTCTGAGAGGTCTTTGCTAATGTGAGTCAAATGTTGACTGATTGGGACGAGCTTAATATTTAGATCACGAGGCTTTTATCCATCACTGAAGAGGCCAGAAAGAATCACTGTAGTATTTGAGCTATGGCTTTCTTTGCTTGGTGAAATGAGTTCATGGCAATGTCTTCCTGGGTACACCTTGGCAGTGAATCTGAATTTCCTCCCCATACAGGTTGTAGCTGAACAAACTGTACCATAACGATCTGATCTTCTGGATAGCACGAAAAGTGTTGAATAAGTGGCTAGGGAATTCGAATATCAGAAATTGTCTGGGCATGGTGGCTCACGCCTGCAATCCCAGCACTTTGGGGGGCCGAGGTGGGTGGAACACAAGGTCAGGAGTTCAAGACCAGCCTGGCCAATATGGTGAAACCCAGTCTCTACTAAAAATACAAAAATTAGCGGGGTGTGGTGGCGCGCTACTCAGGAGGCTGAAGCAGAAGAATCACTTGAACCCGGGAGGCAGAGGTTGCAGTGAGCCGAGATAGCACCACTGCACTCCAGCTTGGGCGATGGAATGAGATTCCGTCAAAAAAAAAAAAAAAAAAAAAAAAAGGGAGTCTATGCTGGCCTACATCTTTGTCTCACAAGGGATTGAAGGGATTGAGGTTTGCTCTATAAGCAGGCTCTTGTAACTGTGTCTTTCTTAAAAACATTTTCCCCAATTCTGT
Organism: Homo sapiens; assembly: GCF_000001405.40. Classification (NCBI taxonomy): domain Eukaryota; kingdom Metazoa; phylum Chordata; class Mammalia; order Primates; family Hominidae; genus Homo; species Homo sapiens. The sequence goes on along the minus strand of NC_000009.12, from coordinate 8,138,137 downwards.
CTTGACTTCAGTAAGTAATTTCAACTAGTTTTTAGACCAACAAATATAAGTATCATTTATTCTCTTTTCAGGGCAATAAGAAATCAAAAGTCTGCACCATAAGTATTTCATCTGACTTCAGCCCCAGCCCAGGTCATTGTGGAACTCTGCTTCCATCAATAACCTCTACTTCTGTAGCTTATGGCTTCTTGTCTTTTTCCATGTTTAGAAAGAATCACCAAGTGACCAGACCACTGGGTATCTGTTCTTTCAGGTATTTATATGGACTCAAGCCATGATATTAGGGGCACATACCTATCCAACCCACCACAAGGACCACCCTGCTTGCCCTGATCTCAGCTCCCTTTTTAAGGTAAAATGGACACATATCAGCACATCTGCTTTCCTAACCATTCTTGCCAGCAGCTTCATGTGAAAATGAACATTAAAAGACAGGATTAACTTAAATGAGACAACCTATATTGAACAGTTAGTACTATGCCTAGAGAATAGATTTTACTCAAGAGGCTTAGAGGCTTCTCAGAACTTCTTGGAGAATTAACACATTTGACCCTAACAGTGAATACAGGGTTGCATTTGCATCCACCTGTAACCTACACTTGTCCATCTGATAATCCATTAACTAAACTAAGCACTGGAAAATCTTGTAAAATTCTCAGTTTCTCTGAAAAGGCATAATTTCTGGAGGTGCAGACATGACTATCAGAATTAAACCACCAGAACTTCCTAGAAGGGCAGAAGTACATCAAACTCACTTGGCAAGATACTTGTGGCTTAGAGGAAATTTAAAATCCATGGGCTACTCTCCATTTAACTCCACAAGTTATTCACATTTATTTGTTGGCAGTTCACTGGAATTGGTCTATTCCTGAAATTGAAGGACTAATAGGGCTCATTATGGTCCAGCATGCTTCCTTTTCATGGGCCCTGCCTAGCACAGGGCAGTAAACCATTAATTTAAAATAGGTCTCTGAAAAACATAGGGTGATAAAGCAAAGAAGATGCAAGCCAAGTTGCCTTTATGCTCAAATCTCTGTTATTAACATTTAAACTCCTTTTCCCTCCTACCCCTGAATTTTATTGTAGGGGTGTGTGTGTGTGTGTGTGTGTGTGTGTGTGAGAAAGGTGAGGGAAGAGAGATGTTTTGGTAATTGAGTTAAAAAATGTGTCAATCTTTCTGTCTGAAGCAGTTCTCTAGTGTGGCTGGAGATGAATGCCGTAGAGATAGAACAAAGTTGTCTTTAGGAAGTAGCATAGAGGGGGACAGAAGGTGGTGGGGATGGCAGAGGTGACTTGCATGCTTGCTATTTACCTTTTCCTGTAAATTACCAGTCACTACACCTGGTTTTGCCCCAGTACTATGCTTGCTCTGTGGTCTTGGCTAAGTCAGATGACCTTTGAATTGGTCTTCTCATCTGTAAAATAGGGTTAATGCCTTACTGGGTCATGGTAAGAATTAAGTGACAGACCATATGTGATAACCTATTTTAAATTAATGGTTTACTTCCCTGTGCTAGGCAGGGCCCATGAAAAGGAAGTATACTGGACCACAATGAGCCCTGTTATGCTTTCGGTTGGCAGATTCTTGCTGCATATCAAGTGATCAATAAATATTAGTTTCTTCCTCCTGGAAACTCAAAAGCAAAGTTTGTGAGAAAGTTCCATTATATGAAGGACACTTAAAGGCATGTATCAAATTCCAGCTCTTCCACTAGAATGTCAGCATGTTGTTAAATGTGCTGTATCTGTGCAAAGAGAATGAATTGAAACGGTTCATGCAAATCCTATTGAAATTTAAAAAAATCAAAACTTCAGGCAGGATATACAAAGAAGATGATTTCCTTTAGATCTGAAGCCTGATTTTCTTTCAACCCTCTCTGATTTCTTTTAAGCTCTGGGTACCCAGACATATGCATATATTTTGGCTGCTTGGAAACATAATTGGTTTCTCTGGTGACTTGGCACTCTTCTTTTTCCAGATTTCTCCTTTCTTCTCTTCTAATAGAAGCACTGCCATTCTTCCTTCAAGTAATAGGTGCTTGATACATATCCCCAGCTGTGACCTGTGGTTAGTTGGCTGGCTTTTCCTCCTTTTTCTACCCATGGGTAGTATATGTTCTTTTTATGATACATGAATTTGAGATTGCATAACTTTTGATGCAATTCCTTTATGGCTTTACTGGGTAATGAGTGAAAGGATTGGAAATAATGTTTGGGGGAAAAAGGAATGGGAACATTTCTAATTCCATGAAAGACTTGATTTAGAATATTTCCCTCTGGTCCGATCTGGAGAGTCCTGCTGCAATATAGATTGCTTTGATAAAGGCTTTCTTTAAAATGCACTGAAGTGAATTCAGAATTCCATTTTTTTCAAAAAGTGAAATAAGTACAGAACATTTATATACTTTGCTCATTTACTAGTTAAAAGGATTCAGCGAGATTTCAAAGAAATAATTTAGAGATAGTTAAAACCTAGGCTACATAATAGGTATGTACTTGGTGCTATATTTTACTATAAACTATTGATGCTTAGCCTTATCACAAGTCCAGCTGGAAATCCACTGAATTTCTACATTCTTATAATTTGCATATTTGTTGATATATTCCTATCAGTGCTAAAAATAAAATATAAATTTATCAAATGACTGTGTGTCAGGCTCTGTTCTAAAAGCTTTATATATATTATTTAATGCTCCCATCAATACTTTAATGAAGGTATTATTATCATTCCCATTTTATAGATAAGACTACTGAGGTATTAAATAATAAGACACACAGATATTACATTTTACAGCTAGGATTCAAATCAATCTAAGTCCAGGATATCTGCTGCAATCACCAGTTGCCCACTGCGCCAAAATATGTTTTAGAAAAGAGTATCATTGTCCAGTCCTTTTTGTTACAAAGATGCTAATACAAGTAAGAATGTATAGATTGGGTTTACATGTCTTTATTGCATTTTTTTGTAGACTGATTGCAAAACTGACCTACATTTTCTGCACTTCCTCATATTCACATCCCTTATTAAAGACTTTGCAGCTGCTCCCATGAGGAATCTTTTCCCTCATCCCTCCTGGAAACCAGACTAGGCTTATGACTTGCTTTGATCAATACAATGTGGAAGAAGTAATAGTGGGCCAGTTCTCAGTCTATACTTCAAAAGGCATTGAGCCTTCCGTTCTAGCTTTCCCTCTGATACTTGCCACACCATGAGATCCAGCCTGAGACAGTCCACTGAAAGACAAAACATCGTGTTGAATGAAGTCATCCCTTTGACAGACCTCCCAGAACCCCCAGGCTCTGGCTGGCCTGCCACCTGACTGCAGACATGAGCAAACCCAGCAGAGATCAGCTGAGCCTAGCCCAGCTCAGCAGCACAGCCTTTCTAGCTTCTAAAACCACCAGAAATAATGAAGGGTTATTGTTTTCAGACAGTGAGTTTTGGGCGGTTTGTTATACAGAGGGCTAGCCAATACAGTGCTGATCTAATTGGAGGTATTTTTGTTAGTGTGTTTATGCCTTGGATTGGAGAGTTCTAGTAAGTTCAAATCTCTTAATCAACCTCCTCACTGAAAAACAAAACACAACTTCAGACAAAAACCAGAATTCACTTTGGGAGGCCGAGGCAGATGGATCACGAGATCAAGAGATCAAGACCATCCTGACCAACATGGTGAAATCTCGTCTCTACTAAAAATATAAAAAGTTAGCCAAGCATGGGGGCAGGCGCCTGTAGACCCAGCTACTTGGGAAGCTCAGACAGGAGAATCACTTGAACTTGGGAGGCGGAGGTTGCAGTGATCTGAGATTACGCCACTGCACTCCAGCCTGGCGACAGCAAGACTCCGTCTCAAAAAACAAACAAACAAAAAACCCCAAAATTCAAAAAAACTGAAAACAAAATAAGAAAAAAACAAGTTCCAAAGAGATTAGTAACTTTCATTCTTAGCTCCCTATTCCCGCCCATGGCCCTTCTTGCTATTGTTCAGTTTCTATCAGTTAGGATTTATTAAAGGCTATGTTAAAGCTGCAGGTTAGAAACAGCCCAGAAAAACCATACTAAATGGCTTCACCAGAAGTAAGATTTTAGCACATTTTAAAATGCTGAGCATGTATACACAACCTCGATTCTTTTTTTTTTTTTTTTGGTGATTGTCCAGACACATGACACTTGTTTTTTATTCTTCTATTGAGACCTTATGAATGGATGTGAAATATGATTGCCAACTAGGCTTAGCAGACCTTATAAAAGAAAAGCATTGTGGGACTTATCCATCAACTTAACACTCCCATCCCCCTTAAATCATAGAAATTCTAGAACTAGTATTTATTAGCTTGTTCTTTCTGTACATCAATTACCTTAGGCCCTATATGCCGCAGCTCCATCAAAAGCATTAAATAGTTCCCAGTGGCAAATTCCTGGTTATCTTTAGCTCATGCTGTTAAGTAAGTTTCCACAGTCTTTATAGCTCCAGCTTTTATTGTATTTTTTAAAAGACTTGGTTTCAGCTGTTAAAGCTCAAAACGTTGACTTAAAGGGAAATACTTGCCAGTGTGTGGGTGTAGAATTTGACTTTTCAGCTTTACGAAGGCCAGTGGGTTTGGGGCATCCCTGCTATACTGGAGAGCTTTCCAAAAGCTGATTGCTTGAGTTTCTGATGTTAATATATTACATCTATGTTTCTAACAAATTGATTAGCCCTTCTACCTTGCAGTGTCCTTAACCAGTTATCTGGCCTGCCTCAGCTTTCTTTATCGGGAGGACTTCATGCTTTACAAGCAAACTTTCTGCATCTTTTGAGTTTGCTATTTTCTGGATGGTGGGAGTAGGGGTGCAAGCCCATCGGTAGCTCCCCACATGCCTAACGCCATCTTCACACTGTCCCTGTTCCTCTTCCTTTTGTCTCTGAGCTCTTAATATGACCAGATTAATGCTCATATTTAACCTGGTTGTGGTTGCAAGATGCTGTTTCTTCCTCTACTTTTCTCAACAATATGAAATCTGCTGCTTTGAGAGGAAATGACTCTTTTAGAAAGAGGGAGGAACAATTAAACAGCCACCATTGTGAGGTGACGTAATGTATGCAAGGTCCTACTGAGAGTTTTATAATTGTTGAACTGTCTATCCTGATTTCTCAGTCAATACAGCAAAGCAAAACAATTCACCAAGTGTATCATAACTTGCTTTTACAAAATTCTGTAACCTTTTTCTTACACTTCCATTTTCTTTAGGTAAGGGATTTGTGAACTGCTCTAAATAGAAAAATAGGTCAATCAGTAAACTAATGATTCCCCTACCTGCATCTTGAAAGTTCCATTAGTATTGCAATTTGCCATTTCCTTCATTTAGTTATTTTGGGAAAATCTCTGTCTTGCATTGCTATAGCTTTTCTTCCAGGTGATTCATTTGTTTTATTTCCTAAATTATTTATATGCCTACTTAAAGCCTACTATACCAAGTTGGCTAATTTTTTTCTCTCTTTTTTGTGTGTATTTTATTTTCTTAAAGCAATGGTCTATCAAACTTGAATACCCTTAAGCACACTCCACAAATATATTGATATTTATTTAAAATATATATTTCTATATAATATACATTTAATATATAAAAATGAATAAATCATGAACATTGTAAAACATCATAATATTTCTCGTGAATATCTTACACATCCTATCCAAAAGATAATCAGGAAGAATTTGTTAGAAAACATAAATACTTTGCATCTTTATCAGTCAATTGACATTATAGATCAAATGCCTTTTTTTTTTTTTTGAGACAGAGTATGGTTCTGTCACCCAGGCTGGAATGCAGTGGCGCAATCTCAGCTCACTGCAACCTCCGCCTCCTGGGTTCAACTGATTCTCCTGCTGCAGCCTCCCGAGTAGCTGGGATTACAGGTGTGCACCACCATGTCCCACTAATTTTCTGTATTTTTGGTAGAGACAGGGTCTCACCATGTTGGCCAGGCTGGTTTTGAACTCTTGAGCTCAAGTAATCCAGTCACCTCGGCCTCCCAAAGTGCTAGGATTACAGGTGTGAGCCACTCGCACCCGACCCAAATGCTTTTATTTTTATATACATATGTAAGAAAGAAAAAGGGAGTGTATTGGAAACAACCGTACATATATAAATTAACTCCATTTTAAAAAGCCACATTAGAAATATTTGATAAATTTAAATAAATTTTCCAAGCTGTGGTCATCTTCGCAACCTATACACATGTACATTTTGGTCTATTGATTTCCAACTTTAGTCTGTATAAGACTAAATCACTTGGTGGGAAAAATTATATATATTACACACAGACACACATATATATACACACAAATACATACATAAATATAAACATACATATAATCCTGTATATATATATATATATATATATATATAGAGAGAGAGAGAGAGAGAGAGAGAGAGAGAGAGAGAAGACATATGTCTATATGTATATACACACATATTCAAGAAATTTGGTGCAACACCCAGGATCACCAGGTTAATATATTAAAGATGAATTAGAGATTCATCTTTGATAAAGATGTATGCATTCTTCTGATTCTAAAGGAAACAATGTGTGCATTAAATTTTTTCCTTAATTCTTTAAGAAATATTTATTTAAATTTTTAAAGGGATTATTTGAGAAACATAAAAACATGACAGAACATTTCATTGACCACTATACACAACAAAACAGGTAATTATGACATGTATTTTTATAATCATAAACATTCAGTACACTAATGACAGTTATATGGGTATAATATTCATGAGCAGAGGAGTCACATTCTAAGAGAAATAGGTCAAAAAGTGAAAGCTATAAATAAGTATCACTATGTTTGGTAATTGTGTGCACCCAGCTTTATAACTGAGGTCATCTGAAATACCGTGATGGACAACCTAAGTCTTTCGATGATATTGATCCAAAACTACAGTGGCTCACCACTGCTTATGCAGCCACCCAAAGAGTTGAAATCTTGAGAAATTTTATCTTTCACAAATTCAGATGTACAAAGAGGACACCTCTTCATTTTTTGAGGAAGTTTAGACATTTTTATGTACATGCACAATGCTTGCACACAAAGCCAACATTGTGATAATACACTTTCATGGAGTCACATTTGCAGAAAACAATGCATAAAATGAATTAGGACTCTCTAAAGGTCTATACAATTTCTACTTCAGTATTGCAAATGATGTAAAACTTAAATGCATAGCAAACATGTGCTATGTGTGAAGGAGCAGAACTCACGCATCATTGACTAATTTAACAAGGGAGATTTCTTGTATTTTTCACCTGCATTTTCAGTTCATCAATGATCTTCAAAACATTCACTGCACTTGTATTTGGAGAGTGACTGTGGTCTATAAATTTTATAAATATATGTTGCCCATTAGAAAGTCTGGTTATTGTTCAGCTATTGCCATTAAGGAATTTTCTGCTTTTGCAGCACCAATAATCATTAGCCTTTAAACTTTTATCTTTCACCATCTAGTAGCCTTGCCACTTAACTTATCATGGCCTTTTTCTGAGGGAACAATTTTACAGATCTCTTCTGTTCTGTCATAAGGAATACAATAAAAAGAAATGATATTCAGCTTCCCCACGACCAAATGCAAACTATTCCTCTGACAAACGGCTAATAATCCAGTATCTACAAGAAACTAAAAAACCTCAACAAGAAGAAAAAAAAAAACCTGTTAAAAAGTGGGCAAGGGACATTAACATACATTTTTCAAAAGAGGAATACAAACGGCCAAAGATGAAAAAATTCTCAACATTCCTAATCAAAGAAATGCAAATCAAACCCACAATGAGATACCATCTTTCACCAGTCAGAATGGCTATTACTAAAAAGTCAAAAAACAGCAGATGTTAGGAAGGATGTGGAGAAAGGGGAACGAACGCTTATACACTGTGGGTAGGAATGTAAATTAGTACAACTTTTATGGAAAAAAAATGAGGATTTCTCAAATAACCAAAAATAGAACTACCATTTGATCCAGCAAGTCCATTATTGATTATCTATGCAAAGGGAAAGAAAGAATTATATCAAAAAGATATCTTGCACTCATATGTTTATCACAACACTATTCACAGTACCATATGCACCATGGAATACTACTCAGCCCTAATAAAGAATGAAATCATGTCTTTTGCAGCAACATGAATAGAATTGGAAACCATTATCCTAAGCGAAATAACTCAGAAACAGAAAGTCAAACGCTACATGTTCTCACTTATACGTGTATGTCCATATATACCCATTGTTTAGCTCCCATTTATAATTGAGAACATGTAGTATTTGGAATAATAGAAATTACTGAATGGAATAATAGATAACGGAGACTACAAAAGGGGGCAGGGTTGAAAAATTATCTATTGGGTACGATGTTCACTACTTGGGTTATGGGTACACTAAAAGCCCAGACATCACCACTATGCAATATATGCATGTATGAAATTTGCATTTGTACTTCCTAAATATATAAAAAGGAAAAAAAAAAGAAACTTCTAATGGACAGTGCTGGACTATGACATTCAAGAACAGTTTTAAACCAATAAATATAATCCCAAGAGACATTTAAACAATGCCATGATGTGTGAAACATAGAGCAGAATTTGTAAGAAGTGATGCTATTTAACATTTGTAAAACATGCATAGAAATAATAACGAGGTACTTGTATTAATATCAAAAAGTTATTACATCTGTATATTCCATTTGTATTGCCCAGTTCATGCTTGGAATAACACTTTCTACTTTAATTTGTATAGTACAGTATCAAGTAAAGGAAGTTACAGAGGCTAGCACATAGGACTACAGGCAAAAATGCTCTCCAAAATTGTTTTAAGCGATATAAATGTTTTAAAATAAATTTCACCATGTATATTTAAGGTTAACAACATGATGCCATGGGACACATACAGATAGTAAAAAGATTACTATGATGAAACAAGTTAATCCATCATCTCACATAGTTACAATGTTTTTGGGCAAGAGCAGCTAAAATCTACTCATTTAGCATGACTCCCATGTACAGTACAATTTTAATATCTATTGTCCTCATGTTGTATATTGGATCTCTAGACTTGTTCATCCCCTATATTTGCTGCCTTGTGTCCTCTAACCTACACCCCCCAATTTCCTATGTCACTTCCCCCACAGTGTTTTAGTCTCTATCTCTGTACTATATAAATGTTTTAATAGATTAAACTTTAGATAAACAAAAATGAAACAACACATCAAAACTATCTAACAAGCAGCATAAGCAGTTATAAGAGGGAAATTTATAGAGAATGCCCACATTTTAAAAAGAGCATGATCTCAAATAAAGAGCCTGTTATTATACCCTAAGAGACAAAAAAAAATAAAGACAAATTAAGCCCAAATTTAGTAGAAGAAAGGAAATTACAAAGATCAGATCAGAAATAACTAAAATAGAGAATAGAAAAAAAAGAGAGAATAGAAAAACAATATAAAAGATAAATAAAACAAAAAGTTGTGTTTTTTGACCAAATAACAAAATCAACAAAGCTTTAACTAAACTAAGAAGAAAGAGATAAAAAGAAATCAGAAAGAGGAAAGGTTACAACTGATGTTACAGAAATGCAAGGAATCAAAAGAAACTATGAACAATTATCCACCAACAAACTGGAAAACCTAGATTGCAACAAAAACAAAAACGACAGGTGGGAACTGATTAAATTAAAGAGCTTCTGCACAGCAAAATAAAACTATCAACAGATAAACCAGACAACCTACAGAATAGGGGAAAATATTTGCAAACTATGCATGTAACAAAGTTCTAATATCTGGAATCTATAAGGAACTTAAATCAGGAAGCAAAAAGCAAATAACCCCATTAAAAACTGGCAAAGGACATGAACAGAGACTTCTTAAAAGAAAGCATACATGTGGCCCACAAGCATCTGAAACAATGTTCATCATCACTTATTAGAGAAACGCAAATCAAAACCACAATGAGATACCATCTCATACCAGTCAGAATGGCTGTTATTAAAAAGACAAAAAACAAGAGATGCCAGAGGTTGCATAGAAAAGGGAACACGTATACTGCTGGTGGGAATGAAATTAGTTCAGCCACTGTGGGAAGCAGTTTGGAGATTTCCAAAAGAACTTAAAAGAGAATGATCATTTGACCTAGCAATCCCAAATATATATACCATATATCTTTGGGTATATGCCCAAAAGAAAATAAACAATTCCACCAAAAAGACGCATGCACACTGTGTTCATCATAGCACTATTCACAATAGCAAAGATGTGGAATCTACACAGAAGAACACAATGGGACCCTTATTTCAAAACATATGCAAAAAATAAACTCAAAATTGATCAAAGACTTAAATGTAGGAAATGAAGTTGTAAACTTCTAGATGAAAACATAGAAAAGAATTATTGACATTTGTCTGGGCAATAATTTTTCAGATATGATCCCAAAAGCAGAGACAACAAAAGCAAAAATAGGTAAGTAGAATAACATCAAACTAACAAAATTCTACAGAGCCAAGGACACAAACAATAAAAATAAAGAGACAACCCATGGAATGGGATAAAATATTTGCAAGCCATATGTCTGATAAGGTATTAAGCTCCAAAATATATAGGAACTCAACCAACTTGTTATCAAGAAAACAGCTGATCAAAAAATAGGCACAGAACCTGAATAAATATTTCTCAAAAGAAGATATACAAATGGCCTACGAGTATATAAAACTATGCTCATCATCACTAATCATTAGGGAAATTCAAATTACAGCCACAAAGAGATATCATCTCACACCTGTTAGAATGACTGTTATCAAAAAGGCAAGAGATATAACAAGTGTTGGTGAGGATGTGGAGAAAGGAAAGCCCTGTACACTGCTGGTGGGAATGGGAAAACAGCCATTATGGAAAACAGCATAGAGGTTCCACAAAAAATTAAACATAGGATTATCATATGATCTAGCAATCCCATTACTAGGTATACATTCAAAGGAGATGAAATTAGTATCATTGCAGCATTATTCAAACTAGCCAAGATATGCATTTCATTGTACATATATTCCACATTTTCTTCATTCATCCATCAATGGACACTAACCTAAGTCCATTGATAGATGAATGAATAAAGAAAATGTGGTATATATGTGCAATGGAATGCTATTCAGCCTTAAACAAGAAGGAAATGCTGTCATTTGCAACAACGTGGATGAACTTGGAGGACATTACGCTTAGTGAAATAAGCCAGGCACTGAAAGGCAAGTACTGCATGATCTTACTTATATGAGGAATCTTAAAACATTGAACTTGTACAAGTAGAGAGTAAAAGATGGTTGCTAGGGGTGAGGGTAGGGGTGAGGCTGGGAATAGGAAGATGTTGGTCAAAGGATTCAGTTTTACTTAGGATGAGTAAGTTCTAGAGATTTATTGTACAGCATGGTAACTATAGTGAATAATAATGTATTGTATACTCAAAAAGTGCTAAGAAAATCGACTTTAAATATTCTCACCACAAAAATGATATGCATTTGATGTGGATACATTAATTAGCTTGTTTAAATCACTTCTCATTGTATGCATATGTCAAGCATCATGGTGTATACCATAAATGTATATAATTTTTGTCAATTATACCTTAATAATGCTGAAAAAATTAAAATAAAAGGAGAAAGACAGTGAGAAAGGCAAACAACAATGTAGAAGAGAACAAAGCAAACAAGAAACTTGTTTTCTCCTGCTCTTGTGTTTTCTCCTTGCTTCTTCGTGAGTCCTTGCTAGATTTACTCATTCCTATAGGGAGTGAATTGGCTCCTCATCTATGAGGTATTTCCCATCTCAAAACCTAATCTGTTATAGGATGCTGACATTTATCCCTCAAAGTTCTTTCCATGGAGAAATAGCCCTTGGTAGAGGCTAGAATGATTAGCAAGGAGGAAGTGGGAAAAGAAAGAGAATGCAGAAGCAGGAGAAAAAGGAATTTAGCTCATGACTTTCATTTTTACTTTAAATAGGCCAAAATAATGTCATTATTCCATAGTATTTTTCACCACACATTTGATTAATGTGAAGTCCATCATCATTTTTGCATCTAATCTTTTATTCATATTAGTGTTTACTATGACATGTGTGTTCTCCATCCTGACTGGATCATTAGGAAGAACCATCTTCCTTGCAGATATTTTAAAAATTACTTCTAATTGTATAAAGTAAGGTAATAGATATCAAATGACTTACATAGGTCCTGGTGCATAACACTCAAAGATGTTTATGGAAGCAGATTCTGAATCTTTTAATGTGAGCCACCACTACAATCTCAGCTCCTTCATTTTAAGTTTAGAAAACACAATTCTGGTGGCATAAACGGCTTGTTAGCTTGTTTTCCTGCTGAATGGATTACCAGCCTGATGTCTACATTTATAGAAGGGAATGCCTTTAGGTTCTCATGTACTTTAACAACTATAGCATTTGCAGAGGCTCCTGAATCAGTCTTCTATCTTTCTGGTTTACTGTCATTTAAGATTTGAATTCCTTTTCTATGTAAAATTTCATGGCTGGACTCAGCAATGCTTCTCTCCGGCCTACAATTCGTCACTCTGTTGGGCTATGTTGAATTCCAATATTGGGAAACTGCTGTGCATTTCAGCAAGCTAATTCTTTTTACTAAGTCTCAGCTACCTTTAGGTATAGAGGGGGATACCCATGAATAGAAATATTTAGTTTGCATCAGCATTTAATGGCAACTTCACCATATTTCCTAATTGAGCCCCTCCCTACGACTCATGAAATAAATAGTATAGCATCAGCTTCTTATTTTTGTCTCTGATGATCTTTTTCATTTTAATCAAGCACTGCTGTCAAAACTGTGGGCTCACAGTGATAAGTGCTCAAGAAGGAAATACACAGTCAAGCTCATCCTGCTTACATGATCCTTTGCTGCAGGGCATAAGCATTTGCCTGTTTTAGGAATTTTTTGCATTCTTCCTAAGCAGAGAATTTTTTTTTATTCTTTTGCTTCTATGCACTGATCTCATATAGTTGGACTTGCTTAAAGGTCTAATCAGGTGCATTTAATTTTTATAGAAGGATATGCATTTATAACATTGGAGATAATATAGCCAAATCTATCTATCTATCTGTCTATCTATGTATCTATCTATCTATCTATCCTTCTGTCATTATCTACTTTAAAAAGCACCAAGAGCCTGCAAACATATTTTTGATTTCAATTTGTTTTTAGCGAATGTTGGTCATAAAATTTTTTATGTCTTTGTTTTTTCAAGTTCCATTGAATGCTTCATAAATCCCCAATTTATAATGGAGAAGCCACTTTTGAATCATCAGCTATATATGGAACAATATATTGATCCTTTCCATTTTATTTAGAAAAAATAAATAATAATGTAAACATAAAGACACAAAATGTGGAGATGTGCACACTTAGTTTTCCCAGTTAATATATCTTTCTCATTTTGTATATTAAAGGAGGCCATGGGGTTCATTGCTGGGCAGCATAGTTTAAGAAAATTACACATAGAGTGAAATGTCTTATGTGGAGAACAGATGTTGAGAGGCACTCCAAGACATGTAATTTAAAAATCTGGAATAATATATCTTTATAAAGGAAAAAAACACCCTCAAGTGTTAGAGCCTGACAGCCATTATTAAATATTCCAATGTTCCCAGGTGGGAGTTTTCTTCTTTTATGCCACAAATGTAACACAAATACCACAAGAGATAATGTCTTATGTGGCATATTTAGTTTTAAGTATTTGGGAATCTGACAGCACCCTAATAAATCGCATCCTCTTTCTCACTTGAGTTCTGAAGTTTTGGGGAAGAACAACAAAAGAGTGGAAGGTAAAGATCAAAGCATATCCTTTCTAATGATGGAGTTAGACTGGAAGTACACTGGTAGTAGGAAAGCCACCCTCAGAACTGGACAGATTTCCCATCCCAGGCAGCTTCCTTCTCCCAGAAGCAGCACTCCCAGAGGAAGGAGGGATGCATATCCTCATGTGTCACCTGCTCTCACTTCTAAGAGAAGAAATTGAGGGCTGAGCCAATCATGCCCCTTTATGCATCCAAGTGTATCGATCAGAGAAGCCATCTGCCTCCTCATATATGAGTGAGTATATGGGGCAGTAAGAGTCGAGGTATGTATTTAGGAAAGCTACACAGAAATCAGAAGTGAAAAAAAAAAATCCTTCTCTAATGATAAGGAAATAATTTGTATTGATTAGTACTCCCCAAGATTCCATGTACTGCTTTTCAAGTGCATTAAAGATTTTCATCCATTCAGTCAATAATAGTTTAGTGCATACCAGTTCTCAGGCTCTGTGCTAAAGTCTGGGGATACAATGGGGATAAAAATGCACACATAAATAGGTACAGCTTTTTACTTAATGGAGCTTAAAGTGAGAGAATATTCCAGCTCAGAGAATGAGATGGTGAAAATGTGGTACTCTTTGCTTTGGCCGTACTGTGAAATCATCCAGGCAAATATTAAAAAAAATTAATTATGGGTCCCACCCAATTCTGACTCTGATTTAGTTGGTCTGGTGTTCAGTCTGGGCATGAAGAGAGGAAATAAGTCCCCAGGTAATTCTAATGTGCAATCAAATTTGAAAACTACTTGGCTAAATGAGTTCAAGGATAGGATAGTGGATGAAATAGATGCATCTGCACGTCTTGATCATGTTGATATTCCCAACGCTGGCACATATTATAGGTACTCAAAAATGCAGTTGAATGCAGTTCAAAGATTCTCAACCCTTTCTTATGCCCTTAACATCCTTTTTATTCTCTTTCCTGTTTGACTCCTAGACAAGAACTAATCTGAAATGTTTTCTTCCTCATTCATCAGTTTTTTTACTTCATCGCCCTTTAGAGCTTCACTTTCTGGGAACATTCCAAACTTTTCTGCTTTGCGGTTATCAGGACTTGATGATCTAGAATTGTTCCAAATTAATTTCTTGAGAAAGACTGAATCAGGCAGATTAACCACTGTGGAATAGTATAAGGTAGCAGTCCTTTTAACCTGCTTAAGCTGACGATTCTACTCATTTATTCAGTTGGATTGTATTTGTTTGCTATGGTGCTGGTTACTTGTCAATTTATAATTATTCCAAAATTCCATCTTCTAGAAAGATGTTAAGAAACACAGAAATAGATATAAAATCATTCATGGCTAGTTTTTTGTGTCTTACCTATATTGAAATTAGTATATCAAAGATAATAACTATGTCTTGAAAGACAGCTCTGTGCTGATTACTGTTCCAGGCATATATAATACCATAGTAAATCAGATCATCAAGGTTCCTGGTCTCAAAGACCCCTTACTATGAAAGGTGGAAATAATATTCAACAAGTAATCAGAAAAATTGGGAAGATAATTTCAAATAATGTATTGCAAAAACAATAAAATAAGCTGATGCAATAGGAAGCAACTAGGGATAACTCACTGATAGATCACTTTGGATAGAGTGATCAGCAAGGGCCTCTCTAATGAGAAAACATTTGAGCTGAGACCTAAACTATGATAAGAAGGAAGTATTTGGGAACTAGTGTCCCAGATAGAACAGCAAAGTGCTGGGTACAACTGAGAAATGTGTAGAAGGCAAACGGCTGCAGCTTGGTGAATGATAGGGCCAGAGTACCAAACAAGCTTGTTTGTCTTGGGAATCATAGGGTGGACCATTGAACTGGAAATATCGACAGGGACACTTACATTTCTGACAATAAGAAAGACTAAAAACTCTGAATAAAAATAGAATACATACTTTTAAATTTATAATTAAGAAAGGAAACTTCCAGAGACCAGAAGTTGAAAGGAAACTGGAAATCAGAAATATAAACTACAGAGAAGCTTCTGTCTACCTGTGTAGGGAGAAAGGGAGCTGAGGTTGGGGAGGGTGAGTAACTGTGGAGTTTATGTTTTCATGGCCTCATCTATTCTAGGAGATAAGGCAGGCTTTCAGCCCACATATGGCGGGAGTTGGAACTGATAACTCATTGGAAAGCCAGAACCCATGAAGGGTTACATCCTCAGTTAAAAGGTGGACTAGTAAAAAATCTGCCCAATGGAAAAGAAAGACAACTAGGATCTCATCTTGTCCTGGGTAATGGAAGTTAAATAAAGGCTCTGAAAATTTGTAATCACATGTCTGTCTTGAAGTAGGACTGTGGAAGAAGTTTTTATCAGAGTATGATCTGGGAAAGTGCAAATAGAAAATTAAAGTATTATAGATTAGTTATCTCTGATAGGGAGGAAGGATAATAGGATGAGGGAAAGGCACCAAGACCCTTCAAATGTGTCATTAATGTTTTATTTATTAAGTAGAGTGATACTTAGGAGTTGGTCATATTACTCTTTAGGTGTCTTTCTGAATTTCAAATATTTAAAAAATGTTAATTAAGTCAATATAAAAATATTGACATAAATGTAATTTCTTGGGTATTCAGTTGATACAAAATAGATGTACAAATTTTTACAGTACATGTGATATTTTGATACATTCATATCTAAAAATCAAATGAGGGTAATTGGCATATCCATCACTTTAAATAATTATCTTTTCTTTATGCTAGGAGCATTCGAATTATTCTCTTCTAGCTATTTTGAAATGTACACTAAATTACTGTCAACTGTAGCTACACCACTGATCTATAGAACACTAGGTCTTTTTCTTTGTCTGTTTATTTGTGCCTATTAATCAAACTCTATGATAAACTTTAAAGAAGAAAATAATCAATTGCTTAGCATTTGTTCATTATGTGAAATCTTCAACGTTCAAGACAATTCATATATATCTACGACCAAGTATAATTTTCTCCTAATTATCAATGTATAAATATTCATGTAATGGACGATTTAGCCAAGACAACTTTTGATTCCTCACAACTTAACAGCACGTGGTTCATATCCCATCTCCTCTACCCTAATGTTAGTTGCCATCAGTATCATCATCATCATCATGCCTAAATTCTCAACTCTTATATTAGACCATGAACTTCCTGAGGTGAGAATCCATACCACATTGACTTCTGTGCTCCCCACAGTGCCAAGCATAGGGCTTTGCATACAGTAGTCATCACCATCATTAGTCAGCCTTAATAGACCCTAAATTGTACTGAGCATTAAGAATATAAGAATGAGAAGTGATCCAGCTTCGAAAAGCTGAAAATATAATTGTATAGGGACAGCACACATGCAGTGGTGGAAGAATGCCATCTCAACAGCTGATATGAAATTACCCTTGAGAAGAAACCATCTTTTGGGGAAAGAATCTTGATACTTTGGGATGTAAGGTGAGACTCTGGTGGCATAAATATCTATGAGCCAAATGACAAAAGAAATGGCTTAGGTACTCTGCATGAGAAAATAAGAGAAAGTTTGTTCTGTTTTTTGAAAAGAATGGGAGAAAGAGTGACAGGAGACCAAAGATACCAAACAAATGATATAAGGCTGAGGCATGATATAACCAATAAAAAGACCCTGTAGGTGAGAGAAGCGATGGAACTAGGATCATCCATACTCAATTTGAAGTTGTTTGTGTGGCTGTGAAGCAGAAGCCCTCTATGGTATCCTCAATTCTTCAGCAATGGCTGCTGTATTGTGAATGCTTCCCATGAGGGAGGGGGGCTCTGGGAATGGAGAAGGGGTGAGTTTTATATTTAGGTGTATCCAAAACAGGTATATCACTCTCGGGCAGTAAGATGATCTACAACCTGAAACATTTCAAAAGGGGTATAAACCTATAGTCAGAGGTGACCATATTAAATGTAAGCCCCTAGAGAACTTTGAGGAACTTTCTGGGAGGGCTTTGAATTTTCACTAGGTGTTTAAATGGTTAGGTTTTAAATTAATGCTACTTATATCTAAAACTACCAAGAGATCCTTCCTAACATCTGGGATACATTTGTAAATGGCAGATAGCAATGTAAGGTAGAAAATATTAGAAACCAAATGAGTGGTAAGTAGTGTTAAATAAATGTTGATTGGGGAAATATCAAAGTCTGTGAGAGTCAGATAGACTTGTAGAAGATATGGGACTTGAAGCTAGATCTCTAAGAAAGAATAAGATGGGAGTGGAGGAAGCAGTGAGTACAGTATGTGAAGCAAAAGGAGTAGACTGAACACAGGCACAAACATGGGAAAGCTGGCCACCTGACAGCTTATATATGCTCAGAGAAGGCAAATGCATTTTAACAGTAGTCTATGCTAAACATAACTCCACTTAAATAATTGTGTACTGCAACCAATATCTCAATATTAATGGTGTTAGGAGTTTTGGGTCTTTTGGATTAACAACTCTGTGGCTTTCTTCATTGGTGTATGCAACTGTTTCTATGACTTCTAAGGTCCCAGCATGCACAAACAGGTATTGTCAGATGTGGGTAATCTGTGTGTATGTACCATATACATGTCAATCACATATCATATATTTGGAGAAAAATAACAAACCAGCGTATTTCCTCGACAATATCTCAGAGGACTAATGATGTCTAGGAATGGATGCAAATGTTAATGGTGTTCCAGTGGGCTGTTCTCTAGTGGCAGTCCTTGCCAGATGTGTAGCTGACACTTGGCTTTCTGACAGTGGATAAGTTGGGAAGGGTTAACAAAGGCCTAAGGTTTACAACAACATTGCTCCTGAGGCTGCAAAGAACTGAACGCTGTCCTGGTAGTCTGAGAGCCAGGACATCTAGGTGAGGTCACCAATAGATAGAGGCACTCAGAGAGGACTGAGTAACAAAGGACACACACAGCACCTCTGAGCACACATCAGTAGTCTCCTGCTACAAGAATAATAAGGCTACTTAGCATTTATATGGAAATTCTCCATCATTAGTTAATTCACACAACTCCCCCATGAGGAAAGTATTTTTATTTCTTCTTTGATTCCAGATGAGGAACCAAAGGCATAGTGAGGTTAAGTAACTTGCTCAAAGGCAAACTTCAAGTCAATAAACAGCAAAAGTGTGGTGGGAATACAGAGTTTCTAAATTCCTACTTTGCTTAGTTCATAAATGCCACTTGGTCTTTGCAGAAAGATGGTCAAGTTGACCCTCAGATCGTTCTTACAGTAATTGGGACATTTTTTTCTGCTAACAAGGCCTGCTTGGAGAGATCTTCTGTTTCAGGAGTTGATGCTTTTTGCATGCTCTGAAACAATAAACCTGAAATACCATCCACTATATCAGGGCATTTGGGGTTTACTGAGTTGGGATGCAGGGGTTGCTAGTGTGCTCCACCTGCCCTTCGTCTGAATCCATCATGTGTTATGAATGGGGTTTTCAATGTTTCACTTTGTAAGTGAGAGGCAGCTGCTGGGAGTAAGAAATGGCTGACTGAGAGTGGGGGCTGGGGAAGAGGAAAGAATAGAGTTTACTTCTTATCCAGCCCCTTGGACAGAGTGTATGTCCTTGTGGCTTGAGGGATGGGCACCAGACACTGATGGAAGAATTCTTGAGAGCTTGTAAAATGTTGGCACAAATATTATTGCCTCAAGTCCCGCAGGATAGTGTGTTTTAGAAAAAGGAGGAAGTCCTTCTCTCTGTTCTGAAAAGATTGAAAGTATTACGAATAGTTGGATACAGTGACCTTGGCAGAAACTTTTGCCTGTTTATCATAGCACCAGCAGCAGAGACTGTAATAAGGCTTCTCTAAGCTACTTTGAAGACAGCAGTATCAAGGAGAGAGAGTGAGAGCAATGGAGAAGAAACTGGGCAGGGGTCTTTAATGACTCTGGATAATGGACTAGCTTAGGTGCCCCTTTAAGGATTTCCAGAAATATTTGGCAGGCATTTGAGGGCTGTAAAGTTGATTGCTCAGAGTCACAGCATAAATGTAACCATTACCTAAACTTATGGGAAAAAGCTAGTGAGAGCAGGGGCCATTTTGGAGTTACTACACAATAGTTCTTCTTCCCCTTAGCTCTACATCTTGCCTTTTCAGTATCCCAACAAGTTGTAATTTTTTTCAATGTTAAAAATAAACAGCAACTCCATATGACTGGTGACTGATGGTGATGCTTCACAATTATGTCTGAGAAGTTTGGGGGAAAGTCCAATGAGACTGGTTAGAAATCTTAATACAATGTGGCTCAGTAAGAGAAGAACATGGCTTTGGACTCAAGAGGACTGGGTTCAAATCTCAAATTGTTACTTGGTTCTATAAACTTGGAAAAGTCGTTTAACTCAATTAGCTTTAATTTCCTCAACTATTAAGTGGAACAATGATGTTACTCCCTTGTCATACATGTTCTGAAGACCAAATGGGATGGAGTATCCAAAACTCCTTTACAAAGTGCAATTTATAATCTGTAATTACTACTTTTTAATGATTACTTGCCATTATGCGGGTTCCACAGATTACCTCAATGCAGAACTCTGGAAGGTAGGTACAATCCTGCTGGATTTGTATCTATCAGAATCCTGTCAATAAACAAAGAGTACACTCAAATAGAGATAATCTGGAGAGGGTTTAATAAAGGAACTATTCACCAAGCTGTGGCCATGGTGTAGGGAAACTACAAGTGATAGTGCAGTACCCTGGGGCTGCTAATGCGAGGTGTAGTGGTAACTGGGGTAGCACCCGAGGCCTGAAAGCAGGAGGAAAGGAAACAGTTATCGGAACCTGGATAAAGTACATGGTGAAACCACCTGCAGTTCTTTGACCCAGGTTGATGGGCATAGTCAGCCTTGGCAATACTGCAAAGAAGAAATCAGGGCAGTCAATACCGTGGCATCATGTTTTCCCTCTTCAATCTTCTGCCAGCTATTCAAAAGCCAGGGGGCAAATGAGGCCACTGACTTAGCCTATTTAGTAGTTAACTATATATCCAGGTCTGCCTGGAACAGTACCAATTTGTACCCTTTTTCTGGCATAAATACTAGCAGTCTCCTTCTTTTACACCTAAGCATCCATTTTGAACAATAAGTTAAGTGGCCATTCTATCTGTAATTGTTTGCCTTTTGGAGTTGATAAGAGGACGACAAGGCTGGTTAATGAATCTGGAGGGGGAAATAGAAGAAATCCTACACATAATTTTACAGAAGAAGAAATCGAGACTTTGAGATTAAACTACCTGCCCAACGTCAAACAGCTAATGAGGGGCAGAGTGGTTCTGAATACAGGCAGTATAAAAGTGGTTTCATTACAGAAGCTGAGCTCTGAACCACTGCTGCTGAAGATGCTCGGCCTGGAGAGAATGTTTACTTAGAGGAGGATAAGAAGGTTTGTTTTGGGACTCAGTGGTTCATACCAGTCAGTATTACAGGAAGAACTTTGGTGGTATTGCTGAATCTAGCACAGCTAGTGATCATATTTTATTCTTATTATATTACATTCAGCTGACATGAGGCTAACTCCTTATGAGGAAAACATGAGCTAAATCTTCAGTTCCCATGTTAGGAGGATTTCCTGGATGGAACCATTAAAGGAGTGTATCAAATCTGCTCACTTCCACAGACCTCTTAGATGTACTAATTCAACACTTGTACAAATAGAAAACCTTCAGTTCACCCTATGATTTTGCTCCATTTTAGTCAACTCTCCATGGTCCTTTGGTGGAGTGAATCTTTCTAATGACTTACACTTACAGCCATAAGTGGAAACAAAGGCAATAAAGAAAGCCCAAGGATGTTTTATGGTTTTGGCTATTTTAAAATGTAGTCCCCTGGAGATGAAAAACTTGAGCTACCTTGAAAGATAATCTGCGAGCTTCCCACAACCTTTTAGGAAGCTCTGCTCCCCCTCATCCTGCCTTCTAGAGACTGGGCCTGGACTGTACATGTCAACCATAGCTCATGGCAGGAAGTTGTGGGCTATTTATTTAAACCAAATAAAGTAATTCTGAGCCACATAAAATTGTTTTGGAGCAACTCATCATTATTGCCAGACGGAATTAACTGAGCACTCAATATTCTTTGCTAAATATTCTTGCGAAAACTCATTTGGTTATGTATGAAAGGGACACAGACAAAAAAAGATATTAAGGAAGATGTAGATGGAACTAAAGATAATATATATCTACCTACCCAGAGAGAGAGACAGAGAGGAGAAAAGAAACAGGGACCATTCCTGAGTCATATATGTATGTATGAATATATACGTGAATTTATTTTAGGGATGAGTAGTAGAATCCATTTTCATAACTGAGAATGAACTAGAGGCTTCTTATCTGGACACCAAGGTCATATTTCTAACTCTCTAAACATGTTCTCTGGTCACATCAATCTCAATAGAACTGAAAACAAACTCTTCCTCTTTTAATCAGATCTTTTTTCTCAACCTCAATAGTTCAGAGTTAGGGGGAATTTATGTCCATGAGTCATCCAGCTAGGCTTGAGCTCTTCAGTTCTCCAGAAGTTCACTTCTGTGTTGATGCAGGCCTTGCAATCTCCTCCACGATGCACTGGGCTCAGAGTGTAATGTTTGCTGGGCAAAGAGGGACAGGGGGAATGATCTGCAATTTGATGTGTGGAATTCAAAGTGATCTCAGAGGTAGGTCCCAGGTATTAAAGTAAGATTGAAAGCCAAGCACACAGTCCAAAAGACTGCCTAATGGACTGGTATTTGAGGGAAGAGCCAAGTCTGGGACAATGAGGTCAATACAGAAAATTCACAACTGGATTGAGTGAGTTCAAACTGTGGGTCATAGGCAGCATTTGCTGAGGCACTATCTGTTGGCTTGCTATATGCAATTCATATACCTTTATCTAAAGGTCCAAAAACCTTGTCAAAAAAATTAAATGACCTTAGTCCAACAATGTCTGAGAGAAAAATAAGAGTGTCTTCCCCACATAGGCTAACACCTTTAGTTTGCTTTGATAGTATCCTTACTCATTTCTCTTTCATCAATTATTCCCACATCTCTTCTCTAGCTTCAATTTCTTTTTTCCATTGATTTTTTTTCCTACTCATATAAAGTTGCCACTAGTTCTTCTTGCCAATTCTGTGGCCGCTGCAAGCTACAATGGTCTGCTTTCTCCTTTTCAATGCTAAACTCTTTGAAAGAGTACTTTGTAATCTCTTCCTATTCTTTTGTCACCTGGTACAATTTGGCTTTCACACCCCCAAGTTTACTTAAAATTACACTCCACTAAAGTCACCACAGTCTTCCTGGATGACAAATCCAGTGATATTTATCAGTCATAACCCTGACTTCTCAGTATATATGACCCACCAACCCCTTTATCCAGAAAACTTCTCAACATCTGCCTTTTATGATACCACTACCCATGGTTCTCTTGCTAATTCTTTGTCTAACTTCAATGGTTTTTCCCCTTTCTTACCCACTAAATGATTTTATTCCCTAGGTCAGGGTCCAATCCTTAGCCCACATCTTCTGTGTTCTAATTCTGGAGTAATTTCATTAAATGCCAGACATTAACACCCCTCTGTGGACAAAACTCATTCTACATCTATAATCTTGAGTTTTCCTCTGGGTTCCAAGCAAGTATTTTATTTGCCTTTTTGACATTTCCGTAAAGATGACCTATCAGTACCTCAAACTCACTATGTCTACAACAGAATTCGTTATCATTCTTCCCAAATCTGCTTTAGTTCCATATTCCTGATTTAGTTATTGATGTTACCACCCACTTACTACACAAACAAAATTTTGGTTTTATGGATAGCACCTTTTTGCTTCTTATGTCCAATTAATAGTCAGTGTTTAAACATGCTCCCTCTGCAAGGATTCTTAAATTATTTCCTCTATGGTGACTATTTTCACTGTTCCCAGTCGACCTTACTTCATTCTGACCTCCTCATCACCAATCATTCCTATAATTCCTTCCCACAGTCCATCTTGGATCCATGATCAGGGCTATCATTATCATGAAGAGATTTGAATGATTACTTTCTCTACACAATGTTTTATGATGTCCCCATAAAGGGAGTCTGGATAGTTTAAATTGATATTTGACCTTCCATAATTTTGTGCCTTCCACATTCCTTATCTTATTGATGCCCCCTTCATCCTTCCCCCTGAACAAATCTTATGCCCTAAATTCCAATTGTGTCTCTATTTCTGAAGAATGCTATGCCCATGATGTTTCCAGCTTTTTCCAATATTCTTTTTTTATAGTTTTAGTTAGCCTTCATGAAACTCTGCCTAATTACCTTAGGTAAAATAAATACCTATCCTCTCTGCATAGCTTTAATACGTTTTCGAGAAGCGTGCATGGACTTGCCTTTCTCAGTACAGTACTAACTCCCCTTCTAGACTTTAAACTCATAAAACAGAGGACTGCCTTGCTCATCTTAAGGTTTCCTGCAATGCTTGTCATAGTGCTTTATACATATATTCAATAAATGTTTATTCTATTGAATTAAAATCTTACCATTGGTTCTTTTAAAATATGTGTTAGATTTTCCATATTTTCATTTGAGTAATGCTACCTCTAAAGGAGGACCTGGTCACAGTCCATCTTTTTTATTATCTTGGACTTTTTCTTTCAAGCTACCTTGCATAAATCAATACTTTATGTTATTTTCCACTCCTAATCCCAAAATGACCTTGATTGGCTTTTGTGCCAAATCCAGAAGACTCCTCTTTCCATACCTCTAGGTCAACTGAGATTCCCATTCTCTCTCTTTCCAACTCAGACTTACTTTCTGTTACTCCATAAACTGCATTCTTCATACCAGTATCATCTCCCCCTAAATTTTATATGTGCCATCCTTTTCTCACCATTCTGCCTTTGCTCATCCTGTATCTTCTACCTGCAATATCCAACTTTCAAATCATGCAACATCTAACTCAAATGCCTTGTTCTCTGCGAGGCAATTCCTCATTACTATTCTGTGCATGATAATTGTACTCAAAATCAGTATCTCATGTAAACAGTAAATTGTTTTCTTATTGCTATAGTTTTGTTAGATTTCTCTCTCCAACAAGATTATAGGCATTGTGAGGCCAGGTAGGTATACTTCTGTAGGCCTATCAACACTTTTAAGCACATTGCTGGTCACATAATGCTCATTAATTGATCAAGAATAGCTAGGAATGGGGGTCCCATTTCCTAAAAAATGAGACCATATAACTCATCCAATATTTCAGGTCACTCATAGTAAGTGACTTTTAGAAGGGCTGCCATGCTGTGGACTGGGGCCCAGGCCAAGGTTCACATGGACACAATGTAGGAGCAGAAAAGCATCCGGCAGAGTCTGCCTAACTCAACAGCATGGTTTATTGTGCCAACTTCATCTGCTGATCTCATCATTCCTAATTATAATCAATTGATTCTATTAGCTTCTTAAACCTATTTCCAGAGAGTGTATTATACCGAGTGGCCATCATCGAGTAATAGAGTTATGCTCTTTCTACATAAGTCTCCATTCTAGCCAGCCAAGCAGAAAGAACATTTTGCACTAATGTTCTCATAGAAGTGTACAGTTTTCACTGTTTAAAACTTTGTTTCTTTGATCAATTATTTTGGTCTGTAAAAACCCAAAACAGTTTTGATATTTATCTCACAATTTTTAAGAGGGATGAACAGAATACCACAAAAAGACAACATTTTATTGTACACTGTTAGGGAAGAACCAACCTTGATTCTGCAAAGCTTATTAGCTGGAGGTAATAGAGAAGGAAAGGTATCGAAATGCTATAATTGTTGCCTTTATGCTGTTATATAGAACACTGTGCCTCTGGGCTATTTAAAAGTATTTCCCCAATCCAGAGAGACACTGTTATTCTCCACTCCCCATAGCTCTGAAGCAAGTTAACATAAAACTTAATGTAATTATTAGGATAAGATTAAGCTGTAGAAACAAGATAGGGAAACACGTTTTATTTATCTACACCTTGGCAAGTGACACTGGTGACAGAGTTACTTGCCAGTAGTGAACCCCAATCTGCAAACTAGAAGAAAATGTTAAAGGATAATTTTCAAGAGAAGGTAAAATCATGATTCTTACACAGATACAAAAGGAACATATGTAAATTATTCTTCTTAACTTCTTAATTAGAGAACTCATCAGATATTACCACCAGTTCAAAGGGAAATCCAAAGACCAGATCATTTATAGATCAGGAATTTTGAATGGAATGTGCAAATGAGGGTAAAACTAGCTCTTTCTCAATGGGGAAGAGAAGTCAGTTCAACCTCCACTGAAGAGAATTTGCTTATCTTCAGTCAAGAATGATTTTGCATTGCTCTGTAGGGTGTGGGCAGCCTACAGAGTTGTAACATGGCTACTCTAGAATCAGAATCACATAACCCCAAAAGGTGTAGTCTAGATAATGCAGTTTTCCAAGGAAGCAATGATGTTTTCCTACAAAATATGTTTAGGACAATATATGAAATGTAATGTGCCTTTTCTGAATTGAGAAGTGGGGATTGAAGATCCTCAGAAAGAAGAAGGTATTAAAAATGATCCTAGGTTAGATGTACACTTAAATGTCCAGATCCTCAGTCTCAAGTTTACCCCTAAGCCTTGCATACCATGTCTAAAGGAAACTTCTTAGTGGATCGGGGTGACTTAAAATGCTATCTCACTACTTAATTCCTTTTCTATTTCCTTCTTTTGGTTCTTGTTATCCTCACATTCTTCCAACTTAAAAAGAAAAGAGAGACTGCACTCATAGACAGAACAATAGTTAAAATTACTAATTACCAGCAGGCTGTTGAAAAAGGAAGAAGTGGGTGGGAAGAGGTGAGAGCCTGGGCCCAGGAGCTTAGCCACTCTTAACTGTGTAGAACAGGCTTGATTCTGCTCATAGAATTAATCAAGCTTCTCTACCTAGTCTAGGTCTTAATTTTAGAAGAACAGAATCCACTAACAGGATTTTCAATATTTGTTCCAGTATGCCCTAAAGAAAGGGAAGTACCAACCTAATAGGTAGAAAAATCCCTAAAATTGTGAGCTTCTGGAGAACAAAATCTCTCTTCATACAGTATATAAACCCATCAAAACACTGCCTGATGTAAGGACTTCACAAATGTCTCTTTGTTGGTAAGCAGGATGTTTATGTTGATAGTGCATCAATAAAAACAAGCAATGGATTCACAGACTTTTCTACTTGTCAGTTCTTTTTTGCTGATAAACAGCTTACTCAGGCCTGAAAACTACCTACTGTCCCTTCTCTCTCCCACTCAGCTCCCACAAAACAAGGTTAGGCTAAGTCGTGTTGCTTACCTTAGCTGCAAAGCTTACTACATCATAAAACTAGAAATAGCTTTAAATGGGCTGTCAGGCATTGATTTCCTCAGTTCCTCACCATATTCCTTCAAAACGGTGATTGTTTCTGGCTGTCCCTCTCTTCAGGTCCCCTTCATTCTTTCCAAGACTTCCTCTCTCAGAAATGGGTTATTTTCCTCCTGTCATATGTTTTCTTCTGATTCCCCTCAAAGGTCAATTTTTTCTACCTTGTAGGCCCCCTGTGGCCCACTTAATAACAAGAAACAGTAAACTATGATCTGTAGATCAAATGTAGCCCATTGCCCATTTTTGTATGACCTACAAGCTAATGATTGGTAAAAAAAATTGAAAGAAGAGGAAATATTTTATGACACATAAAAATATATGAAATGCCAACTCCTGTGTTCATAAACAAAGTTTTATTAGAATACAGCTATGTTCATTTGTTTATGTATTGTTGACAGATACTTTCACACGACAAGAACTGGGTGAAGTAGCTGTGACAGAAACCATCCTAAAAGCCTGCAAAGCCTAAAACACTTATCTTGTCTTTTATAGGGAAGTTTTGCTGATCCCTGGATTACAAACTTGCCTCTGCCACTTTGTCATTCCAGTGACTTTAGGCAAGTTACTTACTGCCCACTGCCTCAGTTTCCTCATTTGTAAAAGGGAAGTAATAATAATAGAACTCCCTCATTATTTTCTTCTCAGGATGAAAGAGTGAAAATGTAGAGTGTCTGACATGTAGTAAACACTATATGAACATTAACTATTATCATTATTATTATTTCTATAATTGCTGCTGCTCCTGTAATTGTTCTGATCTCCCTTTATGGAGTGCCTTCACTGTGTCAGGTACTGTGCTAACAGTTTTACATGGGATTTTTGTCCTGTCCATTTTTAAAAATGAGGAAGCAAAGGCCTGCAGAGATTAAGTAACTTGTCAAAGTCACTTAGCAAGTCAATAGATTCAACCCAGTCCTGACTCCAACCCCAAGTTCATTTTACCATATGAGTGCCTTTTAACCAAATTTTCTTTTTTTGTAATAGAATCCTTATTTCTCTCCTATTAAATTTTGCCCAGGATGCTGATTTCTCTGATGGTTGAAAATATTTTTCCTCCGGATGATTCAGAGTCTGCCACTCTGAGTCCATCTTGCTCCTTCACTGGCCTGAGTCAGCTCCAGGGAATTGTGAATCTCCTTGAACACAGTGTGGCAATGGCTGCTCAGGCTCCCATGCTGTGCCCCCTTCAGTGGCACAGAAATTTTAGATCTTCTTGCAAGATTATTATTTGAGGGTAATGAGGAATGAGGGTGAGAGGTCATGTCAATATCCTATCTGCAGATTGCTTAAACTCAGCAGCTATGAAGATATCATAATGTGAAGGCGCAGACTCTGCAGCCAGAGTGCCTGTTTTTAAATCACAGCTCTACCGCTTTCTTACTTTGTGATGTTGGACAAATCATTTAACTTCTATGTGCCTTGATTAGTCTACCTCTTACACTGGCACATCCTGAGGAAAGAATATAAACGAAGGCTCACATACTCTATGTCCATTTAAAGGTCGTAAATCTAGCTAGCACCTGTTATATCGTCTATCATCCTAGAAAAACAAAAAGTACTTATCTAGCATTCTCAGACTACCAGGCAGGAACATGGTGGTACCAGGACAGTTGGAGAGTGGCACACATTCCTCTCCTCCCCTACACTCTCTCTTTCCAACAAAGGGCTTCAAATGCACTTGATTATACCATCCTGACCCATGAGTACCTGGGAGTCTGTAATTCCCACAAACAGTCAACCTGAGGCCACCCCTTGGCCATGCCTCTGACTTCAGCTAAGGATGTCTTCCTAACCCCATTGATTCTTTGCCCATGATAAAGGGCATAAATGGAAAAGGCTCAGACCAGGAGCCTTTTTTGCCCTCATCTAACAGTGGTACTCTTCATCAGTATATTGAAGATAATAATGGAATAGCCGCTGCAATGAGAATAAGTTAATATGTTTAAAGTGCTTAGAACAATGCCTAGTAAATGCCAAGAACTACATATATATATATGTATATATATATAATCTATACTTTTGCAAATAACTCATGAAGGCTGTGACTGGTCTGAGATAGAACTAGGAGAAAACATCAATTTGAAAAGAAATTACATAAAATGGAATGAGTTATATAGTCAGTGTAGATGTTTGGCCAAGTCTTCTTCTTCAGAACAACTAAAAAAATGGGAGATTCTATATGAACAAGTACCCAGTACTATAAACCAGGTCATATGTGCCATGGCAGTCCGGAGCTTAAACTCAGTGTTGGTGAATGATGGATTATCAATTTAGGTGCAAATCGTACCTCACCAATGAAGTAATTACAAAATCTGGCATAACTTTGAGATTCTCTACTGCTATTCCTAATAAAGAGAGGCCACCTCTTGATCATTTTCTGTATTACCAGTCCTCTTAGAGCATATCTAAACGCAAAGTGCTAACCTTTTAAAATTGTATGCAGAACAAGTGACCTGAAAGATATGCACTGTGAATAACAAAAAGTGATGCTGATAACCAATATAAAGTCTTTATTGAGTTAAGTAATAGTGGCAGTGTTAACTGCCCCTTATCAAGTGCTTTATATACTTACAAATTGGTATTATTTCCATTTCATAGGTGAGGAAACTGTGGCTCATAAAGGTTAAATGACTCTTCCAAGGCCATGTAGTTTATGAGTAGCAGGGTTGGGATTTGAATCCAGAGCTATCTTGTGCTTAAGCTGAGATAGTTCTGTTTTTGACCCCAAAACAGTCTCTTAATGCACAATGTACTTCAAGAGAGCATATTGTTGTATGAACACCGTGCTGCCAAATGACTGTCATCCAATGCAATGATCTTTGTGTTGCAGTGAACTTCAATTCAGTTTTATGTGCTTCTCCACGTGTGGTTGTTTCCCTTTGGTTAAATCCCCAGATTGTCAAAATCTTCACTAATGTATCCATCGTGGTCCCTTGGTTAAGTTGTTCTACTAAATTTTCATACAAGTTTTACTTTCACAAATATCGAAGATGCCCATTAACAAACATTTTTAAAAAGCCCCAGTAGAAATCACATTTTTGATTCTATACATTCTATAGGGTTTCTTTGCCATTGTCCTGGCAGGCAAATTTGGTTATGTTATTGAAGTTCCGGAAGGAACAGCCAGATTCATTCCCTGGACTTGACACTCTTCACACACAGACCCTTTCTCCTCTGCAAAGCTGTGTCCTCTCTCATTCCATATTTGCAAATGTCCCTGCCACCTGGCTGCTCACAGAAAAGGAACAGATTCTAGAACATCACTTCCCAAGGTGAAGTATATCCATTTCAATCTCTAAATGAGGAAACTGCTGGTGCAGAAAATCACTAAACAAAAAGCATCTCCTTCAAATGCCCTCATGAAAGGACTCATTTCCTGGCAGTGGAAAGAGGAAGCAAGCAACCATTACACAGGGCCCAACACAAGGAAAATCTGCTCATGGCAAATTTCTGTGCCAATCTCCCAGATCTGTTAGCCATTGAGTGGTATGCTATGCCAGCAAGGAGTCACTGGAAGCAGGAAAAAGATTGCAGAATTTATATCATTGTCTCTGAGGTCATACCAAGAAAATCCTTGCTGTTAGCAACCATAACTTCTGAGGTTCAAAAATGAATGCATAACCAAGGCCAAAGTCACCTCAACTCCTTGACAAGCACATCCCAGTCTACACTGGCATGATGTTGCAGATATGATTTAAAAAAAATACAGAGCTCTGTTTTCCAGGAGGAAGCTATGTTATAATGGAAAGCTTATTCTAACTTGATTTAATATTTGCTATTAATTTCTAACTTTTCCCTCTTACTATTTTCATAAACCCAACCAAATTTTGTGATTCTGGTCCCCCACTAACATAAGGCAATAAAAATGTATTCTTTTCAGCGTTCTTGTGAAAATCAAATAGGAAGCCTCTTTGTAAAACAACTTATAACCCTATCCAAGTCTCTGCTGACATAGTCTAGTTACTTCTGTTTTATAAGTTTTCTCCATTTTAAATTGGCCTTTCAGTTTATAAAGCAAGTAATTACCAAGAGCTTTGGAGAGTCAAGAAGTTTGGGCCCCAGATGTCTTTCTTTTCTCCCATTCTTTAGCAGTGTTTCATCAGAAAATGGTTGTCCCTAATCCTCTCTTAAATGACAGAGATTCCCATGTATGTTCTGTGTTAGGTGACAATCAGATATTGCTGGGGCTTGTTAAAGAAAAAGGGGAAGCTCCTTCCACACCTGCCTTCTGTGATTAAAATTATACCTTGCCTTGACTCTTCAGTATTATCAAGTAGTTTAGCTGTTATCCATCCATTGTTTACTCCAGACATTTTTTTAGTACTGCTGGCAGCATGATTACCAACTGACAAGCAAGTCTGAATATTGAGGCTGGTGAATGACTGGCATTCTTAAACATGGTAAACATGAAGATTTTTCATCTAGAAGATACTGATTTCACTTCTGGCAGTGCTGAGGGATGGGCCATGTCAAAACCGAGAAAGAATCTACAGTTCTGTGAAAAGACAGATTCTTCAGAAAGGAAAATGATACTGACCCTTACTTAATCAGTCTTCTCCCCAAGTCTGCTTTCTCTTTTTTTTTTTCTCTTCCTTTGGCTTTTCCTCTAGAGCTTGCCCTTTTTTCTGTTCCTCTCCTTTCTTGTCTCACATTCTGCAGTAGAAGATACAACATATAATCAACACATAATGTCCTAACTGTCTTATAAAGTGTCTCCTGAGAAAGATATATCATGCAAATGTAAAGCAAAAAGTAGGGTTTGCACATAGTTGGAAGTAAAGCACTCCTCGGCAAATGTAAAAGAACAGAAATTATAACAAACTGTGTCTCAGACCACAGTGCAATCAAACTAGAACTCAGGATTAAGAAACTCACTCAAAACTGCTCAACTACATGGAAACTGAACAACCTGCTCCTGAATGACTACTGGGTACATAATGAAATGAAGGCAGAAATAAAGATGTTCTTTGAAACCAACAAGCACAAAGACACAACATACCAGAATCTCTGATACACATTTAAAGCAGTGTGTAGAGGGAAATTTATAGCACTAAATGCCCACAAGAGAAAGCAGGAAAGATCTAAAATTGACACCCTAACATCACAATTAAAAGAACTAGAGAAGCAGGAGCAAACACATTCAAAAGCTAACAGAAGGCAAGAAATAACTAAGATCAGAGAAGAACTGAAGGAGATAGAGGCACAAAATCCCTTTAAAAAAAAGCAATGAATCCAGGAGCTAGTTTTTGAGAAGATCAACAAAATTGATAGAACTCTAGCAAGACAAAGAAGAAAAGAGAGAAGAATCAAACAGATGCAATAAAAAATGATAAAGGGGATATCACCACCGATCCCACAGAAATACAAACTACCATCAGAGAATACTATAAACACCTCTACACAAATAAAGTAGAAAATCTAGAAGAAATGGATAAATTCCTCGACACATACACCCACCCAAGACTAAACCAGGAAGAACTTGAATCCCTGAATAGGCCAATAACAGGCTCTGAAACTGAGGCAATAATTAATAGCCTACCAACCAAAAAAAGTCCAGTACCAGATGGATTCACAGCCGAATTCTACCAGAGGTACAAGGAGGAGCTGGTACCATTCCTTCTGAAACTATTCCAATCAATAGAAAAAGAGGGATCCTCCCTAACTCATTTTATGAGGCCAGCATCATCCTGATACCAAAGCCTGGTAGAGACACAACAAAAAAAGAGAATTTTAGACCAATATCCCTGATGAATATCGATGCAAAAATCCTCAATAAAATACTGGCAAACCGAATACAGGAGTACATCAAAAAGCTTATCCAACATGATCAAGTGGGCTTCATCCCTGGGATGCAAGGCTGGTTCAACATATGCAAATCAATAAACATAATCCAGCATATAAACAGAACCAAAGACAAAAACCACATAATTATCTTAATAGATGTAGAAAAGGCCTTTGACAAAATTCAACAGCTCTTAATGCTAAAAACTCTCAATAAATTAGGTATTGATGGGATGTATCTCAAAATATTAAGAGTTATTTATGACAAACCCACAGCCAATATACTGAATGGGCAAAAACTGGAAGCATTCCCTTTGAAAACTGGCACAACACAGGGATGCTCTCTCTTACCACTCCTATTCAACATAGTGTTGGAAGTTCTGGCCAGGGCAGTCAGGCAGGAGAAAGAAATAAAGGGCATTCAATTAGGAAAAGAGGAAGTCAAATTGTCCCTGTTTGCAGATGACATGATTGTATATTTACAAAACCCCATTGTCTCAGCCCAAAATCTCCTTAAGCTGATAAGCAACTTCAGCAAAGTCTCAGGAAACAAAATCAATGTGCAAAAATCACAAACATTCTTATACACCAATAACAGACAAACAGAGAGCCAAATCATGAGTGAACTCCCATTCATGATTGCTTCAAAGAGAATAAAATACCTAGGAATCCAACTTACAAGGGATGTGAAGGAACTCTTCAAGGAGAACTACAAACCACTGCTCAATGAAATAAAAGAGGACCCAAACAAATGGAAGAACATTCCATGCTCATGGATAGGAAGAATCAATATCGTGAAAATGGCCATACTGCCTAAGGTAATTTATAGATTCAGTACCATCCCCATCAAGCTACCAATGACTTTCTTCACAGAATTGGAAAAAACTACTTTAAAGTTCATATGGAACCAAAAATGAGCCCGCATAGCCAAGACAATCCTAAGCCAAAGAATAAAGCTGGAGGCATCACGCTACCAGACTTCAAACTATACTATAAGGCTACAATAACCAAAACAGCATGGTACTGGTACCAAAACAGAGATATAGATCAATGGAGCAGAACAGAGCCCTCACAAATAATACCACACATCTACAACCATCTGATCTTTGACAAACCTGACAAAAACAAGAAATGGGGAAAGGATTCTCTATTTAACAAATGGTGCTGGGAAAACTGGCTAGCCATATATAGAAAGCTGAAACTGGATCCCTTCCTTATACCTTATACAAAAATTAATTCAAGATGGATTAAAGACTTAAATGTTAGACCTAAAACCATAAAAACCCTAGAAGACAACCTAGGCAATACCGTTCAGGACATAGGCATGGGCAAGGACTTCATATCTAAAACACCAAAAGCAATGGCAACAAAAGCCAAAACTGACAAATGGGATCTAGTTAACCTAAGGAGCTTCTGCACAGCAAAAGAAACTACCATAAGAGTGAACAGGCAACCTACAGAATGGGAGAAAATATTTGCAATCTACCCATCTGACAAAGGGCTAATATCCAGAATCTACAAAGAACTCAAACACATTTACAAGAAAAAAACAAACAACCCCATCAACAAGTGGGCAAAGGATATGAACAGACACTTCTCAAAAGAAGACATTCATGCGGACAACAGACACATGAAAAACTGTTCATCATCAATAGCCTTCAGACAAATGCAAATCAAAACCACAATGAGATACCATCTCACACCAGTTAGAATGGCGATCATTAAAAAGTCAGGAAACAACAGGTGCTGGAGAGGATGTGGAGAAATAGGAACACTTTTACACTGTTGGTGGGACTGTAAACGAGTTCAACCATTGTGGAAGACGGTGTGGCGATTCCTCAAGGATCTAGAACTGGAAATACCATTTGACCCAGCCATCCCATTACTGGGTATATACCCAAAGGATTATAAATCATGCTGCTATAAAGGCACATGCACACGTACGTTTATTGCGGCACTATTCACAATAGCAAAGAGTTGGAACCAACCCAAATGTCCAACAATGATAGACTGGATTAAGAAAATGTGGCACATATACACCATGGAATACTATGCAGCCATAAAAAAGGATGAGTTCATGTCCTTTGTAGGGACATGGTTGAAGTTGGAAACCATCATTCTCAGCAAACTATCACAAGAAGAAAAAACCATACACTGCGTGTTCTCACTCATAGGTGGGAATTGAACAATGAGAACACTTGGACACAGGAAGTGGAACATCACACACCAGGGCCTGTTGTGGTGGTGGGGGAAGCAGGGAGGGGAAGCATTAGGAGATATACCTAATGTAAATGACGAGTTAATGGGTGCAGCACACCAACATGGCACATGTACACATATGTAACAAACCTGCACGTTGTGCACATGTACCCTAGAACTTGAAGTATAATAAAAAATAAAAAATAAAATAAGTAGGGTTTGCTATTCTTATATTAGATAAAACAGACTTTAAGCCAACAATGGTAAAAATGGACAAAGAGGGGTATTACATAATGATAAAGGGTTCAATTCAATGAGAAGCCTTAACTATCACACCCAACACCATATAACAATGAATTCTAGGCCTATGAAAAGACTTAGACAGTCACAAAATTATATGGGGGGATTTCACCACCCCACTGACAGTGATAGATGATTGAGGCAGAAAACTAACAAATCCTAGACTTAAACTTGACACTTGACTAATTGGACCTAAAAGACATCTACCGAACACTCCAGCCATCAACCACAGAATATATACATTCTTCCTCTCTGCACATGGAACATAATCCAAGATCAACCACATGCTTAGCCATAAAGCAAGTCACAGTGAATTCAAAAACAATTGAAATCATACCAACTATACTCTCAGACCACAATAGAATAAAAATGGAAGTCAATACCAACAAGTTTCCCCAAAACCACACAATTGTGTGGATATTAAACAACTTTCTCTTGAATGACTTTTGAGTA
This sequence comes from Homo sapiens, assembly GCF_000001405.40. Classification (NCBI taxonomy): domain Eukaryota; kingdom Metazoa; phylum Chordata; class Mammalia; order Primates; family Hominidae; genus Homo; species Homo sapiens. The sequence goes on along the minus strand of NC_000009.12, from coordinate 8,102,180 downwards.
AATAAGGCAGAAATTAAAAAAATTCTTTGAAAGAAATAAAAACAGAGACACAACATACCAAAATCTGTGGGATGCAGCAAAAACAGTGTTAAGAGGAAAGTTTGTAGTGCTAAACAACTAACTCAAAAAGTTAGAAAGATCTCAAATGAATGATCTAATATTACAACTAAAGGAGTTAGAAAAACAAGAAAAACTAACTACAAGCTAGCAGAAGAAAAGAAATAAACAAAATCAGAGCAGAACTGAATGGAAGTGAGACCCCAAAGTCCATACAAAGAATCAACGAAACCAACAGCTGTTTCTTTGAAAGGATAAATGAAAGCACTAGACTAGCTGGATTAACAAAGAAAAAAAAGAAGATCTAAATAAGCACAGTCAGCAACTATAAAGATGACATTACAATCCATCCCACAGAAAAATAAAAGCTCTTTAGAGACAATTATTAACAACTTTATGCAAAAAAACTAGTAAATCTAGAGGAAATGGATGAATTCCTGGAAATACACAACCTCCCAACATCGAATCAGGAAGAAATTGAAATCTTCAACAAACTGATATCAAGTTCCAGAATTGAATCAGTAATAAAAAACCTACCAACCAAAAACAGCCCCAGACCAGATGGATTCATAAATTCCACCAGACATACAAAGAACAGCTGGTACCAATTTACTGAAATTATTCCAAAAAAGAAAGGAGGAGAGACTCCTCCCCAACTCATTCTATAAAGCGAGCATCACCTTGATAACAAATCCTGACAATGACACAACAACAAAAAAGAAAACTATAGGCCAATATCTCTTATGAACATAAACCCCCAAATCCTCAACAAAATCCTAGCAAACTAAATCCAGTAGCAAATCAAAAAGTTAATTCACTGTAATCAAGTAGGCTTAATCCATGGGATGCATAGTCAGCTCAACATATGTAAATCAATAAATATGATTTACCACATAAACATAACTAAAAACAAAAACCATATGATCATCTCAGTAGTTGCAGAAAAAGCCTTCCATAAAATCCAACATCCCTTCACAATTAAAACCCCCAAAAAACTAGGTGTCAAAGGACTATATCTCAAAATAATAAAAACCGTCTATGACAAACCCACAGCCAATATCATACAAAATGGGTAAAAGCCAGAAGAATTCCCCTTGAGAACTGGAAAAAGATAAGGATGCCTGCTCACCACTCCTATTTAGCATAGTATTGGAAGTCTTAACCAGAGCAATAAGTCAAGAGAAATAAATAAAAGGCATCTATACAAGAAAAGGAGCCAAACTATCTCTCAAATAAACGGCATCCATAATAGAAAAGAAGTCATACTATCTGTATTCAGGGATGATGATGTGATCCTATACCTAGAAAACCCTAAAAGCTCCATCAAAAGGCTCCTGGAACTGATACACTACTTCAGTAAAGTTTCAGGATACAAGATCGGTGTGCAAAAATCAATAGCATTTCTATACACCAATAATGTTCAAGCTGGTAGCCAAATCAAGAAAACAATCCCATTTACTGTATTCACACACAAAAAAATAGTAGGAATAAATCTAATCTAACCAAGGAGATAAAGGATTTGTAGAAGGAAAACTATAAACACTGCTGAAAAATGGCTGGGAGCGGTGGCTCACGCCTGTAATTCCAGCACTTTGGGAGGCCAAGGTGGGTGGATCACGAGGTCAGAAGATCGAGTCCATCCTGGCTAACATGGTGAAACCCCGCCTCTACTAAAAATACAAAAAAATAAATTAGCTGGGTGTGGTAGCAGACGCCTGTAGTCCCAGCTGCTTGGGAGGCTGAGGCAGGAGAATGGCGTGAACCCGGGAGGTGGAGCTTGCAGTGAGCCAAGATCAGGCCACTGTACTCCAGCCTGGGTGACAGGGCAAGACTCTGTCTCAAAAAATAAACAAATAAATAAAAATAAAAATAAAAAAACTGCTTAAAAAATCATAGATGACACAAATGGAAAGTCATTCTATGCTCATGGGGTAGAAGAATCAATATTGTTAAAATGGCCATATTGCCTAAAGCAATCTACAGATTCAATGCTATTCCTATCAAACTACCAGTGTTACTTTTCATATAATTAAAAAAAAACTGTTCAAAAATTCATATGAAACAACAACAAAAATTAGCTCAAATAGCCAAAGCAATTCTAAACAAAAAGAAAGTCAGAGGCATCACATTACCGTGCTTGAAACTATGCTATAATGCTACAGTAACCCAAACAGCATGGTACTGGTACAAAACCAGACATAGGCCAACGGAACAAATTAGAGAATTCAGAAATAAAGCTGCACACCTACAGCCATCTGATCTTTTACAAAGTTGGCAGTAACAAACAATGGGAAAAGGACTTCCTATTTAATAAATGGTATTGAGATAGCTGGCTAGCTACATGAAGAAGAATGAAACTGAAACTGAACCCCAACTTCCAAAAAATTAACTCAAGATGGATTAAAGATGTAAATGTAAGACCTCAAACTATATGAATCCCGAAAGAAAATATAGGAAATACCACCCTAGACATCAGCCTTGAGAAAGAATTTTTGACTAAGTCCTCAAAAGCAATTGCAACAAAACCAAAAATTGACTAGTGGGACATAATTAAGCTAAAGAGCTTCTGCAAAACAAAAGAAACTTCCAAAAAAGTCAACAGCCTACAGAATGCGAGAAAATGTTTACATTATCTGACAAAGATATAATATCCAGAATATATAAGGAACTTAATTTAACAAGCAAAAACCAAATACTTCCATTAAAATGTGAGCAAAGATGTTTGTTGCAGATGTTTTCACAATAGCCAAAATTTTGGATGCAAGCTAGGTGTCCAGCAACAGATGAATGAATAAAGAAAATGTCGTACTTGTACATAAAGGAGAACTATTGAGCCATAAAATGAATGAGATCCTATCATTTGCAACAACATGGATGGAACTGGAGGTCATTACGCTAAGGAAATAAGCCAGGCAAGAAAGACAAATATCACATGTTCTCACTTATTTGTGGGATCTTAAAATCAAAACAATTGAACTCACAGAGATAGAGAGTAGAAAGATGGTTACCAGAGACTTGGAGGGTATTAGGGGGATGGTGGCAGTGGGGTGGGGGGAAGAAGAGGGCAGTGGGGATGGTTAATGAGTACAAAAAAATAGGAAGAATGAATAAGACCTAGTATTTGGTAGCACGACAGGGTGACTATAGTCGATAATAATTCAACTGTACATTAAAAATAATTAAAAGAGTATAAATGGATTATTTGTAACACAAAGGATGAATGCTTGAGGGGAAGGATACCCCATTTTCCATGATGTGATTATTGTGCACTGAAGGCCTGTATCAAAACATGTTATGTATTCCGTAATTATATACACCTACTATGTACCCACAAAAATAAAAAAAAAAAAAAAAGAAAAAGAAAGTGGGCAAGGGACATGAACAGACATTTCCCAAAACATGACAGACAAGTGGTCAGCAAACATAGGAAAAAATGCTTCACATCACTAGTCATCAGAGAAAAGCAAATCAAAGCCACAATGAGATACCATTTTTATACAAGTCAGAATGGTTATTATCAAAAAGTCAACAAACAACAGATGCTGGCAAGGCTGTGGAGAAAAGGGAATGCTTACACACTATTGGTGGGAATGTAAATTAGTTCAGCCACTGCAGAAAGCAGTTTGGAGATTTCTCATAGATCTTAAAACAAAACTACCATTTGACCCAGCAATCTCATTACTGCGTATATTGCCAAAAGAAAATAAATCATTCTACCAAAAAGACACATGCATGCGCATGTTCATTGCAGTGCTACTGATATGGTTTGGCTATGTCCCCACCCTAATCTCATCTTGAATTGTAGTTCTCATAATCCCCAAGTGTTGTGGGAGGGACCCAGTGGGAGGTAATGGAATCATGGGGCGGTTACCTTTATGCTGTTCTGATGATAGTGAATTCTCATGAGATCTGATGGTTTTATAAGAAGCTTTCCCTCTCTACACTCTGTACTTCTCCTTGCTGCCACCATGTGATGAAGGATGTGCCTGCTTCCCCGTCTGCCATGATTGTAAGTTTCCTGATGCCTCCCCAGCCATGCTGAACTGTGAGTCAATTAAACCTCTTTCCTATATAAATTACCCAGTCTCAAGCATGTCTTTACTAGCAGAATGAGAACACACTAATACTGCTATTCACAATGGCGAAGACACAGAATCAAATAAGATGCCCATCAATGGTGGATTGGACACAGAAAATGTAGTATGTATATACCATAGAATACTATGCAGCCATGAAAAGAATGAAATCATGTTATTTGCAGCCACGTGGATGCAGCCGAAGGCCATTATCTTAAGTGCATTAACACAGAAAAAGAACGCCAAATGCCACATATTCTCATGTATAAGTGGGAGCTAAACATTGGCTGCTCAGGTACATAAAAATGGCAATGATAGACATTGGTGACTTCTATGTGGGGAGGAAGAAAGCAGGGAAAGTGCTGAAAAATAAACTCTCGGCTACTATGCTCACTATTTGGGTGATGGAATCATTCACATCCAAAACTTCAGCATCATGCAATATGCCCAGGTAACAAACCTGCAAACGTACCCTTAAATCTAAAAAGTTGAAATTATAAAAACAAAATAAAGTGTCTCCTGAGGACTTGTGTCACGCAAGTCACCGATGTAGTTTGTATGACCCTGAAACGACATCACACAGGTATGAGAGTTACCACTCTCTGATATGGAGTGGGCAACACACAATCATCATGCACATATTCACACACCACAGTGGGACACAATTAAGAAATATCAAACTAAAAGTTCATTATGTTGAGGGTGTGACTAGAATCTTGTGTCTGCCAAACAAACAGGAAATAGATGATGAAATCTAATTAGCTTTCAGCTCAACAAAAGCAATGGAGCTACACAAGCAAGGGCAAGGATGAATGACTTTGAAGAGAAAAAGAAAATAGCTTGAATTCAGAAAACCTCTTTGGTGTTTGTTTGTTTGTTTTCAAATTTGCAGATTTTACACACACTAAGCACATTTTATGCGAGGAATTTTCTCTCCTACTTAAATTCATTGACATTTATATATAATAAGCTGGCTCATCAAGTTTCTTTGCTAAATATTTTATGAAAATATAGAAGTAGAAAGGGCCTTAGACATCATTGAATCTAATCCCCTTGTTTTACAGATGAATAAACTGAGGTCTAGAGACAAAAACTGGCTTGCAGAAGCTCACATAGCGCATGGTAGAAATGAGCCTAGAGAGCATGTCTATGGAGCTCAAATTTGTGTTTCTTCTCACTGTACTAAGGCTGCTAGGTAAATCTTATATAAAAAAGCCAAACATTTTGGTGGGAAACAGAGTGTTACATATTTTCCAAAGAATGAACAGAACATGAGCCTCTCAGCAGAAAATGGCTGAAACTTAAGGGTTGCTAAATTCCTGTGAAGCCCTCCAACATGGCAAACACCTCACTCTGTTCCAGAAGACATGTGCTATTATCAAAAGGATAAATGGGTGGCCATTTAATTAAAACGTCACTAGAAGAAAAAACTTAGGAAAGTGTGACCACAGATGCCCTTGTTTTGCACAGCCAATATCCTCCATGAATCTCATGGAGAAAACAGTCTTTCAGGAAGGGCCAGTGGAGCTACGTGGTGACCCAAGAGCTTACATACTATTCACAGCTAGCAATTCTCAGTTGAGCCTGTGAATTTTAAATTCTGTGCTGTGACAATGACATAAAGCAAGTTTGTTTGTTTTCTTCTTTCTTAAAAGCCTAATAAAGACATTGTACAGGATTCATTATCGAATCTTGGCTGGAGTCTTTCATCTGAGCTCTAATGCCCTGAGTTTAACCATCATCAGATGCCCACCCCAGCTGGTAAGTTGACCTGAATGGTAATCACAGCTGGCAACATTGGCAAAAAGGCAAAAGCTACACATGCGCGTGTACATGCACACACACACACAGACACTGTATAATGTGTGTACGTGTGTGTATATATGCAAGCCCACTCCATTCTCTTTAATAATAATAATCTTTTACTCTTTGAAGAGGCACAGAAATCTGAACTACTACTGTAGCCCTGTTAACAGCCAACTCTGTGACAAGGGCCCACTCGAAAGAGAGGAAGGTCAATAAAAGTAAAGTGTAAGTGTACTGCTAATGACAGGTTCTTGCAGGCACTTTCCCCCAAATTATACCATTCCTATTCAAATACCATCTCAAGAGTCTCAGACAGTGTCAAGTGCAATCATTGTTATTGCAGTTGCCAAGGTAATCAATTGAAATCATAATGAAGGGAACAGAAGGAAATCAATAGAGTCTGAAATTACAAATAAAGAGAAGCTATCGTTTAAGAGCATTTGGCTGAAATCTTCCATATTAATGGAGTCAGAAATGGCTGTGTCATTCAGAAGCAGTGTGGTGCATAATTCAGCTGAGTGCATTAGAATACCTAAAAACGATTGCAGCAATTAGGGCTGCCTACCAAGAATCTGTCCACCTTAGAAGGCACATTGCTGAGTCATTTGTTACCATTTTAGTGTGTTTTTATATCTTTAAAATTTCAATCATCTCCCAGAGTACCCTTAGGCAGGAGGCAGGATTAGCTTGTTCAAAGACATCCAGAGCAGATTGTTAGTCTGGTTTGATTCTGAGATTGGGAAGTAAGAGAGGCTAATCATGCATTTTATGTTAGAAGTATCTTCCTTTTTTTTTTTTTTTTTTTTTTGAGACGGAGTCTCGCTCTGTCGCCCAGGCTGGAGTGCAGTGGCGCGATCTCGGCTCACTACAAGCTCCGCCTCCCGGGTTCACGCCATTCTCCTGCCTCAGCCTCCCGAGTAGCTGGGACTACAGGTGCCCGCCACCACGCCCGGCTAATTTTTTGTATTTTTAGTACAGACGGGGTTTCACCGTGTTAGCCAGGATGGTCTCGATCTCTTGACCTCGTGATCCACCCGCCTCGGCCTCCCAAAGTGCTGGGATTACAGGCGTGAGCCACCGCACCCGGCCAGAAGTATCTTCTTTTCCAAAAATTCTATAGATTTATGTAGAGTGATATAGCTAGTAGGGAAGACAAGGGATAAGTGTAAAAACAAATTCTAGGAAAATTGATTATTGCCCAATCTAACCACATGCCTAAAATGTTCACTGGGCTCTATTAGAGTGGCATAAAATCTTTTCAATTTCAGTGTTATTTGTAAAGATAAAATGAAAATTTCAAACATATATAATATTCATGATCAGCTAATCTCCCTAAGGAGAGATCCTGAACCAAATGGCAATAAAGATGGAAAAGCTGTCTAGTTCTTTTACGAGGAAATAGTCCATAAAAAGGATAAGGAATTATGAAAAAAATAAACATTGTTATATTGGCTTATAATTGGAATCTGAAAATGGCTCGTTTATAGATTTCAGCAGAGGTATGCTTATTATGTTATTTAATATTCTATGACAGGCTTTCCATATTACACTCCACTGCTTTGCAGGCCTCGACTTCCAGGCTATCTGTTTGAGAAATCCTGAACTTTTCCTCTCAGTCTACAGATGGCAGGAATACCTAAAAAGCTCTCATGTCTTTGGCATTGATGTTATGAGAACACTACATATATGTAACTTACACATATGTAACTATATCCATTCAGTCGAAAATAGAAATATAGAGGAGTATAACAGTTAACTTAGGATGATGAGTTCTGCTTGCCATTCCACTCAGTGATGCTTTGCCTAAGAATGGGCATGAGATTGCAAGGTTAAGAGGTGTTTCTCCCATGGCAGTCTTAATTTCCCATATGCTTCTCAGAATGTGAACACTGTCATTCTAGTGTTGAAAGAGATTTATTTACCTACTTAAAAAATATTTATTTACTTTTGTACAACATGACCTCTACATGTTAACTGACTCCTCAATCTGGTGCTCAACCAAAGATTTATCAATCAACACAAATACTGAAGGCTCAACCTTAAGTCATATGGAACTAATTGAGAGAAATTGTGCTTTTCTCCACCATGGCATCTTCTTATCATGCTTTCGAAGGTAATTTTAACTACATGCAGTGTTGGCTAGTTTTAGAACTCAAACCTCATCTGAGATATAAATTATTCATGTATGAATTTCCTGCTAGGCCTTAGCACTTATTCAATTCATGGCAATGTAAATACATTTTACAGAGCCTACAGATAATCACTATTGGCATCTCCTGGGAGCCTGCTAGAAATATAGAATCTTGGGACCTACCCTAAATCTACACATCAGAATCTGCATTTTAACAAAATATCCAGCTAAATTCACATTGACACTTGAGATGCACCATGCAAGAGGTTTCATGAGAGGAAAACGTGTGGTGTAATAGATCTTCTTAGAGCCTTATGTAAGTATTAACTAAGAAAAGCACGTGCATGTTTGTACAGGTGTAGTAGTTGGGGCAGAGGACTATTGCAACACATATAGCATATTATAATCATGCCATTAGCTTTGTTATAATGATTATTAGTGATCATAGATTCATGATGTGTGTTCATGTTTTACAATATTGAATAATCTCCTGTCCCACCTTTAGACCAGAAAAGTGCATGTGAACAAATAAATAAAAGAAAACGTTATAACTGCTGAAATACAGATATAAATCAAGTGCTGGAAAACCTCAGGAAATGGTACCTTTCATTCTGCCAGTGGGGGTTGAAGAAATGCTCCCTTTATCATGTAGTAGCTGAATTGGATATTGGGAAGAAGGGCATTCTTGACAACAAGAATGCAAGAATTCTTGTTGTCAAGAATGCAAGAGGTGTTGAAAGAGTTTGCCATTTTGGAATTGTCAAGAACTCGAAAATGCCTGGAGTTTATGGGGCATGGGTTTTACAATCTCTTTAGTTTAGAGAAGGTAGGAGAGGAAGGGACGGACAGGAAGAAATGAAGCTGGAAAGATGAATGGGGTGGAAATTGTTGGACTATAGGGTTGAGGCACCACTGTAAGGCCTGAGAATAATATACTAGAGATCTCAAGCCCAAAATCCAAACTTAATGATACGATATGGTCAGTTTTTTAATGGCTTTATTAAAATCACTTAGATAAAATTGCATTCACATATTAAGACTCTGTTACTGAAAAATCAATGGATGGTCCATCCAATGTAATTGAAAATCTGATTTTCAGAATACAAAACAGACTGCAACGTTTGATGCCATTTTTTTTTTTTGCAAAAGAACATAGAATAAGCAGTATATAATACTCAAAATCATATCTTATCTTTCCTTTGTCAAGATTGGCTGTTCCTTTTTTTCCAAGGATATGAATATTCTTGGCTTTAAACCTCCAACTCTAAAATATATGGATATTCAGATCTCTCCTAATACCTGTATTACTTGGGAGATTTTGTCTTCAAATTTCTCTCTGTGTTTGGGCTCTAATCCCCTTGTTGGCTATCTGGGTACTGTATCATGTGACTCTAAACAAGAATCTCAGTTCCTCCACCAATTATTACAAAAAGAAGCTTCTCAAAGCATTATTAAATGTTTGAAGGCTCAAAAAGAAATGACAATATGTACCACACAATTTTCCACTATCCATGCATTTTCTTCTCTCCTCTTATCACTATGCTCCTTCCCAGAGTCTCAAGGAAGTATGAACACTTTCTTCTCTATTACAGAAGGCAGATTTCTCCCTCTCAGGAGCTCACCTTCTAATCCAAGCACTTACAACAGCAGTTTTCAAAACTAAGAATTATTTTGTCCCTCAAAGAATTTATGACACCAGCTATTGAGAGAAAAATGGTTTACTTTGCTATATAACATGTATTATTCAGGCCTGATACCCATACATACATACACAGACCCATGATATACACAAACATAAACATACACTATATGTAAGTATGTGGTAGGTGAGTATGCATATATATATGTGTGTGTACATATATATATACATATATGTAGACAGAAGATGGGAAGGATATGAAAAACAATGTCAACCATGGTTATATTTGGATATCAGGTTTATGGGTAACTTTACATTCTTACTTTTCTGTATATGTATTTGTTACATACATAAATATACAATTTAAAAATTGGTTAGGTAAAGGGAAAGTGTTCAATAGCTAATTTTATTTGGAGGAGCAGTTGCAGTTGTATAGTGAGAAAAATCTGAATGTTAGGGTTTATGGACTCAACAGACGGTGATGAATTTGAGGCAATCCATGTGAACTATGGTTTGAAAAACTTGTGCTTTGAAAGGAAGGGACAATTCGGATATTTCTAGAATGGTATTTACTAAAGTAACTCCAGAGTTGGTGCCTGGGAAAACACATAGGAAGTAACTTCATAAATAAAATTTGAGCTATGTTTAACGAAGCATTTTCAAATGTACTTGACCATAGAATCTATCTTTTCCATGGAATACTATAGTTTAAAAGATTGGTGTTCCATGAAACACATTTTGAGAAATGCTACTTTATGGAATAGTGGAGTTAGTAAAATGTTATATTTGCTAGAACTGAGCATGCCTATGGGCTTAGGGAAAGAAGATAGAACAAAAGAAATTAAAGATTTAAGATAAAAATATAGTTTCTTTGACCAAGTTCCAGAAAAAGCATAAAGGAATTAACTGTAAGACATTCGTACTCAGATGTATGGTTTCTAAACTAATGACTTCAGGATCACTGATTGGAATTTCCTTTTACCACGGTTCCCAGAAGACGTGTTTGTACTTTAACATTACTCTATGAGGGAGTGAGATCAGAGGCTTGAAAATTGTGGGAAAATGTTCGAAACTGCTGCGGTGGGGAATGTGATAGGGAGTTGACAAGGGCTCTTTCAGTACTGATTCTAATCAGTATTTTGGTTGGGTTGTTATTTAAGTTTCTCTAATGAAGCTCTGAACCCAGAGGTAGAGAAACAAAATTATAGTTGTGACCCAGTTTGGGAACTGACACAGGAACATGATTGAAGAGCAAAGAAGCAGGAAGTTCTAAAGCAATTGAGACGATAGCATGGAAGGAGCTGAGTTGGAGTTCATCAGCGAATCCAATAAAACAGAAGGGGCTGATGCACTGGGGAGGGGGCAATCAGGAGAAACCTTGACAGGTGTGAAGTGGCAGAAAAGGAAGTTGGTTTCAAGGGATGAAGCTCTGGGATGTAGGTCACGAAGGTAGAACAGTTTTGAGTAATAACTTTTTTCAACTTCAGGTAGCTAAAGTAAAATGGAAATGCAAATCTCAGAAACTAAAAGTCACAGAGCTTAGGAATTTAGAAGTTAGCGCTCTAATTTGCGCATCAACCTGGAAGTTGAAATTATGAAATATAAAGGCAGGGAATAAGGTGGGAAGGAGAAAGTCTGTTGATTGGATGCTGAATCCAGCCAAATCCCATCTAGAAGCAGAACCAGACAAAAATAAATTAATTTTTTTGTTTTCTACAGCTCTCCAGAGGATGAGCTCAAGCAAGGGAAGGACCTTGGTGAAGGAGAGAGAAGATGAGGAAAACAGTGGGAACAGGAGAAGGAGAGATGACAGAGAAAGTTCAAGGTGGAGAGTTTTTCTGCTGTCTGTAGAGTTGTCAGGCAGAGTTCTGGGTGGATCTGAATCTCCTTCCCTCTGTGCCCCCAGACTGGGTGGTAATATGCTAGTGTAACCCCAAATTTATAAGTGTTTGAGTATTGTCTAGAATTATGTGGCCTTAAAATGATGATATTACAGCTAACAGTAAGATGCTTGGGGAAAAGTCACTGGCTTTCAGGGATCGGCGTGTAGAAGAGGATTGCAGGCATAAAATCAGATTTCATTTTAGGAGAAGCAGCAGAGGACACTGAAGGAAAAGTTTTGGTGCAGAGAGGGGTTTGGCCACGACAAAAGAGAGATAACCAAAGGAAAACTTCATGATTATGTGAAATATTCATCCTACTTCTGCTGCTACTGCTACTACTACTAGAACATTTACTATTTGCCAGGCACCTCTAAACACCTTGTATGTGCATTATTTCTTCATCACCAGAATAACTCTATAAGGCCGTGTATTAGTCCGTTTTAACACTGAAAAGAACTGCCCGAGAGTGGGTAATTTATAAAAGAAAGAAATTTAATTAACTCACAGTTCAGCATGGCTAGGGAGGCCTCAGGAAACTTACAGTCACGGTGGAAGGGGAAGCAAGGCACCTTCTTCATAACGTGGCAGAAGGAGAAGGAGAAGAGGTGAGCAGGGGAAATACCAGATGCTTATACAACCATCAGATCTTGTGAGAACTCACTTAATATCACGAGAACGGCATGGGGGAACCACCCCATAATCCAATCAGTTCTCACCAGGTTCCTCCCTTAACACCTGAGGATTACACTTCAAGATGACATTTGGGTGGAGACACAAAGCTAAACCATATCAGGTTGGTACAATTAATACAACCATATTGTGGATGAGGAAACTGGGGTAGAAAGATGTTAGATAATTTGAGGACATATAGCTAGTAGGAGGTACAGCCAGGATTTAGATACATGTATCTAATTCTGAAATGCATGCTTTTAACCACCTTACTACGCATATTACCTGCATGCACATGCATTAGTCATTGTTATCATTAGCATCATTATCACCATCATTATCATCATCATTCTTAATAGCTTTTATAGAGTGGTTTATAAATTATGAAGTATTACTTTCACGTGATGAGAAGGTTCTTAGATCTTAAATCAATACATATGGTTTCAATATCCACTACCTTTCTCTCTGCACTTTTGCTGTTACCCAAGAACTAGCAACATCAGCATCAGTTGGGAGCTAGTTACTGAATCAGAATCTGAATTTAACAAGCTTGCCAGGAGGGACTACATTCATGTTTTAAAAGTTCTGATCTACACTATTCCATATTGCAATGTATTAGCAGGTAGGGCTATTTCTAGGAAAAATTGAAGTGAAAGATTTATTATCAGAGACTCCTTTCTTTCTCCTTTCATGATTCTACCTTCCTCTTCTGGGAACCCATATCAGTTTGAAAGTTTCTGGCAACAAATCTCAAAAAACCTTCAGTGTAATGGGCTTCAGCTATGAAGAAATGAGTTATCTCATGTAGTGGGAAGTCAACAACTCAGGGTTGAAGGCTTGTTGATTCAGACATCCCCTCCATGTCATCACAGACCCAAGTTCCTCCCATGAGCATTGGCCTCAGGCTGCTTCCTTATGCTCAGAAGGGGGCTGCAGCACTCCAGGCTTGACCTTCCTTCATAGTGCCATTGAGGAGAAGAAGGGGACACACTCTTCTTTGTGTCTCCTTTTCAGATGAAGTAAACATTTTTTAAAATGCTCCCTTTAGCTCTTACTCACCAGAAGCAGCCTGTTAGGAAGTCCTAAACAAATTACTAGGCAGAGGCAAGGGATTTCTTGGACCATTTTATAAGTATTTCTACAGTGGACCAGATGCTGGAGAATCAATGAATGTGATTACTTTAGAATCCAAGGCATACATGCAGCCACAGGCTGCTACAGTACTGCTCAGATATATCCCCTAAGTGTCCTGGATTTCTGCCCACTTTCCCTACAGGCTCTCAGCATACTCTCAAGACACTCTTATAAACTAATTTATATGGTATTAATGACCAGCCAAGTTTTGCCAGCATAACCTAGCTAAAGAGCTAATCCAATTCCAGGTGACTGGTCACTGTTATTTAGACAATACCCTTTAAATAGAAAAGCTGGCTTCACCAGGCAACCATAGCTAGATAAATACATACATGCATACATACATACATGCAAACATATGCACATATACACAGACTTCCATTGTTTTGATGAAGAATAGATTGCCAAGAACACTGCACTGAGGGACCAGGAATACGGTTGCTAAGTCTGGAGAGAGATGATACTGGGCAGAAGTGCATGAGTCATTTCACCTGACTGAGTCTCAGTTCATTCATCTGAAGCCTTGGCCTGATTCACCTCATATCATGAAGATCATGGTGATAATGCATAGAAAAAAATATTAGAAAGCAAATGTAGATTGTTATTACTCTTCCTTAGGTTCCCTTCTTTCACTCTAGTGCAAGGAATAGTGTCTTCTTCTACATGTTGAATATCTGTTTTTTGAATAAATGACTACGTTGTTGCCTTTCAGTTGAGAGACACTTAAATTTAACCTGATAAAGCATATTTTACAGTGACTATCATGTATAGGTAGCAAATGTCCAATGTCCTCTCCAAAGCTCTACAAATAACCTTAGTTCATTTATGAAAATTTACCTTTATTCTGGTTATAGATGAAGGAAAATAGGCAGGTTTACATTATTTTGAATAAGATGAAACACATGAAATTCATTAAAAGTTAAAGATATGCCCATTATTTATCTTTTGGATATAAAATATATTTGTTTGGAGAAAGCAGTGCTTATTACAAAAACAAGATATGAAAAGTACAAAGACATAAGTGTAAATCTCTTTTATATATTTTTTTATTATACTTTAAGTTCTGGGGTACACGTGCACAACGTGCAGGTTTGTCACATATGTATACATGTGCCATGTTGGCGTGCTGCACCCGTTAACTCGTCATTTACATTAGGTATATTTCCTAATGCTATCCCTCCCCCCTCCCCCCTCCCCCAACCCCACAACAGGCCCTGGGGTGTGATGTTCCCCTTCCTGTGTCCAAGTGTTCTCATTGTTCAATTCCTAAATCTCATATAATCCTGTCACTCAGCTGTAACCACTAATAAAATCTTGGCACCTTCAAGACTGTTGACTTTGAATATATATTAATTTATATCCTATTCTACACATACACACACATACATAGTTGTATAATTAAAACAGAATCATACCACACGTGTTGTTTATCGATGAACTTTTTTTTTTTTTTTTTTTTTTTGAGACGGCGTCTCGTTCTGTTGCCCAGCCTGGAGTGCAGTGGCGTGATCTCGGCTCACTGCACGCTCCGCCTTCTGGGTTCACGCCATTCTCCTGCCTCAGCCTCCCGAGTAGGTGGGACTACAGGCGTCCACCACCACGTCTGGCTAATGTTTTTGTATTTTCAGTAGAGACGGGGTTTCACTGTGTTAGCCAGGATGGTCTCGATCTCCTGACCTCGTGATCCGCCCGCCTCGGCCTCCCAAAGTGCTGGGATTACAGGCGCGAGCCACTGCGCCCGGCCATCAATGAACTTTTTTACTAATCAATTGTATTATGTATATATATTCAACTCAGTAAGTATGGGTCTACATTGTTATATATATATATATAGAGAGAGAGAGAGAGACAGAGAGACAGAGAGACAGAGAGAGAGAGAGAGAGAGAGAGAGAGAGAGAGAGAGAGAGAGAGAGAGAGAGAGAGAGACGGAGTCTCACTCTTGTTGCCCAGGCTGGAGCGCAATGTCGTGATCTCGGCTCACTGCAACCTCCGCCTCCCAGGTTCAAGGGATTCTCCTGCCTCAGCCTCCCAAGTAGCTGGGACTACAGGCATGTGCCACCACACCTGGCTAATTTTTTTGTATTTTTAGTAGAGATGGGGTTTCACCATATTGGCCAGGATAGTCTCAGTCTCCTGAACTTGTGATCCACCTGCCTCAGCCTCCCAAATTGCTGGGATTACAGGCAAGAGCCACCATGCCTGGCCTACATTATCGTTTTTTATGGTGGCCTGGCAGTTCTTTTTGTAGATATAGGATGATTAATTTAACCAATTCTCTATAAATGGAATATTAGGGTTTTCTATATACAACAACCTCCCCCTAACCCCCACCAAAAGGCAGTACTCATGGTCATTTTAAGAAGTATGTTTGGGAAAAGAAGATGAGCTTCAAAAATCCTGTTTCTTCCCACCTGAATGACAATATGTGTTGCTGTGGAGATCAGATGTCTGGGAGTGGAAAAGATGAGAGGCATCTGACCAAATAACATCTGTGTAATGGCAATTAAGCAGCAGCCATTATCTGAAGTGCTATTGTGGCTCTGAAGAGCAGTAGAGAAACAAACACACATAATGCAGCCGGCCATCAGCCCATCATGCAGAGCCTGCTTATTAGAGCACTGCAGAAATTAAGCCATTTCAGAAGAAAAAAAAATCATTTTCTCCATTTTTGGCATGTTCTCTTTAAACATAAAACTCATTGCAGATAATTTTCAGACATACTGCTTTACTCAACAGCATAATCATTTAGTTGTAGAGCAGGAGATTGAATGCAGAGGTTCTCTAGCCTATTCAATTCTTTTTGACCTTAAACTTGGAGTGTGAGTTGCCAGTTTCAGAGTTTGCAAGAACACATTTGCCTGTATAATTCAAGGGCTCTGGCACTCTCAATTGTTTCCAGACCAGAGCAGGTTCTTCTTTTGTCACTAAGGGTCTCAAGGAAGCCACACAAGCACCAAGTCACACAATAGGCACCTGCTCTTGTATCCACCAGTCCCTAAAGTGCTGATGTGCATATTGTCATTTCTTTGGCCCTCCTCTTCTGTTTTCCATACTAATCATATTCTCTGACTTCTTTTCCACTTCCCTTACCAGAGCATGCCTAGCATCCTACTCTCTTCACTCTCTTGCCTACCAAACCTTTCCCTTAAAAATAAATCTTTTCGGATACGTTCCAAGATGGCCAAATAGGAACAGCTCCGGTCCGCAGCTCCCAGCATGATCGACATAGAAGATGGGTGATTTCTGCATTTCCAACTGAGGTACCTGGTTCATCTCATTCAGACTGGCTGGACAGTGGGTGCAGCCCACAGAGGGTGAGCCAAAGCAGCGTGGGGTGTCGCCTCACCCAGGAAGCACAAGGGGTCAGGGGATTTTCCTTTCCTAGCCAAGAGCAGGCATAACAGACTCTACCTTGAAAAATGGGACACTTCCACCCAAATACTGTGCTTTTCCCAAGGTCTTAGCAACCAGCAGACAAGGAGACCCTCTCCCATGCCTGATACAGTGGGTCCCCCCCGACGGAGGCTTGCTCACTGCTGGCGCAGCAGTCTGAGATCAAACTGCAAGGCTGCAGCCTGTCACGGGGAGGGGTGTCTGCAATTGCTGAGGCTTGAGTAGGTAAACAAAGCAGCCTGGAAGCTCGAACTGGGCAGGGCCCACTGCACCTCAGCAAGGCCTACTGCCTCTATAGACTCCACTTCTGTGGGCAGGCCATAGCTGAACAAAAGGCAGCAGACAGCTTCTGCAGATTTACACGTCTCTGTCTGACAGCTCTGAAGACAGCAGCAGTTCTCCCAGCGCGGCATTTGAACTCTGAGCACAGACAGGCTGCCTCCTCAAGTGGGTCCCTGATCCCCACATAGCATAACTGGGAGACAACTCCCAGTAGGCGCCAACAGACACCTAATATAGGCAGATGCCCCTCTGGGACAAAGCTTCCAGAAGAAGGATCAGGCAGCAATATTTGCTGTTCTGCAATATTTGCAGTTCTGCAGCCTCTGCTGGTGACAACCAGGCAAACAGGGTCTGGAGTGGACCTCCAGCAAACTCCAACAGATCTGCAGCTAAGGGACCTGACTGTTAGAAGGAAAACTAACAAACAGAAAGGAATAGCACCAACATCAACAAAAGGGACATCTACATCAAAACCCCATCTGTAGGTCACCAACATCAAAGACCAAAGGTAGATAAAACCACAAACATGGGGAGAAACCAGAGAAGAAAAGCTGAAAATTCTAAAAACCAGAGCACCTCTTCTCTTCCGAAGGATCGCAGCTTCCTGCCAGCAATGGAATAAAGCTGGACGGAGAATGACTTTGAGGAGTTGACAGAAGTAGGCTTCAGAAGGTCAGTAATAATAAATTTCTTCACGCTAAAGAAGCATGTTCTAGCCCACTGCAAGGAAGCTAAAAGCCTTGAAAAAAGGTTAGAGGAATGACTAACTAGAATAAACAGTGTAGAGAAGACCTTAAATGACCTGATGGGGCTGAAACACATGGCGTGAAAACTTCGTGATGCATGCATAAGCTTCAATAGCCAATCAAATCAAGTGGAAGAAGGTATCAGTGTTCGAAGATCAAATTAATGAAGTAAAGTGAGAAGACAAGGTTAGACAAAAAAGAGTAAAAACAAACAAACAAAGCCTCCAAGAAATATGGGACTATGTGAAAAGACCAAATCTACATTTGATAGGTGTACCTGAAAATGATGGGGAGAATGGAACCAAGTTGGAATACACTCTTAGGATATTATCCAGGAGAACTTCCCCAGCCTAGCAAGGCAGGCCAACATTCAAATTCAGGAAATACAAAGAACACCACAATGATACTCCTCGAGAAGAGCAACCCCAAGACACATAATTGGCAGATGCACCAAGGTTGAAATGAAGGAAAAAATGTTAAGGGCAGCCAAAGGGAAAGGTCGGGTTACCCACAATGGGAAGCCCATCAGAATAACAGGGGATCTCTTGGCAGAAACCCTACAAGCCAGAAGAGAGTGAGGGCCAATATTCAACATTCTTAAAGAAAAGAATTTTCAACCCAGAATTTCATATCCAGCCAAACTAAACTTCATAAGTGAAGGAGAAATAAAATCCTTTACAGACAAGCAAATGCTGAGAGATTTTGTCACCACCAGGCCTGCCTAACAAGAGCTCCCAAAGGAAGCACAAAGCATGGAAAGGAAAAATCGGTAACAGCCACTGCAAAACCATGCCAAATTGTAAAGACCATTGATGCTAGGAAGAAACTGCATCAATTAACAGGCAAAATAACCAGCTAACATCATAATGACAGGATCAAATTCACATACAACAATGTTAACCCTAAATGTAAACAGGCTAAATGCCCCAATTAAAAGACACAGACTGGCAAATTGGATAAAGAGTCAAGACCCATCAGTGTGCTGTATTCAGGAGACCCATCTCACATGCAGAGACACACATAGGCTCAAAATAAAGGGACAGAGGAAGATCTATGAAGCAAATGGAAAGCAAAAAAAAAGCAAAGGTTGCATTCCTAGTCTCTAATAAAACAGACTTTAAGCCAATAAAGATCAAAAGAGACAAAGAAGGTCATTAAATAATGGCAAAGGGATCAATTCAACAAGAAGAGCTAACTATCCTAAATATATATGCACCCAATACGAGAGCACCCAGATTCATAAAACAAGTCCTTAGAGATGTACAAAGAGACTTAGACTCCTACACAGTAATAATGGGAGACATTAACACCCCATTGTCAATATTAGACAGATCAATGAGACAGAAAGTTAACAAGGACATCCAGGACTTGAACTCAGCTCTGCACCAAGAAGACCTAACAGACATCTATGGAACTCTCCACCCCAAATCAACAGAATATACATTCTTCTCAGCACCATATCACACTTATTCTAAAATTGACCACTGATTGGAAGTAAAGCACTCCTCAGCAAATGTAAAAGAACAGAAATCACAACAAACTGTCTCTCAGACCAGAGTGCAATCAAATTAAAACTCAGGATTAAGAAATTCATTCAAAACTGCACAACTACATGGAAACTGAAAACCTGCTCCTGAATGAGTACTGGGTACATAACAAAATGAAGACAGAAATAAAGATGTTCTTTGAAACCAAAGAGAACAAAGATACAACATACCGGAATCTCTGGGACACATTTAAAGCAGTGCATAGAGGGAAATTTATAGCACTAAATGCCCACAAGAGAAAGCAGGAAAGATCTAAAATCGATACCCTAACATCACAATTAAAAGAACTAGAGAAGCAGGACCAAACAAATTCAAAAGCTAGCAGAAGGCAAGAAATAACTAAGATCCGAGCAGAACTGAAAGAGATAGAAACACAAAAAACCCTTCAAAAAATCAATGAATCCAGGAGCTCGTTTTTTGAAAAGATCAACAAAATTGATAGAGTGCTAGCAAGACTTATAAAGAAGAAAAGAGAGAAGAATCAAAGAGATGCAATAAAAAATGATAAAGGGGATATCACCACCGATCCCACAGAAATACAAACTACCATCAGAGAATACTATAAACACCTCTATTCAAATAAACTAGAAAATCTAGAAGAAATGGATAAATTCCTCGACACATACACCCTCCCTAGACTAAACCAAGAGGAAGTTGAATCTCTGAATAGACCAATAACAGGCTCTGAAATTGAGGCAATAATTAACAGCCTACCAACCAAAAAAATTCCAGAACCAGATGGATTCACAGCCGTATTCTACCAGAGGTACAAAGAGGAGCTTGGACCATTCCTTCTGAAACTATTCCAATCAACAGAAAAAGAGGCAATCCTCCCTAACTCATTTTATGAGGCCAGCATTATCCTGATACCAAAGCCTTGCAGAGACACAACACAAAAAGAGAATTTTAGACCAATATCCAAGATGAACATTCATGCAAAAATCCTCAATAAAATACTGGCAAACCAAATACAGAAGCACATCAAAAAGCTTATCCATCATGATTCAGTGGGCTTCATCCCTGGGATGTAAGGCTGGTTCAACATACACAAATCAATAAATGTGATCCATCACATAAACAGACCCAATGACAAAAACCACATGATTATCTCAATAGATGCAGAAAAGGCTTTTGACAAAATTCAACAGCCCTGCATGCTAAAAACTCTCAATAAACTAGGTATTGATGGAACATATCTCAAAATAATAAGAGCTATTTATGACAAACCCACAGCCAATGTCATACAGAATGGGCAAAAACTGGAAGCATTCCCTTTGAAAACTGGCGCAAGACAAGGATGCCTTCTCTCACCACTTCTATTCAGCACAGTAATGGAAGTTCTGGCTAGGGCAATCAGGCAAAAGAAAGAAATAAAGGGTATTCAATTAGGAAAAGAGGAAGTCAAATTGTCCCTGTTTGCAGATGACATGATTGTATATTTAGAAAACTCCATTGTCTCAGCCCAAAATCTCCTTAAGCTAATAAGCAACTTCAGCAAAGTCTCAGGATACAAAATCAATGTGCAAAATCACAAGCATTCCTATACACCAATAAAAGACAAGCAGAGAACCAAATCATGAGTGAACTCCCATTCACAATTGCTTCAAAGAGAATAAAATACCTAGGAATCCAACTTACAAGGGATGTGAAGGACCTCTTCAAGGAGAACTACAAACCACTGCTCAACGAAATAAAAGAGGACAAAAACAAGTGGACGAACAGTTCATGCTCATGGAAAGGAAGAATCAATATTGTGAATATGGCCATGCTGCCCAGTTTAGTTTATAAATTCAATGCCATCCCCATCAAGCTACCAATGACTTTCCTCACAGAATTTGAACAGCTACTTTAAAGTTCATATGCAACCAAAAAGAGCCCACATTACCAAGGCAATCCTAAGCAAAAAGAACAAAGCTGGAGGCATTACATTACCTGACTTTGAACTATACTACGAGGCTACAGTAACCAAAACAGCATGGTACTGGTACCAAAACAGAGATATAGACCAATGGAACAGAACAGAGACCTCAGAAATAACACCACACAGCCACAACCACCAGATCTTTGACAAACCTCACAAAAACAAGGAATGGGGAAAGCATTCCCTATTTAATAAATGGTGCTGGGAAAACAGGCTAGCCATATGTAGAAAGCTGAAACTGGATCCCTTCCTTACACCTTATACAAAAATTAATTCAAGATGGATTAAAGACTTAAATGTTAGACCTAAAACCATAAAAACCCTAGAATAAAACCTAGGCAATACCATTCAGTACATAGGCATGGGCAAGGACTTCATGACTAAAACACCAAAGCAATGGCAACGAAAGCCAAAATAGGCAAATGGGAACTAATTAAACTAAAGAGCTTCTGCATGGCAAAAGAAACTACCATAAGAGTGAATAGGGAACCTACAGAATGGGAGAAAATATTTGCAATCTACTCATCTGACAAAGGGCTAATATCCAGAATCTACAAAGAACTCAAACAAATTTACAAGAAAAAAACAACTCCATCAAAAACTGGACAAAGGATATGAACAGACGCTTCTCAAAAGAAGACATTCATGCAGATAACAGACACATGAAAAAATGCTCATCATCACTGGCCATCAGAGAAATGCAAATCGAAACCACAATGAGTTACCATCTCACAGCAGTTAGAATGGCGATCATTAAAAAGTCAGGAAACAACAGACACTAGAGAGGATGTGGAGAAATAGGAACACTTTTACACTGTTGGTGGGAGTGTAAATTAGTTCAAGCATGGTGGAAGTCAGTGTGGCCATTCCTCAAGGATCTAGAACTAGCAATACCATTTGACCCAGCAATCCCTTTACTGGGTATATACCCAAAGGATTACAAGTCATGCTGCTATAAAAACACATGCATACATATGTTTATTGTGGCACTATTCACAATAGCAAAGACTTGGAACCAACCCAAATGTCCAACAATGATAGACTAGATTAAGAAAATGTGGCACATATACACCATGGAATACTATGCAGCCATAGAAAAGGATGAGTTCATGTCCTTGCAGGGACATGGATGAAGCTGCATACTATCATTCTTAGCAAACTATCACCAGGACAGAAAACCAAACACCGCATGTTCTCACTCATAGGTAGGAATTGAGCAATGAGAACACTTGGACACAGGACGGGGAACATCACACACCGGGGCCTGTTGTGGGGTGGAGGGATGTGGGAGGGATAGCATTAGGAGAAATACCGAATGTAAATGACAAGTTGATGGGTGCAGCACACCAACATGGCACATGTATACCTATGTAGGAAATCTGCACGTTGTGCACATGTACCCTAGAACTTAAAGTATAACAATAAAAAACCCATTCGTACACACCATAATATTTACCTATTGCAATTATAATGCTTTATTTTATCCCCAAACTCAGTGGTTTCCAATAAAAATTATTTGTTCTTGGTCTATAGATCAACTAACATAGGTTAGGTTAGGCTGGGCTGGGCTTTGCTTTAGGCTGAAAGTTGGGTTCAGGTCTGTTTTACCGTTCTCTCCTCTTTGGACCAGCAGGCACCTGATATGGTTTGGATGATTGCCCACTCCAAATCTCATGTTGAAATGTGATTCCTAAAGTTGGAGGTGGAGCCTGGTGGAGGTCACTGGATCATGGAGGCAGATCCCTCATGAATGGTTGGCACCATCCCCTTGGTGGTAAGTGAGCTCTTGCTCGTAGTTTACGTGAGACCTTTTTGTTAAAAAGAGTGTGGCACCTCCCCCACCACTTTGCTCCCACTTCTGCAACGTGACATACCTGCTCCTGCTTTGCCTTCTTCCTTGAGTAAAAATTGCCTGAGGCCTCATCAGAAACTGAGCAGATGCTTTCTGTACAGCCTGCAAACCCGTGAGACAATTAAACCTCGTTTCTTTATAAATTACTCAGCCTCAGGTATTTCTTTATAGCCACAAAATAACAAATGAAGAGCAACCAAGCGTGTTTTCCTCATAGTGAACAGCAGGAGCATGACAGGGCAAGTAGTCTTAGCCTAGAAGTGGCCCACTGTCACTTCTTCCTCATTCCACTGGCCAAAGAAAGCAGCTCTGTGTCTAAAGGGCAGAACTGCAAGGTCACACGGCAAAGGACACAAGTGTATAATTCTAACAGGGAGGGCATGAAGAATTGAGGAACAATGACCTAATCTACCACACATCCTGAGGTTAACAGATTCTTGGTCCTTCTTAGGAATTTTTTTTAAAAATATTACTCTAAGTTCTGGTATACATGTGCAGAACGTGCAGGTTTGTTACATAGGTAAATGTGTGCCATGCTGGTTTTCTGCACCTATCAACCCATCACCTAGGTATTAAGCCCGGCATGCATTCGCTATTTGTCCTGATGCTCTCCCTCCCCTCGCCCCCACTGACAGGCCCCAGTGTGTGTTGTTCCCCTCCTTCTGTCCATGCATTCTCATTGTTCAGCTCCCACTTATGAGTGAGAACATACGGTGTTTGGCTTTCTGTTCCTGTGTTAGTTTCCTGAGGATGATGGCTTCCAGATTCATCCATGTCCCTGCAAAGGACATAATCTCATTCCTTTTTTATGGCTGCATGGTATTCCATGGTGTATATGTACCACATTTTCTTTATCCAGTCTATCATTGACGGGCATTGGGTTGGTTCGGTGTCTTTGCTATTGTAAATAGTGTTGCAATAAACATACATGTGCATGTATCTTTTTATAATAGAATTATTTACATTCCTTTGGGTACATACCCAGTGATGGGACTGCTGCTTCAAATGGTATTTCTGGCTCTAGATCCTAGAGGAATTGTCACACTGTCTTCCACAATGGTTGAACTAATTTGCACTCCCACCAACAGTGTAAAAGCATTCGTACAGGAAAATTTTTTAAACAAAGGAAACCAGTTTTAAGCCAAATTCCACAGTAACTCTAAATGTACACTTTCAGGCAGCAGTATTCTCAAAATGAAGACATTTGAGTCCCTCCAATGGGCCAACTAGGCAATTCCTTATTTACTTGTAAAGTAGAACCAAAATGATAGTGAGTTCATAGATGAAGAGTCATCCCACTGGGAACCTGAAAGCATTCCCAGGAATAATTTTGGGTTTGAGATTATAAATAGAGAGTTAGATTTAAATCCCACTATTGCTAGCTGCATGACTTAATACTCTTAAGCCTTAGTTCCTTCACCTGTAAAATGAAGAATTAGTAATAAGATACTTTTAAAGGTTTGCTGAGCAGACAAAATGAAATACTCTATGTAAATTGCATTGTTTTCGATAAAGTGCCTGGTACATAGTAGGCAAATCCATAAGTTCCCTTTCATTTATATTTCACCTTTCAGACAAGAATTGTCGTGTTCCTAAATTTAAAAGGTGAAACAAATAGCATGTGTTAAATTATTGGTCCAGAAGCACACAGCAGGCTTTCCTCCACTTACCTTATATATTTACTGTTGATTTTAATGTCCTTTTCATTGAAAATGGCTCTAACACTGCTCTCTAACCTTTATAAATATAGCTGCTGGTAGATGGCCTTCAGGTACACCCCAGATATTGAGGACTAAAGAGAATGGGTTAAAAATGCAGTGACCCTTTATTTTACTCCTAGCAATTAAGCAGCCAATCATTCCCTGCACAATGTTTCTCTTTCATTTCCAAAGTTGCTGTCTGTGGGCAAATACTTAAAGTTGGAAGCTACAGCAGCTCCCTCCTCAAAAGCAGTAACTCACTAACCATTATGTTCACTCTCTCCAAATCCTCACTACATTAATTCACTTTTTAATCTGGATGCAAAATTCAATACTGCTTTCTAGTGAAATTGCCTAGTATAATGCCTGGCTTGGAGTAGGAACTCAAAGATACTCTTTTGAATCTGGAAAAAAACCTGAAATGCCTGCTTAGAATTATAAAAGCAATAACCTAGAAGTGTGTGATTACTTGCAGTATGGGAATATGTATATTATCTCATTTTCAATAATGCAGGTTCCATAACACCAATAATGCACCCATTTCAATCATGCACTTTAATTTGTGCAAACAGACTCAGAGACATAGGCGTTTCCCAGTGTCACACTACTCAAGAATGGTAGGGTCAGGACTTGAACGCAGGTCTTCTCACTCCAAATCCAACAACCTCTAATTTCAGCCACTACTTTTCAGAAGACAAGTTGCTGATTCAGTCTTGATAGATCACAAAACTACAGAATGATTCTTCCTGAAACACCCATTTCAGGAGGGATCAGTTGTTTTTATAAAGCAACACGCTTTTCACTTATTAGCATAGGCTCATGGAGCAGCTAGGGGAGTGTGACACCAATAGGGAGAGACAAGCTGACAGTATGCTAAATTTGACAAAAATTGTTCTAGATAATTTTGCAAGTTTGGGGATCTGGGGAATACCAAATACGATTGGCTGAGCAAGTTTCTACTCTAGTTTTAAAATACATACATTTTATGGGACATTTGATTCTTATATTAGTATGCATGTACTTTGTGCAATGAATGAAGTTTTAAAAGTTGTATGAAATAATTTTATAAGATGAATTATTGGGTCAGGCATGGTGGCTCACGCCTATAATCCCAGCACTTTGGGAGGCCGATGCAGGTGGATCACGAGGTCAAGAATCGAGACCATCCTGGCCAACACGGTGAAACCTCGTCTCTACTAAAAATAGAAAAAATTAGCTGGGTGGGTGTGGTGGCAGGTGCCTGTAATCCCACCTACTGCGGAGGCTGAGGCAGGAGAATCGCTTGAACCTGGGAGGTGGAATTGCAGTGAGCTGAGATCGTGCCATTGCACTCCAGCCTGGGCAAAAATATCGAAACTCCATCTCAAACAAACAAACAAAAAAAGGATGAATTATTGTATGCATACTCTGTGGTTGCTTACTCCTTAATAAAAATCAATGAATCTTGAAGCTAGCAAATGTCTTCAGAATTTTATCCAAAGCCCCATTTTATAGATGAACATTGAGACCCAGAAAATTAAGAAAGTACCCCAGGTACACGTAGTAAGTGGCAGACTAGAACCCTGTATTCTGCATTCTAGCCAAATATTTTTCCATTGTACTACTAAAAACAAAAGCAAACAAAAAATCAAGAACACGTAAATAGATAAAAATCCTTTTGATAAATAATTTTGAAAAAAATGGTATTTTTGTACCTGTTCAATTTTAATACATCTCTTTTTCTGCTTCTCGATGTTTTCTATTGAATTTTAAGTAGAATGCACACATATGTGTATATAAGTGTAAGCATCTATTTTTATTTTAGTTTCTACAGTAGTTATTTGCTCGCTTAAAAATCACAGATCCCCTGTAATACCAGTATTTTGGGAGGCTGAGGTGGGTGGATTACCTGAGGTCAGGAATTCGAGACCAGTCTGACCAATATGGTGAAACCCCATCTCTACTAAAAGTACAAAAATTAGCCAGGTGTGATGGCGGGTGCCTGTAGTCCCAGTTACTCGGGAGGCTGAGACAGGAGAATTGTTTGAACCTGGGAGGCAGAGGTTGTAGTGAGCCGAGATGGTGCCACTGCACTCCAGCCTGGGTGACAAAAGGGAGACATCACCTCAAAAAAAAAAAAAAATCATAGATCCTCTGCAGCATCGGCTTTTTTTTTCTAATTCCCATCAGTCCTTGACACATTTATGATATCGCCACATGCATACTGGTTACGTGATAAATATTTGTGGTTGCTGATGAAATTGCCCCTGCTGATAAAATACTGTTGGAAAAGCCTGAGGTCTATATCAGAGAGAAGCTTTTCTCTTCTAAACTATCGATTGACTCTTGCATGACATTTAATAAAAACTTTCCATTACCAGTTGCATAACAGCAATTAAGACCCTCATCAAATCTATCTTAACTGCTTAGAGTCCTCCACTGGGGAGCATTTTCCTTGGCAAACATCCGCAATAAAAGGCTATTTAATCTTCATAACCGAAACAGTCAGTTATGCTAATTTGTCTCTTTTATTGTCAGTTTACACTGGAGTCACACACAGCTCTGGTCCTTTAGAGAGGTATAGAAATGAGCACAGCTTCTCTAGCAAAACCAGCTAGTAGTGAGGTTCCTGTCACTGGAAGCAGTTACACCTGGCCCAAGTGATTATTTGTCAATAACATTATAGAAGGGCTTTATCCGTGGGAGTGAGGTTGAACTAAAGAAGATCTGTGATGCTTTCAATTAGAGATTTTCTGCATCTGTGTTCTCTCAGCCTAAGAATAGAGCCATTCTACAGTAAAATTCTGGAACCAGGTTTTAAGGGTAGGTAAAACCAGCATCCACTTATACTTCATTTTCCTTTTTAAAATACTTTAAACTTTGTTCAACTTCATAATAAGATGAGAAAAATGCTCATTGTAAGCCTAATTTCTCTATTCATTAATGCATTCATCTACTTATCAAATATTTATTGAACCCTTATTGCAGTTTAGCACAACATCATTTCTGAAGATACAGAAATAAATAAGGCAGAGAAAATCCCTGACCATGTGGAGTTTATAGTCTGGTGGGGGAAACAAACAAAAAATAATTAATTCTTCTTTCTCTCAACTTGTAAGATACTTTCTTCATCTTCATTGTTGTCAAAGTTTATATTGTTGTGGTTTGATATGAATATATGTTTATTCTATGTCATGGATCCTTAATTGCCAATATGGAAAATTATTCCTTTTTTAAATTAAATTTTCTTAAATTATTTATTTTATTTATTACCCTTCTTCTTTTCTGTTCTTTCTTCCTGTAATTTCTTAATACAGAAGTTTGATCTAGAGTTTTTCCAATTGTCCATCTCTTGTCTTTTAATTCTAGTTAAAATTTAGTTTCTGGGAGAATTTTCTTATTTTAACTTCTAACTTTTCTATTTTAATTTTCATTTATGTATTGTATTTTTAATTTCCAAGAACTTCTTTTCATATTTTTGGGTGTGGTATTTTTATTGCAACTTATTCTTTTTCAGATGTTGGTATTATTTTCTCTTTTTAAGATTATTAGTAATTGATTCATTTGTTTTGTGTCTTTTCTACATTTTTTTTCTCCCTGCATAGTCTCCGTTTTCATTTTTTTTCTCTTTGTTTGTTTGGCTTGTTCTGTTTACATTAGAAGTTTTCCTTTGGGTATATACCCAGTAATGGGATGGCTGGGTCAACCCAAATGTCCAACAATGATAGACTGGATTAAGAAAATGTGGTGCATATACACCATGGAATACTATGCAGCCACAAAAAATGATGAGTTCATGTCCTTTGTAGGGACATGGATGAAGCTGGAAACCATCATTCTCAGCAAACTATCACAAAGACAAAAAACCAAACACCACATGTTCTCACTCATAGGTGGGAATTGAACAATGAGAACACATGGACACAGGAAGGGGAACATCACACACCGGGGACTGTTGTGGGGTGGGGGGAGTGGGGAGGGATAGCATTAGGAGATATACCTAATGCTAAATGACGAGTTAATGGGTGCAGCACACCAACATGGCACATATATACATATGTAACAAACCTGCACGTTGTGCACATGTACCCTAAAACTTAAAGTATAATAATAATAAAATAAAATAAAATTTAAAAAAAAGAAGTTTTCCTAACATTGTGTGGTAATTGTTGGCTGTCGACTCATATTTAAAAGTAGCGCATTAAAAAGATTTCTGCATGTAAAAGTTTCACTGACTGTGGTCTTCACCACATGATGATCTCGCTGTGCTATTTTGTAGGAAGAGAACTTCTGAAGTTTATAATCTAGGTATTTTATTTAGGCCAGTCAGATCTCTCTAACTGATACTTCCAATATATATCCTGGAGAGTCACTGGGAACCAAGTATGCAAAATGGCTTCATATTTTAATATATTTCTTAACATTTGTTATGCAAAGTCTATGTAATCTTCCTGGTTTTAGTATGGCACTCTCATCATCAACTTTGCTGATTCTTCTTGTCCAAAGACCTTTGTTTCACTATTCCAGGGAATAAAATTTCCATCTTCTGTGTGGATGGGAAGGAAGTTGCCTGATTGCTCAAAACTGGGGAAGAGGCCCGAGGAATAATTACTTCTTAAACAGACTTTTAATCAGTCTTTTTTGTTGACGCCATATCTGTCTCCTGTTTTCACAGCCAATTTGTTGCTTATTTCTTAGCCTTTGGAAATTTCTGTGATACAATAGCTTCTCTGCCTTCCCTGCTGGTGCTTTAGGATTTAGTTTTCCTAAAACGGATAAGTCCGTTATCACTCACACATTATCCTGCTTTATAGCTATGAAACTGTGTTAACATGTCTTCTTTTCCTTTCTCCTTGTCCTATGGGTTGCTACCCTAAACCTTTTTCAGTATAGTTATATTACTAGAGTTTGAGAAGAGAGTAGATCTAAATATCAATTTTAATCCACAATGTTTAATATAAATTCCAGCCAAATTACAGATATAAACTGCCCCAAATTCAAGATATATAAATGCAAGTTGTTTAAAGATTTCCAAAATCATGTTTTCCAAATTTGCCAACTGATAAGAATCTTTAGAGATCTGTTGAAATGCACATTCCCGGGTATTACCTTGGATTCACTGAATTGGAATATTCAAGAGAATGACAGGGAATTTATATTGTTAAAAAGTGCAAAAAGTATGGTTATAATCAGCCAGTTTGTGAAACACCAATTAGAGGCATGTGACAAGATGAACATTTTCACAAATACATGTATGATGTTAGCACTGCCCTGATACCAAAAATAAAAAGATATTTGCACACACTCACACACACACAAACAAGCTATAGGTAACTCTTAATTAGAAACAGATTCAAAAACTTTAAATATTAGCAAATTAAATGTAACATTATAATAAAAGAATAATAAATCATGATCAAGTCAGAAGTCTTCAAAAAATCGCAGTACAGGGAAACAAGATAGCAGACGAGATGCAGCCAGGAGAAAGGCTGCTCCCACCAAGAGAGATAAAAATACCAAGTGAACCAATAGATTTTGAACAGATCTTTGGAGAGTAAATACTGAGAGTCAATAGAGAGGCAATGCGGACACTGAGGCTGAAGAGACAGGAAGCTGGGAACCCTGTGCAGTGTTGCCAGATACAAGGGCTAGTGCCCACACCGAATGGCTCCTAGGAGGTGAGTGAAGGGACAGTGGGGCAGCCCACATTTACCAAGGACCTCTGGGATCCTGCCCACAAGAGATTACAGCCCCTCCCCCCAGCCCCCAAACGTGTGAACTGACAGGAGGATATGCCCAGAGAGTAGGAGGAGACAGAACCCAGGGCTGTGCGGAAACCAGGGGGTTTTGTGCACAGGGCAGATACAGTAGGATGCAGCAAAAGGGGTTCAGTCCCCAAGGCTCCCTATGTTGCTCTGAGTTGCTCTAACTTCAGCTGACTGCAGGGCCAAGAGACAGCAGGGCCGACTTTCCCAAGGGAATAGGCCCTGTCTGTTCTACAGGCCCTCCTGCCTGACAGCCCCTCCCAAGTCCCCTTTTGGATCCTCCTGCAGGAGCCTGTGCATAGCGCAGCCTCTGCTGCCCAGGGCGAGTGCTTTGCTGGTGGTCTGGGAGCACTTTAGATCCCCCAGAGCAGCCAGTGCCAAAGCCCAGGGGCTGGAGGATGGAGTTGCAGTCCAGTCCCAATGTCCCAGGGCTAAAGTGTGCAGCACCAGAGTGTCAAGCAGAGGTAGCCAGTGCTCTAGTTGGGGAGGAACCCCCACTCTCAGAAAACAGAGGAATGAGATCACAGGCTCATGGACAGATGCTGTAGCCGGGCATGCCTCCTTCTGCAGGGCCAGTCTGAGAGTGGCCTGTCTGCCAGCTGCAGTGTCTGTCCAAAGGAGCCCCAAGATCTGGAACAGCTAACAAAGGAAATGCTGGCACAGTGCCAGTGATAGGAGGGGGCTCCCTCAAGGCCCAAGAGTGGACCTGCTGAGGGAGTAAAAAATCAAAATCATACCAAGCACACTCTTGGACTACAGTACAATAAAAATAGAGATCGATACCAACAAGATATCTCAAAATTATTCAAATGTGTGGAAATTAAACAACTTGCTCCTGAATAACTCTCTGGTGAACAATAAAATTAAGGTTGAAATTTAAAAATTCTTTGAAATTAGTGACTATAGAGGAACAACTTACCACCATCTTTGGGATATAGCTAAAGGAATGCTAAGAGGGAAGTTTATAGTGCTAAATGCCCACCTCAAAAAGTTAAAAAGATATCAAATTAAGAATGTAATATTCTACCTGGGGGAATTAGAACATAAAGAATAAACCAATCCCAGAGCTAGCAAAAGAAAAGAAATAATTAAAACCAGAGAAGAACTGAACAAAACTGAGATGCAAATATCCATACAAAAGATCAATGAACCCCAGATATGAGTCTTCAAAAGAATAAACAAGATTGATAGACCATAAGCTAGATTAACAAAGGAAAAAAAGAGAAGAACCAAATAAGCACAATCAGAAATGACAAAAATGAAACTACAACCAATTCCACAGAAACACAAAAGATCTTCAGAGACTATTATGGACACCTTTGTGCATACAAATTAGAGTATCTAGAGGAAATGGATAAATTCCTGGAAACACACAACCTCCTAAGATTGAACTAGGAAGAAAATGAAAGCCTGAACTGACCAATACAAAGTTTCAAAATTTAATATAATAAAAAACTTACCAACCAAAAAAAAATGCCCTGAACAAAATGGATTCACAGCTGAATTCTATCAGACATACAAAAATGAGATATTACTGACCCTACTGAAACTATTCCAAAAAATTGAGAAGGACAG
This sequence comes from Homo sapiens, assembly GCF_000001405.40. Taxonomy (NCBI): domain Eukaryota; kingdom Metazoa; phylum Chordata; class Mammalia; order Primates; family Hominidae; genus Homo; species Homo sapiens. Next base: position 8,070,024 of record NC_000009.12, on the reverse strand, counting down.
GCTCCTGTCTCACTCATTCTATTAAATCAGCAGCACCCTGGTACCCAAACCTGGCAAAGACACAATTAAAAATGAAAACTTCAGGCCAATATCCCTGATGAACATAGATGTAAAATCCTAAACAAAATACTAGCAAACCAAATTGAGCAGCACATCAGAAAGATAATCCACCACAATCAAGTAAGTTTTATTCCTGGGATGCAAGTTTGGTTCAACATATGCAAATCAATAAATGTGATTCACCTTACAAACAATTAAAAATGAAAACCATATGAACATCTTAATAGATGAAGAAAAAGCCTTGATAACATCCAGCATCACTTCATAATAAAAACCATCAACAGACTAGGCATCAAAGGAGCATACCTCAAGGTAATAAGCCATTTATGACAAACCCACAGTCAACATCATACTGAATGGGCCAAAACTGGAAACACTGCCCTTGAGAACTGTAAAAAGACAAGGATATCCTGCCCTTGAGAACTGTAAAAAGACAAGGATATCCACTCTCACCACTCCTATTCAACATAGTACTAGAATTCACCCAGAGCAATAAGGCAAGAGAACTAAATAGAAGATATGCATGCAGGAAAAGAAGAAGTCAAGCTATCTCTCTTCACTGATGATATGATCCTATACTTAGAAAACCCAGGACACGGAAGCTCACACCTGTAATCCCAACATTTTGAGAGGCTGAGGCAGGAGGGCCGCTTGAGCCCAGGAGTTTGAGACCAGCTCAAGCAACATAGGGAGGCCCTGTCCCTACAAAAAATACAAAAACTAGCTGGGCATGGTAGCACATGCTTGTAATTCTCGCTACTTAGGAGGCTGAGGCGGGAGGGTTGCTTCAATCCAGAAGGATGAGGCTGCAAAGAGTTATTACCAAGCCACTGCACTCCAACCTGGGCAACAGAGTGAGACCCTGTCTCAAACGAACAAACACACAACAACAAAAAAACAAAAAAACCCGCAAAACAAATCTCATTTTTCACAGATTTAGAAAAAAATATATTCTAAGATTTATATGGAATGAAAAAAAAGGCCACATAGTCAAAGCAATCCTAAGCAAACAGAACAAAGCTGGAGCCATCACATTACCTGACTTCAAACTATACTGTAAGGCTACAGTAGCCAAAACAGCATGGTATTGGTACAAAAACAAACACACAGACCAATGGAACAGATTAGAGAATCCAGAAATGATCTTCAACAAAGTCGACGATAACAAACAATGGAGAAAGAGACTCCTATTCAGTAAATGATGCTTGGATAGCTGGCTAGCTATATGCAGAAGAATGAAATTGGACTTTGACTTTTACCATATACAAAAATTAACTCAAGACAGATTAAAGATTTAAATGTAAGACCTCAAACTATAGGAATCCTGGAAGCAAATGTAGGAAACACCATTTTGGACACTGGCCTTGGGAAAGGCTTTATGGCTAAGTCCCCAAAAACAATTGCAACAAAATAAAAAATCAACCAGTGGGACCTAATTAAACGAAGGAGCTTCTGCACAGCAAAAGAAACTATCGACAGAGGAAACAGACAACCTAAAAAACGGGAGAAAATATTTGCAAACTATGCATCTGACAAAGGTCTAATGTCTAGCATCTATAAGGAACTTTAACAAATCAGCAAGCAAATATCATATAACCCCATTAAAAATTTGGCTAATGACCTGGACACTTCTCAAAAGAAGACATACAAGCAGCCAACAGACAGATGAAAGAATGCTCATCATCACTAATCATCAGAGAAATGCAAATCACAACCTTGGTACCCATCAATGATGAATTTGATTTAAAAGTGTGATACATATACACCATGAGAATAATATGCAGCCACAAAAAAGAATGAAATCATGTCCTTTGCTGCAACATGGATGCAGCTGGAGGCCATTATCCAAGGCAAATTAATGCAGAAACATAAAACCGAACACCGCATGTTCTCACTTATAAGAGGGAGCTAAACATTCGTACACATGGACATAAAGATGGGAACAATAGACACTGGGAACTACTAGGGGGAGGGAGGGAAGGAAGTATGGGCTGAAAAACTATCTATCGGGTATCATGCTCACTACCTGGGTGACGGGATCACCTGTACCCCAAACCTCAGCGTCACACAATATACCCATGGAACACACCAGAACTTTTATCCCCTGAATCGAAAATAAAAGTTGAAATTGTTTTTGTAAAGAAAAATTTTTCTTTGAAGAATTGATAAATGTTTGAGATGATATGTATGCTAATTAACCCAATGTGATCACTATACATTGTATATATCAAAACATCAATATATACCCCATTGAATACGTATGATTATTTGTCAATTAAAAAATCTGAAACTAAAAAAGGGAAATATTGCAGGGATAGATCATTATACAAAAGTTTTCTTTTTCCATATAAATCACAACATTAATCTTTTAAAGAAGAAAATCTATGCAGTTATTTCAACAAAGGCTGAAAATCATCAAATAATAATCAATATATATTTCAGATAGTAAGCAAATAAACATTTTTCTAGGAATAGAAAGAAAGGTCCTTCACCTAAGTAAGTGTTATCTATCAGAAACCAGCAAACTACCGGCCGGGCGCGGTGGCTCATGCTTGTAATCCCAGCATTTTGGGAGTCCGAGGCAGGCGGATCGCGAGGTCAGGAGATCGAGACCATCCTTGCTAACACGGTGAAACCCCATCTCTACTAAAAAATATAAAAAATTAGCTGGGCTTGGTGGCAGGTGCCTGTAGTCCCAGCTACTCGGGAGGCTGAGGCAGGAGAATGCTGTGAACCCAGGAGGCAGAGCTTGCAGTGAGCCGAGATGTGCCACTGCCCTCCAGCCTAGGCGACAGAGGGAGACTCTGTCTCAAAAAAAAAAAAAAAGAAAAAAAAAGAAAAGAAAAGAAAAACAAACCAGCAAACTACCTATCAATAACCATATATAGAAACCATGTCTACAGGAGGCAGGAAAAAGACACAGATGTTACTATTATTTCTATTATCGAATATTTTCCTGGAAATGTTCATCTATGCAATAAGATAAGAATAAAACAATAGAAGTATAAGTATTGCAAATAAAACAGTTTGTGATTTTCTTTTTAGAAAATCCAAGAGAATCCATTGAAAAATGAGAATTCATTTAAGTGTCTGGATACAAAGTTAACATAAAAATACAATAGAATCTTTAAATACTTACAGTAAATACATAGAAAAAAATGAGAATTCAGAAGTAGTAAATGTAAAAGTAACATTTCAAATCAGTAGAGAAATGATGGAGTATTTATTAAATTATTTGGAGAATATAGCTTTTTAATTGAGAAAAAAATTCATCCAACAAAATAGAAAATGTGCTAAGTGTATGACCAGAAAATCCTTGGTAAAAGATATATAACTGGCTAATAAGTATATTTTAAAATCAAATCTCATTATTAATGAGGAAAATGCACATTAAAATAACAATCAGATATTTGTCCATCAGATAAGCAAACATTTTAGTAATTAATGCTACTCTGTTTTGGTGAGAATCATGGGAAGAATACTCTGATATATTTTCATGGTAGTACAGAGTTTTAAAGTCTATTTAGAGGAATTTAGCCCCATTGACCAAAAATTAAAATACATGAAACATTTGCCCAGGTGTTCCACTTCTGATAATCTCTCATATAAAAATACTCTTATATAGCGTGATAATCTTTGTTCCAAAATGTTAATTGAATAATTATTTTTAATGGTAAAAATACCTTGAAAATAGCCAAAGATATGAATCAAAAAGGAAACTTGAAATTAATTTTTACACACATGCTATAAATATTATGCAGTCCCTTAGAAGAATGATATATGTACTATTATAGAAAACATCTCCTAGACATCCTAAGTTTTTTTAAAAAGAAAATCACAAGGAAATGTAAAATGTTATAATTTTTGTTAAATTTAAAACAGAACTAAAAGGTTCCTTATGAAATGTTTAACAGGGGTCACCTCTAATAAGGGATGTTGGAAGGAGATACTCACTCTGTATTCTTTATGATTTATATAACAAGATAAATTATCCTTTGTATTACTTGAGGAATTGTTTAATTAGAAAAGTGGTGCTAATTTCATAAATTCATTAGATGCTGTTATAAGAGTTTTCTCTTAAAAATATTAGTGCTTATAGTGTTTATCTAAATAGGAACGTAGCAACTGGATTCTACCTTACTTTTACTGATTTGACAGAATAAAAGGAAAATATGCTTCTTCCACTTCATGCCTTCCCGGGTTTACCAACTTGACCCTCTTTTCCGTCTAGTCAGTCCTTATTCATATTCTCATATCCTGAGAGATCCCTACCCCATATTTTTTCTCTTGACCAGAGAAAGTTTTTATCAAGCAGAGAGAATTAACTTCTATATTTGTGTGACCTGTCTGCTGTTTCTCTGAGGATTTCCAGACAAGCCATATTAGAGAGGACACTTTCACTTTATAATGGGGTGGAGGTGGTGGAAGCCCGAGCGGGACGTCTTCCTTGGTTTTGCTTCTGGGCATCAACTTTGAAGGGCTGAGTCTTTTTTATTCCTTATGACTGACTGATATATTTAGGTTCTAAGTCTATAAGCCTTGCCTTTCCCTTGCCTTTTTCTCCTTTTTTTTTTTAATTCCTTTTTTCTTCTTATCACCTTAGTCTTTAGAAGTGAAACCTAAACAACTTTATAGAACAGATTGGGCTTGTGTCAAAACATTAAAAAAAAAAAAAGGAGGTGGAGGAAGCCAAACGAAAGAGCAAAACTGTGTTACACATGTTTGGATATAGGACAAAAATAAATCAGATGATAGGTATTTACACTTTAAGTAATGTGGTGAATGTTTCTCTACTGTAAACCCTTAATTGCAGATCGATACCATTTACACCACTCCTCTCTGCAAGTAGTAAGTGTCTCTCACCTCACCTGTTTCTAATCATTTGACATTATTAAAGAGATGGCTAAAAACATCAATTGGAATGATTTCTCCTAAACTAAAAATGAATCAATTAGTCTTGGTGACATTCACTGTGTGAAAGCAGGACCAAGAGAGGGAAAGGGGGAGAGAAACCCCATACAGTGAGTGTAAATGTGTTAGTTTCCCAAGTTCACGAGAGTTAACTTGGAGTTCAGGGTTTAGCAAAAAACATACTGAAAAAAAAATATATTGTGCTTTTCTACTGTATTGCTGTGTTTGGTACATATGGAGTAAGTATAGATTGCTTACAAATTGATTATGCTGTAAGTATATCCAGTTGAACAATAACTCTGAACTTCTAGTTCTGGACATTTGTCATGTCAAATCTCCTCAGCGTCAGTGAAAATTAGTGATCAATGCCATTTAAAAAGGAACAGATATTCATTATTAATAAACATGGCAAGGCTGAAATGAGGTAATTAAGTAGAAATAAATTAACTTTTACTTTATTCCAAGGGGAAAGCCTGTTAGGATTGATTGCTGAATTCATTTAATTAATGTTTTAATGCAATTCAGAAATAGCAGAAAGATTGAGGAGTGGCACATACTATATAAATTTCCAAAAAAGGAATGGGAATATTTTAAAATTTAAAAAAAATGCTTATTTGCCAAGCCTCACATTGCATACATTAATTGCTTAATTCTGGCAATGTGAAATTTAACTGGATTTCTTTCCTCTGGGGCCCCAAATCTATTTCTGCTATATAACCTGGCTGAAGGAAGAAATTAATATTTTGGCCTGGATCTAGTTGATGCCTCCTTTGGTTTATGAATATGTTCAGTTTTCCTGAAGCCCAGTGGGAAAGGTCTGACTAGTCCCTTGTCAATTTTGTATCACCACCAGCTCCTTCTAATTCATCACTGCATGGAAGCAACATTTCCCAGAATTTTCTTCCTTCCCTTTATTGTTCCAGGTTAGAGTTGGCCAATAGGAGGCACTTAAACAAGAGTTGGAAGACATTAGAAAAGGAGGTCAAATATTCTACATGCAAGTGTGTGGGAACACAGCAGATATCTAACAAATCCTTTAAAGCCACCCATTTTACTCATGTAGACGAGCTGGTTAGCTGGTGCAAATTTCCTAGAGATTCCTAAGGTTTGCAATGGCTTCTAGGTGAGCTATTGAGAATCTTTTGCTTCAAGGTTAAGTACCAGAGTGTACTTTGGTACTCCTTGACCTTAATTCCTTTGTGCTTTCCAATGATTGATAAGCTTAATTTCCTTAGTCAAAACCATTCAAACTTGGAATATGTAGAGTTGCTTCTATTTTCCTTACCAAACTCCCCTGACATAATATCACTGTTGGAATCATCATTGATTTATCAGAATGGATCCCTTGCCCTTGCAATTTTGATACATACCTTATCCACAGCTGGGCACTCTCTTGGATACAAAGCTAGAATTACAAATACTAGACTCTTTCTAAGTCTCTTGCCTTGGTCACTCTGAGCATGATATAACACCTCCTGTTGTGATTAACAATTACTACAAGATACCAGTCCACATGAATATATTTGCTGAAAATTGGAGTTTCTTCTTTTTGATAGGGAGAAAGCTGCAAGGAGCAGTTGTAAACTCAGGGGAGAATGAAGGCAAGGAAATACTAAGAAAGAAGCCTGAGGATATGGAAGATATATTTACCATGAAAGATTCTGGTGGTGGAGTGGAGGGTTAGGAAAAAGATAAGATAGGAGAGCAAGAGTGAACATGTGGGTCAGAGACAAAGAGCCTCTGAAAAGGAATGGGAGGGAGGAACTTCCAAATGGCAGACTGGAGGCTTCAGGTACTGGTGTCTTCCACAGAGAAGAACCAAAATGGTGAGTAGATAATCAAACATTGAACAGATCATCTAAAAGAGAGCACTAGAATTCAACAGAGAAGTGACAAGAAACACCTAAGGCAAGTAAGGAGGTGGGAGCAAGGCAGCCTGTTGGTCAGGATTTCCTCGGAGCCTGGCAGGCTCTCTAATGTGGGGAAAGGGCAAGTGAAAGACCTCTAGTGGTCCACATTTCCAACAAAAACTCCTGCAATCCTAACTACAAGAAAACCCCTCCACCTTCACAGGCCCTGAGACTAACACAGGGAGCTGCCTGGGCAATGACATTGCTCCTGAGAGGAAGCTCATGCTGGGTCTCATACACCACTACCCCTGTGAGTCTTAAGCAGCTACAGCACAACACCATTTTGAGAGTCCAGCACCCACCAGACTACATCTTGCCCTGGCAGCCAACAGTCCCTGCAATTCCACATCCGTAGAACTCAGTTTACATCCTCCATCCACAGCCACTGCTGCTGCTGGCTATGCTGCTAAGGCTGAAGCATGAGTCACTGGCAGCAAACCTGCCACCTCAGCGGTGAGGCCACCACACATTCACAAGCACCCCGAGGACAAGCTCGCCCACTTACAGCCTTTGCCACTGCTGGCTGCCAGCACCAGGGCTGATGTGCCAACCACTGGTAGCAACCCTGCTGCCCCCAGCATTGGGGCCACCACAAATTTATGAGTGCCCTAAACCAAAGCGATATTATAAGAAAAGAACTAAACAGAAATCTTGGCAGTGAAGAATTCACAAAATAAAATAAAATATATGCTTGAGAGCTTCAATAACAGACTAGCTCAAGAAGAAAAAAGAATCAGAACTTGCAGACGGATCTTTTGAAATAGCCCAGACAAAAAAAATAAAAAATAAAAATAAAAAAAGAATGAGCAAAGCCTTAATGACATATGGGACACTATAAAGTGACCAAATACTCAAAATTTTGGTGTCCCAAAAGGTGAAGGAAAAGTGAAAGTCTTAGAAAATCTATTTAACACAATAATAGATGAAAATTTTCCAAGTCTAGCAAGAGATTTAGACATCCAGATATAGGAGGCTCAAAGATCAACAAATACAACTCAAAAAGATTTTCTTCATGGCACATTATAGTTAAACTATCAAAAGTAAAAGAAAACAAGAAAATTCTAAAAACAGCAAGACAAAAGTATCAAGTCAGCTATAAAGGAAACTCCATCAGACTAACAGTGATTTCTCAGCAGAAACTTTATAGGCCAGGAGAGAATGAGATGACATATTCAAAATACTGAAAAAAAAACTACCACCCAAGAATGCAATATCCAGCAAAATTATTCTCCATAAATGAAGAAGAAATAAAATCTTTCCAGAAAAGGAAAAGTTGGGGACTAGCCCTACAAGAAATGCTTAAGGAAGTCCCACACCTGGAGGCAAAAGAACAATAACTATCATCATGAAAACACATGGAAATATAGAAACCAGTGGTAGAATAAACATACGAAGAAGAAAAAGAAAGCTTCAAATATTACCACTGTAGAATACCACTAAACCACAATGATAATGACAGAGAAAGAAAAAAACAAAGCATATAAAAAACAACTAGAAATCAATAAATAAAATGATGGGAATAAGCTCTCACATATCACTAATAAGCTTGAAAGCAAATGGATTAAACTGTCCACCTAAGATATATAGACTGGCTGATTGGATTAAAAAAACATGATCCAACTACATCCTGCTTATAAGAAACTTATCTTACATGTGGTGACACATATAGACTGAACATAAAGGGATGGAAAAATATATTCCATGTAAACAGAATAGCTATACTTAGATCAAATAAAACAGACTCTTAAAGTAACAAACAGCAAAAAAAAAAAAAAAAAAAGAAAGAAAGAAAGTGGCTATATAATGATAAAAGGATCAATTCAGCAAGAGGATATAACAATTCTAAACATATATGCTCCCAATACTGGAGCACCCAAATGAATAAAACAAATATTATTAGATCTAAAGGACTTCACAGACTCCAAAACAATAATAATTGGAAACTTCAACACTCCCCTCTCAGCATTAGACAGATCATCAAGTCAGAAAATTAATAAGGAAACATAGGATTTAAACTGCACATTAGATCAAATGGACCTAAAAGACTTTTACAGAACATTTCATCCAACAGGTACAGAATACACATTCTTCTAATCAGCACATAAAACATTCTCCAGGATTGACCATATGTTTAACACAAAACAACTCTCAAAAAGTAAAAAAAAAAACCAAAATCATTTCAAGTTATCTTCTCAGACCACAAAGGAATAAAACTAGAAACCAATACCAAAGGAGCTTTAGGAACTGTACAAATACATGAAATTAAATAACATGCTTCTGAATTAAGTTATTGAAGAAATTAAGATGGAAATCAAAAATACTTTAAAACAAATGTAATGGAAACACAACATACCAAAACCTGTGGGATACAGCAAAAGCAGTGCTAAGAGAGAATTTCATAGCAATAAGTGCATATATCAACAAAACAAAGATTTCACATGAACAATCTAATGATGGATCTCAAGAATCTAGAAAAGAAACAACAAACCAAGCCCCAAATTAGAAACAAACAAACAAACAAACAAACAATAAAGATTAGAGGAGAATTAAACAAAATGAGACTAAAAAAGGATCAATGAAATAAAAAATGGTTATTTGAAAAGATAAACCAAAATGATAAACCACTAACTAACCAAGAAAAAAAAGAAAGAGGACCCAGATAAACAAAATCAGAAATAAAAAAGCAAACAATATGACTGATACTACAGAAATGGAAAAGATCATCACAGACTATTATGAGCAATTACATGCCAACTAACTAGAAAATCTAGAGGAAGTGGGTAAGTTCCTGCATAAATACAAACTACAAAGATTGAATCAGAAATATATTGAAAACCTGAACAGACCAATAATGAGTAGTGAGATTGAATCAGTGCTGAAAAGTCTCCCAACAAAAAAATGTTCAGGATGATGAAGAACTAACTCATTCTACAAGCTCAGAATTACCCTAATACCACAACCAGACAAGGATGCAACAAAAAAGAAAACTACAGACCAATATTTTTGATGAACATAGACATAAATATCCTCATCAAAATACTAGCAAACTGAATCTAAGAGCACATTAAAAAGATAATACATTATAGACAAGTGAGATTTATCCCAGGGATAAAAGGATAATTCAACATAAACAAATCAATAAACATGATAGATCACATCAAGAGAATAAAAGATAAAAATCCACTACAGTGTTAAAAGATGCAGAAAAGGCATTTGATAAAATTCGACTTCCCTTCAGGAGAAAAACTTTCTATAAACTAGGCATAGAAGAGAGACATTTAACATAATAAAGGCCATATATGACAAACCCACAGCTAGCATCATAGTTAATGAGGAAAAGCTGAAAGCCTTTTTTTCTAGGAACTGGAACAAGATGAAGATGCTCATGCTCACCAATCCTATTCAGCACAGTACTAGAAGTTCTAACCAGAGAAATCAGGCAAGAGAAAGAAATAAAAGTCATCCAGATTGGAAAAGAGGGAGTCACATTGTCACTTTTTACTGAAAAAAATGATCTTACACCTAGAACAACATAAAGACTCCTCCCCAAACCCCATAGTTTGGATGAATAAATTCAGTAAAGTTGTAAGATACAAATTCAACAATCAACATTAAAAAATCAGTAATGTTTCTATAGACTAATAATGAAATAGCTGAAAAAGAAATCAGGAAGGCAATCTCATTTGCAGTAGCTACACAAACAAAAACAAAAAAAGAGAAATAAATTTAACCAAACAGGTTAAAGAGCTCCACAGGGAAAACTAAAAACACTGAAGAAATAAATTGAAGAGCACACATACAAATGGAAAGACATCTCATGCTCATGGATTGGAATAATTAATATTGTTAAAATGACTATACTACTCAAAGCAGTTTATATATTCAATGCAATTCCTATCAAAATACTAATGGCATTTTCTGCAAAAATAGAAAAAATATCCTAAAGTTTATATATAATCAAAATAGAACCCAAATAGCCCAAATAATCCTGAGCAAAAAGAATAAAGCTGGAGGCATCACACTACCTGACTTCAAAATATATTACAAGAATATAGTAACCAGATCAGTATGGCATTGGTATAAAAACAGACACATGAGACCAATAGAATAGAAAAAAGAACCCAGAAATAAATCCACATCCTTATAGCCCACTGATTTTTTACTAAGGTGCCAAGAATATACATTTTGGAAAGGAACAGTTTTCTATAAATGGTGCTGGGAAAGTAAGATATCCATATGCAGAAAAATGAAACTAGACACCTATCTCTCAACATACAGAAAAATTAACTCAAGATGGAGTTGAACATAAGACCTGAAATTATAAAACAACTAGAAGAAAACACTAGGGAAGCACTTCAGGACTTTGGTTTAGGCTAAGATTTTATGGCTAAGACCTCGAAAGCACGGGCAACAGAACCAAATTGGACTATATTAAACGAAAAAGCTCTGCACAACAAAGGGAACCATTAACACAGTGAAGAGACAACCTGTTGAATGGCAGAAAATATTTGCAAGCTATTTATCTATCAAAGGACTAATATCCAGAATAGACAAGGAACTAAATCATTTCAACAGTAAAAACATATCTTTGTTATTGTGAATAAGTAATAAACATGAAGGAGCAGGTAGCCCTTTGATATACTGATGTTTTTTTCTATAGGTAAATACCCAGTAGTGGGATTGCTGGATCATATGGTTGTTCTGTTTTTAGCTTTTTTTTTTTTTTGAGAAATCTCCATACTGTTTTCCATAGTAACTGTATTAGTTTACATTTCTACTAACAGTATATAAAAGTTCTCTTTGCTCCGCATTCTCACCAGCATCTGTTATTTTTTGCCTTTTTAAAATAATCAAACCACCCCATCAAAAAGTGGTCAAAGGATATGAACAGACACTTCTCAAAAGATGACATTTATGCAGCCAACAGACACATGAAAAAACGCTCATCATCACTGGCCATCAGAGAAATGCAAATCAAAACCACAATGAGAGACCATGTCACACCAGTTAGAATGGCGATCATAAAAAAGTCAGGAAACAACAGGTGCTGGAGAGGATGGGTGTGTGTACAGGGAGAGGGAGGCATGAAGAGCCTGGTTAATAAGTATAAATGTAAAGTTAGATAGAAGGAATAAATTCTAATGTTTAATAGAAGAGTAGGGTGACTACAGTTAACAACAATGTATTGAATATATCAAAATATTGAAATATACAAAAAATTGTATAGCTAAAAGAACTTGAAAAGTTCTGGACACATAGAAATAATAAATACTCAAGCTTGTTCTGGTAACTGTGCTGGATTGTAGGTTTATAAAGATAAACAGAATATACATGATTTTTGAAAGTGTTCTCCAAAGAGTAAAGGGTTTTATATATAAGAGCTAATATAATTTCATCTGAATTGGAGTAATTCAAGTAATCCTAAATGTTACCCTCTGTCCTAAGGGAAAAATTTAAATACTTTCAACATCCAATCAGGATATTATCAAAGCTGCTAAACATCCCTGCTGATTACCTATGCTACTCACTATGTAAATACTATAAAGTCTTAATACTCTTGGTTGCAAGTGACAGAACCAACTCAATTTAGATTAAAAATATAAGAGAAAATTACTGGACATATACTGAGTGTTGCAAGTTGGGTTCCCCAGAAGCAGACAGTGAGATGCAATTTGGTATGTAAAGAAATTTCTTAACGATTAATGCCTTGGAAATAAGAAGGTGGAAGCATTAGAGGAATTTGAATTGTGATACAGATCTGGCAAACCTTTGATTTAACTCAGGTTAGGAACCTGTGCAACTTTAGACTACAGTAGTAGCATTTTGCAGATTTTGTTTCTATATCTCTTCCTTTAACTTTATTGAACTTTCAGTCTCTAATTCTATTGTCTTCCAATTCCAATTCCCCTAAAAAAATTTTATTGGCTCGGATTTGATCAGGTTATCACCCCTAATGCAATCATTGGCAGCCAAGCTCATGTAGTTTGAAAATGGCTTCCAGAGCCCTGTAAGTAGATAAGATAGTGTTGGCAGTGAATTAGCTCTTAGGAAGGAGGAAAAAGCTCATGGGCTGGGAAAGGAGAAGAAATGTCAAATAGGAACACAAAGTGTCACATTCTTTCATTATTGCTTCTGACATTCATCACAGAAATGTAAGATGTGAGTACTCCAAAAACAAAGGAAGAGCTATAGAGTTACTCAATTTCTAATATGTTTTACAGATATAAAATGTTATAATTACTATAACATTTCATGGCCTACCAGATAAAGGTAACGCTCAGGAGAAATAGAAAATAGCGAAGGTTAATGAATCCTTGAAGTCTGAGTTTGTGTTAGTACATCACGATAAATAGAAATCACTGCCTTTTTTTTTTAACCATAGATACTTCATGTTATAGCCATGCTTCATCAGAAACAGCCAGATGGCAGAGATACACCAATTGTTTCATCCTCAAAAACAATCTCATTTATAGCATGAGAGTATACATAAGAGGCCCATCAATCAACAGCTGTCACACCCAGGCAGTAATGTAGATTAAATATTCTGGAGGTCCCTCCATTGTAAACAACTAGATTTGGGTAAAGTAGAATTTTTAATGAATTGCTAGGACAAAATAAGAACTAAGTAACAAAAAACAGTGAGATGAAACAGAGCTAGTAGGAACTTTTTCAAGCAAGTACAAAAAAGTGACTTCATCTTAAAAGCAACTTCAAATGTCAGCCTTGCAATGATACCTGAGTGCAGGACACTGCAGAAAGAAAGCTAAGCCTTAGACTAACAAGGGAAAGGAGTTGAGCCTGAGATTCCAATTGTAAGCCAGGATACGAAGGGACTAAAGTTGTTTCATAGTCTGAGTAGCTGGAACTGACAAGGTTACTATCAATGTATGTTCTTTAAAGGAAACTCAAAAGTATGTACTTCAGCAATCAGAGAGATAATTCCAGTAAGAAGGTCTGCAATAAAAGAAGGAATAGTGAGCAAAGAGATCAGATAGTATGCAGGTAAATGTAGACTAGTACTGCTTATATAATATAATAATAATAATAATAATAAGTCATTTTTGGGATTAAAAAGAATAACAGAAAATGCTGAAAAATACTGGCATGTGAGTTGGAAGAGAATTGCTTTTTCACAATGAAGATAAAGAAATTAACTTTAAGACTTTATGCATTGTACAATTTCAGTAATAACTGATTGAAAAATTAGAAATGGAGGGCAGATCTTTCAGTTTAGCAAAGGAAAACAGATAGAATCAAGCAAAAAGAAAAATGAAATTTAAAATGCAAGAAGAAAAAGAAAGTTAAAAAACTGGAACAAATAGAAAACACCAAATAAAAAGGTGGAAAAAAGCTTATATTTGACTTTAATATAATTATGATTGAGACATTCAGAGAATTAACTGACAAGGTGAAGAATTTCAGAATAAAACTACAAATTAAAAAAAATTATTGAAAAGACAAAAAGAAACACAAATTCTGTAAGACAAATAGCAACAAATAGAAAATAAGTACAATAAAGATTGGACCTCCAAATTTAAAAAAAATAATTAAAATATAGTTAGGTTAATAATTATGCCAATTAAAAATAATAACTGCCAGACTTAATTTAAAAATTAAAAGCTATAGCTTTTTACAATACAAGTCAAAGGATGAAAAGATATATCATGTTAATCCTAAAACAAAGAAAGTTGATATTGCAATATTAATATCTTAATATCAAAGTAGCTGTTTAAGAAAAAAGTATTATTCGAGATAACGAAGTAAATTTTACAATGACAAAAGTATAATAAAGAAAACACAAAAATTTTAAATCTGCATGTGGTTAATACAACCTTTAAAATACAAGCAACAAAATAGAAATAAAAAGGAGAAATGGAAAAATCCACATAGTATTAAGGTTTAATATATCTAAGAATAAACAGCAAAATATCCATAAGAATCTAGAAGACTTGAAAAACAATATCAATCAACTGGAGCTAATTGACACACATTGAATGCTTCACTCAATATCTGCAAAATACACATGCAGTATTTTGCATTTTGCTTTTCAAGAGCAAAAATAACTTTTATAAAAGCTCTTTATTTGCTATATCATGAAACAATTCTCAACACATTTCAAATGATGAAAATAATACAAAATATATTCTCTGACCCCAGAGTAATTAACCTCTGAATCAATAACAAAAGATAAGAATATGCCCATAGAGCTGAAAAATATTCAATACATTTTAAATTAATCCATGGGTCACAGAAGAAAAACAAAGGAAATAAAAAGATCTATTTTAATTGAATGGTAATTAAAATATGACATATTAAATCAAATGTACAAGTTAGCAAAAGTCATGTTTAAAATGAAAGTTATACTGTTAATTTAGTATATTAGAAAACAAGAAAAGCTAAAAATCAATGATCTAAGTTCCTCCCTCAAAAAGTTAGAAAAAGAGCAACAAAGTGAATAGAAATTAACAGAAGGAAGGAAATAACAAATATAAGAGCAGAAATTAATAAAATAGAAAACAAACTACAGAAAGACTTTAAAACACGAAAACTTGTTACTTTGTAAAGACAAATAAAATGGAAAAACTTCTGGCTAGACTAATGAAGGGAAAAGAAATATTCACATTATTAATATTAAGAATGAAATGAGCAACATCACTACAGACTCCACAAGCATTAAACATATATATTATTTTTACCAATAAATATGAAAATATAGATGAAATGTATAAATTCAGATAAAAACACAGCACACTAAATCAGCACAAGAGTAAAAAGAATATATGAATAACCCTCGACATATTAAAGAAAACCTTCCCACGAATAAAACAACTTCCAGATGGCTTTCCCATCCCAGTGAATTCTATGAAACAGTTGAGGAGAAAATAACATCTACTTTACATGAATTCTTTAGGAAAATACAAAAAAGGAACATTTTCCAACAAATTCTATGACACCAGTAGAACCTTGATATAAAAACCTTCAGCACAGATACTGGGCTGAAGAGGGAGGAAGCCAGGAACTTTCTTGGGGCTACCATGCACTGGGACTCATTCCTGGCCCCCAGTGACTCCTGTGGAAGGGATGAGTTGAACAAGCAAGGAGCAACCCACTCAGAATCCTGGCAGGAGACCCCTTGACCATCACACACACTTCAGTTGGCAGGGAGAGCTGCTTAGAGAAGTGGTAGGGGCAGAACTCCAGCTGGTGGGGAGCCCAGAGCATCTGGTGTGAGAGCATCTGTAATGGAGCATGACCAGGGACACCCATCCCCCTAGGCTTGACTTGTTCCCATAGGGTACTTTAGCCCTAGGGGAACTATTGGACCCGAAATATGCAGGGTGGTCTTGTGCAAGAAGCAAGGCTGGTCTGACCTGAGCACCCGTTTATCAGCTGGCCTCTCCTCAGGCCCCAACCTGGCCTGCCCAGCATATCATAGCTCTTGCCCTGGACTGCCCCTGACCGGCAGAATGCTCCAGCAAAGCAGACCCCATGGAAAAGCACCAGCCTGCTCGTGCCCTCCCCTGACAATAGCCTCCTCTGTGCTGCTTTGCCTGCATGCTCACCCATGCCCACCACCTACATGGCTTTGCTGGTGTGTGTGTGTGTGTGTGTGTGTGTGTGTGGACAGACCTTGCCTTCCCTTATCCATCAGCATATGTGTGCAAGTGCATCCTTCCATGCCACTGCTGCCAGTATGAGCGCACTCCAACCCCCTGTCTTCTGGCCACACCACTATTGTCATTGGAGTATTGGTGAGCATGGAGCTGCCAGCCTTGCCCTTCAAGCACCACGCCCCTGCACTAACACTGTCACCTGCACAAAGCTAGGCATGGAGAACAGTGGACTTGTACCAGCCCTGAGCAGCCACAGCTGCCCATGTAAACATGCACAGAGGGCATGCACAGTCCTGCATCCACCAGCATCCTGCCCTCATGCTAACACCACTACCAGCATGAACACATACAGTTGCCACTCCTTCACAAGCTATGCTGTCACTGCCACTGCTGTGAACACTCATACACCACTTGACAAGCATGCACCCCCCTGCTGCTGGCACATATGAACAAGGATGAATTATACCGCCACTACCCTGTGAAGTGCTTTGGCTGGCACACCCATTGGAATGTGACTAGTGGTCCACGGGGGCCTCAGCTCGTCCAGCACAGCTAGTGTCTAACTTCTTGGAGCCAGAGAATAAAGCTGGGGCCTGATACCAGTCCTCCAGAGTTAAAGCACACAGTCCAAGAGTCCTGAGCTGAGCCTTAGGCCCCTAAAGTCTCCCAGAAACAAAACAAGTCAGCCAAACCCACTTTGTACCAGGGCAAACCCACAAGTCATCAAAGAGGATAAAAGGAAAAAATATTCATCTAAAGGACAACTTCAATGATTAAAGGAATATCAACCCACAAAGATGAGAAAGAACCAGTGCAGTAGCTCTGACAATTCAAAAAGTCATAGTATCTTTTTTCCTCCATAAGACCAAAAAAGTTCTCCAGCAAGCATTCTTAATTGAGCTGAGATATCTGAAATGACAGAAATAGAATTCAGAATGTGGAGAGGAAGGAAGATCATCGAGATTCAAGAGAATGGCAAAACCCAATCTAAGGAAAGTAAGAATCATGATAAAATAATACAGGATCTGACAGACAAAATAGCAGAATATCCAGAATAGAAAATAATGTAACTGACCTGATGGAGATGAAAAACACACTACAAGAGTTTCATAATGCAATCACAAGTATTAACAGTAGAATAGGCCAAGCTGAGGAAATAATCTCAGAGCTTGAAGACTGGCTTTCTGAAATAAAACAGTCAGACAACAATAACAACAACAAAAAAGAATGAAAAGGAATAAACAAAATGTTCAAGAAATATGGGATTATGTAAAGAGACTGAATCTATGTCTCATTAGCATCCCTGAAAGAGATGGAGATAATGGAAGCAACTTGGAAAACATGTTTCATGATATCATCTATGATAATTTCTCCAACCTAGCTAGAGAGGCCAACATTTAAATTCAGGGAACAGGACAACATTCAAATTCAGGAAACGCAGAGAACCCTCACAAAACACTTTACAAGAATTTTATCACCAAGAAATATAATCATCAGATTCTCCAAAGTCAAAATGAAAGAAAAAATGCTGAAGACAGTAGAGGGAAAGGACAGGTCACCTAAAAGAGAAGCCCAACAGACTAACAGCAGACTTTTCAGCAGAAACCCTGCAAGCCAGAAGAGATTGGGGGCCCAATCTCTCCCTTCTCTTCCCTTCCCTTCCCTTCCTTCTCCTTCCTTCCCTTCCCCTCCCCTACCCTACCCTACTCTTTCTTTCTTTTCTTTCTTTCTTTTTTCTTTTTCTTTCAACACTCTTAAAAAAAAAGAAAATCCAATCAAGAATTTTATATCCAGTCAAACTAAGCTTCATATGCCAAGAAGAAGTAAGATCCTTTTCAGACAAGCAAATGTGGAAAGAATTTGTTTCCACTAGGCCTGCTTTATAAGAGCTCCTGAAAGAAGCACTAAATATGGAAAGGAAAGCATTTACAAAACACACTTAAATTCACAGACCAGTGACACTATAAGGAAATCACACAAACTAGTTGGCATAATAAACAGCTAACCACATGATGACAGGACGAAATCAATACATATCAATACTAACTTTGAATGTAAATGAGCAAAATGCCCCAATTAAAAGGCACAGAATGGCAAGCTGGATAAAGAAGCAAGTGCCAGTGATATGCTGTCTCTAAGAGACCCATCTCACATGCAATGAGACCCATAGGCTCAAAGTAAAGGGATGAAAAAAAGTCTACAAGGCAAATAGAAAAAAAATCTACAAAGCAAACAGAAAACAAAACATATACTAGCAGGGGTTGCTGTTATAATTTCAGATAAAACAGACTATCACATAAAACAGACTAAACCAACCAACATCAAAAAAAGACAAAGAAGGCCATTATATAATGGTGAAGAGCTTAATTCAACAAAAGGACCAAACTATCCTAAATATATATTCACTCAACACAGGAGTATTCAGATTCATAAAACAAGTTTTTAAAGACCTTCAATGAGACTTAGACTCCTGTGCAATAATAGTGGCAGACTTCAACACCACACTGACAGTATTAGACAGATTGTCAAGGCAAAAAATTAACAAAGATAATCAGGATCTGAACTCAACGCTGGACCAAATGGACCTAATAGCCATCTACAGAACTGTCCAACTAAAAACATCAGCATATACAGTATTTTTATTGCCACATGCCACAGACTCTAAAATCAACCACATAATCGGACATAAACCCTTCCTCAGCAAATGCAAAAAACCAAAATGATACCAACCAGTCTCTCAGACCACATTATGATAAAAATAAAATTCAAGGCTAAGAAAGTTGCTCGAAACCATACAATTACACGGAAATTACACAACATGCTCCTAAATGATTTGGAAATAAATAATGAAATTTAGGCAGAAATGAAGAAGTTCTTTGAAACTAATGAGAACAAAGATATAACATACCAGAATTTCTGTGAAACAGCTAAGGTAGCATTAAGAGGAAAATTTATAGCATGTAACACCACATCAAAAAGTTATAAATACCTCAAATTAACAACCTAACATTACAACTAAAAGAACTAGAGACACAAGAGAAAATCAACCCCAAAGCTAGCAGAAGACAAAAAATAGCAGAAATAGGAGCTGATCTGAAGGATAGTGAGACACAAAAATCCATTCTAAAGATCAATGAATCCAGGCACTGTTTTTTTTTTTGAAAAAATTAATAAGATAGACCACTAGCTAGATTAATAAAGCAGAAAAGAGAGACGATTCAAATAAACACAATTAGAGACAACAAAGGGGATATTACCGCTGACCCCATAGAAATACAGATAATATCAGAGAGTAATATAAACACCTCTATGCACACAAACTAGAAAATCCAGAAGAAATGGATAAATTCCTGGGCACAAACACTCTCCCAAGACTGAACCAGGAAGAAATTGTTTTCCTGAAGAGACCAATAATGAGTTCCAAAATTAAATCAGTAATAAATAGCCTACCAACCAAAAAAAGCCCAGGAACAGATGGATTCACATCCAAATTCTACCAGATGTACAAAGAAGAACTAGTATCATTCCTACTGAAACTATTTGAAAAAACTGAGGAGGAGGGAGTTCTCTCTAACTCATTCTATGAGGCCAGCATCATCCTGATGCCAAAACCTGACAGAGACACAACAAAAAATAAAACTTTAGGCCAATATCCTTCATGAACATTGATACAAAAATCCTCAAAAAAATACTAGCAAAGGGAATACAGCAGCACATCAAAAAGCTAATCCACCATGATCAAGTAGGCTTCATCCCTGGGATGCAAGTCTGGTTCAACATACTCGAATCAATAATCATATCAAATAAACAGAACTAAAGACCAAAATCACCTGATCACCTGAATAGATACAGAAAAGACCTTAAATAAAATCCAACATCACTTCATGTCAAAAATCCTCATCAAACTAGCCATCAAAGGAGCATACCTCAAAATAATAAGAGCCATCTATGACAAACCCACAGCCAACATTATACCATATGGGCAAAAGCTGGAGGCATTTCCCTTGAAAACCAGGACAAGACAAGAATGCCTTCTATTACCACTTCTATTCAACATATATTGGAAGTCCTGGCCAGACCAATCAGGCGAGAGAAAAAAATAAAGGGTCCAAATAAGAAGAGAGGAAGTCAAACCATCCCTGTCAACAAAGGACATGATTCCATATCTAGGAAACCCAGTAGCCTTGGCCACAAAGCTCCTTAAGCTAATAAGCAACTTCAGAAAAGTTTCTTTTTTTAATTTATTTTTCCACAAGTTATTAGGGTATGGGTGGTATTTGATTACATGAGTAGGTTCTTTAGTGGCGATTTGTGAGATTTTGGTGCACCTATTACTGAAACAGTATACACCACACAATATTTGTAGTTTTTTATCCCTCACTCACCTCCCCCTCTTCCCCAATGAGTCCCCTAAGTCCATTGTGTCATTCTCATGCCTTTGAATCCCCATAGCTTAGCTCCCACATAGCAGTGAGAACATATGATGTTTGGTTTTCCATTCCTGAGTTACTTCATTTAGAATAATAGTCTCCAATCTCATCCAGGTCACTGTGAATGCTGTTAATTCATTGCTTTTTTATGGCTGCATAGTACTCCATTATACATATATACCACAGTTTCTTTATCCACTTGTTGACTGATGGGCATTTGAGTTTTTTCCACGATTTTGCAATTGTGAATTTTGCTGCTATAAACATGCGTGTGCAAGTGTCTTTTTCAAATAATGACTTCCTTTCCTCTGGGTAGATACCCAGTAGTGGGATTGCAGAATCAAATAGTAGTTCTATTTTTAGTTCGTTAAGAAATCTCCACACTGTTTTCCATACTGGCTGTATGAGTTTACATTCCTGCCAGCACTGTAGAAGTGTTACCTGTTCACCGCATCCATGCCAACATCTACTGTTTTTGGATTATGGCCATTCTTGCAGGAGTAAGATGGTATCACACTGTAGTTTTGATTTGCATTTCCCTTGCCATTAGTGATGTTAAGCATTTTTTTCTATGTTATTGGCCATCTGTATAACTTCTTTTGATAATTTTGTATTCATGTCCTTAGCCCTCTTTTTGAGGGATTGTTTTTTTCTTACTGATTTGAGTTTGTTGTAGATTCTAGATATAAGTCCTTTATCAGATTATAGATTGTGAAGATTTTCTCCCATTCTGTGGGTTGTCTATTTACTCTGCTGACTGTTCCTTTTGCCATGCAAAAGCTCTTTAGTTTAATTAAGTCCTAGCTATTTATCTTTGTTTCTATTGCATTTGCTTGTGGGTCCTTGGTCATGAAATCCTTGCCTAAATCAATGTCTAGAAGGGTTTTTCTGATGTTATCTTCTAGAATTTTTATAGTTTCAGGTCTTAGGTTTAAGTCTTTAATCCATCTTGAGTTGATTTTTGTATAAGGTGAGAGATGAGGATCCAGTTTCATTCTCCTACGTGTGGCTAGCCAATTATCCCAGCACCATTTGTTGGAAAAGCTGTCCTTTCCCCACTTTATGTTTTTTCTTTACTTTGTCAAAGATCAGTTGGCTGTACATATTTGGGTTTATTTCTGGGTTCTCTATTCTCTTCCATTGGTCTGCGTGCCTATTTTTTTTTTTTTTTTTTACCAGTATCATGCTGTTTTGGTGACTATGGCCTTATAGTATAGTTTAAAATCAGGTATCGTGATGCCCCCAGGTTTGTTCTTTTTGCTTACTCTTGCTTTGGCTATATGGGCTCTTTTTTGGTTCCACATGAATTTTAGAATTATTTTTTCTAATTCTGTGAAGAATGATGATGGTATTTTGATGGGGATTGTGTTGAATTTGTAGATACCAGAAAAGTTTCAGGATATAAAATGAACATACAAAAACCACTAACATTCCTACGCACTGGAAACAGCCAAGCTGAGAGCTAAATTAGGAAAACAATCCCATTCACAATTGCCACAAAAAGAATGAAATACCCAGTAATACAGCTAATCAGAAAGATGAAATTTCTCTATAAGGAAAATTACACAAAACTGCTCAAAGAAATCAGAGATGACACAAACAAATGGAAAAACATCCATGGTCATGGATAGAAAGAATCAATATCATTAAAATGGCCATACCACACAAAGCAATGTATAGATTCAATGCAATTCCTATCAAACTACCAATAACATTCTTCACATAACTGGAAAAAAATATTATAAAATTTATATGGAACCAAAAAAGACCCCAGATAGCCAAAGCGATTCTAAGCAAAAAGAACAAAGCAGGAAGAATCACACTACCTGACTTCAAACTAGACTACAGGGCTACAGTAACCAAAACAGCATGGTACTGGTACAAAACAGACACATAGACCAGGGGAAAAGAATGGAGAGCCTAGAAATTATGCCACACACTTACAACCATCTGATCATAGACAAAATTCACAAAAACAAGTAATAGGAAAAGGACTCCCTATTCAGTGGTGCTAGGACAACTGGCTAGCCATAGGCAAAAGATTGAAACTGGATCCTATATATAAAAATCAACTCAAGATAGATTAAAGACATAAATGTAAAACCAAAACTACAAAAACCCTGGAAGACAATCTAGGCAATATCATTCTGGACATAGGAATGGGCAATACATATATTTCAGGACAAAGATGCCAAATGCAATTGCAAAAAAAGCAAAAATTGACAAATGGGATCTAATTAAACTAAAGAGCTTCTGCTCCACAAAAGAGTCAATATAATAAGTGGAAAACCTACAGAAAGAGACAAAATATTTGCAAAGCATGCATCTAACAAAAGTCTAATAATACCCAGCTTTATAAGAAACTTAAACAAATTTATAAGTAAAAACAGGCCTATTAAAAAGTGGACAAAGGACATGAACAGATACTTTTCAAAAGAAGACATACATGCAGCCGACAAGCATATGAAAAAAGCTCAATATCACTGATCATTAAAGAAATGCAAATCAAAATCACAATGAGTTATCATCTCACAGTAGTCAGAATGGCTATTAACAAAAATTCAAAAAATAATAGATACTGGTGAGATTATGAAGAAAAGGGAACACTTATACACTGTTGGTGAGAGTATAAATTAGTTCAACAATTGCAGAAAGCAGTGGGGCAATTTCTCAAAGAGCTAAAAGCAGAAGTACCATTCAACACAGTATACCCAAAGGAATATAAATCATTCTATCTTAAAGACACATGCATGTGCATGTTCATTTCAGCACTATCACAATAGCAAAGACATGGAGTCATTCTAAATGCCCATCAGTGGTAGACTGGATAAAGAAAATGTGGCACATATACACCATGGAATACCACGCAGTCATAAAAAAGAACGAGATCTGTTGCAGGAAGTCAGGGAATCTGAACGGAGGGACCAGCTGAAGCCACAGCAGAAGAACATAAATTGTGAAGATTTCATGGACATCTATTAATTCCCCAAATTAATACTTTTATAATTTCTTACACCTGTCTTTACTGCAACTCTGAACATAAATTGTGAAGATTTCATGGACATTTATCACTTCCTCAATCAATACTCATAATTTCCTACGCCTGTCTTTCCTTTAGTCTCTTAATCCCGTCATCTTCTTAAGATGAGGATGCATGTCACATCAGGACCCTGTGATAATTGTGTTATCTGCATAAATTGTTTGTAAAACATGTGTGTTTGAACAATATGAAATCTGGGCACCTTGAAAAGAACAGGATAACATCGATTTTAAGAGAAAAAGGGAGATAACCATAAAGTCTGACTGCCTGCGGGGCCAGGCAGAACAGATCCATATTTCTCTTCTTTCAGAAAGTGAATAGGAGAAATATCACTAAATTCTTTTCTCAGCAAGGAATAACCCTGGGAAAATGAATGAACTCCCAGGAGAAGGTCTCTAAAATGGCCGCTCTGGGAGTATCTGTCTTATGCAGTTGTAGATAAGGGATGAAATACGCCCTGGTCGCCAATTAAAAGGCACAGACTGGCAAATTGGATAAAGGGTCAAGACCCATCAGTGTGCTGTATTCAGGAAACCCATCTCATGTGCAGAGACACACATACACATAGGCTCAAAATAAAGGGATGGAGGAAGATCTACCAAGCAAATGGAAAACAAAAACAGGCAAGGGTTGCAATCCTAGTCTCTGATAAAACAGACTTTAAACCAACAAAGATCAAAAGAGACAAAGAAGGCCATCACATAATGGTAAAGGGATCAATTCAACAAGAAGAGCTAACTATCCTAAATATATTTGCACCCAATACAGGAGCACCCAGATTCATAAAGCAAGTCCTTAGTGACCTATAAAGAAACTTAGACTCCCACACAATAACAATGGGAGACTTTAACACCCCACTGTCAACATTAGACAGATCAATGAGACAGAAAGTTAACAAGGATACCCAGGAATTGAACTGTGCTCTGCACCAAGCAGACCTAATAGACATCTACAGAACTCTCCACCCCAAAATCAACAGAATATACATTCTTTTCAGCACCACACCACACCTACTCCAAAATTGACCACATAGTTGGAAGTAAAGCACTCCTCAGCAAATGTAAAAGTACAGAAATTATAACAAACTGTCTCTCAGACCACGGTGCAATCAAACTAGAACTCAGGATTAAGAAACTTACTGAAAACCGCTCAACTACATGGAAACTGAACAACCTGCTCCTCAATGACTACTGGGTACATAACGAAATGAAGGCAGAAATAAAGATGTTCTTTGAAACCAATGAGAACAAAGACACAACATACCAGAATCTCTGGGAGACATTCAAAGCAGTGTGTAGATGGAAATTTATAGCACTAAATGCCCACAAGACAAAGCAGGAAAGATCTAAAATCAACACCCTAACATCACAAATAAAAGAACTAGAGAAGCAAGAGCAAGCAAATTCAAAAGCTAGCGGAAGACAAGAAATAACTAAGATCAGAGCGGAACTGAAGGACATAGAGACACAAAAAACCCTTCAAAAAATCAATGAATCCAGGAGCTGGTTTTTTGAAAAGATCAACAAAATTGATGGCCAGCTATCAGGACTAATAAGAAAAGAGAGAAGAATCAAATAGACACAATAAAAAATGATAAAGGGGATATCACCACCAATCCCACAGAAATACAAACTACCATCAGAGAATACTATAAACACCTCTATACAAATGAACTAGAAAATCTACAAGACATGGATAAATTTATGGATACATACACCCTCCCAAGACTAAACCAGGAAGAAGTGGAATCTCTGAACAGACTAATAATAGGCTCTGAAATTGAGGCAATAATTAATAGCCTACCCACCAAAAAAAGTCCAGGACCAGGCAAATTCACGGCCGAATTCTGCCAGATGTACAAAGAGGAGCTAGTACCATTCCTTCAGAAATGATTCCAATCAATAGAAAAAGAGGGAATCCTTCCTAACTCATTTTATGAGGCCAGCATCATCCTGATACCAAAGCCTGGCAGAGACACAACAAAAAAAGAGAATTTTAGACCAATATTCTTGATGAACATTGATGCAAAAATCCTCAGTAAAATACTGGCAAACCAAATCCAGAAGCACATCAAAAAGCTTATCCACCATGATCAAGTCGGCTTCACTGCTAGGATGCAAGGCTGGTTCAACATGTGCAAATCAATAAACGCAATCCATCACATAAACAGAACCAACAAAACCCATACGATTATCTCAATAGACGCAGAAAAGTCCTTCGACAAAACTCAACAGCACTTCGTGCTAAAAACCCTTAATAAACTAGGTGTTGATGGAACATATCTCAAACTAATAAGAGCTATTTATGACAAACCCATAGCCAATATCATTCTGAATGGGCAAAAACTAGAAGCATTCCCTTTGAAAACTGGCACAAGACAGGGATGCCCTCTCTCACCACTCCTATTCAACATAGTGTTGGAAGTTCTGGCCAGAACAATCAGGCAATAGAAAGAAATAAAGGGTATTCAGTTAGGAAAAGAGGAAGTCAAATTGTCCCTGTTTGCAAATGACATAATTGTATATTTACAAAACCCCATCATCTCAGCCCAAAATCTCCTTAAGCTGATAAGCAACTTTGTCAGTCTCAGGATACAACATCCATGTGCAAAAATCACAAGCATTCCTATACACCAACAACAGACAAACAGAAAGTCAAATCATGAGTGAACTCCCATTCACAATTGCTCCAAAGAGAATAAAATACCTAGGTATCTGACTTTCAAGGGATGTGAAGGACCTCTTCAAGGAGAACTACAAACCACTGCTCAACGAAATAAGAGGACCCAAACAAATGGAAGAACATTCCATGCTCATGGATAGGAAGAATCAATATCATGAAAATGGCCATACTGCTCAAGGTAATTTATAGATTCAATGCCATCCCCATCAAGCTACCAATGACTTTCTTCACAGAATTGGAAAAAAACTACCTTAAAGTTCATATGGAACCAAAAAAGAGCCCACATTGCCAAGACAATCCTAAGCAAAAGAACAAAGCTGGAGGCATCACGCTACCTGACTTCAAACTATACTACAAGGCTACAGTAACCAAAACAGCATGGTACTGGTACCAAAACAGAGATATAGACCAATGGAACAGAACAGAGACCTCAGAAATAACACCACACAGCTACAGCCACCTGATCTTTTACAAAGCTGACAAAAACAATAAATGGGGAAAGGATTCCCTATTTAATAAATGGTGCTGGGAAAACTGGCTAGCCATATATAGAAAGCTTATACTGGATCCCTTCCTTATATCTTATACAAAAATTAATTCAAGATGGATTAAAGACTTAAATGTTAGACCTGAAACCATAAAAACCCTAGAAGAAAACCTAGGCAGTAACATTCAGTACATAGTCATGGGTAAGGACTTCATGACTAAAACACCAAAAGCAATGGCAACAAAAGCCAAAATTGACAAATGGGATCTCATTAAACTAAAGAGCTTCTTCACAGCAAAAGTAACTACCATCAGAGTGAACAGGCAACCTACAGAATGGGAGAAATTTTTGCAATCTACCCATCTGACAAAGGGTTAATATCCAGAATCTACAAAGAACTCAAACAAATTTACAAGAAAAAAACAAACAACCCCATCAAAAAGTGGGCAATGTATATGAACAGACACTTCTCAAAAGGAGACATTTATGCAGCAAACAGACACATGAAAAAATGCTCATCATCACTGGTCATCAGGGAAATGCAAATCAAAACCACAATGAGATACCATTTCATACCAGTTAGGCGATCGTTAAAAAGTCAGGAAATAACAGATGCTGGAGAGGATGAGGAGAAATAGGAATGCTTTTTCTTTGTTGGTAGGAGTGTACATCAGTTCACCCATTGTGGAAGGCAGTGTGGCTATTCCTCAAGGATCTAGAACTAGAAATACCATTTGACCTAGTGATCCCATTACTGGGTATATGCCCAAAGGATTATAAATCATGCTACTATAAAGACACATGCACACATATGTTTATTGTGCCACTATTCACAATAGCAAAGACTTGGAACCAACCCAGATGTTAATCAATGATAGACTGGATTAAAAATATGTGGCACATATACACCATGGAATATTATGCAGCTATAAAAAGGATGAGTTCATGTCCTTTGCAGGGACATGGATGAAGCTGAAACCATCATTCTGAGCAAACTATCACATGGATAGAAAATGAAACACCGCATGTTCTCACTCATAGGTAGGAATTGAACAATGAGAACACTTGGACACAGGGTGGGGAATATCACTCACCAGGGCCTGCCTTGAGGTGGCAGGCTGGGGGACGATGGAATTAGGAGAAATACCCAATGTAAATGATGAGTTAATGGGTACAGCAAGCCAACATGGCACATGTATACCTATGTAACAAACCTGCACATTGTGCACATGTACCCTAGAACTTAAAGTATAATAAAAAAAGAAAAAAAGAAAATGAGGTCTATACATACAATGGAACACTATTTGATTTTAAAAAAAGAATATTTGGCAATATGTGACAACATGGATAAACTTTGAGGACATTATGTTATGTGAAATGAGCAGTTGCAGAAAGACAAATTTTGCATGATTCTACTTATATAGGGTACAATGAGTTACTAATCTATAGGCATGAAGTCTTACTAAGCAAGATAAGTTCTAGAGATCTGCTGCACTTCGTACCTATAGTCAACAATTTATTGTACACTTAAAATATGTTAAGATTCCATGGCTTTGTTATTGTGAATAATGCAGCAGTGAACACATGAGTACATATATGTCTTTTTGGTAGAATGATTTATTTTCCTTTGGGTATGTACACAGTAATGGGATTGCTGGGTCGAATGGTAATTCTGTTTTTAGTTCTTTGAGGAATCTCCAAATTGCTTTCCATAGTGGCTGAACTAATTTACAGTCCCACCAAGAGTGTATAAGCATTCTCTTTCCTTCACAACCTCACCAGCATCTATTATTGTTTGACTTTTTAATAAAAACCATTCTGACTTTTCACCAGTGTGAGATAGTATCTTATTGTGGTTTTGATTTGCATTTCTCTGGTTATTAGTGATATTGAACATTTTTCCTATGTTTGTTGGGCACTTATCTGTTTTCTTTTGAGAAGTGCCTGTACATTTCCTTTGGCCACTTTTTAATGGAGTTATTTGTTTTTGGCTGGATGACATGTTCAAATTCCTTATAGATGTTGGATATTAGCCCTTTGTCAGATGTATAGTTTGCAGAATTTTTCTCTCATCCTGTAGGTTGTCTGTTTTCTCTGTGGGTAGTTTCCTTTGCTGTGCAGAAACTTTTTAGTTTAATTAGATCCCACTTGTCAATTTTTGTCTTTGTTACTATTGCTTTTGAGGACTTAGCATAAATTCTTTGCAGTCTGATGTCCTGAAGGGTATTTCCTAGGTTTTTTTCTAGCATTTTTATAGTTTGAGGTTTCACATTTAGGTCTTTAATCCATCTTGTGTTAATTTTGGTTTTTGGTGATAAGTAGGGGGCCGAGTTTCACATCCTAGGTGCCCATCAGTGATGGATTGGATAAAGAAAGTGTGGTATGTATACACTGTAGAATACTACACAACCAAGAAAAAAGAAAAAAAAATCCTGTCCTTTGCAGCAACATGGATGTAGCTGGAGGCCATTATCCTAAGCAAATTAGCACAGAAACAGAAAACCAAAAGCCACATGTTCTAAGTGGGAGCTAAACATTGGGTACACATGGACATAAAGATGAGAACAACAGACATTGGGGACTACTAGAGGAGGAAGGGGGGAGGGGAGCATGGGTTGAAAAACTACCCATTGGGTATTATGCTTAGTACCTGAGTGATAGGATCATTCATATCCCACACTTCAGCATCATGAAATATGCCCATGTAACAAACCTGCACATGCACTCCCTGAATCTAAAATAAAAGTTGAAATTGAAAAAAAAATGTGTTAAGAAGGTACATTTCATGCTCAGTGTTATTTCCACAAAAAAATAAAATGCTTAAAAGATGTTTAAGCTCTATTATTGGTCTTGTGTAATGCGTATCACCATCAATCTTCTGGAAGTACTTAGCTCTAAACTCTTTGTACTTTATAGGCTTTCTTGCTAGGCCCTGTATAAGAAAATCTTCATCCTTTACAGTGAATTTGTTGAACATGCCTAGGTCTTAATGGAATTGCTCTTTAGACTACCTTCTGGAACTTTTCCTAATTCTTCTCATGTCTCTCTGGCCTAAAAATATCTGTTTCAATGTCTTAGCTCTCTGTGGTAGCACAAAAGCAGCTCAATCGTTGTCCTCCAGGAAAATCTTCAAATAATATTTTTCCTTTGGCCTTCATAAAATGATGCTTTGCTGGTTTTACTCATATGTTTCAGACTGCATCATTTTGGTCTCCTTTATAGGCTTAGACTTCTTCATTCAACATTGAGGCTCTTCAAGTCCCAGTCTTGCTTTACTTCTCATTTTGTATTCTCTCCTTAGGTTACCTCATCCATACCAACAGTTTTAGATAGCAACTATAAGTAGCTGAGTCTTACATTTATATCGCAGCTTTGACCTTCTCTCACATATCAAAATGTAAATGTCTGCTTGATTCCTTTAGTTAGATGTCTCAAAAGCCCTTCAAATTCGTACTCTTTTCCAGCATTGCATATTTTAGTAAATTGTATCACCATCAACCTAGTTCTGAAAACCTGAACTACATCAAATTCATGCGTGGTGCCTCCCTTTCCATTATCTTCCACCAAGTCTATTCCCAAGTGCACAAATATCTTATCATAAATATCCATCGTCTTTAACCACTTCTCTCCCTCTTCACACACTTTGGCCAAACCATCATCATCTGTTGCCTGGCTTACTACAATAGACTTCTAACTTCATTCCCAGACTTCTTTTAACCTTTTCCCCCATTTGAAATTATACTTTTGATTGCAGATTTATGCTAACTTAGATTTATGCCTTACTGGATTTGTATTCTATGAAAGGCAGAGAGCAGGCTTATCTGTTTCATTATGGTAACTCCAATGTCTACCAGTGTGTGGGGCATAATAAGCACTCAATAAATATTTGTAAAATAAGTGAATGGAAGACCAAACAGAATTGAGAATTTAAAATCGTTAAATGTAAGTTACACATTTTTTAAATTTATGAACTCATATTTGAGAGACTGAAGGTTTGAATCAACTTGTATTTATTAGAAAAATTAAGAGAACAAACAAATCCATTATTAAGTTCCCACAAGTTAAGGAATATGGGAGTAAAATTTTCCTGAATATTCATTTTAGTAATCACAGTTGGTTTCCTTAAACAGCTTTATTGAGATAAAATTCACATGTGTTACACTTCATTCATTTGAGTTTGACAATTCTAAGTTTTTTTGACATATTAACAGTGTTGTCACCATCTCTACCCTAAGCTCTAAGTAACCACCAATCTACATTCTATCTCTACAGATTTTCCCATTCTGGACATTTGATATGAATAATAACATATATTAGATTGGTGTAAAAGAAATTGCAGTTTTTACCATTATTTTCCACGGCAAAAACCACAATTTAATAATATGTAATATTTTGTGACTGGCTTCTTTCATTTACCATAATGTTTTCAAGGTTAATTGACATGTTAGCTTTTATTTGTACTTCATTTTTTAATTGTTTTATCATGTTCCATTGTGTGTATGTATCACATTTTGTTTATCCTTTCATCAGTTGAAGAATATTTTGGTTGTTTCCACTTTTTTCCTATTATAAATAATGCAACTATAAATATTTGTGGACAAATATTGCATGCACATATATT
The DNA here is from genome assembly GCF_000001405.40 of Homo sapiens. Taxonomy (NCBI): domain Eukaryota; kingdom Metazoa; phylum Chordata; class Mammalia; order Primates; family Hominidae; genus Homo; species Homo sapiens. Next base: position 8,038,269 of record NC_000009.12, on the reverse strand, counting down.
TTAATTTCTCTTCAGAATATACCTAGAATTGCTAGGTCAAATGGTAACTCTGTGTTTAACATTTTGAGGAATTGCTGATATGGTTTGTTCTGTGTCCCTACCCAAATCTCATGTTGAATTGTAATTCCCAGTGTTGGAGGTGGGGTCTGGTGGGAGGTGACTGGATCATGGGGGTGGTTTCAAATGATTTATCACCATCCCCCTAGCTGCTGTCTCGTGACAGAATTCTCACAGGATCTGGTTGTTTAAAAGTCTGTAGCACCTCCTCTTTCACTCTCTCACTCTTGCCAGCCATGTGAAGATATGTCTGCTTCCCCTTTACTTTTCCCCATAATTGTAAGTTTCCTGGGGCCTCCCCAGTCATGCCCCTGGGTAGCCTGCAAAACCATGAGTCAACTAAACCTCTTTTCTTTATAAACTACTAGTCTCAGGTATTTCTTTATAGCAGTGTGAGAACAGACTAATACAGAAATTTGGTACTGGGAGTGGGCCATTGCGATAAAGATACCTGAAAATGTGGAAGCAACTTTGGAACTGGGTAATGGTGAGAGGTTGGAACAGTTTGGAGGGCTCAGAAGAATACAGGAAGATAAGGGAAAGTCTGGAACTTTATAGAGATTTGTTGAATGGTTGTTACTGAAATGCTGATAGTGATATGAACAGTGAAGTCCAGACTGAGGAGGTCTCAGATGGCAAAGAGGAACTCATTGAGAACTGGAGTAAAGGTCACTCCTGATATGCTTTAGCAAAGAGACTGGTGGCATCATGCCCCTGTTCTAAGGATCTGTGGAACTTTGAACTTGAGAGAGATGATTTAGAGTATCTGGGGAAAGAAAGTTCTAAGCAACAAAGCTTTCAAGATGTGGTCTGGCTGCTTTAAAAAGCCTATGCTCATTTGCATAAGCAAATTAAAGAACTGAAACTGGAACTTATATTTGAAAGGGAAACAGAACAAAAAATTTGAAAAATTTGCAGCCCAGCCATGTGGTAGGAAAAAACCCATTTTAGGGGGAGAAACTCAAACAGGTGGTGTAAATTTACATAAGTAAAGAGGAGCTGAATGTTAATAGCCAAGACAATGGGGAAAATGCCTCCAAGGCATTTCAGAAACCTTCACAGCAGCCCCTCCCATCACAGGCCTGGAGGCTTAGGAGGGAAAAATGGTTTCATGGGCCAGTCCCAGGGCCCTGCTCCTCTGTGCAGCCTCAGGACATCATGTCCTGCATCACAGCCACTCCAGCTCCAGCCATGGCTAAAAAGGCCAAGGCACAACTTGGGCCATTGCTTCAGAGAGTGCAAGCCCCAAACCTTGGTGGTTACCACATAGTATTAAGACTTCAGGTGTGCAGAGTGCAACAGTTAAGGCTTGAGAGCTTCCACCAGGATTTCAGAGGATGTATGGAAGTGCCTGGATGTCCAGGAAGAAGTCTGCTGCAGGAGTGGAGTCCTCATGGAGAACCTGCCCTAGGGCAATGCAGAGGGGAAACGTGTGGTTGGAGCCCCCACACAGAGTCCCCACTGGGGCACTGCCTAGTGGAGATGTGAGAAGAGGGCCACCATCCTCCAGACTGCAGAATGGTAGATCCACCAATAGGTGCCATGTCCTGAGGCTGCATAGACCAGCTTGCCCCCTGTGCCTGGAAAAGCCACAGGCACTCAGTGCCAGCACTTGAGAGCAGCCATGGGAGCTGAGCCCTGCAAAGCCACAGGGGCAGAGCTGCCCAAGGCCTTGGGAGCCCACCCCTGTTGTCAGTGTGGCCTGGATGTGAGACATGGAGTCAAAAGAGATTATTTTGCAGCTTTAAGATTTAATGACCACCCTGCTGGGTTTGGATTTTCATGAGGTCTGTATCCCCTCTTTTTTGGCCAATTTCTCTCTTTTGGAATGGGAGCATTTACTTAATGCCTGTACTCCCATTGTACCTTGGAAGTAACTAATTTGTTTATACTTGGAAGTAACTAATTTGATTTTACAGGCTCATAGGCAAAAGGGACTAGCCTTGTTTCAGATGAGACTCTGGATTTGGACATTTGAGTTAATGCTAGAATGAGTTAAGACTTTCAAGGACTATTGGAAAGGCAAGATTGTGTCTTGAAGTGTGAGAAGGACATGAGATTTTGGAGGGGTCAGGGTGGAATGATATGGTTTGGCTCGGTGTCCCCACCCAAATCTCATTTGAATTGTAATACCCAATGTTGGAGATGGGGCCTCGTGAGAGGTGATTGGATCATGGTTTCGCACCATACCCTAGTTTTGTCTTGTGTTAGAGTTCTCATGAGATTTGATTATTTGAAAGTATGTAGCACCTCCCTCTTCTCTCTCTCTCTCTCGCCAGCCATGTGAACATATACCTGCTTCCCCTTCGTCTTTTGCCATGATTGTAGGTTCCCTGAGGCCTCTCTAGAAGCAGAAGCCTCTACAGCCTGCAGAACTGTGAGCCAATTAAATCTCTTTTCTTTATACATTTCCCAGTCTCAGGCATATCTTTATAGCAGTGTAAGAATGGACTAATACAGAACTGTTTCTGTTTTCCAAAGCAGTTGTAGGATTTTATATTCCCACCAGCAATATATGAAAGTTGCAATTTCACTGTATCCTGTCTTGTTACTCTCTGCCATTTTGTTGTAGATATTCTAGGTATATGAAGTTGTATCTCATTGTTGTTTTGATTTGCATTACCTAACTATTAATAATTCCAAGCATCTTTTCCTGTAGCTATTAGCCATTTGTATGTCTTCTTTGGAGAAATGTTTATTTAAATTCTTTGCTCATTTTCCAATTGGTCATTTATCTTTTTGTAATTGACTTATGAGAGGTTTCATATACCTATTTTTTATATAAGTCCCTTATCAGTTATACGATTTACAAATAAGTTCTCCTATTCTGTGTGTTATCTTTTCACTTTTTTGAATCATTTGTAACACAACTTTAAAAATTTTATAAAGTCCAATTTTGTTTGTTTTAAAGTTGGTTAAAAAAATTTTATTTCATGACTCAATAACTAATTTTTGAGACATTTATGCAGTGGCAATTGCAAAAATGGTTTGTAATCTCAAAATTAGGTATTATATAATCATCACCAGTAGCATACTATTATTCAGTCATTTACTTATTTTTGAAACAATATGTATTAAACTTCTATTAATAATATGTAAAAGAGCATGAGATACATACAAGAAAATAATTATCAAAGTTTCAAATATGAATAATGAAATGTTATGTCTTATTGAGAAGTTAAAAGTATACAAGTAGCTTTAAGGGAAGGAAAAATTCTTACAAATAACAAAAGTGGCAAAACTAAAGTGCTTTGGCATTTCTAAGGAGGGAAATAGTAATTTCTTTCGGTCTGAGAGATAAAGAGGCTTCATGGAAGAGGCGGCATTTACACTGGCCTGAGGTTTTAAATAAGTGGATATGGGAAGAATGTGAAGGGCTGCTGCTAGCCAACATGACATTTCTATGTGAATAACTGAAAAGTTCTTCTCCTCTGTAGCTATAGTTCTTCATCGGGGTGTTTGGCTTGGTGGTGTCTAGCACTCCCCTTACTCTCTTGGCTGGACACACTTATACAATTGCTAATGGCAGCCCTGTCCAGGTACAGTAAAATGCAGAGTGTATACTGGCACCTGGGGAATATGGAAGGAACAACAAGGCTATGAACTTATAAACATTAAGGCTAGATTTCTATAAGATAATTGGTCACTTGGCACACCACTGAGTGATACAGGCACCCTAGCTTTTGTTTCTTTTATTTTCTGTACCCAGAAGAATAAAGCAAACTTTATTTTTATAGTCAATCACTTTACAAAGTTTTGCAAAGAAAGGAAAATGCAAGAGTGGCGGGCGTGCATATGTGAAGTGAAGTGCCTAGGATGGGAAGAAGGTTTATAGGTTTTTATAAAGACAAGAAAAAATTAGAAAGCAAGAAAGAGAGACAGTAAATTTATATATTTATATAGTGGTGATTTATAATATTTTCCCATGTGTTAAGCTATTTTCTCGCAGCTTCAAACACACCCTTTTCTCCTCTGCTTTGGTGATATCAGGCTGAGACTCTGCAAGTCACATTTCTCCTTTGCCAGCTTGGTTCCTATTATGGTTTACCGATAAAGAATGTAGATGGAGACTACCAAGTGGGGGAAGAAAGAAGGGACTTGCTTCTTCCTTTTTGCTTTCTTTCCATTCCATTAGAAGCAGTTGATTCTAGCAGTGTTTCTAACACTCACAAGCCAGTCTTATTATGCTCCTCAGAGGCATTAACACTAGCCAGCCACATGATTGGCTCAGGGGCCTGAGTCACAGCTCTGTAGCACTGGAGGCTCAGAATATCTACCACCAGCAAAGAAGCGCCTTTTCTAGAAGGTTTGAGTCCCAGCTATATGGAACTGCTTTTCCAAGTTTCTACATCTTAGTTATTCCAACATCTACTCTTTGTGCTTCCAGCTTCAGGGGTGGAAGCTGCTTCCTGCCATCCTCAGGATACCTTATTATTTCATTTTTACCTTTTTAATTATTTAATAACCAATAATTCACAATTTTTATATTAAATTCTCTCTGTTAAAATAACTTGTGGTTTGTCTCCTTACTGGATCCTGACAGATACATGTATAGAACTCCTTACTTATTAAACCAACTATTTTCACCTTTATTTTGACCTCAAGAAAAGTGGAAAAACACCCCCAAACATCAAGGCAATTTGGAAAGAAAAATAACAGGGAAGGGAGTCCTAGACTTCTCTGCTTCCTGGGCTGTGAGGTATGAAGGAACAAGATATCATTGACCTCACCCTTGCTCCACCAGCAACCTGAAATAACAATTGGAATCTTGATTTTAATGAGCCCACCTCTAAATCAATCAGCAGTTGAGATCAAATGTTGAAACTTGAAAAAATATAGAAGCTATCAGCATGTACATAAAAATTCTACCTTCTTGAGAGCCAATGTTCCCATTTTCCAACTATTTAAAAATGGGACTGCAGTAAGTAGGATCAATTGCTTTGTATTCAGTGCACAATGAATGTTTGATAAATAGTGAAATGAACTTCCTAGAGTCTTTTCTCTACATTGTATTAAGCATGAGATTTTTAGTTCTCCATTACATAGTAAGGCAAACACACACACAGAGGACATCAGGACTGAAGCAATGACTATTTTATTCTAAGAACCATTCAGGATGATGTGGCCCCATTCTGTTCTATATAGAGAAAGAGATGTTTGTTTATGGGGAGGAAGAGGCTTAGGAGGGGATGTCAATCCAGACTCTCTTGAAAACTCTGAGGTATTGAGCTAGTCATTGTTGCAGTATACTTCAAATGCTAGGTAGTACAGACTGCACACAAAGATAAGAGGTTACAACAATATTTGATGTATTTTCAGGGCCTAATTGATGGCACAGCTGAGAATGCCTCAGGGTGATTCCTGGCTGAAGTAGGCTTTCCATGCTGGGGAGATACATACACACACGCAAACATACACACACACACACACACACATATACACACACACACACACCAACCTCACTAGTTGGTTTGTTTACTGATAAGGATTTTTTTATCCTGTGTTTTTGTCTTTACATTCTGGAAATTGTCAGGTAAAACTTAGAAGGCATCCAACTTGGGAAAAGAGAAAAGAGTTTTCAGTTCATAGGTGAAATGAAATTGAGGAGAGAAAGAGAGCAAAGTAATCTGAATAAGAAAAATATGTGTATATTGCTATGGATGTAATTGAGACTCTGAGAGATATTATTTAAACAAAATGTGTTTTTGAGCATCAGAAATATAAAATAGAAAACGCAAAAAGAAAAGGGCACTATTCATTGTCATTCAGTTGGTTTTTAAGGACTCTAGGTGGGAGTTCAGGCTGTCCTAGAAGAAGGTCAGTAATAGCCTCTATCTAATCATTATGCAAATATAGTAATGGCACTGTCCCTTGTCTTAATGCCAGTGGAACATTTCTAGAGACCATTTCTAGGCTCTAGGAAAAAACCACTTGCATCTTAATGTGTAAGCACAGTTGTCTTTCAAAATAGTAAACCTACTGGGCAGGAAAGTTATCCACCCACGCGAGTCATGGAGAAGAAGATCTTACAGAAACAGCTACCATGAATAAAAGAGAAAGAAAAAAATAACTTGATAGACATTTTAAAAACTTTGTGGATTTATGACGGTCATGTGGTTTCATATAATGATCTCTGTTAATTTTTCTTCTTTTAAATCATTTCAAAAAAGTTTAATAGGAGGTTGTTGGGTGTATTTTTGTTTGTGATACCAGAAAATGATCAAAATGAATGGAATATAACCATGTCATTTAAGGTTTGGGGTTATAGGTAAGGTTACTAATATGATGCTCTGATGATGCTACTGTAATAGGTGATGGAACTTTTATTCATTTCTTGACATATATTGAGCACCTACTATACACCATACTGTGCTTAGTGGTGGGGATATAGAGGTGAAAAACTGTCTTGATAAATTTTAGTTTCATGCAGAGATTCTTTTTTAAACATGCATTCTAACAAAGAAGTAATGTGATAAAATCACAGTGTGATGTATGAGCCCAGGAATTGGACATGTAGGTGAGGGGAAGAGATGGGTTAATCATGAAAGAATCCCTGGGGGAAAAAGGCGTTTGAACCAAAGGGTAGACAATGGGAGATGAGACAGAAGAGGTAAGTAAGCAGGAAGTGGGATAAAGACGTTTCTCTTGGTTTAGCCCTGAAGTGATTTCCTCCTTCTGTACCTGCAACTGATTAAATTTGGAGCTTCCTTCTCCTCTTCCCTTTTTACTGTCAGGCTTGCTCTCCCCTGAACTGAGACATCCATTTTAAGTTCACTGGAGAGTCCCATGTACACCTCACCCCTGTCCAGACAGGCAAACTTCCTTGGAGCATAGCAAGATGCTATATGATGTTTGTAGAAATAATTCACAGCAAAATATCTTACAGAAGTTTCTTGAGCTCTTTTGAGGAAAGATACATTGGAAATTATGGCATGTCCTTAGCCACAATGATCCCATTTCTACTTCCTACATAAATCAGGACACATAAATTTTACACACACATATATATACACACACACGCACACTCACCGTACTATAAATGGTATATGCCTGCTATGGCTTCTCTGTATCTTCCCTATCCCTGTCCTTCAGTTAGAATCATCATTTTTTCAGAAGGGTTCTTTGGTTTCAGTGGCACTGAATATGGAGGTTGAGGAAATGGGGTGAAGAACAAAACACACGTTAGGGCAGAGGGAGTACTTTCGAGAAGAGTTGTAAAGAACTCCCATTTTTATAATAAAATACATACCTAATGTAGATGGAAAGAAATGTCTACTCATGTATATTTATGTAGTTTCTTTAAAAATGATATTTGTAAAATGCATTTATACACACATAGAAATAAGCCTAGAAGGATACCCTCCATACTGTTAACCTTTATTTTGAGGAATAAAATTGGGGTATGGGGCTGAGTTTCACATTTTACTTTGTACTTTTTTGTGACAAAAAACTAACTCAGCAATTTAATAGAACCAACACTTAAAAAACAAAACAAAACAAAGGTACAGATTCACAGTACTAAAAAAAATTCATGGCTTTCCTTTTACCTCCACAAAATATCCTAGATGCCTAGAGCCGAAAGGGAGCAAGAGATCACCAGCCCAGACAAGGCTGTGTCTAGTCCATCCAGCAGATGGTTACATACTCTCTTCTTTATGTTCTCCAGGAAAGGAGACATTCCCATGGTAGTCTATTCTTGAGTTCAATTATCCTCCCTCTCTTGAAATTTCCGCTTCTGAAAAAATCGATTCCCAAAGCTAAGAGACATTGTTAGTAAAGGATTATTTTTAGTTATTATTCTGAAGCATATGAGTTGAATGATGAAGGGTACAAGATTAAAATACCTGATACATGTGCCAAGCAGAAATTATCTGTTGAAGGACTTCCAAGTGACTCAGCATAAGTCATAGCATCTGAGACGTTAGCGAGTCCTAGAGGGGACAGTCTGACAGTGAACTGGACAGGTTTTTAACCATGACATAAAGCAGAGGTCTCCAGAGTCTTGACTTAGTTCTTTCATATTGTGGATGGCTGCAAATTCTAGCATCTATCACACACAATGAAATTAAAGGCAGTCACTAATTCTAATCTAAGAAATCTTCATAGATAAGTAAGAAAATTTCAGAATCTTACAACTCCAGAACAAAACAAGAAAACTGTTCAAATTTCCTGAAAGTAATCTTAAAGACTAGCTTCTAGGATCCTTTTCTACTCCCATCGATATCTAGAAAATATTCTTGGGGAATTTTTCTGCCCAGAGCATAACATTCCAGGATAGCCAATTTCTAGAGGATGTCCAAGGAAGAAATGATGGTTTAAAGATGAAATGAGATCCCAAACCACTGGGATCAGTTTAGAGTTGATCCTGACAAATGTTACACCCATTCAGATGCAAGTTCTCTTTCTGGTTCTTTGCATAAAAATTGTAGCATCAGGGATGTCTTGTTAAATTGTTGATTTTGCAGCAGCTAAAAACACCTCTCAATCATGTAGCCTCAGGAAATGTTAAATCACAACCATTTTAAAGAGTAAGTTATTTGTTAATATTTTGGATATACTGGGAACAACTTTAGAAGCATTAAAATGGACATTACTAGCTCCTCCTCACCTTCATAACTTAATTTAAATCTACACATGTTAGGTAAATAATCCCTAGCCAGCTTGCATGCAAACCTCACATCACTGAAGACACCGAAGAGACAGTTATTTTCAATTCAATTTTCAGGTATGATAAAACAAGTCCTACTTAATGAAATGCATCAAGTGTTCACTTTTATGAGCTTAAGGAAATAGCGTTTTACTTTTCTTGCGAGTACTGATTATCCTGTTAGAATTATAATCCAGTATTACATATTTCACCTGGCAAAGCAAAAATGGCATATTATTGCTTTGTATTCCAAGTAGAGAAATAAAGTCACAGGCCTTGAGGCTTAAGAAAAGAATTGTAACTGACACTTGAGGTTGGAAGCCTACGAAGTTGGATCTTTAGTTTTTACAAATCCAGATGTTATGTTCTGGTCAGGAGATGAATGGTGAGGTGAAATGATTTGCCAATAAAGCCTTAGGATTGTTGCTCAGGAAGAACCTACCAAAACCCTCCCAACATTTTTAATTCAATATAAAACTATTCTCCTCCTTGCTTATTCACTGCTCCAGTGATTCTCAACAGGGGAGATGGGGAATAATTTTGCCCTATAGGAGACATCTGGCAATGCCTGGAGACATATTTTGTTGTCACAATTGGAGAAGGAACGTGACTGGCATCTTGTAGGTAGAGGTTAGGAATGAACAGGCTATAGCACGCAAGACAGCACCCACCTTCCCAATAAATAATTAACTGTCCAGCCCAAAATTTCCATGGTGCTAAGGTTGGAAGGCTTACACTTCCACACTAATGGTGGTACACGTGCCAAGCAATGGTGGCTTCGTTCCTTGAAAAATTCATGGCCTTTCCACTTGCTGTTCCCTAACCAGGAAAGGCTCATCACTTGGCTCTTGATGTGACCCACCCTTCTCTGCGCAAATGTCACCAAATCCCGACCACAGATTCCACACCCCAAGCCCCCACTCCAGTCACTTTCTACATCACTGTTTTTTCCTTCATGGCATATACTATTTATCACTTGTCTTACTTGTTCACCTCTATCTCTGTAGTGAACAGAACCTTGCCACATAATAAGCTCTCAATTCATTTTGCAGTCAGAATGAATATATACATGTTTATATTCATTCACATTCACATTTGAAATTAGTTCGCTAAGTCTTTATCCAGGAGCAATAGTTGTAGCTAATATTTATTGTGCACTTGCTATCAGATACACATTCTTCTAAGAGCTTTGCATGGATTATCTCATTTAATCCTTACAACAATGGAATAAGGTAAGCACTATAACAATTCCCATTTTATCAATGAGAAAACTGAAAGTGAGATAACTTAACCCAGGTCACATGCTTAGTATGTCCATAGGCAGATTCCACCCAGAGTTTCTGCTCTTAACCACGAAGACTGATCAAGGTCCTTCTGAAATATCAACCAAACTTTGTTTAAGGGACACATCTAGCTTTCCATAGGGGTGGCCAATGCCATAATCCTATGAATTTTATTCAGTTCATTCAGTTCAAGAGAAATTTATTGACTGTCTTCCAGGTGCCAGTGCTATCCTTGGTGCTACTGAGCACTCGATGATAAATGATCCCTCCTTGTAATAAACAGACAGTCCCTCATCATTCTCTCTGGAGAATGACACTCCGTAACACTGGGTGGTCTCAGAGAGCTCTTACATTACAAAAAGTTGACCAAACAGAACTCTCCTGCTCTCTCATTTTACCCTAAATGCCATTAACATACACACAACGTACATATTGTGTACGGGTTGCTGAAACAGTTTATATATAATGGAACAACCAAAGTGCTGAAAGAGCAGAGTTTGCAGTAAAAATTGCTGCCCATGTCTTGGGTCCCTCACGTACTTTTTAAATTAAGAAACTTTTCTCTCTCAGCCTCTTATAAATACAGTTCACTATTACACTGAATAAAGCCACAGGCTGTTATTTAGAAACATAAAACGAGGCACACAAACAAATTCACAGCAGGGTAACAATTTTCTTTTTCTTTTAACCTCTTGCAAATGCCAACTCACCAGTCCCCAAATTGCTCTTTGGAGAAAATAAAGGCGATACAGTTAAAAGACACTGCCTCCGAATTCCTAAGCATGCTGTCAGGAAAAAGGACTGAAATGCACACAGCCATCTCTGTTGTTTTCTATTCCCACTGAACTGTTTTGAGGGTCTTTGTCTTCACCCAGAGAACTCAGTTATGCATTAAAGATCAAATTATTTCCTGACTACATAAAACATTTTCTCCCGAAAATACATGTGACCACCACATACTATACAAGGACTCCTGGCAATTGTGAAGTAGATATTTGAGACAAATATTACCAAGTTTCTTTCTCTTTTTCATTTCAAGCAAAAAGATAAATCATAGTTTTCATATGTTACGCAGTTTGTTACTATTGGATCTTCCTTATCAGAGATCACCTATTCCTTCTTCCTGCTTTAAGGAGCAAATTATACTACATATGTTTGTCTTCTTAAAATTTTTTGGATAAAATATTGCTTTAAAATATCTTTATTGGCTGGGCACAGTGGTGCATGCCTGTAATCCCAACACTTTGGGAGGCTGAGGTGAGGCAGGAGAATTTCTTGAGGCCGGGAGTTCAAGATCAGCCTGGTCAACATAGCAAGACCCCGTCTCTAAAAAAATATTTAAAAATATGAATTAAAAGGGTAAAGTACCTTTATTGCCCCCTGCCTACAATATCTAACAAGTTTTACTATCAGAAAGTTGATTCTTTTTTAAAGATGAAATTATTCTCTTACTATTTAGAGTAATTTCTCTGTCCTGGAAGAAGATGGGAAAACGTAAGAATTTCTTTTAGCAAAGCACCTTCAGTTAACAGCAATAAACATTTTTGTAGTGCTTCAGTTGTTTATAGAGGACTTTCACATACATTGTCGTATTGGACGGTCAAAGCATCTCATCTCATTTCAGACATGAGGAAGTTGATATTCACAGATGGCAAGGCCATGCAGCTATATGAGAACTGGTATTCAACCTCAGTTGTTCTGGCTCTTTCTCTTTAGAAAAAAAAAGAAAAAAGAAAGAAGGAAGAGATTGTCTTTCATTTGTTTTAATAGGTAATATTATAGCATCATTTTCTCATTTCCAGAGGTCTTTTTGAAATTTTGCCAAATACTCCACATTTCTTAAATGATGCAGAGATTATACTGAACATTGCTGAGGGTGATAGATGATAAATGCATACATTTTACACTCCTCAATGTGTGTGGTGTGGTTTTTAGCTAACAGTGTATTAATAGTATAAAATGGCAGTTGTGATAATCACCTGTTTTCTGCTACCAATTAGTCATGTAAGCTTGGCAAAGCACCTCACTCTGAGGTGCTTTCTCATCCCCTGAGAACTGAAGAGGGAAGTTCGGAGTCATTGGTTGTGAGATGTGACAGCAGACTTGGAGACCCTGTAAGCCCATTTATGGGCATGATTGCCAATCAATAAAGACCTGTTGAATTTCACTGAATTTGAATAATGCATCTTAGGAAACAGTGGCCTGGAGAAACTGAAAAATTTGACCAAAGTCACAGAGCAAAAAGAATATGGAATTTTGGTTCCCGGTTCCTGGTTCATACCCTACAGTATTACCATCTGATCTCTAAGAACACTCTTTCCTTTTCAAAGGAAATTTTCCTTTTTAAAAATATTCCTTTTTAAAGGAAAGGATGTTCTTAGAGATCAAATCATATGTTTATTAAATGTTATCTATGATTACTTAATGTTATCTGTTCAGCTAGCCATTCTGTAAATCGTATTCTGCTTGTTATTCTACTCTTTAAATGTCTTGCCCAATACTTGTCTGTAATGAGCTCTCTAATGCTTACTCAGACTACAGCTTTATGCTGATACTTTCTTTTTTAAATGTTTAAGGTGCGAGTCATTTAGTCTACTCTAGAACTAATAGTAAATCCCAGACTGATTCCACTTTTCCAGAGATAAGACAAACCTCTGTTAAAGTCTTATCTAAACTACTTTAATAGTTTATTATAAGAGGAGACCTAAAAAAAAACTAAACAAAGTAGGTTTATCCCAATTTCTAGTATCACAAAAAATTTGATGAATAGCAACAAGCTGTCCTTTCCATTTTTTTCATCCATTCAACAATATACTGTAGTGATTAGGAGACTGGTTCAAATCTACTGTTTTCCTTCAGCTTAAGCTTGTGCAAATCATTTACTAACTGTAAGCCTCAATTTCCTAATCTGTAAAATTGGGACTATTAGTAGTGCCTAATTATGGGGTAAGTTATGAGGAAAAACAGAAATAATGCATATGATATAGTTTGGGTTCTTGTCCCCTTCAAATCTCATGTTGAAGTGTGATCCCCAGTGTTGGACATGGGGCCTGGTGGGAGGTGTTTCAGTCATGGAGCTGGATCCCTCATGAATGACTTGATGTCCTACCAGTGGTATTGAGTAAGTTATCACTCCATGAATTACCACAAAATCTAATTGTTAAGAAAAGTCAGCTGGGAGCAGTGGTGCATGCCTGTAATCCCAACACTTTGGGAGGCCACGGTGGGAGGATTAGTTAAGTCAAGGATTTAAACACCAGCCTGGATAACATAGTAAGACTCCATCTCTCTGAAAATTAAAAAAGTAGCCAGGCATTATGCCACATATCTATGATCCTAGATAGTCAGGAGGCTGAGATGGGAGGATCACTTGAGCCCAGGAGGCCAAGGCTGCGGTGCATTGAAAACCATGATTGCATGACTGCACTCCACCCTAAGCAACAGAGTGTAATCTTGTCTCAAAAAAAAAAAAAAATTGAGTCTGAAACCTCCCTCCTCTCTATTTCACTCCCTCTCTCACTATGTGACATACATGCTCCCCCTCTGCCTTCAGTCATTAGTAAAATCTTCCTGAGGTCTCACCAGAATCTGAGTAGATGCTGGTGCCATGCTTATACAGCCTGCAGAACCATAAGCCAAATAACCTTTTTTCTTTATAAATTACCCATTCTCAGGTATTCCTTTACAGCAGTGCAAAATGGACAAACAAAGCATACAAAACACTCATCATATAGAAACTTTCATAGTAATTGCTCAGTAAATATTGACTATTTCATGAATAAATAAAAATATTTATATGGTACCTTCTATAAGCCTTGTGCCATGCTAGGCACTTAGGGTACAATTGTGTTCAATATGAAAAATATTTATTCTCTTCCCTGGAAGAATACAGAGTCTGCCAGCAAAGACAGATATGGAGTCATGTGGTTGAAACAAAGAGATATAAGTTCTGTGATAAACATGTTACCAGGCCCCAAGGTGAAAAAGAAAGATGTGGCCATTATGGCTCTAGGAGAGTCAGAGAAGAAGTCTTGAAGGGAGAATAGCATTGGTCAGGCAGAGAGGAAAGAAGCTATGATCAAGGAGCAATGAAGGGTCAGAGCATGGGAATGTAGAAGGAAGTATTGGGACATCAAACTGGAACTGGTGTGTTGGGGCAAGGTTTTAAAGGGCCTTGAGGACATGTTCATAAGGAATTTAGGAGAAACTTATTTTGGATAACAGTAAGCCCATTAAACAGAGAAGTAACATAATCAAATGTGATTTTAGAAAAATGACTCTAGCTGGGTGGAAAGCGCACTGGAAAGGGAAAAGGCAGATGACAGGGAAATGAGTTCAGAGGCTTTTGACATGGTTCAGGCAGGAGATTCAGTGCCCTGGACTGCAGAATTGACAGTGAGTGTGAAGGGAAGAGTGTGTGGACTGGAGATTGTAACAAGAAGCATAAATGTAGCAGCAACTGCAGTGTGTGCTCCAGGTTAGAGACCTGTAAGTATATCCACAACATCAGAGGTCCCCAAAAGATGCACTAGTATGCAGTATGCTTTAATTTAAAACTACTACGATGGTGGAAAGAGTAAAAAGCTTAGATTATGTGCAACTTTTTTTCAGTGAAAAGCCTAAATTGGGTACTTCAGCTTCCTCAACCACTCCCAGGACTATTCTAAAAGGTAACATTAAATGGATCTCCTCACTTTTTAATGACTTAATTCCCATCACTTTCCCAAGCTAGGTTAAATTATTCTTCCTTACATATTTACAGAGTCCTGAGCATATCTCATTTTATTAGAACTGCCCTTTCATTCACACCCAAGCCACATTAGGGTAAGGGCAGGAATTCCCTGTTGCTTATCATTTGAGTCGCAGTGCCTGGCACGTAGAGATACTCTAAAAGTTCATGGAAAAATAGAATTAAAAGATAAAAACACAAAATATAAACTTTTTTTCTCAACACAACCTCCATCAAGTTCAAGACACTTTTGTAATGGTACCATCAATTTAGTCCATCCCTAAAGAATTTAGGGTCCTGGGAATTTACAATGTCAATGCGGTCTTTTTTACATTATTAACTGAAGAAAAACGGGTGCTCTTTGCAGACTTTTTAAGATTAGGAAATACAAGGAAATCAGAAAGGGCCAAATCAGGACTATACGGCATACCCCTAATAATTTCCCATAGAAACTCTCATAAAAATTGTCCTTGTTTGATGAGAGGACTGAGCAGGAACATTGCCGTGGTGAAGGACTCTCTGGAAGCTTTCCTGAGCATTTTATTGCTAAAGCTTTGGTTGTCTCAAAATACTCTCATAATAAACAGAAGTTATTGTTCTTTGGTGCTCCATAACACCCACAGGTGAAATTTCTTAAGCATCCAAAAAATCTGTTGCCATTACCTCTGCTCTTGACTGATCTACTTTTGCTGTGACTGGACCACTTCTTCCTCTCAGTAGCCGTTACTTTGATTGTGCTTTGCCTTCAGGATTGTACTGGTAAAGCCATGTTTCATCTCCTGTTACAATTCCTTGAAGAAATACTTCAGGATCTTGATCCCACTTGTTGAAAATTTCCATTGAAAGCTTTGTTCTTGTCTGCAGCTGATCTGGGCACAACTGTTTTGGTAGCCACTGACTGGAAAGTTTGTTCAACCATAATTTTTCTGTCAGAATTGTTTAAGCTGAACCAACTGAGATGTCTGTAGTGTCAACTATTGTTTGTGCTGTTAATTGTAGGTGCTCTTTGATTAAGGTACAGACAATGCAAATTTTTTCCTTGCAAATTGGTGTGGATAGTCTGCTGCTGTGGGCTTCATCTTCAATATCATATCATCCCTTCTTAAATTATTTCTTTGTAAACTGCTTATTTCTTTGAAGCATTGTCTCCATAAACTTTTTGTAAACTATCAATGATTTCATCATTCTTCCACTCAAACTTCACCATAAATTTGGTGCTTGCTCTTGCTTCAATTTTAGCAGAATCCATATTGTTCTGACAGGGGCCCTTTTCAAACTGATGTCTTATCCTTCTTAGTGCCTCTAACTAGATGTTGTTCAGACGTGTTATAACAAGTTGGTATAAGTTTATCTTGGTACAAAAAAATTTGAAATCCATGCATAGTTTTTTCATAATATGCATTTTCCTTAAACTTTTAGAAAACCCATAAGTGAACATGGAAAACAAATGGAGGAAACAAAGTATTATTTAGAAAGATATTAGAAAGGGCCATGCCTGATATAGCCTCTTAATACATTTTATCATCCTTTGCATAAATGTACACATCATTATATGAACAGAGATATACTGAATTTAGATTGCAGGCTCAAGTTAATCTCAAGTTATCCTTTTGATACAGTGGAAAAAAATCATTGTTTCTGGAATCACTTATATCTGTGTTAAGATTTGCCTTGCCAGATATTATTAGTTAATTAACTCTGAGACTCAGTTTTCTCATCCACAATGTGTAAAAAAATAGTGACTATATCACAGGGCTGACAAAAGATTGGCTTATATAATATATTAGACAATATAGTATGTACTAGGTGATCTATACAAGATATTTGATTTTTTTAGGGACTCTTAATGGTTTCTAATGAGATGAAAAGTTTAAAAACCATAAAAACAACTAAGAGATCACAATTTATGATGGCATTTTTCTGAGTAATGAGGAAATCTCCAGTGAGAACAAAGGTTTTCACAAAAGAGTATAATTTTTTTTATCAAAATTGCCTCATACAGTCACCTAATAAACCAAATAACTAAAGAAAGAAAATATTTCTCATCAAGGCACTAACCACCTGAAATTTACAAGCTGGAAATATTCTGAATATAACTTTATATTTGAGGAGGCAAAGCTTTGACAAAATTATAAAAGAATGCCTAATAGCCTGGAAGTTGTAAAAGTATTTCCGTTGATTAAAAAAACAAACAAACAAAAACAGAGACAAGGCAAAGAACTACTATGGGTTCAACAACACTCCCTAATGGGTTAGCAATTCATTAATTATATCAGCATATCTGAAATTTGAAAAATAATAAGGTATTTATTCAGCCTGTTGGCAATATTAGGTCGGCATATGGAATTGCAGTTCTATAGTGTCTAAGAATCTCTCAGTCTCTTCTCCTGACAAGTTGAGATCACTGATGTGGATTAAATAAGTGATAAAGGAATTGAGGGCATATTTAAAGTATAAACACTAATGTTTGTACATGCTTTTGCATATGCTTTTACACATTTTAATCAGGGAATTTTTGTTGGATAATCTGAAGTAGGACAAAATAGTAATAAGACCCTTGGATAATCTTTCTTTTCTTGAACTGCTCTTAATCTGCTCTGTGCATTATACAATGTTTAATCTTTTATGATCTGCCTCACATAATTTCATATATATATATATTCATATATATATATTTCATACTTTCTACATAATAATATATTTATTGCAGGCTTATCTAAACAACATAGTTGAAAAACATTTGTTGGTAGAAAAAAACACACAGACTACTTTGTGGGCAGTATCCTTTTATTTCTATCTTGAAACTTTTGGGAAAGTGTGGGAATAATAACTAATTGTTAGTAAATAGTTTGGTTGGCTTTTTAATGTTATTAACTATTTTAGAGGAGTTTTAGATCAGAACACAGTTCTACCTTGTAATAATGACTGAGTAATTGGCAAAGACAAGGAGAAACCTTATTCATGAGCTGTAACTGAGCTTTGGGACATGGGAGAGAGAAAGCATAGCTGATGAGTGTGGGATGCTGGGTCCACATGACCTGAAGTCAGCATGGGATCTCTATCCTTTATGCTGATGGCTGCCAAATTAGTCTCCTTCCAGTAATGATTCTCAAGTTAGTTTTAGTTAATGAACTGAGAGGAGCTGCAGGTACCTCTGGCCATTAACTGCCTTTCTTTGTAGCTCTGGTTGCTTACAAGATTTCTCTCATCCCAGAATCCGATGGCAGCCACCTAAGGGGCATGCTGTGAGGCAGATTGCAGTGAGACAAATCTGTGTGAGGCAGCTTCTCACTGGAGAGTCCTTGCCAGAGCCAAGAAGCTCATGCTTTAAGTTTTAATTAAAAAGACAAACAGAACCATTTTGGGGAAAAGTTTGGGTACTCCTGGCCAGGAAGACAGCCATACACTCTGTGCAGCTCAGTTATCATGGTCTTGTTTCCATCTGTGTAGTGAGATGGTAAGGGCAATACACCTATTAGGAGTTAAGAACTAAGATGTCGCCCAATCTCTAAATAACTTTAAAACAGTGGCTTAAAATGGACAAAGACAAAGGAAATAAATTGCTGGTATGTTACCCATACAGACATAGACAAATACAAACATAAAATCCTTCAGAAGGGGGAAAAAGATACCCTAAAAATACCAGGAGAATTTTCTTTTTCAAATAAGACTTATTGTATTACATCAAAATACAAGTTCGAATTTATGAACTGCCTAGGTCAGCAATTTCCATAGTGTAACTAGGGTCTCACCTTCAAGGATGATTCTTATAGCTTCACACTTCTACAGTCAATACTTAGTGCTTGGTATATAGTAAGCCTTCTATATTTATATTAACTAAATAAATGAATGAAGGAATTAATGAATGAGTAAAAACGATGTAAAATCTATGGGTCGTGGTACAGTACTTCTACCAGTTCATCCCAAAGCAATACAGAATAGAGAGGGCCAACCTCGGGTTAAAGGCAATGACATTTTATAAACAGCTCCATGTGCTCTTGGCTGATGATGGGTTAAATAGCACAGCTGAATTCACCCAAATTATAGAAAATCAGTTATTTAAAATTTTGTAAGTTGGATTCCTAGGTATTTTATTCTCTTTGAAGCAATTGTGAATGGGAGTTCACTCATGTTTTGGCTCTCTGTTTGTCTGTTATTGGTGTATAAGAATGCTTGTGGGACCTCTTCAAGGAGAATTACAAACCACTGCTCAATGAAATAAAAGAGGATACAAAGAAATGGAAGAACATTCCATGCTCATGGGTAGGAAGAATCAATATCATGAAAATGGCCATACTGCCCAAGGTAATTTATAGATTCAATGCCATCCCCATCAAGCTACCAATGACTTTCTTCACAGAATTGGAAAAAACTACTTTAAAGTTCATATGGAACCAAAAAAGAACCCGCATTGCCAAGTCAATCCTAAGCCAAAAGAACAAAGCTGGAGGCATCACGCTACCTGACTTCAAACTATACTACAAGGTTACAGTAACCAAAACAGCATGGTACTGGTACCAAAACAGAGATATAGATCAATGGAACAGAACAGAGCCCTCAGAAATAACGTTGCATATCTACAACTATCTGATCTTTGACAAACCTGAGAAAAACAAGCAATGGGGAAAGGAGTCCCTATTTAATAAATGGTGCTGGGAAAACTGGCTAGCCATATGTAGAAAGCTGAAACTGGATCCCTTCCTTACACCTTATACAAAAATTAATTCAAGATGGATTAAAGACTTCAACGTTAGACCTAAAACCATAAAAACCCTAGAAGAAAACCTAGGCATTACCATTCAGGACATAGGCATGGGCAAGGACTTCATGTCTAAAACACCAAAAGCAATGGCAACAAAAGCCAAAAGTGACAAATGGGATGTCATTAAACTAAAGAGCTTCTGCACAGCAAAAGAAACTACCATCAGAGTGAACAGGCAACCTACAACATGGGAGAAAATTTTTGCAACCTACTCATCTGACAGAGGGCTAATATCCAGAATCTACAATGAACTCAAACAAATTTACAAGAAAAAAACAAACAACCCCATCAAAAAGTGGGCAAAGGACATGAACAGACACTTCTCAAAAGAAGACATTTATGCAGCCAAAAAACACATGAAAAAAAATGCTCACCATCACTGGCCATCAGAGAAATGCAAATCAAAACCACAATGAGATACCATCTCACACCATTTAGAATGGCAATCATTAAAAAGTCAGGAAACAACAGGTGCTGGAAAGGATGTGGAGAAATAGGAACACTTTTACACTGTTGGTGGGAATGTAAACTAGTTCAGCCTTTGTGGAAGTCAGTGTGGCGATTCCTCAGGGATCTAGAACTAGAAATACCATTTGACCCAGCCATCCCATTACTGGGTATATACCCAAAGGACTATAAATCATGCTGCTATAAAGACACATGCACATGTATGTTTATTGCGGCACTATTCACAATAGCAAAGACTTGGAACCAACCCAAATGTCCAACAATGATAGACTGGATTAAGAAAATGTGGCACATATACACCATGGAATACTATGCAGCCATAAAAAATGATGAGTTCATGTCCTTTGTAGGGACATGGATGAAATTGGAAATCATCATTCTCAGTAAACTATCGCAAGAACAAAAAACCAAACACCGCATATTCTCACTCATAGGTGGGAATTGAACAATGAGAACACATGGATACAGGAAGGGGAACATCACACTCTGGGGACTGTTGTGGGGTGGGGGGAGGGGGGAGGGATAGCTTTAGGAGATATACCTAATGCTAAATGACGAGTTAATGGGTGCAGCACACCAGCATGGCACATGTATACATATGTAACTAACCTGCACATTGTGCACATGTACCCTAAAACTCAAAGTATAATAATAAAAAAAAATTTTGACACTTAGATCCAATCAAAACCAGCCTGGACATAGAGTTTTATACTGTATTTAAAATATTTTCAAGGAAGAAGCTTCAGTGAGCTCCCTCAATAACTGACTCTAATATCTGACCAACTTATCTGATTACCTGCTTTCCTTTGAAGCTATTTCTCCTTGTTCTGTCCTTTGTGGTAATAGGAAATAGGTAATAACCACCATCTACACATCCAAAGATGTTTCATAGTAAATTATATAAGACACAATTCCCACTTCCAAAGAGCATATGATTTGCCAAAGGAGAAGAACAAATGTATTAGCTATGCTTGAGTGAGAGAGAGCTATTTGAGGTAGGGCAGACTAAACGATTCTTAATATAGGACAGAAGACTATGGTGTACTGCGAGGAGTTCATTGTTTATTGTAAACTGACACTACTTTCCAGGCTCTTACAGAAGAGAAGACCACCTAGGCATCCTCGTTAATAACTGGGAAGGAGAGGAAATGTGTATAATCTTGAAATTTAGTTTTTAAAAGAGGAAAACTGCTGTCTTATTTAAGTCACTGTTATTTGGTCTCTGCTGTAACAGTTAAAGAAATATTCAAATTAATTCGCATATATCACATAGACTTGATATACACGTATGTATTTACACAGTCATCTCTCAGAATCTAATATGGTTTGGATGTTTGTCCTTTCCAAATCTCATGTTAATATGTAATCCTCAGTGTTGGAGGTGGGGCCTAGAAGGAGGTATTGGATCATGGGGGCAGATCCCTCATGAATGGTTTAGCACCATCCTCTTGGTGATGAGTGAGTTGTTTCTCAGTTCATGTGAGATCTGGTTGTTTAAGAGTCTGGGACCTTCCCCTTCTCTCTCTTGCTCCCTCTGTCTTGCTTCCTCTCTTGCCACATGATACACCAATCCACGCCCCCCAAGCCTGGCCCTGGCTCTGCCTTTTGCCATAACTGTAAGCTTCCTGAGGCCTCACCAGGAGCAGATGCCAGTGCCATGCTTCCTGTACAGCCTGTAGAACCACGAGCCAAAATAAATCTGTTTTCCTTACAAATTACTCAGTCTCAGGTATTTCTTTATAGCAATGCCAAAATGGACTAATACAGTATCCATGGGGGATTGGTTCCTGAGCTGCCCACAGAATACCAAACTCTATGGATCCCGAAGTCCCTAATATAAAACAGCTACTAATTGCATGTAACCTATGCATGTTCTCCTGGATACTTTAAATCATCTCTAGGTCATTTGTCATACCTAATACAATGTAAATGAAATATAAATAGTTGTTATACTGTATTGTTTAGGGAATAATGACAAGAAAGTCTTTACATGTTCAGTAGAGATGTAATTTTTTAAAATATTTCAATCCACGTTGGTAGAATCCATGGATGTGAAATCCAGATAGAGAGAGCCCATTGTACATTTATTCGTATATATCTATTTAACCATATGAATTTAACTGAGAGAAGGAATGACTTGAATCAAGAAATATGTATGTGTGAAAGTGTCTAGCAGAATATTTTGCCCACAGCTGATATCCAACATTCTTAAGCTTCTCCCTTTTCAGTTTGTCTTGATAAAAACAAAGCAATGGTACTTTCTAGAGCCTACTCACACTTGAGCCATTTTCAACTCACAAAATCTATGTTGGGTGGGTTGAGCCACTGGTTTTATTTCTAAGCCTAGTCCACAATTTAGGGCCTAAGTGGTCTTAATCCGGTAGCAGCAGAGTCAGGAACTCTGCTAAAATGAAGCATCACCAAGTTCCTCAGTAGGATCAAAGCAAGGGCAGTGGGTCGTCATGAGCTAGGGATAAGGAGCCTTGCCCATACCCAGAGACCATTACCTCAAGAAAACAGCAGTGCAAATCCCAGAGAGCTAAGCCCAGAAGCTGATGATGGAGAGACTGAATTGTGATAGAAGGGTATAAAACCACTCTCCGAAGAGAACTTTAACAGAAAGGCCAAAATTCAGATGGGACAGCTAGATAGCAGGGAGGTTAAGACCATCAAAATTTCCAACCAAGAGGAGACAAAACCCCGGTGAGTCTGGTGCCAGCTACAAAGCCTCAGTGTAAGTAAGACTGAATTTAATACTGAACTTAGTCTTTGCTTTGGGCAGGAAACTTTCCTAAGTTTCATGTTTGGTCAGGAAGCAAACACTGGATGTGTGGAAACCCTTGGCTGTGGAGGGAAGTATTGAAACAGAACAGGAACAGGGCTGACAGCACTCCAGGCCCAGCCAGAACTGACATCCAATCTTGCCATGTTCATTAGTTTCAATCTTTCTTCCTCCAGATAAGATCTAATAAGGGATTTGAGTTTTCTATCTTCTTTTCCCTTTACTAGACCTCTGATGGAGCTATTAATGAGTGTGAAATAGCCATAGGGCAGGCAGCCTTAGAGAAGAATAAATGAAACAGATGGCAAGACTAATCCACAAACTGGATAAGGCCATTAAGAATCCACTCATCATCACTATGAAACATTCAAGAGGTAGTTTTTCTGCACATTAACTTGACAGTATAATATGAGTCACAGCCTTACTGGGGCTCAGTTTCAATATCTGTAGAATGTGGAGCTTGGACTAGCTCAGCAGTTATTAAAACTGCTCTGAAGAGCCCTAAAATTCCAAGGCGGTCCTGTAGGTCACCTCAAGAAACAAGGAGAAGTTTCAGGCCTTTACTTTAACTAGGCCATGCTGCATTTATATGTTTGATGCAGTGATGCTCGTTAGATTTCTTCTGGGAGAAAAAAAAATTCTGCCACTAAAATAAGGTTTGTGAATCATGGCATAAGGCAAATATTAAGGACATTCCTGACTCTAGCAACCTGGGACTTTGCACTAAACGAGCATTGCATCTCTTGTCTATAGCTTCTTTTCTTTCCAGGTGACACTGATAAAGTTAAGGAGGGAGAAACTAGTTTGCAGCCCACTGAGAGGCAATACTATATTATATAGCCAGTGTTTATCATAAAACAGAAATCTGCTGCTTAAATTTTGATTTTTCGGTAGGAAGCATATAAATAATAAGTTAACATTTTAAAGAGATGTCAAATAGATCTTGAAACAATGCTCAAATTAACCATATTTATATTTTTCACTTGTACGTGATTATCAGAGCTGTAATTTAAAACTGGCTAGTGTAAAATAGTGGTGAGCAATCCACCTGCATACAGGGCAGTGGATATTTTAGGAAGTTAGCACAAACATAAGGTTTTGAAAAAATGTGGAAAGACAATTGAGAATGCCCACAGCCTGCTCCATCTCCATCTTTCATCCCCTTCTTTACCTGCTTCCATGATTCCAGCATCTGAGAGGGTTGTTGCTTTGAACACAAGCTTAAAAAGATGATTTTCACGAAACTGTGTCACATGTCTGTGCTTATAATGCATTTAATTACAAAGAAATTTTTATTTAAAACTTATACACCTCTTTCTTCCATTCATTCATTCATTCATTCATTTTATATATATTTACCTAGCACTTACAATGTTTCAAGTCCTGCATATATATATATATATACACACACACACACACAAACACACACACACACACATGACTAAGACATAATCCTTTTCCATCTAGGAATACCCAATATGAGAAATATTCTGCATTCTAAAAATAACACAAGCTCATTTTTTTAAAAAATCACACAAAGTGTTGACAGCAATGAAGAAGAAAGGTCAGCCAGTCATAATTCTGTCTTTCCAAGGTAAGTACTTCCACATTTGGCATATCCTTCCAGACTCTTGTATCTATCTATAAGGATATCTATATAGACATATTATTAAAAATGAGATTCTACTGCACATTGCCCTTTTGCAATCTGATTTTTCCACATAAGGGGTAAATCAAAGGTACTACCAAGATATGTAACTGATTTCAACAGAGCCAATTTTGTCAGTGACATCAAAGTCAAAAAGGCATTCAAAAGCAGATAACTGGGCTTGAAACCTTAGTCAGACTGACTTGAGAAGATGGAACAGAGGTAACAGAGGGCAGCGGCACAGACCTAAGGTAAGATCCAAGGGACAGAGCTTCAGCATTGACTCATGCTACGGAGAGTTTAGGCTTGGACTTCTTTTATATCCCTGCTTGTGCCTTTTAAAGCTGACATATCTTTGCACTGCACCTTGACACTTCGACATACAGGAATATTCTTATCTTTTGGACAATCTATGGATTTATGCCTTTAAGTCAGAAAAAAACTAGCAACAACTAGCTCATAGTCTAGACCTGGTCCAGAGGCAGTTTTGTTAAAATGTAAAAGAAAAGAAGATGACTTAATATTTATGAATTAAGAGATTTCAAAAACAAAACGAAACAATAACAAACTCTGGATTGCTGACTTTTCCTGAAAAGGTCAGAAGAATGGAGGCTGTAATCCTGCAATTCTGTATGATAATAATTAGTTGACGCTTTAGGGCAGAGGTTCCCAGATTCCATTGCACACTACAGTTACCTCGGCAGATTTTGAAATTCCTGATGCTCAGCTTGCATCCCAAGCTAATTAAGTCAGAATGTCTGGGAGTGAGAGCCATTCACTGGTAATTTTTAAAGATGCCTACGAGAGGCCAGGCGCAGTGGCTCACGCCTATAATCCCAGCACTTTGGGAGGCCAAGGTGGGTGGATCACCTGAGGTCAGGAGTTCAAGACCAGCCTTGCCAACATGGTGAAACCCCATCTCTACTAAAAATACAAAAATTAGCCAGGCGTGGTGGCACATGCCTGTAATCCCAGCTACTCGGGAGGCTGAGGCAGGAGAATCACTTGAACTCGGGAGTCGGAGGTTGCAGTGAGCTGAGATCATGCCATTGCACTCCAGCCTGGGCGACACAGTAAGACTTCATCTCAAAAAAAAAAAAAAAAAAAAAAAAAAAGATGCCCAGGTGATTCCAATGTTCCACAAAATCTGGGAACCACTGCCTTAGGGTCTTTGAACTCACTATTTTCTCTGTCTGAGAGTTCTCCTCTTTTATCCATATGGCTTAAGGTTCATGTTCTACAGGTAACTCACCTTATGTCAGGTATTATTTGTTGCAAAACTGTTGAGGGATGCAGAAAAGCAGCTGCTTTCATTAGATGGGGCTTGTGTTCTCCTGTTTGCCACTGACCATTTAACTTCTCTGAGTTTTATGCTTGACGCCTTTATGAATCTGACCCCAGGTATAACTATTATCCATAATTGCATAAATAAAAGTCACGGGAAATATTCAGCTACACTTACTGTCATTTTAAGATGAGATACTAGAATGTTAGGAGAAAAGTAAACAGGTAAAGAACTTTCACAGTCATGATGTATTTGAGTGTTTCTTTTGTATTCCTTAGTTACAAAGATGAATCATGACATTATCAGTCTCTCTAATATCAGCTCAGTTTGGTACTCCACATACAACAAATGTAGTGTAATCCATTTAATAAGTTTTTTTCTTTTCTCAGCAAGGGTCTGAACAAGTTCTATACCACAGCACTGATCAAAAGTGGCAAACGTCATTATCCTTGGCAGATTACCAGGAGTTCTGCAATTAACAGCAACATGAATAAAACTATTTTATGGACTCCAGAGTAAATGTGGCTTGATGAAGGGAAAACATATTCATCTTGCCACAAATTAACCTAATGTTAGAACTCTTCACATTGAATACATTTTAAGGTTACTGAGAACTGCTATGGAAAGAAAAGCAAATGGAAACAAGAAATAAAATAAACTGTCACCTAGCAAGCTCCATTTCTATGAGTTCATTATCAAACAGTATTTATTTAGTACCCCTTTGCATAGACCTTTGAGCAGGGTTCTTAGGGGTGTAAATAGAGAGAATACTCATCTTTTAGCACTTACATAATACAGGAAATGAGTCCATGTGGCAATTTAGACTATAAAGACTATATGAATAAAAACCAGATTAAATTATGAAAAAACAAGATAATTACTAACTGATGGCCCAAATACAGATTATGAAACTTATAAGAATCATTGTGTAAAATATGTTTTTTTCCTTTTGAAAAGCCGATTGCCTTCGGAATTTGTGTAGTAGGTAAATGCAAATAATTTCAATAAAATATACTCACATGGCAAGATCTGACAATATCTGGAAGAGATGACTATGAACTGTAGGGGAAAAAGGGGGTAATCCCTTTTCTCCCCATCATAAAGGGTCATAGCCAACACCCTTATAACAAAAAAAACAGGTTAATGTAGGAAAAGCATAACAGATTTATTACTATTACATGCACATGTGTACATTTGTACATGGGAATCATACAAAATACAAGCGCAAAGAGGGGCCGGAGGGTTGAGGCTTAAATGCTTTCTTCTTAGGAGAAAGGGACGTGGGGGAATGAATAGGCCCAATGTTCAGATAATGGCTAGTAAATGATTCTCTTGGCTTATTACGTAGATAAAGTCCCCCAGGTAATCTCTCAGAGGTGCCCTCAGAAGAGTTAATGAAATTTCTTCATGGTGAGGACCCCCAGTCTCTCGCTTTCTCTGGTGGTTGATATTTCTTGATTATTTGATGAGATTCCTAAGAAGGGAGTCTTAGACTATTGCATTGTGTTGTTGTTGCTGTTGTTGGAAAGCAGCCTTCTTAGGTAAGAAGATTCCAAGATGAGTCCCTCCTGATACAGACAGACAGGGAGGTGGGAAAAGGTCAAAGAAATACCTTGGTTCTGAAGCTTATTTCTGAAATCTTTCCATTTTCAAGGCATTCAGTATACAGAAGTACCATATTTGGGGGAATCATTTTCTGTACCCCAACAATATTCTATATCTGAGGTCATATAATTCTACAATTCTGTTTTTTTTTTGTAAGCAATGTATTAATTTACCTAAGGGAAATAAACACATACGTGTGTGTGCCAGTCATCTATTTGTTCCCAGATATACTTCTTGGCCTCTACTTCTTAGCTCTATGTTGCAGAGGGCTGATCCCTGCAAACATTTATCAGGTTCACCCCCCAACCAACTTTCAAGTAGTTTCAGAAGGAGGCCTGGCAGGAAATGAGAGGTGGGAAAAAGGGAGTATCTGAGATGTTTCTTCCTCTCTTTCTTTGCTTAGGCTTCATCAGCAATGGTTTCCCATCTTCCTTTGTGCCAGCTCCAGTAGGCAGTGGTTGTCCTCAGAAGGCATACATTCATCATAGTCTAGCTCTGACTAGGCAGACTACATCCGTCCCCCTTGTCCTTTCAGCCTGATGGGTAGCAGTGACTGCTATTCATAATGTTTGGTTTGCTTATCCAAAACTTGTATAAATACTGACCTAATGAATTTTCTGACTGTTTTCCTCAGTAACTCTAATTGACAAATATATACAGAGTTTGTGTATATTTATTATAAAGTTAGCCTGGCTGGCATCACCAAAATGGGCATAGTGTGGTCATGAAGAAGTACCCAGTTTTTCTACCTCTTTATGACAGAGTAAAGAAATGCTAAACTAAAAGGTAGGATTCAAGATGAGATAGAGAAGTGAAGTCCCAAAACAACACACCAGTTCTTTTGGAAACATGCAGGTTCAGAGGTACATGTAGAGGTGATTCTTCTATATTTTTTAAGTTAAAAAAGAGTTATTCTAAACCTCTTTTTAAAGTTTTATGTATTTTTAAATGTCTACCTTTATGTAAAATGGATGTATGTATGTACATATTTCTCACTTCTATGTTCGGGATACACGTGCAGATTTGTTATGTAGGTAGATTGCACCGTGGGGGTTTGGTGCACAGATTATTTCATCACCCAGGTAACCGGCATAGTACCTGATGGACAGCTTTTTGATTTTCCTCCTCTTTCCACCCTCTGCCCTCAAGTAGGCCCCGGTGTCTGTTGCCCCCTTGTTTGTGTCCATATGTACTCAATGCCAAACTTCTTTTATTCTTCCAAATTCCCTCACCATCTGATTAATCTGTGAGTTCTATCTATTAAACCTCTCAAATTTATCTTGAATTTTTCCCTTTATCTATCGCTCTGACACTCCATTCATTCAGTGGACTCACTTATACTTCTCTCCCTAAAGTGGCATCTTCAACCTATCCTCCACAAGGCTACTAGTGAGTGTTTTCTAAAAGTTAGTTCTGACTGGGAACAAGATAAGGATGCCCATTCTTGCCACTTCTATTCAAAATAGTACTGGAAGTCCCAGCCAGAGCAATTAGGCAGGAAAAAGAAATAAAAGGCATCCAATTAATAAAGGAAGAAGTTAAATAGTCTTTGTTTGCAGACCCAATGATCACTTACATAGAAAACTCTAAAGACTCTAGCAAAAAACTGTTAAAACTAATAAACAAATTCAGTAAAGTTGTGGAATATAAAATCAGCATGTAACAATCAGTAATATTTTCATGCACTAACAATGACATACCCAATAAACTTTTTCATTTACATTGAAAACTGTAAAACATTGATGAAAGACATTGTAGAAGACAATATCCCAAATATCCAAAGCAATCTTGAGCCAAATTAACAAAGCTGGAGGCATCACACTACCTGACTTCAAAATACACTGCAAAGCTATAATAACCAAAACAGCTTGGTACTGGCATAAAACCAGACACATAGACCAATATAAAAGAATAGAGAGCCCAGAAATAAATACATATATTTACAGTCAACTAATTTTTTACAAAGATGCCAAGAACATGCAATGGGAAAGGGAAGTCTCTTCAATAAATGGTGCTGTGAAATTATCCACATGCAGAAGATTGAAATTGGTCCCTTATCTCACATCATATAAAAAATCAAATCAATATGGATTACATACTTAAATGCAAAACCTAAAACTATAAAACTACTAGAAGAAAACATAGAGAAAAATATTCATGACATTGGTCTGGGCAATAATATTTTGGATACAACCCCAAAAGCATAAACAATAAAAGCAAAAATAGACAAATGGAATTACATGAAACTAAAAGGTTTCTGCACAGCAAACAAAATAACCCACAGAGTGATGAGACAACCCATGGAATAGGAGAAAATATTTGCAAATTGCACATCTGATGAGGGATTTATATCTAAAACATATAAAGCACACAAACATCTCAAAAGCAAGAAAACAAATAACTGGATTAAAAAATGAGCAAAGGACCTAAATAGACATTTTTCAAAAGAAGACATAAAAATGGCCAACAAATAAACAAAAGTTTCTCAACATCTCTAATCATTACAGAAATGCAAATCAAAACCATAATGAGCAGCTCCCAGCGAAATCGATGCAGAAGACAAGTGATTTCTGCATTTCCAACTGAGGTACCTGGTTTATCTCATTGGGACTGGTTGGAGAGTGGGTGAAGCCCACGGGGGGGTGAGGCAAAGCAGGGTGGGGCATCACCTCGCCTGAGAAGCACAAGGGGCCAGGGTATTTCCCTTTCCTAGCCAAGGGAAGCGTGACACACCGTACCTGGAAAAATAGTACACTCCCGCCCAAATACTGTGCTTTGCCCATGGTCTTAGCAACTGGCAGACCAGGATATTCCCTCCAGTGCCGGGCTCGGTGGGTCCCACGGCCACAGAGCCTTGCTCACTGCTAGCACAGCAGTCTGAGATCGACCTGCGTGGCTGCAGCCTGGCAGATGGAGGGGCATCTGCCATTGCTGAGGCTTGAGTAGGTAAACAAAGTGGACTGCAAGCTCGAACTGGGTGGAGCCCACCTCAGCTCAGCAAGGCCTACGGCCTCTATAGGCTCCAAGTCTGTGGGCAGGGCATAGCTGAACAAAAGGCAGCAGACAACTTTTGCAGACTTAAACGTCCCTGTCTGACAGCTCTGAAGACAGCAGTAGTTCTCCCAGCATGGCGTTTGAGCTCTGAGCACAGACAGACTGCTTCCTCAAGTGGGTCTCTGACCCCATGTAGCCTGACTGGGAGGCACTTCACAGTGGGGGCTGACAGACACCTCATGCAGACAGGTGCCCTCTGGGACAAAGCTTCCAGAGGAAGAATCAGACAGCAATATTTGCTGTTCTGCAATATTTGCTGTTCTGCAGCCTTTGCTAGTGATACCCAGGCAAACAGGGTCTGGAGTGGACCTCTAGCAAACTCCAACAGACTTGAGGCTGAGGGAGCCTGAATGTTAGAAGGAAAACTAACAAACAGAAAGGAATAGCATCGACATCAACAAAAAGGACATCCACACCAAAACCCCATCTGTAGGTCACCAACATCAAAGACCAAAGGTAGATGAAACCACAGAGATGGGGAGAAACCAGAGCAGAAAAGCTGAAAATTCCAAAAACAAGAACGATTCTTCTCCTCCAAAAGATCACAGCTCCTCGCCAGCAACAGAACAAAACTGGACAGAGAATCACTTTGACAAGTTGACAGAAGTAGGCTTCAGAAGGTCAATAATAACAAACTTCTCCGAGCTAAAGAAGCATGTTCTAAACCATCGCAAGGAAGCTAAAAATCTTTAGAAAAGGTTAGATGAATGGCTAACTCGAATAACCAGTGTAGAGAAGACCTTAAATGACCTGATGGAGCTGAAAACCCCGGCACGAGACTTCGGGATGCATGCACAAGCTTCAATAGCCAATTAGATCAAGCAGATCAAATTAATGAAATAAAGCGAAAAGACAAGATTAGAGAAAAAAGAGTAAAAAGAAATGAACAACGCCTCCAAGAAACATGGGACTATGTGAAAAGACCAAATCTACATTTGATTGGTGTACCAGAAAATGACGGGGAGAATGGAACCAAGTTAGAAAACACTCTTCAGGATAATATCGAGGAGAACTTCCCCAACCTAGCAAGGCAGGCCAACATTCAAATTCAGGAAATACAGAGAACTCC
Source organism: Homo sapiens (assembly GCF_000001405.40). Lineage (NCBI taxonomy): Eukaryota > Metazoa > Chordata > Mammalia > Primates > Hominidae > Homo > Homo sapiens. Next base: position 8,006,880 of record NC_000009.12, on the reverse strand, counting down.
ACAAAGATACTCCTCAAGAAGAGCAACCCTAAGACACATAATTGGCAGATTCACCAAGGTTGAAATGAAGGAAAAAATGTTAAGGGCAGCCAGAGACAAAGGTCAGGTTACTCACAAAGCGAACCCATCAGACTAACAGCAGATCTCCCAGCAGAAACCCTACAAGCCAGAAGAGAGTGGGGGCCAATATTCAACATTCTTAAAGAAAAGAATTTTCAACCCAGAATTTCATATGCAGCCAAACTAAGCTTCATAAGTGAAGGAGAAATAAAATACTTTACGGACAAGCAAATGCTGAGAGATTTTGTCACCACCAGGCCTGCCTTACAAGAGCTCCTGAAGGAAGCACTAAACATGGAAAGGAACAACTGGTACCAGCCACTGCAAAAACATACCAAATTGTAAAGACCATTGACGAGGAAGAAATTCCATCAATTTATGGGCAAAATAACCAGCTAACATCAAAATGACAGGATCAAATTCATCCATAACAATATTAACCTTAAATGTAAATGGGCTGAATTCCCCAATTAAAAGACACAGACTGGCAAACTGGATAAAGAGTCAAGACCCATCACGGTGCTGTATTCAGGAGACCCATCTCACGTACAGAGACACACACAGGCTCAAAATAAAGGGATGAAGGAAGATCTACCAAGCAAATGGAAAGCAAAAAAAAAAAAAAAGCAGGGCTTGCAATCCCAGTCTCTGATAAAACAGACTTTAAGCCAACAAGATCAAAAGAGACAAAGAAGGCCATTACATAATGGTAAAGGGATCAATTCAGCAAGAAGAACTAACTATCCTAAATATATTTGCACCCAATACAGGAGCACCCAGATTCAAAAAGCAAGTCCTGAGTGACCTACAGAGAGACATAGACTCCCACACAATAACAATGGGAGACTTTAACACCCCACTGTCAACATTAGACAGATCAACGAGACAGAAAGTTAACAAGGATACCCAGGAATTGAACTCAGCTCTGCACCAAGCGGACCTAATAGACATCGACAGAACTCTCCACCCCAAATTAACAGAATATACATTTTTTTCAGCACCACACCACACCTATTCCAAAATTGACGACATAGTTGGAAGTAAAGTTCTCCTCAGCAAATGTAAAAGAACAGAAATTATAACAAACTTTCTCTCAGACCACAGTGCAACCAAACTAGAACTCAGGATTAAGAAATTCACTCAAAACTGCTCAACTACATGGAAACTGAACAACCTGCTCCTCAATGACTACTGGGTACATAACGAAATGAAGGCAGAAATAAAGATGTTCTTTGAAACCAACGAGAACAAAGACACAACATATCAGAATCTCTGGGACACATTCAAAGCAGTGTGTAGAGGGAAATTTATAGCACTAAATGCCCACAAGAGAAAGCAGGAAAGATCCAAAATTGACACCCTAACATCACAATTAAAGGAACTAGAAAAGCAAGAGCAAACACATTCAAAAGCTAGCAGAAGGCAAGAAATAACTAAAATCAGAGCAGAACTGAAGGAAATAGAGACCAAAAAAACCCTTCAAAAATTGATGAATCCAGGAGCTGGTTTTTTGAAAGGATCAACAAAATTGATAGACTGCTAGCAAGACTAATAAAGAAAAAAAGAAAGAAGAATCAAATGGATGCAATAAAAAATGATAAAGGGGATATCACCACCGATCCCACAGAAATACAAACTACCTCAGAGAATACTACAAACACCTCTATGCACATAAACTAGAAAAATCTAGAAGAAATGGATAAATTCCTTGACACATAAACCCTCCCAAGACTGAACCAGGAAGAAGTTGAATCTCTGGATTGACCAATAACAGGCTCTGAAATTGTGGCAATAATAAATAGCTTACCAACCAAAAAGAGTCCAGGACCAGATGGATTCACAGCCTAATTCTACCAGAGGTACAAGGAGGAGCTGGTACCATTCCTTCTGAAACTATTCCAATCAATAGAAAAAGAGGGAATCCTCTCTGACTCATTTTATGAGGCCAGCATCATCCTGATACCAAAGCCGGGCAGAGACACAACCAAAAAAGAGAATTTTAGACCAATATCCTTGATGAACATTGATGCAAAAATCCTCAATAAAATACTGGCAAACTGAATCCAGCAGCTCATCAAAAAGTTTATCCACCATGATCAAGTGGGCTTCATCCCTGGGATGCAAGGCTGGTATGATATATGCAAATCAATAAATGTAATCCAGCATATAAACAGAACCAAAGACAAAAACCACATGATTATCTCAATTGATGCACAAAAGGCCTTTGACAAAATTCAACAACCCTTCATGCTAAAAACTCTCAATAAATTAGGTAATGATGGGACGTATCTCAAAATAATAAGATCTATGACAAACCCACAGCCAATATCATACTGAATGGGCAAAAACTGGAAGCATTCCCTTTGAAAACTGGCACAAGACAGGGATGCCCTCTCTCACCACTCCTATTCAACATAGTGTTGGAAATTCTGGCCAGGGCAATGAGGCAGGGGAAGGAAATAAAGGGTATTCAATTAGGAAAAGAGGAAGTCAAATTGTCCCTGTTTGCAGATGACGTGATTGTATATCTAGAAAACCCCATTGTCTCAGCCAAAAATCTCCTTAAGCTGATAAGCAACTTCAGCAAAGTCTCAGGATACAAAATCAATGTGCAAAAGTCACAAGCATTCTTCTACACCAACAACAGACAGAGAGCCAAATCATGAGTGAACTCCCAGTCACAATTGCTTCAAAGAGAATAAAATACCTAGGAATCCAACTTACAAGGAGCGGGAAGGACCTCTTCAAGGAGAACTACAAACCACTGCTCAATGAAATAAAAGAGGATACAAAGAAATGGAAGAACATTCCATGCTCATGGGTAGGAAGAATCAATATCGTGAAAATGGCCATACTGCCCAAGGTAATTTATAGATTCAATGCCATCCCCATCAAGCTACCAATGACTTTCTTCACAGAATTGGAAAAAACTACTTTAAAGTTCATATGGAACCAAAAAATAGCCCACATCACCAAGTCAATCCTAAGCCAAAAGAACAAAGCTGGAGGCATCACGCTACCTGACTTCAAACTATACTATAAGGCTACAGTAACCAAAACAGCATGGTACTGGTACCAAAACAGAGATATAGATCAATGGAACAGAACAGAGCCCTCCGAAATAATGCCACTTATCTAGAACTATCTGATCTTTGACAAACCTGAGAAAAACAAGCAATGGGGAAAGGAGTCCCTATTCAATAAATGGTGCTGGGAAAACTGGCTAGCCATATGTAGAAAGCTGAAACTGGATCCCTTCCTTACACCTTATACAAAAATTAATTCAAGATGGATTAAAGACTTAAATGTTAGACCTAAAACCATAAAAACTCTAGAAGAAAACCTAGGCATTACCATTCAGGACATAGGCATGGGCAAGGACTTCATGTCTAAAACACCAAAAGCCATGGCAACAAAAGCCAAAACTGACAAATGGGATCTCATTAAACTAAAGAGCTTCTGCACAGCAAAAGAAACTACCATCAGAGTGAACAGGCAACCTACAAAATGGGAGAAAATTTTTGCAACCTACTCATCTGACAAAGGGCTAATATCCAGAATCTACAATGAACTCAAATAAATTTACAAGAAAAAACAAACAACTCCATCAAAAAGTGGGTGAAGGACATGAACAGACACTTTTCAAAAGAAGACATTTATGCAGCCAAAAAACACATGAAAAAATGCTCACCATCACTGGCCATCAGAGAAATGCAAATCAAAACCACAATGAGATACCATCTCACACCAGTTAGAATGGCGATCATTAAAAAGTCAGGAAACAACAAGTGCTGGAGAGGATGTGGAGAAATAGGAACACTTTTACACTGTTGGTGGGACCGTAAACTAGTTCAACCATTGTGAAAGTCAGTGTGGCGATTCCTCAGGGATCTAGAACTAGAAATACCATTTGACCCAGCCATCCCATTACTGGGTATATACCCAAAGGACTATAAATCATGCTGCTATAAAGACACATGCACACGTATGTTTATTGCAGCACTATTCACAATAGCAAAGACTTGGAACCAACCCAAATGTCCAACAATGATAGACTGGATTAAGAAAATGTGGCACATATACACCATGGAATACTATGCAGCCATAAAAAATGATGAGTTCATGTCCTTTGTAGGGACATGGATGAAATTGGAAATCATCATTCTCAGTAAACTATCGCAAGGACAAAAAACCAAACACCGCATGTTCTCATTCATAGGTGGGAATTGAACAATGAGAACACATGGACACAGGAAGGGGAACATCACACTCTGGGGACTGTTGTGGGGTGGGGGGAGGGGGAGCGATAGCATTAGGAGATATACCTAACGCTAAATGACGAGTTAATGGGTGCAGCACACCAGCATGGCACATGTATACATATGTAACTAACCTGCACATTGTGCACATGTACCCTAAAACTTAAAATATAATAATAATAAAATAAAAAGGAGATCTATTGTACAACACAGTGAGTATAGTTATTAACAATGTATTATATACTGGAAAATCGCTAAAAGGGTAGATTTTAAGTGTTTTCACCACAAAAAAATGGTAAGTATATGAGGTCATACATATGTTAACTTGTGTTGAGTTAGCCATTTCACAATGTATACATATTTTGAAACATCATGTTGTATACAATATAGAAAATTCTTGTCAATTAAAAATATTAAAAAACAATTGAAAGTTAATTCCACTCACATGAATACATAACCCCCTCAATGAAATCCATTTTTTATACAATAAAATTTAAATTACTTTTCATGTCACGTAAGGTCCTTCAAGATTTGTCTTTTACTCATCTCTTAGCCTTATTTCTCTTTTCTTACTACTCTATCTTCTTATCCAGTTGAGTTCTCCTGAGCTACTTGCAATTCTTCAAATAAGTTCTGCAATTTCTGCCTTTGCATATGTGGACTGTCTCCCCATTCCTTTTGATCATGAGAAAGCCTTACTCATCTTTCAAAATTCAGTTTGCTTCTTGACTCTCTAGGAAGTCTTTCCTGGCCTTCATAAGTAGAATGAAACATTCTTTGGGCTTCTAGTGTATCTTCCATTGCAACTATTGCCCTTACTCAACTACTGTTGTTATTGGTTTGTGTATGTTTCTCTCATGACTCTAGTCTCTACTTACTACTCTATCCCCTGCTTTAAGCCTATTGTCTAGTATATAGTACGCCATTGCTTTATTTTTATTAACTGAGTGAATGAGAGTTTTCAGACTTATAGTAACGTTTACTTTGATGTGCATTCCCACAGAGCATCTATAAGGTCCTCCTCAGTGAGGGAAGAAAAGTTTTCCAGGCTATTTCCAAGTTATTTCTCATGTGCTTCTCTGAAGCACACTGAGGCCCCAGATGTGATTTCACTCTAGGGCACCCTTTGCCACCTACCCATTTGTTTATCCTCTCTACTTCTAGAAGTTCAAAAGATGAAGAGAAATACCTGCTGTGGCATAGAAAGTTTTAAGAAAAGAAGACAGTTTTGTGAATGTGTGTGTACATGCACGTGTTGCTCTGCAACTTACCCTTTATATACAGTGTCACTTCATAGTCAAATGCCTTGCACATAGAAAACTCCCAACAGTTCATGATTGAATGATCTTTCCCAGTGCATCTTTCTGTGTACCCAGACCTGAAGCCGCACCAGACAGCAGAGCATTTTCAAAAGAGACATAGACTTTTAATCCTCCAATTCTGTACCTCCATATTGTTGCCTCAGCCTGAAACATCCTTTCTTGTATTGTCTACTCACTTCTCAATTGAGCTAAAATCAAATGCCATCACTTCTGTGTGTTTTTGATCCATTAAACAGAATAAACAGCTTATTATTTCTCCTCCTTCTAACTTGCTGTCACTTTTTTTCCTGAGAGCAGGGCACCTGCTTTCCTTATTCCAGAACTTGGCATGCTGTTTGGCACATGACTATACCTAACAAACATTTGTAGAAATAAATTAAATTGAAATAAGTGAATAAATAAAAGAATTCACATATGAAATATTTTTGAGCAAGCAAATATTTCAGATTGTGTGAAGATACTGAGAAGCTGGATGGGCTCTCAGCAAATCTGTGAAGTATCAAAACCTGAACATGGCACCTTCAAGCTTCAGTTCCCACCACTTCTCTGCTGCTCACCCCTAGCCTCATATGGCAGTGTTAGCTCTCAACCCCCCAGAGCCTCGCTAAAGTGCTTGGTAATAAATGCTTAATGTATAATCCTTCCAAGAGTAGTTGCATTTTAACTGGAAACTTTTGAAGGACATTTAAACAGAAAAGAACCCAAGGAATAAGTAATGGTGGAACTACAAACACCTTGATGATTGGTAGGGAAGGAATAGTGAATCAGTGATGAGCTTCCAGAATGTCCCTCAAAGCACAAAACACCAGCAGCTGCTGCCTTTTTGTCTGAGATGACTTTCTCTGGACTTGAATGTAAATAAAAAAAATATTTCTTAAAACAAAATTTTAAGGGGACTATGAAATAGTTAAATTGTAATCCCTGTCAAAAATCACTAGCGTTTTCTTCAGAATAGAAAGCAATGCTTAGAATAACTTAAGCATTGAAAGTAGACTCCTATTATTTTAATCAAGCATTATTGATGGGGAAATAAATGGAAGCCAGGAGGTACCCCCAACATGAAGAAAGCTATCAGGTGAACATTATTAGTTTCTCCCTGACTTTGTTCCATTACACAGCTGCTTTGCTGGTCTCCCAAAGGAGTACTAAAACTGAAGGCATGAGTAGAGAATTGCTGATATTTATCAGGTAGGAGCAAGTCAAAATGGAAAGAAGGCAAAGTCAAAGTAGTAAAACATGAACAGCTTTCCCCAGATGTAATTTCTTCTAGGAAATATAACATATAACACACTTGAAAACCCTTATCTCATTAACCTCTACTGGATTTTTTGGGTGGTTTTGTAAATACGCATAGTTTTAAATCAATACATGTGTCAGAATATATTAGTGGCCTTATGGAACAATTAGTACTGTAGACTCGATTCTTCAGTATTCACCTTAGAAAACAGCCATTGGCCAAGTCAAGGCTAAGATAAGACTGTGGAAAGCAGATAGGGAAAGTGGATGAACTAAGCAGGAGGCAGGTTCAATTATTCTGCTTCTATAGGTTGTCAGGAAACATTAAATCCTCTGATCTTTTATGTTCAACAGCAATTTCTTCTTTGACACTTGCTTTGTGGTTGCCTTATCAAGTTTTTTTCTTTATCTTCTATGTATACAAATCAGAGAAATGAGACAGAACATTTACAAGTCTATTGCTCCCATCATCATCTGATTTAGGAAAAATAATGAAGAAATCAAAACTCACTTTGGTGGGATCCAATCTTCCCATTAAGCATCGGCTCCCACATCTGAAGTCTACTTTAAAGATTTGAGTAGTGTTCTTTCTTACCATCATAGATGACCTGAAGAAAAAACTGGAAACACTGAGAGTATCACCCCCTCTCAGAGTAATGAGGCTAAAAGTCCATAGGGGAAGAAATGAATGGATTAGGATAAGATTTCAGACTGCAGAAAAAAGGTGGGCAGAGATTACAGGAACCACATAACAAGTATCCTGGAATTCAGTGAGTTACACAGTCACTCTGCTAAGAATGAATTAACCAAAATACAAATTTGGAAAGCCATTATGACTTACAAGCCACAATGTATGTGTGACACCAAAAACTCTTGCTTTGTCATTGGTTTTGTTGTCAGCAAACTTCAGGACTCTTGTCCTTTTCATGTGTTTGCAGCTAAAGCTTGGGTAGAAACTTGCACTCCCACAAAGTCTGTTAATTAATATAAGTGGAGGCCAGGCGCGGTGGCTCACACCTGTAATCCTAACACTTTGGGAGGCTGAGGTGGGTGGAACACCTGAGGTCAGGAGTTCGAGACCAGACTGGCCAACATGGTGAAATCCCATTTCTACTAAAAATACAAAAAATTAGTCAGGCATGATAGCAGGCTACTGTAATTCCAGCTACTTGGGAGGCTGAGGTAGGAGAATCACTTGAACCCGGGAGGTGGAGATTGCAGTGAGCTGAGATCATGCCACTGCACTCCAGCCTGGGCGACCAGCTAAACTCCATCTCAAAAACAAAACAAAACAAAAAAAATAAAATAAATAAGAATATAAGTGGAATCTATCGAAAATAATTTTTAAAAAAGACATCAAACAGAGAAAACAAAGATTAGCAAGCAATTATTTATCCTGCTAAAAGAAAAAATAAAATAATAAAAATTACTATCCCATTGTAACTAATGTATCAAATCAAGCATCTTTCTTGAACATGAGACAAACATTTACTCATCATTATCATCTAAGCAGACAGCTGAATGGCCTGAATAAGATTTAGATTTTATGATCAGTACTTGTTTTACATAATAGAAGAAATAAAAGCTTTTCTAAATTCACTAGCAGTTCCTGCTACTTTCCTTAGATTTCTATTGAAGAAAATTAAACATATTTATATAGATGACTAGAATTTCTGAATGTCATTGTTACTCTTTTTGAATACTCAATAAATTATAATCTCCTGGTGGGGAGTAAACATTCCTCCAATATTTTGCCTAGACAACCCTTTATAAGTGGTTTGAAAATGGTGAAGGTTGGAAAAGAGTGCTTTCCAACTTATTGGAATGGCTCAAGCACTCAACTTCGGTCTGAACTGAATCAACCAATATTTCTCTTTTCTAATGAAAAGAAAAAGGTTTTATGATTTTTGCTGCTGTCTGAATTCTTCTGCTTGCTGTCTGACTAGTTTATGAGTGAAAGGATTGGCCAGTACAAGTAAGAGAAACAAAAGTGGGCATGAAATTGGTGCCCAGCAAACCTCTGCAAGGCTGAAAAAGGAACGCTTTTACCCTTATCCTACAGCTGCCATGGGAGTAATGTGTGTTTGTGGTAGGGTTGGGGTGGGGGCCACAAAGAAAATAAACCAACAACAACAAAAAAAAATCGAGAAAGTACTTAAGGTTAAGAGTCCTCCAGGCTGTGTGGATCCTGGAGGACTCTGAAATATGTTCTTTGGATACCTGAAGCCAAGCTCTATAAACACCCTTGGTACTGAGGCTGCAGAGGGCTCACTACGGAAGACTTCTCACAGCAGGCATTAGCAGAGCATGTTTGCAATGGTGCAGCATTTTGCAGGTTCATGATATAGCTGGCAGGAGCAGAGCAATAGATATACAGATGATCAATCATTATACTCTCTATGTGAAGCATGAACTCTATATGTGCTCAAAACTGAACTTCAAGAAACTGAAGACAAATAGGATGAGAATTTTAATATTTAAATTCTCATTGCTGATATGAGAAAAATGACGTGCAATATGGAGTAGTGTTCGAGGTGGAAGCAGAGAAGTATCCAAGGTCCATTGACATAAAAGTATATATTATGCTGTGAATGCTTAGGATAGCATTAAGTGTTGTCAGAATTGGAGACCAAGGTGCACAACTTAAAACAGAAACCACTAAATTGTGAACATTACAAATTAGTTTGGAGACTTTCCCTTTCATAGGGCTATCCCTGCTGTCCTCCCTCGACTGCCTCGAGGGCGATGCCAGATCAGCAGAACTGCCTATGTCACCATCCCTCACCCCTGCCTTCATTTGACTCTGGTAGATATAAGAAGAGAGTAGAGAGAAAGGTGCAGAGGTTCCCTTTTGGTAGGGAGAGGAGAGTACATTGTTAATGAACAAAAGATATTCCTTTTCCTAAGTTCCCTAGGCAATGGGGTGAGCTGAGGGGGTCACGGAAGGGGTAAGGAAGGCTCCAAGATAATCACTCCCACAGATGTGGAAAGATTGATGTTTATCCAGCAGTCTGCCTGTCTGCTTAGCTCCTGGAACTTGCTTATAGTCAGGTTTTCATCAGCACTCAAGAGATGGTATGGGGTGGGTGGCCACATGTGAAGATGGCCAGGGTTGGCTCTCTAAAGTTCCTGTTGCTCCAGAGGTACAGAAGATGGGATTCACCAATGCTTGGAGGCTCTAAGTCTGGGAAGCTGCTGAAGGTGCATGTGATGGGGAAGTGCCATAGAGAATGGCAAAGAGACATAGAGAATAGAGGAAGCAGGCAAGATGCTGCCATCTGGGGATTAGCTAGCAGATGCAAACTAACTTTTCAAGGGGCTACAAATCCCCAGGAACACTGTTAGAAGTAAGGCAATTAATTGCAGGGCTGATCAGCAATTAATTGGCCAAAGCCACTCGTCTTATACAAAGCCTGTGGATGACAAGTGGATCAGGCTATGGCCAATCAAGGAGACAAGTAATACATATCCAGGGGCAGTATATCAGTTAGAAATGCTTTTGGGGCCGGGTGAGGTAGGTCACGCGTTCACGCCTGTAATCCCAGCACTTTGGGAGGCTGAGGTGGGCCAATCACGAGGTCAGGAAACTGAGACCATCCTGGCTAATACGGTGAAACCCTGTCTCTACTAAAAATACAAAAAATTAGCTAGGCGTGGTGGTGGGCACCTGTAGTCCCAGCTACTTGAGAGGCTGAGGCAAAAGAATCGCTTGAACCCAGGAGGCAGAGTGAGCCAAGACTGTACCACTGCACTCCAGCCTGGGTGACAGAGTGAGCCTACTTTTCAGTGGCCTTAACAAATAGAGATTTATTTTTCTCATATAACAAGATGTCTTGTGGGAAGTTGCTATTATAGAGTATATTCCTACTCTATATTATAGAGTAAATTCCATATCTCAATGGTTCTGAAATTCTCAATGGTTCCATATCTCAATGGTTCTGAAATTCTCAATGGTTCCATATCTCAATGGTTTTGAAATTCTCTCAGCCTTTCCCTCTGGTGGCTGTCTTAACCCCAGGCATCAGGTGCACACTGAAGGAAGGAAGAAGTCTGGGAATAGGAGAGAACAGCAAAGTGTATTATTTATATCAGGAAGATAAAAGTATTCTCAGAATCCACATAACAAGCTTTTGCTTATTTCTCATTAGCCACAATTAGGTCACTTAGGTACCATAGCTACAAGAGAACCAGGGTAGTTTTTGGTTTCTTTAACCTTTATAGTAAAGGAAGAGCTTTCCAATAGCATCTGAGATTCGTAGTCATGTTAAAGGAGGCTATCTCTCAATTCTCTTATTCTGTGGCTCTGCCGTAAACAGGGGAGAGAGAGCTGAGGGTGAGTGGAGAGGTGAGAGGTGAGGGTAAGCCCAACACTTCACTCACCCACCAAGACTCTAGATGCATGCATTTGGCCTGTGCTGACTGAGGCAGGAGATGGAGATGGGGAGAGGAGGAAAAATGTCTTTAAACTGCATATGAAAATGAATAAGACAGAGTCTTAATGAGCCAAAATGAGACTGTTCTACTAATTGAAAGAGATGAAAAAGGAAATAGAATTGGATGAGGATTGTTAAGGGAATCTTCCATCAGCTGGAAAGAAAGCTTTGACTGGTTACAGTTAGCAGCAGTTATTAGTAGAATAATATCCTTTTATTCCCATGCAACTAACAAATTCAGACTTCTGTCTAAATTAGTTACACTGAAGTTAACTGTTTTTTATTAATAAATAGAGGACCCCAGTGGGTAGATTCAGGGCTTCTTAGTTAAATTTCTTTTGTTTTATAAAGTTCTGAGCTGAAAGGTACACTTAATAAGACATGCCTCATAAAAATACACACGAATGATTTTTGTAAGATCCTCAGATTGGTCGTTAAATAATCAAATGCATGCTTTATAAAGTCGTGTATTAACACAGCCTGGTTCTCTTTAGAAATATTGTGTATTTTATATGTGACAGACTAAACATTGTTGCCAATTCATCAGTTTTCTCAAACTAACTTCAGAGGATTTGTTCCCACTTACATCCCCTCCCACATCCAACAGGTCCAACATATTATTTAACTGTATAGTATTCAGTCATTGCCAACTGTGATACAAACATATCTTTGCATATCCGTCTTATAAGAGGTAGATACACTCTTTCAAGTGTAAATTCCTACTCTATAAGAAGTTGCTTTCCAACTTTTAGATCTGCTCCAGTTAATTGGAGGCAGCCACCAGAGCACTGTGCTTGTCATGTAGCTCACAGAAACTTTAGACACTTCTCATATTCTAAAGGAGAAATAAGCTGATTTGATCGTGAATAGTTGAGATTCCTGACAGTCAACTCCACAAATATTTATAGAATTTTATCTACCTGCAGACTCTGTGCTATGTGCTGTAGACACACAAAAGAAGATATGCCCTGTCCTTCAGAAACTCAAAATTTAGCTCTGAATGTACTATTAGCAGCATAAGCTAACATCCACAATGAGTTGTGATAAGTACTATGCGAAAAATATTTACAAAGGTCTAAGGAAATAAAATTGAAGGAGTCACTACATCTGTGTAAACTGCATTGTTCACTTACGAAAGAAAAAATCAAAGGAATTCATCAAGATCTCAAAGTCAGTGCAATTCTACTCTGTATTAGAGAGAGCAGCGTGTCCTTCTAAGTATGAAAGGAAAAAAAAATCACTTCTCACCCAACTCAAGGAAAGATTCACAGCCTAAGTGCTGGCTGCCTCTGCAGAAACCTGCAGAGATATTTTCTTATACTGCATCAGGTATAGCAGAAGGAAACAGCTGGAAGCTGAGGGACAAATATCAGGAGCCCTGGCGTGATTGAATAGAATTGCCAAGTGCAGGACGTACATTCCTCCTCCACCCAGCAATGCCTCTTTTCACGGTTATGTGCTAAGTCTTAAAATAATAAATAATAACAGTTATCATTTAGGGAGTGTCCATATGTCACTTGCATGTGATTGGCTCTGTAAAATGGAATCGATGTATATTATTTCCAAATTTCATAACAATTCCACTATAAATAAAGTAGACATTATTACCTCTATTTTACAGATGAGGAAACCATAGAATAGATAGAAAATTATCCACAAGTGGAGAATTCAAGAGGTGATTTCAGTTTTACCTGACTTCAGTGCCTATACTCTTCCCACTGTGCCAGGGAGACAGGAGCATCATTGATGCTTAAATTTAAGAGCAAGGAAAGGCATTCTTCCCTGGGCCTCTTGGTAGCTATCCATAGAAATTTACAGAAGTGGCCCCTCCTCTCTTGTAGTTTGGATCTGGATGTCTTAGGCCAAGGGTAAAACCAGTGTTAGAGTTCAGAAACTGTTCTAGAATGGCAAATGTTCTTCTTTCCATTGCTGCCGATTGATTTTTTCCCTCTAAAGTCTGATTTTGATTTTGCTAGTAAATATTGTTTCTATCTTCACCCTTACCAGCAAACACAGCTGGTTTGGGCTGTCAGAGATTCAGTGAAACTTCTGCAATAATTTAAACTATACGAAAACAATTAGAATGAAAAGGGGAAAGAATGTTTAAATAGATAACATCTTAAAATACAGGTTTGACATTGCTTGCATTTGTCAGAAGCCAATGAGCGTTTAAAAAGACTTCGTATTTTTAGTGTGGTTCTTATGCACTTCTTCTAAATAGAAATGTCCAAAGTGAATGATAAAGTCAGCAAAGTGAATATTCAATTTCTGCGTTTTCCAGTAGTTTACAACAAAAAGCAGGTTTTCAAGTCCACTTTGCTGCCAATTGACCTCAACCAGGACTTTTCTCTGAGTTTCGAGTATAATAGGAAAGTCTAGACTAGATGATTGAATTCTAGTTCTAACATTCCTTGTTTACATTTATAAAGCATGGAATCACCATTTTTTAAGTGCAGTTATTCTGTTTCCTCTAAACACATGCTCCTGATAGCTTTTTATGTACCCCTGGGAGAGTAAAGCTTTCTACCAAAGGGGAAATAAAGCCACAGGCTACACATGAGAGAGATTTCTGGGAGAATCAATTTAACTCAACAATTTTTAAGGCAAAGAATTTTAAACACATCTTTATTAAGATATAATTGAAATATAATACGTTGCACTTATTTCAAGTGTATAATTTTTAAAGATTTGACAAATGTGTACATCTGTAAAACAATCACTACAAGAGAGTGAATGTATTCATTACTCCCCCAAAGTTTTCTCATGTCCTTGGAGTTCCTCCCTCATCCTTCACTACCCCATCCCCACTGAACCACTGTTACTGTAGATTAGTTTGCATTTCCTAGAATTTCATGTAAATGGACTTGTACAGTATGCATACATTTTTGTCTAGCTTTTTTCACTTAGAGAAATTATTCTGAAGGCTATTCTTTTTACTACATGTGGCAATAAGTCATTCTTTTTTATTGCTGAGTAGTATTCTATTATATGGACATACTGCCATGTGTTGATTATTCATCTATCAATAGGCCCTTGGGTTGTTTTGGGATCCTGGATTTTTTTCCATTCTCGCCTCTAAGTGAAGTTAGCCTCCTTTGGCAGGGAAGTTGCTGGTTTTTATGGATTTCTCAGTTATGGTGGAACTGCCATGGCTATGGAGCTGGAGGTGCTATAATTGAGGGATGGAGTAACCCAGGTTATAACATCACAGACTCCCACTGTTTTTACCTGGAGTTCAGTAACTTTTCTTGAATAAATGCATCTCAATTTGTTGTATGCCTAGAGTCCTAAAATCATTGTTTTTTAACAGTCTTTTCCAGTTTTATCCTCTCTCCTTGAGGAGGAGATTTGCCAAGCTATTTACTTTGCCATTCCAGAAATCCCCTGATTTTTACTTTAGTGCAATTTTTCTGACGAAGAGCAATATAGTCTCTACTTTTCAGAAAAGTTCTATCAAATAAGGAAATAGAATGTTTGTCCACATAACTCAAATACAAGACAAAGACAAAGGCAGTGCCTCCATAAGCAGCCACTGGGTTCTGCAGGTGTTTAGAAGAAAGAAATATCATTGCTTCTGGAAAGCTTTAGGAAAAACATCCAGGGAGTGGACAGCATTTGAGTGAGCCTTAAAGGGTTGACAGGATTTCAATAGGTGTTGAAATACTGAGCATAGCAGTTGCAGGAGTAATTATGGCGATGCAGGATTTTTCTTTTTTTCTTTCTATTTTAAATATTAATAGTAGTACATGAATACATTTTCATTGCAAAAATATTTAAATAATACAGTTGGTAATGTTAAAGCATCACTATTTCCCTCTCCTCCTGACTTCTTCCCCTCAGCTCCGTCCCTTTCCTTTCCCCACCACGATTTCTAGGCCTTTTCCTATGTAATGAAATACATATGTATGTAACAGTGGATCTCTGAAAACATAGACTGAAGTGAGTTCATCTGTATTTAGGTCAATAAAAATAATATTTATAGGCCTGGGTCTATGTTAACACAGATGAATATTTGTAAAAATGATTTGACTGGGGGCACCTGCCTAGTATCATCACCAGCAGCAAATAGTTTACTCCCTGAGTAAATCTAAGCAAGCTACTAAGTAGTTATGAACTTCAGTTTATTTATCCATCAAGATAGGCTAGTCTACGCTGTGGTGACAAATAATCCTGCAGAATTTCCAAGGCTTAATACAATAATACCTGGCTTCTCAAGCCAGGCAAGGTGGTATATGTCTGTAGTCCCAGCAAGTTGGGAGGCTGAGGTGGGAGGATCCCTTGAGCCTGGGAGTTTGAGGCTGCAGTGAGCCAAGATTATGCCACTGCACCCCAGCTGGGCAAAGGAGCAAGACCCTGTCTCCTGTCTCTAAATAAATAAATGAATATATATAAAAAATAATTTCTCATTCCCATAAAGTCCAATGCTCTTCTAGGCAACTTTGTCTGGCAAAAGAGTCTTTCCCTTTTATCTTAGCAAACTTCTGGGAGAGACAGAGACAGAGACAGAGAGAGAAAGAGAGAAGATTGTACAATACATTCTAAGGTTAGGCCTGGAAGTGAGGTACCCCATTTCTGCCTACTCCATTGAATAGAACTCAGTAGCAAATAGGTTCAAGGAGGGCTAGCAAATCAGTCTTTTTGCATGTCCAAGGAAAGTATAAATAAGTTAGTGAATTTATAGCATTGTCTCTGCCACAGGTTTCCTCATCTCTGAGATGTACAGTCAACTAGATGATGATTACAGCCTTCCCAATTCTGCTCTTTTATGAATATTAAGTTCAGTGAGAGAATCTGACTTCACTTTAGTATTCAGGAGGATTGAGTCTATTTTAGCCATGTAATCCAGTTGTCTTTACGTTGTGTGTCATATCAAGGTAAGAGACTGAGTCACATTTTTTCTTTTAAAATTCCCAAATTTCAAAAAGTCATGGGAAAACATAGAAACAAAAAAATTCATTATTTAACTTCCAGGCAATGAGATACCATTAAAAGTCAAAATTTCTGAATTTAAATCCTGACTCTGCTGTTAATAATGTACGATGTTGGGAAAATCACTTTAGCCTCCCTAGACCTCCATTTTTCCACTTACTAAATAGAAGTGATAATTATGACCAATTCACTGGGAATGAAGATTAAATGTCAGAGTACATGCAAAGCTGCTTTGTAAATTATAAAAACCTAGACAATTTTAAAAACAGACAAGAAGAGAGAGAAAAAGAGTGCAAGAAGACAAGCAAATAAGAGAGAAGAGAGGGTTAGAATTATAGGATTTGTGGGAAAAGTCCTAAGAAATTCATGATTCAAAAGGGAATCAGAGTTTGGGTTGGAGACCACTGAAGCAGTCCCATAGGGAAAACAAGTAGAATCAGAAGTCTAAAGAGGGGAAGGAAAACTGCAGAGTGAGGTATGGAGGGGAGAAGAAAGAATAAGATGCCAGATATGGTGGCTCATGCCTGTAATCCCAGCACTTTGGGAGGCCGAGATGGGAGGATTGCTTAATCTCTGGAGTTCAAGACCAGCCTGGACAACATAGTGAGATTCCGTCTCTTAAAAAATAAAAAAATTAAAAAGTAGCCAAGTGGCCAGGCACAGTGACTAATGCCTGTAATTCCAGCACTTTAGGAGACCAAGGCAGCGGATCACCTGAAGTCAGGTGTTCGAGACCAGCCTGGGCAACATGGCAAAACCCTGTCTCTACTAAAAATACAAAAATTAGCCGGGCATGGTGGTACACACCTGTAGTCCCAGCTACTTGAAAGGCTGAGGCAAGAGAATCACTTGAACCCAGGAAGCAGAGGTTGCAGTGAGCCAAGATCACACCACTGTACTCCAGGATGACAGAGTGATAATCCATCTGAAAAAAAAAAAAAAGGTAGCAAGCTTGGTGTTGTGTGCCTGTAGTCCCAGCTACTCTGAAGGCTGAGGTGAGAGGATCTCTTCAGCCCTGGAGGTCAAGGCTGCAATGAGCAACGATCGTACCACTGCACTCCAGGCTGGGCAACGGAACAAACACTCTGTCTCAAAGGACAAATAAAGAATGAGAAAAGAATGGGTTGCGACAGTGTGAGTAACTTTAGAAAGCAATGTTTTATGTAACCAAAGTGCTGTTGTCTACGTATGTTTGTACATTGTCTGATATTAGTATATTGTTATTAAGCAAATTCCCAGCTTTATTGCAAACCCTAATCTTTTGATAATTGTCAATTCAGTTTACTGAGCTAGGCAGGTAATAGAAGCTTAAACTCTGATCCCTGTCTCTATCTGCCCCCATCATATGGTTTGGCTCTGTGTCCCCACTCAAACCTCATGTTGAAATGTAATCCCCAGGGTTGGGGGAGGGACATGGTGGGAGGTGATTTGATCACGGGGGCAGATTTCCCCCTTGCTGTTCTCATGATAGTAGATGAGTTCTCATGAGATCTGGTTGTTTGACACTGTGTAGCACTTCCCCCTTCACACACTCTCTCTCCTGCTGCCATGTGAAAACATGCTGTCTTCCCCTTCACCTCCTGCCATGACTGTAAGTTTCCTGAGGCTTCCCCAGCCATGCTTCCTGTATAGCCTATGGAACTGTGAGTCAATGAAACCTCTTTTCTTCATAAATTACCTGGTTTCAGATAGTTTTTAGTAACAGTGTAAGAAAAGATTAATACACCTCACTTCTTCAGTTACTTTCTGTTTTGCTGACTCAGTTTCTAAAAATACCTTGTAAAGTAGAGTCATCACAGAAGCTTCCCTTGGTCCTCAGGACAACACATACCTGTGTCTTGATGAACAGATATTCTAGAAATAACTCTTTTATCTGATTCCTCCTAGGAAGGTCCTTTGGAGATAGGAAAGTGAGGTAATTCATCTGGCAGCCAGTAAAGAGAGTGCTATTATTTAATTTTTCTTTAACTTAGTCACAAACCAGCACACAAAGAACAACTATTTTTAACAATATAAGTCCATATTGCTGAAGGCCCTAGGAAGAGGAGGCATTTTGAATTTTTCACATTCTACATAATTAGTAGAGAAAGCATAAGAGAAAGCTTAGTATAGCTCCCCTCCCACAGAATACCCCATGATAACCTCAATATCATTCTTGAAGCTCGATCTATTTGCAGTCATCTTCAAATAGACATCCATAGAAAAAGCTGGGAAATGGGATGTGTTGGGTAGTTACAATGACTACTGGCATTTAGGGATTCAAAGGAACGGGGGTGAGGGATGAGAAGCATCCTAAAATGCTCAGGACAATCCAATACAATAAAGAATTACCCTTTTTAGTTATCAATCAAACATTGATGAATACTATCAAAAAAGCTACCCGTTTGGGATATCCATAAGGCAGATGCTAAGAATTTATTAACAGCTTTCCTTAAGAATCAGATATCCAATTTAGGACTAGCTTTTCAGTGGAATACCAATTGTCAGAAATGCAATGCCATTTGTGTATACTTCCTTCTTGAGTGTGGAGAAAGAATGGAGGCAAATTTCTGGAAACTGTAAATCACAATAATATAAATAAAAATAGCCAGAAATATGTATATAGAGTCCATGAATCGGTTCCTTTCTTTTGTATGTGTCAGTGCTATAGCAGAAATAATTATACTCTGGTGCTTGCCAAGATTCTTAATGTAGTAACAGTTGCAAGTCATTCTCTTAAATTAATAGAATTCTGAGGAGCAAACAAATACCACTAAATATCATGAAAATGCTTCTCATTATTTTACATATTTTCTCTTTGTATCTGTGTGTCTCAAAAGGGCTCTGAAAGTTTCACCAGGGGCAGGAGTTCAGCACTTCAACACGAGTGCTTTTAAAAATGTTGGAAAATTCATGAATTAATTTGCCGACTAAACTATGTAATCAGATCCTGATTTATTCTTCTGCAGCACAGCTAATAGGCTGCTTTTTTCTTTTTTTTTTAGAAACAGGCAAAAAGACCTGCCATGAATCCAAGAAGAGTTTTGCCAATATTTAGGGCTTGATTAAGGTTGAAATCTCAATCCTCGTTTGCTCAAGTTCATGCTATGTAAGGTTATAAAGATGGGCAGAAATGGTCATTAAAAGTGTAATTTAAAAATATATGTATTTCCTTTTCTAGTATAGGCTTTGCAAATGCAATCCTGCTTCCAACTCCCAGAAATCTAGCTATTTATTCTAGCCAGTGTATCATTCAAAAGGTTAGACTAGACTTGTTTTCTTATACCAAACACCAACTGATTATCTCAGTCGCTCCACCACTCAAACCTTAGTGGACCTCATTGGCTTTGATATTTGTTAGCTTTGCAAGAGATGGATAAGCCTGGTATCATTTCTGTCCCCAGGAACACAGCTAACTATGCTGCAGAAGGTAGAGGCAATTCAGAACCTTCACAACATTTCAACAAAAAGATGAATTCATGCAGTGAAACAGAAATTAGGGTCTGCTGAAATCTTTGCACATTCTCATCATAATTTTATATTTAGTTAATATTTGATAAATATTTTAAATACAGAGTAATCTGAGTTTTAATTCAGGATAAGTGCCATTGAAACAAGAGCATCTTTTGGTTTAGTTTAGGAATGCAGAATCAGTCCATAGACTACTAATTTCACCAAAATATAGATTTCATACCTACTTCTGACAAAGAATATGCACCTCTACCAAGGTCCATTCTACTTACCAAGTATAGATATTCTTCTTCAAATACATCCTTACAAGAGTCCACTTCTGTCATGTAAAGTAGCAATTAGTAGCTCTCTGTCACACAGAATGTCATGTGCTCACTAACAGATAATGGACAAGTCACAAGGAGATAAAACATTAGTATTATTTCAATATCTTAGCTATGCTTGTCATTTACTTTGTACTATGTTACTGTACTGGCAAATGGGAATGTGTTGGAATCAGGTTCTTAGTGCTAGAAGGAATGTCAGAGATCAACTGGACCATTTTCTTTGCTTTATAGATATGGAAATTGAGGTCCAATGAGGAAAAGCAACTTGATCAAGACCACCCGAAGTTATAGAAAACCATCATAAAATTGCAAATTTAAAAAAGACCTTTCTTTTTTTTTCTGGGGAAAAACAAACCTTCAATAACTAACAGTTATAACATTTATTACCACTAAAACATTCTTTGTTGGTGGATTTTGGTATAGACACTTAAGATAACATAAAGGATGCATTTCAATTACTTAATTTATTCCTATGATATCTGTTGCAACTGAGCTGATTTTGCTAGTTAGTCTCATATGAGAAACTGTAAACATTTTCATGTTGTGATCAGATTCTAAGATTTTTTCTCTTATTAAATCTTTTCCAAAGCCTCATACCTAAGATTCAAGCTATGAGATCTCTTCTTGACCATTATATAAGTCAAATTAAAATCTTCCTGATCTGATATTCCTTTGTATTTTCCCCTATCTGCCACATATCATAAAGAAATGATGACAAATTAATGTTGAAGAGGAGAGATATTGTTTGTTCTGATCAGGCATCTCATCTAAACATCTATAATTTATTTCTTAGGTCACGGGCTTAAATTATACAAAGTTGAAGGAATTGAAGCCTATGTGCCTTCTCAGGTGGTTAATGCTGCTTACAAAATAAAGGAGATCATATATCTGTGGGCCACGATAGTGACTGGCAGGAGAATCAAATTTATTGCAGGAGGGTGCTTATTTTAGGGGCATCGTTATCACAACTCTCTTAATGAAAAGAAAGTTATTATGTTGAGATGAGTTCAAAGATAAACCCTTCCCACTGGCAGCCCAATGGAACTTCATGACTTTTTTTACCTGAGCCACCAATATTATGGCTTCCAGCCATACCCTCTGTTTTGGTCTGAGTGCGCAGGTGGCAATATGACAAATAAAACAGTTGGGACACAGGTTAAAATGCCAGTGGTAGAATTTGAGCCACTGTAACCTAAGGAGTTGAGTAATCATAACGGGACCGCAGCATCTGTGAATTCAGACCCATGGCACTATTCCAGAAAGTGGGAATCCACATTACCTCCCTAGAATGACAATTCTATCTTTCCCTTGCGGATTTCCCACTTGTGGGTGGATTTTCCACTTGTAAGATTGATCCAGCCAATTCTATGGCAATGACAGACAGAATGTGGCAGTCGTGCATTCTGAGGTCAGTCGACCTGGGAAAGTTTCATAATCAATACCACTCTTAATTATAGCCATTTTCTCAATTTACACTAAAGCAATGGACTCATTATCTCAACAATTTATGTTTTATCTCATTAGCCTACTATTAGATAAATAATATCTCTCATGCTCATGTTCAATAGCTGCAATGTCATTCAATAAATTAGTTGGACATAAATTCTAGCAGTACTAAATTTCCTGTAGGAATTTATCATTGAAATGGGTCCCAACATTGAATATCTTGTAAACATCACTAATTGCCCTCTTGTTTATAAAATGATTTTATTAATCTTCAGAGTTTTGCTTTACTAGTTCATGAAAGGACACTTTACTTAGTGCCACAGTTTAAAAAGGAAGTAATTGTTGATGCAGTCTCAAAAAACAGGAGTACCTAGGTTTCATTGGCTTTGTGTTGTATCTTAACGCACTGCCACGGAGCTTGGGGGGAAATGCTCCTAGAGAATGATGATTGTGATGCTGTTCCTTTGAGTTGCTTCACACAGAAATGTTTTGAAATCTGAAATTCTACTTTGCCATTTTCACGAGTTATTTAAAGCATTCCTTCTGCACACTTGAGAACGATGAAGATTTGAGGGTGCCAAGAACTAGCTTTAGGCTGACTGGGAGTGAATTCTTGTTTTGGAGTCCACGTATCTTCCTACCAACATCACATTCTCTTGAGGAATGCTAAGAAACAATGTGGATTTTAGAGATTTTTCACATTGCCTTTTTATTTTCTTAAAGATCATGTTTGATTTCATTTTTCTTTCATTTTGCAAAATTTTTTTTAATTTTCTGCATTTGAATTCTCTGGAATTAATGAAAACTTCACCCCCCTACTGCCTCCCCACCACCCCCTCGCACACACACACACTCTGTATTGTTGGGTTTGCTATGACAATAGAGAAGAAGGTAAGATCTCCTCCAGCCAGTAAGCTGAGAGGCTGGCAATTGTTACCAAAATCAGAAAATATTTCTAGCTAGGTATATGTCTCCATGAAAATCTCTCTGTTTGTATTGCCCCTCTCATGGTCGCTCCTAACATGATCCCTTTATCTGTGTACATAAGAATTATTTTTAGATGGATCTCCTTCTGTTTACACAGTATCCTTTGCTGTCTACCTTCTTTATCTAGCTAATAGCAGATGTTTACCTACTTGCAAGGAATATTTCTCTAAGGAAATATTAGGGATGGGAAAAGAATCCCTGTCTCTTTAGCCCTGAATACTCAGGACTTTTTCTTTTTTTGATATGTACCATGGCATATACATTTTAATTAATCCCAAACTGCATTCGAAGAGGGGTTTACATGTCACCAATTATTTTGAATGAGGGTTTTTCTCTCCCATTTGAATGTTAAATCATCATCTGTGTTTCAACATCTGTGGAAAATGCAGCTATAATTATTGTAAATAATATATTTTCCTAAGTATGAATTTGAAATGTGGTCAGTTTTGTTGACTGTTTTCTTTGCTTTCCTTTTTTCTCCAGCAGCTCAAAAACATCAATTGTCTTACTGTGGGTGTTTTCTGAAGTACAGTCACAAAGAAAGATTGTGAAAATGACAATGTTGTGCTTTATATTTTTTATCTTGTGTTGACTTCCATATCAAAACTGCTAAGTTGGGAAGACAAAGGATGCCTCCCAACTGCAGGCAACACAAAGCTCTTTTGTATTCTGACTCTTCTCTTCCTCTTACATCAACATCAATAAGTATTTTGTGGGAGAGACTGAAATGTCAGTCTTTCCGGGGAGCAATCAAGTCCAGTTTATTCTTTGCTCCGTAATTAAAGCCTGTTTCTGTGAGAAAAGTAAACCAATACCCCAGCAGCCGAAGATAAACTACGGTGCTATTTTTAATCTACAGCGAACCTTTCAACAGTATGAACCCTTTGAGACTTGCTACAGTTTTGCATTCTTGAGCCAATAGAAAAAGATTCAGGGAAGACAATAGTGGGTAGTCTAAAGGTATTAAAATTGTGTGTCTTATTTTAAACACTTGTGTTGAAACAAATAGCATTACAAAGGAGCTGGAAGAAAGTGGAGGATTTAATGAATGTGCTGCAATCCTTTAAAATGCGGATGCAGTTCTTCTTTCTTTCCCCAAGGAAGTGCCAAGCCCAATCCCAATGCCTGACTTTGCTACAGATTTGAAAATATAAAAAATGAATTATTAGGCAGAAAGGGAGAAGAGCTTAGCATTGGTTATTAATTGGCACTTCTCTTCAAGTCCCACTGTAAGGGGTCCCCTAGAGCTAGCTCCCTCCTCAGCTCCCATCTGACTGCCATGCTGTGCTGCTGGGCCACCCTTGTCCTCAGAACCTCTTCCCCTGCGTCTCAGCCTCCTCTTCCTGTTTTTGTCCCCTAGCTCCTTTCTCGAGAAAAGAGAACAATCGCAACACCACAATAATCTCATCAATTCAGAAAAGCAAACTTTCAGTTTCCAATACCAGGTAGGGTAAGAGATTCCTCCATTCAAGCCCTCTCTTCTATTATTTGATTATTCGTATAACACAAGGTACACTAAAAAGATTTCCTAAACCAAATACGGGCTTTTCCCAAAGATAATGTTGAGTCAAACCTATAAAGTTTTTAAACAATAGTATTTTGAACAGGTAATTCCTTTATCCTCAGGTTTTGGGTCCCCAAAAGTACCTTCTCATTATAAGTTGCTCTGCTCTTACACAGAAAATGTATTTATACTATGTGAAGATTTGTAAAGGATTTCCCAGGAGAAACACCACCCACAGCCCTTGTTTAATGTATCAATCCTCTTTTCCAGCACTATCCGATCAGTATAGAATGCAAGCCAGAAATGTGACCCACGAATAAAATTTAAAATTTTCTCCTGGCCACATTAAAAAAAGTAAAAGGAAAGAAGTGAAATTGATTTTAATATTTTTATTTAATCTAATATAGACTCCAAATTATCATTTTAACATGTACTAAATATTAAAACACTATTCATGATATTTTTTTCTTTTTTATATAGAAGCTTTGAAATGCATGCATATTGTGCACTTACAGCATATCTCAATTCTTTTTTTTTTGATACAGAGTCTCGCTCTGTCACCCCAGGCTGGAGTGCAGTGGTGCCATCTCTGCTCACTGCAAGCTCCACATCCGGGAATCACGCCATTCTCCTGCCTCAGCCTCCTGAGTAGCTGGGACTACAGGCGCCCACCACCACACCTGGCTAATTTTTGGTTTTCTTTTTTTTTGTATTTTTAGTACAGATGGGGTTTCACCATGTTAGCCAGGATGGTCTCGATCTCCTGACCTCGTGATCCGCCCACCTCGGCCTCCCAAAGTGCTGGGATTACAGGCTTGAGCCACCGCGCCCGGTCACAGCACATTTCATTTCTGATCAGCTACATTTCAGTTGCTCAATAGCCACGCAAGGTGGCTGCTGCACTGAACAGCACAGCTCTACACTTAATGACATGTCAGTATTTCCTTCATACCAATTGAGAGACTGAATACTCAGATGGACAATGCCAGGCCATATATGACAATAAACTCCAATCCACATAAGAAGCCCAGCAAGCTAAACCCACACCCTCCACAGCAACTGGTCCAGAAAGGTCAAGACTTGGTCAATAACTGACAGTTTCTATCTCTCTGTCTCCAACTCCCTCCTTCCAACTCAGGCCCAATCAGAGGAAGTCCGGTACGCTCCCTAATCAATCACATGAGATGTCCTTATTCTAGTTAGTGTCTTGGCTTCACATGTTAACAAACTCCAATCAGAGTGCACCTGGGGCCTTCCCTTTACTATACAGCTTTCCCACTCCCCTGCCTGCCTGTCAATCTTTTGTCAAACACAAATGCTGGCAGCTGACAGCATGCTGTAGCAAGCTCTAAATAAATAGCCTTTGCTTGCTATCATTTGGGTGGTCTCAGGCTATTTCCACAGGACTGGAGCATCATTCAATTATGTGGACTTTCTCCCTTAAATTTGAGAACCCAGGTCTTTGCTATTAATGCTGTGATGAACATATACATGCATGTATCTTTATAGGAGGAGAGTGTATATTCCTTTGAGTAGATACCCAGTAATGGGGTTGCTGAGTCAAATGGTAGCTCTGTTTTAAGTTCTTCGTGAAAACACCAAACTACTTTCCCCAATGGCTAACCTAATTTACATTCCCAACAGCAGCATCTAAACATTCCCCTTTTTCCCCACAACCTCGCCAGCATCTGTTATTTTCTGACTTTTTAATAACAGCCATTCTGGCTGGTGTGAGATAGTATCTCACTGCTGTTTTGATTTGCATTTCTCTAATGATTAATAATGTGAGCTCCATGCAGAGGGTGCTCTTCACCAAGGCAGTGTGGGAGTAGAGCAGCTGCATTTTCCTGGAAGCACACACACTGAGGCTTTTTCAATAAATCACTTTCAGGTAGGGGCAGACAGATGTTCATCAAGATGAAGGCAGAATGTGGCATGCTGCTAGTAGGGACCTGAGAAAATGGCCCTTCCTCACCTCTGCTCAGAGGACAAATGCTTTCCAACATGGAGAGAAAAACAGAGTTTGATATTCCTGGTTTTTCACAATCCACTTCCCAGTCTGTCACCTGGGCCTGAAGAGACATTTTAAAGCCCTCTGATCACACTGGCTGGTGGCTGAGGTTTTTAGGAGGAGCAGGCCACATGTCTGCCCACCACGTGGGATTAGCACTTCATTTTTGGCTAAAACTAAAGTGGGGAGAAAGCCCAAAGAAAGGCCACTTCTGTGGCTGAACAAACAGTGGAGTAATATGTATAAATGTTACAAAGAAAATCTGCAGAATGTTTGCAAGCCCAACAGTGTAAATGTTATTTTTAAGACTCAAAAGAAATTTAATCAAGGCAAATAGAAAAAGATGTTTTTCAGAATTAAGTAAAAATGTGTCCATTTCTTGCTAAAAATTTTTGAGAAAATTTTTCCCAAATAATGACTCTCGGCTTAGAATTCTGACCCGTTAAAACTGATTTAAAATTACAATGAAGAGGCCAAGACAGAAGCCTTTGAGTACTAAAGTTGCCATTCAGTGGAAAGACTTGTTTAGAAAAAAGTAAAATGAAATCCATTTTCATAGCTAAGCTAAGAAAATCATGAGGCTTTCTAGAAAAAGCACATCTGATTATTTGCAAGGCATTTAGGATCTGAGTGTTCAGGGTTCCCTGTTGCTGTATTTTCCACATTATAGCCACACGTTGGCATAGGGAACCTTGGGGATTTGAAAGAGCCTAAATCCGTTTCCACAGTTCATCACCCCCCACTCCTGCAATAACTAGTTATCTGGCATTCTCCCACCCAATCTGTTTCAAAATTTTATATGAAATGCACTATTTCTCAGATTCTATTAAAAAAAATTCCCTCTGACTATAGCTCTGCTTTGAGATATTATTACACAGTGAGACTGTGCCATTCCTGCCTTCTAACAGATT
Organism: Homo sapiens; assembly: GCF_000001405.40. Lineage (NCBI taxonomy): Eukaryota > Metazoa > Chordata > Mammalia > Primates > Hominidae > Homo > Homo sapiens. Next base: position 7,980,006 of record NC_000009.12, on the reverse strand, counting down.
TACAATGCAAATATCATCCAAAGAGGAAAATTACATCACCTTACTATGAAGATGAGCTTTAGTTCATCAATCACTGATTGAGAAACTTAGCCAAATATGAATATAAATGTCCTATCTCTGTTGGACAGGACACAGAGCAGTGGTTTTGATTTGGTCATAACTTCCATTGCCCGTAAGCCTTGATGTCTGCTATCTTGCCTGTGCAGCAACGGTCTTATCTAGGATGTGAATTTCATTGGAAAGCAGGCTGTCTTCCAAAGTGAAGGGGTGAGAAAGAAAAACCAGACTCAGAGGACTAACGGCATTTTCATTCGTGAACAGTTCAGATTAACTCATAAACAACAGAAACATTTTCACAGCCAGACAATGGCACTCTGTCCGCTGTCAATATTTCTCATGTTTTGGAAGAAGCCTGACCAACCAGGATGACCTCTTGCCATAGCAGTGTGGCTATTCAGGCTAGTTCCAGGACGCAGTGCTTGTCCCAATGTAATTACATATGCTGCTTGACATTAGGGAGCCACTGGAGAAGTTTATTAAAAGTAATTTCCGGCTGGCCACAGTGGCTCACACCTGTAACCCCAGCACTTTGGGAGGCCGAGGCAGGAGGATCATGAGGTCAGGAGTTTGAGACCAGCCTGGCCAACATAGTGAAACCCCATCTCTACTAAAAAAATACAAAAAAAATTAGCTGGGCATGGTGGCAGACACCTGTAATCCCAGCTACTTGGGAGGCTGAGGCAGGAGAATCACTTGAACCCAGGAAACCGAGGTTGCAGTGAGCCGAGATCACGCCATTGCACTCTAGCCTGGGCGACAGTGTGAGACTCCATCTCAAAAAAAAAAAAAAAAAGAAAAGTAATTTCCACCTTTTTCTGTTTTAGACTTTCGGTGTCTGTTGTTGATATTTATTGAGATAGAAACACCATTTGCCTGGCATAGTGGCTTATGCATGTGATCCTGGCAATTTGGGAGGCTGAGGCAGGAGGATCACCTGAGGTCAGGAGTTCGAGAACAGCCTGGCCAACATGGTGACACCCCATCTCTACTAAAAATACAGAAATTAGCTGGACGTAGTGGCCTGTGCCTGTAATCCCAGCTACTCAGGAGGCTAAGGCAAGAGAATCACTTGAACCAGGGAGGCAGGTTGCAGTGAGCCAAGATCACGCCACTGCACTCCTGCCTGGGCAACAGAGGGGGACTCAGTCTCAAAAAAAAAGAAGGAAAAAGAGAAAAAAAAAGAAGCACTGTCACAAAGTAACAAAGAGATAAGAGATTAAGGGAAGTCCTTCCCTACTTCCATATATACACATAATGGAAGAGGTCCTAGCTGTGCCTTCTCCCATGTGGCCCTGTAGTGAGGAGCCATAGGCAAACTTCCCTATCTCTCCCCTCACTCCTTGCCATTGCCCATTGCCTCCTTTCTAACCAGAATCATCCATGGAAGGTGGACAGTCTAAGTGCCTCCAGAACCATATAGTGTGATTTGAAAGCTTCCAGAGATTAAGGCTATTATGGTGTCCATTTGGTGTCATATTTAGGTGTTCCATTACCATTGCTGATGACCTCAGTGGCATTCAATCAGCCATTGGTGATGTGTCACTCTAGACTTCAGGGATTTGTCTTCAAATGTCTTGCATGGTAAGTCCTCTGATAACATACCCATCTTTCCTACTAGATTATAAGTAGCTAAGTATGTGTGTATATATTCTTAGCTGGTCTTTTATTCTGAGTCATTTTTATGTATTGACTCAAATTAATTCTCACTAATTATTACCTATTTGTAATAAGTACTATGGCTATTTCATTTTACAGATGAAGAAACTGAGGCACAGAGTGATTAAGAAAGTTGCCCAAGATTTCACAGCCAGTAGGTGGCCAAGCCAAATTTCAAACCCAGCAGTTTGGCCCCAGATTTGAAGCTCTTCACCACTCATATACAATATTGCTTCCTGAGAGAAGCATTTTCCTACGTTTTCCTTATCTGTTTGTTTCTAGCATCTAGTACAAGTCCTGGAATGTAAGAACCTTAAATAAATGCTTGTCGAATGGGGGATGACTTGAAGGCAGAGTCTGTATGCAATATTCATCACGCGGGGTATAGATGCTCAGCTGACATGATCCTTGAGGTGTACTAAGTGAGACATCCTCTCACAGGCTGATCCTGGCATCGTCTCTTTTATTCCAATCTGGGCTCCTCTTTCTTAGCAGTCTAGTCCTTCCTGAGATTATCAATAAAGCAAAGGTGATAACAGCATTGCGATCCTATCTCTACCTTCTAATCTTTTCCTCACTCATACTAACTTATCTCTTCCAGTCCCTCTTTCTGTTTCAAAATGAAATGTGAAACCTCTATGTATTAAACAATGAAACAAGAAAAACCCACAATCAGCTCTCCATACTAAATTATACAGCAAAGGGGCTGATTTAGGAAAGTCTTCCTTGAGTAGGTTAGTTTAACTTTACTCTGATCCAATCTTCAGGAATGTCATTGGCTAAAGAAGTCATTTTAGTCATGGTGCAATCTTATTCCAGACCTAATCCCCACCCAGTGGGATAAGTCAGTTCCTTTTGCCTCATAACATTCTTACTTCATCAAACTAAAATATTTTCTATCCACTTTCGTATACTTATTTTGGAAAGCAATTGAAGCAGAATAGGCACATACCTTCTATATGTTCCTGAAACATGATTGAGTGCTAACAGTTTCAACATTGGGAAGGCAATGTTCCACTTCCTGGAGTGGATACTCAGATTGTCTAGAGGTCAAGCACTGTTTCCTAATCAGGAGACTGTTATGGAAGGAGGGTGGGGGGCATTAACTGAGCCTTGGGCTTCCTCACAGATCAACAGGTGAATCCTGAGCATCCCGTAGAGTCTGGTGTGAGGATACAGCAATGACTAAGACAAGCCTCTTGCTTCAAGGAGCTCATAGACTATCAGAGGAGACACACACTCTTTCTCAATATGTTACTGACTGTAATAGAGTCTACGCAACATGAAAAAACACACACAGGATTGGCTGCATAATTTGCAGGGTCCAGGGCAGAATGAACATATGGGTTTCCTTTTTCATAAATTGTTAAGAATTTTAAAATGTGTTAAATCAAATGCAGGGCCCTTGGGTTACACAAGCATGAAGCAAGCCCTGCATACATAGAAGAGGTAATGGGATCAGGGTATGGGACACTGAAAAGGCTTCAAAAGAAACTTAAAGTGAATGTGGTTCTTGTAGGATGACTAGGAGTTGGCACATGAAGAAGTGGGGAAGGACATTCTGAGCAAGAAAAGAGAGCCTACACAGTAAGAAAGCAGGGTATGTGAGAGCAGGTTGTCAGTCTATGAGGATGACAAAGTGTGTGGCCAGTGTGTAGTGTCTTAGACTGAAGGAGGCCAGGTGACATATCTACAGAAGGAAGTTGAGGTCAGGGTGTCAGAGGCTTAGTGAAATGAAACCACAAAAGAACAAGGCCAACCGTAGTTTAATGATAGTTTCACCACTTCCTGCCTGTGAGCTCATGGGTAAATGACAATATCCCTGAGCTTCAGCTTTTTTTATCTGAAAATTGGGGCATTCTAGTCTTGGCTCAGCCTTTAGCCCACAGCTAATGAAGCTGTGAGACCTTAAATAAGTCACTTTCCCTCTCTGAGCCTCACTTTCTTCAAATGTAAAATGAGAGACAAGGGCTAGATGAGTGGTTTCAAACTGGGCTCTGAGAAAGTGCCTTAGAGGATATGGAGGGGATGGGTGACGACAAGACGAAAGGCCAGCAGATTTCAGCCCTTCTTGCCATCACGCTTACACTAGAGCAACTTCATTTTTATCAGTGTTATATGGGTATGTGTGTGAATATATGTTTATATCAATACATGAACATATGTACATGTATATATGTATATATGATATGTATTACATATAATATATGCTATGTGTATTATAGTATGTATTTATGTGCATATACATGTTATGTTATATGACAAATATATGCTATATTGTAATGTGTATATTACAACACATAAGTACTATGTACATATTTATGCAGAAAAGTGTCTGAATTTTCACATCTGTAAAAATAAGGATATTAATAATCCCTAATTTGTAGGATACTATAAAGATTAAACATCTAAAATACATGTAATATACTTTAAAAAGTGCCAGGCACAGAGTAAGCATTGCTAATTCTTAGCTCTTACTTTTTTTGAGCCAGAAGTTAACCAAGAAGGCAGTCCCTACCTTCCCTAGGTATGGGGAAGACAGCAGTGAACAAAAGACACACACTTTGTGGGTGTGTGGGTGCTCAATGTATTTGCTGAATATATGAATGGACAGGGTCTTCGACTCCTTTGCACTAGTTTCTAGGCTAAGGTTTTTGATACAAAAATAAACAAAACAAACATGGGTACGGCCCTTGTGGGTATTACGCATATAAACTCACAAGTGAGGATCAACTGGAATTGTTGCTAAGTGCTTTACTAGAATTGCAGATTACATCTAGTTTGAAGAAATAGTTTCCACCCTGCTAACAGTTTAACCTGCTCCAGGAACGAATGTTCCTAGCTCCCCAACAAAGTTGTAAATTGTCACATTTTTCTAATATGCGGGGAGCTAGGCAGAGACTGTGGGAATGAGAGATGCCTCATTAGGTAGCAGGATCAACTTTGCTAAGTCTTTGGGCAACTGGAAATAAAAAGTAAGAATGCTTCATTTCTGTGTAAATCACTTTTCCCTAATAGGCTATACTGTCTATATTTATTCTATGGCCACTGTGGGAAGTGAAGGAGGAAAAAGAGATGGGTCCTGTCATCAAGGAACTTATCATTAATTGGAAAAGACAGGATCAAGACACATTGACAAAATAACGGCAAGGACCTCTCTCCACCCACTGCTGCCATTAGCAAAGATATTCCCAACGGAACAATGTGATTGGATTGGACTGGACTTGCTCTGGAAAGGTTTAAGAAACTTGAGTTTACAGCGGAGATGGGAGAAGAGATTCTGAGGTGTCTGAAAATGGGCATGGGACAATTGGTCAAATGGCAAGGCTTCTTTTGGGGGCAATGGCATAAACGGGTGCTAGAGTGAGGCAGGTGCTAGGGTGGGGGAAATGAGCAGAGATCACATCAGAAAGCTAGCAATTTGAGAGCAACTGAACAAATTTGCAAATGCAGCCATGGACACTTCCTGTTCCTCCGACTGCTGAGTATTTTCACAGCAACCAGCATTTGTGTCAACCCACGAGGCCTCACTGTGTAACTATATCCATTTGTCAATATCTATGCTGCAGCAATCATTTAAGCCTACAAGCGTAAGGAGAAGTAACACCAAGGCTCCCAAGGCAGCCGTAATTCACCCACTTTGCTCATATGTGTTCATTTGGCTTCTAAATGGATTGCTTATTTTATGGCATGTGCAGTATGTAAGAGTTTTCTTAGAATTAGTTTAAATTGTCCTTAATCAGAAATATGTCATGCAACAGTCTTTTTCTCCAGATGAGTATTTTACTCAGTAGCACATAGCCTGAGTCATTAAACCCAAAATTACAGAACCTGAAACAATTAACATTTTTCATTCCTACTGGTTCTATTTTGCCCTGCCTACATTTGGGGGAAGGGGAATACTTGAAGTTCTCAGGGAATCATTTGAATAATGATATCATTCTAACAATTTGAAATTCTTATCTTCTTTAAACTATGTAATTGTGTACTTAACAAGGTGGGAGAAAATGTCTTTTCACTCACATTTTTTTCCCAATGCAGAGACTGTGATGAAAATGAGATAATACAGATTTATGTCTGCTGGCTTGGCAGTCATTTTACACCTACCTGGACTATGAGATTGAAATCAAATCGGAGGCTCCCTATCCAGGAATGTAAAATTTGTTGTCTAAATAACTATATGTGAGCAAATCAGATATGGATAAGATGTTTCCATTATCATCGTGTGTGGGAGCTCTGATTCATGACGTCCTAGCTGTATCTACACTGGCTGTATCAAAGCTTCTCTTTTTGATTTTCTGTATTTGCTACGGTTGGGCAGGAAATTCTGCTCTTGTTAGCTTCTCCACTAGTAACAACAAAGAAAAAATGTAATAAAAGGAACTACGGGAATACATTTTATGTATAGTCTTGGTTAACAGACAAACCCATTGCTTGATAAGGAATTATAGAGAAAAAGTGCAAAGAATTCATAGAAGCAGGAGGAGTTTATTTTGCTCATACTATATAAGCCTCAAATTCCAAAATGCCAAATTGGGGACCATTTATATTTCCATTTTTTTCTGGAGCCTGTTGTTGACTTATTACTAACAATCTTACTACTTACAATCTTATTACAATCTTATTACTAACAATCTACTTTCGGTTTGCAAGTAGAAAAGAAAACCTGTAAGATGCAAATCTGTTTTCGTCCTTCAACTTTATAAACTCTATTTGACTATATTTAACTTTGCAAACAGAAAAATGTGTATCTACCAATAGTTGCAGTATCCATCACGGCCTTGTTTGCAAACCTACATCTGATTTTGGTTTCTTAAACAAAGAAAAGAATTTTTGTTTCAGAAGGAACATAGTAAACATAAGGATCTTTTAAAGGGAACAGCCTGGCAGAGACACCCCACCATTGTTGGAGAGCCACCTGCCACTGGTTACTCTCACGCAACTACCGTGAATAAACCCTCCTCCTACTTTTGTTAAGGAACTTGAAGTCCCAGGTAGGACGATGCAGCTGGCGGATACTAAGTTTTATGACTGCCTGTGCCCTGCTTTGAAGCCATGGAAAGAAGGAGTTTTTCTTTTTAGAGTCCATAATCAAAGCAAAGACACTATATTCTTACAATACTGTATCAGTAGGAACTATCTCTCAGATGAGAAAAGGAATTGCATACTATAGTCCTCCTAAATGACACAGGTCCTCTATTACCTCTTTATTATTGACTTTATTTTAAAATAACAGATTATTAACATATTGATACTTTTTAAAAACATAACATCAAACAATTCTGTGTTCTTGGTATTTGTTATGCCTGACAGTAAACCTCTCAAGGCTCATTTTCTATTTAATGGGAAGATAAAATTAGAGGGAGAAGATGGGCATGCTGATATGTGCTTGTAGTCTCAGCTACTCTGGAGGCTGAGGCAGGAGGATCACTTGAACCCAGGAGTTTGAGACCAGCCTGGGCATGAAACTCTGTCTCAAAAAAAAAGCAGCAGGGGAGTTTTCACATTTAACTAAAATGTCAATATCTCTCAGATCTCCAAGCACTTTAAAATGTGTAATTCCCCTTTTTAAATCCTAACTCCATGAACACGATATTCATTTCAAAATAGAGTACTATGTCCAGAATGCTCAAGAAAGCTTGTAGGGATGGATGGCTTCCCAAAAGCCATTATCAGCTCCTTTTCCCCTGAACATTTCAATACGGAGACTGGAAATACATATACTCTCTAAGCCCTTTTTGCAGAGAGAGATTTGTGTGTAACCAACTGCCAGCTCGTGATATGTAGACAGAATCAGGGAACCTTCTAAGAAAGTTTTGGTTTTCTGAAATTAAAGTATAGGTGCAGCCAAAGCAACACTTCTCACTTTCCTCTACTTTCTATCTTGAGTACATTATGATACCTAGAACTGAAGTGAAAGGCCAGCCTTAAGGGAAAAGCAAAAAAACAGAGAGAAGATGGTCCTGATATCTCATGTCTGACATTGTTGGGTCCATGACAATCAATGTCCAGATTCAGACTTCTTGCTCTTTTTCTTTGGGTCCTTAAGTCAAGCTTGCAGTGACTTGCAGTTGAAGGTTTTCTTCAGTAATATGATGGTTTTAACAATTCATATCCATTCATAACTGAACATTTCAAATAACAATACTTCTACTATTTACTGAGTGTCAACTTTGGAATAGCACCATGGGAAGTGAAGTGTAATCCATACTCTCAAGGAGAAAAATAGTTTACATAAAGAGATGTGTAACTAATATAATGTGGTAAAAACTAAAATAAAGTTGTGTTCACTGAGATGTGAGAACACAGGTTAGGATGTATTTAATTTTGATCTTTATTCAGTAAAATGAAATTAATCTGGTAAAAGAGCCGGTGGTAGCCTATTGAATAAGATGATAGGAATACTTAGTGTTTCACAATGAATATTTTTAGAATAAATTATTATTTATCTTGAATAATGAGGATAATGCTTATTATATGGGACTTTTCACATAGCAATCTTATTTTATCTCACAAGAACTATGGTGAGGTGAGTATACATACACACATGTAGGAAACTGAACCTCAAAGAGTCTAAATCCAGCTTTCTCAATCTCAGCACTGTAGACATTTTGGGCTAGATAATTCTTCATCGTAGGGGCTGTCCTGTGCCCTATCAGATGTTTTGCAATGTCTCTCGTCTCAACTCACTTATAGCCCATCCAGTGCCAATCATAATCCCAAAGACACAATGCTGAATGTCATAATGCCAAATGTTGAAATCCTGAAAGATCGAAACCCCTAAAGTATAAACCCCTAAAGTCTAAAATCCCTAACAGCTGATTGAATCCCCAAACTATAATGACAGACTTGAAATTAAGTGTGATCAAGGCTTCTAAAAGAACATTTCAAGTTGTTAACCAATAAATTTTGCTTTTTCATTCAGCCCAATGCATTTAACAGAAAATTCAGATGAATGGATTGGCCACATGATATGACAATAAGGAAAACTTCAGTTTAAAAATGAGTCATTTGCCAGCATTGGCAACCCTTCCAGCTGATGACATTCCAGGAGCTTTTAATGAATTAAAGCTGCATTTTCCTGAAGAAGCCAGTGAAGTTACTGGCTGGTTAGAAAATAATTATGTGCATGGTAGGATAAGAAGTCACTTATGCAACAGTGTTGCTGTTCCATCACCAGTATTGTTTCTGCCAAATTTGTGGTCTATATATGAGCACATGTAAAATGAATTTCCTTGAGCCCAGAACAACGTAGAAGTATGGCACAGAATATGGGAAAATGTAATAGAAAACGCTTATGTCAGTTCATACTGAATTATAAAAAAATTTCAGAAACAGCAGTGCCATGTAGAAAATGAATGTGATGTATTCTCTGAGAAGAACCACGCCCTAAGAGGAAGAAAGCAGTTACTTATTGTGTTGCAAGTCTTCAAAATACAGTTAATGATGGGGAAAGTTGGCCAGCTCTTAGGAGCGACCTCTATGCAATTTGCCTATAATCCATCCCTATAATATACAGTTTTCATATGCTAATTTTTCTTTTTAGTGTTTTGTTTTCTTTTTTAGTGTTTTCCCCCACTATTTTAAATTGTCAGCATTATTTTTTGCAGTTCGATATACTATGTATTTTACCTTCACATCATTTTCAATATTGGAGGCATACATTGTGTAAAGACTTTTAAAGAGTTCTAATTTCTTGTATGCATCTTTTGCAAATTTGATTAGACAAATATAACAACATTGATATAGTGTGTTTGTATTGTGTGTATATGTAAAAACTTTACAATTTCCTCAATCAATGAAGGGACGTTCTTTTTGAACATCTGCATTCGTGAAAGATAAAATGCCCCAAGATCTTGGCTCTTTGAGCATCTGCCTATGTGGTCCTGACTCATCTCAGTTTTTGATTAGTCTCATCAAAAGTCTTAGGTTGTCTGTCATGGTTTTTCAGATGACTGCAGTTATATAGGCTATTCTTAAATTCATCTGCTTATAACTGTTATACTCATGCTACTGTTGCTAGCATGCTGGAGTGTTTATACTTGCAAAAATATACATGTTATTACTGTCCCTTTTATGTATAAAGCAGCCTATGAAGTGTTCTGTCATATTTTATGTTTCTCAAATAAACCACCTTTTATAAATGTAAGTAAAACCAACATTTTAAAATGCAAATTTTATAAAAAATTTATAAAGTTATTTTTTCCTAGAATTATATTTTCAGTATTTTGACATTTCAGAATTGTGATTTTCATGATTTTAGATTTTAGGAATTTTGGTCTTTCAGGATTTCAGCATTCAGGATCATAGTGTTCAGGATTATGGTCCAAACCTTAGCACCACCTGCCTAGATCCTGCTTATAGTACCACTACCCGAGTTGTGAAAACCAAAAATGTCTCTGGACATGGTCAAATGTCCCTTGGGGCAAAGAGATAAAATATTCCCACCCCTGTCCCCCATTGAGAAGTGCTGGTCAAGGTGACTTATAAAAAATCATTCAGAAAGTGTGACAAAATAAAAACTAAGACCTGTACCACCTACCACCTATGCTCTTTTCCTTGGAGAACTTGGACTCAGAGGATAAGATAACTAATTACCTTTTGTTTTGTTTTGTTTTGTTTTTAGACAGAGTTTCACTCTTATCTCCCAGGCTGGAGTGCAGTGGCATGATCTCGGCTCACTGCAACTTCCGCCTCCAGGGTTCAAGCAATTCTCCCGCCTCAGCCTCCCGAAAAGCTGTGATTACAAGCGTGTGCCACCATGCCCAGCTAATTTTTATATTTTTTAGTAGAGACGGGGTTTCCCCACATTGGCCAGGCTGGTCTCAAACTCCTGATCTCAGGTGATTCGCCAGCCTCAGCCTCCCAAAGTGTTGGGATTACAGGCGTGAGCCACCACGCCTGGCCAAGATACCTAATTACTAAAACTACTTTCATTTACATTCACAGATAGGAATGAAACCACTGTAATTCACAGATGGGGATGCCCACAGATCATTCAAAGCATGCACTTTCCAGATATAAAATCAAATCATCAAGTATTAAATAGACACCTAACACATGAAAAGGATTATGTGAGGAGCACAGAGAGGAACTGTAATATGTCCTGCCTATTTTATGTTTCTATTTTTCATATTTCTCTTAATTTCTGCCACTGGCCTACTTACCCCAGATTCTAGGGCCAATCTCAAAAGGAGAAATTTAAACAACTGTATATCAGTAGAGCACAGTCACAATAATAATTTAGCTTTTGCTGATGTTGTACTCTGGTGTACTCTAGTTCAGGGCAAAAGTTTTTTGTAAAGGGCTAGATAGTAAACATTTTAAGCTTTGCAGGACATATGGTCTCTGTCGTAACTACTCAACTTGTCTTTGTAGCTGGAAAGCAACCATCGATAACATGTAAATGAATAGTTGTAGCTCTGTTCCAACAAAACTTTATTTGCAAAAACAGGTTGAACTTGGCCTGTGGCCTATAGTTTGCCAACATCTGCTCTGGTGCAATGAATTATGTTCTTTACTTATTTACCAAATCTTTCTTCCATCCATACTCGTATCCCAATTGCAGTCTACAAGTTCATAGGCACAGGAAATATAATGTTATTTACTTTAACTTAAAATAATTTCTGCTTTCTGGTGAGTGGAGAATGTAGAACTAAAACTAAAAAAACTAAAAACTAATTCTCAGCCAGTTCAGATTTGTCTCAGCTTCTCCATAATCAATTTGGGATTATCTCATTGACTTTAGTGTTTTCTCCATCAACTCAAGGTGTTTCCTTCCTTTCCCAATTGTGTCTGAGTTTTGGAAGGCTCTTGTAGCGCAATGCATTAGTGGAAAAGAGTAACTGGTTGTCTGCTTTTGTCTACCCACTGCCCTTAATATTCCTTCTGATTTCTGCTTATTGACCTACAATTCACTCCCTTTTTAATAGAGGTTTTATTATGCCTATATTATATTTATTATTGAGGTAGGATAAGGCCAACAGATCAGGAGATGATTGACATTGATGAGATAATTTGTTATACTCACAGATCCCAAGAGGAGGAGCACATCATGCTATGGTGCGAGGGGACACATGGGGAATCACCAGGGTTAGTCAGGAGGCAGAGGGAGAGAAAGGAATTGTGAGCAAGATACTTTATTGTGGTTTCCGTTGGAAGAAACAGGTAAGGCAGGTTAAACAGGTTTAGGATTGGCCAGTTTGAATGATTTCAGTGGACTCTGGTGTGTCAGGGCTGTCCCTAGTTATCTAGTACCTGGCCCTGGGGTAATTAGTTCAGGTGAATAGTGTCTCAGAATGTGAGATCAATCCAGAGCCCACATTCCTAACCACCTTTAAAAGGAGGTGGTTAGGAATGTGGGATCTGGATTGGTTGGTTTGCATTTTAAAAGCCTGCTAGTTGAGCTGGCAAGGTTTTTACTATCTTTAGGAATTGGCCAGCCCTAGTTGGGATAGTTCCTTCAGGGTCAGCAAGGGCCTAGGTGTCAAAGGATCAAAACATAGAAAATAAAAGACATGGTCATTACACTTTTCTATTCACACTGAAAAGACTTGTAAGCCCCTGCTCTCTGGGCTATAGCTACACTGCTTCTCAGGTCCGTGGTGAAAGTTCTGAGCATCCTTATACCATGTCTAGGGCAGAGGAACTTCATAAGCTTACTTCCTGTTGACTAAGAGACTTTCTAGTCACCTCAACTCCTCTATGTGACCCAGAGGAGAAAGCCAAGGCTGGCTGCCTCTTCAACATTCAATTAGGAAGCAAGGCACAGATCAGCGCCACCATTAGACCTCCCAGACTGATCTTGGATTCTAAAGTCCCAGTGCCTGGTCTCAGTTGGAGAGAGGCGCACGAGCATATGACCCCTTTCAGAACATTTCATGTGCTTAAAACCTTGCTTTCCTCTGGCTTAACGTTCTCATCCAGCCTAGAGGAATCTAACCTTGCTGTAGGGTGGAGGTGAAGTGGGGAAAACCAGCTCTTGCCAGCTTTGTTTTCTTTCCGACCTATTGCTTCATGCATAAACTTTATGCCCTGTGTCCCCTGGAGCTGTAGATTTTGAAACTCAAAACCAAGAATTTCGAAACTCATAACTTTTTTTCTTATACCACTGTCTCTGTCACAATTTTCAAAAGTTTATTTTGCCACTCAAAAGCTGAGCTTTGACTCCTTTTGTCTTTGGCATTTTGTTTTGTGATATCGCAGAGGAAGAAATCTGGGAAGGAGAAACACATCTGTTAATATATCAAAATATTATCTTGCCACACCAGGTACACCCACTGGCTACCGGTCTTATTTCTCTTGATTAACTTCTGCCGTGAATGCTTTGCTAGAATCCTGGCCCTTCTCCTGGACTTTCTTGTCCTCCTCATGCAATCTTTATATTCTCCCCTTCTCCAGTAGAACTGTGCTCCCACTACTGAAGAATTATCCCAGATACCCAAACATAAAACAGGAGTTTTCACCCTACAGATTTTGAAATGTTCACCCATACAACTTTTTTTCACTCTCTCTTTTTCTTACAAACCTGGATATCAGAACATCTAGGTGAAGAGGGAAAGTTTAATATGTTAATTCGCTACCTTGTGCACACTGAGGGGCTTCTAAAGTAAAAATTTGCAGGTAGGTGAGAAACTAAAACTAACCAAGCTTAATGTCTTTGTGTGCCGCCAAACATGGTTTAACTACAGACACTGGTTCCTGCACACAAAAAGGACTGCCTGCTTTTTCACATATTTGTCCTTCCTTTATTCACTTGTTCAATAAATATTTTTAGAGCACTTGATGTGTGCCAGGAACTGATTAAGTCGCTGTGTATATACTAGTGAACAAAAAAGACAAAATCTACCACCTGCACAGAATATATGTTCCAATGGCCAGAAATAATTGTATAATTACTAACACATATAGTACTTCTTTTTTTATGTGCCAGGCATTGATTTAATCCCCATAATCACCTGATGACATAGTTACTACTATCATTCCGATTTTATAGACAATATTTTGTAATTTGCCCAAGATTTGAGAAGTAATAAGAGGCAGAACTAGAACTTGATCCCAAGCAGGTTGGCTCTAGAGTCCACCTTTCAATCACTCAGGTCTCCCGCCTCCAGCTTATAAGTAAATTATACAGGATCTTAAAATTCAATGATTTTATGGGAAAAATAAAGTCGAAAAAGAGAGTAGGGCATGCTAGGGCAGATTGCAATGTAAAACGGGGTAATTAGGGAAGACTTGACTAAGATATGTCATTTGAGTAAAGACTTGAAGGAGGTGAGAAAGCCAGAAAGATAAATATCTATGGGAAAGGTGCTCAGGCAGAAGGAATAGCAATTGCAAAGTCCCTGAGTCAGGACTATGTCTGGCATTCACAGGAGCAATTTTGCATGCCACTTTACCAAAGTAGATGATGGCTATTTATCACAAAACAACCATTTTTGAGTTCTGCTAATACTTTGAGAAAATGCAAAACATTAAAAAATGATCTGTCATGTCTCCTTTCTAATAATTTTAAAGCAGCATTTTTGTAACTTTCCCTTCCACAATTAAAAACAGAAATAGATAGATGAGACTAAAAAGGGTTAAAAAGCAAGAGCAAGGAAAAAAAGAGATTCATTACCATCATTCCTCATTGCTGACGATGTGCTATAAACGATGAACAAAAATGTTAAGCAAGTGAAAACAAAAACAAGCCCAGATTTTAATGTATGTTTCTTTTCAGATAAAAATTGTCATCCTTGTCAATTTTTCTTCACAATGTCTAAGCATTATAGGTTGAATGGCACGGATGCTCCTATTGGTAATATAGGCATTAGGCTAGAGGTAAACCTAATCAATCTGACCTGCCCTAGAAAGAATTTGCAGAGCTGGTCTTGGCTGAAGTTAAGTTGGTGTTTGTTGTTGCATTCACTTTGCCCTGGACTTCTCCAAACTCTCCATCAACCAGTTGATATTGTTCCTGATTTACAGGAATCAGAGATTAAACACCTTGCAACAGAGGCTGCCCAGCCAGATCCTGGCAGAACTGATGTGCGGCTCATGAATGCCTGGCTGTTTTGCTCCTCTCTGTAACAGATGGCTTGTTTCTAAGGACAAAGTTCTTTATTTTCTTTCAAGTATTCCTTGGGTTGTATAAAGAATGGGGGTTCTGGCAGCTCGGTGTTCATCCTCCTCAATCGTAGAAGACATTCATCAAGGTCTAATGAGAAGAGGTCTTAGACTCAGAATCAAGAGAGCAGGGCATAGATTCCAGATTTTTCACTAACTAGTGAAGCAGTTTATAAAAGTGAACTTTTTATCCTCTTCAAACCTCAGTATCCTCACTTTAAAAAGGAAGACAAGAGTTGCTGTTTCTATAGTTTTCATAGGGTGTTCAAAAAAAATGAGACAGTACGTCAAAGTGCATTAAAATTAGTCTTTAGCAATAAAAGGATTTGGTATTATTCTGTCTTATTTTTCCAATTTTTTATTCATGAATAAATCTTAAGATTTTTCCAGTCTGCTTATTCCCAAGTTTAACTTCCTAAATTTCCTTAACCTCCTGTCTTCTTTATCTGTATTTACTACTTAAGCTGTTACGTTTCACAACTAACTTATTTTTAAGTTAAATTATTTTGATTCAACTCACTTACTTAAACATTCCTTAATACTATAGTTTTGTTGATTCTTTTTCTCATATGTCCTCTTGTCTGCAGTTAATTTGTATACATTCTTATGTGACATTGGCGGACATTCACTTTGATATAGTACAAGGAACACAGCAGTCAACTAGATTTAATCCAAGTCTCTGACTGTACTTGTTTGGCCACACTGCTCCCATCTGCCTGGACCAACGAGATGAAATGCAAGTGCCTGGGTCTCTTGAACAGAAGGAATACATATGCACTTGGGTGGAAGTATGGAATCCATGCTGAGTAAGATTACGAAAAAATGTGGGGAGCCGAAAAAAGAAGCACAACTGAGGTGACACAAGAAAATGATGCTGTTCTGAGCTAGTTGGAAAGTCAACCAGAACTCTTTGAGGAGACTGAAGAGTTCTGTTTCCCCCATTTTTCTCATTTTTCCCTATTTTACCCATTTTTATAGGCAATTGTTTAATGACTTTTGTTAGAAATATAACTTAGTCTCAAAAACTAATATGAAGATTGAGTCAAGAGAAAAAAATTTCTTCTCTGATGAATTATCTGATGTCCTTGGATGATGGTAAGCTGATGTTGATTCCTCTTTCTCCTCTGCCATTTATTCTCCACTGTGTCTCCCTGTCTTTATTCTGTCTACCTTATCCCCTCCAATCCTTTACTCTTTTTACCTTTTAAACTTTTTTTTGGCTATAATATTTGGTTCGTTTAGTCTCTTACTCTCTCTTAGACTGTGATCCTCTTGAAGTCAGGGGTTATATCGTTCTTACAGTACTTCTATTTCCAGCTTCATATCCTAATGCAAGTCCCGATAAGTTGACAAATGAATTTCTCAGCCTTCATTTAATTCTGTATAGACTCATTCTGTTCTCACAAAAGTAACACTGGATATCAAATAGCAAATAGCAAAACAGTGGAGGAATCTATGCAACTTCTACTTCCAAACATCAGTGTAATGATTTCAAGCCTTGGAGCCTTGGGGGCTCCTTGAATTCTGGGGGAAAAATTTAAAAGCAGTATGCTAGTGAGAAATTATGTTACACATCAAGATCTCCAGAAGTAGATGGTGAGACTAAATTTGGGGAGCAAGATGTTTGTTAGGTATCGACACTCATGAAGGTTAGAAGGAAGCACACTTGGGCAGAGTGAGAGAGGCCAAAGTTTGCTATAGGTCCAAATAGCCTCAGCCACCCTATGCCAGAGTGGAGGTGGAGGACATCTGAAGCAAATATTCCTTGTTAGAGATGTCCCAAGTTTTGGACTAGCAGGCTTTTTGCAGCTGCGGTCTACCCTGAGGGAGGTGACCGTTTCCAGCTGTCAGCTGACTATGCTCTCCACAGCTGGGCAACAAGTCTCTTCTTGAAGACAAATCTGTGTGGCATGTCTCCCCCTCGACCCCTTGACTTGTCAACACTATAATTGTATATAGAGATTAAAAAGTGCACTTGCTGCCAAGTTGGCATTGAGGAGTTTAATTCCACACTGAGCAATATTGAGTCAACTGTGAAAGTGACCTATGAAACATCTCTGTGGTTACGTCTTTTATAACTCACATTTCCTTCTTTGTTTATAGCTCAGCTATCCCTTCCTTGATGCAGGTTGTAAACGAGTCCTAAAATTCAAACCCCATGCTTTTGCCAATTGTGCACAGCAACTGGTTGATCTGTTGCAACTGCAGTTACAGAAAAGGTTGACATTATTTTTGGGTGGCAAAATTACTAGAAATGCCTATGCCCAGTGTCACTGTCCTCATATACAAAATACTAACAAAGGATCAGGGGTCATATGCCAGCCTGAAATGAGTGGGAACTATAAACATTAATCAGAGAGACTTTGCAATTACTGAAACATTTATGAGAAAGCAGTTATAAACCATTGCAAATGGTTTCCTCTTCTCTCTCTCCCCTGATTGTCTGTCACCTCTTCATTCTATGGTGTCTTCCTTTGCTTGTTTAGATGCTTCTGATTCTTACAAGCTTATTCCCCCTTGGGGGATAAACGAGGGCAGTGAGAATTGACTGGAATTGATTATGTGAACTACACAGAAGGTCACCCTTTTGAAGCGATCACATCTGTGAAAATCTGAGGCTATTCCCAGTGGTCCATAAAGACTGCATGGTTTCCTGGGAAGGCCCGACCAAAGCTTTAGTGTTGTCTGAAGGTTCTTTCCTCCTGGGGCTTCACATATGTAGGAACATAATTCTTTATAGCATGAGCAGAAGTGATGCCAACACTGATTAAAACCTAACTTAAATGGCTTGCCAAGCACCAAGCAAAAATAAGTCATCAAGAGTGTAAGATTTTTTTTCTTCCTTTTTCAGATGTGGATAATTACTATACAGTTGCACCTTCAAGAATCACAATGAGGCAGTTCAACAGCAACGTATAAAATAGACAGAAGTTGAGAGGAGAACTATTTGACTTCTTCAAGTACAAAAACTGGATGGCGGAGGTCATTTAAGACACTATCTCGTACTCTGGGTTAGAATTATGGGACGGTTTTGATTTAACCTAGGTTTGATAACTGGAATCACTACCACATCGTATTACTTACAGACATAATCCATGTATCTGAGTCTGCATCTCTGTTATAAAGGGGTAATTTCTGGAGTGTGTACGTGTGCATGCATGTGTGTGTGTGCCTGTGTGTGTGTGCTTTGCGATATTAAGGCATAGCAACCACTAAGTGTCACTCAGAATACTATACTAGATGGCAAATTTTTCTCCCCAGGCTTGCAATCACATTTGAGCTTTAAAACAGTTCATAGCTGAGCAGAGAATGAGCTTTTAAATGTCCATGTTTACTGATCATTTACTGTATAACAGCCTTAGCCTTGAAAGTGCTATAAACACACATTCATTATTTAATTAAGTTCTTACTGCAACTATGATTAGCTACCATTGTTATCTCTATTTTACAGATGAAGAAAGAAATTGATACTTCAGAAATTTAAGCAATTTGTCTAGGGTCTGTCACTGAAATCAGCCATTTGTGGTTCCAGAATTGATCGTCATCTAGCTAATAAATGGCAGAGTTGAAATGTGAACCCAAGTCTTTTGACTCCAAGGCTCAGGCTTTTAACCAGCTTAACAGCCTTGCTCTTTAGAAAACAACCTATTATGTAGATGATATATCTATCAGAAGCTGAACCCGGGACCAAATACACACATATACCCACATCGTGAAACAAAATAAAAAAGCAGTTAATTAAAACATCTGCCTAATTTTTGGTTGCTCAAAAGGGAAAGAAATGACTTTTCCCAAAGGATTTCTCTCCTTTTCCCTGCGTTAGCTCAATGGGACCCACACTCCAGGTATCCAGGCTTTTCTTGAAGACCCAGATGTGTGTTTTGTTTCCAGGATACCTGAGATACAAGAATGTTCTCCCGCCTACTTCACAATCTCCACTCTGACCTCCCAAACACTCCAAAGTCAGCAGGAGGAAGTAGAAATGAGACAGAGGCCTCTGTCTCCTAATCTTTTCCATAGGCTACTGTTTTCTTTCTTTTCTCATGAGGAAAAATGATAAAAGCAAAATAAACAAATTAGCTACCACTTATGAAAATCCCCAGGAAATTCCTTTTCCAGAGTTCTCACTTACTAATTTGGCTAACATTACCAATGGTAACAGACCCCACGTATCCGCCACAATTGCTGTGAGTTGCAGAGGAAAAAGACTGGGAGGAAATCTTCACTTTTCTTCTGCAACAGCAACCAACAGAAATGAAAGAGCCAGGGGATTTTGCAAAATATCAACTCCTGAGAACTAAGAATGAGAGCCTTTCCTGCCAAGCCCATTCTGTGCCAGTCATCATAAAATACTGTAAGTTGCCATCCTATAGCAATGTTATAATCAAACAGCATATTATAATTTTTATGATCCCATATTTTGCTCTGTGTGTGTGTGTGTGTGTGTGTAAGGAGTGAGAGGCTGTTGGTCAGCTGGAGATGAGAACTAAATAGTTGTTGTTATTGTTATTTTTTCTCAAGATGACCCTTCCTTCCAGAAGAACAATGCGCTGTGATCTTTGGCTACTCAAGCTTTACATCATCCATATTACCCTGCAGCAGGAACAGATTGATGGGTATTTTCACTGCCCCCAGAGAGTTACCCTCTAATCCTTCATTTGCTGCTCCAGCACAATTGCACGGAAGCAATAGCAGGGATAGTTAGAGTGCATACAATTGATTCCAATCCATCCATCACTTAAACTACTGTCTAGGACATCAGGAGGCCACAAAAAAAAAAAAAAAGAAAGAAAAAAAGAAAAACTTTTGAATCAAGAAATGCTTTGTCCATTCCAGGTCAAGGAAAATCATGATGCAATTTGGTTGGATACTTTGACTTTAGAAAAGTTTCTCACTTCTCAGTAGAGAAAGTTTAATGTTTGCAAACATGCAGTAATGAGGTAACAGTTGCAGTAATAAGCATTTTTAAACTGCATTTGTGGAAGAGCAGCTTCTACCTACCACGATCTTTGGATTCTAGCGTTAATATTTCTTACTGGGGCATTATGAAATTTTAAGTGGGAAAGATACTTAGTAACTTAAATAATTTTAATGCAAAATAATTAACACCTATTATCTAAAAGACTAGTCCTGTTCCTTAAGGGGATCAGAGACACAGACACCACCTACAAGCTGCATATTATCTGGGAGGTGGGGGGAAGCATACACATACACTGATAATAAATACATAGGACTCTAAAATGGTTTCCAGTATTTACTGACTCTTCTATGATACTGTATTTAAGGCCATGGAATCTAACCTTAAATTTTCCAGCCACCTAGCCCCACACCCATGGCTGCAAGCATCAAAAGAGTCCACGCTAAAAATGGAAAGACCATTAAAGCTTGGAATTGTAGGAAGAGGAAGGAGACAGGAAGGACACTCCAGGCAGAGATAATAGAGTGGAGTCAAAGAGATTAATAAAATGTTCCATAGGAGGCATTAAGAGGGTGCACCTGGTTCTCAGGTTTGCAGCTTCTTCGACAACTGTCTGTGGTTAAATACGACCTTAAAGGAACAATGAAAAAAAGGGAAACACCATCTCCACAAAGAATAATGCACTGTAAAAAGTGTTAGGTATTTCTTTCCCCTCATAATTCTAAGGGACAAGTCTTCGCAGTTAGAATTCGAGTTTAATTTTTTGAATGTGAAAATAAATTGCATATGTGAACATGCTTTTTGCAAGTTATGTGATTTAGAAAAACACAGGCAAATCTATTGCTTTCATACTTACATTATAAATGCCAGATACATAACCACAATTTAGGTTTCATTTTTTTTCAACTCGAACAATAGTGTTCCCCGAAGGAAAATTGGCTTGACTGAGGTAAATACTAAAAGTTAGTGTTTTGAACTCTTGCAGAATAATTTTTGGCAACTAAAGACCTTGTTTTGCCCAAGTTTTACTCCAAAATAATTTTCTTACTCAGAGTTGATACAGGGAGCGGCAATTCTCACTTGAATGTATGGCAGTTACATGGCTGAGTCAACTTGCATGCTGGAAGATCAGACACAGACATCTTAGACTAGTGGAAGGGGCCTAATTATTTCAGTGATAAGGACTCTGAAGCCCAAAGAAGTAGGTGATTAGTTCAAACTCGTGCTGCTAATTAGTGGATAGGGCAGAACTACTACTAAGTTTAAGTTAATAAGCTTTCAAAAATATTGCCCTAAATGAACACAGAGGGAAGAAACTTTGGCAGGATGATGGCTTGAGGTGTCCCACATTCTTCCACATGGGGTGATGACCCCAACTCACCCCCTTCTTGTGGGGCCAATCAGCAGGGGTGGGCCGACACCAGTTGTCATACTTTTTCCTCTTTGGGTCAGAACTTTAGGGCTCAGTACAAAAGCTTAAGGCCAATATCTGAAAACTGCGCTTCCTGGGGAGAAAGTCAACTTACGCTCTCTTGAACTTCAGTTCTTCCGAACTGAACTTCAGGGTCTCCCTGGCTTTAAGGAATTAAAGAGATATTAAACAGTTGAGTTTATTCGTCTCTATCTCTGAGATTTAGAGAACACAAGAGATCACAGAACAAAGAAGCTCTGCTTTTGTCCACTGAAAGAAGAGAGATGGACAGCCAGCTGAAGGTATTAATACAATGAGCCACAGGACAGACAGGGTTGCTCCTTCCACCATGCTCAGGACGGCTCCCATGTAAGGTACCAGAATGAGTAGACGCAGAGAAATGACATCCTATTAACAGGGCCCATCTGCCAGGGAGTAGACAGAACAGAAAAATCTGAAGAGACCACTAAAGAAATAGAGCTGCTTCCTTTAAAGCTAGATTTGAAAGAAGCAGGAGAATATGTAAAGAAGTCCAATATATAGCAGTTGGCACAGTTCCTGGAGCTAAACTCACAAGATTTTTTAAATTTAAAGATTTAATAGATAAAATAAAAGAGAGGGCTGCATTATAGATGCTCCAATTGGTGGCTTGGAAGATCAGGTGGAAGTATATGTTAAATCATAGAGGAATACAAAGAAAAACTATATGAAAATATGAGGGGAAAACGTACATTTTGAAAGATAGATTCAGGAGAAAAAATAGAAGTTCTAGAATGAGAAAAACAGACAGATGAAGGAGAGACAATCATCAAGCAAATAACTGAAGGCAATTTTCCTGAAGAATACCTGGGTCAGCAGATTTAAGTAGCTCATCAAGTTCCAGATAAGATGCTAAGATAATAAATACATCTTGGTAAAAGAAAAGAGAAAAAAGAGTTAGATTGGAGACTTGGCATGGTGGCTTATACCTGTACTCCCAGGACTTTGAGAGGATCGCTTGAGGTCAGAAGTTCAAGACCAGCTTGGGCAACATAGCAAGACACCTGCTCCAACAACAAAAAAAAAAATAAAAAGTTTACAAATTAGCTGGGCATGGTGGCATGTACCTGTGGTCCTATCTAATCAGGAGGCCAATGCTGGAGGATAGTTTGAGCCCAGGGGTTCGAGGTTGCAGTAAGCTATGATAGCATCACTGCACTCCAGCCTGGGTGACAGAACAAGACCCTGTTTCTAAAACAAAACAAAAAAGTTTGAGATTGGTAATTAAGTTTTGCAATCTCAAAACTATGAGATGGTAGAACAATATCTACAGATGCTTTAGAATAAGAGACTGAATCTGTGATAAGATATTATTCACTAATAGCTTAAAAGAATGCTATTTGCAGAGATTACTTCACTTACATATCCCCTCTTAGGAAATGCTTAAGAAAGAACTCAAACCATAGAATTAAAAACATCTAAATCTCATGATAGAGAAACAGATGAATAGGTAAAACTGGTGAACAAAGAACTTGGTAATAGGTTTAAAAGGAAATACAATTGAATACAATCTGGGAATTTGTAAACTAGGTTATAAACAAGAATTTTTTAAATAGAAGAGGCCTACTGCAAGGAAAATTCTAATAATTGCCAGAAACTAAAAGTACTAAATTATTGAAGATGGCATTTGGATGGGAGAAAGAAGAACACAATAAAAGTATCCCAGAGGTCTCCTATGGAGGGCAGATGGGGTTGAGGGGAAGCTAGTGGAACAAGTGAAAATGTGCTAACAGTCTGGCCTTATTGAGAGAAGGCAGATAAGCAGTAAAACTAATAAAGAACCTTAGTAGAAAAAGAGTTATGCTCTCGTTTTCATATAATATTAAATAAGTATGTTTACAATTATGAACACGAAGAAAAGCAAGATAACCATTAATGAAAGATGAAATAATAGTAGGACTTCCAAGTTAACAAAAAGGAAAAAGAAAATTAATAAACTAATAACTGAATCATACAAATAAATTAAGAAAAAAGAAAAAGAAATAAAACAAAGTAAGGAGTAAGGTATAAAGACAAGCATACCATGATACAAAACATAAAATACTGAATTCTCCCGGCTAAGAGAGAGAATGTTAGACTGAAGCAAAAATCAAAGTTGGGCTATATACCATTTACTAGAAATACAGTTTAAGATGAAATAATAAAGTTTGGAAAAGAAGGGACAAAGACGAGGCAAATATAATTTTAAAAATCAAGAGGACTTGAAATGTTTAATTTTTATTTTTATTTTTTTAAGAGACAGTCTTACTAGGTTACCCAGGCTGGCCCCGAACTTCTCAGCCCAAGGAATCTTCCTGCCTCAACCTCCCCTCTAGCACACCTGGGACTACGGGTATGCTCCACTACCGGGCTTAAAATCAATGCAGAAAGAAACATATTGTAATAACATGTTCTCAATTCTTGTTTCCAAAGTTCTTTCTTTGTGAAATGTTTCCATTCATGGAAAGAAAACAGCACATATTACATCTTTAAAGAGCAGGCTTAGGTTTACCTTTTAAACCTGTTTATGTAAACTTGTCATAATAAAGACTAGTGCAGAAAGAAAAAAACATCAGGAGGGGCAACATTACTATCAGACTAAGTTGAATTTAAAGTTAAAATTTTTAATTAAAAAAAGAAATTACATAATATTAAATATAATTTTTGAAGCAAGAAATACCCTCGTAACCCTGTAGATACCAAACAACACAAAAGTTAAGTAAATAAAGCAAAAACTACTAGTAACTTAAAGATAACTAAGTAAAAAATAAATGATGGTGGCATATTTCAATTTGTATTTTTCAGAAGCAGGAAGATCTAGTAGACAAAATATTAATAAAGACAGAAAAGTTTAATAATATAGTCAATCAATTGAATAGGTGTGTTGAATCTTAAAATTGGGAAATAGAGAATATTTTTGTTATATGAAATGAGAATTCATAAAAATCAATCACATACTTGGTTGGATACAAATAATACTTTAATAATGACTTTCTGTCATGAAGGCCACACTGAAAATATTATAATAAAACAAGAAAAAATCTTAAATGGTAAAATCTTATCCTCTTTGAAATTATGAACCACTTTTCTATATAATTTTTAGCCTAAAGGGGAAGTAAAACTAAAATTACATTCTCTCTGGAAACAATAAAAATAAAAAGCACTTTATACTAACACTTATAAAAAATAGCAAAAGCAACATTCATGGCAAAAGCTATAAACATAATTGCCTTTACATTTAAAAAAGAAGAATAAAACTAAGGAAAGTTTTACATTCATCTTAAAAAATGCAAAAAAAAAAAAAAACCAGAATCTACCAAAGCAAAGTAGGAAAAGAGAATTAATTTAATTCAATCTTAAAGTGATGAATTAGAAAACAAAGCAAAATGCAAACAGTAGAGAAGATAAATTCAAAAGCCCGGTCTTTGACTAGCCCACAAGAAGAGATAAACATCTTATAATCCAAATTAAAGGGGGAAAAAAGGAGAGCACAAAAACCCACAAGGTTATGGATGAGAAAGGAGACATAACCACATTTAGAATCAGAAAAAATTCAAGGAATACAAGAGATTATATGTAACTCCATGGCAACAAATTTAAAATTCTAAAGGAACTGGATAATAAAAGTAACTAAAGTTAAATAAAATACTGGAAAACTGGAACAGACCAGGTAATACAGAAGTTAAATATTAACTATCAACAATAGCAACTGAATAACATTATGGCTGATTTTCACCACACTTTAAAGAAACAGACCCTCCTGTTCTTTGTTCCTTCATTCCTTGCTTCCTCCTTTTCTACCTTGGACAAAAATGTATCAAAAATGTAAGTCAGTGTTTTAGGCTCTATGGTGCAACATTAAATAAAATAAACCCTTGTCCTTAAAGCGCTTACCTTCTATTTTACAGCTCTTAAAAAAGATGATAGGTTGCTTAATTCATTTTATAATGTAATCATTGTAAGACCAAAACCTGTTCAAAATACTATGATACAAGAGATCCACAGACCAAACTCACTAACAAATACAGATATGATATAATCAAATGGAATGTAGATAGTGTCAAAAGATACACTGACTAAAATATTTGTTTCAGGATTGTAATCATGGTCCCAAATCAAGAAATCTATCAATATAATTCACTGTATTGACAAATTAAAGAAAGAAACAGTATAAACATATGAATGGTATCTGAGAAAGTATCTGTTAAAATTAAACAATTCCTAAGACAAAACTCAAACAAAATATGAATAGATGGAAAAGTATTATCTACATAAAGTATTAATATATTGGTTTCATAACTATTTAAGCTGCTTTCCCAAAACACAGAGCCTTTTCTCTTCATTTGTAGCAGCTCTATAGAATTAAAAATTTTGATCTTAGTTTTTACATATTATCAGAATAACTATGGCCATACCAGTCACAAAGTAATTCAAGGACTTAGAGATAGTCAACACCTAACCACTCTGCAAAATGAAAGACCTTAAGCCTAATGAGCTTTCTGCAGAATTTCTACCCTTCAGCCTCTTGAGCCTTGCACAGGGAAAGGGATTAACAATTTTTTTTTCAAAGTGAGCAAGTTATTTAAACTCCATGAGACCTAGTTTTTTCATAGCAGAACAGGAAGGCATGTTTTGCCTATCTCATCAAGTTGCTTAAACAATCTAATCATTGATATATGTAAAGTTGTTTTGTGAACTGAAATCCAAAAAATTGTGAGTTTCTTCTGCTAATTTAAAAGAGAATATGCTTAAATTTCAAATGAATAAGGAAGAGAAATGCTAAGCATTTTCAAAGAGATCTCCGAATGAATGCATTCTAGACATGGATTCTCAAGAAAGACTTCTGGAAAGACATTATACTGTGCAGGATATTTATCTTCGCTTCTTGCAGCCATCGCTATCTATCTCATATGACAGTCATTTATGGTATGATTGCCCTTGATTATTCTAAGGCTTATCTGGAAATTTACCCATTCAGTTGACAAATATTTCCTGAGCATTTTCTATGTGCTAGGCTGCTGTAACAAAATACCATAAACTGAGCGGCTTATAAACAACAGAAATTTATTGATTATGGTTCTAGACTCTACAAAGTCCAAGATCACCAACAGATTCAGTGTCTGATGAGAGCTCCTTCTTTTTAGTTCATAGATGGTGACTCCTGGCTACATCTTCACAAGGTGGAAGGGGCTAGCTATCTCTCTGGGGTCTCTTTTATGACCCCATTCCTGAGGATGAGCCCTCATGACCTAATCACTTTCCAAAGGCCCTATCTTTAATATCATTACCTTAGTGATTAGAATTCAATGTGTAAATTTTGGAGAGACAAAAGCATTCAAACCATAGCAACATCCTATGTTAGCTTTGGTTTAAGCAATAATGTTCCTGAAATCACTGATTTGATATGCTAGTTTTACATTTTTCAAATACCATGTTAAAGAATACACACACACACACATTTTTAAGTCCATCTATGTACCAGCAAAACAATCTCCCAAACCACAAGTAGTACATGCATCTTGTTTTGGGAAACAGATGAGGAATATAAACTAGTAGATAGTAAATTAAGATGCACCTCCTATGGTCTAGGATTAGTTTAATGTTAAGGCAGGTCTCCTGCCAGAACCAGATTTTTGTGGATACGAGGAGAAGATCGCGCCATTTCTTAAATCTCCTTATTAGAAATATCATTTGCTCTCCATGAATGAAGGAAGAGGCCCACACTACAATATCTGAAACCAGAAGCTGAACTTGTTGCTTGCTAAGAATAGCAGGACCCTGTTTGTAGGACACAGTTTTTCAAAGCAAACTTCTGATCAAATATAGGGTAATGAGAAGCATGGAATTCAAGACTGGTGGGCTTTCAGAAGAGTCTCCATAGACACTCATCTGTTGGCCTTTAGCCTGGAAGCCTGGGCTCTGGAGTGCAGCTGTTGCTGATTGGCTGACTCAGAAGCTAGGGCTTATCTGAGTCATTGGCGGACTCCAAGAAGCTGGGTTATGGTGCATAAGAGTAATTTGCCATTTTGGAAGAGGTCTAACACCAGTGCTGACAGAGTGAAAAGCAGTCACTACTTTCCTGGGTTGATAGGCAAGTTTTATTCACACAACCAAAAAGAAGAGATAAAATAAGTAGTAAAATGATTCCAAAGTGGATGACGAGTTGATTTAACCTCCGGATTCTAAATTGTGCCTATTGAATAATTCTTTTTAATCTTTTTTTTAAAGTAAAGCCTGTTAGAGCAGCAGTAATAATTTATTCAAAACTGCTTGGACTACTAATCAAAGCTTAGGAGAACACATAGCTCTCAATAAATAAATAAATAAATCTCTTCTGCCACTTGCTCTACTACTTGGAACTCACCATACAGAGCTGCCCATGTGAGAATCAGCTTCCACTAAAATGTTTACTCTTGTGATTTTGCATGATGTCTTACTACTTTTGGGCCAATCTCAGTGTCAGCCACCTATAGAAGATGATGACTGTCTGTTTAGAGGTGACCCCCATAATTTTCAAAATTTTTTTTCATAGGCCACATAGTCTTCATTTTAACTTTTATCACCCCAAATACCCCTCTAAATTTTGACAAACCCTGACTACTCATTTTTCTCGTGACACTTTAATGAACAGACAGATATATACATGTATAGTGAACATGTGGACTCAGAGAAATCCTCAGGTGTGCAGATGGTTTACTTACTCATTCAAAGCACATTTTTGTAATACTTTAAATATGAAAGTTATGCTGTTCTGCCTCTTTACCTCCCATTGAACTCCCTAGATTGGATCCAGGCAAGAGCTTTATGATTTTTAAAAATATTCAATATGATTTATTTCATATATATGAAATATATATATTACACACACACTCTTGCACACACACACATACATTTGCACACACATACAAGCCACTAACTTTCACATGTGTTTGTGTATGTGTGTACTTCTTCTAATTTCCCTAAGCTTTGGATAATTCTTTTCCTTAAAATACACTTGAAGTTTGGTTTATAAGTAATATCCAGAATTTAATGTCATGGCATAAATTTCAGAACTAACAATAGGCATAAAAACAAATATGTATGCCTTTCATATCACTAATTCCTATTGTCACCTATAAAATGTAGAAAGATGTTATATTGTGAAATTATCATGTATGCTATTTGGGTACAGGGTTCATTGTTTTAATTAATTTGACCAAGTTTTAAAATATTAAGATATGTTGGAACTGCTCTGTTGCAAATTCAGTAACATCTTTTTGGAGTGTGATGCTGCTATTATCTTTCCCCGTAGACTTTCACTAAGCTTTTTGTCTTTGTTTTGGGGGAAATAATGTGACATAATTAATCAACATTCTCTAGGTCTATATATCACAATATATAATTCATCACAGTTGCTAGGAAATCTGGCTTCTCCTATTGTTAGCAACCAGATAATGATAATGATGGCAATAACTTTTTTATCTATTCTTCCATTCATGTTTATGAATTATAAAATAAAACTTACTGAGTTCCTACTAAGTGCCAATATTTTTCAAGATACTTCAGGAGATACAAAGATGACTAGTTTGCAATCTAGTGAGAGGCTTATATTGTTATTCACAGGATCGCAATAATTTATAATGTGAACAGGAGCTATAAATGTAGATAAAGTGACCCTAACTCAACCACTTACAACCAGGGCAATTTGTGGCAAGTTACCTAAATAGTCTAAGCTTCAAATTTCTCATCTGCAAAACAGATACAGTAATAATAATGCCCTCATAGAGAACTTATGAAGATTTGTCGAATAATTATGTGAGCAATATGTTCAGTACAGTGCCCAGCATACTGTAAATGCCTATTCAATTAACAAAATTTATGTTTAAAACTAAAAAAATTACATTGAAAATATGTAATATAAACTATTTGTATTATTATTTATTAGGAGAAAAATGATTATTTCCTATTATATGGAGAGGTATGGAGAAAGTAATTGACTTATCCAGGGTTACATAGCAAGTCATTGACAAGTCAATATCAGAAGTACTCTCAAGAGAAACCATGTCCAAAGATAGCCAGCTTCAATCATCCTGAATTTTTCCTTAACTCATAAGAAAGACTCTCAGGTGAAATCCTCAAGGTAGGGATGACTCACAGCCACTCTGGTGGAGCAAAGGACATTTTATAGTTTTAATCCACGTGCTTGCTTCCAGCCCACCAAAGGACGGCATCTAGTTTGTGAAGTTCTGACTACACATTAGAATCAAACACTGAAGGATGTGATCACAGAAGGATTTGCTTGTGTTTTACCACCTCCTGCCTTAGCTCTGATCAGGCTGCCACTCTCAAACATTCTTCACCTCTGAGACTGGCCAAAGGGAAATAGCCCTTGCTTGAAAATGCCCTCCTGAGTATGTCTGTGTATATCTTTGAGACCCTTACTAGTTCATTCCCTGTGCTGCGGATTGCATTTGGCAGATTCCGAAGGGCAGGATTACAATTAAAAAGAAAAAGTTAAGGGTTAAGAGTAGAAAAGAAATTTATCTTGTATAATATTTCCAACTAACACTTCCACTAGTTTCTTTGGGTCATCCCTCCAGAGAGGGAAAGGAGTAAAGGCACAAGCTGTACGTTTTCAGCTGACCTTCTGACATGCTATGAAGAAAGAAACTAAATTAACAAGGAAGAAAACTGAGCAAATTCTGTTTCCCTTTCTGCCAAAAGCATCCTGTCCTGGTCTTGCCTAAGATTTTTTTTTGTTAACTAATCTCCACCAGCTCTGCCCCCAACCTCAGATTCTCGTATATGCTCTTTTTTGGGCTTTTCTCCACAGCACTTACACCATTCAACCTAACAGAGGTTTCCATGGTCTACCTTACCCATCAGCTAATATGTGCTTCAAGGGAGTGTTCATCTTTGTGACTTATCTCACATAATGCTTGCTACAAAGAAAGGCTGCTAGGTAGGGTAGAAAGAATGTTATATCTGGAGTCATTCAGATTGCAGTTCAAATCTGGCCTCGGCTTCTTGTTAATTGTGCTATATAAAATACATTAAATTATTTGAGCCTCAGTTTCTTAATCTATAAAATAGAAATAATATATGCTTTATAGAGTTGTTCTGAGGATTAGAAGTAGCAAATGCAAAGTGTCTGTAGCATAGTAGAGACAATAAATAATTTATTATTATTACCACAGCAGGTGCCTAACTAATGTTTGCTGAATGAGAGAGATTATGAATAACTATGATATACTTATTGTGAGCCTCAGGTCTCTGTATCTACTTTAAAACACACATCGTTTTT
Organism: Homo sapiens; assembly: GCF_000001405.40. Lineage (NCBI taxonomy): Eukaryota > Metazoa > Chordata > Mammalia > Primates > Hominidae > Homo > Homo sapiens. The sequence continues at coordinate 7,949,553 of NC_000009.12, read as the reverse complement.
CACTTTGGAGCATGCATCAGTACTTCATTCCTTTTTAGGGCTGAATAATATTCCACTTTATGAATATACCACATTTTGTTTATCCATCAGTTGATGTATAGTTGGGCTGTTTCTCCCTTCCAGCTGTTAAGAATAATGTGCTATGAATTTTCATATCCAAATTTTGGTGTGAATATATATTTTCATTTATCTTGGACATATACCTAGGTATGAAATTGCTGGTTCATATGATACTTCTATGTTTAACTTTTTGAGAAACTGCCAAACTGTTTTTCACAGCTGCTGCACCATTTTACATTCCAACCAGCAAAATGTGGGGACTAAAATTTCTCCACATACACACTGACACGTTATTTTTCATTTTTTTTTAAATTATAGCCATCAACTAAATGTGAAGGGGTATTTCATTGTGATTTTGATTTGCATTTTTATAATAACTAATGATGCTGTGTAGCTTTTCTATGCTTATCAGACATTTGTGTATTTTCTCTAGAGAAATATCTATTCAACTTCTTTGTTCATTTTTTAGTTGGGTTGCTTTCTTTTTGTTAAGTTGTAACAGTTCTTTATATATTATGGATACCAGACCCTCATCAGAAACATGATTTGCAAATATTTTCTCCCCTTCTGTTGGTTGTTTTTTGGTTGTTGTTGTTATTCAATGAAACACTTTATGTTGTACTTTTATGCACAAAATTTTTAACTTTGATGAAATTCGACTTATTTTTTCTTGTTTTGCTTGTGTTTTGGTGTCATAATTAAAAAACTGTTACCTGATCCAAGACCACAGATTTAAACCTATGCTTCCTTTCAAGAGTTTTAGATATTTAGCTCTTTTATTTAGGTCCTCGATCCATTTTGAGTTAATTTTTTTTAATGGTCTGAAGTAGGGGTCCAGCTGTATGGGTTATTTCTGGACTTTTTGTCTTATTCCAATAATCCGTATGTCTATATTGTTATTCCAGTACCACACAGCTTTAATTATTCAGAGATGTGTAGTAAGTGCTGAAATCAGAAAGTATATTAATACTTTCACTTTGTTCTTTTCTTTCAAGATTGTTTTAGCTATATGGGGTTCCATGAAATCCAATATGAATTTTAGGATCAACTTGTCTGTTTCTGAAAAAAAAAAAAAAAAAAAAAAAAAGGCTGTTCGAATTTGGTAAAGATTTTATTGAATCTATATATTGTTTCAGCAATATTTCCATCTTAAAAATATTGTCTAATAACCCATGATCACGGATATCTTTCATTTATTAATTTTTTTATTTCTTTTAACATTGTTTTGTAGTTTTTCAGTATAAAAGTCTTGCACTTTCTTGGTTAAATTTAATCCTAAGTGTTTTATCATTTTTAATACTATTGTAAATTGAATGTAAATGCAAATACTCATTGCATACATATGGAAATACAACTGATTTTTGTATGTTAGTCTGTGATAAGTAGGTTTTAACCATCATTAACAGCAGCTTGAAATAAAAAAAAAAATAAGAGACTGAGATGGATATGTGAAAAGGAGAAGTCCCACCTTTAGCCAAGGAAAATATTTTAAGAGTTTATAAGGCCTGTGCCTGCCCTCAAGTTAATATCTCTCAGCTTCAAGCCCAACTTTCTATACTAGATTTTTTAATCCTGGGGCTAGAACTCTGCAAACACCATTTCAGCTGTACTACCTGCTCCCTGGTTAGGCTCTGCCATTAGAGGATGTGAGAGAGGGCCTACAAAGCTGGAAGAGGCAAAAGAAACTGTCTCCTTTCCATTTATTCCCTGTGGTCTTGTCTCGTGCCAGCTTCTTGTGAGCATCACCCTAGCAATGCTTCTTCACAATGGCTGCAGCAGTTCCTCCCCACTGCAGCAGCTGAATTCAAGTTGCAGTTTCTCTAATGCTTGCAAGAGACACCAGTTTCAACAGAACAGAACCTCTTCTTCAGAGGTCTGAGTTACAGCTAAGCATGGACCTTCCTCTGAGTTTCTAAGATTAATAATTCCAATCTCTATCACTGTTCTCCCAATTCTAAGAATAGAAACTACTTCCTGTAGTTGCTATTTTCATGATACCTTAGTTACTTGACTGAACAACTTAACAGCTTGTTAACAAATATTTATATTAAATTATCTATGTCCTTATAACTGGTGTGGATTCTGTCACCTACCTCAGCCCTGCTAGATACAGGTGCTAACCTTGTTTAGAACCTACTGTGTGCCAAGTATTGTGCCAGTTTTTTTCTACATTTCTTTTCTTAGGTAAGTAATAGTTTCGGTGTAAGGGCGCCAGATACATTTAGCAGCAAAGAACTATAGTATTTTCCTTATTGTCACCCACATTTTTTGCTTGGCTATAAGCAATGGGGAAGGAAGAAAGCCCCAAAGTTTAGAAAGATAGTTTTCACCCTAATCCACCAACATTCAAGGAGAACTATGCATGTGAGGGACTCTTAATCACATGGAAAATAATGTTACAAGATATTGCATCCTGAACCAGCACTGCCCAATAGAGTTTTCTGCAATAATATAAATGTTCTGTATCTGTTGAGAATTCTCCAGTATGGTAGCTTCTAGTCAGGTACGACTAATGAGCACTTGAAATGTCACTTGTGTGCTTGAGAAACTGGGTTTTTAATCTTAATTAATTTTAACTTAAATACCCACATGTAGCCAGCCAGCACTATTAAATTAAATTTGATGGCCAAGTTAGACTTTTCAAGGCAGCAACAGATGGGCATGGCTGAAGAAGTACTTCCTGGTTTTCTGGATGCATAATTTCACAGCAAACACAAATGCTAGTTGGGATTGTTAAATTGTGTGCCTAGGTGAGTTGTCAATGAGCTTTCATGTATGAAAAGACTGTCAAAAACAGATCATTCATGCTGGGGCTCACCTCCACAGGTGCCAGGGAACGTCTTGCCTTAGGGAAGAAAGCGAATCTATACTCCATGATTAGTGTGTGATTTTATTTTACAGACAGGCATCAATGCCTGGTGATTTTGATGCACTTGGCTTTTATCTTGTGAGATTTATTTAAAGAAGCACATGCGTGACTTAGAGCCTTGGGGAATGATAACATAAAAATAGGAAAGCATAAAAGGAAGCAAAAGAAAACCTGCTTCATTTGTAGAAAGGTTCACTCCCCTTTCAGGTAACTCCAAATCCTACCACCTGCATCTCTTCTCTTTTCAAATCCCTTCTCTAACTCAACTCTTATAAAATGTCTTTCATTATGAACCCATCAGAGAAAGCTTTCCCATACACACTCCATCCTGTGCCCCTCAGCGTCTAGTAGAAGAAGCCAGTAAAAAGGGCAAGAGAAAAGCAATGCTGACTGGGAGGTAGGAGTTGAGAAGAAAGTAGTAAAATGGATTTTCATTGTATTCATAGTGCTTTCTTTCTTTAAAAAAAAGCTAGAAGTACATAGAAGTAAAATTTTAACTTATTTCTAGATGAAAATATTACTCTTCTTACATTTTTATAATTCAATTTTTTAAATTTAAAAATGAAAATAAAAGCAATGGTTAGTTCAACCACTGTGGAAGACAATGTGACAACTCCTCAAGGATCTAGAACCAGAGTACCATTTAGCCCAGCAATCCCATTACTGGGTATATACCCAAAGGATTATAAATCGTTCTACTATAAAGACACATGCACACATATGTTTATTGCAGCATTATTCACAATAGTAAAGACTTGGAACCAACCCAAATACCTATCAATGATAGATTGGATACAGGAAATGTGGCACATATACACCATGGAATACTGTGCAGCCATAACAAAGGATGAGTTCATGTCCTTTGCAGGGACATGGATGAAGCTGGACACCATCATTCTCAGCAAACTAACACAGGAACAGAAAAGCAAATATCGCCTGTTCTTACTCATAAGTGGGAGTTGAACAATGTGAACACATGGACACAGAGAGGGGAACATCACACAGTGGGGCCTGTCAGGGGGTGGGGGCCTAGGGGAGGGATTGCATTAGGAGAAATACCTAATGTAGATGACGGGTTGATGGGTTCAGCAAACCACCATGGCACGTGTATACCTATGTAACAATTCTGCACGTTCTGCACATGTATCCCAGAACTTAAATCATAATTAAGAAAAATAAAATAAATAAATAAATAAAAGAAATAATGACCCCAGACAGTATGCTACTCCACTTTTTTATGTTGGTGTTTTCAACTATTATCATTCTGGAACAGATGGATCTTCATTGTGTCCATGTTGTTAAGTTAACATTGTCCAATAACTATTTGTTTATTTTTTCAAGTTCATTTGGTATTTATTTGGCAATACCCCCCAACATGACTGTTTTCATTAATTAGCCACAGGGTGGAGGAGGGGGCACTTAGGACATATTGAAAAATGGCCCTCAGTTTAACCTCCCACAAAACATGAAGGTATAATTTTTTCCTTATGTAAGTTTGCAAAGTACTTTATAGGCTGTTAAAAGTAAGACACTTTACTAAAGGGCTCACCAATTAAATCAAGGATAGTGAATCAGTTAAAAGTTCACAACTAAGTGAACAAAGGAAATGGAACTCAATAAAGCTATACTTTAGCCAGGGTATTTAAAGATACTTGCTTCTTCAGGTTGGTTTCAGCTTCAAATATTTTCATGTAGGGCCCTTGAGTTCATTTATATTTATCAGACTGTGCATGCCAATTTGGTTTGGTAATAATGGTCTTTGATATCTAAATACAAAATAGAACATGTCTACTCTTTTCTGAGTGGTTTTATTTCTATGACCGTAGGCTTCTGGCAGTTGGACTAGTTCCAAAGGTGACAAGAGTAAAGGCTCTTTTCCAAGAACATCTCAACACCTTTGCTGAAACATGTTACTTGTGGTAATAACTTTTTCTGCTCGTTTCCTATTTTGCTGGTATTTGTTATATCACCTATATTATGATGGTCTCTCTGGAAGTGCCAGAGTTGTGTTTCAAATAGAATAATAATTTTAATCTTCTTTCAAAGTTTTTGTATAAAAACAGGCCATTTCTATCATGGATGTTGATGGATAATGATATTCTTATTTGACATAAAAATCTTGGAAGTAAAAGCAGGCTTGGTAGAGTCTGAAGCAGGAATAAAGAAAGACATAAGACCAGACATTATTCCCACACAGGTTTTCTACAGAAACAGAGGAAGTTATTGCATTTTATATAAAATACTGTCATTTTCTTGCTGATTATGTAGACTTTTTTATTGGGCATCTTTCTATGTCTCTAAATAGGTGGTCTATTAGTCTTTTAGCAAGTTATTTATTGTTTGGCATCCTTGTGCAGATTTTATAAAAAATGTGGATTTTTAAAATGTTAATTTAATACAAGCAATGATGTATATAAAATGGTATATTTTGACTCAATATTAGGAATCTTTTTTATTATTATTGTACATTCTATTTTGGATATTATCTCCTCCATTATCCTTGTTTCATTAATATCTGTGATTTGTAATGAATATTTTTTGGCCTCAACATATTTATGATATGATGCCTTATTAATAGAAATGATGACATTCTAGTAATGATGCAGGGGTGATAAGTGATAAGACAAATATAATTCAGGGATTACCCTTCCCCACTCCAGTATTAAGAATCTCCCTTATAAGTAATGAGTGGAGTTAATTTTGTCATTTCTAGGTCATGTTAAATTATAAAGTTTCTTCTCATCTAAATTATTACAATCCAGTACTTTTAAAGAGCTGAATTTCGACAATGATTTTTCTTAATATTTTATAAAGAATAAGAAAATACCAGTCAATTATCTGTTTCACAGATTGCGAATGTTGCATTGATTCACCCATTTTTGTGAGCCTAGTGCATTAGTGAAGGAGAGATACAATATGATGGCCTTAATCAAAGGATTTGATTTATTGGAGTCTACATGAGTTTACTCATTTATAAAATGATTTAGACAAAACAAGACTTTCCCAATGTTTCTGTGGAATGCTAGCCACATAAAATGGTCTTTAAAGTAATGTTTTCCATCATGAAATATGTATGGGTTATTAGTCTGTACTCATGCTGCTAATAAAGACATACCTGAGACTGGGTAATTTATAAAGGAAAGAGGTTTAATTGACTCACATTTCAGCATGGCTGGGGAGGCCTCAGGAAACTCACAATCATGGAGGAAGAGGAAGCAAACATGTCCTTCTTCACATCGTGGCAGCAAGGAGAATTGCCAGAAGGGGAAATGCCAGATGCTTATAAAACCATTAGATTTCATGAGAACTCACTCACTATCATGAGAACAGCATGCAGGTAACCATTCCCATGATTAAATTACCTCCCACTGGGTCCCTCCCATGACGTGGGAATTATGGAAGCTACAATTCAAGATGAGATTTGGGTGGGGACACAGCCAAACCATATCAATGGGAAATATGACCCATAAAATGCTCCTTTTGATAATTAATATTAAACACTGAAATATTTGACCCAATAATTCCTTTTGAAAAATGTATTACCTAGTAACCACCTGTAGTATTCATGGTAAAACAGCAAACTGATTCAATGTGAGAGGTGGCATTGAAACATTTCTGACACGACAGAGAAAATCTTTGGCAAAAGTGATCAAGAACTAAAGAAAAGTCACAAACAAATAATCTTTGACTTGAATGAAAAATAAATACCTATAATTATGATAGGAGAATACTATAACAATTTTATTCTAAAAATCTTGAAGGCCAAGATGGACTTCCTAAAATTTTGGAGTTACTTTCTAGAAATATTGTTTAAAAATGACTCAAGAAAAATTCTGCAAATTAATAACCATTATTAAAATTGAAATCAGTAATAAAAAAAATCCTAATTCAAATCATTCCAGGACCAGATGATTATTTATTATTTTCCTAAAAGGTTTTAGTAATGCCTTAATAAATATTCCTTAATTCAATCTTAAACCTATAAAATTGTATTCAATTTGGAAAAAAATGCTACCCAACTTGTTTTATATTGCAAATATAACTTATATAACAAACTAGATATATACAGTATAAGAAAAACAAAATTTTAAAAATTCAACCAACAAGCAAAATTCGAGATCAACCTCAATTATAAACAAAAACTTAATTAAAATACTAGCAAATATAATTCGGCAGTTTATTAAACAAGCACTATAACATTATCAACCATGAATTTTTATTAATCATGAAAATATAATACAGCTTTATAAAACCTATGAATAGAAATTAAAGGGAAAATTTCATATCATTATAATAAATCAAAAAATGACATTCAATACAATTCAACATCTGTGCTTGATTTTTAAAAAAATTCTAAGAAAACACTATAGAAGAGGATTTCTTTAGCCTGATGAATACCGTTCACTAAAAACTTACAAATTCCATACTCAATGTTGAAACTCTAGAAGCAGTCCCAACATGAGGATGTTCACTACTGACAATTTTATTCAATATTATACAGGAGATCCTGGGAAATTCAGTAAGACAAAGAAGTATGTGGTATGAGAATTGGAAAAAAAAAGTAGGCAAGCTTTGTGTTCATGTGACCCTAAACTAATATGAAAGAAAAAAAGACAAAAAAGTAAATAAAAACTAAGATAATTTTGAGAAATGAGTTTGGGAGACTTTGTACCAAGGCTTATTATAAAGCTCTAGTGATGAAGACAGGCTGTATTGGAGCACAAATAGACAGTGGACCAGTAGAACGGATTAGAGAGCCCTCATACAGATCTATTCCTAAAGGAAAACCTACTATTTGACAAAGGTGGCCTCACATATCAGAGAGAAATTGATGGGTGAAATTGACAATCTACATGAAAAAATCAAATAAGATCAGATGGCTATTTCACACTATATACAAAACAAAGTTTCAAGTGGATTAAAAATCTAAATGTAAAAAAGCAAACACTTTAAACTCTTACAAATTCTTTTAAACATTTTTTTCTTATGTCAGGGTAGAGAAAAAATTCTTAGACTAGTCATTAAAACACAATAATGATTTTTTAAAAAAATACTGCTAAAGTCAAAAACATCAGAATTTCTGTTCAAAGTCTCTGTATATAAGATTAAAAGACAAAGAACAGACCTAAAAGAGATACTTGCAACTCTTATCACTGATAAAGATTAATATTCAGATTTAAGAACTCCTATTAGTAATTATGAAAACATTGAACAACCTGATGGAAAAGAAGGAAAAGGATATAAACAGAGACACCACAGAAGAAGAATCAGAATTGATAATAAACTTATAAAAAGATGCTCAACCTCATTACTAAACAAGGAAATGTTAATAAACCAAAATGAGATACCACTTCACATCAATCATATCAACAAAGATGTAAAAATTTGCCAATGCCAAGCATTAATGAGAACGTGGTGAAATAAACACTTTGGAGGGCAATTTGATATCACCAAGTAGCTGCTTCAACCCATCAGTGTTGACATATACAATGAAACATACCCAAGAATGTTAACTATAACATTTTAAACATAGCAAAGCCTAAAAACAACATAACTGTCCATCTAAAGGAAAATAGTCTGGTATGTTCATACAACAAAATAATGTGCAACAGTTAAAATGAGTGAACTATAGATAAGTAAGCTGCAGAATGACACAAACACTATATTATTTGTATATAGCATGAAATTTGTAAAAGGATATTAGTTAGATACACACATGCTATGTTCTAAAAGCATGCAAGCGAAAGATAGCAACTTCAGAATAGCAGTTACTTCTACATAAAAGGAATGAAAATTTGGTTGGAGAAGAGCAACACAGGTGGATTAAACTCTCTCTCCAATGTTTTAGTGCTTACAAATATCTGAGGCAAATATAGCAACATTTTAACATATGATCAGGCCGCGTGGTGAGTGCATGAGTGTTTATTACGCTATCCTCTATAACTCTGAATGTTCTTAATATTTTGCAACCTTTACCTTTGTTCCTTGTTTTTGAAAAATTAAAAATTAAAAAAACAAGAAACAAAGGTACAGTGAGTTTTGTGGAACCAAATATAAATAAAGCAATAAAATATGACTGTCCTAGCTAGTGATGATTTGCCTGGACCTCAAGGCTAAGAAATCACTGCACTTACTTCCTCTCTCCCAACTCTAACTGGAACCCTCCTGTTAAAACACATCCTCCTTCCCCCAGCATCCATCTTTGGTTTCCAACCTGGCTTGCTTACTGGGCACTTCCTTTGTTTCTCTCCTCACCTCTACAGCAATATTCTTCTACAAGGCTTTCAGGTTTCAGGAGCTGACCCTTAATCCAGATTTTGAGTACAGAATCATTTCCTTGGGCAGACCCATGTCTAACCATCTGCTCAGATTCTTCCCTGGATATGAGTGAACTGTGGTATATTCATACTGTGAAATACTTCCCTGCAGTTAAAGGGAATGAACTATAGCCACATTTCTCAACATGGATTTATCAAAATATAATAGGGAGCAAAAGAAGCAAACGCTTCTCTCAGGAGCCGCTTCTATTTGCCCTCCTGGGCTGGAAAGCTGCCCACAGCCTGGCCTCAGCTGGAAGTGGGCACTGCCCTTCCACAGCTGCAGTACTTGAAGAGTCCGAAAATGTGGGAAAAGCTTCTGCTCTAATGTTTATTGAAAGAAGATGAATAGAATACAAAATAATACCTCTGGTAGGTTTGAACACTGTAAAAATTATGTAGAGAGAGCAGGACTAGAAGGGAATAAAGAGAAATGAAAATAGATTTTTAAAAAATGTGTCAGGATCGTGGGTAATTTTCTCCCCTTTCTTTTGTATCCCATCGATATTGTTATGTGTTTGTGTAACAAGTTATTTTAAAATGTTAAAAAGCGTAGGTTGTAGGACACATAGAATCAATCTGTAATCTTTCTGGTAATGAACAGTGAATTTTCTCTGAGTTGATAATGGGCTTCAATTCTGCTGTCAGAATCACAGTTTATCTGCAATTCCAGGACACCCATTTCCTACTGATCACATGCTCTCGGGTAAGAATAACATAGAGCACCACTGTATTATACAGCTCTCTGAAATTTTAATCACGACTTGCTTTTCAAAGCAACAGACTAATTACTTCATTTAACATCATAGGATTGATAAAGAAAGATTACAGGTATTTCAAAGGCAATTGGTCAAGTTGGTATAAACAAACTGCTCGCCTCAAACTGTTGAGGTGTTAAGATTCCACTTGATAGAATGACCATAGGCCAGTAAATGCTGCAACTGGATGGTAACAAAGCCCTTCCGGGAGCAGGAGTGCAATGTCTGGTCTAGATGATAGGTGTTGACAAAGTCCTGGGTTCCAGTTCTAGCTCTGCCACTGAGTAATCATGAGAAAATGCTTGGTATTTCTGAGTTTCAGTTTTCTCTTTGGTGAAACAGAGATGACGGTGTACACCTGACGGAATGGATGTCAGCACGAACTGAGATAATGAATGTAAAATAGTTAACTAGAGACCTGGCCCCTAGCAGATGCTCAGTAAATAACAGCTTTTATTTTTCAATCAGCTCATTTTCCCTGAGCTCTGTTATGTATGGCCCTTAGCTAAGTCATATAGGTGGGCCATTTTTGAGGAGGCCTACAGGTAGAGTAGCAATTGACACTAAATGTAATTGCCGAAGATGTGGCAGGTCTGGGGAATGCTATTATTCGAAGAATACTATGACTATGGATTAATAATATAGCTCAACCCCCCCTCCACCGATTTTTCCACTCAGAACAAATCTATAGAATATAGCCATATAACATAGGGCCGAACCGAGAACACCACAGCATGCAGTTCTCTTCAATATACCAACACAATCTTGTGTGTGATAATACCCCTTATGCTCAGGCTGGTAAATTATTTCTAAACTGGAAGTTTGTCACATATTCTTATTGACAGAAAAAGAATAAAAGCAAAGAAAAGCAAAGCAAACAAAAGGTCATAGGAGAAGAGCCTATTGCAAAAAGAATAAAAGTCAGCCCATTGTTGTGGAGCAGAATCCGCAGGGCTATGATATAGGATCACTAGAATGTGGGACTGGCACCTAGAAGAAACCTCCTGCTGCCCCTGCCACAAGCATCAGAGAACCACTGGTTTATCTCTCTGGTTTTTCTTTTCTGGAATCTACGTGTGTTTATCCAGAAGAGCCGGGGGTTGATGATCAAGGAAGCAGCTCCTTAATCAGCCTAAACGGGAGGAGTAAGAGGAAGGATGAACCAGTGAGGCTGATCTGAGCTTAGAGAAAACTCTGAAGGACAAGGCAGGTGTTTTCACGAATGCATTACCCATAAAATCTCAGAGAGGCTGCACCTTGCCCTTGGGAATATTCCAAACCAGATCCTACTGGCATATTCTTCCGGATCACCTAAAGACTTCATATAAGAAACCTTCCCTCTTCACATCAGGTGCTCAATTTTCCTGTTTCTGTCTGAACTTTGCTCATTTAAAAAAAAATACAATAGATTTCACACTAAAGTTTTTATCTTCCTCCAGGGTATTTTTCTTCCATTTACTTGAGGAACGGTGCCCAGAAAATATTTTGAGAATGAAATTATAGCAAGAGTGAAATAACTTACAGAGCCTCAACCTTTTGGGGCATGATTTCATATTACTCATTTATAATAACTTCTGGTGTCTGGGAGTGCTATAGATATTTGTCCTGTTGCGTCATTGTGGGACATCTGAAAAATATTTTACAGGCAGCTTGCAAAGGAAAGACAAGTGATGGAGACAAGGCCATGGAAAGCTACAGCAGGGTCTGCATGGTGATCCCAGCACCTCTGAGCTCTCAGACTCACTTTAGGCAAGTCATTTTACACATCCCCTATCACCCCCTCAGGTTTCTTGCCTGCCAAACAGGGATAATAATATTTTTCTAATTTACCTCTCATGGTTTTCACGAATTTTTTTATAAAACAACATTCATAGGAAGGTGTTTTGAGGAAAAATATAAAGGTACACATAAGTCTTTACTATTTTCAGTCCTCAAGTTCCATTTGGGAACTTATTCCATTAGAATTAAGTTCTAGTTTCCACAGCTATCATCTCCCACTTGCTTTTGCAAAACCAAAATAATTTAAAGAGAGTTATGGGCTGAACTGTGTCCTCCAAAATTCATAGATTGAAACTATAACCCTGCAATGTGACTATATTTGGAGACTAAAAACACCTTTTTGCAACAGCTGGAAATCAAATAAAATACAAACTTCAAAGATACCTTTGTGTCTGTATGTATTGACTCCATTGAGTTAGGTTCTCAGCCTGAGAAAGGTCCTGAAGGCCCTTACTGGGAATGTCCTGACCTGCCACATGTAGCCCAGGCCTCTGGGATTTGGATTCTTAGGAGTTGAGCCAAAGTATAAGGTGACTAGTCTTGGACCTTGAATGGCCCTTACACCATGGAAAAATTTCCCTAGTTGCATTGGAATGCTTGGGCTTTTTACTTTGGTTGAGATTTGAGGTCACACAAATGTCCAATGATAGACGCTAATGTTGAAGTTTTTAAATCTCATTTTATTTTTATATGTTTATTCATTTGTTGTACTTTGTCCAGCTGGATCCAGCTAGACTTGAGGTTCCATGAAACTAACATGTGATTTGCTATAACTGCCTGCCAGGTGATCATTCTTCTAGACTCTATGGGCATGTCTTTGGCCAGAAATAATATTTTAAAATAACCTGCTGTACTCTGTACTCTCTCTCTCTATATATATATACGTATTTTTTTTTTTTTTTGAGGAGGAGGGGGAGGAATGGGACACATTGACATGAATCCCTCAGCAGGTGATTTTGTAAGACTCAGCAGCGTAGCCTGTGCTGTTATCCAGACTAAAGAAAACATCCATTTCACCTTCATCTCTCTGGCTATGCAACCACCCTCAAATCAACGTTACTGAAAGAATTCTTCAAATTAGCACCACAGAAAGGATACTGTTCTGTGTCTGTCAGAGCTGTTTTCTCCCTCCCTTTTCAGCTGTGCTTTTCCACCTGCAGAAAACTCCACCTACTTCCTAAACCTAAAAGCAGGCAGTATGCAGGGAGGCATGCCTTTACTAGCAGGAGGGGTCTGAAAATAGCTGTTTAGCTATAAATTCAGAACCTGGTACACCTGGTGTGAGTGCTGGGCACCTGGGGCCTGACCAAATGGTAGTCCTCTTCTTCCCTCCGCATTCTGGGCCTGGTCCACATGGCCTGGCCTTCTGCCTCAGCTTCCTGCTGGGACTTGAGCCCTTTGCCGAGTCACAGCTCTCTGGACTAAGGCCCTACACGTTGCCTGGCTTCTCAAAGACCTTTCCCTCGGGGAGAATAAACATGCTCCCATAGTCTCTTTTCACTCTTCCTCCTTCCTCAGTGTGGGCAACCATTGCCTTCCTAGCAACTGGCTAGGCTCCTGTGTGAACACAGATACCCAGAGGAATGTCACTGTATTGTAAAGATTGAATATTCAGTGCCAAGTTTGAATACGTCCTGGTGGGGGGATGATGGCTTAGCCAATCAGCTGACATGTGGGACAGGAGCTGAGAAGAACATTCTCATCCCCAAAAATTGTATATAGCCCTTATCTGCTCCAAACCACATATAGAAGAGAAACCTAAGGCTCAGAGAAAAAGCTGAGGCAAGACACTATGAATCATTCATTACTTATTATTCAATAAATACTGAATATGTAGTAGGTGCAAGATAGGCACTGCTGTGGTTTCTCTTTCATTTGAGAGATTTTCTTGGTTCAACAGAAGTCCCACCCTTCCTGTATAAACAAATCTTAGCATAGCAAAAAATGAGGTTATGACACTGAGTTCTCCCTCTATTAAACCACAGGCTCCACGAGTAAAGACTGTGAAGGAGGAGCAGTGAGATTAGTCTTTTCTTTCAGAATCTGCAGAAGCCACTTCTGCTGCGTGATTAGAGAAGTGAGTTTTTTCTCTAACCTCCTTCCAAACAGTTTCTATGCCCCACAGTTTGTGGATTTTCAATAGGCAAGGGATGGGGGTGCAAACTCATAACTGGAAAGTCTGACGGGAAACGTGTATGAAAGAAAATATGAAACATGCAAACCTGAGGAAAAAGAAATCCTTTATCTAGTGAAGTCTTTAGTAACCATATTTCAAGAACTCTGATATTGTCCAGGCTTCTAATGAATGGCCTTCTGGCAATTCTTAAATCTAGAGCTTTGGTTTTCTTGTTGTTGTTGTGAATCCACATACCCCAGTCTCCACAAGATTCCATGGGGGGCTTAAAACAATAATCCTTAAACAATGCTATGAAAGATTATGCAGTCATGAGAAAATGATGTCTGGCAGCGTGTAGCTTACTCCAACAGGGCTTTCCATTTATTATAATAAAATAGCCTCTGTACTACCTGTCTGTCCATTCTCACACTGAAGGTTCCTTTTACTTGTGAAATGATTGGGGCGCAATAGAGGCCGAGTCCAGAGGCCTCACTCAGTCTCCTCTGAGAGGACAAGAACTGTTTTTTCATCTACCTCTGGTCTCTGTGCAGATAAGTAAGTTGCTTTCTCTGTATTTGAATTTCACTGAAACCATTGCTTAGCGGCAGCAACAATAAAAAGACTTCCTTTAAAAAATATATACATATATGTGTATGTTTGCATATGTAGATACAGATATATATACATACAGGCATGTGTATCTTCAAAGGTAAAAAAATCCATTTATGGCCGGGCGCGGTGCTCACGCCTGTAATCCCGGCACTTTGGGAGGCCGAGGCTGGCGGATCACGAGGTCAGGAGATCGAGACCATCCTGGCTAACACGGTGAAACCCCGTCTCTACTAAAAATACAAAAAATTAGCCGGGTGTGGTGACGGGCGCCTGTAGTCCCAGCTACTCGGGAGGCTGAGGCAGGAGAATGACGTGAACCCGGGAGGCGGAGCTTGTGGTGAGCCGAGATCGCGCCACTGCACTCCAGCCTGGGTGACAGAGTGAGACTCCGTCTCAAAAAAAAAAAAAAAAAAAAAAAAAAAAAAATTCCATTTGTTATTGCATTAGTTAATATTTAGACTATGAAAAATAGTTTAATAAGAATAATAACAAACATTTTTTAACGTATCTATGCCAGGTGCCTTGTTGGTTGCTTGATCATAGTAACACTACGGCAGCCATTATTAATATTCTCATTTTACATAGTAGCACATAAAAGGTATAAAACGGGACAAAAACCATCATCCTTCATGAAATTTAAAATTTTCCCCTAGGTGTTTTTTTAAGTCATATTTCAAAAAGATAAGAAAAATGGAACATCTGCTCAGTGAAACTTCAGGCAGAAAACGATGAACTCTTAGATTAAGCCAATTGTCCATAGGCAGTTTCTCTTGGCTTTCCTTAATAATTTAGGAATAATGTTTCCTTCTTCTTATGAAGTGATTTTGGCATCTTTGATTTGTATTACTTCGGAAAGAGCAAAGTTGGTTAATTAAAATCATAAACCTAGATGAGCTAGGTTAGGATTCTACTCTGCTAATAACTTTAATATTTCATGGTGTCTTAGCCTATCTAATAATGAGAAAGTGACTACTTTATCTTTCAAATATTTTCATTTACTTTCTTATGAGCAGCACAGCTGAAAGTTTTGTTTTGTTTTAAATGAGAAAAAAAGTATTTGTGACAATAAAAAAGCAATCATGTTTCTGGATATGTAAACATGAAATCTATAAAACAAATGTTTTGCTAAAATATGTCTTCTTTTATCACTGATTTATCTGACAGCAAAAATTGTTTTCCTGGGGAACAAAAGATTTTGTGGAGGAAAGTTTGTGTCCTAAAACAGGTTGATTATACAAACAATATATTGTAGAGTCAAGAATGAGAACCCATTTCTCTATCCAAATCAGAGATGCTTAGGTTTAAATGCTTCATTGAAATTGTCTTTGTGTTGATAGTTTAGCCACCATGCCTATCCCCTTGCCAATAATACACATTCATAAATCAGTCAGGTTTCTGTTGGATTGAAATATTGACACTTTGGCCAGAGGAAGAAAAACATGGTCAAACCAATTTGATGTCTTTGAGTCTGATTTCAGCGAATTTGATGGATCTGGCTCAAAAATATTTGTAAGTTTTAATAAGCTGCATTTAATTTTCCCCACCTCTAAACTGAGCAAGAGAGAAAATCTTAATATATAATAATAACAACCAAAATTCTCATGAAAACCTTTTTCTGTTCATTCAACCCAGAAGAAAAGGAAACTTTAATGAATGCCAACATGGACATAAAATACAGGGAACATTTTTAAATGTATTAAGCCAAACAGTGTAGTATAGTGGAAATAATATTTCAAGTCCTGGACTTGCACACTAGCTCTGTCATTTAATTGTGCGATGAGCCTCCTGAGCCTCAGAGTCTTCTTCTAAAAACTAGATCTATAATGCTTCTCTTATTTACCCCACAAGATTGCTGTATCTCAAGATTTATTCTGGTTAAAAGTCTTTTGTAAATATGTAAGTACTCCAAATCATTTTAATATTAATATTATCCTTTTTAAAAAAAAATTCGGGAGGAATGATAGTAGTTGATGTTATTGCTGTTGTTTAGAATGACAGCCTCCCAGGAGAACCATTTCCATTTTCATTGCAACTCGAGAGACAACGATCAATGCTATTCAAGTAATCTTTGTGTCATACAAGCAGGTCTGCATAGAACACTAGGTAATCAATAGTCTCTATTCTTTGATCCTGACAAAATGAATGATCAAAGCATTCTAAACAGTCAATAAGCCTGACTCTTTTAAAATAAATCAAGTATTTTATTACTTTTCCCTGAAGTGACTGCCCGAATCAGGGAGGGGCAGAGGCAGACATGCCCACAAAACTAACCAAGAAAGTATCCTCTGGTTAAATCATTGTGAAGCAGAACTGTTATAATGCTTGGGGTTTGTAAGCATACTTAAAAGAATTATATATCTATATAAACCTGTTACTAAAGTTCTTCATAAAGGTGATAATTTAGGAAGGTAAAAGAGGGTAGATGGATACATGGATGGACAGGTAGACAAACAAGGGACCAATGGATAGACAGACATAGTAGATGGATAAATAACTTAAAAGTGTATGCTTTCAGTACCGATTTTAACAATTCAGTCAATTAGGAGAAAGAAAAAAAATTACTCTTAATGACATACCTAGGGATAATGACTGTAAATGTTTTAATACTTACTAATGTTCCTTATAGTATTTTTCTATGTATAGTTTCCTGTCAGTTTATTTTACAAAATTGAATTATATTATACTATGGGTTGATGTTTGTGTCAACCCCAAATTTATATGTTGAAACCCTAATCCCCAAGGTGATGATATTAGGAGGTGGGCTCTTTGGGGAGATGATTAAGTCATGAGTGGGGAGCCCTTATGTATGGAATTAGTGCCCTTATAAAATAGGCCCAATCTCTTGTTTTCTCCTTCTCACATGTGGACACAGCCAGAAGATTCTACCTGTGGATCAGAAACTAGACCCTCACCAGACACCAAATCTGCTGGAGTATGGACTTCCTAGCTTCTAGAACTGTAAAAGAGAAATTTCCGTTGTTTATAAACTACCCAATTTGTGGTATTTTGTTATAGCAGCCTGGATGGACTAAGACAACATATTCTATTTTAAAATCAACTTTGTTGGGGGTATAATAAAATTTGTAAATTTTAAATATAAAACGATAATATTTTGATTTTTAAAAAAGTCTCATGTACCCACTATCCCTAACAAGACATAAAACATTTATATCACCAAAATGGTCCCTTGTACCCCTTTGCAGTGAAGCCCCTCTCAAACCGTGCCCCTCGATGTCACTGATATGTTTTTTGTTGCCATAGATTAGTCTTGTCTACTCTAGAAATTCTTATATGGAAACACAGAGTTTGTAATTATTTGTGCCTGGCTTTTATTCCCTTGGCATAATGTTTTTGAGATTTATTCATGCATCCATAGTTTGTTCTTTTCATCATTGAGTACTATTCCACTATAGGAATTCAATACAATTTGTTTATTCATTTACCTTCTGAGGAACATTTGGCTTGTTTCTAGTTTTTTGGTATTAAGAATAAAGCTATTATGAACATTTATATATTAAATATGAAAGTTTGAATGATGTTTTTTATACTCAATATAAAACAGAAGTGTTTATCAATTATTTGTAAAATTTTCAGAAATATTATTATACATGCCTAATTTTCATTCAGTGGATACACCATAATTTACTTAAACACCCTCTATATTTGTACATCTAAGTTGTTTCTCATTTTTTTAATCAATAATAATGTAAGAAACATCTTTGCTTTTTCTCCGCTTTGAGTGCCAGCAAAGTTTTTAAGAGCAGTTCAAAATTAAGCTGAGATAAAAATTTGAAAAAAAAATGCTCAACAATGTTTTTTTATTCTTTCGTCTTAAATATACATTAAAACATTGGACATTCTACCAGGATAATTAAAAAATGCATTCTAAATTCTAGATGCCTTCTAAAGAGTTTCGTCTCTTCCTGGCTTTTATTCTTTTCTTTTTTTCTTTCTTTTTTCTTTGCTGAGAGTTTCTGAAGAGTGTTAGCTTCATTTGCTGTTTTTTCCCCTTTTCAATTGACAATCACCTTGATGAATAGAGGAAGCAATGCATCTTAACTCTCTTTGGATTAATTGGAAGGAAAGAAACTGTTCAATGAAGCCAGATATGTAGGTGGTGAGAATTGTTTGTTTTTTTCTTAAGCTTGGAAAGTGTGCTTCTGCAACATGGCAGTCGAGCCCCACATCAAAGAAGCAAAATATAGAATAACAGCATAAAAAAGAAAATTCTTTTTGGAGCCAAAAAAATGATCAAAACAAAGCTTCAAAGGTAGAGCCTATAGTGACAGAACTGCTGGGGACTGAAGCGTTTAAAATACACCTGTGTTTATGCTAATTGGAAAACTCATATTCACAATCTCAACAGTCCTTAAACAAGCAACATACTTACTGTGTGTTTCTGTTCTAAATGGCCCCAGTATCATTTTTCTGGGGAAGAGAACACTGGGTCCATTTCTGTACTTTGTCTTAAAGAACAAGACCATGCTCAAGGTATTTAAAAATGTAACTCATACAAGTTAAGTAATGTTCTCTAATTTATCCCTCTGTTTTCCATACCAAGAAATGGACCCTTAAAATACCTCATTGCCTTCAGTTCTTCTTTGCAATTACTGTGGTCATATTTGCATAATTTTAATAATTATATATTTGCATACCCTGTCTTTCTCTCAGGGATTCTATAGCACATCCTTGAATTGTGTTTATCCAATCCACATTTCTCTTCTGCTGGACATTCAGAGGACTGTTTCTCACTAATATCAGGTATGCGGGTCTGGCGATGTTGCCATCTCAATGCCCAGCCAGCTGGTAAGGGAGGGTCACAAGACCCAAGATGGGTAATTGTAGTTACCCACACACCTAGCTATGGTGATTGGTCTAAAATGATAGTAAATTGCTCAAATCCAGCCAGAGCATCTTCCCAAAGATTTTTTTTTAAGAAGCCTTGTTCCAATGATGTATTGGAGCTAATCAATGGGCTCTTACTGGTTCATACAAGCCAACTGCTAAATTTTCAGGAATTTTGCAAGCTAGTCAATAAAATGCTGGCAGCTTGAAATCAGCCATGATGGGGGTATTTACAGCACAAAAATGTCAAAGTGCTACAAGTTGGGATTTCTCTTTTTTATTTTAGCTTTTAATTTCAAAGAACAAAAACAATATCTTTTCTTTATAATCTTTCCTCCAAGAATGTATTCTGTTATGCTTAACACATCTTTGTGAGTCACATTATGAGGCTTTAATCACAATAACGGTATTATAGTGAGATGTGGTAGTGTTAGGATGGGAATCAGGAATGAGGACATCGTGTTTTTCAGACCTAAGGTCTCACTTCTACAGACAACATTGAACATTCAGGTTTCAGAATCAGAGAGTTGAGTTCAAATCCTACCTCTGGCTCTCACAATCTAACATGGGCATGTTCCTCAAGCCTATCTTCAGGATGGTTTGGTTGTGTGTTAATATTTGATAGAGAGGTATAATCTTTCCCTAAAAGTGAATTTCCTCTCCCCTTACCTCGAAGTGCTTCCCAGAATTCACAGAATGTTTTGTCGCATATTTTTTAATTCCAAAATTCTTGGCAATAATTTTCTAGACCGCACTGTATCTGCTGATAAGCACCTTGTGTCTGTGTGGCATTTTTTACTTTTCAAACTATTTTCCAATTTCTGCCGCACTAGATCAGATTCTTGAAATGCAGCCTATATCTGAGATAGCATTCATCTCAAAGAGAGACATAGTTTGGTGACTTCTTAAGAAATTTGAAAGGATCTGTTCATTTGTTACCAGCAACACCTTTTGTTGATAAAGTGCCTTATGAAGTTTTCATTGATTATGAACTCACCAGTACATATGTGATTATACACCCCAAAAAGGTGTCAAGCTTTGAGCCTAACTTACCATACAGCTATGGATAGATAGATAGATAGATAGATAGATAGATAGATAGATAGATAGATAGATAGACAGAGGCATACATACATACATGTGTGCATATAATGACACATATATACATAAAGGCCCAGATGCAGAACAAAATTTTTGCTTTGAGAAATGCTGTGGTCTAGTTGGTTTGGAAATTCTGGTACCTTAGCTTATACACCAGGAGATGTTGATGATTAATTTTAGTTGTTAACTTGATTGGATTAAGGAATACTCAGATAGCTGGTAGGGCATACTTTTGCCATATGTCTGTGTGGTTGTTTATGGAAGAGATTGGCATTTGAATCAGTGGGCTGAGTAAGGAAGATCTACCCTCATCCAAGGTAGGTGGACATCATCCAATCAGCTGAGAGCCCAGATAGAACAAAAAGTCAGAGGAAAGGTGAGCTTGCTCTCTCTCTTCTCTCTCTCTCTCTCTTCTGAAGTTGGATACCCTCCTTCTCCTTCCTTTGGACATCAGAACTCCAGGTTCTCCAGTCTTTGGACTCCAGCATTTGCACAAACACCTGAAGGTTCTCAGGCCTTCCGCCTTGGAATTGGAGCTACACCACTGGCTTCCCTGGCTCTCCAGCTTGCTGAGGGCATATTGTATAACTCCTCAGCTTACCTAATTGCATGAACCCCTAATAAGTTCTATCTAGTGCCCTATTGGTTATGTCTTTCTGGAGAACCCTAATACAAATATCATACTTAAATTTCACTGTTCATTTCAATAAATATTTATTGAGCACATTTCTGTGTTAGAGACAGAGACATCTGTACTTGAATCTCTCAAGCAAATCTCCATCTTTAAAGAATGTAACCTGAATTTTTTGATCATTCAAATCAAAGTATTCTCATAAGTAACATTTAATGTAACTTGTTAATTTTCCAATGATTCTTACTCTCAGAAATTGTTTGGTTGCTTCATGAAATTATTACAATGAAATATTTCTTCTAAAAAACTTCCTCAGCTATTTGTCTCAGTCAGCTAGGGCTGATATACCAAAATACCATAGACTGGGTGGCTTAAACAATAGACATTTATTTCTCATAATTCTGGAGGCAACATGCCCAAGATCAGGGTGCCAGTATGGCCAGGTTCTTATTGAGGGCTCTCTTCCTCACTTGCTGATGGTCACCTTTCTGCTGTATCCTCACATAGTGGAGAGTGAAAGTTCTGATGTTTCTCCCTCTTCTTATAAGGACTGATGCCATCATGGAGGCTTTACCCTTATGACCACATCTAAACCTAATTCCTTTTCAAGAGCCCCACCTCCTAATACCATGACACTGGGGATTAGGGCTTCAACATATGGACTTTGGTGGACCACCAACTTCAGTCCCTAACACCACTGCTATAAGAATGAATGTTTGTGTCTCCCCAAATTCATATTTTGCAATCTAATCCTTAATGGTATAATATGAGAAGGTGGGGCCATTGGGAGATGATTAAGTCATGAAGGCTCTGCCCACATGAATGGCATTAATGCCCTTATAAAAGAAACCCCAGAGAGCTAGCTGGCCTTGTCTGTCATGTAAGCATGCAGCAAGAAGGTGCCATGAGCAAGAGAGCAAGCCTTCACCAGACACCAAATCTGCCAGCAGCTTGATTGTGGACTTATCAGCCTCCAGAACTGTGAGCAATAAAGTTTCTTTTGTTTATAGACTATACAGTTCATGGTACTTTGTTATAGCAGCCCAAAAGTACTAAGACAACTACCTCTTGGGAGACTTCTAGGTGTGCTCATTACAACCTTCTTGACCTGGACCTCATCTGTGTTGCTGATTTATGTGTCAGTAATGGGAACAACAACAAAGACTGTCAAAGGCAGGAAAATAGCATATATTCAAGGACTTTAATAGGAAAAAAGGGCAGGATTTAACTTGATAATGCCATAATTGTCTTAACACCAAACTGAAAGAAGTGGCATCACTAGAGCTGTGGCAAAGGATCAACAGCTGGGGAGGTGCGAGAGACTGAAGGAAGATTCAAAGTGCTCCAGGAAGTTTCTTACCAGCATTATCTCCTGACCATGTGAGGGTTTTCTGTGCTTTCTTCATCAGGCCTTTTTCAGTTATGAGTGAATCCCAAATCAAACTGACTTAAGAAACACAAAAGTAAGCATGAAATATATTAGCTCTTGAATACCTGGGAAGTTCAAGGATCCAAGTCATGACTGGATGTAGGGGTTCAAATATTGTCCCTAGAACTAAGGGTATTTCCATTTCTTAGCTCTCAGAATCTCTGCTTCACCCCAGATAGTCTCTGCCCACATGGTGGCCCCAAGCAGTACTCCATGTAACCATGATGTCCAGGGACACAGAATGTTCTGATTGGCCGAGCTTGTATCATGTGCCTACCCTGGGGACTAAGGGGTGTGGTTAGTCCCACTTGAACCACATGACTTGGGGGTAGGATCTGGTCCCTAAGAAGAGATAAGAACCTTTTGATTAAAAGATGGGGAGAAGAGATGTTAGGATTTCAGTTCTCCATGACTAGTGTCTGGCTGCAACCCCAGGCAGGCAGTGTCCATTAAAACTTCAGGCTTTAAGGTCAAACAGACCTGTATTCATATCCTAGGTCTGCCACTTCCTAGCAGTGGGGACTCAGGAAAGTTGCATAATCTCTCTGTATCTATCTATAAAGTGGAAATATTAATTATACCTTGCTCATAGATTTCCTGTGAGGATTATATGAGACCATGAGTGTATAGAAAGCACAATATAGTACCCGGCAAACAGTAACCAAGCACTTAAATATGTAAAGAAGGACGTGTGACTGACAAGCATAGATAATTTAGAGACAAAATGAATTTTATCTCTGAAAAGTCATGGGCACCTTTTAAAATCATTGATAAGAAGATGGAAACAAAACTCAAACTTAATTCATCTACTGGTATGAAATGTTTCATAGGTGTACTAAGGTGTTTCTCAAACATTTCGTAAGGATTTCCATCACTACATTAAAGATTTTCTCAATGGTTTCATGACTTCAGAGAGGTAACCACTATTTAGCTTCTGCACCTTTACTAAAAGTATGTGCATGATTTAGGAGAAATATTTTGAAATATTAGGGTTTTTCACAGCCCTAAATTACTCTTTTGTGGTCATCGGCAAATGCAGGCTACCTGGTTATATATTTTGATGGGGAAGAAGAGGGGAAATTCAGGACCTACATAAGAGATTAAAGTAAAATCTAATACAAAATTGAGATTGGTAACACAGCACAGAAGTGCCAAAACTGCATGGATAAGTGATTTTGAAAACCATCAAACAGACATTCCACAAGGTCAACCAAAATGCAGTGTGCCGGAGAGTAATGAGTGACTTTAGTCCAATAGTTATTCAAGTGCCTGAGAGAAAGTTTTTCTCTTCTGCTAGCCTCTTTCCCTTATAGGAGAATATTATGTAATGCATACATTTCATCTTACCTTTAATTGCCTGGTTTAATAATAAATACTTAACAATTTTTTTGTAATTTTTGCCATACCGGAGGAGAAATCTGTCTTGGTGTTGGAGCCTCTTGGAATTCGTGACAAGGAAAAAAGTACACCAAGTAAACTAGTAAAACAAAAGGTAAGAAGGCCCAATCCAAAATCCAAAGAAGTCCATTTACTTTTCTTCTGTCCTTCATTTTTTCCTCCTTCCCTCTCTTCCTTCTTTCCTTTCTTCCTTACTTCTTTCTTTTAAGCACAAGCAATATGTGACTATTTTGTCACATTCAAATGATATTTTTACAAACAAAAGAGCCAAATTTGATAATATGCTGAAGTTATGTGCCATACAAATACATAATCTTTGATGTTCAGGATTGAATTTGCCTTGTTAATAGCAATGATTTTCTACGTCAACTACACCAAAACACCTAAGTGAAAAATCCACTTGACTTTCTTGGTAATATCACAATGAACAGCCAAACAGTTTCATAATTAAATGCACCTTAAAAATTATTTCATGGGCATATTATAGACATTACCCTTATGAACTTCAATTGGAGTTGTCTTTCAGTATAAAATTTAGTACTTCTCCTTTGGTGAATAATAATAAAGTAGTTAAAGTAGTGTCATGGTTTGAATGTACCAAAGTTCATTTGTTGGAAAATTAATCCCCAATTTAGCAGTGTTAAGAGGTGGGAACTTTCAGAAGTGTTTAGGTCATGAAGGCTCTGTCCTCATGAATGGATTGATGTTATTATCATGGAAGTGGGTTTCTGATAAAAAGGATAAATTTGGCTCCCTTCCCTCCTCTCTCTTTTGCATACATGCTCTCTTCCCTTTCTTCCTCCTGGCATGTATGACACAGTGAGAAGGCCCTTGACAGATGTGAGCCCCTTGACCTTGGACTTCCCAGCCTCAAGAACCACAAGCCAAATAAATTTCTGTTCATTATACATTACCTAGTCTCTGGAATTCTGTTATAAGCAGCACAAAACTGACTAAGACAAGTAATTTTAATTTTTAAGGTACTCTCTCTTAAATTTCAAAAAATGGCCATAAGGTTTTTAAGCCCATGGGCTTTGGTATCAAACAGATGTAGGTTCAGTCTCAGATTTGTCATTTATTAATCATGATTTTGGAAAATTACTTAATAGATGTACATTCCAGTTTCTTCATCTATACAAAGAAGATAATTTTAAAAACTACATCAAGAATTGGTAATGAGGCTTAAATTAGAGATTTCATATAAAGAGCTCAGCATAACATCTGACAAATAATTAGCACACAATGCATTTTACTATAGATACTTAGATTCTATACTTGTTTAAATGTAGTTAGCTTGTTTGTTTTACTTTATTTTTAGAAGTCTTGGATCCATGAATGATGGATTGAAAAACAGATCAAATATTTTTTCTGTTTAAGTCCCATAGATCATGTGCTTATTGAGCATAGGGACTGGCTTAGTTACCATTTTTACCCCAGACCTTCCCAGGAGGCCTGAGACAGAGTAAGTACTGAATAAGCAAGTGCTGAACTTGTCATATTCTCCACACTTTTCTTTTACTTTTTGCATAACAGATGCTACCTTATGGGTGGGTGTGATTCTCCCTAGTCAACCTTGGGCAGAATTCAGCAATTCTCTTCATTCCCAAAGGAAAATCTACCTCATTGGACCCTGATTTAAAAAAAAAAAAAGGATTTTTCTGGAGATTCAGCAGTGGGGCAAGAAAAAGGATTTATATTACATAGCATGGGTTTTCTTTTCAGTCCTCCCAGATCCCTTTTGTCTTCAATCTTATAGACTTTCCAACAAAGCCCTTCCATCTCCACTCTCTCTATTTCAGCATCTTCCCTAAGAACTGCTTTCTTTACCCATTTTATATACAAAATAGTTTAGCCTCTGTAATCTGGCATCCACATTGCTTTATGCAGTCATGTGTTACTTAATCATGCAGTATGTTCTGAGAAATGCAACATGAGGTGGCTCTGTCATTGTGAAAACACCATAGCATACTTACACAAACCTAAGTGGTATAACGTACTACACCCGTAGGCTATGGGGCATAGCCTACTTATCCTAAACTACAAACCTGTATAGCATGTTACTGTATTGAATACCATAGGCAATTGCATTTGCCTTAAACGTTTACACGATGTTAATTATTTTTGTATCTAAGTAGATACAAATATGGAAAAGGTACAGTAAAAATAAAGCATTATAATCTTATGGACCACCATAAGATGTGTGGTCCATCTTTGACTGAAACATCATTAGGAAGTGCATGATTGTACTCTCTTTAAGGTAAGTAAACAAAAATTCTTCCATGTTTCAGGTTCTATTTTCTCTGAATGGGACGCTATAAATAGCAAATGTCATTGTCTCTCAATTCTATTTTTTTCTTTTCCTATAAAGATTATATTTAATTATTTATTTATTGTCACACTAGACTGTAAACAGTGTGAGCACAAAGACTGTCAGTCAAGTTCACCACTTCAGCATCAACCTACAACATAACGGGCATTCAGTAAATATTCATTTGTATCTAGTGAGCTTGCATGTGTGTGGATATGCACAGGTATGCATGCGTGTGTTTGTGAGCATGTGTGTGTGTTGGGGAAACAGTATTATCTTTCTCACACTTACATTAACGACTCCTTTAATATTTTCATTTATCAAAAACTTGATCAAATCCTGTGATGCTTTAGCTAATGAGTGAGGATATTATACTCAATTCCAGATGTCGAATCAAAAAGATTATAAAATAGAGTTTCATCAAAGGAAAACAATGCTTTTGATAATAACAGCAAAGGCATACTACTTCTTCTGGGAGAAAAGTAAATTTTGACATACTAATTCTCATTAGATTCAGACATAGAAGCCTTAGAGATATTCAGTTTGGTGTTTTTATTATATTTCCTTCATCCACATTGTCAATTCTTTTGTTTTCTTGCATTTTTATTTTTAATTGTCCTTGTATTCCTCTTATCCTGTGGCCAATTCCCCTGATCCCATTTCTTATTTTCCTGCTGTGTTCACTTCTTTCACTTCCTAACTTGATTTATCTGCCTTGCTTGGTATCAGTTTCTAACCTTTTCCCTTATTTTCCTCTGACTTCTTCTTATCCCCCAGCTAATCTTTTGACCTTTTTGTAATCTCTTTTCTTTCCACATTATCTTGTTTTCAGAGTTGTCCTTATCTGCTTAGCCCTCAGTCAAGTTCAGGGGAACATTCAATCTGAAAAGTCTTTAGCCTATAAATGGATTACCAGTTGTCTCAGAAGGGTTGGCTCACCAAGATACCTGAAAAAGAGCCTTTCTGTTTCCAAGGCCTTTCCTGAATAGATGAAGCCTCCACATTCTCTTCCCTGCTCTTCCTCACTGTCCCACCTGCTCAGTGTTTTGAATTCTTCAGGCACAATTTCTAAGTAAAACAGGCACATTGGTTAGCTCAAGTTTTACCCAATTATTTATTGTTTTCTCACCCTTTTCCTCTACCTTCTGTCTTAAGGTTTTTAAAGACTGAGGGGCAACTTGGCACAGGCCTGCCTGCATCTTTCAGATTTAAATTGATACTCTAAAAAGCCTGGCCACCTCCAAGGCAAATGTTTCCCGGGTTTCGATTTAGTTTTCATTAGGAACTGGGCAGCCCCGTGCCAGCCTGCCTGCCCATTTAAACAAGGCCTCTCTCAGGGGATTATGCAGTTGCAGGCTGAAATATCTATATGCAAATGAGCCTTTCTGTATTTGCTATCAGCTATCACAGAAATTTTCCATTCCTTCAAAGCTATTTTTAAAAACACCAGAAAAACAGAGACAAAAAAGAAGCAAGAAAATCTGTTTAACATAGATGGAAAGCCTGAAGAAAGAGTGGAAGGTTAGCTCCCACCCTCCTCACTCCCACCCCACCCCACTTACCCCTTCAAACAGCTGCAAGAGGTAGAGAATCCACCGCCCAGTCCCATGGAACATAAACATATCCTTAGGCAAGGTTATTTTACAGTTCTAATTTAACCAAAATAAATAGCTGGAGCACAACAGAAGTAAGGAAGCTTCTCTTGAGGTGAAAAATATAAGGAAGCTCAGAGCCGGTCAGAAGTTTGTGAACAAAATAAATGCGATATTTTAAAAGTATAGAATTAAATCTATATTATTTGCATAAATATAGGGGAACAGCATTGTGGATGTGATGGTGCATGTATTATATAAACTTAAAAGTATTTTTATGTTTTGAGTTGCAAGGTGTATTTGTGCAAATGTTGAGTATTTTGAGACCCAGTCAAACGTGGCTATTAGTACTTGAGCAGGTCTTTTGGGCTTCAGTTTCCTCACCTATAAATTAGGGACTAAACTAGATCAGTGGTTCCCAAATTATTAGAAGACCCCTCACTACTTTAACTTCACATTTGGAAACAATTTCAAACTTAAATAAAAATTACAAGACAAATACAAGGAACATTCATTATCCTTTACCCAGATTCTCGTACAGTTAACATTTTGTCCCCACTGTTTTACCATTGCTTCAATCAATTAATCAGTCAATCTATCTACCTATCTAATCTACCAATCTATGATTTTTTATTTTTTATTTTTTTTGGAAACAGAGTCTTGCTCTGTCGCCCAGGCTAGAGTGCAGCAGTACGATCTCGGCTCACTGCAACCTCCACCTCCCAGTTCACATGATTCTCCTGCCTCAGCTCTCCGAGTACCTGGGATTATGGGTGCACATCACCACACCCAGCTAATTTTTTGTATTTTTAGTAGAGATGGGGTTTCACTATGTTGGCCAGACTGGTCTCAAACTCCCGACCTCGTGATCCACCTGCCTCGGCCCCCCAAAGTACTGGGATTATGGGCGAGAGCCACTGCACCTGGCCCAATCTATAATTTTTTACTGAATGGTTTGAAAGTTACATACATAATGCTCCTTTATTTCTAAATTTCAGTACAGTTTCAACTTCTTTTCAAGTTCATGTGCAAATAATCCATTGCAGAAAAATCTACCATTGTTGATTAAGACTCTAAGGCAGCAAATACTTTCACTGACCTCTGTAAAGAATCGTTGCAGCAAACACTGTCATTTTCTGGTGACCACGAACTTAAAGTAACCTGATGTTTACTCCCTGATCTTTTGTTTCTCATTTGAAGTTGGGCATAACAGTGAATACCATTTATAATTTGCTTACTTTGTGCCAGGCAATTATATATGTTACTTTACTTAGCCCTACAACAAATGTTCAAAGTAGACATTATGAAATAGGTATATGAACAAAGGATGGAGAGAAATGAAGTAAATGATGCTTAGTGTCATTTTAGATAGGCCAATCAGAAAAGACCTTCTGGAAAAGATGACATCTAAATGAAGAAGTCTGACCCTGTTGGAAAAAAAAAAAAAAGAAAAGATTCCTGGTTCCCACAGTGACTTTATCAGTTAGAAACTACATGCAACTATTAGAAACAGAAACTCAAGTTCAGAAATCCAAAGAAATTGGAAGTTCTTTTTCTTCATATGTAGAGAAAATTCAGAGGTAGGCAGTTCTGGGCTATTTTATTAACTCTACAATCATCAGGAATTTAGTTTCCTGTATTTTCATTAAGCCTTCTTACTGCATGCTTTCAATCCTAAAATTAGTCTTATGCCTAAGATGGCTGCTGGACCTCCAGCTATTATATTTACATTCTACATAGGCAGTAAGAGGAAAGGCAAAGGTCATATCTCCCTAAGGAGCTCCCTAAGTCAGCTGGCTTCTTTGAAGTGTTACCTGAAGACTTCTGTTTACATGTCATTAACTGAGGTAAGATTGAAAATGTGGGCTTTAGCTGGTAGCAAAGACATCCAGAATGAAATTAGGAGTTGATTGGTGGAAAGGGGAGAATGATATTGCATGAGGAGTTATCAGTCTTTGATTCAGAGATGTGAAAAAAAATTGGATTCTGTCTTAGTTTGAATTCACCCAAAAACAGGACCTGAGACTAGTTTATTTGAGAGGCGATCTCAGGAAGTAAGGGAGTTGGAAATGAGAACACAGTTGTCAGATTCAGCAAATAACAATATAGAAAACCCAGTAAATTTAAAATTCTGATAAAAAACCAGTAACTTTTTAGTATAAATATGTCCCAAACCTTGCATGAGAAATACTTATACTAAAGAAATTTTCCACTGTTTATCTGAAATTCAGACTGAGCTACCTGGCAGCCCTAGCAGGGAGAAAAGCCAATGAAGGGTACAATAATAAATAGGTAATCGGTGTGGACAACTGAGGTCCCGACTTGGCTGGGCACCTTCTGAGAAACCATATAAAATGTATCTTAGAATTGAGCTTCAGCAGGACAGAGAGACTGGGGCATTTTTCCATGGACTCCCATCACAAGGCCAGCAGTAACAACTCTTTGGCTCTTCAGAATTGTTCTGACTTGTAGCTAAGCAAGCTCATACTGCTAGGGAAGGACGCACTCCAGCAAGGAAACAGAGAGGAGCAGGCATTTAAAGTGGGAAGCATTCCACGGGGTACCTGAAACTGCCCACCATAGGGACAAAGAATTCAGAAGTGAGGCCTGGGGACATGCCACATGGTATCAACAGAGTCAGCTAGGGTTTCTTTTCATTCGCTCTCTTGCTTTACTTCTTGCTCACAAAGCAACTCTGTGATTGTCATACGGCTTCCTAAATGTTACAGGGAGAGGGTGGTTTGGGCCTGAGGCCTCCAGCCTTGTCATCCATCTGTGGCTTTCAATGCATAGGAATCGATGAATATTCTGCTCTTTTATATTGGCCATGGGAGCTCATCAATGTAACTGCTCCTAAGAAATGTACTTACTTTTAGGGTGCTGACAATGTATGTGTCTGGACCAGTAAGACTGTGGAACAGGCCTCCAGACAGTGCCAAGATGCTGTTACAAAGAACGGTATCCTCTGGAGCTTCCTGAGAGATAGCAGGCTTTCTCCTCACAGCCCTGCAACTTGGAATGATATTTCAATGGTTGAGTTGCATTTCCCCTATTTCGGATTTTTACACCCTTTATTTTCCAGATGAGCAAGTTGAATTTCTGGTGTGGACACTGCCCCACAAAAAGCTCGTTTTGTGTGAATTATTAGGTAAAGGCTTTGACTTTAAACCTTAAATCATTCTTAGCTTAATGAAAAGCACCTGGTAATTATATATTCATTTATATTTACAGAGTGGGGTCTTGGATTGATTCAGAGGGAGCTCACATTTCTTAGCAGAGTTTAATTAGCAACAGAAAAAGCATGAGGCTTCTTTCTTTAAGAGCTGTGTCTAACTCTAGTAGCTACTACAAAGCGCTCTGGGGTACGGTGTGAAATCAAAATGTTTTGTCTTCTTCTTGGAATGGGTAACTGAGGAGCTAGAGAAAGCTATGCTTTAATGCATAAAAATGCTTGAGTTATAGTTTTAAAATTTGATTAGGGTATGTGTTACCCTAGGTTCTTCAAGAAGCAGATCTACTTTTCCTATTTCACTTGCCTTGCCTCCTTCACACTGTTGCAGGTTTTACCCCCAAAGTACTCCCTCCATAAATTATCTGGCAAGAATCCTAAGACAAGCTCTGAAACAGGTGAGCCTGGGAGGCTCTGAGGTAGTGCCTAAGAGGGAAATGATGTAGACTGAAAGAACAAATGAGTTATTTTCACTAGGGGACCTGGTCTAACAGAAATAATTTCACATAGACATATTGGTGACAGTTTCCTGTCACTTTAAACTATAAATATTATATATACCAGTTTGCTAAACTTTCAGTTCTTAGTGTTAAGAACCCTAAATTTTATTCATAGAATAAAATGATTAATATGCTACTAGCTACTGCACAACTTCTCTTAGGCGGCAACTTTCAAGCAAGAGTCTCTAACGGCATGTCCATCTTTTTGCTGTGATTTGCTGGCAAGCAAACTTCACTGGCTAATTTTAATTAGAATCGTAGAATTTTATAGCTGGAACAAATTTTAGGGATCATGTAGTCCAACTCTCTTAGGTCATGAACAAACAGAAGCCAACAAAATCCAATTATTGCCCAGGGTCATTCAGCTACCAAATGGCAGAATAGGGATAATAATCCATTCTCACAGGCACAAAATCCAACAGTGTTTCCACTGAACCACATTATCTGTCCTTTACCAAACTTTATATTTTTCAGACGGAAGACAAATAAAGAGTATCCAACTGTTTCATTCATTACTCATTGAGTCATATCATTGGCTTTATAAATGAGTTACATTAGTATTTGCTTTCATCTAGTAATGAGTTTGTAATGTTAAATTATAAACTCATCCTCTGTTCTTTTTCTTTTTCTGTCTGTATAAGCTTCAGCCAATTACTACAAATAACAAAAAACATATGACTATCCACTGGAGGGAAGAGCTTACAGGCTGAACCACCGATATTGTGTTATTTCAGTTAAGATATGGCTGGAAGTTGCCTGAACTAGACTAAATGAACTCACTTCCAATAAGGCTTAGGTTGTCTCTAAATGAAATCAATGTTATCGATAGAAATATTGTTGCACACATATGTCCACATATACCTTGTTGTCCTTTGCCTTGAAAGATTTAATTATACAGAATAAAAAAGAAATCTTGCAGAGCCTAGCCATTTCCCTGTGATCTAACAAGATCAGTTTCCTTTCTCTTAATTATAGCTATTTGAGCACAGTGACCTTTATACCCATTAGGTTGATCTTCAAACACAAGCAGACCTGCCAGTCTTGAAAGATTACAAACCCTAAAGCCACTGGACATTTGTTTCTTATTGAATTTTTTGTCTCAGTTTGCAACAAAAGTGAGACCACCTAAAGGAAAGGTTTCTGTCTTAAGTGATATAATTTGGCTACTGGGAATTTACATTAGATTCCCTTCTGTAATGAACAGTTTTATACCAAAAGGGAGAATATTCCCCCTCAGGTGTCCAGGGCTAATGATGTAATCTTCTCCCTAATGAAATAAGGGCAGTGACTGCCATTTCCCAGTTCATAGTACGTCTTAAAAACCCAGTACTGTTGTTTACTTCCACTGAACATCTGGGAAGGAGGGATAAAGTCACAGTTGAGAAAGGTCCCTTTATCCTTTTAAGCTCTAGAAAAGAGAGCCTTCAATGGCTTCGATTTTCTGCCTGGTTATTTCGGCAGTTCCTCTGTTGAAAAATCTCAACCCCACATTAAATTGAAGATGGTTTATCATTATTTTCAAACCTCCCAAATGATCCATTACTAACATCTAACATCCAATTCAATCTAAGAGTGATAGTTATGTTAATAAGTTATATGTGCCTGAAGGACACATAGAATTTGGTGTGGTTCTACTGAGAGCCCTCTCCTAAGTTGCAGACTGCCAACTTCTCATTCTCATTGCATCCTCACATGGAGGAGAGAGAGAGAAAAGCAGGTCTCTTATGTCTTCTTTTTTTTTTTTTTTTTGAGACAGAGTCTCATTCTTTCCTTCAGGTGAGAATGCATTGGCACAATCATAGCTTACTGCAGCCTTGAACTCCTGGGCTCTAGTGATCCTCTGGCCTAGGCCTCCAGAGTAGCTGGGACTACAGGCTCACATCACCATATGCAGCTAATTTTTTTTTATTTTTTGTAGAGACAAGGGTCTCACTATGCTTCCCAGGCTGGACTCAAACTCCTAGCCTCAAGTGATCCTCTCGTATCAGCCTCCCAAAGTGTTTGGATTACAGGTGTGAGCCACCATGCCTGGCCTCTCACATTTTTTCATAAGAGCAGTGATCCCATTCATGAATGCTCCACGCTCATAAGCAAATTGCTTCCCAAAGGCTTCACCTCCGAAAATTACCACATTGGGAGTAGGATTTTAACATATAAATTTTGAGGGTACACAAACATTCAGTCCATTGCACCCTCTATAGACATCATGCTAATTTATATTTCCCTCAACAATGGATGGAAGTATCATTTTCTCCACACTATTTCCAATAGATTATTATAGTATTTTTTAACAATCTGATAAGTGAAAAGCGTACCTGCTACTCTTACTTTGTATTTATTATGAGACATGTTTAAATGATATTCGTGTTTGCACTCCTTAATTGTTAATTCATCAGTTTTTCACCATTTTTCTATTTATTGTGGCTCTTTACATATTCATTAAAGAGACCGAATGTCGTATGTACCCAAAGAATATTTTTGTATAGAGTATCTCCACTTCTGCAACATCAAAAGTTGATAAAGTAGTTTTGTTTCCCACAAAGTACTAGCTTATAATGGAATTCTACTATGTCCATAGTTACATAACAGCAGTAAGCCAAAGTATGGATTATTTCTGTTTATTCTTCCATTGTCAAATCAGCATTTCCCAAAATTTATTCAATGGAATGTTAGATATATATAATTCATAAAAAGGGGGCAGATGGAGTAAAATAAGAAATACTCTAGAGACAAATAATCTTGATTTAAACATAGTTAAATGAAATTATTTCTTTAAGGATTAATCAAAGTCTTAATGTGCTACATTTTTATGAAATGACCATAGTATAAATGTTCCAAAATTATTTGCCTGCAATATTGCACTAGTATTCTGCTGAACACATTTTGGGAGGTAGTCCTCTAAAGACTTTTACTTCGATTATGACTATTATTAAATTGTTTGCTTTGTAACAAGCCTTGAATTTTACAAGTAACGGTAAATACTTTTCATGCTATTATTCCTCATAATTAAATTGTAAGTTCTGACAATAAATCATTACCTGGTAACATCATTCATTTGTGCTATGGTTTTCATGTATGTGTCCCTCCAGAATTCATAATTTAGAACTTAAACCTCAAGGGGATGGTATTAAGACATGGGGCCGTTGGAAGGTGGGGCCTTTGGGCAGGCCATAAAGGCTCAACCCTCATGGATGGGATTTGTGTCCTTACAAAAGGGCTAGAGGGAATGAGTTCATCCTTTTTGCTTTTCTGTCTTTCTCCATATGAGGACCAGCAACAAGGCACCATCTTTGAAGCAAGAAACAGTCCCTTGCCAGACATCAAATCTGCTAGCACCTTACTCTTGGACTTCCACAACTGTGAACAATATATTCCACAAGAATGAACAAGTTACCCATTCTAAGATATTTTGCTAGAGCAGCCCAAACAGACTACAACAGTTTGATTTTCTAGTTATTCTTTCACAACACGGATATTAAATGGTGACCTGCCTCCATACACATATGTTTGCATGTTGGAGTGTGTTATGACCTCTGCATAGATCTGAATACATCTACTGTTTCCTCAGTAGTTCATGCTTATGGAATTCTTATGGGACCTGTGGAGACAAACACAAATCAGAAAGGAATGTGGGAGCTCACTGTTTTGAAATTAAGCACCAAAAATACTCCATCAGGTGCCTTGCGTAAAATATTTGTATGTCTTATCAATGTCACCTTCAGTGTTATAGCCGGAGTATTTCTTAATTACATTATCTGATTTTCACTGTAGCCCTGGGAAGTGGGTCATTGCCCCCATTTGGCAGATAATGACACAGATACAGGAAAGGTGACATGCCCAAAGCATCAGTGCTAGATAGTGACTGAGCTAGAGCTGACACTCAGGCACCTGAATCTGTCACCAGAACCTGCACCCTGTAGACACAGTTATACCCTCTTTGAAGCTAAGCTGAAGTGAATAAGACCACGTGTTAGAATAGTCACAGTCACCCACTGCTTCTAATCAGATACATTTATGTTTCCTTTCTGGATTCTAAATCACCAGGGAATACTAAAAGTATAGAAATATCTAATATATACTTATAAAACCCTCCATTGGGGGAATCTGAATCCACTTGAGCAGGAATGGGAGACACCTGTGAAGCTATCACATGAGCGCTCTGAGAAGAGTGGATTGGTAGAACTAGTCCAGGCTTTGGAATTCACAAACCTGGGGTTGGATTTTGGGCTTGCTCATTCCTGACTCTGTGGCCTCTGGTAAGTTACCAAACCTCTCTGTTCTGAGTTTATTTTTCTGTGGAGTAAAAACAGTTTTCTCACAGGCTTGTAATGAATATCCAATGAGGTGACTTTTTGCAGTGAGTCAATTTTCACCATGAGGTACTTTTCATAATGCATGGCTCCCAGAAAGCACAGAGTCACAGGACACAAAAAGTAAACTTCAACAGGTAGTCTAGAGCAGGGGTCTCAAATCCCTGGGCCATGGACTGACAGGCGCCCGTGGTCTGTTAGGAACCGGGCCACACAGCAGAAGGTGAGTGGCGGGTAAAGGAGTACTACTGACTGAGCTCTGCCTCCTGTGAGATCAGCTGTGGCAGTAGATTCTCATAGGAGTGTGAACCCTATTGTGAACTGCACATGCGAGGGATCTAAGCTTGTATGCTCCTTATGAGAATGTAATGCCTGATGATCTGAGGTGGGACAGTTTTATCCTAAAACGATCCCCCTCCCACCACCCACCCACAATGTCCATAGAAAAATTGTCTTCCATGAAACTGGTCCCTGGTGCCAAATAGGTTTGAGACTACTGGTCTAGAGATTCCTGATTTCATTTTCACTTCTACATTGAGCCACAGAACTAAGTTATCCCTCTTGGGCCCAGTGTTAATAAATGCAGCTCAGAGAGGAGAGATAATGAATCCCTTCCATCCAAGTGCTTCTTCAACTCTTTGTGGTAATAAGTTTATAAATACTGTTATGAAAAAAATGCACAGAACTTTTCCCACAATGTCTGGGGGGACATGGGCTCCTACAAACCCTCCATGGTTCTTCAAAGGAAGCATAGGGACTCTTGCATGGGAGAAACATTAGTGGTAAAATAGGTCACTCGGCTCTTTCTCTCTTTCATGGAAATATACGCTATCTTTTCTTTTCCTTTTCTTTCTTGTTTTTTTTTTTAATGTTTTAAAGTTTTCCTTTTAGGAAAAACACTTTAACAAGCGCAGGGTGACTTGGCCCACTTTGATCTGTCACACCCTTGGGGGCATCTGCCTTTCCCATCCTGACACAGGGACTCAGCTCACTTGTCTAGTGACTGGGAGAGTATCAGGGCTGTCATCCTCTGCCAAAGCTCCCATAATCTGTTCAGATGCATGGCACGCTTTGATAACTTTTAACCTCTGTTATTTCATGTGTCCCACATAAGCGGTCATTAACTCTCATCACCAGAATGTCAGGAAGAGGGTGGTGCTTGCAGAACCTTCCTTGTAATATTGTGGGATGGGAAGACTGCTGTACAGGAGATCTATTCCACTGGGGAACAATGAGTCAATTTATTTGAAAAATTCTCACAAACAGAATCTGGTATAACTAAATAGCAGTCTGTAACACTAGACAAATGTTCATTTACTTCTGCCTTTGAGGCCAATATTAAAACTAAGAATTTTGTTTCACAACAACATGGGATATTTCACAGTTCTTGATTGTTCTCAGCTTCCCATTTGCCAAGATAGGTCAGAAGAGTCTTTTTTTTAAAACATTTCTCCCTCTGAGTTAAGACTGTAGAAAAGCCCCAGGGGCTTACATGTCCCAAGACATTGGAGAGAGTCCTGGGCCCAAGGCTACCATGGCCACTGCAGAAATCCATGAGTCCATTCAAAAGCAGGCTGGACACAAAATCTACACTAAAGGCTTCTGAGGTCTGGCTGTTTTCTGCTTAAACACTTTACAGTATCTTCAGAAACACAATGCTAGTCTCTTTTTTTTCCCTGCAGTGGACAAGAGGTGTAGGGGGAAGAAGATACTTTTTGGGTCACCAAGTGTGACTACAACAGCAAACAAACAAAACAAAACAACAAGACTCAACGTTACATATGTAGCAGCTTTTCGTATCACCTTATCAGGATGACTATTGACCACCTGGCAAGAGACTATTCCCTTTCTCTTGGGACTCTACGGAAATGTCCTGACCCATTTGAACCACTTCTCAAACTGGGGGGACAAGACACTGACAGAGTCTGTGATTGTCAAGGACCTGAGAAGATACTGTTTTCTGGAGAAATTATAGAAATATCTCCAATCACTTGGTATTTGATAGACTCCATTATTTGAGTTCTATTAATACATTTGTTTGGACTGCAGGAAGAGCTTATTCTTTCCATTCTCACCATGCCCCCATAGCATATTAATATTTATAATAATATTTTAAAGTGTCTTATACCTGTTTGTTTTATTTTTATTTTTTCATGTGGGCCACTAATACATAGAAAATTACTGCTAAATAAATGCTCTTTGGAAACGACAAATCACTAAAGTACTAAAAACAATGTTGTATTGTGGCAGGGATTGCAACTGCTGTGATTATTGCAGTATCTTATATTATACCTAATCCTTCTGTTAAGTTTCCATTTGACAGCTGAGCAAAAGAGGAAAGAATGAGTGATAGATATTGGATCTTCAGCAGAAACTGCACAATCTTGAGAATTGAAGGTTAGAAGCCAACAGACCTTGGTCCTAATGAAAGTGTCCTTGACAATGGCCCCATATCTCAGTTTCTCCACCCTGAGAAGATTAATGGCATAGCAGCTCTGACATGTTATGAGGGCAAGTTTGAAATATCTGTGGTTCTCCTTTCCTTAATACTTCTCTCATTTCCTTCCAGTTTCCATTGAGTGACAACCAAGGAAGGACCCTAAGAGACAGGGAGGACAGGGGTTGGGGTGGAGGTGACATTGCTTTTCCTTCTTTCATACTCTGATTTCTGCTTTACCCTTTCATTATCTTCTTTTCTCTGGTATTGCTCTCTTCTTTGTGCACCCCGTATGTCTCACAAGTACTTTCTCATGTTACCGGTATCACGCACAAACATTCTTATGTGGCCTCTTCCTCTACTCTACTGGAATACTTCTAACCATCATTTTATTTTATTTTCATACAAGAGGGCTTGGAATGTGGTGGTTTAAATAAGAATGAGAGGCTAGTACCGGAATTTACTGAGTGACTAGTTAAGTGTGTGTATTTATTTCCTAGGGAATGCCACAAACCAGAGGCTTAAAACAACAGACATTTATTCTCTCACAGATCTGGAGAGCAGAGTCCGAAATCAAAGTGTTGGCAGCACGGCACTTCCTCTGGAGGCTCTAGAGGAAAAGCCTTCCTTGTTTCTTCCAGCTTCATGTGGTTGTCAGCATTTCCTGCAGCTGCATCAATCCAGTCTCCCTAATCTCTCCAATCTCTGCCTCTGTCTTCACATGACCTTCTCCTCTACTCTCTGTGTCCATGTGTCAACAAGAACACTTGTCACTGGATGTATGGCCCACCCAGATAGATCAGGATAATCTCATTTTGAGATTCTTCCATCTGCAAGACCTTATTTTCCAAATAAGGTCACATTTCCAGGTTCTGACATGTGGACAAGTGTTTGTGTGGGGCTACTACTCCCAACCCAAAGCAATGTGTATTTACAATTCACAAAATCTGTTAGGTAGGCAATAGAAACTCCAGTTTACAGATGAGAAAACTAAGGTCCAGGATGGTTAAGTAACTTGGTAGGAAGTAGTGAAACCCAGAATTCAAGTTTAGGTCAATGTGACATCAAAGTTTACTAAACTATATCTAAAAAATATACCAGTTCTCTCACCATTAATCTTCTTTGTGGAATCCAAAGGTAGACACAAAACTACCCCGAAAAAAGGGAGATGTTAATATATCTAGTAAATACAAAGTATTCTCTAACTTAATACATTTTCTTTCACTTTCTGCTACAATGGACTTTCCAGATATAGCTTCATATATTAAAAAGAAAAAGCCAAAATCTTAATTTACCAAAAAGTCTCTATTAAAAGTAAAAATGGCATGAAAGTAGGTATTAAATTTCTGACATAGGATCGGGAGAAAAAAAGGTAACTGTGACTCTTCGTTATTGTACATTAAAAACACTGACGTCCATGACCTCAGATGTATTCTCTGCTGAATGGAATTTGGAAATCAAAGGACTTCAGCCAACCGGCTCAATTTTTCTGTATTAAAGGAGGACACACTGGCAGTTTTTCAGCAAACAATCCAATATTTCCACTGACCTTCTGAACATTTCCACATGGATATCCTGACATCACTTCAAATTCAACTCCAGCATCGTTTTTCTTCCAACATTGCTATTTCTACCTCTTTCTGTTCCTGTCATCATGTTCCCATTTACCAAGTTAAAAATTCTTTGCCTCATGGGATTTTGTTGCTCATTTCTACCTGCATTTCTTTATTCCCCAAATGTTTTGAATATTTCTTCTGGGCCAAACACCATGCTGGGCACTGGAGATAAAAATCTCCAAAAACACAGACATAATAGTGCCCTTCTGGGAGTTGATAGTCTAGAAAGGAAAACTGACACTGAGCACACAATGACAAATTTGAATCTTGATATAAAAGGGAAAGCAAAGGTTGCAAATAGGAGAACGTTGTTGGAGAATCAAATTCATTTCTTTCTCCTCTGCCCTGCTCTTTTTTAAGTCCTTATCATACCTGACCTTTTTTTTTTTAAACTAAGGATCATCCCAAAACCTCTATTCTATTCATGTGTAAATTTATTTGGCTATGGATTCTATTCTTTTTAAAAAAAATTATTTCCACAGGTTTATGGGGAACAGGTGGTTCTTGGTTACATGAGTAAGTTCTTTAGTGGTGATTTGTGAGATTTTGGCGCACTCATCATTCAAGCAGTATACACTGAGCCCAATTTGTAGTCTTTTATCCGTCACCCCCTTCCCACCCTTTCCCCAAGAGTCCCCAAAGTCCATTGTATCATTATTATGCTTTTGCATCCTCATAGTTTAGCTTCTACTTATGAGTGAGAACATACAATGTTTGGTTTTCCATTCCTGAGTTACTTCACTTAGAATAATACTGACTTCCCGAGGTAAGCGCTCTGTCTTTAGTCCAACCTCCTGTGATCCATCCTCCAGGCTACTCTGTCCTGAAACTTCCCATGCTTCCCCTAATCATATGTTACTCTCCTCTGACAAGCTTTCAATGACACCCTTTTGCTTACAGACTCTAATCTTTTATGTGGCATTTAAGACTTTTCTTTATGTGAACTCAATCCCTTTCAATCCTGAATAGAGATTTTAAGGAAGTTGGGGAAGAGGCTTAGAGTTCTCCCTTATATTGGGGGCTTGGTATTTCTCTATAGCAAGCCCTATTAGCCCCACGAAACTTTTGCAACAGTCAACCTGCCCACTCATTAATCTAGCCTAAGATATCTGACTCATCCCAAATCCTGAACATTTATTCAAATTATTGTCCCAAGTATGCCCCCTTTCCTCTTCCCTATCTCTCAAAATGCTATCCCTGCTTCAAAGACCATTACTCTAAAACCTCCCTGACCCCAAGGTCTTTATCTCTTTTCCCTGAAATCAACACATTCACTGTCACACCTTTGGGTAAGGGAGTTCAGCTGGCTTCTAGGATGTTATTCTACTGTGTATGCAACTATGCCATATCTCCCCAGTGAGAATGTGGGCTTCTGAAGAAGGACTAGTACGGTAGCCAGTGTTTCTTTGCCACCTGCACCTTCCAATGAGTAAGCAGCCAATATTTTATATAATCATAGAGCTTTAGAGCTTTAGAGCTGGGGCCTGAGCATAACGAAGCCAGCAAAGTAAAGGATATGCAGCTGGTTAGTGGTATGAGTCAGACCAGAATCTCTTGCTAATGGACAATGCTCTTTTTGACTAATGAATGAATGAATGCAACAAATAAATGAATACAATGAGAAAAAAAGTTTTATTCTTACTGAGCTACTTCAGGCAGTGTTAAGCCTTTTCTAAACCATTGTATTGCTCTACAGATGTTGTGGTTTCTACAGGCACATGGCAATAACCATAGGTATTCAATTTGAGTTCTGTTACCCATCTTGACATCACTGCTGCAGCTGTTGACTCCTCCCACCCACCGCCTACCTCCCATTCACACTCTGATTTATTCTTGGCTGTAAGTAGGGAACTTGAATTCAAAGCTGTCAGTTCAATTTTCCATGCCTGAGATTTGTGGTGTAGAAACATGGGGAGACACAAACCCACACTCTATCTATGTGTGAGGTAGGATATTGTGTGAGATAACAAAGGCAGTCGGAAGATGATCGCCTGATATCTCTTGCCTTTGAGACAGCTAGGGTTGGTTGCAATATTTTACTGGACTTATGAGCTGTCAGTCAGGAACACAGAGGTGGGACAGGGGCACCCCAGGAAATCAAAGCAAATTCAATTATTATCTATCTGCTGACAATGGCAAAACCATTTCATTCCTCAGCTCTTCACAGAATGGGTTGGGGGAATGAAGGCTGTGGAGAAATTAAAAGCGTGAACATTTTTAATGAGTGCAATTATTGAATCATCAGTCACACAGTCCATCTGTTTCAGAGCATTCCATTGACTGGTGAAATTCTAAAATACTGCATTGCATTTTCACATTCATGTAATCACATAAATGTTTTTTAAGGAACAGCTAATGATATTCATATATCCTGCTTATCCCTTCTATAACTCAGCATTCTCCTTTTGTCTGTTTCATTTTATTAGTCACTAATTTCACATTCTGACATCAACTTGGTGGGAATTTGTTGGCAACTGCATGAGTAAGAGGCTGCCCAGTGACATTAAATAGTGTGTTATGGAATA
This sequence comes from Homo sapiens, assembly GCF_000001405.40. Taxonomy (NCBI): domain Eukaryota; kingdom Metazoa; phylum Chordata; class Mammalia; order Primates; family Hominidae; genus Homo; species Homo sapiens. Next base: position 7,907,121 of record NC_000009.12, on the reverse strand, counting down.
TTCATTTGTAGAAATAAACTAATGCAAAATTTATCTCAAAGGTCCTGTTTAGCCTGGAGTTTTGAGAGCAAAATGAACTTGGTTTCAGGGCAAAGAGAGAGAACTCATTTTTAAAGTCTTTTTCCAGAGATGACTAAGCTACTGAGGAGAGAGGTGAAGTAATGACAGTGTGTCAGTGAGAAAACTGGGTTTGCTGGGGATGGCTCAGATGCCTTTGCAAATTAGAGCTTTGGGAGAGGAAGGATGAAGATGGAATTTGGGGGAAAACAACTATAACCAAGGAATGGTATGCGGAAAAACTGTAAGACTGCAGTGGTTCAGGTTTGTTAAGAGTTGAATTGTGTCCCTCAGAGAGCAATGTGGAAGTCCTAATCCCCAGTACCCATGAATACGACCTTATTTAGAAATAGGCCTGTGTGACTGGGTGTGGTGGCTCACGCCTGTAATCCCAGCACTTTGGGAGGCCGAGGCGGGCTGATCACAAGGTCAGGAGACCGAGAACATCTTGGCCAACATGGTGAAACCCCATCTCTAATAAAAATACAAAAATTAGCCGGGTGTGGTGGCAGCGCCTGTAGTCCCAGCTACTCTGGAGGCTGAGGCAGGAGAATCACTTGAACCTGGGAGGCAGAGGTTGCAGTGAGTTGAGATCATGCCACTGCACTCCAGCCTGGGCAACAAGAGTGAAACTCCAACTCAAAAAAAAAAAAAAAAAAAAAAAAAAAAAAAAAAAGAAAGAAATAGGCCTTTTCAGATATAATCAAGTTAAGGTAAGTTTATTGAGGTAAGCTTTTAATCTAAAGTGTCTCGTGTCCTCGTAAGGTGGAAAGACACAGATGCACAGGGACAGCAGCATGTGACAGCAGAAGCAGAGACTGAAGTGATGCAGCTGCAAAACAAGTGACTCTTGGGGCTACCGGAAACTTGAAGAGACAAGGAAGGATATCCCATTGTGTACACAGAACACATTTCCTTTATCCATTCATTAGTCGATGGACACTTAGGTTGCTTCCATATACAATGGAACACAATACAGCCTTTTACAAGGAAGAAAATTCTGTTATTTGCCACAAATGGATGAACCTGCTAAGTGAAATAAGCCAGGTGTGGAAAAACCAATACCACATGATCTTACTTATATGTGGAGTCTAAAACAATTGAACTCATAGAATTAGAGAGTAGAATGGTGGTGACCAGAGGCTAGGGAGGTGAGGTAGAGATGGATAAAGGGGAGATGTTGATCAAAGGGTAAAATTTTCAGTTAGACAGAGGGAATAAATGTTAGCCATCTGTTACACAGAATGGTGACTATAATTAATAATAATGTATGGCATATTTCAGAATTGGTAAAGGAATAGATTTTAAATTGTTCTCATCACAAAAAATAGTAAGTATCTAAGGTGATGGCTATGTTAATTAGCTCAATTTTATCATTCTACAATGGAAATCTATATCAAAGCATCATATTGTTCCCCATAAATCTATACAATTATTGTCAATTGAAAATAAAATTTTTATAAAATACAGTGAAGGATCCTCCCTTAGAGACTTAGGTTATTCTCCTGCCTGATACCTTAATTTCAGACTTCTTTCATTCAGAACAGTAAAACAATAGCTTACTATTGTTTTGAGTCACCCAGTTTGTAGCACAGTACTTTGTTACAACAACCCTAGGAATCTCATACAAGGCATAAAGACAGTTGCTGTGATTTAGATCTCTACATAACACACATTGATCAAACAGCTGACCTTCTGTGCCTCACACTGGGCTCAGCACTACAAAGCTGGTTAAGGAGTCATGGTTCCTTTGCTTTGCTCAGAAGGTTAAACTAACGCTGGTGTTATGTCTCTCAGCCTGTCCAGGCACACGAATGCCTTCTATTTTGTTGTTGATCACTGCATTGCCTTTCAGGAAAATTTACTGGTCTCTTATATGATAGTATCACCTGAGAACACCAATTCAGTTGAGACTATAGGTTTGAAAAGTTTTTGAAAAAAAGTCACCAGAAAGGACACAATAGTAAGAATATCCAGTTGCAAGCTAAGGTTCTCAGAGGGCACTTAGAGCTGCAAGTGAATACACTGTTTGCTTAGAGATAGTTGTCTGCACACATGGTGGTTGAGTGGGGGGCCAGGCTGCCTGGGTTCATACTGAAGCTCCCCACCTACTGCCTTCGGTGAGTTACTTAATCTCTTTGTGGCTCAGTTTCTCCTTAATCTCTTTGTGGCTCAGTTTCTCATCTACATTTGCCTTAACACTTTCTTGGAAAAAATAAGTAGTTAATCAATACAAATTACTTAGACTAGTACTTGGCCCATAGTAAATGCTCCATACATGTTAACTATTATTTTATATATAAGCATTTCTGAGTGTTTATAAATAGATTTCTATATCAAAGTTATAAGTAAAATAATTTTCTAGGAAAATATGTTTTGGGGACTAGAATTTTTTGCATGCTGATGCATCTTTCTATCCACCAGAGATTCTTATGGGATAGGAAAACACAAAATCACTTTGAAAATAAGTATTGGTGTTATTCAATGAGTTTTATAACATCCAGCAATCTAGTAGTCTGGAAAGAACAAAAACGGAGAAGAGGAAGGGGACAAGAAAGCAAATAGGCTTAATGAAGAAGTGTGGGTATGGATGTGTACATTTTGTGTGTGTCTATGTGTATGTGTTTAGGGAGTTAGAAGTGGGGAGATAGACTTCATCATAGAGAGAGATGGATACATTTTTACTGTTTCCCTCTGTATCTCTCTGGAACTTAACTGATTCCATTAATTTTCTATACGATGACCAGAAAACCAATAAGTTGAGCCTACTTTTTCAAATCATGGTAGTAATTATATAGAGTGAATTGCACAAATATTAAGTGTAGAGCTCAAGAACATTTTGAAATATCTTAATAATCAATTGCCAGATCAAGATATATAACATTTCTATCATTCCAGAAAAGTTCTCTTGTACTTCTTTTAGGTCAATAGCACTTTAGAGCGAGATGCCTAAATGTATAATTAGCATTATATAAATGAAATTGTGTGTACTATTTTGTGACTTTTATTTTTAGCTCAACATAATGTTTTGAATCTATATTGCGGCATGTATGAGTAGTTCATTCCTTTTCAATGCTCAGTAGTATTCTATTATATGATTATACTATACATTGCATATCCTTTCTTTTCTTCATGGACATTTGGGTTGTTTCTTATTTTCATGGTTCCAAACCCAAATAAGAAGGATTAATTCAGTGGTCTTCAAAATTTTTTAATCAGTAGAACTGTTTTTTTAGCTGAAATCTATGTGAAAGTGCAGCATATATAAAATATATGAAACAAATCTCTTCTAGATAAAAATTGGAGATTTGGAGACGCTGACTCCTAGTATAGCTCCTCCCCATTCCTCCCATAGCCTTAATTTTTAAATCTTGTCTCAAAAGAATAGCGTTCCACAGGAATACTTTTAAATAAACACTTGTTTAACCATCAACACATCCATTATATTTGTTTAGGACCCCAAAAAAATAACAAATTATGACACACATAATTTCAAAACCTCAACAACTCTTTAAGCCATTGTTGCTTGAAAGAAGTGACACCCATTTACAGATGAGGACACTAGCATAGCTAAAGGTCTCATCTCGGGTAACAAAGCTACGTCACCTTGGCACATTACCGAATGTAATGTGCTTCCCGGTCAAGTCGGATTGCCAGACTTCCTGGTCAAGTCTGATTCTCTCCTCTCTGCTACGTGAGAACTGATACCTGCTCATATTATAGCCTATTTGCACATCCAAATGGTTCCCAGTGTGCTTGGAAATGTGTGGATTTTTGTCAGTCTTTGTTTTGTTGTTTGACTTTAATTCAATCATCATTCCAAAAGCCTATATTCAGTGCCTACAATGCAAGACACTCTATGGGGATATCAAGGCATCTGTGTCTACAAATTGGACTACTGGAGTTTCCTTAATGTATTAGTTTCCATACTCTAATCATGTCAGCCACTTTAAAAAAACATTCCAGCTATAGCATTACATTCCTATTCATCTTGGAGTGTTGAGAATTCTCATTTTTCCACTCGATGATGGAAACAATGGTGTTCCCAGTGTCCCCATTCTACCTTCCATAATGTGGAATACTTTAGCATATAGTGATTTCCTGCCAAAATAACTCTGAAAAAAATACTTTAAAGTATAAAAATATTTACGAATACATTCCTATATAAAATATCCTTATTGCTTCTGGGTCATGTATTAGAGTAACTGTCCCAGACAAGACCCTGTGCAAGCATGGAGATCCGGTGTCTGAAGGTTCAGGATAAATCTCCAAATCTTTTGTCTTAGTTCATAATGAGACCTGGTACTGAATTAACATCTTTGGTTCATTGACGAAATAATTATTTGTGACATTTTCAAATACCCTAATTTGGTGAAAAGAACACAAATCAAAGGCGTCCCCAAATCATCATTACCTTATGCAGAGATACCTGGCTCCCAGCTGGTAGTCAATAAACACTTGAGCTGCTGCCTTATTTTTTTTTTTTTCATTACTTTTGATGTTTGTCTTGACCTGTGAGGTGGTTTCTGTGAGTAAGGGTAACAATGTCCAAATGCCTCCAGGTGTTCATATGAACACATGCCCCAAGGTCAGCTTTCAAAATAGATGAGAATCACTTTGGGGCTTTTCTGTTTCCCCTGGCTTTGCAATGAGGGGCTCAAGAAGTGGTGGCTCCACACTGGAAAGATGTGAGAATAAGTTCATTAAAAAGTTTTATGCCTTTAAAAAGAGCAGGAAAAAAGACTAATATATGTGAAGAAGAGTATACGAAAGTCCCTTGGGTTACCAATGGCTATGGAACCAGTGCTGCAAATGAGCCCTGAAATCTAAATTGGTTTAGAAATAGAAGAAATGGCATTATTCAGTACCATTTCACAATAAGTGCCACCACTTAGTGCTCTAGTTTGGCTTTTTATGTATTTATGTGAGTACGTTGGGTGTCCATCTGGATCTTTTAATCTATCCAGTTATATGCTTGGGTGTGTTCTCTGCATAATATCCTTCCTCCCAGGCCTCTGGAAACGCATGAACAAATACTGACTTGGGGGGAAAAGAATTTTTGCTGATTAGAGAACAAAGCAAGAATGTTAAACTCAGCAGGGGATTTTGATTTGCCTGCCATGGAAGGGCTGAGTGTACGCTTTTGGATTGTATGGGCCCTCTTTGGTTTTGGAAGTTTGACCTGCTGCACTCCCATAAAGGAATCACAAAGCCCTAGATGGCCAAGCACCACTCACTAAATTTGGAATCCTTGCAATGGTGTAAAGAGCAACTTCTCTTATCTTCAGATGCGGATGACGCATTCTTGCACAAATATATGGAGGCCCCTGGAATGCATCCAAAAGTAAATGTTACCACTTAAGAGAATTTCAAGAGAAATGTTAGGTAAAGAGAGCCCAAAGCACTAACATCGTCTCAATTTTTAGCTCATCCAGGGAACTTCTTAGCATAACATGATATTAGAAGTAGCCTAGGCTAGTTAAGAACAGGGACTCTGGAGCTGTTCCACCTCAGTTTGTCTCAGTTCTATTGCTAAATAGCTATAAAATCACTAATCTTGGGTGAGTCACCTAATCCCTCAACACCTTAATTTCTTTATCTGTAAAATGGGCATGATAACAGTGGTAGTTATTGTATATTGTTGCAAGTATATATACAAAGCACGTAATAAACTCAATATTGAATAGTAGATACTTTTATTGTTTTCCTTATATTTTTATTGTTTCCATAAAAGAAAGGCTTTATACCAGCAATTATTGAGGGCTTTTTAATGTCCCTTTTGTATTAGAAGAAAAAAAGATGGGGGTAGGTAGTGAAAAATGTCATCTGTTTCTTTCCAAGAACACTAAACAAACTACAGACCTGTCTGTAGTAATGGAATCTATCCGCAAGAGATACATTTACTTTGAACAGTCAACCACAAATACAGCCTCTTCATATAGCGAAATAAATAAAAAATGCTTATTTTATTCCAAGAGTCTGCTCATGCTCTTATGGTGCTGATATCTTCTATCACTTTTTTCCTTTAATGCACTGTATCCATGGACAACTTTTACAACCTGCTGTGAGGTAGAGATCCTATCTATATTATTCATCTCTCTTCACCCAAAATGAACATAGCACACAGGAGCTACTTCATAAATATTTTGGTATTGAATAAACAAATTAATATATCTTCCATGTTCTTCCCACTTAAAGAGCCCCACCCTATTCATTCATTCGTATGCATATGCCCTACTCACGCAACACACTTTCATACTTGGCTCTCCCTCTATCCTATCACCTCAGATGTAACTCTTATTTATTTCTCAAAGCTTACATCAAAACAGCTCTTCCAAAATGCCTTTCCTCATTTTGCCAACTCAATGTGCTATATCCTTGAACTCCCATATGCTTTTCCTTTAACACTCTTAGTATACTTATGATTTCTTGCCTTCATTATAATGATGCATGGAAGCGGCACATATCTACAGTGGACCCATAAGGTCAGGCACTGATTTGTATCTTACACAGTGGCTACTATTCAAAACACATTTATTAAAAGCTAAACAAAAAGTTTTTAATAAGTGTATTTTATTATAAAATATAAAATTATATATAAAGTATATATAGTTCAGCAGGCATATGTTTACATATCCACTTCAAACCACTTCAGGCTACAATCTGAACTAAAAAGGCTTATGGTTATACTATGGGAATCAAACTTGTTTTCTAAACCCCAGTTCCTTGATTTGGCCAACAGAAGGACCTAGTCCATTTGAATTTATTCTGAGGAGTAGCTTGGTAACCTATTGACTTAGTTTTTCAGTTCTTGTGAATGCTTAGCTATTATTAAACTTAACAGAAGGTAAGAGTGACCCACAAGATGTTTTTCAAAACACATTTCTTGATATGGGTAGCTAGTTTTGCTATCTACTGTTAATTGATATCCTTCTAATTGTGACCCTTCTCATGTCCCACTTTGGAACTTATCTTGAATTATGAGAGTAGATAGCTCTCCTTAGCAGATTTCTGCTGGCATATTCTCCAGAATATGTTCCATGAGCAAATAGCATAAATGTTGGATAGTGAAGTCAGAGAATCTGTGAATTTGCCCCTGGGTTATGTGGCCAGCTTAACCAGCAGCAGCCTTTTGGATCTAGAATATTCTATCAGATAACAGTCCTGCTTTGCTCCTTCCCGGGACAGTGTGCCTATTGGGAGCACTGCTAAAGAGGCCGACAAAGGTAACTTTTTCGGGCATTAAATTTGATCAAGTCATTTCCAATTCTTGTTGGAAACAGGAAGAGTATAAATAATAAATAAATTGATTAATGCAATCATATTGGTTTAGCAAGTTACTGAATATAGCAATGCATTTTCAAAAGTCATCTAAGGAAAATAACAAGACATAATGGAAGCAACTTTCTAATAGGATTTTGAAAACATAGCTTGAGTCCTGACTCTGCCACCTACTAATTAACTACTTCTCAAGTTGTTTTCTTCTTTGGCCTTAGCTTCCCCATCTGTAAGATGTAAACAGAAAAAAATAACTCTCACAGAATACCTTACTGAGTGGCAGGGACCCTCAGAGTGGCATCCCCTTTAATCCTCATGAAGGGGCAGCACCATTATTATGTTACTGATGAAGAAACTGTAGCTCAGAGAGATTCTATCACATGCCCAACATCAGCGACCATGAGTGAAGACAAAACTTGAACCTAGGTCTATTAACCTCTAAATCCTGCACATCTCTTACTCATCCACAGTGTATCAGATACTACCACCTATCCTGATGACCTAGTACCACAGGGATGAAATGTGGTAGTGAAAGAGAAAATTATTTACAGATAGCAATGTGTGCTACTGTAACTGAGGTGCAATGATCAGTTTTAGTCCGAAACAATTAATTGCCTATTAGACTACAAAATACAAAATTTAAAAAAAAAAACCTACACACTAAAATACACCTCTTAGATTTGTTTGCTAAACTCTGTTATATTTCCATCCTCCCTACCATGAGGTGGTAGGGGTTGGTCTTCAATATGCAGTAGAGTCTCTGTCCTTTTTCCTCCCTAACCATGCTATAGGCTCCTCTATTCATTTCCCATTGTTGCCATAACAAATTACTACAAATGTAGTAGCATAAAACAACAGTTTTTTTACCTTATGATTCTGGAGGTCAGAAGTTTCAATGGGTCTCGCTGGGCTAAAATCATGGTGTTGGCAGGGCTGGGTTCCTTTCTGCAGGCTATAGAAGACAGTCTATTTTCTTCCCTTTTTCAGCTTCTAAAGGTTGCCAGCTTCTGGAGCACTGGCTGGTGGCCCCTTCCTTTAACTCCGAGGCCCATAACAACTGGTTGAGGCTCGGTCACATCATATCTTTCTGACATTGACAGTTCTGCCTTGCTGTTTCACATTTTAGGACCGTTCTGATTACATTGGGCACACCAGGGCAACTCAAGATAATATCCTTATTATAAAGTCAGCTGATCAGCAACCTTAATTCTACTCACAACCTTAATTCCCCCTCATCATGTAATATGCCATATTCCCAGGTTCCAGGGATTAAGAGTCATGTATCCTTGGAGGGCCATTATTCTGCCTATCACAGCCGTCCCAGGGAGGAAACTGAATCTTAGTCTTCTAGAAGTCTAACCACATTCCTGGGTACTGCTATAGCATGGGACCTTGTAGAGAATTCTGGTTCAGAATGTGGTTCCTGGAGCTGTATGCCTGGGTTCAAGTGCCAGCTCTAGTACTTACTAGCAGTGTGGCCTTGAGCCAATTACTTCTCTATGCTTCTATTTCTTCATCTGTAAAGGGGGATAAAGAAAGTAATAAGAGCAAATACTTACATAGTGTTTAGCTTGTGTCAGACACTATTCTAAGCCCTTTTACATATATTTCCACATTTATAGCTCAAAGCAACCCTCTGAGGTTGTTTCTATTATTACTCCCATTTTACAGATATGGAAATCAAGGAACTGAGTTGGTTAGTAACTTTTCCAAGGTTACATAGTTCATAAGAGGCAGAGTCAGGGCTTATACCCAAGCAATACTGCTTCAGAGTCCTGCTCCTAACCACCACAGCAAACAACATTATACAATTGTCGAGAGGATTAAAGAAGTTAATATTTACTTTGTGTTTAGAATTATACCTGGAATGTTTTAAGACCTATAGCTATTACTATAATAGGCAGTGTTCTGTTTCTAAAACCGTTGAATTAATACAATTGGCAAAAGAAATTTAGTGTTAGGTCATCCTGTGTTTATCCCTTTTACATACAAACATCATTACACTTTTGTCTGACTTTCCACTTCAATCCTCAACCTCCTAGGATAAGTCTCCAAGCCATTTCCCCAGATTCTTCGCTTCATCAACTCAACTAATTTTGAAATTTCTGCTGTGAGTCTAAAGCTTTTTTGGAAAACAACTAATGCTAACAAATGACTTTTCCTGCCTCAGTCTTGACTTGTCTTCAGCATTGAACTCACATTTCTAAGACTTTTGTTGAAGTTCTGGCAGAACTATTGGCTGGCTACAGACCTTGGATTGAGTATTAGCATCCTCATTTGTAAAATAGGGATAAAATTCTCGAGAAGACTGTTTAAGGATCAAACGAGAAATGCACATAAAATTGATATATAAAAGTAAAATGCTTTTCGAATTCGGGCAAAGTTAGTATTAACTTGCACATACACTGTCAAGAAATACTGGCTATGGTTGAGCCTAAACATGGTGACCTATAGTTGTGAACTATAGTTTTCAGTGTAATATATAAAAAAAAAATACTGCATAAAATGGCAATTCTGCCTCTGTGAACATCTTCTCTTTTCTCTCCTTCTCCAATGTAGAGACACAGAAATAGAGCACGAATCTGGAAGAAGAATTTTTTTTCAGCATAATTTCCTGACCCTTAACAATTATATCTTACAGAATAGTCATAGGAACTAAGATAATGTATATAAAAATGGCCAGCTGCCAGGTCTAGCACTTAGTTAACAAAAATATCAATTGTCATCATCGTTATTATTATCATTATTATCATTTGTATCATGAAACACAAGGATCAAACAAAAAATGTTCCCCTGGACTACAGCCTAAACTCCATTGTATTTACTTTTTTTTTTTTCCATGGGCCACCTTCATCTTCAGGCCATCCTAGAACTTCCTTTTTTCTTTTCAGGTGGATGTCTAAGGCTATAGAACCATTCTGATTACATTGGGCACACCAGGGCAATGGTGAAATTTCCATTGATCAGAAAATAAGGTCTGTCAAGTACTTCAAAATTGTACCAATCAGAGCAGCTTTTCAATAACTTCTCCATAGTTTAGCAGCTTATTCAAGTCTCAGCTAGTTTCTCCTTACCTTGAAGCCAATTTGTTTAGGAACAACTCTGAGATAAGAACAATAAGGGAGAATACAAGGAAATACAAACACTTACTAGATTCATGTTAAAAAGACTTCAGAAATCTCTAGTGCTAAGATATAAAAGAATATTTAGATTTGGTCCCATCTTTATGGAGATTATAGTATAGAATTTTTATTTATTCATTCATTTAGTCATTTGTGGTTTTTTTTTTTTTTCATTTTTTTCATAGGCATTTAGCCAGCTTTTGGCAACTACTGAGGTCCCTGGAGAAAATCAAAGATATTTAGGACAGTGCTTTTCACCAAAATCTGATAGCCTAGTTGCCACATGAAATGATGCAATGATGCAATCAGCCTGAATGGGTAACATTTGTATATTTATAGAATAGGATGATACATTAAGAAAATGCAGCCCCATCAAATCTTTTCATAGATTTCTCTGCAACAGAATTCATTATGTACTTCTTCATTCAGTGATGAAACAAATATTTATTGGACACCTACTATATGCTGGCATTGTGCTGCTGGTCTCTGGGGATACAAGGATACAAGCTGGACCCAGATGGACCAGATCTCTTCCTGCTCTCAGGGAGCAAGCATTCTGATGGGAGGAGTGGAAAATTAATGAAATTTCTGCAAAGTTACAACTCATATCTGAAGGATGAGTTAGAAAAGGAGAGGTAAGTGCATTCAAGACAGAGGAAATTGAATGTGCAAACACATAAGAAAAGAGGGCACGTAGTGAGTGAAATGGGAATATGTTAGGACGTGAGGCTGGAGGAATTCAGTAGGAGACTGTGCAGGGACTTGTTGGCCACACAAAGTTTTGTTTATAAGAGCAAGAGGATGCACTAAGGGGTATAAAGCAAATTGGTGAGCCCTGACTGGATTTGAGTTTTTGAAAATATCATGTTGACTGCAGCATCCAGAAGAAATTGGAGTAGGGCCAGGTTGGAATCCAAGGGATAGTTAGGAGGTATTGGAATTGTCTAGACAATAGATGATGATAATGTGGACTAGTGACGGGGTAGTGGCTATGGAAACCAGTGGGTGGGGTAAGAAATATCTTAGAGATCAAGTCTATAGGACTTGGTAATGGATTAGGTGTGGGTGATGAGAGGAGAAATAAGTTACAATCAATTTTTACTGAGACAGAACTGAGAAAAATCTGGACAGAGAATTCTGTTTTCCACATCCTCAGCTGCCCCTATGGTTCCTTATTTCTACTGAGGGACACGTTTTCCTTCAGTTTCCTTTAGTTTCTAACTTCCGAAATTCTCAAACTTCTCCAAACTCTCTCTCTCACACACACATACTTTCTCAGGATTTGTTAGTCTTTTTACACTTACTCGTAAAATACTACAATAAGGATTAATGCTTTTCTCCTCCTATACTATTTGCTCTTCATAGAGGAATGACTCCATTGGTGTGGGTGTATATTGCAAGGTTCCCAAAGATTCACCAGATCAGTGGTTTTAAACCAGAGATGATTTTGTCACCCAGGGGATATTTGACAATTTCTGAGGACACTTGATTGTTGCAACTTCATTGGGGTGGTTGCTGGCATCAAGCAGATAGAGGCAACAAATGCTGGTAAACATTCTACAATGCACAGGACCAGCCCCCCAACATATAATTATCCGACCCAAAAATGTCAATGGTGCCAAGAGAGACAAATTTTGCCCTAGATGTCAACTCCTCCTAAAGCTGGCCAAATATAATAATACTCCAGGAGCTACCTCTAACATCTTATGAATCCTTGCCAGTTTTTTTAAAAATAAATAAAACAAGAGAAAAATATATCTAGAACTGGGAATATGGCATACCAAGATGCTACTCTTAACTTTTTAAAACTAATCAAAATGGGTGAAGGGTGCTGGGAGGAGTCAGTAATTAGAGCATTTCTGAATTAGAAACAAGAGCAGAGCCAGCCAGAGAAAAGTGTAATTTAGGGCCTCATCAATTAGCTGACTGGATTTTCTATGATACTAAATTTGAGGCCGAAATGGATTATAGTAGTGATTTTGGCACAGGCTTGAGCAAAAACCAGTCATATATGAGGCTGGGTCAATTAGGGGATATCACATACTTAAAAGCTTCCATAGTTAATTTAATGAATTATAACAATAGGGGCAAGGTATAAAACTTCTTAACACAAGGGAACTCCAAGGAAAAACTGGCAGATAATTCCCATCTCATCCCGTTGTGCTTGTGGATCTCAGCACATATGGTCCTGCACCAGGGGTTGTAGAACAGTGAACGATTCTAACACCATATGTGTGGAAATCCTGTACCTTGCAGAGAGGGAAGGAGCAGGGAAAGCTTGTCCTTGAATTCTGGACCTTTACAGTTATTTTTCTCCTGGCTCCGTATCAGATTTTGCCCGCTCCATATGGTATTTTTAACTTATTGTATTTTGTTTTGAATGAAATCATCTTGGGGATTTTAATTGCTTATTTTCAATACTAATTTCCATTTCTGTGAATACAGAGGAAGTAGACTTGCTTCTCTTTCAAATACAAAAAGAAAACAATTATGAAAACGACTCAGCATGAATAGTATTTTATTTTCCAATGAAAGGTCTGTACTGTGTCAAATATATGCACCTGTGTGCATATGCATATCTTTAAAATTCTGTATTCATATTTCTGGGGGTTTGGTAGAAGGAAATGCACTATTTAAAGCTAAGCTACTATTGTTATTTATCTAGTGGTTTGGGACCTGTAGATTTGGAGGGGGCAATTTTCTATCATTAGGAAAATTCTAATTAGTCTTCCTTTTCACTATAAGCTGATATAGTTAAGGATAGTATAAGATTAAGAGGCTCAGGCAGTAGAATTTTAAGGGAATACAACATGGAAATGTTTTTTAGAGATTTTTCTATAACACCACCATAAGGTTAAAAAAAAAAAAGACTGAAGAACTAAAATGGTTGTTTATTGAAAGAGCTTCTTCATCAACACTCTTAAGCCTACTGGCCCTTCCTTTTGGCTGTATGGGCTAAGCCAGTAAAACATCACAGAGTTATAACCACCCATGCCCTCTTAGCTCATGGTCTTGAGTTGGGTCCCTTGTCAGTGTCTTCTCTTTCCCTTTACTTGCCACCCCAAACCCGCACTAACTTCTAGCCCACTTGTAGTTTGATGATAATCTCAGCTCTTATTTCTTTGAAGAAATTGAGGCTATCAATCAACATAGTGTTCAGTTTGGAGCTTCCCCAAATATGCCTGCACTTATTTTTGCAGACAACATTCTCTGCTTTTCTCCAGTCATAGATAAGCTAGTCAGGGCTGGGCCCCTAAACTGATTTGCTTCCATTTCCTCTGGAACCCTACAATGATTTCTTTTCCCTGCAACTTCTATTCATCCTTCCATTCAGTTCTTTTCCTGTAGCCTACAAATATAATCGAGTTCCTTCCATACCAAAAATGTCTAGCTGTCTCCTTCCCTTAGCCAGGGTTTTTGTCAGAGGATTGTTATAGCTGCCATTCTCTCTGTTCCTACTCATTCTTCAACCCTTAGTAATCTGGCCTTCTTCCCATCACTCCACTGTAGCTGCCTTTGCTAAGGTTGCCAATGGCCTCCCTGTTGCCAAATACCGTGGACCTCTGCAGGTAGTTATCTTTCTTAAACTCTTCGTTGCGCTGGCACTGCTTATTTCTTATTCTAGTTGGTCCCCCACTCCTTTTTTTTTTTTCTGCTTTGGCTCCTGTGATACTTGTTACTCTGGTTCCGTTTCACTTCTGTGACTATTTCTCTACAGTCCTGTTTATGACTTCTGTCTCCTTTCTCCATGACCCACACTGCTCTTTTCCTCTTCAGCCTCTATTTGGCCAATTTCATTGAAAGTTCTAGTGGAAAACTATAATCTGCGTGCAGATGAGTTTGACATTTTGTTCTTAAATTCCCAAATGTTCTTTGAACTTAAGACTCAGAAAATCTTTTGCATATCTCTGTTAGAAGGCCCAGTGGCTCTTCAAACTCACAGTATTCCAATACAAATTCAAATTTCTTCAATCTCTTTCCTCAACAAAGTTGCTTCTCTATATATATTCTGCTTTCAAATAATAGAGCCTAAATCCATTTGGCCATCCAAGCTAAGCACTTGGAAGTCAATTTAGATTCTCCCTTCCCTCTCTATGCATCTAATCATTAAGTTGTGCTTACTTTATCTTGCAAATATTTATTAAATGTAACCCCCTCGCTATCCCTGCAACCAATGCCATAGTTCATGCTTTAATCATGGCCTTAATAGAAAAAAGACTAACCTTCCTGGAAGAATGGGAAATTCTGCCAGCAGACTGCCTTTTAATTCAAAACAGTAAATATCCCCTGGGTTGCTATCTTGGGTTTCCAGCCTATCAGCCTAATCCTACAGATTGTGGACTTGCCAGCATACACAATTGATATGGTTTGTCTGTGTCCCCACCCAAATCTCATCTTGAATTCCCACATGTGGGAGGGACCCGGTGGGAGATGATGGAATCATGGGGGCAAGTCTTTTCCATGCTGTTCTTGTGATAGTGAATAAGTCTCATGAGATCCAATGGTTTTATAAGGGTGAGTTTATAAACTCACAAGTTCTCTCTTTTTGCCTGCTGCCATCCAGGTAAGACATGACTTGCTTCTTTTTGCTTTTTGCCATGATTGTGAGGTCTCCCTAGCCGCAAAGAACTGTAAGTCTCTTAAACCTGTTTCTTTGCAAATTGCCCAGTCTCAGGTATGTCTTTATCAGCAGTGTGCAAATAGACTAATACAGTAAATATGAGACTTGGGACTTTGGACTGTGGACTTTTGAGTTAATGCTGAAATGAGTTAAGACTTTGGGAGACTGTTGGGAAGACATGATTGGTTTTGAAATATGAGGACATGAGATTTGGGAGGGGCCAGAGATGGAATGATATGGTTTGTCTGTGTCCCCACCCAAATCTCATCTTTAATTCCCACATGTTGTGGGAAGGTCCTGGTGGGGGGTGATCGAAATATGGGGACAGGTCTTTCCTGTGCTCTTCTGTGACAGTGAATAAGTATCACAAGGTCTGACACTTTTATAATGGGGAGTTTCCCTGCACAAGCTCTCTCTTTGCCTGCCGCCATTAACGTAAGATGTGACTTGTTCCTCCTTGCCTTCCTCCATGATTGTGAGGCCTCCCCATCCATGTGGAACTGTAAGTGCATTAAACCTCTTTCTTTTGTAAATTACCAATCTTGGGTACGTCTTTATCAGCAGAATGAAAATGGACTAATACAACAATCAAATAAGGTATTTCCTTAAAATCTCTCTCTCTCTGTGTCTCTTTCCCACTTTCTCTTCATCCTTCATGGTTCTGTTTCCCTGGAGAATCCTGATATGGGTCTCATAGTTCCTAGGCAGTCTAGAAGGCAGAAAGTAGGGCTAGAAGGTCTGTGCAATATCTCTGATAACCCCTGTTTTATATTACCATTTTATTTTATTTTTTATTTATTTATTTCTTTTTTTGAGATGGAGTCTCGCTCTGTCGCCCAGGCTGGCGTGCAGTGGCACAATCTTGACTCACTGCAAGCTCTGCCTCCCGGGTTCACACCATTCTCCTGCCTCAGCCTCCTGAGTAGCTGGAACTACAGGCGCCCGCCACCACGCTGGGCTAATTTTTTGTATTTTCAGTACAGACAGGGTTTCACTGTGTTAGCCAGGATGGTCTCAATCTCCTGACATCATGATCCACCCACCTTGGCCTCCCAAAGTGCTGGGATTACAGCCATGAGCCACCACACCTGGCCTGTATTACCATTTTATTTTTAAAAAATCTGTTGAGGCTGGGCACAGTGGTTCACACCTGTAATCCCAGCACTTTGGGAGGCCGAGGCGGGTGGATCATGAGGTCAGGAGATCAAGACCATCCTGGCTAACACGGTGAAACCCCATCTCTACTAAAAATATAAAAAGTTAGCTGGGCATGGTGGTGGGTGCCTGTAGTCCCAGCTACTCAGGGGGCTGAGGCAGGAGAACGATATGAACTTGAGAGGCAGAGCTTGCAGTGAGCCGAGATTGTGCCACTGCACTCCAGCCTGGGTGACAGAGCGAGACTCTCTCAAAAAAAAAAAAATAAATAAAAGTATGTTGGAATGCTCCCTACTTATAAGTTCCATCATAAGACTGCTTTGATTATCACATTTAAATCAATATCTTCTTGCAGATAGAGAGAATTGAAAAAGTGCTCTTCCATTACTCTATGAACATTTTTTTCTTTGCATTCTTTTTTTTTTTTTTTTTTTTTTTTTTTTTTGAGATGGAGTCTCGCTCTGTCGCCCAGGCTGGCATGCAGTGGCACGATCTCGGCTCACTGCAAGCTCCTCCTCCCGGTTCACGCCATTCTCCTGCCTCAGCCTTCCGAGCAGCTGGGACCACAGGTACCTGCCACGACGCCTAGCTAATTTTTTGTATTTGTAGTAGAGACAGGGTTTCACCGTGTTAGCCAGGATGGTCTTGATCTCCTGATCTCATGATCCACCCACCTCGGCTTCCCAAAGTGCTGGGATTACAGGCGTGAGCCACCGCGCCTGGCCTTCTTTGCATTCTTGTAGGCTCAGTGTATTCCTTTACAGTCCAGATGGCAAGTAGGTAAAGTTTTCTTCATACCTGGACTAAATGTGTATGGCAGCCTCTCTGCATTTATTACAAATAATGCAAAAGATAAAATATTCAGTACATATTTCCCTTTGCAGGGCTACCTCCTCTTTCTCATCATTCAAGGCCCTGCTTAAATTTAAGTTCTTCAGAGAAGCTTTCTCTGAATATTGATAACTAAGTTTCACCCATAGCGTCCTTCTTTCTTCTTATCTCAATGGACTAAATTATTTTTATCATGGGACATATCAAGTCATAAATAAGCTAATTATTTATTCATTTATGTCTTCATTTTTCTCCTATTGAATTATAAGTTCCATGAAGCCAAGACACCTACTTCCTGCTTCATCCCAAGTAGTAAGCACTAAAACCTATTTTGGAGGAATACACTGAGGATTTCTGTGTTCAAAGCTTTATAATGCTGGTGGCAAATGACTACAAAGGCAAGATCCCTGCTGTTGAATATCTTTCAAGCTGCTTGAGGTGTTGAGGTTCACACTGGTGAAATTCTCAAGGAATAAGACAAGGCAATATAGGCAATATGTTGTGTGATGCTGGAAGTTGTAGTGGAAGATCAAATCTATGAGGTAGGAGACTTAAGGGAGGAAGTGGGACCTTGTATTTCTTTTGTTAAAAGAATTAGATAAGCAAAGGAAACACAAAATGAAGACAGGGATATCATCAAGAAGAATAAATTAACATGAGTCTGAAAGGGTAATAATGCTGACTATAGAGGTTAGTAGCAATCAGAAAGTGGCAAGAAAAGTAGCCTAGCTAGCAAAGAAGAGCGAGGTGATAACAAATCAGATGTAGAGCTTGACTTGGGAGCCAAGTTGAGCCACTGAATGTTTTTGAGAAGAGAGACCTGAAAATAATGAAAGGGTAGTTCAGGAAAAATTAGCCTGATAGTGCTAGACAGCATGCATTGAATGATAAAATGTCTGGAGTAAGAAAAAGCTAGTGTATCTTCCCGCAGTCTGTCTGTGCATCAGTTCATGGCTACCTCCTTCCCCAAGACCCAAGGCGTGGTTGGGAATCTCTTCACATGCTGTCTTTACCCAGGCATGAGCTCAAAAGTCTGAGTGAAGTGTTTTTGGAAACTTGTATCCCTTCTCTGTTTCCTTCTTTTTGTTGCCTCTTTCCCTAGTACAGTTACCAGGTGTCTCAGAGTGACCCCATGTTGAATTGGAGTCCAATCCCCTATCTCTCCCCATTCACTTGTTGTGTATAGTCCTAAGTGTCAGGAGTCACTTAGCATCCACTTGCCAACTATGACATGAACTTACTATTAAGGTTATTTGACCTTAGCTCAATGTTTCATGTTTGTCCCTCTTTCTGGGAATAAGCATTCCCTTATTCAGGAGGTTTTGGGAAATCTTAGTACAATAATCCACCAGTTCAAGCTAAAGTTAGGTTTCTTGCTAGAGTAGCTGTAACTACCAGGCCCAATTATTATAACCTGGTTTCTGCCTTCATCTCTCATGGTATTGTGGGTCTAGCAACATTTGCCTGTTTATAAGTAGCTTAAAATATTTAATATTTTAGAATCAGGCAGATATGGTTTGGCTCTGTCTCCCCATCCAAATTTCACTTTCAATTGTAATAATCCCCATACATCAAGGGTGGAACCAGGTAGAAGTAATTGGATCATAGGGGCAGTTTCCCCCATGCTGCTCTCATGATGAGTGAATCTCAGGAGATCTGATGGTTTTATAGGTATCTCGCATTTCCCCTGCTTGCACTCAATCCATCCTGCTACCCCATGAAGAAGGTGCCTGCTTCTCCTTTGCCTTCTACCACGATTGTAAGTTTCCTGAGGTTTCCCCAGCAATGCAGAACTGTGAGTCAATTAAACCTCTTTCCTTTATAAATTACCCATTCTTGAGTACTTCTTCATAGCAGCGTGAGGAATGACCAATATACAAACCACTCAATTTTGAATTGGTAAGAAGTTATTGGATCTATTATGAGCTATTTTGAAATGGCTGAAATATAAATAGTCTAGATTAAACTAAATTATCAACACACACAAGAGCCAGTTGAAATTGGAACAACTTCTCAAGAGTGTAATTAAACTGTAAACCAAGGGAATTAACCAGAAATTTTTGTTCTTGTTAAAACAGGTTCGCAATGGCTTGCTTTCTTAAAGCAGTTTGATCCAGTTTTCAATTGATCATATTTATACTAGTTTAATTTGGTTGAATTCAATGTGAACAGGCCAGAACTAGTTTAATCCAGTTAAGTTTACTTGGGATATAAAATTATACTCCTTATGTACATCTTTGAATTGCTAGTATTTAATTCAGGGTCCAATATAGAGTAGGAATTTAATGTATGAGTGAAAACCATGGATGACTAAAATGGAACAACTGGGTATTAATCTAGTAGATAAGGGTACTATGCACCCCAAGAGAGAGGCTAATAATAACTGAAGGTCCAGCACTGCTCTGTCCAATACCATAGCTTCTGGTCACATTCATCTATTAAGCATGTGAAATGTGGTTAGTCTGAATTAAGTTGTGCTAGAAGTATAAATTACATGCTATATTTCAAAGATTTAGTAAAAAAATTTCATTAATTTCTTAAATTTGATTACATATTGAAATAATATTTTAGATATATTAATTTAAGTAAAACATATTATTAAAGTTGATTCTGTCTTTCATTACTTCTTTTTAATGAGACTGCTAGAAAATTTTAAATTACATCTATGACTCTCATTATGTTTCTGTTGGGCAGTTTGGTATAGACTCTAAGTCCTAAAATGCTATGTCCTGCCACTGTTCACTCATTAAAAGCGTCCATCAACATCCATTCAACACCTGTGCTCACAACAGGCCCAGGACAGTTTTCCATAAACAACAGGAACTTGCACTTGAGTAACCACAATTCTTGGCATTCAAGAACTATCTTACCTGTTCTTCTAAAAAAACAAACAAACAAAAAAATCTTATCACTCCATCTGTCATCAAATTCTGCATTTTCTTTAAAACCTGTTTTTCTGTCTCTTCCACTGGATTCATGCACTCTTGCATACTAAACTCCCCACTTTTAATATTCATTTATCTTATACTTCTGTTTCATAGATATGTCTCTTAAAATGGAAAAATACATTTATATTAGAGTTAAAATCACAAGCATTTCATGACTTCCATGATACCCAGCCCTTCTCTGAACCACTTTATTTTTTTCCATGTTTTATTTAACCAACATGGTATTACTATGTGCCAGGCACTGCTCTGAACACTTTTCTAATGTCAACTCATTCGGTCCTGAAGCCTACCTTATGAAGCTCATTCTACTCTTGTCTCCATTTCACTGATGGGAAAATAGCACAGAAAAGTTGTCTTTTGCCCAAGATCATGCAGCCAGTGTGTGGCAGACCCAGGATTTGAACCGGAAAATCTGGCCCTAGGATTCATACTCCTCATGACTTACTTAGCCTCCTGTGGAGAGGTGATCTTCCCGTCTGAATGGCCTCATTACCCCACAGCTTGCTCTATACCAGGAACATATGAACAACTTGTCTCAATCATTCCCAGGTTTCCCTTTGAGCTTCATTAATGAAGCTTATAAGATTTATCTGCTCTCCACCCTAGTGTGCCAGGGTCCTTCCTTTTGATTTCCAAGATACCGATAATCTAATCTACATTAATCAAAATTATGGCACTGATAATAGAATTCCTTAAATTTGTAAAGGGCCTTCAGCTTAAAAAGTATTTAAAGGTACAATTATAAATCACCAATGTGTTGAAGGGAGAAAATGTGCTCATTTTGACCGTGAGTTTTGGAGAAAGTAACTCATTTCAAAGAAGGATCTCTAATGCCAGGATTTCAGGCATTGTGACAGACCACCACGTGGGAGAGCATTGGCATCAACAGGGCTTATTCTACCTGCATTTTCATCAGGGTCCTCTATTCTTTCATTCATGTGTACATGTCATGTTTTTCTCACCAAGGAATTTGAGGCTGTTTGTAAAAGTAAATGCAATCTAACAGGATTAGATAAATAGATAAGGGAATTGTGGGTTTTTGTTTTATTTTACTTGAAGTTCTGGGATACAATTGCAGAACATGTAGGTTTGTTACATAGGTATACGTGTGCCATGGTGGTTTGCTGCACCTATCAACTTGTCACCTAGGTTTTAAGCCCTGCATGCATTAGCTATTTGTCCTAATGCTTTCCCTCCCCTCAGCCTCCACCCTCTGACTGGCCCTGGTGTGTGTCGTTCCCCTGCCTGTGTCCATGTGTTATCACTGTTCAACTCCCACTCATGAGTGAGAACATGCAGTGTTTGGTTTCCTGTTCCTGTGTTGGTTTGCTGAGGATGATGGCTTCCAGCTTCATCCATGTCCCTGTAAAGGACATAATTTCATTATTTTTTATAGTTGCATAGTATTCCATGGTGTATATGTACCACATTTTCTTTATCCAGTCTATGGTTGATGGGCATTTGGGTTGGTTCCAAGCCTTTGCTATTAATAGTGGTGCAATAAACATACTTGTGCATGTCTCTATAGTAGAATGATTTATATTCCTCTGGGTATATACCCAGTAATGGAATTGCTGGGTCAAATGGTATTTCTGGTTCTAAGATCCTTGAGGAATTGCCATACTCTCTTCCACAATGGTTAAACTAATTTACGTTCCCACCAACAGTATAAAAGTGTTTCAATTTCTCCATAGCCTTGCCAGCATCTATTGTTTCTTGACTTTTTAATAATTGACATTTTGACTGGTGTGAGATGGTGTCTCACTGTGGTTGTGATTTGCATTTCTCTAATGATCAGTGATGCTTAGCTTTTTTTCATATCTTTGTTGGATGCATAAATGTCTTCTTTTGAGAAGTGACTGTTCATAACCTTTGCCTATTTTTTGATGGAGTTGTTTTTCTCTTGTAAATTTGTTTAAGTTCCTTGTAGATTCTGGGTATTAGACCTTCGTCAGATGGGTAGATTGCAAAAATTTTCTCCCGTTCTGTAGGTAGCCTGTTCACCCTGATGATAGTATCTTTTGTTGTACAGAGGCTCTTTAGTTTAATTAGATCCCACTTGGCAATTTTGGCTTTTGTTGCAATTGCTTTTGGCATTTTAGTCATGAAGTCTTTGCCCATGCCTACCTCCTAAATGGTATTGTCTAAGTTTTCTTCTAGGGTTATTATGGTTTTGGGTTTTACATTTAAGTCTTTAATCTATCTTGAGTTAATTTTGTGTATGGTGTAAGGAAGGAGTCCAGTTTCAGTTTTCTGCACATGGTTAGCCAGTTTTCACAGCACCATTTATTAAATAGGGAATCCTTTCCCCATTGCTTGTTTTTGTCAGGTTTGTTGAAGATCAGATGGTTGTAGATGTGTGGCATTATTTCTGAGGTCTCTGTTCTGTTCCATTGGTCTATATGTCTGTTTTGGTACCAGTACCATGATGTTTTGGTGAGTGTTCAAGTCAGGTAGCGTGATGCCTCCAGCTTTGTTCTTTTTGATTAGGATTGTCCTGGCTATATGGGCTTCTTTTTGGTTCCATATAAAATTTAATGTAGTTTGTCCTAATTCTGTGAAGACTGTCAATGGTAGTTTGACCAGCATTGAATCTACAAATTACTTTGGGCGGTATGGCCATTTTCATGATATTGGTTCTTCCTATCCATGAGAATGGAATGTTTTTCCATTTGTTTGTTGTCCTCTTCTTATTTCTTTGAGTAGTGGTTTATAGTTCTCCTTGAAGAGATCCTTCACTTCCCTTGTTAGCTGCATTCCTAGGTATTTTATTCTCTCTGTAGCAATTGTGGATGGGAATTCATTCATGATTTTGCTCACTCCTTGTCTATTTTTGGTGTACAGGAATGCTTGTGATTTTTGCACATTGATTTTGTATCTTGAGACTTTAGTGAAGTTTCTTATCAGTTTAAGGAGTTTTTGGCCTGAGATGATGGGGTTTTCTAAATATACAAACATGTCATCTGTAAACAGAGGTAATTTGGCTTCCTTTCTTCCTATTTGAATAGCCTTTAATTCTTTCTCTTGCCTGATTGCCCTGGCCAGAACTTCCAATACTGTGTTGAATAGGAGTGGTGAGGGAGGGCATCCTTGACTTGTGCCAGTTTTCAAAGGGAATATCCAGCTTTTACCCATTCAGTATGACATTGGCTGTGTGTTTGTCATAAATAGCTATTATTGTGAGGTATGCTCCATCAATACCTAGCTTATTGAGAGTTTTTAACATGAAGAGATATTCAATTTTATCGAAGGCCTTTCCTGCAGCTATTGAGATGATCATGTGGATTTTTTTCATTGGTTCTCTTTACATGATGGATTACATTTATTGATTTGCATATGTTGAACCGCCTTGCATCCCAGGGATGAAGCCAACTTGATCATGGTGAATAGCTTTCGGATATGCTGCTGGATTCAGTTTGCCAGTATTTTATTGATGATTTTCACATCGATGTTCACCAGGGATATTGGCCTGAAGTTTTCTTTTTTTGTTGTGTCTCTGCCAGGTTTTGGTATCAGGGTGATGCTGGCCTCATAAAATGAGTCAGGGAGGAGGCCCTCCTTTTCAATTGTTTGGAAAAGTTTCAGAAGGAATGGTACCAGCTCCTCTTTGTATCTCTGGTACAATTTGCTTGTGAATCCATCTGGCCCTGAGCTGTTTTTTTTGGTTGGTAGGCTATTAATCGCTGCCTCAATTTCAGAACTTGTTACTGGTCTATTAGGGATTCAACTTCTTCCTGGTTTAGTCATGGAAGGGTGTATGTGTCTAGGAATTTATCCATTTATTCTAGATTTTCTAGTTTACTTGGGTAGAGGTGTTTATACTATACTCTGATGATAGTTTGTATTTCTGTGGGGTCAGTGATGATATCCCCTTTATCATTTTTTATTGTGTCTATTTGATTCTTTTCTATTTTCTTCATTAGTCTAGCTAGCAGTCTAAGTATTTTGTTAATTTTTAAAAAACAAACAGCTCCTGGATACATTGATTTTTTTTTTGGAAGGGTTTTTCGTGTCTTTATCTCCTTCAGTTTTGCTCTGCTCTTAGTTATTTCTTGTCTTCTGCTAGCTTTTGGATTTATTTGCTCTTGCTTCTCTAGCTCTTTTTTTTAATTTTATTATTATTATACTTTATGTGAGCTCTTTTAATTGTGATATTAGGGTGTTGATTTGACATCTTTCTAGCTTTCTAATATGGGCATTTAGTGCTATAAGTTTCCCTCTTAACACTGCTTTAGCTGTCTCCCAGAAATTCTGGTACATTGTCTCTTGTTCTCATTGTTTTCAAAGAACTTCTTGATTTATACCTTAATTTCATTATATACCCAGGAGTCATTCAGGAGCGGGTTGTTCAATTTCCATGTAATTGTGAGGTTTTGAGTGAGTTTCTTAATCCTCGGTTCTAATTTGATTGCCCTGTGGTCTGACAAACTGTTTGTTATGATTTCAGTTCTTTTGCATTTGCTGAGGTATGTTTTATTTCCAATTATATGGTCAATTTTAGAATAAGTGCCGTGTGGCACCGAGAAGAATGTATATTCTGTTGACTTGCGGTGGAGAGTTCTGTAGATGTCTATTAGTTCCACTTGATCCAGTGCTGAGTTCAAGTCCTGAATATCCTTGTTCAAGTCCTGAATATCCTTGTTAATATTCTGCTTTGTTGATCTGTATAATGTTGACAGTGGGGTATTAAAGTCTCCCACTATTATTGTGTGGGAGTCTAAGTCTCTTTTCAAGTCTCTAATAACTTGTTTTATTAATCTGCGTGCTCCAATATTAGGTGCATATATATTTAGAATAGTTAGCTCTTCTTGTTGATTTGATCCCTTTACCATTATGTAATGCCCTACTTTGTCTTTTTTGATCTTTGTTGGTTTAAAGTCTGTTTTGCCAGAGACTAGGATCGCAGCGCCTGCTTTTTTTTGCTTTCCATTTGCTTAGTAAATTTTCCTTCCTCCCTTTATTTTGAGCCTATGTGCATCTTTGAACATGAGATGGGTCTCATGAATACAGCACACCAATGGGTCTTGACTGTTACCCAAATTGCCTGTCTGTGTCTTTTAATTGGGGCATTTAGTCCATTGACATTTAAGGTTAATATTGTCATGTGTGAATTCGATCCTGTCATCATGATGCTATTTGGTTATTTTGCACACTGGATGCAGTTTCTTCATAGTATCATTGGTCTTTACATTCTGGTGTGCTTTTGCAATGGCTGGTACTGTTTTTTTCCTTTCCATATTTAGTGCTTCCTTCAGGAGCTCTTGCAAGGCAGGCCTGGTGGTGACAAAATCCCTCAGCATTTGCTTGTCTGGAAAGGATTTTAGTTCTCTTTCGCTTATGAAGCTTAGTTTGGCTGGATATGAAATTCTGGGTTGAAAATTTTCTTCCTTAAGAATGTTGAATTGAACCCCACTCTCTTCTGGCTTGTAGGGTTTCTGCTGAGAGGTCCACTGTTAGTCTGATGGGCTTTCCTTTGTAGGTGACCTGGCCTTTCTCTCCGGCTGCCCTTAACATTTTATCCTTAATTTCGACCTTGGAGAATCTGATGATTATGTGTCTTGGGGTTGATCTTCTCGTGCAGTATCTTAGTCATGTTTTTGTACTTCTTGAATTTGCATGTTGGCCTGCCTTGCTAGGTTGGGGAAGTTCTCCTGGATAATATCCTGAAGTGTGTTTTCCAACTTGGTTTCACTCTTCCCGTCACTTTCAGGTACTCCAATCAATCGTAGGCCCATACTTCTCAGAGGTTTGTTCCTTCCTTTTCATTCTTCTTTCTCTAATCTTATCTGCATGCCTTATTACAGCAAGATGTTCTTCAAACTCTGATATCATTTCTTCTCCTTGGTCAATTCAGCTATTGATATATGTGTATGCTTCATGAAGTTCTCGTGCTGTGTTTTTCAGCTCCATCAGGTCATTTATGTCCCTCTCTAAACTGGTTATTCTAGTTGGCAGCTTCTGTAACCTTTTATCAGGGTTCTTACCTTCTTTGCATTGGGTTTGAACATGCTCCTTTAGCTCAGCAGAGTTTGTTTTTACCCACCTTCTGAAGCCTACTTTTGGCCATTCGTCCATCTCATCCTCTGTCCAGTTCTGCACCCTTGTTGGAGAGGCATTGTGATCATTTAGAGAAGTGGCACTCTGGCCTTTTGGGTTTTCAGCATATTTTGTTATTGTTGTTGATTCTTTCTCATCTTCATGAGTTTGCCTAGTATCGATCTTTGAGGTTGCTGACCCTTGGATGGGGTTTTTGTAGGGACTTTTTTCTGTTGATGCTGTTGTTGTTGCTTTCTGTTTGTTTGTTTTTCTTGCAATGGTCAGGTCCCTCTTCTGTAGGGCTGCTGTGGTTTGCTGGTGATTCACTTCAGGCCCTATTCATCTGGTTCACTACCATACCTGGAGATGTCACTTGAGGAGGCTGGAGAACAGCAAAGATGGATGCCTGCTCCTTTCTCTGAGATCTCTCACCTTGAGGGGAACTGACCTAATACTAGTGGGAACACTCCTGTATAGGGTGTCTGACAAACCATGTTGGAGGGTCTCACCCAGTTGGGTGGCATGGGGAGCAGGAACCATTTAACAAAGCACTTTGACTGTCGCTTGGTGGAGGGGGTGTGCTTTGCTGGGGGGAAACCCATTCGTCTGTGCTGCCCAGATTTCTCAGAACTAGCAGGAGGAAAGACTAAGTCTGCTGGTCTGTGGAGACTGTGGCCACCCCTCTCCCTAGGGGCTCAGGCCCAGGGAGACCAGAGTTCTGTACCTGAGCCCCTGGCTGGAGTTTTCGGAGTTTCTGCTGGGAGGTCCCACCCAGTAAGGAGGGATGGGTCAAGGTCAGGCCTGAAGAGGCACCCTGCAATCTGCCACAGCAGGTGTGTTGGACTGTAGGGGATACCTCTTGGGAGTAAGCCGTCTAGCCTCCCTGGCTCCAGCAGGGGAAAAGCACAGCCTGAAGCTACAGAGAGGGTTGCTGCCCTTCCCCCACCCTAGGAGCTTAGTGTGTTAGGCTTTGATCAGACCCAGTGTTGGCTGTCACACCTCCCCCAAGGAGCTCAAACGGCTTAGACAGAAGGCAGCCGCAGCTGTGGTGCTGGTCACCCCTCCCCCGGGAGCTCAGCAGGCTTAAGCAGATTCTAGCTTAATGGCTGTTGAGAATCTGCACAACTCCATGGTTGAGACCCCTAGGCCCGGGTGGTGTGAGCTCATGAGTGGGATCTTCCAATCCGTGGGTTGCACAGTTCTATGGAAAAAGCACTTTTTCCCAGGCTGGGTAGCACACTCACTCACTGCCTCCCTTGGCTGGGGGGTGGGGGCATCCCTGCCCCATGTGGTTCTCAGGTTGGCAGTCACACCACACTGCTCTTCCTTCCTCTCCATGAGTCATGCCAGCTGCCTAGTCATTTGTGATGACAGAACCTGGATACCTCAGTTGTTGTTACAGGATTCACATGCTGTTATGGTTCTTTTTGTTGGGAGCCTCTGATCACAACTGCTTCTAGTTGGCCATCTTGGCCCTGCCCATCAGAAATTGTGGCTTTTATACATGTTCTCTGCAGTGGGGATCCAAATACTTGCTCCAGTTGCCTGGCACCACCATGAGGGCCTGAGGATCAGAGGTACAAGGCACGCTTCAAGCTTGCACAGTTTCTTCTTTTCTAGTTAGAGCTTTGCCCCAATCAAGCTGGTGAGCATAACTGGAGTTATGGTGTGCACCAAGTAACCCTGGCTCCTTTTAAAGGAGAGTCCAGAAACTAGCATGAGCAGCTGATCTAACCTTCCTTTTCTCTAAATCCTGTTCAGATTTCTACTTGGCTGTCCAATGCAGGGTACCTCCCAAACAGAAGTCATTTCCAGCCCTTGATTCACCATACCAATTCTCGGGAGACAAGAGAGGAAGATAAGAGAAAATGAGGAAATTAAAATGATGTGGGAGAAATGTCTCTGATTTTGTTTGGGCTCTAATTTGGTTAGTCCTCTCATTAAAACTCCACCTTTCTACAAACAATATGGCAACCTAATTTAGGTAGCCTAAGAATTCCATTTTCACTTTGAACTATTTTAGAGCTCTCCTTCCCTGTGGATGGAGTAAGGCCTTGAGGGTGTCTTTGGAACTGAAGTTGCTGGGGACATGACAGGGACCATCTGAGTCAGTGAGAGAAGAGATTACACATGGAAAATGGGCACAATGAGAGAAATATAAAATAAAGCCATATGGAAGATGAGCCAACAGGAATGCACATCTTAAGATACTATACACTTGCTGTAAGTGGTCTACAAAGTTGGTTCTGAGCTTCCTAGGAGCCAAAGGAAGGGAAAAAAACAATCATTTTTAAGAGGGGAAATGTCCACATTATAAAGTCAACACAGTTAGAAGAAATACACATTTCCTTGTAACTCAGATATTAAAGAAATTTTGTTTCAAGATCCTTATTAAGGGACTATGGCTGACAGGAACACATTGTTCTCACTAACATACCTTTATTAAATTTCCCAAAACTTATCACACTCTTTGACATGATGAAAATCAGTAAAAACAAATCCAAAAGAGCTGTTTTCTTCAGGTAAGGTGCTATGTTATATAGTCAGCATACTTCCATAACTAACCGATAAATCACTGGAGTCACTTATAAATGAGATTTGGGTTTTATGCTTTTTAATTTTTTGATCATTTCTATCAGAGAAATTTAATTAATGTAGATAAATCAGAGACCTCATTTCACTAATTTCAGTCCTTTTCCCCACTCCTGGAGTTTTCTCTACCAAGTGTCCATGGTACCCTGATGTTGTAATCTGTCCACAACTGATTAAGGGCAAGCTCTTGACCTAAGGGAAACCCATTGCTAGGCTGAGCGGAGCTAATCGGATTCTCTCCACTGAGAAATTAAACCAGGAAAAACACAAATCCCGCTATAATGATTCATTCTGGAAAAACAAGCTGAAAGAGCAGAGTGCATTTATGGCAAGCCAAAACACACCAAACTTGTGGGGAAAGAGAAGCCCTGACCCTTGAGGAGGAAGTTAATGCCTGCAATCCTTGCTGTATTGCTGCCTCTGTCTCTTGTCAGGGGGAAGATGTATTTCACACTGCTATAATGACATACCCATGTCTGGGTAATTTATAAAGGAAAAAGTTTTAATTGATTCACAGTTCTGTATGATGGGGGAGGCTTCAGGAAACTTACAATCGTGGAGGAAGGGGAAGAGGAACATCCTACCGGGTGTCAGGCGAGAGAAAAAAGTGTGTAGAGTAAAAGAGGAAGAGACCCTTAAAAAAACATCAGATCTTGTGAGAACTCACTCACCATCACAAGAACAGCAAAGGAGAAACCGCCCCCATGATCCATCCTAAAGGTGATCCATCCTAAAGGGATCCAACCTAAAGGTTCTTCCCTTGACACCTGTGGATTAAGGGGATTACAATTCAAGATGAGATTTGCATGGGGACACAACCAAACAATATCATTCCACACCTGGCCCCTCACAAATCTCATGTCCTGTATTTCAAAACACAATCATGCCTTCCCAGCAGCCCCCCAAAGTCTTAACTCATTCCAGCTTTAACCTCTAAGTCCAAGTTCAAAGTGTCATCTGAGACAAGGCAAGCCCCTTCCACCTATGAACCTGTTAAATCAAAAGCAAGTTAGTTACTTCCAAGATAGAATGGGAGACAGGTGTTGGATAAGTGCTCCCATCACAAATGGGAGAAATTGGCTAAAAC
Source organism: Homo sapiens (assembly GCF_000001405.40). Classification (NCBI taxonomy): domain Eukaryota; kingdom Metazoa; phylum Chordata; class Mammalia; order Primates; family Hominidae; genus Homo; species Homo sapiens. The sequence goes on along the minus strand of NC_000009.12, from coordinate 7,877,394 downwards.
AAAAGGGTGACCGGCCCCATGCAGGCCCACAACCCAGCAAGGCAGCCATTAAATTTTAAAGCTCTGAAATGATCTCCTTTGTCTTCATGTCCCACATTCAGATCATGCTGATGCAAAAAGTGAGCTCCCATGGCCCTGGGCAGCTTTGTCCCTGTGGCTTTGCAGGGTACAGCCCTCCTCCCAGCTACTTTCACAGGCTAGCATTGAGTGTCTGCAGCTTTTCCAGGTGCATGGTGCAAATTGTCAGTGGATCTACCATTCTGGGGTCTGGAGGATGTGGCTGTCTTCTCAAAGCTCCACTAGGCAGTGCCCCAGTAGGGCCTCTGTGTGGGGGTTCCAACCCCACATTTCCCTTTCACACTGCCCTAGCAGAGGTTTCCCATGAGGGATCGGCTCCTGCTGCCAACTTCTGCCTAGACATCTAGGCATTTCCATACATCCTCTGACAACTAGTCGGAGGTTCCCAAACCTCAATTCTTGACTTCTGTGCATCTGCAGGCTCAACATCACATGGAAGATACCAAGGGTTAGGGCTTGCACCCTCTGAAGCCATGGCTCAAGCTATACCTTGGCCCCTTTTAACCACGACTGAAGCTGAAACAGCTGGAATGCAGGGTTCCATGTGCTGAGGATGCACAGAGTAGGGGGCCCTGGGCCTGGCCTCTGAAATCATTTTTCCTCCTAGACCTCCAGGCCTGTCATAAAAGGGGCTGCTGCCAAGATCTCTGACATGCCCTGAAGATATTTTCCCCATTGTCTTGGTGATTAAAATTCAGCTCCTCATTACTTATGCAAATTTCTGCAGCTGACTTGAATTTCTCCCTAGAAAATGGATTTTTTTTTCTATCATATCATCAGGCTACAAATTTTCCAAACTTTTGTGCTCTGCTTCCCTTTCAAACATAAGTTCCAATTTAAAACCATCTCTTTGTGAATGCATAAAATTGAATGCTTTTAAGAGCACCTAGGTCACGTTTTGAACCCTTTGCTGCTTAGAAATTCTTTTCCACCAGATACCTAAATCATTTTTCTCAAGTTTAAAGGTCCACAGATCTCTAGGGCAGGGGCAAAATACTGCCAATCTCTTTGCTGAAGCAAAGCAAGAGTGATCTTTGCTCCAGATCCCAATGAGTTTCTCATTTCCATCTGAGACCACTTCAGCCTCAACTTCATTGCCCATATTACTATAAGCATTTTGGTCAAAACCATTCAACAAGTCTCTAGGAAGTTCCAAACTTTCCCAAATCTTCCTGTCTTCTTCTGAGCCCTCCAAACTGTTCCAACCTCTGCCTATTACCCAGTTCCAAAGTCACTTCCACATTTTCAAGTATCTTTATAGCAGTACCCCACTCAACCAGTACCAATTTACTGTATTAGTCCATTGTCACACTGCTATAAAGACATATTCAAGACTATGTAATTTATAAAGGAAAGAGGTTTAATGGACTCACAGGTCTACATGGCTGGGAGGCCTAAGGAAACTTACAATTATGGCAGAAGGCAAAGGGAAACCAAGACACCTTCTTCACAAGGTGGCAGGAAGGAGAATGGACACAGAAGGAACTATCAAACACTTATAAAACCATCAGAACTTGTGAGAACTCACTCACTATCATGAAAACAGCAAGGGGAAAACTGCCACCATGATCCAATCACCTCCCACAGGGTTCCTCCCTTAACATGTGGGGATGGTGGGGATTATAATTCAAGATGAGATTTGGGTGGGGACAGAGCCAAACCATATCAGAAGCAGTAAGACATATCTTTTTTCTCCCAGACTCTCCACCCTGTCACTTTCGTCTCCATATTTTCAGACAAGTCTTGCCTTGGATGTCCTTCTTAAGAAATGGCAGTGGAGCCTGGAGTCATTGCCTTGATGAGGGCAGGAATAAGGAGGCAAGCTCTGGGGAAAACAAGAAACTGGTTGACTGAGGGACTATCATACTGATAATGACATCTGATGCTTATGCTGTTAAATGTATTCATTTATGACAAGACAGTTGAGCACTTTGAAATGAAATCTTTAAAAGTACCTCATGCACTGTGGGAGAAAATACCCAGGTTCCTGAAGGAGGAAATCGACACTCAACTCTCTAGGAAACAGAATGTAAAGCATTAACTCAAGCTCTTGCAGATTAAGATGGCAGTTTGCTAGAGCAGACGACCTGGGAAAATCAATACAGCAACAATTACCTCTACAGTATGAAAGCACTGGCCAACCTAAGTACCTTTGAGATTCCATTTCATACTACAGAGGAGTGGCTCCACTTCCTAATGGATGAGCATTTTAGCTCCTACTGTGTAGATCTCCCAAACACTAGTATCCTTTCAAGAGTGCCTACAAGGCCTTTCTTGATATTCCACTAGACGACCATGAAACAGTATACTCTGTGAAGCAATCTCTGGCCAGAGTGAGCACTTATTTTTATCAGGAAGCAGCATCTTTCTACTTGGCTATGACAATCAGGTCAGCTAAATATGTCATCCTGTTTCCCAACCCCATCCATTAGAAGGTAATACCTCTTTCCTGCTGAGCACTTTTTCAAATTGAAAAACTTCAAGGACAGCTGCAATGCACTGGAGAGTGCCCTGTGACTAAACTGAAGGACCCTAAGTGCCAGACACATCCAAACTGACATCTCTGCCAAGTGCCCAAGGCACCCCTTCAGTTGCCTGGCTCAGCAAACACAGACAGTACCAAAGCAAGCTCCCACTAAGTTCAAGACTCTTAGAGCCGATGCCTGGAGGATCATTCCCCAACTATTTCTATTTGGCAATATCAGAACTTCAGTAATACTAATAGTGTATTTCTGTCATTGAAATGCTACTCTTAATGTTTATCTTATGCTTTCCTTAAACTCCTCCTGGTTCTGACCTTGGTGAGCTTACCTGGCCAGTTAGAGCTGGAGCAGGTGCTTGGTGACCACAGCTACCTATTTACATTGCTTGAATAGGGACTGCTTTGGTAATGCCCAGAAAGCTGAATAAGTGGAAAAGATGTTCGCAGGGGTTTAGGGGTGGCACATCTGGATCTACTGAAAATTTAACATAGCTTTCTTGATGGGCAAATCAATTTTTTTCACTCTGTACTCTGTCATGAAGAAATTAACACGATTTTAGAAAAATCTGTGCTGACATTTGACACTGACTTTCTCATTTACTAGATATACTACGAAACAGTGAAGAAACACTTCCCCTTAACCAGCTAATGCTGGTCAGACTCCAACAATTAGTTATTTTAGAAAATAATTTTTAAAAAAGTTTTCTAAAAAAGGGAGCTACTGGCCAGGCACAATGGCTCACGCCTGTAATCCCAGCATTTTGGGAGGCCAAGGCGTGTGGGTCACCTGAGGTCGTGAGTTCAAGACCAGCCTGGCCAACATGGCAAAATCCCCCCCTCTATTAAAAATACAAAACAATTAGCCAGGCATGGTGGCACATGCCTGTAATCCCAGCTACTTGGGAGGCTGAAGCACAAGAATCGCTTGAACCTGGGAGGTGGAGGTTTCAGTGAGCTGAGATCGCACCACTGCACTTCAGCCTGGGTGACAGAGCAAGACCATCTCCAAAAAATAAATGAATAAAGATAAAAATAAAAAAGACAGAAAAGGAAGCTACTCACAGAAAGGATGGTGGAGGAGATGAACAGATAGAAGCATAGAAGAGAGAGATTATGCAGCTTGTGAAAAAGACCAAGAGGGAAGCTGTCAGTGAATCTCCCAATTCCATACCCAGGGGGACAGATGTATCCTTAAAATAGCTCCATTTTTTGTCTGAATGGATTGGAGTTGGGTTTTTTACTGACATCCAAGCAGCCCCAACTACAGAAAGAGTAGTAAGATGAGCAAATATTAGAAAGATAGAAGGAAATGATAGTTTAGATAATCTGCTGAGAGGATATTTTGGTCCTGAATAATGGAAGATGGAAGAATTTAAACACATTGTTAGAATGGAGTGAAGTATTCACTGAGCTACACACCACATTACTCTTTTTAGACAAAAGTGTTTGTCTTGTGGAGAAACGTAATTTAATTCAAGTGATAATGGACACTGGCTCTTAAGGTAGTCAGTCTTCAAACTAAGATTCCAAACGATTTGTTTTGGTTTGTGCAAACCTGTAACAGTAAAATGTCTTGAAGGGTGCTCCTTCTTTCATGAAATCAAAGCTTTAAGAAAGAGTCCAGAAGGGAGTTACTAGATAGATATGTACCTTTTGACACTGGTATTCATAGTTTGCGGCCCTGCAAGATAATCTGAAACCAATAGTCCCATGATCAAAACCAAACATACAGAAAAAAAAAACATAGAAATAAACAATATCAAAAGAAGGTGAACTAGATCCTTTAATTGTGATTACAGAGAGAGCACGATACAGAAAACAAAGTCTGTGGAGCTTGTGCTGCAGTGGCTGTCACCCTTACAACCCATCAACCAGGTGCCCTTGAGTACATTACTTAGATTCCAGAGCTACCGGGTGCACATTTGTAAATAAGCATAATACATTCTAACCAAGATTATTATAGAGATTAAATTATATAAACAACATAAACGTTTCTGATTTGTAAAAATCTTTCAGTGCATGTTTATTTCCCCATTTTGATATTGGTTTGGTGATAAGATGTACGAAACATTACAGATTCTGGAATCAAAAGGAATATCTAAGATTCCAGTAGAGAGGTCAACTGTTTCCTGTTAATCAGTTCTTCCCCATATTCCTTGTAAAAGAACGAGCTCCTTCTATAAACATTGAGAAGGGCAGTCATTTGTTTTGTGTGGAATTGTACAGCATGGTGGTAGGCATTGCAAAGACATCTTCCCAAGTTCTCACTTACTGATGTTTCTGAGATAATATTTCCATGTTTGGCTGCTTGAATTCATAACATATTTACTCTCTCAATTCTGAGTGCTTATCTCCCTAAGCCTGGTCTGTCACCCAGTAAGACACCTAACTTGAAGGTGTTCACAGACAGGCCTGAGAACCCTTAGGATCTGGCAAAATTCTTCTTTCTAAAAGTGACACATAGTCAAAATGCTAAATAGTCAATAAAAAGTATCTTATTAGTTTTAGGAAATACATTTTTAGATCTTGAGAAATCATACATAAATTTAAAAGAGAATATATTGACTATGACTCACTAAGATGATTTTTGACCCAGTAACGGGTTGCTACCTGCAGTTTGAAATACATTTACTTCCTCCACTCAGTGAAGAAACTGCTTTCTGAGCAAGTTGGGCAGGAAAAGTCTCTCTTTGAGTCAGATGCTGGCTTTTCCTGCAGATGTTTGCTTGCTTCTCTGTCCTCAAGTGCAAGCCCCCTTCACACTGCTTCACAAGCTCTGGAGGATAGAAGAGACAGTCATGAAGCCAAGGCTTCTAGGACCTTCAGAATCTGCTATAGCCACTTAATCTCCCAAGATGTGAGCCCAGGCCATGTTATTAGCAATATTTTTCTGAACAGCTAGAGAAACTAAGGGATTCGACAGAAGATGAGGATCTTGTAGGGGCTTGGCAAAGCTATCAAGCAGCCGAGACTCCGAGAAGAGCTCATCCAAGGCACTGAGCTAGCTAAGAAGCAGAATGGACTCCATCTTGTCCAGGAGGTGGATCAGCCACTGTAGCCAAAGCAGAAAATTGTGGTCCACCTCACTGGCCAGCTTATACATGTGCTCACCAAGTATGACCAGAGAGAATTTGATGGCATTAACAAAGTTCCTTAAAGTCAAAAAATTCCCCAGATCTTATTTTACTGGGGTTATCATGTTCACAAAGTGGGCATTGGGCCAGGACCACTCAAATAATCTCAGGGAAGTTGTCATTATCATCTCAAAATGTTCCACATTTATGAGGAAATAACTATTGAATAGAATCATGATTTGCAGGTGCACAGTCAACTTCTTCAATAGTACAATAGTGTTGAGAGGATTTTCTTTGGCATTTAGAAATAGGGGTGAGAATTTTCTCTTCTTGGTGCCCTCTTTCACCATGGTCTGCCTTACCTAGAAGTCTCAGCTTTGTCCCATGTTGAGTCTATCTCTTGAAAGTTCTAGATTTCAGTTTCATTTGCCATTTTTGCAATCATGAGCATTTTGGAGGGAAAAGATCACTCTTTTATTCTCCACAAGGCTTCCTCAATGACTTATTTCTAAGTAATAAGAACTCTATACCTTTGAGATTCTCATCTTCCTGACCCTGGTTCTGTCTCCCACTAGGATACCTATCTCATGGTGTTCATAGCAAGTCATGGCTAGAATCTTAGGACCCTGGAAAATCTTCTGGTAGATCATTATAGTAAACTTCTTAGGAATGCTTTTTGGTAAAGTTTAAGATAGGCCTTTTCTCTCTAAAACACTAATAGAACTATTCTTTACGATCAAACCACAACTAGGTTCATAGCCTGAGGACAAGGTTTGCTCACATCTTCCTATAGCCTTTCTTTCTGACTTTTTGTTTCCTCCAGTTTAATTCCCAGTAGAATCTACTTTTAGTGTAGTTAATCTACACTAACTTTTAGGTTAGTTTTTTAGTGTAGTTAATCTACACTAACTTTTAGGGTGTCTTACTGTGCTCTCCTTGGACTGTTAACACTATGCCGCATAGCTGTCCCCATTTGCACACTGTTTCAACAAGAATTAACTAGAAATAAATCTCATAAATGTGGCAAAAATTGCCTCAATTTTTTATATATATGATATATAATTATATATGTAATATATATTTTTATATTATACACAATTTTATATATGTTACATATGTATATATATTATATATAATTATATATTATATAATTGTTATAATTGTAATAATTAATAATCATAATCATATATATAATCATGATCATATATTATATCATATGATATATTATATATTATATCATATGATGTATGATGTATTATATATTATATCATATGATATATGATATATATTATATATGATATATAATATATAAATGTTATATACAATATGTATTATATATAATATATAAAGTTATATATAATATATATTATATATAATATATAAATGTTATATAATATATAATTATATATAATATATAAACGTTATATAATTATATATAATCATATATGATTATGTATGATTGCTATTAAATAATATTGTCATATATTATATGTATTTAAATATACATTTTAATTTTTATCTTCCATAAACAAAGAAATAGAAGTAAATGGGTGATTTTGAAAAGCTTTAAAATGATCACCATTAGAGTTTCCAAACAAGAAATGTGTGTTCTAATCCCCATGTTCTTTTAATTATATCATATGGATCCCAGCCAAATTGATCTTTTTATCTTCTTTAATGGACCGTTCTCTGCCTCATCTCTTCACTATTCTATGACCTGTTCTTTTTGCCCAGAATGCCCTCTGTTTTTTCCTTCTCTATGCTATGCACTCTGTAGTAGTTTCTGGCTACTTCTTTAATTTCTCACTAGATTATAAGCTCTCAGTTACTAACTGAAAATCCGACAGATGGTTGGTTCTTACAAATATGTTCTGTATAAATTAATGAAAGAATTAATAAATAAATGAAGAGTTACTAAAGATTATGAAGCATTTCTAAGCTTTTGGCCTTCAATTTATTTTTCAGTATCATTGTGGAATTTATGAAAGTACACCAAATGACTATTTTTCAATCTAAGGATTTATATCTTTCTTCAATTCTGGAAAACTCTCAGTCTATTTTCTCTTGTAATAATTTCTCTTCCATGTTTTAATTACCATTTCATCTAACACACCAATTATAAATATGTCAGAGTTTCTCAGTCTATCCTCTATAACTTCGTCTCTGTTTTTCTATGGATTTATCTTGTTTTACTACATTCTGAGTGATTTCCTGTACACTCAGCATAAAATATGCTCTGCTATACAACAAATAAGCTAATAAAGCAAGATAAAGATTTATCATCTCACTGATATCACCATTTGATGATGTTGGGTGGCTTTTTGAACAGGTGTCCTCCAACCTATAATCAGAAATATAACCTCCTTTGATCTTGTGATGCTACAATCATCAATATATGGTCTTCGTGATCTCTAAAAAAGGAGAAAAGCATGAAGAATCATCCAGGATGTTTTGTGGCCAGACCTAAAAGTGATATATATTAATTAACTCACATTCCAAACCTATGGCCCCAATCTCACTGCAAACAGATTCAGGAAACACTGTTTTCTTATGTGCTTAGAAAAAGAAAATGCAATTGGTAAGCGTCTAGTCAGATTCTACTATATCTATTTAGTTTTCTCATCTAACATACCGATTCTCTTTTAATTTATATAGTTCACTCTATAATACATCTACTAATCTACTATGCCATTTACTTAATTTTTATCTTCAACAATTTTGGTATATATATATATGTCTTTTCTGATGTCACAATGTGTTCTTATTTTAGAATGCTATTTCTTTGTTTTTCTCCTTGAAGATTCTAAACAAACTTGTTTTAAACACTTTTACCATTTGCTCAATTACTTCTATTTCCTTAGGCATCACTTATTCTATTTATTGGGTCTACCAACTGGCTCTCATTATTATGGATTTGTTTATGTGCTTTGTATTTTTGCATGAAAGCTGATATACACTGGAATGTTTTCCCATTGTTTACCCAAATTAATCGAAAGCCCGTTACTATCCCAGTAATTTATTTCCTTTGACATATTGATTTAAATTTAATATGGAAATACAAAAGATTAAAAATAATATACTCTTAAAGAAGAACAACTGGGAAGACTATCTACAAAAAAGTTCAATATTTAGATTAATTTGAGGAAGAAGTTTCTTATTTAAACCTAAGTCTTCTAATCTGTTGCTATTGAGTCTTTGTTTCTTTTTTTTATTATACTTTAAGTTTTAGAGTACATGTGCACAATGTGCAAGTTAGTTACATATGTATACATGTGCCATGCTGGTGCGCTACACCCACTAACTCGTCATCTAGCATTAGGTATATCTCCCAATGCTATCCCTTCCCCCTCCCCCGACCCCACAACAGTCCCCAGAGTGTGATGTTCCCCTTCCTGTGTCCATGTGTTCTCACTGTTCAATTCCCACCTATGAGTGAGAATATGCAGTGTTTGGTTTTTTATTCTTGTGATAGTTTACTGAGAATGATGATTTCCAATTTCATCCATGTCCCTACAAAGGACATGAACTCATCATTTTTTATGGCTGCATAGTATTCCACGGTGTATATGTGCCACATTTTCTTGATCCAGTCTATCATTGTTGGACATTTGGGTTGGTTCCAAGTCTTTGCTATTGTGAATAATGCCGCAATAAACATACGTGTGCATGTGACTTTATAGCAGCATGATTTATAGTCCTTTGGGTATATACCCAGTAATGGGATGGCTGGGTCAAATGGTATTTCTAGTTCTCGATCCCTGAGGAATCACCACACTGTCTTCCACAATGGTTGAACTAGTTTAGCCTCAGCAACAGTGTAAAAGTGTTCCTATTTCTCCACATCCTCTCCAGCACCTGTTGTTTCCTGACTTTTTAATGATTGCCATTCTAACCGGTGTGAGATGGTATCTCATTGTGGTTTTGATTTGCATTTCTCTGATGGCCAGTGATGGTGAGCATTTTTTCATGTGTTTTTTGGCTGCATAAATGTCTTCTTTTGAGAAGTGTCTGTTCATGTCCTTTGCCCACTTTTTGATGGGGTTGTTTGTTTTTTTCTTGTAAATTTGTTTGAGTTCATTGTAGATTCTGGATATTAGCCCTTTGTCAGATGAGTAGGTTGTGAAAATTTTCTCCCATTTTGTAGGTCGCCTGTTCACTCTGATGGTAGTTTCTTTTGCTGTGCAGAAGCTCTTTAGTTTAATTAGATCCCATTTGTCAATTTTGGCTTTTATTGCCATTGCTTTCTGAGCTTTGAAGAGAGCAGTGGTTCTCCCAGCACGCAGCTGGAGATCTGAGAATGGGCAGACTGCCTCTTCAAGTGGGTCCCTGACCCCTGACCCCCGAGCACCCTAACTGGGAGGCACCCCCCAGCAGGGGCAGACTGACACCTCACACGGCCGGGTACTCCAACAGACCTGCAGCTGAGGGTCCTGTCTGTTAGAAGGAAAACTAACAAGCAGAAAGGACATCCACACCAAAAACCCATCTGTACATCACCATCATCAAAGACCAAAAGTAGATAAAACCACAAACATGGGGAAAAAACAGAGCAGAAAAACTGGAAACTCTAAAAAGCAGAGCGCCTCTCCTCCTCCAAAGGAACGCAGTTCCTCACCAGCAACGGAACAAAGCTGGACGGAGAATGACTTTGACGAGCTGAGAGAAGAAGGCTTCAGACGATCAAATTACTCTGAGCTACGGGAGGACATTCAAACCAAAGGCAAAGAAGTTGAAAACTTTGAAAAAAATTTAGAAGAATGTATAACTAGAATAACAAATACAGAGAAGTGCTTAAAGGAACTGATGGAGCTGAAAACCAAGGCTCGAGAACTACGTGAAGAATGCAGAAGCCTCAGGAGCCGATGCGATCAACTGGAAGAAAGGGTATCAGCGATGGAAGATGAAATGAATGAAATGAAGTGAGAAGGGAAGTTTAGAGAAAAAAGAATAAAAAGAAAAGAACAAAGCCTCCAAGAAATATGGGACTATGTGAAAAGACCAAATCTATGTCTGATTGGTGTACCTGCAAGTGACGGGAAGAATGGAACCAAGTTGGAAAACACTCTGCAGGATATTATCCAGGAGAACTTGCCCAATCTAGCAAAGCAGGCCAACATTCAGATTCAGGAAATACAGAGAACGCCACAAAGATACTCCTCGAGAAGAGCAACTCCAAGACACATAATTGTCTGATTCACCAAAGTTGAAATGAAGGAAAAAATCTTAAGGGCAGCCAGAGAGAAAGGTCGGGTTACCCTCAAAGGGAAGCCCATCAGACTAACAGCGGATCTCTCGGCAGAAACTCTACAAGCCAGAAAAGAGTGGGGGCCAATATTCAACATTCTTAAAGAAAAGCATTTTCAACCCAGAATTTCCTATCCAGCCAAACTAAGCTTCATAAGTGAAGGAGAAATAAAATACTTTACAGACAAGCAAATGCTGAGAGATTTTGTCACCACCAGGCCTGCCCTAAAAGAGCTCCTGAAGGAAGCGCTAAACATGGAAAGGAATAACCGGTACCAGCCACTGCAAAGTCATGCCAAAATGTAAAGACCATCGAGACTAGGAAGAAACTGCATCAACTAACGAGCAAAATAACCAGCTAACATCATAATGACAGGATCAAATTTACACATAACAATATTAACTTTAAATGTAAATGGACTAAATGCTCCAATTAAAAGACACAGACTGGCAAATTGGATAAAGAGTCAAGACACCTCAGTGTGCTGTATTCAGGAAACCCACCTCACGGGCAGAGACACACATAGGCTCAAAATAAAAGGATGGAGGAAGATCTACCAAGCAAATGGAAAACAAAAAAAGGCAGGGGTTGCAATCCTAGTCTCAGATAAAACAGACTTTAAACCAACAAAGATCAAAAGAGACAAAGAAGGCCATTACTTAATGGTAAAGGGATCAATTCAACAAGAAGAGCTAACTATCCTAAATATATATGCACCCAATACAGGAGCACCCAGATTCATAAAGCAAGTCCTGAGTGACCTACAAAGAGACTTAGACTCCCACACATTAATAATGGGAGACTTTAACACCCCACTGTCAACATTAGACAGATCAACGAGACAGAAAGTCAACAAGGATACCCAGGAATTGAACTCTGCTCTGCACCAAGCGGACCTAATAGACATCTACAGAACTCTCCACCCCAAATCAACAGAATATACGTTTTTTTCAGCACCACACCACACCTATTCCAAAATTGACCACATACTTGGAAGTAAAGTTCTCCTCAGAAAATGTAAAAGAACAGAAATTATAACAAACTTTCTCTCAGACCACAGTGCAACCAAACTAGAACTCAGGAATAAGAATCTCACTCAAAACCGCTCAGCTACATGGAAACTGAACAACCTGCTCCTGAATGACTACTGGGTACATAACGAAATGAAGGCAGAAATAAAAATGTTCTTTGAAACCAACGAGAACAAAGACACAACATACCAGAATCTCTGGGACACATACAAAGCAGTGTGTAGAGGGAAATTTACAGCACTAAATGCCCACAAGAGAAAGCAGGAAAGATCCAAAATTGACACCCTAACATCACAATTAAAAGAACTAGAAAAGCAACAGCAAACACATTCAAAAGCTAGCAGAAGGCAAGAAATAACTAAAATCAGAGCAGAACTGAAGGAAATAGAGACACAAAAAACCCTTCAACAAAATTGATAAACCACTAGCAAGACTAATAAAGAAAAAAAGAGAGAAGAATCAAATAGACGCAATAAAAAATGATAAAGGGGATATCACCACTGATCCCACAGAAATACAAACTACCATCAGAGAATACTACAAACACCTCTATGCAAATAAACTAGAAAATCTAGAAGAAATGGATAAATTACTCGACACATACACTCTCCCAAGACTAAACCAGGAAGAAGTTGAATCTCTGAATAGACCAATAACAGGAGCTGAAATTGTGGCAATAATAAATAGCTTACCAACCAAAAAGAGTCCAGGACCAGATGGATTCACAGCCGAATTCTACCAGAGGTACAAGGAGGAACTGGTACCATTCCTTCTGAAACTATTCCAATCAATAGAAAAAGAAGTAATCCTCCCTAACTCACTCTATGAGGCCAGCATCATCCTGATACCAAAGCCGGGCAGAGACACAACCAAAAAAGAGAATTTTAGACCAATATCCTTGATGAACATTGATGCGAAAATCCTCAGTAAAATACTGGCAAAACGAATCCAGCAGCACATCAAAAAGCTTATCCACCATGATCAAGTGGGCTTCATCCCTGGGATGCAAGGCTGGTTCATTATATGCAAATCAATAAATGTAATCCAGCATATAAACAGAACCAAAGACAAAAACCACATGATTATCTCAATAGATGCAGAAAAGGCCTTTGACAAAATTCAACAACCCTTCATGCTAAAAACTCTCAATAAATTAGGTATTGATGGAACGTATTTCAAAATAATAAGAGCTATCTATGACAAACCCACAGCCAATATCATACTGAATGGGCAAAAACTGGAAGCATTCCCTTTGAAAACTGGCACAAGACAGGGATGCCCTCTCTCACCACTCCTATTCAACATAGTGTTGGAAGGTCTGGCCAGGGCAATTAGGCAGGAGAAGGAAATAAAGGGTATTCAATTAGGAAAAGAGGACGTCAAATTGTCCCTGTTTGCAGACGACATGATTGTATATCTAGAAAACCCCATTTTCTCAGCCCAAAATCTCCTTAAGCTGATAAGCAACTTCAGCAAAGTCTCAGGATACAAAATCAATGTGCAAAAATCACAAGCCTTCTTATACACCAACAACAGACAAACAGAGAGCCAAATCATGAGTGAACTCCCATTCACAATTGCTTCAAAGAGAATACAATACCTAGGAATCCAACTTACAAGGGATGTGAAGGACCTCTTCAAGGAGAACTACAAACCACTGCTCAACGAAATAAAAGAGGGTACAAACAAATGGAAGAACATTCCATGCTCATGGGTAGGAAGAGTCAATATCGTGAAAATGGCCATACTGCCCAAGGTAATTTACAGATTCAATGCCATCCCCATCAAGCTACCAATGACTTTCTTCACAGAATTGGAAAAAACTACTTTAAAGTTCATATGGAACCAAAAAAGAGCCTGCATCGCCAACTCAATCCTAAGCCAAAGAACAAAGCTGGAGGCATCACGCTACCTGACTTCAAACTATACTACAAGGCTACAGTAACCAAAACAGCATGGTACTGGTACCAAAACAGAGATACAGATCAATGGAACAGAACAGAGCCCTCAGAAATAACGCCACATATCTACAACTATCTGATCTTTGACAAACCTGAGAAAAACAAGCATTGGGGAAAGGATTCCCTATTTAATAAATGGTGCTGGGAAAACTGGCTAGCCATATGTAGAAAGCTGAAACTGGATCCCTTCCTTACACCTTATACAAAAATCAATTCAAGATGGATTAAAGACTTAAACGTTAGACCTAAAACCATAAAAACCCTAGAAGAAAACCTAGGCATTACCATTCGGGACATAGGCATGGGCAAGGACTTCATGAGTCTTTGCTTTTTTGTTTTGTTTTGTTTTTGAGACGGAGTCCCATTCTGTCGCCCAGGCTGGAGTGCAGTGGCGCGATCTTGGGCTCACTGCAAGCTCCATCTCCCAGGTTCACACCATTCTCCTGCCTCAGCCTCCCGAGTAGCTGGGACTACAGGCTCCCACCACCACGTCTGGGTAATATTTTTTGTATTTTTAGTAGAGACGGGGTTTCACTGTGTTAGCCAAGATGGTCTCAATCTCCTGACCTCGTGATCCGCCTGCCTCGGCCTCCCAAAGTGCTGGGATTACAGGCCTGAGCCACCATGACCGGCCGCTATTGAGTCTTCTAATATCTAATTTGCCTTAATGAAGTTTTTATAGCTTTCTGCAGTTGTTACGTTTATCCTAGATATTTGGCATTTTCATGCTATAATAAAAGGTGTCTTTTTAAAATTTTATTATCTGTTCATTTCTAGAATATGGAAATTCAATGGACTTCTCTGTATTAACCTTGTATCCACAAACCTTAATAAACTCATCTTTTAAATCCAATAATTCTTTTGAAGTTTTCATGTACACCAGAGGTCCTCAACGTTTTTGGCACCAGAGATTGGTTTTGTGGAAGACAATTATTCCATGAATACACGTGGCTGGGGGGATGGTTTTGGGATGAAACCGTTCCACCTCAGATCAGCAGGCATTAGGTATATTCTCATAAGGAATGCACAACCTAGATGCCTCACATGCACAGTTCATAATAGGGCTTGCACTCTTGTGAGAATCTAATGCCACCACTGATCTCACAGAAGGTGGAGTTCAGGCAGTAATGTGAGCAATGGGGAGTGGCTGTAAATACAGAGGAAGCTTTGTTTGCTCACCATGCGCCTCCTGTGGTGTGGCCCAGTTCCTAACAAGCCAAGGATGGGTACCAGTCTGTACACCATTAAATTATTTATAAATAGTGACAGCTGGATTTTTTTCATTTCTAGTCCTTAAACCTTTTTTCTTCTCCTCTTGTCTTACTGCCCTGCCTACAATGTCCACTACTTTGTTCAATAGTATCAGTGATAAAATGCAACCCTATCTGTTTTCTGGTCCCAGAGAAAAAGATTTTTGCATTTCACCATTAAGTAAAATGATTAGTCTAAGCCTTTTCTCACTATACTTTACCAAATTCTATCTTTTATATTTGTAGTTTGCTAATTGTTAAAGAAAATATGAATGGGTATCTTCCTCAGAGGTCAACTAAGAATGAAATATTAGTATATAGTACTAAGTGTAGTAAGAGTAGTTGACATTTATTGGTGTTTACTTTGGGTAAGGTATTACTCCAAGCATCTCACTTACATTAAATCACTTAATGGTCATAACAACCATTGAGGTAGATTCTATTAAGATAATGTCTTTTGGATAAAAAACAACAACAACAAAAACTGAGGCTCATAGAAGTTCAGTAACTTGTCCAAGATCATACAACTTATAAGTTGAGGAAATGGGATTTGAATCCCAGGATGTCTATGCTTAGACAACTTCAATGCAGTAGTGTCACTTCCATAAACCTCCTAAGTAGTAATAATATGAGAAATAAATTATACCAAGCTCTAGACACAGAGCTAGGTGCAAACTAGGTGCTTTCCATAAATGCCAGTTTCTTCAGATCATCTACTATTCTCCAAGTCATCAAAAAAGGCATATATTCCAAATTTTAAAGTTTAATTTGAGCTGATTCCCCTAACATCCATCACCTCTTGGGCTCTATAAAAAGAAGATATGATCATGAGCTTATTCCATCCAATTAAGCAAGTAATCTGAGTTTCTAAAAATTCTTGACTCAGGGAGATGGAGATCCTGACCATACATTTTCCTTCCTTTATTCTCCACTTCATCCTGAAAGCAGCATGGAGTTACAAGACAGGACATATGACATTCCAGCTGCCTTACTGTAACACTACTTCATCTTCGAAATTCATGTTCCAGCCAAATGCAGCGTGATAACAAGAATGATATTTAATGGTAGTATATTAAACAAGCTCCCAATGTTTCATTAAAACTGGTCAGAAAGTCATATTAATTTCCCCTTATGAAGGCATTCTTATGAACTTCCCTTGCTGTCTCTTTTTTGTTACATACACATACAGTTTCAAGTATTATGTTCCTCCAATTTTCTTTCTAATGCTCTTGCAACTATTTGCCTGCTTACTGTCCACATTTACACACAATGTTTTGCAAATATTTATTTCCCCATTTGCCTCCCTCACAGAAATGTGCTCACCTTGATGGAAGGCACTGTGTCATGTTCATCTGTGTATCCCCACCACTTAGCACAGAGCAGGACACAAGTAATGGCTAAATGAATGTTAGCTGAATGAATGAATCAATCAATGAATTTGACCAAGAGTGACTCCTTAGAGACCTCCAATTTGGGTCAATCATCAATTCTATTGACATTCTTTACTTCTGTTGCTGAGAGCACCGCAGCCATGAAAATACATCTGTTTGTCCTTCTGCCTCAGAAATATTATGCCTTTTCTTCATATTATTGTGCTGAAATTTCTTCTTTCAAGCATGTTATCAACTTCCTTTCCTTTACTTTACTTTCTGATTTGCTTTCAGCAAATGAATGAAAGCAAGAAGCTGGTTCAAAAGAGTTCAAACTCTTAATGTGTTGCTCACAGTGCTGCTGGAAATCACAGGCTGTGCCTCAGTGTAGTCCTCTGCAAATAAGCATCTAACTACTACAGAAGTCCATGCATATGCCATTTTAAGGCTTTAAATCAGAACAACAAGGAACAGACTTTTTTTTTAATCTATTCAGTTCCCCCCAAAAAGGTCTGAGGTTGAATTGAAGCGTGTTGATGATTTTGGTTCAACATCTGCAGTCCTGACTTTGGGGCCTGGGTAAATAGACAGAGGGCATTGAGAAAGCAATCCTGCCTGTTGTACTTTCAACCTAACAATATATTTTTGTGACTAAATGCTTTGTGCATGCAGCCATTGAGTGAAAGGGTGTGTGTGTGTGTGTGTTTAGTTGAAATATGGATGTTTTATTTCATTCTGCTTCAATGTAAAAGCAGCTCTCTGAATTGCCTCGGGGTGCTTTTCAAATTCCCTGTGATAGCAACCAGTTGGAATTATATGCGCTCATTTTCTAAATTCTGCAAAGAAAATTGTTGAATTCTCTGTGACATTTACCATAACTCTGTAAATTTATGCTGCTTTCTTTTCCCCTTCTCCCACCTCTACCCCCTTTTCAAAAGCATACTTCTCCTCTTGGCTCCATCTCCTCGAGTGTTAAATGCTTTTTGAAATCATTCATTTTTATTATCAGCCATCTTGTTCTGTTTTATTTGCCACAGAATTATTCCACAGTCTAGGCTGATTCTTGGCTGTAAAAAGAGAATACTATTATTTGAGCTGGGATTCTGTCTCATATGTGTTAAGTTTAGTTCAACAATATCAAAATCCTACCCAGATGGATAAAATTCACTCTGAAGTCCTAAAGTAAAAGAAATGTAGTGCATGGAATCCAAAAATCTGGTTTGCTCTTGATTACCCACTTAAACAGTTTCCTTGGCTCTCTATTACCTTAACAGGGTCTCTCATACAGCAGAGTGTCTTAAAATCCCTCAGAGAGATTGTAAAAACTGTGGATTGCGCATGTGCTACTCTCAGAGATCTGTTTCAAGAAGTCTGGGTTAGGGCCCCAGAATCTGCATTTCTAAGTGTTCTCCTGGTGAATTAGATGTAGGAGGCACAGGGAACACATTTTGAAAAGCACGGACTACTGGGTGAAATCCAAACTCTTTAACATGACCAACACCTTTTATCAGCTATCCCTTCTCTATCACTCTCCTCTCATTGCCTGACATGGCCCTAAATGTCCACTGTCCATCTTTGCTGATCTTGCCACCCCTCATGACATTCTCATGCCCTTATCACTTCTTCACCTTTGAATGTGCCAGAATGCCCTTTCATTCCAATCCAGGGGATACCTACTCATTCTTAAAGATGTATTTTCTTACGTCTCCTTCTTTGTAGAGCCAAGGCTAAGTCAGTCACTTTCTATTTTGTGAATGAATGAATGAATGAATACATGAATGAATCAATGACCACCTATCAAATACCTGGTAAATGCTAAACAGTTAAATATATGCAATCTCATTTACCTCTCCCAATCCTACAAAGACCATTTATTCTTCTCATTTTACAGATGAAGACACTGAATGTTGGAGATGATAAGTGACCTTTTCAAAGTTTTAGAACTGTTAGTTACTAGAACAGAGAATCAAACTCAGCTTCAAAAACTCCACGTCCAAGACTCTTTTTCCTCCCCTTCACGGCCTTTCATTACACTTGCTCTCCGAGTTTCCTTATCACTTTATTTATGAGTAATTGTGACCCTAATCACACTGTTTCTTTATAGGCTTCCCCTACCTACTAGATGGTATCTTCTTCAAGGTCAGATGTCAAGCTCTCTGCCCAACAGCTAACAGTAGACATGCATAACGTTAGTCTATTGACTGAATGAATGATGCACTGAACAAATGCAAGCCTGTATTTCTGAGCACTTACTGTGGTAAATTTTTGGCACTTTGGGGCTACTCAATATGCATTCTCCTTTATAATAGCACCCTGATTTGTACTGGGACAATACCTTTACATACATATACATACCTTCACTGTATGTAATTTTGTAGGGTGAATAATTCTAGGCAAATCTCTTACACGGAAGAACCAGGAAAAGTTTTGCACAAGTGACTCAAGTACATTCATTTCAGCAAAGGCGTCAGTGGTGCCCTTCCAGACAATTCAGGTTATGAGATAACAGCAGGGGTTTCTACCTTCTGTTTTCTGGAGTTTTGCTGGTTCCCATCTGTCCTCAATCCCATCCTCCAGCATCCCAGAGTCCCTGTGAATCCTCCATTCTGAGGTAATAAATTCCCTTTTATTAGACAAAAACTATTTCTGTTGCTTGCAGTCAAGAATCATAATGGATCTGACTATTATTCAGAAAAGCCATTTTAGCTTTCCTTACTGCACAGTATGATTTTTACAAGCAACCAAAACCTACGGAATCAAACTAAATAGGTAAAAATTGTGTGTTACTCTTAGGACTTGAGCTGTAATAAGCAACCTTTAACATCAAAATGCTTTTAAGGTCTTGTTTTGAGTTGATTATTCATGCTGACCCTTCTTAGAAGAAGCAGAGTCTTTACTCACATTATATGACACAGGCCATTTATGATGTCCAGAGGCAATGTAAATTTGTGATTCATATGTATAAATGGCAACAGTGGTCCCTAAGTTTGACATCATTTACCCAAAGGGAACAATAAGATTTTATGAGTTTTTGCTAATATTTGCTTACTCGCAGATGTGATTAGACAAGGGCAAGTGTTTTCTTAGTACAGAGACTCTGTTGAGGATACAATGTATTGGACTACATGACATAATAATAGTAACAAAAGATTACGCAGATTAATATACTTTGAAAGGGAGTATTTAAATCTTTGGATGAAAACCTGAGACTTGAAAGGTGTTTTGCTGGTGCATAAATTAAGAGAATAAACTATTTTCAATAAACCAAATGGCTAATAAAAGCTCTCAAAGCAGAGGATATTCACTCATTCATTCTCTCAACCAATATTTATTGACCACTCGCTGTGTGCTAGGTGCTGGGAATGAAAAGATGAACAAAGCATAGTCCTACAGAGGAGGAAATGTCTTATCTGAGTCTAGATAGATGAACAGGATTGTTTCAGCTCACATAGTTTGGTACATGGGAATTGTTCTATTTTTTAGTCAATAATCCATCAAAAGTATATAGCTTCTTCCCTGAGCCCATTACTATTTTAAGGTTTTTGACTCAAGTGATAGGCACATCGAAGACCCCTAAATCATGGTTCTTGACCTAGAGAAGCTTAGGGTCCATTTAGAAAGATAATGCTGAAACTTTATAGAACAAAAGAGAATGGTCTAAGACAATCCATAACTCAGTAACAGATTGAGTAGCATAGGCTGCAAGTGGTGTAAGAGTTCACAGAAGTGAAGTTAGTATGTACTGTTATGGTTGGGGAAGGCATCGTGAAGGACACGGGGTGTAAGGTAGAACTGAAAGAAAAAAAAAAGTCTCAGACTGGAAAGAAACTTAGTGATATCTCAGGCACCTCCACATCCATGACCTGCATCCTCTCTCCCAATTTTACAAATTAAGAATCTGAAACTCAAGAAGGTTAAGTGATTTGTACAAATGTAAACAGCCAATGAGTTACAGATGCAAGATTGGGCTCTCAATCTTAAAAGATTTTGATAGGAATATAAGAAAAAGAAGTTGTTGAGATTGTGCTGGGGAGTAGCGGGAAATAAGAATGAAAAGGTGACACATCCCAGATGACTATGGAGGACTTTGAAAGCAGATACAATGGCTAAGAGTTAAGGTTTTAGGAAGAGAGATACAACTGGAAAATTCTCAGCATATAGCAGTCTTACCAATTTGGGAAGGGGAATTGTTTTGGAAAGATAGGCAGAAAGAGGAGATTAATTTTAGACAAATTGAATTAAGGTCATGTCAACAGATTAGCAAGTAAGTATTTAGCTCTTTTCCTCATATATTTTATTTTAACATCAACACTTAACAATGTCTAGGAGGCCTGGTAATATTTGCAGATTGCTTAATGTTTTCTTTCAATCCAAATTTTTTTTTTTTTCCCTCCGAGACAGAGTCCTCCTCTTGCCCAGGCTGGAGTGCGGTGACATGATCTTGGCTCACTACAACCTCTGCTTCCCAGGTTCAAGCAATTCACCTGCCTCAGCTCTCTGAGTAGCTGGGATTACAGGTGCCTTCTATCACACCCAGCTACTTTTTGTATTTTTAGTAGAAATGGGGTTTCACCATGTTGGCCAGGCTGGTCTCGAACTCCTTGGCCTCAGGTGATCTGCCCGCCTCAGCCTCCCAAAGTGCTAGGATTACAGGCGTGAGCCACTGCACCTGTCCTCAATCCAACTTTTTAATGTTCAAAGCCTTCTTTTTTAGAAATCCAACCACAGTAAGTATATAGCCATCATTAAATAAAAGAATATGATAGGATTGATGCGGAAGTGAGGAGGAGTCACAAGAAAAAATGCCTTGAAAAACCAAGTCTTGGTGTGAGTTCTAATAAAATGCAGTGAGCTTAGAAGAAGGGTCAAGTAATACATCTTTAATTACAAAAAACTGCATTATATTCAATAAACATATGTACATGTTTAACTGAATTAAGACGTCATTTATTGGAAGACATACTATCATTTAATGTATCATTAAAGAAAGAAAAATTACTACTGGTAAAAATATGACACAATATTATGATGCTATTGATTCAGATACACATCAATTTTGGAAATATTAAAATATGAAAAAGTGAAAATGTTAGAATCAGTGAAATACCATGAGGGCTTAGTGTTAATTAAATCACAACCCATCAGTTTGTGTGTTTCTCTTAGCAACCCCTATAAACTGTGTTAGAAAAACAGGCTTCTATGGGGGAACAAGATATGGTTTACCTGTGACAGACATAAGAATAAATCCCAGGCATGTTCCTTAATAGACCAGTGACTTTGGAGCAAGTTACTAAATTTCTCTGCATTTTGTTTCTACATAAGTAAAACAGGAATTTATTACTGCTACCTTACAATCTATTATAAGGATGAAAATGACATATGTAAAATACCTATCATAACATCATCACCTTATAAATAGTGTTCAAAATTGTCACTTAATGGATTATTTTTACATTATATAATGCTCACAAACTATAAAAAAAATCTAAGAAAACAAGTTAATTTTTAAAATTAGATATTTGACACAAGATAGCCCACACTAAGGCCTTTATAAGTATATCCCAGTTTTAGAACATTAGAATGCTAAAATTTGGAGTAAAAAAACATAAATAAGGATAATCATGCACATCATCAAAAGAATTTTTGATTCATAGCAAGTGTAATTTTAGGATTATTTTAAGTAGCATTGCTTCCCTCCATCAAAGTTTATTTAAAATATTATGAGTCCCACTAATGTTTGATTTAAACAAAAGTTTTAAAAGCATATCTCTTTAAATAAAAAGAGGTGAATCTTAAAATTAATGGGCATAGAGTTGCAAAACAGGAGCAGGATCATAGAAAGGAAAAGAGAAAGTTTTTGATGGAAACAGACCAAGGCTTGAAAGTGGACTCTGAAGCTTACTACCTCGTCATCTTAGACAAGTTAACCACGCCCAACCTCAGTAAACTCATCTGTAAAGTGAAAATAATAATAGTCCCTATGACACATGGTTGTTGCATGGATTCGAATTCGAGTGAAATAAAACATATGAAATGTAGACACAGTGCCAGATACATATTACAGGCTCAATAAAAGATTAAATAACAGTTCATTCTTTGTTTATATTTTGACCTCTGAATCCCAGAAGAGATTGAACCTAAAGGTGTGTCTGCTCATAATTAATGTTTTTTTAAGATGTTGCTGTTAGTGATTTTTCCAATGTCAGGTGCACAATAATTCTACAATACTCTTCCATTTATGGCTCTTTGTGTTTCTCAGTCCTTATTTGATGATTTCTCTTGATTTTTTGGGGGGAGATGATTCCCTGTTTAAGTTGCTTGGGGGCTGCGGGTGGGGGGCAAGCTAAAAGAGGCAATGCCCTGATGATACCTATCTATCTGCGCCAGAGAAAGAGACCAAAAACAAGGAGCATAGATTTCTCTGTGGTAGGTACACCTTACATCAGCTTTTGATAGGACTCTCAGTTCCATCAACGTACCTAGCTAGCCTCCAGCATTAACAGAGTTGGGTTTCTAGTAAAGAAGCCAAAAGATCAAATTTTTCACAATCTTATGGAGAATTGGTCATAATGGCTTGTTGAATAAATAGCCATTTGGATGCATAGATGGGTGATAGATAAATGGATGGATGTGACAGACTCTCTCTTTTGACCAAACTTGAGTCAGGCTCTTCTGAACCCCCTACTCTACAGGCCTGACCTTGGGCTTCCCTCTCTGTTGAACCCAGTTTGAGCAAGAACCTTGCTAAGCCACTTTAGTAAGAATCTCCCACCTTTGGTACCTGTTTTCATTCTCCACCCCAGTATCTTATCACCCTGGGTTGCCCTCAGCAAGAATTCTGTTGAGTCAGTCTAGCAATAATTTCCCTCATCTCTGATGTTTCCTCTTACCAATTGTCTATCTATTGACCTCATCATGCTACTTGGCTACAAATCCACATTTGTCCTTTATGGATGCAGTCAAGCCCAATTTCTCTTCTCCATTGCAAGACCTCATTGCAGTGGACCTCACTGCAGACCCCTTTAATTAATGTCTTCCTTATCATCTTTAATAAGTGCCATAAATAATTTTTTCTTTAATAGATGGAAAGGTAAGTATGAATTTAAAGTTAAAATAGCAATGTCTGGAAGTTTATTAAAGAAATTTCTTATATCTTCCTGTAAGTGACAAGTTTTGTGTTTGCCCTCAAAACTTAGAAACCTCAAAAATGCATTTATTCTTGGGAAAAATGCATTCCTATTCAAAGGGAATAGTCAGAATAAGTTTTATTTGGATTTAATTTGTATTTACTTGATGATATTCTTCTTGTAAGAGGTAAGAGAGGAAGAATAAATCACTCGAGTGCATAGTTCATAAACATACTAGGCACCTGGCCTACTATAAGCATTCATGTATTACTTAATTTGCCACACAATGGGAAATCCAATACTTTTTTGCAAGAAGGTCCCTTACATCTAGCAGCAAACCACTTCAGCATCAGAGTCAAACCATACTTAAGAAAGCAAAACTCACAGATGCATATAAAATCAAGAGATCCCAAGGACATGCTATGGTTTTCAGTAGGGAAAACCATCTTCCCCAATCCACTAGCAAGTGAATTCCAGTAAGGATAGCAACTGGCTATAGGTTTGAAGTGAAACATAAGTGTTTCAAAGGAGTGCATTGGCCAAAGTAAGTGAAAGACTCTCACTACATAATAACTTACTGTTGATTGCATTTGAGAATATCAACAGGCACAATGCAAAGCATACTTGTGATGGTTAATATTTAGTGTCAACTTGATTGGATTGAAGCATGCAAACTATTGTTCCTGGGTGTGTCTGTGACTGTGTTGTCAAAGGAGACTAACATTTGAGTCAGTGGGCCGGGAGAGGGAGACTCACCCTCAATCTGAGAGGGCACCATCTAATCAGCTGTCAGCGTGGCCAGAATAAAGTAGGCAGAAGAAGTTGGGAGGACTGGACCTGCTGAGTCTTCTGGCCTTCATATTTCTCCTATGCTGGATGCTTCCTGCCCTCGAACATCAGACTCCAAGTTCTTCAGCTTTTGGACTCTTGGACAAAAAAGGTAAAGTGATGTACAGGAATCGGAAGTGAGGTACAGAAACAGCAAGATTGCTTATAGCTTGGTGTTTGCCTTATTTGAACGCAGTTTGAACACTCAGCAGTCTATGAGTGGTTGAAGTATGGCCACTGGGATTGGCCAACACTCAGCTATTGTTACAGATGCACACTATTAAATTAGGTTTTCAATTTTGTCTGACTATTAAGCTAGGTTACAGTTCACCCACAAGGCCTCAAATATAGAAGTACAGAGTCCTTCTCAGGCCATATTTAGTTTGCTTTAACAATTCCCCCCTTTTGGTCATTTTCTCAATTTTGAAAGATTGACCAAAACCGTAGTCATTGATGTTCCTATCACTATCATACATGCACTTATATGGTTTTGAAACCCACTGGGAGACAGTAGAACAGTGGGTTTTGCAAGGAGGGAATAAGGACTGAGTAGAGGGTTCCTCCCTACGCTGGAACATCCTGTTTACAGGAGGAAAAAACAAAACCTGGCTTGTTCTAAGATCTATGTATTTTCTTGAAGCCTTAGTTTGGTTATGTCACATTTAGCATGAGTGACTCCATTTTAGTTTGGTTTGGTTTGTTGGGGCCTACCGCATAAGCTTAGTCCAAAATAATGGCCAATTTTGTTTAAGAAAAATTCCCCCTTTTTGGCCAGGTTCTCACTTAGGTGACAGTGTGACCAAAACTTAGGGCCTTAGCACCACTCTCAGTTACCATCATTTTGGGTTTCCAGTCTCAGTGTGTCATTCATAGGTTTCGGTGTCCTTATGGTCACACATTTCTTTCAGCTTTTATCATTCAAGTTGAAGACAGACCATTTGACATTCTAGGGATGGCTGCATGCAAACATTTAAAGTCTTTGAGAGAATACAGCACACCAGGGAGACTATTATTATGACTATCGGGAAGATAATACCAAGAGTTTGGAGTATGCTCCTTACCCAGTGTCCCCATAAACCAAACCATGTAAAATTAAATAAAGAATGAGCTAGATGAAGAGTCTACTCACTTGACTAAGTGGTCTTTTCATGAATCCACCATAACTGAATTTTTATAATCTACATTTGATGCATTTCTCTACAGACCGTAAGTGTCATCAGCTACACAGGTACTTCTCTGTCTAATCAATTATATTATTTAGCGTAACTTTCACAAGAGAATTTAATTTCTGTTGTATAAGGATAGCCTTTAAAGTAGAATTTTCTGTAAAACCTATTATGAGGGAGACATTCTAATCATTGCCTGTTTTATTCTAAACCATGGAAAAAGGACCTAACAAACGATGTCCTTCTAGAAGAGTGAAGGCCTCCTGGCAATGTTCTCTTTAATCTGTGATGTGGGTTAAGAGAAGTTTTGACTGACTATGAGGCAATGTATATACCGCTAAAGTTTCTCACCTATCTTGGGCCTTCATCTTTTATCTATTAAAGTATAAGGTTATTCATGTATAACGCTAGCTGCAAAATCCTTCACAAATAAAAGTATACCCTATAAATTGCTCATAGAGGCATAAACAAAAAAAAAAATTCAAAGATAAGAGTCTCATAGCAGTAGATGTTTTGATCTGTGATCTTGGGAAAAGTTGTTCACATCAAGGATGCCATCTTCTTCTGGGGAGAAACTTTCCTGGTTAGTTTTCCTTAAAGGCTCCAAAGGGTGTACAGTTCCAGGAGTGTGGAGGAACCTTTCTCAGTTGTGAGATTATGAACCCAAGGTTCAAGTCTCCAAAGTTTTGCTGTAGTGTGGAAGGAAAGGACAGTCTTTCTCTGAGGTTCTCAGAAGATCTAATCTTTGAGTTTTAGATTGTGAAGGGATTGTCCTCAGTGAACCATAAAAAGATTTCTTTAGCCTGGTGAAATTTCACTGTAGCATAATAATCTACCGTTGCTACAACATCAACCCTTTTGCATGGGAAAACTTCTATACAACCAGAAAACATGCATTGAAAATGATAATTGAATGAAATCCCTCTGTAAATGTTTAAATAGCCCATCAGGCAGCCAAATGTACCTGAAGCTTTGATTGTCTTTCCAGGAATATGGAAACAAATATTGGTTTTAACCTATTTCCACAATTTATAAGTCACCACGTCAATATATTCAGCTTGGATTATTTTATCTTTCCCATGATGAGTCATGGAATGCAGAACCTTTAGTAACAAAAGCTTTAAGGACTCAGGAAGGACAAGACAGCTGTCCTGGTTCTTCATGAGTCCATGCTTAACATTAGACTTATGTCCTCTTGACTACCAGTTGTTTCTCCAATGTAGGTGCATAGCATTGATCATAGGTAATTTGACTTAGACCATGGAATGCATTCAAATTGTTTATTTAACAATTTTAGTGTTGGCTGATTTAGCATGATAATCTAGAGCTTGACTTTGAAAGGTTTGTTAAATACCAAAGGTTTAAAACATTGTATATTACAAAATAGAATCTTAGGTTACCATAAGTCATTCATTTAGCCAAAATGATAACTCAAAAATTTTTAAAAGGAAAAAACATTATTTTGATAGAGAGGAGACTTAGCTTTCCAAACAAGACCCAATGAAGATAGCATGAGGACAACTGACTCTGTCTCCTTTCTTTCCTTTCCTCCTCTTTTGCTTTTGTAGTTTACTTAAAAGGTAAAAAAAAAAAAAAAAACCTTTCATTATCTTTTAATATTACATAAAAATCCTTTTTAAAAGAGAAAAACAAATTTTATGTTTTCATTAGTATATTTTAACGTTAAAGCTAGTTTTAACATTTTATAAATCTATTCAGTTTTAATTAGTTTGACCATAAGGTAAGATTTTTATAAACCTCTTATAGCCCTTTACAATCTCTCAGAGCAGAACTAATTTCTAAGAAAACTCTGTTGTGCTTTTATTCCAATGTCCAATTTATGGCAAAAAAAAAAAAAGCCGAATAATGGCATTTTAACTTTTGCCAATATGTTCTCACACAGAATCTCTTACAGTTATTTTTTGTACCACAACTTGTTCAAATCTTTAGCTCTAGTTAATTTAAAACAACCCTTTAACCCTCTAACCTAGGCAAAAATTAACTTTCCCTTACCTTCTTATAATCTTATAATCAAAACACATTTTATTCTCCTTACATACCTTGTATGTAAACTTATTTTTTCAGTAGTCTCAATTACATACGACAATATTAACTCTTAGCAACTTTTCCTTTTGGTAAAAACCTTAGTAGGTAAGGGATTTTCATTGTGTACTATGTGTGGAGCCTAGTCTAGGACATACCAGGCAGAAGTACAGATAGGGGCTGACTCTCCAGCATAGCTAGCAGGTGTGGCTAACTCCACATGTCCCCAGGCCTTATCTAGAATCTAAGGTCTCCAGGGTAGGTAAATTGAACAATTTTCAAAAGCCTAAGAAGCAGTTTATAACCTTAAAGCATTTAGTAAACTTAATATCTGATCTGCATAATTTAGACCAAATGTCTTTATTTTGCCAATAATTTTTAAAACTATCTTTGTTTCCCAAAGATTACTTAAGTCACCTAACTGAAAGGCATTACACTTTTTATCTTGCTTTCAAAATATTTGATGTAAGTGCTTATTTTTGTTTAAGCCAATTAATTAGAGTTCTTTTATATCAACATTACGCACAACACATACGTAATTATACAGACAGATAGACAGAAGAAGATTACTACAGTAGTTGTAAGATTTTTCATTTGTCAGTTTTTAAGTTTCTTAATTGGTTATTTGCTTTATGGTGGAGTCCTTGGAAGAACAGGGCCAAGAAAGGGGTTTCTGGTGCCTCCTGTTTTTACCAAGGAGTCCAGGATGTTAGAGCTTGAATATCTGCTTTTAATTAAGCTGACTCTTAACCATAGCACTCTTTAATTAAGTCCTTTTAAAATTTCTTATTACCTGATTTTAGCCAGGCCAAATGGGCAACATTTCTGGCTTTTAAACTTTACCAAAGATAACCTCCCAGGTGCTCACAGAAAGGAAAATTTAAGATAGTCCATGGAGGAGAAGAGACTAGAGAATGTCACGCCGATATTAAACCAGAAAGGACTTACTTCCTAAGCCGGGAATCAAACCCAGACCACCATTGTGAAAGGGCAAAACTTAGCTACTGAGCCACAGTATATGGCAACCTCCAGTGTACTTCTCAGAAGAAGTCTAGAGTAGCTAATTTTGAGCTTGTAAAGCCTTTTAACTACTCAAGATAATTTTTAGAGCTAACTATGACATAAACCCTAAAATTCCTGTCCCCTTGAAGGCGGAGACCAAAACTATTGCCACATGGTTACAAGGTCAAGCTCCCAAGGACATACAACAAGATGGAGATCCCATCCAGGTTTTTTTGTTTCAGGGACCTGCAGGAAAATTTGTTACTGACCAGCTTGCAGGGCCGTCTTGAGCAGTGAGCTTATGGGGTCCTAAACCCATGTTTTATTTTAAGGTATCCCTTGACATAGAAAAATGAATTTATAGCACAAACACATCAGTTCAAGACTAGCCTCAGAATTCTTTTTCGCATTAATCAAAACTTTACAGAAGAGATAAACAGTGATTTTTACCATTCACCTGTTTGCACAGAGAGACAGAAGCCAGAAATCTGACTGGTAAGATATTCTTACCATTTTGCCAGCATGCCAGGTTTCTGGGTTCTCTTTCCCTGAGCGGCCCTAGTGACTCAGCTGGCCACACTATTGTGCTGGGGGCCAATCCGCATCATAAAGGAAAATTACCTTTTTTTTCATTCTGGCCAAAGCAAAATACATGTGATAAAACATAGACATTAGCCACTCTGCTTAGCACCCAATATCAAACGGGCAAGGCTTAAATCTGCCCTCAGATGGGCCCCTTCATCTTTATTCCAACCTCCAACTAGGAGTTTCAACACGTGGTCTCTGGGCAAGATGGTCACCCTGAGTAATAGAAAAGATGAGAAAGGGAAAGGAGAGAGAGAAAGCATTGCCTATGGCCGGGTGGGGAAGGCGAAATGACCAGGGAGGCCACAGAAAGACTCACCCATTGCAGCGACACTGAAAAGTTCAAGCGGCTGCTTCTCGGTAGCAAAGGGATCTTTTCCAGCAGTCTCATCAGCTCTCATTTCCATTTTAGGGAGGAAAAAGCTCCCCATGTCCCGTGATCCTATACACGCCTAATCCTATCACCCATAGCGGTTAGCAAAGGGCGCAAGGCAGATTATTCCAAAGAGAATAAGCAGTTGACATCCTGTAGGGCCAAACCTGTTCTTAGCTGAAAGGGACTTTACTGAGAGCCCTCATTTTTAAATG
Source organism: Homo sapiens (assembly GCF_000001405.40). Classification (NCBI taxonomy): domain Eukaryota; kingdom Metazoa; phylum Chordata; class Mammalia; order Primates; family Hominidae; genus Homo; species Homo sapiens. The sequence continues at coordinate 7,847,564 of NC_000009.12, read as the reverse complement.
TACTTCAATGCATTGTTGTTCATTCAGAACATTCCACTGTAAGTTATCTTTAGTAAGATTTTATAAGATTCTGTAAGACTTCGCTGCCTCCCAGGCCTAAAGTATAAGCCAGAAGGAGCTCAGTTTTCTAGAAATTAAGGATCCCATTTTTTACCTAAAATATTGGCTTTACTCTCAGGTTCTCTTGATTAACTTAGCCAATGATTTTTTTCCTACCTAAGCGGGCAAGAAAAATGAAACAAAAGGGTAGAACACAAAAATCCCTGTGCATTTTATAACCCCTGCAATATTACTGCTTTCCACCAGTTCCTTTCTGGCCCAGTCAGATGTAAGAGGCCTCTAACTGGATCCGAGCCAGTTAATTCCTGGATCAAATCCCTTCCCAGACCCAGTGCAGTTTCTATCGTGACTCCAAACCCAGTTTGGATCAGAAATTTGCTCAAAGAAACTTGGGGAGCTCAAAACACAAATCCATGGAGCTCCAAAATCCAAGGGGGAGCTTACCCACAAGTCCCAGCTGCTCTGAGAGATCAATGGACATAAGTGAGTCCTGCAGGTACGTTGCGTGTTCACTCAGTGCTCCTGGGTGACGCTGGAAGCTCCACTTCGGATCTCGCTTCTGACACCATCTGATAAAAGAAAAACTTCAGCTGAATTAAATTTAAAGGAGTTTAATTGAGCAACGAACAATTCGTGATTCGGGAAGCCCTCAGAATCAGAGCAAATTCACAGAGACTCCAGGAGTGCCTCGTGGTCAGGACAAATTTATAGACAAAAAGGAGGTAAAGTGACATACAGGGATCAAAAGTGAGGTAGAGAAACAGTGAAATTGGTTACAGCTCGTCGTTTGCCTTATTTGAATGTATTTTGAACACTCAGCAGTCTATGAGTGGTTGAAGTATGGCTGCTGGGATTGGCCAACACTCAGCTATTGTTACAGGTGCATACTATTGAGTTAGGTTTTCAATTTTATCTGACTCTTAAGCTAGGTTACAGTTCATCCACAAGGCCTCAGATATAGAAGTACAGAGTCCTTCTCAGGCCATAGTTAGTTTGCTTTAACAACTTACACCAGTCAGGGGCTCTCGGGCCTTTGGCCACAGACTAAAGGCTGCACTATAGGCTTCTCTACTTTCGAGGTTTTGAGGTTTGGGGACTCGAACTGGCTTCCTTGCTCCTCAGCTTGCAGACAGCCTATTGTGGGAATTCACCTTGTGATCGTGTGAATCAATACTCCTTAATAAACTCCCCTTCATATATACATCTATCCTGTTAGTCCTGTCTCTCTGGAGAACCCTGACTAATACAGTACCCAAAAATACATTAAATTTCTCTTCTAAATATTTCAACATTCACGGAAAGAACTGAGAGTAAGCTGATAGTTAAAAAAAAAATGCAAAATTTAGGAAAGTTTAAACATTTAGTAGCTACTTGGCAAAATAGACATATAATAAGAGTAGGTACCGAAAAACCAATGTTGATATCTTATCGTAATATTTGACTTGTTCGTCATAAATATTTAGCCTGTTTAGTCACATTTAATAACCATAAAATGTAATTACACAGTAGTTACTAATGTCATTTTGAGTTTATTTCAAACCACCCAGATTTACTCTACTCTGCATAAATCCTAAATCACAACAGAGCTCTTAGAATAATCAATATTTAATTAAGTTATAATTACTCACAGTAACTGCCTTTGAAATGCAAATTAAATGCCTCTGTGTGACATTTTAAGAGGTTATCACTTTTCTTATTAGGTCACTATATAATAGATTTATTGCCATAATTTATTCTTATTTCTGGTGAGAGTATTTGTATTCTCAGAAGATGTATAAATTTGTAGAACATTAGGAAAAACAAGACACTAACAACTTGTTGTATCATCTTCTAAAACCATAATTTAGAAGACAGATAATTTTTTTTTAAACTTAGCAATTCTGATCTTGCTCACAGGGATATGTGACTGGTTGCTTGCTGCTCAAACTTCCCACAGGCTCAAAGGAATACCCCCTCCATCCCATTTACAACAAACACCCTGGTATGCTGCAAAAAACAGAGTAGTCCAAGTGTGAATAGATTACACTGATCCAGTTCAGTTGCTGCTCTCCACTTGCAGCTTCCACCCCTTTCAGAGCTATAGAAACTTTTTTAGGTCTCAGGGTGCCATTGGGCATAGTTGCTTCAGTGAACTAGATGGTACTCTGCTGATTAGAAAGCATTTATCAAGAGTGCGGAGGTGCAAGACTGACAAGTAAGAGGTAGCTTCAGCTAGTAGAATGGAAATGCCTTCTAATTAGATTGTGAATTTCTGTGAGGGATGGTGATATAGTTCAGATATTTGTCCCCTCCAAATCTCATGTTGAAATGTGATCCTCATTGTTGGAGGTGGGGCCTAGGGGAAGGTGTTTGGGTCATGGGGGTAGATCCCTCATGAATGGTTTGGTGCCCTCCCTGCAGTAATGAGTGAGTTCTGGCTCTATTACATTATAGGAGATCTGGTTGTTAAAAAGAGCCTGGGACCTCCCTCCCACCTCTTCTCTCTCTTACTTGCTGTCTTGCCATGTGACATGCTGGCTCCCCCTTCGCCTTCCACTATGATTGAAAACTTCCAGATGCTGGCACCATGCTTCTTGTACAGCCTACAGAACTGTGAGCTAAATAAACCTCTTTTTAAAATAAATTATTGAATCTCAGGTACTCCTTTATGGCAGGGCAAACTGGACTAATACAGATGGTAATTCGTCTCATATCTCTGGTATCCCCCATGGTGCGTAGATCTGCAGCTGGCCTGCTATAAGCACTCATCTATTGCTTAATTTGCTACGCAATGGGAAATGCAATACCTTTTTACAAGAAGGTCCCTTACATCCAACACAAACGACTTCAACATCAGAGTTAAGCCATACTTAAGGAAGCAAAACTCACGGATGCATTGAAAATCAAGAGATCCCAAGGAAATGCTATAGTTTTCAGTAGGGAGAACCATCTCCCCCAATTCATTAGAAAGTGAATTCCAGTAAGGACAGCAACTGATTATAGGTTCAGGAGAGACTCCGTTTGTGAAGATGCCCTCTGCTGACATAAATGTGCAATGGTATATGACTACTGACACTTTGCTCCAGTGTTACAGACACAAGAGGGAGAGCTGGGGACTGTAGTAACCAGGAAAATGCACACTACATCTATGGGGAACAACTGTTACTAACGCCAGCCAACTGTTTGCATGCCATCTTCTAATTTTGCAAAAAATTATGGAAATCCAGATTTTTATGAAAAATCTGATCATATGGCAACAATTTGAATTTTTAAGAACATTGTATGAGCTAACACTGTACAAGCAATGCAAAATGCAACACTGGATACTATCTGGCTTAGCAACCTCTGTTCTGTCTTGTCTGACACATCCCCTTTACTACATTCCAAGAGCTTCTCAACAGATCTCCAAGCCCCTTACTGCTGCACATCCATTATTTCTTTCTACCACTTCTGGGTCTAATCACATCATTAATTGGTTTAAATTCCTTCAGTATTTCCCTGCCGTTCAAAATAAAGTCAAATTATTTGGTGAACCCCATTAGTTTCCATCTACAGCCTTAACTCTTACAATCCCAAGGACCCTGACCTCCAAACAATTCACAGTTTCCCATGTATGCCATATGTTTTGCACACATATGGGATAGTATGTGCTATTCTATCAGTGAAGTATCTCCCAGCTTTTGTTTTCTTCACCTGGCAAAATTCTACTCAGTTTCTTGCTCCCACCATCCATGACTTCTCCTCCATGAAGATTTCCCTACTTCTTCCCATGGTTTATCCTTTTTCTGTGTTCTATAGCTTCTTTATCATTTACTACATCAAATTGTAAATATGTATTATATTTATGTGTCTCTTCCTATGAGAATGAATTCTTTGAGAGCAAACGATTCTCATCATCTTTGTATTCTCAGTGCCCAACAGGGTATTTATTACTACTTTACGAATAAATAGAGAAATCTAACATTGACACCTTGATATTTCATTGGCAAAGCACAAATCTTGTAAAATATGAACTGTATTTTGGGGGTATGCATTAGAGATGTATGTGTTCATGGGGAAATATCTTACCCATGTTCTCAGCATGGATATGCTGTTCACATGCCAATCTCATCAATAAGCCACAGTGTGTGTGTGTGCGTGTGTGTGTCTGTACTCTCCTGAAAATCAAGGTCAATCCTCCCTCCTATACTAACTTTTGGCAAAAGTACTTTGCCATATTTTGAAAGGAATTATGTAGTGGGTGGTTATTTGTGGTACACAACTACAATATGAGTTGAGTATAGCCACATGTCACTTGAGTTCCATTCTGTCCTAGGTCCATCACCAAGAGTCTAAGACTAACCCAGGCATTGTAGCTTCCATTTCTAGAGCTAATAATAGTCCAATAGATGACAGCACATTTCCCACTAGCAAGGAGGGTCTGAACAATTCTTATTTATAATTTTCAAGCTGCGCTCTTCATGGCCTTTGAATTCTGTGAAGTTTTACAGAGGGATGAGTGGGCAGGGTTTGGGGTATCCCCATCTCCTGTATCAAGTGGAGAAGAACCATGTTTGTTTATTTCACATGTTGAATTTCCCATGAAAGTTTGAATTTTAAAAAAGAGTTTGCTGTTTTTAAAATGTTTGAAAACCAAAAGCCTAGGTTTCACTTAAAATGCCCAAGTGCCTACAAGTGAATAATAGTAATAGCCAACACTTAAGAGATACTTACTATGTGCTAGGCTCTGTTCTAAGAACTTTACTTGTGTTCATTCATTATATTCTCATAGTAACACCACGACATAGGTACAATTATTATTCTCACTTTTCTGATGTGAAAATTGGGGCATGAAGAGGTTAGAAAACTTATTTAAATTTACACACAGTTAGTAGCGGGCAAAATTGAGATTCAAAGTTGGGCATACTAGTTCCAGAATTCATGCTTTAAACCACTCTACTACACTACCTAGAGAGCATCAAAGGTAACCCCCTGCCAGCTTCAGAATAGGTTTGGCTTCTGGAAATCTCTCCAGTAATGTTGCATTACTCTCCTTGATGGACAAGACTTTCAACTAAAAATAAAAACCATATCTTCCCAGAAATTTAAAAAATGCATCATGAGCCATATCCCTCAGATCAAATATCTTGGAATTAACAAGTTTGTATAGAACTTGAATTTATCCCCACACCATTTAGACTTAAAGGTTTACCATAAGATGAGGATAGCATGTTGCCTGTGCTATGCAACAAACTGGCTCTGACCCTTTAAGGGAACCCAAATACTCAAGTGTCACACACTAATCAATGAATAGTGACAAGCTGGAGATACCCTAAGTCACTCATGGCAAGCCCCCTAGATCTTCCTTGCTTATATCTCACCTGCTGCCTCTCAAACCCTGTCTCTACTCTACTGTGAACTCTTGGCTCTAAAATCTCGATTACATTTTGCAACAGGACCTGTGGTTTGATATTGCTTACTGGCTTGCCAGAAGCTGATGGGCTCAGATTTGGCTTGCTTCTCTGGCTCTTTTCAGCCAAGGACTGTCTCATGTTGGAATCCAGCTTTAGTCTCTGTCCTTTGGAATACAATTATTAACACCAGGCAGCATGCTGATCTAGGATGCTCAGGCCCCTCTCCTCTAGGGCTGCATTCAGATGTTGCTCTCCTTATTTTAGGCCAAATGGTAGCTTACTCCAGCTCACATGCTGGAGCTCTCAGCATTTGCCATAATCACAGCTGGGCCATTTATAACAGGATGGAGCATGTGAGTAATGACAAAGTAAAACTGAACGAGTCTTTTCGAAACCTAAAAAAAATGAGTAAGAAGGTTGTAAAGAAAACCAAGGAAGGTTATTGGATTGCCCCATGCCCAACCTAAAACAACCATACAGAGGTTTTGAATAGGGGTTTCAAAACCATAGAGCAGAGAGAATTAAAAACCCAAAATACATGGTATGTTGTGGGAAAGCCCCTTAATGTTGCAGAGTGAGGAACTGGAGAGACTCCTCCCTCAGATATTAATACAGTTAGATCATGCCTAATTGGTATTATGTTATCTCAGGAATTACATGCACTCAACTGAGAAAAACATTACTCCTAAGTTGTCAGGCTTTTAACATTTTTAATACAGTAGTAACTGGTATCCTTGATGAATGTATATAAAGAATAATATAATATCAGAGTCTTACTTGTACATCATTTTTCCCAATAGTCAATGAGTTAGAACATGCTGTCTACAAGGCCAGGCGCGGTGGCTGATATCTGTAATCCCAGCACTTTGGGAAGCTGAGGTGGGCGGATCACCTGAGGTTGGGAGTTCAAGACCACCCTGACCAACATGGAGAAAGCCCATCTCTACTAAAAATACAAAATTAGGTGGGTGTGGTGGTGCATGCCTGTAATCCCAGCTACTCAGGAAGCTGAGGCAGGAGAATTGCTTGAAGCCGGGAGGTGGAGGTTGCAGTGAGCTGGGATTGCACCATTGAACTCCAGTCTGGGCAACAAGAGTGAAACCATCTCAAAAAAAACAAAAAAACAAAAAAACACCATGCTGTCTACAATGTTCTTTCCAGTAATAGTAATTCATATTTTTCTTCTTCCAATAGTACTTTAGGTAACCTCAGAAATTTTATTTGAATTAAATTTTTAAAAATTCAAATATCTACGATTCACCTGGCTACTACTAATCCTCAACTCTTCTGCCAGAAGAAAGGAAGAATGATAGAAAATGGCCTGGCTGGATCTTATTGAATATGCAATTCCAAGAATTTGTAACTCTATTTCCTAGCCCTAAAAGTTACTGGACTTGATGAACCGCTATACTTCAGAGGCAGTGAAAGATAAATTGGGGTTAAGGTGTGTAGAAATTACACTCCATTACAATAAGAGAGAGCTGGAGTGGCTTATGCTTTGAGCTAACCTATGCTGATTTTAGTCCAAGTGTAATATTGACAAAATCAGTATGCTTGGCAGTTATGCATTAAAGGCAACATCTGAGTGGCATTTGCAAAAAATGATGAGCTGAATAGCTTGCTCCTTGCTGGGCTATAGGGTTTATTTTGCTTTATTGGTCTGTAATATTTAGAACATGTGACTGCTGAAAGACCCAGGTTACACTCATAATTAGAACAAAGAATAGAAGGAGTGCGCAAGGTTTTTGAGGATGTTTGTTTTGCTTTCAAAAGAATAGGTTAGGTGGAAATGGCATTAGCCTTTATCAAAGCCCTGCTAACTCTAGACACCGCCCTAGGCATTTGTCATGGTCATGAAAATGTGTCTGTCACATCTCTGACCGTGAGGAGCATGATTGATCTAGGCCTCAACTGCTGTGCTCTGAAATCCATCACTGCCTTCTCACAGAGGCCAAACTTCCCATGGGCTGCTTCTAACCAATCACTGAGCGTGATATTAACGTGTGTCCATTCTTCGAAGACAGGGTATTCCTCAGGCAGATGACTTTGTTTCAGAGTCTCTCTTGGAATTGTGCCTCAGTTTAAGGGTCTTCTCCATAACCTCCTTTCCATCCCTTTCTCCTTCACAAGTATTAATAGTATAGTGCAGGTCTTCACTGTAGTACAGGTCTGATAGTTCTCCCATCTGCTCTGGACTTCACATGCCTTTTCCGTTAACAGTCATTTCCTTTGATAAATCTCTTGCACATCTAATTCCATCTTATTGTCTGCTTCTCAAATGGCCCAGACTGATAGTATTTTTGTATACGATGACTCATCTTACTACTTACAAAAATCTCGTGAGATAGTTTACTAATAAGGTCTCATGTTAAATAATGGAAAACTGATATTTAAAATAAGAAAACTTGTTCTAGAAGTGGAAGAGGTATAATTTTTTTTCTTATCTGTAAAGTCCAGGGGGAGACATTTAGGCATGGCTAGGTCTAAGGATTCAATCAATGTCATTAGGACTTGGTTTCTATCCATCTTTGATTCTGAAGTTTTCTGTCTGACTCCTTTCTGAGAACCTCTGTTCTTAACTCTAGGTTAACTCTAGGTTTATGTTCTTTAACTCTAGGTTTATGATCTCCTATTAGCAATTTCAATGGTGAAGAGCTTTCATCTTCTTAACAATGCCGGTGAAATTCCTGGACGTGGCTTTCGTTGACCTAAATCGGATCACAGGTCCATGCTTGAAGTAATTGTTGTGGCCTAGTGGATGGGATACACTAATTGGCTTAGCCCTGAAACCCACTCCAAAGCTGGGGGTAGGTAGGATAGGCCCCACCCAACAACATGGACTGAGAATAGGGAAGAGGTGGTTTCCATAATGGAAAATTAGGGTGCTCTTTCCAAAAAAAGAGGAGTAGTTTCTGAGCATCACATGTTGATCATAGAAATGTATTACATGTTGGAAAAAATGAGAACCCAGAAATATTAAACCATTTACATAAGCTGTTTCTTAAATTTTAGAGGATCAGAATTACTTGGAGGACTCATTAAAATACAGATTGCTGGGTTCCACCCCCAGAGTTTCTTGATTTAGTAGGTCTGGACTGAGTCACAAGAATCGCACTTCTAACAAGTTCCTAAGTGGTGTTGATGCTGGTCTAGTGACCATACTTTGAGAATCACTGTTTTTAATAAATAAAATGTGTTAACTCTTTTGAGCAATTACTAGATTCCAGGTACTGTTATAAGGTTTATATACATTATCTCATTTAGTCTTCACAGTAATGCTAGGAGGTAATGATGGTTATTATCTCCATTTTAAAGTTTTAAGAAACTAAGTTTCAAAAAGACTAAGTGACTTTACCAAGGACACATTAGAAAGTGTCAAAGCTGAAATTGAAACTCAAATGGCTCCTAAAATAAACTTTCCTAAGAAAAACAGCCAGAAAGATGACATCTGCCTAGGAAAAAATAGAAATCAACTAGTCCCTCACTATTAGGTTATACATGGCCTATATGATTTAAAGTTAAAAAAATCAATTAACTATCCTTTTCCCAAAATCATCCATGTTAATTATATTCTAAGCACATATAGGCATATAAAGTGGTTATAAAAATGATAATGGTTTCACATCAATTTATAGCCCAGACCAGAGTCCAAACCATAGAAATATCTAGAAAGGATATGTTTCTCTCAGATATTTCTTCTTCTTGAGCCCCTGCTGCAGTGTGAAATTTTAATATCTTATTAAGTATATAGCCATCATAAACTACTGTCCTTTTTTATCAAGTTTCTAATGCAAGAAGAAGCACATTCTTAATAATGACCTAAATCTATCTCATGAAATAAAGCTCAAGAACGATGAACTCTAAATTATGAGTGATTATTTTTAAATTCATGGGAACTTTTCTGAACATTTTTTCTTATCTGCCTAATTTTTCCAGAAAACCACTGTCATTGTTACCTGTAATATAAGCAGTTTATTTAGAGAAGGAATTCCTAATTTATTTAAAGATTTATTGTATTTTAAAGAAGAAATTATCATATCAGATCATGGCATATCCTTGCTGCCAAAACAACCTTATGATAACAACACCTGAATCATAAAACATGATTAATTCTAGCCTCTAGACAGCCTGTAGTTGAAGAAGGGAAACTACAAAAGCCAGAAATGAAAGGGAAAGAAAAGAATGTATAACAACTGAGACTTCAAACTCCATATATTATGAACTGTGATGTACTTCTATTAATTATATTTATTCAGTAAAGCATTTTACAACTTTGCCACAAAGAAAGCATAGTCTAATAAGGAAATTGCATGTACAAAATATATATGGTTTTTTAACATCTATAACTAGCTGGATCTCATACTAAACATCTAGTTAGGGTAAAGGTTATAGTCCTTTAACAAGGATATTCAAAAACACAATAGCTCAAACAAGGTCCAGCTTGGTGGCTCACACCTGTAATCCCAGCACTTTGGGAGGCCGAGGCAGATGGATCGCTGGAGGTCAGGAGTTTGAGACCAATCTGGCCAAAATGGTGAAACCCCATCTCTACTAAAAATGCACAAATTAGCTGGGCATGGTGGCACACACCTGTAATTCTAGCTACTCGGGAGGCTGAGGCAGGAGAATGGCTTGAACCTGGGAGGTGGAGGTTGCAGTGAGTGGAGATTGCATCACTGCACTCTAGCCTAGGTGACAGAGTGAGTGAGACTCTGTCTCAAAAAAAAAACCACTCTCAAACAAAATGAAGGTTATGTCAAATGTAAATGTTCAAGGTGGGCTCTGCTCCAGGAATTCAACAAGAGACCCAAGGGTAAAGAGCTACATCTGCCACCTTCCTGGACTCTAGAGGCTAAAACAATGCCATCTGCATGGACAAAACACAAAGGTCCACTAGATCCTGGTTCCACCTGGAAGGAAGAAGACAGAACATGGAGGCAGCAGGGGCACTGCCTTAAGGCTTAGGCCCCAAAGTGGCACCCATTACTTCTGTTCACATCCCTTTGGAGAGAATTTATTCACTTGGCCCCACTTAGCCACAAGGGAAGATAGAAAGTGATGTCTAGAATTGTCCAGTGGAAGAGAAAAGAGACCTCAGAAATAACACCACACATCTACGACCATCTGATCTTTGACAAACACAAGCAATGGAGAAAGGATTCCCTATTCAATAAATGGTGCTGTGAAAACTGGCCAGCCATATGCAGAAAACTGAAACTGGAACCCTTCCTTACACCTTGTACAAAAATTAACTCAAGTTGGATTAAAGACTTAAGCGTAAAACCCCAAACCATAAAAACCCTAGAAGAAAACCTAGGCAATACCATTCAGAAGGTAGGCATGAGCAAAGACTTCATGATGAAAACATCAAAAGCAATTGCAAAAAAAGCCAAAATTGCCAAGTGGGATCTAATTAAACTAAAGAGCTTCTGCACAGCAAAAGAAACTAGCATGAGAGTGAACAGGAAACCTAGAGAATGGGAGACAATTTTTGCAATCTACCATCGGACAAAGGCCTAATATCCAGAATTTACAAGGAACTTAAACCAATTTACAAGAGAAAAACAACCCCATCAAAACGTAGGCAAAGGATATGAACAGACACTTCTCAAAATAAGACATTTAGGCAGCCAACAAACATATGAAAAAAGCTAAACATCACTGATCATTAGAGAAATGAAAATCACAACCACAATGAGATACCATCTCACACCAGTCAGAATGGTGATTATTAAAAAGTCAAGAAACAATAGATCCTGGCAAGGCTGTGAAGAAATAGGAATGCTTTTACACTGTTGGTGGAAATATAAATTAGTTCAACCATTGTGGAAGACAGTATGGCAATTCTTCAAGGATCTAGAACCAGAAATACCTTTTAACCCAGCAATCCCATTACTGGGTATATACCCAAAGGAATTTAAATCATTCTACTATAAAGACACATGCACATGTATGTTTATTGCAGCACTATTTACAAAGTCATGGAACCAACCAAAATGCCCATCAATGATAGACTGGATAAAGAAAATGTGGTACATATATACCATGGAATACTATGCAGCCATAAAAAAGCATGAGATTGTGTCCTTTGCAGGGACATTGATGAAGCTGGAAGCCATCATCCTCAGCAAACTAACACAGGAACAGAAAACCAAACACTGCATGTTCTCACTCATGAGTGGGAGTTGGACAATGAGGACACATGGACACAGGGAGGGGAACAACACACACCAGGATCTGTTTGGGGATGTGGAGAAAGGGGAGGGAACTTACAGGACAAGTCAATAAGGGCAGCAAACCACCATGGCACACGTATACCTATGTAACAAACCTGCACGTTCTGCACATGTATCCTGGAACTTAAAGTAAAATTTAAAAAAAGAAAAATCTTTAAAAAACCACATTGACATGTGGTTTAATATGCACATTAATGGAATCTAAACGTGAAAGAGTCCTTACCTATAGAACATTTTTAGCAGAGTGTACCTATTCTCTATAGGACTCCCACAGTGAAAAAAAATCTATAATCTATAGATTTATGTGTTATCTTTGGAAAATGTAATTAATGCAAATATCAGTGTATAAACTAGTAGAAATTTTTTAAATTAAATATTTCCCTTTTCTTCCAGATTTGTTGAGGTATAATTAACAAATAAAAATTATATATATTAAAAAACTGAGGTCTAGTGTTGAACCAAAGAGGAAGGGAAAATGGATTTTGGTGGACAACTAGCAGTCTCTTCTCTACTACTGTACATTATTTATTTCAGTTAATCCTCACAACTACCCAATGATATAGATATATTTATTTCTATCTTATATATGATATAACTGAGGCTTAGAAAGATTAAGCAACTGATCCAAGGTCATATTAAGCCATTGAATAGCAAAACTGGAATTCAAACCACAACAGAGCTAACTTTAGACCTGTGCATGTAGCTACCATGACAGGGAGTTATAATGACACACTGCTTTCTCAACACTCTAAACACAAGAATGGTTATAATATTAGGTAGAATATGAAAATTCATTTTTTAATTTCAGAGTAGTTAATAGTAATGATACATATATAAGCTCCTAAAGGTGAATGTTGCCAAGAGGACAAAAAAGTATAGTCCATGAGCATCCCACCAGGGACAGAAAGCCATTTGTTTCACTGCAGCTTGTCTCCTGCGTATCTTCTCATTTGCTTTTATATTTTATGGGGGGTGATGTGGGTAATTTTATTATAACTAAGTGGTTTCTAAATAGAAAGTGTTATTTGGCCAGTGCCAAGAGGAATTGCAATCAAGGCAGAACTGGCTGTGAACACTAAGTTGAAAGCTATAGCTGAGCTGCATGACATTTAAAAGATTAGGGAGTTGTTTTATTGTCGTTTTGTTTCACAAGTGCAGTTTGATTTCTACAGCCTTTTTTATTCACCATATTTCAAATGTCTGCCACCGTGTACCAAAGCAGACAGATATGTGCTGCCTGCAAAGGGAAGCTTGGGCTCCTTGCCACTTGGAATGTGAAGACAAAGTGGCTCTTATTCCAAAAGGGTATCAGCCACTTTCTGAAGGTAACTCATGAACATCTGTAGGATTGGCAATACAAGGAGGAAAAGAAAAGGGAGAATTGGGAGGGAGGTGTGTGCTAGAGAACAAAAGGTAGAAAAGCCTAGCAAATCGTGGTGTTTCTAAATATGTCAAAGTAGATATTAAAGAACTGAAGACCATATCAGATTTCTCAGGGTTTTTGTTGTTGTTCTTCAAGATGAGAGAGAATTCAGAGTTAGCAATTTCTACTGGGCAGCTCGTCACTTTCTGCTTGGAACTGACATCTGCTAGGCAGCTAGCATTCAGGACTGGAAGGTGTGATTAGCTTGGGCTCACAACAGCATCATGTAACCTGCCCATGGCTGGCAAAATACCTATCAGTGGGACAACAGCAGGAGCAGCAACAGCAGTCCTGTCAACTCACTGAGGAAGGAGGGATGGTGTTGGCCAATAAGTGACAGAAAGCTTGACATCTGGCCATTTATCATTTGAAAAACTCCAACAAACAAAAGGAAGGGCAGCAGATGTGAAACCCTAGGTCAACTCAGGTAAAATAAACCATCAAACCTCTCCCTCCATAATTCACAGATGCACCCAGAGCAACAGGCAGATACTACACTGCACTATGGGCTTCCCTCATGGCCATGACTCTTTCACTATGTCCTGGCAGGTAAGTGCATAGTCTTATTTCTTTCCTTTCTCAATATCTTCTCTAAGGCTATGGCTTTATTGAGGAGGCAGGAGAAGTATCATTTAGGCAGTAGCTTTCCTCACAGAAGTCATATGTTATCAGTGCAAGGGATGCAGTCACACACTTGGTAGATGGTATTTATGCCTCCCCAGACTTCTCCATCACCCAGAGTATAAAGGTGTTTCCTTATTACTTACCTTGTGCACAATTATTTCCCAGCTACAGCAGCAACTTTTGTTTCTGTATGTTCTATCCAGTTCCCCACCACCCTCCACCTAGGAAGTTCTGTGTGACACAACTGTATACTCTGTAAATTCCAGGATGGAAGGCCCTTCCTTCCTTCCTTGCCTGAATCTGTATATAATTCACTAATTCATTCAGAGTACTACATATTCTTCTAAGTACCAGGGAAATGGCATTGAAATAAGTACACACACATACATGCACACACACTCTATCATAGAGCTTACATTCTAGTGGAGGAATATGACAATACATAAAATGTGTTAGTAAAATGTATAGTTAGATGGCAGAAAGTACTATGACAAAAATGAAGCAGGCAAGGGAGTGTGGAGTGCTGTAAAGTGGGGCAGTGGGTCGTATTTTAAATAGGGTGACTGTCAAAGGCTTTACTGAGATTGTCAATTGAACAAAGATGTAAAGGAGATGGAGAAGAGAAAATACAGGTATCTTGGGAGGAACATATCAGAGAGAAGAAACAGTGGTTGAGGTGAACATGTGCCAGACATCTCAGGAACAGCAAGAAGGCCAGTGTTGGCAGGCCAAAATGAATGAAGGGAAGAAAAGTAGGAGATGATGTCAAAGAGGTGAAGGGTGTGGGACAACACTGGGAAGTCTTTGGCTTTCAATGGTCTAAGATGGAAAGCTGTTTCTTCAGCCCTTCACCATCCAAATGACAGCCCAGTAGATGACTGGGTATTGGAAAGAATAAGTGCCTCACTTGGGCATTCCACTAGGTCCTTTATATTGGCTAACCACGAAGCTGTCTGTTGAATAGGGCCCAAACAAACAGGCTGCTTTAGAAGCTGTCCAGCAACTTGTGGTAGTATTTCATCTTGAAGACTCCACCACTTTAAGGATCCCTTTGAGCTCAAGTTTCTGATTATTTTGCCATGGAAGCCTCTCAGAAAGGGCAGCAGCCTCCACCCAGAGATGCTGCTTGGCTTTGTTGCCTCCCTGGCATGGCTAATTTTAAGAATCAGCTATCAGCTTGCTGCTGGGCTCATGTTGAATCTGAATGCCAGACCCTGGAAGCCTTCTGACTCCCCTGCTTAATATTCATATATTATTTTGGGATCAGTTGATTCTGACTTGATAATTAAAAAAGTAGGAATGGCCTAGTAAACTTCACTTATCAAAAGGAAAAGATGTGTTCAATAATACACTCCTTTAATTCAAGAACTGGCTTCAGTGGCATCTTGACTTTATGTGAAAAAGTATCAGCTATTCCTTTGGAGATAACTTTACCTCCCACTCCACCAACTGAAGCAAAGCCATTGGCTTATGAGGCCTTGATTCACAGAGATTCCTCTTACATGCTTTTGATGGATGTACTGATGGTTTGGTCAAGCTGGAACTAAGTGGTTTCCACCAGGCAGCTGTTCAGGCTCAGCGTCAGCTATGCAGAACCGAAAATGGTCATAGTTGCTGTACACAGTTGGCAGACTGCTGGTTCACTTCATATCTTTGGCCAATATTCCCTTTGATAAACCCTATTATATTTTTGCTGACTTGTGGCTGTTGCCAATGGCCTAAATATGTGGCCTGCCCCTTGGAAAATTACAGACTGGCAGATTAAGGACATCCCTCTTTGGGGACCATGACATGTGAAAATGAATCATGGCTGCTGAATAAGCCATCTGGGTATCTCATGTAGATGCCCATGATGAGTGCCTGTTCTTTGATGATACCAACGGGAATTAAGCTGCTAAATAAGCCTGCACTGCCCACATTGCCACCATTGTTACTGGGATAAGTCATTCAGTTGAACACAACATTATAGACTGGGCACAATGTAAAGGATTCCGTATTTCTGATGAAGAAGCCACTACTGCATGCCAGATTTGTGACTGCTGCCAATGGTTGACATGGTTTTCTCACAGTGAGAGAAGCCACGTTGCACTGGGCATTGACCCACCTGCTTCTGGCAAATTGACTACATTGGATCTTTAACCCTCTTTCCAGGCAAGCATTGGTACCTCACCACTGTTGATACTTTATTAAGTTACGGAGTTGTTCCAGTCTAATCAGATGATTCCAGTAACACCACTGTGGCCCTTAAAACTAATCTGTATCATGTTTCTAGATTACTTGATCATCTATAGTCTGGCAATGGTGCACCTTTTATTGTAAAAGCTACTCAATAATGGGCTGATAGTCACGGACTTTCCATACTCCCTACCATCCACAGGCATCTGATAGTCCAGCATTGGAATAACCTCAAAAAGGGACTCCAAAGTATTTCTGATGTTACTTCTCTTACCCTCTCCTGATGCTACCTTTCTCACTTCCTCCTGGTCTACACACCATAGTAAGACAGCTTGATCACTGAATGTGGCCACTCTTAGAAAGAGATCATGATTCTTGGCCACTTCTTGGGTAATAATTAGGAAGAAATGGATGGTGGTTACACAGGCCTATGTTGAAAATCTTGGATTCTGTATTGACCATTCCTAGGTATAATGTATCTTTCTTTATCCTGGCATCATCAACTCAAGGCCAGATAAGTTGGTATACCTTCTAGGTGGCAACACAATGAAAAGGGGGCTGTATTAGTTTCCTATTGTGGCTCTAACAAATTATCACAAAATTAGTGGCTTAGAACAACACAAGTTTATTATTTTACACTTCTGGAGGTATGAAATTGTGTTATACCGGGCTAAAACTGAGGTGTTACTTGAATTTATTCCTTTTGGAGGTTCTAGGCAAGAATCATTTTCTGGAATTTTCCAGCTTCTAGAGGCCACATGCACTCTTTGGCTAGTGGCCCTTTCCTTCATCTTCAAAGCCAGTAATGTAATACCTGCTGATATGGTTTGGCTGTGTTCCCATCCAAATCTCATCTTGAATTCCCAAGTGTTGTGGGAGGGACCTGGTGGGAGGTAATTGAATCATGGGGGCAGGGCTTTCCTGTGCTGTTCTTGAGATAGTGAGTAAGTCTCATGGGATCTGATGGTTATTATAAGGGCGGGGGGGGTTCCTACACAAGCTCTCTTTGCTTGCTGTCATCCATGTAAGGCGTGACTTGCTCCTCCTTGCCTTCTGTCATGATTGTGAGCCTTCCCCAGCCATATGGAACTGTAAGTCCAATTAAACCTCTGTCTTTTGTAAATTTCCCAGTCTTGAGTATGTCTTTATCAGCAGTATGAAAACCGGCTAATACATCTGCAAATCTCTCCACTTCTGGCATCAGATTGAATACCCTCTGACTTTGATCCTCCTACTTCCTCGTATAAAGATCCTGTGGTCACATTGTGGCTGCCCAGGTAACTGAGTATAATATTCCTGTCTCAGGATCCTTAACTTAATCTTATCTGCAAAACCTCTTTTGCTATATAAGTTACCATATTTGCAGGTTCTGGAGATTTCTGGGGATTAGCATCTTTGGGAGGACACCATTCTACCAAAGGGGCCTAGGGCAATAAAACTTAATTCTTGTTAATTTTCTAAAGATACCCTTATCTTTCCTGTATCTGACTCTTCTGGACGAAAGTTCTGTGTACAGTGGGGAATAACTGGAAAAAAAAAAAGGTGAACTTATGGCTACTGAAATGGGATACACTGATTTTGTGGCAATGGAAGAAGAAAAACAACTCAGTAGCGCCTGAGGAGGAAATGCCTGTACCCCAGAGTGCATGAGGGACAGATAAGCATTAATGATCTTTGTCTTTGAGAACCCCCTTTGCCTGCTTCCTTATGAAGGCAAATACCATGGTGCTGCTCTCCCAAACTCCAGCAAGTGCCTTGAATTTAAGTGAATGCTGAGCCTTCCTTCTCCTGACAAAGAGTTCTGACCATAATGTGATCCCAGTTCTTCTTTATCCTTCTGTGAAGTCTGTAAGAAAAAGTAGGGTTGGCTCAGTTCATGCACCTCCCACACAAAGTGCCTGTCACACCTCCAGATGTCTATCACACCCCTATTCCCACAGCTGCTCCTCAGTCTTTCCTTCAAAGTAGAGGACTGTCACTTTCACTGACTTTATAGATGGGACTAATGGCCCTCTGGTAGTCCCTCCTACACAAGGACTAGACACAATTAAGCAAACTGAAGTGTGATACCTAAGGCCCATCAGCCATCCAGGAAACCATATCGGAGGCTTTGTCAACCTGTGTCCCTGTCTGAGGTAGGTCCTACTGGGGGAGGAGGGGTAGACCACAATGATAAATAACACTTCTTTTCCAGAGCAGCATGTGTGCCCTTGAGACTGTACTTTTTTTATGTGGAAGTAAGACATTCACTTGCCTCTTTTCTGAAAATACAGTGACTTGCACCTTAGGTGTGGTCATAAGAGACTTTCAAAGGTTTAAGGTAACACCGTTTCAGCCTTGGAAGGCATTCAGGTCAGCCTCAACTTGCTGGCCAAAAATATTACAGATGATAGACTTGCTCTCAATTTCTTCATTTGAGGACAAGATAGAGAGGCTGTGAAATTACTAATATGTCCTGTTGTACCTGGATTAATGCCTTGGGCCAAGTAGAAAGATCAGTACAGAAGTTTGTGGAGAAAGCTATCTGAATTTCTGAGGCAGATGTTGATGGTTTATGGGATTTGATTAACTGATTGTTTCTGGCACATTCTAGATCCAGGTCAAGGACCATATTGAAGGCTCTCCTTCAACTACTTGGAGTCTAATAGTTTTAGTTAAGTGCTGTATGAGACAAATTAAAGACATTTTATCTCATCCTCTGTAGGTCAGATTAATCAGAGTGGCTATACATATTGGAAAATACATCAAAAGCTAATATGGTGTAGAAAAAAGGAGTGGATATTGTTGGAAGACAGTTTTCCACGGGTCTCACATTTCTGCACATCTAGCAAACAGAAGCACTGGAAGCTTTTGTTCCAGACTATCTTTTTAAAAATATCTATCTAGCAAACAGCCTTAGAAGAAAGAACTTTTTTTTTTTTCTGGAGCAGAGGGCAGGTTTATTTATTGTCCAGTATAATACAGATAGTATCTCCCTGGGGCAGAGTTTATATATGTCTGTTTGTGGCCCATTGTAAAAGAATTGAAGTTCCTAAGCTTGGGGTTCCTCGGCTGTGATGCAAATCCACTGCATGCCCAGTGTTCTCTTGGCTGCTCTGTGTTAACCTTGTAGGGCTTGAGCAAAAAGAGGAACAAATGCCAACAGGAAGCTCATGTTGCTTGTGGTGCCATGAGTAATAAAGCTCTTCATCTCTGTCCCAGGAATCTTGTGTTTTTTGCTTGCATCCACAAAACTGTAGAAGGCTGACTTGTTAGGTTGCCAGTAGGGTAAAATTGCAAATCATTCAGTTTTGACAACTACCTCTTTGTAGTTGTATTTACTACTTTAATCCCAACTCCACTCAAAGAAGATTTTATTTTTCTCTTATTTATGTACCTCTGGTGTTTGTACAAACCCTATTATAATACTTATTAAAAACCGTTATCCAAGTAAATGTCTTTCTCTCATTTGGCTTTGTGCTCTTGTGGCAAATGTTTATGTCTTATTCATTTTTGAAGCCTCAACTACTAGTAAAAATTGTATGCTTAATAAATACTTTGAATTAAGGTATTTAAAACAGCCTAGTTGAGTCCTTCAGATATCAGTTGTCTCTTTGGCATGGTAAACTCTCCATCAGTTTTTTTGTTTATGGATGAAGTGGTAGGCTATTTTTGTCCCATCATAGATTTAGCCGTCATGACAACCTGTAGCACAACCACTCAACTACACACAGTTTCCTCTGGTGGCTGCCACACTTCTAAGATGAACTACAGCTGAGAAGCAGGAAAAGGCCATTGCAGAGATCCTGATTGTTAGAAACCCTCAGCAAAAAGTCCTGCTGTAGTTCGGTTTTGCTCCAAGTATCTTCGCCTATGTTCTAGAGAAAACACAGTCTTGGAATAAACTGTTACTACCGGAAGATGGCATCTTTTCCAAGACTGAAATGTCCTTACCATAAAGAAAATAAGAGTGTCTTGGCTGCCTAGACTAATTAACTATAGGAAGATGAAGAAATGAGATTGGCTCTCCTGGTAAAGTTGTGGAGGATCCTTCTTCCTCCATGAGAGACAATTTTCTCTCATGGTAAAGTTATGGAGGAAAGTTGATCCTCCACGAGAGACAATCTCATTTCTTCATCTTCCCATAGTTCATGATTCTCTTCAGCACCCTCTTTTTTCCTGCTACCAATGGGTAGATTTGAAAGACACTCAAGGAGGCAACGATGCTTCCCACTGTTCCCACCAATAAAATGTGTCATTTTCTAAAGGGGGATATTAAGTGAGAATGGATCTCTGTGGGAGGAGATTTACAGTTAGAGTGAAATAGGAACCTTTTTCTTTCTTAAGGTTTTTTTTTAAAAAGGAAATAA
The DNA here is from genome assembly GCF_000001405.40 of Homo sapiens. NCBI lineage: Eukaryota > Metazoa > Chordata > Mammalia > Primates > Hominidae > Homo > Homo sapiens. The sequence continues at coordinate 7,827,325 of NC_000009.12, read as the reverse complement.
AAATTCCCTCTATGCAAGCATAGTTGGGTCATAACTATTATATTTGGCACACTTAAAGAACTCCTTTTCCACGAAAGTGGAGAAATATATTTGAAACAGCTTCCCCATTTCTCTTACTCTAAAGAAAAAGCAAGGGGTATAAAATTTTGCAGATCCTACAATGTTCTTTCTTTAAAAGAAGCTAGGAACACGTATAAAACAGGTTTTTAGAGATGTACAAAAACTGTATTAAAATGAAACCAATGACTCCTCATCTTCTGTAAAGGATATTGATAAATACTGATGAAAGTGTCTTTATTTCCACTTTTGAACAGAGATTATATTTTATACTTGATTATATTTTAATTAAACAGCTCCACCCAGATTACCATCTCTCAAAAATAAATAATTCGCCTTCATTGTTTCTTCTGTTCCTTACATCTCACTGCTAACACTCTGGTTAAAATAACTTGGGACACTGCTGCTTTCTAATATGAAAAAAGGAAGGAACCAACGAACAGTACATTGTTATAACTTAAGAGGCAGGGCTTAGCTCTCAATTCAGCCACTTACTGTTTGGGTCAAGTTTAACGTTACTATGTCTCAGTTTCCTCATCTGTAAAATGTCAAGTATAATGTCAACTTTGATGGTTTTTTTAAAGGTTAAATGAAATAATATTAAAGTGCTTCTATAGTGCCTGATACATGGTAAGTGTTCAGAGATTACTACCTACTACTAGTCACCACTTTTTGAATACTTACTACATGCCTGGCACAATTTAATTCTCACAACAACCCTCTGAAATAGGTATTATTAAAAGTCCTATTTTACTCATGAAGACACTGGGGGTCAGTGAAATTATATAATTTATTTGAGGCCAGAGGACTAGTGATTAACAGCACAAGGGTCCAAGCCCAGCAAGGCTTTCTGATTCTGAATCCAGTGCTCTTTCCAGTAAATATAAACAACTAGGAATAGATAGAAACTGATTCCAGACGCTGTATTCTACAGCCCAGCCACACACACACAAACTTCCACTTTTTTTTTTTTAACACAAACATACCTCACAGTGTCACATCTCTATACATTTCATAAATAAGTTCGATTTGGGATAGTTTCTGATTCAGGGGCTGGGATTTACTGGTCTCTGCAGCCACGTTTGCTTCCCAAAAGTTGAGATCAAGGGCATGTTTGGTAAAAAGAGGTAATAAGTATGCTAGATCTGAGTTCAATAAAGCATTGAAACCTCCAAGGGAGACTTGCATCCTTAGCTGTCTGCCCATTTGTCTTAGGAATAGTCCAATGTGGACCTATTTCTCCCATTCCCAACCTCATCATGTTGAATCCTTTTCCATATGCCATCATATGCCTCCCTTGCTTCTTAAATGTAATTGCCCTCCTCACAGCAGTCTTACAGACAGTGCAGACACTGTCCTAGTACCCTACCCCTTACTCTGGGCTCCATAAATATCTCTTTTAAAAAATTTCTTTTGCTCAGCATAATGGTTTTATTTTTATTTTTAATTGACATCTATATTTTTATTAATTGTCCAGGGGCCCAAAATCTAGCCTGATCTTCCCTATGACCAAGTGCATGGTTTTCTTTTCATATTTTTTGTGCATATTAAAAATTTGTCTAAAGAGCTGTTCATAGTAAAAATAGTATATAGTTGTTAGGAATTTTTTAAACAGTACAGATACAGACATGGAAGTTTGCCCTCCTAACCCTATTCTACTTCTTGAAGGTGAATATTATTAAACAACTTAGTATGCAACCTTTTAGACTTTTCTGTATTATAAACATATACCCAATTATATATAAATATGTATGTATATTATATATACAATTATATATTATACAGATATATATATATATAATTACTTCTGAGAAATAGAATCATCATTTCTTTCTTTCTTTTTTTTTTTTTTTTTTTTTTGAGAGGGAGTTTCTCTCTTGTTGCACAGGCTGGAGTGCAATGGCACTATCTCAGCTCACTGCAACCTCCGCCTCCCCGCAACCTCCGCCTCCAGGGTTCAAGCAATTCTCCTGCCTCAGACTCCCAAGTAGCTGGGATTACAGGTATGTGCCACAACACCTGGCTAATTTTGTATTTTTAGTAGAGATGAGGTTTCTCCATGTTGGTCAGGCTGGTCTTGAAATCCCGACCTCAGGTGATCCACCCGCCTTGGCCTCCCAAAGTGCTGGGATTACAGACGTGAGCCACCACACCCAGTCTTCATTATTTCTATAACTTGCTTTTTTCAATAAACAATATATCATAGATATCTGTCTATGTCAATATATAGGGAGCTACCTGATTCTTTTTAATAACCGTGTGATATCCTGCTTATTAGTGAATTCTGCTTATGAAACAGATTTTTTACTTATGAGCATTCAGGTTGTTTCCATTTTGGGAACTATTATAACCAACATTGCAATGAGAATCATTATGAATAAGTATTTGGGTAGTTATTAGAGTATTTCTATAGGATGAATTCCTAGAAGTGAAATTGCTGAGTGAAAGGGTGTATGCAGTTAAAGTTTTCACAGAAATTACCAAATTGCCCTCTTACCCATTGTATTTGAGGGTTTGTTTCCTAACGTCTTCTCCAACATTTGGTATTATCCACTTTATCCTTTTTGACAATCTGATAGATATAGAAATTTTTATTTTAATTTATATTTCATCAAATATTAATGAAACTCAATGTATAGCTTTGACTCTACCTCTCCATGAAGCTCTATTAGTGTTACATGTTAATTCTAGTCTCCTACTGATGTCCCTGCCAACTTGACACATCATTATCACATTAAAGACAGACACTTTGAGATCTTCTACCATGCCCGTCATTGTACAGAGGAAACCAAAGCCCAGGGAAGTCAAGTGATATGCTCGAGCTCAAGCTGATGCTCGGTGAAACTGAAAAAGGTCAATGCATTATACTCTTGCTAGCTACTAGTTACTGTCCTCAGCAGATACTCTTGTTCATTTTTATGTCCTCTACTATGTCTACCATAATGTAGTGAGTACTAAACAAGTGTTTCTTAAACAAATGGATTGAAAGAAAATAAGCTCTTCTACTCTCTAATGGTAAGAGATGTATTAGTAAATGTCCCTAGTGATTATAATATTGAAACCAAAAAGACAATACTGTTTTTATTTATTTCCTGTAATATAATATTCAAACCATATTTGTGTGGATGCAGAAAAAAACAGATACATATGAAATGTTAAACAGACAAAATTATTCAACAGAGCTGGTAAACGAAAATCACTTAATAGTGCCACATTTTATTTAACAGCAAAACCCTCAGAGGTAATTCCTCCCTGAGTGAGAGCCACAGTCCAGCACCACAGGGAGAATAATTGGAGCCAAAGACCCTGGTTAAATTATTTAAAGTAAGAAATGGTCATTCTCAGACAGATATTTTCCTGAAAAACAATCAAGGGAATAAAGTGGAAAGAATTTCGCTACGAGCGAAGGCAGGAAGCTGGCCTCCAGGGAAACAGCTGGGAATTGGGCCTAAGAACCTCCTTCCTTTTTTCTTCCCCTTCCCTGACTTAATCCACCAACCAACCACACCATCCTGCCATGCATGTTCCATTGTATTCCACCACCTACGCCACTCCCCTCATTCTAAAAGGACAACAATTGTATTCATTTTTACTGTTGTATAACAAATACCACAAACGTAAAACAACATGCATCTATTACCTCACAGTTCTCTAGGTCAGAAGTCAGCATAGTGTTTCTTGCTGGGTTTCTTGCTCAGAGTCTGCCTAGGCTGAAATCACCATGTCAGCAGGGGCTGTGTTCTCAGGTGGATCTTAGTCTTCCTGCAAACTCATTCAGGTTGTAAGAAGAATAGGGTTCCTTGGCCAGGGGTCACTCTTAGCTCCTAGGGCCTGCCCTCAGGTGATAGCCATGTGTCCCAATCACAACATGGCAGCTTGGTTGTTCAAGGCCAACAGGAGCATCTCTCTCCAGTTTACAACGACAGCAATATCTGTAACAGAAGATAATCACAGAGTGACTATCCCATCACTTTTGTCATATTGTGCACCCTAATCAAGGAAATAACTATCCCATCATATTCACAGTTTCTACCCACACCGAAGGGAGGGGATTATGGATCTTGAAGGCTATCTTAGGCCATTCTGCCTGCCACAAGAATATAGCAGATAAAGCTCAAAATAAGCCTGATAAAATGCACCCACATAAAACACATGACTATATAGCAGCCTCAGAAATGAGAGTCATAACAGTAATACTACGCCAAGGGAGAATGTGGTCAGAAAATGTCTGAGTATATTTTGTTGGTTTGAAAATGATAATTTTCAGGGTATCTTAAGAAAAAAAATGAGATTTCAGGTTTTTAAACACAAAATAATATAACAACATAAATATCAGAATTTAGTTACTTAAAATTAAGTAACTATGTCAAAAAGCCAAAATACTAGCAATCAACATTACAAAAACTAGCTCCTGGACTTGGGAAAATAAATCAACATAAATCTTTATAAATGATTCTCCTATGAAAAGGGCTACCTAAACATTAAGTAAGCTTATTCATTCTGTAAATATGTAGGCTTTTATAATTCCCATGAAAACTCTGACCTATTCTTCAGTCAGCTCACATTCTTGTAAAATTGGTAATGGACCATTTCTTCTTCTTTTTTTGTAGTCTTCCACATTTCATTAAATCTGTTCTCTCATTCTCCTCACTTTGGTTTTTAATGAAGTCAGTCCTTCCCCTCTTTCAGTTAATTTTTCTAAATAGAATTTCACTGATGTTGAAACACACACTGCCTGCTGTTACCTACAGGCAAAATCCTTGCCATCCATGGAAAATGAATGAATTTAATATTTCAAACAAATAAACATAAACAATTTAACTTGTGACACATTCTGACTTTGGATTATTAATTCATTGGCTCTGATGCATCCCTGATAGGCTGAGTTTAGGGACTTAATCCTGTTGCCCAGTGTAAAATCAAGGCTCTAAGGAGGAAGCATAAGAGCTGCCAAAGATGGTTCCTTTATTTCCTTTCCTTCAAATTATGTCTACTGATCATGAGGCCCCAAAACATGCACTATTCTTCTTACATTTTATTTCACTTAAAATTTTTATTAAGTTTTCAAACATAAAACACAGTTGTGGCAATGATATTATGAACCCAATGTTTACACTGCATCACCCAACTTTAACAACTATTAATATGTGACAAGCTTATTTTATGTATACTTTTATTTACTACTCCTTCAATTATGTTAAGGCAAATAATATAATATCATTTCATACCATAGAGATATTTCAGCATATATCTTTAAAAATGAGATTCTTTTAAGAAGACATAAAAATATAATCACACCTAGGCCGGGCATCGTGGCTCACGCCTGTAATCCCAACACTTTGGGAGGTTGAGGCTGGTGGTTCACGTGAGGTCAGGAGTTCCCGACCAGCCTAGTCAACATGGTGAAACCCCATCTCCACTAAAAATACAAAAAAAATTAGCCAGGCTTGGTGGCACACGCCTGTAATCTCAGCTACTCAGGAGGCTGAGGCAGGAGAATCGTTTGAAACCAGTAGGCGGAGGTCGCAGTGAGCTGAGATTGCGCCATTGTGCTCCAGCCTTGGCAACGAGCAAAACTCTGTTTGAAAAAAAAAAAAAAAAAATGAAAGAAAAATACAATCACACCTAATAAATTAATAATTCCTTAATATAATCAACTATCCATACAATGTTAAGACATCCCTGGTTGTCTTGTAAATATATGTACATTTTATATATGTTAACCATTTTATTATACAGGATACAACTCAGGAACACCTAAATGGAAGGAAATGCATAGGACAAAGTGTGGGGGCACAGAGTTTCCATGCCCACTCTAGAGGCTCCACCTTCCCCATTTCCCTATTTGTCTATTTGTGTAGACAAATAGTCCATCTTTCTTCATCTCATTTATTTTGCCTATAATGAAAACAATAGAACCTTCAGGAAAAAGTATTCACCAACGTGGAAGCTCTTATAAATTTTTAAACCAGATTATTCATTTAAATCAGGACCCAGATAAGGTCTTCACATTAAGATAGTTTACATATGCCTTTTAAGGCATGCTCCCTCTGTTCTTGTTTCTTGCCTTTCTTATTGTTGTCACTGTTGATGAAACTAGATAATTTATCCTGTAGAGTTTTTTTAAGTTATTTTGCTAAGTACATTCCTGTAATGTCATTTACTGAGTTTCTTTGTCACCTGTGTTGCCTATTAATTTATAGGTAAATCTAGATGCCTGATCAGATTTGGATTAAATTTTTTTCTTTTCTGAGAAAATTTCCTTCACAGGTAATATTGCGTACTTCCATCAGGATACACATGGTTGTCCCTTTTGCTTGATATTATCAGCTATTAATGATTATAACTTGGACCCATTAATTTATTAGGGAGTTGCAAATAGTAATATTGGTCATTCCTTCTTCATTTATTAGCTAGAATATTTCTATACAGAGAAATTTCCCCTCATCAATGATTCAGTTACTTTGAGATAATATCATGTAAAAATGAAGAACAAATGCTTGATTTTTTTCTCTTTAGAAGTTTTAAAAATAAATAAATAAAATGAATCACCAAAGTCATTAATGAGTTGGTTTTGGTACATTATAAACCCATGGATTTAAACATATTTGATGCAATTCAATCCATTGCAGTTTTTGTCTTAAATGATGCCCAAATTATTTTATCTTTGACCAGTGGAAGCTTATGTAAATGGTCTCCCGAGTTCTTTTGACCTGACTCAAGTATACTTTGATAGCTACCTTTCTTTTCAATATTAGAGGATTTTCCAGACATGTTCCTTTTTGCCTCATATCTAGAATCAGTCATTTCTCCAAGAAACAAGGTTCCTTTTAATGAGAATGACAGAAACCACGGTCTGGGTACTAAGAGTAGACTTTACTATTAGGTTGGTCATTGATTTTAGGCATTTTCAGTGTGGAGATAATAAAAGGTTTTAATGACAAAATACATCATTGGTTCACATTGTTAATTACTGTTAAGATTCAGGGCCACAGGGGTTTTTTAATATAATGGCATTATTGAGTTATAATGTACATGCCATAAAATTTACTCTTTTAAGTATACAATTCAATAGTTAGTGTATTCTTAGAATTGCGCAACCATCACCACAATCAATTTTAAAACATTTTCATCACCACCAAAAGAAACCCTGTACCTTTTAGCTATTACTTCTTCCCAATTCTCCACTTTCCCCATCCTTCACCAGCCCTATGCAACACTACTCTACTTTCTGTCTTTATAGATTTGCCTAATCTGAACATTTCATATAAATGGAGTCATACAATGTGTGATATTTTGTGTCTGTTCTAAATCTATATGTATATACACACACACACATATACATATACATATATATTTTTAAAATGGGAAACAACTTGAGTGATATGAAAGAGACTGTAGTTTCGGTGTGATGCCACAGTCACTGGAAGGACCCACATGCCCTAGGTAAGATTTTGTATTCGTCACAGCTGTAGACTCACAGTTAATGGCCTATCGAGGGGCAGGAATGCTACTCTTCTCTTTTGGTCATATAAATACACAAAAATCAAAACTGTCTGAGACTGCTTCTGCTCCCTGTTAATGCCTTCACATCATACACACACATACACACACACACACACACACACACACACACCTCGCAGTGTGCCTGGGTTAGAGGGGTCCTAACATGAGACACAAGAACCTCTAAGGCTAGATGCCTTAGAAAGCAGAGGAACCCCCTCCTGCCCTTTGCCCATGCTCATTTCATTTTTTAAAACAGCTTTATTGAAGTATAACTGACATACAACAAACTGAACTTAATTAAAATGTACAATTTGATATTTTGACATGTGCACACCTATGAAGCTGTTTCCCCAGATAAGGTAAAATACAAATTTATCATCCCCAAAAGCTTTTTTCCAGGGCTTTTAATCTCTTCCCTTTCTCATCACCCCCTTATCTCTTTCCCCAGATAACCACTGACCTGTTTTCCATCTCTATATTTTCCATTTTCTGGAATTTTGTGAAAATGGAATTATATAACATGTAGTCTTTTCTGACTTATTTCACTGAGCATAATTATTTAGAGATTAACTCATGTTGTTGCTCTTATCAATAGTTTATTCCTTTTCATTAGAGAGTAATACTCTAATATGGATATACTGTTCCATGTTGATCCTGTTTATACCTGCAGACACACATTTGGGTTGCTTACAGTTTTTGACTGCTACAAATAACACTGTCTTTGTATGGACATATACATTCATTTCTCTTAGGTAAACACCTAGGAGTGGAATAACTGGGTTACATAGTCGGTGTATGTTCTACTTTTTAAGAAACTACCAAACTGTTTTCCGAAGTGGTTGTGCCATTTTATGTTCTGACAAGCAGAGCATGAGAATTCCATTTCCTCTAAATCATTGTCAACACTGGTATGGTCAGCTATCTAGGCCCTCTACTAGACTTCCTAGAGAATATTTAGGAATGGGGTTCAGAAATTCTATTTTTAACTGGCTCCACAAGTGATTCCCCCTATACACCAAGTGCTGTGGTTTGAATGTGTACCCCAAAAAGCATGTGCTGCAAACTTAATCCCCAAGGCAACAACGTTGGGAGGTGGGGTATGAAGAGAGGTGTTTAGGTCAGGAAGATTCCACCCTCATGAATGGATTAATGCCAATTATAAAGGGCTTGAGACTGTGAGTTCAATCTCTTGCTCTCTCTCGCCCATATGATGCTTTCCACCATGAGGTGACACAGCACAAAGGCCTTCACCAGATGCTGGCCCCTTGATTTTGGATTTCTTAGTCTTCAGAACTGTAAGAAATAAAATTGTCGGCCGGGCACAGTGGCTCATGCCTATAATCCCAGCACTTTGGGAGGCCAAGGCGGGCAGATCACAAGGTCAGGAGTTCAAGACTACCCTGGCCAACATGGTGAAACCCCATCTCTACTAAAAATACAAAAAATTAGCTGGGTGTAGTGGTGAGCATCTGTAATCCCAGCTATTCAGGAGGCTGAAGCAGGAGAATCTCTTGAACCAGGAAGGTGGAGGTTGCAGTGAGCCAAGATCCTGCCTTTGCACTCCAGCCCTGGCGACAGAGTGAGACTCTGTCTCAAAAAAAAAAAAAAAAAAAAAAAAAAAAAGAAAGAAAGAAAGAAAAAAGAAAGAAATAAAACTGTTTTCTTTATAGATTACCCAGTTGGTGGTATTCTGTTATAGCCACACAAAATAGACTAAGGCACCAAGGTTTAAAAATCACTCCCTTGGGAAAGAAACTACATATTCCCTTTGAAACATAATCCATTTGGGGACGTCTAGCCACGAAAGCATATCTTTGTTTTTTTTTAACTCTAAACGTCCTTTCATATTGTTTATGATATATGCCAACTACTCTTATCATTCTCTTCTTTTATTTTTTGGCATTCCAAATAAAAGTAATCATTCAGTCATAATCATTATAAAACTATAGAACCATGATGTGTAGTTATAAGAGCACATGGGGATAACAGAACTCAAACAAATTTACAAGAAAAAAACAAACAACCCCATCAACAAGTGGGCAAAGGATATGAACAAACACTTCTCAAAAGAAGACATTTATGCAGCCAACAGACACATGAAAAAATGCTCATCATCACTGGCCATCAGAGAAATGCAAATCAAAACTACAATGAGATACCATCTCACACCAGTTAGAATGGCGATCATTAAAAATTCAGGAAAAAACAGGTGCTGGAGAGGATGTGGAGAAATAGGAACACTTTTACACTGTTGGTGGGACTGTAAACTAGTTCAACCATTGTGGAAGACAGTGTGGCCATTCCTCAAGGATCTAGAACTAGAAATACCATTTGACCCAGCCATCCCATTACTGGGTATATACCCAAAGGATTATAAATCATGCTGCTATAAAGACACATGCACATGTATGTTTATTGCAGCACTATTCACAATAGCAAAGACTTGGAACCAACCCAAATGTCCATCAATGATAGACTGGATTAAGAAAATGTGGCACATATACACCATGGAATACTATGCAGCCATAAAAAGGGATGAGTTCATGTCCTTTGTAGGGACATGGATGAAGCTGAAAACCATCATTCTCAGCAAACTATTGCAAGGACAAAAAACCAAACACCGCATGTTCTCACTCATAGGTGGGAATTGAACAATGAGAACACTTGGACACAGGAAGGGGAACATCACACACCGGGGCCTGTTGTGGGGTGGGGGGAGGGATAGCATTAGGAGAAATACCTAATGTAAATGACAAGTTAATGGGTGCAGCACACTAACATGGCACATGTATATATATGTAACAAACCTGCACGTTGTGCACATGTACTCTAGAACTTAAAGTATAATTTAAAAAATGACTCTAAACTTTACAAAGTTCTGAGAAGTTTTGTGAAAGGCTCACATTTTATCATATGAAATAACATTTTCAAGCATTTCTCTATAGTTTCCAAAAATGCACCACGTACACGTTCAAGAAACAGGATTTACCTCATAGTGTCAGATAATTAATTTAGAAAGTTTTTTTTTTACTGTTCATCAAGATTTTACTTATCAAAATTTTAAATTTTTTGAACATTACTGAAGAGATGCACACATCTAGCACAAATGAGGAATCTTCCAAATGTGAGAATATATGAGACACCAAATGTTTCCACCAAAAACATTAATTTATATTAGTAATATTAATATTGTTGACATTTTCCTTTATGCTATTTTTTTAAAAATGTTTCTAAAAGAAATCCAAAAGAAGTACAATATTTGGAAAGCCCACTGAATATGTTTATTATTTATTGTTGTAATAAAAGCAAACTGAAGTCCCATCCTCATAATTAATGTTTTAAATTTGTATTTATTCTTTTGATAATTACACTAGTATGAAATTTAGTAAACATTTTTAAAACCTTTAAATATTGGATAGAAGCATTATTATTTTACTCTTGAGTAAGGGAAAGCACTGTGAGTCATTGACCATCAAATGAAAAGTGCCTTATGGTAAATAATGCTTCCTTTTATTGTTCGTATAAAAGTCCTAGCTCTCACACTACCAGGGTAACCTAGGAGGCATGTGAGTGGTTTCCTGTGAAAAAAAAAAAACATGAAACTGAATGATCAATGCAGAGACTAAAGTGTAACCCAGACTCAAAATTGAATGGAAATCCTTATATCATAGTTTTTACGGCCAGACTGCCAAAAGATGTCAAAATTAAATGGGATATATTAAGAATGAGGACATAAGGGAATACTTTTGGTTCAGTGATTTCCCTTTCAAAGAAGTGCTGCATTCCCCTTCCTGTGTCCATGTGATCTCATTGTTCAGTTCCTACCTATGAGTGAGAATATGCGGTGTTTGCGGGGAGGGGGGAGGGATAGCATTGGGAGATATACCTAATGCTAGATGACCAGTTAGTGGGTGCAGCGCACCAGCATGGCACATGTATACATATGTAACTAACCTGCACAATGTGCACATGTACCCTAAAACTTAAAGTATAATAAAAAAAAACCCTAAAAAAATAAAAATAAAAATAAGGATGAAATAAAAAAAAAAAAAGAAGTGATGCAACCTCACAGAGATGTTTGTATTACTTTATGATTATATATTCCATATGCATCTTCAAATTATACAGGATTATCAGATCTCTATAACAGAGTAGAGCATTCTTTAAAATACTTATGTGATTTCCTTGTTTTAGAAGGGTCAAATCAAATATGGAAAGATCCTTGATCAGAGTGTTTTGACATTTCTAATATAATTCTAAGTAATACCAAGATATCTCAACATTTCATATTTAAAGGCTAATACATTTAAAATTTCATTGCAAAGATTCAGTCAGTCATTCATTCAATAAAGGTATTTTGAATGTCCACTATGCCCACTACAGGTTGTTAGGAGATTTAAATATCTTACCTCTTTCATTAGACTAATTTATCTATATTACCCTTAAAAAGGCAGCAAAAATCATTACTTATCTCTCACTCAAAAAGTATCTCTTCCATGAAGCTTTCCTGGATTATCTCAACTAGAAATAATGCTTCTCTTCTCTATATCATATGATCGATCATATATCAATCTTCTATTTTATTTAACTTAGTTTCATGTCTTTCAATTTAATCCATAAACTCTTGAAGCACTATGGCTCTGAATTCACACCCCAATTCATTCATTCAACAGGTAAGATACTGGGCCATGCATTATGCAAAATGTAAAGATAATTAAGACACAGCTGCCATCACCAATTTGATTTTAGTTTAATTAATGAAATAAGATATATAATTACCTTGACATGATTCCTATAAATTCTCTTACATCTAAAAATATGAGAACTTGAATTGAAGGCTTTTCTCAGCATTCCTGGCCCCTGCTTCTTTATGTACCTCACATAACAAAATGTCATGGACAAGGTAGGGACTAAATAAATACATGTTGGATGAATATTTGTTGAAAGAAGTTTTTAAGATTTTGATATTAGGCCTACCAGATTTTTCCTTTTGCTAATTCATTTCAAATAGCTACCCACTGTGATACTTTATTACATTTGCATTTTCAGATTTAATTCATAACTAATATAAGGAGATGAAAATCTTAATAAAAATACCACACAACAATGTACAGTGAAAAAAAAAATCGTTGTGCTTAGAGTCAGGGAATCTGCTCTTGATTTTGGCTCCTTCATTGCTTAGTTGCATGAATTGTGTCGTTAGTTAACCTCTGACTTTGTGTTTCAGTTTTCTTTTCTGTAAAACAGAGATAATATTGGCCACTTAACAAGGTTGTTGTGAGACACAAATGAATGGATGCATTTAAAAGCACTTGGTAAACTGCAAAGTGTTTAAAAAATGATATTGTGAGCTCACAGGCTGCTTTTGGTCAGTAAGGGGTACCATGCAGTCAAGCACAATAGGAACTTTATTTACTGCCTTGCCAGCCTGACCTGCCACTGACACCTTATCAATTTTGAAAAGTTACATATTGCCACTGAATCTCAATCTTTATAAATATAACCTGAAAATATGCGGAATCCAGTATTCTATGACTCCAACAATAGGTGTTGAATGTTTAGAAATCTTTGTAATAAAGGTAACAGGCAAATACACCATTGCTATTCATACATTAATAGTCGCTTTCAATTATAAAACGCATTCTTTGTGCCAGGCAGTGTGTAAAGCATGTTATAGGTGCATCTTAGCACAGTGTATGGATGGAAATCTCAAATTACAGTCAGATGCCATACTAAGTTGGACTACACCACAGTATAAAGGTTGAGAATACGTTCTGTGAGCCTGAAACTCTGGATTCAAATCTAGGCTTCATCCCTTAAACAAAGTCATCACTAATAGCTGGTTCCTAACTTGTTTATTTAAAAAATGGGGCTAGTAGGAGTTCCTGGCTTATAAGGTTGTTGTAAAGATTGAATTTACTAACATATGTGGAATATATGCAGTTTCCCACTCGATGTTAGATGTTATTTCTTTCCACCAGCATTTCCATCCACTAGCAAATTATTTTGGGCAAACTATTTAACCTTCTAGACCTCAGTTTCCTTACTTGTGAGATGGAAATAACAGTACTCATGTCATTGTACTATTGTAAGTATTAAATTAGATAGTATTAAATTAGAGTATTAAATGTAGAAAACAGGAAAATACTATAGATATTTTAATTCATATTATCACCTCATTCTATTCCTCTTCCACTCTATTATTTATGCTAACTTCAGTAAAAATACAAGACTATGCTCTGGAAGGAAATTCTGGGATAAATCAAAATTCCAAGAAAACCGTGCATTTTATTATCAACAGCAATTATATTCCTTGGGCCATCTATGCTTCACATCAGTGGCAGATCCAGGGCCTTCTAATTTGATAGCAGGATGCAGTGTGGATTAGTGTCAGCAATCCTTCAGATGCAGTGGGCTGCGAGACACCTAGGGCTCACTCCTCTTCTACTGATTCATTGGATGCCTAAGAACAACATTCCCAGATGTTCACCTGTGAAATACCCATAAGGCCTAAAAAAAGATTACACAGGGATCAATATGAGTGCCTTCCTCATGGCAGTAATAAGGAACAAGGAAGCAGAGAGGCATTTTGTTGAAGTGAATAAGTGTTATGGTAAAAACTGAAATAATTAAAGTATTTTTGGCTCACGGTTCTTAAGGCCTGGGCTCACTGACATGTACTTGAACAGCTTATCCTCCCCCTTAACTGTGTGTACCCATTAGACTTTTCTAAGTTAAGAAGTTATAAGACATCATGAAGTACCATTTCTTGAAGAGAAGCCAAGGTATTTATTCATTTAATCAATACAAGCACTCAAACCAAAAGAAATATACTGCTTAATAGCCCATGTACAATGCCTTGAAATTAACAAATATAAACATTAGTCCTAAGTCATAAGAGTGGTTGATTTTATAAGAACAGAATTTACTGAAGCAATATTTCAAATGATGTTTTTATCTTTAGTTGAGGTTGGAATGAGATCCTGCAAGGAGTCAATGTCAATAGGCTGAAGCAATATGGCCATCCGGAGAGCATACTAGTTGTCATTCTACATGACATAAATGTCCTAGAAATGCAGACATATGCAATAATAAGTTGATAAGTCAGTGAGAAATTATTGTAATAATTTTTAGTATATCCCAATTTTTAAAGTCTTTAACAGTCACTATTTTTCAGTTTCTAGTTACATAAACCATCCATTAATAGTAATGCAGCCATATGAATAATGTATGTAATCATACCATTTACCTGTGAAGCATTTTATCAATGTTATTTATTATACCTCTTAACCCTGCTGCTGGACAAGGGAGTCAGTGGTAGTTCTGTATTATCCGGTGTTCCACATGTTAGCCTTCTTTTAAGGCTCAATTTGCAGCATTACTCCTTCTAGGTTCAACTCATTTGCTTCCATCCAATTAGAAAGGATATTTTTCCTTCATTCTCAGTAAATTTTCTTACTACCTCTGTCATAACATTTGTCAGCGTCTATAGATATTATATTTATTTAGATATGAACACAGTTTGCAGTTAAGATCCCAGAAGCCGAGAAGGCAACCTCCATCCTGCTCATCTTTGTGTGAGACTCACTGCTACCCACTCCTGCACTAGGAATTTGCACCTAGTGGGTATTTAATATTTTTTTCTAGTGATTTTTGAAAAAAAGTTGTTGGTCACCTCACTTAGATTTTAACTATGGTGCTATTTATTTTCTGACCCTTAAGGTAAGATAATTTGTTTCCCACCCTCACCTCTTATAAAACGTGGCTATCTATTACCAGCCAGGTTTGTTTTGTGCCTCTCTCTCAGCTACACAGGACATTTCCTCCTGCAGCTCTAAGGGTGATACTTTCTCTCCATGCTGTCTGTGGTAAGTGGTAAGCAGTGCTTTTCCCTAGTGAGAAGGAAGTCAATCGGCTGTATTTTACTATGACAGCTGAGCCATTTGACTCGAGTCTTATTACACTTGATGTTTACCTTTAGGGAATGTCTTTTTCAGTTGTTTATTTTTCAAATCTCTTGTCAGTTCAAACTACAGAAAAAAAAAGGGAACCCTGAATTTACTAATGTGCACCCAGAATATGGAAAACAGGTCTTCAGACAGGGGCCCAAGATTATACTTTATTCTAATGAAATTCACAGATATTTACTGAGTACCACTTAGATGTAAGGTACCGTGCTAAACAGTATGAGAATGCAAAAATGAATAAACTCTAACAGTTCACTCATTGATGTGATATTTAGAAAATAATAAATTATATACAAACATTTAAAATTACCTGAATTATTTAAAACAGAAGACAATAAAAGATGCCAGAAACATCCAATTTGGGCAAGGGTTCAATAATGGGCACTCAGAAAGGTGATTTGGCTGTTCTTGTCAAGCCATTTACTTGAGTGTTTCATGAGGGGTACTATTGGCATTTCAGGCAAAGAAATCTTTATTGAGTAGAACTGTTGTAGCATTACCAAAGACTTAGTATCCTGGCTGCTGGATGCTCTGTTGTGATAACCAAAAATGCTTCCTTCTATTTCCAAATGCCCTCAAGGGTAGTAACCTCAGTTGTGAACCAACTGTATCAGTCAAAATAAGCTAGGTTATGCTGTAGTAACAAATAACTTTAAATCCCAGGAACTTAATACAACAAAAGTTTATTTCTCTCTCACCCTACATATCAAAGCAGGTAATGAGGAGTATCTGCTCATTCTAATTACCAGGGACCAAGGCTGAGGAGGCTTCATTGCAATCTGAACACCTGCAATCACTATGGCAGTGGTGATCACATGAGGGTGTGTTGGAGAGAAGAGACAGCAGAGCAAGGGCATTTCAGCTGCAAATATCAGAAAGAGTCAGCAAAGCATAATTCTTGAAGGTGAAGGGCACACTTTGAGATGCAAAACATTAAGTCCTTAGTTCCATAGACACAGTTTTGTTCCATGAAGAAAAGAAGGTAGAGTTCCACAAGGAAACCCACCAGCCAAAAAGAAGGCATGTACCCAGGAAGCACATGGTTTCTGCAGCAGTGTAGAAGAAAAAAGGCTGAGTTATAAAATCCCAAAGCTGCCTATTATCACTCACTGAGGAGAAAAGAGGGCTATATGAACTCACACACCACTCCCTGAACTACAGGGAAAATCTCAGCCTGCTTGAAACTTGGTTCTGTCTCTTTCCTGATATAAATCTTCTTTTATAGCTGGGAAATCTCAACCTTTCAAAGATGCTTAATTTTAAAAGGAACCAACACAGGATATTCAAAGGTATACTAAGAAAAAAAAAGGGAAAGAATGAAAGAAATAAGAAACACAAATGGTAGATTCATAATAACATCCAGAAAAATATTGTCATGGAGCATATAAACATCATGACCAAACATTTCTCCCTGAATTTTAAAAACGCAAGGAAGCAATCAGGTTTATGAAGCAAGAACTCAAAGCACAAACAAAAGAACTCAGAATGAGATGATTAGACAGCAGGAGACAATAAAATATGAGTTGTCAGAGCTCAATAAACACAGTGGAAGAAAAAAATTAAGCCATCTCAGTTATAAGGGCAAAAATGGAGAAATATGAAGGAAAACAGACACTTGTACAAGCATATTAAGAAGCAAAAAGAAAGTAAATGAAATGAATTAGTGAGAAAATGAAAGAAGATATAACAGTGTACATAATTGGAATCCTTAAAGAAAAAAAACATATAACGAATGTTTAAAGTGCATGCCCAGGTTGGCGACAGTACAGGAAGAAGTGATGTGACTGTTATGCCCCTGGGCCCATGCCAGGCTCTGAGTGCAGGGGACAGGGGCTATGGCATGCCACGCTCCCTTGTTACTCCCTTTTCCTGTACCAATGCTACAACCTACCACTCTCAGGCCACCGCTCACCCCAAAGTCTATGGAAGTAATGAGGATTCCCAAGGGAGACATACTTTTCTGAACCTATGAGCTGACAGGGTCTGGACAGACATGTTTATCACTGGAATTACAAGGAGACCATCACATAAAACAGCTACTGCTCATTCTGGAAAGAGAAAAGACAAAACCTTGTGAACGTATGAAAATCTAGCAGAATATGGACAAAAATGTAGCTCCTCATCTGCAATCTCTTTCTTCTTTAGAAATGGAGGCCCACGACAGAGACACCTGCAGAAATTTAGGGAGGTCTTTTAGAGTGACCTATTTTTTTTTTGCATCAGCAACAGAATAAGCTAGGAGAAACATGTATTAGAAGCAAAGCTCCAAAAGGTGGCAAAACACTTATAAATGCACACACAATAAAAAGTGTTTATCTAAGGAGGCATATGGAGCTCCTTGAGGCTAAGAATGAAAGAGTATGGAAAAAAAAATAAACAACCAAAGACTTAAAAGGCCAGTCTTCAAAAAAGATCCAATAAAAAAGGAGCCATAGGTAGATACTGAATTTGTAGAAAAACATCAGAGTTACAGATCTCGTCACCACATTTAGAAACTTCAACAACCTCATTAACAGCAGAGGTTTGCAACAACTATAGGCAAAGCCAAGGAACTCTAATACCCAGTTTTCTCTTTAATTTTCCATCTCAAAACTTCCCTGCTTAGAGAAATTCTTAAAGGAATATTCTTCTTGAGCATATTTGGAAAGGACCTCTAATTAAGTAAAATGGAAGGGCATACAAGAGGAAGGGAGGAGAGATAATATAGTTCATACACAACAACAGCACATGGAAAACTACCATGACAGGAATACTCCAAGAAGTGCATCATCTGTCAGTATTTCAGGAGAAATGGCAGATTCATGACTTTAGGAAACAGTCACCGTGAAATATGAGGCATAACCAATTCATTGACTCAAGCTAAGGTGTTCAGATTTGCTAGACATTAAACTCAGAAATTCAGCTTATCCTATTATAAAACAAATGACTACGGAAATACCTTTTCAAGAAGCAATTATTTTTCTTTACTCAGGGTTATAAATTTATAAAATATGTTTTATGTAATAATTAATCTATAATGTCATAAAAGATAGCTCAACATCAAATTTTAATATGCAAGCCTAAGGCTCTCTGTATTCATTTTATTATGCAAATTTTCTTAATTTATATGAGATGTATAAGTTACATACCTTTCCAGATGAAATTATATGTACCACACTTTGCACTAGTTTAATATAAAGATGATATTAAGACTAACAGAACCCTTTCAACTTCTATTTTATAAGGAAAGAAACAAATGATTAATTCTGCTCTTTTTTAATGATCAGTCTACATAATTAATCAGGATGCTTTGTAAATTTAACTTTATTGTTTGTCATATAGTGCATTGTTTAAAATTATTCAATAAATTGTCCTTTGTAATGATGAATGAGTAGAAGTAATGCGAGTTAGCTGTATTTGGTTATAAGAAAGTAATAAAATAATTGTGTTTTTAAGAAGATATAATTCAGATAAACATTCCTGAAATAAGTGATAAGAATCTATTTATATAGAAAGGGTATTGCTTATGCCTGGGAAAACTGAACTAGAATAGTCAGCAAAGATTTTACTGGACAATTTAAGGAAGGAAGGAAGGAAAAAACAAAAGTGAGGGAAGGAAAAGAAAATCATTTGGGCATTCAGGCAAAAAGATCTAGTCACTTACATCAGAAAATAAATTGGCCTGGCCTCAGAATTCTCCACAGCAATGTTCAATGTCAGAAAACAGTAGAGGAACACAGAATCCGTAAAGAAAGAAAATGCTGTCCCAAACAGTTAGATATACTTTGCTGTCTGAGCCTAGGTTTCTGAGTGCAGTCTTGAGACAATAGTTTAATCAAGTGCATTTATTATTAGTTTCCTGCAGCCACTGTAACAAATTGCCACAAACTTGGTGGCTTGAAACAACAAAGTATGTTCTCTCACTATTCTGGAGGCCAGAGTTCAAAATCAGAATTGCTGAGCTGAAATCAAGGTGTCAACAGGGTCAAGTTCCCTCTGGAGGGTCTTGGGAAATGTTGTTCCTTGGTTCTTCCGGCTTCTGGTGACTGCCAGCATTCCTTGATTTGTGGCTGCCTCAGTCCAGTCTCTGCTTCTGGGGTCACACTATATTCTGTGTATAATTGTTCTCTGTGTGTCTCTTATAAGGATACCTGTGACTGCATTTAGGCCTGACCAGAAAATCCATCACAACCAACCCATCTCCAGATCCTTAATCACATCTGCAATGATCCATTTCCATATAAGCTAACATTTACAGATTCCACACTGATTAAATAAATTAATAGATTAAAAGAATTGCTGGGTACTGTCTTTTCTACTTAATACAAACAAACTTATTTTATGGGGGTGGGCAGAGTATTGCTCTGTCACTCAGGCTGAAATGCAGTGGCACAATCATAGCTCACTGCAGCCTCAAACTCCTGGGCTCAAACAATCCTCCTACCTCAACCTCCTGAGTAGCTAGCACTACAGGCATGCATCACAATGCCCGGCTAATTTTTTCATTTTTTCATAGAAATGGGGTCCTGCTGTGTTTCTCAGCCTGGTCTTGAACCCCTGGCTTCAAGGGATACTCTCTCCTTAGCCTCCCAAAGTGCTGATATGACAGGTGTGAACCATCGTATCTGACCAATAAAAACAAACTCGCAAACTACTATGAAATTGATAATATTCCAGAGATGTATAATTTGTAAAAACAAACTGCTAACAGAAAATTTAAACAGCTTTCCAAAATAGAAAGGAACCTCTTCAAATAACCTGCTTGCCCCCACAAAGAATAAAGTGACTGAACTAGACAATTTAACAGGGAAATTCTGCCAAAACTTTTAAAAAGCAGATAATGTTTAAACTGTTCCAGAATCCAGGAAAAAGGAGTATCTCCAAATTCTTTTTATGAAGTAGACATAATAGTGATCACCTAAATCAGCAGATTGTGTGCACACACACACACACACACACACACACACACACACACAAAACTATCAGTCATATTTCAGAGGTTCATCAGAATGCATGCATAATTCAATATTAGGATTTCTGGAAATCATGAGCCTTTTTATAGTTAAACTACAATCAATCAGAAGATACAGCAGAAGGAAAAATCCCTACTTTCAGTAACAACACAAAAGATAAAATGTCTGAAATAAAATGTGTGAGATCATTATGAAAAGACTTTAAAATGCTACAGAGGAATACAAAAGACATGAATGAAAGAAAAAGCATTCCATGTCCTTGGATAAGATGACCCCACATCATAAAGATGTCATTTCTTCCTAAATTAGCCTACAATTTTAATATAAGCCTAATAAAGATGTCATCATCTTTTGTTATAATAATCAAGCTGAGTCAAAAGTGCATGTGGAAAAATAAACAAGCAAAAATAGCCAAGAAAAGTCTGGAAGAGAAGATACGGGCAAACCAGTCTCCAAGTATTAACACGTTATAGAGATTTGGCAATTAATGTGATATTGGCATAAGAACTAATAGGCAGATCATGGAATAGAATATGAAGTCCAGTGATAAACGTAAATATATATATATATGGATGTATATATAGATAAATACATATATAATATAGACATATATACATAAATATATATAAACATATATTTACATATATGGTATTTTTGAAAAATAGCATTTAATTTTTTAAAATGTTATTTATTGATTGATTTTTAATTAAGTTTTTTAATAGAGACAGCATTTCACTATGTTGCCCAGGCTGGAGTGCAGTGGCTATTCCTAGGCATGATCATAGTGCGCTACAGTCTCTCTGATCCTCCCACCTCAGCCTCTCGGGTAGCTGCAACTATGGGCTAAAAGTGGCATTTTAAATAGGTAGTAAAAAGGTGGATTACTTAATAAATAATACTGAGACAACTGGGTAGCCTCTGAGGGGAAAAGTCTGATTCTATTATCGACACATAATAACAGGATAAATTTCAAATGTATTAAATTTTTAAGCATTAAAAAAAGGCTGAAATACTGGAGAAACCATAGATGGTGGAGGGCCTTTCTAAACATGACATGAAACTTAGAAGCTATAAAAGGAAAGATCGACTCAAGTATATGTTTAATAAAATATGCATAGTAAAAAGCAAAACAAAGTCAAAAGACAAATATCAAATTGGGAGAAAAATATGCCTACTTACATCACAGACAAAAGGTTAACTCATCTAATATGTAGAGTCCTGAGAAGTCAATGAGAAAAAGGCAATCTAATGGAAAAATGGATAAAATATGTTGACAGTTCACAGAAAAATAAATATGAGTTGCCCCTAAACATACTTAAGAAGCTCACTCATAATAAAAAAAGGAAAATGAAACCATTTTTCATATATTAGATTGGCAGAGATCAAAGATCAATGATTCAATTTTAAATAACAGTGTGAAGAAACAGGTCTTCTTGTACTTGCTGGTGAGAGGGTAAACTGGCACGATTTCTATGGAGGACAATTTGGTACTATCCACCACGCTTATAATTACCATACATATCTTTAGAATATGTCCTATTCTAAGATATACTCATATGTTTTTGATATGATGTATACACAAACTTATTTATTGTGACACTATCTATAGTAGCAAGAGAGTGGAAGCAGTCTAAATGTCCATTAGTGCCCACTGATATGAGGGCACTCATATAGTATGCTCATAAAATGGAATACTATAGACCCACACAAAAGCATAAAGAAGTTCTTTACATATTGGCTGATATGCAGTGAACTCTAAAATCATTGGAGAAAAAAAACGCACATAAGCAAACATCTCTGAAAAGACACACAAGAAACTAGTAACACACACTGTCAGGGAAGGAGAACTGGGTGGCTGACAGACAGGAGTGTGAAGCACACTTTCAGTATGTACAGTTTTACATCTTTTGCACTTTTTATATTTATAAATAAATCACGAGATCTTGTGAGTCAAAAGTGCTAAAATGAACTATAGACATAACAAATAGTAAAAGAAATAAACACAATGAAGAAGAAAATGAGGTAAAGTTAGCTTTCAACCTTCTACTAGTTTCCTTCCCTTAAAGACTTCTTCCAATTACAATGCTTGCTTTCATCAGCATCTTCCCTTATTCTCAGGCCCTTCTGTTTCATTGATCTCAAGAGGTGTGTTAATGCTTCCAGTAATTTTCCAATCAAAATTATGTGAGTCCATCTCAATTGCAACATGTGCTATGTAGTTTTAGGATACATAGGCTCTGCAGAAGCCATTGTTGAATTTTGGAGGGATATAACAATCAAATAGCAGCAAAGCCTGAAATAGTTCATTTGAGATAATCATAAGAGAACAAACCCATCTTTTGGAAGGTACTTGAAAGGAACACAAATTAAAATAAAATCTTGCCTGTTGTTCGGATATAGTGTTACAGGGCTATTTTAATACTATTTATTTGGAGAATTAATGATGTTCTCTCCTGATGGAAGATAAGCTTTTAGATAAAACATGAATAAATAAAATCACATGTCAAATAACCATGGTATCCATGGAGATGCACAAGTCCATATATTGTGATGTGAGAAAATATTGAAATTTCTTATTTCTATTATTTTACCTCATGCTTATAATATATAATGCGGTATATTAATATATAATTTATAAATAAGAAACATGCATAAATGATAGTGTGTGCTCAATCTTTTTTATCTATAGGGTTATCAGTCAAAATGTCTGGCAACAATCGCGAAACGATGAGTTTGTTCCTATATAAATACGAAGAAATTACATAACTATAAAGTGTTGTTATCAGGCAGTAAGAAGCAGAAGCCACAATTGTGAATTTCTAAATGAAATACTATTGAATTCATTTGGTATGGCACTTAGTGCAATGCCATCTGAAGAGAGATTCCTAATAAGTAGTTGGATTTTCAAGTCAGGAAAAACTGTTAGAGACCAACTAGTCCAAATCTTATTTTACACATGATTTACCTGAGGTCCAGAGAAGATAAATAATATTTTCTATGTCACATGGGTGGCCCACAGTAATAAAGTAAGGTATCGAACCCAAATCTCCCAAACTCCTTTGTCTTCCTACTACGTGCACACATGCACATACACACACACACACACACACACACACACACACACACACCTTTCTATAGATATAAATATACATAGAGATATGTATATCTATATGTCTCTCTCTCATATATGTGTGTGTATATATAAAGATCCTCCCTAATTATATGTGCCATATAACATATATATAAATAGAGAGCATCTTTGAAGTTAAGCAGTAGGCCAACCCAGTATTCTCACTACTTTATTTTATCCTCATATATCCATATCTTTATTTTTTCCTTTTTTTAGCCTTCCTAAAAATCACATCGCATTTCAGAACATGGAATAGAATGTGTTTATCTTGTTAATTTTTAAAGGCAATCTAAAGGAAAAAAGTTTAAATCCAAAGTTATCCCTATATTCACCCATCTCCTCTAAGAGAAACAAACTCAAAACTCTAAATGTCATTATTTCTTGCTAGTAATTCTCTGAGAACCACCCAACATAAGAAATATGTACTCAAAACCCAAAGAAAATGAAAGGTGATATGAGTTGGGAGTTGATGATACAGAAGTTTAATTGCAAAGACAGTATCATAAGTAAAACATCATTCTTAAGAGATAAGAAAGTAAACCGGCAAAAACAGATTCTGTATCAATTCCTCATATCTATTAGCCTGATTTTGGGGTTGAATTTTTCCAAGGCTCTCAAAAAAACAATGCCATGACTATGACATAATTCAGACCATGTCTTTAAGAAAGAAGCTAAAGAGAAATAAAAAGTATTTATCCAGGTAATTCAAACCAATTTTTAACATCTTGATCACATTTGTGTAGTCTCTTCACAATATGTACAGGTAGTGTTTAAGATATTTGACTGTATCCACAGACACTGGTTTCAACTGTGGCTATGGCAGTTAGCCAGTTTTGTCATATGTTGGGAAAACTTCATCTGCCATGTTGAGTCATGAAGATTAAATGGCATCATGCAGTTAGTTGCTTAGCAAAGGACAGGCATGTCTTATTTCACTATGCTTCACTTTACTGTAAATGGCAGATATTGTATATTTTACAAATAGAAAGTTATGTGGCAACCCTGTGTAGAGCAAGCCTATTAGCATAATTTTTCAAACAGTATGTGCTCACTCATGTCTGTATCACATTTTGGTAATTCTTGTAATATTTCAAACTTTTCCATTACTATTATATCTGTTATGGTGATCTGTGATCAGTGATATTTGATGTTACTATTGGAATAATTTTAGGGCAGAATGAACCACACCCATAGAAGATGGTGAACTTAATAAAAATGTGTGTTTTGACTGCTCCACCCACCAACCATTGCCCTCTCTACTTCTCCTCTGCATTTGCTGAGATGCAAAAATATTGAAATTAGGCCAACTAATAACATGACAATGGCCTCTAAGTGTTCAAGTGAAAGGAAGAGTCAAACTTCTCTCAACTTAAGTCAAAATGCAGAAATGATTATTACTAAGGAAGGCATGTCGAAAACTGGGATAGGCCGGAATGTAGGCCAAACAGCCAAGTTGTAAATACAAAGAAAAAGGAAGTTAAAAGTGCTACTCTAGTGAACACACCAATGATTAGAAAGTAAAACAGCCATATTGCTGATATGGAAAAAGTTTCAGTCATCCGGATAGAAGATCAAATCAGCCACAACATTCCCTTAAATCAAAGCCTAATCCAGAGCAAGACCTCAACTCTCCTTAATTCTACGAAGGCTGAGGGAGGTGAGAAAGCTGCAGAAGAAAAGTTGGAAGTTAGTAGACATTGGTTCATGTGGTTAAAAAAAAATAAGCTGTCTTCATAACATAAAAGTGCAAGGTGAAGCAGCAAGTGCTGATGTAAAAGCTGCAGCAAGTTATCAAAGAGATGTAGCTTAGATAATTGATAACAGATAATCAGTATAGATGAAGCAGCATTCTATTAATAAAAGATGCCATCTAAGACTTTCATAACTAGAGAGGACAAGTCAATGCTTGGTTTCACGCTTCAAATCTGACTTTCTTGTTAGAATCTAATATAGCTGATGACTTTAAATTGAAGCCAGTCCTCATTTACCTTTCTGGAAATCCTAGCATCCTTAAGAATTATGCTAAGGATACTCTGCCTGTGCTTTATAATTTGAACAACAAAGCCTGATGACAGCACATCTGTTTACAGCATGGTTTACTGAATATTTTAAGTTCATTGTTGAGACTTCTTGCTCAGAAAAAAGATTCCTTTCAAAATATTACTGCTCATTGACAATGTACCTAGTTACTCAAGAGCTTTAATGGAAATGTACAAAGAGATTAGCATTTTCATAACTGCTAACACAACATCCATTCTGCAGCCTATAGATAAAGAAGTAATTCTGACTTTCAAGTTTTATTATATAAGAGATACATTTTGTAAGGCTCTTGCAGCCTTACAATCAGAGATAATGATTTCTCTGATGAATCTGGTTAAAGTAAATTGAAAACCTTCTGGGAAAGATTCACCATTCTGATGCCATTAAGAATATCTGTGACTCATGGGAGGAGATCAAAATATCCCTAACTGGATATTGGAAGAAATTGATTCCAATCTTTATGAACAACTAAGAAGGGTTCAAGATTTCAGATGAGGGAAGTAACAGCAGATGTGGTGGAAATAGCAAGAGAACTAGAATTAGAAGTGGAGCCTGATGATGTGACTGAATTGCCACAATCTCATGATAAAACTTGAACAGATGAGGGGTTACTTCCTATGGATGAAGAAAGTGGTTTTTTGAGACGGAATCTACTCCTGGTGAAGATGCTATGAACATTGTCAAAATGTTGGATAAAGGGCTCCAATTTTGAAAGACGTTATATAGTGGTTATTAAAATGCTATAAAACGGCATTGCATGTTGCAAAAAAATCTTTCGTAAAAGGAAGAGTCAATTCTTGCAGAAAATTTCATTATTGTCTTATTTTAAGAAATTGGCACAGTTACCCCAACCTTCAGCAACCACTACCTTGATCAGTCAGCAGCCATCACCATCAAGGCCAGACCCTCCACCAGCAAAAAGATTAGAAGTGGCCAGGTGCGGTGGCTCATGCCTGTAATCCCAGCACTTTGAGAGGCCAAGGCAGGTGGATTACCTGAGGTCAGGAGTTTGAGAATAGCCTAGCCAACATGGTGAAACCCCGTCTCTACTAAAAATACAAAAAAATTAGCCAGGCGTGGTGGCAGGCATCTGTAATCCAAGCTACTCGAGAGGCTGAGGCAGGAGAATCACTTGAACCCGGGAGGCGGAAGTTGCAGTGAGCCGAGATTGTGCCATTGCACTGGGCAGTCTGGGCAACAAGAGCAAAACTCCACCTCAAAAAAAAAAAAAAAAAAAAGATTAGGATTTACTGAAGGCTAAGGTAATCGTTACCATTTTTTGGGCAAGATGTTTTTTAAATTAAGATATATATACTGTTTTTTAGACACAATGCTACTGCACATTTAATAGACTACAGTATAAACAACTTTTATATGCACGGAGAAACCAAAAAAAAATTGCATGGCTTGCTTTATCGAGATATTTGCTGTATTGTGTTGGTCTAGAACCAAACCTGCAATCGCTATGGTATGTCTGTATCTAGCACATGATTATGCACATATAAAACCCAACTCCTTGATTCACAGGCCTCTGGATAGGAGATATGACATGCCCAAGGTCTCGCAGTTCATGTGAGGCAGGAAACTTAAGAGAGCCAGACTTCTTTAAGGAGACTGAAAGGTGATTCATTTAGTGAGTAGCGATTACAGAATTTCTAAAACAGTGGGGGCGGGGGGGGCGGCGGGGAGGAGGGCTGGAATTGTCCTCCAGCGCATACAAGGTTGTTGCTGCCAGAGAAATCCAGCAGGAAAGAGCAGCATTCTTTCACCTTTTCCGCCTCTGAAGCGGAGGAGAACTTCATTTCCCAGCAGCCCTTAAGATTCCTCCGCGCACTGCGCTAGCGTCCCGGCATTCTGCTTTCCGGCGCTCTGCCTTCCGGTGCGTCGTTTACGCCAGTTTGAACCAAAGACGCCCAAGGTTGAGGCCGAGTTCCAGAGCATGGGGTCTCGGTTGTCCCAGCCTTTTGAGTCCTATATCACTGCGCCTCCCGGTACCGCCGCCGCGCCCGCCAAACCTGCGCCCCCAGCTACACCCGGAGCGCCGACCTCCCCAGCAGAACACCGCCTGTTGAAGACCTGCTGGAGCTGTCGCGTGCTTTCTGGGTTGGGGCTGATGGGGGCGGGCGGGTACGTGTACTGGGTGGCACGGAAGCCCATGAAGATGGGATACCCCCCGAGTCCATGGACCATTACGCAGATGGTCATCGGCCTCAGTGAGAATCAAGGCACAGCACTTGGGCGGGTTGGGTATCTGCGGGGTAGAGGAAGGAAACGGAGCAGCCACGTGGGCGGGGAGGCGGGGAGGCGGGGTGCTGCCGCTGGTCAGGTGGTGGGGGCACCTCAAACAAGGTGGGAGAGGAAGTTGTTGGAACGCCTTTCTTTTTTTTTTTTTAATTTTAAGTTAGTATTTCTTGAGAACCCTTATTAGACTCAGCCCTTTTAATTCTCAGAATAGCTGTTAGAAGTAGGTATGATTATAGTATTTACTGTGGAGCAAACCGAGGCAACGAGGAGTATTGTGTTCATGGTCAGGAAATGACAGTCACTTGATCCCAGGTATATCAGATCTCAAAGCCCATACTTTTTCTCCAGGTCCTGGAGAAAGCCTGAGCGAGGGCCCTTGACCTTAATTTAAGAAATTTGCCTTGAATCCCAGATCTTTAGACGTGGATTCTAAGCTCACCTACTTGGTACACCTGGGTAATGTGGCCCACAGCCCCGTTCTGTGATCGTCAAGATGTCATCCAATCAAACGTCATGATTTTTTTAGCTTTCAAACCGATTGTCAGTGAATAGAATTTTAGGTTTCTAACTGTCTTACCTTCTTGATCCTGTATAGGTAAATTCTCCTACAGGATATTCTTTTTTTTCCTGATTTTTTTTTCTTTTTCTGTGCTTCACTTGCCTTATAAGAAAGATACAATGGTAATATATCCTCCAGAAGTGTTGTGAGGGTTAAATAAGATGGCGTATATGTGAAACACTTGGTAAATTTAAATGCAGCATAAAGGTAAGGTATTGTTGTTTTTTTTCTAGGCATTGCCACCTGGGGTATCGTTGTCATGGCAGACCCCAAAGGGAAGGCCTACCGCGTTGTTTGAAAGTACCACCAGTGAATCTGTCTTCTGTCTCTGTCCCTTTCCCCGTGACACACACAGCAGGCATGGAATTTAATGGGTGTTCTGGACAGACACTTGTACATGGACAGACATCACTACTGTGGATACTACAAGACTGAGAAGAAAATCGTATGTTGTCATTCTCTGGCTATGGAGTGTTTGTGGCCTTCACAGATTTCACAGGAACCAATAAATCCCTCAGAGAAGTAAACAGGTTCTTTGTCTTATCTGGGGAAGGAAAGTATAACTTATATTTAAATATAATTGCTTAATTAAGCATTATATATAAACATAATAGTATGTCTTATATAATTGCATGTCATATTATATATAATAAACATAAATATGTTTAGTTATATAGTTAGTATAATTTTTAAAACTTTTAAATACAGCATATGGTAAACCAACGGGAAAATTAGCTATTTTACTTCATTATTTTAAAGAGTTCTTTTTATTTCTTTCATAATTGGATCAACAACTGTTAACCTAACCCTGGGTGGGCATCATGCAATATATAGAAGTACGTGAAATTTTCTGTGTATGAATTGCTGATACTTTGCAAGGCATTTTCAAATCCATCACCTTATGAGAGCTTCACAGCTAGTCTGAGGTAGTTACTTCATTGGAGGTAAAACTTAAAACACAAGAAAGAGCCCACATGATTTGCCTAGGGTCATTCAGTAAGTCCGTGATGGAGCTAGAACTTGTTCTTGTCAGTTTTTTGTTCTAGTCTTCCCTTTCATGGAGGCAAGAATAACCATTATGAAACAGTTAGATAATCATAAAAATCAGCATACAATAAAAGACTTAAATGTCACAAGAAAAATTCAAAACCTTTAGCTAAAAAAAAAAAAGATCTTTTGATTCTTTTTCCACAAGCACTAGATATGTTTCTGTGATGATTTTGAGATAAGTACTCAAAATTACATAGTTCATTTCTAAGAGAAGGCCATGTTTTCTACCTATTGGGTTTTTCTACCCTGAGATACTATGGCTTCTTTGTAAAGGTATATAAAGTGTTTTTCAAAGCGGAAAGATACTGTTAAATTCAGCTGCTAATCATAGTGTATTTGTTTGGAATGACATGTTGAGCAGGTAGTACCTTTACGGCTGTTGCTTTTTGCAGCATTATGTGGAAGTGCCTAAGTCTATTTAGCCTCACAGATGACTTTAGAATCTTGTATTTTCTACATCAGAGTTCATAGCGGGGATGGTGCTACATATATCTATGCAACTGAAAAAGAAAACATTTCAAACCTAAAGTACGCAACAAGATATTATTTATATGAAATCCATAGCTCAGTTATGCTATGTTCATGAATAGAGAAGTTTTAAGTTGGAAGGGACCATGGATGACCCAAAGCAGATACATATGGTCATTCATATACCTAAAATACCTACAAAGACAAGTTGTTCCCTGGTTTAAAAGGCAGTCTGTTCTATTGATGGACTGCTTTAGTCCCTGAACATTTTCTTTGGTTAAACCAAAAACACATAAACCTAACTTGGTCTTGGCTTGATCTACTGGGTAAATAATAACTCTTAAATATATATACAGTTGACCCTTGGACAACACAGGAGTTAAGAGCGCTGAACATTTGCTCAGTGGAGAATCTGCATATAACCTGACTCCTCAAAAACTTAATTAGTAGTTAGTTTACAATTGACTGGAAGCCTTATTGATAACATAAAGCAGTTGATTAACACATTTTTTGTGTTGTATGTATTATATTCCGTATTCTTACAAGAAGGTAAGCTAGAGAAAAAAAAAATGTTATTAAGGAAGTAATATATTCACTATTCGTTAGGTAGAAGTGAATCATCCTAAAGGTCTTCATCCTCATCTTCACGCTGAGTAGTCTGAGGAGCAAGAGGAGTTGGTCTTTCTGTCCCAGTGGCAGAGGTGGAAGAAAATCCACAGATACGTGGACCTGCGCAGTTCAAACCTGTGTTGTTTGGGTCAACTGTATTGTAATAGCATTTTAATGTTTTTCTCAGACTTTTACGAGTATGAATCTGAGCTTTTTCTGAATAAACCTGCCTGCTCACCATTAATAATGCCAAAGTGTGTTTGGTTCTTTCCATCTTGGAATAATTTAACTAAGTATGGGCAAAATATTGTTCTACCATGTCTATAATGTGGGAAGAAGCAAAAGGAAAATCTGCATTTGTTAAAAGTTTTTTTTTTTTTCTTTTGAAGTATACTCCAAAATCTGATTTCTGCCAGTGCTAACCCAGACATCCTAGTTTGTTTTAGGGATGAGTCTGATCTTCTCAGAGAGGTTTCAGAGACAGAGACATCGTCTTAATCCTTCAATACAGAAAGTTCACTTACTGCCCCCAATATCTTTCCTTTTGTTGAAGCTGAGGTGGAGTAAGCAGGATAAATGGGCTCAAGAATCAATGGATTATAACTCAGTCATGTAAGAACACCAGCTTAATTATGATTTACAGACTTTAGAATCCCTTTACAGCATGGAAAAGAGAGTTTATAAAGTCTCATCATTACCTATAGCAAAGAAGGAGACAAGAGACAAAGTACAAAAAGTAATTTAAAATGCACTTATACATTTCTCTAGGATCCAGAGACCAAAATGTGAATGTACATGTGAACATTGGCTTTTATCAGTGTCCAAGATATCGTTAACTCAAGCTATATATAGTGAGTATAAACTTTGATATCTCGAGATATTCAAGAAATCATTACACCATCTTTTGTTCCTATTGTGTATTGTATTGACTAGTCTGGAATAGTGTGATCAGCTAGCAAAATGAACATATTAAAGGACCCACATATAGATTGACCCTCAAGGATCTGGGTAAGATAGGGGAAGGGGATGGGAGATCTCTTTTTTTTTCCCTAGGCCAGTTGCGGAGACAGCTGTTGTTGACAGCCCTGGAGTGTCCCAAATGCAGAGCAGTCTCAAAAGTTTCTGGAGCTTTACCTGGCTGAGACCAGTGCAGAGACAGCTGTTTCTGGTGGCCCTGGAAGTTAGCATCTCAACCATGATTTGTACTTCAGCTCCACCCTTAGCTTAGCATTTGCTGCTTGCTTCTTTTTATTAATGGTTTCTCAGCCTGGCTGTGTCTAAGCTAGGAGGCTCCTGAAAGAAGCCAGTTGATTTGACAACATAAAATACATGCTCTTTAATTAAATATGTTTAGGGCAAGTATATGTTCACATATCCCCTCAAACCAGGCTTGGCCTCAACTGATTTATTGCCAGGACTACATTGATCAAACTGACATTTCTTAAACAATAGTAAACAATTTTAGTTGAAAAGCTGTTTTTTTTTTTTTTTTTTTTTAAGTGACAAATTCTTGTCTTGACCCAATGATTATGTAGGTGTTAGGGGCACAGACTTAAAGGTGAAAGACCCATAATTACACATCATTCTAAAATGCATATCTCTTGGACTTTGAGGTATTCGCAACTTGTCATTCAAATATAAATGGAATGTAGAGAAATAGCCAGAGGGTCAAATGTTAAATCCAGCCATGCCACTAAAAATCACTGCTCAGTCCTGTGACTGAACTTGCAGGGGCTTCAGGAATGTGGTAGGAGGGTCTTGAGATGGTCCCTGTCTCCAGCCCCTTGGGGTACACACACCTCCCAGTTACTCAAATCAAACACCATTCTAGGTGCTGGCTGTGAAGGGATTTTGCAGGTGTAATTAAGGTACCACATCAGATGACCATAAAATGGATTATCTAGAAGGACTAATCATATAAGCCCAATAAATCTCTGTCTGGAAGTCAGAGACAGAAGTCAGATTAGAAGCATGAGAAGGATTTAGTGCTCCAGAAGTTCTTTGCTGGCCCGTAGAGAAAAAGTTCACATCTATGTTGTGAACTGCCTCTGGGGGCCATGTGGTAAAGAACTGCAGGCAGCCTGAAGATGCTGACAGTAGCCCCCAACTGACAGCCAGAAGGAAAATGAGGACCTCAATTTTACAACTGCAAGGAAATGAATTGCTGCCTGTGACCTGTGAACTTGCATGAGGGCCCTATGAGAACCAAGAACCACTGCTCCGACCAGCAGCTTGGCTTCAGTCTGGTAAGACCCTAAGCTGAGTATCAGTCATGTGAAACCGAGATAAATTTATGTGAAGTTGCTGAGTTTGTGATATTTTTGTGTCTCAGCAATAGAAAACTAATATAAGGAATTAGAGGTGTTTTGTGGTGTTTTAGTCATAGTAGGTGACGTGTCAGACTAAATACCATTCTGTGTATTCAGGAAGTAGCAAGAAAAAGCCATTTATTTGAATAGCATTTGTCTTCCCAGTAACTAACTTCACTTGTTCTTTTACTGGTGGTTTTCTTGGATAGTTTTAATGTGTGTTTTTAGTTGTTTTCTGCTTTCTAGCACAGTTGTTCCACTGATAAGTAAATATATTAAAAATTACAGCACCCTTTTTATATGCCAAGTATTATGCTAAATATTTTACCTGAATTGTTTTATTTAATCCTCAGCAACCCTGTTTTATAGATTAGATGACTGAGACCTGAAGGAGTTAAGAATTTGCCCAAAGAAGGTCTTAGGCCAATGAACCAGTAGTGGCTCAGCTAAGAACACCAATTAGAAACATATGTTGTTACAGTTGTTTTCTTAGCGTCCATTCTCAAAATATTCAAGTTTCAAAATTAGAAATTTTGCATTTTGATTTTCACTTTTTTCTGGTTATCCCTTAGTATCATTAATCTCTTGGTTTCCTTTCTTTATAATTGAGGTTATATCACTTATCACTGTGACAGCAATGTAAATATTAATCCAGGAGAAGACATTCAACTCATCTCCCTAAGCTCATTCCCTTCGAAGACATTACCCCAATCTCTATCCTGACATTGCACCATTCTCCTGAACCTCCAACTGTATTTCCCAGTCACAGCAGGACATTTCTTCTTGTCTGTCCTCAGACATCAGAGTCCCAACGTGTCCCAAATGAACCTTTAATATCTCCCTCCAACCTATTTCTTTTTTATTTCTTATCTCTATTAATAGTCTTTCCACTTCATCAGCTGGCCAAGCTAGAAACCATGGAATTATCTATGACTCCCTCCTTACCCTCATTCTTTACTTCTGACCTGTTAACACGCCCTGGTTATTTTAACTTTCTAATCGTCACTTCTGTCCATTCCCATTGCTATTGTTTTGGACCAGTTACCATCATTTCTCATGTAGATTGCTATAATAGATTCTTAATTCCTCCTTGCTTCCAGGAAACCCTCTCATCTACTCTCCACTATAGCCCAAGCTACTTGAAAACATGTTCCTGCTTAAAACCATTCAGTATCTTTGCTGCATACAAGATGAATCCCAAACACTTTGGCAGATCATGAAATGCCTTTCATCTTCAGCTCCATAACTTTCTGTCTTAATTGTCTTCCACTCCTCGACATCTGTTCCGTACAGCCAATGTTTCTGCCACTTACTTAAGCCAGTTCTCCCTAAAATGTCATTCTTTATGCCTTTACACATGCTATTCCTTCAAGCTGGAATATCTTTTTGTCCCTGCATTATATGGAGAAATCCCACTTGTCCTTCAAGGCCCAGACTGAGTGTTGCCTTTCCGGTGAAGCCTTCCGTGAAATAGTTCCACTTCAGTTACTTTGATTCTGGTGCAACCATTAACTTTCTGCAGAATTCTATCACTGCACTTAAATGTTTGCCCAGTAATTGCTTATTTATGCATCTGTCCCTCCCCAGTGATTGTGAACTCCTCAAGAAGAGGATTGTGCTTTTGTCATCTTCATGTTTCCCATCCCCAGCACCAACATGTGAGGCTTTCAGTTGATGATACTCAATAAATATTTGATGACTGAGTGAATAAACAACTGAACAAATGAATGAGAAGAGAAAGAAATGTTTGTCCCATTTGGTAACTTTAGGATATCTCAGTGGTTATCAAGGTTTGGTCCCTGGACTAGCAGCAGCATCATTACCTGATAACTTATGAAACTTCCACCTTCTCAGCCCATTGACATTTACTACTGAATCAGAAGCCCTGGGGGTAGAACCCACCAATTTGTATTGTAACAAGCCCTCCAGGCTTAAGAAAGTTTGGTGAACCTCAGGCATAGCTGAAACTGACTGACCTTTGTACAGTGGATCTTAATTATAACATAATGGAAAGAAGATCTGATTGGCGCCATGGAACCCAGCTTCTAATCCTAGTTCTGCCACCAGCTCCTAATATGCTCTTGGGCAAGTCACTTAGCATTTAACAACATAAATTTTACCCTCTGTGAAGTCAGAAGATCAGAACAGATAATTTCTAAATTCTCTTTCAGCACTAAAGTCCTCTCTTCCCATAATCTCTGTTTAAAGAAGTAGATACACTTTCTTAGATTCCAAAAGACAGAGATAGCAATGAGGAATTCATAGAAAATTGAAATAGCACCCTGCAGTAATCCTGCAAAGCTGCAGCAGATTAGACTATTACCCAGTCAAGTCCACTCCCTAACATCTTGCAGCTGCAATGCCTGATGCTTAACAGGAATTTAGCAGTCTTCACCCCAGTTAGTGCACCTAGCCAACCAAACAACCCTACTGGGTGGGAAGAGGTCTTTCCTGACCCGTTCCTGATTAGATCATGCCTGCAGCACGAAGTGTGATTACTCTCTTCTAAGGAATATGGCTGTGCTTTGGTCAAGGACAGGCAGAGATAAACATCCAGACCCATTGAGTTTAGAGTGCAGGCGTATAACTCCACTCATTATCATAGCCGTGTAGACATAACATAGAGAAGCTCACCACCATAGCCATAGCATAGGGAAGGCTCATCACTTGGCTCTAAGCCACTATTGTCTGTAAAAGATATAATTACCCTGTTGACACTGTACAGGTGCACTTCTCGCCCAGAGAAAGAGAGCACCAGAGCTGTCCATCTTTGCAGATGACAAAGGAGGGAGCCAGAACAGAGCTCAGCTTGCTCATGCCCAGAGAGAGAGAAAGAGTTAAGCTGCTGACCCTGACGGGAGAGCCGGTTGTGCAGCTGTGTGTGGGGGCTGCCGGACTAAGCAGCTGAGAAAAGGTGGACAGTGTGGGAGAGCTAGTGTGAGTAAGCTGCTGATGAGAGAGCTGCTGAATAAAACTACACTTCACCTGTTCATAGCCCCCTGAGTGTTTTTTCACAGTCAGGTTCCAGCCCATGCTGACTGTTCTCAGTTATCTGACCATCTGCCCACTCCCCTCGAACCTCATCATGATCTGGAACCTGACCCCAAGCAGGACATTTGGCATAGTCGTGAACCTGACAATTGGCAACGTTGGCAGGATGAAGTGAGTGGGTCTTCAGCCCCCGAGGGCTCCTGGGTCGGCTTCTGGGACCCCTTCTCACCTCGTGGCATGGTTACCTGTGGAGTGGGCATCTTCCCGTTGTTTATGGCACTAGTTCCTCAGTCCCACCAATGGCCTTCTGCCTCCCAGAGGGCTGCCATATCAGTAGTCCCTTCATGTATGTGGCATCCCACATTTGGGGTGAGAACAGCAGCTAGAGAGCCACTCCCTAACATCTTGCAGCATGGGCTATGGTACCCGGTGGCAGAGGTGCTGCTTGGATGTGCCCCAGTGGAAATGTGGGAGGCAGTGGGCGGGTCTCCCGCAAATGTGGAGAAAGCACTGAAGCAGCTGGAAGCACACAGCACAGAGAAGGAAAGCACCTTCGCCAGGAGAGTTGGATGGGCATTTCTGACTGCACTGCGGGAAGTACATGCTCAGTCCCACAGGTAAGAGACCTCCCAGTGCAAGCTTCACACCTACGGGCCCAAGTGCACAGCTTGGAACAGGACCTGAGGATGGGGGATCTCCAGGCACAAGCAGGGCACTTGGAGGCCCAGATAAACAGCTTGGAACAGGACTTAGCAACAGCTGTTGGCGTGACCTTAAGCCTGTCCTCCTGGCCGGACACTCTTGTTTGGTCTGATGCCAAAGAGAAGGAGGCTCCCCCACTGTGGGCTCACCCTGTGATCCATCAAAAGGTAGAACATAAGCAGCTGATATGACCCCAGGGGAGAGCCCAGGGACCCCCCAAAGTGGTAGAACACACCTCTTATAGTGCTTATACCTGCACTGAGTTGCAGCAGTTAGGTAAACAGTGCAGGCCGCACCCAGGGGAACCCCTCCCTACCTGAATGCTCTGTCTCCGGGACAAAGGAACTGATAGCATTTCTTGCTCTGCCTCTGAGATGGAGAAACTGGCTTCTATCACAAGTCATCCCTCCTTTCATCAGCGGCTGCAGCCATGCCAATGGTACGAGGACAAGGTGACCACACATTAATTGAGTGGCTGATAGCAGCCATACGGACTGTTTGGAATGATGCCAAAAAGATACCAGAAACAGTGAGTAAACGGCAATCATATACTGATTTGGTGCAGATACTCCAGGAGATGGGTATGTGGCAGGCTATGTTTGATCTGAATACCCGGAGGCCAAATGATGAACGCTTTACCTCCCACATGAGGGATCTTGTGCTGGGCTCAGTGCCCCAGAGAGCTTTTGGTTCTCTAGCTGCTGTTCTCACCCCGTATGTGAGGCGCCATATACATGAAGTGACTAATGCTATGGCAGCCCTCGGGGAGACAGAAAGGCATTGGCAGGACCTGGGAACCCATGCCATAAAGAAAGGGAAGGTGCCCCCTCTGTGGGTAACCACCCCACAAGATGAGAAGGAACCCCAGCAGGTAAACTGCATGCAGATGTGTATTGATTTAATTGCAGCTGGGGTTGCTCGGGAGAAAATTGACAGGCAACCCAATGGAATGCTGTTGGTTCTGTGAAGGCAGTTGTCCCCAGAGCAGCAATTCCAGAGAATGCCTAAGGTGGGACGGTGAAGCAATGTTGTTCAAACTACTCCCACCTGGATCCTGCAACTCAAGGACTATTTGCAGACAAGTGAATATATGGAGGCTTTCTCGTTTGATTAGGGAACTGGCCGAGGTGCCTGGCTCAGCGGAGGGTACCAGACAACTGGAGGCTCTACGTGGAGCTGGCAATCCACTGGTCCCCCACTAATGTACAGCAGGTCCTAGCACTGGTAGATACTGGTGCAGACTGCAGTATAGTTTATGGAAACCCGGATAAGTTTCTGGGCAAAGCTGCATTTATTGACGGTTATGGGGGCCAGTCAGTGAAGGTGAAACCTGTGTCTCTGCATCTTGGCGTTGGCCACTTGGCTCCCTGCCTGTACACTGTGTATGTTTCTCCTATACCTGAATATATTCTGGGGGTGGACATTTTGCATAGTCTGGACTTACACACTGCGGTTGGAGAATTCAGACTAAGAATTCATGTATTAAAACTGGTACTGTGTGGACATTCGCATCACCAGTCCCAAGTTCTGCCACAACCCTGATGGGTTACCTCCACTCATCAATACCATTTGCCAGAGATAACTGAGACTATTAAGAGGTTAGAGGAGGTGCAAATAGTGTGTGGCACCCATATTCCCTACAATTCCCCAGTATGGCCAGTCAGAAAGCCTGATGGGACTTGGCAGATGACAGTGGATTATTGGGAACTGAAATAAGTAACACCCCCTCCACGTGCAGCTGGACCTTCCATCGTGGACTTGATGGACTTGACAATAGAGCTGGGACAGTAGCACTTTGTGATGGGACTTGGCTAATGCATTCTTCTCCATTG
This sequence comes from Homo sapiens, assembly GCF_000001405.40. Taxonomy (NCBI): domain Eukaryota; kingdom Metazoa; phylum Chordata; class Mammalia; order Primates; family Hominidae; genus Homo; species Homo sapiens. The sequence goes on along the minus strand of NC_000009.12, from coordinate 7,788,909 downwards.
ACATCGCTCCAGAGAGCCAGGCAGAGTTTGCCTTCATGGGAGGGCAACAATGGACTTTCACAGTGTTGCTGCAGGGCTATATGCATAGCCCCACCATGTTTCATGATCTCATTGATGATGTTATGCTAACCTTTGATTCTGTTGCAGGTTTAGAAGTGGCAATGACCCTCTTGCCTGGGATTGGGATGACGAAGCTGAGACAGCATGTCTGGTAACCAAGCGGGCTATTTAGCAGGTACAAACCCTAAGGGTAGTTGACCAGGGGTGCCCATTTAACGTAAATGTGCATATGACCATGGATAGTTTCTGTTAGGGCCCATAGCAGTGCACAGAGCATCTGAGTATGCCAATAGGCTTTTGGTCCCAACTATGGACGGGAGCTGAGCTCTGGTAGTCCTTAATAGAGAAGTGATTAGTAATATGGGATGGGTGTATTCATAGATAACCACCCCCCGGACTGGGAAAGCAGTTAGTAACTGCATATGCTGCCCTTCAGGCTCATAAGAGCACTGCAGGACAGGCTGCAGTCGTGCAGATGGCTTACCCAATAGCGAGGTGGATGTGCTCATGGGTAACAACCTCCGAGACTGGGACAGCACAGACATCCACTTTAGCAAAGTGGGGCGCCTACTTAGAACAGCAGAGTACTGTAAGTACAAGTCCCTTAGCAGCAAAGTTACAAGAGGTTTTAGGGCCTATAGTCCTAATGTAAGATAAGGCCATGGGGCCTACGGCACCCCTAGACCCTGAGCCATCACTGTTTAAGGAAGGGCACACTCCCATTCCTAATGACACATGTTATATAGATAGGTCTAGCCAGAGTACTGCTGCTGCCTAGATTGCTGCTGCAGGCCAGCCTAATACTGTCACTATATGGTTTGATAACAAGTGTGGGCAAAGTAGCTAATAAGTTAAACTCAGGGCAGTGTAGATAATGATCACCAAGGAGGTGACACCTATGGTAATCTGCAGCAATAGCTGGGTAGTTTATTGAGGCTTAACCTTGTGATTAACTACCTGAAAGTTACAGAATTAGCTAGTCACTGACCCATATAGGGCCAGGCCATGTGGCCAGATCTATGAGAGGAAAGATGACCTCCTCCAACCAGGTATGGGGACGAATGGTAATCTGTTATTGCCTGCCCCAACACCCCTAAAGGTAGGGAAACAGATAACCCTGGTGTTGGCCATGGACCCTCCAAGCCCCTCATTGCAGATGGTTGGCTATTGTAGCCCCTTGTGGGGGAGGATCTGCAGTGTAATTTACATGTTACTCCTTGGGTGTTTAATGTGTGGCCTCCACAATTAACCATTCATAGGGAAACAGTCGGGGAAGGGACCCTCCTCTGGGGGACATACGTACTGTCCGTGTGGCCTGTCATAAGCTCTGCTGTGACTTTGGCATGGGTATAGGACCCAAAAGAACCATGGGGAGCTGATAAGGTGTGGTACCATTGCCCAGGGCAGAAGCCCTTGGCAGCTGCATTGTCAGCTAGAGATAAAAGTTGGCTTGTATTTGGCCTAAGGGACATGATTTACCCTTGTTAGTACCTATGCTTGCTTTGTCGTTCTGGCTGTAGGTTGGCATGTCCAGCAGCATCATGGACTGGGCCCAGACCTATACCAAGGTGACCAATGTCTCCAACTGTTGGATCTGCACCACCCTTCCAGCAGCAGCTGCAGACAGCTTGCCCTGGCACATGCATTCAGCTTCTGTGAAGAACTGGACGTGGCTAGAGACTTCGGGTCGCACGGACAATGGGTGGGAGGCAATATGGTGAGCTTTGGACAGGGAGTGTCGCAAAACCCATGGCAAGCCTGCCCCCTGGCTGACTCGAACTGTCCATGATGGATAGGGCTGGCTAATGGGAGAACACATGGTGCCCCCATTGTAGGTACCACGATGTACAGACCAGCACTGGGGTAAAGTCACTGTGGGATCGTTGCCTGCTGAGATTTGTGCAAACATAACATTTGTCGCTACACCAAGGGTGTGGTGGAACAAGTGGCCATACCAAGGCCGGGCCCCCATGGAATTTATGCCTCCTGGGAGCTTATGGTCTGTGGGGATACCGGATGGCCATATCTGCCAGTCAAATGGACTGGACATTGTACCTGGGGGTAGCCCTATGTCCCTGTCACCATGCTTCCCACATTGCCTAATCACCTGCATAACTGGGAGGTGCTGTGTTCCCACTTTTTGTGAGTGCGGCAGGCCCCCAGTGGTTCTATCCCTTAATAATAACTATCACTGAAGTAGGTGTTATTCCTGTAGAAATGCAAGTTATAGTCCTTGCAGAGCACACAGCTCCGGCCCTGAATTACACCCAAGTTGCTCTCCATTTGCTAACTAATAAGGTTAATCAGATCAGGAAGGTGGTGCAGCAAAACTGTATGGCCGCACACATAGTTACAACTGCCCAAGGTGGCACCTGTGCCCTTGCAGGGACACAGTGTTGTACATTTATCCCTAACAACCACCATAACATAACAGCAGCCTTACAAGGGGTGTCACAGGAGATTAAGGTGATTGAACACCTTACCGAGGACCCCCTGCAGAGATAGTGGGTGCCTCTGGGGCTCTGGCCTACATTGGGCTCTAATAATCATGGGTAGCACATCAGGAATATTAGTGGTAGGTTGTTGCTCTCTGTGGCCTATGGGTCCAAGGTGCTGCCCTATGCACACAGATCTGCACTAGAAGAACTCCCTCAGCCTAGGGGGTGGAATGTAAGGCCTGTGGGCCAAGCCTGTTTATCAAACTATGTGCCCAAAACTTATATATAAAGCCTGTGTGTGTATATCAAGCCTATGTACCCAAAGTTTATGTGTATAACCTGCGTATCCAAGGCCTATGTCTCCCTCGGCCTAGGGGATAGAGTGTAAGGAACATGGCTGTGCTTTGGTCAAGCATAGGCTGAGGTAAACATCCAGAATGACTCAGCGAGTTTAGAGTGCAGGCTTATAACTTCACTTGTTATCATAGCCATGTAGACATAACATAGAGAAGCTCACCACCATAGCCATAACATAGGGAAGGCTCATCACTTGGCTCTAAGCCACTATTGCCTGTAAAAGGTATAATTTCCCTGTAGACATTGTACAGGCATGCTTGCACTCAGAGAAAGAGCCAGAGCTGTCCATCTTTGCAGATGGACAGGAAAAAGTTGGGACACAGACCTCGCTCATGCCCAGTGAGAAAGAAAGAGTTAAGCTGCTGACCCTGAAGGGAGAGCCGGCCACACAGCTATGTGTGGGAGCCGCTGGACTAAGCAGCTGAGACAAGGTGGATAGTGTGAGAGAGCTAGTGTGAGTAAGCTGCTGCTGAGAGAAATGCTGAATAAAACTACCTTTCACCTGTTTACGGGCCCCCGAGTGCCCTTTCAGCTATCTGCCCATCCGCCCACTCCCCTCGAACCTCAGCGTGGGCTGGAAACTGACCCCAAATAGGATATTTGGCGTAGTCATGAAACGGCCCCTCTCCTGGCCTGCATAACTGCCCAGACATTCAAAAGAAATATGGGAAGTCAAAGGAAAGGTTGGGATTGGTGGTGGTGGGATGGTGTGCGTGTGTGTGTGTGGGGCGGGGGGGGGGGGGGGGGGGTCCCTTTCTATTTCCAAACAGCCTAAATAGGAAAATACTTCCTTCAGTTTCACTCTTCATAATACTGGTTTAGTGATGTGAATTAAACACTATATATTGTGTAGGCTGTGTCTAAAATAACAAACCTTAGCAAAGGGAAAGATGCTATCAGTGAATAGGCAAAGCAAACCAATAAAAATGCACATTATTTCTTGTGCCTGGAGGTATTAAATAATATATATATTTTAAATGGCATGCACTTGTATGTGAAGCTGAGTGGGTACAGTAAAGCCCACAGGTGGCTTCATCATTATAATGGTCAACTACAGAAATGGCCCCTAAGCCAGGGATCAGGAGTCAGACCTAGCTAAGGCCCTAGATTCTGATCATGTCATCATCAAAAAAGTTCTCAATGACCAGAAGAAATCTGGTCTCATTTCCTTAAAGGAAACTACCATTGTCAGGTACCTCACACGCATTGTATTGATTCAATTCAGCATGCACTTATAAGCCCTTGTTTTATGCCAGTGTTAAAATAAGTAACTGGGAGGCCATTAGGACGAGACAGCTCCAGCGCTTTGGGTTCCTATGTAAGCAAACGAAAACTCAAATCAGTGTGACCGATCATATCCCAGCAAAATGAAACTGAAGTTTAACCAATCAGAAACTGCCAATTAACCTCTAACGAGGGACTTTCCACTTTAACCAATCAAACATTTTCTTTGTCTTTCTTCCCTGAACACCTAGTAAAAATTTGCCTCTTGTTCCTCCTAGGTAGAGCCTACACTACTAATGATTTGGCACTGCCTAATTCATCAATTGCTGTCTACTCAAATAAACTCTTTAAAATCTTAATATGTCAAAGTTTACCTTTTAACACCAGGCACTCTGCCAGGTGTGTTAAGAATATTCTAGGGCCCCTGCTCCAGAAGTTGATAGCCTAGTTTGGGAGACAGACACACTAAAAGGTGATTGTGATATAAATAAGTATTCTACACAGGGTACATGGGAGCAAGAAGAAGGGATATTTTCATTATTAAACAGGGACAAAAATCAAATCTGACATCTAACACACAGCAAAGCCCAATCACCATGAGACAACCTTTTGACCTATCCCTAGGGGTGGGTTGATAGCCCACCTACCAGGAGGATGAATGAAGCAGACCCATATCAACAAGATGGGCTACTAACACTCATACTTTGGGCATTCCATCAAACAGAAACTTGAGGAATTTTCAGAGTTCCATGACTTGGGGTTGCTTTAAGCAGCATGCTGTGCAGCCACGCTTAGAACTGTGTGACAGAGAACTGCAAAATGCCTGTCAAAAGCCTTGACAAGTGAAAGACAGGCAAATTGGGGGGAAAGCTCACTCTCCATCCTCACCAGCCTGTGAACACCTGCTAGTGATGGAGCAAGCTGAGAGACACATTGGCACATGTTGGCAGCACTAGCAGATTTGCCCCACCTCATGATTTAGTGAAAACATGATCCTTTCTCTGTGGCTTCCACTCCACAAACCCATTTGTTTCTTTTGCTGTACGTATTAGATTGGTGTGAAAGTAATTGTGGTTTTGCCATTACGTTCAATGGCAGAAACCGCAATTACTTGTGCACCAACCTAATAGACGTAAGAGGGAGAGGCAAGTAAAGTCTTCAAGCAGGTTTTACTGTGGCTGAATAAGGGGATGCTAGAACTTCTGGTGGCATTCTCTTTTAGATGATGAAAATTATACTAATCCCATTTGTAGAGAATGTTTTAATCAACAAGGCACTTTCACTCATTTATATGCCTGGCTTTACAGCAACCCAGGAGAGAAGGTGGATCATCTTCCATAGTTCCCATTTTACAGATGAAGAGATGGAGGTAGTTTCATATGGTTCAGGGACTGTGCAGTCACCTAGGAAGCAGCAGATTTCATCATATGAGCTCAGATACGTGGCACCTTTGCAGGATACTCTTCATACTGGTTCTCAAAGAATTAAATGAGATGTGTCTACTGTAATCTTCTGGGTAGGAAGCAGAAATTTGGACCTCTCCTAAAGCAACACAAATTCAGTTTGTCTCCCTCAGAAGGAAACACACTGACTGTTTTTGGAAGCCTGAGGTTCAGAGGGCCTAGAGTGATTCAGGCAATAGTGATGCTGTTTGAATCAGGAAACTGTCCCTAAACAAGTTAAGTTTTCTGAGCCTCAGCTTCCTAATTTATAAAATGTGCATTGCCCTACCCACCATATTTTGTGGGAACTGAATGGGTATTTAGAGACTGTGATGTACTAGGCAGTAAATAAATGCTCACCAGTATCTTTGTTTTAATAGTTTAATGTGTCATCAGTCCTCTTGCTAGCTGACTGAGAACTCAGAATCTGGATGTGTGGAGGAGCTGGTATACTAGTATCTGTGCGATTGGGTGGTTTTGGTCACATCAGGCATCACAGGCAGATGCCAGGAAGGCAGAATGTAAACAAATTAAAAACCTGCACATTGCTCAAGGCATGTTTCTTGTTTGCAGTTTGGCTCAGTTCATCCCATTTTCTAACTTTAAAATGTTTCACTTAGAAATATAACTTTAAAATAAATAGCAAATGAATAATAAAAAAGAGAAAAAGTCTGTCTAGAAAAAAAGTTTTCTTCTGAGGGGCTCCAGAGTTGGCACTACAAAAGTGCCAGCTGCCAGTTTGTTTTATTATTGCTGGGTTTAAATATATCCATGGCTGAGGGGGAGGAGGGCAATTGACAGCAGCTCTGGCTTCCTGCTGTGCTTGACACTTATTTCACCAAGTTGACTGTGGGACTGACATACTTTCCTTTGGCACAAGTTCTGAATGAAGCCCCTGCGTTGGACACAATCACCACCATTTATGAGTGTCTGCTTCCTCAGCTGGAAAATGGGTGATCTTACCTGTCTTGCCCGTCTCACAGCTTTTTAATGAAGATCAAATAGGATAACTGGATATGTAAGTCTTTTAAACAATTCATAAAACCTTACCAGTTGGTGTTACCCACTTCTCTCATCCAGTTGAACCTTTTCAAAAGTATGCAGTGCAACTCTTAGAAAACGGAATTACAGGCTAGGCATGGTGGCTCATGCCTGTAATCCCAGCACTTTGGGAGGCCGAGGTGGGCAGATCACCTGAGGTCAGGAGTTCAAGACCAGCCTGGCAAACATGGTGAAACCCCGTCTCTACTAAAAATACAAAAATTAGCCGCGCGTGGTGGTGGGTGCCTGTAATCCCAGCTACTTGGGAGGTTGAGGCAGGAGAATGGCTTGAGCCTGGGAGACAGAGGTTGCAGTGAGCTGAGATCATGCCACTGTACTCCAGCCTGGGCAGTTGAGCAAGACTCTATCTCAAAAAGAAAAAAAGAAAAGAAAATGGAGTTACACATCACATGGTGCTGTTAGACATTCCAAAGCCAGGATCTTCTGTGAAATATTAGAGATTGTTTCTTCTCTGCAACCAGTTTAGCTCTTCAGAAACACTACTGAGGTACTGATCCTCGAATAAACATCATGCTCTCTTGGAACTTGCAAGAGACTTTCAGCTTTGAATCCTTTGAATCAGAAGATAAAACATCAAGTCTGCTCCTTCTTCCTCCAGACAGTTTGATTGTTCACACGACTGTTCTTTGACTCCTCTTCCCTTTCCTCTTACCCTTGAGGTGAAATATGATAGCTCCTTCCATTAGGATTCTATCCAGATCCCCAGCTGTTGAGGGGCATAGCTGCTCCTTTTCTTAACAAATGGAGTCAAGTGGAATATCCCACCTGGGCTCAGTTGGCTACAAGATATTTCAGGTGCAGGTTGGTGACATATTACTTACTCTGTAAAGCCCTAGGTGAACTTGACGCCAGTTGACACTGATATCATTTCTCTAACTCAACTTTCTCCCAGGGTCAAAGCCTGCTAAGACACTCTAGCTGACATTCTCTTTCTGTACATTTGTACTTTAGTTGAAACATCATGCCAGGTTCAGGGCTTTTATTTTTATAGTTCATAAAATTCTGCTGATTTTCAAATTACTATTAGGTCTGTTTTTATATTCAGGATTTTCTCCTACTGAATTTAGCTTCCACTTGTTTCCTTGAATGTACGCACACATATATACATATATACAGGGAAAAAAGAAGGAGCAGAAGTTCAGGCTTCATGTCTCAGGTGTGTCAAGGGGGATCTTGGATCACCTTTGACCAATGATAATGATAATTTTAATAAATCAATGACAATGATTCTCAAATTTACATTTCTAGACCCAATCTCTTGACATCACTGCTTAGATGCCTAATATGTATCTTGAATTTAACATATCTAAAACTGAACTCTGGTTTTCTACTTTTTCACTTCCAGAATTTGCTTTGTCTTCCTGCCCCATCTTAAGAAGAGGCATCTCCATCCTCCCAGGTGCTCAGGTCAAAAGGCTTGGAATTATCCTTGATTCTTCTCTTTCTCTCACACTTCACAACTAACCCCTCAGCAAATCCTCTTAGCTCTAACTTCAGACTATTCCTAACATCTGACCCCAGGTCACCACTTATCAGCCTCCTTCAAGCCATCGCCAGCCTTTGCCTGAATTATCATAATCCTCTCCTGACTGCTCTTTCTGCTTTTTCTCTTGCATCCCCTACAGTTTCAGCCCACAAAGCAGCCAGAATGATCAGTTCAAATGTAAACTGGATCTCCTCACCCTCTTTCCTAAAAACTTCCAGTGGCCAGTCTTTTTCTATCACGTTCAGAATAGATTTCAAGTTTTTTATTCTGGCCTTGGAGGACTTACATAATTGAACCCTGGATACTTCTCTGATCTCATTTCACATGCTTTCCCTCTTGCTCACAGTGTTCCAACCACACGTCCTGCTGTCTCTCAAACAGGAATAGCCTCTTCTCACTCAGTCTCCACACTTACTGTTTCCTCTGCCTGGAACTTCTCCCTTGACTTAGTCATGGTGCTTGTCCCTCACATAAGTCAGGCATCTGCTCAAACTCCCTTAGAGGGTTTGCCATTATATCCAGAAGAGCTCCTACTTCCAATCCTATTACTGTTTCTTTACCATACTCTGTTTTCCTAGCACCTATCACTACCTGACATTCCACTCAAATACATACACACCCATCCTCACTCGTCGATTAAATGTAAATGTCGCAAGGACAGAAACTGTGTATTTTGCTTACGTCTTTATCCCCACTGTCTACAACAATGTCATGTATTCAGTAGGAATGCAATGAATAAGTGTAAATGAATGAAAGCATGCAAGCTCTGGGCCTGTTTCTTTTCTGTAAAATAAAGGTTTCGACCAGATGATCTCTAAGATTACCACTAACTTTAAAAGCCCATAATTCCTTGTTTTATTTTTTGGTTTATGAGCCTACTTTACTGTCCATGGAAAAACAACTGTGGCAGAAAAGTCGCATATGAGGCAATGAGATGTTGGAGTCAAATACCAACACTATCATAACTGTTGAGGACATGATCTCAAATTTTCTTCTGATTAAACTTCTCATTTCCTAAAATTCATATTACTAAAGAAAATAAATTAGTAGAGTTAATGCCTCAGGTGCAAGGAACCCGGGTTTGCCAAGTTGAGCAAACCAAGACTTAGGTGAGATCTGGAGGTTCAAGGCTGCCCTTCCCATGTCCAGGGATCTTTATACATGTAGCCATATAGGCAAGGACCTTCTCAGATTGTTCTGAAGTCCCAATTTGTAGGTGCTACCCAAGCAGTGTACTGTAATCAAATTGAGAAATCTGATTCTGATTACCTGTCCCAGCACATTCCATGGGTGTAGACAAGTCATAAATTATCTGAACTTCATCTATTGAGAGGATCAATGGAGTTAATGAAATAGCTTCATGCAAAAATTGACCTCTGTATTTAAGGGGAAGAAAAAGTGAAAGAGAGAGAGAGGCCTCTTTCGTGATGTTCATTTTTTCTACAAGCCCTTTCTGGCCACCTGTCAGTATGAAGAAGCTTGGAGTCAGTTTAGAATAAGCCCAGTCTTAGTCTTTACTAATGGACAAGAGGTGTTTCTAAACATCCTTATTCTTAGTCGGGTATCACATAGAATACCAAGCATGTACAAATTGTTCTTTACTTTTGATTCAATAAATGTCCAGAGGTTAGAGTTTTTGGGTAGCTTCTCATATCTCAGGGTTGCCCTCCACTTCCACCCTCTGAGTCACTAGGAATTCAAAACCCTCTTTGTATAGCCATTGTCTATTTGACCCTTCTGTATTTCTTTCCCTGGGGCCTTCCTCATCTTCTCAAGTCTCTGGGACAAGTTAGTGGTTACTTTTGGGGTGTGTAGGAGAGAGAAGTACTTAAGATCCTATAAATGGAGGATTGGAAAGACAATGGAACAGTTTTATGCTGTCAAAATAAATCCCTTCTTTGCATAGCTAGAGTGTCTGCTTCTTTCCTCATGTGATTTGAGCAAATTCCTCTTTCTGCTCTCCTGATTTTAGAGTGTCTCATTCCCAGGAAGGAGGAAAAATGGGAGAGAGAAATCAGTTTATCAAATTAAAATTAACAAAATAAGATGGAGGAGCGTTCAGAGGGGACTTGCTCATAAAATGGGTTTTTGGGAAAACCAAAAGGGTGGTAGGCAACAGCGACAAAAAACGTTGCTGGGGATGAAATATTAGAGCCTGGCATTCTCTTTCCCATACTATAACCTGGAATGCCTGTATAAATTTAGATTTTTTTTTTTTTTCAGATGGAATCTCACTCTGTTGCACAGGCTGGAGTGCAGTGGTGCGATCTCTGCTCATTGCAAGCTCCACCTCCTGGGCTCACACCATTCTCCTGCCTCAGCCTCCTGAGTAGCTGGGACTACAGGCACCTGCCACCATGCCCAGCTAATATATATATTTGTATTTTTAGTAAAGACGGGGTTTCACCATGTTAGCCAGGATATTCTTGATCTCATGACCTCGTGATCTGCCCACCTCAGCCTCCCAAAGTGCTGGGATTACAGGCGTGAGCCACCGCGCCTGGCCTAAATTTAGATTTTATATATTAGCTCAGAGTTCTACCTGAGGATGGCTCAGGTATCTGGCTCTGCTTTGGAAAGCTGTAAGTGAGAGATATATACAGCAAATGAAAGAGATCAGCCCTTGAATGGCAGCTCTGTTGCCAAAATTACAGCCAAGTTTAAACCACAGGTTCATGAGATGTATTGCTCTGAACTGAAAAGAAAAATCTACCAGTGCATGTCTGAGCACCTGAGATTAGAAAGCAAGCACAAACCATTGTGCTCAGCATCCCAACTATAGTCCTAAAATATAATGTCAGGCAGAGTGGGGAGCCATAAAATGTGAAGTCAAAAGGCTGACTGAGTTGTCAATAGAAGGTTCATTACTAACTCTGATGTGCTCCTTGGCATTTATCCAGACAATCTGAGGCTATGACATTAACATGTGGTTCTTTATGTGAATCTGAGCCTTGCTGCTTCCCCAGAAAGAAGTGGGAGTGAGGGAAAAAAAAAACCTAACATATTTTAATTTCTTCTTCGGTTTTATTAAAAGCCCAGCAATAGTTTTAGATGTATATGAAGGATACTTTCAAATATAAAAGTGTAGGATTTTTTGTTGTATCATTCATATATTTGTAATGATAAATTTTTGTCATCATTTTCAGATACTTTTTAAATAAATCTGCATGTGCATCTTCAAAAAGATTTAAATGGCTGTTTAAATGACTGGGAAAAGGTGAATCATTCCCTAATACCACTGAGGGTTATTGAATTTAAAGGAAAAGATAAAATGATTTCTGATTTCTATAACAGAGCAATCCAATGGTCTTTTCCAATTGAGAAGAGCAACTTCTAAACATATATCTGTATCTAAGGTTTGGACTGCTTTTTGACAACACACAACATAAATCCTGCCTTGGAAATAATTGCCTGGGATGGTGCCAAGTTACCAGGTCATTCAAATCGATGCTGTGCGCTACTGCACACTTAAAATTATTTACACTGCTCTTATCCTAACTACAATGTATTCCCTCTCACTAATGCGGTGGAGAGCAATTTACTCCAGAATACCAAAGTCCTTCTGATTTCATTTTTGCTCCCACATCTGCTGCTGTGAGCCCAAGTCCTAGAAATAAAACCAAATAAAAAAGCACTTGGAAGCTTTGGGGAAGGTGGGTTTTAAAGTAAACATCAAGGAAATCTTCAAATTTCTGTTTCTGACACTTTGTTCTAATTAACTTTAATGGTTGGTTGCAGTTGTTCCTTTTTCCTCCTCCTCTCCCTCCCTCTCTTCTTCCTTCTTTTCTTTTTTTTAATTCTATGGCACTTTTAGTTTGAAATGGAACTGTGGTCTGTGGCTCATGTTACTTATACCATTGAAGTCTTGGGTTGTTACAGAAAGGTAAGAGAGTTTTGATTAGCTAGAACTGAAAAGATTCACAAACTCTAGAAGATAGCAAACATCAATGTTCTGTTTAAATCTCAGTTGTTTTATTATCAACCGTTTATGTTACATATACACTTCTGAAAAGCTATTGAAAGTTCTTAGTTGTATTTTTTATATTTTTACCAAGAAAAGTAGGGGTAGTTAAAATCTGATTAAGAAGACAGACACTATAGATTGTGGGTAACTAGTAAATATTTTAATACTTCCCCATTATTGCAAGCCAACAAGCTGTAGGTGGCAGAGCAGGAAGACTGAAAGCACCTATGTCCCTGACACTTTTAACCTAATGAAAGCATTCCTTTAAAACTCCTATAGAAAAAAAAAAAGTACCCTTAGCCTATCAGCGAGTATGTGGAGGTCAACAAGCTTCACAGGAGGTTGAAGGACCTTTGTAAGAACAATGATCAACTGCAGTGTCATCAGCCTCCTGCCCAACGTCCTCAACTCTACCCTGAATGACTTGTAACCAATTTCTTTGGACAGGAAGATATGACCAAATGAGAACCACATTTCACTCTCTCACAAGACATGGAGGGTAAAAGGCGGACCTGTTGAAAGCCTCAGATGCAGAGGACAACACAAGGCTAGCAAGAGAAAGGATTCCCCGCTTGCAGGGTGGACTGTTGGAACCTGAAGCATGAAAGGGGAACCAAATTGAGCTCTGGGTTTGGGAAGTTGAGAGCAGAAAACTGCAGCATCCTGGAGAGCTGCCTCTATCAGTAGTAGAGGGGTAGAAGTCCCCAAATGCACCAGTGACAGTGTCAGAACAATAGTACTGCAAATCTGAGGGAGAAGAGGTCACATAGGAACCACATGAGGACACATGTGAGGTACCCCCAAAGACTTCCTGGATGCTTCAGGAGGAATTCGAGGGTGGGGTTGCTGGGTGTCCAGACACAGCTGTTGTTTTGTTAACTTTATTGAATGCCTGGACTGTTTTAACAAGGGGAAACAAGAATGTTTGTTATCAAGCAGTCACTTTCATTTTGGTTAGAATAGAATACTGGTATGTAGAGATGTAGAGAGAAACTCTTTAGTAGGTGGCACTTTTAGTTTGAAATGGAACTAAATATACTGGTTAACAGTATATTGATGAGGTTTTCTTTTTCTTTTTTTTTTAGGTGGAGTTCATTAATATTGCCTACTCATAACACAATGAATGAATACATACATTACAAAGTTAGATTGGTTACCCATTAAAATATTTCTGAAATGTTGTTTCTGAAGCATTAGTGTGCCTGAGACTCACCTAGGGTCCTTATTATAATTTCTGAATTCTAGAGTCTGCAGGTTCTCATTATGAAGGTCTGGGATAAAACTCAGGAATCTGCATTTTTAACAAGCTCCCCAGGTGGCTCTAATATAGGTGACCCATGAACCACATTATAAGAAGCTCTGCTCTAAGAATTCTGCATTAAAGTACAGATATTATAAATAAAAACTTGTAGCTTCCCCTCCAAGAAGGCTTTGCACTTGAAATATTGTTCCACTCTTAGGAATGAGGTTGATACTGAATAGTCCTCCTGGGTCTACAACCAGTCCATGAGTTGTGATTTAGCCACCCAAGAACTATTATATTGCCATTATTTTTCTTCATGGAGTTTCCTTAAACTGTATAGAAGGAATTTGTTGTTGTTGTTTTTGGGGAAGGGGGGATAATAAGAAATATGGAAGATGAGTCCCACTTGATATTTCCTCCCTCACTACAAGTGGAAGCATAAGAGGAGGTCAAAACTCCACCATCCTTGAGACCAAGAAGCAAAGTATTGATTTGTGATTTTCTGCGAGCAGAGTTGCTATTCACTGTTGCATTTCCAGCACCTACCTGTGATGTTGCTTTACCTATTACCTTATGCATAACAGGATCTTGCTAAATGTCTGTCAAACATTAGTTGACTTGGGGCAGTTTCCAGTCTGAACTTAAAAAATGCTAAGACAGTGACTGATACATCTTTAATTCTTAGCTCCTAACTTCTTATGGCAGATTAAGTAATTGATTAATTTATTTTGCTCACCATTGTGTATGGTAGACACTAAAAGAGTTTGTTGAATGATTGAATGAATGTATGAATATATACAGACCCTAAAATTTATAATACTTTCTTACTTGATATTGGGTTCTCAAAATAGTTTTTTTTAAGCAACAGAACTTTCCATTCACAGGAAAACTCAGGCAGGACCCTTCTAGATAAGAGAGAGAAAAGCAAAGTTGAGACACTGGGGATCGAAGATTGTTCTTTGCTTCTCCACCATCCTTCAGCAACAAATAGTTCCTGGACCTACTTTAAAGAATTTCTCTCTATAGGACAAAATATTCATTTGTGCTGAAAACCTAATTAAAGCAACATGTACATAAGTAGTTGATATTTTTTCATCCGTTTTCATTTTCTGCTTTATCCACACCCCTTAATATCTTAGCCTTACTGGAATGCGTGCCATAGTAAAGAAAAAAGGTCTTCCCATTTTCTAATAGTTATATTTCTAAGTAGCATTATTCCTTTCTATAGATCACATCCTATCTGTGAGAGTTTGCCTAATGACAAGGAGGAACAGAGAAGGGCAGGAGTGTGTAAAAGAATAGAATTCATGACAACTGAGCTTCTTTTTTGTGCCTCTCATGTGCTGGCCATCATGGAGGCCCTTCATAGACAATTTTGTTAAACTAATTTCATCCTCATTTCTGAGATAGATGTATTATCCCTATTTTTAAAAGGAGGCTTAAGAAAATTAAGTCACTGGGCCAAGACCACATAAATGGTAAGTGGTAGGGCAAGGTACATTTATAATCACATTGGAGTTTCCCAAGGTATGCCCAGGTATGCCAATTCAGAGTGTCCCAAAGAAACTGAAAGTTGCTTGATCCCACAGGCTTGGCAAATACCGTACTAAACAACATAAAGGGGATGTACTCTGTATAGTACTTCTCTGTGTCATGAATATAATGTTGTTGATTTTTCATTTTCCAAGACAGTAACAGGTAAGGAGAGCAAAAACTTCTATTAATTTTTAAAAGAGTACCTCCTGGAATCAGTGTTTAGTAGATTCACTTTGGGAAATAAACACTACACCAAACCATGTCACTCCCAAAAAAGAAAGGATTTGATCAATCTAGAGCCAGTGGAATGACATGATCACAATCTGCCAAAATATGATTCGGGCCAGGTGGCCAGGAACACATCAAACATGCTCGGCCATTCTGAGTATAAGTAAGGCGTCTTTATTGATTTTCTCTGGTTGCTCGACAGCCTGAGCCCATGGGTGATGTAGGGCTGCAAATCCCATCAAATCCACAGGAACTTTTAGACACACTGTGTCTGTCTCCTATGCTACAGTGCTACAGTGATATGGTGAACCCTTCTTGGGTTTATATGTTGATTGTAACCTTGGATAACATGCCACTGCAATTTCTAGCTTTCTGTCTGATCAAAGGGCCCTACTGAGAAAAATAAAAAGTGAAAAGCCAATGGAATTTTCCTTCTCTCTGATGCATGTTTATGTTTTTTGATAGTTATTTTTGCTAAATATGTAGTTTTGTTATATCATAATTATTATATTGAAAAAGTAACTTCTTATAACTCTTTTCTGTTGAAAATTCTGGTAAAAATTTCAAACAGTATAAAAGCACATTTAATTTAAAAAAACTCTGCATTCCAATTCGTTAGACCTGTCTTCTTTTCCAAAGTCAGCCACTGAGACCAGTTTCCTGGAAATTCTTTCGGATGTATATACAGATATATATATATATATATGAGTATGTCTATGGATCTTTTTTGCAGGGAGATACCTATGCTGAGAGTTATTATACACAGTGCTATGTTCCTAATGTTTTAAATATTTTCTAAATGAAGATGTTCTTCGTGTAATGCATTCTACCTCAATTAAAACACGAAGTTTGACTAACTGGATTGATCTTTTTAAGAAATACAGCCATATTTTTAATCCATTAAATGATGCGTCTTACAACCCAACCATTCTGTAACACTATGACACCATTCTCTTATCTGAGCATTAATCTTCAGGGAAATACAAAATTGTGTGATTTTACTACTTGTATATTCTGTGCTGTTCAACATAGTAGCCAACAGCCACTTGTAGCTAGGCTGAATTGGAATGTGCTATAAATGTAAAATACACAGTGGATTTTGAAGACTTGGAATGAGAAAGACTGTAAAAATATCTAAATAATGTTTACATTGGTTTCATATTAAAATTATTTTTGGATATATGGGGTTAAGTAAAATGTAATATTAAAATTAATTTCATCTGTTTCTTTTTAATTATTTAATGTGACTACTAAAAATTTAAAATAACATATGAGCTTACATTATGTTTCCATTAAACAGCATAATAGAAATATGAAGAACTAAGTAAGTGCATGCTGGAAGTGTTGCTTGCCTGTTGCAGTTCTCATAGCTCTGAAACTCCATTTGTATTCTTTTCTAGAATAGATATTAAGCTGAGGATGACTCAACATTTATAAGTGGTTGGTTTCAATATGGCTGTTGAAATAAATTATTCTTGTTTGCATCTGAAGATTACCACCTAGTCCAAGAAGCCATGGAGAGTGGTGGAAAAAGGATCATAATTTGTGTATAAGGCTTGAATTCAAATACTGACCATGGACATGCCATTTAACCTCAATTTTCTCACCTATAAACTAAGAATAGTGTTAGCAAGCCACCAGTCCAGTGTTATAAGCATCAAATGAAAAGCAAATAATTTAATGAATTATTAATTACCCTTTAATAGTTTATTGAATAAGTGTATTAAAAAAAACCCTATGACTATTAGAAGTTTACATTTAGAAGCTTCTTAAGAAACCACTAGGTCTAACACACTTATGCCCATCCTTCACACACCTCTGCCTTATTTTACAGATGAGGAAACCCAGCTTATGCTTAATCTGGGAAGGTTAAAACCAACCGTAATTAGTTGGTTAATAGTTGGCTTAGGATTAGAATCTGGGACTGATTTACTCATTTGTTCAGTGAGCACCTAAGTGACTTTCAATTCATTCATTCATTTATTCTGCACATTCTTCCCCATTGTCTATTATGGACCAGGACTACGGAAGATTCTACTGATAAAAACAGCCAACATTCATTGATTGCATACTAGCACTGCACATGTTCTGTAACGTTGATTGCATACTAGCACTGGACATGTTCTGTAACATTTTGTTTAATTCAATGACCCTTAAGATAGGTGTTCTCAGAATCTATTTACAAAATGAGAAACCTAGGCTCTATAAGGTTAAGTAAACTCTGCAAGTGACAGAGTATAGATTTCAGCTGTTCTCTGTGACTTAAAAGCCCCTGCTGTCAATTCCTGTGCTTCTTTCCCAAAGGGGCTCAAGAGTTGGCAAGGAAGGCAGTCAGGTAGACAATAAAGCAAAGTGTAGTGTGTTTCATTCTATAAAGATAAGTAAAGTTTCTCAAGGACCCCAGAGAAAGTTTGAATTGTCCTCTGCTTCTCCCCCAGTATTTCCCATCCCAGTAAGTGGCATCCCATACATCCAGTCCATTTAAACTCTCTTAGTCACCCTCACACCCCCCAAGTCAATTCCAGCTCCACTGGGTATCCCTCACTCTTCTTTTCACCAGTAATGTCACTGCTGGCATCATGTTCCTACCTCCCTCCCACCCTTGCCAACCCCCACCGTCATTCTATGCCTGGAATATTAAAATGTCTACTAATTAGCTGCGGATCTTCTTTTGCCCTCCCTACACAGGTCTTTCTCCATCAGGCAACTAGAGTGATCATTCTAAGTTGTAAATCTGATTATGCCTTTCCCCTGAGTCAAACCTCTAGGTGGTTTCATTTGGACTTTAGAATAAAAGCTACGTTCTGTACATCCCTACCCACCCCCCAATTTTCTCCCCCAACTTCCCTTTTATGCAACTTTCCCTTGTTTGCTTTGCTTTAGTCTCATTGGCTTCCTTTTAGTTTCCAGAGCAAGCCAAGCTTTTTACCTTCCAGAGACTGTGCACATGCTTTTGACAGGGTGTCCTTGTCTTAGCTTTTTTATAAAGCTGACTCCTCATCTTGTAGGCTCAGCTCAAATGTGAACTCTACAGGCAGAACTTTGCTTGCACCTCTAAGTACATTCTCACTGTTTTCTATCCTCACAGCATTTTTGTTAAATTGAAAATACATATTCATTTATTTAGTGATGTGTTTATTAGATTCATTAGGCTGCAAGCTCTGTGAGAGTAGGAATCATGGGACTCTAGCTGCCCTCTGAATACCCAGTACTTAGCCTTGTGCCTGACACATAGAAGTTCAGCCAATGTTTGCAGACTAAATGAATAACTAATTCTTATTGGAAGGATGGTGAAGATGTCCCTAAAACGCACATCAGTCATCCCCACTTTTCCATGTTTGTTTGAATAGCTACAATTCTCTTGCTTTCATGCTCCTGCTAGAAAAATTATAGGTAGCTCCTCATGCAGTTTCCCAGAATTGGAAAAGGAAATGTGCAATGCTTGTAATGCTCACCGTTTGGGTGATTTGCCTTCTATATAGTCCTGCAGCCATGCATTATGGATGGTTCTGTTAAGTAAAAACTGCCAGAGAAATGAATCAGCAAGAGCTGGAAGCGTGCTGCCACCAACCAGACACAGCTGTTTTCCTGGATCTATTCAGTTCTTACTCCCTGGCCACCTAATTCAACCAATCATTTTCTGGAGAGAATAGCACAGTAGTTGGTATAAAATAAGACACAATTTTCTCCCAGAAACAAACAGGATCTGAGTGTTTGAGTTGGATTTTTACTTCACTATAGTTGTTTATTCCAAATCTAGGAGTTACATGCTAACTCTTTTGCCAAAACTCTAGCACAGTAAAGATCTAGAGCTGTTGATTGTTACTGTTTAACAACATGTAATTTTTATAGTCTGCTATCTACTTTCTAGATTCTCTACCAGGATAAGTGAGCTGAGATTGGAGAAAATAGAATGAAAGCCAATATTTGAGTACCTGTTGGTGATAAAGAAATTTGCTAAAAATAGTTACACATTGCTTATTTCACCTTCAGAAGAATATACTGTTGTGCAAATATGATCATTACCATTTTATCCCCATCTTGCTTTGACAAAGCAGAGAATTTAATTAACTCACCCAAAGTCACACAACTAGTCAAAAGCATACCTGGAATTTGAAATCATATCTCTCTTTCTCTGAAACCCAGTTTCTCTGAGAAAAAAGTAAACCACAAATTTATTTGGGATTTTTGATCAACCAACTTGTTCAAATTTTGATCAGGGAGATGCTGGAATTCTGGCCCTGAGTGGTATTTCTGGAACATTTGGGTAGCAGCTGTGAAACATTCATGCCTCTCTTCATCCAGGAATGAAAATAAATCAGGTAAATTTTAATATGGAAGCTAGTTTGAAAAATTATGACATATTTTACCCTTATTTATTCAAGACTTTCTTTCTTTCTGGGTTTTGGAAAAGTGCTGATTTCTCAGGGAGCAGTATTTAACAAATGATTGGCCTAGGAAGAAGAGATTCACAGATGGGGCATCCAGCACAGAGCCATAATGGCAGTGGATCAGTGCACACCGTCCAGACTTAGAAAAAGCTCCACAAACTATTTAAAAAGCTTTCCCATGGATTCACTGTCTGCTACAAATACTTCTTAGCTCCAGTGATCCCCAAACAGCTGCCCAACAGGCCAAACTTTCAACAAATTTCATGGTTCTTATGTCTGATCAGACACCATGTGTCTGATAACATGAAGGAGAGGTGGAAGTGACCTTTCCCCAAGAGAAAATGATGCCAGGCATTAACTCCTATAGACAATGGGTATCCAAAACAGAGGACAGGTGCTTAATTCGGATAGCATTAGGTTCCAGTACCTAGCCAGGTGCTGTGTGTGGTATCCTACCATGGTTACTTAGTTTCTCAGGACTCAGATCTCCCCAACTATGAAATGGGAGTGATGATCATTTCCTACCATTGTGATGAAGAACAGATGGGATGGTGAAGGGAAAGTACCTGGTACAAAAGATACAACACATCTCTGTCCATTCCCTTCCTCCTTCCTACATGGGCAACACTCAGTGCCTTGTACCTTTCATAGTTCCTGCCTGCTCAAGCTCCTTGTTGAGCTTCATGTCCAGTGCTCTGATTATACCATCCCTTTTCATTATCTATTTGAAGAATCTGGCATTGCAAGGGATCCAAAGGTATTTTTAAAACTCAAGTACCACACCCAGACTCCAATTAATATTAGAAGCAGAGAGTGCAGTCTGTGAATTTTGGCAGCTCATCACCTGCATTCTTTGTGTCTCTTCTATATATATATTAAAAAAAAGCTGGAGGCATCATGCTACCTGATTTCAAACTATACTACAAGCCTACCATAACCAAAACAGCATGGTACTGGTACCAAAACAGAGATATAGACCAATGAAACAGAACAGAGCCCTCGGAAATAATACCACACTTCTACAACCATCTGATCTTTGACAAACCTGACAAAAACAAGAAAGGGGAAAGGATTCCCTATCTAATAAATGGTGCTGGGAAACCTGGCTAGCTATATGTAGAAATCAGAAACTGGATCCCTTCCTTACACCTCATACAAAAATTAATTCAAGACGGATTAAATACTTAAATCTTAGACCTAAAACCATAAAAACCCTAGAAGAAAATCTAGGCAATATCATTCAGGACACAGGCATGGGCAAGGACTTCATGTCTAAAACACCAAAAGCAATGGCAACAAAAGCCAAAATTGACAAATGGGATCTAATTAAACTAAAGAGCTTCTGCACAGCAAAAGAAACTACCATCAGAGTGAACAGGCAACCTACAGAATGGGAGAAAAATTTTGCGAACTACTCATCTGACAAAGGGTTAATATCCAGAATCTACAAAGAACTTCAACAAATTTACAAGAAAAAATCAAACAACCCCATCAAAAAGTGGGCAAAGGATATGAACAAACACTTCTCAAAAGAAGACATTTATGCAGCCAACAGAAACATGAAAAAATGCTCAGCATCAATGGCCATCAGATAAATGCAAATCAAAACCACAATGAGATACCATTTCACACCAGTTAGAATGAAAATCATTAAAAAGTCAGGAAACAACAGGTGCTGGAGAGGATGTGGAGAAATAGGAACACTTTTACACTGTTGGTGGGACTGTAAACTACTTCAACCACTGTGGAAAACAGTGTGGCCATTCCTCAAGGATCTAGAACTAGACATACCATTTGACCCAGCCATCCCATTACTGGGTATATACCCAAAGGATTAAAAATCATGCTGCTATAAAGGCACATGCACACGTATGTTTATTGTGGCACTATTCACAATAGCAAAGACTTGGAACCAACCCAAATGTCCATCAATGATAGACTGGATTAAGAAAATATGGCACATATACACCATGGAATACTATGCAGCCATAAAAAGGGATGAGTTCATGTCCTTTTTAGGGACATGGATGAAGCTGGAAACCATCATTCTTAGCAAACTATCGCAAGGACAAAAAAACAAACAGCATGTTCTCACTCATAGGTGGGAATTGAACAATGAGAACACTTGGACACAGGGTGGGAAACATCACACACAGGGGCCTGTTGTGGGGTGGGAGGAAGGGGGGAGGGATAGCATTAGGAGAAATACCTAATGTAAATGACAAGTTAATGGGTGCAGCATACCAACATGGCACATGTTTAACAAACCTGCACTTTGTGCACATGCACCCTAGAACTTAAAGTATATTAAAAAAAAAAAAAGTTTTCAGAAACAAAAAAAAAAGAGAGACTTTTCAAGGCTGAGGATTTGAGCTCCCTCCAGCCCCTAGTTCTCAGAGTTATTAGATCACTGTGGGTCTCATCTCCCTCCTTTCTAATTCTCCTCCAGTCCTGGAGTTCTGAGCTCCCTGCCACCCTCCCAGGAATACACCACCAGGCTGAAGCTATGTCTGTGTGATATGGGAGACCTTTCCAGTTAAGACCAGCAAGGAGCTTCCCCAGACAGAAGGAGGGACAATTGGCTCAATCCAGGATCCTCTCCTGGGTTCTCTGGGCACAGAGATGGGAAGCAACTTGCCTCAGTAATCCATTGCTGGATCATCCATTCTGTGCCTGGTACAATGTAGGCCCTGGGGATTTAACAGTGAACCAGGCAGGGCCCTTATGGAGGGAAACCCTCCAGCACAAGCCACCCACCCTACTTCCCTGCTCTGTCCCGTCACGCACCAGATCTTCACTGCAGCATTGATTTGAGGGCTATCAGCTTAGTTCTTCCCATCTAATCATGGTAAACTATCCTTTGACCCATCCTATTGGCTCCTAACTGGTGGAGTAATTCTTGTTCTCTCAGTGGTGGTTAGTAATAGCTTCCTGACGTGTTTTCCAAGCTGGTTTCCTAAGAGATATACTAGCCTGTTTGTCTAAATAAAACTTAAACAGTGGTTTGAAAACAGCTAAACGTACTTCTATAGAAACGTTTAGGACCTCTGAGAGTAGCATATACTTTTAATCTCTATTATTTTACTTGTAGTGTTTCCCAAACATATTTGATTTGGCCACTTTTTCTGTTATACAGGCATACCTTGGAGGTACTGCAAGTTCAGTTCCAGACCATGGTAATAAAGCAAATAGCCCAATAAAGTGAGACATACGATTTTTTTGGTCTCCTTGTGTGTACTAAAGTTATTTTTACATAATACTGTAGTCTATTAAGTGTGCGTTATCCTAAAATGTGTATATATTAATTTAAAAAACTCTTATTGCTAGAAAATGTTAATGATCATCTGAACCTTCAGTGAGTGGTAATCTCTTTGTTGGTGAAGGATCGTGCTTCCATGCTGACAGCTGCTGGCTGATCAGGGTGGTAGTTGCTAAAGGCTGAGGTGGCTGTGGCAATTTCTTAATATAAGAAAATAACAAAGTTTGCAACATTGATTGACTCCTCCTTTCATGAAAGATTTTTCTGTAGCATGTGATACTGTTTGATAGCATTTTACCTGCAGAACTTCTTTCAAAATTGGACTCAATCCTTTCAAATCCTGTCACTGCTTTATCAACTAAGTTTTTGTAATAATCTAGATCCTTTGTGATAATTTCAAAAATATTCACAGCATCTTCATCACAAGTAAATTTCACCTTGAGAACCCACTTTCTTTCCTCATCCATTCCATCCACAATTCCTTCTCTGTTCAAGTTTTTTTGTTTGTTTGTTTATTTTTGAGATAGAGTCTTGCTCTGTCACCCAGGCTGGAGTGCAGTGGCATGATCTCAGCTCACTGCAACCTCAGCCTTCTGGGTTCAAGCAATTCTCCTGCTTCAGCCTCCTCAGTAGCTGGGATTACAGGCGCATACCACTACACCTGGCTAAGTCTTGCATTTTTAGTAGAGATGGGGTTCCGCCATATTGGCCAGGCTGGTCTCAAACTCCTGACCTTGTTATCCACCCGCCTTGGCCTCCCAAAGTGCTGGGATTACAGGCATAAGCCACCATGCCTGGCCCTCTGTTCAAGTTTTATCATGAGATTGCAGCAATTCAGTCCAATCTTTAGGCTCAACTTCTAATTCTAGTTCTCTTGCTATTTCCACCACATCTGCAGTGTCTTCCTCCACTAAAGCCTTGTACCCCTCAAGTCATTCATGAGGGTCAGAATCAACTTCTTTCAAACTTCTGTTAATGTTGATATTTTGACCTCCTCCTCCCATGAATCAAAAATGTTCTCTCTGGCATCTAGAATGGTGAATCCTTTCCAGAAGGTTTTCAATTTACTTTGCCCAGGTCCACCAGAGGGGTCACTGTCTATGACAGCTATAGCCTTATGCAATGCATTTTTATAATTATAAAACTTGAGAGTTGAAATTACTCTTTGATCTGTGGGCTACAGAATGGATGTTGTGTTAGCAGACATTAAAAAATAAGCCACGTAAATTTCCTTGTCCATCTTCATCAGAGTTCCTGGGTGACCAGGTATACTGTCTATGAGAAAGAATATTTTGAGAGGAATCCTTCTTCCTGAGCAGTAGGTCTCAACAGTAGGCTAAAAATATTTAGTAAACCATGCTGTAAACAGATGTGCTGTCATCCAGGCATTGTTATTCCATTTAAAAAGCACATGCAGCGACTGGATCAGAGTTAGAAAAGAGGGAGATGAGACCCACAGTGATCTAAGAACTCTGAGAACTAGGGGCTGGTAGGAGCTCAGATCCTCAGCCTGGAAAAGTTTCTTACCTTATAGAAGAGGCACAAATGATGCAGGAAGGTGATGAGCTGCCCAAATTCAGACTCAACTTTAGCATAATTCTTAAGGGTCCCAGAATTTTCAGAATTGTAAATGAACATTAGCTTCAACATGTAAACTGAAAAGTATCTGAGACAGGTCTCGATCAATTTAGAAGTTTATTTTTCCATGGATAAGGACATGCCCAGGAAAAAAGAACACAGAACCACAGGAACAATCTATGGTCCATGCCTTTTCCAAAGATGATTTTGAGGGCTTCAATATTTAAAGGGGGAAAGCAGGCTGGAAGGGAAAGAGGTACAGTACAGTTGCATTACTGAATCCATATCTTGTAAGGATTCAGGTAGGCAGAATAGTAAATTATGTAAGTGAACACAGAGTAGCTACCTGTGGCAATATCTGGCCTTTTACCTTTGCCTACCTGCTTAGGAACAAAAGGAAAGGCAGTTACTTGCACGGCTCAGCTTTCAGCTTAATTTTTCCTTTTGGCATAATGAATTGGGGTCTCAAGATTTTATTTTCCTTTCACAATTAAAAAAGTCACCAGCTACATTAGCCCTTAACAAGAGTCAGCCTGTCCCTTGACATCTTAAAGCCGGGTATCAACTTCTCTTTTCTAGCTATGAAAGTCCTAGATGGCATCTTCTTCCAGAAGGCTGTTTTGTTTGTAATGAAAATGTGTTGTTTAGTGTAGCCACCATCATTAATGATCTTGGCTAGATCTTCTGGAAAACTTACAGCTTCTACATCAGTACTTGCTGCTTCACCTTGCATTTTACATTATGGAGATGGTTTCATTCTTTAAATCTTATGAACCCACCTTTGCTGGCTTCAAACTTCATTCTGTAGCTGACTTCTCTTAGCCTTCATAGAGTTGATGAGACTTAGGGCCTTGCTCTGGATTAGGTTTTGTTGTGGCTGGTTTAATCATCTGTCCAGACCACTTAGATTTTCTCCACATCAGCAGTAAGGCTGTTTTGCTTTCTTATTGTACATGTGTTTACTGGAGTTGCACTTTTAATTTCCTTAAATAACTTTTCCTTTTTATTCAAAATTTGGCTAACTCTGGCATAAAAGCCTAACTCAGCTTTTAACGTGCCTTCCTTATTAGTCATTTCTAGCTCTTGATTTAAAGTGAGAGAATGTAAGACTCTTACTTTTTCACTTGAACACTTAGAGGCCATTGTAGCTTATTGTTGTTGTTGTTGTTGTTGTTGAGACAGTCTCATTCTGTCGCCCAGGCTGGAGTGCAGTGGCGCAATCTCAGCTCACTGCAACCTCCACCTCCCGGGTTCAAGCGATTTTCGTGCCTCAGCCTCCTGAGTAGCTGGGATTACAGGAAGGCACCACCATACCTGTCTAATTTTTGTATTTTTAGTAGAGACGGGGTTTCACCATGTTGGCCAGGCTGGTCTCAAACTCCTGACCTCGTGATCTGCCTGCCTCGGCCTCCCAAAGTGCTGGGATTACAGGTATGAGTCACTGTGCCTGACGTTTGTAGGTTATTAATTGGCCTAACTTCATTATTGTTGTGTTTCAGGGGATAGGAAGGTCTGAAGAAACGGAGAGACACAGGGTAATGGCAGGTCAGTGGAGCAGTCAAAATACACACAACCTTGATTGATTACATTCAGCGTCTTGTATGGGCACAATTCATGCTTCCTTGAAACAATTACAGTAGTAACCACAAAGATCACTGATCACAGATCAGCAGAATCATTACAGTAATAATGGAAAAGTTTGAAATATTGTACGAATGGCCAAAACGTGAGCAAGAGACATGAGGTTAGCAGATGCTATTGAAAAAAATGGGTCCTATAGATTTGTTAGGCATAGAGTTACCACAAACCTTCAATGTGTAAAAAATGCAACGTCTTTGAAGCAAGTATAGTGGAGCATAAAAAAAGGAAGTGAGCCCTTATCTTGCCTATCAACATCCCCAAATTTTTATTTTCTGAAAACCCATTTTCAGAAAAGATAGTATGTAACTAAAGAATGAATGCCAGTCTTTGCACTTCCAGGGGATTTGATCTTGAGAGACAGAGACAGACTACTCTCTGGAGATGCCTGCAGTGGTGGTCTCCATGACCCTTATTTTGCTCTCCCTCTTTCTCTCTCTCACTTTCCTCACTTCCGATTCCTGGAATCATCTTGCTAAATCCTTTCCTCAGGCTCTGATTTTGCATAAATCCTAGTTGAGACGACTTGAAACATAAAACATTCTGATACACAGTATAACCCAAATCTGCCATTATGCTAACTACACTCCTAGGATTTTATATATTTACTGTAAATTTGTTATAATATAGTAAAATGATTTTAATACCAGTTTCCCCATCTACCAATTGGAGGTAATAATAATTTCCACCTCACAGGGGTTTCTGAGGATTTAGGAAGACATTGTATGTTCATGCACTTAGTATAACACCTGCCACATAAAAAGCAATTTAAAATGTTACCAATTACCGACTACTATCATCATTTTTATTAGAAGATTAAGAGTAATGTGATGCATGGGCCTCAATTAACCTTCCTCACTGACTGAAATACTCTTTGGCCTTTCAGGCTGTCCTCAGCATATCCTGCCCCTTCCCACACCCTCACTCCCAATCCCCATACCACATAGAGTCTGTTACAGACAAAATGTATTAAAAACGCCAGATGTGTGCTATATCATGTTACTTGGTTTAACTTTACTTCCCTTCATTCTTTTACCCAACTTTTTGTTTGCATTTATTTTTGCAGAAAAAGAGAAAGCAGAAAGTTGAACAATCTTTGTGAGCACTGAACATCAAACAGTTTTGCAGAAAAAAATAACATTAAATGTTGAGAAAAGATTAAAGAAGAATTAGGTACTGAGTGGGTAAAAGATCAAGAAGAGAGGGTTCATTTCAGTTTAATGGATAGCAGTGAAAGAAGGAACAATAGTAAGACCTAGATAAGAAGATTAAGGACCAGCCAAAATTGGATAAAGGGTCAGAAATTAAATCAGAAATACAGGAAATCAGAGAAGATTTGTAGTTAACTCAGAATGTCAAAGAGGCCTGAAATTGAGCCCATGAAGCTTGTTTCTGGGAGAAAGTAAGAAGCAGTCATAATAGCGTAGGATACCACAGTGAAAAGCGTTTTCAAAGATTATCTAGTTCAATCATTCCATTTTACAATCAAAGAAACTGAGGCCCCAGGTAGAATAGCACATTACTTTCCCAAGACTACATCTAGTAAGTTGGCAACCTGGATTCTAACCCAGAATGCCTTACTTTTAGCTTAGCGATTTTTTTCTACTGTATTATTTCTGATAAAAGACTTTAATGAAAGGGAGTGATTTGATCTAACTGACAAATGAGGCATATGATTAACAAATTAGATCATCTGAGCGTTTAAAAGAATAATCATTAATAAATCTGATTATAAGAAAGACTTACTTGAAATTGTAATCACAAAAAATGGAAACAATATAATTATCATGGTAGTAGGCTTAAATAATAATGTTGCAACTGAATTTAATTTTAAAGAACTAAAAAGTAGTCCTTTAAAAATGATATTCCTAAAGGATTTTGATGACCTCAAAAACTTTATATGATTCTGAAGGAAAAAAACACCCTATAGAAGCAGTATGATTCAATTATTTAGAAAATAGAAATGGGAAAAAAGTTGAGAATTAACATATCATAATATACTAACAGTGGTCGTCATTCTCTGTGTTTTGGTAATGGATAAATTTTATCTTCTTATTTATAGCTTTTGTATTGCCCACATTTTCCACAATAACACATCTGTTACTTTACTAATTAGAATAAAACATTTAACTTTTTTTCCTTTGGAAAACTTACTTGGAAATTATAATGGATCTGATATTACAATTTGAGACCATATTCTATTTCTACTTTCAGAATGAGAACTGGATTCTAGTGTTCATTTATTCCTTCCACATACTACAGATGTAGCTACTTTGTAAAATGACCCCTTACTCTGTACAGTAAGCTTTGGACATCCTAATTTTGATGGCAAGTGATGTAGAGTTCATATTAGAGACCTAACTCATTCATTCACCCTTCATTTATTCAATCAGTACTTACTAAGTACACATTGTTCTCTGATAGGTAATGTATTTGCCCTCAAGAGATAACTCTACTTCTTGAGTAGAGAAGGCAGGCAATGAACAAATGGATCAATTAATTTTAAAACACATGGTATGATAAAATAGAAATAAACAGAGGGATGTGATAGAATGCAGTGTACAAAGGTGTCTATCCCGCCTGGCCTCTAGCAGATGCTGTGCTGCATCACCCTGATCCCCTTCAGGACTTGAGGTCCCAGCTGCTGCAATGTTGGCTTCCATGGGCTCACAGCTGAATCACTCTGGGAATTGTCCTTGGCTGAAGGAAGCTACTTCACTCCCGTGACTCCCCATTCCCAGGGGGCAGCTTGCATCTGATGCCTGGTTGATAGGACACTGGATGCCAAATACAGGACAATTCTGAAAGCCTATCCCACTCCTGAGCTCCCTGTGAGATTGGCTGAGGCCTCTGTTGTGAGTACATCAAAGCTCAACTTCTCTCTCTGCCCAATCCTACTTCCCTTACTCTTTCACAAGTATTATTCCCAAGGGCATTTCCCAATCAACTTTCTGCAAACACATCAGCATGTCAGAATCAGCTGCCCAAGGAACTGAAAACAGCCTTTTCTCAGAGAAAAAAAATATGATCTGAAATCTGAAGGATGAGAAAGACCCAGCCAAAGGCAAAATCCTTGAAGCAAGAGGGACTTGTGAATTTCAAGGAAAAGAAAGAAAGCCAATATGGCTGTCTTACCCAACTTTACGCAGCTGGAGAGCAGTGAAATCAGGATGCAAATCTGGGTTTGGATGACACTAAAGTCTATGTCCTTCTTGACAAATTATGAGCTTCCCCCAGATAATAAATACCTTTGTTGTGTTAAATACAAGTACAGTCGGCCCTCTGTATCTGTGGTTCTGCATTGTTTGGATTCAAACAAACTCACATCAAAAATATTTGGGAAAAAATAATAAATGATTGTGTCTGTACTGAATATGTACAGATTTTATTACTACCTAAACAATACAGTATAACAACTATACATAGAGCATTTACATTGTATTAGGTTAAATTACAGTATTCTAGAGATGACTTAAAGTATCCAGGAGGATGTGAGTAAGTTAAGTGCAAATACTACACCATTTAATATCAGAGACTTGAGCATCCATGGATTTTGGTATCCAAGGGGGTCCTAGAACCAATCAATCCCCCATGGATATGAGGCATGACTGTATTCTGCTTTAATTATAAAACATTAGCTCTGCCAATATAATCACCAAGTTGTAAGTCCTTTGAACTGGCTCCTCAAATATCTCTGTGGCTTTCTTCTAAAAGTGTAATTATTTTAAGTATCTTAGTAGTTTAAGTATATCCTATTAAATGTTCTTTCAGATTATCCGCATATGCCAGTAGGAAGCATTTGAAAATCATGAATACATCACTAATTCTACCTGCATACTGGTTAAATACATGTATAAGTATATAGCAACTGTATTAGGGTTTTGCCTTAGTCATGTTATTAATTTAAAAATTAACCCTAGTTTTATTTTCTCATCCTGGAAAATACATTTCATAAATATTTTCATGGTGCACCTGAAATCGTTAAGCAAATTTGCTATTGGAGCTCATAAAAAGGCCACTTATCTAAATTTAACAAAATAATACAATAAAAACTGAGGTATTTTGAGCTCTAACAGTCTTCTCTCTGCCTTCAGTGGCCTGGCATAATTTATCTGAATTCATTAATTCATTCATTTACCCATGCAGCAAACATTTTATTTATTCTACAATATTAATTTGTCACAGTTTGTATGTCAGGCACTGTGCTGATCATTTGGAATATACTATACAATTCCCTTTTCTTGGGGAATCAAAATGTAATAAGAGGTGTGGGCAGGAAGATTCATCACAAAGCACAGCCATGAGTGTAGTTACAAGGTGAGTGCTTGGAAGACACAGAACATGATTCTGTGAGCTCTCATAACAAAGGAACCTAATCTGGACCTGGAATGGAAAGAGTGAGGTAGGAGGTGATGGGTGTTGCATGCATTAGAGTAAGGCAGAAGCAGAGAAGCCTTTCTTAAGAAAGTGGAATATGAACTGAGAGCTTAGATTATGAGGGCCAAAGTAGGAAAACTTCCTTTAGCAGGAGGGAACATAGCATATTTAAGGATCTGAAAGAAGCCAATGTACTTGAGCTTTGAGAAATGAGCAAAGAGGAAGATAAAGCTGGAGAAGCAGACAGGGGTAAGAGGTGGGGGATGTATAATCCATGTTGAGAGCTTTAATTTTCTTTATTTATGTTTTTGCATAGCAATAAAAAGCCATCCAACTCCTCAAGTTCCAGGTCTCATATCAGCTTCTAGGTTTACAAAAGCAAATAAAATAGGCCACTTCATAGCCCAGTGGAGAATTATGGATAATTAAATAATAATCATAGCACAGAATGGAAAATACTATGATGGAGACAAGTGAAGTGTTCAATGGGAATGCTACGGAGTGCACGTAACTCATACTGGGAATCAGGGCAGGCTTCCTGGAGGAACCCATACCCAAAATGAGTCTCAAGAATATGTATCCTACATACATGACTGCCCACCCCTATAGCCCTACCCAAACACAGATATGTTGGGCAAAGTGTAGGCTGTGGCCTCAGACTCGTGGTTTTGCTGTTGTCTACATGACTGGTCCCTGTGGAATCAAACTGGCAAAGATCATAGCATTCTTTTGCAAGGCCTGGTGCCACCAGGAGACCTCTCCTAAAAGGTATGTCTTTACTGAGTCTCTACTATGCATAAGCCAGCGACTGGTCTCAGCATCAGAAACATGACAAATACGAACCCACTAATACACATGGTTGTCATCGCACAGAAGTTTTGCAAAATAATAAGGAATTCTGGCTAAGTTGGAGCTTAGAATCATAGACATGTCCCAAGTGGGAGTTGGGGATACCTCTTTGCCCAAGTATTTATTTGGAAAAAGGAAAAAAGCTTTGTTGGTTTGTTTTTTTCAAAGAGCACTAGAGGAGAGATGATGCCAGTGGAGGAGAGGTATGGTATCTCTTCTTCCTGGGGGACAGAAATTTATTTGATTAATTGCTTATTTGTTTCAGTTAAGATGAAGGGAGGAAGAAGTGTGGCCAGAACCTGGAAGAGTGTTTGGAAGATGTGTAAGACCTTGGGCATAAGCAAAACTGGTTCAGGCCCTAAGTAAGCAAGTGTGAAATTGAGTTAAGGAAAAAAGGACTTTCTTACCACCACCCATACTTAGCCTAGGTCTCAAAGCAGTCATGACACCCCGAGGACTCAGCAAGTCTTCCAGAGGAGAAGGTCTGGGCCCAGTGAAACAGCAGGAGTGCATGCAGCACACAGCACTGGTAGACAGGCCACAATTCTCCCAGATGCCCAGCAAGTAGTTTGGTCAGGTCTAATGCAAGCATGAGTGAACTTGTCCTTGCACGTGTGTGAGCTGCTTCTTTCTCCTTAGTTCTCTCAGAAATAACCAGTAGAGTATTCTGGGTGCTGACAGCCAAGGCCCTGCAATGATCAGGTAGGAGCCACAATTAATCCAAATCTGGGCATCAACATTCATACGTCAGCATTTATATTCAGAAGATAATGGAGTCAAAGATGTTCCATTTATTTCAGATTGGCTTGCACAGAGCTAAGCTCTGAGAGGAGAAGAAATAGAGCAACTAACACATTTTTGGCTAACCTGCTGGAAAACTTTGGACAAATCATTTTGCCTTGTTGGGCTTCAGCATTCTCAAATATTAAATGGGATAAAAGGTGGAAAAAAATTAATAATCCTTAATCCAGTAAGCAAAAGGCTCAAAGCAAAGTGTGGGTTCAACTTTGGTAAAGTATGTCTAAGAATCATTGGATTGATCAAAGTCTGAAGCCCTCAGCTTTCAGTAAACAAGAAAATTTCCTTCTGATGTAAGTTCCATTTATCTGGCTTCGTTTCTATGGGAATCCCTACACTCCACTGTCTTCCTGTCCTGACCCTCAGTTCTGTAGCAGTTCTGAGCCTCACCTCTAGCAACAGTGGGCTTAAAATAAATCTTTAAAGCCTGCTTTCACCAAGTAGACATCTACTCTAAATTCCTCAATGGCTGCTTTGACATTTGTGATGCTTCCATAACTTTAAAAGTATGGATTTGCAAGGTGTAATGAGGCTATTTCAGACATCAGAGAAGGAAACCAATAAAACTTGGTGACTGATGAGGTCTGGTGACTAGTATAGGGGTGAGTCTATTAATTGAAAAAATGGTGGTGCTGTTTAAAATGGAAGTTGAAACAGAGCAACAGAGAGCTGGTTTAGAGGTAAAGGAAATGACTCATCTTGAGACCTACTGAGTCTGAGATGCCAGCAAGACAAAGGCTTGGGGGTTTCCCACAATTGAAGCATAGAAGAAAGCCAAAGGTTTACAGGGAAAGCAAAAGAATAGAATAATATTTATTGAGCACTTACTATATACCATTCCTGAACTAGACATGCTACAGCAGTGTTCTAAGTTAATTCTCACAATGAAGTAAGAATACTCATTTCATTTTATAGATAGGGAAATCAAAATTGGGGGAAATTGAGTCACTGGCCCAATGTCACACATCTTAAAAGACCTGGACTTGAACACAGATCACTTTGACATCAAAATGTTTACAATTTTCACTGCACTGTGCCTCCCTTGTTAGGGCAAAAGAACAAAGCTGGAACCTGAATCTTGATGATTTCTGTGTGTGATGTTTGGTTTGTGCTTTAAGCATCTAGTTTTATAGTCCCTGCTATGTAAAAATAAAATACTATTTATGTTTTATTTTGACACGCAGCTGAGTATCATCATTCCAGTTTTTGAGACATGAAAGGTTTGAGCTCACTTTGGAAGCTAGGATCCTTGTTTTCCATTTGGGAACCAGTGGGATGCTGAAATTAGGGCCTAAACATCCCCTTGAAGCTGGCTAGCTTCTCTTGGTTCTTTAGAGCATCTTTATATTTTGCAGCTAGCCTAGTGACCAAGGGCAGAAAACCAAGGAAGGACCCCAGAACCAAGGGCTAGGGAAACTTGTTCCTGTGGTGCTGGCTGCCGGAAAGACCACCCCAGCATGAGAACAGCCCAAACCTGCTCATGTTGGTCTCCCCTT
This sequence comes from Homo sapiens, assembly GCF_000001405.40. NCBI lineage: Eukaryota > Metazoa > Chordata > Mammalia > Primates > Hominidae > Homo > Homo sapiens. Next base: position 7,755,483 of record NC_000009.12, on the reverse strand, counting down.
GTCTAAGAGTTTGAAGATAATGAAATTGCTTTGGGGTTTGTGCTTTCCACTAAGACCCCTATGCCTGAAACAGAGCTGCTTAGGCCACTATAGCTAGCTGGGAAGAGCTCCTGCTGGCCCTTGCTTGCTCTCCCTGGCTTGGGGGCAGCCACATCTCCGTTTCGGTCATTTGTTTCAAGTTTTCTGAAAATGGAAATCTTGGATCCAAGATAGTGCAGAATCTCCCTCTTTCAGATGCGTTTTTCTCACAGATAAGATAGCTGTTACAATTGAGATGTAAATCACATCTCCATGGCTTGCTTCTTAGGGAAGGCAGTGGAAACCCACTAACGTAAATAGAACATAATGTCCAGTTTGTATCAAGTTGTCTTCACAGCTTTGGCTGGTGGAACAGTTCTACTGAGGCCCACGAAGATATGCTTTGGAAGAGGTTATATGGTGCTTTACAAGGTAAGGCACAGTACAAAAATGGGCCATTTTCTGATGGCTGCCCCTATAAAGGAGTTCTGCGAACTAGACGGTGGAACAAAATAAGATACTCTCTTCCTAATCAAGCCAAGTCATTTGTCTCAAATGCCAGAGATTAACATGAATGCCAGGACAGCCACGCCCCATCCCCTGGCAGACCGCAAGTGCTCTCCCTTAAGCTCAGAGTCCCTCCAAATTCTTTCATTTGCATTTTCTGGGTTTGTCTCTCTTTCAAAACCCTCTCCTGTTTGTCAGATTAACCCCTGTACTAAATCCTTCTCATAGACTTGGCTCAGGTATCACCTTCTTTGAAAATCGTTGACCTCTCCAATCCAGGCTCCTTCAATATAATCCTTTTTGGTGTTTTAGCACCTCCTGTATCTTTGTAATACTGATGGTATTATGTTGGTGCAAAAGTAATTGCAGTTTTGCCATTACTTTTAATGGCAAATTACTTTTAAATTACTTTTAATGACAAAACCGCAATTACTTTTGCACTAACCTAATATTTACTATGTCGTTCTGTAAGTGTCTTTTTATGTTTCTGTTCTTCCTGTTGGGTTAGAAATGAGCTAGTTGCTACTCAAACATATTTTCCTTCTTCCTCCTGGGCACAGTGGGGGACTATACCTCCCAGGCTTTTTCAGTTAGATAAGATCATATGTTGATGAGATGGGACAAGCAGGAGATGGTGGCATCTTCCACATTCTCTCTCTTCCTTTGTCTGCTGACCAGATGTGGAGAGAGTGAAGGGCTCCAAGGTTCTAAGGATGGTGAAGCCATAAAAACAAAGTCTTGGTCCTTAAAAGCCTGATTGAGAGAGTGTCCCTTACTGCTGACGTATGTTATACTGGGACTTGAGCAAGAAACTAACGGCTAAAATATCTAGGATGGTTTTACAACAGCTAGTCTGCTCTGAGTTATGCTTTCTTACTTAACTATAGGCTCCTGGAGGGACCATATCTTATGAGTTCAGTAGCTAGCAGAGTGCCTAAAAAATAGCAGACACTCAATATTGAGGAATAAAAGCATCTTGCATTTACTTTGTTGATCAAGTTTCTCACAAGAAAAGTTATCAAGTTAAATCATTTTTATTTGTAATTGCATTGATAGTTTTTTATAAACTAACCAAAAACTTTACTTTTATTCTTGCCACGAGATCTCTTACTATGATTCTGTACACTGTGAACCTAAGTTTAAGTAGTAAGTTGAGTTGGTATAGGCAATAGAATAAGGCCCTAGAATGTAATTATCAAGGTCTCCTTCCAGATTGGTGTCCATCCATTAATCAATACTCCTTGGATATTCAACAAGCAATTAAACTAGCAATTATTTAGCCAGCAATTAAACTAGCTAAACCTACTATTATTAGAGTGCACATTTTCCATTTTGTTAGCAAGAAAATCTTTGATGCCTTGATAAATTTAGCTTCCTCATTTCTATAGCATTCCCCTAATTCAGAAAGTGTTTTCCCCTCTGTGAAAAAATTTTCTATTGTCCATATCCACTGCCCTACCACCTTTCTCATTGTCTGTGATTTCTCAAAGATGACAAACAGTGGTCCCACAATCACATTAGACAATTCCTTTACTCCCTACAGAGGTAATTCACCTGCATTTGACAACTTGAACTAAATTCAAGAAACTAGGCAATGTCTTATAATTGGTCTCCAATTCTCTCTTAAAAAAAAAGTCTGGTTTATGCTTTACAATTGAAGAGGCCTGGCAGCTCTTCACTCCTTGTTAACTCAACATTATTTGCAGCCAGGCAGGGGTCTTGTCTCTCCCTCCCTCCCAAAATCTCCTCCTTTTTTATTTTCTTCTTTCTTTTAAATTGAGGTGAATTCACATGACATATGATTAACAATTTAATACACTGAATTAAGCGTATGATTCAGTGGCATTTATACATTCACAATAGTGTGCAGCACCACCACTCTCTAGTTTCAAAATCTTTTCATGACCAGGCGTGGTGGCTCACGCCTGTAATCCCAACACTTTGGGAGGCCAAGGCAGGAGGATCTGCTTCTGTCCAGGAGCTTGAGACCACGTTGAGCAACATAGTGAGATCCCAGCTCTACAAAAAATAAAGAAATAGACGGGCATGATAGTGCATGCCTTTAGTCCCAACTACTCTAGAGGCTGAGGTGGGAGGATTGCTTGATCCTGGGAGGTCAAGGCTGCAGTGAGCCATGCTCATATCACTGCACTCAGCCTAGATGTCAGAGCAAGATCCTGTCTCAAAAAAAGGAAAAAAGTTTTCATTACCCCAGAAGAATGCCCCATACCCATTCAGTAATCCCTCCCTGCTCCCTCCTCCCCCTATCTCCTGGCAACCTCTAATCTGCTTTCTGTTTGCATGCATTTGACTATTCTGGATATATCATATGAAAGGAATTACACAATATACGATCATTTGTGTCTGGCCTTTTTCATTTAGCATAATGTCTCTAACCCTTTTCCCATTTAGAAAAAAAAAGTGAAGCTCGCTGTGAGTGCTCATTCAATTTTACACAAACATGCTCTTTGAGGCTGAAGCAAATCTGACTGATTTTCAACGCGAAAATAAAACATAAAAACTGTTCTTGGAGTTATTTCTAAACAAAAATAACATCAGAATTGTCTGAATCATCAGAATCGTCTATTTCTGAAAAATTGGATTTATCAAATGAATCTTTGGCTAACTGTTGGAAAATGATGTTAACTTCATCCATAGGAATGCAACATTTTCTAGGATTTGACATTTTCAGCCATCAAAGTACTACTATATTTTGTAAATGGGAATACCACTACTAAAAACAGAATGCTATAAGTAGGATGATGTCTTTTGTTTCCAAAGTCAATATACTAGAGCAATGCAAAAATAATAACAAAAGCAGGATAGTTCATGGCAAAGTTATCTTGGGGTAAACGCTGTGGCTGCAAGTGCCTTCTGCGAGTATTCTCGGGGCAAACAGGAAAGTTCATCCAAGTTGTGCCATATGTCAATATATCATTTTTAAAAGTTACTTTATTTTTAAATTGACAAATGACAAATTGTATATATTTATGGTTTACAATGTAATGTTTTAATATTTCACTATTTGTATGGCTGAATCATATTCTATTTTATGTATATAACACTATTTATTTATCCAGTCATTCTTTTATGGACACCTGAGTTGTTTCCATTTTTTCCTATTAATGAATAACGCTAATATAGACATTCATATACAAGTTGCTGTGTGGGCATATGTTTTCATGTCTCTTACATATATACGTAGGAGTGCAGTTGCTGGGTCATATGGTAATTATTATGTTTAACTTTTTGAAGAATCTTCAAACTTTTTCTCAAAGTGGCTGCATGATTTTACATTCTTGCTAGCAATGTAAAACATTTCTATTCCTCCATATCTACACCAACAATTATTTTCTTTTTTGTTTTTAAAATTATACATATTTTAATTTTCATTTTTGTTTTTATTATTTTAAATTATTTACATATTTATTAATAGTATGATTATTTTTAGCCTTTCTAGTAGGTATAAAGTGGTATCTCATTGTGGTTTAAGGGATTTATTTTTCTTTTCTGTGTTTTTGAGACAGAGTCTCACTCTGTCACCCAGGCTGAAACTCAGTGGCTTAATCATGGCTCACTGCAGCCTCAACCTTCAGGGCTCAAGTGATCCTCCCACCCCAGTCTCCCAAAAAGCTGGGACTATAGGCACAGGCCACCATACCTGGCTACTTTTTGTATTTTTTGTAGGGATGGGGTTTCACCATGTTGCCCAGACTGATCTCAAACTTTGTGGTTTTGATTTTCACTTCCTTAATTATCAATGATGTTGGACATTTTTTCATATGGTCATTGACCATTTGTATATCTTCTTTAGAGAAAAGTCTCTTCAGATCCTTTGTCCACTTTTTAAATTGGGTTGTTCATCTTTTGTTGTTGAGAGCTGTAGATTTCATTTATATTTGGGTATTAAGCCCTTCTTACATATATGATTTGCTAATATTTTCTCCTGTCCTGTAGGTTTTCATGTTTTTGATAATGTCCTTTGATGCACAAAAGGTTTTAACTTTTATAAAGTCTAGTGTATCTATTTCTCTTCTTTGTTGTGTGTTGTTTGTGTTTTTGGTGCCAAATCTAAGAATCCATTGTCATATCCAAGGTCATGAAGATTTACTTGTATGTTTTTTTCTAGTAGCTTTATTGTTTTCACTCTTATATTTAAGCCATTTATCCTATTTGGGTTAGTTTTTGTAATGGAGTGAGGAAGAGTCTAAATTCATTCTTTGGCATGTGCCTTTCCAGTTGTCCCAACACCTTTTGTTGAAGAGACTACTCTCTCCCTGTTGAATGTTGTTGGCATCATTGACTACAGATATTTAGGTTTATTTCTGGATTCTCAATTATATTTCATTGGTCTGTATGTCTATCATTATGCCAGTACCACACTATTTTGATTACCGTAGCTCTGTAGTAAGTTTTGATATTGCGCAGTGTGAGTTGTCCAACTTTATTTTTCTTTTAAAATATTCTTTTGGCTATTCAGGGCCCCTTGGAATTTTACATGCATTTGAAGTTTGGCTTTTCCATATCTGTGAAAAGGCCATTGGAATTTTGGTAGGGATTGCATTGAACCTGTAGATTTCTTTGGGGAATACTGCCATTTTAACAATACTAAGTCCTCCAGTTCATGAACATGAAATGTCTTTCTATTTAATTAGGTCTTTAATTCTTTTGGCAATGCTTTATAGTTTTTATGAAGAATTTTACCTCCCATTTCTAGGTGTTTTATTCTTTTGGATGTTATTGCAAATGGAATTCTTTTCATAATTTCCTTTTTGGATTGTTCATTGCTGGTATACAGAAACACAACTGATTTTTATGTGTTATTCTTGTATCCTGCAACTTTGCTGAATTCATTTATTACCTCTAGTAGTTATTTTGTGAATTCTTTGAGATTTTCTATTTATAGAATCATGTCATCTAAAAATAGATAGTTTTACTTCTTCCTTTCCAATTTGGATGGTTTTTATTTCTTCTCCAACCTAATTGCCCTGGCTAGAACTTTCAGTAAAATATTGAGGAGTAGTGGTAAAAATGAACATTCTTGTCTTGTTCCTGATCTTAGAGAAAAATATTTTAGTCTTTTACTATCAAGTATGTTAACTATGGATTTTTCATAAATGCTATAGAAATTCTCTTTTGCACTTAGTTTGCTAAGAGATTTTTTTTTCCACAAAAGAGTGTTGAATTTTGTCAAATGCTTTCTCCACATCTATTGAAATGCAGGAATTTTTTTTTCCCCTCATTTTGTATTACATTGATTGACTTTATATAGAACCACCCTTGCATTCCTGGGTTAGATCCCAGTTGGTCATGGAATGAAACATACTTTTAATGTGCTGCTAGGTTTAATTTGCTAGTGTTTTGTTGGGGATTTTTGCATCTGTATTCATTAAGGGTATTGCTCTGTAGTTCTTTTCTTGCGGCATCTTGTCTGGCTTTGGTGTCTCTTTTCTACTTGATCAGGTTTTTTTTGCTCTGAAAACACCAGGAAAGGCTCTTTCAGTTGTTTGCAAGTTTTGCAATTCTCATCTCATTCTGGACTTTAGTTGTCCTGAAGTATTGTTTCTATACCTGTCTTTATGATATGCACTTCTTCCCTCCTTCTACACATGCATCTTTATATGTTTTAACTCTTTACTCATCTTTGCACACATTAACTTATCAGAGAGCTTCCTGTGCAGTAACACAGATGTCTCTCATTTCTTTCTCTTCAGGAGCAATCATGACTACTGGCAGTGTTTCCTGTCTTAAAGCTCATCATTCCTCTCTGTACTCCGTGAGGGTGGAAATAAATGTGCTTTGCTAGGCACTGAGCATAATGTGTTGTACAGTCAATGGTAAACACTAAATAAATATTTATCTAATAAGTAAATAGTGACAATATTAATGGAGTTCTTATTATATGCCAGGGACTGTTCTCAGCACTTTTCATGAAGTAGTTCATTTTTTCCCTCCTGCTAACTTAGGAATCAGGTATTATAATTTTCCCACTTGACAGACATGAAAATTGAGGCACAGAAATGTCAAGTAACTTGCCTAATGTCACAAATCTAAGAAGTGGCAGAGACAGCACTCAAATCTAGGCTGTCTGATTTTAGACTCATCCTCTAAATCACTGGTGTCTACTGGAATAGACAGAATAAATGAAGAGGCTCAGGCCATGTGCTTATTCATATATTTACTCTGAACATTTTTTAAGGTTTAGATTTCTAAATATAATGTAAGGCACATAGCTGATTATACCTGCTGTTCTCTGTCTTCACTGTTACAAAACTATGTTCCTGCTTCATTTTCCGTCTTTATTAATTACATCCCAAGCATCCAGTCACTCCGATTTGTATCAGCTCCTTCCTCCTGCACTGGCCTCTTTAAAACCCTATTCAGGATTAGTTACCAAGTTCTGGGAATCAGTGGTTCCAAGTTGGCATGTTAGACTACCCTGTCAATCAGCTGCAAAATAATTTACTATTGCTAATAATAAAATGCCAAAGTTATAAATGATTTACTTTTTGACAAGTATATCAAATAGAGGGGAGTCAAAATCAACTCTATAAGTCATCATTCTCACTCATATAAAGTCTGATTTTTTTTCTTCTAGAGGAATGGATAGAAGTGAGCCCAGCAAGCTGGGAAATGTACATATCACTAAATAGGCCCACAGAATTGAATAGTACAAATGATCTTTATCATGTGTGACAGCCGGACAAAAAGGGTAGACAACTTCTGCTGTGGAATACATCTCCCCTATGTCTCTAAGATTTACATCCTTTTCCTGCCATTTTTTTTTTCCACCACCATGCCTGGTTTAGATTTAGATTAGTTAGCTTCCTAGATGATCTCCCTGTTTCTTATCTCTATCTTCTGTCCCCCACTGTATACTGATTTTCCTAGAGTACTTTGATGCTCCATCACATCCTTTTTCACCCAACAATGTCCTCCAAAGGTATTTGCATCACCCTTAAGGTGTCTCCACCTGCTTTATCTCAAGTGACTCCCTTTCTCCTCCTCTGTATGCCAGATAAACAGGATAACCTTGCTTTTCCAAACTTTCCAGGTCATTCCTCTGAAATTACCTTCCCCTATTTTTTTTTTAAATAAGATTCCTCCTTTTCAAGAGCCAGCTGGAAAGCAAACTCTAAAGTTCTATGTGTACTGACATGCAAAGATCTCCAACATATACTGTTAAGTGCAAATAGCATGTGCAGAAAAGTATGTATAATGTACTACATTTTTAGTAAAAAGTAAAAAATGGAGAAAAGGAAGAATACTTATATCAGCATTTTCTTTTTTGGCTTAGATTTGTAGAAAGGAACTCTGAAAGAACATAAGGGACTTTCTTGTTTGGGTTGGTGGGGCTGGAGATGATGGGAAAAAGAGATGAGAGGGAGGCTTTTCACCAGATACCATAAGTATCAGTCTTGTTCATGAGAAGATATTACCTTAGAAATAAAAATTAATAAGCAATCACCAAAACTAAAGCAACCTCTAAAAGGCATTTCTCAATATCCTGCTCTATGTTCCCAAAGCACATCATATGCAACATTTTCACAGCGTATTTCATATTATGCCTTAGGTTTGAGTTATTTGAGTTTCTTTCTTGAATCTTAAAATATGCTTTAAAGAGTTTAAACAGGCGTCCTGACTTATTCGGTTTTGTTCTCTCATTATGACTAATAACAATGCCGTATATGTGGCTGGTGATTAGGATATTCCTGAACTTGAGGAAAACTGCTTCCCAGCCTCAAAGGTCTGACGCTCAACGGAAACATCTCCTCACTAGTACTAGAGAAGCAATTGACGATGTTTCCTTTCTCAGTATGTTCAGAAGTAAGAGGGATCTTAACAGAAGATAAATGAGTCTTCCGATTCATTGACCCTTTCAGGCTCATTGGCATCATTCATTTGTGCATTCACTCACTCACTCGTTCATTCAATAAGTGTATATTTAGTGCCTAATTTGTGTCAGGCACTGTGCAAAACATTGAGCATCCAGTGATGAGAGAAAAAAGGTACAAGTAAATACAAGATATATTTGTATTATAAATTTAAATCATGACCAGAGCAGGAAGGAAACATGGGTAATGGTAGAGACTGAAGTTTTATTTGCAGGCTTCCCAAGTCCCGCCATGAGCATTCCTCAGCAAAGTGTTTAGTATTCCAAGATTCCTTCCTTTTTTTTCTTTGGCTTAAGAAACAAAAATCCTTGTCTCACAGTTCTGCAGGCTGGGAAATCAAGATCAAGCTGCTGGCAGATCTGGTATCTGGTGAAGGCACTATTGCTGGTTTTCAGATGGCTGTCTTCTTGTTGTTTCTTCACATGGCAGAGAATAAACAGCATGAGCAAGCTCCTGTACCTCATAAGAGCACTATTCTCACTCATGAAGCTTCCATCCTCATCATCTAATTATCTCCAAAGGCCTCGCTTCCTCATACAATCACATTGGATATTAGGATTTTAACATATAAATCCTGGAGAGACACAAACATTCAGTCCATAGCATTTCACCTCTGCCTCTCCCCCAGCAAACTTACATCCTTGCATGCAAAATACTTTCACTTCATCCCAGGAACCCCAAAAGCCTGAACTAGTTCCAGCATCAATTTGAAAGTTTAAAGTTCAAAATCTCCTGTAAGTGAAATATGGATGAGACTTAGGTATGTTTTGTCCTGAGGCAAAATTCTTCTCTGGCTGTGAACTTGTGAAACCAAAGTTCTATTCTTCCAAAATACAACAGTGGGACAGATATATAATAGACATTCCCATTTCAAAAGGGAAAAACAGAAAAGAAGAGGCAACAAGTCCTAAGCAAATTCAAAACCTAGAAAGACAAGCTGCATGAGCACTTACAGGTTGAAAATAATCCTCTTTGGCTTTATGTTCTGCCTTCTGAACTCACTGGGGCAGCAGTCCCACCCCCAGGACCCATTGGGGTGGTGGTCCAGCTTCCTCAACAGCAGAAGTCAAGTGCCCCAGGTTGTGGGTGAACTCACCCCCACACAAGATTACTTTTTGTTCCTCTCACCAATCCATCTTAATTCTTTCAAATATATTTTTATTGATAGCTTTTTTGTTGTTAATTTAAATGAACTTCTTAATGGTGAAATCTTATCTCGTGGGAAAGCATTGTAAATAAGGAAATCTAGACATCTAGAGGGATCCATGTGAAAAAAGATTCAGCTTGAGCAAGTCCTCAGAGTAGCTTCCATTTCTCCTGATTCTCTATAGGATCCCAGGGGTGTCTGACATGATTGTATAGGTGGGGCACCAGTTGCAATCTTTTATATGAGTTACTTATTAGGTATGTCTCAATTTATGGATTTACTTTTAATTAAGCCCCAAACTGGTGAAGATTTGCTTCTTGAATTAAAAAAGAGCTATGACACACACACACAAACACACACAAACCTAGGAATACATCTAATCAAAAAGGTAAAAGATCTCTACAAGGAGAACTACAAAAAACTGCTGAAAGAAGTCATAGATGAGACAAACAAATTGAAAAGCATACCATACTTAAGGATTGAAAGAATCAATATTAAAATGTTCATACTTCCCAAAGCAATCTACGGATTCAATGCTATTCCTACCAAACTACCAACATCATTTTTTCCCACAGAATTTTAAAAAACTACTCTAAAATTCATATGGAGCCAAAAAAGAACCTGAATAGCCATAACAATGCTAAGTTAAAAGAACAAAGCCAGAGGCATCACATTACCTAACTTCTAACTGTACTATAAGGCAACAGTAGCCAAAACAGCATGGTACTGCTACACATACACCAATGGAACAGACTAGAAAATCCGAAGCCACACACCTACAATCATCTGATCTTTGACAAAATCAACAATAGTAAGCAATGGGGAAAGACTCCTTATTTAATAGATGGTGCTGGGATAACTGACTAGCTATATGTAGGAGAATGAAACTGGACCTCTACCTTTAATCATATACAAAAATTAACTCAAGACAGATTAAAGATCTAACTGTAATACCTCAACCTATAAACATCCTAGAAGAAAACCTAGGAAATTCCCTTCAGGCCTTAACAAATAATTTATGTCTAAGACCGCAAAAGAATTGCAACAAAAATAATTCTTTATTTAGTTTTGTTGTTGTTTTTTGTTTTTTGTTTTTGTTTTTGTTTTTGTGAGACAGGGTCTGGCTCTGTTGCCCAGGCTGGAGCAGAGTGGTGTGATTATACCTCACTGCAACATCCACCTCTCAGACTCAAGCCAACCTCCCAACTTAGCCTCCCAAGTAGCTGGGACTATAGGTGCCCACCACCACGCCTGGCTAAGTTTTATATTTTTGTAGAGACGGGGTTTTGCCATGTTGCCCAGACTGGTCTGCAACTCCTGAGCTCAAGTGATCCATCTGCCTTAGCTTCCTAAAGTGGTAGGATTACAGGTGTGAGCCACTGCACCTTGCCAAAAAAACAAAACTTGACAAATAGGAGCTGATTAAACTAAAGGGCTTCTGTACCTCAAAAGAAACTATCAACAAAGTAAACAGACACCATAGAGAATGGGAAGAAATATTCACAAACTATGCATTTGACAAAGGTCTAATATCCAGAATCTGTAAGGAACTGAATTCAGCAACTGAAAACCAAATAACCCCATTAAAAAGTGACTAAAGAACATGACAAGAGACCTCTCAAAAGAAGACATATAAAAGGCCAATGAACATGAAAATATGGTCAAAAATCACCAATCATCAGAGAAATTCAAATCAAAACCACAATGTAATACCATCTCATTCCAGCCAGAATAGATATTAATAGTCAAAAAATAGATGCTGGCAATGCTGTGGAGAAAAGGGAACACTTATACACTGTTGGTGGGAATGTATATTAGTTTAACCACTTTAGAAAGGAGTTTAAAGGTTTCTCAAAGAACTTAAAATGGAACCACCATTTGACTCAGCAATCTCATTACTGGGTATACACCCAAAGGAAAATAAGTCATTCTACCAAAAAGACACATACACTCATATATTTATTGCAGCACTACTCACAAGACAAAGACATAAAATCAACACAGGCGTTCATCAATGGAGGACTGGATAAATGTGGTACATCTACACTGTGGAATACCATGCAGCCAAAAAAAGAATGAAATCATGTCCTTTGCAGCAACATGGATGCAGATGGAGGCCATTATCCTAAGCAAATTAACGCAGGAACAGAAAGCCAAATACTGTGTGTTCTCACTTGTAAGCGGAGACTAAACATTGGGTACACATGGACATAAATATGGAAACAATAAACATTGGGAACTTGTAAATGAGGGAGAAAGGGAGGAAGGCAAGGGATGAAAAACTACCTATTGGGTACTATGCTCATGACATGAACGACAGGAACTTTCATACTCCGAAACTTAGCATCACGCAATATAACTATGTAAAAAACCTACAAATGTACCCCCTGAATCTAAAATAAAAGTTGAATTTATTTAAAAGACAGACAGAGAGAGAGAGAGAAATCGAGCTATGGCTTTATAAGAGATTGTCTGGTAGGAATGGCAGATATCTCTATAAATCTGAGATTTGCAAATCTAGTTGCATAGTAGAATCATCCAGGGATATTTTAAAAGTATTATGCTTCAAACCCACCTCTCATTTACTCTTAATTAATTGGTCTGGAGTGAAAGAAAGGGGGTTTGCAAGGCTGCCCAGCTGATTCTAAGGCACAGTTAAGGCTCAGAACCACTGTTATACAGCAGTTTGTAAGTGGAAGCTTGTGTCCTTGAGGGATTTATGATCTACCACAAGATAGAGTAAAATAAGAAAATAGGAGAAGTTCATATTGACTAAAAACAGTTGAATGAATGGTACAAAGATTCTTAATAGCAACATTTAACATTTGTTGCATTTGTTATAGGCAAAGACCACCTAAAACATTGGCTTTACTTCCCCTTTTTATAAGTTAGACAGTTGAGGCTTGTTCAAGTTAAATGATATGCCCTTGGTTCTGAGACTACTAAGTAAAAGGGAAAGAATTTGATATCATATTTTAGTTCAACTCCCAAATGCAAGCTTTTAAAAACTTGCCATGATGAGGCAAGCATTATGTTAGGCCTTTCACTTACATTATTTAATTTTTAGAATAATGCCAGCATCTTGGTATTATTAAGCAAAATGAAGTTTAGAAAATAACTAAACTTCCCAGGGTGTAGAGCCAGCCCTTTAGCAAGTAATTGGTTCATAATGGGTTTAGTTCTGACATAAGAAAAGGCGTAGAGGGCTTGTTTCCTCTCTCTCTTTCCAACATGTGAGGATACAAGAAAATGGCCATAAACAAGCCAGGAAGAAGGCCCTCAGCAGAACCCAATCATACTGGCATCCCCACCTTGCACTTCCTGCCTCCGGAACTGTGAGAAATAAATGTTTGTTGTCTAAACCACCCATTCTAATTCATTAGAGTAGCCCAAGCTAAGACAGTAACAAAACCAGAATCTAATCCTATGCCTGCCTGATTTCAAAATTATGTTCTTTTGTCCATACAGAACATAAAACTGTAAAAAAAAAAAAAAAAAAAAAAAAAAAAACCCGAAGGGTTTTTTTTTTTTTTCATATGTTACGTGCCCAATAAAAATTTATCTAATGATGATGGCCTTAAAACTAGACTGCTAGAAGTGAATGCAGATGACACTAAGGATGGGGTAGGGTAGGCAAGAAATTGGTGTTCATGAAATGGCAAGGTTTGGTCAGTGAAATGTAAGTTGTCTGGACTTGAGATACTTCATTTATTCAGGACAATAATAAGGAAGAACAAGTCACAATAATGAATTGACAATATAGACAAGAGGAAACAATCAGAACTCTAAAACCCCATCCTTGGGACCCAGAGCAGACTGGTCCCACTCATAAGCATTCTAAATCTAATTAGATTTAAAGAGTTAAAGATGGGAATTTTAGTGGATCTCACCAATTTGTCCTACAGATACGGACATTTCCCAGGTAGTTATCTTGCTTCTTAAACTGGCCTCCCCGCAATTAAGTAGTATATGCCAGGGAGTGCATGACTACATTTACAAATATGTCTGACAAAATAGCATGACTTTAAAAGACAGTATGAGGATTTTAAGTAACTGCTTTCTTTGCAAGGGAATCATTTTGGTAAAAGCTATCAGGAAACACAGAGATAGAGATGCAATTTTCCTTTCTGTGGGCTATCCTTCTGTGAAAAGTTTGTAAAACACTGTTGTCAAAGAGAAGTGGAAGTCTTGTACAAGAAATCAAAATATCAGGTTTGGAAAGGCTGGAAACGTTATCAAATCATGGTCAGCCATGACAAAGTCAGAATAAAGGTTGGGCAAAGTCAAGTGGAGATTTTTCCTTTTGACTTGACTTGAAGAGATTACAGAAAACCCAAAGTTAAGTACAGAAAAATAAAATTAAAAAAAGGCCAAATTCAATGGAATATACAGTCTCCCTCAGTATTCATGTGGTATTGCTTCCAGGACTCTCGTGGATACCAAAGCCTGTAGATGCTCGTGTCTCATGTATAATGGAGTCTTCTTAAATATAATCCATGTACATCCTCTTGTACATTTTAAATCATCTGTAGATTACTGATAGTACCGAATACAATGCCTACGCATCATTTCATCTGTGTGGACTCAGTGTAGTACTCAGCACCACAAAAATTCAAATTTTACATTGTGAGATTCTGTGGAATTTTTTTTCTGAATATTTTGGATCCTCAGGTGGTTGAATCCATGGATGTGGAAACCATGGATATGGAAGGCTGACTACTTGTAATTAAGACTTACGGGTTTTAACTTTGGTCTTTGTGTGTAACTTTGAATATCACTTTTAGTTTCCCCATTCATAAAACAGAGATGGCAATATTTCAAGGCAAAACTATTTCAAGGATTCTATGATGATTAAGGAATAAACTATAAGGCACTTAGTGAATACAAAGTGCTGGAAGATGCAAAGCAATAAAATATCCTGGAAATTGTGTTTGTTTTTACAAACTTGAAACCTGTGGAACCTACTATTTGATTTATCTCTTTGTGAAAGGGAGTAAACGTGATTACAGGAAACCAAAGTGCACAAATTTTTGGATGTATAATAGCAGAAACTTGCCATGTACAGATTTTTCCCACTGGACCTGCGTTTATTTGAATTATTCTCTTGTCACTATTGTACACAAAGAAAGGGTGCTACTTTGTGACTCCACATTATGCTTCTATCAAACACATTCCTCAAGACTGAAGATGACAGCTCCCGTCCTCTCAGGAGACACAACACACTTCTCCATGTCCCTGTGCCCTTGTTCTGTGCTTTCTGAATTTGGGTGACAAGTCCAATGTCAAAAATGCAATGGGGACACATAGAATAAGCTAGCACAGAGGTTGCAAAAACAATGCAAACCGTTTTTTAATTAAAAGAAGTATAGACATATTATGGAATGAAAGGCAGCTTCACAGACACTTTAAAGCTAAAACACGAACATTTCGAAAGAAAAAGCCTTGCTCATGGCAGGCTACACAGGCTGTACTTTGACTACCCCAAAACGTCCACTGTAGAAAGCATCTCAGAGAAGACCCTTTCCAGAGCAGGGGAACAGTAGCAGCTAGGATAGCCATGCCCCTCTCATCTGTTGCCTCCCTGTTGGACTTCTGTACCCCTTCCTGCCTCAGTTGTCTCCTGTGGAAAATGCAGGAAATGAAAGTATATGCCCCTGCAGCCTGACACAGATGATTTTAAAATCAACTGAGATAAAATACATGAAAACGCTTTTAAAGCAGGAAATATCGGACAAATGGTAGTTGTAATTTTTTATTATAGTAGAGTGTAGAGAGTCTTTGTGCTTTACTTAGCACTTAAGCATTTAAATTATAATGTATCAATTTACATATATTAGAACTTCTTAGATTGTTTCAGTTGACCATATTTTGTGTTTAAAATAGACCCCAATCTCCTTGGCTCATATTTCTTTGGTATCTCAAAATAATACTCTGACTGTACAAGATGCTCAAAAATATCTTTTAAGATGACTTTAATATAACCATCACTGAAAAGATGCTTCCTTGTGTGTATGGGGGAAGGGCCCTGTATTTTCCATTACTTGTGTGATCTGAGCCAAGTGGCATGTACCTGCGGTCCCAGCTACTTGGCAGGCTGAGGCTAGAGGATCAATTGCTGAAGTTTGACACTGCAGTGAGCCTATCTCTTAAAAACACAATTAGTCCTTCTCTTCCCCCTTACTGTGATTTCATAGGAGATGGTCATACCCTAGCTGCAGGGTGGGCATGGGGCCGTGGCCTGAGGTAAGCTAAACAATACAAATCAGGCTCAGAACTTCTGTGCAATTTTGCTGAAGAAGAGATATTTTCTTTCCATAAAGATACTAAAAACTTAAAAGCCATTGTTGGAGCTGCTGGCTGCCATTTTGTCACCATAAGGAGAAAGTATGCCTGAGTATGGAACCATTACAGAAGAAAGAGAAAAACAATAAGATGAATCAGAAGAGTTCCTGTGAACCTGTTTATAGTCATGACGAGTGCATTGGACCATTTTGAACTGTAAACTAATCATTCCATTTTTAATTTAGCCAAATAGAGGGTTTTAGGGGTGGGGGGTTTGTCTCTTATACCTGAAAGAATTATGACTTAAAACAATATTTATCATGCTTTTGGACATAATTTGTTAGGTATTTGTCTTCTCTATGAGGCTGAATACTACAAGAATGTGGAGTAGGGCATCACATCCGTCTTTTGAATCTTATATCCCTAGCATCTAACACGAAACTTGGCAAGTAGTAGTAGCTCATTAAATATTGGTTGAATAAATTAGTGAAAAAAATAAAATAAATAGAATGCGTGTACCCAAGGAACTTTTGTCTTAGAATTAACTATCTGGAATGTAATTAGATGGTTGACATTGATTTCCAGGAATATTTTAGTCTGGAAACTAAAAGGATTTTAGAGTGTACTTGTTTCCAAATGAGATGTACAGGCATGCCTTATTTTATGGCACGTCCCTTTATTGTACTTCCCAGATATTACATTTTTTATAAATCGAAGGGTTGTGGCAACCCCGCATACAAGTTTATTGGCACCATTTTTCCAAGAACACTTGTCCTCTTTGTGTCTTTGTATCACATTTTGGTAATTCTCACAATATTTCAAATGTTTTATTATTATTATATTTGTTATGGTGATCTGTGGTAAGCAGTCTTTGATGTTACTGTTGTAGTTGTTTTGGGGGCCTTGAACCATACCCTCTCTATTCCCTGAGACACAATAATATTAAAATTAGGCCAATTAATAACTTACAGTGGTGCCTAAGTGTTCAAGTGAAAGGAAGAGTTGCAAATCTTTTGCTTTAAGTCAAAAGCAAGAAATTATTAAGTGTAGTGAGAAAAGGCATGTCGAAGGTTTTCAGCTAAACTTGTGCCAAACAGCCAAGTTATGAATGAAAAAAACAAGAAAACTTCTTGAAAGAGATTAAAAGTGTTACTCCAGTGAACACATGAATAATAAGAAAGCAAAATAACCTTATTGCTGATATGGAGAAAGTTTTTAGTGGTCGGGATGGAAGATCAAACCAGCCATAACATTCCCCTAAGCCAAAGCCTAATCCAGGGCAAGGTCCTAACTCTATTTAATTCCTAAAAGCTGAGAGAGGTTTGGAAGCTGCAGAAGAAAAGTTGGAAGCTAGCAGAGATTGGTTTAGGAAAGAAGCCATCTCCGTAGCATAAAAGTACAAGGCAAAGCATCAAGTACTGATGTCGAAGTTGCAGCAAGTTATCTAGAAGCTCTAGCTAACTGATGAAGGTGGCTACACTAAACAACAGATTTTCGGTATAGACAAATCAGCCTTCTATTGGAAGAAGATGCCATCTAAGCTTTTCATATTTAAAAAATAGAAAATGCCTGGCTTCAGAACTTCGAAGGATAGGCTGACTCTCTTGTTAGGGGTTAATGTAACTGCTGACTCTTAAGTTAAAGCCAGTGCTAATTTCCCATTCTGAAAATCTTCAGACCCTTGAGAATTATGTGAAATCGGCTCTGCCAGTGCTCTATAAATGGAACAACAAAGCTTGGATGACAGCACTTCTGTTTACAGCATGATTTTACCAAATATTTTAATCCCACTGTTGAGACCTACTATGTAGAAAAAAAAGATTCCTTTCAAAATATTATTGCTCATTGACAATTTACCTGGTTACTCAAGACCTCTGATGGACATGTACAATTAATGATTAATTTCATGCCTGCCAACACAACATCTATTCTGCAGCACATGGCTTGAGGAGAAATGTTGACTTTCAAGTTTTATCGTTTAAGAAATACATTTCATGGCTGGGCGTGGTGGCTAACGCCTGTAATCCTAGCACTTTGGGAGGCTGAGGCAGGTGGATCACGAGGTCAGAAGTTCCAGACCATTCTGACCAACATGGTGAAACTCTGTCTCTACTAAAAATACAAAAATTAGCTGGGAATGGTGGTGCATGCCTGTAATCTTAGCTACTCAGGAGGCTGAGGCAGGAGAATAGCTTGAACCCAGGAGGCAGAGGCTGCAGTGAGCTGAGATCGTGCCACTGCACTCCAGCCTGGGCGACAAAGGGAGACTCCATCTCAAAAAAAAGAAAGAAATACATTTCATAAGGCTGTAGCTCTCATAGACAGTGATTCCCCTGATGAATCTGTGCTGGACAAAGTAAACTGACAACTTTCTGGAAAATATTCACCATTCTAGATGCCATTAAAAACATTTGTGATTTATGGGAGGAGGTCAAAATATCAACATTAACAGGAGTTTGGAAGAAGCTGATTCCAGCATTCATGGATGATTTTGAGGGGTTCAAGACTTCAGTAGAGGAAGTCACCATAGATTTGGTGGAAATAGCAAGAGATCTAGAATTAAAAGTAAAGCCTGAAGATGCAATTGAATTGCTGTATTCTCATAAAACCTAACAGATTAAGACTTGCTTCTTATGGATGTGCAAAGAAAATGGTTTCTTGAGATAGAATCTATTCCTGGAGAAGATGCTATGAACATTGTTGAAACGGCAACACAGGATTTAGAATTGTATGCCAACTTAGTTGATAAAGCAGTGGCAGGATTTGAGAAGATTGACTCCAATTTTGAAAGAAATTCTACTGTGGCTAAAATGCTATCAAACAGCATCACATGCCACAGAGGAGTCTTTCATGAAAGTATGAGTCAATTAATGCAGCTAACTTCATTGCTGTCTTATTTTAAGAAATTGCCACATCTCCCCTAACCTTTGGCAACCACCATCCTGATCAATCAGCAGCCATCAACATTAAGGTAAGACACTCCACCAGCGAAAAGATTATGACATGGTAAAGGCTCAGATGATTGTTAGTACTTTTTAGCAAAAAAGTATTTTTAAATTATGTACATAGATTTTTTTAGACATAATGCTATTGCACACTTAATAGACTGTAGTGGAAACATAACTTTTATATGCATTGGGAAACCAGAAAATTTGTATGACTTGCTTTATTGTGATATTTGCTTTATCGCAGTAGTCTGGAACAGAACCTACAATATCTGCATGGTATGCCTGTAATTAATTCCTCTCTTTTCCATTTGTGACTACTTTGTAACCTCTTTCTAGCATGCACAATCCTTATTAAATTTAAAAAGTCTTAAATTTTCTAGTTGTTAATGCTTTCAAATATAATTTCTATCATAAAGTAGATTCAAAAAATATGGAATATGCTCCCTCTCCCTTCTTTTTTAGACTGCCACCTTTCTATTTTCCTTAGGTTAGAATCTGGTATTCTTAAAGTCTGCTATTATTTTATTTGGCAGGGAGGATTTGCATGTGTCCTCCCTATGTATTCCCTACCCTACACTTAACCAAGACTTGCACAGCATGACACATATATTAGGCTAATTTTCATCTTTGTGCTGCAATTAACATTTAATCATCAGAGATCGTGACCAAGAAGCACCACTAAATTTTAGATATATTTTTCCTACAATCCAATATATTTCGAAGTTTTTTTGAATTTGGAAGTATCTATTTGTTAATTATATTTCCACATGTGCATCGAAATCATTTTTAATGGATTGAAAGAAAAAGGATGGCAAGAACAAGTTTAGCGTGTAATAGATTAAATGTGCAACGTTTAGATTTTGAGGAGATACTTCAAACGCTAACTGATCCAAGTATTCAACACTGTGGTAATTAACTAAAAATTGAAATCCCAAATGTAGGATAAAGTTACACTACGCAAAGAAATGAATGTGGTTGCTCATTATAAGGATTATCCTTGAATTTTACACTGAAATGGTCTTTGGTTCTTGTTGATAACCTCATTGTATTGTTTGTTGAATGCAGTGTAGGTGTTCAACAGATACTCACTTAAAGGAGCTTGATTACCATATCGATCACTATAGCTATTTAGGCTTAACCCTGAAAGCTCCGCATTCCTTTCTTTATTTAATCAGTATTCATTCTGAGTGCTATTATACTGCCTTGTAAACAATATTGTTTTGCAACCTTAAAGTCAGTAATTCTGTAGAAATTAAATTGGGTTTACAGTAAATCCTTGATTACCATATAATCTGTGGAATCCAAATAATGATGTACTTAGCTGTAAAACTGCATGTAAAACACAGACTGATGATCACATGGCTATTTGGAGCCTAGCAAAGAAAGGGACACCAAATGTTTTGATGGTTGAAAAGCTGTGAAATCATTTTGTTTTTAATGTCTTATTTTAATTACAGTCTTCAAACATCTTGATATTGCTCTAGCTGCCTTAAAAATGGCCTTAAAATCTACTGCTAAATCTTATGCCTTACATCATGTGTTGGGAGTTTATTTTAATAAAATAAGACTTGTTAAAAATAGAAGATCCATCTGATTTAAAGTGACAATAGAAAGAAATAAGCAGACTTGCCTTTAGCACATAATCTGTCGCTGTTTTAAGGGAATCTTTCATGATAATGTTTGGCTTAAGGATTAAGTAGTGTTTCTGGACAAAAGAACTGGTCAAATATGCATTTTATCCAAGGGCTCTGGCCTTCTAATTTGTCTCAAGGTCTCAGCCACTGCTTGACCTGCTGCTAATTAATTTCAGGGAAACCAATGCATGTTGCTCTCCTAATACAGCCCAAACTCTAAGCTATGATCATTGTTAAACCTTAGAGTCAGAATGGCCCACAGAGATATCTACAGAAATAATCTGATTGACAAAAACCACATCATTGCTTCATGGCCAAGTCAAGCCTAAAACTCATGTCTTCCACCTCCTAATCCAGAGTCTTTCTCACTACACTAAAACCTGCAAAGGAAACAAAGTTTAGTTAGATGCAGAACCCACCCAAAAGGAGCTCAAAATCCAGTAGAAAATATGAGACAATAAGAAGAGCCAGGACATCACTATAATTCAAGAGCACAGAGACTAACACAGAGGTGGCATTGTAGAGTGGTGAGGAACATGGAACTGTGATTTTAAGCCAAACTTCACCATTTCATATCTGTGAAACTTCAGCAAGATACATTCTAGTTCTAAAGCTCATTTCTGTCAAATTAACAAGTAGGATTGCTGTGAGGATGAAATGTGATAATCTATGCAAATTACACTCAGCACAGTGACTGATACATGGAAGAGTTCAGTAAATGTTAATTAATATTAATAGAGGAAAAAATTATGGGAGTTTAGAGAGTGGAAAGGAATTGCTAAGTTAGTGCAACTGGGGAAGACTGTGAAAAGATGGCATTTGTGAAGCATGAAGAAGGAGAACTATGGACTTCAGAGGGAAAAGACCAGGAGAGAATAGCAGGATTGGAGTATGGAAAGATGCAAAAACAATGAGGAGGAAAGAATGAGCTCATAGGTAAAGAATGTTGAATGGCCTTGTGCATTTGAAACACATTTGTTGTACTCAAATTTTGTTGTACTCGAATTTTGTTGTTCTAAATGTTATTTGAATTAAGATGATGGGATAACAGTAATTACAAATATTTACTGTGGGCTCATCATGGCAAGCCTTCTAGAGAAGTGAGAGGCAATAATGGTGAGAAGTTTCTTACGTCTTTGGCCTCAGACTGAGAGTTACATCATCAACTCTTCTGATGTTAGAAGTCAGAGCTATCCAATGAGTGATATAGAATTCCAGGCTGTGGGTGTTGTATGTTGGGGAGTATTGAAAACTTCAAACCGTGAAAATATAGCATAACTGGACCTGGGATTTTGGAAAATGGTTCTGATTCTGAAGGGAAAGATGCTGTATTAGTCAGGGTTCTCCAGAGAAACACAGCCAATAGGATATACACAGCTGGCCCTCTATGTCCTTAAGTCCTGCATCCATGGATCAACCAGCTATGAATCAAAAAAATTTTTAAACAAAAGGATGGTTGTGCCTGTATTGAACTACTTTTTTCTTGCCATTATTCCATAAACAATACATTATAGCAACTATTTATATGACATTTACATTGTATTAGGTATTATAAATAAGGTAGAGATAATTTAAAGTATACAGGACCATGTACATAGGTTATATGCAAATTCTACACCATTTTCTATAAGGTACTAGAGCACCCATGGATTTTGGTGTCCACTGGAGGTCCTGAAACCAACCCCCATGGATACCGAGGGACAACTGTATATATAGACAGATGAGAGAGGATTTACTAGAGAAATAGATTCATACAATTATAGAGGCTAAGAAATCCCACTATTTCCATCTGCAAGCTGGAGAATCAAGGAAGCTGGTAGCATGGCTGAGTCCAAGTCTGAAGGCCTGAGAACCAAGGGAGCTGATGATGGAACTCTTAGTCAGAGGCCAAAAGCATAAAAAACTGGGAGGCTGCTGGTGCAAGTCCTAGAGTCTGAAAGCTGGAGAACCTGGAGTGCTGACATCCCAGGGCAAGAGAAGATGGAGGTCTCAGGTCCAGAAGAGAGAGCAAATTCACCTTTCCTCTGTCTTCTTGCTTTATCCAGGCCCTCAGCCTAATAGTGATGCCGGCCTATATTGGGTGAAGAAAGGTCTTTCTTACTCATTTCACTGATTCAAACACCAGTTTCTTCTGGAAACATCCTCACAGACACACCCAGAAATTATGCCTTACCAGCTGTCTGGATATTCCTTAATCCAAATCCAGTCAAGTGGACACCTAAAATTAACCATCACAGAGGCCCTGCAAAAGGGAAGAATCCTTTGATAATGTTAAAAGAAAAACTTTTAGACAAATTAAATTTAACAGAGATTAATCGAGCAAAGAACAATTCATGAATCAGGCTGCCCCAGGATCCAGAAGAAGTTCAAGATGACTCCAGAGCTGCCGCATGGTCAGATCATGTTTAGGGACAGGAGGAGGAAAGTGAGGCCCAGAAACAACTGTATTGGCTAGAGCTTGGTGTTTGCCTTATTCAAACATGGTTTAAACAGCTGGCTGGCTGTGATTAGCCAGAAATCTGTGATTGGTACAAGAGTAGGTTATAGTCTGTTTACACATCCATTTATTATTACGTTACAGTTCACTATTCTATGTGAGGCTGAATCCTTTATGTAAGGAGGCAGCTTTAGGCTAAACTTAATCTAACAATAACCAGACCAGAGAAAAGCCCACTACAAGAATTCTAATGATGGAGACAAAGGCCTGAGTTAGGGTGGTAGCCACACTAAAACAAACAAAAACAAAAACAAAACAAAGCAAGACAAAAAAAACAGTTGTAAAAGTGAGAGACAAGACATGTGGTGTTTTAATCTTCCAGGCTGCCATAAGAAAGGATCACCAAGTGGCTAGTGAGTAGTGGGCAAAAGTTCTGTCTTAAAACATCAGAAATGTATTCTTTTACAGTTCTGAGGGTAGCAGTTCCTAATCTAAGTGTCAGCAGAGCCATGTTCCCTCCAAGCATTCTGGAGAAGGGTCTGCTCTCTCCCAGCTGGGTGTTGTCAGCAGTCCTTGGCATTCCTTAGTTGGAGCTTGCATCACTCCATTTTCTGACTCCATCTCCACATGGCCTTCTTCCCTTCGAATCAGTGTCCCTGTATCCAATTTCCTTTTCCTCTCTCCTATAAAGACACCATTGAATTTAGGCCCCACCCTAATCCACTATGACCACACCCTAATTAATTATATCAGCAAATCTCTATTTCCAAATAAGGTCATATTCACAGGTACCAAAGTTAGGACTTGAACAATTCAACCCACTTTATGTAGTATCCACAAACTTGAAAAATGCTAACATGTTGGGAGTCATAAGGGATCCCTTTCATTCCACTGCTTCCAAGGTTTTTTCTAGTCAAAGGAATAAAAGAGGAAGAGGCTTCTTAGGCCCTTGAGTTGGATCAGCTGTGCTCATTGAACATGCCTGACATGAACAGCCTTCTACAAGCGGTTTGTTCTCTGAGGTCAAACTGATGCAGACCTTCCCACTCTGACAGCCACCCTGGGTCTTAGCTGAAGGACAGAGACTCTCTTCAGGCAGAGATTTAACACCTGGGGAAAGGAGGCGGCTCTGGAGTCAAACTGAATGCCAGTCTGGCTCCTTTATATACCTGCCTGAATCTCAGTGTCCTTATCTATAAAATGGGTATAATGAGTTGAGTTGATGCAATGGTTAAACACTCTTATTCCAGTACTTACTGAATACTTTAATATTTGGTAAATATGACCTTGTTGTATTTATTATTACTGTTTTCTTGAATTATGGCCATTATTATTACCGTTTTCCTGAATAATGGCCATCTTTTGATGATTGGATTGTTGCTTTCATTAGACTGCCTTCTAGCTTCTATGGCGACTTGACTTTCCTGCCTTGATATCTGTGGGGATCCCTGGCATATTGTCACTGACATGCCAATTTTGATTGTCTGAAGGTGACAGTCCAAAGGTAGAAATAGATACAGGTCCTTTAACCCTCTGGCCGTTTTACGGCTCCAACGAGGTATCTATATTTCCTTTTCCCTTTGCTCCAGGAAAGTTTTATAAGTAAAATCTACACAAACCACTAGGCATATTTTTAAAAATTCATGAAGTGCCATTAAGGCAAACTCCAGGGGACATTTGAAACATATTTGTTGTACTAAAATTTTGTTGTACTGTTATTTGAAACTTAAGCCATGGCCGAAAAATAGTTTCCTGAGTAGATTTTTATCAAAGCAGTTGCAGTAATGAAGGGTTGTTCTACAACCATCGCAACAGACTATCTCATTGCTTCCTCTTTCCACCTGGTGTATTCCCTCAATGTGATTCATAAGCACTTACTTGTAAGAGTCATCAGGAGACAGTGAGAAAAACTTTGGTTTACTCTGTGGTTTGGTTCTCCTGAAGGGTAAGGGATACATTTCATTCATCTTTGTACCCCCAGATGTCTACTCAGTACTTTGAGGGTAATCAAAAAATATTTAATAAATGAATAAATGACTAAATGCTAAATTAATTAGCATCAACTTAGAAAAACTCTCATGAGACTGCACTCCATATCTGTTTATAAACATTCACCAAAAATATTTTACATGCATTTAGTATCAGTGCAAAATTGGGGTCTCATAAGAGCAAAATGAGCTCAGTGAATCATCTGAGTACCTGCAGGCCAATCAAGATATTATTGCTTCTAATTGGTATTCCTACAAGTGGTTAATTTTTTCCCTATGCCTGACTTGCAAGCATTCAGGTGCAAAATTTGTTCCTGTATTTGAGACCATCCTAATAATCACTCTACATCTGAATCTTGGAACCAGAATCCCCCACTGATGGGTACAAATGAGGGAGAAATATGTCAGCACACATGGGCATTGGCTCGTGACAATGAAGATTTATTTGATCTAGTCAGCCAAGTGATCACCAGGAGCAAGTAATAAAGAGAATGAAATTCCAGGGTGGGTTCTGCCAGTACCTCCTTTGTTCAACAGTGTACCTCAGCCTTGTCCATAACAGAGCTTGGAGTCCGGGGGACAGTGCACTTGTGTTAACTCAAGTCTAGAATGAAGACGGTGACCCTGAAAATATTGATGCTTTAGTGCTAAATTTTTGTTTGTAAATGAGTTTAAACTTTTGTTTGTTGCTCAGTCGATGTCACTGGGATTTATTTGGCTGCCAGCTTTGAGTTGCTATTTGAAACGAGCAGCACCATATGTGCACATGCATATTCAGTGGTGCAGTTCTTTTTCTAAAGGGAGGGGGGAATGCCAGGACTCATGGTTCACAATATGAATTTGCATCCCACTTTGCATAAATTTGCATGTAGACTTCATAAGCCTCTAATTTCAAGTATGTAAAATGAAATGAATCAATGCAATCTACTGCAATTGTTTTCCAAGGCATTAATCACATGAAATACATCCCAGCTTTCCTTAACCAATTAATTTAATCACACTCAAGGTTAGGAGAGACAGGAAAGTAGTGAATAATGGCTGCTATGCCCCTGGCCTCAGGTTAGGAGGCTATATACAGCCTTAGTACTTGCCCAGTACATCTCCCTTCCAATTCTTTGTCTCTTGTGAAAGATTATATTAGAGTTTACTTAGTATTTTCTTTTATTTCAGTGCCCCTCTCTGCAGGAGGATTATACAACCCTACCCTGTTAAACTCTAGAGTTGCCGTATGACTTTCTCTGACCAATGAAATGTGACAAAAAATGCTGCATGTTCCTTCAAAGCAGAAGCTTTAAAATCCTACACATGGTTCAGTATCTCTCATTTTCCTCTGCCATAATACAAGCAGTATTTCTTATTGAGACTGCTCCATTAACCTGAATTCAGGGTGAAGATCAAATGAAGGGGAGTTCCAGATGACCTCCAAAATGGGCATGCAGCAAGAGAAAGAAATATGCCTTTGTTATTCTAAGCTGCTATCATTTGTTGCTGCAGCATATCCTAGCCTATCTTGACTGATGATGCATTTCTTGAATTAATAAAATGAACTATAATTTGGCTTCAGCAGTTTGTGTGAGTTCTGTCTATGTAAGCATATGTGCACACACTGGAGTGGAGACAAAAATATTCACAGATATGGCCCATGTGGCTAATAAACATATGAAGTGGTTGAGGAAACAATCTATATGTTTGTGATAAATTAAATGTCACCATAGAATAGTAATACAGCATTTGTTATACCCCTCCTATTTGAGCGAGATGGGATAGACTATTTAGATTTATTAAGACCAGCAGATCCATAAAAATTTGGTCTGTACTTAAGATAGATGCCAGCTTCCTCTTTGCAGAGCCTTGGAGTTCTTCATATTCCACTGGGGGAAAAGTCTCAATTAAATGCGAATTTTTAAATACCTTTCCTTAGTACTTTCCAATCTACTATTAATTTAAGAGTGAATTAACTTGAAACCACAAGAAGGTACACAGTGAATAATCAAACAATGAAACCTTACATCCTGAACCTGAAAAACCAGAGCTTTCTGTATTTCCGTAGTGCAAAACTGTGTAGAACAACCTACAAATAATATTAGAATATAGATTATAGAAATAAAGGGTATGACTTTCTTTCAGCCAACCAAGTCTAGAAGCTTTGCTTCTGCTTCTCCACCATGCTGTCCTGCAAAGTCCAAGGTGGAGCAGCCTGACTCTGCCCCTAAGAATGCAGAAAGTCAAGAGAGGAAGACATATAATATTGAAGATTACTTTATTTCCATAATGAAAAGATTAGAAGAATATATATGACAACTCTCAACAGAGATGAATGAATCAAAACAAACATTTGGTTTCTTATTCTTTCCCCAGGCACACATAGCCAAGAAATGGTTGCTCATTTTGCAAACTATTCTGCACAAAGTAGATTATTATTTATGCTCTCTAGATTACACGGTACTCATCCTTGACTTGAGTCTACCTCCTCCTCAGTACAATCTCTACATAATTAGTAGTTTGAAAGTTGCTTAAGAACTTTAACAGACCTGTTAGAAGAAAGGATTTTTCTTAGAGAAGAAAAAATATTTACAAAAATTTTACACCCTGTGTAATGAACCCCAAGAAAAGAGGATAACTATTCAGAAAGCCAAAACATAGGGGAAATAAAATAAAGAGATGAACTGTCTATCAAAGGACTGGAGGTTTATTTTACTTCATTTTGCTTCTCAGATGTTCACTTGCGTCTCTGATGCTCTTTGGGCAGGAGATCTTCCAGCAGAGTGAGACCCTCCTGGTGGTTCTTAGATTACAGATGCCACAAGAATGATGTTTCTTAACTAAATCAATTTCTTGCCCATGGCCAGAAACAGTAAAATTAGGAGACTGGTTATAAAAATCACTTTCTGAGCTCTTTTTCATCTCGGAAATGTCAGAATCAGTTTAAAGTTTCATTGAACTTTTAAAACTGGTATGATTCCTAGAGTAATAAGCACCCGCTTATACAGTTTTTTTTGTGTGTTTTTTTGTTTTGTTTTGTTTCTTTTTTTAGTGAAAACTGATCCCGGGTTTTGAGGCATGTAAATCAAAGAAAGAGTGAAGTAGAGGCATTATGTAAAATAGAATCTTTCCAAGTGAGTGTTTCTTTAAAAACTGATAGGTCTGTAATTAGACTGTGTTCTCCTGCAATTAAGTGGACCACATCTTCACAAGGATAGTGCCTGAGAGTGTTCTAATAATTCTGTGCTTCTAAAGCGTTCCTTCAAGAATAGAGAGAATTTCCTGTATCAGTCCTATAAACCTGTCTGAGCCTTGGCCATGCCATGGTATGAACAGGGCATCATAGGGCTGTCTGATCTTGTACAAGAGAGGAGAAGGAGTTTATGGGCTGTGGTCCAATTTAACCCAGTATTTCTCTTTTGGCAGGATTTAACATAGGGTATCCAATCTCATTCTCTTCCAGGCGTTTCTTCCATTGTATATTTTTATTTGAGATTCTGGAATTCTGACTAGAGCAGAACTTTACTCAGCTTCAGAGAAGAAAGAGGCAGAAAAGTTGCCAGTTGGGTTTAAGAAAGGCCTCCGACTTATTCAAGTCTGTAGATAAGATGTTCCCTGCTCCTTGGATCAGCCTAGTCCTCCTCGTTTCTCCTGTGCTTAGGAATTTCCCACTGCTCTTTATGTCTTTCAAGATTTTCCTGTAGCTTTGCAGTCAAGTTGGTGGTAATTTTCCACTGGTTTGCAGTGAAACTTCAGATGTGACCTATGATCTCAATGTCACCATAATTTAGCCATCACTAATATGCCCATTCTTTGGAATGCTAGCTTTTATTGCTATCATAATTCTCACATTATTTATAAATAATATAGTGCCATAAATACGGACCTTCAGAGCTAGCACAAGATCTTTCTAATCAAGCTTTTGCCTGGTTGAGGTAAGAGTCCAAGTCTTTACAACACTTTATTGCTGATGGCTATGTTAAACTCTCTAAAGATGTCTGGGACATTTAGGGACATGGGTATTGCGAAGCCATAAAAATGACATTGTAGGATCTAAAACAAGCACAGTGGAACTCCACTGTGACCCTGATGTTATATGGCAAGGAAAAGTCCTGTCACAGAAATTTTGCCCTACGGCAAGAGAGTTGTATACAACAGGGCTATGAATAGGCACAGATAATTTCCAGGGGTGTCACTGATTTAACCCTCCAGGGGAACAAAATCATGTCATTTTTAACAAAGTTCTATTTTGCCTTATGTTTTTCCTGTGGAACAGGTGAAGTTATTTTTTCATTTACAACAAAAAATGAGCAAAAAAGAAACTAAGGAAAATAAGCAAACAAGATTGGTTAAGGAAAAATGTATAAAAACATCACTAGCTCTAAAGCTGGGACAAAACCGAAAAATGAAACAATCGTGGTTGCTGGGAAACTCTTCAGAAGATTCTGGGTAGTTTTTTGAGAAAAAGAATTACTTGTGCTTCAGTCAGGGTATCAGCAAGAAGCAGAATTATAGAGCTTCAGCTAAAGAAATTTTAATGGAGGGCTATTTGCATTAACAGTCAGCAAGTTAAGGTGACCAACAAGGGAAGCTGAGGCACCCAGAGATTAGCAATCATGGAAAGTCATTACTTTTTCTATACGTGAAGGGAAAAAGGAAAGAAACAGTGTTACTGAAGCCCAGTGAGAGATAGATCTGTGGGGGTGGGACTAATATCTATATTAACTGAAGAATAGAAACATCACCAAAACCACAGCATGGAACAGGAAGGGAGCGGGAAATAAATGCCTCAACTTCTCTGTCCTCCCACTGGTGCCTTTCACTGGCTAAACCCAGTGAGATGAGTTCAAGAGAGCCTGGATAAAGTGGTCCATGGGTCAGGCAAGAGCCTACTTGACTTGTCTGCCATGTGTTCTTTCTCCTGTCTTCAGGACTGCATTTTGGTTTTAGGCAATATTGAGGTCTATACAGGCATAGGGCAGTGGAAAATATAACCCCATGCTTGTCAGTGGAACTGTGTATTTGCTGCACTTCCAAGTGTACTTAGTCTTAACTAACTTTGCTAAACATGAAATCATGAAGCTTTTCTTTTTCCTACTAAAACCCCCTGTTATGCCTGCTCCTCATCTCACTATTTCTCTTCTTCTCTCCCCCAATACTTGCTTAAACAAATTTATACTCTGCCTTTTTGTATGCACCAAAATCTGGTGGCATTATAAAAGTATCATCCTTACCATATATATTTGTAATGGGCACCAATGTTTCAAGTGAATATCAAGGAATACCAAGGGGAACAATCTGACTTCACCGACGGATGAGAGACCACCATATTTTTGGGTGTACCATAATGTGGATGGCCAAGGTCTGCCCTGGTAATACCACAAAGGCCTTCTCCACAAAATGTTTAACTCTACCAAACATGACATGTCCACAAGGTCACAGAATGAAGGCAGGAGTTTGAGTCCATGGGCAAGGCCACCTTCCACAACTTAAAGGACAAGAGAAAATATTGAAATGGCAGAGTGATGGGGAAGGCAGACATATAACTTCCAACTAGGAGGAAAATGGCGTGAATAGAAGAAGCAGAAGAAGAAGGATCCATGGTTCTAAAGGCCCCACCTGCTCCCAAGTGTCAGGGAGCGCTCAGAAAATTACCCGGTGATGGTCAGTGAGGAAAAGACTCTTTATCTTGGAGGTGGCATAGGACAGAAACCAGCTCTTGATGGGGTTTTCAGTAATCGAGGCATCTGTGAATATGTGGCTTTTCTTTTTGGCACTGTGAGGTCTTGTACAAGTTATTTTACTTTCTGAGTTTCATCATCCAAAACATGGGCATAAAACCTAGTATTTCCAGTTTGTGAGAAGTAACATGATAGCATACATAAAACAGTAGATGTATAATAATGTCCAGATATATTAATTTTCTTCTTTTTAAGCTTAAACCAATCCTATTTTCTCTACTGTATAATTGTGATATACTCAAATAGGGTCCAACCATTTTACCCCTAAATTAGAGGAAAAATTAATTTATAGCTGTATTCCTCATGTTTATGTTTGCCACTTTCAAAGTTATATTTGTTTCTAACCAAACACATGTATCACAATAATTAAAAGGGAAAAAATCATGCTCTATGGTAAACAAAAAAATGATGTTCACAGTATTGTCACTGAATAAACCTGCTAAGGGGCTTAATTTCTTAGTGAAGAGGAAAAAGAAAGATCCAGAAAGAAGGGAGGAAGCAAAGAAAAGCAGAGATTTTTACAAATCTGAGCATGTTATTTTATAAGTCAAAGTGAGGACAAGAATAAGTGCTATTATGGCAATTTTCAGTCTGTTTGCTATTTTGATTGCTGTGAATGTGCTGGGGAATGGCATCTACTTTCTGAAATGGCATGTATTTATGTACTGATAAATAAAGCAGCAGGCAAATTTGGGAAGCCTCAAAATCAACAGGGTATTTCTCTCCAGAGTAAGGTCTGTGAAGCATTTGAAGCAGTAGATTTGGGACCTTGTGCTAGCATCTTCATACCAAGGGCAGAGTGTGAACATCACCAGGTTACATCAGCTGTGAATTTGTTTCCTATGACTGCTGTAACATGTTACCCAAAATAAATACTTGTAATAAATCACCATGTAGCAGCTTAAAACAACACAAATTTATTATCTTATGGCCCTGGAGGTTAGAAGTCCAAAATGGGCCAGCTGGGACAGCATTTCTTCCTTGTCTTTTTTCAGCTTTCAGAGGCTGCCTGAATGTCTCAGCTCATAGTTCCACATCACTCTGACCCCCTACTTGTTATCACATGGCCTTCTCTTACTCTCATTACTCTGACCCTCCTGCCCCACTCTTATAAGGACCCTTGTGAGTACATGAGGCCCCTCCCCATAATCTAGGATAATCTACCTACCTCAAAAGCCTTAAATTAATCACGACTCCTAAATCCCCTTTACCATGTAAGGTAATACATTCAGAGGCTGCGGGGATTAGAACATACATCCTTAGGGGGCCATTATTCAGCCCACCTCAAGATGTTTCCCCAAAGGCTCCGCACCATCAATGCCTCTGGTATAATGTGGTAACATGGAGCATGACACTGGGGCACAAATCCTGCCTCCAGAACTTAAAAAAAAAATTAAAAGAAAAAAATCAAACCCCATTAAAACGTGGGCAAAGGATATCAACAGACACTTCTCAAAAGAAGACACACATGCAGCCAACAATCACATGAGAAAAAGCTCAATATCACTGATCATTAGAGAAATGCAAATCAAAACCACAATGAGATACCATCTCACACCAGTCAGAATGGCTACTACTAAAAAGTCAAAAAAAAAAAAAAAAAACAGATGCTGTCAAGGTTGTAGAGTAAAAGGAATACTTTTATGCTGTTGGGGGGAGTGTAAATTAGTTCAACCATTGTGGAAGACAGTGTGGCAATTCCTCAAAGACCTAGAGAACTACCATTTAACCCAGCAATGCCATTACTGGGTATATACCCAAAGGAATATAAATCATTCCATTATAAAGACACATGCACACATATGTTCATTGCTGCACTATTCACAATAGCAAAGACATGGAATCAACCTAAATGCCCAACTGTGATAGACTGGATAAAGAAAATATGGTAGTACATATACACCATGGAATACTATGCAGCCATAAAAATGAGATTATGTCCTTTGCAGGGACATGGATGGAGATAGAGGCTATTACCCTTAGCAAACTAACACAGAAACAGAAAATGAAATACTTCATGTTCTCACTTATAAGTGGGAGCTAAATAATGAGAACACACAGACACATAGAGGGGAATAACACACACTGAGGTCTATTGGAGGATAAAGGGTGGGAGGAGGGAGGGAACTAGGAAAAATAACTAATGGATACTAGGCTTAATACACGGGCGATGAAATAATCTGTACAACCAACCCCCATGACACACATTTACCTATGTAACAAGTTTGCACATCCTGCACGTGTACTCCTGAACTTAAAATAACAGTAAAAAAAAAAAAAAAAAAAATCCTGCCTCCAGCCATCATCAACTAGATGCCCTTCAGTAAATTCTTCATTATTTCTGAGGTTAATTGTTGTAACATCTCAGATTGATGTTGAGTATTAAATTTTTAAAAAGCTTGAACAGGGTCTGGGTTTTAGTGCTCAATCAAGGTTAGCTATTATTATTATTATTAAACAAAGAAATAAACATGTATAACTCATAAAAATCAAGATCAGGAGAAGCTGTGTACTTATTTTTTTATTGCATAGTTACTTTGGGGATGCAATGAAAATTTATCAGGACTCAGAAATTGACATTAGTTTTGTCAGCTACAAAATAATTCTGTTTTCACTGAAACTTCACTGAAGTTATTTTTCCATCCATTCAATGGCTCTTTATTGAGGCAATGGCGTTTCCGAGCCTTCATGCAACTTTCCGTTTTCATATAAGTCATTCATTTACTTTTTATTAACAACTTTATTGATTCTAGGGAGTTTTCTGAGAAAGACAGGCAAACCAAGAGAATAGCTCTTATATTTACCTTAATGCTCAAAACAGCATTCAGCCATCCATTTATTTATCCACTCAGAAGACCTTTGTAAAGCACCTCTTCTGTTCCAGGTCCTGTCTACAAAGACCTAGAAAGGAGGGAGAAGGGCAAAAAGAAACAGATTATTATGAATCTATGGGCTTATTATTTTATAAGTCAATATGAAGACAAAATATCATTATAGATAAACTCAATAAGGCAAAGTTGGAAGACTGAGCTTAAGAGCTCAGCCTTGGAAAAGAGACAGATATACACACATATGCAACTGACCACAACAGGAGGCAATAGCTTCCACTTCAAATGGTCTCTGCTCTCCTGTCTGCTTGCCATAAACTTGGCATGGGCCTCTAATACTCTGTGGTGAAACCTACAGTATTCTGCCTTTCTTCTGTGACCCTTTCAGATGTCTAAGGTTAAGCGGAGGCAGGTTTCCTAGTTACACAGATGGAACACTTCCTAGGAAAGCCCCCAACGTTTCCACTGCAAAGGTGGAGACAGCATTTATCCTTCAATTGAGGAACTTTGGTGCTGAAATAATGCTGAGGGCACAGGTGTGAGAGCATGTAAAACAGGGTCTGGCAGCTGGAGATCATTAGTAAGCCCACAGCAGCTCTGTCAAGAGACAAGGTTAACACCCTGTTAATCAGATTAATCCTATCCCAGTCATGCAGTTTTGAATCCCTTGAAATGTTACTTGGCTCTTCTTTTCATCCTTTGACATCATGGTTGACAAAACTGTAGCCATGGCCTTGGAGGTAGGTATGGTCCCTTCTTCTTGGTAGGCCCTTTTACTCTAGAGGTCCACATCAGCAGATGGGCCTGAGACACCATTTGAA
This sequence comes from Homo sapiens, assembly GCF_000001405.40. Classification (NCBI taxonomy): domain Eukaryota; kingdom Metazoa; phylum Chordata; class Mammalia; order Primates; family Hominidae; genus Homo; species Homo sapiens. The sequence goes on along the minus strand of NC_000009.12, from coordinate 7,721,255 downwards.
CCTCTGAATAGAATCAGATCCATGGAAGATTAGGGCTCAAAGCAACCTGCCACTAATAACAGTAATAGGTTTATGGGTCTGCATGTCTTCAGCTCAGATACTTTCTCCTGTCCATATGATGCATCAGCAATTAGCTGGAAGCCCTAGAGTGATTCCAATATGATGATTTTCAGTGATCTGCCATTTTGGACTATTCATATCAATATTTGCATTGAGTGAAATAATGGAGGGATGACAAATAGGCTTTCTTTGGAAGGCCTGAAAATACTCCCTAGTGATAATCCAATTGGTTCTTTTTTCTCTGATACGTAGATCTGTGGCTGTCTTCTGGACAGAGACAATCTTTTCAGACCTGAAGGTGCATGGTCCAGAGCAGTGGTTCTCAAATTCTGGACCCCAAACCAGCAACATCAGCAGCACCTAGGAACTTGTCAGAAATGCCAACTGTTGGTCCCATCCAGACTTTTACAACAGAAACTGGTGGTGGGGCCCAGCCATCTGTGTTTTAATGAGCCTCCTGTGAGATTATAATGCACACTGGAGGTTTAGAGCCGCTGGCCCAGAAAAAGCAGTGCTTCAAAGGTAGGACTGCACCTCATCTTGGAAATGGTCAATGGGCGTGTATATAGTTACAATGTAACAATGCAAAAGAATTTTTATTACTCTAAAATGTGAGCAATTTTTTCTCAAGGAGCAATTTACTCACAGACAAAAATCAGAAGTGTGTGCGTGAAATGTAGTGCTTAGCAAAAACCTGACTAGATTCCTCTCATATGACAGGCTTGCAGTGCCACAAGCAGTGCTGGCAAGTACAGTGTGTGGCTTAGAACTTTAAAGGAAAAAAAAACGTAGTTTATTAATTTTGAAACTAATTAAGGTACAAAAATATAGTATCCCAAACTGTATAAGACATAGGAAGAAAACAGCCCATAAACACCAGATTGGGGACAAATGCTGTAAGAATATCAGATATCACATTTTCACACCACCCCAACTCACTATCAAATCCCGCAGCAGGGTACTACAGAAAAATTGCCTGTCAACAGACTGAAATGAATAGTATGTGATCCCTGGTATAATTTCCTTGGAATTCAATTTATACTAAGTGCACAAAGAGCCAAGGATGGGCGTGGGAATTAGAACACAGAATGGTCATATACATGAGAAAAATTAAATCCTGCAGCTTCCAAAAGGGAATCACCCATGGTCTTGCCCCTCATGGCAGAAGTACCTCTGGCTAAAATTCCTATCCTGCAATTCAGTCAAGTCCTCAGGGGTAGAGATAGCAAGTGGCTGCCCCACGTGCTGCAAACTCAGGCTTAAACTCAGGGCCAATCGCCAGGCTTTCTCTGCCTCAACCAATATTGCTTGGTTATCATTTGTAGCCAATGTGATCTGTCTAAGGAGGTGTTAAATCTCACTGCAAATTAGGATATGTTTATTTCTCTCTTAATTTCTAGCAATGTGTTTGTGGCAGACACTCTGGGTTGTCTGTACTGCAGACATTTCCCCTCTATTTCTTGTTAAGAAAATCTGATTTGGTTTGTGTTGTAAGGATAAATTGAAAGAATTTTAAGTGGATCAAAAGACTATGAGGGACTTTCTATTGAAAACTAAGTGTTGTTTGGAGCTTACTCTTCCACCTATCTACTTTGTGTTATTTGTGCCTTTCATCATCTTTGAGCTATTTTACAATCCTGCCGAGACAGACATTAATTTGTAGAAAACTGGTGAAAGACAAATATTTCTTGTTTATAAATATACACATAAATTATATTCAATTGAGGTTCAATTGACTTTCTTTCCCCACAGTAAAAAGAAGCTAACTTTACATTGATTAAATAAATTCATTTCAGCAATCATCTTTTTTTTTTCATTTTTCACTCTGTTGCCCAGGCTGGAGTGCAGTGCTGTGATCTCGGCTCACTGCTACCTCCACCTCCTGGGTTCAAGCAATTATCCCGCCTCAGCCTCCCAAATAGCTGGGATTGCAGGTGTGCGCCCACCATGCCCGGGTAATTTTTGTATTTTTAGTAGCGATGGGGTTTCACCATGTTGGCCAGGCTGGTCTCGAACTCCTGACCTCAAGGTACCCACCCACCTCAGCCTCCCAAAATGCTGGGATTACAGGCATGAGCCACGGTGCCTGGCCCAAGCAATCATCTTCTGTATTTGTTTGTTTGTTCTTTCGATTATTTAAAAATATATATATTTTTTAATTTTTTTTATTATACTTTAAGTGCTAGGGTAAATGGGTACAATGTACAGGTTTGATACATAGGTATGCATGTGCCACGTTGGTTTGCTGCCCCCATCAACTCATCATTTACATTAGGTATTTCTCCTAATGCTATCCCCCAACAGGCCCCGGTGTATGATATTCCCCACCCTGTGTCCAAGGGATCTCATTGTTCAGTTCCCACCTATGGGTGAGAACATGCAGTGTTTAGCTTTCTGTCCTTGTGACAGTTTGCTGAGAATGATGGTTTCTAGCTTCATCCATGTCCCTGCAAAGGACATGAACTCATTCTTTTTAATGGGTGCATAGTATTCCATGGAGTATATGTGCCACATTTTCTTAATCCAGTCTATCATTGATGGACATTTGGGTTGGTTCCAAGTCTTTGCTATTGTGAATAGTGCAGTAATAAACATATGTGTGCATGTGTCTTTATGGTAGCATGATTTATAATCCTTTGGGTATATACCCAGTAATGGGATTGCTGGGTCAAATAGTAATTCTAGTTCTAGATCCTTGAGGAATTGCCACACTGTCTTCCACAATGGATGAACTAATTTACACTCCCATCAACAGTATAAAAGTGTTCCTATTTCTCCACATCCTCTCCAGCATCTGTTGTTTCCTGACTTTTTAATGATCTCCATTCTAACTGGTGTGAGATGGTACCTCACTGTGGTTTTGATTTCCATTTTTCTGATGACCAGTGATGATGAGCATTTTTTCATGTGTCTGTTGGCTGCATAGATGTCTTCTTTTGAGAAGTGTCTGTTCATATCCTTTGCCCACTTTTGATGGGGTTGTTTTATTCTTGCAAATTTGAGTATTTGGTGATTTTGGATATTAGCTTTTTGTCAGATGGGTAGATTGCAAAAATTTTCTCCCATTCTGTAGGTTGCCCGTTCACTCTGATGGTAGTTTCTTTTGCCATGCAGAAGCTCTTTAGTTTAATTAGATCCCATTTGTCTATTTTGGCTTTTGTTGCCACTGCTTTTGGTGTTTTAGTCATGAAGTCCTTGCCCATGCCTATGTCCTGAATGGCATTGCCTAGGTTTTCTTCTAGAGTTTTTATGGTTTTAGGTCTAACATTTAAGTCTTTAATCCATCTTGAATTAATTTTTGTATGAGGTATAAGGAAGGGGTCCAGTTTCAGCTTTCTACATACGGCTAGCCAGTTGTCCCAATGCAATTTATTAAATAAGGAATCCTTTCCCCATTTCTTGTTTTTGTCAGGTTTGTCAAAGATCAGATGGTTGTAGATGTGTGGTGTTATTTCTGAGGCCTCTGTTCTGTTCCATTGGTCTATATCTCTGTTTTGGTACCAGTACCATGCTGTCTTGGTACCAGTACCATGCTGTTTTGGTTAGTGTAGCCTTGTGGTATAGTTTGAAATCAGGTAGCGTGATGCCTCCAGCTTTGTTCTTTTTCCTTAGGATTCTCTTGGCAATGCGGGCTCTTTTTTGGTACCATATGACTTTAAAGTAGTCTTTTCCAATTCTGTGAAGAAAGTCATTGGTAGCTTGATGGGGATGGCATTGAATCTATAAATTACTTTGGGCAGTATGACCATTTTCACGATATTGATTCTTCCTATCCTTGAGCATGGAATATTCTTCCATTTGTTTGTGTCCTCTTTTATTTCCTTGAGCAGTGGTTTTTAGTTCTCCTTGAAGTGGTCCTTCATATCCTTCACAAGTTGGATTCCTAGGTATTTTATTCTTTTGTAGTAACTGTGAATGGGAGCTCACTCATGATTTGGCTGTCTGTCTGTTCTTGGTGTATAGGAATGCTTGTGATTTTTGCACATTGATTTTGTATCCTGAGACTTTGCTAAAGTTGCTTATCAGCTTAAGGAGATTTTGGGCTGAGAAGATGGGGTTTTCTAAATATATAATCATGTCATCTGCAAACAGAGACAATTTGACTTCCTCTTTTCCTAATTGAATACCCATTATTTCTTTCTCTTGCCTGATTGCCCTGGCCAGAACTTCCAATACTATGTTGAATAGGAGTGGTGAGAGAGGGCGTCCCTGCCTCGTGCTGGTTTTCAAAGGGAATGCTTCCAGTTTTTACCCCTTCAGTATGATATTGGCTGTGAGTTTGTCATAAATAGCTCTTATTAGTTTGAGATATGTTCCATCGACACCTTGTTGATTGAGAGCTTTTAGCATGAATTTTGTCAAAGGCCTTTTCTGCATCTATTGAGATAATCATGTGGTTTTTGTTGCTGGTTCTGTTTATGTGATGCATTACGTTTATTGGTTTGCATATGTTGAACCAGCCTTGCATCCCAGGGATGAAGCTGACTTGATCTTGGTGGATAAGCTTTTTGATGTGCTGCTGGATTCGGTTTGCCAGTATTTTATTGAGGATTTTCGCATCAATGTTCATCAGGGATATTGGTCTAAAATTCTCTTTTTTTTGTTGTTGTGTCTCTGCCCGGCTTTGGTATCAGGATGATGCTGGCATCATAAAATGACTTAGGGAAAATTCTCCCTTTTTCTATTGATTAGAATAGTTTTAGAAGGAATGGTACCAGCTCCTCTTTGTACCTCTGATAGAATTCGGCTGTGAATCCGTCTGGTCCTGGATGTTTTTTGGTTGGTGGGCTATTAATTACTGCCTCAATTTCAGAACCTGTTATTGGTCTATTCAGGGGTTCGACTTCTTCCTGGTTTAGTCTCGGGGGGTGTATGTGTCCAGGAATTTATCCATTTCTTCTAGATTTTATAGTTTATTTGTATAGAGGTGTTTATAGTATTCTCTGATGGTAGTTTGTATTTCTGTGGGATCGGTGGTGTAATCCCCTTTATCATTTTTTGTTGCGTCTATTTGATTCTTCTCTCACTTCTTTTTTATTATTCTTGCTAGCACTCTATCAATTTTGTTGATCTTTTCAAAAAACCAGCTCCTGGATTCATTGATTTTTTGAAAGGTTTTTTGTGTCTCTATCTCTCAGTTCTGCTCTGTTCTTAGTTATTTCTTGCCTTCTGCTAGCTTTTGAATTTGTTTGCTCTTGATTCTCTAGTTCTTTTAATTGTGATGTTAGGGTGTCGATTTCAGATCTTTCCTGCTTTCTCTTGTGGGCATTTCGTGCTATAAATTTCCCTCTCCACACTGCTTTAATGTGTCCCAGAGATTCTGGTATGTTGTGTCTTTGTTCTCATTGGTTTCAAAGAACATCTTTATTTCTGCCTTCATTTCATTATTTACCCAGTAGTCATTCAGGAGCAAGTTGTTCTGTTTCCATGTAGTTGTGCAGTTTTGAGTGAGTTTCTTAATGCTGAGTTGTAATTTATTGCACTGTGGTCTGAGAGACAGTTTGTTGTGATTTCTGTTCTTTTATATTTACTGAGGAGTGCTTTACTTCCATTTATGTGATTAATTTTAGAATAAGTGTGATGTAATGCTCAGAAGAATGTATATTCTCTTGAGTTGAGGTGGAGAGTTCTGTAGATGTCTATTCGGTCTGCTTAGTGCAGAGCTAAGTTCAAGTCCTGGATATCCTTGTTAACCTTCTGTCTCGTTAATCTGTCTAATATTGACAGTGGGGTGTTAAAGTCTCCCATTATTATTGTGTGGGAGTCTAAGTCTCTTTGTGGGTCTCTCAGGACTTGCTTTATGAAACTGGGTGCTCCTGTATTGGGTGCATATATATTTAGGATAGTTAGCTCTTCTTGTTGAATTGATCCCTTTTCCATTATGTAATAGCCTTCTTTGTCTCTTTTGATCTTTGTTGGTTTAAAGTCTGGTTTATCAGAGACCAAGATTGGTCTCTGCTTTTTTTTTGCTTTCCATTTGCTTGGTAGATCTTCCTCCATCCCTTTATTTTGAGCCTATGTGTGTCTTTGCAGGTGAGATGGGTCTCCTGAATACAGCACACTGATGGGTCTTGACTGTTTATTCAATTTGCCAGTCTGTGTCTTTTAATTGGGGCATTTAGTCCATTTACATTTAAGGTTAATATTGTTGTGTGTTAATTTGATCCTGTCATTATGATGTTTGCTGGTTATTTGCCTGTTAATTGATGCAGTTGCTTCCTAGCATCGATGTTCTTTACAATTTGGCATGTTTTTGCAGTGACTGGTACCAGTTGTTCCTTTCCATGTTTAGTGTTTCCTTCAGTTACTCTTGTAAGGCAGGCCTAGTGGTAAAAAAATCTCTCAGCATTTGCTTGTCTGTAAAGGATTTTATTTCTCCTTCACTTATGAAGCTTAGTTTGGCTAGATATGAAATTCTGGGTTGAAAATTCTTTCCTTTAAGAATGTTGAATATTGGCCCCCACTCTCTTCTGGCTTGTAGGGTTTCTGCTGAGGGATCCATTGTTAGTATGATGGGCTTCCCTTTGTGGGTAACCTGATCTTTCTCTCTGGCTGCCCTTAACACTTTTCCCTTCATTTCAACCTTGGTGAATCTGACAATTATGTGTCTTTGGGTTGCTCTTCTCGAGGAGTATCTTTGTGGTGTTCTCTGTATTTCCTGAATTTGAATGTTGGCCTGCCTTGCTAGGTTGGGGAAGTTCTCCTGGATAATATCCTGAAGAGTGTTTCCCAACTTGGTTCTATTCTCCCCATCACTTTCAGGTACACCAATCAAACACAGATTTAGACTTTTTCCATATTTCTTGGAGGCTTTGTTCATTTCTTTTCTCTTTTTATCTCTAACCTTGTCTTCTTGCTTTATTTCATTAATTTGATCTTCAATCACTGATACCCTTTCTTCCACTTGATTGAATCAGCTATTGAAGCTTGTGCATGCATCACGAAGTTCTCGTGCCATGGTTTTCAGCTCCCTCGGGTCATTTAAGGTCTTCTCTACCCAGTTTATTCTAGTTAGCCATTCGCCTAATCTTTTTTCAAGGTTTTTAGCTTCCTTGCGATGGTCTAGAGCATGCTCCTTTAGCTTGGAGAAGTTTTGTTATTACCGATCTTCTGAAGCCTGCTTCTTTCAACTCATCAAAGTCATTCTCCACCCAGCTTTGTTCTGTTGCTGGTGAGGAGCTGCGAGCCTTTGGAGGAGAAGAAGCCCTCTGGTTTTTAGAATTTTCAGCTTTTCTGCTCTGGTTTCTCCCCATCTTTGTGGTTTTATCTACCTTTGGTCTTTGATGTTGGTGACCTACAGATGGGGTTTTGGTGTAGATGACCTTTTTGTTGATGTTGATGCTATTCCATTCTGTTTGTTAGTTTTCCTTCTAACATTCAGGTTCCTCAGTTGCAGGTCTGTTAGAGTTTTCTGGAGGTCCACTCCAGACCCTTTTTCCTGGGTATCACCAGCAGAGGCTGCAGAACAGCAAATACTGCTGCCTGATCCTTCCTCTGGAAGCTTCGTCTCAGAGGGGGAACCGCCTATATGAGGTGTCTGTTGGCCCCTACTGGGAGGTGTCTCCCAGTTAGGCTACACGGGGGTCAGGGACCCACTTGAGGAAGCAGTATGTCCATTCTCAGGGCTCAAATGCCTTGCTGGGAGAACCACTGCTCTTTTCAGATCTGTCAGATAGGGATGTTTAAGTCTGCAGAAGTTGTCTGCTGCCTTTTGTTCAGCTATGCCCTGCCCACAGAGGTGGAGTCTAGAGGCAGTGGGCCTTGTTGAGCTGCAGTGGTCTCCACCCAGTTTGAGCTTCCCAGCCACTTTGTTTACCTACTCAAGCCACAGCAATGGTGGACGCCCCTCCCCCAGCCAGGCTGTCGCCTCGCAGTTTGATCTCAGACTGCTGCGCTAGCAGTGAGCAAGGCTCCATGGGTGTGGGACCTGCCAAGTCAGGCACAGTAGAGAATCTCCTTGTCTGCCAGTTGCTAAGACCTTGGGAAAAGCGCGGTATTTGGGCAGGAGTGTCCCACTTTCCCAGGTAAGTCTGTCATGGCTTCTGTTGGCTAAGAAAGGGAAATCCCTCGACCCCTTGCACTTCCCATGTGAGGCGATGCCCCACCCTGCTTCAGCTCACCCTCCATGGACTGCACCCACTGTCCAACCAGTCCCAATGAGATGAACCAGGTACCTCAGTTGGAAATGCAGGAATCACCTGTCTTCTGTGTCGATCACGCTGGAAGCTGCAAACTGGAGCTGTTCCTATTCGGCCATCTTGGACTACTTTCGCATTCTCTGGATTTTTTTTTTTTTTTTTTTTTTTTTGGAACTGGTTGTAACTTTTTTTGTGGTTCCCTCTTTAATTAATGAATTAAACAAAATCTTTTATACATATTCATTTTATATCTGCATAACAGTCATGATTAAACCTTTAAAAAATAATTAGCCTGTAACAATGTATTCTGCAACAGTATACCCAGGAAATATAGGCACCTTCCTAATTCTAGGACATAAATCATGAAAAATCTGCTACAACTATGATAAAGGTAATATTATTCTCTTTTGCCTCTGATTGGTTTGGAGGTTATCATGTGACTACATTCTGGTCAATGAGAAATATATCAGGAGGTTCTGAGAGAAGTGTACTTCCCTGATAAATAAAGTGAATGAGAGCTAGCAGAGGAAAGTAGGAAATGCATTTTCTCTCTTGCCCTTAGATGTTGTCTTGTGAGAGCAGGGTGCTTGGAAATGCAGCTGCCATCTTCAATAACACTGAGGGAAGCTAAAGAAAATCTCAGATAAGCCATCTCTGAGTCCTGACATCATTTATTGAACCTCTGCATTAGTCAATCAACTCAGGGACTACTTCTCCCAGAGCTATTAAATTAGGTAATAATTCCTCAGAGTTTAATCTGTGTCAGTTGGTTATTTAATTACATGCATCTATAAGCATTTTAACAAATCTAGTTACAGATTCCGAAAGAAAAAGTACCTAGGCAATCTGACATGGTCTAAACAGTCCTATGGTAAGTCATGTGTGCAGTGATTGTAACGGTAGGTAGAAAAAGGTGGCTGTGGTGGGTTGGACAAGGGAAGGACATTGATCAACAGGATAGAAGGGTGGGATGTGATAGGAAGACAGAAGCAGTGGTTAGAAGAGTTTTAGTGGAGCAGCAGTGCTATGGTCTGAATGTTTGTGTTTCCCCAAAATTTATAGGTTGAAACCTAATATCTAATGCAATCATATTAAGAGTTGGGGACCTTCAGAAGTGATTAGGTCATGAGAGGAAATCCCTCATGCATGGGATTAGTGCCCTTATGAAAGAGACCAGAAGGTGCATGTTTGCCTTTTCTTTCTGCCATGTGTGGACACAGTAAAAAGGCACCATATATGAAATGAGCCTTCATAAGTCACCAAATCTCCTGGCACATTCATCTTCAACTATCCAGCTTCTAGAATTGTGTGAACAAAGACAGGCAGTTAGCAAAAAGTGTTTTCCATTTGTGCATTGTTGTGCCTAAACAACCCGTAGTCTCTCTGGCCCCAGTTGCCTACTAAAGATTACATAACCACAAAGCTAGACTAGCCTCCAGACCTCCTATCCCCAATGAGATACTGATTTCAACTATAAATGAAAATTAGGTATGCCACATTCACAGTGATCCGTGCATCATCTTCATCACTTCTGTTTTATTGAATGTTTACTTCATGGCAGTAAATTTGATAAACATATCATTATGTACATTATGTTATTTGATCTACACAATTCTACGATTGGATATGGTAGATTGTTGCAGTCCCAATTTGGTTTTGTCTCTCCGTAACTACACCCTTGGGTAGTCAACTCTCACACTGACTCTGGGCTTGGCCAATGGGACAACGTGCCTTGTGTTGGCTAGTAGAACAATAACATGATACAGGCAAAGGCTTGTAATAAACTTGACCACTGGGGGATGTCCTATGTTGATGCTCCTGGGAATGTTGAGATTGGTGCTATATGAATAAGCCCAAACTAGCCCATTGGAGACATGTGGTATATTCATCCCCATGACCTTAACAAACAACCAGTACCAACAAACAGCCAGCACAAATCACAAGACATATGGCCATTGTAGACCAACTAGTCCCCAGTTAACCCTTAGCTGCATGCAGCCACATCCATCAGTTCAAGTGAAGCCAGCAGAAAAACTATCTCACTGAACTCAACTCCAAATTGTCAGCTCTTAGAACCATGAGCTATTAAATTATCTTTAATCCCCTAAACTATAGTCAACAAAGACTAATTGATAAACTGGAATGTATAATATCCATGTCCCAATTTTACAGGCAAGGAAAACCAAGAGGAAAAATGCCCAAGGCTATACAACTAACAAAGGCTGCATTTATGATTAAAACCCAAATCTATCTGACTTCAAAGCCCCTGTCTTTGACAGCAATCTCAAACAATATATTCTGAGCAAACCACTAATTGCAAAGAACAAGAAATATGCCCCTAAAACCTTCCTACTTTTCTGAATGACATATGAATTTCTCAACCTTGATCTCTTTAACCCAGTGGTAAATGTAACTATCACTAGCTTGTACTATTAGTAAAACACTAAATTAAAAAAAGTTTTGTCGGTTTATGATTCACTGCAAAATGTAGCATTTCTTGTTGTTGTTGTTGTTGTTTGCTTTTTGTCCTGAATTTACAATTTTAGGTTCATAGGTTTGGCCCAGTTTCTGATAAAGTAGGATTCTGTGAAAATTTTCATATTCCCTATAACTTTGTGGCTTCATGATGTCTTTCCATGTACCTGTGTGTTTGCCTATGATGTTTCCTTCATATCCCTAATATCTACCCTCCTCATATAAAGACCGTCATTCTGATTCAATGGCAGTCCTGAGCTCTCCCATCAGAGTTACTGCCTCTCCTTTGCGTTTTATGGCATTTGGCACATACCTCTATTATAGTGCCTACAATACTTGCTCTCATACCTGTCTTTTCCACTAAACATATTCCGTATTGAATCCTCAACACCTAGGATAGTATTTGGCATGCAGCAGAGGCTAAATAAACTTTGTTAAATAAATGAATTAAATAATCAATCAATCAAAAATAAAACTGTTCTCAACTCACTTCTTCAGTTGTATCTCAAATGATTCCTCATCTCCCATCCTCTATTTCAATTAAATTGAATTACTTCTCCATATAGACCTCCCTACATGTTGAAGAGACAGGCTGGATATTCATTCATCAAGCCCATTTTCTCTTCTTCCTGGGTACACACATTTCTCTTCTCACTAGACTACATTTTCCAGCATCTCTTGCACTTGGGTGTGGACATGTGCTTAAGTTTTGGTTAATAGAATATAAGCAGAAGTGATTTGTACACCTTCCAGGCCTGGGCCACAGAAATTTCCTAAACTGTTTTTTCCATACTCTTTCTCCTTTTACCAGCTTAATGTAGGTGAGCACAGTGACCTTGGAGGTATTAAAGATGAGGAAGCCAAAAGATGGTCCTTCAATCACCGCTTGTCAGATAGTCAGAACTAAACAAAAATTTCCATTTTGGACTTTATGGGAACAAGAATTAAACTTCTATTCTGTTAAATCACTGAGATTTGGGGATTTATCTGTTATCCCTGCAAACTTTATCTCAACTAATATACTGATGCTGTATCTTTGGTTTTCTGTAGCTCCACTATATCGTACATCCTTGTCTCTAATATGTGCTTCTCCAGTTGTACCCACACTTTGAGATACAACTTTAGCCATTATGCCTTCCATGGTCCTTCCAATGGACACTAGTCTTCCTCTGAAATACTCTGATGTTTTACCTTCATATCTCTTAGACATGTGCTGTGTTCTACTTGCATCACTGATATTTAAGTTATATTTCTAAACATAAAATGCTAACATTCAAATAACCCTGTGATATGAATCTTGTCTTACTCATCTCTATTGTCTTCACATCACTCAACATGCAGCCTTATGCCAAGCAGACACATAAGACATTTTTTCAAATCTGTATTTGTGCTCTGCACACATCATGTTTTAGACATAAATACACTTACCCATCTTGAGGCAAGTATATTAATTTGTTTTTATTTTCTTTTTAGTCTGCCCTCTTTTTCTTGATTTTTCTTCTCCTTAGGCATTTTTCCTTGCCATGTCTCATAACTGTTTCCAGTGCCATTAGATCTTTCTTGAGGACCCATGATCAGAATGACATGGAGTCCAATATTCCAGATGTGGCTCTCCCATTAATATATTGGGCAACATTAACCACTGGGGTTTTGATGAGTCTTTATGGGAGATAACATAGTGATTACATCTTTCTCCCCTAAACCCAAAAATGTGTCTGTCATTTAAAAAAACAATTAAATCATCTATTTTAAGTTGATGGAGTATAAATCAAGAGTTTTTTAGAATAGAACCCATTCTGAGGGTTGGCTTCATCTCCTTCTTTCAGACCACAGAGCCCTAATGGGAGTCATTTGAGGTTGGAAAAGCTAAACATAATAGGTCCTGGATTTCCTGAACTATACTGAAGACTGTAACATTTAGAAACAGAACTCTGAGCATTAAATCCTCTGAGAAGGAGGAAGATTTAAATTCCTCTAGAGCACTTAATGTTTTCTTTTTGCCTTTTTAATCCCTTAAATGGAAATGAATTTAGAATAGTCTGCGCCCAGTGGAAACCGGGTTTTGGTTTTTAACATCTATACATCTAAACCTTGCAAAGGTGAGTTTTAGGTGTTAAAAAATTTTACATCATGTTAAAAAAATGAGCAGAAGGAATGAACTCTTTATTCCTATACAACACAAAAATCTTAGAGAAAATTCCAATTTTCCTGTAAAACCTACAGGGATTTTTTTTTTCTCATTTGTGTGCTCTTCTCTCTTCCAAGCCCCTGGTAACACCCTACCAGGGACTGGCACAGGGATGTCATGGGGTGGGAAACATAAGCACCTGAGGACTGTCAATAGAACCATAAAAAACAGTGCGATGGTGCAGTCAGACATGGTAAAAGGTAGATGGCAATAAGGTTAATGCTGATGATGAAATCAGCAAGTGTCAAGCAGACAATGCATGGTGAAACCATCTGATAAATGGAAAAGGAATGCAGAATGGTAATTAGAAAATACTTCCATGGTTATCGTAGAAAAGTCTGAAAGCCTTCAGCTTAACCCCATGCAGCTGAGAAAGGAAAAGCGCGGCTTGAGTATTGCTGGAGGAATACATTATCTATCAAAGTGAGGGCAATCTCTGAAGATTTTTTCAGGGAAAACCAACTTCAGAAATTTTATCCTCTTTTTCTCTTTCCTGCTTTGTTTCTCTAACCACCCTGCTTTATTTAATAGCAATCAGTCCAAAGCACTTCTGTGATGAAGAATGCACTGTAGTAAAAGCACTCTCATCAGGCCCGATTATACTTTCCACCACTGCTACTTAATTACCAGGTCTGTGACCTTAGCCAATATTCTCATCTCTCTGTAGCTCAGCTTTCCAAGGGGTTAGGTTGGCTGATCTCTAGAGTCCTTTCTGGTTCTCAAGTTCTCTGATTCTTTCATTCTTGACCTCAAAGTCTTTTTCTACCCTAATTTACATTATTTAGTATCTGTCTATCACAGGAGCAGCCCAGATGGATTTCTAATATCTGCCAGCCCCCAGAATTTATCACTCAATAAAGGAAGCTTGCTTAGGAGTCAGGAATTAATGAAGGCCTATGACTTTAAGTGGCCAAAATTGAGATGAGCTGGTATAAGATTTTTAGATAGCCCCATGGTGAGTTGAAGCCTCAGAGCACCTTAGGGTTGGCTAAGCACTGAAAATTTAAGAAAGTTAATATTTCTGTGTGAGACTGAGATGATGAATTATTTATTATTTTCAGTAGGCATATATTGGAACCAACTCAATTTGGTGTTTACATTTGTAAGAAAAGCACATTTGGGGTAAGGGTGGCACCAGGAGTCATTGGCTGCCAATCTTTCTAGAGCAGGTTTTTAGCAGACAGAATTTTCCTGGTTCATTTACTATAGTCCACAGTAAAACCTGCATTGTAGGCTCAAAAATGTCATTTGGCAACAAATCTTTAATATATCTAAGCTCCCATATGAATATTAACTAGTTCCCAGTGATTACTGTGTAGACCTGGATGTCAATTTTATTAAGTTATAGGAATTTATATATTCTGGCCATGCAGGTAGCATGACTGGTACATTATTTTCCACCAAATTACTAGTAGGGATTCCTTTGGAGCAAAGAATCATAATAGAGGAGCAAATGCAAGAAGAGCTCATCAACTGAAAAAAGCTTTGGAAGCTCTTTTCTGGCATAGGAATAGCCAAGCCAATGGGAATATGACAAATACTCCTTGGTACTTATAGACTTAATAGTTCTGGTCTTGACTATTTATGACTGACCCCAAGGACCTATAAATGACTGGAGACATGGTGAACACAAACACAGAAGCAAGGCAGTTTTTCCAAATGTAGTATGTGCACCACTAATGGTATGCAGAATGCTTGTAAAAGATAAAAATCCATGTGTACATAAGTGACCCAATTTAAGATTTAAATCACCCCTGCATTTAAATTATAAATACAACATTTCAGCTTATATAAAGCAAAAGGATTGAAAGCAAAATATGTATTAAGGATAAAGGAGGGAAGAAGTTGAGGGTTACATTTGAAGGGGTTAATGTGGAAAGGGGTAGGCCCTAGGAGCAGGAAAGGAGAATTTTTGGAACAAAGCTTACAAATTACCTGAGGGTTTTGTTAAAATGCACATTCTGATTCAGCAGATGTGGGGTGGGCTGAGGGTCTGTATTTCTAACAAGCTTCCAGATGATACTGATCTGATCCAAATGCCATGCCTTGGGTAGCAAGGAAGATTCTAGAATCTTTCACTCCACCAGAATGGAAATGGCCTCCAGGTGAACTGGAGATAAAAGTTTCTATGATATTTAATTTTCTAGTTACATTCTATTTATCAAAGTGACATAGGCATACCTATAGTAACAATATTACTTTACTTCCATCTAACTCTATTTTAGTAAAAAAAAGTGAGTTGTTTTCAAGATAAATATTAAGTAAGTATGAGTAAAAGTGTACTTTAAATTTCAAAAACTGTAACATAGGTTTGCAACTGACTTATGGAAAAGTGCTGACATGAAGAGTGAACGTACACTCAGTATCCCATTATTCAAACTATGTGGTTTCTCACTTTAATACTTTAATACAAGAGCTTATTTAAACTTTACAACAGCTAATGAAGTTGACACTTTAAATCTGTTTTACAGATGAGGAAATTGGTTTATACCCATTATCCCATTATTCAGATCATGTGGTCTTGTTCTCATTTTAATACAGGATTTAATTTAAACTTTACAACAGCTTTATGAAGTTGATATTTTTAATCTCTATTACAGATGAAAAAATTGGTTGAATTCTATGATATTTGGGGATTATTGAAGGTCTCAGGATATTGTCTCTTATACTTGACATTTACTCCCTGAGGCACCCCTGCCCTTCTTCCTAGGCACTGCTGTCTTTGAGCACTCCCTTCCCTGCACATTTATGGTTAAACAAGCCACTTTGCTTTTACTCATTCATTATTCAGATGTGTTAACACTATCAATAAGAATACTTTCTCCATCCTGGAAATCACCCCACATCTTCAAAGTGATGTCCAACATCTTTGTCCTTATTCATTGTGTTGACTTTATTATTGAACTCTCAAGGCACATTCTTATTTTCAGTTTCTTGTGGGGCAACTCACTGTATCTTCCATGTACTGGATATTTTGATTCCTAGTAAATCAGTTGCTTATCTAAGGCAGAGGAGCGATGGCAGAACTCCAAGCAAACTTCTTCACTTGCAGTTCTCTCAGTGGATAATAATAACCTATCACAATGATATCCATTATAATGAACACTTCGTGCTTTCCCTTTGTAATAAGACCTTGTTACTGAGCTAAGGCTCTGTATGCAATAAGACAAGATTGACTTCTAAGAATTGAAGTCATCAATAAGTTTGATCTTATGGTCTTAGAAACCTTGGGGTGACTTAGTTTAATTGGGAAAGAGCTGTAGCTAACATAAATCCAAACAGACTTACTGAGAGGAAAGTCATTATTAAAATAACCCAAGTGCTTAGATACATAACCAAAAGAATCCGGGGACAAATAATTCTGTACTAAAGGGTAATAAACATTTGAGAGAACTTATAAAAACAGAGATGGCAGGAACAACTTGTCCAAAAGATAGGACTGGCAAGTGAGCTTATTAGAGGGAAAAAAATAAAAAAATCAACTGCAAAATAGAAAGATTGAACTAAAGATAAAAATAAAAATGGTCATTTTCTTTATCTCATGAGTCTTTATTAATCTTTTTTGTTCAGTGTATAAACTGTGCACTATAGCTGACTTTCAGATTACATTACTGAGAGTAATAAAGCAGCATATAGCTCTCTGGGTGAGTCTATTTACTCACTGGGCTTATCAGTAAAAGTGAGTGATATGATAGCAACAATAAGGTAGCAGTAATGGAAAGGATACTTAACCAGATCACCAGAGAACTAGATTCTAACACCAATTTTGCCATTAGCTAATTGTACTGAAATGGACAATTCGTTTGCCAGCTGAGGATCTTGGTTTCCTCACTGATAAAACCATGATATTAAACCAGATAATCCTAAGAACTATTTCAGCTTGATGTGACTTGGCTGTCTCCCCCACCCAAATCTCATCTTGAATTGTAGCTCCCATAATCCTCACGTGTTGTGGGAGGGAGCTGGTGGGAGATAACTGAATCATGGGGATGGTTTCCCCCATACTGTCCTAGTGGTAGTGAATAAGTCTCACAAGATCTTACGGTTTTATAAGGGGAAATCCCTTTCGCTTGTTTCTCATTCTTTCTTGCCTGCTGCCATGTAAGACATGCTTTTCACCTTCTGTCATGATTGTAAGGCCTCCCAGCCACGTGGAACTGTGAGTCCATTAAACCTCTTTTTCTTTATAAACTACCCATTCTCGAGTATGTCTTCATCAGCAGCATGAAAATGGACTAATACACAGCTCTACCCTTACCTGCTTCAGGGCTGGAACTAGACCAGATGCTCTCCTGAGGTCTCTTCCAATAAAGGATCTCTGATTTTTAATTACATCGAGACATAAATATTGCAAAAGTATATCCATCCTTATAAATATGTGTTGTGCTTATTATGCTTTGGATAATAGTTATTGGCAATCAAGGAATCACTTGTTTTAGCCCTGACCATATCAGTAGTCCCTTCAGTTTCTAATGTGAGGTTGACTTTTTCTTCAGGTTATGATTATGAACCCATTCATTCATTCTCTCTCTCTCTCTCTCTCTCTCTCTCTCTCTCTCTCTCTAATTGAGTCTAAAATTTCCTTGGGGTAGGTCATACCTATTTACCCAGGTTAAGTTTGGAAGAAAGGTATTAAAGAGACAGACCAGCTGCCCTCTAACAGCATCACCCCCTTGGGGTACAGCAGCTCAATTTTATCAGTCCAAGACTTTTGAGATCAATTCATGTTAATCAGAGTGACTAATTCACAACAAGAAATTAACAGTTTAAAAACAAAACAAAACAAAAAACCTCTCAGGAGGGCAGAGCAAGATGGCTTAATAGAAGCATATGCTATCTTTCCCCCAGCAGTAACACCAAATTTTAACTACTACAAAATTTAACTACTACACACAACAAAGCCCTTTCACAAGAACCAAAAATCAGGCAAGCAATCATAGTACCTGGCTTCAACTTTATATCACTGAAAGAAGCACTGAAGAGGCTAGGAGAGACAGTCTTGAATCATTGACACTACCTCTCCTCCTCCACCCCCAAGCAGCAGCAATGTAGGATGGAGGGTCTGTGCACTTCCAGGAGGGAGAATACAGTCACTGAGGGACATTACATTGAACGCAGCACTACCCTGTCACAGAGGAGAGCAAAGCCATGCTGGGCTCAGCCAGTGCCTTTGCACAGAAGAAGCATTTGAATCAGATCTAGCCAGAGGGGAATTGCCCATCCCAGCTGGTGGAACTCGAATTTCCCTGCTGGCCAAAGTGATCAGAGGTTCTAGGTAAACTTGACAGGTGGTCTAGGACACAAGGACTGCAATTCTTAGGCAAGTCCTAGTACTGGTCTGGGCTTAGAGCTGGTGGACTTGGGTGGGGGCACGTGACCTAATGAGATACCAGATGCAGTGGCAAAGGAAGTACTTGCACCATCCCTCCCCAGTCCCAGTCAGTGGAGTCCAGAGCAATGAAAGTGACCCCTTCCTTCTGCTTGAGGAGAGGAGAGCAAAGAGTAAAGAGGACCTTGCCTTGCATCTTGGAGACCAGCTCAGACATGGTAGAATAGGGCACCAGGCAGAGTTGTGAAGCCCCCATTATAGGCCTTAGCTCAAGGACATTTCTAGACATACCCTCAGCCAAAAGAGAACCCACTGCCTTGAAGGGAAGGACTCAGTCCTGGCAGGATATGTCACCTGCTGCCTAAAGAACTCTTGGGTCCTAAATAACCAATAGCAACATCCAGGTAGTACACTGTGGGCCTTGGGCTCTGAGACATGCTGGCTTCAGGTGTGATGCAGCACATTCCCAGCTATGGTGGCTATGGTGAAAGATACCTTCTGTTTGAGAAAAGCAGAGGGAAAGTAAAGGGGACTTTTTCTTGCACCTGAGGTACCAGCTCAGCCACAGAGGGTAAAGCACCAAGCAAACTCTTGGGTTTCTCAAGTCCAGGTCTGGGCCCTTAGACAGTATTTCTGAACCTGTCCTGGATTGGAGGGGAGCCAACTCCCCTGAAGAGTGAGTCCCAGTCCTGACAGCATTCACCACAAGTTGACTGAAGAGCCTTTGGAATTTAAGTGAACATTGGTGGTGGCCTGGCAGAATCCTTCATGGGCTGGTGGTAGTGTTGGCAACTGGGAGAGGCTCCTCTGCGCCTGTAGAAAAGAGATGGAAGAGCAGGAAGAACTTTTGCCTTGTGGTTTGAGTGTCAGCTTAGATTCAGTAGAAGAGAACATCAGGTACATTTCTACAGCTTTTTACTCCAATCCCTGGCTCTCGGACAGCATTTCTGGACCCAACACACTGCCCTGAAAGGAGGGATAAAACCTGGCTGGCTTTGTCACCTGCTGATTATAGAGACCTAGGGCCTTGAGGGAACATAGGTGATAGCCAGGTATTAGTTACCTCGGGCCTTCAGCAAGACCCAGTGCTGTACTGGCTTCGGGTATGAGCCAGCATAGTTCCAATGGTAGTGGCCACAGCGGTGCTCATGTCCCTTCACCCCCAGTTCCAGGCAGCTCAACATAGAGAGAATGACTCCATTTTGCAGGGAGAAAGTAAGGGAAAAAAACAAGAGTCTCTGCCTGGTAATCCAGAGAGTTGTTCCAGATCTTGTCCAAGACTACCAAGGTAGTACCTCTATGAGTCTCCAAGAGCCACAGTGCTATTGGTCTTGGGACTGAAGTCCCTTCTAATACCTGGAAAGCATTCCTGAGAAGGTAATAAGCCCAAATTGCAAAGACTACAATAAATGCCTAACTCTTCAAGGCCAAACATTGACAAACACTGACAAACATTGAGACCGTCCAAGAAAACATGACCTCAACAAATTAACTAAATGAGGCACCGGGAACCAATCCTAAAGAAACAAATATGTGCTTTCAGACAGATAATTCAAAATAGTTATTTTGAGGAAACTCAAAGAAATACAAAATAACATCGATAAGGAATTCAGAATTCTGTTAAATAAATTAAACCAAGAGATTGAAATAATTAAAAATAATCAAGGCTGGGCTTGGTGGTTCACGCCTGTAATCCCAGCACTTTGGGGGGCCGAGGTGGGTGGATCACAAGGTCAGGAGATCGAGGCTATCCTGGCTAACACAGTGAAACCCCGTCTCTACTAAAAATACCAAAAAAAGTTAGCCAGGCATGGTGGCGGGTGCCTGGAGTCCCAGCTACTCAGGAGGCTGAGGCAGGAGAATGGCATGAACCCGGGAGGCGGAGCTTGCAGTGAGCCAAGATGGCACCACTGCACTCAAGCCTGGGTGACACAGCGAGACTCCATCTCAAAAAAAAAAAAAAAAAAAAGAAAAACGAAAAAAAAATCAAACAAAAATTCTACTGTTGAAAAATGCAATAGGCAATGAAGAATGCATTGGATTCTCTTAATAGCAGAACTGGTCAAGCAGAAGAAAGAATTTGTGAGCTTGAAGAAGGGCTATTTGAAAATACACAGTCAGAGGAGACAAAGGAATAAAGAATAAAAAACAATGAAGCAAGCCTACAAGATCTAGAAACTAGCCTCAAAAGGGCAAATCTAAGAGTTATTGAGCTAAAGAGGAAGTAGATAAAGAGACAGGGATATAATATTTATTTAAAGCAATAATATAAGAGAACTTCCCAAACCTAGAGAGAGAGATCAATATCCAAATACAAGAAGGTTATAGAACACCAAGCAGATTTAACCCAAAGAAGACTACCTGAAGTGTTTTAATAATCAAACTCCCCAAGGTCAAGGATAAAGAAAGGATCCTAAAAGGAGCAAGGGAAAAGAAACAACATAAAATGCTGCTTCAATACATCTTGTGGCAGACTTTTCAGTGGAAACCTTACAGGGCAGGAGAGAGTGGCATGATCTATTTAAAGTGCTGAAGGAAAATCTTTTACCCTAGAATAGTATATCCAGTGAATATATCCTTCAAGCATGAAGGAGAAAGAAAGACCTTCTCAGACAAACAAAAGCTGAGGGATTTCATCAACGCTAGATCTGTTCTACAATAAGTGTGAAGGGAGTTCTTCAATCTGAAAGAAAAGGACATTAATGAGCAATAAAAAATTAGCTGAAGGTACAAAACTCACTGATAATAGCACATAGAATATTATAACATTGTAACTGTGGTGTGTAAACTACTCTTTTTTTTTTTTTTTTTTTTTTTGAGACGGAGTCGTGCTCTGTCGCCCAGACTAAAGTGCAGCGGCATGATCTCAGCTCAATGCAACCTCCACCTCCCGGGTTCAAGTGATTCTCCTGCCTCACCCTGCTGAGTAGCTGGGATTACAGGCACCTGCCACCGCACCCGGCTAATTTTTGTATTTTTTTTTAGTAGAGACAGGGTTTCATCATCTTGCCCAGGCTGGTCTCGAACTCCTGACCTTGTGATCCACCTGCCTCAGCCTCCCAAAGTGGTGGGATTACAGGTGTGAGCCACTGCACCCGGCCACTATTCTTAAGTAGAAAGATTATGTTATGAACCAATCAAAAATAACAACAACTTTTCACAACATAGATAGTACAATAAGTCATAAAGAGAAACAACAAAAAGTTAAAGGGGGGATGAAGTTAAAGTATAGAATTTTTATTAATTTTATTTTTGCTTCTTTGTTTATGCAAACAAACAAGTGTTAAGTTGTCATCAGCTTAAAATAATGGGTTATATAATAGTATCTGCAAGCCTCATGGTAACCTCAGCTTGAAAAACATTCAGTGAATACACACACACACAAACCAAGAAATTAAATTATACCACCAGAAAAAATTATTTTCACTAAATGGAAGACAGAAAGGAAGGAAAGAAGGAAGAGAAGACAACAAAACAACCAGAAAACAAATAACAAAATGGCCGGAGTAAGTCCTGACTTATCAATAATAACAATGAGTGTAAATGGACTAAACTCTCTAATCAAAAGATAGAGTGGCTGAATTGGTTAAAAAAAAAAGTACCCAATGATCTGTTGCCTCTAAGAAACACACTTCACCTATAAAGACACACACAGAGGAAAACAAAGGGATAGAAAAAGTATGCCAAGCTAATGGAAACCATAAAAGAGCAGGGGTAGCTATACTTATATCAAACAAAATAGATTTCAAGACAAAAACTGTAAAAACGGACAAAAAGCCTAATTATATAATGATAAATTAGTCAATTTAGCAGGAGGATATAACAATTGTAAATATATGTGCACCCAGCAGTGGAGTATCCAGATATACAAAACAAATATTATTAGAGCTAAGGAGAGAGACAATACAATAACAGCTGAAGACTACAACATCCCACTTTCAGCACTGGACAAATCTTCCAGACAGAAAATCAACAAAGAAATATTTGGACTTAATCTGCCCTATAGAACAAATGAACCTGATAGATATTTACAGAACATTTTATCCAACAACTACAGCATGCACACTTTTCTCCTCAGCACATGGATCATCTCAAGGATAGGCCATATGTTAAGTCACAAACCAAGTCTTAAAACATTCACAAAAATTGAAATAAATTAAACATCTTTTCTGACCACAATGGTATAAAACTAGAAATCCATAACAAGAGGAATTTTGGAAACTATACAACACATGAAAATTAAACAATATGCTCCTGAATAATTGTGGGTCAATGAAGAAATTAAGAAGAAAATTTAAAAATTTCTTGAAACAAAAGATAATGGAAACATAACATACCAAAACCTATGGAATATAGCGAAAGCAGTACTAAAAGGGAAATATATAGCCATATATGCCCACGTCAAAGAAGAAAAACTTCAAATAAATAATCTAATGATGTGTCTTAAAGAACTGTAAAAGCAATAGCAAACCAAATCCAAAATTAGTAGAGGAAAACAAATAATAAATATCAGAGCAGAAATAAATGAAATTGAAATGAAGAAAATAATAGAAAATAATAATGAAATAAAAATTTGATTTTTTGAAAAGATAAAAAAATTGGCAAATCTTTACTCAGACTAAATAAGAAAGAATATCTAAATAAATAATATCAGAGATGAAAATGAGACACCACAATTAATACTGCAGAAATTCAAAGAATCATTAGTTGCTACTATGAGCTACTGTATGCCAATAAATTGGAAAATCTAGAGAAAATGAAATCCAGAGAAACTATTAGAAGTGATAAACAAATTCAGTAAAGTTGCAGTACACAAAATCAACATACAAAAATAAGTAAAATTTCTACATGCCAACAGAGAAGAATCTGAAAAAGAAATTTAAAAAGTAATCCCATTTACAATAGCCACAAATGAAAGTAAATACCTAGGAATTAACCAAAGAAGTGAAAGATCTCTACAATGAAAACTACAGAGCACTGATGAAAGACATTGAAAAGGACACCACAAAATGGAAAGATATTCCATATTCATGGATTGGAAGAATCAATGTTTTTAAAATGCCCACACTGCCCAAAGCAATCTACAGGCTCAATGCAATACCTATCAAAATACCAACATAGTTCTTCACAGAAACAGAAAACACAATCCTCAAATTTATATGGAACCATAAAAGACCTGGAATAACCAAAGCTATCATTGGAAAAATGAACAAAACTGGAGGAATCACATTACATTTCTTCAATTTATACTACAGAGCTATAATAACCAAAACAGCATAGTACTGGCATAAAAACACACATAGAATAATGGAACAGAATCGAGAACCCAGAAACAAATCCATACACCTACAGCGAACTCATTTTCAACAAAGGTGTGAAGAACATACCTTGAGGAAAAGAGTCTCTTTGATAAATGGTGCTGGGAAAACTGGATATCCATATGCAGAAAAATGAAACTTGATGCCTATCTCTCACCACATACAAAAATCAAATCAAAATCGATTAAAGACTTAAACCTAACACCTCAACCTATGAAACCACTACAAGAAAATATTGGGGGAACTCTCTGAGACACTGATTTAGGCAAAAGTTTCTTAAGTAATACTGTACAAGAACAGGCATTGAAAGCAAAAATGCAAAAATGAGATTACATCATGTTTAAAACCTTCTGCACAGCAAAGGAGGCAATCAACAAAGTGAGGAGACAACACACAGAATGAGAGAAAGTATTTACAAACTACTCATCTGCCAAAGGATTAATAGGCACAAAATATAAGAAGCTCAAACAACTCTGTAAGAAAAAAAATCTAATAATCTTATTTTAAAATGAGCAAAAGATTGGATGGGAGAGTATGTAAGAAAAAAAATGGGCAAAAGATTTCAATAGATATTTCTCAAAAGAAGACATACAAATGGCAAACAGGCAAATGAAAATTTGCTCAACATCATTGATCATCAGAGAAATGCAAATCAAAACTACAATGAGATATCTTCTCACCCCAGTTAAAGTGGCTTTTATTCAAAAGACAGGCAGTAACAAACACTGGAGAGAGGCTGCTTACAGTGGCTCATGCCTGTAATCCCAGCACTTTGGGAGGCCAAGGCGGGTAGATCACCCGAAGTCAGGAATTTAAGACCAGCCAGCCCAACCAACATGGTGAAACCGCATCTCTACTAAAAATACAAAATTAGCTGGGTGTGGTGGCGCATGCCTGTAATCCCAGCTACTTGGGAGGCTGAGGTAGAAGAACTGCTTGAACCTGGGAGGCAGAGGTTGCAGTGAGTTGAGATTGCACCATTGCACCCCAGCCTGGGCAACAAGAGCGAAACTCCGTATCAAAAAAAACAAACAAAAAAAAACTGGCGAGAACATGGAGTAAAGAGAATCCTTGTACACTGTTGATCAGAATGTAAATTAATACAACCACTATGGATAACAGTTTGAAGCTTTAAAAAATGAAAAGTAGAGCTACCATACAATCCAGAAATCCCTCTGCTAGGTATATACCCAAAAGAAAGGAAATTTGTATATTGAAGAGATATCCACACTCCCATGTTTATTTCAGCACTATTCACAATAGCCAAGATTTGGAAGCAACCTAAGTGTTTGACAACAGATGAATGGATGAAGAAAGTGTGGTACATCTATACAACGGAGTACTTTCAGCCATAACAAAGAAAGAGATCATGCCGTCTGCAGCAACATGGATGGAACTGGAGGCCATTATGTTAAGTGAAATAACACAGGCACAGAAAGACAACTTTGCATTTTCTCACTTATTTCTGGAAGCTAAAAATCAAAGCAATTGAGCTGATGGAGAGAGCACACAAAAGGATGGCTACCAGAGGCTGGGAAGGCAGAGGGGGAGTGGGTGGGAAGCGGGGATAGCTAATGGGTACAAAAAAAATAGAAAGAATGAATAAGATCTAGTATTTGATTACACAACACGGTGACTACAGTCAACTATAATTTCAGTGTACATTTTTAAATAACTAAAAGAGTATAACTGGATTGTTTGTAATACAAAGGATGAATGCCTGAGAAGATGGATATACCCCATTTACCATGATGCGATTATTCCATTTCATGCCTATATCAAAGTATCTCATGTGCCCCATAAATATATACACCTATTATGTACACGCACAAATTAAAAATAAAAAAATCCTCAAAAAATCTGAAATATCAAGGTTAACTGCTCAGTGTATTCTCAGTGATAACCCACTTCTGTGAAGTTGTTGCATGCTTGGCTGAGAGCAAGAGTCGAGGGAGTGGGATGATTTTAAAGTCTTTTCAAGACCTGAAGGCTGGACATACTAATTTCTATTCTAGATAGGTAAAGAATAAGTGAGCACTCATGCTAGTTAGCTAGATTCCTTTTCTCTGGACAGGACTGGATACACAGAGACTTATTCTTCCTGTCCTCTTCCCTTTTTCCAGCTTTCATGAATTCTACCACCCTGTAGCCACCATAGCATTGCCTCTTCAAGTATGCAGACAGTAATGTTAGTACTTAGGTAAATTCCTTCTGGAATTCCAACTTAGTCCCAGGACAAGGTGTTAGCCATCCTAATCTGTAGAATCTTCTCAGCAAAATAGATAGAAACCGTGTGAGGGTGAGGCCCTTCTGTGAGTAAAACATGCACTCTCATGCATGCTATCCCACTCTTAAAGGCTGACTTTTCCTGAGCCTTCCCTTAAATTCTGAGAGTACCTCTGAGAAGCTGCCTTTGTACCTACCACAGCCTTGAGTAAGCATGGACTAAAATAATCTGTTTATTTTTGGTCTCAACCTGTAATGTTTTGAGGAAGCACACTTTACAAAATCCTTCTAGTAATATGTGGTGAATAAAGTCCCCAAGGTGTCTGAAAGAATTTGAGTAGAAATTTAAAGCATCAAGCACACTATGGGTACCCCCCAAGGAGATGCCATGTGGAAGCGTTGAACTTGCACTCGGTGGGTCCTAGCTGACAGAAGATGCTGACTGGGTGTATGCAGCTATAGAGCTTGCCCCAAGGAAGAAGGAGCATCCCCCAGGATCTATTTGTGAACTGCTCTGTTGATGTTCTTTCACTGCTGTGTAGAACCCTCAAAGATTCTCAGCACTACCTAGAATCAAATGGTATTTCAAATGGTATTTTAGGCACCCTTGGAATCTTTACTTGGGCAATAAACATTATCTATAATTCCAGGGGGTGGTCCTTTGTCAGTGCTGCTGAACTAATTCACTCTTGCAGCCCAAACAGGCATAGATGAGCCTGTGGGCTCTGGAATTCCACATTTCAGGATGCCTACTTGCAGAAAAAGGGCAGACTGCATTGTCATCTTATAATCACCACAACAGCTGGAGGAAAAAAAATAGAACATCCTTGTTTCACTTCCAGAAGGGGTTTTTATAGCAACCTCTTTGGAATTTGTCTATGAATCTGCTGACTTCTTCAATCAGAGAGGACATTCTTTCTCCTCTCCAGATTAATTTCTCATCATTTTTCCTCCAGTCTTGCTCACCTGATTATGGCCACATTGTTAATATCACCTATAGATAACAAGTGTGCTCCCACCTCAGGATTGTTGCCCTTAAGGTTCTCTCTGGACACCTGCTCAGGTACTCTGTGAGTTACTCTCTCACTTTATCCAGGCTTTTGCTCAGATGTGACATTATCAAGAAGACTTCACTAACCATCCCACCTGAAATTCCATACACACTGCCTCATCCTTCTCTATTCCCC
The DNA here is from genome assembly GCF_000001405.40 of Homo sapiens. NCBI lineage: Eukaryota > Metazoa > Chordata > Mammalia > Primates > Hominidae > Homo > Homo sapiens. The sequence goes on along the minus strand of NC_000009.12, from coordinate 7,694,334 downwards.
ATGTTTTCTTTTTCTGCATAGCATGTATCACCAGTTTTTTCACTGTCTGACTGCTCCAACTAGAATATAAGTTTCACAAGAGCAGGAATTGTATTTATTTCCAGCTGTAACTCAAGCACCCAGAACTATACCTGGTATATTAGACCATTTTCACACTGCTATAAGGAACTAACTGAAACTGGGTTATTTATGAAGAAAAGTGGGTTAATTGACTCACAGTTCCACATGACTAGGAAGGCCTCAGGAAACTTATAATCATGGTGGAAGCTGAAGGTGAAGCAAGGCATGTCTTACATGGTGGCAGGAGAGAAAACAAGTGAAGGGGGAACTGCCACACTTTTAAACCATCAGATCTTATAAGAACTCTAAGACAAGAACAGCAAGGCAGAAGGTCTTCTCCATGATCTAATCACTTCCCAACAGGCCCTCCCCTGACACATGGGGATTAAAATTTGAGATATTTAGATGGGGACACAGAGCCACACCATATCATTCCACCGCTGACCCCTCCCAAATCTCATGTTCTTCTCACATTGCAAAACACAATCATCCCTTCCCAGCAGTTCTGCAAAGTCTTAACTCATTTCAGCAGTAACTCAAAAGTCCAAGTCCAAAGTATCATCTGAGACAAAGCAAGTCTCTTCCACCTATCAGCCTATAAAATTAAAAACAAGTTAGTGACTTCTAAGATACAATAGGGGTACAGGCATTGGATAAATGCACTGATTCCAAATGGAAGAAATTGGCCAAAACAAAGAAGCTACAGGCCCCATGCAAATAAAAAAACCCAGCAGGGTAGCCATTAAATCTTAAAGTCCCAAAATCTCCTTTGACTCCATGTCTTACATACAGGCCACACTGATGCAAGGGGTGGGCTCCCAAGGCCTTGGGCTGCTCCACCCCCATGGTTTGGCAGGGAACAGCCCCTGCAGCTGCTTTCACAAGCTGGCATTGAGTACCTATTGCTTTTCCAGGTGCCTGGTGCAAGCTGTCAGTAGATCTACCATTCTGGGATGTGGAGGATGGTGGCCCTCCTTTCACAGCTCCACAAGGCAATGCCCCAGTAGGAATTCTGTTTGGGAGCTCCAACCCCACATTTCCCTTCTGCACTGCCCTAGCAGAGGTTCTCCATGAGGGCTCTGCCCCTGCAGTTGATGTCTGCCTGGACATTCAGGCATTTCCATACATCCTCTGAAATCTAGGCAGAGGTTCCCAAACCTCAACTCTTGCCTTGGGACTTTCACCCTCTGTGAAGCCACAGCCCAAGCTGTACCTTGGCCCCTTTTAGCCATGGCTAGAGCTAGAACAGCTGGGACTCAGGGTACCATGTCCTGAGGCTGCACAGAGCAGCAGGGCCCTGGGCCTGGCCAACAAAACCACTTTTTTCTCCTAGGCCTCTGGGCCTGTGATGGGAGAGGTTGCCTTGAAGATCTCTGACGTACCCTGGAGACATTTTCCCCATTGTCTTGACAATTAACATTTAGCTCCTCCTTACTTCTGCAAATTTCTGCTGCTGGCTTGAATTTCTCCCCAGAAAATGGATTTTTCTTTTCTACTGCATGATCAGGCTACAAATTTTCTAAACTTTTATGCTCTGCTTCCCTTCTAAATGTAAGTTCCACTTTCAGACCATCTCTTTCTTCATGCATATAAGTGTACACTTTTAGAAAAAGCCAGGTCACATCTTGAATGCTTTGCTGTTCAGAAATTTCTTCTGCCAGATACCCTAAATCATCTCTTATCTTCAAAGTTTCACAGATCTCTAGGGCAGGGGCAAAATGCCACGAGTCTCTTTGCTAAAGCATAGCAAGAGTGGCCTTTGCTCCAGTTCCCAATAAGTTCCTCATCTCCATCTGAGACCACCTAAGCCTGGACTTCATTGTCCATATCACTATCAGCATTTTGGTCAAAACCATTCAACAAATCTCTAGGAGGTTCCAAACTTTCCCATATCTTTCTGTCTTCTTCTGGACCTTCCAAACTCCTCCAGCCACTGCCTGTTACCCAATTCCAAAGTCACTTCCACATTTTCAGGTATCTTTATAGCAATGCCCCACTTCTCTCAGTACCAATTTTCTGTGTTAGTCTGTTTTCACACTGCTATAAAGAACTACCTGAGATTGAGTAATTTGTGAAGAAAAGAGGTTTCATTGACTCACAGTCCTGCCTGGCTGGGGAAGCCTCAGGAAACTTATAGGCATGGCAGAAGGGGAAGGGGAAGCAACGCATGTCTTATATGGCAGCAGGAGAGAGAGAGAATGAAAGGGGAAGTGCCACACTTTTAAACCATCAGATCTTATGAGAACTCCATCATGAGAACAGCAAGGGGGACAGCTGCCCCCATGATCCAATCACTTCCCACCAGGCTTCTCCCCTCACACGTGGGGATTACAATTTGAGATAAGATTTGGGTGAGGACACAGAGCCAAACCATATCACCTAGTGTATAGTAAAAATTCAACAAATATTTGTTGAAAGAAACATAAGCAAACCAATTTGAGTTTCCTGCTTATTGCACTGATCAAGATTGGCAGTTCATGATCTTGGATATCCATCAGAATCACCTGGAGCCACTTAAAAATAGATCAGATTCCAGTACTTTACTCCAGATTTACTAAAGCAAAATATCTGAGGGAAGAATGTTCAGGAATCTCTATTTTTAATAAGCTTCTTGGGGTTTCTGATGTACAGTCAGACATGAGAATCAGCGGTCTAGGCAACAGTTTCAGGAATATAGGAGGAAATACTACATGGTGGCTAAGGTGTGAATATTTAGATCAGCCTGAATTTGACTCTCAGCTTTGCCATCTACTTGCTATTACATGTTACTAAACGTTTCCAAGCCTCAGCTTCTTTATACGAGTTGAGTATCCCTTACCAGAAATGTTTGGGAACAGAAGTGTTTCAGATTTTGGATTCTTTGGATTTTGGAATATTTGTGTATGTGTAATTAAATATCTTGGAGATGGGACCCAAATCTAAACATAAAATTCATTTATGTTTCATATATACCTCATGCACAAAAACAGGAGATAATTTTATATAATATTCTTCATAATTTTGTGCATGAAACAGCTTTGATTGTGTTTCGACTGCAATCCATCACATGAGGTTAGGTGTGGAATTTTCCATTTGTGGCACTGTCAGTGCTCAAAAAGTTTTAGATTTTGGAGCATTTTGGATTTCAGAATTTTAGATTAAAAATGCTCCGCCAATACTTAAGGTGAGTAAATAACATCATCATATGATGCAAGAAATCTCAGGTTCTTGGGACATGTAACCATCAGAAAAACAGCTTGTCCTTTCCCTGGGGACAATGAAGGACTGTAGGTACAGTGGTAGGACTACAGAACATTAGCACCAGCACTAAGGTACAGCTCTGAAGCATCAGCTCAGAGGTAGGTGGTGGACCTTTCCTGGATCCTCATGTTTAACGCCATGAGAACCACAATACAGAATCCAAATGGCCTCCCACTGATAGCAGGGAGAGGCAGGCAGCCTATGGATGGACGGAGCTATGTCTGAATCAGGGGATGACAACCACGATCTAACTATATAGATGACCCTTCTTCATCATTTGCTCAGGCTGTGGAATAAAATCATCTGACATACTTGCCTATGGCTGTGTTATTCTAGCTGGAACATAATGCAGGAAATGAACATTGCTGCAAGCTTTAATGCACAATCCCTGACACCATTATCTTTCTCTCTAGTCGGAGCCTCAGGAAGCATTTCACTTTTTATTCTTACTTGATAGAAAGTCTCTATGAAACCTGCTCAGCAGATTATTGGAGGTGTGAGCACCCCTATTTAGCCAGTAATGGTAATAGTATTAACCATAACTAATGCGTTTGATATTAGTGAATATAATACCAGTGTAATTCCATAGCAATCCTTACATTCTTTTCTATTAAAATTCTATTGAATTGCCATGTATCAAGCCTTAGTACAGTCTTGCAGGCATATATAAGACATTATTTATTTACATGAATATACTTAGTAAAAAAGGATCTGTCCTGCTTCCTGTTTTTTCTCCTTGTTAATCTTGTGTGTTACCTATCACAATTCCCATTTTTGCAGTGAAATCTGAGCTGTTTCCAGTTCACTGACTTTTTTAAGGAATTGGGGTGGAAATGCCTTTGGAAGAAGGATGAGTGAGTATGTCCTGTCACTCACAAAGTAGATCCCAGTGGTGCATCAGTTACACTGTGGTAATTTGCTAGTAACTGCATTAACTGTGTCCTGTATGGTTTGTCTTTTCTTCCACTACAGCACAGCTCAGCTGCACTGGGAACACCTAGAGATGTAGTATTAATTTTTTTAAGTGTTTCTGGGTGAGAAATTACTAGAGATCAGAAGAATACTTTTCCAGTGACACAATTCAAGATCAGCAATTAATTATGCATAGAAATGTCACTTAAAGAAAAGTCTGTCAAAATCCTAACATTTTTTATAGATTTGTTATTAACTTCTAATTATAGACAAATTACCTTCTTCATTATCATAGAGAATCTTGTGTGTTGATGCGGAATCTATAAATGGTGCCAAGGAGACAGTGTGGAAGCAATATCCTCCCTTATTTCCTAATGTGTTACCCTCACCATGTGAGTAAGGGAAAAAAGAAGTCAGTCCCCATGTTACTGCAGGAGCAAAGCTATCAGCTTGAGAATCCTGCTGTTAAAATGCAGTAATGGAATTTTCAGCAACCAGGAAAATGACTCCACTGAACTTTCTGAGTTATCTTCAAAGAGAAGCTTAAGTTGATTGATGAGAACAAGAAACAGTGGGCTTTGTTTCCAGACAGCAGCTTTGAGATGAATCACTGAAGTAGCTAGCCTGGAACAGAAAGCGTGTGTGTGTGTGTGTGTGTGTGTGTGTGTGTGTGTGTAAGAGACAGAGACAGAGAAATAGGGACAGAGAGACAATGCTTATGTGTGTTTGAGAATTCGTAAGTTCAAGAGAGAGAGAAAAGACTTGTTTTCTCAGAAAATGAAATGGAAGATTCAATAAAACAGAAGAGAATGTTATCACTACGGAGAAAAGGATTCAATCATATTTGATGGCTGCTTTCTATTTACTTGCATGCTACCATGATAGATCTAATCACATTACTCTCCAGATGCGCTTCTTTTTCTACAGTAAATAATACCATCACCCCCTTCTGCTTGTTGGTCACAAGTTTTATTAACCTGTAAACCTGAAAGTCACTTATTTCATTTAAGTCTTTCAACTAGAAAGACAAAGTACACAGCCAGTTTGTGTTTAACCGAAGAAAAAGAAAACCTTTAATTCCCATGAGTTTCACAGCACTGTATGGGAAACTTCCAGGATACACACTCATTGGTGTAGTGAGGTTGAGAGCAGAGCCATTCACCAGAATGTGATTTTCTAAGAGGGTAGAGTTTTCCAAAGTCGGTTATCTGTATTGTTGTATACCCAACATCAGTACAGTGTCCTACTCCATTACATGCTCAATAAGCATTCTTGGAATAAATGCATATGTTTTGTTTTTGTAATCTGATGGCTCTTCTGAGCTCCATTTTGCAAGGGAACACTACAAAAACAAAAATATTTATCTCCCCACTATCCTCTGCCCTGGCACACACACAGACTCACAGCTGCTATAATAGATTTATACTGTGGCTTTCTTTTTTGGTCTAGGACTCACAGTTAATTTTTTCTATCCTTTTGACAGGAAATTATATGAAGAAGTATTTTAAAATGTGATTATCATAATGACTTATTAAGAGAAGTCATGGGAGGGAATATCAAAAGAATCCAATCTGAGACAGAAATCTATAGTTTCTTCTTCTGAATGGTCACTATGTACTCTGTTTAAAATACTGGAAGATGACATTTCCTTGAATATTTAGGGACCAAAAGCTTCTGAATGATGGGAGTGAAAGGATGATGGCCAGTCCTTGGGTTGTACAAGGATTTTTACAGCCTTAAGAACAATATTCTTATACCCTGCCAATTTTTTCATCCCTTCTCTATTTTTACAGTAATTATGCAGCCATTACTAGGTAATTTTTTAGACTGTGAAGTGAAATGTTGCTGAGAACTCTGACACGAGCCTGAAGTTCGCTTAATCCCAAACTAATACAGATCTGCCCTCTTTCTCCATGTTATTTGCTTACTCATTTTATTTCTATAAGAACTGAACAGCAGAAGTTTCGCCATTATAAGATAAAGGGTGAAAGTATTTAGGGGCATAAAATAATGTCTCAATAAGACTGTTGATGATCATAACTGATCATTCTCCATGCCTCTTGTGTAAAAGGTAGAATGCACACAGTCTATTGTTGGCCTGAGTGAATGAGTCTAACTTGCCTCTTTAATGCCAGTAAATAATATAATCCCTACTGAAGTTTAAAAGAAAGGTGCTGAGTAGGGCAAAGATTTTTCCAGGATAACCATATGCAAAGATGATAAAGTTGTCACATTTCAGACTGAAGTTCTGTAGATCAGAGCTTCTCTGCCTTCTTGAGTTGACTATGTCAGCCTACATAGACATACTCACAAGAGACATTTTACTGGTAGAATGCTAATGTCTTCTGGAACAACACTTGCAAGACCCTGCCCTGTGCATCTTCTCCTTGTTGACAATTCCCTAGGAAGTCAAATTATAATAAGTACCTTGCTTGGTAAGCATAGAGTCAGCTAAAGGGATGTTAGTTATCTAATTCAAATGTTCAATGGCACCAGGTTCTGAGAATCTTGTGGGTACTTTACACAGAGGGAGTCAGATAGGTCAGCCACTGAAGAGTATCTGTATGTGCACGGTCAATATTCGTTGGTGTGACTCTCTTTCACTCTGTATATGTTGCTATAAAAATTGCCCTGATTAGAGGTAGTATAAAATTCTTGCTTGTTCTCTATCACAATTTCCAGACTATTTCACCAATTCTGTATCCACACATCTCATGCATATATATGTACACACACACACACACATGCACATATATATGTATACATGCACATGCACATATATATGTACGCACACAGGCACATATCCTCCTATTCCTTTGTGACATATATACCATCCAGATACCACTTACAAGCTCTCCTCTTGCCATTGTCTGTCAATTTTCTCATCACTCCTCCTAGTCGACCGAAGAATCTGCTCCTAGCTTGTAGGAGTCTCAACCCCAACTTCTTCATGTGTCCTGATAACTTCAACATTTTCAAAAATACATCATTCAACATCCTGGCCACTTTGAACTCTTCATCCATAACAATCTTTCCTTTCACTGTTATTTAACCACTCACGTCCTTTCCATGCCTGTTTTCTCCCCAAACTGCCCCATTTCTAAAATCTCAAACTTCCTTCTCTCCAACTACCACCCTTTATTCAGGTACTGCCCAGTGAAACCATCTCTCAGCCCATCAAGATCTTCAGGACACTGGCAACCCATCTGGATCACTACCATGTGTCCCCCTTGCTCAGCTCACATTCCTCAGTTTTTCTCTTCAATCACTGCCTGGCAAAAACTTTTAACAACCTTTCCCTTATGTCTCTGCATTTTACGCTCCTGGCAAGGCTGAAACTTGGGACGACCTATGTCATTCTCCTTCTCTGTTCCTACATCCCACTAAACCTCCTGACCACTACTGAAGAAAAATCACATTCCTGAAGTAAAACCACGCTCACTCTAAATTCATTCTCACACTTGAAATTTTCAGTCAATGCTCCTTGAAAATGCTATGATTCTTTGACAGTCTCACAGCAGTTTCCCTGAAACAAATTTCCTTTCTTCTCCTCTTTCCTCAAACCCCCCACTAACCCTATTTTACCCTCATACCCAGTTGATAATTTTTTTAAAATTAATTGAAGAATAGCAACCATCGAGTAGGAACATCATCTTCCTATCAATGACACCTGTCTTCCCCCCGCCTGCTTACTGTCCCTAATCATGAAGGTCAAGTTCACATTCTTTCTGATCTTTTCAAGAACTTTGCTCTTTCAGTCACCTACTCTCTCTTCTGCATCATCAATGTCTTTCCATCTGCTTATTTATTTTCTTCAGCATACAAACATGTTTTAGGATTTTCCATCTTACACACATGCGCATGTGTGCGCACACATGCACACACACACACACAATATCTCCATTGACTATATAGCCCCTGCCAGCTTCTGCCCCATTTATCTCCCCCCATCTTAATCAAATTTCTTAGAAAAGTTGTTTACATACAAATGCTGTCTGCACTCCCTCATGTTATATTCACTCCTTTACCCGTTGCAATCTACTGTGCAACCTAGATGTACCTCTGTCTTATCAAGGTTATCAATGATTGCCACATTGGCCAGTCCAAGAGACACTTCTCTGTCTTTGTCACACTCAATCCTTCAGTATCGTCTAGCATAGTTGCCATCTCTCTCCTGCTCCAGCACCCTGCTCTCTGGACTGCCTCCTTCCTCACATACCTGGTGTCTTCCACCCTCGTGGACCATTCTTTCTCTGTTCTCATGACTACTGATCCCCCTCTACCTGACATCTCAATGTGACAATTCTCCAGGGAACTTCATCTTGGGTTGTCTTCCAGCTCTACACATATCCTGCAGGTGTATCACAAATAATTTGGCTTTAAGTACCATAAGTGTGCTAATGATTTCCACGTTTATCTCTCTGGTCTAGGCTTGTCCCTTGAATTCCAGGCTTATATACACATCCGGCTTCCAATTTGACAGCTCTCCTTGGATAACTCCCAGATGTCTGAACCTTCAATACACAAAATTCCCAATCTCTTTGTAAAAATTATCACCTCTACAACTTTATCTTCCCCATCTCATTTAGAATGTCACTCCATCCACCCTGGTACTCACACCAGGAGACCCCATATCAAATCTATTTGCAAATTAATTCTACTATATTTTGAAATACATTTCACTTCTATCACCTCCGTCCAAGCCTCCATCAGCTCTCGTCTGCAATACTGCAACAGCCTGCAAACTAGTCTTCCCATTTCCAGTCATGTCCCTCTCAAATCTATTCTAAAAAAAAAAAAAAAAAAAAAAAAAAAAAAAAAAAAAAAACCACAGGCTTGGAAGGCCGAAACGGGCAGATCACCTGAGGTCAGAAGTTCGAGACTAGCCTCAACATGGAGAAACCCTGTCTCTACTAAAAAAATACAAAATTAGCCGGGTGTGGTGGTGCATGCCTGTAATCCCAGCTACTCGGGAGGCTGAGACAGGAGAACTGCTTGAACCTGGGAGGCGGAGGTTGCGGTGAGCCAAGATCGTGCCATTGCACTCCAGCCTGGGCAACAAGAGCGAAACTCCGTCTCAAAAAAAAAAAAAAAAAAAAAAACAGGCATGATCTGTTCAAACATGCATCAGTTTTTGTCATTGCCTGTTTAAAATATCTAATTGCTTTTTACTGCATGCAAAATTAATAAAATTCTCTACCATTGCCTAAAAGACCCCCCATGACCTAAACTGCTATGGCTCCAAACCCATCTTAAAACATGCTATTACTCCCTCTGTTCTAACTGTACAATCTTCTTTCAATTCCTGGAAATTCTAAACTTGTATCTGCCTTAGGGCCTTTGCACATGCTACACTCTGCCAGGAATACTTTCTGTAATATCTTTATTTTTACAAGGCTTCTCCTACTCATTCTCTAAGACAGTCTCAGCTTACCTGTCTGAGACCTTTCCTTAACTTTCCTAAAGAAGCCCTCTCCCTCTCCTCACTTCCTGCACACTCTATGAGGTATCTCAGCCCTGGGTTCATTTCCTTAGGAACATATAGCATAATTTTCAGTTCTTTTAATACACGTTTAACGTGTATCACTTGTGCTGGTCTGTCTTTCATTAGAGTTTAAGCAAATGAGGGAAGGAACTTCCTCTGAGCTGTTCATTCACCGTTATATTCTTCATGAGAGTGTTTGGCACATGTGAAGTTCCCAAAATATATTTCTTGAGTTAATAAGTAAATAAGTGAATGAATATCTTTAAAGACTGGAGCTTTCCTCTCATATTCATTACAGTAACTTTTTTCTTTGAGGAGGCGTTTTATCAAAAACATAACAGAAAAACCTTTATGGGAGTTAGAAGTTAGGCCTCTATTAGATGAGCCTTCCAGGGTCTCCAGATTGCTCTGTGTTTGTGTCTGAGTGAGAGATGGGAAAGGTGTGGAGAGGTATGTTTGGAAAAGGGTGGAGAAAAACACAACTCTTTCAAGGGAGGTATATATTTTCTAACGTAGAAAGACATTAACCACAAATACAGAGGATCTGCCTTTCATCAAAATTCTCCTTGCTTCTGTCAATGTTTTTTTTTTTCTTCTTTCTTATCCCTTTGCTGTCTCTTTCCACGTAATTCCCAAAGTAGCAGCCATAGAAGGGACAATCAGACGGAGCACACAGACCTGCTAGGGCCTCTGGCCATGAAAGGAGAAGCAGCCAGAGGAGAAACAAACAGCAGGAGAAACAGAATAGGGATTCAAAAGAAAAACAGCACCAGGCTGCCGACCACCAGATTTCTTTCTTAGTGAATTCTGAATTTGCAGAAGGCAGCAAGGTGTCAAGGAAAGAGCATGTGCACCTGGTGTACTAGTTTCCTAGGGCTACGGTAACAAATCGCCACAGACTTACTGGCTTAAAGTAATGACATTTATTATCTTACAATTCTAAGGTCAGAAGTCCAAAACGAGTCTCACTGGGCCAAAATCAAGGTGTCAGCAGAGTTTTGTTCCCTCTGGATGCTCTAGGAAAAAATTTGCTCCTTGCTTTTCCCACCTTCCAGAGGCTGCCCAGTTCCTTTTCTCGTGGCGATGTCACTTTGACCTTGGCTTCTGTTTTCACCTCTCCTCTGACTCAGACCCGCCTCCCTCTCTCTTATAAAGAGCCAGAGCCATGTCATTACCTCAAGCCCACTCAGATAATACAGGATAGTCTCCCTATTTGAAGAGCCTTAACTTAATCACACAGGAAAAGTCCCTTTTGTCCTGTAAAGTAATCTATTCACAAGTTCTAGAGATTAGGATATAGGCATCTTTGGGGAACCATTACTCATTCCACAAGAGCTGGGTTCCACTTTTAATCTGTTCATTTAGGTACTGCTCTGTGCCAGGCACTATGCCAAGCACTTTACATATTACTTTATTTAATCCTCATAAACTCCCTGAAATAGAGGTACTCTCGTCTACATTTTATATATGCCGAAATTGAAGTTTAGTGACTTGAAGACACTTGGTCCTGTGGTTCCATGTTTGTAACTCTGGTAGGGCAGAAATGTAAGCCCACGTCTGCTTAGCACCAAAGTCCAGACACCAGACTGCTGTGTTGGGCGAACTTCTGTATTAACAGGTGCAGGCATTTAAAAAGCCCAATAATTGGCAAGCCATTATTGTTTATATAGTAAGTACTACTTAACTACAAACAATCATACTACTCCTCGGAGTATTAGGTTCCTTATATAAGTATACATTCATGCCTCCATTTGGAAAATATTTACAAGTGTTTATACTCCGCTAGGCACTGTCCTAGGAATTAAACACTGTACTAAAAGTTACTGGGCAGTTTAAAGGAAATGCTCACTTGGCTTAGGGTCCATCATATAGAAGATGCCACTCAATACTAGTTCACATTTCTCTTTTTCACCTTAGATTGTAAACTCCCGAGGCTTCGTCCTGATTGCTCTGATTTGCTTGTGTGTGTTTCTCTCACTGCCATTTAGCACATAGCAGTGACTTCATATATTGGCGAAGCTGGATTGATTTCTGTGGAGATTACATCTGACTTTATCAAGGCAATGGCTTTTAATAGTTCTATTATTCCAATGGGTTTTTGTAAGTTAAGTTATAATCTAAAGAAGAAGTTGAAGGATCATGATTTTTCAAGTAACACTTGGATTCCTAAACTGGAGTGATATCTTTCCACAGTTCCTTAATCCTGCTTCCCAATGCATGGGAATGAAGGGGGTTGGGAGGAGGGAGACAGTGGAGGATGGAGAGGTGAACAAATCCTAGTGCTGGCAAAGGAACACTAAGATAGGGCAAAAGACTCTAAAATATGGCCAAAGAATAGCTCTGACAGTCATATACCGGTAGACTCTTAGATGCAACGGAGAAGACGACCCCATTGTAAGAGAAACTGTATGTCACTGCAAATGTTCTCTATGATTTGGGGTAAGAGGTTTTTCATTAACTTCCTATCATTTATTCTTTGACCCTTTTTTACTTCCTACTATTTTGTATCAGCATTTCTTATCTGTTTCCTCATTTATCTTGCTGTATCATACTATCTTTTATAAGGAATACTCACTATAAAAAATAAAACGTAATAAAGATACATTTGCGGCCTTTTAAATTTTCTGCAAAAGAAGTGCCTGTGAGCCAGGTGTGGTGGCCCATGCCCGTAGTCTCAGCTACTTGGGAGGCTGAGTCAGGAGGATCACTTGAGTCCAGGAATTCAAGACCAACCATGGCAACATAGAAAGACCCCATTTCTAAAAAAAAAATTTAAAGTTAAAACAAAATTTTTAAACAAGCAAAAAAGAAACAAGTGTCTGAGAAACAAATTTTTTAGCCCAGATCTCCGAAATAAATCACTAGAGTGTGGGTGAACTTAAAATCCCTTGCCAAATCTGAGTCAGGCTAATGAGGCGGCAAAGTCGGCCTCTGCTGGAGAACCAGCGTGCCACTGATGGACAACTCAGTAACTTGACTCATTTTGTCAGGTTGTCAGGAACTCATTGAGGACCTGCAAATTTAATCTAAAAAAATCTCCATAAAGAACTGCTGCAAAAACATTGGTGGGGGGGCAGTGTGAGGAAAGAAAAGAAAGTACAGAGTCTTCTTTGAGCCTTCTCATTGCTGGTAAGATTAGAAGAAATGAAAGAAGAAGAGTATATTGAAAAGTGGGAGCTGATATTCCTTAGTGTTGAGGAATATCTTCTCTAAGGATTAAATTCTGTGTCAAGTGCTTTGGATTTTAATTTATAGTCATTAATGTTAAATGACTAAGTCTAAATAAATGTTACATGAGTAAGTAACAAATAAACGCCTTAATGAAATGGAAGATGAACGAGAACAGCTCTAAATGAAATTTCTAACAACCTGTCATTCCTTTTTCTACTCTGTTTTACAAGTGAATTTCACCTAATTCTGGGTTTAGAAAAGTAATACAGGACATGAAGAGATCACTGGAGCAGGCATCAGAAGAGCTAATTCTTAGTCTTTTTTCTGCCAATAACCAGTTATGTGTTGTGAAGATAAGTTTTAAGAATCGACTTGACTGAATTGAGGGATGCCTAGATGGCTGGTGACATATTGTTTCTGGGTGTGTCTTTGAGGGAGTCTCAGAGGAGATCAACTGGGGGTCAGCGCACTGAGGGAGGAAGACTGGCGCTCAATGCCTGCAGTTGTCATTCAATGGGCTGGGGGCCCAGCTGGGAAAAACGGGTAGAAGGAGGACTCTCTCTCCCTCTCTCTCTTCTGCAGTGGGGCTCTTTTCCTTCTCCTGCCCTTAGACATCACACCCCAGGTTCTTTGGCTTTGGGAATCTGGAACTTGTGGCAGTGGCCTTCTGGAGGATCTTGGGCCTTCAGCCTTGGACTAGGGGCTGCATCATGGGCTTCCTGGGTTTTAAGGCTTATAGACTAGCCATGCCACTGGCTTTTCTGAAAGTCAGAGAAAGCTCCAGCTTGCATATGGCCTATCGTAAGACTTCCCCACCTCTGTGATCCTATGAGTCAATTCTCCCTAGTAAATCTCCTTCCATACATCCTTCTGGTCTGCCTCTCTGTAAAACCCTAATACATGTGTTCTTAGAAAGGACACTTAATTACTATGGCTTGTTTTCCTTTTCTGTCAAATAAATGGTTTAAACTAGATAAATTTTTAGCCTCCTTCAGACTTGGAAACATGCATGGCCAATTTGCTTTAGAAAAGAGTTTATTAATATATTTTCAGAACCTTATTTTGCAGGATATTAATGGAAGTTACACGAAAAAAGAATAGTTCTGTGGTTCAGACAAATGTGGAAAATGTAGAGAAGTGAAATTAATCATATTTCTTTACTGCAAGATATTCCTGAGCCACTAACATGTACATATGTCTCCTGTGGTCATTCATTCCATTGATAGCTATTTATTTATTTTTTTTTTATTTTTTTATTTTTTTATTTTTTATTTTTTTTTTGAGACGGAGTCTCGCTCTGTCGCCCAGGCCGGACTGCGGACTGCAGTGGCGCAATCTCGGCTCACTGCAAGCTCCGCTTCCCGGGTTCACGCCCTTCTCCTGCCTCAGCCTCCCGAGTAGCTGGGACTACAGGCGCCCGCCACCGCGCCCGGCTAATTTTTTGTATTTTTAGTAGAGACGGGGTTTCACCTTGTTAGCCAGGATGGTCTCGATCTCCTGACCTCATGATCCACCCGCCTCGGCCTCCCAAAGTGCTGGGATTACAGGCGTGAGATAGCTATTTATTAAGTGCCTACCATGCCTCAGATACTAAAGCTACTCGGCTGGAGAAAAACAGGCATGGTCCTTGGCTTCATAGAGTTTATAACAATCTAGAGGGAAAAGTAGACACATATAATTATATAAATAAGCACAATTTTCATTGTAATACTGTTTTGAAGGGGTACACAAGTACCTCTATGGTGCTATGAAGTATACACAATAAGAGATTTTGATCTAGTCAAGATCAGGATGACATAACGGCACTGACAATTGAAGAATCTGTTTATGTTAAGGAGGAAAGGGGAGGAGAGTTCTAGGCAAAAGAGCAACATGGTCCAAAGGACCTGTGGTCACCAACAACACATGAAGAATTGCAAAAATCTCTAAAAGTGAGACACATAATGATGCTGCTCATTATTTGTCCTAGAAACTTTTTTTTTCTTTCAGGAGTGCCTTGCGGAAATTATGTTCTCTGGATTGGACCTTGAATTACTCTTCTTTAGAGTAATTCAATATGTGTTGTTGCTGCCTTAAACTCTGCCTAAACAGACTTGTTTTTAAAATGCCAGTGGGTCCTACTGCATGTGCTGATGGTATGGGCCTAAAGTAGACCACTTCCCCATATGTCTGTAGGATCTCTTAGCTTTACAATATGGAAAGGAGGAAAAGATGATGGATATATGTATAGATATGGGAACATTTCTTAGGAGATTGGAAAATGCCAGTGAAAATTTTTACATGTTACATATTTGTATAAAAGATACTCAGCCTGAGACATATTTCAGCAATTTCTGAAACTGTAGATGGGAGTACGTATGTGGAGGAAGAAGAAATAGTAAAGAGAAAAGTCTTCTGTCAAAGTTGATAGCAGAGGCAGAGGACAAATCACTTTCAGAGCAAACTTAAGGACAAACCTTTTTATCAACTTGAAAAAAAGAGTGATTTTTTGATAAAGCCAAGATTCTCCTCTAAAATGGAAATATTTTGCAATAATAAGGAGCTAATAGGTCATGTAATATAAAAGGCCGTCATCATTGTTGTTAACATTGAAATGACATTATCCTTATAAGGATAGTCTGAGATTGGAAATGCTTTTAGTTTCCACACAAAACAACAGCTACAGGGGCTTAAAATAGGGGTTCATTTCTCTCTGGTCAGAAGAAGACTGAAGGTTGGCAGCTGCTGACTTTGGTCTAGTGATCTGACATGTTTCTTTAATTTTCTTTTCCTTTCCTTCATGGTCAGAAGATGATTGTCACAGATCCAATTATCATATCTACATTCAAGGTGGAAAGACAAATGTTTTCCCAGAGACCTCCCCACCTCCCATAGAAGTTTCCCTTTCCACCTTATTTCCCATAATTGAGTCATACAGCCACCCCTAACTACAAGGGAGGCTGACAAAGATGAAACAAGGTGGTCAACGTTAACTTGAACCAACCCTAATTTATCAACAGAAAATAGCCACACCTTTGCTCAACCAAATAGGGTTCCATGAGCAAAGAAGAGAGGAGATGAATATTGGGTAAGCAAATAACAATGTTTGCTCCAACTTGGGGATTACAAAGAGTTGTTGATGCTGCTAGTGTTATTTTTCACTTCATTTGTTTCTTTAGTCTGGTCCCAGAAAAGTTGAGGCTCAGACTGTAGATAAGGAAGATACCACTAAATCACTATTTTTGGTTGGATGTAAGCTGGTCCCTGCAACATGTCTCTAGGGCACATGTTTCCAAACACTCTTTTCCAGGTTTCAATAGAGAACCTGTAAGTGCTTCATAGGAAGCTTAATAAAATATACATTCTGGGCCCCCATCTTCATAAATTCTAATTCACTAGGTCTGTGTTTAATAGACAAATCAGTTTTTATGACACAATTCCCAGGTGGTGCTTCTGCAAAGACAATTTGGAAAGTCTTGCCCATGGAGAGGATTTAGTCTGGGAATTATGAGAACATAATGGGCATGTGAGCCCTTCCTCACCCCACCACCCCACCTACCACCACATTGAAATCTTTTCCTCCTGTCCTTAAGCCTTCAAGATGATCTTGCCAGAACCTGGTCTTTGCTTGCTGAGGGCATAAAGGAATAGCCCTGGGCCAACATTTAGAGAAAGGCATTATAGGGATGAAGTGCCAGAGCTTGGAGGAGATGGGTCTATGACAGTGAGAGGGACTTATAGGAAATCAGGACAGCAATCTGGTCCAGACAGCTGGCTAAGGTGAAAAGCACAGCCAGGATGCAGTGTGAAATACATACACATTCCTCAAGGATTGCTAGAAAAGCCTGAAGAGTGGAATCAGGGAAGACTGGACTTACTGAATTATGGAAGAACGGAGGCTCAGACTAAGACTAGTTGGGCATTAAAGGAAAATGAGACGCCTGAGGACTGGAGAAGTCAGGACTCCTAAATTACCATAATGTTTTCCAACTAAGTAGAAAAGAAAGAAAATGAAACAAGAATTGGATGAGAGTCCATTTGCAAAACGTATCTCCAGAGTTGCCACGGAAGGCAGGTGACTCTGCACCTACTGGTGCTGGTGAGAAACCTTAAACAGGTATTTAAAGCTGTTAAGCAGTAGCGACTGCTTTTCAGACAAGATATTTTATTCCAAATTCTAAGTTCTTCTCATGACAACATTTGCCTCCCTACCTCTATATCATCTGTCAAATTAGAAGGCAGTACTGGTCAAGTGTTGGAATCGAAGAATCAGCTCTTCATCACCTATTGCTGTCATTTATTAAGATTTGTTAGATTCATGTCTGCTAACGGGAAAAGTACTTTCCCCAGCTTCTTTCCCATTGCAGCCAAGTCTGTAACGGATACACTTTATAGCGTCCACAGAGGCTCTTCTGTTCATGGAAAAAAATGAGGGAGGTAGAAGATAATGCACAAGGAAGTGGCTTTGGGACTTCACAACCCAACAGGACCTGTACAGATTAGTAAATAGTTTCAAGTGACTTAACCATGACATGGAGCCTCCGGAGAACAACAGGATCATTGTCACCACTGTCCCAATGGAGGAAGCTGAAAAACTCGAGTACTTTCCAGCTCCCAGAGAAAATGAGAGAGAAAAGGAAGCAAATGGTGTTTATTTGTCTGGGCCACTGGGCCAGTCTAGCTATTGTGAATTCTCCAAGGCATCATTCTGTGGATATGTTTGCACACACATATTTGCTTTGTAGAATAGCCAAGAATGCCAGAACAACTGGCTGAGATGTTTCTAGGGAGGAACATTAAAAGTAAGCTATTAAAGGTAAGGCACTACTAGCTCCCCCTTTTATGCTGTCCCACCTACTCATCAACTCATTATTTGTATTGTTTAAATAAAAGTTACATTAAGTTTACTGTATACCAATAGCAAGCATAACAGGCTAGGTTATGCTGCTGTAACAAATAACTCTAGATGTCAGCGGCATATAACAACCCAGGTATTTTTTCTTGCTTCTGCTGTGTATCCACTGCAGGTTGGCAGTGGCTTCTTCTCCATGTCATCCTCACTTGGATACCAAAGATGATGGAGTTTCATTACCTGAAATTTCATAGGTCAATGAGGCATAAGGGAAGGGAGGTAGGGCATCATGTGTGTTAGTTTTCTTTTCACTTAAATTTCATTAGCTAAACAAAATCAAACGGTCTCAACTAACTTCAAGGGAGTCGAAAATGCAATCCTCTCCTGTGCCCACAAGGAGAGGGAAATGGTATATGAGTGAAAAATAGTAATGTCTGCTATAACAATTGATGTACTACTACACAAAAGCCTGTCCCTTAATTTGAGCTAATGTAGCATAAACTGAAAATGGCCTCAGAGTTTGTATTTACAAGTTAAGTTTATTCATGGTGTCAGTTCAAGTCCTGAGCCTGAAAGCAAACTTTGCAAGGGATCACTCTGTGAGCCTCTGACGCCAGAAACATTGTTGGCAGCATCTAATACATTGGCTTTCTCTACCATCACTCCTCTTGCAGCTAACTTGAGCTGTGACACACAGCCATATCAAAATATAAAAGAAGGGGGTTTTATCATAGTTAATGTGCATAAAGACTTCCCCTAATTTTTTTTGAGATAGTGAGTGTCTCACTCTGTTGCCCAGGCTGGAGTGTAGTGACACTATCTCTGCTCACTGCAGCCTTTACCTCCCAGGCTCCAGCGATCCTCCCATCTCAGCCTCCCCAGTTGCTGGGACTACAGGTGCACACCACTGCACAGGGCTAATTTTTTTACTTTTTGTAAAGACAGGGTTTTGTCATGTTGCCCAGGCTGGTCTCGAACTCCTGAGCTCAAGTGATCCTCCTCCCTCAGCTTCCCGAAGTGCTGGTATTATAGGCATGAGCCACTGCACCTGGCCTACTTGCTCTAATTTTTTTTAATCCCAAACTCACATCTAAACTTCGCCCTATCTTATCCATTCTCTGCAAATGGAGCTTAATGATGCGATGAGGTTCAAGACAGAATGAAAATGCTCCCTTCATATTACTTGGAGATATATTTTTAAACTTGAAGTTTTATTACTTGTCTCTAATTCAAAAATTTCCAAACCAGAGTAGCTGTTTCAAAATGGTTTCATTAAAAGGACTGACAATTTTTTCACAAAGATTATAATCCCTCCCCTTACCTTCAGTCAGAAGGAGAGGTTTGGATGGGATTAGAGTCATAGTAAATTAGGAGGAGGGGGAGTTGAGCTGTGGAGTGATGGGTTCATCTCCACTTGACACTCTTACATCTCATTCTCATAGGTTGAGAAGCATAAAGAAATATCTATGAAATTTACTAAGCAACAGGGTTGGTGCCAAGTGGTTCCTAACCCAGAGGGTCCATGGCTTGGTGCCTATAAGTTCACAAATTCCTCGCATGGAAAGCAAGATTCTTTGCATTTATGCATATATCTAGCTTTCACCAAATTCTCAAAGGAATCATGATCCACAAAATATAAAGAATCTCAGTATAAAGATAGATAAGAAAGATCTACACTCTCCAGAAGCTTATATAGACCTGTAGCTTCACATCACTAAAGGAACAAGTCCATGCTGCTTTCCAGAACAGATGTGTTTCTAAAATTCAGAGATAAGCCACATAATATTTAAACTGTGATGGTACTTTTATAAACTAAATAATACTTCAGTAAGATGACCATAATGTATTTTATGCATTCTACATAAACTCAAATTTTGTAGGTAGTATCAAATTACACGTTAAAATTCATAGGAAACACACATAAACCACACACACACACATTTTTTGTGTTCCCAAACTTACAGGTCACAGAGGTCATACAATGTGCTCCCTGCATCATGCTTTCCTATTTCTTCTACGTCTATGCCATTCCCTTAAACTACTCTATTCCTATAGTCCAAGATACTGAGACAATTTTCTTTACCACGTCTCTTAATGACAGGGTCCTCTAGTTCAAAACTTTGACATGTATAATATGATGCATAGAGATAGTTTAATTTCTACATGATAGCAGAGAGCAATGTTATCTATGATAACCTAATTAAATAACAAACATCTATTCTGTCTCTCTCTTCCAAGGGCTTTTATCTTACCCTAGATGTAATTTTTCACTTTGCTTTAGAAATGTAGACATAAGGATCATGGAATAGCAGAAAGAATACAAGACTTAAAGTAGAGACCTGAGTTTAATTCCTGGATCCACTCTTTATCTGTTCCATAATGTGACTAAAGTCACTCATCTTCTCTGAACCTTTTTCCTCATTTGTAAAATGAGGAAATTGTACTTAAACCCTAGTGTAAGACTACAAAAAGAGTTGTTGTTAGATTAAAGAAATTGTGTATTTGAAAAAAGCTAGCACATGGGCTGATAAATAGAAAATGCTCAAGTACTTAATAAATATTACTTGAATCTGATATACAGAGAGTGAACTCAATCAAAAGTTGAAGTATTTCTCATTAGGCTGCTTTCTTTATATTTCCAATTGGGTCTAGAAACAAAACACTTGAAGAGCCTATTCTCAGAATTCTCCAAAAACACTTTTGAGTAGCTGGGATATAGAACTAAAACAAGACAAAAATCCTGGCTGTTTACAACCCACTTGCTGTGCATACTACTAGCCATACATGAAATAAATGTTTCCCATATTGCACTAGAACAAAAAATTTCAGCATATCACATCTAAATCGACATACTGGAAATATGTAAAAGATGCCTAAAACCTTTTTTTCTCTAATGGTGGAGAAATTGAGGAAGCCTTGAAAATTCCATTATGATTACCATATGATATTGGCATTTCACGTGACTCAACCTAACACGAGTACACTATGCATATGTTTTGAAATATGCATTTATGATTACAAATACTATCAAATTAATTGTGGCATTGAAACCACACTAGTGTCATCACTTTCCACAAAAGTAGATGAATGGAGGCTGCCTTTGATATGGCCCTTGCTTTCCACTCTTCTTTTCTTTCCCCTCTGGTGCCATGCTCCTCCATCTTCTGGCATGCGGCCACCTCCTTCTCAAATGTGGGGTTCTGAATCAGCAGTCTTCCTTACCTCCACATCTCTACTCATTCCTACTGGAACATTGCAGACAAGATTGGTGATCCTTTCTACCATCATCTTTTTATGGCTTCTTGATTTTCTCAACTCCAATGTCTCTAAACTTGGGACCCCATTATCAAACAGAATTGCTCTATGCCAGGGTCTGAAAGTAGAAAATGCCCCTCTCTGATCCCAACCTTTTGTATCTTTATTCTACTCTGCCCTCCCAATGGATCTGCCCTTAGCTCCATTTTCATACAATAGTTCCTCCAAGTCAGCACATCAGACACTAAAATTAGACCATGTCTTTTAGCTTTTCATGAAACCCTATGAAAACCGAACCATTAATAGGCCATATCAACATGGTCTCACCAATTTTCAAGAATCTTCCACTCTCTTGATCTTCTGTTATTCTCATGATGAACCCTGGGGCACTTCCATCATCTGCTTCTTCACATCATACTTTCAGGCAGCTGAGACTGTCTGCTGAATCCATGTTGATATAGCCTAACAGACTTCTCTTAAAATATTTTATTTTACTTTATTTTTTTAGATGGATTCTCTCTCTGTTGCCCAGACTGGAGTGCAGTGGCGTGATCTCACTGCAACCACCACCTCCTAGATTCAAGCAATTCTCCTGCCTCAGCCTTCCAAGTAGCTGGGATTACAGGCATGCACCACCACACCTGGCTAATTTTTTGTATTTTTAGTAGAGGCTGGGTATCACAATGTTTTCCAGACTGGTCTCAAGCTCCTGATCTCAAGTGATCCACCTGCCTCCGCCTCCCAAAGCGCTAAGATTGCAGGCATGATCCACCGCGCCCGGCCTAAAAAAAATTTAAATAAAAATAAAACTTAAAAAATTATTTCTCCTTTATTAAAAAAATTTTTTAAAGAAGAGCATTAAGTTCCACCACCTAAAAACTAGCAGTTATATTAACTATCAGTTTTGCTAGCATTTTTACTCATTATTTTTTCCGTACAACACGTATTTTCCTTTCATAAGTTCGTTCATTTGCTCTTTTTTCTTTTCTTCTTTTTTATTCTTTCTATCATTGTGGTGAAATAACATATAAAATTAAATTTACCATTTTAACCACTTTTAATTGTTTTCACAGTGCAGTGATATTAAGTACATTCACATTGTTTACCATCATCACCACCATCCTGCTGCTGAACATTTTAATCTCCCCAAACTGAAACTTCACACCCATTAGACAGTAACTCCCCAATCCCCCTCCCTGCAGGCCCTGGCAACCACCATTCTGCTTTCTGTCTTTATGAATTTGACTGTGCTAGGTAGCTTGTGTAAGTGGAATCATGCAATATTTGTCCTTTTTTTGCCTGGCTTATTTCACGCTGCATGTCTTCAAGGTCCATTCATGTTGCAGCACGTATCAGAATTTCCTTCCTTTTTAAGATTGCATAATAGTCTATTGTATGTATATACTATGGTTTGCTTACCCATTTATCCCATGTCTTATTTTAATAAACACCACCTTGAATACTTAATAAAGGACACATAGGAATCATGTATTTTTCTGAATATGACTGATGCTTTAATTTTGGTTCTTGTTTTTGAAGAATACTGAATACCAGCTTCAAACTCCGTGTCCTCAGAATGCGTATACATTATTTCATCTTCTAGTTTACTCACCACCCTTTCTGTGTAGGCCACTTTTCTGTTTTGTCAGAAGCATGTTTTGTTTGTGAAGTTTTAAAAAGAAAAATATAAAGATACAAAATCTCACTCCTTAATAGTCCTTCTAAGTGAGTCAATTTTATTTTAAAACTTAAGAGTCCCCTCAGCCTAGAAAAATGTTCTTCTATTTCTTCCCCTCTATCTTCTCTCACATTTTCTGGGCCATTTATTAGAAAGACATTGGATCTCATCAATGTCTTTAACAGTTCCCTCAAGAATTCTATCTCTTTGCCAAAGTTAGCTTTATATTGCTGGTAACTTTTATTTCTTCATGATCCAATTCACTATGTGTGAATATTTTTTGAATTTTCATTTTCAATATTTTTTTTTACTTATTGAAGCATCCTCATCTTTCCAAGTATATTATAGTTTTTAGAGTGCTTTTCCCCCTTTTCTCTTCATTTTCTCTGTATTCTATTTTTTTTGTTGTTTTATTATATATTATATAGCTACATTGTATCTTTTTTGTTTTATACATATGTTTTTTGACCTATGTTGTTGTTCACGTTAGATGTTCTCTTAAAAAGCCTGGCAATTCAGCCAGGCCTGGTGGCTCATGCCTGTAATCCCAGTACTTTGGGAGGCCGAGGCGGGCAGATCACAAGGTCAGGAGTTCGAGAACAGCCTGACCAACATGGTGAAACCCTGTCTCTACTAAAAATACAAAAAAATTAGCCGAGCATGGTGGCACACACCTGTAATCCCAGCTACTCAGGAGGCTGAGGCAGGAGAATCGCTTGAACCCCGGAGGGAGAGGTTGCAGTGAGCCGAGATCATGCCACTGCACTCTAACCTGGGCAACAGAGCAAGACTCTGTCTCAAAAAAAAAATGGCCTGGCAATTCTGTATTCCTGTTCATGTTTAACACCGAGGCGCTGACAATCTTAGCAAGTTTCTGGTCGGTTTCTCTGAAGGAGGCCGTGGTGGTGAGCAGACTTCAGGAGACTTGCACTGTTTTCAATATCTTGACATCTTTTTCCTTGGACCACTGGTTTCTCCAGTGAGAAATTCTCTAATATTCTGCCTGGGCATATGAATCAAAGGGTAATGAAGGAAGGAGAGAGATGGGCAATCAGCTTGGATGCCAGCATTCCGGAAACTGAAGGGGAAAAGCAGGAAGGCTGGTGGTGTGTCATTCTTACATGCTCCTTTGTTTTTCTGCCTAGTGGCTCACCCTTGTCCACAGCTGTGGTTAGGGTTCCCCAGGTCAGAGGTTAACTAACTTTTGTCTAGTTAGGGAAGTAAAGAGCCCCATTCTCACAAACAGAGAAGTGGATAGGGGTTCTAACAGCTCCTTACACAACTTTTAACCAACCCTGTTTCCAGTCCGACTCCAGCCTTCAGAAATTCCTGACAACTCTACTTTGTAGGCACTTCCAGACTTCTGGGGGCACAGACTGGCTTTCTTCTCATTCACTTTACATTTTTCAGGCCTCAGCTTCTGTGTTCTCTACTCCATTCCGTCAGTTCCCGTGGACTCATCCGCCTACCATCCTCAAAACTTTGCTGACATCCCTCTTCTGCTATCATCCCCTCTGCTGCTCCATTTGTCACTGCAGTTTTTATTTTATATTCAATTATAGTCATTTTGAAAGACTTTCAGGAGGAAGCGTTGATAAATGCTTGTGTTCATTCCTCCTAGTTTAACTGGAACCACTGATACAACTTTTTCCTTTTTTCCAGAATTTCCTTTTCTTTAAGGAATATTTAATGTTAATGCCAAGAAAACAAATGATCTCTTTTCATGTATTTCTTCTAGGCTATCTCAAGTCTTTAATTTTGTTCATTAGATTTATCTTCCTATAGAGGCATAGGATTGTGGAACTGAAAGGAATATTACAATAGCAAAATTTATTCCCTCCTTATTTAAGGAGGGAATTTATAATTATTCCCTCCTTATTTAAGGAAATAGATGCCATCTCTACCAACCTAACTCCATAAAGTTACCTGTATTTAAAATCAATATCAAAAGATATATGTCTCTATAGAAGTCACTCTGAACTCTTTTTCCTCAGATCCACATCCAGAATCTGTCCAGTCTTATTCTTTTAAATTCATAAATGTCCTTTGACTGCTGATGTCACCACCTCTGTCTCTGTCATTCCTTCCCTTTCCTTCAACTGGAAAACTACTCCTCATATTTTAAAACCCAGTGTACAAAGTCATCTCTTCTGTAATATCTTCCCTGTTCACTCCTTTCTTTGCCTCCCATGGCATTTTCCCAGTTTTTATACGTATTACCACATATTACTGCAAATATTTGTTTGATGTCAACTCTCTTTTCCATTCATTCCCTGGTTTCCTCCCAGGCAAGAGTAACATCACCCCTCCCCGTAGCCAAGCCATGCATCAGACTTGAGGATGCACTCAGTGAAAATGTGCTGTGTGAATGAAAAAGAACACCCATGACGTGACAGGTTTTAAAAATGTGATATTTGTTAGCAAGAGAATAAAATAATAACAGCGAGAGATCATTCCAAAGAATGACTCTCAAGTAACCCGCACAGCTCTTCATATAGTTCTAGATGAATATATATCTATACTTATACCTGTATCTGTATCTATATAGATTTTATTCACATATCTTCTATACATGTTGAATGCAGCATTAGTGCAAATCCTGATAACTTGGACCTTTAATTACATGAACTTGTTACTAAGTCTAATTTCAGAAGATGGGCTTATGCATAAAAAGAAAAAGGAAGCTAGGATTAAGGAAAAAGTTAAAGATGATGGTAGTTTCTGGTGTAATTAGATGTTAGCTATTATTACCCATCCCTTTAAAATCTATGTAGCATTAGCTTGAACTCCCATTTCATGTTTTGTGGTAAGTATGCTCTCCCTAGGATTAATCTACATTTTCTGGGCTTGGGGAGTAGTAACCATAGTCACCCATAGCTTTGACTTTATGATTCAACTAAATTATTTTATTCTGTGGAGCAAAATTTTATTGACAGGGTGTGGATCACTAAGGTGGGTATATTACTCTGTAGTAGTCAGAGTTCTCAGAGAAACAGAACCCACAGGATGTACATATATAATTAATTGTGTGTGTGTGTGTGTGTGTGTGTGTGTGCCAATTGGGTGAGCCAGTTCCTTAAAATAAATCTCTCTTTCTAAGGAATTTATTTTAAGAAATTGGCTCATCAGCTTAAGGAGATTTTGGGCTGAGACGATGGGGTTTTCTAGATAAACAATCATGTCGTCTGCAAACAGGGACAATTTGACTTCCTCTTTTCCCAATTGAATACCCTTTATTTCCTTCTCCTGCCTGATTGCCCTGGCCAGAACTTCCAACACTATGTTGAATAGGAGCGGTGAGAGAGGGCATCCCTGTCTTGTGCCAGTTTTCAAAGGGAATGCTTCCAGTTTTTGCCCATTCAGTATGATATTGGCTGTGGGTTTGTCATAGATAGCTCTTATTATTTTGAAGTACGTCCCATCAATACCTAATTTATTGAGAGTTTTTAGCATGAAGGGTTGTTGAATTTTGTCAAAGGCTTTTTCTGCATCTATTGAGATAATCATGTGGTTTTTGTCTTTGGCTCTGTTTATATGCTGGATTACATTTATTGATTTGTGTATATTGAACCAGCCTTGCATCCCAGGGATGAAGCCCACTTGATCATGGTGGATAAGCTTTTTGATGTGCTGCTGGATTCGGTTTGCCAGTATTTTATTGAGGATTTTTGCATCAATGTTCATCAAGGATATTGGTCTAAAATTCTCTTTTTTGGTTGTGTCTCTGCCCGGCTTTGGTATCAGAATGATGCTGGCCTCATAAAATGAGTTAGGGAGGATTCCCTCTTTTTCTATTGATTGGAATAGTTTCAGAAGGAATGGTACCAGTTCCTCCTTGTACCTCTGGTAGAATTCGGCTGTGAATCCATCTGGTCCTGGACTCTTTTTGGTTGGTAAACTATTGATTATTGCCACAATTTCAGCTCCTGTAATGCTCATCATCACTGGCCATCAGAGAAATGCAAATCAAAACCACTATGAGATATCATCTCACACCAGTTAGAATGGCAATCATTAAAAAGTCAGGAAACAACAGGTACTGGAGAGGATGTGGAGAAATAGGAACACTTTTACACTGTTGGTGGGACTGTAAACTAGTTCAACCATTGTGGAAGTCAGTGTGGCGATTCCTCAGGGATCTAGAACTAGAAATACCATTTGACCCAGCCATCCCATTACTGGGTATATACCCAAAGGACTATAAATCATGCTGCTATAAAGACACATGTACACGTATGTTTATTGTGGCATTATTCACAATAGCAAAGACTTGGAACCAACCCAAATGTCCAACAATGATAGACTGGATTAAGAAAATGTGGCACATATACAACATGGAATACTATGCAGCCATAAAAAATGATGAGTTCATGTCCTTTGTAGGGACATGGATGAAACTGGAAACCATCATTCTCAGTAAACTATCGCAAGAACAAAAAAACAAACACCGCATATTCTCACTCATAGGTGGAAATTGAACGATGAGATCACATGGACACAGGAAGGGGAATATCACACTCTGGGGACGGTGGTGGGGTGGGGGGAGGGGGGAGGGATAGCATTGGGAGATATACCTAATGCTAGATGACGAGTTAGTGGGTGCAGCGCACCAGCATGGCACATGTATACATATGTAACTAACCTGCACAATGTGCACATGTACCCTAAAACTTAAAGTATAATAAAAAAAAAAAAAAAAAGAAAAAAGAAATTGGCTCACACAACTGTGGAGGCTGGCAAGTCCAAAATCCATAAGGTAGGCCGGCAGGCTGGCAGATTTCCCTCTTTCTTGGGGGAGGTCAGTCTTTCTTCTCTTAAGGCCTTCAACTGATTGGGTGAGGTTAGTCCACATTATAAAGGACAATCTGCTTTACTCAAAGTCTACTGTTGTTAACCTCATCTAAAAAATACCTTTACTGCAATATCCAAACTAGTATTTGGCCAAATACTTGGGTACTATGGCCTAGCCAAGTTGACACATAAAACTAACCATCATGCACTTCAACACATAGCTGTGTATATTCCTTTTACTAAATTAAGCTTGGTGTATAAAACGCTGGAATCCATATTCTTAACAAGCACCCCAGAAAGGCCTTATTTCAAATAAAGGAGGAACACCAAGGTTATAGTTGCCTGAGTAAAACTGCTCCAGCCCCACTCCAGGCATATTAAATCAGAATTTCTGGATAGGATCTGAGCTTGCTTCCTCAAGCTTATAAAGCACTCTAGCTGATAATAATGTATCAGGATTGAGAATTATTGATTCACTGGCAAACTCCTAATTCTGAACTACCTTTATAATCTCAAATCTTTCAGGGTACACAGATTACTCCTTTAGCAGTAAAAGGATGGACAAGATCCACTTTCCTTAGATGCAAGTTATGCTTTTAAATTGCATTTCCCCTCCTTATGATGTTTCTTATCATGTACAATTTTTAAATAGCCCTTCTAGGATCTGCTTCTCTAGCTGTATATAATTCTATAAAACTTCTCCCACCATTTTACCAATTCCCTGCTCCTTTCACTGATGAGTGGCAGAGGCTGCATTCCTGACGATTCATGAGGTTTTCGCAACATCACTTAACGCCCAGCATCAAGTGAGGTCTGATTTGGACCCATCTGATCTCCTTAGCAGCTGAGATTGGAGAGCAGGGGCATTAATCACACACCTAATCCACAACAAGCAACTGCATGGGTTTGTTCTCATGGAAGATAAAGTTCTCCTTGGGGAGCTAGAGATTGACAGTCACTAAGGCCAAGTGCTAACAAAGGAATTCTTTGGGTCTTTTATTTGTTTTTTAGAACTCCACTGGATCAAGCACTTTAGTAACCTCACAATCTTCACATACTTACGTTGAAACAAAGGAACTGCCAACATTTTCAAATATGAACTGCACTTTTTAGGATAAGTTGTTTGTTGATGATGCTGTTTTTGATTTTTGGTGCAGTTATTTTTTCCTTGAAATACACAAGAGTGTTTGAAACTGAAGATTGAAGTAATTTTCCAAGATGATAAACAGTTTTCTAAACAGTAAGAGCCACTAGAGCTATCACAAAAAAGTTAGCCTACAAACTGCAATTGTTTCTCAACCTTACTCTTCCTTGAGCCCATCACACAAATCAGGAGACAGGATGCAAAAGCCAGGAAAGGGTTTCACCTGCCAGCATTGTTTACACTGCTCAATGGGGTTTTCAGAAAGGAATTTGGATATTTCAGACGAAGACACTGAGGTCCAGAGAGGTAAATTGTCAACCTTCCCAATTTCACTTAGATAGACTCAGGATCTGATTCAAGAATCCTAATTCCCTGTGTGTTATTATTTCATTTCATTTCTCCATGCTGAACCTCTCTACTGAGCTTCAAATATAAATTTCCAATTGTATGCTCAATGTCTCTGCTGGGCTGTGCTCTGGACACTTCATTCCCAACATGTCCAAAAACAAATTTAGGATCTTTTCCTTCAGCTGTCACTTTCTCTCCCTTCTGAGTTTGCTATCCTATCTAATCACAGTATGAACTAATTCTTAAAATCTACAACCCTGTGAATCCTCCCTGAATCCTCTTTCCACTTCCTTATTTATCAATTTGACCTCTTGAAATATATCTGGAATCCCTTCTATTACTATACTTCTCCTTCTTCCCATTACTTGAATGCAGCCATTACATCTTAATAGGTCCTTTCGGTTGCAGCCAATTTCTTCTCTAAGCCTCCCTCTATTTCAATGGCCAAGAATTAATTTGGGAATCTGGCCCAAACTGGAAAGATTCTGCCCTTTGGGCTAGACCCACATTTTGATTATTTTAATCATAATGGCGTGATAATGTCAGGATATCAAGAAATAGAAACCAGTAAACAGATTTACCCACACCCTTTTATCTCCTACTAAATGCAATGCCTAAATTATAATTAGATATATTACAAATTACTTTTTGCCTCTTTTGCCTGAATGTGAAAAACTTTGTGTCTGTGTTGTCCTAGACACTTGCAGGCTTGGACATAGTATATATCAAATATCAACTAACGGAGTTTTACGTTCAGAACTAGTCCCTGGAGTTAAGTCTTATTGGTCCTTTAGCAGGGTCCAAAATCCCAGAAGAGAAGAGAATTTTCAGATGTTATTATTCTCTTTGGGACAAAAATACAGATATCTTACATGATAAAAAAACAGTTTGGCAGATTCCAAGAA
Organism: Homo sapiens; assembly: GCF_000001405.40. Lineage (NCBI taxonomy): Eukaryota > Metazoa > Chordata > Mammalia > Primates > Hominidae > Homo > Homo sapiens. The sequence goes on along the minus strand of NC_000009.12, from coordinate 7,664,514 downwards.
AAAATAGTCAAAATGGAATAATATCCTCTACCATCATAAGAAGGAAGATTGTTATAATATGGGGTGAGTTATGACTCAAATCCCCCCGTAAGGGTTTCACCAGAATTCTCCATAATGTATTATTTGTATAAGCAAAGTCTTAATCCTATAGCACAAAACCTTCACAATCATGGATGCAGCAATAATTTGGTCTTATTTTTTACTATTGTCCTACCAATACTTATTCACCCATCTCAGACTAGTCTACTAATTTATGGCATAAATAAACACTTGTTATATGATTCATTTCTTTGTTCAGGCTGTTCTCTTTGCTTAAGTGCCCTTCCAGTCACAATGTACAGAAATCCTGCTCTTTCTTTCTTCCTTCTTTTTTTTTTTTTTCTGAGACAGGGTGTCATGCATTGCCCCAGCTGGAGTGCAGTGGGACAATCACAGCTCACTGCAGCCTCAACCACCCGGACTCAAGTAACACCTGCCTCAGCCTTCCGAATAGCTGGAACTACAGGCATATGCCACCACGCTCAGTTAATTTTTGTATTTTTTGTAGAGATGGGGTTTCACCATATTGCCTAGGCTGGTATTGAACTCCTGGACTCAAGCAATCCACTCTCCTTGACCTCTCAGAGTGCTGAGATTACAGGCGTGAGTCACTACGCCCAATCCCGCTCTTTAAAGTCCAGCTCCTCTGTCATCTTTTATTCTCCATAATATCCATTTCCCACCAAAATACATTTTAAAAAATCAATGTTTCCTCTGTTTTACAGTGTCCCTTTGTTTCTGTCAGTAGCTTAACACTTAGCTCTTTGCATTGAACTTGTGTGCAGTAGACTAGAGGTTCCTAGAAGACAAAACTGCAGCTTCTTTGTCTTTGGGTACATGGTACCTGGTACAGAGAAGCCAGTCAGTAAATGTTTGTGGAAATGAAATGCAAAATCATCTTCTGTTTTTCAGGTTCCATATCTGGGTAATATTAGTGACCCCAGATTTGGAAGGTTGCTGTAATCTACAAATATTGAACATTGTCTCTGGAAGGCCGACAGTATGTAAAGACTAAATGAGATAAAGAAAGGAGAAAGGCTTGGTGAACAGTAGGAAAACAAACAAACAAAATCAAGGTATAATTATTATCAGAATTTCCCTAAACCTATGACCAATGATTTTTAAAGATAAAGTAAGAAAAACACACGAAGACCCAACATTCTCTGATGCTGCACAGATACAGCCTGGAGAATGACAGCCATCCTGTTGAACACTTAAAGGACAAATCTTCTTCCTTCAGTGAATGCCTGAAAAGGGGGTGAGAAAGAAAGGTAGGGAAGAAAAGAAAGGGTAAATGCAGTTTGCAAAAGTAAAGCTTGTTGAGAAGAAATGGATGTGAGAAAAGAGCTAGAAAAGAAAAAAACTGAGAAAGAAGAAAACAACCAAGAAAGACGGATGAAGAAAGAAGGGAGTAAGAAGAAAAAGGAAGGAAACGAATATATCCACAGGGTATTTGCTCTGCATTAGCTGGGCAACATGCTTCTTTATGTAGGTGTAGAAATGAGAAAGGTTGATGGAGACAGAAAAGCTGAGGCAGGTGTTATTGGGTTGAGAATCCTTTGGGTTCATTTAGGCAGTTCATTTCCCAAGGTGCAGCTCCTAGACAGGCATTTCCAGTGACGCCAACTCTCCCTTATGAGATATCATAAAGCCTACTTAAAGAGAGGAAACCTAAAGTGCAGTAGGAAAGATTTATTAGTAATGTTGTAAATAAAATATGTTTCCTTTTGCTTGAACGATCTCAGGAGATCTGTCTCTTGCTCTGTCGTCAGGCCGGAGTTTCTGAAGGGCGTCTCTGGAGAGCACTTTTCGGAATGCGATCAGCTGTACATCTGTCCCTAGGCACCATTAACTTAGACGCAGCCCCAATTTGGATTGGAAAAAAGCTAAATCTTTTAAAAATATGGTCTTTTTGATAAGACCCAAGAGGGGTAAATATATACATATATACATATATATTGCAAACCAAATAGCGTATTTTCTCTAAGAAGTCAGCATTTTTCATGCGCCCTCCATGAGACAGGGGCTCCCCCTTTACAAGCTGTGAACCTTTGTTCTGTTCGTTCACACAGCAGGATCATTTTTGTCCACCCACACCTGGACCAGGCCTGCCTGAGAATTGCTCAGCTAATGACCCTGCACTGGCCAGATTTGCTTTGTGTGGAATTGACTTTCACAGACAAACTTTTTTTCTCTCTAAGATGACTTCCCTCCACTTCAGATTCTTGTTCTTAACATATTTTGCACAGAAATAAGGGATTTTAGAGTTTGGGAATATGGGAGAGAAAAGAGAGATAAATGGACCAAAGTTCTCCAGGTGTAAACAAGCATAGTAAGTTCATGCACTTACTGAAACTGCTTTCTCACTCTTGACTGTGTACTGGCCCCATGAAACACGTGTGTTTCAGAAAGGAAAGTAACAATAGCGGCCATTTATTAAGCATCTATTTCATGACAGGTACTGAGATAAATGCTTTCCCTTTGTCTTCAATTTTATCCTCACAACAACTGTGGATATTCTTATCATCCCCTTTTTACAGATCCCCTAATTCAGCCTTAATGAGGTTAAGGAACTTGCCCAAGGTTACAGAGTTAATCCCAAGTGGCAGGTCCAGTACTACTGTGGTCGGAATGTTTGTGTCCTCCCCCAAAATTACTATGTCAAAACTTAATCGTCAAGGTGATAGTATTAGGAGGTGGGGCCTTTGGGAGGTAATCAGGTCATAGTAGCAAAGGCCTCGTGAATGGGACTAGTGTTCTGATAAAAGAGGCCCCAGAAAACCTCCTTGCCCCTTGCACTATATGATGACATAGCAAGAAGACCCCATCTATGAACCAGAAATGGGGCCCTCACCAGACATTGAATCTGCCAGCACCTTCATCTTGAACTTCCAGCCTCAAGAACTATGAAAAATAAATGCCTGTTAGTGAAAAGCTACCCAGTTTATGGTATTTTGTTGTGGCAACCCTAACAGGCTAAGTACTAAATTGAGATGTTCTTAATGACTACACTAAGCTGCCCAAAGAGCAACTATCAAAAACAAAAATTATTTTTAAATGTATTAGATTCTCCTTTCCTGTACTTGAGAAATAACACTTCTCCAACATCCTGGGATATGCCATGGCAAGGCCTACCTGTGTACTTCTGTGTTTTTAAGGCATTCTCACAGGTTAATTTTATTCTCCAACAAATATATGGAATAGTTAGAGAAGGTTTTGAGCTTATCGATAGATAAAATAACGTGAATTTTATTTGGGGACTATCTCGGCCAAATGCCATAAGCTTTGCTAGCACTACAGAGTGCACTGACACGTAGTAGGTATTCAATAAACATTGGAGGAATTAATGAAGGGAACCAAGGAACATGATACCAGCCAGGACTTCCTTGGATATCTTCCTGAAGTCACTGAAGAAACACTGAAGGATTAAATATGGAGAAGGATGTGAAGGAGGCAATGAAAAGCAGGGAGACCTAGAAGAAGCCTGCTGCAGTTATCCAGGCAGGAATGGGGCTTCCTCAAGTCAGATTTTATTGTGGAAATGGAGATGATTAAGCAGGTTTGTGAGACAGTAAAAAATTAGAAATGACAGGACTTGGTTAACTATGAATGGTCAGAGGGAGGAAACACTCATAAATATTAATGTCTGAGATTTTAGAAAAAGAGGGTGAGTGAATGGCCTCTTCTCCATATGCTGTATGTATTTTTACCTATTCCCCCATTACGGTAATCATCTTATGGAACTTAAATTGTTCTTTTACAAGCCCATCTCCTTTATTAGATCCTCACCTCCTTGAAGGTGAGGAGCATGTGTAACTCATTGCTATATCCCCTAATGTTTAATGTTTGCTATAAAATGGGTAAGAATTAAGAAATAATTCAGACGTGATTCGCCCTCAGGCCAGGTGGACATCAATTCCTTTCTTTGCTGTCTGTTCCTCAGGCCACCTTTCCTGTACCAACTTAGACTTTTGCACGAATGAGATCCCTTCAGGTTAGATTCTGCTTGAAGGGAATTGCTCTTATTGCCACAAAAATGAGCACAGGTCTAGAGGCCCAAGGCCAAAATAAAATCAGCCTATGGACAAATAGTAACCTTAACTTGAATTACAAAACATGAACTGGTGCTGTACTTCCCCAAGTCCCTGAGGCTTGGTGCCTTCAGATGCATCATTGTTAAGCCATAAATGAATAAGGCAAGGTCTGAGAGAGAGAGCTGCAGACAGGTAAGAGTGATAAGGGTCTAATAAATTTTTTTATCTGAACTTTCTGTAAAGCAAAATGAGCCAACCTCCTTTCATTGTCCTGAGCTGAATGTGTATGTGCCTGTGCATACGCATGCATGAGCACATATCGCCCCAGATAGAATAAAGATACTAGCAAATTTGGTTGCCATAATCTCCCATTACCTAATTTTCTAATTACACACATACCCAAACATGGTCATATCTCTTTAAATGGAAAATGATGTGAATTTTCTTTGAAGATTTAAAGCTTGAAATTGTCATACTCAGCATATATATTTTGCACAACCATTATTTTTCACGAGGTAGCAAACCACAGCTTAACAGAACCAAAAAATTGCTTCTGTTATATGGGGACTTCAATTTCTAATAACAGTGCAATGGGAAATAATCATTTTCCCCTGCCCATTCAACGTATATACTGAGCAAGGCAAGATACCAACCAGTGCCTTCAGCTACTTATTCAGGACCAGGCCCAGCCAGATAGCAGAGGGAAGGCTGCAGAGGAGATATAAATAGCCTAATAACCATTTTTTTTTCTCTTACTACCCTCTCTTACTCCTCACCTTTTACTTTTACTCCTTTTCACTGAAAACTAACATTTATTCACTTGTCTTCTGTATCAATGCTCTTGAGACAAATAGCCCACCTCGCTTTATTGGGATTGCCTATGTTTTTGGCAAAAGTGCCTCAGTCAGAAGGGGGGAGCAATCTCTAGACTAGAAAGCCTACAAGCTTATACCAACTGCCCACTCCTCAGCATGCTGATATGAGTGCATCAGGAGACATTTTTAGTTTTAAAAAAGGGAGAGAGAAATCACTAAGTGTAACACATTCAGCATCAGCGAAAACATCATTGAGTAGACCCACAGTCACTCAATATTATTTAATATTACCAGCTACGGTTCATGTAGAGACTTTTGGTCACATAGGTATAGAACCAAATTCAACTCTCACATTCACTAGGTCTGTGACCTCAGGAAGGTAATATGACTTCCTAGAGCCTCAATGTTATTGTTTGTAAAACTGGGTAGTAATAGCTATCTTGTGTGTTTGTGGTGTATCTGACACAGTATTTGGCTTATATTAGGTGTACCATAATTGGCAGTTAACATTAATGTTATTGTTATTATATTATTAAATCAGGATCCTCCATTCATATAGGAGGATCTATATCCTCAGCTATTGGCCTATTTATCTCCCATCAGCAAGGATACATTGTTCATTAAGACATCTCATTTTAGCCTGGCCCACCTAGGGCACTCTAAGCTCCCCTTTCGCATACATGGAATTGACAAGAAGACTCATTGTCCCTATCCATAGACTCCAAGGATTATAGCCTTCTTAGGAAACTCTAAGGTGGTTTCCTTTGTGCAAAGCTCAGCTACCTCTAAGTAGCAAAAGCTCACTCAGCAACAGGATCACAGAGTGAAGTTTCTTCTCATTCTCTGCTGAAACCTGCTATGTATTAACTTAGCTGTGTCACCTAAAAGCTGCTTCTTCATCTTGTATCTCCATGTGGTTGCATAGAGCTTGGTACATAGTAGGTACCCAGTAAATGATTAATGGATTAAATTTTCTTTTTCTTTTTTTTTTTTTTTTTAGCTTCTGGAAACATCCACATCATGATTAAATATCTTTTCCAAGTTCTAAAGAACCACTATCCTAAATTAGGACTTTGGGGAATCATTCAAAAAGAAAAGGTGTGAGAATTGGGTAGGTACTCCAACAGTATCTACTACATTATTCTACCCAGAGTCTTCTGCAAAACTCACCTTCTTCCTTATTTGTTCTACATTTAGGGTAATGTTGGCCATTCTGATCACCTGGCAATAACAGACTTTTTTTTTTTTTTTTTTTTTTTTTTGAGATGGAGTCTCGCTCTGTCGCCCAGGCCAGAGTGCAGTGGCACGATCTCAGCTCACTGCAGCCTCCACCTCCCCGGTTCAAGCAATTCTCCTGCCTCAGCCTCCCGAGTAGCTGGGACTACAGGCACGCACGCCACGCCCGGCTAATTTTTGTATTTTTAGTAGAGACGGGGTTTCACCATGTTGGCCAGGATGATCTTGATCTCTTGACCTCGTGATCCACCCGCCTCAGCCTCCCAAAGTGCTGGGATTATAGGCGTGAGCCGCCGCGCCCGAACCCAGCCAGGCTTGTAAACTTCACGTGATGGAGGTTATTTCCAACCAGAGGCTATACTGGCAATTTGTTTAAGCTGCCACCTGGTGGCGCTTGATTTATGCCCTCAAGATCTGGAAAGCCTAGCTCCCCACAGGCAAGATAACAGAATACAAAAAAAATAGAGCACATTTGCAACACACTTTTGAATTAACCTGGGCAATTCCTCTAAAAATTAAAATTGTAGAAATCTCAAAGTTGAATTTCTATTATATTGCATTAAGTTGGAAATCATATATTAAGCACTTATTTGAGTTATACTCATGATAAATCGTACCAAAGGGACTTACAATAAAGTTGTAAAATTGTGGATGGTCTCGATCTCCTGACCTCGTGATCTGCCCGTCTCGGCCTCCCAAAGTGCTGGGATTACAGGCGTGAGCCACCGTGCCCAGCCAATCGTTTGAACCAAAAGTTTGAAGTTTTTCAGTTAGTTCCTTTCTTGTGAATTTGAAAAATACAGTATATTTGCCTTGCGTATTTCTCGAAGTAATTGTGAAGATTCAATGAAATAATGATGTGAAAGTCTTTGTAATCTGTGAAGTGAAACACAAATGTTAGTCATTAGTGTTATTTCTCCAGTCTTCCCTAGAGCAAGACAGAGAGGCCTTCTAGAGACACATTCCATTAGCTAGAACGTCAACATTTCTGCATTGATCACTATATTCTAAAAGAGTACACATGAAAAGATATGCAACTTCCATAATATTGGGCAAGAAATGTTAAAAAAATGAACACTCACACATTCTGAGCTGCCACAGCCAGGAAAGAGGAGGTTGTCTAATGATATTTATCTGCAGGAAGTCAGAAGTATCATAGATAGATATTTCTTCCCAAAGTAGGAAAGCAGTTTTCAATTTGGACTTTAATTAGAAAGTGATTCTTTTCCCCCAAGGGAGTTTAAATTACCCCCATCCTTTGTCATAGCCTGTTGGAGAAGGATGTGTGCACACCCAGGGAGAACACCCAGATTGAGAAGGCAACAACATGGAGCATCATGTAGTTATTCCTGGTCCAAAAAGAGAGGCAGAGCTTCGTTCTCTGCTGCACTGAGTCCCTAGGTCCCAGACCTGACCTACCACCCAGCCAGAAACAACAAAAAAAGGAAGAAAATATTTAAAACAATGGCTTTCACACATTAAACAACCTACAGTCTAGGACCGTGATCCTTTAGAGAAAGAAAACAAAGGGAGCCCTGTGAATAACTTGGCTTTCTGCCTGGAAGCACGTGAATCAGGGAAGGACACGCCAAGCACAGTACAACCATCTTGCTGAGTTGAGGAGGGAGATCAGAGTTGGTGACGAATGAGAGGGCTCAAATTTGAGGGTCAGAGTACTGGAGAGGAAGGAGACACACAGAGGAAGAACTTCAGAAACCTGTGAAAGAGTCCCCTGGCAACTGTGCCAAATACTAAGCTGTAGATGTGTAGGGTAACACTCCACAAGTCAGTCAAAGAACTACTTCTACCAGGAGCTGTAAGCTGAACAATTCCAAAAGTTCACATAAGGTATACGGTAGGGGTGTGTGTGTGTGTGTGTGTGTGTGTGTGTGTGTGTGTGTGTGTGAGAGAGAGAGAGAGAAAGAAAGATACACAAACAGAGACGGAGGCAGACAAGGATCAAGCATCCTGAGGTTCATTAATGTGTGATAATAATGGAATCCAGAAGAGTATCAATGGAATCTAATTTCAAAGAGAAGATTAGACCAAAATATAGACTATTATCTTGATAAGATGCCTGCATTAAGCTAGAATCTATTATAATTAATACACAGTATTACAAAATGTGGGGTCAGTGATTCTCAACAAATCTTTGGGCGGCTTTGTAAAGTCCTCAGCTATAAAATCATTGGGTTATTGTTATAAGTATAGATTTTATGTAACTATTCTGGCAGGAATCAGAATTATGTGCCTGGAATGAGGAAAACCAAATGAGCACAGAGCTGATTTTTATCTTGTGAGCATCCCTTCTTTTTTATCAGTTACTTATATAAGCATGCTTCCATTGTGTGCCCTGGTTCTTCTCCAAAACCAACCTGAGTCTTCAACCAACCTGGCTGTTCCTCATGACCTGAAGGATAAGGACATGACCTCCAGGATTTCAGACACCTGTCTTTATTATTTACTGCCCATGTCATGGTTGTGGTATATACTCTTAGTAAAACTCCTAGTAAGCAGTAACCTTACCAGATCCTTCCTGACAATTTTTTTTTTATTCTGGAATCCTATACATCAAAGATATACAATAGATTATAAAAATTTTCTAAGTCAATATCATACCGTAGAGAGATAACAATTCTGAAGAGCCCAAGATCACAAACCAGCTTATGCCAGAGAGATGGCCTTTCTGCTTAAAGACCATATCAGCAAAGAGAGCCAGACCCCTATTTAGACTTTCCTACTTGGTCAAAATGTTCCTTGTGGAAGGGATTAATAACAGGGAAATAGAAAACCTGGTCAGTATGGTTAGCCTGCTCCTCACAAGCTCGCAACATATCCCAGAGGAGTGGGTGCTCTGTCTCCTTTGTTAGATGTCAGAATCACACCTGCCCTAACTTCCTTCCTCCATTAAACATTTGCTGAGTATTACAGCAAGTGGATCAGTCATGATTGCGAGGTGTTGAAAAAGAAGAAAATGTGTGTATTTCATTTGCTTTCTTTAGTAACTTCAACATTACCTATATGCCATGTAGCCTTAAAATGGCCATCAGCAGGAAGTCAGAAAAGCTAGCAATGAAGATAAAGAATGCCACTAAACTGCAACTGTCATGAAAACAAGAACCAAGTCTGATTTTACACAACTGTACCCTCAACATAGAGCATAATTTCTGGCATATAGTAGGTGCTCAAGAAATTTAAGTTCTTGTGTACCTCCTCACTTTCTCCATCCTCATTCAGACAAGCAGGTCTCTGTCATTCATCTGTCCATTCATTATTGACTATCTTCCATAATCCTGGCACTTTATATATTGTATATATGTCGGCTAAGGTTCAACCAGGGAAACCAAACCACTAAAAGATTCTCATTCTCTCTCTCGTGTGTGTGTGTGTGTGTGTGTGTGTGCCTGCATGTGGTGTGTTTTTATAAAAAGATTTGTTACAGACATTGGACTTATGCGGCCGTGGGAGCGGGTTAAGTGGTCCCAGTAAGTTTGTTGTCTTCAGGACTGATGCTAACAATTGAAGTCCACAGGCCAGACAGTGGGGAAAATAAGATGGATGTTAAATAAGAGACAGCCTGGATAAGTCAGAAGGCACAAACACAAGCTGGAGCTCACGAGAATGAACTGGAACCTTCCAGTTGCTGTCGCCCCCAATCTTGATCTCATCGTTAGTAACGGGTAAAACTGGGATGTAATGACAAAGTTCCCTTTCCACTCCAGCATTACAGAAAAAAAAAAACCGAGGGCCGGGCGGGATGGCTCACGCCTGTAATCCTAGCACTTTGGGAGGCCAAGGCACGTGGATCACCTGAGGTTAGGAGTTCGAGACCAGCCTGGCCAACGTGACGAAACCCCATCTCTACTACAAATATAAAAATTAGCCTGATGTGTTGGCACACGCCTGTAATCCCAGCTATCGGGAGGCTGAGGGAGGAGAATCACTTAAACCTGGGGCGGGGGGCTGCTGGCGGAGGTTGCAGTTAGTCAAGTTTGCGCCGTTGTGCTACAGTTTGGGCAACAAGAGTGAAACCCCAGCTCAAATATAACATCTACATAGATGCTAACAGGAAACAGAGTGAATGGACCAACACCCTGTTTTAGGACACAGCAAAACACAAGAGTAGACATTAGGAAAGAGTTAATCACTGCTAGAGCACGGTTGTAACTAAAAACCTAGTGAGCAAGAGAGACATTGGAGGCACTTCTAGTAAGACAAAGAAGCCCTGCCTTTGAAAAATGAGGATTAAATCTTCTAGAGGAATCAAGATGGGCAGAGCCACCACACAATTGCAAGAAACACAATTCATACAGAATGTAATGTAAACATGCCACTAGAATTGTGCAACACAATGGTTCTGAAGTCAGCAGGCCATTTGCTAGACTGTTTAGCTATACATACACTGCAGAGAACACTACAACTTCAAACAAGTTGGGACAATTTTATAAGTAGATAAATACTCAAGAGGGACTACTCTGATTTGCATGGATATTTACATGTTAATCAGTCCTTCCCACCCAAAAGTACACACACAAACACACACATATCCCCCACATAAGCTTCCCCCATGCAGAAAAAGTTGAGAACTAGAATGTGAATTTGTTTATGCTCTGTGGCTATTGGTGCTGCTAATACTGTCATACATGTGTTTGACAGGCTGTGTAGAAGTGAAATTCTTGATGGCAATTAAAGTCTTTCAATAAGTCTCATCTTATTTTGAAAGGTGAGTTTCTTAATGGACTGTTACCACACTACGTAGCTGCAGTTATTCGGAACTGTCCATCTTGCTTGCTAAGTAAGAACAGGAAGGAAATGTGTGCTGTAAGAGGAAGAACGGTTCCATTTATGGAAATGATGAATAGCTTCCAAAAGGCAGGGTCATTTATAACAATAGGTGTCAGAAGGTTTGGTGCATGAACAATAGACTGAGCCTGACAATATCCGGAGGGAAAGGCCGGCATTGTGACAGGTGGGCAGGCAGTCCCAAGGACACTGCATTATTAAACATTTCTCATATCAGGCAAGCAGCCCATTTATAGTGCCGAGCTCTGGAAGGATCCCGCCTCCACTTCACTGTAGCTAAGCTGGAAGTGTAAAGCAGGAGGGGCAGGAGTGGACTTTTTTTTCCATCAACACATACCTTGTATGTAGGGAATGAATAACCCATTCCACTCAAAAAATGGATAATCTATTCTAGTCACCTCTGATGCACTCCCATATAAAATAACCTATTCCACTAGAAAAAAATAAAAATGCTTTTTAAGAATTTGACTCATCATTCTCACTTGGGAACTTCCTGAGCTATAACTTCTCCTTGACCCTGTTAGGCCCAGGAAAACTAAGAAATTGGTCTGAGCACTCAGAGTGTAACATTATTCAGGTGGGCCAAGAAAGGAAACCAAGACTCTGTCTCTAATAACTAGTCTATGGATTTACCTCCTCATCCTTGCAACTTGTGTATCCTCAGTCCAGTACTGTAATGCTACTGGGAATGTCCTTTATTTTACATAAGGAACAAAATACCAGCTGTTCAAAAGGGACTGGAATAATCTGTTCTCTCTCACAACAGATGAACAACTCCTCCAATCTGAGAATCATTTAAATTTTGTCCTATTATAACTTATAATGATTAAAGGGAAGAATGCTCATTAAATCCACTGGATATAAAATGCCTCCATTATTATTGTTCTTTGCAAAGTTGGCTTGCATTTGAAAATGTAAATGAAATGGAGATAACGCAGCACAAGCATTCTACAGAAACTGAGGTCAAGTGTACAGGAGAGTGGAGATGTGTAAACATTTGCTCATGAAGCTTTCAGGCATCAGGCATGGGTCTATCATAATACCTCCAAGCTCCTAACTCATTCCACCATGGAATCATTGACCTTTAGAACTGATAACCACAGGGGAGATCATTCAGTGCAATCTCTTTTCATGTATGTAATAACTAATAATTTAGGTCAGGGAACTTCTCCAAAGATGCTCAGAGACATGGGAATCCCAGGCCAGGGCCCTTTCAATTTACTTTGTTGTGTCCCTCTAAGTTAAAAACTGTAAGAAGCTGGAGGTCTTTAAGATAAGAATAATCCACCCTTTTCCTTAGGAGGGTTCAGAAATTAAGAAATGGCCTTGAGGCAGGTCACTGGACTCACTTTTCTACTCTAAGCTCATTCCTCCTGCCACAGCCTTACCCAGATCCTGTAATATAATTTTCAGATGTTTAAAATTCTTTTCAATTGAGCTCTGCTTCAAGGGCCTAAAGAGTATGCTGGGGATTCAAAGTCACATTATCTCTTCTTCGTTAAGAGAGATGCTTACGTAACCACTGGCTTTTAGTTTAAGAGACCAAGTGGCAATGGCTCAATCATCATAGCCATATCAAAATATAAATTTGTGAATCTAGCTGTATGACAAGTATATTTCCAGACTGAAGGCTTCTTCTTTGTCTCCTGCGCCTATTCTGCTTCCCATTCCAAACCGCCAAACCGCAGTTGCTAAGTATTTTAGTGGTAGCCTAACGCACAGTAAGGTTTTTGGAAGATTCAAATGCCCCTGCAGCAGAAGCATGGAAATTTTTATTTTTTAACCGTGTCACTGAGGTTTAATTGAACTACAATAAACTGAACATATTTAAATTATAATATTTGGTAAGTTTTTACATATCTAGGACCCTGTGAAAGCATCAGCACAGTTAAGATAGTTTTCTTAGTCGGCTTGTGCTGCTATCACAAAATACCATGGACGAGGTGGTTTAAACAACAGACACTTATTTCTGACAGTTCTGGAGTCTGGGCAGTCCCAGTTCAAGGTGCCAGCAGATTTTGTTCTTGGTGAGGGATCTCCTGCTGGCTTGCAGATGGCTGCTATCTCACTGTGTGTTCACATGACCTCTTTGCAGGTGAGAAGAGAGAGAAATCTCTGTCTTCTTTTTCTTATATGGGCACTAATTCCATCATGAGGATGCTATCCTGATGACCTGATTTAAACCTGATCACCTCCCAAAGGTCCCACCTCCAAACACCATCGCACTGAGAGTGAGGGCTTCAACAAATCAATTTTGAGGGGACACAAACATTCAGGCCATAAAGATAGTCAATATATCCAATTCTTTCAAAAGTTTCCTGTATTTTCTAAAGTTTTTGTTTGTTTTTTGAGATACTCTGTCACTGAGGCTGGAGTGCAGTGGTGCAATCTCGACTCACTGCAACCTCACCTCCTGGGTTCAAGTGATTCTCCTGCCTCAGTCACCTGAGTAGCTGGGACTACAAGTGCATGCCACCACACCTGGCTAATTTCTTTGTATTTTTAGTAGAGATGGGGTTTTGCCATGTTGACAAGGCTGGTCTTGAACTCCTAAACTCAGGTGATCCACCTGCCTTGGCCTTCCAAAGTGCTGGGATTATAGGTGTGAGTCACCACATCCAGCCTAGAGATTTAGGTAAATGAAAACATACCATATGTATTTTTTGGTCTAGTTTCTTTCACTCAGCATAGTTACTTAGATTCCTTCATATTGTTGCATTTATCGTCAGTATCAATAGTTCTTTCCTCTTTCTGAGTAGTATCCCATTGTATCTAGACACCACAAATTGCATATATATTTACTGGTGATGAATATTTGGGTTGTTTCCAGTTTGGGTCTACTAGAAATAAAGCTGATATAAACATTCATATGTCAATTATAGTATGGATACACATGTTCATTTCTGTTGGGTAACTATCTAGGAATGGGATAGCAGGATCATATAGTAGTTGTATATTTAACTTTTCAAAAGACTGTCAATCTGTTTTCCAAGGTGGTTGCACTATTTTATAATCCTGCCAGCAATGTTTCTCCACATCTTTGCCAACACTTTTTAATGGATTGTGCTTTTGGTGTTAAATATAAGAAATCTTTGCCTGACCCACAGTCACAAAGATTTCCTCCTATGTTTTATCATAGAAGTTTACATTTATGTTTACGTTTCACATTTAGGAAGATGTTCCAGTTTGAGTTAATTCTGTATATGGTATGAAGAAATGGATCAAGATTCTTCACCCCTCCTCCATTTTTTTTTTTTGCATGTGGCTATCCAGTTATTCCAGCACAATTTGTTGAAATGTTTAATCTTGATAGAATTGCTTTTGTACCCTTCTCAAAGATAAGATGTCCATATATATAAGGTTCTATTTCTGGACTCGCTGTTCTGTTCCATTGACTTGTCTATTCTTATACTAGTACAATTATTATTTTTATTATTGTAGCTTTGTAATGAGTCTTGAAATCATAGTATTAGTCCTCCAACTTTGTTTTCCATTTTTTCAGTTGCTTTGGCTATTCTAGGTCTTCACACTTCCCTGTGAATTTTAGAATCAAGTTGTCAATTTCTCAAAAAAAAAGGGACAAGATTTTGATTGTGATTGGATTGACTCTGGATGAATTTGAAGAAATTGACATATTAACAATCTTGAATTGTCTTATATAAACAAAGTATATATCTCCATTTATTTAGATCTTTTAAAATTTCAGTTTTTTAATAGTTTTTCACTATACAAATCTTGCACATCTGTTGCCATATTTATCTCTATGTATTGAATAGAATGCTATTGCAAATGTTATTATTTTATAATTTTAATTTCTAATTGTTTATTGCTAATACGATATATTTTCGTGTGTTGACCTTGTATTCTGCATTTTCCAAACTTACTTATGGATTACAATTGTTTTCTGTAGATCATCGTGTTTTCTATATATCTCATTATATTATTTGAAATAAAGATAGTTTTCTTCTTCTTTGCAAATATGGGTATCTCTTTTTTATTTTTCTTGCTTTATTGTAGTGGCTAGAAAATCCAGTACAATGTTGAATAGACATGGCAAGAATTGACAATTTTATTTCATTCCTGATATTATAAGGAAAGTGTTGAGTCTCAAAATTGTTAGCTCTAGGGTTTTTATAGATCACTGACTTAGTTTGCTGGTGTTCCTATAACAAAATACCACAGATTGCATGGCTTAAACCACAGAAATTTATTTTCTCACAGTTCTAGAAGCTAGAAATACAAGACGAAGGCTTAAACAGGGTTGGCTTCTTCTGAGGTCTCTCTTTTTGGTTTACAGATAGCCTCCGTTTCCCTATGCCTTTGTTCTTTACAGGTATATGTCCAAATTTTCTCTTCTTATAAGGACAGCAGTCATGTTAGATTAGAACCCACACTAATGTCCTTCTTTTAACTTAAATCCCTCACCAAAAAGCCTATCTCCAAATACAGTCACATTCTGAAAAATTGGGAGTTAGGACTTCAAAATATGAATTTTGAGAGGATACAACTCAACCCATAACAATGCCCATTATCAGGTTGAGGAAATTCCTGTTTCTAGTTTGCGGAGAATTTGTATTAGGAATGGATGTTGGATTTTGTTAAATCTTGTTTTTGCATATCTATGGAGATAATCATGCTTCCTCTTTCTTAGTTTTTTTAAATATGAAACACATTGAATAATTTTTAAGTGTTAAACATACCTTGTATCGTGGAATAAATTCCCATTGATCATAGTATATTACTCTTTTTATGTATTTCTGGATTTCATGCACTAACATTTTTTAGAATTTTTGTGTCTGTGTTCATGAGGCTGGACTCTTTCTTTCTTTCTTTTTTGTATTGCCTTTGTCAGGTTTTGATACATGGGTAATGCTGGCCTCAGAAAAGGAGTTGAGAAGTATTGAACAAGCTGGATAAGTTTGTAAAAAAATTGGGATTACTTCTTCCTTAACTGTTTTGTAGAAATCACTGGTAAAACCATCTACTCCTGTATTTGTGAGATGATTAGCTATGAATATAATTACCTTAATAGATACAGGGGATCATTCAGGTTATCTTTTTCTCTTGAGTGAGCTTCCATAGTTTGTGTCTTTCAAGGAATTTGACCATTTCATCTAAATTGTCAAATTTATTCACATAAAGTAATTTATAATATTCCCATATTACCGTATGTAGAATCTGTAATGATGTCAACCCTGGAAATTTTATTTTTCCAGTAACTGCTACTAAATTCACTCAAACAAACTTCCTTTCCCTTTGGTTAGCAGGTAACTTAAATGGGCTGACCTATAAATTTGATCTATAAACTTTCTGACCTGTATATTTTTAGTCACTTTCAGTTACCAAATCAATCCAGTCCAATAAGTATTTCACTCTCAATATGAGATTATGTAAAGTGACCAAATCTATGACATATTGGCATTCCTGAGAGAAAAGAAGAGAAAGTAAGCAACTTGGAAAACAGATTTGAGAACATAATTCAGGAAAATTTCCCCAATCTCGCCACAGAGATCAATACGCAAATACGAGAAATCTAGAGAACTTCTGCAAGATACTATACAAGATAACCAACCGCAAAGCACATAGTCATCAGACTGTCCAAGGTCAACATGAAAGAAAAAAATCTTAACGTCAGCTAGAGAAAAGGATCATATTAGCAAAAATAAAAACTCATTAGACTAACAGTGGATTTCTCAGTGGAAACCTTACAAGTCAGGAGAGATTGGGGGCCCATTTTTAGCATTCCTAAGGGAAATAAATGCCAGCCAAGAATTTCATACCTTTCCAAAATAAGCTGCATGAACAAAGGAGAAATATAGTCTTTCCCAGAGATGCAATTGCTAAGGGAATGCATCAACACCAGATCAGCCCTACAAGTGATGCTGAAGGGAGTTCTAAATATGGAAACGAGAACAATGCTACCACAAAAACACATGCAAGCACGTAGCCCACAAACACTATAAAGCAACTGCACAATCAAACTACAAAGCAATAGGCAACAACTCTATGACAGGAACAAAACTTCACATATCAATATCAGCCTTGAATGTAAATGGCCAAAATGCTCCACTTTAAAGATACAGAGTGGCAAATTTGATTAAAAAAAAAAATAAGACCCATCCTTCTGCTGTCTTCAAGAGACTCACCTCACATGCAATGATATCAGTAGGCTCAAAGTAAAGAAATGGCAAAAGACCTATCATGCAAATGGAAAACAAAAAAGAGCAGAAGTCACTGTTCCTGTATCAGATAATATAGACTTTAAACAAATAAGTTTAAACCAACAGTACTTTAAATCAACAGTTAAAAAAAAAAAAAAGGACAAAGAAGGGCATTAAATAATGATAAAGGGTTCCATTCAACAAGAAGATTTAACTACTGTAAACACATGCACTCAACATTGGAGGACCCAGATTTATAAAACAATTACTCCTAGACCTAAGAAAATACTTATCTGGCCACACGATAATAGAGGGGGACTTCAAGGCACCACGGACAGCATTTATACAGGTCATTGAGGCAGAAAACTAACAAAAATACTGGACTTCAACTTGACACTTGACCAATTGGACCATGTAGACACCTACAGAATATTCCACCCAACAACCACAGAATATACATTCTTCTAATCTGCACCTGGAACATACCTCAAGATTGACCACATGCTCAGTCATAAAGCAAGTCTCAATAAATTCAAAAACATCAAAATCATACCAACCATACCCTTGGACTACAGCGGAATAAAAATAAAAAGCAATACCACAAGGAATTCTCCAAACCACATAAATACATGGAAACTAAACAACTTGCTCCTAAATAACTTTTGTGTAGACAATGAAATTAAAGCAGAAATCAAAAAATTATTTGAAACAAATAAAAATAGAGACAAAACATACCAAAAGCTTTGGGATATGGTAAAACAGTGCTAAGAGGAAAGTTTATAGTGCTCAACGCCTACATCGAGAAGATAGAAAAATCTCAAAATAACAACCTAATCTCACACCTAAGGTAACTAGAAAAACAAGTTAAAAACTAAACTCAAAGTGAGCAGAAGAAAAGAAATACCTAAAATCAGAGCAGGACTAAATGAAATTGAGACTCCAAAAACAAGACAAAAAGTTGGTTATTTGAAAGGATAAGCAAAATTAATAGACCAGAAAAAAAGAGAAAAGATTCAAATAAGCACAATCAGAAATGACAAAGGTGGCATTGCAGCCTATCCCACAGAAATTCAAAAGATCCCTCAGAGACTACTGTGAAAATTTTTATCCATACAAAGTAGAAAATCTAAAGGAAATGGATGAATTCCTGGAAACACACAACCTCCCAAGACTGAACCAAGAAGAAATAAAAATTCTGAACAGACCAATAAGGAGTAATGAAATTGAATCAGTAATTTTAAAAATCTGTCACCAACCAAATCTCTGAATCAGAAGAATTCACAGCCAAATTATACCAAATGTATTAGTCAGGGTTCTCTAGAGGGACAGGACTAATAGGGTTTATATATTTTATATATATATATATATATATATATATATATACACATATATATATTTTTAAATATATATTATATGTACATATATACATAATACATATGTACATATATACATAATGTACATATATACATAATACATATATATTATATGTATATAGAAAATATATATTTTATATACATATATATGTATATATATGTATATAAAATATATAATATGTATATGGGAGTTTATTAACAAGTATTAACTCACATGATCACAAGGTCCCACAATAAGCCATCTGCAAGCTGAGGAGCAAGGAAGCCAGTCCAAGTCCCAAAGCTGAAGAACTTGAAGTCCAGTGTTTGAGGGCAGGGAGCATCCAGCACAGGAGAAAGATGTAGCCTGTGAGGCTAAGCCAGTCTGGTCTTTTCACATTCTTCTGCCTGCTTTTTATTCTGGCCGTGCTGGCAGCTGATTAGATTGTGCCCACCCAGATTAAGGGTGGGTCTGTCTTTCTCAGCCCACTGACTCAAATGTTAATCTCCTTTGGCAACACCTTCACAGACACACCCAGGATCAATACTTTGCCTCCTTCAATCCAGTCAAGTTGACACTCAGTATTAACCACCACATCAGACATACAAAGAAAACCTGATACCAATCTTACTGAAATTATTCTAAAAAATAGAGGAGGAGCGATTCCTCCCTAACTCATTCTATGAATTAGTATCATCCTAATACCAAAATCTGGAAAACACATAACAACAACAACAACAACAACAAAAACTACAGGCCAATATCCCTGATTAATATAGGTGCAAAATCCTCAACAAAATACTAGCAAACAGAAACCAGTGGCCCATAAAAAAGTCAATTCACCACTATTGAGTAGGCTTTAGTCATCAGATGGAAAGATGGTTTAACATACGCAAATAAATAAGTGCAATTCACCACATAAACAGAATGAAAAACAAAACCATATAATTATCTCAATAGATGCAGAAAATGCGTTTGATAAAATCTAATATCCCTTTATAATAAAAAACTACAACAAACTAGATATTGAGGGACAATACCTCAAAATAGTAAAAGCCATCTATGACAAATCCACAGCCAACATTATACTGAACAGGCAAAAGTTGGAAGCACTCCCCCTAAGAAATGGAACAAGACAAGGATGTCCACTCTTACCACTCCCATTCAACCTAGTACTAGAAGTCCTAGCCATTGCAATCAGGCAAGAGAAAGAAATACAAGTCATCCAAATAGAAAAAGAGGAAGTCAAAATATCTCTCTTTACTGATTCTAAACTTTGAAAACCCTAAATATTCTGCCAGGTAACTCCTGGAGGTGATAAACAACTTCAGCAAAGTCTCAGGATACAAAATCATGTACAAAAATAAGCTGCATTTCTGTACACTCATAACATTCAACCTGAGAACCAAATCAAGAATACAATCCTATTTACAATAGCCACAAAAAAAAAAAAAAAACTCTAGGAATAAATCTAACCAGAGGGGTGAAAGATGTCTAAAAGAACTACAAAAGATTGCTGAAAGAAATGATGGATGACACAAATGGAAAGGCATTCCATGCTCGTGGATTAGAAGAATCAATATCATATCCATACTGCCAAAAATAATCTAGATTCAGCACTATTGCTATCAAATTACCAATGTTATTTTTCACAGAATTAGGAAAAACCTATTCTAATATTTATATGGAACCATGAAAGAGCTTGAATAGCCAAGGCAACCCTAAGCAAAATAACAAAATGAGAGGCATAATATTACCTGACTTCAAACTATGCTATAAGACTGTAGTAATGAAAACAGCATGGCACTGGTACAAAACAGACACATAGAACAATAGAACAGAACAGAGACCCCTCAAATAAAGACTCACACCTACAACTATCTGATCCTTGACAAAGTAGACAAAAATAAACAACAGGGAAAGAACTCCCTATTCAATAAATGGTGCTGGAAAAACTGACTAATCAAATGCAGAAGAATAAAACTGGACGCTTACTTCTCACCATATACAAAACTTAAGATGGATTAGGTTTAAAGGTAAGACTTAGAATCCCAGAATAAAACCTATGAAATATTCTACTAGACATTGGCCTATGCAAAGAATTTATGACTAAAGTCCTCAAAAGCAATTACAACAAAACTAAAAATTGACAAATGATACCTAATTATACAAAAGAGCTTCTGCACAGCAAAATAAATTATGAACAGAGTAAACAGAGAACCTACAGAGTGGGATAAAATATTTGCAAACTATGCATCCAACAAAAGACTAATATCCAGAGCCTATAAATAATTTAAACAAGTCAACAAGAATAAAACAAATAATTCCATTAAAAAATGGGCAAAGAACATGAACACTCTCAAAAGAAGAAATACAAGAAGCCAATAGCATATGAACAAATAGTCAACATCACTAATCATCACAGAGATGCAAATCAAAACCACAATGAGATACCATCTCACATTAGTCAGAATGGCTAGTAATAAAAAGTCAAAAAATAACAGATGTTGGACAGGTTATGGAGAAAAAAGAATGCTTAAAAATTGTTGGTGGGAATGCAAATTAGTTCAACCACTGTGGAAAGCAGTTTGGAGATTCCTCAAATAACTGAAAACAGAATTAGGCTGGGCATCGTGGCTCACGCCTGTAATCCCAAACTTTGGGAGGCCAAAGTGAGCAGATCACCTGAGGTCAGGAGTTCAAGACAAGCCTAGCCAACATGGGGAAACCTTGTCTCTACTAAAAATACAAAAACTAGCTGGGCATGGTGGCATGCACCTATAATCCCAGCTACTTGGGAGGCTGAGGCACGATAATTGCTTGAACCCAGGAGGCAGAGGCTGCAGTCAGCCAAGATCATACCACTGCACTCCAGTCTGGGTGACAGAGCAAGTCTCCATCCAAAAAAATAAATAAAAACAGAATTATCATTCAACTCAACTATCCCATTACTCAGTATGTCTGCAAAGGAAAATACATTATTCTTCCAAAAAGATACCCGCACTCATATGTTTATCACAGCAATTATTCACAACAGCAAAGACAGGGGATCAACCCAGGTGCTCATCAATGGTGCACTGGATAACGAAAATGTGGTACATAGGCACCATGGAATACTATGCAGTTACGAAAAGAATAACATCACGTCCTTTGCAGCAACATGGATGCAGCTGAAGGCCATTATCCTAGGCAAATTAACCTAGAAAAAACAAAACAAAATACCACATGTTCTCAGTTATAAGTAGGAGCTAAACATTGGGTACACACAGACACAAAGATGGAAACAATAGACACTGGGGATTCCAAAAGAGGGGAGGGAGGAGGGCAGGGGTCAAAAAGCTGACTATCAAATACTATGTTCACTACATGGACGACAGGATAATCAGAAGCCAAAACCTCAGCATCATGCAATATACTCATGTAACAAACCTGTATATGTGTCTCATGAATCTAAAATAAAATTAAAATTAAAAAACAATTAATATTTCACTCTCTTATTTGATTCAGTGCCTTTCAACACCTACCGTAGGCTAGCGGCTCCAGATAATTTAACTAGAAAAAGTACTGTTACAACACTTTGCCTCTGTTTCTCCTGTTAGAGCAGAGAAGAGAAAAGGGGAGAGGGTTATGGAGAGCAGAGTGACTGGGAGGCTTCTTTGTTTGCCACTAATGTGCTCCCTCACTTGACAGAGAAGGTTGTATATTGGCCTCCCAATGATGTCCACATTTGAAATATGTGCATTTTTCTTTAGAAGGCCAAAGGGACTTTGCAGATGTGATTAAGTAAAGGATTGAGATGAGGAGACTACCCTGGATTATTCAGATGGGCCCGATATAATCATAAAGGTTCTTATAAGAGAGACACAGGCAACTACAAGGTCAGCAGAACACCATGCAACAATGTCAAAGGTTGGAGTCATGCAGCCATGGGCCAGTCCCTAGGTGTGGAAAGCAATAAGGGAGGGGTTCTCTCCTGGATCTTCCAGAAGAAGCCAACCCTGTTGATACCTTTATTTTAGGCCCCTAAGACTCATTTTGAAATTCTGTCCTCTAAAACTATAAGAGAATAAATTTGTGTTGCCCTAAACAGAGTTTGTGGTAATTTGTCACAGCAGCAATAGAAATCCAATATACCTAAGTCACCATGGCTTAGAGGCACAAGTAGCTCTCCCCTTTCTGCTGGTTGCCACTGCTTATCTAGCCTGTTATGTCCTTCTAAGGTGGCACCCAGAGGCCTCAAAAGAGCCTTTGACAAGGGACTCAATCCCATGCAGCAAACCACAATATTAATAATCTCTTGAGATATTCTGCACTTTCCAGTTCACTTCGGATACTGACATGACTCTCCTTTCCTCTCTGCCCGATACTAGAGTGATCCCACCAAGCTGCAGTGGCCCTTCTCTTTTCCCCTCTATTGCTCCAATTGGGAAACCTAGAATGCGGTAAGATCCACTTTCCATCATTTTCAGGAACCAAACACTCAAGAAAGTGAGCCTTGATACTCTGCCTGGTCACTTCACTATTCTGTTTCTGTGCGATGTTTTCTTCCCCACTCTATAGCATCAGGACACATCAGCAAGAGTGATATCATGGTGGCCAGCCAATGGAGGAATGACTGGCAGTCTCCTCTCGGCGCAAATACCCACAAACTTTGTGAACATTTTATCTTGCTTACGAACCCCAAATTTCATTTGATTGAAGGAGGGAGACCAGTTGAATGCTTTCCCCTTTTCATGAATACCTTTCTCACACTCCTATGGCCCCCTACTTATTGCTCCCATTGTCAAAGACCAGCAAACTAGTTTAATTCCACTCACAACAGGAATTAAGAGTGGGAGTCTCAGATAAGAACCAGACATTCTTTTTAACTCAGGCTTGGGGAGTTTAATAGCTTTGCTCCCTGCAGGTTACCCACTTCTACTGTCATCTCTGCACTCCTCAGTATTCTATAAGAAAATCTGAGTAAGTATCTCTCATCATCCTATTATACTTTTATATTATCCTATCTTGACATACAATTAGATATCTTGTTTGTGCCCCAAGTGACTGTTTGGCTTGATCAAAAAGAGAATGGCATGTGTGGAGCCTAGTCCTCAAATTCAACTCTGATTTTAGTGCCCTCTCTGTCACCAAGATATCTTAAAAAAAATGGCCCTTTTCATGGCCAGGTCAGTGAGCCTGGATAAACAAATGCAAACATATTGTCACTAGTATGGAGAACAATGCAAAAAGAATGTAAAGAATGGGCTGATGGCTGATGATGGCTACGTGGCTGAGTTGTCCCTATAATGAGTAAAGCTACATATTTTAAATATCTGCATTCATATGAAATTCTGAAACAGGTGCTTTTATTTAGCTTCTCTCAATCCCCTCAGTCTGTATCACTTGGTTGCAAACATTTGATGGAATAAAAAAGGTCTTATGAGTATCCAAGAAATTAGAAGAAGTATTTGGAATCTATGCTTTACAACTGCAACTAGCCAGGTCCTATAAGCCACAAATGCCCAGTAAATGTTGTTGATCATCTGACTAAGAGTTTAAAGCATCTCTTGAGACTCCTTAGTAAAATAAAATCTGGGCCATGATTCTTCACTTTTATACTGACTAGAGTGCTTAGCACAAAAGTTGGCACAAAATAGTCACTTGGGGAATGCTTGTTGGGTAATGGAATTGAATGGAATTGTTTATACATCTATCTCTGACCCTATGCCAAAATCCTGGTGGACTGAATTAATAAAAGGAAAGTAAGAGAATAGAAATGCACTTAAGTAATGGCAGGAGAAGAAACAGAGACTTACATTAAGTGAAGGGCAAAGTGAGGAGTTAGGATGATTACTGATTTTGGAGGCCCTTGATGCTTTAAGTGTAACACTGTGGCTATGTAATTTTAGATAGAAAATAAGATTCTGTTTAGAGGTTAGTCAAGGAATTCCCTTTTCTTGTGTAAAATTGGTACTTTTGCAACTACCACTATAGCATTGGAATGATGATGAATGTCAGAATGACTGAAAATTCTTATTTAACACCCTTTCTCATTTAGACCGCACTATTTTGACAAGACAAGCCTTTTTAATCTTCAAATTCAAAGTCTAAATGGCAAAGGATAAAGTTTTAGAGTTATCAAAGTATAACTTTCTAGATGGATGTTGGTATCAAGACATATGTCTATGTAATACTCACATATGTCTGGGGAAGCATACCTGAACAGGCAACAAAAACAGCAAAGAAGAATGAAATGGGCCAGAGGGTATAAGCAACATTCATTGCTTATACTCATCTGAAGAAATGGACTCTTGGGTTGTAGATGAAATCCCCTAACTATGGTGACAGAAAACTTCCCAATGGTCTTTTACACTATACTTCACCCAGAGCTCTCTGTCAACACTCCTGTGTCTTGGAATGAGTCTGTAAATATCCCTATTGCAAATGGACAACATTCCTGGCTGAGGCCATGCACATCGGCACAATACAAACTCACTCATGTTTATTCCCATGACACCCATCAAAGGATGATAAATTGGTACTATTCTTTGTATAAGCTAAGCACATTTTCACCTCTGGCCAGGATTTGACCCTGGGACAACTTTCCTCACATTTCTCATGCATTTGGTGCCCTGTATGGCCACGAGGTTCTACCTCATCATCCACTTCAGGTGTATTCTGAGAGCTACTAAAATAGAATTATTTAAATATCTACTCGCTAAGAAATTTGGTGATACAGTTGACAGAGGTGATTCAAAATGTGTCAGAAAGTAGGGTAAGAAATTGAGTTGGGGGAGTATATAAGGAAATAAGTAAAGCCGTTCCATGGGTGAATTCTGAGTCTCAAATTATTTTAGGTGGATGAGTTACTGTAAACCAGTAGTCAAAGTCATAATATAGAGAAAGCTTTTCAGCTTAATGAAATTCACTTCCCTGGCTCTGCAATTTGTCTCTCTTATGTGATAAATGTACTCTGTGGTAAGCCATTTTGCAAGACACAGAAAGGCAACACTACAGGGCAAAAGCCAGGAAAGTCACAACCTTGGACCTGAAAGTGAGCTTTGAATGACTGCTTCTTGAGGGAGCCTGGCCTAGATCTGATGTGGCTGTCTTTCTTTTCAATTCACTGGGATTTACCCCAAGATGAAAGAGAGGTACACCTTGGATCAGAATGGAATAGTCCACACTTGAAAGTGACGACTTAAAACCTCCATTCCTTTTAACTACTGTGCTTTTTTCTCCTGGGTACCATTGGCTCAAAAAAAAAAAAAAAAAAAAAAAAGAGGCAACACCAAAACCGTGACCATCTCAACCTAACCAAATGAAATTCTTTGTTCAAAAGCTTTACTCATACAGATGTCCTGCATGCCAACCATCAGTCAAGTATTCACTCAGGGTGAAAATTAATACCTAGAGCTTTACCTTTTCAACTCAACCTCAGCCAAATCCCTTTCCCAGGTAGCTCATATAATTTATTTTTTATTGTTGCTGCTGGATCTGGCAGTGAAGTACAAGTTCAAATGAGTGTTTTGTATTTTTAGCTATATATAACATATTAACTGGGGGAATGTGAAAATCTTAAGTGGATATAATTAACTCTAAATATTAACTAAATATCTTAATTATAGTCTCAGTTAAACTTTATTTATAGTTACTGTATCTAATCTAGAACACTACCAAGATCATACATATCTAAAATTCAGTACTAAATGAATGCCAACTGCAGTTGAAAAATACAAAGCAAAATCTTCAGAAATTATGCATTAATATGAATTTATCTACTATCTACTGTCTCTATATGTGTAGTTTGTTAAAGCAAATATAGTAAAAAAGAAAAATAATTATAAAAAAAGAGGGCCAGGCCCAGTGGTTCACTCCTGTAATCCCAGCACTTTGGGAAGCCAAGGCAGGCTGATCACTTGAGGCCAGGAGTTTGAGACCAGCCTAGCCCACATAACAAAAATACAAAAAATTAGCCGGGTGTAGTGGCCCACACCTGTAATCCTAGCTACTCGGGAGGCTGAGGTATGAGAATCACTGGAACCGGGGAGGCGAATGTTGCAGTGAGCTGAGATTGCCTGAACAACAGAGCGAGACTCTGTTTCAAAAAAAGAAAGAAAGAAAAGAAAAGAAAGAAAGAGAGAGAGAGTAGTCCCTGTCTATAAGATGAGTGCTTTTGGAAGCTGTTATTTCTCTGTAAGCCACCAGAATCTGTGTTTTCTTAGAGTTTGTAGAAACAGAGCCTTAACTAGCCCAGAGTGTGTGTGGGATGGCAAGGTAGAATAACCATGATTTCTATCATATGGAACTGATCATTAGTGTTCATTCCACATGTCTGGCAGTTCGGGCAAATGGAATTCCTGTGGCAACTGTGACTCCTGGCCTCCCCTAAATGTTCTTCCACGCTCATCTTCTACCTGTCCTGAAGTACACTTCCGTGAAGAGTTGTTCCTTTGTCTGTTCTTCCGAAACATGACTGCCCATCGGATTTGCCTGGAAAGTTTTTTAAGAAACGTTTTCCCAGACCCTATCCTAGACCTACTGAATCAGAATCTCTATAGCCAGGGCTTAGGGAATCCATCTAAATTTTTAACCAGTTTTCCAGATGTCTGGATGCAGTCAGTCTAGCTGATCCACTATTTGGAGACTACTACTTTAGAAAACAAACACGAAATGTAGAGAAAAAGAAGACACTCAGATAAAACATGGCAGAGAGGATTCCCCGCCTCATCATATTAATAGAGATAAGTTTATCAGACAAAGCTAGTTGTCACTTTGAAAGGCTCACAGAATATCTCTATTCCAGGAATCCAAAACTCAAATGCCTCCAGGGCAGGCAGATATCATAAATGAGTGAGGCCAGCTCAGTGGAATGGTTGGCTCCCTCAGCCTGCATTTTATTTCCTACTTCTGATAGGAACAAGGGAACAATAAATATCTCAGAGCTCTCTTAACTCTTTTATGAGAGAAGCAATGGTAGAAGCAGGCTGATTAAGAGCCATAAGCACTCAGCAACCATGGCAAAAAGTAATAGGGAGGAGTGGAGACTCTGGCATCTGAAGAGTTTCTGTCACAGCTAAAGAGAACAGCTTCTACCCAACTCTTGTCAACTTCTGTGGAGGCAAAGCCTGTGTGAAAGCAGCCATGGTTAAGAACAAAGGGAAAGTTAAGGAACGGCTAGGCAGGAGTGGAAAAGCTTTCTATTTAAGTTGGAGCTAGCCTCATAGAAAGGGAAGGCTTGTCCCTATTCCATGGGAAAGTAGATACAAATAACCAACTGTTTTTTATTCTATTGAGATTTTGATAGAATAAACTGGGATTTGGAATCAGGCAAATCTGCAAATAGAATCCCAGCAATCAAATTATTTAGGCTTGTCTGAGCCTTAATGTTTGCGCTTTAAAATGAGAGGTAATTTCTCATTTGCATGTTGGTTTGAAGGGTACTAAGTAAAAATACACACAAAGCTGCAAGCACATTTTCTGACACACATAGATGCTTGATAAAATTTTTTTTCTTGAACTTCCCATATTAGGAAAGTGAGTCATAGCAGACTCCTGTATTACCTTCTTTATATCCATGGCCCTTTGAAGATTTTAGAAACGAGACTGCTTTATCTCAACCATGCCATCTGTAAACTAGGACAACTCAGGCAGTGCTTTCTTAGATTTTTGCAGCCTCTTCAAGATTTTTTTCCAAGTATTACACCTGAGATTTGAATAGAAATCAGGCATTAGAAGGTGCTCTGTTACCATTTTTCATTTTTCAATAAGAATTGATGATATCATTTTGCAACAATAAGAATTTATGATCTAATGTCTCCCTTGACATAACCTGGAATTTCTCTGTTTTTTCTCACTTGGCCATCTATACACACACACACACACACACACACACACACACACACACACACACTCAGAAGATACATGACATCATTAATTATTACCAGGTCTCCAGGATTTATTTTGCCTTTGTATTTTCATAATATTTTGGGATTTTTCAGAACTTAATTTCTTTTCCTCTTACAAACAGAAGTAGTAAAACAGAAAGTAGGTTCTCCTCATGTAAAGTAATTTCTCACTTTGCGAATTTGGGAAAAAAATAACAAGAGTACTAATAGCAATGTCTGTCTGATTTATTCATTCACAAGCACTAACTGAAATTAGCACTAACCATGCTTTAGAAGTAGTACTTGATACATTCAGATACATGGTAATATTAGGCCCTCCACAAACAGGTCATCAAAGACAGTATCTATTCAGGAGTCAATTGCATAACTGATGGCTATATAACTTGTAGCCTGACAGTTTCCTTCAAGATACCATGATCACATCTTCATAATCAGTTACGCTGCCTATGTGTATTGCATATGACATACACCTTCTAGGATTAGGACCTAGGAAGAAAATAAAAGGAATATTGCATTAGATGCAGGTTCATTGGGTAATACTGTATTCTATCATTCTCATCTTCACTAGGTTGGTAATCATCTCCCTTGGTAGCAATGTCTCCAGAATTATATTGGCATACGTCCAATGAAGACTGTTGCAATTATTGACATAGCTGTTATTCATTTGTCATTTATATATTTCTTCAATTTACACTGTCCATTTACTTATATTGCATACTCTTCAATACTGTACCAAAGACTATTAGCTCTTCACCAAAATATGCTTTTTATTCATCCTAGGCATACAGCTTAACTACATATCCTAGCCTCCACTGGAGCTGAGTATAACCATGTAACTGAGGTCTAGCTCTGGCTTATAAAGAACATACACATCTGGCCCCTCATATACATGGTCTTTCCCCTTTCATATGAAGTCTACAGTAATGTTCAGAGGGATCTTGGAAGCAGTATGTTGAAAATTTCAGAGCCACCATTGGCCTGGGTCCCTGAATTTTCCTGTGGAGGAGAGCTACCTTACAAATCCAAATACCCATCTCAGACAAGAAATGTAATTCTTGTTTAAGCCACTGAAGTTGGCAGTTCATTTGTTACTGCATTCTAACCTACTCTAGCTTAATACATATAATAATTTAAGTGTTCAAAATAGCTTGGCACATCTGTTGAAAATCAATTTGCCATATAAGTATGCATCTATTTTCAGACTCTATATTGCTCCATGATCTACATATCAATTTGTATGCCAATACCAGTTTTTGATTACTTTAGCTTTATAGAAAATTTTGAAATTCAATAGTATAAGTTCTCCAATTTTGTTCTTTTTCAAAAAACTAAGCTATTCTAGTTCTTTATCTTTGCATATAAACTTTTAAATCAGTATCCCAATTTATTTGTTTTAAAAAAGTATCTTGGGATTGCATTAAATATCTTGGTAAATTTGGGCAGGATTGCTATCTTAATATATTGAGTCTTTCAGTCTGTGAACATGATCCATGGATATACAGATACGTGTGTGTGTGTGTGTGTCTGTGTGTGTCCATTTTTAAGGTCCTCTCTAATTTCCCTTCACAGTGTTTCAGTATTCAATTCTTGCATATCATTTGTAAAATTTATACCTAAGTATTTTTATGTTAGTAGTTTTTTGTGGATTCTCTATGTCTTTCTACACGCATGATTATGTCATCTGCAAATTAAAACACTTATATTTCCTCTTTTCCAAATGGTATGCCTTTTATCTCTTTTACTTACTTCACCGAGCTGGCTAAGACTTCCACTACTGTATTAAATAAAAGTAATCTTCCTGATCTTTGACAGAACTCATTAAGGCTTTTACCAGTGAGTGTGATGTTAGTGGTAGATTTTTCACAGATGTCATAAATCAGACTATGTTCCCTTTATTCCAAGTTTGCTGAAAGTTTGTATTACAAAAGTGTGTAAAATTAGTCCAAGTTTTTAAAATTTTTTTCATCTATTGAAATATTATATAGTTTCACTCCTTCATTCTATTAGAATGGTAAAATTATAATAACTGATTTTCATATGTTTTATCAAACTTGCAAGATTAGCTCCACTTGGTCATGATATATTATCTTTTTATATCTTGTTGGGTTTTATTTGCAAATACTTCTATGTTTATGAGAGATACTAGTTTTAGGTCTATTTTTTTGTGATGTCTTTATTTGGTTTTGAAATAAGAGTAATACTATACTTACAAATTATGTTGGGAAGCGTTCCCTCTTCCTTTGTTTCCTGAAAGCAATTTGTATAAGATTGGGACTTTTTTCCATACATGTTTAATATAATTCACCAATGAAGCCATCTAACTCAGGAGTTTTATGTGAGGGAGGCTTTTCAATTATAAATCAGTTTATTTAGTTGATATAGATTGTTCAATTTTTTTATTTATTCTAGAGTCAGTTTGGTTATTTGTGCCTTTCAAATAATTTGTTTATATTATCTAGATTGCCAAATGCATTAACATAACATGGTAATATTTCATTATTCTGCTTCCAATGTCTGAAGGAGCTGCAGGAATGTCCTCTGTTTTTATCTTGATATTTGTAATTTCTGCATTTTTTTTATTTTTGTCATGATCAGTACAGCTAAAAGTGTATCTATTTTATTATTTTTTCCCCCAAAGAATCAGCTTTTGGTTTCATTGACTATTATCTAATATTTTTCTACTTTTATTTCATTGATTTCTACACTTCCCTTCTGTGCTCTTTGGATTTAATTTTTGCTTCTTTTTCTAGATTCTTAGATAAAAGATTAGACCATTGTTTTAAGACCTTTCTTTCCTACTGCAAGCATTAAAGTTCTGAATTTTTCTAGTACTATTAGCTGCACCCCACAAACTTTTATTGTTGGATTGTCATTATAAGTCAGTTCAAAATACTTTCAACCCCTCCTGTAATTTTTTGACTCAAAAATTATTCAAAAGAGTACAGTTTAATTTCCAGGTATTTATATTTTTCTACTCTCTCAATGTTGATTTCTAGCTTAATTCTACTATGATGAAAGAACATAATATGTATGAGTTCAATATTTTTATATTTGAGACTTTTGTTTAAAGCTCACTATATGGTCTATCCTAGTAAATGTACTTCGTGCATCTGAAAACAAATGTACCTTCTGCCATTGTTGAGTGTAGTCTTATATGAATATCAAACATCAAAAAGGTTAGTCGAGGTGTTTAGATCTTTTTGATTTTTTTCTAGTTATTCTATCAATTGCTGAAAGAGTAGTGTTAAATTCTTCATCTGTGATTTTAGAATAGTCTGTTTCCCCCTTTAATTCCATCAAGTTTTGCTTCTTTTCTTTTGAAACTTTATTAATGGTGTATAAGAATTTGTTATATACCCCTTTGAAATGATTTTTGTCATTGTAAAGTGTTCCATTTATTCTCAGTTAGCACATTTTATTTTGCAATATATTTTATGTGATATTAATATAACCACTGTATCTTTTCTATGCATACGTTTGTATGGTATATCTTTTTTTCAGCAATTTACTTTCTTTTTCTTTTCTTTTCTTATTATACTTTAAGTTCTGGGACACATATGCAGAAGATGCAAGTTTGTTACATAGGTATACACACACCACGGTGGTTTGCTGCACCCATCAACCCGACATCTACGTTAGGTATTTCTCCTAATGCTATCCTCCCCTAGCCCTCTATCCCCCAACAGACCCCGGCGTGTGATGTTCCACTCCCTATGTCCATGTGTTCTCATTGTTTGGCTCCCACTTATGAGTGAGAACATGCAGTGTTTGGTTTTCTGTTCCTGTGTTAGTTTGCTGAGAATAATGATTTCCAGATTCATCCATATCGCTACAAAAGACACGAAGTCATCCTGTTTATGGCTGTATAGTATTCCATAGTGTATATGTGCCACATTTTCTTTATCCATCATTGATGGGCATTTGAGTTGGTTCCAAGTCTTTGCTATTGTGAACAGTACCACAATAAACATACATGTACAGGTGTCTTTATAGTAGAATGATTTATATTCCTCTGGGTATGTAACCAGTAATGGGATTGCTGGGTCAAATGGTATTTCTGGTTCTAGATCCTTGAGGAATTGCCACACTGTCTTCCACAACGGTTGAACTAATTTGTACTCCCACCAACAATGTAAAAGAATTACTATTTCTCCACATCCTCTCCAGCATCTGTTGTTCCCTGACTTTTTAATGATTGCCATTCTAACTGGCGTGAGATGGTATCTCACTGTGGTTTTGATCTGCATTTCTCTAATGACCAGTGATAATGAGCTTTTTTTTTATATGTTTATTGGCTGCATAAATGTCTTCCTTTGAGAAGTGTCTGTTTATATCCTTCACCCACTTTTTGACGGTTTTTTTTTTCTTGTAAAGTTGTTTAAGTTCCTTGTAGATTCTGGATATTAGCCCTTTGTCAGATGGATAGACTGTAAAAATTTTCTCCATTCTGTAGGTTGCCTGTTCACTCTGATGATAGTTCCTTTTGCTGTGCAGAAGCTCTTTAATCAGACGTCATTTGTCAATTTTTGCTTTTGTTGCCATTGCTTTTGGTGTTTTAGTCATGAAGTCTTTGCCCATGTCTATGTCCTGAATGATATTGCCTAGGTTTTCTTCTAGGGTTTCTATGATTTTAGGTCTTACAATTAAGTATTTAATCCATCTTGAGTTAATTTTTGTATAAGGTGTAAGGAAGGGGTCCAGTTTCTGTTTTCTGCATATGGCTAGCCAGTTTTCCTAAGACCATTTATTAAATAGGGAATTCTTTACTCCATTGCTTGTTTTTGTGAGGTTTGTCAAAGATCAGATGGTTGTAGATGTGTGGTGTTATTTCTGAGACCTCTGTTCTGTTTCATTGGTCTATATATCTGTTTTGGTACCAGTACCATGTTGTTTTGGTTACTGTAGCATTGTAATATAGTTTGAAGTCAGGTAGCATGATGCCTCCAGCTTTGTTCTTTTTGCTTAGGATTGTATTGGCTATAAGGGCTCTTTTTTGGTTCCATATGAAATTTAAAGTAGTTTTTTTCTAGTTCTGTGAAGAAAGTCAATGGTAGCTCAATGGAAATAGCATTGAATTTATAAATTACTTTGGGCAGTATGGCCATTTTCATGATACTGATTCTTCCTACAATGAGCATGGAATGTTTTTCCATTTGTTTGTGCCCTCTCTTATTTCCTTGAGCACTGGTTTGTAGTTCTCCTTGAAGAGGTCCTTCATGTCACTTGTAAGTTGTATTCCTAGGTGTTTTATTCTCCCTGCAACACTTGTGAATGGGAGTTCACTCATGATTTGGCTCTCTGCTTGTCTATTATTGGTGTATAGGAATGCTTGTGATTTCTCCACACAGATTTGTATCTTGAG
This sequence comes from Homo sapiens, assembly GCF_000001405.40. Classification (NCBI taxonomy): domain Eukaryota; kingdom Metazoa; phylum Chordata; class Mammalia; order Primates; family Hominidae; genus Homo; species Homo sapiens. The sequence continues at coordinate 7,630,821 of NC_000009.12, read as the reverse complement.
ACTTTGCTGAAGTTATTTATCAACTTAAGGAGTTTGGGGGCTGAAACAATGGGGTTTTTTAGGTATACAATCATGTCATCTCCAAACAGAGACAATTTGACTTTCTCTCTTCCTACTTGAATACCCTGTATTTATTTCTCTTGTCTGATTGCCCTGGCCAGGATTTCCAACACTGTGTTGAATAGGAGTATGAGAGTGATGAGAGTGGTGAGAGTGGCGAGAGAGGGCATCCTTGTCTTATGCCCGTTTTCAAAGGGAAGTCTTTCAGCTTTTGCCCATTCAGTATGATATTGGCTATGGGTGTGCCATAAATAGCTCTTATTATTTTGAGATACATTCCATCAATACCTAGTTTATTGATAGTTTTTAGCATAAAGAAATGTTGAATTTTATCAAAGGCCTTTTCTGCATCTATTAAAATAATCATGTGGTTTTTGTCATTGGTTCTGTTTATGTGATGGATTACCTTTATTGATTTGAGTATGTTGAACCAGCCTTGCATCCCAGGGAAGAAGCCCACTTGATCCTGGTGGATAAGCTTTTGGATGAGCTACTGGATTTGGTTTGCCAGTATTTTATTGAAGATTTTTGCATCGATGTTCATCAGGGATATTGGCCTGAAATAATTTTGTTGTTGTTGCATCTCTGCCAGGTTTTGGTATCAGGATGATGCTGGCCTCATAAAATGAGTTAGGGAGGAGTCCCTCTTTTTCTATTGTTTGGAATTGTTTCAGAAGGAATGGTACCAGCTCCTCTTTGTACCTCTGTTACGATTTGGCTGTGAATCCATCTCATCCTGGGCTTTTTTGGGTTGGTAGGCTATTAATTAATGCCTCAATTTCAGAACTGTTATTGGTCTACTCAGGGTTTCGACTTCTTCCTGGTTTAGTTTTGGGAGGGTGTATGTATCCAGGAATTTATCTATTTCTTCTAGATTTTCTTGGTTATTTGCGCAGAGGTGTTTATAGTATTCTGTGATGGTAGTTTGTATTTCTGTGGGATCGGTGTTGATATCCCTTTTATCATTTTTTATTGTGTCTATTTGATTCTTCTCTCATTTTCTTCTTTATTAGTCTGGCTAGCAGTCTGTTTTGTTAATTTATTCAAAAAACCAGCTCCCGGATTCATGGATTTTTTTTGACAGGATTTTTGTGTCTCTATCTCCTTCAGTTCTGCCTGACCTTGGTTATTTCTTGCCTTCTGATAGCTTTTGAATTTGTTTACTCTTGCTTCTCTAGTCCTTTTAATTGTGATGTTAGGGTGTCGATTTTAGATCTTTCCAGGTTTCTCTTGTGGGCATTAAGTGCTATAAATTTCTCTCTAAACACTGCTTTAGCTGTGTCCCAGAGATTCTGGTACGTTGTGTCTTTGTTCTCATTGGTTTCAAATAACTTATTTATTTCTGCCTTGATTTCATTATTTACCCAGTAGTCATTCAAGAGCAGGCTGTTCAGTATCCATGTAGTTGTGCGCTTTTGAGTGAGTTTCTTAATCCTGAGTTCTAACTTGATTGCACTGTGGTCTGAGAAACTATTTGTTATGATTTTTGTTTTTTGGCATTTGCTGAAGAGTGTTGTACTTCCAATTATGTGGCCAATTTTAGAATAAGTGCGATGTGGTACTGAGAAGAATATATTCTGTTTATTTGGGGTGGAGAGTTCTGTAGATGTCTATTCGGTCCACTTGGTCCAGAGCTGAGTTCAAGTCCTGAACATCTTTGTTAATTTTTTGTCTCGTTGATCTAATATTGACAATGGGGTGTTAAAGTCTCCCATTATTATTGTGTGGGAGTCTAAGTCTCTTTGTAGGTCTCTAAGAACTTGCTTTATGAATCTGGGTGCTCCTGTATTGGGTGCATATATATTTAGGATTGTTAGCTCTTCTTGTTGCATTAATCCCTTTACCATTATGTAATGTCCTTCTTTGTCTTTTTTGATCTTTGTTGGTTTACAGTCTGTTTTATCAGAGACTAGGATTGCAAGCCCTGCTTTTTTTTTTTTTTTTTTTTTTTTGCTTTCCATTTGCTTGGTGAATCTTCCTCCATTCCTTTATTTCAAGCCTATGTGTGTCTTTGCACATGAGACCAGTCTCCTGAATACAGCACACCAATGAGTCTTGACTCCTTCTAATTTGCCAGTGTGTGCCTTTTAATTGTGGCATTTAGCCCGTTTACATTAAAGGTTAATATTTTTATGTGTGAATTTGATCCTGCCATTATGAGGCTAGCTGGTTATTCTGCCTGTTAGTTGATGCAGCTTCTTCATAGTGTCAATAGCTTTTACAATTTGGTATGTTTTTGCAGTGGCTGGTACCGGTTTTTCCTTTCCATATTTAGTGCTTCCTTCAGGAGCTCTTGTAAGGCAGGCCTGGTGGTCACAAAATCTCTCAGTGTTTGCTTGCCTGTAAAGGATTTTATTTCTCCTTCCTTTATGAAGCTTAGTTTGGCTGGATATGAAATTCTGGGTTGAAAATTCTTCTCTTTAAGAATGTTGAATATTGGCCCTCACTCTCTTCTGGCTTGTAGGGTTTCTGCAGAGACCTGCTGTTAGTCTGATGGGCTTTCCTTTCTGAGTAACCTGCCCTTTCTCTCTGGCTGCCCTTAACATTTTTTCCTTCATTTCAGCTTTGGTGAATCTGATAATTATGTGTCTTGGGGTTGCTCTTCTAGAGGAGTATCTTTATGGTGTTCTTTGTATTTCCTGAATTTGAGTGTTGGCCTGTCTTGCTAGGTTGGGGATGTTCTCCTGGATAATATCCTGAAGAGTGTTTTCCAACTTGGTTCCATTCTCCCCATCCTTTTCAGGTTCACCAATCAAACTCAGGTTTGGCCTATTCATATAGTCCCACATTTCTTGGAGGCTTTGTTTGTTCCTTTTCATTCTTTTTTCTCTAATCTTGTCTTCATGCTTTATTTCATTAAGTTGATCTTCAATCTCTGATATCCTTTCTTCCACTTGATCGATTTGGCTATTGATACTTGTGTATGCTTCATGAGGTTCTTGTGCTATGTTTTTCAGCTCCCTCAGGTCATTTATGTTCTTCTCTAAACTGGTTATTCTAGTTAGCAATTCCTCTAACCTTTTTTCAAGGTTCTTAGCTTCCTCACATTGGGTTAGAACATGTTCCTTTAGCTTGGAGGAGTTTGTTATTACCCACCTTCTGAAGCCTACTTCTGTCAATTTGTCAAACTCATTCTCTGTCCAGTTTTGTTCCCTTGCTGACGAGGGGTTGTGATCCTTTGGAGGAGAAGAGGAGTTCTGGTTTTTGGAATTTTCAAACTTTAGGCGATGGTTTTTCCTCATCTTCCTGGATTTATCTACCTTTGGTCTTTGATGTTGGTGACCTTCAGATGGGGTTCCCGTGTGGATGTCCTTTTTGTTGATGTTGATGCTATTCCTTTCTGTTTGTTAGTTTTCCTTCTAACAGTCAGGCCCCTCTGCTACAGGTCTGCTGGTGTTTGCTGGAGGTCCACTCCAGATTCTGTTTGCCTGGGTATCACCAGCAGAGGCTGCAGAATGGCAAAGATTGCTGCCTGTTTCTTCCTCTGGAAGCTTTGTCCCAGAGGGGCACCTGCCAGATGCCAGCCGGAGCTCTCCTGTATGAGGTGTCTCCCAGTCAGGAGGCACGTGGGTTAGGGACCCTCTTGAGGAGGCAGTCTGACCCTTAGCAGAGCTCAAGCACTGTGCTGGGAGTTCTGCTGCTCTCTTCAGAGCTGGCAGGCAGGAACATTTAAGTCTACTGAAGCTGCACCCACAGCTGCCCCTTCCCCCAGATGCTCTGTCCCAGGGAGATGGCAGTTTTATCTATAAGCTCCTGACTGGGGCTGCTGCCTTTCTTTCAGTGATGCCCTGCCCAGAGAGGAGGAATTTAGAGATGCAGTCTGGCTACAGCAGCTTTGCCGAGCTGCGGTGGGCTCCTCCCAGTTTGAACTTCCTGGCAGCTTTTTTTACACTGTGAGGGGAAAACCACCTACTCAAGCCTCAGTAATGGCAGAAGCCCCTCCCCCTACCAAGCTCAAGCATCCCAGGTAGACTTCAGACTGCTGTGCTGGCAGCGAGAATTTCAAGCCAGTGGATCTTAGCTTGCTGGGCTCCACAGGGGTAGAATCCGCTGAGCAAAACCACTTGGTTCCCTGGCTCAGCACCCCCTTCCAGGGGAGTGAACGGTTCTGTCTCACTGGCGTTTCAGGCACCACTGGGGTATAGAAAACAAAAAAAAAAAAAAAAAACTCCTGCCGCTAGCTCAGTGTCTTCAGATGGGCTGCTTTGAATCTGTTTTACACATAAGTAGTTGAAGGTTCAAGTAAAGATGTGAGTAAACAGACTTTGGGGATCCCTTCTCTGGCTCTTTGCTTTGTGGTATACCCCAAATCTCTTAATCATTCGTGGCTTCTTGGCTTCTCTTTTTAGCATTCCCAGGCCACAAGGTTGCAGGTTATCCTATGTTTGTTTGTGTTTTCTCTCTTTTTCAGAGAGGTTCTCACTCTGTTTCCCAGGCTAGAGTGCAGTGCCATGATCTCGGCTCACTGCAACTTCCGCCTCCTGGGTTCAAGTGATACTCATGCCTCAGCCACCTGAGTAGCTGGGATTACAGGCGTGCGCCTCCACACCCGACTCATTCTTGTATTTTGAGTAGAGATGGGGTTTCACTATGTTGGCCAGTCTGGCCTTGAACTCCCAACCCCAGGTGATCCGCCCACCTCAGCCTCCCAAAGTGCTGGAATTACAGGCATGAGCCACCATGTCCAACTGTATGTATGTTTTTGCCTCTGTTGTGCTCACCACCATGAAATGGATTTAGACATGGTCTAAGGGCTGCAGAGATGGAACCTACATGTCCAGTTTCTACCTTCTCTCCCCTACATCAGTTTACAATTTCCACCAGGGCCTGTCTGCTTCCGTTCTCTCTTCAGTACCTTCAGAGTTTCAGCCTTGGTCTCAGTTCAGATTTTTCTTGTTTTTGGCTAAACTTCTTAGTCTATTCCATACATGTGTAGTTTAAGGTCAAAGACACGAGTAAATAGAATGTAAGAATGACTTCGCTGTCTCTTTCCTGCTCCCACTCTCCTCAGCATTCATCTCCACAGCTTTGCTTTTCTTGTACTTCACACTTGAAAGATGGCGGATTTTCCCACTTGTATCCTACTAGTTTTGTGCCTCACAAATGTGACACTTAGCTGTAGTCTAAATGCAATGGAGATGGGACAACTGTATAGGACTCCATCTCTCTTTCTCCAAGACAGTGTACACTCCCTATGAAAGTCTGTCTGCTTCTGTTCATTCTTCACATAGTGACTTCATGTAGGCACTTTTTATGACCAAGTTGTGTAAGTGTTTTCTGCATGAAGCAATCATTTCATAGGGTTTTAGTCCATCACACCCATCACACCCAGAAGTGAAAACCAGCCAAATGTTTAAAGCATAGAATTTTAGCACTCAAAAAGACTTTAGATGTCATCTCAGTGATCAAATTTAGACCCAGGGAGATCAAGTGCTGTGACTGAAGTCACATAGCTACTCAGTGATCGAAGCCATTAAATAAATGTATGACTTGGTTCATGTTTTAGCGTATGATGTTCCCCAAATAGCACTGTGATCTCTCTGGTTAATGGGGGTGAACTGGTGGAGCAGGCCACTGAGATACCGTTCTCATGAAGAATTTGAGAACTTCCTTAGAAGACAGGCAGGACTTGTTTCATGTTATGGTGTGATTATTTACCCAAATTTACCCTGCATCCAGACTCCTGAGGTATGGTTGACTTGGCTGGCAGTTTATGCAATTAGTTCAACCAGAAAGACTTTGGAATAAAAGCCACATTGCTTTGGTATTATCCTAAGAGAAGATAACAACATGGCAAGTGACTGAGGCATTTTCTACGTCTGTGCCAAAAGACAACTTGTGGCTCTGGCACATCCAGATCTCCAGAGCAACGACAGTGGCAAGGGGGGTAGAGCCCAGAAAAGGAGGGCAATGCTGATCAGAGTCAGCAGGAGAACCTGAAGGAAGCAGCAACGTTCCAACTTTAGGCAGCAATGCCTGTTTAGAGCAGCAGTTTTCAGGGGAGGTGGGCAGTGCCAGGAGGAAATGGCAGCATCTAGCAAAGTGGGTCCAGAACCAGGAAAGGGGAATTATAACTGACAAAAGTTGTTTTTGAGAACATTAGTGAGAACTTCTGTGGCCTAAATGTTTGTGTCCCCCTTAAAATCGTATGTTGAAACCTAATCATAAATACAATGGTAATAGGAAATAAGAACCTTTGGGAGGTGATTAGGTCATGAGGATAGAGCCCTCATGAATGGGATTTTAGAGCCCTTATAAAAGATACCCTAGAGGACTACTTAGCCTCTTCCACCATGTGAGAACACAGTGAGAAGGTACCATCCATAAGCCATAATCAGGTTCTTACCAGACACAGAATCTTCTTGCTCCTTGATCTTGGACTTCCCAGGCTCTAGAACCACAGTTCAGAAGTGTTAGGTTGGTGCAAAAGTTACTGTGGTTTTTGCCATTAAAAGTAATGTCGAAAACTGCAATTACATTTGCACCAACCTAATTTTTGTTGTTTATAAGCTATCTAGTTGATAGCGTTTTGTTATAGCAGTCCAAACAAAGACAAGGCCCCTTTGAAAGAAAAAAAGGGGGTTGTCTACGGACCTGAAAGTCCTGCATTAACTGGTGATACAAGACACCATGAAAACACACATGTTTAATGTCAGTTTGATCTAATTTCAAATTCTAGGCAAATGTGACCTAAGTAGGCACAGGTTACAAATACATATTAGCCAATTGACTGAATACAATTGTCAGTTGGTGGAATTGGGATGAATAGGCCAAAGAGATGTCAGGAATATTTTTAAGCAAATGTAATATTATATATAAAGGCATAGAAGTTAGAAAGTGCACATAGAAATAGAAGCAATATGTTTTTGAGACAGTGTTTGCCTGTACAACATATCAACACATTTAGGTCATATTAAAATTGGCCAACATTGATTCCAGTAATTAAATATCCTGCCATTCAGGTGTCTTTATTACTACAAACATACATTTCACAAGCCAAGGAGAATAGGAGAGTAAAAAGGGAATTCAGTCAAAGAAAGGCCAGAGAAAAATTCTTCAGTATTTGAAGATATGGATGTCAATGTCCTACTTTTAATGGTAACAGCATTATTCGGGTAGGACAATAAAAGAGTCCCCTCAGTGAAGCAGGAGGTTGGTATGGAAAGAAGGTGAGGCTGTTTATGTGGATGTGTTGGGAAACGCTCTATTAAGCAGGGTCTTGAACACAAGGCTAAAGTATTCAGATTTTATCCAGTATGTAGTAGGAAGATCTGTGGTGGTTCTTGAGCCGAAGAATAACGTGACCAATATGGGAAGAGATAACAGTAGCACAGTATTCAATGTAAAGGATGGAAAGGTGACCCCTGAAGATTTTTCAGTGACTCATGTATGAGATGATGGAAACAGGCCTGGGAGGATGGCAGTGGGAGTGAAGAGGGAAACCACAACTGTTGAGACTAAGGATGGAATACTGTCATGATTAGTATTGTCATAGCTTCTGGAGGGCAGGCCTCACATCATTCATCTTTGTATCCCAAGAACAAGCACAGTGCCTGGTGCTTGGGGCAAGTGGCAGTCAGAATAATTTCTAGAATATTTCTGTGCTTTCTTGTAATCATTCTTTTCTGTTTTCTCATGCTGAAGATGCTTTGCTTTTCACATGGTACTTGTTTGTGAGCACAGAGCCAGAAAATAATTAGGGGTCTGCAGTCCTGCCAGGTGTTTGTTTAATGCTCTTAAAAGAGAATACACTTCAAAGAGCCTCTCATCCTTTGTTTCCACCATACTTTTAGCTTCTAACTCTCTGGTGCTCCTACCATAGTTTTGTCATTCATGTGTTCAGCTCTGCCTTCTTGTAGAAATTTTCAAAGCAAGACAGTGCTATCAACGTCCCTGCCTCCTATTAAATGAATATCTAAGATGTTACTCTCTGGCAGCTTATCTGATAACTCTGAGATCAGAGACACTGTGATTTTCAGCAATAGGAGGTTTGATTCCAATATGACATACAGTAGGGCTCTGGCTTCATCAGAATCCCCCTGGTGATGCACTGCCAGCTAAGCTGGCCTCATCTGACTCCTTCTCTGCATGCCGCCTACACACACTCAGCAGCTGTTAACATTAAGAATATTCACACACACACACATATGGAAGAGCAGCCTAGGAGAGAAAAACAATCACTTGGAATCTGTGGATAAAAATTATATAATAATAAATATGGCATCAGGGTCATTCAGTTTTGCTATCAGTGGGCCATTCTTTCTGAAGTGCTCACCCATCAGTACCCTAAAACTTTCTTTGATGGGATGGGGTGTAGCTCCTTGGCTAACCTTCTGAGTGCTGGCCTTGGTCTGTCACTACCTGTGCCACCATCACCATTTCCTCATTGCAACCATTATTCTGTTGCATGCACTGGGCTCATCTCACTTGTGCCAAGGACTATGTTTAATACAGCACCATGAGGGAACTGCTCTGTTAAATATGAACCCCCAAAGTAGATGAGTAAAGGAGTCCCATCACCAAAAGAGGGGGACCACTAAGGGTATAAAGGGAAAATGAGGCTGGGTACACGCCCATATTGGAAGGTGCTCTAAGGAGGAAGAGCTTGAACGTTGGGCCATAGAGAGGCAGGCCAGCTATTCAATTATTGATTTAAAAAACATAATAGAGTAATACGGTGTTAAAGATAACCACTATTTCACTTCTACTCACATTCCCTGATCTACTCACACCACCAAACTGGGAAGTCCTGGGAATCAAGTGACCCCAAACCACACCACAGCTAATGGATCCAACCAATAATATTCCCTTTTCTGAGAATTGGGACTTGGGACACATAGGCATGAGCAAAAAGTTCATTTATCCTAAGAAATCCTTTGTGTCAGCTGTGATAGCATCATGGAAAAGCCTGAGAAAAGGAGAAAATCTTGGTTGCAGAGAGGATAAAGCAGATGTGTGAAGATGAAAAAGGATAAGAAACCATCTAACCCCAAACCAAGCACAGATGATTCAAAGTGGCTTTGCTGTTCCCCCAAGGACTAGCCATACTTTTTATAATTGTTTTCCATTGGAAACTGCTGGAATAAATTCCTTTTCACCTAGGCCTCTCCATGTGGGATTCTGTCCCTTACAAATAAATTTATTAACTAAGAAGGCAGCCTTGAATGTTATTGGTGGGCAATGTGGAACAAAGAAAAGTCATGAGAAGTTAGGCTTTTCCTCTCCTAGGATGCTCTGAAGTAAAAGAATAATGTTTAATTAGTTATTATATTTTCCTTCAGCAAGCACCTTAACTGGTCATGGTTTCTTACTCTGAGTATTCTTCAAAAAAGTAGAACTAACGGATAGATAGATAGATAGATAGATAGATAGATAGATAGATAGATACTCTCTCTATATATATAAATATACACAAACACATACACACATACGTGTATACTCATGTGTGTCTTTGTGTAGGGGGAGAGAAAGAGTGTGACAGAGATTTATTATACAGAATTGGTTCATATGATTATGGAGGCTGACAAAATTTACAATCTGCAGTGGGCACACTGGAGACCCAGGAGAGCAAATGTTGTAAGTTCTAGGCTGAACAATAACATGCTCAAGACCCAAGAAGAACCAATGTTTCAGTCCAAGTCTAAAGGCTGGAAAAGACCAATGTCCAGCTCAAGAAGTCAGGCAGGAGTTTCCTCTTAAATAGGCTTTTTGTTCTATTCTGGTCTTTAGTTGATTGAATGATGCCCACCGACATTAGAAAAGGCAATCAACTTCACTCAGCCTACCAATTCAAATGGTAATCTCATCCAGAAACACCCTCACGAACACACCCAGAATAGTGTTTGGCCAAACATCTTTTCACTCCATGGCCCAGTCGAGTCAAAACACAAAACATCACACTGATTTGATGGTGTTACCTGAGAACTAAGCTCTGATATTTTTATCTTGCCCAAATTCCTATCTGAAAGGTCTGGAGAGTCATGCCCTACAAACCATAAATTCTCATCAGATGGGTTTAATTTAACCATATATATCATGACTTACTTTCCAGTTTGACTCTGGCATAACATTATGTGATAAAGAAGAAAGTCAAAATATTTTATCCCGGCCGGGCACAGTGCTTCATGCCTATAATCCCAGCACTTTGGGAGGCTGAGGCAGGCAGATCATGAGGTCAAGAGATCAAGACCATCCTGGCCAACATGGTGAAACCCCGTCTCTACTAAAAATACAAAAATTAGCTGGGCGTGGTGGCACGCGCCTGTAATCCCAGCTACTTGGGAGGCTGAGGCAGGAGGATCACTTGAACCCAGGAGGTGGAGGTTGCAGTGAGCCAAGTGCCATTGCACTCCAGCCTGGGCGACAAGAGCAAGATTCCATGTCAAAAAAAAAATTTACCCCAAATTATATTTCTTTGCCATATCTTGAAATGGCCCTGCAAAGCTGTCCTCTGTGGGGGAAAATTTGCATCTGTAAAGAAACTCTGTTAACATAGCTAGATCTTTTTCTTCCAGGCCCTTCCAGTCCTAAAGAGATTAAAAGTCTAGCATTTGTCATCTATTGTCTCTTAGGGTAGCCACTATAAAACTTCAGAAGAACCTTGGTCTCCACAATCTTTATCTTAAGCTGAAGATTTCCTTTCTATCATCCCAGGTGTTTACATAAACTCAACCAATTGTCAGTCAGAAAATGTTTACATTTACCCACAGCCTGGAAACCTCCACTTTGAGTTTTCCCACCTTTCTGGACCAAACCAATGTATTTCTTAAATGTGTTTGATTAATGTCTCATGTCTCCCTAAAATGTAAAAACCAAGTTGTGCCCTGACCACCTTGGGTGCATGTTCTCAGGACCTCCTGATGGCTGTGTCATGGACCATGGTTACTCATATTTGGCTCAGAATAAATTTCTTCAAATATTTTACAGAGTTTGACTCTTTTCACCGACATACCTGTGGCAAATCCACACAGGTCTGCAGCAAGCTCCATTCTTTCCTCCTCAGAAGAAAGAATTTGAGAGCCATAAGGCAGAAGAGACCAAGGCAAGTTTTAGAGCAGGAGAAGAAGTTTATTAAAAAGCTTTAGAGCAGGAATGAAAAGAAAATAAAGTATACTTGGAAGAGGCCCAAGTGGGCATCTTGGAGATCAAGTGCCCCATTTGATCTTGGACTTCAGTTTTTGTATGCTGGCCTACTTCCAGCATCAAGAGTCCCCTTTCCCTTCATTCTTCCCTTAGGGTGGACTGCCTGTGTGTACGGTGGCCTGCTAGCACTTGGGAGGTGAGCATGCACAGTGTGTTTACTGATGTTGTACACATGCTTATCTGAGGCATTTTTCCCTTTTCCAGTGAAATGCCCCGGGAAGGTCATATACCAGTTAAACTCCACCATTTTGCCTCTTAATTTGCATGCTCAAGGCCACTCACTTAGTTCCTGAGATCTTATTGGGAAGCTGCTGATCACCAGCTACAGGTATTTTTATCCATTGGCAAACTGTCTTTTCCTGGCCCTGGCTGCAACCAATTATTATTTTAGAGGGGCAGTGTGACAACTGCCTGACCATCACCTGATGTCAACTGACATTCCTGGTGAGGCTGAGGGGACCCTCTCCTGCCCTGCTGGTGCCTGGCTATCTACCTACTGTACCAAAGGCAGTATGACCTAAATATTTATTCCTTTTAGGCCTGTGGCATTAGTGATCATGCCTATTTAGATTGTTACAATTTCACATTACCTTTAACACAAGACATGGGAAAATACTAAGAGACACTCAAAAAATCTCCTGTTTTCCAGACATACACCTTCCTACCCTTGTGTAGGAACAATCCAATTTTCCCTTGATAGGATTAATCCTCTTCTATAAAAATGACCCTTTTCTTTGCCTGTTGGTTCATTGGCATGAAGAGCCCATAATGGCCAGTTAATAGTGTCAACTTCCAGTTTAGTGAATCACTGTTGTGTCCTATGATATGTCTTATTTTGTCATGTAAGAACTGTACGTTAAAAGTGGTGGGGACAAACTTTGCCAGAGGATTATTAAGGGTATAAACCCAAAACTATCTGAGACAGGTCTCCGTCAATTTAGAAAGTTGATTTTGTCAACATTAAGGATGCATTTGTGACACAGATTCAGGGGGTTCTGACGACATGTGCCCAAGGTGGTCTGGCTGCAGCTTGTTTTTATACATTTTAGGGACACATAATAAGTCAATCAATACACATAAGATTTACATTGGTTCCATCTGGAAGGGTGGAACAACTTGAAGCAGGGGGCTTCCTGGGCATAGGTAAATTTAAAAATTTTCTGACTGGCAACTGGTTGAGGGAGTTATTATCTATAGAAAGGAATTTCTGGGTTACAATAAGGAGTTGTAAAGACCAAAATTTTATCACACAGATGAAGCCTCCATATAGCAGGCTTCAGAGTGAATAGACTCTGAATATTTATTAGACTTAAGTGTATTTTGATGTTAAACGCTGGTCAACTTTTCTTGAATTCCAAAAGGGAGGGGGGTACAATGAGGCATGTTTGATCCCCTCTTCCATCATGGCCTAAACTAGTTTTTTACATTAACTCTGGAATGTCCTTGGCCGAAAGGACATTCAGATAGTTGAGGGGCCTTAGAATTTATTTTGGTTTACAGGGCTAACAGAGAGCAACTATTCCCATTTCTACCCCTGGTTCCTGGACCTATAAAGCTTGTCTGTGAGAGAAAAAGGACCATGTATTGGTCACTGATTCAAAGCATATACTGCATCGTGAAGTGTTTTACTCCAGCCCTGCAAAATAGTTCTGTACATTTGGTACCATAACGTAGTCTTCAGAAAAATATTCTACTATCCTATCAGGTCAAGTTATTCAGGGTGAGCATCATAATATGACTAGTAAATTCCATGTTAAATAACTTTCATGGACAACACTAACACCGAACGTTTAACTGAAACACTAAATAGGACATTTTGGAAATCTATGAATAGTTTTGACAGAATCTTCAAAGACAAATTCATACCCAAAATATGTGTCTTTTCCACTGAGAACAAAGAGCTATTTATTCCATGATAAAAGTAGTATAATTTAATTAACCTTCTCCGATCGCTTGGGAGTGGTGACATATTGATGGTTTAATGTTCTCTGCTGCTGGCAGACTGGACACTCATTAGTGACTAATGCCTAATTGGTCTTTGCCTACAAGAAGTAAGCAAAGTGGAGGTCCATGTTACTGACCCATGTATAACCTCCATTCCTCCCACCACAGCCACCTTGATAATAAGACAAGTACGGGTATGGCTGGGGAAAGAGGCTAACACCCACAGCCTGAGTTATCTTATCTACCTAATTATTAATATCCACCTCAAAGGGAACTGAGGGTGCTCTTTGGGAAACAGTCATATAGCACACAAATATCTTTACATTTTGTGCCCATTTTGGAGAGGTCTGTTCATATACCACTTCTTGACTCATCATCAAATTTTTGCATTGTGTTCCTTCCAAGTTTCTGACTCCATTCAAACCATTAGCCACTACCCATATATCACGCAGATCTATAAACCTGGCCATTTTACCTATGCAAAATAAACAACAAAGTGTACTACTTTAAAACAGGGGGAGGAACTGATTCTGGAACTTTTGCTTTTCCTTGGAAGAAATATTGATGGGAGACAAATCTGAATAGTCTTGGGGGCTCATCTCCTTCCCCTTTTGAAAACTTAGCAGAGAGCTGCCTTAGCTGCACGGAGCCAGCCTGCAAAAGATAGGCCCTTTTGCTGATTTCAGCACTGCTAACAGGCAAATTTGTTCCCTGAGCCTTTGGTATGCAGACCTTTGTCTCTGATATGCATCTTGCCTAGCATGTTCTTGGACCCAGAGATCTGTTTTAGTTTATTTATTTATTTTTATTTATTTTTTTAACTACAGGAAACCAAGCACTTCCTCCTTCTTTTACACTAACTTTATAACTGGGTAAGGGAATAGGAGTGCTTTTTTTATACAACCAGCTTTCTGAATGAAGCAAGCCTCTGTAGGACTTTTGGTCATGATACATATAGGTCATCGATGTCCATTCTGTGATAGAGTAATGAGAATTTGGGAGATTATGTAAACTCTACTACTTCTCTGATTGTAAACTCCCATCCCCCACTGCCACCCATTAAACTCTGTGTTATAACTGCAACCCCTGGTACCATGCTGAGTGTCCATGGCCCCTGTGATGGTTGATATTGAGTGTCAAGTTGATTAGATTGAAGGGTGCAAAGTATTGTTCCTGGGTGTGTCTGTGAGGGTGTTGCCAAAGGAGATTAACATTTGAGCCAGTGTACTGGGAGAGAGAGACCCACCCTCAATCTGGGTGGGCACAATCTAATCAGCTGCCAGCGTGGCTAGAATAAAGTGGGCAGAAGAAAGTGGAATGAGGAGACTTGCTGAGCCTTCATCTATCTCCCATGCTGGATGCTTCCTGCTCTCCAACATCACACTCCAAGTTCTTCAGCTTTTGAACTCTTGGAATTGCACCTGTGGTTTGCCAGGGGCTCTTGGGCCTTTGGCCACAGACTGAAGGCTGCACTGTCAGCTACCCTACTTTTGAGGTTTTGGGACTCAGACTGGCTTCCTTGTTCCTCAGCTTGCAGACAGCCTATTATGGGACTTCAGCATGTGATTGTATGAGTCAATACTTTTTGTTGTTGTTGTTGTCATTTTGAGATGGAGTTTCACTCTTGTTACCCAGGCTGGAGTGCAATGGCGCCATCTCAGCTCACTGCAACCTCCGCCTCCCGGGTTCAAGCAATTCTCCTGCCTCAGCCCCCCAAGTAGCTGGGATTACAGGCACCCACCCTCATGCACAGCTAATTTTTGTATTTTTAGTAGAGATGGGGTTTCACCATGTTGGCCAGGCTGGTCTCAAACGCCTGACCTCAGGTGATCAGCCCACCTAAGCCTCCCAAAGTGCTGGGATTACAGGCATGAGCCATCGTGTCCAGCCCAGTCAATACTAATAAATTCCCTTCATATATACATCCTATTAGTTCTGTCGCTCCAGAGAACCCTGACTAATATAGTCCCTTTCATTGCAAATATCTTGAGATGCCCCAAGCCACTGGAAGCCTAAAAGCTTCACCATATCAGCATGCTACTGCATTTTTATGAGAAACATTTCCTAAATTCTGGCACACATATGTCCCAAGGAGTGTCTACTTCCTGTTTAGTGCTATGTTACTAACATGATGAATCACCCTAAGTCCTTTGGAATGGGCAAGCAGGTAGGTTCCCAAGGAAAAGGTTATAATAAAGGGGTGAATAGTTAATAAATTCCTGAGAAGGGCAATGTACTTCCAGCTGCCAACTGAAAGCAAATTTGTTTTGGTGTCTTTACTAACAGATATAAAAACATTTGCCAGGTCTCCAGCTGCATACCAGGTGCCAGGGGATGTGTTGACTAGATCCAGTAGAGAAACAATATCTGTAATAGGCTACAAATGCTGTCCCCCACCACCTGATTGAGTATATAACAAAGATTCACCTGTTGTCTACACAGTAAAAGAGGCAAGCTGTATAGGGATGTGGTAAGAATCAACAACCCTGCTTCTTTCAAGTCCTAGATGATGGCATTTATCTCTTCAGTGATTTTGGAGAGGTCTATTTACATATCACCTTCTGACTACTTAACACCAAATTTTTGGGAGGATGAGGAAGTTCTACATGTTTCCATTTGGTCTTTCCTATCATAAATGGCCTCATTCCATAGACCAGGGAACAATATGGGGATTCTATCAGTTGTCCAGTTGTCTATTTCAGCTATGCATTTTATAAGTGAGAAAATAACTATTGCTTGACATAGACTACCAGTCTCCCATTTACCACTGACAACAGATTAATCAGTGCTTTTAAATCTAGGCAGATCAGAGTCTGAATGTTATATTGTTATCCTTAATGATGTATTCTTCTAGAACCACTTCTAGTGGTACCATAATTGTTTCAGTGACTATTCAATTTAAAATGATATACACTAAGCATTTATTATAGGAAATAATAGAATTTACATGATTGTGGGAGAAGCCAGAGCAGGGAAGGCCTGGGGGAGGAAGCGGAAGATTTGAAGACATCAATAACCAGTCTTTTTTAAGCACTGGCATAGGTGGACAAGTCAGAGCTTCCAAGGAAATCTTAGAAACTAGGCTCATTCAATCACTGAAGTGGGGGCCCCCAGTGACAAATTGCTTGCAAAGAGCATAGCAGTTGCTGTATCTATGTAGCTACCACTTCTGTGCATCTATCAGTATTCCTGGGACTACTGCTGGTTAACAAAACCAGAAGTCAGGAGAAAGAACTGGACTTGGAGTGGAAGAAAACAAAAACAAGCTGGAACCTGACAGGCACTTCTTTATCTTTTCATCACCATATTTTGTCCTGAAGTTCTTCAGAAAGAAATAATTTTGCATTAGTTCCACCTCCCAAATCTCATACAAGTTCTTCTTTTGAAAAACGTTAACCTGGAGCCATAGTGGGAAGAGGGTCCTAGAGAAATGTGGCTACTAACTTAACTAAGTTAACAATAGAACAATCCGGCATCAAAATAGTGATACAAAGGTGAATAAAATACGGAGTGCAGTTGGAGGGGGAGCCAACAGAGGAGGCTAAGAGAACAGTAAGAAAACAGGAAAACCAAGAGGGTGTGGTTTCTCAGACAACACATTCAGAAAATGCCTTAAGAAAGAGTCATTGGTTCTGCCAAACGCAGACTAAAGGCGAAAGAAAATGAGATTTTGGAGCTGATCATAACATTTAAGAACATGGACATTATTGTTGACCTTTAGGTGAATGGAGTGAAGCTGGTAATGAAAGCTTGAAGGTACTGGTATAAAGGGAAAAAAACTGGAGACAGGAGAATGAACAATTATTGCAGGGAAATTTTCTATAAAACGTCATAGAGAAATTCAGTGGTAGTAGAGAGTTGCTCTAGATCAAGGAAGATTTTGTTTTGTTTATAAAGATGGGAACTATTAAAGTATCTTCGGATGTTGATTAAGTATAGAGGCAAGAATCAATGATGCAAGAGAAAGACAGCAAGGGACAAGTGAAGGAATAAAGTCTTTTTCCATGTATTCTTTTTTATTAACACATAATAGTTGTATATATTTATAGGGTACATGTGACATTTTGATACATGCATAAAATGTATAATGATCAAATCAGGGTAATTAGAATCTCTGTCACCACACACATTTGTCATTTATTTGTGTTTGGATCATTTCAAATTGAAGGAGTGAAGTCTTTAAGTAGGCAAAAGAAAATGGAACCCAGTATACATAAAGAGGGGCTTACCTTACAAGGCATATGATTCACTTTACCAGTGGGGAAGGTAGAGTAGATGAATGCAAATACAGTCACAATAGTGGATTTGTTGTCCAGGGGCATATGAAGTCATTCTTTTCTCATTTATTTTATATTTTCAATGAATTAAAAATTAGAGTTATTAGATGAAAGTGACAAGCAAAACGAGTTTTGGAAATTTGAGGAAAGGGGAGAAATTATGAAATAAGCATCTTGGAAAATAAAAAAATCAATTCAGAGAAGCAAAGTTGTATACTTGGTAGTGCTAGACCCTCACTTAAGATTTGTGAATGTGCACAGCAACATGATACCGAATGGGGAAAAGTTGAAAGCATTCCCTCTGAGAACTGAAAAAAGACAAGGATGCCCACTCTCACCACTCCTCTTCAACATAGTACTGGAAGTCCTAGCCAGGGCAATCAAACAATAGATAGAAATAAAGGGCATCCAAATCAGTAAAGAGGAAGTCAAACTGTCACTATTCACTGATTATATGATCATTTACCTAGGAAACTCTAAAGACTCCTCCAGAAGGCTCCTAGAACTGAAAAAAGAATTCAGCAGCCAGGCGCAGTGGCACACGCCTGTAATCCCAGCACTTTGGGAGGCCAAGGTGTGTGGATCACCTGAGGTCAGGAGTTTACAACCAGCCTGACTAATATGGTAAAACCCCGTTTCTACTAAATACAAAAAAATTAGTCAGGCATGGTGGCGCATGCCTGCAATCTGAGCTACTTGGGAGGCTGAGACAAGAGAATCGCTTGAACCTCGGAGGTGGAGGTTGCAGTGAGCCTAGATTGCGCCATTGCACTCCAGCCTGGACAACAAGAGTGAAACTCTGTCTCAAAAAAAAAAAAAAAATTCAGCAAAGTTTCCAGATACAAAATTAATGTACACATATTAGTAGCTCTTCTATACACCAACAGAGAGAAAGCTGAGAATCAAATCAAGAACTCAAACTTTTTTTTACAATAGCTGCAAAATATTAAAGTACTTAAGAATATACCTAAACAAGGAGGTGAAAGACCTCTACAAGGAAAACTACAGAACACTGCTGAAAGAAATCATAGATAACATAAACAAATGGACACACATCCCATGCTCATGGATGGGTAAAATTAATATTGTGAAAATGACCATACTGCCAAAAGCAATCTGCAAATTCAATGCAATTCCCATCAAAATACCACCATCATTCTTCACAGAATTAGGAAACAAAAATTCTAAAATTTATTTTTTGGAATTTAGAAACAAAAAGGAACCCACACAGTCAAAGTAAGACTAAGTAAAGTAAAAAGAACAAATCTGGAGGCATTAATTTACCTGATTTCAAACTACACTATAAGACCATACTCACCAAAACAGCATGGTCCTGTTATAAAAATAGGCACATAGACCAATGAAGCAGAATAGAGAACCCAGAAATAAATCCAAATAGTTACAGCCAACTGAACTTCAACAAAGCAAACAAAAACATAAAGTGAGGAAAGGACATCCTTTTCAACAAATGGTGCTAGGATCATTGACTAGCCACATGTAGGAGAATGAAACTGGATCCTCATCTCTCACCTTATACAAAAACCAACTCAAGGTGGATTAAGGATTTAAATCTAAGACCTGAAACTATAAAAATTCTAGAAGATAACATCGGAAAAACCCTTCTAGACATTGGCTTAGGCAAGGATTTCGTGACCAAGAACCCAAAAGCAAATGCAATTAAAACAAAGATAAATTTCTAGGACTTGATTAAACTAAAGAACTTTTGCATGGCAAAGGGAACAATCAGCAGAGTAAACAGACAACCCACAGAGTGAGAGAAAATCTTTACAATCAATACATCTGAAGAGGACTGATATCCAGAATCTACAACAAATTCAAGCAAATCAGTAAGAAAAAACAATCCCATCAAAAAGTGGGCTAAGGACATGAATAGACAATTCTCAAAAGAAGATAGACAAATGGCCAACAAACATATGCAAAAATGCTTAACATCACTAATGATATGGGGAATGCAAATCAAAACCACAATGCGATACCACTTTACTCCTGCAAGAATGGCTATAATCAAAAAAATAGATGTCGGCATAGATGCAGTGAACAGGAAATACTTCTACACTGCTAGTGAGAATGTAAATTAGTACAACCACTATGGAAAACAGTGTGAAGATTCCTTAAAGAACTAAAAGTAGAACTACCATTAGATCAAGCAATCCCACTACTCGGTATTACTCAGAGGAAAAGAAGTCATTATATGAAAAGGTTACTTGGACATGCATGTTTATAGCAGCACAATTCACAGTTGAAAAAACATGGAACCAACCCAAATGCCCATCAATCAACAAATGGATAAAGAAACTGTGGTGTATATATATATATACATGATGGAATACCACTTAGCCGTAAAAAGGAATGAATAGCACTCACAGCGACCTGGATGGGATCGGAGATTATTATTCTAAGTGAAATAACACAGCAATGGAAAACCAAACATCGTATGTTCTCGTTCATAAGTGGGAGCTAAGCTAGGAGAATGCAAAGGCATAAGAATGACACAGTGGACTTTGGGGACTCAGTGAGAAAGGGTGGGAAAGGGGTGAGGGATAAAAGACTACAAATTGGGTGCAGTGTATACTGCTTAGGTGATGTGTGCACCAAAATCTCACAAATCACCACTAAAGAGCTTACTCATGTAACCAAAAACTGCCTGTTCCCCAATAACCTATGGAAATTTAAAAATTGTGGTTGTAAATATAAATGGATATCAATCAATCAATCACATTATTTGTGTGTTCTTCTGCAGCTATATCTACTGCTTCAGTGCAGGAGGAAATAGGTTGTTTTCTTACCCTGAGCTAGCTCAATTTTTTCCAAGGAACATAACACTGCTCACATTAAAGTACGTCTCAATGGAAATTTATGGGGAAGTACAGATGTATCTTATGTGATAAGTGAACCAGGAGTAGAAGGTCAGGACTTAAGTAACTATCTCCATCTCTTCAAGACCGTTTGATCCTCATGTATGATTTTTGCATTATATATATTCTTTTCTCTCTGTGCCAACCGGATTTTTGTTCTTTTTTGTATAATTGGCAGAAAGTGATTGTCCCTGCCCAGGATAAGCTTCCAGCTCCAAAGCCCAGCAGTACCAATTCCAGATTTCTAAAAAGAAAAACCAGATTAGCTTAGCTTGGGACAGAATTTTGGAGAGCAAAGGTTAAGGAGAAAAGTTTCACAGAGCAGATAAATTAATTGATCTGAATTCCTCAACAAGAGTAATTTGGTATGATTCTGAATATTTATGGTCAATCCAAAATATTTAGCACTGCAGAAATAGAATACTGAAGTAAATTTATATTTCATAGAATTTCATATAATTAGATAATTGAGTTTTAGCAGGGAGAGGGCTACTAAAATAGTGATTTCCGCTTTCCCCTGAATCCCAATGGCCTTCTAATATTGCAGCCTTCGTAGAGCACCATATCTTTAGGATTTCCTCCAACACCAAAACCCATCTCAAGGAACTCCTGGAGAAAATGGTCCACAGAGCATGAGTAATCTCAGTAAGAAATGCCCTAAGGACTTTTGTAGTGTGCTTTATGATCTCAGTACTTATATATCCTGCTCAGACCTAATTCAGAGGGTTGCTGCATCCAGCAATCAGTCTCCAATAAGAAAAACAATCCAGAAGATGGGCTGAGGCAGCCGGGTGTGGTGGCTCACGCCTGTAATCCCAGCTCTCAGGGAGGCAAGAGGCGGGAGGACAGCTTGAGCCCAGAAGTGGAAGACCTGCCTGGGCAATATAGCGAGACCCCATTCTCCAGAAAAAGGAAAAAAAAAAAAAAGACAAAAAAAAAAAAATAAGCGTAACTCCCCTCAGAAGACGGGCTGAGGCATCCAGGACTTACAATGGCGTTTCTGAATGAACAGTAAATTTAAACTGGGAGAACACGTGCAGTTCATTTAGATTAATAGCAATGGAACAGCATTGTGTGTTTAGGAAGAATTTTCTTAAAAATGCAAAGAATTTTTGTTTGCTCAATATCATGTTTTTTATTGCAAATATTATGAGTACTAATAATACAAGAACTTTCGTCCAGTACTGTGAGAGTGGCAGAAGGACTTTTAGCAAGTGTGATACAGATTTATGAAGTAACAATACTGATTCTCTAAGGCATGTAAGAATAAACAAGGGAGATACCTTAGGGTCTCCAAAAATGTGAGATGGAGATGGTTATTGGATCCCAATACACTAAAAGAAGTATCTGTTTATACTACCTTTTATAAATGCAGATGTATCAGTATACTGTTTTTCAATTAAAAAAAAAAGATGATTCCTCAAGATACACTTGAAAACCAGACCATATGTGCTCTGAAAAGACTAATATATCATCTTGGCTATAAACAGATCCCAAACTGTGTCTGCCCAGCATCTTTGCTATTATTGAAGACAAGCAGGGTAAACCAGCTCCACAGTCTGCCCCAAGAAATAACTTCCAGTTAGAAAATATTCACTCACCAGCCCTTTCCCCGCCTTAAGACAAAGCTGGTAAAACTATTAGGTATCAAAGTTCTCAGGAAAAGTGGTCTGAAATATGTAAAGCACAATTCCAAAGTAATCTTAATATTATTTAGACAGATATGGCCAGCAACCTTATTTGGATTAGAGGCAGAAGGAATTAGACCTGTAAGGTGGTAGAGATGAGGAGGACCTAACCCAGAACTGGTAATGGTTGTCTCAAAAGGTACATCCCTTGGAAGGCAGCCAAGGCCTTGAGATGGGGAAAAAAAAAATGGAGAGGCTTCCAAGAACACTCCATCACAGTGGTAACTGAGGAATGTGTTGAAACATTAAATGCATGTCCCAGTCTTCTCTAAGATCAGGAGAAAAGTGAAGCAATAGTATAAACATTTGTTAGGATGACTTAAGTGAGCCGATAGATGATAAATGAATATAGGCAAGCCTTATGATGATCTCAAGTATGTATAGAAATAAAACCTCAAAGGATTTTAGCATTATAAAGCTGAATCAGTGACCACAAACCAAAGTATTGTTATTCTTGTGTGATGGTCCAACCATGTTCTGGGCCACCTCCATACATGTGAATTTAATCACCATTCATTGTCAAGTTGAGGAAGACCTTTTGTAATACTGGGTTAAAGGCAGGGAATTTCAAGGTACTGAAAATTGTTTCAATAGGCACTAAACTCTGAACAGGCAGGAAGGCCATTATAGTGATGATAATGATAAAACTCAGGGCTGTAGACACATACTAATGGACCTCTCCTGATGAAAGAGCCACATTTCGTATGCATGAAGGAGATGAACATCTAACTTTGTAATTGGCCTACATTTCAGGGATGGGGAAAGTATTTAAATGATTTCTGGTCATGAGATAATTTGACAGAAAAGAGGGAATGGAGATATCTATTTCCCAGTTTAGATTTTTTTTTTGGCAAGTTCATTTTTCTCAGTCCATAAGGGAAAACTATCCCTCTCTAGCCCCCAGTCACATCCTGACTTGATGTCCACGCTATCCGACTGCCTCATTCTTTAGGGGGAAAGTTATGAACCCAGCATAATCAATGACTTTACCTTGAGAAAAGCCAGCATGCAGTTGGATGGATTATTTTTTCCCCTCCCCACCCATGTGTTCTGTAAGAATTCCACCACCAGAACTGTGAATCATTTCCTACAAGTCTTAGGAGATATGGTCTGCAGTACTTTAATTCCTCTTCATTGTATTGCTTATTTCACAGCCTCTTGATGAGACGTTGGTTAAGCTCATCTCATTCTCCAATTCCAAAGGAAAGAGGTTAGAAAAGGATGACAGGTTACATCATTCACCACTGATTTCTCAAATTAATACAAGGTGAAGCCAAGTCAGTGGTAATGAGTGTTCCTTTCCAACCAGAAACTATTTCATTCCTGCATTCAGCAAGCATTTGCTCACTGTGATGTGAACACTATTATTTGATACTTCATTGGTTTCCCCTGCCAAGTCACTTTTTATCGCCATTTTTGGATTTGGATGTATTTCCTATCCTATTTGTTGAAGAATTTCTTTACTAGAAGTAACTGGGTAAAATATGCAACAGAGCTGTGGCAGCTGTAGCCCACTACCCTCTTCCAAGGGACAGCATTCAAACTCCAATTCAATGATTCCTAAGTGACCACAAAGAGGCTCTGTCACTGCCCCACAGAGTCCTAACTTTTCTTTGCCTCCACGCAAGCCTACACACACGCATGACCACATACACACTACTCAGAGCACTTTATGTCCATTTTCTAATTCACCCCTCCCCATAGCTAGGCACCATTTTTATCGTCTTTATAGAAGAAACAATAAACCAATGTGCCACACCCAGGATCACATGGCTAGCAGGTGGCAGAGCTGGATTTAAGCCATTATTTTTAGCTGTTTTTAACCAGCACACTCTCCTAATTGTCTCTTTAAAATCTTTTCCTCAGCCTCTTATTTTGTGAATGAAAGACTTGGGTACAGAAAAGTGAAACCAACTTTCACAAGAGCCCAAGGCTTCTTGAATCCCAGGCTGGATCTTTCTCTCTGATTTAGTATTGCTTTCCTCATGTTTGCTCAACCACTGAGGTTCTTGGAAAAGATGTATGTTGTTACCACAGCATTCCAGTGTATTCTACTGAAGACAGTTGCAGTGTAATTAAATAGAATGTCTATAATAATAAAAGCCATCTCTTTTCATGCACTATCCAGCCCACTTGCAATACAGAAAGGGTTTGATCCCAGGAAAAAAAAACATATGCAACTGTGTGATTCATGTCAAGGAAGGCCCGGCCAGTTTTTCTGATGGTCTTGGAGGAAGAAAGCATTTCCATTTCTTCCTCCTAAATAGCCTCTGAAATAGAAGTGCTGTTTTTCTTGAGTAAGACAAGGTACATTTTTTGAGGCCAATGGCCACATCTGAATGATATTGAACAGGACGCTGGAAATCATTGATGTAGTCAACCAGCCAAATGGCCCCATAGGCAGCATAGTATTTTCTGAGAGGTGCAGAGAGAGACATTGGTCATTTTCCTGCAATCAGGAGAGCACTTTCAGAGTTGACCTCCGCGTGTGTTTGTGTATGTGTGTGTGTGTCTGTCTGTCTGTCTTCGTGCAGGCACAGTCCAGGAGAAAAGGGGGTATAAAGAGAAAGAGGACAAGAACCATCTGAGGCAAAGAAGTCATCTCTGCCATGTGTTTGCCTTCAGGGAATACAGAGTTTGTGGTTCTCTCAGCATTTTCGTCTAGAATTTTATTTTGGTGTATAAAATTCTATAAATAAATGGATGGAGTGGGGTATGTGAGGGCAGGAGACAAGAATTGTCTTGGAGAGATAGAAATGTTTATATTACAGAAGCAATGACCTGTTTCACACATTTTGCTGATTTTTGTTTAAAAAGTGTATTTGTAATAAACACATTACTTCTACAGGTCATGCCAACTATTTTCCTGTACTAAACCACATTTTTTTCTGTGCTAACACCACACACTGACACACGCACATACACACGACATTCAAAACCCTTTATAAGACAACTGATCCTATCATGCCACTCCTGTAACACATGCCCCAAGCATCCTATATTCCAGCAAGACAAAACTTCTCACTGTTCCCTGAATGCCAAGGTTTTGGCCTTTCCTCTGCTCATGCCATTTTGGGCACTTTGGATGTCCTTTCCCTTTTTGAGGCTAGAAAATCCTACCCGTATTTCAAAGCCCAACTTAAGTACCACTTCTCTATGAATGCTTCCCCCGACCCCCATCTCCCTTGTGCTTTACCTCATTCCATATTTCCTCACAGATACAAGCATATGGCCCTGACAGATAAACTATGGCTGGCTGTACATGTCTGCCTCTCCATGCTACTGCAGCTCCATCCCTATTCTGCATATTTAAAATTCCTACAGAGCAAAGGCTGTGTATACATTCTTGTAACCTACTTCATTCACCCCCACTTATTTCTTGATACCTAATAAATAGGAAGTCTTTCAAGCAGACTTGTTGAATGATTGATTGGACTGATTGATTTGTATTAATAAATTTACATATTTACTCCCTAGCTATAACAATGAAAATATATTGAACTAATCCAATCCCCTGCCTGAAAGCAGTTATGGCGATGCTTCCTTTCACTTCCTCTCTTCTATGATAATGAGTGAAATCAAATGAAACACAACCATTTAAAACCTCCATCCTTAAGTTCAGCATCTATGCTGGTTGTTTTTTATTTGCCCCTATAAATCCATCTCTGCCCTTTTCTACCCTGCTCTGTACTCTAGAGGACTAAACTTTAGGAATTGCATCATCTAGGCTGTTTTGCCCTATAGCTTTTGGCTAATGGGTTCAGCTAATGGGAAACACTGCCAGGGCAGGGGAAAAAAGAGAGGTCAGAGCATTTATTTCCCTCCCTAACTGCTGGAATATAGCTGGGCAGTGGCGGCATTTCCTTATGTGGGCCCACAGCTCTTATAGGTAGCCTCTCTTACTTGTTGTTTTAGTTTTCTGTTGCTACTGAAACAAATTAGCACAAACTTGGTGGCTTAAAACAATATAAATGTATTATCTTACAGTTCTGTAGGTCAGATGTCTGACAGAAGTCTTGATGGACTGAAATCAAACTGTTGGCAAGGCTGCACTCTGAACTGGAGGCTCTTGAGAATTCTGCTTTACCATTCTCAGCTTGTTGGGTCTGCCCATGTTCCTTGGCTCATGGCCCCTTTCTTCCATCTTCAAAGCCAACAACGTTGCCTCTCTCTGGCCTTTCTTTCTTCATCACATCTCTGGCCATAGCAGGGAAACGTTCTTTTCCTTTAATGACTTAAGTGATTAAATTAGGCCCATCTGCATAATTCAGGATAATGTCCTTATCTGAAAGTCCTCAACCTTAATCACATGTGCAAAGTCTCTTTTGCCATGTAAGGCAGCATATTCACAGACCCTGAGGATTACGGCACAGACATCTTCAAGGAGCCATTCTTCTGTCTATCACACTTGGGTTTAGCTTACTGTTCCCTTTATTTGCCTAGACGTGTCAATGGCTTCTTGACGTTGTTAATCCCTGGGGCCTCGTTATTCTGTGTTGGTTCCCTTACGATACCCTCAGCTTTACACACAGTTTCTTCATTAAATTCTCTTCAGTCAGCCCTCTGAGCATGCTGTATGATTCCTGCAAGGACCCAAACTGAACCCACAATGCTCAATCACCCACCACAGATAAAACTGTGTAGCTGGAGTCCTACTGGAATCCCAGCAGGCAATATTAGGTTTTCTGCTACAAGGTCACTGATGATCCCCTTAGAGAAACCAGCTGTCTGGATAAACTGGGACCAGTTTCACCCACCACTTACTTTCCTTGTCATAACTGTGTAGGTGAAGAGTTGAAATGGGTTTTTGTACCTGGGAAATATGAAGAGGTGGCTCACTCAGCAAAGCTAATAGCTGGGCAGCTTCATTACTTTGGGGACCATTTAAAGACCAACTAGCTCCTCCTGCACAACCAGAAGAAAAAAATATTCAAATTTCTGCTGAAAAATCAATAAAGTCAGGGCCCTGAAATGTCTGAGAGCAAAGCAAGTAAGGTTCACTCCAAAGCATGCTTCATCCCCAAAGACTCTCTCCTCAGCTTTCCATCTCAGCACAATTAACTTCAAGGATTAAGAGCATCTACTTTGGCAGGAAATAAACCTGGGTTTAAATCCCAGCTCTGTGGCTTGGATAAATTATTTAACATCTCCAAGCCTCAGTCTTCTTATCTGTAAAATGGAGATAGTGTCTACAGGATTGCTGAAAGATTGAATAGGCTACATAGATATTCACATTGTGTCTAATAAGAATACATTACATTACATACATAAAAATATATTTTTACAATTAACTAGTAGTGTTAAATCCTGCCAATTCTTTAAGGCCAACTTCAAACCCTCACCTCTAAGAATTCTTCCTAGATCCCTCCAAACTTCAGAGATCTTCCTTTCCTTTAAATTCTTACAATCCTTGCAGATATTGCAGTAGACAATTTGGCAGCTATTTACAGTAACGACCATAGTCTCCTTCAGAGTGAGAACTGTGTCTTCGCTGGCATCTCCTTTTGTGCCTAACCTAATGGTGGGCATAGAATAGACGCTCAGGAACTATTTTTCAATTCATGACCTTCCAGATGGATTGCCATTATGAAGGGTATATTTTCTCAACTTTTATTCCAGCTTTTCCTGGCTCTATTTGCCATTCTGAAGTCAGAGGAGAAAGTAATACAGCGTCCAACTGTACAAGAAAACATAGAACCTTCCTCTTCTTTTAAACTTAGAGAGGTGTCTTCACAGTTTTCCAAGCCATGGAGGGTGTTCCTAATTTTACATGTTCTGCTCTAATAGACCATTTTTCAAGACATGTGCTATAATTCTGACTTCAGGAAAAATGACATCTTCTATACTCCTTATATTAATCAAGGTAGTCTACATTACGCTAAAGGAACAAATTATCCCAAATCTCAATCACTTAAAAGCTGAGATAATGTAACAAAAGTTTATTTCTCTTTAGTGAAACAACCTGCTGAAGGTTCAGGGAAACCGTCTCCACACAGCCCCTCATCAATCCAGGCTGATGCAAGATTCTCCATCCTCAAGCTGCACTATCTAGAACATGCCATCTCTTCAGTTGTAAACAGTGCAAGAAGACAACACTGGAGATTCTTGCACTAACAATTAAGTCCTAGGTCCAAATGTGACACACATCACTTCGGCTTAACAACCCCTTGGTCAGAACAAGAGTCACATGTCCCTGCTTAATGGCAAAGGGCATGGAAAATTGGTATCGTTGCACTGGCCTGGAAAGAGAGGAGAACCAGACTGAGGGGAGCATTGGAAGTCTTTACTACACTTCTTAAAACACTTGTTCAACTCTAGCTTGTATGACAATCTTCTCTCCTCCTGGACTGCAGACTCTTTGAGGGCAGAGATCCTAACCAATTCATCTCTAGTTCCACTCCCCTCTCCCTCAATGCCTCACTAGCAAAATCTCTAGCACACTATCCAAGTGTATTTATCAAGTACATTTTTTAAATTTACCAAATAGTTATTGAATGCTTCCCACGTGCCTGGCACTGTTCTAGGTGATGAATATATGGCCCTGAACAAAATGTACACCTATCTCCAAGCTCATAAAACTTAGATTTTAGTGTGAAAGGAAAACAAACCGAAGAAGTAGACAAAATGTATGATTAGGTGGCTGTTGATAAGTGCTATGGAGAAAAATAAAGCAAGGAAAGGGGTTACTAAATATGTATGTGGCAGAGGTTTGGGCAGATAATGACTGTGTGGAGCCAAACAGGGAGGAGAGTTGACCAGGGAGAACTGTGCTTCTTTTGGTGACATAAACAAGGAGAAAGGGTATAATAAGGTGAGTTTTCATGGTCTCAAGAAAGATGGCAATGGTGAGGCTGTGAGTATCGGGTGTGAAAAGAGGAAGAGATCGGAGTCTTGCCAGCTCATGAAGAGTTTGGGAGTTCCCTTTCCACTCCTGCAAATACTAATAAGGAGGCCAGGAAACAGTTGGCTTTTCTGATTGTCTTTTTGGCTTACAGAGAGAGGTATGGAGTCTAACAAGAGGGCATTTTAACAGGAGCTTGTGGGTGAATTTAAATGATTTTTTTCTGTCATACATTTTCAGGCACTTTTTAAAATTTCTTTTTTTCACTTAAATTAAAAATTCTAATAACATCTGTAGAGTTCATTAAAATGTCTCTTTTTAAGGCTATTAGCTGTTTCTCCGTGTTCTCTCTTCACCCTAGTGTGAAATTTCTGCCTTATGATTTGTTGGAGAAAAGACTTAAAAATCTGTGAATTAAAGACCTCTTTGAAGAATGCTCCTACTGTTTTGGTGTTTCTTTCATTTTTCTTTCATGCTTTAAAACTCTTTACCCCACCCAGATAATCATATGGACTATGGTACTTATGAATGCCACATTGATATGTGTTATTAACACATAGATAGTGTTAATTCAACTATCTATGGCATGTGGGTAATCTTTGTTAAGCTCCTAATAACTATAAATGTTTCATTAAAAGAATGGATCTTCAGAACTTCCAATCTTTTTTATTAACATCTATACTGCTTAAATCTTCCTCACAACGAGAGGGATAGAGTAGGAAGGCAGGTGGCTTAAGCCCTGTCTGAGCTCTATTATTGAAGTTTCTTGAATGTTCTGGAACTCACTTTCCTCTTCTGAAAGGTTAAGTTGGTGACTTTTACTCTGATTGGTAAATCATTATTATAATCAGTTTTATAGTAATTATATTTTTATTACTCTTTACAGGCATTGTACTAGACATATGAATTACTTTTTTATTGCGGTCAAAAACACATAACATAAAAGTTACCAACTTAATGATTTTTAAGTGCACAATACAGTAGTATTAATATAAACACATTGTATAACAGAACTCTGGAACTTTTTCATCCTGCAAAATTGAAACTATATATCCATTAAGCAACTCCCATTTACCTCTTGCCCCAACCCCTGGCAACCACCATTTTACTTTATGTTTCTAAGAGTTTGACTATTTTAGATACTTCATATATGTGGAATTATGTAGTGTTTGTCTTTTGTGACTGGCTTATTTCAATTACCATAATTTGTTCAAGGGTGATCCATGTAGAAGCATGTGACATTATTTCCTTCTTTTTGTGAGACTGAAAATATTTCATTATATGTATATGATACATTTTCTTTATTCATCTGTTGATGAACATTTAGGTTGTTTCCATCTCTTGGCTATTGTGAATAGTGCTGCCATGAACACCAATGTGCAAGTATCTCTTGGAGATCCTTTTTCAAATATTTTAGATACCCAGAAGTGATATTGCTGGATCACATATTATTTCTAACTTTTAAAATAACCTCCACAGTTTCCTATAGTAGCTACACCATTTTATATTCCCACCAACAGTGTACAAGTGT
Organism: Homo sapiens; assembly: GCF_000001405.40. Classification (NCBI taxonomy): domain Eukaryota; kingdom Metazoa; phylum Chordata; class Mammalia; order Primates; family Hominidae; genus Homo; species Homo sapiens. The sequence goes on along the minus strand of NC_000009.12, from coordinate 7,600,462 downwards.
TCTAATTTCTCCACATTCTCACTACCACTTGTTATTTTTTGTTTTAGTGATGGCAGCCATTCTAACAGGTGTGAAGCAATATCTCATTGTGGTTTTAATTTGCATTTCCCTAATTATTACTGATGTTGGGTATCTTTCAACACACTTATTGACCATTTTTATATTTTATTTGGAGAAGTGCTTGCCCAATTCCTTTTTTTTTTTAACTGGATTGTTTCTATTTTTGTTAAGATATAGGAGTCCTTTATATATTCTGGATAATACCCCCCCATCAGACTTATGGTTTGCAAGTATTTCCTCCCATGCTTTTTCACTCACTTGTTTGCTTCCTTTGCTGTGCAGAAGTTGTTCCATTTGCTGTAGTCCCATTTGTCTATTTTCACTTTTGTTGTCTGTGCTGTTGGCGTCATAGCCAAGAAATCATTGCCAAATTCAATAGCTCAAACTTTTCCCCCATGTTCTCTTCTAGAAGTCTTATAGCTTCAGTTCTCATTTTTAGATCTTTAATCCACTTTGAATTCATTTTTGTATATAGTGTAAGATAAGGGCCCAGTTTCATTTATCTGCCTGTAAACATCCAGTCGTTCCAGCACCATTTTTTGAAGAGACTACCCTTTCCCCATTGTGTAGCCTTGACACTTTTATTGAGGATCATTTGATCGTGTACATGAGGATTTATTTCAGGGCTCTCTACGCTGTTCCATTGGCCTTTATGTGTCTTAATGTCATTATCATGCTGTTTTAAATATTGCAGATTTTAAATGTTTTGAAATCAGAAAGTGTGAGGCATCCAGGTTTTTCTATCTCAAGATTGTTTTGACTATTTGGGGCCTTTAGTAATCCCAGATTAATTTTTGAAATTTTTTGCAATTTCTGCAAAAAAAAAAAAAAAAAACGCTGTTGAGATTTTAATAGGGATTGTATTGAATCTATAGATCACTTTGGGTAGTATAAACATTTTAACAACATGAATTCTTTCCAAGCAGGAACACAAAATATCTTGCCATTTATTTGTCTTTTTCCAACTTATCAATATTTCAGTTTTGGATGTAAATTTTTCAGTTTGGTTAAGATTATTTTTAGGTATTTTAATTTTTTGATGCTATTTTAAATGTAATTTTTAAAAAAATTTCCTTTTAGATTGTTCATTGTTAGTTTATAGAACTTTAACTGTTTTTTTTGTGTTAAATTTTAATTCTGCAACTTTGCTAAATTTATTACTTCTGACAGGTTTTGTGTGAAATGTGTGTAATACCTTTAGGGTTTTCTACATACAAGATCACGTTGTCTACAAACAAAGAACATTTTGCTGCTTCTTTTCCTATTGGGTGCTTTTATTTCTTTTTCTTGCCGTACTGTTCTGAATAGGATTTTGAGTATTATGTTGAGTAGAAGTGGTGAGAACAGGGATCCTTACTTTGTTCCTGCTTTTGAGAAAATGGTTTTAGCTTTTTGCCATTTTGAGTATGATGCTAGCGGTGGGCCTTTTACCTACGGCATCTATTAAGTTGAAGTAAAATATTTCTATTCTTAGTTTGTTGTTATCATAAAAGAATATTAAATTTTGTCACGATTTTCTGTATTAATCTGTTAATGTAATGTATTACATTGATGAATTTTCATGTTCAAACTAAATCCCACTTAGTCATAATATATAATCCTTTTAATATATTGTTGGATTTCATTTGCTAATGTTTTGTTGAAGATTTTTATGTCAACGTTCATCAGGGATATTGGCCTGCAGTAGTTTTCTTTCTCATATCTTTTTCTGACTTTGGCATCAGGGTGGTGCTGCTCTTATAGAATGAGTTTGAAAATGTTCCCTCCTTTTCAATATTTTGGAAGAGTTTAAGAAGAATTGGTGGTAGTTCTTTTTTTGTTGTTATTTAGTTTTTATTTCATAATCATAAACTTAACTCTGCAATCCAGCTAGGCATGGAAGGGAACAAGGAAAACATGGAACCCAAAGGGAACTGCAGCGAGAGCACAAACATTCTAGGATATTGAGAGCAAATGGGGTGGAGGGGTGCTCTCCTGAGCTACAGAAGGAATGGTCTGTTGGTTAAGATAAAACACAAGTCAAACTTACTAGAGTTGTCTGCAGTCAGCAATGCTGATCTTCTTGCTGGTCTTGCCACTCCTGGACCAAAGCGCTCCATGGCCTCCACAATATTCATGCCTACTTTCACCTTGCTGAAGACCACATGCTTGCCATCCAACCACTCAGTCTTGGCAGTGCAGATGAAAAAACTGGGAACCGTTTGTGTTGGGTTCAGCATTTGCCATGGGCAAGATGCCAGGACCTGTATGCTTTAGGATGAAGTTCTCATCATCAAATTTCTCCCCATAGATTGACTTGCTGCCAGTGCCATTATGATGTGTGAAGTCACCACCCTGACACATAAAACCTGGAATAATTTTGTGAAAGCAGGAACCCTTATAAGCAAATCCTTTCTCTCCAGTGCTCAGAGCATGAAAGTTTCCTGCTGTCTTTGGAAACTTGTCTGCAAACAGCTCCAAGGAGACGCGGTCCAAGGGCCCGCCATCCACGGCGATGTCGAAGAACACGGCGGGGTTGACGATGGCTGATACTACAGGGCACCCGATAGCAGAGGCGTCTGCAAAGCTGGTGGTAGTTCTTTAAAAGTCTAATAGGATTCTCCAGTGATGTCATTCAGTCATGGGCATTTACTTTGTTTTTCTGGATTCTTGATGTGTGTTTTTTTGGTTTTAAATTTCAACTTTTATTTTAGACACAGGGGTACATTGGCAGGTTTGTTACATAGAAATTTTGCATGATGCTGAGATTAGGGGTCTGATTCCCATCACCCAGACAGTGAGCATAGTACCTAATAGGTGTGGTTTTTTTTTTTTTTAACACACGACCCCTTCTCCCTCCTCCCTGTAGTAGCCTGCTTTCTCTATTATTCCTATATCATGTTTATGTGTGCTCAATGATTAGCTCAATTGTAAGTGAAAACATGTGGTATTTGTGGTATTTGGTTTTCTGTTTCTGTGTTACTTTGCTTAGAATTATAGCCTCCAGCTGCATCCATGTTTGTGCAAAGGACATGATTTCATTCTTCTTCTTCTTTTTTTTTTTTTTTTTTTTTTTTTGAGATGGAGTCTTGCTCTGTCACCCAGGCTGGAGTGCAGTGATGTGATCTCAGCTCACTGCAACCTCTGCCTCCTGGGTTCAGGCGATTCTCCTGCCTCAGCCTCCTGAGTAGCTGGGATTACAGGCGCGCACCACTACGCCAGGCTAATTTTTGTATTTTTAGTAGAACCGGAGTTTTACCATGTTGCAGGCTGGTCTCGGACTCCTGACCTCGTAATCCACCCACCTTGGACTCCCAAGGTGCTAGGATTACAGACATGAGCCACTGCGCCCAGCTAATTTTTGTATTTTTAGTAGAGACGGGGTTTCACCATGTTGGCCAGGCTGGCCTTGAACTCCTGACCTCGTAATCTGCCCGCCTTGGCCTCCCAAAGTGCTGGAACTACAGGTGTGAGCCAGCATGCCCCACGTGATTTCGTTCTTTTTTATGACTGTGTAGTATTCCATGGTGTATATGTACCACATTTTCTTTATTTAATCTACCATTGATGGGCACCTTGGTAGATTCCACATATTTGCTACTGTGGATAGCACAGCAATGAACATAAGAGCATTTGTGTGTCCTTTGGCAGAATAATTTATTTTGCTTTGAGTATATACCCAGTAATGGGATTACTGGGATGAATGGTAGCTCTGTTTTAAGTTCTTTGAGAAATCTTAAGACTGCTTTCCACAGTGATTTAACTAATTTACATTCCTACCAACAGTGTGTAAGTGTTCCCTTTTCTCCACAGCCTTTCCAGCATCTGTTGTTTTTCTTGACTTTTTAATAAAAGCCATTTTGACTGGTGTGAGATGGTATCTCCTTGTGGTTTTGATTTTTGCATCTCTGTGATGATTAGTGATGCTGAGCACTTTTTCATGTTTGTTGGCTGCCACTTGTATGTCTTCTTTTGAGAAGTGTTCATGTCCTTTGCCATTTTTGATGGGGTTGTTTTATTCTTGTTGATTTAAGTTCCTTATAGATGCTGTATATTAGGCCTTTGTCAGATCTATAGTTTGTGAATATCTTCTCCCATTTTGTGGTTATCTGCTTACTCTGTTGATACTTTCTTTTGCTGAGCAGAAATTCTTCAGTATAATTAGGTCCCACTTGTCTATTTTTGTTGCAATTGCTTTTGGGGACTTAGCCAAAAATTATTTCTCAAGGCTGATGTGGAGAACAACAATTCCTTGGTTGTCCTCTAGGATTTTTATAGTTTGAGGTCTTACATTTAAATCCTGATCTATTTTGAGTTAATCTTTTAATATAGTGAAAGGTAGGGATCCAGCTTCAATCTTCTTCATATGGCTAGCCAGTTATCCCAGCAACATTTATTGAATAGGAAGTGCTTTCCCCATTGCTTGCTTTTGTCAGCCTTGTAAAAGATCAGATGATTGTAGGTGTGTGGCTTTATTTCTGAGTTTTCTATTCTGTTCCAATGGTCCATGTGTCTATTTTTGTACAAGTACCATGCTGTTTTGATTACTGTAGCCTTATCGTATGGCTTGAAGTTGGGTAGTATGATTCCACCAGCTTTGCTCTTTTGGCTTAGGATTGCTTTGGCCATTTGGTCTCTTTTTTTCTGTTTTATATGAATTTTAGAATCGTTTTTTCTAATTCCGTGAAGACATTGGGAGTTTGATAGGTATAGCACTGAATCTGTAAATTGCTTTGGGCAGTATGGCCATTTTTACAATCTTGATTCTTCCAATCCATCAGTATGTAATGTTTTTCCATTTATCTGTGTCATCTCTGAAATTTTTCAACAGTAATGTTGTGTAGTTCTCCTTGTAAAGATCTGCTCGGTTAGTTGTACTCCTAGGTATTTCATTTTCCTTGTGGCTGTTGTAAGTGGGATTGTGTTCTTGATTTCACTCTCAGCCTGAATCTTGTTTGTGTATAGAAATGCTATTAATTTTTATACATTGATTTTGTATCCTGAAACTTTACTAAAGTCATTTATTAGTTTTAGAAGCCTTTTGGCAGAGTGATAAGGATTTCCTAAGTATAGAATCATTTCATCCTTGAAGAGAGATAGTTTGACTTCTTCTTTATCTATTTAGATGCCTTTTATTTATTTAACTTGCCTTATGGCTGTGGCTAGGACTTCCAGTACTCTGTTGAACGTAAAAGGTGTCAAAATTATTCCAAGCACATTTTTGGACCACAGTGCAATACAAATAGAAATCAATACCGAGATCTCTCAAAATTACACAACTGCAAGGAAATTAAACAACTTATCCCTGAATAACTCTTGGGTTAACATCAAAGTTAAGGAATAAATTTTAAAATTCTGAAAATAGGGACACAACTTGCCAAAATCTCTGAGATGCAGCTAGTGTTAAGAGGAAAGTTTATGGTGCTAAATTCCTTCATCAAGAAATAAGATCTCAAATTAACAGTTTAACTTCATACCTATAGAAACTAGAAAAATGAAGAACAAATCAACCCAAAGCTTCCAGAAGAAAATAAATAACTAGAATTAGAGAAGAACTGAATGAAATTGAGATGCAAAAATCCATACAAAAGATCAATGAAACCAAGAGTTGGTTCTTTGAAAGAATAAGCAAAATTGATAGACTTCTGGCTACATTAACAAAGAAAAAAAAAGAGAAGAACCAAATAAGCACAATCAGAAATGACAAAAGCGGTATTCCAACTGATCTCACAGAAATACAAAAGATCCTTAGAGACTACTATGAACAACTCTTTGCACACAATTAGAAAATCTAGAAGAAATGTATAAATTCCTAGAAGCACACAATCTCCCAAGATTGAATCAGAAAGAGATTGAAATCCTGAATAGGCCAATATCAACTTCTGAAACAGAATCAGTAATAAAGAACCTAGCAACCAAGAAAAGCCCTGGACCAGGTGGATTCAGAGCTGAATTCTACTAGACATTAGTACAAGAAGAGCTTGTGCTAATCCTATTGAAATTACTCCAAAAAACTAAGGAGGAGATACTCCTCCCCAACTCATTCTATGAGATCAGCATCATCCTGATACCAAAACATGGCAGAGACAAAAACATGAAAAAAAAACTTCAGGCCAATATCCTTGATGAACACTGATGCAAAAATTCTCAGCAATTTACTTGCAAACCGAATCCAGCAGCACCTTGAATTTATCATCCCACTCTGTTCTGACCTGTAATGATTCTGCTGAGAGATCCAATGATAATCTTATAGAGTCTTTCTTGTACATGATGAGCAAATATTTTCTTGCTGCTCTCAATATTCTCTTATTGTTTATAACTTTTGACAGTTTATGATATGTCTCAGTATGGGCCTTTGGGGATTTATCCTAATTGAATTCCTTTGATCCTCTTGAATTTGGATGTTCATTTACTTCTTTTGATTTAAGAAGTTTTCTTCCATTATTTCTTCAAACAAGGTCTCTACTTCATTCTCTTCTTCTTCAGTTCCCAATGTGTGTGTTAGTCTGCTTAATTATCTCCTTTAGGTTTCTTCACTTTTCTTCATTTAGTCCTTTAGAATTTCTTCATTGTTATTTTCTCTTTTTATTTCTGACTAATTTCAAATGGCCCATTTTCAAGTTTGCTAATTCTTTCTTCTGCTTGATCAAACCTGCTGTTGATCCCTTCTAGTGAATTTCTAAATTCAGTTATAATATTTTTTAGCTTCATAATTTCTATTTGGGTTCTTTTTTATAGTTTCTCTTTGTTTATATCTATTTTGTTCATGCATCATTTTCCTGATTTTGTTTAGTTGTCTCTCTGTGCTGTCTTGCAGCATACCGAGCTTCTTTAAGATAAATATTTCAAATTCTTTGTTAGGTAATTTATAAATCTTTATGTCATTATTGTCAGCTTCTGGCAGTTTATATTGACTCTCATTGACTCTTATTGAGTCATGTTTCTCAGTTTGTGCGCCTTGTTATTTTTTGTTAATTTTTGCATTTGACAAGAACAGCCAACTCTCCCAGTCTATTTGTTCATTCTCATGCTCCAACTAAAGATATACTCAAGACTAGGTAATTTATAAAGGAAAGAGGCTTAACTGACTCACAGTTCAGCATGGCTGGGGAGGCCTCAGGAAATTTAAAATCATGTTGGAAGGGGAAGCAACCACATCCTTCTTCACATGGTGGCAGCAAAGAGAAATGCAGAGTGAAGGTGGAAAAAAGCCCCTTATAAAATTATCAGGTTTCATGAGAACTCAACTCACTGTCATGAGAACAGAACGGAGGTAACTGCCCCCGTGATCCAATTACCTCCCACCAGATCCCTCCCATGACAGGCGGGGATTATGCGAACTACAATTCAAGATGAGATTCGGGAGGGTGCGCAGCCAAACCATGTCACCCTGTATTTATAGAATGGCTTTATACAGGCAAAGGCCTTCATCAATCAGCAAACTGGAAATTCAGAGGGCCTCCAAAAACTTTAATGAGGATAAATTTTCTTGATGCTTGTGCATGTAATTTCCTAATTAAAGAGGTTTACTGTGTTTCATTTTTTGTTTTTCGGGAGCCTGCAGTCTTTTGTTCTCTCTAGTGTCTGTCTGAAGTACTGCAGGTTCTCTGGATCTGCAAGAAGCCACTGAGTTCTCTTTTTTTGTTTGCAATCCCAGGCATCCAGGACAGGCTTATTCCATTAGTGCTCCAGATGAGACAGAAAGCACTTCCTCAGGCAGCCTCCCCCAAAGCCAGAATATAGCACTCATGTTCCACTCTTCTCTTTCCCTCCTAAGAAGAACCCGCAGCTGAGTGCTTTCTCTGGATTATGGTGAGTGGTGCCAGCTTCTGAGATATTATAAGTTCTCTGGCACTGTCACAAGCCACTGAGCACTCTTGTTCTCAGCGGCCCCCACATCCAAACTATGCCCATTTCCCACGGCAGAGTTCTGAGTCAGGCAAGACAGAAATCAGTCCTTTGGGCAGCCCACCAAAGAGCCAGAACATGATATGTACATTCCACTCTTTTCTTAACTTCCTCAAACATAAGTTAAGAGTTGGGCTTTTCCTTCAGAACACAAGCTATGTCAGCTTTGAGGAGGGACTGATGTGGTTGAAATTAAACAGCTTTTCTTACCCATTTTAATGCAGCCATTCTTGGCTTGGAGCTTTCCTTGTGTACTGAGACTTTCTAACTGGCTTCTGGGGTTCTCATAAAGGTTTTGGACTTTATATATTTGTTGTCAGTGTTTTTGTGAGGAACACAGTCTGAGGCTTCCTATTCTGTCATCTTGCTGCCATCACTCTCCTATGTGGCATCTTTTGATCCTTGATTGATAATGGAGTAGGCAGAGGATGATGATGATGATGATGATGATTTCATAGGTGAGAAAACTGAGAGTCCCAGAAACTAATGACTTGTCCAAAGTTACTCAGCAAAGAAGTGATTGTTTTGCTCACAAATGCATCCCAAGGACCTGAAGTGCCAGGTATCAAATAAATATTATAGGGGTGTGTGTGTGTGTGTGTGTGTGTGTGTGTGTGTGTATACAGACAAACAAAATCAAACCCAGAATATTTGCATTTAAAATCTGTACTCCTATCCCCCTGAGTCCTTAGAAAAATGATAGTTCCTGCATAAACAATATTCAAGCTCTAATCTTTCCATACACAAGCCATTTGTTAACTGTTTTCATTCACAATTCGGTCTTAATTTGCTTACTTAGCAATAACGGTGAATAATATATTCAGGGTCTCTGACTTTACTATCCAGCAGAGTGTCACTTGGGACTATGTTACAGATTTTAATTTTTTAAATTGGTTGGCTTTAATATTCCTTAGCTTGCCCTAGGCTAGTAGGTTCTCCACCAGGCAATTTTGCCAAGAAGGGGATTTGGGCAATGTCTAGAAACATTTTTGGTTGTCACAACTGGAGGTGCTATTACCATCTAGTTAGTAGAGGATAGAGATGCTGCTGTGCATCCTGCAATGCATAGAACAGTCTGCGCAACAAAGGATTATCCAGCCTGAAATTTCATTTACACAGAGGTTGAGAAACCCTGCCCTAGACAAACTAAAAATGATGCAGAAGAGGTTCACCTTCTTTATCTATCTTTCAGCATCACCTTTATCTCTCCACCATAACTCTTATGTAGGCACAGATACACATGGTTCCAGGACCTTCATGCTCAGCTCTCCTCTGAGATGCCTTTATCTAACCACAACTGATTATCTGGATCTTTGTGACCCATTCCAATTATTTTTTCCTTTTTGATCCTACTCTCAGAGAGCTTTGTAAAATGATTGACTAACACCATATACTAAGAACCTGTAACTTGGTTTCCAGTTTACAATGAGTCATAATGGCCAAATACCCATTGAATAAATAGGAGTAGAAAATATTAAACTAACGTGTTTTCTATCATTCCTCCTCTATCTCAGGGTATAACATTTTATTTTCACTGGCCAAATGAAAGCCACATCCCGGCCTTATCATCTAAAATAAATGCATCCCATAGGACCTTCCAGGGTAGCAGGTGCATGGGTGGGTATAATTCAGACAGAAGATAAGGAAAGAAGTTTAATCTCCACAAATTGCCAAGAATGTTTCCCTTATAATTAGGAAAGTGCATTCTGAAACTCTGCATAATTTAAAATACACTTTATGGGCTAATGGAAAAGGACTGAGAACAGACATAAATCTTGCCTATAAATAATCAATGCTATCAAAATGCCATGGCAAAAACATTCCTCTGATAGAAACAAAGACAGATAGTTTTTAGGATTTTATCTAGAGAATGTCAGGCATATAAGAATGCCTTCTTATTTATTTGTTTATCAGTTTGGATGTTTCTCTCCAACTACTTCCATAAAAGACTCCATCCAGATTCAAAGTGAAATTCTACCTTTATACTAAATAATATAGAGAGTAAAACTAAATCAAAGAGATAAAGGAAAAAAGAAATAGCTGGTACTGGGCAATTAAAAGGGCTATACTCCTCCCAAAACCCTTATCAAGTGATAATCACAATTATTTATTTATATGATCATCTCAACAGACTTGCTACTCCTTGAAAACACCTTTTATCTTTTTCATCTTTGTATTTCTTTTGCCCAGCACAGTGGCCAGCATATAGTAGGGACTCAATAAATGTTTGTTGCATCCATGAATAAGTACACGAGCTTATTAATTTTAATTGAGACCTAATCTCCAACTTTACTGGAAGCCTGAGATTGAAAACAGAAAGACAAAAACACACAAGAAATGATGTGTTGTGATGAAAGAAAAAATGACTTGGTAAATATATGGTATAGCTTATATTAAATCTGAGGGAAAATCAATCTATAATAAGCCATTATTTCATTACTTGAATGAGTTAATGAATGAATGAACAAATACAGTAAAAAGGGAGTGAGTCTACAGCCACTGAAGTCCTTCTAAGCAATCCAAAATTTAGTGCCTACAATGAAATGCTGAGATTGATTCTGGGATTGTAAAGCTGAGGAAAAACTCCATCACTTACAATAATTTCAGGGATGGTTCTCAATCTTTAGCTGCACATTTAAATTACCTGAAGACATTTTTAGATACTTTGTCCAGCTATTCTTTTCCCCAGAGCCATTAAATCAGAACCTCTGGGGGTTGGGACCCATCCAAGCATGAGTAGCTTTTAAAACTTCCCAAGTGGTTCCAATTGCAGTCAAGGTTGAGAACCACTGGCTTCTAGTGGAGTGGAGAAAAGTCATCAAACAAAGTTCACTGAACAAATGTCTGTAGGTTACCTAGAGTAAAGGAATGAATGGGAATTAACTTCAATTCAGCATCTACTGCATACTAAGCAAGGTGTTATTGTTTAAATTTGTTGTCTCATTTTATTCTCATGACATCACTGTGAGGTAAAGATTGTTATCCACAGTTGAAAGAAGAGGAAATTAAGTCATGGATGACAGAAACACAGTCCCTACTATGAAGGAGTTTTTAAAAACATGAAAGGAAAAACATAGAAAAACATATAAATGTATATATATTATACACACACACACACACACACACACACACGTATATGAAAAAAAGAAAAAACTTGAACTCAGGAGATCTGGGTTCATCTCTAAACACCATACTGTCACTAACTATATCATTTGGGCCACTCATTTAACCTGCTGGAATTACCAGAATGAGAACAATAGGGTTAAATATAAAATTTTATAATTTCAGCAAAGGTACAGCTGACACAAAAGTAATTATAGCACGGTAATTAAAATTAAAGAGACATGACATGTGTCACAGAGGGAGGGCTAGCCAACAGTCTGGCCTTTAAGGGTATTAGAATCTGACTGATGCTGCTATAGTTTGCAGGAAGCCCTTGACTTTGCAGATCCAAAAATCTACTGGACGTTGATTTGTTTCTAAGGGACTGACACGTGATAACCCAATTTCAAATCATTAACGTGTAAACCATGCTTTCAAAGCATTTCTGTACAAAGAAAGAATTGTTTCTGTTAACTTTGTTTAAGCCCAAGATAGCTTGGGTGTATAAATTAGGTCTAGGGGAAGAAATGGTGATAAGGAATTTTCTTCCTGGTCCCCATGATATTAGCATTTACTTCTTTTCCCCTTCAGGTGCAGTGCAGATTATCAAGAAGTGAGCAGGTAAACACTACATTTTTTTCTCTTTGAGGTTTTTTTTACTATATTTCACCAATACTATACACTTATATTAATATTGTCTTTCTATAATACAATTACTATTTCAGCTTCTCATTAGTCAGCTTCAGCTATTTCACTCTAAAGCATTAGTTTACACTTCATTGTGTTACACCTCCAGTGATATAACAGAACTGAGAACATGAGGAAATGGTCCTTGTCCAGGCTCTGCCTCCGATTGCCATGCTGCCTTGGACAAATAATTTAATCTTTCTGAGCAGGGGGTACACTTTTTTGCAAAAGAAAGAGAAAAATGTTACTACATGCCTTTTTCATATATTTATTTTCATGAAAAATCATACAGTAATTTACCCATCATACAGTGGAGATTGAGTACTTTATTAATACACTTTTCCTTATTCTTTCACCTGATTCTCTTGATTGGCCTTGATTTTCTCACACACTATCTCCACCACTGATTTACAGCAACAAATCACTAATCTCACTGCTAAACTTAAGCTCTCCTTTATTGCACTTCTAGGGGTTAATTTTCTCTTGACATTCTGAAGGCATTTTGCTGTTTGCCTTAGGTTCTAATGATACTTCTATGTAGAGCTTTATACTTTACCATTATTTTTAAGGCCTCTTATGAACTTGATAATGTCTCCAGGAAAGGGACAGAATATGTTGTTTTTCCCACTTAACGGAAGACAGAGGAGTGACACAACAGGTAGGCAATGGACTCACACTCATTTCTTGATTCTAAGTATTCTCTCCACTGAGTATGCTCTGAGTTCTTTGACTCTGTCCTAGTTTACCAATCATTTTGAATCACTGGGCAGTTATTTCATTCCTGAGGTTTTACTTTTCTCCTTTTAAAAGAAAGCTAAGATGGCCTTAGGTCTTTCAGGGCAGTGCATAAAGAATAGGGCAGAGAAATTGAGAAAGTCTAAAATAACATATAGAATATCAACTGAAATTAATTACAGAGATTTTAAATTAGTCCCATAGAAGAAAAGTTTAAGTGGCTAGGTGTCTTTTAATTTAGAAAAATAAAAAAGAAGCCCAAGCAGCAACCTCATTAACTTACTTTCTCTGCATCAAAGATTAGGACAAGGGACATTGATCTGTTGTTCTCAGAACTAAATATTCCAGGATAGAGATGCAACCATAGAAATTTAAGCCAGACCTTCCTGACTTAGAGAATGATTAAACATGGCAACAAACTCAAAAGGGAAGCTTCTTATGTAGTCACTATTCCTGATGATGTTAAAAGCAACATTCTCATGGATGAGAGAAAAGGTGACATGAGTGATTCACAGGCATAAAATACCATCACTTTGGGGACATATCGGCATTTTGGAGTAGCAGAAGTGGGAGATGATAGTTTTTCAAGCATATTTATAAAATTTATAAATTTATAAAATTTATAAAATTCAAAGGGCTTTATTATTTTCATAAGGTAAGCTAAAAAAGTCAAGTGTAAGAAAGTCTTATACTCAAGCCAGGAAGGTTCTTAAAGGAATCAGAGTAAGAGTTATGGGAATATTTTATGTTTATAAAATGAGGGCAGGAGTGAACAGGTGTTGGGAACAGGCCCCGAAATCTACTGGCCCCAACACTGGCCATAAACAAAATCTCTGCAGTACTGTGACATATTCATGATGGCTATGTCGCCCACGCTGGAACGTTATGGGTTTACCGGAATGAGGGCAAGTAACACCTGGCCCATCCAGGGCGGAAAACCGCTTAAAGTCATTGCTAAACCACAAACAATAGCATGAGCCATCTGTGCCTTAAGGACATGTTCCTGCTGCAAATAACTAGCCAGACCCATCCCTTTGTTTCCCGTTTTAGTTAATCTGTAATCTATAGATACAATGCTTATCACTGGCTTGCTGTCAACAAATATGTGGGTAAATCTCTGTTTGGGGCTCTCAGCTCTGAAGGCTGTGAGTCCCCTGATTTCCCACCCTACACTCTATATTTCTCCATATGTGTGTCTTTAATTCCTCTAGTGCCACTGGGGAATTAATTCCTCTCCACAACTGAGCTGGTCTAGGCCAAAAGGTTGTTTAAAAAAAAAAAAAAAAAACTCTGATACACAGTTACATCATGTTGCAATGACTGAGCTACTATCAGCTTGGAGGCAGAAGACCAGACAAGAGGTCCAGAGTTCCATGTCAGGGGTCCTGCTACAAGCTTGAACAAACACCTGTCTTCTATCGTTCAGTTATCCAACATTTAATGAATGCTGAACATATGCCAGACCCAGAGTCAGGTATTTTTTAAAAAAGTAAGATCTCGGCGGGCCACGGTGTCTCACACCTGTAATCCCAGCACTTTGGGAGGCCAAGGTGGGCAGATCACGAGGTCAGGAAATTGAGACCATGGTGAAACCCTGTCTCTACTAAAAATACAAAAAATTAGCTGGGGGCGGTGGCGGGTGCCTGTAGTCCCAGCTACTCGGGAGGCTGAGGCAGGAGAATGGCATGAAGGTAGAGTTTGCAGTGAGCCAAGATCATGCCACTGGACACCAGCCTGGGCGATAGAACGAGACTCCGTCTCAAAAAAAAAAAAAAAAAAAAAAAAAAGATCTCTGACCTAAAAGAAAGAAGCAGCAGCAGCAACTTAGAATCTAATGTTAAAGGCAGACAATGTATTTATTATATGTAACAATAAGGGATGGAGAATACTAAGTGCAATAGGCTCCAGAGACCCAAGAAACAAGGAAAAGCGAAGCTTAACTTTTCTTGAGTATAGCAATAAAGAACGTAGGTTTGAAAGGAAGTAAAAGTAATCCCAAGAAAAACCCCAATACCAAAACTTAATTCCTTCCCTCCTGTGATATAGTATCACCAACCTCAAACAAATTTATAACGAGATATACAAAAATCCACACACTACGTATTAAATAGAGCTATTATGTATTTCCCAAACGTGGAATCATGGAAACAGTTCCTTAAATCCAGGCTCTGCATATAGAAAGTAAATTTTGGCCACTAGAAATTGCTCTGGATATGCATTTTAAAAATTTCAAAATGACCCTGTTTCTTCCTCTGCAAAAAAAAAAAAAAAAACAACAGATGCATGGAAACCTTCAAATTTCAAATTTATTTCCTATTGGAGTTATTCACATGCAAAAATAATCTTAAATGGTGTTTATGGCATAGGCTTTTTTCTTCTTCTTCATTGGCCCAAGTTCCAGAAACAGCTGAATAGATGTTTCTGTCAACATTCAACAACCAAATAACTCACCTTTGGGGTGAAATCAACTACGAAAATTTAAAACCCTAAGGATAATTTTTCAGCAAGTGAAACAAGTTAGGGAGACAATGACTTCAAAAATCTCAGGTATAAGATCTCTCTTGGTAAAGAAACTACTGATCAAGCCAGATTAAGTCACTGTTTACTCCGTATGCACAGTGTATATGTGATAAGAAGACATGGTTCCTGCCCTCAAGTGGCTTGCTTCCTAATAATTAATTCAAGCAACAATATCAACTAATGAAACAAATTCAGTTATGTCTTACTTTTTTATTATATATGCTTTTGAAAACTGGATGCAAATGAATGGCTTTTATTTCTAGTCATTTCTAAGTGGAAAGCAGAGTCAAGATATTATCTGTGTGTTGTGCCTAAATTGAGGATGTTTAAGGTACTATCTGTATGTTACAATTTGAAGGATAATCAAGATACCTCCTGTTTTTTGTACATAAGGTGAAGGATGTTGTGATGGTTAATTTTATGTGTCTTCTTGACTGGGCCACAGGATGCCCAGATATTTGATCAAACATTATTCTGGGTGTTTCTGGAAGGGTGTTTTGGATGACAGTATCATTTTAATTGGTAGAACAAAGCAGTTTTCCTTCTATAATGTGAGTAGGCCCAATCCAATTAGTTGAAGACCTCAACAGAGCAAAAAGACTGACCTTCCACTGAGTAAGAGAATTCTCCAACAGACAGCCTTTGGATTTCATCTGCAATATTGGCTCTTCCTCCCTGATGGCTTTTGAGCTGGAACACTGGCTCTCCCTGGGTCCCCAGCCTGCCAAACCACCATGCAAATTGGACTTGCTACCCTCTAAAGTTACATGAGCTAACTCGGTATTTTATATATATTATGTACTATATATATATATATCCTATTGGTTCTGTTTTACTCTCTTCTTTCTCCTGATGCCCCACCCCCACCCCACCATGCTTACTCATGGGCCAATTAGATCTTGTCCTCCTGCACTACCTAACATGGAATCCTCACAATTAGTCAATCTTTGGGGTCAAACAACAAGGTCAAGGTAGGTCTAATACAGTCTCAAGCACAATACACATATGGAAAAAGAACTCAACAAGCAATGAAAAGAACTGGGTTCTAGTGCCTGCTCTGCTATAATTCAGAATGGAATAACCTTGGGAAATCTATAAACCAACTACTATGGGTTTAAGTTTTCATCTTAAAATAAGAGTATTTGAATAAATGATATATAATTTCTCTTCTGATTTTTAATTTCTATGTCAATGAGTACAGGTGTGGATTGCTGACTCACCAACTGGTGGACTATTTACTTGAGCCATTTCTCACTGGCTTGATTAGCAGATAGCAACCTTGTTCCCATTTCCCTGTCTTGACCAAAGTGAGCCCTGGTTAGAATGTAATTTCAGAGATGCTATGTCTTCATTTATGGTTTATTTCAATTGACTGAGTCACCTTAAGCTTTAAGTTCTGTCACCTTAGCTTTCAGTTAATGGTAATAAACCACTTAAAAGGTTGGCTCTTTTCCAGACTCAATGTATTTAGAATGCAAGCAACTTTGCAACCACCCCCATCTCCAACAATCCCTCTTCATACTTTACCATTTTTTCATTTTACATTCTATGGAGAAAAGAGAAAAATGCTCCCCTTGACTATTAAGGATATTTTAGAATGAGACATTGTACTGGTACTTAGGATTTGCTATGAAAGAGCTTTCTAGGATAGGGGAGATTTGAATTGTAATTTAAAGGAAACAAATTCGATGACTTAATGGGAAAAAAAGTACTCTATGCATTTGATGAAAATAAAAGGTCCATGGGCAAGAAATGAACAGAATCAAGTTATGAAAAAAATAAATGAATAAATAAATTAAATAAGTGAAAACAAAGTAAAGAAGAAAGGTAGAACAAGATTGGCAAATAAATGGGATATCAGCACCCCTTCCCCTGCTGTTTACCCCTCACCAGTGGCAGATATTGCCAATTGCTTGGGATGGTTTTCCTGTTGAGCCCAAATACTTCCTCTCAATCCAGAACCCAAAGCACCCACTAGCAGTCTACTGCAGATGGCACAGTCAGGGAAACCTATATGTCATCCTAGATATAATGGAAAGTGGCACAAATACTAATCAAATATCTATCACTCACTAGGTAGGCAGTGAGATAGATGCTGTGGAGGATTAAAAAAAAAAAAAAAAGGAAACTCCTTGCCCTGTCTCCAAAATGCTCGTAATTTAAAAAGCAAGAACTGATAAGGAATTACTGCTTATAACAGGCAGAACGGGAAAGGTGCTTCATAAGAACAAAAAAGTAAGTAATACAGGTTCGGCTGGGTGCAGTGGCTCACGCCTGTAATCCCAGCACTTTGGGAGGCCGAAACGGGCGGATCATGAGGTCAGGAGATCGAGACCATCCTGGCTAACATGGTGAAACCCCATCTCTACTAAAAATACAAAAAATTAGCCAGGTGTGGTGGCAGGCGCCTGTAGTCCCAGCTACTTGGGAGGCTGAAGCAGGAGAATGGAGTGAACTCAGGAGGCGGAGCTTACAGTGAGTCGAGACCGCACCCCTGCACTCCAGCCTGGGCAACAGAGCAAGACTCTGTCCACCCCCTCCCAAAAAAAAGTAATACAGGTTCAAGGAGCCACAGATATTGAAGCCATCCTGACAGGCTGACAAGAATTGCATACTGGGTTCTGGACAGAAATAAAGTTATAATTAAGCATTAATCAAGCTGCACTTTAGCCCACTTCCTTGTTGCTAAAGGTCAGATAGCACTACATACTGACCATTTGCATCCCCATTGTTCCTGTAGATAGAATTTCTGACATGAGGGTCATGAGACAGGATCTCTGGTATTCGAATCATTAAGACGTTTAAGGATCACATGTTTTCAGACCCTGAATTTCAGCAACCAGTTTGAAGACCCCCACAAAGAAATGGGATTAGCATAAGTATACAGCTTTTTCATCTCCCTGTCCCATGACTTCACCCTGCACTCTTCAAATGATCAACAACCCACACTTTGCCCCACTTCAAAACCCTTAATAACCCTAGCACCAAACCACTTGAGGAAATGGATTTACAGTTTCATCCCACCTGCTCATTCAGTGACCCTATGACTAAAATGCTTTTTCTGCTGAAACCCAGTGTCTTAACTTATTGGCGTGCTATATGCGCCTTGGGAAATGATCCTATTACAGTTACAATATCATTTGTTTGTGAGAAACTAGACAGGCTTCTGCAAGGAACCAGCATCTGTGATAGACTTCGGATACCAGAGAGAACTTCAAAGATTAAGATGGCTGGAGAAAACATGAGAAAGGCATGACTGGCCTGGAAGGAGAAGGTACTGATGAGCTCTGTCAGGAGCTTCCAAATGACCCAGCAAGATGCAGAGAGATATGGTGTGAGTGCTACAGAGAAGGATCCATGAAGCTATCTAGGGGCCCATCATGAGTCACCTCATTAGCATAAATTCAGGTATGGTTGAAAAAGGTGTATTATAAATAACAAAGATGCTCTTCTTATCCCTACCACTAAGGAAATTACAAGAGTTTTAGGAGCTCTATGTCACAATCCAGGGGCAGAGATGAAATATATATTTCTTACTATGTCACAAACTGTTACAACAAAATACCATGCACTGGGTGGATTAAACAAAAGATGTTTATTTCTCACAGTACTGGAGGCTGGAAAGACCAAGATCAGGGTGTTGAACACTCACCAATGTCTGCTGAGGGTCCTCTTCCTGGCTTGCAGATAATGGCCTTCCCACTGTTTACTTATATAATGGCGAGAGGAAGCTCTGGTGTCTCTTTCAGTTGTTATAAGGGCACTAATCTTATTGTGGGGGCTCTACCCTCATGACCTCACATAAACCTTATTTCATCCCAAAAACCCAGCCTCCTAATACCATCACACTGGGGGTTAGGGCTTCAGCATATAGGTTTCGGAGGAGCACATTCAGTTCACAATATGTAGGAAGACAGTCCATGTGGAAATGTCCTCCCCTTGTAGGAAGAGAGGAAAGGTGAGGCAGACAAAAGCAGCCTGTGTATCCAGGCATATGCCACCAGCCAGACCCCAAACTATGTCAGGCACCAAGAGACCCAAGGAAAAATACACACTGTCTTTAATAGTAGTGGATTGTTAGTATACAACAAAAGTACCTGGCAGGGAAAGAGCAAGATACATGGGTTAATGAAGCTTTGCAGAGTTCTGAGATGCCCATGGGTGTGTAACCCTTCTCCTCCTGCTGTTGAGTCCAAAGCTCATACCATCTGCCACAGCACAGCCACTAAGTTGAAAGACAATGTGACTGGGCAAGGAAAGTGACTTTATTTGGGAGAGCCAGCAACTGAGAAGATGGTGGACTAGTGTCCTAAAGAACTATATTAAGCTAATATGAATTTGGGGCTGCTTTTAGGTTAGGGGAAGGGGAAAGAGGAAAGGAGATGAGGTTAAAAAGTTACTTGATGACCACAGACATCTGGGAGGCAGCAAGGATAAACTGTCTTTGGTCAGGTAAAATCCTCTTATACATTTTTAATGTAACCTTGTTAATTTTGTCTATACCCTCCTTATCTTCCTGGTGGTTAGTTTTGGCGATGGATTATTATTATCCTTGCTTTAAGGTTAAACTATAAACTAAATTCCTCCCATAGTTAGCTTGGCCTATGTGCAGAGATAAGCAAAAGTGGCTAACCTAAAAGATGTCATCGTGGAGGAGTGCTTAGGAGCATAATGGAGATTGATGTGATCGGCCTCCTTTTCACTGCTGCATTCCCACCCCCATCACTAAGTGAGTATCACTGCAAGTCTGGAGCCCAGCTCCTGCTTTTTTCTCAGGTGGTGTGATTCTGCTGCCTTCCTATCTCCCCATGGACTGGAAGATACAACTGTCTTTCTAATCCCAAAAGATCGCTTCCCTCGGAGAGAAAAATTCCTCCAATGCCAGGACCAGATTTTACCAGTACCTGTAACCCCACACTAAGATTACTGCCTGGAAAACAACAAATCCTCAATATGTTTCCTGGGAGTGATTCAGCTAGAAGAATCACCTTAACTATAAAGTCATTTCCTTGATTATTCAATCATGTATTTATTAAATACTTATTATAAGCCAGCCTCTTTTCTAGGAACTGAAAATACACAAAGATGAATGAGGAATGATCCACAAAGCTCACAGTCTCATGGGTCTAAGTTATATAGAGAAGCTTATATAAAGTTAAATGAGTTGCTGTTATGGCTGGCTTCATATAAAAATCCAAGCAGAAACTTTCTAATTCATCGGTTCATCCAGCTAGGCATTCATTAACAATTCAGCCAGTAGGTATTGACTGCCACCTGACTGGGAGCTCACACAGATGAAGAAAATATGTTGCTTTTACTGGAGAAGTTCACCATCATAATCACAGGGAAGTACAGTGTACAATATGGTAGGTACTAATAAATGTTTTCATAAATATCAGTGGGCATCGAGAGTAGGAACCAGGCTATAACAGGAGTCAACAAGAGACTTGGAGAGACATAAACACAGATTTCTAAACAAAACATAATTTTCAAAAGAAGCACTTAGCCTTTTCTTTTTCAAGGTATAGAATTCTTAACTTTAGGAATTAAAAAGAAAAAAAAGTGGTGCTACTTCTGGTTGAAGCATATGGGAGTTTTGGGGGAATGACAAGCCAGAATCTCCCACTTGGCATCCCCTGGGTCCCTGTGTATTTCCAAGATCCCTGTGCTCAATGTGGGGCTTCACGATGTGAAAATCACTACTGTCCAGGAACTAACATTAGAGGAGATGCTTCCTGGGTTCTTTCCCAAGTCCTATAGCTAACTTGCTAGGTAAAAACCCAAACATTGCTTGACCAACCTATGCTTTAGTGTACTCAACAGGAAGAGGAGGAGGCAGATACACCCATGCTGGCTTAACTCCCAGCAATCCTGGGAGGATAAATTAGGCACCACCTGCTAAGTTCCTTGAGCATCCAAGAAAAAAAGAAGGGAGTGGTGGGGGTGGGGAGCTACTTAAGACCTTATGAATAGGGAGGCTTTGGCAATTCCCCAGTAGAGGCATGCTGAGTGAAACACGCTGTCCCAATTACCAGAGGCAATGGTTCTCCTCTGGAATACAGGTTTACATTCTGAGATGTTATTTAAACATTTTGGTTCAAGGCAGAGCATTTTCAGATAAGAAGGATGATTTCAGAGTCAAGAATATAGTGATTTATTTGAAGGCAGAAAGAAAGAGTTGGAAAAAATGCCTTTTAAAAGATCAATTTATCCCCAGGGATGTACACTCAGTCCTTTCCCAAGCTGAGGAAGGCAATTTAATTGTTCATAACTTTATTGACTTGACGAGGCAAACCAGCTTTGCCAAAGACAATACTTTCGTGGGCCAGAGGAGATTAGCATCACTAGGAGTGAGCTCTGCCTTTTTACCCCAGACCTTTCTTTTCGCTTGGGTGACATCCTGCCCCATGTAATAAGGCTCTCCTGCTTCTCTCTGCTTGGCACATATTCCATCCAGCAATATCATCTTCCCTCCTGACTTGGGACTTATGGTATTATTTTGGCAGTGTGACATTTAAAATCACTAAAAATAAAAATTAATAACTAAAATTATACAACTGTCTCTGGGCACAGTTTATTGGTTCACACCAAGATGTATTTTCTTGGAAACTTTAATTTTAACTTTTAATTCTCTGAAAGGGATCTTCGGAAAAATTTGGAAGTCTACAGAATTATCAAAAGATGTATCTTATCAAAAGATGTATCTCTTCAAACAAAGATCACTGAATATACTGATAGTTCTTGACCCTCCATCTCCATTCTCTCAGCTCCATTTTCCTAGCTCAGGGGTCCATATGGCACTAATCAGGCACTCCACTTGCTTTGTAAATAAAGCTTTATTGCAACACAGCTATTCTTATTTGTCTATATGTTGGCTGTGGCTGCTTTCAACACTACAATGGCAGAGATGAGTAGTTGCAACAGAGACCACCAACAGAGACTGCCCGGTCCTCAAAACCTAAAATATTTACTATCTGGCAATTTGCTAAATCCTTTATCTGAATACCTCCTGAGGTCTCAATGTAGATGCCTTGTAGCCATCGTAAACTCCACGTGTTCTCAATTTAAGTCACTACCTTTCTTTCAGATATGTGCTGTCCTAGAGTTCACTATATAAGATGTCATTACCATCAGCCCAGTTGTGCACATCAAAATATTGGTTCATTCTTGCTCCCTTTCCTTTCCCTCACCTTCAATAAAATCAACCACTAAGTCTTGACCAAGCCAGTCTCCAACGTGAAGCCTTCAGGTCACTTTCCTACCAGCCTGCCTGGTTGCTGTCAGTCACTTGAAAACCTTGGGCAGGCTCTCTCTCACTCCTGAGATTTCTAGAGCTCCATTTCCTGGCTTAGACCAATCTACTCTCTGTAGAACACTCTGAATCATGCTTCAGGGTCCAGAAACAGAGGCGCTCCTTTGAGAATGCCTTGTCTCACATCTGGACTATATCTTTGACCCTCCTATTTGTGACTGTATTTTCCTCTGCTACAGCACTTATCATTACTTACTGTTAACACTTGTTAATTGCCTGTCTTCTCAGCAACATGTAAATCCCTTGAAGGCAGGTACCTTATCTATCTGGTTTATCATCAGAGTTCTTGGAAAGTAAAAAGTGCTGAGTACTTATTTGTTAAATGGGTGAATGGATTCATCTTTCCTCAGGAAAGAGATGCTTGAAAGAGGCAAGGGAACACAAAGAAACAGTCACAAAGAAAACTCAGATCTCACTTCCCTCCCATCACTTTGCCTACAGAGAGTAGAACTGTACAAAGTGAGGCTGTTGTGAACATGTGTATATTCTGGCAAGGAAGCATGTTTTCCTGGTTGTGAGAAAGAGAATACTGGAGAGGTAAGCATGGAAAAGTGATGGCATTGCATTGGCCAGGGACTTGAGCAATATTACCAATGATTGATGGTGCTATTATTACATTATACTTTACAGATTTCAGACTAGATCCCAATCTACAAGCCAAAAGAGGCCTTTACAATATAAGGCCAGTTAGTCTCTTCTTCCAGTTAGTCTCTTGCTCAAGTAACTCAAATTAAAAGCAAAGCTGTATCTCTACAGAGACACAAAAACCCTTCAAAAAAAATCAATGAATCCTGGAGCTGTTTTTTTTTGAAAAGATTAACAAAATAGACATCTAGCTAGACTAATAAAAAAAGAGAGAAGAATCAAATAGACACAATAAAAAATGATAAAGGGGATATCACCACTAATCCCATGGAAATGCAAACTACCATCAGAGAATACTATAAACACCTCTACGTAAATAACCTAGAAAATCTAGAAGAAATGGATGAATTCCTGGACACATACACCCTCCCAAGACTAAACCAGGAAGAAGTCATATCCCTGAATAGACCAATAACAGGTTCTGAAATTGAGGCAGTAATTAATAGCCCACCAACCAAAAAAAGTCCAGGACCAGACGGATTCACAGCTGAATTCTACCAAAGGTACAAAGAGGAGCTGGTACCATTCCTTCTGAAACTATTCCAAACAGAAAAAGAGGAACTCCTCCCTAACTTATTTATGAGTCCAGCATTATCCTGATACCAAAACCTGGCAGAGATACAACGCGAAAAAAGAAAATTTCCGGCCAATATCCCTGATGAACATCAGTGTGAAAATCCTCAGTAGAATACTGGCAAACTAAATCCAGCAGCACATCAAAAAGCTTATCCACCATGACCAAGTCGGCTTCTTCCCTGGGATGCAAGTCTGGTTCAACATATGCAAATCAATAAACATAATCCATCACATAAACAGAACCAAAGACAAAAACCACATGATTGTCTCAATAGATGCAGAAAAGGCCTTTGATAAAATTCAACATCCCTTCATGCTAAAAACTCTCAATAAACCAGGTATTGATGGAACACATCTCAAAAAGAATAACAGCTATTTATGACCAACCCACAGCCAATATCATACTGAATGGACAAAAGCTGGAAGCATTCCTTTTGTAAACTGGCACAAGACAAGGATGCCCTCTCTCACCACTCCTACTCAACATAGTATTGGAAGTTCTGGCCAGGGCAATCAGGCAAGAGAAAGAAATAAAGGGTATTCAGATAAGAGGAGAGGAAGTCAAATTGTCTCTGTTTGCAAATGACATGATTGTATATTTAGAAAACCCCATCACCTCAGCCCCAAAACTCCTTAAGCTGACAAGCAACTTCAGCAAAGTCTCAGGATACAGAATCATTGTGCAAAAATCACAAGCATTCCTATACACCAATAATAGACAAGCAGAGAGCCCAATCATGAGTGAACTCTCATTCACAAGTACTACAAAGATAATAAAATACCTAGGAATACAACTTACAAGTGACATAAAGGATCTCTTCAAGGAGAACTATAAACCACTGCTCAAGAAAATAAGAGAGGACACAAGCAAATGGAAAAACACTCCATGCTCATGGATAGGAAGAATCAATATTGTAAAAATGGCCATACTGCCCAAAGTAATTTATAGATTCAGTGCTATTCTCATCAAGCTACCATTGACTTTCTTCACAGCACTAGAAAAAACTACTTTAAATTTCATACAGAACCAAAAAAGCCTGTATAGCCAAGACAATCCTAAGCAAAAAGAACAAAACTGGAGGCATCACGCTGCCTGACTTCGAACTATGCTACTTTATTTATACTACTTTGATTTTCGTAACCAAAAGAGCATGGTACTGGCACCAAAACAGAGATACAGACCAATGGAACAGAACAGAGACCTCAGAAATAACACCACACATCTGCAACCATCTGATCTTTGACAAACCTGACAAAAACAAGCAATGGGGAAAGGATTCCCTATTTAATAAATGGTGCTGGAAAAACTGGCTAGCCATATGCAGAAAGCTGAAACTGGATCCCTTCCTTACACCTTATACAAAAATTAACTCAATATTGATTAAAGCCTTAAATGTAAAACCCTAAACCATAAAAACCCTAGAAGAAAACCTAGCCAATACCATTCAGACATAGGCATGGGCAAAGAGTTCAAGACTAAAACACAAAAAGCAATTGCAACAAAAGCCAAAATTGACAAATGGCATCTAATTAAACTAAAGAGCTTCTGCACAGCAAAAGAAACTTATCATCAGAGTGAACAGGCAACCTAGAGATTGGGAGAAAATTTTTGTAATCTATCCATCTGACAAAGGTCTAACATCCAGAATCTACAAAAAACCTAATTTTATAAGAAAAAAACAAACCCCATCAAAAACTGAGCAAAGGATATGAACAGACACCTCTCAAAAGAAGATATTTATATAGACAACAAACATATGAAAAAAAGCTCATCACTGGTCATTAGAGAAATGCAAATCAAAGCCACAATGAGATAACATTTCATGCCAGTTAGAATGTTGATCATTAAAGAGTCAAGAAACAACAAATGTTGGTGAGGCTGTGGAGAAATAGGAAAGCTTTTACACTGTTGGTGGGAGTGTAAATTAGTTCAACCATGGTGGAAGACAGTGTGGAGATTTCTCAAGGATCTAGAACCAGAATTACCATTTGACCCAGCAATCCCATTACTGGGTATACACCCAAAGGAATATAAATCATTCTACTATAAAGACATATGCACACATATGTTTATTGCAGCACTATTTACAATAGCAAAGACTTGGAACCAACCCAAATGCCCATCAATATAGACTGGATTAAAAAAAATGTGGCACGTATACACCATGGAATACTATGCAGCCATAAAAAAAGAAAAGAATGAGTTCATGTCCTTTGCAGAAACATGGTTGAATCTGGAAACCACTATGTTCAGCAAACTAACACAGAAACAGAAAACCAAACACCACATGTTCTCACTCATAAGAGGGAGTTGAACAATGAGAACACATGGACACGGGGAGGGGAACATCACATATCGGGGCCTGTCAGGGATGGGGGCCAAGGGGAGGGAGAGCATTAGGACAAATACCTAATGCATGTGGGACTTAAAACCTAGATGATGGGTTGATAGGTACAGAAAACCACCATGGCACATGTATACATATGTAACAAACCTGCACATTCTGCACCTGTATCTCAGAACTTAAAGTAAAATAATAAAAAAAGAAGAAAAAAGCAAAGCTATATCTCAAATTGAACTTATAGGACAGGAATGGGGTGTTAGGGGCAAGGTGTAGGCCTTGGAAGTGCATCTGCTAGTTCCACTTACAGTCTCCATGATGCTTCTGAGTGTTCATGGCTTCTTATAGGATATACTGCCAGAGGTATGCATGGAAATTAAAGCAGTTTCCCAAGGCATATGAAGAGGAGTATTTCTGAACTTTTCAAGTAAATACCCTAAGTGTACTTTGGTTTGCATTTACAGCTAGTCTTTTGGTTTGAGACAGACTGAATGAAGAGGAAAAACTAAGAAAAAATTAAACTGAACAAGATAGTGATGGCTCAAATATAATGCAAATTATCATTTGAAATAATGCAGAGGTATGTACAAACATGTTGTTTAAAGTTATGGAGATTACTTCTAGAACTAAAAATACCAACAGTTCCATGTAGCTGCCTTGTTTCACAGAGAAGCTGCAGAAGCCAGTGGTAGAACAAACCCAAAATTCTCCCTCCAGGTTCTCAGCTCCTGATAAGGTATAAACAAAATTAAGACAGGAGCTTTTAGATTAGAGTATGTATATATCTCTGAAGAGTAGGCAGCTGTGAGACAGAACCAAGGATGACAAAAGGTGATCTGATCTCAGTCTACAAAACACTTTCTTCACAAACATGAAGAAGTCCTAAGATCCAGAGTTTGTGAGGGCATATAGACCCAAGTGCAGGTGAGCTGACACACTAGAGGAGAGCTTTCGGGGAAAAGGGGGAATTCAGGATAGCAAAGATTTACACTTAATGTGAATATCATGGAAGCTCCTCTAGACAGTATCATCCTAGTGAAAAAGATCTTTGAGTTTCTGCAGATTAGACTTTTTTTCCCACTCACTTCTTACATTTGGAAGTACTTGCCTTGTTGAAAAAAATAGCTCATTTGAGATTATTGGAATGAGGCTGACCAATGATAAGCTGTGAGCCTTGATATCCTAGATGAAACAAGAATATCTTCAGGAGAATCTTATAAATATATGGACCTTCCTTCATACCCTGGATGTCGATGGCATCACATTTGTACTGGTGAGAGCTTATCTAAGCCAAGTGGCAGGTGAACCACACTTCCCGCACTGGCTGCTCAACATAACCTACTTTCTAAACCAGGTGGAGTCCACTCAATTTTTAGCTAGCTCTATGTCTTGGATAAATTCCCCTTGGAGTGCCAGCTGCTTGTTGGCTTTGCAATGTTCTCCTGCCTCATCATCATGGCCCAGGATAACACAGCACACATCTTTGATTCCCTGATTATTCTGGAAAATGTTGTTAGTGACCTGACTCAGCCTCAAATCCTGTGGGTCCTGGGAGAAATTGGGGCAAACTCTGGAGGGTCTTAGACATCATCATCGTCTCTCAGGGCATCTCTCCCCAGACAAAGAGCTTAGTCAAGGGGTATGCAGCATATTTGCACTTGAATACAGCAGAAGCAAAAGGGCACTCAAACAAGATGGCAGTCTCTGACTATAAAGGAGAGGCTTCACCCACCAAAGTAACAAGGAAGCATTCCTTTAACCTATTCAAGATCAGCATATGTCAAACTGAGGCTCATACCCTATGAGTAGGTCATGAAACCAATTTGCAGGGTTACAGCCAGGATTTTGTTATCATTTATTCCTTTAGTTTTGTATTTTAAGGACGTTTCTGTTAACAAATGCTTATATTTAAATTAATTATGTTTTCGCTTTTTAACAGAAATCTAAAATTAAGTATTACTTTATAATTTTTTCACTTATATATCGTGTGTATGTGTCTGTCTATCTACCTACTGGGTTGTAATACGAAGTATACTTTTATTTTATATGGGGGTCCTGGTGTTTGTGAAACACTGTATTTGTGTGGTTATGGTACTGCCTTATTTACTCACTGGGACCAGGCTACAGAAAGACTCAGGCTGATATGCTCATGATCACCTGTACCAAGTTCCTGGTCAGTTCAAATGAAAGCTAATCCTAAAACTCCACTGCCATGATCAAAATGACAAAGAAAAACGTAACAGCTAAAAGAAGATGCTGAATTGTCCCAATATCAAGGAGTAGAAAAAGGCAGAGGACCAGAGCATAGAAAGGGAAGCCTCAGAAAATCAGCCCTCTTGAGTTGCGCCAACTCTCCAGTGGCTGCAAGAAATTCATGGGGAGAATCCTGGCATACATACAGGAGGAATTGTGGAAAGTCTTACCAGGTCCTCGAGAGGATTTCTTAGTGCCCAAGTGATCACTGTAGAACTGATGAGAATATAATTTCTAGTCAATTATTCACATTCTGAAGTTTGGATCTAAGCAGAGAATAAATAGGTAATGGGTAGTGTCAGGCACTCCCAGAACTTTAAAAATATGACCTAGGAGGGTGAAATTATAGAGGATAAATATGCCATGATTGAGGCTGGTCAACTGTAGAAATGGAAGTGTCAGTAAGTGGCTACTGGGAAGATGTGGCCTGATGCTGTCCCCATGCTGTGAGCCTCCCTCAAACTCTGGATTATAGAAAATGGGTGTTTGAGGATTTGAAATAAATCGAGGCTGTCTTCCGGAAACCTTCTATTATACAGGCTTTTATAATAGAATCTTCTCTGGGAAGTCCTGTCAAGATTTTTGTCCAGAAAGTTTATTAAGACTTCGTAGCAGGTTTTATATCCTCACAGATATGATTTTACCCACAAATAAATACATCTCCATTCATTTAGGATAATCTGGCTCACAAGTGGCCAATGGTGAAAATTAAATGCCTAAGAAATGATCCGCAATGGCAATTATAACTGGAAAGAAAACCAGACCTTCCAGTTATCCACGCAATGCAGTGCCTGTGTGATCTGACTGGCAAGCCAGATAAACCACCAGAAGCTTTTTGGATGAGCTGATCTTGGTGCAGGAGATTAAGTTGTGGGATTTGATAGTTTAGTTTGCTCAGAGGAGGGGTTGAGAAGAGTGACTTGAATGTTGGCCTTGAGTCTCTCTCAATAAGGAATTAACCAACCAGATTCTAGCTTGTGAAGTCTGAGGACCAGAAACATGGCTGTCTCTGTCCATATGCCCATCATTTGCCATTTTCTGGCTCTGCCATCATCATTCTCTTTCTCTCTCTTCACACCACTTCTACACTAATAGAATTGTTTACAAGAAAAGGCTTCCAAAGCTGTAAATCTTTTGTACATAATTTAAAGAAGATTTTCAACAGACATCTATGATTTCATTACAAAGAACCCAATGGCATTAGGTTGAAACAAGTGTACAAAATTATATGCACACTAAGTTGTCATTGCATATTCTTCTCCCAAGAAAAATCATATCTATTTTCTACTCAAAACTATTTCATAATTTTGCTATTTAAATAATGACTTTGCAGCCAGGCATGGTGGCCCACGCCTGTAATCCCAACACTTTGGGAGGTCAAGGTGGGAGAATCACTTGAGCCCAGGAGGTCAAGACTAGGCTGGGCAACACAGCAAGACCCCATCTCTACAAAATATTAAAATTATAAAAAGCAAACAACAAATAATGACTTTGTAACTTTTTGTAAAAAAAAGTTTTCTCTAGAAAATATGGCTGAAGGTAGGATGGACGACTGTTATTATTTATTATAAGTCTTTCTGTACTATTTGCATTTTATCACGTACATTTATTACTCTAACAAAATATAATAAAAATTTCTTATTTTATTTTAATTCAACTAAGTGTAACTCTCACTTAACTAATTTTTTTCCTCAGCACTAAAGAGGCATATAAAAATATAAAAAGCTATTCATTTGAAAACTTGAACAAAACTAATATCCAGAGAATGGTCAGCAATGACAATTTACATCCATCACTAAATTACCG
Source organism: Homo sapiens (assembly GCF_000001405.40). Classification (NCBI taxonomy): domain Eukaryota; kingdom Metazoa; phylum Chordata; class Mammalia; order Primates; family Hominidae; genus Homo; species Homo sapiens. Next base: position 7,570,537 of record NC_000009.12, on the reverse strand, counting down.
TATCATGGTTTTTGCATTGATTACCCTTAGGAAATGCAAGTGGACATTCCCTATTACATTTTGGTGATTCATATTTCTCATATAACCTTTTTTGAAAATTAGCTACACTTCACCAGCCCTTGACTTTTATAACCTCATTTCAAGGTTTGTCCTGTGACTCCCTCACAAATTCAGAGCCCCAGAGTCAATGTCAGTATTTTGCCTCACCATCTCATGTGTGCCACCTAGTGGTCAGAATGAGACCAGCTGACTGAAAGGTCAAAAGATGGTTATGATGTAAACTGTGGTTGCTGCCACCCAGGTGTCTTTAGTGTCTAGAAATCCCAGCACTTGATGACAATGGGGGCTTCTTGTGTGATACAATGGCATAAAAGTGTGAATTTTAGACTAAGAGTACTGGAAAATTAACTCAGAAAAAAAACCAATGTGTTTTAAGTAATCAGCGATTGACTAGTGCCAGGAGAGCCAATAACTAGTTACTTATTTTAACAAAAATGCATTATTGAAAAAAAATCCAAATACTAAAGGTCACAATTATTAAAATTATGTAATTCACCATAAAATTTTACTACTCAAACATAGCCACACGATTATGCTCCAAGATAAAGCTGTGGGCATACTCTCTATAATACAGACACCTGAGGCTGGGGAAGCATAAAAAGAATTACAAAGCCAAAGTTCTTCTAAACAGTTTTTCAGAAACATTTTTAGTGATTTTTAGTCCTTACCCAGTACCAATCCATTTCAAAGTGAGTTTCCATTCATTCATTCAGCAACTATACTTTGACAGGCATTCTTCCAGGAGCTAAGATAAAGCAAGAAACAAGGCAACTAAGAGTTTTCCCTCATGAACGTGATATGTTAGTGCAGGAAGATAGTTAAAAAATAAGTAGATCATAAAAATCACGAAATGATTTTAGATGGTGATAAGTGCTATCAAGACAGTATAGTTGAGTGCAATAGGATACAGAATGATGGTGGGAGTTGAGGGGATTCTTCCTTCGATCTGTGACTTGACCATTGAAAAGGAGCCACCGTATGTCGAGACAGGGCACAGAATTCCTGGCAAAGGGGACAGCACACATGACTGCCTTAAAGTTACACTGAATGTTTTCTGATTGAAGAATTGCTAGGGGGCCATTTTGGTTCAAAATTATCAAAAGAGAGGAGGTAAATGGTAAGAGATGAGAGTAAGGATGTAGGCAGGAACCATCATATTTAGAGCATCAAAGGCATGCTAAGGAATGCTACTTTAAACGTGAAACAAAACCAGGAAATCAAAGGACAATTTGAGAAGGAACAATAATACAGCCTAATATATGTTTTTTGGAAAATTATTTTTGCCATCATTTAATGATCAGACTGAGGGAGCCAAAATCAGAGACCAGCACAGGTAAGGATCTTATTAAAGTTGTATAGATGAGAGATAGTTATGGCTGGAAGTGAGGCAATAGCAGAGGAGGGATTGAGAAGAGTGAGATTCTGGGTGTATTTTTAAGATAGAGTCAATATGCCTTGCTGATAGGATGGAATCAGGAGAAGAAAAGAAGGCAATGTTGACGTCAAGGATTTGAGCCACAAAAAGAGACCTCTGGGGATGACTATATTATTTAAGTGGGGGGGGGGGGGGAGAAGGAAGAGGGTACCAAGCGTCCTGTTTGACGTGCAAAGATTGAAGGACTCCTAGCCTTCCAGAGGAGATCAGATGCCACCGCATTTTTTTCACAGATTTTAGTTTCATAGTTGTGTGATCATTACATCTTGAGGTAATTACTATAATCAACAACTTCTAAAAACCTAGGATATTTCTCAGCAGCTAACTGCTGAATTTGTGTCATGACCAAAAAGTGAATGTTAAAAACCAGGCTTAAACTTCCTTATATTACTGTTACCCTACTGCTTTACCTGGGAATCCTAATCACACGGAAGTGTAGAAGCATGCATTTATCTCAACAGTATTTATCGAGGAGATGTTTGTGCTGAAATCAGAAGCAAGAGCCACAGTTTAAAAAGCTGCAGAGAGAGAATCCTTCTTTATAAGGAGAGAAATAAGTTACTGCACATGTCTTTTGGGGGGAATTGACGGAGACCAATATGACTGGACCCAAAAGAGAAAGGGAAAATGTGGTGGGACAGGAGGCAGGAGAAATAGGAGAGAATGGAACATAATAAAGAGTTTTGGCTTTACCCTAAAGGCAGTGGGAAACAAGAAATGGCAAGATCAAGTCCTACTTTTAAAAGATTATTGTGCTGCAATATGGAGAATGAATTAGAGGCAGGGCTAGAATCAGACCTTTTGAGCCACTGTTCCCTAAAACATGATTATGTTCCTCAACATCAACACCCCCCAACCAAACATACACACACACACAAACACACACACACACACACGCAAATACCAGTCTGTGATGCAAAGTAAAAGCAATCATATAATATTTAAAACTGTATTTAATCTTTAAGTGACCCAAATGTACATGGGTGCTGATAGTTAAAGAGCTTTTTTCTACTTTGTTTCCCATTCCCTTTTGTACGTTTATGTGGGTGTCTGTCATTCAGTGAGACAGAGAAGTGGAGGAGGACTATGTCTAGAAAAGACTCTTAGTGATGATCTGATCTAGGGCCAGTAAATGGAAGGCATCACGTACTTCTCTTACCCCCAGTAGAAACTGATTGTTAACCACAATAAGCATTCTAACCTGCTGTGACTTAGAATCATGCTTCAGATAAGATCAATTTGTCATCTCAGATCAAATAGAAACCCCTCATTTAGAAGGTAAAAAAAAAAGATCCAATTTTAAAAATCCAGCTCTACAGAAAAGGCATTTTGAATAAATGCATATCCTTAAATTACTGTTTTAATTTAAAATTTTAATGAAAACATTTAAACAAAATTCTACATGTCTGTGTTATGCTCTACCATTTTCTTAGGCCTATAATTTAAGAATATTACCTGAGTTCATATCCAGGACAGCATTGGCAAACCAATGGAGAAATAAAGATAAATCGATATTAAATAAAAAGATGTTGTTTGGGTATATAAATATCAATCAACAACTAAAACTTAACAGTTGCACGCTTCCATCTGATGGTCTTGTATCTCATAGGAGTGTCCTTTGGTTCTAGAAAGAAAACAAGAGATCACCTGAACCATCGTTGGAAGATGAGGATGAGGATGAGGATGTTGAGTCCCAGGGTGGTAAAGCTTTTGGCTCGAGGTCACAAAGCTTATTAGTGACAGAGGTTAGGTAGAAACAAGTGCCTCCTAATTCCCAGACCATTGCTCTTACCTGTGGACTACACTGACTCCACAAACACACGTACCCTGGAACCCTAACTGGACGACAGATATGAAACGCAAGAGAAGTCAACATACTGGATTGAGTGCAATTATTACCAGTCACACTCATAATTTTTAAAATGACAATAGCGTTTTAACAAGAGAACATCTTTGATCTTCCTATTATCCTACCAGTACCCTTAGCCAACACTTGAGTGTCTAATAGCTTACTCACAGGATAACAAGATTTTTCCTTTTATCTCCCTATCAATTTGAAAGAGGGTCGAAGAAATGTAACACAATAATGGACGAGAATAAGACTTCATTTAAGAAAATTCAATATTCATGTATCCAAACCTACAAAGAGACAAATTAGGGGAAATTATTCAAATAATGCAGACTTTCTTATAGGTTTGCTTTAAATAGCTTGCTCCATTAGAACTTTCTAAATATTTATAGATCATTAAGTAATTGACATGAAGATTGGGGGTGGAGGAAGACAGCCTTAAAATCAGAGCATTAAAATATTCATCTAACTGATGGAGAAGAATTTTTTCAAAAAAAACTTAAAATACATTGCAAAATAATGCAAAATATAATCTTAAGCATCAAAATAATCTCATATGAATTGAAAATGCTGTTTCTCAGGAGAGAATGATGGACATTTTATTGTCTGATTCTTGCATTATTTCCATCTCTAATTCAGTGAGTTAAAGGTAAACATATGCATTGAAGGAGCTCTGGGATATGTGTTCCAGGAACTTACTAAAACGGCCATGTATTTCACTTTTGGAAGACTTTATGCTTTTGTCCTGACTGCTTCAAAATTAGAAAATAATGTTATTTTAACTACATTTATATTCAACACAGGGATGTTCTGATCCGATTATTTTTTTCTTGAGATTCCCTCTAATGTGTAACATGTATTCACTCTCAGAAACCACACTGAAACACTCATACTCCTCCAGAGTATGAGACTCAAGTCACATACTTGATCTCAAAATCATACTCCTCTGCTTTTGGCTTTGTTGATCTTACAAAGCTTTGGGGCAAAAGTCACCTAAATTGATCCAGAGTACTGACCAACTAAAAGTCATCTAAACTGATCCAAAAGTAATATAAATTGATCCACAGTTTATAAAGTTTTCCATTGAAAAGGTGAAGGTAATAAAAACTAACTTCGACTTTTTGATGATTTTTTTTTCTGATGAGTTTTAAGTGCTTGGAAGGAATAGTATGCAGCCACTTCAAGAAATCATATTTTAAAAAGTGGATCCCTCTCCAGTAAGGAGGGACTCTGAAGTTTAGGAATATCTGTAGCCCATGGTTCATGGTAAATAGTTCAAAAGCACTTGGAGACAAGGAAAGGAGAAGAGACTTGGAGCTCCAAATCTGAGGGATCCTAGCCTAGCCAGTAGAAACTGTAGATGTCTGGGGACAGTTAATGCTTAAAGTACATAACAAGGTGTGGCAACTGTATTAGTCCATTTTCACACTGCTGTGAAGAAATACCTGAGACTGGGTAATTCACGAAGAAAAGAGGTTTAATTGACTCACAGTTCTGCATGGCTGGGGAGACCTCAGGAAACTTAACAATCATAGCAGAAGATACTTCTTCACAGGGCAGCAGGAGAGAGAATGAGTGCAAACAGGGGAAACGCCAGACACATATAAAACCATCAGATCTCATGAGAACACACTATCACAAGAATAGCATCGGGAAAACTGCTCCCATGATCCAATTATTGCCACCTGGTCTCACCCTTGACATGTGGAGATTATGGGGATTACCATTTGAGGTGAGATTTGGGTGGAGACACTGAGCCAAACTATAACAGCAACCAAATATAACACATGATCTTGGACTAAATCCTAGATAGGAGGAAAAAAGAGAAAGATAAGAGGAAAAAAGAGAAAGACAGAAGGAGAGGAGAAAGGTGAGAAATGTAAGAAAGAAGAAAAGGGAAGGAGAGAGGGAGAAAGAAAGAGGAGGGAAGGAATAAAGAGAAGATTACTATAAAGGATATTTGGAACAATTGGTGCAATTTGAATGTAGAATGTATATTAGATTATAGCACCGTATCAGTGTCAAATTCAAAGAATTTGACAACTATATCATGGAAAATAATGTTTATGTTCTTCAGAGATACATGTTGACTCATTCACAAGTGAAAGGTCATGATGTCTATAACTTACTTTCAAATAGTTAGAAAACAGTAATAAAAGAATAATAATGGAATAAATATAAATGAATGTGATGAAGGAAACATAGTAAAACTGTAAACAATTGATGATTCTGGGTGGAAAGTATCCAGGGGTTCATTGCATTATTCTTGCAACTCTTCATAATCTTGAATTTGTTCAAAATAAAAAGTTAATTGAAAAAGCCTATAGCACAGAGGCACTAAGGAGTTCAGTAGCCCTTGTATTTTTAAATACACACTGGGGCCAGAAGAAAAACCACAATACATACATACATAGATTTCTCTCTCTCCTTAAAGAGATAGTTTTTTTCTACAAAGACAGAAAAAACAACGGTTATATAAATGCATTCAAACATAGGTCACATAGATATTGGCTAAAAATATTGAGTATTACAAGTAAAACTGTCTCGATTCAAACGGTGGCTCTTTTTCGTTGCATAATCTTGGACAAATTATTTAACTACTCCATGCCTCAGTTTCCCCATCTGTAAAAGACAGATAAGAAACTGTCAGCGTTGTTATAAAGGTTGAATGGAATAATCCCCAGTAAGTGCTTAGAATCCACCTGGCTCATGGTAAGCATTCAATAAATGTGCAGTACTCCTACTTTAAAATGTAAAGTAGACTATGGCTAAATCCAACTGTGGCTAAAAAAGATAAGAATAAAAGTAGAAAATCAATTCCAAGGTAAAGAAGACTAGAAGTCCCATCAAGTGGCATTAACAAAGATGTTAGACATATGCATTAAATTTGAATCTGGCAGTCGGCATTTCGAACTCCAAAGTAAAAAGAGGATGTAGACAAGTACATAAAATTAATTATCAGAAAATGGGGATTCATCCCTATTTCTCAAAGGAGGTAAAAGTTTTCCTAGTGCTAAATCTTATAAGAATTAATTTAGGAAACAATGAATATTCTAAAGAAAAATATTCTGTCAAGATTGCTACAAGAGATGTAGTTACAAATTTGATGTGGCTTTTAAAATAATACCATTCTCTGATAGAAGCTAAGTGAACGCCATTAAAAGAAAACTCAGTTAAGATATAATTTTGAAAGCAGCTAAGGTAAAAATTGTTCAACTGTGTATTGTCCTGAGAATACCCAACTTGATCCAAGAATAGAAACTATAGTATCTAGAGCAGTAGGTGAACAGCAGATCCTTTGAATGGTCCTTCATAAAATATTACGTCTCTTAGCAGGGCTTTGCTAAGGATCAAATAGCAGAGCAATAAAGATTTTACTTTGTCCAAGGCTGGGAATAGAGATGTTCTATGTTGCTTCTTGAAGGCCAAATCCTTTTGTTTAGGAGCAGCGCTGGGACATGCCTGACCCTAAGAGTAAGTATCTCCTTAAATGTTGTGCCCTAGGTGCCTCTGTTGCTTTGTCCTAATCCCACTCCTGTTTAGATGAAGCAAATAGAGAATATGTTAGTCCCACCACATTTTATATACGTGACAGTTGTTAGAAAGGGACAAAATAATGTCTTTCATTGCTCCTCACCAAAAAAATACATAAATAAATAAAATAACACAAGATCCATTCAGAGAGCTGGTGGGGAAGACTGTGGATGAAGAATATCACCTTGATCCAGTTCAATGATTGCATTGCAGTAATGCTTAGAGTAATTTCTGGGTCAAAGGTTCAATTGCTTTCTAACTACAGACCATTGTTACTCCTCTTAATAAAAGCTCAGAAAATCCAGTATTTCACTTGCGAAGAAGTTGCATCTCCATAAATGATATGGATGTCTACGTACAAACAGTATGTAGAAAAACACCTTTTAAACTTCAATACTTTTAATCTTGAGGTTACAGTTTGCCTGAGCTATTTACAAAATCAGTGCTTAAACAAAAAATAGAAATGCTTCCACCCCATAACCACGATATTCCCCAATCCAAAGCCTGAAATAGAGGCATTTTGTGGCCACCCTAATGACCACCTTGGCCTACCTATTCTAGGAGGCAACATAGACTCTATAAGCCTTATGCTCAGGGTCAGGGGAGAGAAGTGCAGGCTACTCAGACCTTTCCCCAGTTTCCCAGGGGCTTCTTCCCAAGACTCACAGACCTTCCAGTATTAAAGAAATAATTATTCTGATACTGTTGAATGGTAAGTAAGGCTTTATTCAAGACTATTTCAGTAGGGGTATTGCAATAGGGAGAGAGATTAAACTCGATTCTCAATACAGCAAAGGCAGCTGAGAATTTATAGGCAGAGTGAGGATGTCATTGGGTGGGAAATAACTATGAGGAGACATCAAAGGATGGGGGGTTCTTGCAAAACTGACCTAACCGGATTCTTGCTAAAGCCCCCAAAGATTTTTCCAATCAATGGTGGAAGATAAGGGACTTGACCAGATATTAAGCATGACTATATATCAAGTGCACAAGATTCTCCCTAAACTGACTTAGCAGGATTCTTGCTACCACTGGGTGAGGCAGGACCGAAGCCCACGTTGAGGCTTGTTGAGAATGAGGCTTAGAAGAGCCTAACTGAAGTTTGGACAAGGGGAAAATCTCTGTCAACAGATATGCTGAAGCAGCAGGCAGAAGCAAATTCTAGTTCTTGGTTTTGCGGTCCTAAAGGAAAAAGAGGAAATCAAGAGCCATTACAGAAAGAAATTAAGTTTTTACAACTTTGGAAGACCATGCATTTTTCCCAAAATAAAGCATTCTAATCCCTCAGCGTGTTCAATAAAGATGATATCTTTCATATCTTATATTTATTCCTGATTCCATTAAGACAGATTTCAATGGCACCAAGAAATGTATAATGGTTTACTGACCTCATGTTTGTCCTGGATGGCAATCAGAAACTATCAATTTAGAATTCCATTTTCAGCAGATTAGCTTTTTAGCTAGAACGTATGTGTGTGTGTATGTGTGTGTGTGCACATGCATGTGTGTTTATGTGTTTGTTTGCTTTCATTTATTCAGATCATTTCTAAATATTGCCATATGGTAATTGAGTTGTAACGTTGCAGCCTCTTTAAAAGGAAGACAGAGTATGAAACAGGTCTCCAAACAATTCAGCCCAGCCAACATGGGCCATAAAGGGGAGGGAAGAGGAGGGAAATATTCTATTTACCATCTTTCCTCTTGGAAAAATGTCGTTTCCGGGGAGGTCAGAATTCCACACTCCAGTGCCAGTCAGAATTAGAACAATCTATTCCAATGTCCTTTATGAGCCCAGAACAACTGTCAAAGCTCTGTAGAAATTGAGTGGATCAGCAAGTATTTGGAATAAAACAGCTGTGCCTGGTGGTTGCTTTACTTGGTTAACACCGTTAATGGCTCAAACACAGAAAACAGGAGAGCCTGGGAAACACCTTCCTGTCCTCACTGGCAAGGCTCCTTCAGCCCTCAACCTTGAGGCGGCTCTTTTCTCTCATGGGCTTGGCAGGGACATGAGCGTGTGTGTGTCTGTATCTGAGTGTGTTGGAGGCGCATGTTCTCCTGGAGTGGGGTAGGGGGCAGGTGGGGAACTGTGCAGGTTTTTCTGCCCTTTCTCAGTTTTATTTCCCTATTCCTTCTCCACCCTGAAAACTCAGAGAAGCATATATGATGCCTTTTGTTTAGCAGAAAACACAGCCAGTAGAAGATAATACATATTTTTAAATCTTGCTTTCTTTCTGATACATTCTTTTTATCTCACAGTGGAGCCACCAAGTTCTCCAAAGACTGATAGACTTCAAAAGTTACCATCAGCTTAAAACAAAAAACAAAACAAAACAGAGAGCAGTCTTGGTGCTTTTGAAATAGCAACCACAAGCAAGCAGCAAAATCGATAATCCGAAAAACAACAGCTGGGGGCAAAGGAGGGGCAAAGAGGCTGGGGTAGGCCAGGACTTATGTTCAGGGAAGATTTCTGAAAGGCCCCTTTGTATATACACCAACGATTCTGGGTGATAAAATGCTGTCTGCAATAAAAGGCATTCTCCCATGGCTTCTGCATGCTAATGACCTCCTGATCCACATTCTCTAGGCTCAGAAGGGGGTGTGGAAATGTCTCTCCAAAACCAGCTGATCCTTCTCAGTTGCTACTGACAAATATTTTAGCTAGAAGACCAGATTAAATAGTAATTGTTAACTGGCACTGCAAGCCTTAATGTTACTTCCAGAAACAAACAGGAAAGCAGTGGTAAGACTGCTCCTTGCTTAACAAGGCAGCCAACTCCACCTCGCTGAAAACTGGGATCTCCAGAAGGACCCCTAGGACCTGGCAGCAGCCTTTAACTATTTCCTTCCCACAGCCCTTGGAACAGGCTTCAGTGATTTGAAGAGTATTTGGTAAACATGCCTCTAGTTTGTCATTCCTACAAGGGCACCGAGGACCCAGAAAACACTTATCCCCCAAGGGAAGTCATTTGGATAGGTGTCTGTCAATTTATATGGGAATACTCCACCAAAGGACATAAAAAGGCTATGAATTAATCTAGAGTGATAGAAGCAGGGATCTTTTCTTTCTCTCACCAAATATATTTTTAGCAAAAATCACCATCTCCCCACTCACAAATATATTAACCTTGCCATCTGTGGCCTCTTGCTTTCTCTTTGAAGTTAAACACGTTTAGGGAAGTGTATTTATTTGTCCCCAACTCTCTTTTTATATATTTGTTTCCCCTTCCTGCCTATTTGCCTCCCCAACTTTCTTAGACAATGTCTTTAGAGGGTAAGAACATTGACTTTGCAGTACGCTCAAGTCAGGGGCTATGTACTTGCCAGGACCTGGCTAAGATCACTCGTGAAAAAGAGTCCTACTGGATCTATTGTTTTGCTTTAGTAAATGAAAAACCTGAAATGATTATAGATTTAAAGAGGTACTAACATCAGTCTAAAAAGAGGAGCATACCTTATATTCAGGATAAATAAAACTGAACGAACCATTACCCCAAGTCCTGCTCCTCTACCCACAGGCTTCTCATCTCTGCAAATGGAACCATCACCTGCCCAGCTGCCCAAGTCATCAACTTGCTAGTCCTCCTCATTTTATCTTTCTCACTCACCTTCTATTCAGTAGAATAGATTCTACCTCCTAAAAGTCACAGTCGTGTTACTTCTGTGTCATCCCACATGGGTGAATTTATGCTTGCATAACAGTGCTACCATGTGTCATTGATAACTGTTCAAGTTATTGAGTATTTACTACGTGTTCAATGCTACATGGAAAGCTACAAGAAGTGGATAGTGCCTTTATCTTGTCAAATGCAATTTGTTTGCTAGGGCTACCATAACAAAGTGCCAAGCTGGGCAACTTAAATAACAGCAGCTTATTTTCTCACAATTCTGGAGGCTGCAAGTCCAAGATCAAGGTGTCAGCTGGGGTGGTTCCTCTGAGGCCGATCCCCTTGGCTTGTAGATGGCCTCTTCCTTGGGTCTTCACATGGTCATCCCTCTGAGTGTGTCTGTATCCTAATTTTCTTTTATAAGGGCACCAGTCATATTGAATCCACCATAATGACCTCATTTAAGCAGAATTACTCCTTAAAAACTCCATGTCAAATAAAGTCACATTCTGAAGTACTAGGGGTTAGAACTTTAATATATGAATTTTGGAAGGAGAGACACAAATCAGCTGGTATTAAGGCTCTTCATGTTTGTTACCTATTTTTTGTTCTCAGAAGTCTTCAAGAAAATTTCTGTGGACCAGGACAGGTGTTAGTACTGACATGAGAAAAATGAAACCCAGAAAGACTGACTGATGTCCCAACTCATTAAGTTGTTGCTAGTCCAGGCCCAGCCCTGACTTTCTCAAACAATGCCATCTCTCTCCCATTGTAGAGTAAATTTCTGCTGCCATGATTACACTATACTCTACAAAATTGCCTACGTTATCCTTTACTTTTCAAGTGCCTTCTATGTACCCCATTATTTTTCTTATTAATTCTAATTCTTGGGTGGTCCTCAGTCTTTTTCAGTTAATTTTCTTTTTTCCATTTAATGTACATGAACTCTTCCCACTTTCCCTCCTATCAAATTTCGAGTAGAGCATAAAGTCAGCATCATTTTATCTGTTGTTCGGCTTCTGTGGTGTTATTGTTGGGGACAGCAGCCTATCATCATAGTGTGTCATCCACTGAGAAAGTCTACATCCTACATGCATAATAAACTTTAATCTAGCCCCCGCATTAATCCTCCCAGCTCCAGGAGGAGGAAGAGGTGACATGCGTTATGATTTCCATTTCCTGATTGGAGAAACAAACACAGAAATTTTAGCTAATTTATCTAAGGCAACGTTTCCAGCCAAGGTGTCTGTCAGTTTATTCTTGGTATTTTACAATGGCCTAGATTTCTTTATTCTATTTCCCATTTTGTACAGGAATCTGGGGGTGAAAATGGCAGGGTTCTGGAGTAAAAGGAGACTGGCATGAGATGGACAGTCAACTGGAAAATAGCTGCCAAAAACTCACCTAATAACTAAGATCAATATAAATTATTGTGTGCTCACTTGAGTCAGACATTGTGCTGAACTCTTTATTTTCTTTTCTGCCAGCCCCTCTAATACTAAAGTATACATTGTTATAGTACCAGAATATAAGCTCCCTGTAGGCTAGGACCATCTGGTTTTATTTACCGCTTTAGAGACTCCTCTGTTCTAGGTGATTATCAACAGCTTTACCTCGAACCTATTGTACAAAATGGGGAGTGGAATAAAGACAAATGGGCCATTGTTAAATACCAGGAATAAAATTACAATGCCCCTGAATAGACTGACACTTTGGCTGGGGAATATATCCTTGTAAAAATTACCTTAGATAAATCCCTTGTACTTCACAGTGTCTGACACATTATAAATGCTCAATAAATATTTGTCAACAGTATGAACAAGTGAATGAATGCCTACTTTGTGCAGCTGCAATAGTAGTAAGACATTGTCCTTGCTAAGAAACAGTACATTGTTACAGGAGGTATAGAGGACTATGGGCCATAGGTACATGGGCAAGTCAACATTTAATTTAATATGTTCTAATTTCCATCCTAATTCTTTCTCATATGAGTAAATAGCAAGATTAGAATGAAATTCAAAAAAAAGTCAGAAATGTAATTATTAGAGAAAGGTGATTATGACTGAATGTTACACTGGAAAGAAGCAACTTACTCATTAAGTCTGCTTTCTGCTCAGCCAAGAAATATTCTTTTCCAAAGTAAGAACTAATCACTGATCCTTGCACAATTAGTTCTGCACCAGGAGAATGGGGACAGTTCAAGAGCCTCAGAAACATTTGCAAAACTTTCCAGTTTAATCTATTAACACCTCAGAAAGGAACATATCATAGCAGAGTTACAAAAGTCTGGAAGTGAGGTCTCCTTTTGGGATGTGGTAGCTAGCGGATTGCTGTTTGGCAATTTAAACACAGTGAGGAGGAATAATTTAAAATATCCTGTGTGCATTGAGGAATAAACATCTCAAGATGGAGTAACTATGTTGGAAACAAAGTCAAATGCCAAGCCAGTGTCTCTCTGTTTACTTTTCTCAACAAGATTATCTAATTCAAGGTAATATATAAAATATTTAATAATTCGTATGGCATAGGCACTGAGCTATCAAAACTGACTCTACCCATGTACAAAACAACAAAATAGTCCACACATTGACTGACTATCCAACCTGCTCCCAGCAACTCTTCTTAATTTGATTTCTGGGCTTATCTCTTATCTCCCTAGGTGACTTGGTGACATCGGACAGCCTCTCCTACTGTGGTGAGTGCAAACCTCTGCCCTGGGAGTCAGAGAATTTGGGTTTCGGTCTTAGCTCTACGCGTTTTATGACCTTAGGGAAATTGTTTCATTGTTCTGTGCTCAACTTGCTTCTTTGGGAAAACAAGGAGATTAGGAGATTGGGCTGACATTTTTCAATGTGAGTGCTATGGACATTGGCAGGCAAGGAACAGTTGTTTATGATGTAAGTCTGTCCAGCACATGGCAGGGTATTTAGTACCCATGTCCTCTGGACACTAAATGCCACTAGCACTCCCCAGTGATTGTGATAACCCGAAATGTTCCATGAATTTCTACTGTTGCAAAACAAATTGACTAGACAGTCTCTAAGGCCCTTTTCACTGTTAACCTTTTAATATTTCTTGCATATCCAGTAAACAGTTCTATATAAGTAATGTCTGTTTTGCACTGGGTGTTTTCTAATTCTCTACAATGACAAGCTTACTGTAATATTCCAGGTCAAACATTTCTGAACAGCTCTCTGACTTAGAAAGCCAGGAAAACTTGCCATCTAGATAGATGAAAAAAGAATCAGCAACCCCATTAGGCCAGCAGTCCAGCAAATTAGCAATTCTCAACTTTTCAGAAGTGCATCGGCAAGATCCAGTTATGAGAAACAGACACCTGATTTAGTATTTTAAGTGAATGAGATTCAATATGGGGAACTAGGTCCTTTCAAAATTTTAGAGAGTTTGGAGGAACAGGTTCTAGGCTGAGCCTCCAGAAATGACTCCTAGAAAACTATTCAATGATTCATCAAGGGAGCTGTTATCCCCACCTCTAACAGGAAGGTAGGGAATAAGAAGGCTGCTTCTGGAACTGTGGTCTTCATGAACATACTCTTGCAATGGTGATCTAATATTACAATACCAAGGCCTTCATTGCCACTGCCACCATACTGCCTCTTACCACCCATGATGCTCTTGAGTGGTCCCTGGAAAGGTAATATTGAAAATCCAATGTTATACCGGCAGAAAACAACCAAAACAGCAGAAATATGGTCCGTGCCTCACTTCAGCTTTATAAACCTAAAGCATATACTTGGGAGAACTAAATTTATATCCATTACAATAACTATACAGATAGTTTCTAACCATCAAGTTTCTACAGTGCAGGAAGGGACAAGAGAAGAAGCTTGATATTAGGTATCAAGATACCACACCTACCGTGGAAGGCATGAAGCTGTCATAATCTGAAGAAAGCCATGACTCTCCACAGAAAAAAAAAAAGTACATGCTAAATATATATAAGTTTGCATATGTTTTCATGGTATGTACAGATGTCCCAAAAGCCACAGTGAACCCTAAGGACACTTACACTAGAGCAGAGTTTCTGAACCTTGACATAATTGACATTGGAGGTTATCTAATTCTTTGCTGTGGGAAGCAATTCTATGCATTGCAAGATGTTTAGCCACATCCTTACCCTCTTCCCACTACATGCCAGAAGTACCCTCCCACTTCAGTTTTTACAGCCAAAAATGTTTTGCAAACATGGCCAAGTGTCCCATTGAGGGGCGGCGGGTAAAAAAAGACCAAAACAACCAAACAAAAAGTCCTTAAGTCTGGCCGGGCTCTGTGGCTCAAGCCTGTAATCCCAGTACTTTGGGAGGCCAAGGCGGGTGGATCACCCAAGGTCAGGAGTTCAAGACCAGCCTGGTCAATATGGTGAAACCCCATCTCTACTAAAAATACAAAAAAAAATTAGCCAGGCGTGGTGATGTGCAACTGTAATCCCAGCTACTCAGGAGGCTGTGGCAAGAGAATCACTTGAACCTGGGAGGTGGAGGTTGCAGTGAGCCGAAATTGCGCCACTGCACTCCAGCCTAGGTGACAGAGCAAGACTCGGGGCGGGGGGCGGGGGTGGGGGGTGGCCAGGGGAAGCAAGCCCTTTAGTTTTATTTATCTGTAAAGGATCAATATGAACATAAAACTTTGTGAAGAGAAAGACTTGATCGACAGAGTCATGCATACAAACATCATGAACTACGATAGGTAAAACTGTTGAAGAAATATGTACATAACAAGAGCATGGACAAGAGCAGCTTCAAAAATGGATTCAGAAAGGGGATTTAATATTGTAATTAAACCAACAGAACCTGGAATTTAGACTCAGAAGACCTGTGTGGTGGTTAATTTTATGTATCAACTTAGCTGAGCCGTAGGATACCCAGATATTTAGCCAAACAGAATTGTGGGTTTGTCTGTCAGGATGTTTCTGAATGAGATTACCTTATGAATCAGTAGACTCAATAAAGCAGATTGCTCTTTCTAATGTGAATGGGCCTCATCCAATCAACTAAAGACCAAAAGAGAACAAAACGGTTTTGTCAGAGGAAATTCCCACTGCCTGGCTATTGTGCTAGGACATTGGTTTTTTCTGGACTTTAGAACTTGGACTAAAACATGGGCTTTTCCTGGATCTCAAGCCTGCTGGAACTTACATCATCAGCTCTCCTGGTTCTTAGGCCTTTGGATTCAGACAAGAACTAAACATTGGCCCTCCTGGGTCTTCAGCTTGCCAATTGCAAATCCTGACCCTTGTCAGTCTCTACAACAATGTGACCCAATTTCTTTTTTGTTTGTTTTTTGTTTTTAAGTTCCGGGATACATGTGCAGAACATGTAGATTTTTTACAAAGGCATACGTGTACCTTTGTGGTTTGCTGCACCTATTAACCCATCCTCTAAGTTCTTTCCCCTTGTCCCTCCACCCTCTAACATGCCTGGGTGTGTGTTGTTCCCCTCCCTGTGTCCATATGTTCTCATTGTTCATATCCCACTTATGAGTGAGAACATTCAGTGTTTGATTTTCTGTTCCTGTGTTACTTTGCTGAGGACGATGGCTTCCAGCTTCATCCATGTCCCTGCAAAAAACATGATCTCATTCCTTTTTATGGCTGCATAGTATTTCACGGTGTATATGTACCACATTTTCTTTATCCAGTCTATCATTAATGGGCATTTGGATTGGTTCCATGTCTTTGCTATTGTAAATAGTGCTGCCATAGACATACATGTGCATGTGTCTTTATAAAGATTTATATTCCTTTGGGTATGTACCCAGTAATGGAATTGCTGGGTCAAATGGTATTTCTGGTTCTAGATCTTTGAGGAATCGCCATACTGTTTTTCACAATCGTTGAACTAGTTTACATTCCCACCAATGGGGTAAAAGCGTTCCTATTTCTCCACAGCCTTGCCAACATCTATTAGTTTCTTGACTTTTTAAAAATTGCCATTCTGACTGGCGTGACATGGTATCTTATTGTGGTTTTTCTCTGCATTTCTCTAATAATCCATTATATTGAGCTTTTTTTCACGTTTTTTGGCCGGGTTGTTTTTCTCTTGTAAATTTAAGTCCCTTGTAGACTCTGGATATTAGACCTTTGTCAGATGGGTAGATTGCAAAATTTTCTCATTCTGTAGGTTGCCTGTTCATTCTAATGATAGTATCTTTTGCTGTACAGAAGCTCTTTAGTTTAGTTAGATCCCATTTATCAACTTTTGCGTTTGTTGCAATTGCTTTTGGTGGTTTTGTCATGAAATCTTTGCCCATGCCTATGTCCTGAATTGTATTGTCTAGGTTTTCTTCTAGGGTTTTTATGGTTTGGGGTTTTACATTTAAGTCTTTAATCCATCTTGAGTTAATAATATTTGTATAAGGTATAAGGAAGGGGTCCAATTTCAGTTTTGTGCATATGGCTAGCCAGTTTTCCCAGCACCATTTATTAAATAGGAGATCCTTTCCCCATTGCTCATTGTTGTCAGGTTTGCTGAAGATCAGATGGTTGTAGATGTGTGGCGTTGTTTCTGAGGTCTCTGTCCTGTTCCATTGGTCTATATGTCTTTTTTGGTACCAGTATCATGCTGGGCATGCTGCTTTGCTTGCTGTAGCCTTGTAGCATAGTTTGAAGTCAGAGAGAGTGATGCCCCCAGCTTTGTTTTTTGTTTGTTTTGTCTTTTGCTTAAAATTGTCTTGGCTATACAGTGTCTTCTGTGATTCCATATGAAATTTAAAGTAGTTTTTGCTAATTCTGTGAAGAATGTCAGTGGTAGTTTGATGGGAGTAGCAGCGAATCTTTACACTATTTTGGGCAATATGGCCATTTTCACGATATTGATTCTTCCTATCCATGAGGATGCAATTTTTTTCCATTTGTTTGTGTTCTATCTTATTTCCTTGAGCAGTGGTTTGTAGTCCTTCTTGAAGAGGTCCTCCACTTCCCTTGATAACTGTATTCCTAGGTATTTTATTCTTTGTAGCAATTGTGAATGGGAGTTTATTCATGATTTGGCTCTCTGCTTGTCTGTTGTCCGTGTAAAGGAATGCTTGTGATTTTTGCACATTGATTCTGTATCCTGAAACTTTGCTGAAGTTGCTTATCAGCTTAAGAAGTTTTGGGGCTGAGATGTTGGGGTTTTCTAAATACAAAGTCATGTCATCTGCAAATAGAGATAATTTGACTTCCTCTCTTCCCATTTGAATACCTTTTTTTCTTTCTCTTGCCTAATTGTCCTGGCCAGAACCTCCAGGTTGAACCACTATGTTGAATAGGAGTGGTGAAAGAGGGCATCCTTGTCTTGTACTGGTTTTCAAAGGGAATGCTTCCAGCTTTTGCCCATTGTGGGTTTGTCATAAATAGCTCTTGTTATTTTGAGATATGTTCCATCAATACCTAGTTTACTGAGAGTTTTTAACATGAAAAGATTTTGAATTTTATCAAAGGCCTTTACGGCATCTATTGAGATAATCATGTGGTTTTTGTCTTCGGTTCTGTTTATATGATGTATTACGTTTACTGATTTGCTATGTTGAACCAGCCTTGCATCCAGGAATGAAGCTGACTTGATCATGGGAGATAAGTTTTTCGATGTGCTGCTGGATTTGGTTTGCCAGTATTTTATTGAGGATTTTCACATCAATGTCCATCAGGGATATTGGCCCCAAAATTTTTTTTTTTGTCTGTGCCCATTTTTGGTATCAGGATGATGATGGTTTCATAAAATGAGTTAGAAAGGAGTCCCTCATTTTCAATTGTTTTGAATAGTTTCAGGAGGAATGGTACTAGCTCCTCTTTGTATTTCTGGTAGAATTTGGCTGTGAATCTGTCTGGTCCTGGGCTTTTTTTGGTTGGTAGGCTATTAATTACTGCCTCAATTTCAGAACTTGTTGTTGGTCTCTTCAGGGATTCGACTTCTTCCTGATTTAGTCTTGGGAGGGTGTGTGCGTCCAGGAATTTATTCATTTCTTCTAGATTTTCTAGTTTATTTGCATAGAAGTATTTATAGTGTTCTCTGATGATAGTTTGTATTTCTGTGGGGTCAGTTGTGATATCCCCTTTATCATTTTTTATTGTTTCTATTTGATTCTTTTATTAGTCTAGCTGGTGGTCCGTTTCGTTAATTTTTTTCAATAAACTGGCTCTTGGATTCATTGATTTTTTTGGAGAGTTTTTTGTGTCTCTATCTCCTTCAATTCTGTTCTTATCTGAGTTATTTCTAATCTTCTGCCAGCTTTTGCATTAGTTTGCTCTTGCCTTTCTAGCTCTTTTAATTGTGATGTTAGGGTGTCAGTTTAAGATCTCTCTAGTTTCTGATGTGGGTATTTTAGTGCTGTAAATTTCCCTCTTAACACTGCTTTAGCTCTGTCCCAGAGATTCTGGTACATTGTCTCTTTGTTCTCATTGGTTTCAAATAACTTACTGATTTCTGCCTTAATTTCATTATTTACCATGGAATCATTCAGGAGCAAGTTGTTCAATTTCCATGTAATTGTGTGGTTTGAGTTAGTTTCTTAATCCTGAGTTCTAATTTGATTGCACTGTGGTCTGAGAGACTGTCATGATTTCAGTTTTTTGCATCTGCTGAGGAGTGTTTTAAATCCAATTATGTGGTCGATTTTAGAATAAGTGCCATGTGGCACTGAGAAGAATGTATATTTTGGTGATTTGGGGTAGAGAGTTCTGTAGCTGTCTACCAAGTCTACCTGATCCAAAGCTGAGTTCAAGTCCTGAATATCCTTGTTAATTTTTTGTCTCATTGATCTAATATTGACATTGGGGTGTTAAAGTCTCCCACTATTACTGTGTGGGAGTCTAAGTCTCTGTGTATGTCTCTAAGAACTTGTTTTATGAATCCGCGTGCTCCTATACTGGGTGCGTATACATTTAGGATAGTTAGTTCTTGTTGAATTGATCCCTTTACCATTACGTAAGCCCTTCTTTGTCTTTTTTGATCTTTGTTCATTTAAATTCCATTTTGTCAGAGACTAGGATTGCAACCCTGTTTTTTTTGTTTTGTTTTGTTTTTGTTTTTGTTTTTCGCTTTCTGCTGAGAGGTCCACTGTTCGTCTGATGGGCTTCCCATTGTAGGTGACTTGGCCTTTCTTTCTGACTGCCCTTAACATTTTTTCCTTCATTTCGACCTTGGAGAATCTGATGATTATGTGTCTTGTGGTTGATCCTCTCGTGAAGTATCTTAGCAGTGTTTTCTGTATTTCCCGAATTTGAATGTTGGCCTGTCTTGCTAGGTTGAGGAAGTTCTCCTGAAGTGCGTTTTCCAGCTTCTTTTCATTCTCCTCATCTCCTTCAGGTACTCCAGTCAATTACAGGTTCGGTCTTTTTATGAAGTCCCGTATTTCTTGGAGGCTTTGTTCATTTCTTTTATTCTTTTTCCTCTAATCTTGTCTGCATGCCTTAATTCAGCAAGGTAGTCTTCAAACTCTGATATCCTTTCTTCTGCTTGGTGGATTTGGCTATTGATACTTGTGTATACTTCACAAAGTTCTCGTGCTGTGTTTTTCAGCTCCATCAGGTCATTTATGTTCCTCTCCAAACTGGTTATTCTAGTTAGCAGCTCCTCTAACCTTTATCAAGGTCTTAGGTTCTTTGCATTGGGTTAGAACATGCTCCTTTAGCTCAGGAGAGTATTTTATTACCCACCTTCTGAAGCCTACTTCTGTCAATTCATTCATCTCATCCTCCATCCAGTTCTGTGTCCTTGCTGGAGAGGCTTTGCAATCATTTGGAGGGGAAGAGGCACTCTGGCCTTTTGGGTTTTCAGCGTTTTTTCATTGACTCGTTCTCATCTTGAGTTTGTCTCATTTCAATCATTGAAGCTGCTGACCCTTGGATGGAGTTTTGTGGGGACTTTTTTTATTGTTGATGCTATTGTTGTCACTTTGTTTTTCTTTCAATGCGTCAGGTCCCTCTTCTGTAAGGCTGCCATGGTTTGCAGGGGGTTCCCTCCTGTGCCTGGAGATGTCACTTCAGGAGGCTGGAGAACAAGAAAGATGGGTGCCTGCTTCTTCTTTTGGGATCTCTGAATTTGAGGGGCACCAAACTGATGCCAGTAGGATCGCTCCTGTATAGGGTGTCTCACAACCCCCGTTGGAGGGTCTCACCCAGTTGGGTGGCACAGAAAAGAGGACCCATTTAACAAAGCACTTTGATGACACCTTGGTGGAGGGGGTGTGCTTTGCTGGGGGGAAACCCACTCATCTGGGCTGCCTGGATTCCTCAGAACTACCAGGAAGAAAGGGTAAGTCTGCTGGTCCGCAGAGACTGCGGCCACCCCTCTCACTAGGGGCTCAGGCTCAGGAAGATCTGGGTTGGGTCCCTGAGTCTCTGGCTGAAGTTGTTGGAGTTCCTGCAGGGAAACCCCACCCAGTGAGAAAGGATGGATCAGGGTCAGGCCTGAAGAGATGTTCTGCCTGCAGTCTGCCACAGCCCGTGTGTTTGAATGGTGGGGGACACCTCTAGGGGCCAAGACGTCCAGCCTCCCTGGCTCCAGCAGGGGAAAAGCACAGCCTGGAGCTATGGAGATGGATGCCACCCTTCCCCCAGCCAGGGAGCTGTGTTAGGCAGTTAAGAGTCCCAGAGCTGGCTGCTGTCCCTCCCTCAAGGAGCTCAAAAGGCTTAGACAGCAGGCAGCCACAGCTGTGGTGCTGGTCACCCCTCCCCCCAGGAGCTCAGCAGGCTTAAGCAGGAAGCTGAGAGGCTGTTGAGAATCTGCTCAGCTCCAGGGTTGAAACCCTAGGCCCTGGTGATGTGGGTTCGTGAGTGGGATCTTCTGATTCATGGGTTGCACAGTTCCATGGAAAAAGCACCGTTTCCCAGGCTGGGTAGCACATTCACTCACCGCCTCCCTTGGCTGGGGAGTGGGGGCTTCCCTGCCCTGTGTGGCTCTCAGGTGGGCTGTCACACCACACTGCTCTTCCTTCCTCTCCATGGATCGTGCCAGCCACCTCGCCAATTTCTTGTACTAAATCTCTTTCTATACATATACTTTCTATTGGTCCTGTTTCTCTGGAGAACCCTAATACAGTTCGATTTAAGTGTTAGTTCTATTGCCCAATCTGTGAACTTGGACAAGTCAGTTTAACTCT
Source organism: Homo sapiens (assembly GCF_000001405.40). Taxonomy (NCBI): domain Eukaryota; kingdom Metazoa; phylum Chordata; class Mammalia; order Primates; family Hominidae; genus Homo; species Homo sapiens. The sequence continues at coordinate 7,548,951 of NC_000009.12, read as the reverse complement.
CTGAGCCTCTGTTTTCTCACCTATAAAATGGAGATTATGGAAACACTTATGTCACAAGATTACTGTTTGATTGAGGCAAGGTGGACTGAGTAGCTCTCTTTACCTGTATTTTACAAGAACTATGTGTCTTTTAAGGCATTTCCTCCTTCCTACCACAGCCACCCTGAGTCACTGGGAACAAGTATCTACAGATGTACCTGTGCCCCTATCTCAAAAAATGGAACCAGGTGCACTCTACTCCACTTGGTGAAGGTTCTTCCTTCTGATCCATTTGAAAATCATATGAAGGTTGTTTCCGTATCATTGGCATGATTCTTAAGGATGAATTTAGAAGAGTTAAACATTCAAACTTTAGCAAGTTTTTATCTTTTGGAATTTTTGTTTTGTTTTGTTTTTGAATTTGAAACATTAAAGAAAACAATTATTGGGGATCAAAAAAATCTTATTTCCCTGCCAAACCATATGCATCGAAATTGTTTCTATCAATGGAAACAGTCCAAGAATTTGAAAAACAAATCCCAGTGAAAACACGCAAAATTAAGTTGGCAATTTCTTCTTTTTGATTTTTTTAAAAAAGAAACCATAAACTAGAAGACATAGAGTTTTCTTTTTTAAACGAATTTCTCATCTTCCAGCAGGAGCCATTCTTTTCACAAATCAATGCTTACTGCTAAAAAGAGAAAGCTTAATGGATGAACATTGTGGTAAAAGTGAAGGCCCCTCCGAACACATTTTAAAAGGAAATTACAATTCAGTAAATTCTCCTTCCCCTCTTGTTCTGTTTGTATTTCCATTCTGTGCTGTTGCTAATTCGAAAAGCCAGATTTTCACTCCACTCCTCATTCTGTTCAACTTTACAACCTGGATAAGCCTTTCTGACACAAAAGACTTTATGTTGTGGGACAAGAGGTTCTGGATCCTGGATTTAAAGTCTAATTTGGAGCCTTCCTGTGTCAAATTCATTCACCTCTGCAAATACATTGTAATAAAATAGTGACGGTCTGATTAATCTACAACCGTTCAAATGTATCTGGAGAAGCAAGTGCTTTTCCCTTAGGCTCAGATTGGCATAAGGGCACAAATATTGCCCTAAAGCAGTAATAAAGATCCTTTCCTATTAAAATGAACAAGTCAACAAAAATATCCCTGTGTCTCAAAGAAAATATCCCTCTAGAAGATGTTTATCAAAAGTTATTCACAGAATTATACGGTCATCCCTCTGTATCTGCAGGGGATTTGTTCCAGGACACACTGCCCTCATAGCAAAATCTGTAGATGTTCAAGTCTCTGATTTAAATCGTACAGTATTTGCATATAACCTATGCACATCCTCCTGTATACTTTAAACCATCTCAAGATTACTTATAATACCTAATACAATGTAAATACTATGTAAATTGTTGTAATACTATATTTATTGTTATATATATTTATGTATATATATATGTAATATATATATTGTTTTATATTTTCAATCCATTGTTAGTTGAATCTGTGGATATGGAACCCAAAGATATGTAAGGTCATCTGTACTAACTACTATAATCAATTTCACTAATGTGAAATCATAAAATTTACAAAGATTGTTTAGAACAGTATGCTCAACCTGTGTTATCCATGGCATTATTACTTAATAAATGTGCAAATAATAATAGGTGCTGGTATTAATTACCTTTGAAAAATGCTAATCCCCTCTTAAAGTGTCATATATTACATAGTATATTAAACGAACTGAGAAATTCTTCGGTAAAGAAATTTAATCTTATTCTCCAAGATTCTTCTAGACTTACTTGACTACAGACCTCTTTTTTTCATAAAAATATGTCTTAACAGATGTGAGATTAGAAATCTTTGCAGAGCAGTTTGAAAAATGTTGGTTGAGGATCTCAACCTACTATATCACTCACCTCACCCTGGCACATATATGTGCGTGCACACACACACATACACATATCAGTATCATAATTGCTCCTTTTAGAGGCACTCACTTTTCTCTAATACAGCTCTCCAAAACTAGCTTCCTCTCACCATCAAAACATGTTTATCTTCTGTATACATTCCTAGGATCCTGCTTTCTGCTAACAGGCAACTTATGTGATCAGCTATTTGAAAATTTGAAGGTAAAAATGAGAGCTCTGGAATGAGAATACCTAGATTTAAATTAGGGTTTCATAATTTATGAACAGTATGATCTTGGGCAAGTTACTTGACCTCACTAAGCTTTAACTTTCTGCTCTATACATTAAGCATGATAATGGTGCTTATTTCATTAAGTCACTGTGATGTTTAAATGAGATGATTCCTACAGAAATGTGTCTGACACAAAGTGTTCAAAAACATTTTAAAGAAACAAATATATACATGAATTATAACAATTAATCTCATGTGGGGCATTTTTCCTTCTGCTTTATAAATGTTTCCTTTAGATAAGGTTGTTGTGTAAATCCTTCAAGGGAAGCCTGTGAGCCTTGATAACAAGACCACACCAGACAAACTATTTGGTCCCAACTGCCCAACTCCATCTCATGCCTCCCTCCCTCTGGCTGTCTGTGCCAGTCTCAATGAACCTCTTTCAGTTCTTGAAACAGGGCTATACTTTGTCTTTTGCACATGCTGTTCCCTCTGCCTGAAACACTCTTCCTCACTGCTGCCTTGCTTTGACGTAATCAGGCTTTTGGCTGAAATGATATTTCCTCTAAGAAGTTTTCTTGATACCACCTCCCCACCAGACTAGTATAGTTACCCCATGTGCTTCCCCTATAATAATATTCATCACACTTGATTGTAACTTTATCTGCCTCCTCAGCTTTAGGGACTGACTCTGTGTTTTTCTCTCTCTCTTCTCCTCTCCCCCCAGCCCCCGCCACAATTTATCACAGAACAGAACATACTGGTGGTTTTATGAATACCTAGCTGGTACAGGAATCCTTACTCAACCCTCCAATCCCATCCTCCATTTTGCACATACCACAAATGTATGTCTTCCACACATAAGTCTTACGCAACCCTAACAGGGGAAGCCCTTATGATGTCTGAGGAAAACTTTTTTCATGCGCCAGGTAAAAGGGAGCTTAGAATCTGATATATTATAAATTAACTTAAAGAAAATAAGGAAGCGTGACTTTATTACAAAGTAAATTCTGCCACAAAGGTAATAGGATTTCCATTTTGAGGATGCAGCTTAGAGAAGTAAAGCAACTTCCCATAATCGCACAACTAGTAAATGACAGAACTGGAATCTAAATCTTGGACTTTCTAACTCTTAAGCAAGCTCCCTTCAATTTTCACAACACCATCCTGTCTGCTTTAGATACCATGCCAATCAAAAATAGGATACCCAGAAAAATGTTCTGAATATAGACATCCCAAGACATATGGGGTGCAGCAGTGCCAGCAGACCAATGCCAAGCAGCATCCATAGATAAGAGAGATTAGCACTGCATGCAAGCAGAAGTCTCCTCCAGGCTGAGTTCTTAGCAGGCACAGGAATTCTGTGTTCCATAGTGCCCTTTCAGCATGACAACTTGGAAGGATGGGAAAAGCCCAGACTTTGAATCAATCTTCAATTTTAATCATTGCTCTGCTACTTTAACGTTGTGTGATTGTGGCCTGGTCACTTGCCCTTTCTGAACCTCAATATTTTAATCTATAAAGTAGTCATAATTCTACCTATTTGTCAAGGATAATGTGAGAATCCAGTAACAACCTGTGTAAAACTGCCTAACACAGCTCTGGAGCCCGTCGGATACTCCCTCTGTTCCCTTCTCTTTGACCAGTGGTTTCTGATAAGAGAAAGCTGTCTTCTTGAGCAAAAACTACCTTTCCCTATGGATAATCTCCCTGTTCACTGATGCCACCATAAGGACTAGCTCTGGGTGTTGGTATCTTGGCCCTGGGAAGAGGTGGGGAGGTTGACAGAGGAAGTCAGTGGATCCCTTTTCCAAGTTGGCCCTGGACCCATGGACCAGAGATAACAAGGAGTTCTGTGCAAAGAGAACACATTGGAAGCCCGTGTGCTCTGATGTGGGAGAAAGCTGGGTCATGCTATTTGAAGTGGCCTCCAGATTGTGAAACTCAACCCTGCTCATCCTCCCCACAAACATCCTGGTGGCTGTGTGGTAATGGACAGCTATCATTATAGCATTTATCCATCTCTGGCCTCAGACCTCCCAAGGCCATCTGAAAACCAAACTCCTAGCAAGGATCAAATGGAAAGGACAATAAGTTTGAGCCCAGAAGTTGGAAATGGGAGGCTTGGTAGAAACCCAAAAAAAAAGGAACAATCAGGAGCTACTCTCATTTAATGCTCTTTCTACTGAAGGAGTATCTTTGTCACTGCAGTTCTCCAGGGCAATCTAATGAAGTCTCTGTAAAAGAATCTGGTTCCACGCATAGGCTGCCTATTGATTTCATCAGTAGTTCTTTAAAGGGTTCAATTAAGGGTAAGAAGGAAAGCAAAGCAAAGTTGTGTCTAAAGAGTGGGAAAACCCAGATCCAAAAAATGTGAAGCTGGAATTTTTCAGCCCTTCTAAAATGTGATAAGGATCAGAGTGTAAGAGAGGCAATCAATTATGTCATTAGGACAGGTCACAAAAGGGAGAAAGAGAAGAAACACAGAAAATTATTGACAAGTGCATGAAGACAGTGCCTAACAAAGATGGTGCTTTCTCAGTCCTCCAGGAAAATAATACATCTTTTCTCCTCAATATTCATATCTTCCTCATTTTAAAAAAATTATAGCCAGCCAATTCCTATTGACTGTCATTATTCTTTTATTTAATCAAAATGTGTGCTTGGATATTAGTTTTAGACCCTGTGCTAGACAGGTGGAAAAAAAGGTGAACAAAAATAAACACAGTCTTGCTCTCAGAAGATTCAAAATTTAATTGGAAAGATAGACATTAATCAAATAATCACTTCCATTAATGTTTGATTACAAACTGATACATAAGTGTTCAGGAGGAAGAGAACTTGGTGATATGAGAGGGAAATTGACCTACACTGGATAGGGGCACCATTGAAAGCTTCCCTAAGTAAGTTATTCATGAGTTGATGTCAAAAATATGAATAATAAAGCAAAAGTGTACCAAAATAGGAATGAATAAGGAAGATACTGGGTGATGCACCAAATTACAGGAAGACCGGAGGGAGGAATAAACTCAGAAAATGTCAGGAATCAAGAGAAGCTGGCAGCAGAAACTCTCCTGGACTTGCTCCCAAGCACATAGCCACTCCTGCTCCATGATGTGGCTGCTGAGGTCAGTAATTAAGTCCCATTGTCCCTTTGGCTTTTTGTCACTAAGTCAAGATACAAAGCCTGGAGTGGAAACTCCCAGCTGTACAAACCTAGGTCAGGTGCCCAAGAGATAGGCTTCCCTCCTTTTGAGTCACATAATAGGATTTCCCAAAACCAGGAAGAGGAGTGGAACACTGGATGACAAAAAGAAAAAGAAAAAGAAAACCTCTACCATGGGAGAGAGGGGGAGAAAGGCATGGCAGAGAGTGAGAACTGCATGCACAGTAGCCCTTGCCTAAGTGTAGAGACACACTAAGAGAGATAGAGATAGAAGAGGCTGAAATCCAGGCAGAGTCATACTGATTCAGTTCTTGCAAAGCTCTTAAGATTTGGATCTTTACCTTGAGGCAATAAGAAATCATTGATGACTTTATCAGCAGAAGGAAAGCATATTCAACTGCATTTTGGAAAGATAATTCAGAATACAGGAGAGAGAACAGACAGTGAGGGCACAAGAGCAAATGGGGAGCAGTCCACATTTGTAGATACCGTGATGCGTAGATAGTAGACACCGTGATGTGTATCCCAGGTCCCCACTTCAGGACTGAGGCACATCTCCCCAGCTACAGAACTGTTGGTTGCTGACAACTCACAGTTAAATCCCTTTTTGAGACTAGCCCTTGGCGTAAGGAAGCTGCCACAGGGAGGCTATGTCCCTCCCTGGAGACAGCTGGCATCAGATGACTAATCAGCATTGCTACAAAGGCTTTATTTGAGGTGGCTCTAAAGGGCTATCTGAGCTCCAGAGCTCCCTGTGGGATCAGCTGAGGTCTCATGGCAACTGCATCACAGTTTCAGTTCTCCTCCTGCCCGATCCTGCTACCCTCACTCCTCATCATTAGTGACTCCTGAAGCAGTCCTCAGTAATCTTTCTGCATACAAATCTCCATCTCAATGGTTTTTTTCTCAGGAATCTCGACCCGAGACAGCATGACAATCAGAAGACTATAGGAGCCTAGCAATGAAAACAGGGTAGCCTCGACTATGGTAGAAGTAGATACTAGGGAGAGAAGTGTGCTGATTAAACTTTTCAAGGCCCAAGGACCTGAGAATCATATGAGAGAAGAGACCATTTGCAGAGTTAAGGAAAGAAACTCACCCCTTCCTAGATTAGATGTTTCTAACTTCCCTAGTGGTTGAATGGAAGAGAACAGTCATTCCTTCACACACTGGCCCAAACACAATTTCAAACCTTATCCCCATTCTAATAACCACTAATGCTCCTGCTGCAGTCGGCATCTGCCATAGTGTATGATGTGTTGGGAGCTGGCTGCCTCCAGAGCTGAGACTCTTAAGACTGGAGCAGCTGTTACAGGTCTGGCTCTCCTGCCTGATTCTTTGTAGCCATATCACTAAATTTCCAACAGTCAGTTCATTTTATGGCCTTTTCCCCCTTCTCTTTGTAATGCTGCTACCGCCCAGTGCAGAGGCTGCCAAGAGGGTTGATTTCAAACACAGGGCTTTTAAAAGGTGACAGATGAGATGATGTCATGGCATGGAAGGTAAAAAGCCCCCTTCTTCCTCCAGAGTGGTTTAACCAATAAAATTAATTTGCCTGTTTACAATCTAAAATAAAGACAAGATGGTTTAATTTTTCAATAAAAAGTTTTGGCAGGAAGGAAGGGAGTTATTAGCATGCTGATCAGGTTGAGGGGGAAACCAAATGTAGACAGATCATCCTGAAGCCACACTGAAGGGCCTCACCTCTCTCCTTCTGTCTGCTGGTTGCAGAGGGAGCTGCCATGATGCAGCTCTAGCTAAGGGACAAATGGGCAGGCAGCGTAGGTGCTGGCAGGAGCTGGTAGAAGCTGTGGGCATTGCACAGTTGGCCCGCTTGAGCCATTAAGAGAAGTGACCAGTTCAGAACCATTCTCAAAAGACATTCCAGGGCTTAGCAATGACAATCCCCCGTCAGCCTCCCTCTCTGTAGCTGAGGCCCAGCTCTCTTTGCCATTTGTGGCAATCATCAAACAGATGAACTTTGCAAAGCCTCATGAATTCCTGGCAGCTCTTCTGCAGTGCTTCCGTCTCTTGCTCTTTCTCCCCAACTGGCTACAGATGGATCGGCATTTCCTCCATAGCTAGGATGGCAGAACCAAGTTCCAAAGGGGCAATTTCAATATCTCACCTTCTGCTTCCACCTTCCAGCCTCCCCATGACCCACCATTCAAAAGAATGACTATAGCTCTCCACTGGAGGATGACGTTGACATTGAATCTGTATTCAAAGTTGGAGAAACTTGAAAAACTCCAAAGATTTCTAAGGACTTTTGAAAGACTCTGCTTACTCCTAATAGCCCATGTTTTACCAGGGTATACTTAATACTTGCAAGATTATAAGATTCTGTTTTACAAAGTGCTCTTGCATACATTATCACATGTGATACACATATGATTATCCCATTTTCTAGGTAAGCAAACTGATGATCATGGGGAAGGTGAGGAGGATAACAATATTTTTTGAGACTAATTTATGCATTAGAAGCTATGTGGAAGCTCTACCCCATAACTCAGCTAAATCTTCACAATCAGCCCTGAAAGGTAGGAAATTATATCCCATTTACAAATGAGGAGATGGAGACAGAATTTACATGATCACCCAAAATCACGTAACTGGCCTTGGATTTGTAGTCAAGCCAGGTTACCTTCAAATTCTTTCCCTGCACTGGCTGCAGGTTTACTTCATTTTCCTGGCAGATGGATAAATCTGTCTGGTCCATTCATTCCTCAGCTGCCCTTCCAAGCTAGAATGTCTAGCAAACTCTCTCCCCAGTGAACATATTTTTGTGCACCTGTTAAAAAACGCAAAATGCCTTCAATACACCTGGAAAGACAAGTTACACCACAGTTCTCATCTTCATTCAGCATCCAAACAGGGAATAAATCCAATACTGCCATCACCATCACTGCCATCTCCATTACCCTAACATTATCATTATCATCATTATCTTCATCAAATCCTGTCTTTGGAGCTCCCTCAAGCACTTCGCCTTCCTTAGGGGGCATTTTTTAGAGGACGAAACAGACACAGCCCTTGCTTTTGACTTGCATTTTGCAGTAATGTTCAGTGAGAATTTAGTCTCTAGAGCTAGTGGAATTAATGAACACTTAGGATCAGTGACTAAAGAAAATTCAATGGTTGAACCAAAGTAATAGGAATCTGTTTACAAGACAACCCTCATAAATAGCATAAAATGAATATGCTTCTCAAAAAAGGAATTAATTAACATTTAACTACTGTGCATTTTCTGTCTATTAACTAAACATCTCTACAAATGGCTTGTGGAATGGACAATTTATTCCCACCCTTTGGGTTTTCAACACTAATGGTGGAAGTGAGAAGAGGAAAATGCTTGACGTATCAGCAAAATAACCATTCCATCAAGGTTCAGAAGCGTTCTGTAAGGATGGGATAACAACAGAGAGCTGGATGTATCCCTTTCTCCACAGTCCCCCTCACCACCCCTACATTCACTTTGCAGAACAGAAGGACTTCCAGGAAATGTGGACAAGTGCCTGGCATTCCCAACAAGGCCAGCTGCTTCCCAACACCTAGTAGAGTTCCTGCTGCACCACACACATATAATACGTATGTGTTAAGTTAATTAATGACCAAACTCACCTCTTCTAATTGCTCTGATAAAAAGTCTCTTTGCCATTATTTCTCATTGTATATTGCAACTTTCACTTTTTTCCACCCAAAATAAAAGCAACTCTGAAATATGTTATAGAGTCAATAGTAATCACTTTCCCATGTTCAATCTTTTCATATCATTAGCATTCTGAAAATAGAGGCAATTACTTCGTATTTGTTCCACCTCTTCAAACCCCCCAAAGCACTTTTTTCTTTCTCTCCAATGCTGCTTGTTATCAGTTTTCTTTTCCCCAACTCACTGTGAGTTGGAAGACAGGGATCCTACCTGGTAGCATCCTCAGCTACTTGCTCAGGAGCATGTTCGTAGTGAGTGCTTAATGAAAGCTTTTTATTTCTGAATGGAATCAAACGTTGTTTGTTCTCTGGAAACCTAGACTATTTCTCTATTTGGGGCATTTGAGATGGTCCTTCCCAGAAACAGAGAGATGGCCTCAGTGACTGTGGACTGATCCTTCCCTCCAGAGGTTCCCAAGATTCTGCTCACCCCATCATTAGTGAGTCAAGGGTGAGGGAAAGCCAACTCTGCAATCCATTCGTCTGGGTTTTAAGAATATAAGTGATAACCCTGCAAGCTAAATTAATGGAGCCTATGCCTCAGTGATGACTTATATGCATCATGGGGCCGAAATACAGAAACAAGGCCATTCACGAGACTCTGTGGTTTAGTGGGGAAGAGTGAGGTCTGGAAAGCGGGGCGGGGGAGCTGATTAGCACCATTTTCATTAACTTACAGAAAACCATTAGCGTTCAACTTATGGACAAAAAGTTCCCTCTTGGCTCAACTAATTCATTTTCCAGGTCAGGCTTTCCTGTGTGTGTCTGAGTGCACGTGCGCTGGGATGTGTGGGAGTCATTCTTTTTCTGCTGCATGGTTGATGTGTGCATGTGTCTGGGTCTCATTACATGACTGAAAATGTAAGCAGCTGGAAATTCATGGGACAGAAAGGCAGAGCTCATTACCAGGAACATTAGAGACATGGCCTATGGGGAGGTAAATTGTTTAATGTTAAATTCATAGAATTATTTGGCCTTTGACCCTGATGACCACCCTCTTAGACATAATTGTCTCTACTTTGGGCTTTTTACCACCCCAATGCTTGTTGGTTCTCTTCTTGTCATTCAGCTCCCTTCTTATTCAAATCATAGATCTCAAACCATCTGAAGAATATGAATGTATCCCAAATTTCTATAACACTCTTCTTGTCTAACTACCTAATTTTATTGGATGAGCTCATTCACCCCCATTATATTCCAAGATTAGATGCAATTCCCAAATTATATCTCCAGTCCCGACCTTCTTCCAGGCTCCAGACTGATTATGTAAGCTCTCAAGTTCATTTCTTCTCTTGTTTCTATGTCAGCTGATGGCACCAGCATACACTCAAGTTTCTCAAGATGGGGCCTCAGATCTGTCTTCCATTCTTCCTGCCTCCATCTTCACTCTCAATCTGTGGTCAAGTGAAACTGATTTTCTACTATGAATTATGTTTTTGTCTAAAAAATGCTCATCATATTCCAGGTCCTGCCTTAAGAGCTTTGCAACTCTGTGAGGAAGGTACTACAACTGTCTCCATTTTAGAGAGAAAGAAATGGAGATATTGAGGGGTTAAGTAACTTGCTAAAGGTCACATAGTTTAAAAATGACAGAGCTGGGAAAACCCAGGTGGCTGGGTTCAGCATCCCCATTCTTGAATCCTGTTCTCTGCTGCCCGTATATATCCAATTCCACTGCCTGGTCAAGTCATTGTCTTTCAATTAATAGCCATCTCTTTATTTTCCTCCTGCACAGCAGATTTTTCTTTCTAAGTCACCAACCTCTTTTCTATTATCTCTAATCTAATCTGACTTAAGTAGATCTGATCTCTACTAATTAAAATCCAAACCTTCCAGAACCTCTGAGGCCCTTCAGAATACATCCCTGACTCAACCCCAACCTCATGTCCTGCTACTCTTTATCCAAACACCCTGCCTTTGCCCCCTCCCTCCTCTGGCCTTCCCTTAATCTAATAATAATTACGCTAGCATCAAAGTATTGAGTGTCTAGGATGTATCAGTCTTTGTAATAGGCACTTTATATATTCTCACTCATTATCTTAGCAACCCTACAATGTAAGTATTTGTCATATCCTCTTTTTGCCAATGAGGAAACTTGCACTCTGAAAAATTAAAACTAATCTAAGGTCTCTTTGGAAGCGAGTGGTTGAGTCAGGATTTGAATATAAGTTCTGAATACTTTTACACTGTTGGTGGGAGAGTAAATTAGTTCAACCATTGTGGAAGACAGTATGGAGATTCCTCAAGGATCTAGAACTAGAAATACCACTTGACCCAGCAATCTTATTACTGGGTATATACGCAAAGGAATATAAATCATTCTACTAAAAAGGCACATGCACATGTTTGTTTATTGCAGCACTATCTACAATAGCAAAAACACAGAACCAACCCAAATGCCCATCAATGATAGACTGGAAAAGGAAAATGTGGCACATATACAACGTGCAATACTATGCAGCCATAAAAAGGAATAAGATCATGTCCTTTGCAGGGACATGGATGAAGCTGGAAGTCATTATCCTCAGCAAACTAACACAGGAACAAAAAAACCAAACACTGCATGTCCTCACTCATAAGTGGGAGTTGAAGATTGAGAACACATGGATACAGAGAGGGGAACAACACACACCAGGGCCTGTTGGGGGTGGGGGTGAGGTAAAGGAACTTAGAGGATGAGTCAATAGGTGCAGCAAGCCACCATGGCACAGGTATACCTGTGTAACAAACCTGCATGTTCTGCACATGTTTCCCATTTTTTAAAGAATAAAGAAAAAATAGGTTCCAAATTCACATGCTTTTTCCTATTCAATCAATAAATATATGTAAAAGTATACCAATAAATCTTAGAGTTATTTTCTGGGTTGCAAACGTGCCGTTTGACAATATTGCTGTGCGTGTACCTGGGAAATGCTCCTCAGCATTCCTTAGGACATTTACAAAAGGTGGTGGTAGGAGTGAGGGGTGGAGAGAGGATTACTGAGTTGCAGCTGACTTGATCAGGGAGAGCCAGTGCACTTGGCCACCTGGCTGCACTCAACTCAAACAATCAGGAACTCCAATCCCAAAGAAGCATTAGGTAATCATCATCAGAAAACAAACAAACAAGTGAGTAGCCAATCATATAGCCTGAGCCTTGTAGCTTAAATGAAGGGATGGAAGGTTCATCAGACTCAAAACTCAGCAGCCAGAAACAAGTAAAAATGGTTTTGTTAGAAGTTCCCCTGAAATTCTCTTTTGGCTCCTGCTGTGCAAAGGAAGGAGAACACCTGGCTCCCACAAATTGTGCAAACTATCCCCACATCATAAAGTGAAGGGAAGTAAGACAGCAAGCCTCATAAAGTGTATGTTGGGCCGCTGAGCCTCCTGCTGCCACCCTGATCAATCAGCCAAGTTATCCACATCACCAACACTAGAGGGCACTCTGCCTTCTAGCAGACAAATGCGTGTGCCTGGGCCCTGAGGTTGGGGATTATGTTGTCCACACACAAGATCTCTACTCAGTCCCAATGCAGATCACCCCGATTTATATTTTCTAGTGGGGTACAGGGTGTTATAGCAGACGGGACTTCTTGCTAAGTACAAGAAATAAATGTTTTTCTCCCCAACTGTCATGTCAACTTTTTGCCTGAATCTCAATTCCCTATAAGGGGATGAACAGAAACAACTGCATGTGGTGAAAACTCACCTCAGGCCTCCATATTTTGATCCTGAAATGGAGAGTCCTATTTTTCCCAGTCTTGACGTCTATCCTCAGAGAAAACCTCCCTGGCCACTTATTGCCCTGGCTATAGTCCTCTAATCAGGACTGCTAATTAGAAAAAGTGACTAGAGGTTAAAAAAAAAAAAAGTTTCATTTCATTGAGGCTGTTATAACACAATATCATAAACTGAGTGTCTTATAAACAAAGAAATGTAATCCTCACAGATCTGGAAGCCGGGAAATCCAATATTAAGGAAGAGTCATGTATGATGAGGACCTGCTCTCTGACTCAAAGAAGGTGACTTATTGCTGCATCCTCACATGGTAGAAGAGGAAAGTGGTCTCTCTGAGTTTTGTTTTATGAGGACTCCAGTGACCTCTCAAAGGTCTCACCTCCAGATACCATCACTTTGGGGAGTTAAGATTTCAACATTTGAATTTGGAAGGAACATAAACATTCAAACAATAGCAGAAGAGAATGAATGAACTTAACAGGATGCTAGCTATATGTTACGCAGGTTACTTTGGTCGGGGTGATGGTTTTGAACATATATCTTCTTAATCTTTACAGTAGGCCAATGAGGTCAATGGCACAATCCCATTTTACAGATGATAAAACTGAGGTTCAGGGAGATTAAAGAACATGTCTGGGTACAGCATAGATATGAATAACAATGAGAATTCAAATAGAAAAATAATTCCAAAGGCCATGCTTTAGGCTAGAGGTTAGCAAACTATGGCCAATGGGTCAAATGCAGCTTACCACCTGATTTTGTACTAATGTTTTGCTACAACACTGCCATGCCAATTTGTTTATGTAATTGTCTATGCCTGTTTTTATACCACAACAGTAGAGTAGCATAGTTGTGACAGAGACTCTACGGCCCCCAAAGCCTAAAATATTTACCCTGTGGCCTTTTACAGAAGGTTTGCCAAACTCTGCTTTAGGCATATGTGATTTGAGGCACAAAGAAAAGCCCTAACTTTAAATTTTTTCATAATAGTGCCTAAAATTTTACTTCTACTTCTTTGAGATCAGTATCACCCTAGGACACTATCAAATTTGAGGCATTGAAGCAGAATTATACATCTGCATCATAATTTCTGAATACCTTAAATAGTAATAGGGTTTAGAGCTTGGAAGGAATTGAGGGTTCTGGGAGATTAATTTCAAAACTTCTCATCTGTACAACTGGCAAAGAAGAGGTTCTAAATTTAAAGGACTGTATCACTAAGTACTGTGACATGTTTGGGCTCAAGCAACTTTGCTGTAGGACTGAACTTAACTGAGCGAAACACAGTGGGGCACTCCTGCCCATTTCATAAGAGTGTCATGAATCCTGGGTTTTCCAGCAGCACTGAGAATTCAGAGGAGCTCTGGGTTCCTGGATCAATGCTATTCCAGGGTCTCCAGATCCACCAGCACTGAAAACGTGGTGGAGAACTAGTAGATTGCTTGCTCCACTCACATCTAAAGGGAGTTTCTCAGAGAAGTTGGAACAGACTCATAGCTAGAAACAGCATCTCTGTGGAATTTCCTGGAACTGAGGCTGAGCACTTCCTGCACAGCGAGTGAAGCAGCAAGAAGACAAGAGGATAATCTAAGAGTACGCTTTAGGAATTATCGGAAATACTTTGAATGGGGAAACTATGAAAACTTACACTTCTAGCTCTTTAAGATTTAGCAACTGAGGCTCAGTGCCATTGAAACTAGGTTTTTTAATTTTAATCAAACCATATTTGTACTCACAAGCTGGCAAAGCTAAAAAGCTTTAGTTTCTGTATCAGTCAACTGGAACAATGAGTTGACACCACCACCACCCCCTCCAGGAGTTAGAAAGTAAATTATTTTCAAGGCACTTAGCATTTTTCCCTATGAGGTGGCTCTGACAGCTAGGTTAAGCCTCTTTTCACTCACTATGCATCTGTAATAATAGGGACCTACAATTCTCCGTTACCCTACCATAGAAACAGCTCCAACATGTGTAAGCCAAGCTGTCCTCCATCCTGCATCTTGTCTCTTTCTTATAGTAGTGCAACAGTTACAGCTTTTGTAGCTAATTAGATTTTAATTTTAATCCCAGCCATTATCTTTAATGGTTATGTCATGTCAGCTTGAACAATTTATTTAGCTCCTCCAAATGGCTATTTCTTAATCTAAAAGATGGGCAATAAAATATCTACGTCACAATGAGATGGGGTATGTAAATTGTGTTGTATGTTGTCTTCTGGTTGCTCAATAATATGTCTTCTGCTCAAAATACCAGAATGAATCATTTTTCTGATGGTGAAGGAGACATGCATCATCCGCCTCTTTCTTCAGGCATATCTGCCTTCTGACTACCTCTAACCCATTTCAGTTCGCAGGCCTCGGTCAGTGACTGGGAGGGTTCTGTGTCATCTCCCTACTGTTTCTATCTCCTTACCTGTCTGTCTCTTTCACTTCCCGGGTTTCTTCTTCTTTTTTTTTTTTTTTTAGAATTTTAGGAGGGAGGATTTGCTCATAAACCAGCAAGTGCACTGTCTACAAAATGACATCATGATAGATTGCATCAGTCTTAGATTTAGAAGAGGCAAAAAATGAAATAAAATCATCAATGTCAGGCATCAACAGTAGCCCATAGGTGATACCAAGACTCACGATAGTCAGAAGACATGGCCCCTGTGTTCTCCCCTTTCACATGTGGTTAGTTCCTTGGTTATGCTAATGGTGGTATAATGATGAGGATGGTGTGGCAACCATTTGTGAAGTTTCTGTTATATATCACATATTGTATTTGCCCTTTACAGAGGGAGTCTTAATCCTCTATAACTCTACATAATGGCTATGATGCTCATTTCATAAGAGGGCACTGGGGTTGACTTGCCCGACAGCTCATAAGTAGCTGAGCCAGGATCCAAATTCAGTTCTGACTCTAAAATCCATGCTCTCTCCTCTCTGTAATACTGCCTCTTAGAGGTAGGCTTACCACATCTTTCTTCTGCTTCATTTGCCCTCCTTTCCTCCTTTATTTCTTCACTCTTATTTCTTTCCTCAAAAAACTAAAATGTTTTAAAACCTCATTTTTTCCGTTTCCCTTTCTTCCTAAGAAACACATTCGAGAAATCATCCTTAACAATATCAAATCATTTTTATTGGCGCTCTGCAAAAATGATAGTGGTGTCACACCAGGCACTCTGAAAGGCTGGTGTATTACAGAGGAAAACTGCTCAAACTGCAGCTTCATGCTGTGGTGCTGTTCACAACTACTTCTTCATCTGCTACCCTGGGGCTATGAATGACAACCTGTCAACGTTCTTAGAAAGTTAAAGCTAGGAGGGAAAAAGAGGTCTAGATTCACATTCACTTATTTAACCAATGTATATTAAACTTGAACTATCCTTGAGACTCTGTACTAGGCACCGGGCATACAATGGTAATGAAGCCTTGATATCTGCCCTCATGGCACATATAATCTACTGTGAAAATACAAACAAGTGGCTGGGCGTGGTGGCTCATGCCTGTAGTCTCAGGACTTTGGGAGGCCAAGGTGGGCGGATCACAAGGCCAAGAGATCAAGACCATCCTGGCCAACATGGTGAAATTCCGTCTCTACTAAAAATATAAAAATTAGCTGGGCATGGTGACACGTACCTGTAGTCCCAGCTACTTGGGAGGCTGAGACAGGAGATTTGCTTGAACCCTGGAGGCGAACATTGCAGTGAGCCGAGATCATGTGCCACTGCACTCCAGCCTGGCAATAGAGCAAGGCTCCATCTCAAAAAAAAAAAAAAGAAAAAAAAAGAAAAGAAAATGCAAACCAGTTAGTTAACTGGTAATTAATTAAAATATAGTGGTTTGAGGGTCAAGATAGATTCATGGAGAGTGCTATGAGAGAAAAGGAAACATCTCAGACATAGAACTTGGGTCAATGTCACAATCTCTTAGGATGACATTTAAACTGAGATATGAAGGATAAGTTCACATTAGTCAGGTATACTGGATAGCTTCCTTCCAATTGCCTCATGTTCTTGTCATTTGCTGAATAACAAACTAAATCTAGAAATTGAGAGATGGAATAGGGCTCTCCACTCATGAAAATAAGCTGATAAACCAGCTTACCAAGCTGAGTTCATCATAGCCTGATGCTATGGATTGTAAGAATCTGGGGGTTCAAGGAGGCTGGAGAACACACACAGTCTCCACATACGAGGAACTGAGTTAAACTGTCTTCCAGCTTAGTCATAGAATTTCCAGTATCTCCAATACCATCATGGGCTGAAAGTCCCAGGCCACCATTATAAATCTTGGTTTTAGTCTGGTGCATAAGAAACAGAATGGACGACAACATAAACATGATACATGGGGAAGAGTGATGACATAGAGAAATAACAAATCAAAGCCCACATAATGTTCAATTTAAATGAATCCAAAATACAGAATTCAAAAGGAATATGAAGTTAGATAATATTAAAGGGAGAAGTCTCTCTGTCCCCCAGAAATGAACTACATAATCATGAATTTACTCTGGAAATTTATATGTTAAAGACATTTGACAAAGAATTATAATAAATATGCTTAAGATGCTCAAAGAGATAAATGAAGAAATAAAAACTTTTAACATTTACAAATTTAAGAAGTACAAGTGGATATAAAAGAAAATCAATCAGAAATCTTAGAAATAATGCATGTACTCAATGATACTTAAAAAGTCAACAAATGCAATAAATTACAGATTGACATGGTCAAAGAATTCATGAAATAGAAAATAGCACTGAGAAATTCATCCAGAGACAGTACAAAGATATAAGGAAATAAAGTGTAAAAGAGTAATTAAAAGATAGGAAGGAGAGTTTGGGAGACTCTAACATGTATCCACCAGAGTCCTAGCAGGAAAGAAAGAACTATTTTTACACACACGCACACACACACACACACACACACAGTTTTATACATATACACACATACATATATATATATATATATAAATGAGAGAATTTTCCAAAATTGAAGAATCCTAAGTTCTCAGATTTAAAGTACACTTTAAGTGACAAGAAGAATAAAATAAATCTATATCTGAGCCCATTATAGTAAAATACAGATCATCAAGAGTAAAAAGAAAACCTTAGAAGTTATTGGAGAGGTTTTAGTTGACCCTAGCATAAAAGCAGCTTCCTGAATCCTAAACTCTATACATTTGACCAAAATGTCTTGAGCTCAACAAGAAGCTCAAACAAAACCAACATAAACCACCTCTTCAAAATTACTAGAAGATAGATAGCACCACACACCTGTAAGTAGGGGAAGAAAACCACCAAATTCCAATGAAGCTCTCATGGCCACTGAAACCTTGTAGGTTTAGAGGGTGACGAGTTGCCTTTGGGATCTCCAAGAGAGGGGTGTATCAGACTTAACATAAAACCCAGGTAAAAGTAACTACCAGAAAGAGAACATGCGAAGTCTAGGACTTGGTGGTTTATACTACTGGAAACAGAGAAGAAGCATGTAAGTGAGTGAAATGAGAAGTTCTACTGATATCTCTAAAAAGCATTTTGGGCGAAGAAGATAGAAAAAGACAGCTATCTGCTCAAAGATGTGGCATTAAAGCAACATAAGAAAAATGGGAAGAAAAGTTAAGAGTCCTGCAGAAAAAAAGGGAAATACAAGTTACATGAACTCCTACTCTAATATCTTCACCAACAAAATGATTATTCATTAAAGAAACTGCCTTAACTATTCTAGCACAAGGAAGTCGTCTTCAGTAATGAGCCCTGTCACTGAATTGCCTCGGAATATAAGAAAAACAAGAACTCAGACAAAGTCTATATAGAGCAACTGTAAAAAAAAAAAAAAAAAAAAAAAAAAAAAAAAAAATTCTAATGCATACGTTTCAGTTGATGATAAACTCCCTCAAGAAAAGCAATGATGAGATAAAACTGGAATCCAATATTGAAAATGTAATTTCCTCAATCATTTGCAGATATTAAAATATCTAAAGTCAGAAATTTAAAAATGAAGAATAAAAGCAAAACTGGAAAAATACAATAAATAGTGATTGAACTTCAGAAAGAAATTAAAGAAAAAATCTCAAAAATGAAAAAAAATTACAAAGTGTCTAAGAAAAATAAAATCAAGAGTCATTGAATAAAGATGAAAGAACAAAGAATGAACATGAGAAAATGGAGTAAAAAGAGAGAGAAAATGGTTGAAAAGGAAAGCAAAGAAAATTCAACAAATGTATAATTGAAGTCACTGAAAGGACATTCTTCTCTCTATATATAAATGTGTATGTATATTATATACATATATAATACATATATATATAGTGTGTGTGTGTGTGTGTGTGTGTGTGTGTGTGTGTAATATCAGAAACTTTTCCAGAAATAAGAGAAAAAGAAAATCTACATACAAAAAGGGTTCACCTTGTATCTGGAAAAACTGACCTGGAATGATCAACTCTGAGACGGAGTCTAATAAAACTGAAGACTTAACTAATTATGATAAAGGTAACAAATTGCACAGGTATCAGATTTCTCAAGCAGAAACCTACAAAGGAAAACAAGAGTTAATAGTAATTTCAACAAACTCAAGGAGAGAAAGCAGGAGCCAAGGATTGCATATGAAACTAAGCTCTCCTGCAAGCAGCAAACCTACAGAAAGACAACTATAAATGTGCAAGAATTCAGGAGATGCTCTTCTTAGAAATGCTCTTCTTAGAAGCATTTCCTAAAGAATCTACTAGAACACAAGCTCCATGCAATCAAGACATGACTAGGAAAATTTAGACAAGGGACTAATAATGAGAGGTTAATACATTTAATCAAAGATTCAAGACTAAAATAAGGGTGGGGCATGGATGAGAGAATAGTATGTAAACATTCTATGTTTTGATAAAGTGTAAAAATGCAACTGACTATGAGAAAGAGAAAATTAAAATGGAATAATTGATCATTTAATAGGAAGTAGGAGTCAAATGGTATCATTTAAAACCAACATACAAGATAGTGAAAAGTTAACTAGGAAAAAAAAGGGCACCATAAAATGTATAGACACAAAACTAATCATTACATTAAAAATACAAACTTTTCTAAATACTAAAAGACATTTACTAAACGAACAGAGTGCTATACAAAGACTCTGTTGCATAAAGAAATATGACAGTGTTGAGACCAAACATATTAGTCACATCAACAAATGTAACTAGGCTTAATTTGACTTTCCTTTTCTTTTTTTCAGACCAGGTCTCATACTACCTCCCAGGCTGGAGTGCAGTGGCACCATCACTACTCACTGCAGCCTTGACCTCCCAGGCTCAAGCAATCCTCCCACCTCAGCCTCCTAAGTAGCTGGGATTACACATCATCATGCCTGGCTAATTTTATTTTTGTTTTTGTAGACACAGGATTTCACTATGTTGCCCAGGCTGGTCTCAAATTCCTGGGCTCAAGCTATCCTCTCGCCTCAGCCTACCAAAGTGCTGGGATTACAAGTGTGAGCCACTGCACCTGGCCTCAGTTTACCAATAAAAGAAAATGATTTCAAATTGACTCAAAAGTAAAGCCCAACTCTGTGCCGTACAAGAGAACATCTAAAATAATGTAACTCAAAGAGGTTTAAAATAAATCAATAGAAAAAGAAATTCAAAGGTAACAAATAAAAAAGAGAGCAGAGTGGCAATCCTAATATCAAAGTAGAATTCAATAAAAAAAGCATAAATGAGACAAAGCATATTTTATAACTAAAAGCCAATATTTACAATTTTATATATATAATCACAGACATATATATATATGTACGTATATCTCACAACAACTACCCATATAAAGCAAAACTACAGGAGATGCAAAAGAGGTAGAAAAAAATGCAAAATCATCAGAGACTTTAACATGTTCTCAGTACATGTTTGAGTTTACAATATTTAGGTAGTTTTAGCAGGCTGAAAGAATGCAATCAATAGTGTAGATCTTAATAATACATATATAACAACTCACCCTGATAATAAAGAATAAAACTTCTCAAGAACAGGAAGCATTCATAATAATTGATCATACATTCTTTTGCAAAGACAATGTTGCTAACTTCCATAAAGTAGAAAAATTACAAAAATACTCTCTGATCACAATGCAATATAACTAGAAATTTAAATTGACACCAAAAACCAAAATATGCTTTCACCAGAAAAAAGAAATTTCAAATGAACACTTTTTGAGTAAGTGGAAAAATACAAACAGGAATTATAGAATTTCTATAAAAATAATGCTAATAAAAATACTATATATCAGAATCAATGAGCTATATTTATAAATGATGATTAGAGTAAAATTCTTAGCTTTGAAAATTTATATCAATAACATCTAAAAATGGAAATAAATTAAATACCGAGCTGAGAAATTAGGAAAGGACAACAAAGAAAACTAAAGGAAAGCACAGGAAAGAAATAATAAAGTTAAAAATGAAAGTTATTGATGAGGTAGAGAGAAAAAAGCAAATTCATAAATAAAAATTCTAGTTTTTTTAATGTAAAAACAAAATAGACAAATTGCTAGCCAATTTAATGAAAAAAAGGAGAGAAAATACAGAAATACAGAATGAGAAATGACAAGGGATAAATATTAATACAGAGGAAGATTTTAAATCATGAAATTAATTTGCATACACGTATGTAAAAAAGTAGAGAGCTAGATGAAATGCATAATTTTCTATTAATATTTAATTTACCAAATTTACTTGAGTAGAAATAGAAAGATTAAATGATCCATTTCTGAGGAAGAAATGGCAAAAACAATGAAGGATCCATCCAACAAAAAAGCACAAGTCCAGGTGGTTTCACAAGGGAAATGTTACTAAAACTTTAGCAGTCACCAGATAAGCCTGATGGTACGTCAGTTGTCTCAGAGAATAGAAAATGGAAGAGAACTTTCAGATCCCTTTAATAGGCAATTATAATATTTATATCTAAACCTGATAAAAATAGCACCAAAAAAAGATAATTACAGACTAATATAACATAGGATTATTGGTGGACAAATCCTAAATAAAATATCTTCAAGTAAACTTCAACAGCACATTATGAACACACCATGACCAAGCAGAATTTATGTTAGAAATGCAGGAATTGTGCATTATTAAGAAATTGATTAAAAGAATTCAACAGATTTAAAAAGGTTTAAAAAGAAAAATTTTATAATTATCTTCAAATATGTTGAAAAGACATTTAACAGAGTCAAACACCTATCTTAATGAAAATAGTTAAGATTATAGGAGTGGATATCATTTTCTAATCTTGATAAAATATATATAGATACCTCAGTCCTAAAGCTAACATCTTACTTAATGGAGAAACATTAGAGATGTTCTAACAAGAGTGAGGAACAAGGCTAGCATGATCCTTACCCCTATTACATTTGACAATATATATTGGGGATATTAGCCCATAAAATTAGAGAAGAGCAAAAAGTTAAAGTCATAAGAATTGGAAAAGAAGTAAAACTATTGCTATTTGCAGATAAAATTATGATATGCCTCAAAACCCTTAGAGAATATAATAAACTACTTTAACAAATTTTTTTAAATCAGTAAACTAATATGCAATAAAATTAACATCTAAAAATTAATAGCCTCCATATGCACAAATAATCATCAAGCAGGTGTTACATAATGGAAAAGAAATCCTATTTATAATAGCAAATGTATAAAATGAAATAAACTTAGTAAGAAATATAGAAAACCTATATGAAGAAAACTTTTTTTTAAAAAAGGCAAAAAGTACATTTGAACAAATGGGAAGATATTATTTATTTGGGTATAGGAAAACTGCTTTGGACTGAGTGTTTGTGTGGTGTCCCCCTCAAATTGTATGTTGACACCCTAATTACCAATGTGGAGGAGAGGCCTTTGGGAGGTGGTTAGGTTTAGAGGAGGTCAGGAGTCCTCTGATGAGTAGGTCCTTACAAAAAGAGAAAGAAACTTAAGATCTCCCTCCATCCTTGCATGAGGAAAAGGCTGTGTAAGAAAATAACTAAGAAGCATGCCCTCCCTAAGAACCTGACCATGCTGGCACCCATATCTTGAACTTCCAGCCTCCAAAACATGAGGAATAAATGGTTGTTTAAGCCATTCTATGTCAATTTGTTATAGCAGCCCAAACTAAGACAGTATCTCAGTTGAGCAATCCCAGCTGATGGTACATGGAATAGAAGCAACCCTTCCCACAAAGCCATGCCCAAATTGCAGATTTGTACTCAGATCTTGATTTCTAAATACCATTCCCCACCAGGAGAAATGGCTGATTTCTGGGCTGGGGCAAACAAAGTAAAGATGAGCCTAAAATATATTGTTATGCCAGAAAGTAAAGGAACACTAAAAAATATAAAAGCAGAAATATGTTATAAGGATACATGAGTCACTTGGAAAAAGCTCCAACTGGCCAAATGTGGGGGATTTGATCATTGAAATAAATAAGGATAGCAATAGCAATAGATTACAACCTATTAATAAAATTGAACTCATTAATCCACACTGTA
Source organism: Homo sapiens (assembly GCF_000001405.40). NCBI lineage: Eukaryota > Metazoa > Chordata > Mammalia > Primates > Hominidae > Homo > Homo sapiens. Next base: position 7,525,741 of record NC_000009.12, on the reverse strand, counting down.
AATAAACAAGCAAGCAAGTAAACAAATACATTAAGAAAAGAGAAAACTCATTCCTATAATAGAATTCTGACTTATAAAAATATACGGAAAAAGTATGAATTTTGAAAACCACCTTTTTGTAATCATCATAGTAAGAAGTGATCCTGGCTAGAATCATCATAGATGTTAAATCTGAGGAACAGAAGAGTTTGATGGGAAGAGAGCACATCCCAAAGTATCTGCCCACATTAAATTATTAAGTACCAAAGGAAAAATAATAACTATATGGTGGAGAAACTGAACAATGCCTAAATCAAATGATCAAAATTGACATCATCTATAAAGGAGAAACAGACATGATGTCACTTCATAATATCTTGACAATAACATAATATCATTTATCTAGTAGTGCTTTCAAAAGTTATAACCCTGATTCTAAACGTGAGGAAATGTTGGAAAAATCACATTTAGATACATATTATTAAATAAACAGCCTGTATTTTTTAATGCCAATGGTAGGAAAGACAATGAAAAGCCAAGAAACTGTCTCAGATTAAAGACTAAAAGTCATAACTAAAAGCAACACCTGATCCTAAACCGGATCGTACAAGAGAAAAACCAAAATTGCTTCCTATAAAAAAAGTAATGGGATAATCAACAAAAGTGGAATAGGATTGTAGATCAAAGTAATCGAAGTTAAATTTCCTGATTGTAATGGCAAAGGTCACTTCTGATGAGTAGAATGTAAGACCGGATCCCTATTCTCAAAGACACTCTATTCTAATTGAGAAATGGAAACTACCGCATGTAACAATCAAAGAATAATACAAAAATTGGTGGCAAATTATGACAACAGAAAGTGATCAACTGAACCAGTGATTTAAGAAGTCTTCACAGAAGATATGACATATTAACGCTACCTGGAAGGAGGGATTGGTTTGAGGTAAGCAGCGAAGAAAGGACAAGCTATCCTTTGTAAAGATGTGCTACCAGTGTAAGCTAAGGCCGGGAGGTGAGAATAAAAATACAGCTCAAAGTGTGAGAGAGATTTGGGGTAGAGAGTCAGTGATGGGGAACGAGGGAAAGTCATTCTATATGTAAATGGGAAGCACCACAAACTTCAAATACACCTCAGTTTGGTTAGAAGAAATTAGGTTGTACAAACATGTGGGTTAATTTTTTTTTTTAACTTGGGAAGCTTTAAATATTTTGCACAAATGTTTTTTTCCTAAGAGTAAGTCCTGTCTTACAAAGGAGACCTCTATCTACTGCTGTCCATAAAACCTTCCGTGATGATGGAAACATTCTAAATCTATACAATCTAATATAGTGGCCTCATGTAGCTAGTGTGGCTGAGGAATTGAACTGAACGTATAACTACACTTAAATTTAACTAACAAATTTAAATAGCAACAGGTGGCCACTGGCCACCATAACTGGACACCACAGTTCTGTACCAAAGCACTCTCACAGCAGGTATGAGTGATACAGACATATAGATATATGCCCTCCCTTCCCATTTGACCTCTCACATGTAGACATACCTGTACCAAAGCACTCTCACAGCAAGTATGAGTGATATAGACATAGAGATGTATGCCCTCCTTTCCCATCTGACCTCTCACATGTAGACATACCTTCAGCACTCTCCTCTAACCTTTATTTTTGTAAAGGTAGCAGAATATTATATAAGGTATGACAGTATCAGAAACCTTAGAAAGTAATTAGGTCAGGGTTTCTCATTTCTGAAACGTAAAGGTCACTCTGAGGGATCACGAAGGTTGAAGCACTCTTGAAAACTAAGCAAATATTTGGAATTCCAGCTTTTTTCCTTCTTTTCTTAAGCTCACCCTTTTGCTTGCTGTAATGAAGTCTGCAGCTCAAGTGTTCGAAAGCTTGAAGCAGTCTTCACAATGACCTCCCACTAAGGCTCCTACAGGAAGGACATGGACGCGTCATAAGGCTGGGAGCTCTTTTCACTGTGATCTCAGCTCCTTGAACCCCATGGGAGAGAAGCAAATTAAGCTACCAGTCTAAAAATTCAGCTCCCAACATTTTGGCACATTTAGGCTTTTCCTTGGGTATAAAAATCCTTCAGGCCCTTATGCTCAAGAATGTATATTTTCTCTCCTAAAAATAAGTGAGCAGCAGGTGCCATACCAAACAAGTCTTAAATGATTTAAGCTGCAGTTGGGAAGGTTCCATAATGTAATTAATTCCAGTTACTGCTCATTTGGAGCTGGGGGAGGCTTTTGATCTAGCTGCATGAATTTCAGATCATTTCTATTGGACAGTTATAATTTTGTTATCAGTCTTTCCAAGTTGAACTTCTAGTCCATTTAGAGTAATGAGCATGCACAAGCACACACACGTCCCTATCAAAGGTCAACATCTGTCAACGCTGCTAAGAATAGGCAATATGCAATATTTAAGGGTTACTTCTAATTCCTTTCTAGAATTCCTTATGACATTTTATGCCTTGGCTCTATTTTATCACTGCTAGGAAAAGGCCATAAATAATTGGCTTGGGATGGGCAAGGGAATGTGCTCAGCCTCTCTTCTGATTATAAAATAATGTGGAGTGTTTTGTAAAAGAGGCATAGAAAACTTCTTCCTGTGTGTTTCGATAAATTCAATTCCAAATAGTTTATTCTCTTGTTCCCATAAAAACTTGCCAGACATTTCCATGTTGTTTTGGCAAATCAGCATTATTACACACAAAAATATTTAAATCTCCATAAAGGGTGACCAAAAAGGGGTAGAAAATCACAGGTCAAACAAAATTTTTAGTTGTTTTTGAAAGCATGCCCATGTTAGTCTTGACTATGTATGTACAGAGCTATGTCTATAAAATTATGCAAACAACATGTAAGAGGGCATGAAATAGGAGGCTTTTCATGAGAAGGTGAGAAAGGTCAGTTGCTGCAACCTAGAGAAGGTTGAAGATGTAGCCTCATAGTCTTGGATGACACCTGCAGTTCTCATGGACAGTGAGCATGTTACATTGAAAGAAGAGACCCAATGGGGACACTCTGTTAATAAGCACACGCTCCCATGTGAACTTGCAAGGAGTAAGAAAGGGGACAGAGACCAATGGAGCCTCATAGAGGTAAGACAACATGAAACGCTTGTTTCTTTGTACCACAAATCCTAGGCACGTGGTATTAAGCCAGTTTATTTCCAGATTCAAGTCTATTCCCATATAGTCTCCTCTCAAAATGTTTTTCTCTGTGCCCCAACATCTAAAGTGATTAGCTCTCTGATGAGTTTGTATGGATATTTCAGTTCCAAAAGCAAAGCAAAAGAATCTTATGATTTGGTATCAAATGAACATTTTAAATCTCACGAGTTATATTATATGCAAACAAAAAAGTATAGAGTTTTATCATTCCCCTCCTCTAAAGCAGTAGTGGTACTCAATGCTGGAAAACACAAGGTGCTTTTTTTCTGCAGACACTCCTTTCTCTCAAGGCCGTGAAAAATTAATGCCATAGAGAATTGAACAAAGAATATATAAACAAACCAAAATATGATCAACATCATTTGAAATCAGGAAATGAGAGTCAATGTTCAGTTATAATGGACTGCATTATTTCCTCCAATTCTTCACTTCCCCAAGATCTACATCCTTTGCCAGTTGACTTTCCAGTTGCTACCACTAAAGGGACAGAGTGTATTTCCCCTACCCCTGACTTTGGATTGGGACACGTGAGAAGCTTTGGCCAATACAATGAAGCAGAAACGACCATGTGCAAGTTCCAAGTCTACACCTTAAGAAGCCTGTGTACTTCCACTTGTCCTTTTATTCCTCCAGCATTGGCATGAGCAGAACATTCTCCAGCTTGCTCACAGGTCCTAAGTGGGTGCTGAGCCATGTGAGCAGAGCTGCACCAGTCACCACAGAGTGAAGCAGAGCATCTCCAGACAATCTGGAGACCTGTGGTCATTAAAGCCACTCAGCTGAACCCAGACCAGATCTGTGAAAACCCAGGAGAACTGCTGATATGTGAATGATTCCAAGGGATTGTTGTTTCAAGCTCTGTCTTTTGCAGAGATCTGTTCTGCAGCATTCTTGTTGTAATAGCACTCTAGTATCAGCCTCCACAAGATTCTTATAGCAAATACTACTTTGGGCTACTGCATACAAATAGGGAATAGGTTTCTGTCAACCTCAGAAATCCCTACACCTCTCTTTCTACGCCCTACCATCTCCCAGTGAGGCCATTCCCCTTCCTCCAGATCAAACATGAGAATCTCGCCTTCTCTTTACCCATACTGCAACTCAAACTTAACTCCCTGATGAGTTAGATTTTCCCATACATGTATTTGACACTTTGCTTACTTTCTCTAAGCCTTAGTTTCTTATTTGGTAAGTGGGGCTAACTATAATAAGTTTTCATTATTGTTATATTAAGTGAGATAATGCATGTAAACTACCTAGTTATAATAGGAACATAGAACTCAAAAACCAATAACCACTATATTCTGACCCTTGAAAATCACTCTCTTTTTAATGAGTGGCTGAAACCCAGAGAAAATATTTTTGAGATAAGATCATTTACAGATAGTTAAGGCAAAAATAATTGCCAACTAATCCCAACTTTTAAATAAATACTTAACATGTGACTTGAAAAAATTCCTTTGAAAATATGGGGATTTTTTGGTTTTTTTGTTTTTTTGTTTTTGCTATCTCTTCTAAGTAATTCTGAAGTTTAGAGAATTCTTAAATTACCCACAAAAGGTTCTCATCTCTTTGGAGATGTTTTAGTCTGATTAGCCTGAAAATTTGAGATTCAAATGATCCATTAACATTTTAGGCATTCACTGAACCAATATTCAGGGGTCAACTACAATACACCACTCCAAGCTAGTTGGTGCATGAGATTAAGGGGGCATAAGATAATTCCTTCTCCCTGGCAAATTATGAAATAAAAACGATGGGAAGTTGGTGCATTGACATAGTAACCACCGCCCAGCGTGGCATGTGCTGAGTTAATTATGAGTGAAGCTGACATTAACTAGAGTAGAAAACGAGGTAGAAAATAGGTGGAATACTTGAACTGGCATAATTTAAGGAGAGATTAACAAAAGCACTGTGTGCACAGAGGAGAGCAGAGCATATGGAGATGGCAAAGAGAATGCAGTACTGCAGAGGTAGTAACAGTGGAGCACTATCACCACCTCATGCCTGAAGGGGTAAGCAAAGAAAGCATTTACCAAATCCAGGAGTGAGAGGGCTGTGTGGAGAGGACCATCTGACAGGAACTGTGATTTGATGGAGGAATCCAGCCAGGCAAAGGGCAAGGGAGCTTGTTGATGTAATCCATACTTGTCAGCCTCCTAGGACAGAAAGCGAGGTCGAGAGACGATCCCTCGAGCATATACTATATCTAAGTAAGAGCAAGCATAGTACTCTATCTAACATGCTAGGTTACAGGAACCAACACCCAAAAGGATACTTTCTTAGCGTATTGATAGAGACATACTTGTGAGTACAATGGTAGCCATTGTCAGTGAAAAGTTACTCCATCTGGACTCTGCCAGGCATTTGGAATTTGAATCATGTTAGAACAGCCCCTGGGAAACTCTCCTACAAATCCAGAGGGCATTAGAAAAGATGAGCCTTAGATGAGATTATAGTAGGCTGGAACTTAAACTATAAATGAGGAATTCTGGGCTCTTTCCGTATCTTTCCTCCAGGGGAGGAACACAGGTAAATGGCCCTCCGAATTATCTCCACTTTAGTCCTGCTTGTTTATGGTCAGAAAAGGTTCTGCCAACACACTCCATAAAAGAAAGAGAACGGAGACGATAAGAGATTATTTTTTTAGCTAGGCTGCTATGTAACATTTTAAACATCATCAAACTGGACTATTTTCATGCTAGTTAAAATAATTGGCACAGGATATTTTTCATGACCCTATTGTACTAAATCTTTACTCTTAGACTCTCCTGGTGAAAATTAAAGTTCACTATTTCCAGTGGGGCCCTATACTTCCTGTCAACATAATTGTGGATGATGGTACCACTTATAATAGAAATAGCTATCATCTTCCATACTATAAAATACTGGTTTGGGTTCAACAGAGCTCTGAAGAGAAAGTGATATTTTGGCATTTTCAGTTTCTTGCTTGCAAAATGCACTAGCCTGCATACATACATAGTTGCTTTCCAATTCAAAATGAGGCTTTTCTTTTGGATCTCTGTAAGTCTTCCCTCCTTCCTGCAATCTCCAAATGATTTTTTCGCCATTATTTTCTTAGCATCATCCGTGGATGAGAATGCAAACAAAATTTCAAGTCCTCCTTGGCATCTCTGATTCTCTGAGGGTTCTATTTATACTATCATAATAGGGATTGATTGTACTATAGGATAAACAACCTTCAGCTTATGTAGGAATGTTTTCAATATCACATTTTCCATTCGCACATGTTCTCAATAAGTAACTCATCAACCAAGTCTTACTTTCTGTGATCTTTAATGCTCGCCTTAGGGCCTCCTCTTTTTCTTAATATTGCAAGATAGTAGCAAATAATTCCATAGTTAAGATTTCAAAGGCACAATATTATAGCCTTCTTATCTCTATTACCCATAATGAAAAACCATATTGCAGCCATAGTTTTCCAAAGGACTGTCTCATAATTAAACAGTATGCTTTTTGGAAATCCAGCTACTGCTTTTTTCTTCTTTTCATCTAAGTCTTCTGCTTAAAAATCTTTTGATGGCATCTAGTCTCTTTCAGGATAAATGCCAACCTCCTTGGTACTGTATTTATGCATTCCACAAATATTTATTGAGCGTCCTATCATAGGCACTGTTATAGATGTGAAAAGTATTTTAAATATCAACCACACTGAGGTGCTTGGCTCTCTCCCACATTCTACCCTTTCTAGACCCTGATTTTGCCTGTGTTGCAGCCCAGAGCACACTTCTAATCAGCCCTCCCCCGTTTTCCTGAAAATTCCTACTTCTCTTCTTGACTTTCCTAAGCAACACCTTCTGTGAGAATCTTCAACTCCCTTCACTATAGTTTTTTCATGACGTTGGCTGAGATTGTGGGCATTCCCGTCTCTCCCCCAATCTGAGTTCCATGTGAGAAAAGTTGGAATTTTGTTGCTCCTAGGGACCTAGCATGGTGTACATGGCCGAAGATTTGCTAAATGAATACAAACCTAACCAGTAGAGAACAAAGTTACTAGTTGAAACCCTGAGAAGAAATTTTCTCACCCACAATTAAGAATTACTCAGCTGGAACTAAAAGTCATCATTGAGACCACCAGTTATTCAGAAACTTTTCAGCACCAGGTGGGAGGCTGATCCGCTAGGGTATTGCAAACCCTGGCATGCACATTACTTGTTCCACATCTGCCCCATCCCCAACACAGCACAGCAGAGTTGCTATGTCTTTTGGGAAGCCGCTCGGCAGAGCAGCACATCCTCAAAGACAGGAGATAAGCCTTGGGAGCTCAGGGAGATCCGCCTGCCCTGAGTACATACCTGATTGTCAGAAATAGGGTAATTGTCTAATCACATTGTAATTTTCTCCAAGGAAAGATGTTACATGTAACCTCTTCATTTCCCCTTTCCCCAACCGTTTGCCTTGCACAGAACTGAATGCAATATATGCTTAATAATACTCTTTCGGCCAGGTGTGGTGGCTCATGCCTGCAATCCCAGCACTTTGGGAGGCCAAGGAGGGCGGATCACGAGGTCAGGAGTTTGAGACCAGCCTGGCCAATATGGTGAAACCCCATCTCTACTAAAAATACAAAAATTAGCTGGGCGTGCTGGCACGCACCTGTAATCCCAGCTACTTGGGAGGCTGAGGCAGGAGAATCGCTTGAACCCGGGAGGCGGAGTTTGCAGTGAGCCAAGATCGGGACCACTGCACTCCAGCCTGGTGACAGAGTGAGACTCCGACTCAAAAAAAAAAAAAGTACTCTTTCAAGGAAGAATATATTTCTGGAAAAAAAGAAAAGGAGGATGAGGCTGCATTAGTTAGTGAATCCCAGCTGCCCTAACAAGTATATCCCAAGTAAGTGTCTCCTCACAGCAGAGTTTTCTCTCTCACTGTGTGATAGCCCATTGCAAATGTACTTCCCAGACATTGCTTTGCTCTGGGTGATGGTTTAGAGACCCAGGCTTCCATCTTGTGGCACCACCAACAGAGGCTAGAGCATCTTCTTCATCTATCCAGTTGGGAGGGAAAGAAAACCTGAAGGCAGCACACTTGCTGCTTAAAAACCTTGCCCCAGAATGGCACACATAATTTCTGTTCCAATTCCGTGGGTTAGTACTAGTCACATGGCCACACCCAGAAGCAAGCAGCTAGGCAGTGCAGGCCTAGCTGAGCAGCCTCTTCCTAGTAACAACTCTGCCCTGGAAAAGGGAACCCCAATTTTGGTGTTCAGCTCCTCTTTCCTGACACAGAAATTCTTTGTTTAGGAAGTGGTAATAAAGAGATATACTTCTATAAAATTAATCCAATTTCTCCAAAAATGAAGCTGTGATCATAAAATACAAACTTCTGACTCATCCGTCATTTCTATATATCCCACTTCTTTTGCTAGGATTACTGCCTAATTTCTAAGAATCTCCATAAAGAGTCAGAGCTTTGAGTTCAGAGGTCTTTCTCTCTTCTTGAAGAATGTTCTGCATAAGATACGGCATTTCTCAGATTGTGCTCTGCAAAACATTTCTCTCTTCTGTGGAAACTTTTCCTAGCAATTAAATTTGGGAAACTCACCATGTTATACTTCGCTCTTGAAGTGTAACAATGCATGTTAGCATATATTACAAATACAAAACAAACACACCTCAAACTTACTTAACCACTAAGTTTATGTTATGAAAGATATCTGTGAATCACAAAATGCTATAGAAGACAGAAAACATAATAATAAGAATTAGCATATATTGAAACCTCTTATGTGTTAGATACCATGCTATCTAGTTAAATACCACCACCCTGTGAGGTAGGAATCATTTCTCCATTTAAGAGAAAAAAATTAGGCTCAAAGAGGTTAAGTGTAAAAGTTCCACTATTAAAATGTAATTTATTTGGGTCACTGAGAAAAATGACTGAGAGACTGTGTATTTCAGTTCTTTTACGGATGTCATCTATGAAAATGACAAAAATGATGTCGTCAGCAACCCCAGCTTAATGCCAGATGCATGGTAGGAGTTCATCCAGAGCTTTGCAAGACCAGTCCAGCAAAACTTGCAAGAAACACTCTATTTGCTTTCTAATCAGGCTTTACTGACATGTGTATTCAGTAGTGAGAATGAAAGAAAAACAGAGGGTGGTCCAGGACTCTGAATATAGAATTTCCCACAGAAGTTTCTCCCTCTGGGACCAATAAGTTCCAGTTCCCAAGAAGTGCTGGAACTGTATGGGGACTAAATTTTTACCAAAAGCCTTGCTAGTTAAAGGTAACACCTCATTAAGCCATATAGGCCCACTCTTAAAGAGCTTAGCTATTCACTTAAGGAACTCCAAGAGCGGACATTGTGTTCCCATTTACCACCTGTCTCCTGGAAATGCCTGAATTTCTGGAAATCATGATTGTGTCATTTCCATCATTGCATTTCTTTTGGGAAAGAAACAGTTTAAAGGATTCAAAAAGCTATTTGATCAGGAATCAAATCTTATAACAAATTAAATTATATTAACAATTATTACTACTTCTATATATATATCTGTTATCATCTGCCAGATTGTTATGGTAAGAATTCTTTATTCATTATCTCATTTCATCCTTACTTCCTTTTAAAATGGGCATTTATCATTACCATCTTACAAATAAGAAAATTGGGAGAGAGGTCAGAAAACCTGCACAAAGTCACAGAAATAGAGGTAGAACTTTAGCTCTATGATTCCACAATCTAGATGGATGGGAGTCAAAGATCCATGGTTGTACCAGTTCCCTATACTGCCTCCTCTTTAGGTTTCATATTTTTCATCCCCAAATCACTCGATAAGGTTTCTACTTAATTCTTCTGTGATCTGCAAAACACGCACTTTTAAAGTTATTTACTTCCTTCTAGGACCAAGCTGTGATTTCAGTAACTGCCACTAATTAGATAGTAGCAGCTTTCTGCATTATAACATGAAATCTCAGATACTAACAATTATGACATGGAATCTCAATTATTAACCACCCACATGTAGAAAAGCATGTGGTTCAGTAAAGCGAATGATGTCATTATTATTTCTCCAAAAGTTTAACTCAGTCAAAGTGATACGTATCATCGAAACAGGTAGATTGACTCCGAATCTAATGAAGCTTATGTTTCCAAGACCATGGGAAGGGTCTTAGCATTTCTGTGTTAATAATTTTTGTATTTTTTTTCAAAGAGGGTTCTCCAATTGTATAAGCTTAAGGATCCACAGAACTCAAAGGTATCACTGTAGTAGTAAAGAGTATGGGCTGTATGGTTGGTCTGCCTTGGGAGCAAATCCTGGCTGTACAACTTAATACCTGTGTGACCTTGAGTGCGTTACTTAGCCTCTCTGTGCCTCCATTCTCTTTTTTTAAAAACATGGGGTTATGACAGAGGATCGATCATAGGATTATTGTGTGAATAAAATGATTTATTGCAGCAAAGCAATTAGCAAAAAGCCCATAAAGTGATCAAAGGTAAACTACTATTTATTACTTTAATAGCATATGTGGATACTGACAGCCTATTTGAGCAAAATTTAATGACCTTCAATACTTACACACAACTGCTATTTTGCCAGCTAGAGTGCCACTATTATCTATTACCAATCACCATTTAAAGAACTGTTTTAACTCATATCTATTAATAGTATGAAAACATATCTTGAGTGAAAGTTCCTGGAATAAACTTATCATTGATATACTTCATTGTATCAAATAATTTAAATCGAGTTGCTGGCCCTAAGAGTTACTTTGGGGTTCCCAGCTTTCCTAGTAAGTCTCTTCAACTCTGAGTTATTGATCACCAAAACTAAAAATTCACCTATCTTTGTGGTCTAAATGTACATACTAGCCATGATATTTTGGTATATTTTCCTGTTTAATTGGCAGCCTACTAAGCTAACTCTTGCTCATAACTTTCTAAGCACAAATAACTATAATGGTAATCACACTGGTTTAGTATTTTACAAAAATTTCATCTAATCTTAATCATAATGCTACACTGCAGTTCAAGCAAGTGTCATTATTCCATTTTGCACAAAGAGCTGAACTTCAAGATAGTTGTATGGCTTGTCCAAGGTAACCCAGTAAGTAAATAGGGAAATAGAAGAAACCAGAATTTCTAAGACTCGAGATTTACATGGAATACATTTTTCAAAGTTCTAATCCCTTAGTAGTATAATGCATTTTCTTTTTTCCTTTTTTTTCCCTAAACCTGGATTCTCACTAAAGACACATATAAATGGGGTAATACTTTTTTTCTACAAAATATATTAAACTAATGATAATAGTGCAGAAGAGGTGTCAATAAATGCATGTAATACTCTTCTAGTGATTGCTGCTAATAACTTCAGGCAGTGTCACCTCTGGAGAAGCCCTCATTTAATAAGCACCACTGTCAAGTCCAGTCTTATGGACGGATAAATGTAATGGGGATTGTCTTGTGAACATTATTTGAGGGATTGAGAAAAATCTCCCATCCAAGAGAGATCCTTCTCTAGACTTACTGCCTTGCCAGAGAATCTGCCATTATTCCTTTTCAATTAAAACAGTGCTGACCCAAGGAAGCTTAGTTTTCACATGCAAGATTCCCTGGAATAGTCCGCTGTTTAAAGGCTGCCAAAGACAATTAAGAATAATGTCACAGAGGTGCAAACTGGAAGCATAATTAAGAATATGATGTGGCAACAAAGCAACATTATCAGATTTGGAACTGGAAGATCTAAAATTTAATCCTACTTTGATTTTTCTACTTTAGTATGCTACCTTCTCAGCTTAATGAACTGATTTTTTTTGAAAGCACTACTTAGTGCACTCTCATTCCGACTAGTATTCCTGGATTTTTTTAACCTTCAGAATTTTCATTTTTTCCTAACCAGTTAATCAATTCTATTAGTGATCTTGAAGAAGGAGTGAATAGCACATTAATGAAATTTTCAGTTGATATTTTTAGGAGGATGTAGAAACACCACTGAGGATACATAAATAAGGCAGACTGACAAAGATATACGGAGGTCTAAGTTAGGAAGGAAGTGCAAGATATTTCCCTAGGACCAATAATCTAAAATACTAGCAATCAGATAAAGTGAAATAAACTTGGTCATAAAATCAAGATACACAGGCTGGGAAAATGAAAGCATATTTGCTATCAACAATAAATAAACAAGTCACAAAACTATTCCATGCCTGGAAGAGTTTAATATTATATAAAGCTACCCCATGAAACAGGAGCCTGGAAAGAGCCACCAGTAACACAAAGAATGACTTTCAGCCTAAGAGCCAAGAACTGGATATCAGAGAGCTTGGGATGGTAGAAATAGAAGTGACACTTGTAATTATCATTGTAATAATAGTAAAGCCTTCTGTCTGCATAGCACTTTAAAATTTTAAAAGCTCTTTCACATATATAGTTTCATTTGATCCCCACAAGGACTCAATGAGGTGAACAAGAAAGGAATCATAATTCCCATTAGAAGAGAAAATTAGAAGTTCAACAGGAAAGTAATTTCTACAAAGCTATTCAATTCATGAATCCAGGACCATCATACAATTTCAGAACTCAATGATTCTTTAGCGATATCTAATCTAATTCCCTCTTTTACATATTAGGAAACTGAGGCTTAGAGAGAGAAAGTGACTTTCTCCAGAGAATTTAATTAGTGATAAAGCAAGCACTCGAACCCAAAGCCTAGTCCATCAATCTTTTCAACAAACTGTTGCCTTCTAGATGTTCTTGAAAGGAGAGGATGATTAAAATAGGCCAGGTTATGAAATCTGGTAGGAAGAGTCCAGAGCTGTTTTTAGAGTTAGATGAGAAAGATTTTCACTAAGGTATTTGCAATAATAATGACACTTGCAATGGAATAAATGAACGTAGTGAACACTCGGAATCAGAAAGATATAGATCAAATAGGCAGAGGGGCAAAAGTGACACCAGCAATATGGGCATTGATTTATGAAGAGAGACTGGGAGATTAAAAGTGCTAAATATGCATGACTTGACTAATAACTAAGGAAAGACAAGGAAGTCTATAAATATCTGAAGGGTACAAATGCTGTAGAGGATGCAAAAATATTTTAAAAGCAAGAGGGGAAAGCCAATACCATTAGGATTAATGAAACCCAATGAAGAAAGGGAAAAATAAAAGTTGAACATAAAGAAATAGTTAAAATGAGATTTCTTTTCTATGTTTGTCTTCTAAGTCCAGAGGTGGAGTCTGGCATTTGGGACATTTAAACTCTGATTGGACCAAAATCCGTAAGCCAATAACATGGAAGCCATGTCCCAAGGAGACACAGGGGCTGAGCACATGCCCTCAAAGGTGGTTTTTATCTCTTATTTTTATAATCCTGGAACCATACAACATTGGATTATCATTCATTTTGAAGACTGAGGCTGTGGAGCTTTGTGTAGTAAGAGTAGTGTGAACTCCTCTGTTCAAGGCAGAGCACTAGAGATGAGCTTACAAACTCCACCAAATGGAGCAAATCAGAATTGACTTTACAAAACTGCCTCAAAAATAAACGAGACATAGCATAATAGCATAGCAGAATAGATGTGTATTGACCTGGCTTCACCCACCTGCCTGTTCCCACATGAAGAATTAGGCAGGACTATCTCTTGCACCAGCAAAGGACATATAAGAAGCATGCTGGCGGATGCAAAGGTTGGATCCTATGCTTTTCTCCTTGTTGCTGGTATTTTACATACGTGGCCTAGGTTGTTAGCCTGGGTTCCAGGTTTATAGCTTTGCCATGCCTCTCAGTATCTGAGATGCCTTTCTGGGCTGGGCCTACCTTGTCTTATTCTCAACACCCATGCCCTTCTGAATTATGTTTCCTTGGTCAGCTATTGCCCTGCCCTGCATCCTAGTCCCCATGAGGTTTGATATTGAGATGTAGCTGATGTAATAATTGTGGTAATAAAAATAACAGCCCTAAGAAAAGACAAGATACCTGCTAAGTGATGAGAAAAAAAATGGTTAAGTCTACTGAAGCCTCTGCATGCCCTCAGCTTCAAAGGCACCTCTCTGCCTTGCCTAGAGCTCAGACTCTGGCTGTCCTACACACTATTCCCTTCCCAGGGATAGTGTCTACAGCTCATCACCAGTATCTATGAACACCATATCTGGCATAGAATGTTCAATAAATATTGATTAAATGAATAAATGAAACCCTTCTGTGAAACTCCATTAATTTATTCATTCAATAAATAAATGTGTTAAATGAACTGCAGCCTACTTGATTGGCCGAGGCTTGATTATCCTAATCTTTGCATGTCCAGATCTTAGGGATTTATTTTTTGGCCCCATATCTTTACCCACCAGAGGGAGTCTGGCTGAACCTGAACCTGGAATATTGACATAAACCTGTTTTGAAATATCATTACTTTCCAGAAATTGTAGTGGTTGGGCCCTGCTTACCCTATGAGAATAATGTAGACTTTGGCACTAGCCATCCTGAAACTCCGGTTTATCCCATGACTCTAGACCATTTGGGTATATGGCCACCTCCAGGGTTCTCAGTGGGTTAACACTCCAGAGCCCGGTCCCTCCAATTTCTTCCTCCCCAAATACTGCTGGAATGCCACCTTATCTCCCACCAGAACCCATTCCATTTACGAAAACAAATCACTTTTTCATTTTAAATCTTTTTTCTCTGTCTCTTCCTTTGGAGACTCATTTGTTCTTTCAAAAACAAAAGGATAACTGAGATTCTCAGTAGGAATTCTGGTTGCCATCACATCTGAGATCACTCATTAAAAATTTGCAGTATGGAAAACCACTGAAGATCATTACAGCTGTAGTCAGAAGCCAATGTGCCAGGATAATGAAAAACAATTCTGCAGTTTCCCCATGCTCTGTTAGTTGTAGTTGTCATAAATGAGTTGTGGAGACTTGGAGTGAATGATCCATATCTTATTGAACTGTCCTTTTTTTATCAGTGACAATTGAAGGTGACTGAGAAGCAGGGCCAGTGTCAGACTGTATCTAATTGGAAACCTTCTCTCATTAATGTCCGATGTTGACTTGGATTGCTTGACGAAATCAGGACCACAACGGAATGGATTTTATTATACAAAATGAACTGGTTGAGCTCTCTTCCACTTCAGTGTTTTTTTAACCTTACCCCACCCCTAACTCTGTGGCAGGAGCCAGCAGAGCAGGAATTTTGAGAAAGGCAGGTCTGTGAACAAACAAAGCGAAAACAGTAATGCAGTGAAGGAAATTGAAACCATATGGACTTTCATGCCACATATGTTAGGACAGTTCTTGGGCACTGCTGTGGAACCAGAAGACCAGGGGGACCTCTGAGAAGTCACTTTGACTCCACATCTTTAGGCAAAACTCCCCTTAACCTAGCCCGGGCGGCTCACAACACATGTTGCACGTAGAGGAGATGGTATGGAGAACACCGTCCACATCCTCCCTCCATCCTTTCCCGCTCACTGGCTGCCTTCATGAAATGCGCCCTTGGAAGCTCTTTTTAAAAGTTTGGGTCTTTAGCTAAGGTATTATATCCAAGAGAAAAAAGAGTGTTTGGATAAAGAAAAGGCGATTTTACTTTAGCTATTTTCCCTTCTCCCTGACCCTTACCA